>NC_000012.12:79960128-82460128 GCF_000001405.40 Homo sapiens
AAAGTTAGCACTTGACTCCACACCTCAATGCAGAGAAATAGGATAGTTTTAGGGGAGCAGACATTACTTTGGTCTAGTTGGGTTTAAATGACCTGGCCAAAGCACCATGTTACATTCAAACCCAGATTTTAGATCTTATTCTGGTTGCATGGAACAAAAATATGTGTGTGAGAGAGGGTGAGCTAGGTGATTCAGCCTCTGCCATTGTGGGTCAGCCCCACTCTTAGTGCTCTGATGGCCTGAAAGAGAGAATCACAGAAATTCTGCTGCTGATATTTTACACTTGGAAATCCCACCACTAGCAAATGTGGCCTCATCAGTGACTTTAAACGCAATAAGCACCTCCTCTCTACTTTGACAGTTTGGTGACCTTCCATAAGACATTTCCTCCCTAGAGTATTCTGTTTTGTTTTGTTTCCTTTTTTTTTTTTTTTTTTTTTTGAGACGGAGTCTCGCTCTGTTGCCCAGGCTGGAGTGCAGTGGCGCCATCTTGGCTCACTGCAAGCTCTGCCTCCCGGGTTCACGCCATTCTTCTGCCTCAGCCTCCTGAGTAGCTGCGACTACAGGCTCCGGCCACCACGCCTGGCTAATATTTTGTATTTTTAGTAGAGACGGGGTTTCACCGTGTTAGCCAGGAAGGTCTCAATCTCCTGACCTCGTGATCCACCCGCCTAGGCCTCCCAAAGTGCTGGGATTACAGGCGTGAGCCACTGCTCCAGGCCTTGTTTCCTTTTTTTAGTGCCAGATAATCTCCTTGAAAACTTCACTTAAATTTTATTTAAAAAAACATTCTTTTCTTTTTTTTTTTCGAGACTGAGTCTTGCTCTGTTGCCCAGACTGGAGTGCAGTAGCACGATCTCTGCTTACTGCAACCTCTGCCTCCCAGGTTGAAGCGATTCCCCTGCCTCAGCCTCCCAAGTAGCTGGGATTACTGGGATTACAGGTGGTATGCATCACCACTCCCAGCTAATTTTTGTATTTTTAGTAGAGAAGAGGTTTCACCATGTTGACCAGGCTGGTCCCGAACTCCTGACCTCAAGTGATCCACCTGCCTCAGCCTCCCAAACTGCTGGGATTACAGGCGTGAGCCACTGCGCCCGGCCAAAACCGGTATTTTCTAATGACATCAAATTTGGATCAGTCCTTTCCATTATATCCTATCAGCTATTATACCCAAGCTAAACATTAGTGGCCATCCTGTGAGGTGCAAATAAAAACAATGTATACTCTTAGTTTGCTTTCCTTGAGTTAATAGAAGAGTTGAATATTTTAACAGAGGAGCTGATTGTTCACATAGAGCTTTAAGTGTTTTTAGATGGGCCATGAGAAGTAAAGCAAACATTTTGAATGATTACAGCTCTACAATTCTAGTGTGAAATGATTTTTATTTTTTAAACTTATTTGCCCAGTTAACTTTGGCATTACACAAGAAATGGACAGTCTGACAGAATCTGATGATTATCTCATGAGGAAGTACAGCTACATACATTAGAAAGCAACAACATAGCAATTTTCTTCTTAAGAGCTTTTCTTTTAATCTTACCTCTCCATAAATATGATCTGAGCAATCTGTAACTCTAGATATTTGCTTTTCAAGGCTTATTGCTTTTAATGGCATTGGGCTCATAAATTTTTGCACGTTAAACATCAATGGATCCCCAAAAACACATTTTTATTCTCCCATAATAACATGCATTTAATGAGCTTGTTTATCAGATACCAATCTGCAGGAAAATTAATCATTTTATTTATGTACTCAATTGAATCCAACATACATCTATTGCATGCCTACTATGTGCCAAGCCCTATGCCAGGTGCTGGAAGTACAAAGATGTGTAAAACACAGTTTTTGATTCCCAAGAATTCAGTGTGTAAGGGTAAATAAACTAGATATCTATAACAAAAGATTGAAAAATGCTGTAACAGCAGTAGGTGTATAGTGCTGAAGGAGACAGAGCACAGAGGCATAATTATTCCTGGGTAAAAGGGAGAACGGGGCTGGAAAAAAGCAACTGTTGGGATTGGCGCCGCTACAATATGGCATCCAAATTTTGGCTGCACCCATGGTGATTTTGAGATTCTGATTTGATGTGCTGGTCTAGCTGCTGCTTCTCTCCCCTTCACTAATGATTCCAAAATTCGTAATTCTTCATGTAGCTTAATGCTTTTTTTTTTAATTTCTTCCTGTGCCCCCTTGCCCTCTTCCTCTTTAGCAAACCACCTTTCTTCCTTGTTCATAGAGCAAATTGCTTCTCTCATATGAACAATCTCAATTTCCTGCTCTCCTTCCCCATTCCATCCTCCCACCCCCAGTGTTTTCTATGAAGATATTCTGGCCACAAGCTTAAAGTTTAGACACATCTTCCTGTGCTCTGGATTACGTGAATTCTTGCTCCTTGTAAGAATTTACTGTGTCAATGATTTTCTCCTTTTTTGTATTTTCATCGTTTCCCTTTGGCTTCTTCTTTGCAGTCAGATGTCCTCAAATGTCTCCCATCTTTAAAAAGTAACACGAAATCTCCACCTCATTTCTTACTTTATTTTTATTTATTTTTGTATATATTTTTTTCAGATGGAATTTTGCTCTTGTTGCCCAGGCTGGAGTGTGATGGCACAATCTCAGCTCACTGCAATCTCCACCTCCCAGGTATAAGTGATTCTCTTGCCTCAGCCTCCCAAGTAGCTGGGATCACAGGCATGCACCACCACATCTGGCTAATTTAGTATTTTTAGTAGAGATGGGGTTTCACCATGTTGGCCAGGCTGGTCTCGAACTCCTGACCTCAGGTGATCTGCCCACCTCAACCTCCCAAAGTGCTGGGATTACAGCCATGAGGCACTGCACCCGGCCATTTCTTTCTTTCTTTTTTTTGAAATGAAGTCTTGCTCTTGTCCCCCAGGCTGGAGTGCAGTGGTGCAATCTCAGCTCACTGCAACCTCCGCCTCCCAAGTAGCTGGGATTACAGGCGCCTGCCACCATGCCTGGCTAATTTTTGTATTTTTAGTGGAGACAGGGTTTCACCATATTGGCCAAGCTGGTCTTGAACTCCTGACCTCAGGTGATCTGCCTGCCTCGGCCTCCCAAAGTGCTGGGATTACAGGCGTGAGCCACCGTGCCCAGCCATTTCTTACTTTAACAACCCTGTCTTTCTCCTCTGTCAAGCTCCTTGACAGAAGAATTTAACTGCCATTTATTTCAATGCTGACTACTATTTGGATACTTCTTCCATACTTCACTGAAACTTCTTTGACAAAGTTCATCAACGCTTTCTTGTCAAATTCAATGGTCTCTCTTCAGTACTACTCTTATCTTCTCTGTATCATTTTATATAGTTAAATATGCCTTTCTTCTTGAAATTATCTTTTACACTAGCTTTCAGTACACAGCTCTTTCTAGATTTTCCTTTTACTTTTCTATTTTATCTCCTTTGTTGTTTTCTTTTGACTTCCATTTACATCTCAAGGAGTGATTATTGGCTCAAATAGTGAAGACAGATAGTCTTTTAATACCCCCCAAAACACATGGACTACATATGGGAGCAGTGTCGCCAAAAAAGAGAGGAAATGACGCTAGGTCAATTCATCCATCTTATATCTCTACATCTATTTAATTTTTTCTTTTGTCTGCTTAGCACCATGGGGTGGTATTAAGCTCACTCCATAACTCCAGAATTGGGCAGATGATTTCAGTTTGTCCAATCAGAGTTTTCTACTTCCTAGTTATAGTAATTGGACTAAGGATGAGCAACAAGACTAATTTCTGAGTCTTTTATTACAACTACAGGGAAAGAAGGTAGCACAGTTCTGCTGTACCTGAAGTTTGGGTAATGTATATGTAGTGTTGCCAGGTATCACTGTAAGGAATAAGCCTGCCTGACTGAAGAGCAGAGTCAGAAAATAGAGAGAAACTAAATTGTTACAATATCATTTGAGTACCTGGAAAGACCCAGCTGTCCTAGGAGCCAATTATTAAACTGGTCTTTTCAGTCACTTAAGATCACAAATGGTTATCATTATTATGATGATGATGATTATCATCATTATTGCTTAAACTTGTTTGAGTGTCTTTGTATTTACAAACTTGGAATCACAAAGGAAAAAAAAGGTCCTATCTAATAAGGTTTTTCTGACTTCTAGGCCCTCGCTACTCAGTGTGGTCCCAGAACCAGCAAGATTGTATTGCTTGGGGTTGCATCAGAATGCAGAGTCCCAGATTCTACCCAGACGTAGTGGATCAGAATAAGCATTTTAATAAGATTCTCCAGGTGATTACTTGTACAATGAAGTTTGAGGACTACTGTTCTTGGATTTAACAGAGTTTTTCTCTCTCTCTTTTTTGTTTTTGGTTCTCTATGACAGTCATTTTCACCTGGGCAGGGAGAATGTATCCCAGAGATAGCAGAAGAGAATCTTCCTGACCAGTTGACAATCACTGCTTCACTTGTCCTGCTTCACGTTTTTGCATCCACTTCTGTGGTTTTTGCTACCACCTACAGAAGACTGACTTCCAAATGATGCCTACTAGAAATGTGAACCTGGATATTCCACTGTGTCTGAAATGCAGTTTCTAAATACCAGTTCTCTCACCCTCCCTCCCTTTCCTCCTAAATTTTATTCTTAGTAAATGACACCTATTTCTCCGGTTTTAATTTCCTTTCCTCTCTTTTCCCCTCCACTGCAATAAGCTCTCTGGCACTGAAACTTGAACTGATGTGATCACCAATGAGCTCCCTATTGACAAGTCAATCATATCTTATTAAACTTCTCTGGGTATTGACAATTCTATGCTTCTTGAAGCTGTTTCCTTCCTGGTCTTTCTTGTTGTGATCCACTTTTGGTTTTCTTGCTATGTTTCTGACATGACCTTTTCATTTTCCTTTGTTTATTTTTCTTATATGGCCTGCCCCTTCACATTGGTTTGCCTAGAACTGTGATAACAGCTCTTTCTTATTCTACAGTCTCTGGGCAATTTCATCTAATCTGTGGTTTTTATAATATGTTTAGCAAATGTTTCTTGAGCATCTACCAAATATCAGTGCCTAGAACCAAACCTAACATATACTGATGGTGTCTTTTTTTTAATAAGTGCATGCATGAATGAATATTCCAGGCATTATTTGTGGCAGATGCTGGAGATACATACGTCAATGAGATTGGGTTTCTTCCTACCCTCAAGCCAGCCACAGTGGCTTCACATCTGTTACTCCAAATTATGAGGAGTCACATCTGTTACTCCAAATTATGGCTTACTCCTGAGCTCCAGACCCACACATTCAACTACTTTTTTGTATTCTCAATATCTTGTCCTCCATGTACCTCAAGTTTAACATGTTCAATGTTGTACTTCCTTACTCTTATATTCGTTCATGTTATTTTACCTGACAGCATCATCTGTCTGATGGCCCAAGCCAGAAACCTGAGGCTCTAACTAATCACCAACAGCTATCTGCACAATCCTCTTAATATCGGTCATTCCTTTTTCTCCACCCCCTTTGTTATTGTTTTAGGACCCTTATTCATTATCTCTTGCTTGAATTATTACAAATGCCGGCCTGGAAGTAACTACTTTAAATTCTTTCAGTTAATTCTTCGGGTATCAAGCTCTATATCTAAATAACACATTTATTGGCTACTTTCTGACTTTTTCTGATTTAGGCTTTATTTATTGATTTGCCACTTTTAAAGATAAAAATTTAGCCCTGTTTTTATCTTCCCCATATTTACTGTACACAGGAATTCCTTCTAAGCACTCAGTCTAGCAATATAATTATACTTTTATTTTTATTAGATCAATAGTCAGTGTCTACACTGTTATGACAATGAAAATGCTAATAACCAACTGAGCTGTAGTTAGTACCTATTATTGTATTTCCTTTTCTGTACATTTTTTCCCTGAAGATAATTTTTATGATTGTTTTGATTCCTTAGTTGTCTACTAAATTGAACAATATGAAATTTATAGTTTTATAGGACAAAATTATTGAAAATTGGCATTATGTGGTTCAAACTGGCATGTTCTTTTTATTAATTAACACTGAATTCTCTCCTAGTTACCCACATATCTCAATATTTTTAGATGAAGCATTCTATCACTTTCAATTTATTGATACCTTCTAATGAATCAAGTGTTTTTTTTGATTTTCATCTTCCTTAAGAAGACTCCTGGAGCCTTCTGACTTGCTCCAATCTGAACTGGTTGCCAGCAGGGACACAGCTGTCATCCTGGGGTTCTTTCTTATGTGTTAGATTCCTAGAGATCTGTTTCTTATATCCTATGGCTTCTTATTTTTCAATTTATTCCCTCATTTTGAAGAATCACATTTTCTGATAGCTTCCTGAGGAAGAGTGAACTAAAGGTAAAGTTTTGAGAACTTGCCTATTTAAAACATCTTTATTCATCCTTCACAATTTGTGGCATGGTATATCATTCTATGTTAAAAGTAATTTTCTTTAGAATTTTGAAGGCACTGCCACAATGTCTTTTAGCTCTCAGTTTGCTAAGAGGTCCAAAGCCATTCTGTTTCTTGATTCTTGCTTTCTGATCAGATATTTTCCTCCAGAACCTTTTCTTTTTCTTAGTATTCTAAAATATGATGATGTTATGTCATGGTGGATGTCCAATAAGCGTCCCGTTGGACTGAGTACTCCGTGAATACTTTCAATCTTACTGGCCTGGCTTGGGTCATATGCCTACTCCCAAACAGATTGTGGTAAACAGGAGAATGCTGTACTCTGGCCAGTTCTAAGTAATTTGTCCATCCCTGGAACTGGTAATTGGGTGGAGGTACACGGACTGACAATACAAGAAGGGAAATTCGGGGTACTGTTATGAAAAGAAACACAAAAGATTGAGGAGACAAACCTAGAGGGGTCCACTGTATAATGTAAACAAACTCTCTGTTTATGTGTAGCTTGATGGAAACCTGATTTGTAATCAGGATGCTGAGTTTTGAATGACTGAATTTGCTGTTGTTCAAATGATCTAAATGACATTCAGTGATTCACAGTCACCATTCCAAGCATGCAATTTATAATAGAGAAGTAGTATCTTATATTTTATGGAAAGCTTGATTAACTTTCATTCTTTTTTAGAAAATATGTGAAAATGTCTGATTAAATGGATTCTATAGATGCAACCATAAATATATTTATTTCTCAAAAGCCTGAAAATATGTGCCCATTTATGTAGTGCTAGTTGATGAAGTAGCCAGGAGCCAAATCATTTGTGTGAAAGAAATGGGACCATGTTCCCAGAATAGACCAGTAGCACGTTTACCACTGTCTCTTGCTATTCCCTGTCCTGGTAAGGCCCTGGTACAATGGCAGGTTTGAAGCTCTGGATCTGATTGAGTCACCCAGTGCATCTTAGAATAAAATTGCCTCTGGGGCTTTTATGGTTTTAGGTTTTACATTTAAGTCTTTAATCCATCTTGAGTTAATTTTTGTATAAGGTGTAAGGAAGGGGTCCAGTTTCAGTTTTCTGCATATGGTTGGCCAGTTTTCCTGCACCATTAATTAAATAGGGAACGCTTTCCCCATTGCTTGTTTTTGTCAGGTTTGTCGAAGATCAGATGGTTGTAGAAAACCTAGGCGATGCCATTCAGGACATAGGCATGGGCAAAGACTTCATGACTAAAACACCATAAGCAATTGCAACAAAAGCCAAAATTGACAAATGAGATCCAATTAAACTAAAGAACTTCTGTACAGCAAAAGAGACTATCATCAGAGTGAACAGGCAACCTACAGAATGGGAGAAAAGTTTTGCACTCTATCCATTTGACAAAGGTCTAATATCCAGAATCTACAAGGAACTTAAACAAATTTACAAGAAAAAAGCAAACAACCCCATCAAAAAATGGGCAAAGGATATGAACAGACATTTCTCAAAAGAAGACATTTATGCGGCCAACAAACATGAAAAAAAAGGTCATCATCACTGGTCATTAGAGAATGTAAATCAAAACAACAATGAGATACCATCTCGTGCCAGTTAGAATGGCGATCATTAAAAAGTCAGGAAACAACAGGTGCTGGAGAGGATGTGGAGAAATAGGAACAATTTTACACTGTTGGTGGGACTGTAAATTAGTTCAACCATTGTGGAAGACAATGTGGCGATTCCTTAAGGACCTAGAACCAGAAATACCATTTGACCCAGCAATCTCATTACTCGGTGTATACCCAAAGGATTATAAATCATCTTACAATAAAGACACAGGAACACATATGTTTATTGCAGCACTATTCACAATAGAAAAGACTTGGAACCAACCCAAATGTCCATCAATGATAGATTGGATAAAGAAAATGTGGCACATATACACCATGGAATACTATGTAGCCATAAAAAGAATGAGTTTGTGTCCTTTGCAGGGACATGGATGAAGCTGGAAACCATCATTCTCAGCAAACTAACACAGGAACAGAAAACCAAACACCACATGTTCTCACTTAGAAGTGGGAGTTCAATAATGAGGACACATGGACACAGGGCAGGGAACATCACACACTGGGGCCTGTTGGGGGGTGGGGGTTAAGAGGAGGGAGAGCATTAGGACAAATACCTAATGCATGCAGGGGTTAAAACCTAGATGACGGGTTGATGGGTGCAGCAAACCACCATGGCACACGTATACCTATGTAACAAACCTGCACATTCTGCACATGTATGGCAGAACTTAAAGTATAATAATAATAATAATAATAATAATAATAATAAATAATAGAATTACCTCTCTATCTCAACAGGGAATGAAACTCATATTTGAAAGATACAGGACATGTTCTGAGAATAATAAACTTCACAGCCCATCAATAATCTTTATTAGAAAGGCTGAGGTAAAAATAATTACTAAGTTTGCACATAAATCCTCCATGAATACAAAGAAACTACATGATAAGGATTTATTACCTCTATTCTATAGGCACATGTAGTTTTGCTTAGATAGTATAGAAGTCAAAGAGGAAAGCCTGCTGATTATAACTATAAAAAGCATTTATTAAAACTTTCTGTAGACAGACACTTATGATATGGTTCAGCTGTGCCCCCACCCAAAACTCACCTTGAATTGTAATAATCCCCACATGTCAAGGGTGGGTCCAGGTGGAGATAATTAAATCGTGGGGGCAGTTTCCCTCATACTGTTCTCGTGATGGTGAAAAAGTCTCATGCGATCTGATGGTTTTATAAATGGGAGTTCCACTGCACAAGCTCTCTTGCCTGCTGCCTTGTAAGATGTGACTTTGCTCATCATTTGCCTTCTGCCATGATTGTGAGGCCTCCCCAGCCATGTGGAACTGTGAGTCAAACCGCTTTTCTTTATAAATTACCCAGTCTCAGGTATGTCTTTATTAGCAGTGTGAGAACAAACTAATACAACTTAAAACAACAGTAAACATGTATAAATGACATAAATTAGTAAACATTAAGGGTAAGCAAAAATAAAGTGTTTTTCCTGTAGCGTTGCCAGCTGTAACATAGGACACCCCCATTCAATGTAAATTTCAGACAAAAATAAACTTTTTAGTGTAAATATTTCTCACGTATTTCATGGGACATACTTATACTAAAAAGACTTGTTATTTATCTGAAATTCCAATTTAAGTAGATGCACTGTATTTTTATATGCTGTATCTGGCAACTCAGGTATCATATCATAGTGATTTAATTTCATATAGAAACACAAGGAAGATTATCAGAAGTTTTATGTTTGTGGAAGTTGAGACTGGAAGGAATTTGCTACAAAATTTCCAATAGGTTAGGCAATATTTCCCTTAAATGAATCCAATTCAATTTGAGCAACATTTATAAAGTATCTCCTACCCACAGATAAATACCTGAGTGCTAGATATACAGAGATGAATAAGCTGTTTCCTCAGGATTCCTGGAGCTGAAGTGAAGATGGTTTCAGGCTGATGGAGCAGGTGGTCCAGAAATTGTATGACAAGGAGGAAGCAGGAATGTGATCATCAAGCAAATGGAGAGTTGAACAAATATGACAGTGAGGGAAGAGTTGGGTGGATAAAATGATGTAACATGTGATGAGCAGGGAGACATATTGCTTTATGAATGCATAGCAGCAGATATTAGTAATGTTCTCCTGAAGAACTCTGAGTTGTTTTACCCATGGTTTTCAGGCCTGCATCTGGAAAATAACCCCCTACATATTTGTTATATAGCATTAAGTTTGATACTGTACCCTAACTTGAGAGTTTACTTAGACTATTGTCATAGTCTAAAAACCCTTTGCCTAAATTATCAATTTTGGAGTTTCAATATGTTTGCAATCTGACCCCAGTAATAATGGACAATATTTATAGAAGTACTGTTCTGAACCCTATACGTGAATTAAAATATTTATTTTTCACAATTCTATGAGGTGAGTTCAGCTATTATCTCCATTTTAAAGTGGAGGCTAGTCAGGTGTGATAAAACCAAGTGCCTGTCAGACTACATAGATAGAATAAATGAGGGGCAACAGCTTGTCGTTTCTGCTTTAAATGTATTTTATTTTATTGTATTTTATAAGCTAAAAAGAATAATTTTAAAAATCAAAACAAAAAAGTCATTGAGTAAAACTTATTACATAATACCAGACCCAAATAAGCATACGTCTAGACCAAGGGACTAAATTGTAGCAGTATACGACTAATATGTTAAATGTAAAAAATGAGTAGCTGTTACTCAAAGAAAACAATTGTTCCTTTCCTATGAAGTAGTGTTTCTCAATCTTTTTGATCAGTTTACCTTAAGAAATTAATTTTATGTCACATTTAGTATTCTTACAAATGTATGTGTGTTTATAGATATAAATATTTGCATGAAATAATACAAGCCTTTACTACCTATGGTGCACTCTGATACTTTTTATTCTATTCTATTTCATGTTGTTTACAACATGCTAAGTTGATTTCACAGCCCACTAATGGGTCATGTCCAAGTTAAAAATCTTTGCTATAGAAAACAATTTTTTTGCTGTAGAAAACAACTTTTTCTCCGTAAGAGAAAATGATCATTGGCTCAAGATCATAATTGCATTATAACCCTTAGCATTCTGAGTGATGTAAAGTGTAAAATCTATCAAGTACTGCATATCCAGTTCCTATTATGAAAACTCTGGTAGTAAAAGAAACAGCAACATTTAAATACAATCTATTTCTTTCCTTTGCTGATTAAACTTGCCTCCTTCAGGAGATTAGGGCAGGACAACTCCTTTTAGTAACTCATTGAGGGCAGGAGGAGAATATAGTTTTTTAAATTCTCCCATAATGCCCAGCTCAAGGTAGTGGCTCAATTAAAACTTGCTGCTTTGATTAAACCAATATACTATGGCTATCAAAATATGGGTTATTGGTTACCAACTATGGCTGATTATTGGAATTTTCTGGAAAACCTAAAAAAATACAGAACCTTATTCAGAAAAATTATAATTTTATTTATCCTTTGATCCAGCAATCCTACTTCTAGGAATCAGCTCTGGGGACTGGTTGAATAAACTATGATATTGCCGAATTTTAAATTATTATGCAGTTATTAAAAAATGAGGAAGATCTCCATGATATATGGCTCAGTAAAAAAAAATCAAGGTGCATATGTTCTGTTTACTTTTGCACAAAGAAACACAGGAAGTATAACAAGGAACTAAAAAAAGAAAAGGTTATCCATGGGGTGATTTTTGAAATGGGGTGAAGGGGAAAGGGAATTATGTGAGATTTAGAAATCAGGCTGGGCACAGTGGCTCAGGCTTGTAATCCCAGCACTTTGGGAGGCCGAGGTGGGCAGATTGCCTAAGCTCAAGAGTTTGAGACCACCCTGGGCAACATGGTGAAACCCTGTCTCTACTAAAATATAAAAAATCAGCTGAGTGTAGTGGTGGGCTCCTGTAGTCCCATCTACTCTGCAGGTCGAGGCAGGAGAATCGCTTGAACCCAGAAGGTAGAAGTTGCAGTAAGTCGAGATCATGCCACTACACTCCAGCCTGGGTGACAGAGGGAGACTCTGTCTCCAAAAAAAAAAAAAAAAAAGTAATCAATGTATGCCTTTTTATGTAGTTTTGGTTTTGAATCATGTAAATATTTTACATATTAAATAACACAAGATTAATTTCAAACCAAGAATCTCTAAAACTGAAAAGATAAACAAATAAGTCTTGCTATATGTCAAATTGCAAACATAACCACACAGAGAGAAAAAAATATATTTCCAGTGAATGTAATACTCTGTGCATCCTATTGAGATATAATGAAATATAATCTAAAGAGTAAAAAAACTTAAGAAACAAAGAAAAGGCCGGGCATGGAGGCTCACGCCTGTAATCCCAGCACTTTGGGAGGCCGAGGCGAGTGGATCACCTGAGGTTGGGGGTTTGAGACCAGCCTGACCAGCATGGAGAAACCCCATCTCTACTAAAAATACAAAATTAGCCGGGCGTGGTGGTGCATGCCTGTAATCCCAGCTACTCAGGGGACAGAGGCAGGAGAATCGCTTGAACCTGGGAGTTGGAGGTGGCGGTGAGCCGAGATCACGCTGTTGCACTCCAGCCTGGGTAACAAGGTGAAACTCTGTCTCAAAACAAACAAAAAAAGAAACAAAGAAGAAAAACCTTAAGCATCTCTCTGATTTTTATTGTTAGTATAATATTGCTATTATAATTTTTAAACCATTATTGCATATTTTTGGGGAAAATACATAAATATTTAAGGAGACAAGATTTTCAGTGTAAGAAAAGGATAACGTAAGTATGAAATCAAATAACTTACAAAAAAATCATATAATGTTGAGTTTGAATTGGAAATATCTCTGAAGGAACTAGGTTCCCTTAAAGAAATGGCTAATTCAAAGTCTGAGGCAGTTAGGTAAAAATAGAGCCTGCAGTGCCATGGGCCAGAAAGCAAGGAAGTCTTCAAACAAAGGAACTAGCTGGAAGCAGCTTCCATTGACCAAATTTGGAACAAATTAAGCATCTGTAAAGAATAACTAAATGATTATAAAACATTGAATAAATAAAAACCCATGAGTTCTGAGGAGAGAGAGAGAGAAAGAGAGAGGGAAAGAGAGGGAGGGAGGGAGAGAGAGACGGGGCGGGGGAGAGAGAGAGAGAGAGAAACTCATTTGCTACAAGTGGAGGAGACATTTATATCAGCATCTTATTCTGGAATTAGGTAAGAAATTATTTACCATGTCATTTTTTTAAAGAACTGTTGAAACCAGTTAATATGTGAAACCTCTTTTTTTTTTACAAAAGAATGTCAGCTTTTTAATATTGAAGAAATAATAGAATTAGAAAAATCATCATTTTGGAACCTCCAGTGAAATATTGATTCAGGCAAAAAAGCCGAAATCACTAGGTGAGAAGCTGATGGGGAGGAGGATACTCACATAGTGTGTCCAAGTATCACCTCACATTACCTGTTAATTGCAAAGGGGGAAAAAACCTTGCCTTTACAGTGGAGATACTGATCACTTAACATACTGATCAAACCTAGTATTACTGACAGACAAGTTGAAACTATGTGACTCCCAGTGTGATTATTCGATTATAGCATCAGTGTGAAGTATCCCCAAAATGCTTAATCTAAATCTAATCAAGCTCTTAGACCCAATTCCCAGTTTACAGGAAAAAGAAGGATAAAAAGGAACCAGCTAAATGACACTAGGAGGAAACTGTTCAAATTGCCAAAAAGCAGCTTTTTTTTTGTACGTAGCTAGCAAAGAGTTTAATCAATGAAGCCTGAAGGATCTTTTAGCTTTGAAGGTAGACACATGGGTGTTGCTTCCCTCAGCTTTTACCGTGAGCCTTATTCTTTCATAAAGAATATGCTGCTGCTGCTGCTGCTGCTACTGTTGCTGCGGCTGCTGCTACTGCTGGTCTGGGCATTATGTCCAACTGTAAAGGAATATTCTTATACAGAAAAACAATTCCAATTTCAACATAAAAAAGCAATTTAAACTTGAGAAACATTGAGCTGCACCTAGAACTGATGTCTTTCTTTTCTAAATAGAAGAAGAAATTGTTCTTGTCTAAATACGGGCATTTTGATTGCTTGATTCCACTGATCCCTATTAGCTGCTTGCTACATTACATTCTAAATGGATGTGCACTTGCCTTCTTTGTCATGAAAGTAATTTAATCTCTAACATTGATTTTTTAAAATGTTCCTTGGACTTCTAACTGGATCACTTCTCATTGATGCTGTTACATTGCTATGGCATTTTGAACTTAGCAAATGACATTAAAAATCACCTTTCTTAAATTACATTTGAGCTTAGGCGAAATAGCAGAGAAGCACATGCTTTGTTCCTTTCCTACAAAATGAAGAGAGCTTAAACTAAGGGCTCTCTTTGGTTTGGAGGAGAGAAAGTCAGGGAGATGGCAGAGCAGCTGTGTCTTGTTTTTGAGAGAGGAGAAAATTCAGGCTCATACTTTTAGAGCTGCCAGGCAGCAAAGCTTCTGTGCAAAACTGCCCTGTTTTTGCCACTGGCAACTCCACCCTTGTTGTTCCCAGAAACACCCTCCAGTTTCCCTTCCTTTAAACTATCATTTTCCTCTCCCACTAGTTAGCAGAATCATTACTGTTAAATAATAACCAAGTAGATTTTCTTATACGGTTTGAAGAAACCAATTAATTTTATAGTCTTGCTACATTCATGTTAAATCTTAGGTAGCATTTCTATATTTTATATGTGGGTAGAAGAACTAGGCTAAAGGTAGAGAAACATGTTTACTGCATATGTGAATAGAGCACCTTATAGTCTTAACAAGAATTCACTGTTTTGGTCTAAGCTAGTAGTTCTCAGTGTGTAGTTCCTGGATTTACAGCATCAGCATCATCTGGGGACTAGTTAAATGTGCAAATTTTTGGGCATCAACCAACTTTCTGAATCAGAAACTTGTGTTGGAGACCAGAAATTTGTTTTAAAAACCCTCTAGGTGATTTCTTTTGCACACTAAAATTTTGGAACTACCTCTATGCCATGAGATTCCCTATATTCCTTTATTAAGCCAGCAAACATGTTTAAGCGTGTTCTTCGTATTATGATCCATAAAAAAATATAAAAATCTCTATCCTTAGTGTGGTAATATGGTATGTAGGGAGAACAGAGTTTACACAAAAAGCCATAACAGGCACTTCTGATAATCTGTTTTTGCTACTTCTGGGTTTTCCTAGGTTAGGGTCTGTACATAAGAGTGAATGAACCATACTAACCAATGGTGAGGAGGCAAAATTAACATATGTATTTGTAGAAAAGAACAGCTCCGGATGCGGTTGAAGACACCAAGTTTCAGACTCTGAGGATATAAAAAGAAGATTTTTTTCTATTTTATATTGAGAAAGAATGGCTAATCAAGAGCATTGAAAAATGGTGGGAGAGAAGATAGGCGAGCTAGGATAATCTAGCTTGAAAGGAAAATTAAATTATACACTGTCTACGTAAACAGCATTATCTTAGCCTGTTGACTCAGCTGGTTAGAGTTCTAAGTCACAGATTCAATTCCCTACTGAGAATGGATGAACTATTTTCATTCTCTGACTACAATTTACATCCCGCTTCACAATCCAAGACATCAAATACAGATGGAATGAGGGGTGGGTGAAGGATTGTGGATCATTACACATTCATCCCTCTTTGGGGGTGAATGACTGAAAGCTACTGAAGGTGGGTGGTAGCACCATCTTTGTAGGAGATAGTAGATAATAAATGGTAAATTTCTCAAATTCTTTCTCAAAGCTTTCATTGGTGTGAAGATTTTTTTTCTTTTTTAAGGTAAATTTACCTTTTTTAAGAAAGAACATAATTTCTCAAGGAAAGTTCATAAGGTATAATTTGTAAGACTATGATAATTTTTATGTTATATAACTAGTAAAATGTTTCATTTGGCAAAAATATTTATATCAGCATATAAGCATGTGGCTCTCCTATGCACATTAAATAAATGTTGATGATATTAAAAATTAGAGGTTAATCTCTTGCAACCTTATAAGGAGACAAAAATTAAATGCTTCACTCTTAAATATAGTAGGCTGAATCCACTAACATTAGCTATGGATGCCTCAAAGTTTCCATGCAAAATCTTGTTCCTAACTAAGCCGTAGGGAATTTCCTCAAGGTAAAACTTGAGCATAATATCTGTTCTCAGCAGATTGTTTTACACAGTTTTTGAGTGCCAAGTTATCATAAAAGATGAACATAGAGTGGAATACTCATATGCCAGTTTTTCCCTATGTGTAATGTTTGAATAAATAGGAAAAGTTTATAGTGGATGTAATGATAGTACTGAATGCCAGTGAAAAAAGAGTAAGTTTTCTTTATATTTCCCCAACATTTAACACCAGGAAACCTTCCTACATGCTTCAAGTGAAAACCCAAAAGATTGCTTTTTTTTAAAAAAATCACTTTTAAAGAAATAAAAGGTAGGATATCTATACACACATAAATGCATTCATAAATTAATAGCTGGGTATGTCGATCTTGGGCTGTATTCATGGAAATATGCCATGCTTTGTATATGAGCATAATGCCATTTGTTAGCTATCATTAAGTCTGTTTTTCTAATACAGGGATAAATAACGGTATGGAAATTTGAACTTACAAAAATATATTTTTAAAAAGCAGTTGATAATACATTGATTATTTAAACTTGATTTTCTAGTATAAAAACAACCAATAAAAAGGATTTTGTTTTCTTTTTGTTTAAGGGGTCTTACAGCACTTCAAATGTTCATTTTAAAAGCATTAAGCAAAATACTTTGGTTAAAATATCAATATTCTCCATAATATAGTAGGGGAAAATAAAATTTTAATTAAACAATTCACCAGATAATTAAATTATACTCTCTATGGAAACCAGGGATTAAAACCTGAAATGTCTTTAGGAGTCAGGCAGGTAATATAAATGGTGAAGCAGGCTGTGTGTTGCATGGAGACAATTCTTGAACTGAAGAGTTTACATTTAGCCTAGAGGAAGTAGCAGGACTCAGCTCAGTCCATATAGTTATACAAGTACAATGTTTTTAGATCTTTTGATTGTCAAAAGAAACTCCAAATCTTTTGAGACAGTCACGCTCTGTCTCCCAGGCTGGAATGTAGTGGTGCAATCTCTGCTCACTGCAACCTCCGCCTCCCAGGTTCAAGCAATTCTCCTGCCTCAGCCACCCCAGTAGCTGGGACTGCAGGTGCCCGCCACTATACCCGGCTCATTTTTGTATTTTTAGTAGAGACAGGGTTTTACCATATTGGCCAAGCTGGTCTCGAACTCCTGACCTCAAGTGATCTGCCTGCCTGAGCCTCCCAAAGTGTTGAGATTACAGGCATGATCCACCACACCTGGCCCAAATCTAGATCTTTTAAAAATACAACCTTTAAATTATTTAATTCTGGGAATTAAGTAATTTTTTAAAAACATTGTATTTTTCAAACAAAATATACCTGCTGGATATGATTTGCTCTGTGATCTATCAGTTTGTGACCCTTCATTTTAACCCCAAATTGCAGTATTCTCATCTGTCTTTCTCTGGCATATAAAATGCTGAATGCCAAATGTAGATAATCTCAAGCTATTGTAAAATGTAAGTGAGGAAATAACCAGGCTGGGTGTTACACATGTGGGGAGGATTGCTTGAGCCCAGGAATTCAAGGCCAGCCTGGGCAGCATAATGAGACCCCTTTTCTATAAAAAGAAGAGAGGAAAAGACTGACTATCATTGAATACTTGTTAAATATTTATTTGGAAAATTAATACAATATGCATTTTGGGGGAAGTTAAGGCCTCACCAGTATCAGCATGCACACCCATTGGCACATGAACTTGTTTCCACAGAATGAGTAAAATAGGAATGTTAATTTTATTGATCCAACACCACTGACTCATTGGGGAAAAAAAAGCCAGAGAGAGAGAGCTCTTTCTCTCTCTCTCTCTCTCACATACACACACACACACACACACACACACACACACGTGCGCACTGTGTAACATCAGTAGGAGTCACTGTACAATAGCATATCTGAAAGGCCAAGGTCCATATCTTTACAGATTAAGCTCTAATATATCTTCAACTTCATGCTGGGTGTCTAGTAAAGTATGTGTAAACATTAAGTAAAGTTTTCAGGACTTATTAGAGCATACTGTTTGAAAGTGACAGAGGTCTTGCTTTATAATTCTTATCGTCATTGAACTTCTAACACATGCAGACACAATATGGATCATTAACAGAAATGGTCAGTTCTTGCTGTGAATGAATGAGCCTGTTTTTATGAACTAAAGAGATGCATGTTGAGAAAAAGATAAGGAATAGTGGGGTTTTATTGTATTGATGGTTTAGAATTATCATCTCAGGTGCATATTAAATGTGTTAGAGGGTGAGCCTTTTTAAAGTAAGCATTTAAATTTTAAGTATAACATACATATGGAAAAGTGCATACATCATTAAACAGATTAATAAAGTTTTACAAGATAAACACATTTTGTATTTACTTTAGAGAAAGTAAACACAAAATAATACACAAGGCTGTGTATTATTTTCAAAGAACCAAGCTTGAAATTTTTTGAAATGACTTCATAATGCATTTTGCATATTTGGTTATTTCTGAAATATACCTCTCAAAACAACATTACCTCTAACTTGTGCAGTTTTATTTCTTCCCCCCACCCATTTTTTTTGTTCTTGATGACCCTTTGGTTAAACTTTGGATCATTTATTTCTGTAAAGCATTCATCTCCTAGAGTCTTTTCATCACACAACACCAAGGCTGTATCTTGAGCAAATTCCCCTTCCTTCCCTTCCTTCCTTCCTTCCTTCCTTCCTTCCTTCCTTCCTTCCTTCCTTCCTTCCTTCCTTCCTTCGTTCCTTCATTCCTTCCTTCCTCCCTCCCTCCCTCCCTTCCCTTCCTCCTTTCCTCCTTTCCTCCCTGTCTCCCTTTCTCTCTTTCTTTTCTTCTTTCTTTCTTTCTCTTTTTTGAGACAGGGTTTTGCTCTGTTACTCAGGCTGGACTGCAGTGACATGATCATAGGTCATGGCAGCCTGAATCTCCTGGGCTCAAGCGATCCTCCCACCTTAGCCCCTCAGGTCGCTGGGACTATAGTTGTGCACCACCATGCCCAGCTAATTAAAAAAATTTTTTTTTGTAGAGACAGAAGTCTCCCCACATTACCAAGACTGGTCTCAAACTCCTGGCCTCAAGCAATCCTCCTGCCTTGGCTTCCCAAAGTGCTGGGGTTACAGGTGTGAGCCACCCCACCCGACCCATTAGTATTGCATCTAAGTTATTCACTGGAGTTACAAGATAAACATTCTCTAATTTGATACTTACTTTTTGAAAAGAAGGACAAAAATATTACTTAGAAAGGGATTTTAGTCACAGTACCTAAAAATGTATAAATAATGCCATTACCTTTTAAAAATGATAAAATTTCTGTATTTTATTTATTTATTTGTATTTATTTATTTATTCATTTTGAGATTGAGTTTCTCTCTTGTTGGCCAGGCTGGACTGCAATGGCACAATCTTGGCTCACTGCAACCTCTGCCTCCTGAGCTCAAGCGATTCTCCTGCCTCAGCCTCCTGAGTAGTTAAGACTACAGGTGTGCGCCACCAACCACTATGCCCAGCTAATTTTTTTGTACTTTTAGTAGAGACAGGGTTTCACCATTTGGCCAGGCTAGTCTCAAACTCCTGATCTCAGGTGATCTGCCCTCCTCAGCCTCCCAAAGTGCTGGGATTATAGGTGTGAGCCACCACGCCCAGCCTAAATTTATGTATTTTCAAGTTAACTTTCTTGCAAAGAAGAGGAAGAAGGCAGCACATTCAGAAAAATTTATTATTAAAATTAGAGCCTATCGTTAGATTCATCTGAGCAATTTTACTATAAAGCATATACCTATAAACATATTATGTAATATCTCCTGTTTGAATAAAGCAGGTCTCCTGTTTGAATAATCAGGTCACATATCACAATCAAAACAATGATAAACATGTTGTAACCTAGTAACATGATTTAAAATTTCACTATCTTACATAATCAAAGTATCATTTAAGTAGGTGAGCCAAAATGATTACATGTACCTGAGACTATTAATCAAAAAATTCAGAAGAAAGTTTATTGTCTGCTTATGATAAGAATGCTACTTTCTCTACTTGGAGTTTCTGACTGATTACTTACATGAAGTTAGACTATGATGGTAGTGTTTTAAATTGACACCCAAAGATTCTCTGGCTCTTCTTCAGAGTGATGGTGCAAAGTAGGCTATCAATAATTATAATTGAGGGAGACAGCCCAAACTTGGAATGTTTTCTTTGATCTTCACGGATAATAATATACATATTACAGAACCACAGGCCATTGCATCAGTAAATTACTAATGAAAGTGTATCCGCTGGTCGCGGTGGCTCAGGCTGGGTGCTGTGGCTCACACCTGTAATCTCAGCACTTTGGGAGGCCGAAGTGGGTGGATCACCTGAGGTCAGGAGTTCAAGACCGGCCTGGCCAACATGGTGAAACCCCATCTCTATCAAATATACAAAAATTAGCGTGGTGGTGGGTGCCTGTAATCCCAGCTACTCGGGAGGCTGAGGCAAAAGAATCACTTGAACTGGGCAGGCAGAGGTTGCAGTGAGCTGAGATCATGCCATTGAACTCCAGCCTGGGTGACAAGAGTGAGACCTGTCCCAAAAAAAAAGAAAAAAAAGAAAGTGTATCATGTACTCTCAGTAAAATATTCCAGTAAAGTAGAATTTTCTCTGTTTTATTCAAATTTATTTATATAATTCATCCTGATTTATCTATATAATTTATTCTTATTCTTTTTTTTTGAGACAGGGTCTCACTCTTGTCACCCAAGGCTGGAGTACAGTGGCACAATCTTGGCTCACTGCAACCTCTGCCTCCCAGGCTCAAGCGATCCTCCTGCCCCAGCCTCCTGAGCAGCTGGGACCACAGGCATGCACCACCACACCAGGCTAATTTAATTTATTCTAATTTGTGAAATTCCGAATTTATTTCTAATTCAGATCTACTGTACTGTAAGTACCTAGACAAAATTCTTCATGGAATGCTCCCAGAGCAAGGCACTGATAATGATGTTTTGTGTATGGTTATATGACTAGCAGAGAGTTGAACGTATTTATGTGTATAAACACTGGATGATTTGGTCCATTCAATAGACATTGTGTTAGGTACTAAGGATTCAAAGATGAATTTTCAGCTTTGAGAAAGTCAGTAATAGTTAGTGGGACAGACACATAAACCCATAATTGCAATATGATATTGCAAATGTAAAGTAGGAAGCAGGCACAGAATGCTGTAGAAACACAGAAGAATTATGTGGACTATGGTTTTCATGAGTGTGCATCTCCAAGTAGGGAATCCAGTTTGGAGAAAATTTAAGTACAAAAGATAATGAGGGCCTGAATCAGGGCAACAGTCTGAGGGAAGGGGATGGAGTTGAGCAATACATAGGAGGTTTAAGAGGCAGGATTTAATGATTGATTAGATGAAAGGAGAAATACAGATAGAAAGAGAAAGAGATGATGAACAGAGAGAGAAAGAGGTGATGAACAGGCTTAGATGAAGGTGCTATTAATTGAGATTGGCAAGACAAGAGAAAAACCAGGTTTGGAGGAAATGTGGAATTGATTGGGGCAAGGAGCTGAAGTTGGGGTACTTGTGGCATATCTTTGTACATATGTCAAACACACAGTTTAAGAGTCTGAAGCTTGATTAAAGGTAAAATGCTAGTACTGGAGGAGATATTGAAGACCTAGGAGAGTAAAAGAATAATAAATGGGTCTTCATGGTGATACTCTGAATCTTATCATTATCCTGATCATTCTTCATCTAGCATCTTAAATACTCTTACATCCCCTAATTCCTCTCTGAATGCTACCACATCCTCGACTTCACTAAAACCAACCATGTTCTTATTCAAGGAAGCATTTGAGAGCTTAATATCAAATCAGCCTTGAGGCTGGTGTCACTTTAACATTATCTGAGATATTGCCCCTTTTCTTAGTGTTAGCAACAGTTCTTAATCCTCTTGGCTCATGACTGTATCATACTTCCCAGTCCATACTCCAAGTTGTTTAGCATTGCCTTACTCCCATAAATGCTCCTAGGGACTGGAACCATATCTAGACCTCATGTCTGGTTCCTTGCTGCAAGACTGCCTGACTCAGGGTGGCACCCTCGTGCCTGGGTCTGCTGCTTCTTCGTAGTGAACTTTTATTGTTTATGGATCCCAATGTTCACTCACACTCCTTCTAGGAAAGAACTTCAACAGATTTCCAAGTGATGAATTTCTCCCTTCCCCCATGGCACAGTTGGTTACTGTAAAGCTGACCCCAAGCCACTCTGCAAGAGTCTTCAGACAGTTATTACTTTAGATTAGCTTAACTCCAGTGATTCCTTTCCCCCAATTCGTGCGTGTGGATGATTTCTCACTTTTTCTGCTGGATGTGACTGAGAAAGCATTTAGCCCTGGGAGGTGCTGGTGATCTGAGAATGAAGTCATTCAAAGGAAAAAATGAAAAGACTATGTCCTGATAATAATATCTGGACCCTCCTTTGAGCTGCTTCTAACCCCAGATCTAAACCTGGGCTACTCAGTTATGTTATTTTTAGCATAAAAGAATTTGTGTTGGATTTTATTATCCTTCAACTGAAAAAAATCAATTTTCTTTTCCTTTGTTCCTTCCTTCCTTCCTGTTTTCTTCTGTCTTTCTCTTTCTCTCTTTCCCTCTTCCTTCCTTTCTCTCTCTTTCTCTCTTCTTTCCTTTCTATTTCTCTTTCTCTCTTTTTCTTTTTTTCTTTCTTTCTTTCTTTCGTTCTTTCTTTTTCTTTCTTTCTTCCTCCCTCTCTCTCTCTGTTTCTTCTTTTTTTTTTTTTTCTGATACAAGATCTTGCTCTGTCACCCAGGCTGGAGTGCAGTGGCACAATCACAGCTCACTGCAGCCTTGACCTCCTGGGCTCAAGTGATCCGCCCACCTTAGCCTCCCAAGTACCTGGGACTACAGGTATCAGCCACCACCCCCAGCTAACTGAAAAAAACATTTTTTCTTTTGTAGATACAGGGTCTCCCTATGTTGTCCAGACTGGTCTCAAGCTCCTGGGCTCAAGTGATCCTCCTGCCTCGGCCTCCCAAAGCATGGAGATTACAGGCATGAGCCACCGTGTCTGGTCTGTTTTGATTTTTAAAAGAAATTTATTGGCTCACATGATTGACAAATAGAGTAGTAAATCCCCAGGTATGGTGGCAGCCAGTGTGGAAAGCCTGTTCTCTCTAAAGAAGCTGGAAGTAGGAAAAGGAGGACTGGGTTGGGGGTTGGAGATGGCAACAGCAGGGTCCTGAATGCCTGGACTGGCTGAGAGGGGCTAGGCTGTTTGCTCACAGGATCTTAAACCAGAAGTAACTACTAGAAGCAATATTGCGGGAACTGCCACACTCAGGTCTGGTCCACACTGAGTCACTAGGGTGAAGAAAGGGAGTCTGGATTCAAAGCCAAATAAAATGGAGAAGGGGCACTTGAAGAGAGGAGAGGTTCCAATTAAGTGGTGGTGAGCAATGCTTGGAAATATTCCACCAGCTTAGAGTAGGGAATCTTCTTATTTCATTATTGTGGCTGTGGGCAGAAGAGCACTAAATCACTTAACGGAAAGACAGAAGGGCAGATTCTTGGACTTTTAGTCATCTCATTTTTGGGATTTGATTTGTATCCTGCTTGACACTGCTTACCTCTATATCCAGTCATCACCTGGCTTTTCTTTCTGCTTAGATCCATTCATTTAATCAACAAATATTTGCTGTCTGTTAAGCATTGTGTTAGGTGCTGGAGATGTAGCAGTGAACAAAACAAAACTGCTGCCCTCATAAGCTTATATTCTATATATTCAGAGACAGAGATAAATGAACAAATAGAAATAACCATGGGAATAATGATAAGTGCTATGAAGACAAATAGAGCAAGATCTGAATTAGGTCACGCAGAAACCCACGGGACAAGCTTTGCAGGCAGAGAGAACAGCATGTGCCACAGAAGCATGCTGGATCTGTTTGAAACCTGCAAGGAGGGCAGTGCATGAAAGGGGAGGCTGGCGGGAGAGGAAGTCGCAGGGATAGACAGAGGCCTGAGAATGTAGGAGCTTATGGGCCATAACAAAGACTCTGGATTTAGATGGTACTTGCTACTCTGATCCAGTTCTAAAATGCCAGCTCTTTGTGTTCAAGGTTCAGAGGGTTAAGAAAGAATGAATCAGAGACAGGACTTTGAGAGCTCAGGGAGTGGGTTAAACAGATGAGATAACAATGCTAAGGCTCTGGCCAAACTCACATCCCACAGTGCAACCACACCCTGCTTAGATTTCATTTCTATCTTTAAACTGGAGTTTGAGCAGAATGGGAGTGGAGGTTCAAACTGCCTCCTTGTGAGAATTCTCTTCTGATCTCTTTCCACTGCGTGCCTGGGCAGGGAAAATGGAAGATCGGCACAAGTGAGTGTGAGATCAGAAGAGAATTATGCAGCTGATACTCTAGTTAAAAGGAATTCTAGCATTCACCCCTACTCCAAAATTATCAGTGGCTATTTCTGCCAAAGCAAAGGTTGACACTATAATGCTATACTGATTTGCTCTTCATTTTACAGAAAGCATATTTCTATAACTTAAAGATAAAAGTCAAACAGAAGACCCTACATATTGTGATCTCTTAACTTGTCCTGATAAGTTAATCCTTTGGAAAGTATTGAATAATTTACCCTGCTTAGAAAAATATTCACTATTTGCTTTAAATGGTAGGCTTAAGAGTGATTTTTCTTTCTTCCATATTTTCTTTGTTGAATGGTAATTCATTGTATGGCAGAAAAAAGAAACTTTGTTAAAATGAAAAAGACATTTGTAAATATTTTGTATCAGAAACATCTATATTAGAAATGGATGCAAGCAAATGACTATACTCAGGTTTGGGGTTGGCAGAACAGAAGAATAGAATAGAATAGAATAGAATTAGAATAGAATAGAATAGAATAGAATAGAATAGAATAGAATAGAATAGAATAGAATAGAATAGAATAGAATAGAATAGAATAGAATCAAGTATTTTGAGAACTTAGATATTCTTTTAAATTATCCTGACTTTTTTAACATGAGAAAATTAAGTTTGAAGAAGTTTGGCTTAAGTTTGTCTTTCAAACTTTGCATGAAAATTTAGGTAATCTGTTCTATCTGTTAGGTAATCTGTTCTATCTGTTTTAACTTTTAGTTATCCCTGCTGTCAAAGGTAGTCATTTTATTGTGATTATATTTTTTGTAGATGCACAAAAGTCTGGAGGATGGTATCTCCCATGGGGTTGGTTATAGTATTTTGGCGAAAATTAGCTAGTCATTTATTTCATACATACAGGTCTATATCTATGTCTACGTTTACATCTTACCTATATTTTAACTGTAATTCACATAAAGAAATGTATTTAATATTGAGACCTAGCACATACACATACACTTAAAACAAAAGTTTCTTTCTTTTCTTCTTTGTTTTTCAATTCTATTTTATTCTTTTCTGTTTAATTAAACTTCTGGTCCCAATCCACTGAACTGATTTTATAACCCACTTTTGGGTCTCAACTCGCAGTTAGAAAAGAAAGTATGATTTTGAAAAAAAATTCTTTTGGATTGAGAACTAAAATTTAAGCTATTAGCTAATGATGAAATCCATAATGGCTGTAAAGTGAAGGTGGGGATTATTTTGGGATCATAGTCCTAGGCTTTGGTGGTTGCTATCATGGAATGAGTTTATTCTCTACTCCTGGACCTGATGGCCAATGGCCATAAGTTTGACCATAAATATGTCTTTTTTCTTGGTGCCATTGATTAGCTTAACTGGCCTTGCAGTACTAGCAAAAATATCACAAGTTCTTGAACCACTCGCGCTATACTATGAGCCATAAATATTTGCTTATAACTTTATACTTTAGGTTTCATTAGGCAGACAGAGAGGGAAATTGAGAGCAAAGTTCACTACTGAATTTATACATGAGATTCAATCATCAATCCAAAGTTCACTTAGAACTTTCAATGAAACTGTGAAGGCTTTAATCCTGTCCAATACATTGAAGTCCACATAAATCCCATATAAGTTAATTATTTTGAACAGATCTGTAGCTTAAATATCTCAGAACACATACCATCCTTTTTTTACTCTGTATCCCTTAGGCAACAGCAATGTGTTGAAACTCATTGTAGGGGATAGCTTTTGTTCTTGCCAACTGAATATCCATGAAGTCTATCCATGAAGTAACTTTCCTCTTGAGTACCATCCACCTCTTCCCCTTCTCAGTCTTGCAGTGTAAGTCATGAGGGTAGGGACCAATTCTCAGAACTGTTTGCTGGATTTTTGCAATACACCCACCCTCACCCCCCGCTGCCTCCTCCCTGACACCCCCTGTCATTGCATTTGAATCCTAAGGCATCCTCAACCTCACTCCAGCCTTCAGGGCCAATATTGAAAAGAGGCAAGAATCATCTAAAGAATTCTATGATGCAGCATCATGATTTTTGTTCCTAAATTGGTTTCTGACTTTGTGCCTCAGTTCTAATGATGGGTTATCCACCTTGATAGCTGGGTCCTGTCACTGTATGTAACTTGTCTATTCTCTGAAAACCTGACACTTTGCCTTACTCTTAGTTGATACTAGAGATTTAGATTATGACTGCATCAATTGTCTGACTTCGCTGGTACTACTGACCTGATTTACTGGCTCTCTTTACTTTTCTGTAAACTCTTGGGAAACTGATCTATAGTCACTAGGCATCTCATGATTAAGAGTGTTCCAGGCTAGGTGCAGTGGCTTATGCCTGTAATCCCAGCACTTTGGGAAGTCAAGGTGGGAGAATCGCTTGAGGCCAGGAGTTTGAGACCAGCCTAGGCAACAGCAAGACCCCATCTGTGACTTATTTCCTTGTAAAGACCACCTGAGGAACTACTTTCCTATGCTACCCCAAATTGTTGCAATGTTCCAGATACTCACTATTGCCAACTCACTGGGACATCTCTGTAGCTGAGTTGAATCTGAATGTCTGCCCCACTTCTGTAGATGAGTCTCTTACTAGAGGCCAACCCTTACTCCCTCGTTTTTTCCTGCTGCTGACTGGAACATAGCTAGTAGAGTCTCAAGACATGTAAGACTAACTTTTTATTGTCTTTCCCCATGTCTAACAGGGCATCTTGTTCAGAAAATAGTTGAATAAGCATGGCCATTTGAAAATTAGTATCAGATTTCACTTTGTTTGAGGGGTCAGATTGATTTACCAAATGAAAACTTGTACCTTGATATCTGTTTTAAATGAGAAAAACTTGAGAATAATGAGTCTACTTCTTCAAAATTTATTATGAAATAAAATGTCAAAAGTTCAAGTTCAGAATGATGTATATTTAAATGCAACATCCAACTTGTTTCATTTTGGTGCTAACAACTTTTGAGTACGTTCCATGAAACCTCAAACAGCTTTTAAATTTTGTCTTTAATTTTGCTATTAAACTATTTCATAGAGACTACAAAGAAAGAAGGAAAGGCAGAAAGAGATAAAGAAAAGGAAGGAAAGAAAGAAGGAAGGAGGAATGAATGAAAGAAAGAAGGAAACACAGAGAAAAAAGAAAACAGAAAGAAAAAAAAGAAAAGAAACCAATTGGGTTCCTTCGTAGTCCCCTGATGGGTCTATTAGTCTCTGGGATCCTAACTCTATTGTAAACACAATATTTGGGAATTTATTTTGAAAGAACTAGAAATTGGGTTTAACTAACATTATTATGTGTCAAGTTTCAGTTGCCAAAAACATTCTGTCCATAGAGAAAAAAAATAGATTGTTTTGCTTCCTAAGGAAATGCATTGAATTTGGAGTATGATGACTGAAAGTACATTGTGTTGGAAAGTTAAATGCAAGTTAACCAAATGCACATGGCATTGAAAATTTCTCTAAATGTTCTTTGTGGATTTCGGTATACAACCTTGGCACCCCCCACTTCTTTTTTTTTCTTTCATCTTTTCTTTTTTCTTTCCTTCCTTCCTTTCTTTCATTTTTCTTTCTTTTTTTCTTCAGATAAGCTTATCAGCCTTTCATAGGGATGTTTTCTGTATCTGGGTCCTAAAGTAGCAAAATAGATTTAGCTGTGAGGGAGTCAATGCAGAAGGAAAACAGTAAGATAGTATGCAGAACAAAATACTGCTATAATTGCTTTAAACGCGGCATCACGAGCTATTTGCATTTTTGTCAATTTGCTTAATTAAGCAACAGAATATTAAAAGTAGCTTTCAAGGGCCTCTCTGTCTCAGCCCAAAGGCAGACATGCAAACAAATAATTAGGATATAATGTAATGGCAAATCATAGTGGAATGAGAGACAAATTGTCTCCTGGATAAGTGAGTCATGAAGGCTTCAACAGTATAAATGATGTTTGAACTATGTCTCAAAGGGTGATAAGAATGTGCTGGATGGAGAGGAAAAGAAAGGCATTGTAGGGCAGTGAATAGCTAGAGCAAAGGCACTAAGCTGTGAAACTGCAGGGCATGTTAAGGGAAACAGTGAATGACCTGGTGTGGTTCTAGAAATATACTATGTTGGGAAACATATACTATGTTGGGAAAAGGGTTCTTGGCATGATGTGACTAGAAAGATAGATTGGAATCAAATGATGAAGAACCTTATATGTAGATCATATGATTTGGGACTTGATCTCAGGGTCCTCTGAAGTTTTTTTTTTTTTTAAATTCACCATATGTTTAATATTAAGAATACACATTTTTTTTTGTCATAGTGAAATAGGCCTTTTGGAGAAGGGACATCTTGGAGTAATTGATTTCTCTGCTGAACTCGGCCATTATTTATACTTTTTCTGAGGTTTCTAACATGATAAT
Source organism: Homo sapiens (assembly GCF_000001405.40). NCBI lineage: Eukaryota > Metazoa > Chordata > Mammalia > Primates > Hominidae > Homo > Homo sapiens. Next base: position 79,989,029 of record NC_000012.12, read on the forward strand.
ATTTCCTTCCATTTATCTACCACCATTCCGATATTGTTCCATTGCCCACTAGTTGTGATCTCCACACATTCATCAAATATTCATAAAGGGATCAGATCACCACAGTATTCCTTTGGCATGTCTGACACAACTTAATTTTAATGACTACTTCTTGTGCATAATTTTTTCTCTCCAGGAGGGTAAGCTTTGCTTGTGCTACCTACTCACCAGGCTCAGAGCTGCCTTGAAATAGAATTTGCAGCCTTCCTCATGTGCCTGTGGTATCATCAACCCAAACTCTCACAGCTTCCTTAATACCCAGCCAATTGCCAACATCCTCTTTCTTCAAGCAACTGGTGATTATCATTGCTTCCCAGAATGTATTTGATCCTTAGAACATCCATAGTTTAAAAAAAATCTTACTAACCAGGCAGTTAACATCCTTTTCATGGTCATCCATGGCTTGGTGGCCTTGGACATATGACCTCCATGTCAATTCAAGCAAGTTCTGCACCCCTTTTAGAGATTAGACTAACTTTTAATAAATATTTATTGAATACCCATTATGTGAGGGATGTCATAGGCATTGAAAGACAATGATGAATAAAACAAATGAGATATCTGCCCTCAGGAGTTTATGGCCTGTAACAGGTGTTGGCAAACTACACCCCGTGGGTCAAATCTGGCCCACCATCTGTTTTTGACTATAAAGTTTTATTGAAACACAGCCATATTCATTCTTTTGTGTATTACCTGTGGCTGCTTTTATGCTACAAAGTCAGAGTTACATAGTTGCAACAGAGGCTATGTGACCTGAAAATCCCAAAACATTTACTATTTCACCATTTACAAAGAGAGTTTGCTAATCCTTGGCCTAAACCAAGCTTCTTGAACAATCTGTAATGAAAGATTAGTTAAAAACTTAAAAAATTATTGTAGACATGTTTTCTAGCTTTTTATAAAAATGAGTTTTTAGAAAAACAAACAAAAAAATCAAACATACAAAATACAAGCTCAGAATACTATGTCAAATTGTTTTACAAGTTTCTAAATACTTAATCTAGTTTCTGTATTTATCTCCTGGATGATGAGTAATAAATAGTTCGCAGACAAGCACCCGTGAGCTTTGAGACCACACTGTGAGTAGTGCTAGCCTAGAAGTTAAGACAGAAATCAAGCAAATAATAACACTAATAATTATCCTAGATCAAATTTTACTAATAGCTATGATAAAAAATCATAAAGTGATATGCGGCTGAATTTTAGGGGAGACCAAGACAGGGTTTTATGAAGGGATGAACTTTGAGCTGAGATTATAGAGTGAATGTGAATTAACCAGACACAAAGTGTGTCTTTGCTGGGGTCTGATGATGTTAAAAGAACAACCATGGCAATGGAAATACATGTGCAAAAGCCCTAGGTGGGAATGAGGCAGGAGAACAGGGTCTAGAGGCAGGGAACCTAAGGCTGTTTCTTGCCGACTTCCTAGAACTAAAAAGAAAGGAAAACCCTAACTTTCCATGCCTAAGTAACAAAAGGACCAGAGGCTACTCCCTTTGCAAACCCCCCATCTTTTCTGGGCGGCCGATGGGAAATTGGCTGTCGGCAACAAATCATACTGCCAGTCTTCGTTTGCAACTTTGTAACTTCACTCCAGCCTCTGAATGGTTGCTGTCCACAACCAGTCAGACTGATTGCGGGCGGAGTCTTTGTTTGCATAGAGGTATAACTTTGTAACTCACCTTAGCCTCTGATTGGTTGCAAAAAGCAATGTTTGCACAGGAGTGTGAACTTTATAATTTCACTTCAGCCTCTGGTTGGCTGCTTTCTGCAACCAATCAGACTGATTGCGGGCTACCACTTCATTTACATGAGGTGAGTATGAAGTGGCCAATGGGAAACTTCTAGTGGGTATTTGGACCCAAGAAGATTCTGTATCCTGGCCCTTGAGCAGCTGTTGGGGCCCCTCCCACACTGTGGAGCGTACTTTCATTTTCAATACATCTCTGCTTTTGTTCTTTTGTTGCTTCATTCTTTCTTTGCTTTGCTGGGCGTTTTGTCCAGTTCTTTGTTCAAAACGCCAACAACTTGGAAAACTTGCAGTCAAGACCCTCTACTGGTGACAGGCAGAAACTTACTATGTGTCTGTAACTGTTTTAAACACTTTATGTATATTTCTCCTTTAATACCCTCTTCAGTCTATAAGGTCATTATCATCATCTCACTCATGCTTTTCATCATAAATTAAGCAATTCATTAACATGCCCTTTTTATCATCTATTTTATATATGAGAAACCTGAGGAGTAGAGATGTGAAATAACTTATTCAAAATCACTTAGATGGCTAGTGAGGCATAGAGTTGGAATTGGTTTCCAGGGGTATTTGATATCACAGTCTGTGCTTTCATCCATTGTGCTATGCAAGTATCATTTTTAATCATAATAACCCATGATTTCAACCCTGGAGGCATTTGCCTCTAGTTTCCAGCAATCCTAAACAACTATCTTAATTTTACTGTCTTCCTTGGCAAAGCTAGAACATATAATTAGCTTTATCAAATTTCCAACAATTTCCACATAAGTGGAGAACCAGGCTAGTCAATGAAGACTAGAATTAGGTGCCACAGCCTTTGGTAGCACCTAGTAGAAGAGGTATATGGCTTGTATCAGAATTAGGTTTATCTGTGAGTAATAGAAACCCTAAATGACACTTGCTTCAAGACTCTAACTTGTTTCTTTATTATGTAAACCTCCCCAGACGAGAGCTTATCCAGAGCTGTATTCCAGGAAGTCACCAAGGCCCGTATCTTGTGTTCTGACATCTGTAGCAAGCCATCTCATAATCCAAGATGACTGGACACTGTATTCATTTCTCAGGGCTGCTGTAATAAAGTCCTACAGACCAGGTGCAGTGGCTCACACATGTAATCACATCACAGCACTTTGGGAGGCCAAGGCGGGAGGATCACCTGAACCCAGGAGTTTGAGACCAGCCTGGGCAACCTAAGGTGACCCCTATCTCTACAAAAAAAGATTTTTAGGCCAGGAGTGGTGGCTCATGCCTGTAATCCCAGCACTTTGGGACACCAAGATGGGGGAATTGCTTGAGGTCAGGAGTTTGAGACCCATCTGGTCAACATAGTGAGACCCATCTCTATTTTTTTTAAAAATATAAACATATATTTATATATACTATATGATTATATGTAATATATATTATGTATTAAATGATATATAATATATACTATATAATATATATGTTAAATATGTATACCTTTAGCCAGGCATGATGGTGCACACCTGTACTCCCAGCTACTCAGGAGGCTGAGGTGGGAGGATCAGTTGAGCCTGGGAGACTGAGGCTGCAGTGAGCTATGATCACGCCACTGTACTCCAGCCTGAGTGACAGAGTGAGACTCTGACTCTAAATAAATACAGTGCTACAAGCTAGGTGGTTTAAAATAACAGAAATTTGTTATCGTAGCTCTGGAGGCTGAAAGTTCAATGGTAATGTGTCCGGAATTGGTGGATTCTTGGTCTCACTGACTTCAAGAATGAAGCCACGTACCCTCGCGGTGAGTGTTACAGTTCTTAAAGACGGCCTGTCCGGAGTTTGTTCCTTCTGATGTTCGGGTGTGTTGGGAGTTTCTTCCTGCTGGTGGGTTCATGGTCTCCCTGGCTCAGGAGTGAAGCTGCAAACCTTCGCAGTGAGCGTTACAGCTCTTAAGGCGGGGCCTCTAGGAGTTGTTCTTTCTTCCCGGTGGGTTTGTGGTCTCCCTGGCTTCAGGAGTCAAGCTGAAGCTTCAGACCTTTGCAGTGAGTGTTACCGCTCATAAAGTCAGGGTGGACCCAGAAAGCAAGCAGCAACAAGATTTATTGCAAAGTGCGAAAGAACAAAGCTCCCACCCAGAGGAAGGAGACCCAAGGGTTGCCACTGCTGGCTCCAGCAGCCTGCTTTTATTCTCTCATCTGGCACCGCCCCCCCCCCCCCATCCTGCTGATTGGCCCATTTTACAGAGAGCTCATTGGTCTGTTTTACAGAGAGCGGATTTGTCCGTTTTGACAGGGTGCTGATTGGTGTATTTACAATCCCCTAGCTAGACATAAAGGTTCTCCAAGTCCCCACTAGACTCAGGAGCCCAGCTGGCTTCACCCAGTGGATCCTGCACAGGGGTCACAGGTGGGGAGCTGCCTGCCAGTCCCGCACCATGCGGCCACACTCCTCAGCCCTTGGGTGGTCGATGGCACCGGATGCCGTGGAGCAGGGGGCGGCGCTTGTCGGGGAGGCTCAGGCGGCGCAGGAGCCCACGGCGGGGAGAGGGGGGAGATTCAGGCAGGGCTGCAGGTACAGAGCCGTTCCCCGCCGGGAGGCAGCTAAGGCCCAGCGAGAAATTGAGTGCAGCGCCGGTGGGCCAGTACTGCTGGGGGACCCGGCGCCCCCTCCGCAGCTGCTGGCCCGGGTGCTAAGCCCCTCATTGCCTGGGGCCGGCAGGGCCCGCCGGCCGCTCCGAGTGCTGGGCCCGCCAAGCCCACGCCCACCCGGAACTCTAGCTGGCCCGCAAGCACCGCTGCAGTCCTGGTTCCCGCCCGGGTTCCCGCCTGTGCTTCTCCTTCCACACCTGCCTGCAAGTCCAGGGAGCCGGCTCCGGCCTCTGCCAGCCCAGAGAAGGGCTCCCACGGTGCAGTGGCGGGCTGAAGGACTCCTCAAGCACAGCCAGAATGGGCGCTGAGGCCGAGGAGGCACCGAGAGCGAGGGAGGGCTGCCAGCACAGTGTCACCTCTCAGTAAGGCCTTGCCATCACCAAGGTTTTCTCTGAAGAATGTGGGAGATGCTGCTACTTTGCCTCTTCTAGCTTATGCTCTTTGCTGGCATTCCTTGATTTCCTTGGCTGGCAGATCCATTGCTTTTATTTCTGTCTCTGTCATCACATGACTTTGTTCTGTCTGTGTCTCTCCACATCATCTGCCCTCTGTGCCTGTCTTTGTGTCTTCACATGGCATTCTCCCTGTGTGTTTCAATTTTCCTCTTCTTATATTTCTTCTTCTGGAAATATAATGACCTATTCTTAACTTGGTTAAACCTATAAAGACCTGTTTTCAAATAAGGTAACATTCACAGGTACTGGGGATTACGATTTCAGCTTTTTTTGTGGGGAAGGAGGAGGTTGTAACAATTTAACCCATAACATGTTCCAAAATCATGTTTACATTCCAACTTTCATAAATAGGAGATCATGCCTCTTTCCCTTAAGAATACTTTCTATTATATATGATGTACAGAAAAATTCTGCTTATACTGGTCCTGTATAGGTGCAAATGAGTTGGTCAGCTTTGTGCCCAGCTAAATCAGAGGTTCTGGTACTAAGGAAGAAGGAATGCATCCATATTGAATGACAGCAAGCAGTACCTGCCATATGGTCTACAATTACTCTTCACACCTGCTACACTTTGTCATTTCTTGATCTATTGGATTGCAATGTTTGACACTCCCACAGAAAGCTACTTCATCACACACATCACCTGTTTTAGGCTGGAACAGAGATGTAGGGCTCCCTGGAAGTTTTTAACAAGCCACTACCATGGTGTAGTGGGGAAATACAATTGGAATCGGATTGTAGTTGTATAACTTACTGATGTGATCTTGAGCTATTCAGTAAGCTCTAAGTCTCAATTTCCTCATCTGTAGATTGGGGATAATCATTTCTGCCTCATGTAATTGCTATATGGCTTCAGTGGGATAGTATTTGAAAGTTCCTGGCACAAATCAGATACGTTTTAACTGTTTGTTAGATACGGATCTAGGAAGGAGAAGCAGGAGGAAAAGAAAAAAGGAAGGAGGTGGGGGAGAAAAATGGCTTTCTTGACATAACAGTGTCATTTAAAGAGAAGCTTGAGAAAAATGGATATTTCCTTAAGTGTCCTTTTAAGCAAGTCATGGTTCTTTTGAGAGAACAATGATCTACCTACTTTCAGCAGTTCTTTTGATATGATATATAACCACCTCACGCTATACTGAATTATTATTTGAGGAGTAATTCTCAGCCTTGTCAGAAAGAAATATCACTGAACAGATAATATCACAAGCCCCTAAGAAGTGACAGCTATTGTGATTGCAGTAACTTAGAGGAGTCCAAATGATTTTTTGGGCATTATATAGGTAAAACATACAATATTTCTGGCAGGCATTTTTTATTTTATTTTTAAGTTCTGGGGTACACGTGCAGGGTATGAAGGTTTGTTACATAGGTAAATGTGTGCCATGGTGGTTTGCTGCACCTATCAACCAACCCATCACCTAGGTATTAAGCCCAGCATGGATTAGCTCTTTTTCCTTATGCTCTCCTTCCCCTTCCCCACCCTCCCCCAACTAGCCCCCGTGTGTGTTGTTCCCCTCCCTGTGTGCATGTGTTCTCATTGTTAAGCTCCCACTTGTAAGTGAGAACAAGCGGTGTTTGGTTTTCTGTTCTTGTGTTAGTTTGATGAGGATGATCATTTCCAGCTTCATCTGTGTCCCTGCAAAGGACATGATCTCATTCCTTTTTATGGCTGCATAGTATTCCATGGTGTATATGTGCCACATTTTCTTTATCCAGTCTACCATTGATGGGCATTTGGGTTGATTCCCCATCTTTGCTATTGTGAATAGTGCTGCAGGGAACATACGTGTGCATATATCTTTAAAATAGAGTGATTTGTATTCCTTTGGGTATATACTCAGTAATGAGATTGCTGGGTCAAATGGTATTTCCAGTTCTAAATCTTTGAGGAATTGCCACACTGTCTTTCACAATGGTTGAACTAATTTACGTTCCCACCAACAGTGTAAAAACGTTCCTAATCTTCCACAAGCTCGCATTTTTCGAGCATTTGTTGTTTCTTGACTTTTTAATAATTGCCATTCTGGCTTGTGTGAGATGGTATCTCATTGTGGTTTCGATTTGCATTTCTCTAATAATAAGGAATGTTGAGCTTTTTTTCACATGTTTCTTGGCCACATGTATGTCTTCTTTTGAAAATTGTCTGTTCATATCATTTGCCTATTTTTCAATGGGGTTGCTTGTTTTCTTCTTGTAAATTTGCTTAAGTTCCTTGTAGAATCTGGATATTAGACCTTTGTCTGACAGACATTGTAGCAAATAGAGTCAGCTATTTGTCCCACAATATACAATCCCTCTCCCTTTCCATGTATGTAGTCAGTCAAATTTTTAGCTGGGACACATGGCCACCTACCAAATGACATTTCTCAGCCTTCCTTGCAGGTAGGTGTGGCTATATGATCAAACATTTGCGAATGGATATGAACATAAGTAATGTATGCAACTTCTGGTCATTTTTTGTTTGTTTTTTTGTTTGTTTTGAGATGGAATCTTGCTCTGTCTCCTAGGCTAGAGTGCAATGGTGCCATCTCGGCTTGCTGCAGCCCCCACCCTCCAGGTTCAAGCGATTCTCCTGCCTCAGCCTCCTGAGTAGCTGGGATTACAGGTGCTTGCCACCATGCCTGGCTAATATTTGTAATTTTTAGTAGAGATGGGGTTTCACCATGTTGGCCAGGCTGTCTTGAACTCCTGACCCCAGGTGATCCACCCACCTCAGCTTCCCAAAGTGCTAGCATTATAGGCGTGAGCCACCACACCTGGCCCTGGTCATGTCTTTAAAAGGGAGAGATATGTCCTTCAATTTATCTTTTCTCTTTCCTGTTACCTGGGATGTGGATGTGGTGTTGAACATTTTTTGACATGGGCAACTACTTAGGACAGTAGAACAACAAGATGACAGAAGCCTGGGCCCCAATATCAAGGAGCTGCTCTTCCAGCCAAGTTTTGCTTAAACTTGGATTGTTACATGAAAATAAACTATTTTGCTTAAACCACTGTTATTTTGGGGTTTTATTATAGCAAGTGAACCTGTATCCTAAAAATGACAGGTTTTGGTAACCTAAAAATGGGCACTGACTGAGTGGCCAGGCAGTGGGTACAAGAACACAGTTAATATCATCTGGAAGGCTGTCCACATTTATTATACTGTGGAAAAATATTTGGAAAGCTGTCATCCACAATAACTTGGAAAGCAGACCAAATGCTCTTGGAAGCCATAGCTTTAAAAGAAAAGGTTAAAAAAAATTCAAGATGTTGGAATGTATTGGCTGCTTCTTTACTTCTTTCAGTAAAGTTTTCAAAACAGATATGGATTGAGTCCAGTTGCAAACAAAGATGAAAGAGAATACAACTTTCCTAAGAGAAGACTAATCATTGAGCAATTTAGGGCCCCCAGAAGGTTGAAAGAACCAATTGCTTCTGCAGTACAAATGAAAGTAATGACAAGCGGTGGCTATGAGGAATAGATGTGGCAGGAAGATAGTTTCAGTTCCTCTTTACTACCAGCTCTCTCCCCAGCAAGTCCAAATAAAAATAATAATGTTTTCAAACAGATTCTCATAAGTGTTCAATAAGGCATCTTTTACAATTTTTAATTTTTCCACTGGGACTAACAATTTAAAAGGAGTGTTCTTACTATTCAAATAGAGCCTTAAGTAAATTCAGCCAGTCCAAAGATCTTCAAAACAAAATATGCACATTCTTGGGTTACAAGAATTATTCCCAGGGGAGCACTTGGACACATATAACTTTAACTTTCATGTTTATTATTTCAAAAATTGAACTGCCTGAGAATTTCCCCATGGTCAAGAGCCATTGTACTTCTTTATTGTCTTCCCTTTCACAATTGCCCTTGTCCCACTAAACTTCGAAAGGTCTACTACCTCTCTCCCATCTCCAATCTTATAATACTGTAAATGTACAATACTTTATGATATTTGCAATGATTTATGGCTAATACATATAATAACCAGATGATTTTTAATGAAACACTTAGACCATTGAGATCATAGAGAAAAACCTATTTACATAATTTCAATTTATATACATAGTTTTATTGCAAAGAAATATGATGAAGGTGATCAATGTGAGGGTGTAAGCACAAAAATATATTAACGTACAATTCTGTGAGGGAGTGAAAAGGAAACATGAATTCAAGGAGCAAAAGGGACTATTAAAGAGCAACTTATTGACATTTAGAAAAATGAATGATGGTAGTGTTAAATCACCATATTATTTACATTCTTTAAGTAATATAATATTTTTAAAATATCAATATATACAATATGTTGGAATTGCCTCTTTTGCTACTAGTGGTTAGACTTATGAGAACATTTTTATATTTAGACTTTAAAACGTTTGAGGGACTTCATAGTATCTAAATGTTCTTTAATTGTATATTCCAAGCAAAAATGTTTTAAGAGCACATTTCTTTCTTTTTCTTTTTTCTTTCTTTTTTCTTTTTTTTGAGACGGAGTCTCACTCTGTTGCCCAAGCTGGAGTGCAGTGGTGCAATCTCGGCTCACTGCAACCTCCACCTCCTGGGTTCAAGCGATTATCCTGCCTCAGCCTCCCCAATAGCTGGAACTACAGGCACATGCCATCACACCCGGCTAATTTCTATTCCCCATTACACCTAAATTACTCCCCATAAGCCCCTTGTAGATGTGGAATTATGGCCCCTTGGTTTGCTCCTGAGCAAATAATCCTTTGTTTGGAATTGTGGATGACTCCTGGATGGTTGTATATTGTCTAGGGAGCCAAATGAGATCAGCAGAAGTTTTGTCTGCATGAAGTATAGAGGAGGTTAAGCTTCAGACTTGGGCATAATAGATGGGCCTTTCAGTTTAAGTATAAACAGTAACAGTAGGTTATTTGAGGTGAAGAAACATACATGGAAATGGCAACAATGTGCGCCTTTCTTCTTTTTATGAGGCTTTCCTTTTCAGAAAAGTTGAAAATATAACTTTCTCAGTCCTTCCATATTTGATACTGTCACTTGGAGATAATCTTGCTGAAACAGTGTTACTCTACATGTTTTTCTTGTATCCAAAGCAAATACTAGTTTCCAGATCTTTGTATTTTTCAAATAGGACTGTTAGAGTTCTCAATTATGAACTGCATTCATTCTGCTATAGCTAGAAGGCTTGGCAAGTGTTTTATAACAGAACATTGTATACCTTATTAGGTTTGTTACTTTTTTTTTTTTTAAACAGTGGAGATTTGGAAGAACAAGTCAATGGAATGTTTTATTAACACTGTAGCTTGATTTTCTAATAAGGAAAAAATTATTAGACCTGTATTAGCACACCGATCAATTCTTAAAATATATGAAGATAAGGATTGAGTGTTATATTAATAAAACTTTAATTTCTCTTTAGCAGAAGAAATTTCCTCTCCACTATAGTTTGTACTTATTGTTCCTGTTAAAGCCAACTATAAAAGACTAACAAAGCATGTTATAATTTGTCTTCTAACTGGAATATATTGATTTTTTATGTTTTACCAATTTTCCCCATGGAAATAAGAGAAATAAGTCTTGCATTTACTTTACCTGTGGAGTTGAATATTCAGTAGGGACTCTTATCCTGCCATATTTCTCTGGGAACTGCTCATTCTACAGCAGGAATGTCTCCCTCTCCTAATAGTCTTATTTCTATGAAAAGACCCACTTCCAAAGTACTAAGTTGATTGGACCCAGGATTGGAGCTTTCCTCCCCTTCTCAACCTAAGCTGAGCCAATCTGATTCTCTTTCAGGAATTTAGCAGCAGGGCTGAGAGACTGGAATTTGTTCTCTACCTGTGACTGAGCCTTTTGCTTATTATCTTGGAGCTGAGGACATAGCTTGCCTTTGCAAAAGAAAAGATGTCTGATCCCTAACATTAATCGAACCAGGAGCAAGAGTACAAATGGTGGCTCTCATAACTGTGTTTAAATATTTGAAAGGCCATAAATTAAGAAAACAAACTACAAATAAGTTTTTTTTTTTTTTTTAAGACGGGGTCTCACTCACTCTGTCGCCCAGGCTGGAGTGCAGTGGCATGATCTGGAGTGCAGTGGCATGATCTCGGTTCACTGCAACCTCTGCTTCCTGGGTTCGAGTCATTCTCGTGCCTCAGCCTCCTGAGTAGCTGGGACTTCAAGCACCTGCTACCATGCCCAGCTAATTTTTGTATTTTTTGTGGAGATGGTTTCACCATGTTGGTCAGGCTGGTCTTGAACGCCTTATCTCAGGTGATCCACCCCTTTGGCCTTCCAAAGTGCTGGGATTACAGGCGTGAACCACCACACCCAATTCAAAATAAGATCTTTTCTATCTTTATATCTTGACAAATAGATTTTATAACTACGTAGGAGGTGAGGTTTGAACATTTGAAACTCTGTGACCCCTTGGAATTTTACAATGGAAAGTGACTTTTGGGGGAGAGATGCCACGTGGTCTTTTCCCTTTTCCATCAAGTACCACTAAGGGCCACACACTGCATGTACATGGACACCTCAGGATCCTATCCAAGCACCATCCACAATCCCCCCATACAGTTGCCCCTTGACTATGCTTTGGGACCAGAGGGGCACACTGATGGAACAGTCTGCTCTTGGGAAGACAGACCCAGGGAAGAGGCTAGTGCAGGCCTTGGGAATAAACTCAGGTATTTTCTTCCTGAAAATTCTGGGGCCTCAAGTACCCACATCATGTTGTAGAAGGGACTATGTAGACTCTGGAAGGACACAATTTCATAAATGCGTCAGCTCCTTGAGTCATCGAGAAGGGCGTAGATAGGGACAGGAAAGATTGGGGCCCGCTAAAGGCCCTCTTTCATAGCGCTGCTGTTTTTCTGCTCATTTTTTTTTAAAGACACCATGGCATTCTTATATAACATTTCTCCATTTATCTTAAGCTAGTTTGATGTGGTTTATATTAGTTGTAATAAATGAAACCTAGCAAAATCAGGATGCCCAACTAGGAGACTTTGAATTGCTGATCCAATTAGAATTTTATTACCTGAATTTATATATTTATGATGCTTTTAGTGTACAAAGTGATTTCATATTCACTTTATAATTCCCACAGTACCCTATGAGGTAAAAATCTCTTCCCCTTTTGCAGATATAGAAACGGAAGCTCAACTAACTTGTTCAACTTGCCAAACAAGATTCCTTATGGATCTATTTCTTTCCAGACATTGATGTGCCTAAAGAAAGCAATCAGTAGGTGCTAACAGTAAAGCAAAGTGCATGTTAATAGGAAAGCATCTCTTCTCACAAAAACTATTAAGAAAAGAGAAAAAAATAGGCAAAAATATCATTTTTGAAAAATAGACAAAAACATCATGCAAATGTTAGTCAGGTGTGGTGGCCCAAGCTGCAATTCCAGCACTTTGGGAGGCCAAAGTGGGCAGTTGCCTTGAACCCAGGAGTTCGAGACTAGTCTGGACAACTTAATGAAACCCCATCTTTACAAAAAATACAAAAATTAGCCAGGCACAGTGGTGCACAACTGTATTCCCAGCTACTCTGGAAGCTGAGGTGGGAGTATCACCTAAGCCCAGAGAGGTTAAGGCTGCAATGAGCTGTGATTGCGCCACTGCACTCCAGCCTAAGTGACAGAGCAACACCCTGTCTAAAAAAAAATGCAAATGGTAAGAATCAGAGACTTCAGCTGGTAGTGTCCTTTCATTTGGTGGCCTGCACCCGGTGCTAAGCTAGAAGTATACTTTCTAAGTGTGGGTGTGCAAGATGTAAAGCCAAGAAGGACTTTTTCCAGAGTCAATGGGAATTTGGGATGGGGAGGGGAAGCAGGTATTAAATCTCTAACTGAGGTATGCAGGGATTCTACAGGTAGCTGGTTCTATCTCTGGTTACAGAATGAAAACAAAGGTGTGGAATGTGGGCAGGGCACTCTTCTCTGGTTTTGGCAATCTGCCTCCCTGAAAATGGAGTTGGGGCAGATGCACAGAGCATAAGTCTACTGGTATTTAATAGCACCTTTGAGCAGCCCAAGGAATGGTGGTGGTTGTATGTATGTATGTATGTATGTATGTGTGTGCATATGTGTGTCCTTCAAGCCAACTAATACACTGCAATTATTATGGTGTATTCATTTTCACACTGCTATAAAGATACTATCTGAGACTGGGTAATTTATAAACAAAAGAGGTTAAATTGACTCACAGTTCCACATGGCTGGGGAGGCCTCAGGAAACTTACAATAATGGCACAAGGTGAAGGGAAAACAAGTACCTTCATCACAAGGTGAGAAGAGAGAAAGAGAGAGCTCAAGGGAAACTGCCACTTTTAAACCATCAGATCTCGTGAGAACTATCTCACTATCACAAGAATAGTATGATGGAAACCACCTCCATGATCTAATCACCTACCACCAGGTCCCTTCTTCAAAATATGGGAATGACAATTCAAATGTGAGATGAGATTTGGGTGGGGACACAGAGCCAAACCATATCATTCCACCCCTCTCAACTCCCAAATCTCATGTCCTTTTCACATTTCAAAACCAATCATGTGGCTGGGCGCAGTGGCTCAAGCCTGTAATCCCAGCACTTTGGGAGGTCGAGGCGGGCGGATCACGAGGTCAGGAGATTGAGACCATCCTGGCTAACGTGGTGAAACCCCGTCTCTACTAAAAAATACAAAAAAAATTTAGCCGGGCGTGGTGGCCGGTGCCTGTAGTCCCAGCTACTTGGGAGGCTGAGGCAGGAGAATGGCGAGAACCCGGGAGGCGGAGCTTGCAGTGAGCCAAGATCGCACCACTGCACTGCAGCCTGGGCGACAGTGCGAGAGTCTGTGGGCGACAGTGCGAGAGTCCGTTTCAAAAAAAAAAAACAAAAAAACCAAACATGCAATCATGCATGACTTTGGAAAAGCCATAACTCATTTCAGCATTAACTTAAAAGTCCAAATCCAGCTAGGCACAGTGGCTCACACCTGTAATCCCAGCACTTTGGGAGGCCAAGGCGGGCGGATCACGAGGTCAGGAGATGGAAACCATCCTGGCTAACATGGTGAAATCCTGTCTCTACTAAAAATACAAAAAATCAGCCGGGCATGGTGGTGGGTGCCTGTAGTCCCAGCTACTCGGGAGGCTGAGGCAGGAGAATGGCGTGAACCCAGGAGGCGGAGCTTGCAGCGAGCAGAGATCACGCCACTGCACTCCAGCCTGGGCGACAGAGCAAGACTCCGTCTCAAAAGAAAAAAAAAAAAGTCCAAATCCAAAGTCTCATCTGAGACAAGGCAAGTCTCTTCTCCCTATGAGCCTGTAAACTCAAAAGCAAGTTAGTTACTTCCAAGATACAGTGGGGGTACAGGAATTGGGTAAATGTTCCCATTCCAAATAAGGAGAAATGTGCCAAAACAAGGGGGCCACAGACCCTATGCAAGTCCAAAACCCAGCAGGGCAGTCCTTAAATCTTAAAGCTCTAAAATGATCTCCTTTGACTCAATGTCTCACATCCAGAGCATGCTGATGCAAGGGGTGGGCTCCGAGGGCCTTGTGCAGCTCCGCGCCTGTTGCTCTGCAGGGTACAGCCCCTGTGGCTGCTTTCACAGGCTGGCACTGAGTGCCTGCAACTTTTCTAAGTGCACAGTGCAAGCTGTCAGTGGATATTCTGGGGTCTGGAGGATGGTGGCCACTAGGCTCCACTAGGCAGTGCCCCAGTGGGGACCCTGTGTGAGGGCTCCAACCCCACATTTCCCTTCTGCACTGCCCTAGCAGAGGTTCTCCATGAGGGTTCCACCCTTGCAGCAGATTTCTGCCTGAGCATCCAGGAGTTTTTATACTTCCTCTGAAATCTAGGCAGAAGCTCCCAAAGCTCACCTCTTGCCTTTTGCACACCCACAGGCCCAACACCATGTGTAAGCCACAGAGGCTTGGGGCTTGCACCCTCTGAAGCAATGGCCCTAGCTGTACCCTAGCCCTTTTTAGCCATGGCTGGAGCTGGCATGGCTGGGAGGCAGGGCACCAAGTCCCAAAGCTTCATAGAGCAGTGGGGCCCTGGGTCTGACCCATGAAGCCATATTTCCCACTCTAGGCCTCCAGGCCTGTGATGGGAAGGGCTGCTATGAAGGTCTCTGACATGCCTTAGAGATATTTTCCCCATTGTCTTGGCTATTAACATTCAGCTCCTTGTTACTTATGTAAATTTCTGCAGCTGGCTTGAATTCCTCCTCAGAAAATGGGTTTTTCTATTATATCACATGGACAGGCTTCAAATTTTCCAAACCTTTATGCTCTGCTTCCCTTTTAAACGTAAGTTTCAATTTCAAACCATCTCTTTATGAGCACATATAACTGTACACTTTCAGGAAAAACCAGGTCACATCTTGAATGCTTTGCTGTTTAGAAATTTCTTCTGCCATACCCTAAAATCATCTCTCTCAAGTTCAAAGTTCCACAGATCTCTAGGGCAGGGGCAAAATGCCTTGTCTGTTTGCTAAAGCATAGCAAGTGTGACCTTTGCTCCAGTTCCCAATAAGTTCCTCATCTCCATCTGAGACCACCTCAGCCTGGACTTCATTGCCCATATCAGTAGTTTGGTCAAAACCATTCAACAAATCTCTAGGAAGTTCCAAACTTACCCACAATTTCCTGTCTTCTTCGGAGCCCTCCAAACTGTTCCAACCTCTGCCCGTTACCCAGTTCCAAAGTTGTTTCCACATTTTTAGGTATCTTTATAGTAGTACACACTTCTGGTACCAGTTCTCTTTTAGCCCATTTTCACACTGTTATAAAGAACTATCTGAGACTGGGTAATTTATGAAAAAAAGAGGTTTAATTGAGTCACAGTTCTGCACGGCTAGGGAGGCCTCAGGAAACTTACAATCACGGCAGAAAGCAAAGGAGAAGCAAGCACCTTCTTCACAAGGTGGCAGGGGAGAAAGGGGTAGGGGAACTGCTACACACTTTTAAACCACCAAATCTCATGAGAACTTACTTGCTATCATGAGAACAACATGGGGGAAACTGCCCCCATGATCCAATCACCTCCCACCAGGCCCCTCCCTTGACATGTGAGGATTACAATTTGAGATGGTATTTGAGTTGGGGCACAGAGCCAAACTATATCAGAAGGCCATCAGTGGAGGGCTCTTATGCACAAACGCCTGATAACAAGAACTATAAAAAAAAACTGCAAAAATCATGATCTTGCACAAAGGTCATTGCAACTGTACACACAAAAAATATTTCTGTGAGGACATCTGCCCAGTCACTGTCTATCCAACTTTGAACTGGCATCATCCTTGTTAATCTTTGTAACCAAGGATAATTATCCCAAAATGATTATGTAATCTTCATAATTTTTTAAAGAAACTTCGTCTTCTTTTATCCTCGGAATATGCACATTAGTTTATTATCCATTGTATTCCCATTGCAATGCCTTTTCCCAAATAAACATAATTTTCTTTTAGAGTTTCTCTCTCTCTCTCTGTTTATGATTTAGGTTGACAAGGGTTTGCAAATGGAAATTTTTTAATTTTATCATTTCATTTGCATTTATTAGCTGGTATGTTTGATGACTAGAATGACCTTTCTCATATATCAAGGATATTTGGTTACCCTGAAATACAGTTTATACAAGAAAGGAAGGACAAGTGCTTAATTCTTTTTATTTTACTATTAATTTACAGGGTAATTATTTATTGCCCTAGCAACTTTCTGTGGTATTTAATGAGTTTTGTTTGGAGCTCCATCTGCCACCCTTTTTAAACTGATTAACTCATTATTAATTCTTCTATGTTCCTGTGTTTTACTAAATTGCATCTTTATTTTTTTGATGCTTAAATTGTCTCATCTTTGGTTAGTGGGAACTTCAAGCATGCTCTGTGTCCCTGGGACATGGTCTGATTACCCTTTGATAACATTTTTGCTTTCTGGCATATCATGATATCCCATATCCATATTGCACTTTTCCTGCCTCAGATGTGGGACCAACCACTTTTGGAAGGTGTTCTGGTTCTTTTTGGTGAAAAATAATAATAGTCTAGAGGCCAAGTACTAGGATGATATTGCTTCTAAGACTTTTTTATGAAGAGAAATAGGAAAAATGTATTTTTACAATAAAAAATTATTAAATGAAGTTGTCATATAATTTTACATAGTCAATTTTACTTTCTATAGAAAGGCTGCTTTTGAACTTCTCATCTAGTGGTGGCAAGCATTAAAAAATTTATTTTATCAGAATAATAATAAAATTGTCATAACTGATTTCATTTAAAGCAAAATATTGTACATGTCTCCTGCACTCAGTAATATGAAGTGCACAAATATCTCTTTATTAGAAAACACAAAATAAATTATTTCTAGGGATGGAGAAAGACAGTAGTCAGCTATTACATATATTCCCAACTGAAGCTGATAACTGATGAATACAGTGATTTTTCTTAAACATCAGCTAGCCCTTTTTTTCATTATGTTCAACTGACTTCTTGGAAGTTATTGGAGAAGAGTGTTGTTTTCCCATCATAGTTCTTTAATTGTGATAAAGCATATTTTCAGAATTGAAAAGGCCACCTCCCATACCCTCTTCACTCATACACCCATTCTGTCCATGGCAAATTTTTTGTTTTCTTTAGAAATTACAGTGATTGCAAATTCTGCTGTGGATAACAAAGAAGCCACACCAGCAATATCAGTCGGAGCTGTTCTTACGATCATAATTGGCTTAATTATTCTTATTTATTTATTTATTTTGAGATGAGTCTCACTCTGTCGCCCAGGCTAGAGTGCAGTGGTGCAATCCCGGTTCACTGCAACCTCTACCTCCCGGAGCTCAAGTGATGCTTTTGCCTCAGCCTGCAAAGTAGCTGGGATTACAGGCACCCACAACCACACCCGATGTCAATGATTCTTTTTTTTTTTAACCATATTCATAGAATCCTCAACCACAGCATTATAATGGACTTCTGGGAAACTTTGCACATTTTCTTAATTATTAATTACATTTCAACACTTACATTCTTAGCAACATTCTTTGTAATAATTATGCATTTCTATTAATTATTTCTATATGAATTTTTAAATTTTCATCAATTGGAGTTAGCGAATCCTAATCTGGAATGCACCAAAACAAAACTCTCAGTTCTCGGGAACTGCACACAGCCAAGCCCAGTGTCCAGCCGGATCAGGCCAGCCTCTCTGTTCTACTAGGTGTGAAACAGGAGGAGTTAGCTGCATTTAAAAAGGTTAGTCCTTCCTTCTATTCTGCTCTTTAAGAGCAGTTTTCACAGCATTTAGGAATCTGTAACTGTCTTTTAAAAAATTCTTCTACGTTACCTGTCCCACCAAACTTCAGTGCAGTGACTCCACCTGAAAGTTTGCCAGACATTCTGGGATGTCTTTCTTTTTATTTTTACTAGTACTAATATCTAACTCTTGAATTCTGACATGTCCTACAATATAAGTTGCAGATTTTACCAGTGTGTCGCTTTGACATTGCCTTCTATGCAGGCTGTGAGGACATATTCCAGTTTAACAGGTTGTTTTCAGAATTTCTCACCCATGTCCCATTCCATGCAGTGTTCTTTCCTTTTGGGGAAGCCTATTTTAGCAATTTCAATATTCCATGGATCTCAGTACACTTCAGAATTTCAATTTCTCTTCTCCACATTCACTTCATATCTGCTAGCCCTGTGCGGCTCTCTGGCATGAGGTGTTTGGGCCAAATTACTTATATTTTAGGTTCTTGAGAAAGACTTGTTACATATGCAACCTGCAGGCTTCCCCACCCGACCCCGCCTCCAATGCATTACCTGATCTCAACGATTTCGAGATTCTGCAAGGTTTTCTTTTTTTTTTTCTTCATTTTTATATATTTGGTAGAATTCACTAGTAAAGCTGAGGCTTTCTTTGTGGGATGGTTTATTGAAATGAATTTAATTTCTTCAATAGATATAAGATTATTCAGATTTATTATTTCATCTTGTGTCGGTATTGCTAAGATGTATTTTAAAAGAGATTTGCCCATCTCATTTATTCAATTTATTGGCATAAAATTGCTCATAACATTTCTTATTATTCTTTTAATATCTATAGAATTTGTAGTGATTTACTTGTTTTATTTTCTAATATTTATAATTTGTGTCATTTTTCTGTAATTCCTGATGAGTCTAACTATGAGTTTATCAATTTGTCAGTCTTTACAAATAATTCATTTCAGGCTTTATTAATTTTCTCTATTGTTTTCTATTTCATTGATCTCATCTATTATTTTCTTCTTTTACTTTTTTGGCTTTTCTTTTGCACTTCTTTTCATAGTTTCCTAAGGTGATTTTATACTTTATTTTTTAATATAAGAGTTTAAAGCTGTAAATTTTCCTCTAAGTATAAATTTTGATATATTTTCCTAGATGTTCAGCTTAAAATTCTACTTTTGAGATGTATTATAATTGTCATTATTTTTGAGATGTTTTCTAATTTCCCTTGTGATTTCTCCTTTGACACATAAGTTATTTAAATGTATGCTATTTAATTTCTGAATATTGTAGGTATTTTAAATATTTTATTGTAATTTATCAAATGATAAATTACTTCCATTATGATCAGAGAACAAACTCAGGTCTGGATTTCAATCCTTTATGTTTATTTGATATTTATTAATACTTGTTTTAAGAGCCCGCAATATGCTCTATCTTAGTCGATATTCCATGTGCTCTTGAAAAGATCGTGTTTTCTGCTCTTTCTGGGTGTAGCGTTCTATAAATATCTTCACGTCATGTAGGTTGATACTGTTTTTCAATTCTACATTTTTGCTGAGTTCATGTAATTGTTATAGCAATTGCTGAGAGAGGATTGTTAAAATCTCCAATTATGGTTTGTTTACATTTCCACTCAATTTTGTCAATTTTTGTATCATGAATTTTGAAACTCTGTTATTAGGTCCACGTACATTTATGATTATAATGTATTACTGACAAATTGAGCTTTTAATAATTATGATCTCTATTTCTGGTAATGGTCTTTATCTTGAAGTCTATTCAAACAGATATTAATATGACCTTTTAGTCTTCTTATGCTTACTAGATACATGGCATATCTTTTTCTATCCAATTGCTTTCATCCTGGGTATATAGATTTCAGGTTGTCTTTTGTAGGCAGCATATAGCTGGATGTTGCTTTTTAATTCATTCTAACAATCTCTTCCTTCTTTTATAGTCTTCATTTCGATTTCTTCTTGTCTTAATTTGCACGTAGGAATGTCAATACAGATGCTTCTTGACTTATGATGGGGTTACATCTCAATAAACCCATTGTAAGTTGAAAATGCATTTAATACACCTGACCTACTGAGCATAATAGCTTGCCTAGCCTACCTTAAACATGCTCAGAACACTTAATTAGTCTACAGTTGGGCAAAAATCACCTATCACAAAGCCTGTTTTATAATAATGTGTTGAATAGCTCATGTATTTTATTGAATACTGTAATTAAAATGAAAAATAGAATGGTGTGGTACTTGAAGTATGGTTTCTATGGAATAAATATTACTTTCACACCATCATAAGGTCAAAAAAATTATAAGTCAAACATTGCAAGAAGGGGACTATCTGTATTATATTGAATACTAGCAGTGACAGCACTGTTCCTTGTCTTGTTCTGGATCCCAAAAAACATATATAAATTTTCACTATTAATTGAAATGTTTGTTTTAGTTATTTTGTAGATAGCCTTTGTGTCTTTGTCAAAGTAATGAGGTTCTATTCCTGGTGTTCTTAGCCTTTTCTGCACATGTGTTAAATTTATCAAATCCTTTACACACTTTTTATTTTTAATTTGCATAAATTTAAGGAGTACAAGTGCAATTTTGTTACATGGACAAATAGTGAAGTGGTGAAGTCTGAGCTTTTAGTGTATCCATAACCTGAATAATGTGTATAGTATCCATTAAGTAATTTCTCATCATCCACCTCCCTCCCAGCATCTTACACTCTTGAGCCTCCAATATCTATCTATCATTCCACACTTTATGTCTGTGTGTACACATTATTTAGCTTCCACTTATAACTGTGAATATGTGGTATTTTTCTGTTTCTGAGTTGTTTCACTTAAAATAATGGCCTCCAGTTGCATTCATGTTGTTGCAAAAGATATGATTTTATTCTTTTTTAAAAGACGGCTGAATAGTATTGCATAGTGTATATGTATACACCATATTTTCTTTTTCTAGTCCTCCTTTGATGGACATTTAGGTTGATTCTGTATCTTTGTTTCCGTATCTTTGAGATGATCATATGGTTTTTGTCCTTAATTCTATTTAAGTGATGGTTTACATTTATTGATTTGTATGTATTAAACCATCCTTGCATCCTACTTGATCATGGTGTATTATCTTATTGATTGAGGCAGGGTCTTGGTCTGTCACACAGGCTAGAATGCAGTGGCACAATCTTGGCTCACTACAACCTCCATCTCTTAGGCTTAAATGATCTTCCCACCTCCACCTCCCGAGTAGCTGGGACTACAGGCATGCACCACCACACCTGGCTAATTTTTCTATTTTTTATAGAGATGGGGTTTCCCTACATGGCCCAGACTGGTCTCAAACTCCTGGACTCAAGTGATCCCCTGCCTTGGCCTCCCGAAGTGCTGGGATTACAGGTGTGAGCCACCACACTTGGCCATATAATGTTTTTAATGTGGTGTCAGATTCAGTTTACTAGTATTTTGTTGAGGATTTTTGCCTCCGTGTTTATCAGGGATATTGGTCTGTAGTTTTCCTTTTTTTATTGTGTCTTTGTCTGATTTTGGTATCAGGGTGATACTGGTTTTGTAGAATACGTTAGGATAAATTTTTTCCTTCTTGAGTTTTTGAAATAGTTACAGAAGGATTAGTCCCAGTTCTTCTTTGTACATTTGGTATAATTTGGCTGTGAATCTGGTCCTGAGATTTTTGTTGTCATTGTTAGAAGACTATTTATTTATTTACTTACTTACTTTGAGACAGGGTCTCTGTCTGTTGCCCAGGCTAGAGGGCAGTGGCACAATCATGGCTCACTGCAGCCTTGACCTCCTGGGCTCAAGCGATCCTCCTTCCTCAGCCCCCCAAGTAGCTCAGACTATAGGGGCATGTCAGCATGCCTGGCTAATTTTTGTATTTTTTGTAGAGATGGGGTTTCACCATGCAGCCCAGCCTAGTCTTGAATGTCTGAGTTAAAGCAATCTGCCCACCTTGGCCTCCAAAGCTCTGGGATTATAGGTGTAAGCCACTGTGCCTGGTCAGGAGACTTTTTAAAATTGCAGATTCAATCTCACTACTCATTATTGGTCTGTTTAGAATTCATATTTCTTCCTAGTTCAATCTTGGGAGGTTGTACATTTCTTCTAGACATTTATCCGTTTGCTCTAAGTTTTCTAGTTTGTGAGCATATAGTTGTTTGTAATAGTCTCTGATGATCTTTTGTATTTCTGTGGTATCAATTATAATGTCTCCTTTTCCATTTCTGATTGTTTTTATTTGAATCTTCTCTTTTTTTTGTTTAATCTAGCTAGCAATTATCAATTTTGTTTCTCTTTTCAGAAACAAACTTTTCATTTTGTTGATACCTTGTTTTTGTTTTTGGTTTTGGAATCTCTGTTTGATTTAGTTTTGCTCTGATCTTTGTTTTTTTCTTCTGCTAGCCTTGGGTTTGGTTTGTTCTTGTTTTTCTACTTGCTTGAGGTGAGACATTAGGTTGTTAATTTGTGATATTTCTAATTTTTGATGTAGGCATTTAATGCTGTAAACTTCTCTGTTAGCACTGTTTTTACTGTATCCCAGAGGTTTTGGTATGTTGTGTTTCTATTTTCATTCATTTGAACAAATTTTTAAATTTCTGTTTTAATTTCATCATTGACCCATAAGTGTTTAGGGGCATGCTGTTTAATTTCCATGTTTTTGTATAGTTTCTGAGGTTCTCCTTGGTATTGATTTTTAGGTTTATTCCACTGTAATCTGAGAAGATACTTGATGTGATTTTGATTTTGAAAAATTTTTTGAGACTTGTTTTGTGGCCTAACGTATGGTCTGTTCTGGCAAATATTCTCTGTGCTGATGAGTAGAAGGTATATTCTGCAGTTGTTGGTAGAATGTTCCATATGTGTCTGCTAAGTTCATTTAGTGTAAAGTCCAATTTAAGTCCAATGTTTCTTTGTTGATTTTCTGTCTCAATGATCCATCTGGTGCTGTGAGTTGGATGGTGAGATTTCCCCCTATTATTGTATTGCTGTCTATTTCTTTCTTTAGGTCTAGTAATATTTGTTTCATGAATCTGGGTGCTCCACTTGTTGGGTACATATATATTTAGGGTTGTTATATCCTCTTGTTGAATTGACCCTTTTGTCATTATATAAAATACTTTTTTTGTCTGTTTTTTACTGTTTTTGATTTAAAGTCTGTTTCGTTGTTGTCGTTGTTAATGTAAGTATAATTATTCCTACTTGCTTTTGGTTTCTGTTGCATGGAATATCTTTTTCCAACCCTTTAATTCAGTCTAAATGTGTTTACTAATAAGGTGAGTTTCTTGTAAGCAGCATATAGTTGGATCATGTTTCTTTTTTATCTGTTCTGCCAATGTGTATCTTTTAAGTGGAATATTTAATTCATTTATGTTCAAGGTTAATATTGTTATATGAAGTTCTGTTTTTGACATATTGTTAATTGTTATCTACTTGTTTTATAAATCACTTGTTTCTATCTTTTTCTCTGCCTGTCTTTGTGGTTTGGTGGAATTCTGGTTTGTTGACATTTGATTCCTATCTATTTCTCCACTGTGTAATTGTTTTATATGACAGTGAGTTTTATACTTTTGTATGTTTTTATGATGGTGAATGTAGACCTTTTGTTTCCATGTTTAGGATACTTTTGAGAATTTCTTGTAGGGCTGGTTTAGTGGTGACAAATTTCTTCATCATTTGCTTGTCTGGGAAAGACTTTATTTCTCCTTCATTTAATCTTGCTGGATATAAAATTTGTGATTGGCAGTTTTCTTCTTTCAGCAATTTGAAAATCCCTTCCCATTCTCTTCTGGCTTGTAGGACTTCTGCTGAGAAGTCCATTGTTAGTCTGATGGGTTCCTTTTATAGTTGATGACACTTTTCTCTTGTTGATTTTAGAATTCTTTTTTTTCATCTTGACTTCCTTAGATTCCTTCTTCTGCCTGGTCTAGTCTATTCTTGAAGTTTTCAAAGGTATTTTGTAATTCCTTATATGATTTTTTTTATTTCTAGAACTTCTCTTCAGTTTCTTTCTAAAGATAATATATATCATTGATAAATCTTTGGTTTATATCCTGAATTGATTTTCTGATTTCTTTCTATTGGTTTTCAAGCTTTTAAAAAATTCACTATTTTGAGTTTTTTAATCTGGCAGTTTGAGGATTTCTTTTTTGTTAGGATCCATTGCTACAGAATTACTGTGTTCCTTGGGTTGGAGGGGGGTGGTGTCATAATACCTTGCTTTTTCATGCTTTCCATATTATTATTCTGCTTTCAGCACGACTGGAGAAATAATAGCTTCTTGTTTTTGAATTTACTTTCTTTGGGGCAAGACTTTATTTTTTGTCTTAAGGGTATGAGTATAAAGTAAGTTTGCTAGGACCATTTGACTTTGCCTCTGGGTGTGCTCAATGTGAAGACTCTGTATGACTTCCTAGGTTATAAACAGTCTTGGTGTTTTCTCAAACATCAGTTGTAGTAGTGGTATACTGGATGAGTGAGCAGGCTTATGACCTCCTGAGAGTGGCCAGGGTTTATGGGCAATAGTGGTAGCATAGGTTGCAAGAGCATCATTTTATTCTTGGGCATTGTGTACATGTATCAGCAGATATTGTAATGAGCTATGTGGGTCAACCTCCTGGCCAGTAGATGATGCTTTCAGGTAAGAGCCTGCTGCAGTGGTGGCAATAGGATTTATTCTTGACCTCTATTAACATGTGTAATTCTCAGGTGTCTCAGGTGATGGGTTGGGCTGTGGGATGCTCAATGATCTGGGTCCTGTGCTCTGTCTTGGGAGATTGGGCAAAGCTAGATGGAATTGGAACAGGGCCTGAACTTGGGCTCCCCAATATTGGGCATAAGCACTAGCCCTGACAGGGTTAGGGGGCAGTCCTCAGTGGCCTGGAGAAATGCTTGGGTGAGGAGCATAGTGGCTGTTGCTGTGCTGAGGTCTCAGTTTGGGGAAGAAAGAGTGGCCATAGTGCCATAGCCTAGCAGGTGAAGTGGGACCTTCTCTCCTCTTATGCCCCAGACCCAGCAAGGCAACTACCTCATCCCCACTGTGGCAGCAAGTTGGGACACTTACTTAGTCACTGAGGTTCGCTTCCAGTCAGCGAAGCTTCCCTAGGCTGTAAAACTCACAGCTCAGTCAAAACTGTGTTGACCGACCAACTCTCCTCCTGCTTCTTTCCTGTGAAGGATAGGAGCCTGGTTCCAGTGCCAGCAGCTGGTGCACATACTACACTAATTTCTCAGTTCTGGCTGTGGGAGCCAGTTCCCTGCTAAAGCCCCAGATCTCCAATCCCCAGCTCGAGTCTCTCTAATGCCAAGATGGCTACCACTGCTTCTAGCTTGCAGGATCCTGCACAGCTTGTTAGGAGCTAAGATCAAGAATGGCATCCTTCTATTGGTGCCTAGGTCTGGGAACATGTGTGGGACACTTCCTGGAGACATTCCTTCTCACAGTCTCCTAGCTGCCCCCAAGTTAGATCCAGGGCTTGGGAGTGTCCTGGTGTTCTCCTGTGACCTGGATTGCACAATTCCTCACTAAGAAGATGGATCACAGAGAGACACTCACTCATGCTCTCCTGTATTAGGGATTCACTTGTGGTTTTCAGCTGGACCCGGCCGTGTGGGGTGCCTGCCTACCTTCTCTTTCCAAGTATCTTTCACTTTTCTGTTGAACTCTCTTGTTCTTTCTTGGATAAAATTTCAAAGTGTGAATCTCTGTACACTATTTTGCTCCTTTCCTTTTTCCTTTCCTTTCCTTTCCTTTCCTTTCCTTTCCTTTCCTTTCCTTTCCTTTCCTTTCCTTTCCTTTCCTTTCCTTTCCTTCCTTCCTCTCTCTCTCTCTCTTTGTTTCTTTCTTTCTTTCTTTCTTTCTTTCTTTCTTTCTTTCTTTCTTTCTCTCTTTCTTTCTCTTTTCTGTTGAACTTTCATGTTCTTTCTTGGATAAAACGTCAAAGCATGAATCTCTATACACTATCTTGCTTCTTCCAAGTGGGTGAAGTGTGCTGGAAAAGCCTCTATTCTGCCATCTTGGAAAAGAACGCAAAACAACAAAACAAAACAAACAAACAAACAAAAAACAACCCTTTTTTAAAGAAGTCTACTAATTTTTAAAAACTAATCTACTAAAATTATCATTTTTTTTCAGCATTCTTTTCCAGCCTGCCTGTTCTTGTAGTTTTTCATCCTAACTCTTCCTGAGCTCCTGTGCTACTTTGATGTTAGTATCTCCCTGTTGATTCTAGGCTGGCTTTGTTTGACTGTTGCAAAGAGATGAGCAATGACATCCTAGGGTAGTGTTGTGAAAATAAGTGGGCATCATTACCAAGTTATCTGCCAGCCTTCCCCTGTTACTGCTTTTCAGTCTTCTTCTACATTAGGTTTCCATTTTACTCTCAATATCCTTCCCCCAGTTATACCAGGCTTTGACCTCAACTTCTCTCCCTAAGAGCTTCTTAACCTTTTGGTGCAAAGTTCTGGGATTCCTTAATTTCTATGTCATTTCTGTGACATCGTCAGAGTTTGGTTTTAGGGGTGGTAGCTTTGTTAATTTGCCATCTTTTCTGGAAAAAATAATAGATTATTTATAAAATAGAAATTGTATTTATCTTGTACTATAATTAAGATTTTCTAATAGTTATCAGTGCTATCAATTTTTTTTTTTTTTTGCTTTTTTCTGGGTACATGGTAGGATTGTATTTCCCTACACTTTTGCTGAAATTCAGTGTAGTCATGTGACTTGCTTTGCACAATGAACAGCGAGCAGAAGTCTATGTGTCACTTCCTCTGGAAGCCCATAGAGCCAGTGCATAATTTACCATTTTCTCTTTTACTGTCAGCCACGGCGATTAAACATGCTGTAACTGAAAGACTGGCAAACTTCTGTAAAGAACCAGAAGATAAATATTTTAGGTTTTGCATGCCCTATGGTCTCAGTTGCAACTACTCAACTCTGCCGTTGCAGTGCAAAAATAGCCATAGGCAATACATTAATAAATGAGCACGGCTATGTTCCAATAATACTTCATTTGAGACACTGAAATTTGAATTTCATATAATTTTCACATGCCACAAAATATTATTATTTTTTTTAAAAAGTGGTTTTAGCTCTTGGGTCATATAAAATCAGGCAGCAGGCCAGATTTAGTCCACAGGCCATAGTGTGTCAGCCCCTTTCTAGATAAACAGTACTTGAAAACTCTGATTCCCAGAGGGAGGGTAACATAGAGCAAAGCCCCCTACTTACCCACAAAGAATATTCGGTGTGTGGCAAAAAGGGGAAACTTGTTATTTTAAGTCACTAATTAAAAACCTAGCTCAATCTAATATACTAGCTCAATCTAATACACTAATTTTGTTTTTAAATTAGTGTAAACTAATTTAAACCTAGCTCAGTCTAATACACTAATTTTGTTTTTAAATGATAATACAGTAATGAATACCTAGAAGACAAAGGTTAAGGGAAAGGAAAAGAGAAAGAGGTGCTGAGAAAAAAACAAGGGGAGTTTGAACTGAAAGTTAAAGAGCTCATTAAAATTTTGACAGATCATCCATCTTTTCATCTGAACTCCGTATCTATAAATCCTGATTATCTGCCCATTTACACACTTAATAATGTATCTTTTACTCTTTCTGGGATGCTGAAATGTTGATCGCTTCAAATAATTTTTAAAAATTAAGTCATGGAAGTATTTTAAAAGTGATCTGAAAACTGCGTCAGAAAGTCAGGAAGGCCAAAATAAGGAGCTCTGTTAAGAGACATTCCATCAACAAAAATATCTCTTCTCTTTTCTGCCATGGCAACTCCAAAATAGTAAAGAATATGTAATAGGCAGTATCCTTATTTGAACCAGGATGCTGAGAATCGTGCAGGCAATAAATGTCTATTTTGGTGACAAGCAGGAGCATTTTATGAAAAGAGATTGTTCTGATTCTTTAGCTTTTGTTGAGCTTTCCCAATTGTGAATGGCAGAATTCCAGAGACACTCAATGTATCCACTTTCCAACTTATAATTGTATACTCACCTTGTGTATCTTTGTAATCGTTGGAGTCCTGATTCTAGCATGGTTGGTTGTGTTAAATTATCTTTTTCTTTGGACATGCCAGAGCAGGACAGAGAAGAAGATATTTATGGTGATACAGGTTGCACTTGTCAGAGCCTCCTGCCGTAGAAATGTTGGTGGGGAAACAGTCCTTATTTGATCATTTTTGGGGAAGGAAATTAAAATAAGTTTTGTACAGAGGCTCTAACTCCCTCAGGGCAGCTGAGTGGGAGAGAGAGAGTCTCTTTGGAAAATCCACAGTTTATTCTTCCAAAACAATGTAGCCTCTAAGAAGTCAGAAACATTTGGAGAAAGTACAGAAATGAAAAGCATTATTGTGTGAAGTTCAAACTCTCAAGAAAAAAAAAGGTGTTTTATAAAAAGCTCAGACTTTACTTTTTGCCTTGGAAATCCTGTGGACTACAATGATAGGATTTGTTTAAAATATTGCACTTAAATATTTAAATGTAGCAGGCCCTATGTGTTTGATTTCTTTGTTTAACTGATGCATAGTTTCCCAACTATGTAGTGACTGGTGTAAAGTGTGAGGCTGTTCTATATTTATGTGGTTCAGCTTTCCAGAATATTTGGATACTGGCCTTAAATATGTACAGTATTGTTCCCTTGCAGCAGTTTTTCAATGCCCAAATATATTAATGTTATATCCCCAAAGTCCTCTCTTCTGACAGATGGCTAACAAGGAAAAAAGTTAATTAAATTTGTTAAGTCATTTATGAAAAATATAGGGGCTTCCGAGAATTACAAAGCAAAGTTTCCATTCACTATGTGGGAAGTCAGATGCCTGGTAAATCTTTTATCTATTTGTGTTTTAAACAACTTTGCCTTCAGTATATGGATTTTGTGTGCAATGTCAGTATGTAATCTGAAGTAATTACAATAATTTAATAGCATGAAACACGGAACGGGGCAGTAAGAATTTTAAAAATAATGATTTAGCTGATTTTCTATCAGAAGCATTGAGAAAAAAATTTCTGAAGGAGAAAAAAGTGAAATGTTACTCTCCGGTGAATGGTTTCACACAGAAATGAATCTGTTGTCTAACAAAGATTTGGTTTTACTGGTGCCCTGTGGCACCAATACATTTTTCTAAAGTGTAGAGAGGTGAATGTGGATGCCACGGTCTGGTCCTGACCTCGCTAAATACATGGAATCTCTCCCTGAGGCAGACCTTCATTGGAGTGAGGTCAGCAACAAGAATTTGGCTTTGAAGAAATCGTGAATTGACAAGCAAGCAGAGAATCTGAAAGGATACATTTTCTACCAATGAAACTTTAATAATCCCCAGGAAGACTGTACACATTTTAAAATAAGTAGTTTTCACTCCTAGGAATTGGATCCCAGGGCAAAAGTGAATGAAAGGATATAAAATTAGCTTGAGAAACAAAAGAAGTCTAAGGAGAGTTTATATTATAAAGTGCATACTGGATTCTATAACAGAATGATCAAAGTAAACATGATTTTAAATGATACAGATGTTCCCAAGATACAAAGCATTCTGTGGTTCTAAGAGTTCTTAGGAGGCTGCACAGACTCTTATAGTTTAGATAACATGAAATAATGTTTCTGTGTATTCTATAGGAAATCATTAATCTAAACAATTCTGTACAGCTTCCTAAAATACTTTATCAACCCTAGAAGAATCTGTTTCTTAAAAGACTATGTTTTTTCATGATTATTGCTCTTAGTCTAATTTTAGAAAAGACAAGTATTATAGGCTAAACTATGTTCCTCTCAAATTCATATGTTGAAGCCTTAAGCCCTAGTACCTTAGAATTTTACTGTATTTGAAGATAAGGCCTTGGAAGAGGTGATTAAGTTAAAATGAGGCTTCTAGGGTGGGTCCTAATTCAATGTGACTGGTGTCCTTATAAGAAGAGGAAATTTGGAACACAAGGAAACACTAGGAATGTGTGTGCACAGAGAAAAATCCATGTGAGGAAATGGGAGAAGGCGGCCATCTGCAAGCCAAGGAGAGAGGCCTCAGAAGAAAACAAACCTGCTGACACCTTAATCTTGGACTTCTTGACTCCAGAACTCTGTGAAAATAAATTGTTGTTTAAGCCACCCAGCCTGTAGTATTTTGTTATAGAAGCTCTACCAAACTAATATAAGACACAATAATGCTTTACCTTTTCCCAGAGCCAGGAGATCTCTATTGGGAAGAAAATGAACTGTCATAGGGGAAATCTATGCACTTTTAGTTAGGCTTTTTGCTTTGTTTTACCTGGATACAAATCCCAGTATGATTTTCATTGAGAATGTTAGGATGAAGAGGTCAGGAAGCCAGATTTTTCAGACCACTGATATAGAAAAACTTTTCACTGCTTTATCACAATCCCAAGAGAAACCAATCAATACTTTTGATCTGAAATATGTGTCTTTCTGATAATCTGGTGTCAAAAAATGTCCACCTATCCTATACTAGCTTTAATATTAAGAAGATGTCCTGACGAAAAAAGTAGGAGGAAATTGGCTTTTATTTAACTGCAAAACATTAAAAATATTTGCATATTTTGGCATCATGGAGGGGTAGCCATTATTTGCATTTTAAAGGTATAGAAAGGAAAATATACAGATGTTAAAGTTTTCCTTGGTTACATAAGTCAAAATCTTTAGCAAGATGAAGACTTTTTCTTTTTTTTAAGATTTATTTTTGTGGACGTATGGCAGGAGGAAGCCCGATTAAGGCAGCATTCTGGAGAGGGTGATCTCATCTTACTACACATAAGATAGAATCAGAATGTGGGGTATGTCTAGAGCAGGCTCGGGGTTAGGATGGCCTTGCTAAAGGCTGTGGGGGAAGACTGGATTATCAAAAGCCAGAAAATTACCTATAGTTGGAATTACATTCAAACACACACACCAAATTCATGTTCCTAATCCACACATCAGAAGTCTAGAATCCGATGGGGTCGTCCTTCAGTAAGACAAGATGACACATCAGGCAAGCAGTGAAACCCAGGAGTTAGGTGGAAAGAACAGTGTCCCAAAGTAATCACAGTTCACAAAGGCAGGAATTGAAGAGCTAAGTTATAGCACAATCAGTTCACAAATGTGTACATGTAAGAAACATAAACTTGTATGTGACATTTCTATGATCGAAATTAATATCCATTTTGAGCACCTGTTGCACAAAGCGATGAAATGTGCTCTTAGTCAACTCAGGATTTCACCATCCCTTTTTCCAAGCTTATGGCCAATTTCAAGCACCTTTTATATACTATCAAGTGAGTGGCGTGAAGGAGATCTGAGGTTTTTACATCTGGCCTCAGTTGTTTTGACCAATTCATTCAGGAGTGTACTGAGATGGACATTATCTATCTGGTTCTTGTTTATCAATCCTTGCAAGTTGCTGCTGAACTACATCTTGGTCTTTAGAGAAGGAGAAATGTTTTGTTGCTAGTCTCCCCCATTAAGGGCTATAGGGTCTCTATGAGCTGTCTTATCTGTCTGCATATATGTACCCTGCAGCCAATATGACTCCACAGATCCTGGACTTCACTGAGCCCCAGAAGCTTAGACCTTATTTTCACGATTATTATCTGAGAAAGGGAACTCCACCACCCTCATTCTCCATTTCTCCTACTCTCCTTCCATTTCTCCTTCGTTTTGGGTAATGTCAGGGTATACGACTCCTCTAGAGGCCCAGAGTTCAAGTCCTTTTCTTGCATTTTCTGAGTCTCTTTCCCCCAGCCATTACTATTCTCAGATATGATTTCCATTGAGAGCCATAAACACTGCCCAGCTAATAATACGAGCTCCTAAAGATATTGTTAGTAGCATTTATTAATGCCTTCAGTTATTGTCCTCTACCCCAGCTTTATTAAGGTATGATTGTCAGATAAAAATTGTATTATATAATGTTATAAAATGACTACCACAATCAAATTAATTCATATATGTATTACCTTACATAATTACCTTCCCCCCTGTGCAGAACACTTAATATCTGTATACTCTAAGCAAATTTCAAGTATATAATACATTATTATTAACTATAGTCACTATGCTGTACATTAGGTCTCCAGAACCTATTCGTTTTATGACTGCCTTGTCTACTCTCTGTTTCTGTGAGTTCAACTTTTTTTTTAGATTCCATATATAAATGAGATCATACAGTATTTGCTGTTCTGTGTCTGGTTTATTTCATTTAGCAAAATGTCCATAATTTCGTCCAGGTTCACTCATGTTGTTGTAAATGGCAGAATTTTCTTCTTTTTAAAAGCTGAAAAATATTCTACATATTATATGAATGTATATATGATGCAACATTTTCTTTATCTATTCTTAGTCATCCATTGATAGACACTTAGGTTGTTTCCATATCTTGGCTATTGTGAATAATGCTACAATGAATGAACATCGGAGTGCAGATAGCTCTTTGAGATGATTTTACTTCCTTTGAATACATACCAGGAAGCGGGATGGCTGGATCATATGGTAGTTCTATTTTTAATTTTTTGAGAACCTCTGCATGTTTTCATCAATGGCTGTACCAATTTATAGTCTCACCAATAGCGTACATGTCCTCTTTGTCCACATCACCTCTATCACTTATCTTTTGTTTTTGTGATAACCACCAAGGTGTGAGATGTTGTCTCATTGTAGTTTTGATTTGCATTTTCCTGATGATTGGTGATGTTGAGTACTGTTTTTGTGACAGTGTCATACTTTTATGAATATTATAACTTTAAGATATAATTTGAAATCAGAAATATGATGCCTCCAGCTGTGTTTTCTTGCTCGAGATTTTTTTAGCTAGTCAGAATCTTTTATGGTTTTATACAAATTGTAGGATTATATTTTCTATTTCTGCAGAAAATGCTATTGGAATTTTGATAGGAATTACAGTGAATATGTAGATTGCTTTGGGTTGTATGAACATTTTGACAATATTAATTATTGCAATTCAAGAACATGGGATATCTTTCCATTTATTTGTGTCTTTTCACATTTCTTTCATGTTTTATAGGTGTTGGTGTACAGATTTTTCATATCCTTGATTAAGTTTATCCTAAGTATTTTATTCTTTTTGATGTTCTTGTGAATGAGATTGTTTTCTTAATTTCTTTTTTGGATAGTTTGTTGTTAGTGTATAGAAATGCTACTGATTTTTGTATGTTGATTTTGTGTCTTGCAACTTTACTGAATTTGTTTATTAGTTCTAACAGTTTTATGGTAGAGTCTTTAGGTTTCTCTGTTAGAACTAATAGACAATTTCAGTAAAGTTGCAGGATGTCTTCTGTAAACAGAGACCATTTTACTTCTTCCTTTCTCCTTTGGGTGGCTTTTATTTCTTTTTCTTGCCCAATTGCTCTGGCTAGGACTTGCAATACTATGTAGTGGAAGTGGTGAGAGTGAGTATCCTGGTCTTGTTCCTAACATTAAAGGGAAGCTTTTAGTTTTTCACTGTTGAGCATTTTGTTAACTGTGAACTTTTCACACATGGCCTTTGTCATTTTGTGGTACCTTCCTTTTATACTATCTTAGTCCTTTTGAGCTGCTATCACAAAATATGAACTGGGTAGCTTATCAACAATGAACATTTAGTTTTCACAGCTATGGAGGTTGGAAAGTTCAAGATAAAGGCACTGGCATATTTGGTATATGGTGAGGATTTGCTTTCTGGCTCATAGGTGGCAACTTCTCATTGTATCTTCACATAACAGAAAGGGTGACTATCTCTCTGGATCTCTTTTATAAGGGCACTAATTCCATTCATGAAGGCTCTGTCCTAGTGATTTAACTACCTCCCAAAGGCCCCACCTCCTAATACTATCACCTTGAGGGTTAGGATTTCAATAAATGAATTTGGGGGAAACATAGTTATTCATACCATAGCTTATACTTAATTTACTGAGGGTTTTATCATGAAAGAATTTTGTCAAATGCTTTTTATGCATCTATTGAGATGGTCATATGATTTTTATCCTTCATTTCATTAATGTGAGTTATTATATCTATTGATCTGTGTGTGTTGAATCATCCTTGCATCCGAGGGATAAATCCAACTTGGTCATGGTGTATTGTCCTTTCAATGTGCTGTTGAATTTGGTTTGTTAGTGTGTTGTTGAGGATTTTTGCACCTGTGTTTATCAGGGATATTGGTCTATAATTTTCTTTTCCTGTAGTGACCTTATCTGTCTTTAGTATCAGGGTAATGCTGGCCTTATAAAATTAGTTTGGAAGTATGCTCTTTTCTTTAATTTTTTGAAGAGTGTGAGAAGGATTGTTTTTAGTTCTTCTTTAAATATTTGGTAGAATTAAAGCATGAAGCCAGCTTTTCTTTGATGGGAGACTTTTTATTGCTAATTCAATTTTCTTACTAATTATTTTTCTGTTCAGATTTTCTATTTCCTCATAATTCAGTCTTGGTTGGTTGTATGTTCTTGGTCAGTTGTATGTGCCCAGAAACGTATCCATTTCTTCTAGGTTATTCAGTTTGTTGGCATTTTCGTTCATAGTGTTTTCTTAGGATTCTTTGTATTTCTGTGTTTCTGTGGTATCAGTTGTAGTCTCCTCCTTCACTTCTGATTTTATGTATTTGAGTCTCTTATTTCTTTTTATCTTAGTCAGTCTAGATAATTTTGATTTTATCTTTTTAAAAAACCAACTTAGTTTTGTTGACCTTTTCTATTTTTATTTTTTAGTTTCTATGTCATTTATTTATGTTTTGAATTTTGTTATTCAATTTCCTTTTGCTAACTTTGTTCTTTTTCTAGTATTTTGTGGTGTAAAATTGGGTTATTTATTTGAGATCTTTCTTTTTTCTTAATATTGGACATTATCACTATAAAATTACCTATTGGAACTGCTTTTGCTGCCTTCCATAAATTTTGTATTTTGTGTTTCCATTTTCATTTGTATCAAAGTATTTTTATTTACCTTTTAATTTCTTCTTTGACTCATTGGTTGTTCAAGAGCACATTGTTTAATTTCTACATAAAGGTAGAGTATTCCTAATCCAAAAACCCAAAATATGAAGTGCTCAAAAATCTGAAACTTTTTGAGCAACAACATGAGGCTCAAAGGAAATACTCATTGGAGCATTTTGTGTTCAGTTTTCAGATTAGGGATGTTTACTTGGTAAGTATAATGCAAATATCACAAAATCTGAAAAAATCTGAGATCTGAAACACTTTTAGTCACAAGCATTTTTGGATAAAGGGTACTCAACCTCTATTTGTGGATTTTCTAACTTTCCTCCTGTTATTGAGTTCTAGTTTCATAGCATTGTGTTCAGAAAAGATACTTGATATGATTTCAATATTTTTAAGTGTATTAAGTCTTGTTTTATGGCCTAATATAGAATTTAACCTAAAGAATATTTTGTTTGTACTTGAGAATAATGTGTATTATGATGCTGTTAGATAAAATATTCTGTATATGTCTCTTAGATCCATATAGTCTTAAGTATAGTTTAAATCTAATGTTTCCATATTAATTTTCTGTCTCCATAATTCATCCATTGTTGAAAGTTGGATATTGAAGTCCCCTATTACTGTTGTATTGCTGTCTATTTCTCCCTTCAGATCTGTTAATATTTGCTTTATATGTTTAGAAGCTCTGTAGTCAGGTTCTTATATATTTACAGTTGTTATATCCTTTCATGAATTGATCTTTTTATGATCATATAATGACCTTCATTTTTGCTTTTTACAATTTTGATTTTGTCTGATGTAAGAATAGCTACCCCTGCACTTTTTGCTTTCCATTTGCATGAAATATCTTCTTTCATCCCTTCCTTTTCAGCCTGTGTGTATTCTTAAAGGTAAAGTGAGTTTCTTGTAGGTAGCATATAATTGGATCTTTTTTTTTAATCCACTCAATCACTTCATCTTTTGAAGAATTTAATCAATTTATATTTAAAGTAATGATTGATACATAAAGCCTTACTTTTAACATTTTGCTAATTATTTTCTGGCTGTTTTGGAGTTCCTTTGTTCCTTCCTTCCTCTCTTTTGGTCTTCCTTCGTGATTTGATGTTTTTTGTTGTTTTTTTTTGTTTTGTTTTTTGTTTTTTGTTTTTTTGTAGTGGCATGTTTTGATTCCTTTCTTTTTATCTTGTGTATTTACTGTAGGTTTCTGCTTTGTGGTTACCACAAGGCTTACATAAAACATCTTATAATTATAAAAGTTTATTTTAAGCTAACAATTTAACTTTGACTGCATACATAAACTCTACACTGTAGTTTTCTCCCCTCATTTTATGTTTTTGATGTCACAATTTATATTTTTAATATTTTCTATTAATTACACAATATTATAGCTACATTTTTAATACTTTTGTCTTTTAAGCATATTAGAGTTACAAGTCATTTATATATCACCATTACAGTATTAAAGAGTATTCTGAATTTGACTATACATTTACCTTTGCCAGTGAGTTTTATACTTTCATAAATTTTCATGTTACTAATTAGCATCTTTTCATTTCAGCTTGAAGAACTTCCTTTAGCATTTTTTTTGTAATGCAAATCTAATGGTGATACACTCCCTCAGCTTTTGCCTTCCTGGAAAAGTCTTTACCTTTCCCTTATTTCTGAGGGACAGCTTTGACAGGTAAAGTATTTTTGGTTGGCTATTTATTTTTATTTTCAGCACTCAAAATATATTGTTCAACTTTCTTCTGGCTTGCAAGGTTTCAGCTGAGAAATCCACTGACAGTCTTGTGGGTGTTCTCTTGTATGTGATGATTCAGGGGTTTTTTTTCCTGGCTTTCATAATTTTCTATTTGTCTGATTTTTGACAGTTTGATTATAATGTGTCTTGGTGAAGTCCTCTTTTGGTTGAACTTATTTGGGAACTTTTCAGCTTCATGTACTTGCATGTCCATTTCTCTTCTTTTCTCTCTCTGTTCTCCTTCTTATACTCCTATAATGTACATGATAGTTCTCTCAATTATGTCCCACAAAATCCCATAGGCTTTTGCCATATCTTTTCATTTTTTTTCCTTTTTCTACTTTGACTGTACAATTTCAACTGACCTGTCTGAGTTCATAGCTTCTTTCTTCTGCTTAATAACACCCCTTGTTCATGCATTCTATTTCATTTTTCATTCAATTCATTGTATAATTCAGGTTCAGATTTCTATTGGTTCTTTTTCTGTGTGTGATTTATATGTCTTTGTTGAACTTACTATTTTGTTCAGGCATTATTTTTCTGATATTGTTGAGTTGCCTACCTGTGTTCTGTAGGAGCTTATTGAGCTTCCTTAAGACAATTGTCTTGACTTTTTTCCAGGCAATTTTTAGATTTCCATTTCCTCAGTGTCAATTGCTAAAGCTTTATCAATTTCATTTGATGGTGTCATATTTGCCTGATTCTTAATGATTCATATAGTCTTGCATTAATCTTTATGCATTTGAAGGAACCAATACCCCTTCCTGTTGTTACAGATTGGTTTCAGTAATTAAAGACTTTCTCCTCCCTGGTCCTCAGACTGATGGGATTGCCTCCAGGATTTCAGTTGATTGTGGCTGGAGCCAAGTTATATGGCTGTAGCAGGGTCTACAGTTGGGTCCATTGTTGGTATGCCTGTTACTAGATGTGTGAGCAGGGTGGTTCCTGCCAAATAGCCAAGGGACAGAACTATCTCTGGTACCATCATTGAGCTAGAGCCAGCTGGGTTATGTGGCTACTTTGGGTCTTCGGTTCAATCTGTAGGTAATAAGCCAGTTACCAGGGATGTGGATGTATGTGGCTTTCATTGGGTCCTGGTGCAGATGTTTGGGTGGGCAGGACTGCTTATGTGACTGTAGTAAAGTGGGACTGGAGCCAGGTTACAGGACTACTTCAAGGCCTGCAGTCAAGACTGAGGTCAATGGGACTGCTACTGGGGGATCAGATGGGCATGTCTCCTGCCAGTTCTGTGGTTGAGCAGAACTGCCCCAGGACCATAGCAGAGTAGGGCTGAAACTGAGTATCAGCATTATTTCAGGGTTCACACCTGGTACTCCGGTAATTGTACCTCCTGCCAGGGCATTTATGAGCATTGCTGGGTTCCTGGGTGGGCAGAACTGAGAGGAGGGCTGGAGCCAGGTCACAGAGCTGCTTCAGGATCTCCAGTCAGGTCCATGGCTCATGGGATTTTTATGTGGCTCCTTCTTGGTCTCTATGTGAGCAGGAATGATTCTGGACTGGTGGTAGGTCATGGCTGCATAAGGGCCACAGGGCCATCTTGGGATACGCAGTTGAGTACACAGCTGGTGGGCCTATTACTGGGGACATGGAGACACATGGCTCTTCCTCTTTCCCTTGGCAGATGGTGCTGGTTGCAGGAGCATGTCCAAGTAGGGCTAGGACTGAGGCCAAAGGGGAATGGGGCTATTTCTGAGTTTGTAGTTAGGACCATGGTCAATGAGCCTAACTTGGGCATGAGTGTGCATTCTCAAAACAGCCTTCCTTGATCTTGAGCTCTACCAGGGTTATGCAGTCTCCTACTTTTGTTCCAAAGCTCCCACAAAGGCACTTTTGAACATGAATGGCTGCCAAATTGTTGCTACTGTGGGGGGATATCAGTGGGGACCTCTTATTCCACCATCTTGCTGACATTCTTTCCTGATCTCCTTTTTAAAATTTGCTTTTGAAGTTCTAAATCCCAGGTCTTAGAAACTCAAAAGTCAAAACTATTGACATTTTTATTCGTTGTCCTAAATTGCCTAAAGTGTTGCCTAAACGGGAGAATGAATCATATGTGAACAGGAAGTATGGCAAAATAAAATTAAACCAAGCAACCAACCCCCCACCACCAAAAAAAAAAAAAACAACTCTCCCAAACACATAAAGTAGGTGTTTATAACAAAACTAGACAAATGAATAGAACTGGAACTTAACTACTAACTCAAGCCCATGAGCCAAAAGTCTGGTTGCCAAAGCCAAGAAAATGATCCAAAACTTAGACAGGTTGTTATATAGCTATGTGTCTATTTTTTAAAATTCATGAGCTTAGAAAGGTTTAAATAGTCATGAATTGAAAATGAAGTATAGTAATCACTGAAAATGAGAGATCAGAAACAGGTCTAGAATAATTTTAAAGGCACATTAAAGGTAATGACTTCAAAGACAATAAATTCTTGCCTCTGGTTTATATTCAGGCTCTGTAGTTATAGATGAGAGACAAGTTTTTAGTAGTTAAAGGTAAGGAATGGATAGAAGTTCTGGCTACTAAGTTGATATACAACTGTAAAGTGGGACCTACTGGATCCGGATTTGATATATAGCAAAAACTGAAAGAGATTCCTTATTTTAAACTCAGATCTTTATAAGAAAAATGTAATGGATTAAAAACAGATGCAACTACACTTAAGAACAGATTATGTACAGTTTATATAGACTAAGAGTGGTGTAGTACAGTGATTGTGAACATGGACCCTGAAGTCATAGAGCTTGAGCTAGAAACTTGGTTTTATCACTTACTAATCTTTTCACCTTAAGGAAATTGCTTTGCCTCTTTGAATTTCTGTTTATCTGCAAAAAATGGGAATAATAATAGTAGCCACCCAATAGGGTTATTTTCAGGATTCAAAGTTTGAATGAATGAATTTACTTGAAATATTTTAGTAAGTCCTCAACAAAATTTACTTACAGTAATATTATTATCATCATTATTATGTGATATTCTGTGTATTCACGGGATTAACTTCCAACCCTTCCCACTAGAATATTGGCAAAATCCTTACGGATGTGTCACTAAGTGAAATGTATTGATTTTTGCATCTTTTCCAGCTAGAACCATGGAGGGTGTTGAAGAGAAGAATAAGGTTCCTGGCTGTGCCAGAAACCTTTAAGAAAAAGTGTAGGAATTTTGCAGAGCTGAAGATCAAGCGCCTGAGAAAGAATTTTGCCCAAAAGATGCTTTGAAAGGCAAGGAGGAAGCTTATTTACGAAAAAGCGAAGCATTATCATAAGGAATACAGGCAGATGTACAGAATTGAAATTCGAATGGCTCGGATGGCAAGAAAAGCTGGCAGCTTCTATGTACCTGCAGAACCCAAATTGGCATTTGTCATCAGGGTCAGAGGTATCAATGGCGTGAGCCCAAAGGTCCAAAAGGTGTTGCAGCTTCTTCGCCTTCATCAAATCTTCAATGGAACCCTTGTGAAGATCAACAAAGCTTCATTTAACATGCTGAGGATTGTAGAGCCATATATTGCATGGGGGTACCCAAATCCGAAGTCAGTAAATGAACTCGTCTACAAGCGTGATTATGGCAAAATCGATAAGAAGTAAATTGCTGTGTCAGATAACACTTTGATTGCTGGATCTCTTGGTAAATATGGCATCATTTGCATGGTGGATCTGCTTCATGAGATCTATACTGTTGGAAAATGCTTCAAAGAAGCAAATAACATCCTGTGGCCCTTCAAATTATCCTCTCCACAATGTGGAATGAAGAAAAAGACCACCCATTTTGTAAAAGGTGGAGATGCTGGCAACAGGGAGGACCAGATCAACAGGCTTATTAGAATGAACTAAGGTGTCTTCCATGATTATTTTTCTAATCTAGTCAGATAATAAACAGTACATGCTCTCAGATTAAAAAAAAGAAGTGTATGATTTTTTGTCTTTCCTTTTTAAATGTATTCCACTGATTCTTTGGCATTTGCTGACTCTCCTCTATGTTCTGTGCGAATTCACCTTCCATTCTTGTTTGTGTCTGAGTGGTTACTTTGCATTGTCAGGAGTATCTCCACCTCCTTCCCACCCACAGAGGATTATCAGTATTTCCATCAGAACTTGCTTAGATTCCATCCTTTCAATTGTAATCAGCATCAATTGTATGTTTCCAGCTTTCTTCCCATTTAGGATTGTCAGAATTTGTGCAGTTGCTGAAACTTAGAGAGTTGGAGTTTTTTCATTCACCAGTATTTATTGAACTCCTCATATGTACCAGGTAATGTGCCAGGTGCTAAAGTACAGGGTTCCTGCTCTCATGGAGCTTTCAGAGTAGACAGGCTCTGTAAAATGCCTGTTATTGTTGTCCTCTCCCCAGGGATGGCTGAGGTGCATTTCTCCCTGCCCAGCCTCCTTGTTCTGCAAGTTCTCTGACATGTTAATGATGTGGGAGAAAGTTTCATACTCTGCTTTAGCATAGAGGTGAGAGCAAAGAGATGCCCATTATCTCCTTTACTGCACAGAACTCATTCACTCCATAATTCTTGTTGTTGTGTTGCAACATTGCCTCTTGGCTCCAGCGGCACTTGTGAAGGATGAAGCCTTCTCGTTTTTGCCATTTCTTGCTCATTTGTGTGTGTGTGTGAGAGAGAGAGAGAGATGCACTAGGACACTTGGCTTCTCTAAGAGCGTTTATATTGTATTATAAAATGAATTATATTGAAATGTATGGACTTGATATTGAAATATATGGACTTTGTATACTAGAGAGTTTGTGAACCAGATAAACTGAGGTTACAACCCCAAGTCTTCAGTTTGTTAGCCATGTGTCTTTAATCAGTATTATTCTATAAAGTTCTCAGACTACTATTTTCTCTTCTATAAAAGGGACAAATACCTCTCACTTTGGATGACTGCTATAAGAAAAGAGACAATGATTGTAGAGTCCCTGGTGTAGTGCCTCAAATTTAGCACTGGAAAAAATGAAAGCTCATATATTGCCTTATGCAATTGATCCTCTTATTTGTGTTCTATGCTATAAAAGTCTATCAATATTTGATTATATGCCATAAAATTTCTGGGCATGATTCAGAGATTAAGAGAAAATATCAAGATAGCATTACCTTTGGGGCAGGGAAATCCACGGAGGAAAAGAAAAAAAAAATACGAAGAAGGTAAGAGAGTAAGAAAGATCATAGTCAGGGATTTTTTTGGTTGTAAGACATAAAAGTCCAATCAATCTAGCTTAAACCAAGATGAGTTTATTAAAAAGACTCTCAGCTATTAAAAAGGATTTAGGGTCAGAAAATGTGTATGTACTTCATGAAAAAATGGAAAGTTGTCAACAATTAGGGAGTATTTGTTCTCTCTTATGTTCTTGTTCTTGTTTTTGCTTTTACTTGTCACATGGCCTCATGTTTCTAATTGTTTCTGAATGTTTGTTACTTTGTTTTCTTCTGTCTGAAGTCTGATTCTTTCTGCTTCCTCATCAGCATGATTACACCCAAATGACCACCCTAGTTCCTGACATGTCAGTATCTTTTTAGCTTTTGCTGACTCTCAGTACTGCGATTCTTAGTTCAAGTTCACAAGTGAGTGGATCTGATGGGACTAGTAAAAGGGGCACATGTCCACCTGCAATCCAATCAGCTTATAGCCAAGGAGGAAGGAGGTCATGTGATATAAACAACTGGGACTGTAGAGTGAAGAGGCAGCTCTCAGACAAGAGGGCATGAGCTGGGCAGGCACCCTAAAATTTGTTGATGACAAACAAGCCAAATACCTAGGATGGCTTTAATTGAGAGTTGGCTGCTGAGGAACAGTTTGGAAAAGTACCTTATGGCAAAGATCATGTGTGTGTTTGTGTGTGCATGTGTGCGTGGGTAATGGGGGTGGAGAATCAGGCGAGAGAGAACAGAATGTACTTTATAGAAACAAGGCCTAAACAGGAAGGAAACTAATCTTCCAGATACCAAAAATGGATCTAAGAACAGTAGCTTCTCCTAGGGCTGGAGGATGGAAATCGTTTGGACTATCCAGAAAACTGGATCCTGGAGGAGGACAGGATCTATAAGAAAAGCCTTCTGATTCAAGGTGTGTGTGTGTGTGTGTGTGTGTGTGTGTGTGTGTGTGTGTGTGACAGACAGAGAGAGAGACAGGGCTCTTAGTAACAATTTCTTGGTGCAGCTTTAGCTTGTGTACGTAGAGTGGGCTTCCTGTACCTTCAAGAGGCCCAGATCATTCCAGCCCTTCAAACTTTTATGTAAAGTAAACAATAAAATGAGAGTAAACAATAACAAAGAGAAAGTTAATAGAAATAAATGACAGAAGAGAGATATTAACTGTTTGGTACATTACACTTAGACTAAATTAAGAGCTTGGAAACTATGTCAGATATATTAACCTTTTAAAAACTTCCATCCAGAAATTCCCATCCAATATGGTCAGTTAGCTGTGTCATTGGGTAGTGTGTTTGTGTTGGCCAGAAATGGAAAGGAGAGAAAGAGTTACTACCTGAAAAGAATTGGAAGAGAAATGTTTGGGTCCAGGGATTCCTTTTTTTTTCCTGAAAAAAATTGTTTTTTCTTTTTTACTCTTGGTTGGGTGGTAACAAAGAATGCACTCAAGCTCTAACAATAAATGAGTTGTGTCAAATCCAGCACATGTTTCCAAGCAGAATTTAAAAATATGTAGAGTTGTAAGAAAGTGTTAGCGATTATTTTTGGGGAATACGATTGAAGTAACTTGAGGAAGGAGTAGGAAGAGGGATGCTACTTTTTATTTTATACTGCTTTGTAGTACCTGACTAAAAAAAAAATTAAAAAGTATATGTTAACTTTATAAGAAAACACAAATATTGTCTAAGTTAAAAATTCACAAAAATACGTAAATACTAATAATACCTAATCTTTCTGGCTTGGTTGGGGAGTTAGGTTTTTGTGTAAATGTTTAAAAAAAAAACTGAAGCTATTGTAACTATTTTAAGTGAAAATCTCTCTAAGGTACATACTACTCCCTTGCTTTCTTAAAAAGAAAATGTATTGATGATTCAGGAATATGATGATCAAAGTGTGGAGAAACTCAAAAAAGGCTACAAACTTCAGTATCTTGAATTTTATGTAAATATCTAATCTAAAATAGTAAAACAGCATGATGCACAATTATGACATAAGTTATTCTTTTAAGAGTACAGTGTGCATGGTTCCAGGATTCTGGAATAAGGATATGGAAACAATGAAAAAATAAAAG
This sequence comes from Homo sapiens, assembly GCF_000001405.40. Lineage (NCBI taxonomy): Eukaryota > Metazoa > Chordata > Mammalia > Primates > Hominidae > Homo > Homo sapiens. The sequence goes on from NC_000012.12 coordinate 80,033,022, forward strand.
TTAAGTAATAATGACCCCATCAAAGCCAACTGTTCTTAAGTATTTTAATATTGAATTGAGAAAAGGATAATACTGTTTCATTGCTGTTATAATCATGGCACTATTTTTTAAAATGACTGGAAACCAAATCAAATCCAATATGTTGCCTAGCAACTATGAGACACAAATACTTTACTTTGTTTCTTAAGCTGACATTAAAACACTACCAAAGATTCCTAAAAATACCTGCCTTAGAGTTCAGTTCTCAGCTAATCTCTTTAGTTCTCAAACATCGTTTTTTCCCCATTAGAACATCTGACATTAAAATTCCTAATATTCACTTTAGCAAGTACATCAGTAATTCATCAACTTTTTCTTCTTTTTAAATCTTTAGACTGTGCCTGCTATTTAAGTTACTTGTAATATTAGCACTTTAAAATGAAAAATCAAATGCCTAAAACATAAATAACTTAGCAAGATTTTTCTCTTGGCTTAGAGCATAATTGTAAGACGGCATATAGCTCAAAAGTTTTGGTGCTCAGCTGTGTGCTGAAGAAAGTATTTCCAAGTCTTTTACAAGTGAATTCCCACTAACTGGGCCCTCATCCTACAGAAACATGGTTTGTGGGGGAGGAGGAGGGAGTCTGTTTATAGCTCCATCACTCATGCTGTGTCATCAGAGCTGGATTATAAAAAGTTATGTCTTCTAGATCAGAGCCTTGCCTAAATAGGAAGTCTAGAAATCACCTAAACAAAGAGATGGCTATGCAACTCCCTGAAGGGGAGTTAGTTTATACTCCTGCTATGAGAACTATCAGCAAGTCACCGTTTTTTTGGAAATGGATTTTAAAAAACATTCAATATTTTAACAATAATGAATTATGTTTAGTTTCATTTACGTGGAGAAAAATGAAGGCAAATCACGTGGAGAAGATGTAATGTGAATAGAGATATAAGTACTACTTGTTTAAATTCAGAGAAATAATAATTATGATGCTCGCAAGTATTTACTGAGCATTTATTATGGGCTAAACACTAGGTAACTGCCTTACATTTAATCCTTATAACACCATGTAAACTGGTAGCTAGTGCTGCTCAGCTTAAATATGAAGAATTAATGGAGAGAAAGTTTAGGTATCTTGCTCAAGGTACACAAGGAAAGTGGCAGAGCTAGTTTCAAACCTGAGCCTATCCTGGTTCCAAAGTTCTTGTTCTTGACCAGGAAAGTGCAGTTAAGTACGGCTTTATTGTTCAGTATCAGCTAAAACCGGCCTATATTAAAAATTTTTATTCTGTTTTGAAGTTTTGTTAAGATGATCAGATAATCAAAAGATTAACAAACTTACTGGCAACTAGACCATTTGTTTTTGCTTAATTTAATCAAGTTTTAAAAATTCATAATCAACCTATCTTATAATAGTTTCATCTTATGCATGTGGGCTTTATACCAATTCATCTTATTTTCCTCCTGTGCTTTATATAATTTTATTCTCCTAGAGCTTAGTTCAGAGCATAAATATAAATGCTCAACAAAAATGTGTTGGATGAGTGAATGCAGTTTACATGTAGATCTTAGTGTGATTAATTTCAGTAGTTGAGCCTTTCAGTATATATTGACTTTGTCAAGGTCTGGATGAGGTATCCAAACTAAGAGCACCATGAATTACAGTAATAGTTAATGCATCTATAGTGCTTCATAGGCGTCAGACTCTGTTTTAAGTGCTTCACATACATTAGTTCATCTAATCCTGTCAATAACCTTAATGAGATAGGCGCTAGTATCTCAATTTTATAGATGAGAAATTTGAGGCAGAGAGAGGTTAAGGAATTGTCCAAGTTCATATAGATTGTAAATTGTACAGCCAGGATTTGAACCTAGGTTCTTGTGGCTCCAGAGACTTAACATCTATAGCTTACAGCTTTGATAGGATCAAAAAGAGAAGAATTGAATTGTACCAAGTTGGCTGGGAAGCATCAAGTTGTCTTTCCCTTCCCTTTCTCTTCATCTAACCTCATATCCCATTCCCTGCCTCACCCCAATCCCTTCTCTCACTTCCAAAGTGAAATACACCTAGAGTGACTGTCTTAGTTAGTTTGGGCTGCTGGAACAAGTTATTAGGTTGGTGCAAAAGTCATTGTAGTTTTTGTAATAATTAGTTGGTACAAAAGTAATTGCGTGATAACTTTTGCACCAACCTAAATACTATAGACTGAGTGACTTATAAACAACAGAAATTTATTTCTCATCATTCTGGAGGTGGAAGTCAGAGATCAGGGTGCCAGCATGTCTGGGTTCTGGTGAGAACCAGCTTGCTGGTTTCCAGACTATTGTATCCTCAAATAGCAGAAAGAGGGCAAAAGAGCTCCCTATAGTCTTTTCATAGGGGCACTAATCCTATTCGTGAGGGCTCTAACCTCATGACTTAATTACCCTCAAAGGCCTCACCTCCTAATACCATCACACAGGGAGTTAGGACCTTAACATGTGAATTTTGGGAGGATATAAACATTTACTCCATTGCAACAACCAAATTATGTGTTAAATAGACAGGTCACTTTGGACAGTACAAGGCAATGCCAATTGGATGGAACACCAGAACAACAGGCATCAACCCAGATGCCCTGGAAACTGGGATTTAGGATCACTATATATATGCTTTGGATTTGTTTTGTCCTTTTCTTTAGTGTTTGCAGTTGTATGGAGTAAGCACATTTAAATGGATGAACCAAATTTGATTTTATCAGCCCCTATGCAAGGATATAAAGCTGTGTGCAATATTTACAATTAAAAAAAGCTGGAATGTATAACCTTATGCTTTCATATTCTACACATATGTGTGGTAACCTTTGCTAGGTAAAAAGTATGCATATTTATAGCTTTGGTAGACACTGCTAAATCACACTCCAAAAGGGTTTTACCAGTACCTACTCCTGTCAACATGAGTGAGAGTGCCCATTCCCAATAGACTTGCCAACAGAGTATGCAATAAAAGTTTTAGATCTTTATCTTCCTGATAGGTGAAAAATGATATTTCAATGTGAAGTTTATTTGCATTTCTCATTTTAATTTCCTTTTCTATAAACTGTCTATTTGTAGTCTTTTCTACTTTTTTTTTTCTATTCAGTGGATGGCTTTACTATTTATTTATTTGAGCCCTTAATATATCCCTTCTGTGATACCTCAAACTCTTGGGCTGAGGTGATCCTCCTACCCCAGCCTGCTGGGTAGCTGGGACTACAGGCATGTGCCACCACACCCAGCTAATTTTTTGTATTTTTTGTAGAGACAGGGCTTCACCATGTTGCCCAGGCTGGTCTTGAACTCCTGGGCTCAAGTGATCTGCCTGCCTCAGCCTCCCAAAGTGCTGGGATTACAGGTGTGAGCCACTGTTTCTGGCCATTTTTAGTTTCTTATGGTTATGTTTACTTGTTTGATTATGCTTCTGTATTTTGCATCACGTGTACAAAGTATATTAGACTGTCAGATTACACTTTTTAAAAACCCACGATGGTTTCTTCTGTAACTTTTTAATTTTATTTCTTACATTTTTATAATTGATCCATCAAAATTCATTAAGTGTAAAGGTGGCACAGATAGAATAAACTTGTTCTTTAGATGACTGCTCAGTTTCCCAACACCGTTTATAAATCCATTTTCCTCTCAAAATTTCTAATGCCATTTTATTGTAGACTAAATACTGTTAGGTATTTACATCTAATTGTCGGCTTCCATAGTGTTTCATTGATTTCTCTGTTTAGTCAAGTGCAGGTACAGATTGTTTCAATTATTATAGCTTTATTATATATTTTAAATACCTAATAAGTCTAGTCCCTCCACTTTATACCTCTTTTCCAGAATTCTTCTGTTTTGTATGTTCATTTTATATAAAAACTTTGGAATAAGCTTGCTCAGTTGAAAAAAAATTGTCTAGTTATTTAATAATATCAAGTTAATTGTATAAATTATGGTGGAGAAAATTGGCATTCTTGTTATAACTGTACCTTCCTATCCAAGAACATGGTATGCCTTTCCACCTGTCTAAGTCTTCTGTGGTTCCCTTTCTCAGTGTTTTAAAAAATGTCTTCCACAGAAAGATAAATACTACATGTTCTCACTTATAAGCGGGAGCTAAATAATGTGTACACATGCAAGTAGAGTGTGGAATGCTAGATGGTGGAGACTCTGGGGTGGGATGAGATTGGGGTGGATAATGAGAAATGAGTAAAATGCATGTTACTCCAGTGATGGATATGCTAAAAGCCCTGACTTCAACACTGTGCAGTATATCAATGTAATGAAATTATGCTTTCACTCCATACATTTATATAAATAAAAATAAATCTTTAAATAATAAATCTTCATATACATTTTGCAAATTTTGTTACATTTATTCCTTGGAATTTTTGTCAGATTTTTTTCATTATATTTCCTAATGTGTGGATACATAAAAATTTTTTTTAATTGGCTTACAAATACACACACACATATATCCCAAACCCCAAACCATACATAAAATAAGTAAGTTCTCTCTCTCCATAAAACCTAAAACTATTAAGGTTTTATATTCTATCTGTCTATCTATCTATCTATCTATCATCTATCATCTATCTATCTATCTATCTATCATCTATCTGTCTATCTGTCTATCTATGTTTGCACGTAGCCTACAGACCACCTGTTATTCTTTGGAGTTTAATATTCTGATAAACAGGAATATATAAGAAGCAAAAATATGAAAATCATTACACATATATTAGTTTTTGTATATTTCTTTAAGCTATCCCAGGGCCTTCCTTCCATTTATAGTTAGGCTGTGAATTGTTTCCAATTCATTAGGAAAAATGCTCTTTCAGCCAGCTGGTAAAGTCAGGAGCATGCCAATTTAAATTTATTTTCTTCCCTTTTTTTTCTACCTCCTGTTCCTCAGGAGTATCAAGGTATGTCAGTGACATCAGCTGGTACATTCTAACTTCTTTCAGAAAAGAGAGAAAAAAAAAACCTGAAAAATGCACTGTTCAAACTCCTTTGGCTCCTTGGTCCCAGAGGAAAATTTGGGGAATCATTTCTCTCTGTGGTACAATCTTGTTGGATGCAGACCACGTTTACTCAACTTAAGAAAGGGGACACATATTCCCTTTTTAACAAATGTGTTTGATCTCACAGGATTCCATAGTCATTATAGTGAAAGAGAAACAGAACCTTGTGTTGAGACCACACGACTCCCTTCTTACCCACAGTTATTCTGCTTACTGACACCGTTTTGCCATTCTCTTCGGTTGTCTCTTCTGGGCTCATGCTGCTGAGTGAAGATTTTTTCTTTTGCCTTTCTTGGTGACTGTACTAACATTGCTTCCAGAGGAGAGGTGTTGACACATAACTGACATCCCCAAGGCCCAGCCTGCAGGAGACTGTGACTCTCACACCTATCTTTCTTTCTTTCTTTTCTTTTTTGGTTGAGGCTGGTCTTGTTTGATTTCTACCCCAAATGTGATTTTTAGAACATTTGAGGAAAATCTTTTCAGAAAGTGAAACAAAATGGAAAAAAAAAAAAAAAGAGATTCTCCCCTCACCATCCAAAATCTTTGTTATGATTTTGTTCCTGAAGATAATTTTAGAAAATCATTTCTGTATCATGGGAACACACATTTGTCCCTGGTTCTTGACAGCTCAAAGTGTTCAAGATGGGGACTTCTCTAAACAAGTGGCTTAATGTGAAGATGATTTTGAATGTTTGGAAATTCCATGCTCGATGTGTGGAGGAGAAAGTGTCACTATGTTAGGAGGTGAATATTTCCACTTGGACTGAATGCACACCAATGTCTTTCAAAGGAAATATTAACTGTACAATAGTTAGAAATGCAATTAGGATTTGATGTTTCTAGTCAAATAGTGCCATAAGGCAGCTCTGGAAGTCAGACAGACCTAGTTGGAAACTCTGGCTTCACAACATAGAAGGGTCATGAGCTTAGGTTTAATCCTTAATCTAGACCTCATCTTCTTTAATCATTAATGGTATTTGTGTGTGTGTGTGTAAATGCTAACTTTAATTTGGTCGAATTAGCTAAGATATATAGAAACACCTAACCAAGTAGTTAAAAAATAGTAGACATTATTTTAAGTTTTAAAAATGGCCATGGTAAGAATGTAACATAAACATTAAAAAATCTGAAGCCTGGGTGCGGTGGCTCAATCTTGTAATCCCAGCAGTTTGGGAGGCTGAGGCGCCCACTTTGGGGCGGATCATGAGGTCAAGACATCAAGACCATCCTGACCAACATGGTGAAAGCCAGTCTCTATTAAAAATACAAAAATTAGCTGGCTGTGGTGGTGCGTGCCTGTAGTCCCAGCTACTCAGGAGGCTGAGGCAGGAGAATCGCTTGAACCCAGGGGTGGAGGTTGCAGTGGGCCAAGATCATGCCACTGCACTCCAGCATGGTGACAGAGCAAGACTCAGTCTTAAAAAAAAAAAATCTGGAATATATTAAGTACCATCACAAAGTCAGAACTGTTAGTATAATACATTGCCAAGGCTCAGCTTTTAGGAGACTATTGCTGTCGCATCTATCTTTCTTTTTTTTCTGGCTGAGGCTGGCCCTATTTGATTCAACAGTGAGCTGCTAGTATTATGAAGACAAAACAGTGTGGAGGCCATCTCCTTGGGAGCAATTGGGAACCACAGGGGAAGAATCCCAAACAATGGTAGGCTCCCTAAAACTACTGCTGCCATAAACCAAACATTTTTACATTTATAGTGTGGCAAGGAAAGTTGGCTGGACTTTTTTCAATGGGAATTTACTAAATGTATGTAAAAAATACCTAGAAAATATATGAATTCAATCCCCATCCCCAAGAAAATTATTGTCTCATTGAGTTACTCAGTGAGGGAACTCAAAATATCAATAAATAAAGCAAAGAAACCCAGCCTTGTACTGAACTGAATTATGTACTGAATTTCAAAATGTGCTTCCAATGTAAAGGGTGCCAAAACCAAATAGAGAGTCCCTGTTCAGATATTGTGGAGCTCTATTGCTTCTGTTTGCCTGAGATCACTATCCCCCTTCTCTGTCTGCTTTTTTTTTTTTTTTTTTTTTGGTGGGGGCAGAGGGGAGGGGAACAGCTTTTCTCCAATTACAATAGTGTGGTTTTAGAAGGGACTATCAATCATTGTTTCCTGACTTGTTCTTTATACACTCCGCAAGCTTGTCCCCATGCAGGGATAGACAAGAGACCTGGGTTATACTAGCGGATTACCTTACTGCGCACAGGGATTGGTCATAAAATGAGGGAATGACTCAAGTTAGGCCAAATGGCATCCTTTCCTGGGTATTGCTGAGCTGGAATCAGAGAAAATTTTTTTTCTCTTGGTGGTGAAGCTAGTAAGATGTGAGTCTGGGGATGATGATAGACATACTTTCAGTTTTATGAACAAATCTGTAAGAATGATGTCAATGGGCAGAGAGAAGCAGAGATGGCAGAGAGAAACAGAGAGAGAGAGAGAGAGAAGTGAGGCCATGGTTCCAGTTGTTGCTGACATTGAGTTTTGAGTTGGTTTCCTGTCATTCTCAGTCAGAGTTCGAAGTTAAGTGGTTCCATCCTGTATGGCGTTGCCTACCTCATTTTCCTATTTTGCTCATCAGGATTATGACCGCAAGTCCCACGGAGTCTGAGTCATGCTGTTCATGTAACAATCTCCAAAGGAGTCCCTTTACATCAGACCACGAAAAGATTAGTTGAAAAGAACCGAAATAAGGATACTAATTGAATTTATTTAATTGACTATATAATCTTCTCCTTTTTTATATTTAGAAGGATAGTCCTAGTTTCAACACGTACTGGATTTATGACTTGGGGTAAGTGACCTAATTTTTCTACACTTCTTTGCATAGCTGTAAAATGGGTATAATGAATACATGCCTTACCTAAGAATAGTGTAGTATAAGATAATGGTTGAGAACATGGTCTCTGGGAGAAAGACTTCCTAGAGTCAAGTCCTCTTTCTACCATTTACTTGTATTTGGTTTGTTGTGAACTTGAGCAAGACACTTTGTCTTTAGATTCCTTAGTTTCCTTATTTGTAAAATGGTAATATTGTGGACTACATGTTTATGTCTTCCCAAATTTCATATTTTAAAATCCTAACCCCCAGTGGGATGGTATTAGGAGGTGGGACCTTTGGGAGTTAATTAGGTTTAGATGAGGTCATGAGAATGGCGCCTCAGTAATAGGATTAGTATCCTTATAAGAGAAAGAGACTAAAGCTCACTCTTTAGGCCACATGAGGATACATGGAGAACATGGCTGTCTACAAACCGAGAAGGGTGCCCTCATTAGACACTGAGTTGGCTGATGCCTTCACAGTCTCCAAAACTGTGAGCAACAAGTGTTTGATGTTAAAACCAGCCAGCCTGTGGCATTCTGTTATAGCTACCTGAACTAAGATAGGCAATAACAATATTTACCTTATAAAGTTGTTTACACATTTAGTGAGTTAATGTATTTAAAGCTGTTCACATAACAAGTGAGATATATATATAATGTTAATGATTCTTATAATTACATTATTCAATTGTAACAGAGATTAACTAGAAGCCTTATCACAATGCCTTCTTCGCTGTAAACACTCTGTCTAGCTCTACACTGGCAGTTAGCATATCACTCCGATTAATTTTAATAAGGTAACACTTTTGCTGTGTTATACTTGTACTAAAACACCTTCAGTAGCTGCCTATCACCTGTAGATAATCATACTCCTTAGGCCATCTCTGCCCGAATCATTCTAGTCTATTTTCCAGGATTGCCTCACATGACCACTTCACTTAGTTAAACAATTTTCTCATCATTCATTATCTGTCAAGAACTGTGAACAGTCTGAGATTTTACCTCATTTATAAGCTAAAAAATTAGCCTTCTACAGTTTCGGGTTGCTGGCATTAGACACAGAATTCCTGAGTCATTACTCGTGGTGCAGCAATCAGTATGAAACTTCATTTTTGCACTGGTTACCTTTGCTTTCCGAGTCATATGGAGGGGGATACTAAGGGGCCCAAGTGGTTGCATGCAGTGGGTTTGTGTGATAGCTGGGGACCTACAAGCTTAGAGTATCTGACATTCTTTGCTAGTAAACCAAAATACAATAGTGGTAGTTTCATAATGCTTAGTTGCAATGTAGAATCTGAAACCATATTTGTTACTGTGATGGATTAAAATCCATTGGTGTATATTGAATTTTGAACGAACCTTTCACCCATATATGATTTTGTAACCAAATGCACTGGTCATCTAGAAAATATTGGTTCCCCAAGTTATGTAGAACTTCCAAATGTTGACACATTTCAATATATAATACAAAAAAATCATATTTGTTAAGATTTCCAATATTCTAATTTTTCTAATATCTGAATTAGTATGAATATTATCCTTTTCTAACATTCTCTGAAAAAATGGCTACTTCTACTTACAATTCAAACACCTACACAATTGCTTTTCTTTGAGACAAGGACTGTTTCAGTAGATCAGAAGAGCTTTATGTGTACTTTCTATTTCATCTCACAGAATATTTAAAAGGTATGTACTCAAGAGTCAATATTTTGAAAAATTCATATATTTTACTACTTCATCAAAGATATTCTTTAGTGAATCTGGCTTCTTAGAATTTAAACTGGGAGTGTATGGTGGTGAAGAATAAAATTCTAGTATAGTTTGCTTCTACTATTCTATTCATGCTAAGTTGTCAGCAGTTTTATCACCCATTGTTTTTTGCACCATTAGTGCAAAGGTCAACACAGTAAAAAAGCCAGATAATATCTTAGTATTGTTATGAAAATAATTTTGATCTTGTGAACTCCTGAAAGGGTCTCAAAAATTCTTAGATGTCCTTGGATCATACTTTGAGAACTGCTGTATTAAGGAGGCCTGTTAGGAGGCTGTTATAAGAGGATATTGATAAGGAACTGTACATATAATGTAGAGCATGAAAGAAAAGGAATTTGATAAATTGAGTACTGTCTTAGTCTGTTTGGGCTGCTATAACAAAATCCCATAAGCTAGATAGCTTACAAACAGCAGAAATTTATGCCTCACAGTTGTGGAGGCTGAGAAGTCCATGATCAAGACATGAGTCTATTCAGTGTCTGGTGAGGACATGTTTCCTGGTGCATAGAGGGCCCCTTCATGCTATGTCCTCACATGGTAGAAGGGCAAGACAGCTCTTTGGAGTCTCTTCTGTAAAGGCACGAATCCCATTAATGAGGATTCACTCTCATGACTTAATCACCTTCCAGAAGGCCTCACTTTTTTTGGATTAATTAATCAGTATTAATGAACAAAATATTAATGACATCCCCTTCTCCGTCCCTGTGGATCAAGGCAAGAAGGGCCATTTGCCGACACAGATACCAGGAGGTGGAAAGCTGCAGCAGTTTTGAGCAGAAGGCCTCACTTTCTAATACCATTTCCTTGGGGTTAAGATTTCAACACAAGAATTTTGGGACGACACGACCATTCAGAGTAGAAAGCACATTGTTTCTAAGTTATGTGTGGAAAGTTCAGGTACAGATGTCTAGCAGCCATTATAAAATATGAGATTGAATATAGAGAATTACAACTTAATGATCTGCATTGGGGAGGCATCCACACACAGGTGACAGGTTGAAGACATGGGAGTGTGCACAGCATACTGGTCTAGGTCATGGTCTGTCTTGGTTTAAACTCTAGTTATGCCACCTTCTTAACCAATTTGTGACTTGGTTTCCTCATCTGGAAAATGGGTAAAATAATAGTATCCACCTCAAAGCGTTGTTACAAAGATTAAATGAGTTAATATTTGTAATGTGGTTATAACAGATCTTGGCACATAGTAATCTATATATCTGTCTAGATCTGAATGTAATTGTACTATACAAATGAAATACAAAAATGGGAATAAATGGAGATTTCTCTGGGAGAATACTGAGGGAGAAGAGAAGAGGGCTGAGAATTGGGGCAACCAATGTTTAAGAGAAAAGCAAAAGAAAAGAAGCCAGTGAAGGAGACAGAGTGATGAGGGAGGCAGGGAAAAGCTCCAGAGTGGTGTCCTGGCAGCCTAGGAGAAGTTTGCCACATTGCAGACTTCAGGCAGGAATGTAAACTTTGAGATGGCGGGTGCTGCATTTACTTTGTTCTCTGCTGAATCCTCTGGACTTAGCACAGTGCCTGATATATAGCAGGTGTCCAGTAAATATTTGGCAAATGAAAATGCCAAAGAGAAGTTGGAAAGATAAGGGCCTGAATATGTTTATTTATATTTAACAAAAATAGGTCAGTTGGGGACTTAGGCCTCCCTATATAGTGCCATACTAACGTCAGAACTTGATGTTAAAATATTCTGAGACGGAGTTTCGCTTTTGTTGCCCAGGCTGGAGAGCAATGGCGTGATCTCAGCTCACAGCAACCTCTGCCTCCCCGGTTCAAGCGATTCTCCTGCCTCAGCCTCCCAAGTAGCCGGGATTACAGGCATGCGCCACCACACCTGGCTAATTTTGTATTTATTTATTTATTTATTTATTTATTTATTTATTTATTTATTTATAGAGATGGAGTTTCTCCATGTTGGTCAGGCTGGTCTCAAACTCCCGACCTCAGGTGATCCGCCTGCCTCAGCCTCCCAAAGTGCTGAGATTACAGGCATGAGCCACTGCACCCAGCCCTAAAATATTCGTAACTTATGAGTTAACCCTTACAGCTATTGCCTGTTATTACCATGGTTTCATTATAATTTTGTGCAACTGGCCCCAAAGTCTCTTTTTTAAAATAACTGCTTTCTGCCTATGATCACAGGCATATTTTTAGCCTTTTTCTAAATGCCAAAATTAGTCATTAGATAGAAGAATTGGTCATCAACCAGGCCACTGGATGACTCAAGATTCCATCATTTGACCTCATATTGAAAATATGAAGACCAGAGTTTGACAAGCAACACTGCAGCAGTGTTTTCTGCTTTCCATTATTACTGTACAGGAAAACAATCAGATTTAAAATACTGATTTTTCTTTTATTTGAGTTTGTGGCAGGCAGTACACTGCTCTTTACTACAAGCGAACTCCTTGTAAAAATCTCCACACGAGGAGGTAGACTGAATCCCCCCACTGCGTTTCTGGGCTCCTTAGACTAATGGATTCCATTGAATTGGTCTCAGATTAAATTTCTCTAAATATTACATTATTTTTTCTACTTCCTTGCTCAAAAAGTTGCTATGGATCAAGCCTCTTTAATCTGGCCAAACTCCTTTTTTGCTGAATTCCCTCTGTGTAAACTCTGCACTATAGTCGCACTAGTCTACTTTCTTTTCTCAAACACTTGGTTCTCCACTTGTGTATCTTTTGTTAGCTTGATTCCTAGATATCATATAGTATTGAAATATTTTCTCTGTTATATTATCCAATGGATTATTACTGGTGCTTAGGAATATGCCCCCAACTTTTGTATGCAGCTCTTTTACCCTTGAATCTGTGGATTATTTTTAGATTCTAAAGGCTGAATATAGAAGCTATTGAATTTTTTGTGTGGACAAACCATATTTTTCACAAATAATGATAGTTAGGTCTCTTCTTTTCTAATTTATTATACCAAAAAATTTTATTGGCTTGCATTTACTATAACCTACACTAAAATGTTCAATAGAAGTAGCAGTAGTTGGCAACCTTGTCTTTTTCCTGACATGTAAAGGAATGCTTCTCAAATTTCATCATTAAGCTACTTGGTTAATAATGACATATATGTGAGTCAGCATGTTAAATGGTTAAGAGCTACAACTCTGGACCAATCTGGCTGGGTTTAAATTCCAGCTCTGCTACTTAGCTGCGGCGTTATATTGGATAAATTAACTCTGGCTTGGTTTCCTTATGTGTAATATAGGGAATGACAGCAGCTAAATCATAGAATTACTGTAAAGATTCGATGAGATAATACTTATAAGGTGCTTAAAGCTATCTGGTACATACCAGCATGGTATAAGTGTTTCTTAAATATATTGAGGTAATCATTTGAAATCTCTCATTTAATATACTACTTTAATTGATATTATTTTATTTAAGTCTTTAAATTCTTGGGGTCAGCCATACAGAATTATGAGTTTAAAAAATATGTGGTTCATTTCTAGTCAATATTGTACTGAAGGTTCTAGTCAGGAAAATTAAGCAAGAAAAAGAAATAAAAGGCACACAGATCAGAAAGGAAGAGGTAAAACTATATGCACAGATGACATGATATTGTATACAGAAATAATAAAAAATCCACAAAAGCTATCAGAGCTAATAAGCACATTCAGCAAGGTTGCAGAGTACAAGATTCATATACAAAAATCAATTGTATTTCTATACTCCAGCAATAAACATTCAAAAAGAAAGTTAGCATAATAATTCCATTGATAGTAACATCAAGAAGAATAATATACTTAGGAATAAAGGGAACAAAAGAAGTGCAAGACTTATAAACTAAAAATGATAAAGCCTTTTTAAAGAAACTAAGGAATAGCTAAGTAAATGGAAAGTTATCTCTTGTTTGTGGCTTGGAAGACTTCATGTAAAGATAAACATACTCCCCAAATTGATCTATAGCAACAAAATCACTATCAAAATTCTATCTGCTTTTTTTTGAAAGAAATCAACAAACTGATTCTAAAATTTGTATGTAAATGCAAGGGTCTCAGAGAGGCCAAATTGGTCTTAAAAAAGAACAAGTTGGAGGACTCACACTTTCCTTCTTTTTAAAAATTTACCTCAAGAAGGTAGACACACACTTTCTGATTTCAAAAATTACTACAAAGCTACAGTAATCAAGGCATTGTGGCACTGGTACAAGGACAGACATATGATCAATGAAATAGAATATAAAGTCTAGAAATAAACCCTTACATTTAAGATCAGTTGATTTTTGACAGGAGTGCCAAGATAACTTGATTAAGAATAGTCTTTTCAACAAATGCTGCTGTGACAACTGGATATCCACATGTAAAAGAATGACACTGGAATTAAGTCACAACATATACAAATATTAACTCAAAAATGGGTCAACAACCTAAATACAAGAGCTAAAACCTTCAAACTCTAGGAAAAAAACCATAAGAGTAAGTCTTTGTGAACTTGGATGAGGCAATGATTTCTTAGATATGACACCAAAAGCGTACAAGCACCAAAAGAAAAAGAATGGGATTGTATCAAATTACAAACTTTTGAGCTTCAGAGGACATTATCAAGAAACTGATAAGACAAACCACAGAGTGGGAGAAAATATTTGTAAATCATATATTTGATAATCCAGAATACATGAAGAACCCTTGTAAATCAACAATAAAAATAAATAATCCAATTTAAAAATGGGCAAGGGATTTGAATAGACATTTCTCTAAAGAAGATATACAAAGGGCCAATAAGCACATGAAAAGATGCTCAAAATCATTCCCTAGTGAGAGAAATGCAAATCAAGACCACAATGAGAAATCACTTCACATTCATTAGGATGGCTCTAGTAAAAAAGATAGGCAATAACAAATGTTAATGAGAATGCAGAGAAATTTGAACCCTCATTCATTTCTAGTAGGAAGATAAAATGGTATAGCCCCCTTGTAATTGAGTTTGGCAGTTTTTTAAAAAAATTGCATATAGGGTTTCCATATGATCCAACAATTTCACTCCTAGATATCTATCCAAGAAAATTAAAATTATTTCCTAGGCAAAAACTTGTACATCAATGCTCATAGCAGCATTATTCATAATAGCCCCAAAGTGAAAACAACCCAAATGTTCATTGATTGATAAATGAATAAACAAAATGTATTGTATTCCTACAATGGAATATCACTCAGCAACAAAAAGAAATGAAGGACTGATGCTTGCTACAATGTGGATGAACCTTGTAAATGTGATTCTAAATGAAAGAAGCCAGTCACAAAAGGTCACGTATGATTTCACTTCTATTAAATGTCCAGAATAGGCAAATCCATGAAGACAGAAAGTCGATCAATGGTTTCTAAGGACTGGGAGTAGGGACTGTGAGGGATATGGGATTTCCATAGGGCTAATGGATATGGGATTTCTACTGGGGTGACAAAAACGTTCTGGAAGTTGTAATGGTTGTACAATTTTGTTACTACACTAAAAGCCACTGAATGGTACACTTAAGGGTGAATTTTATGATGTGTGAATTACATCTCCCCCAAAATGTTAAAACATTGGTGAATTTAGCTTTCTACTATATCCTATTTTATTTAGAATATTTACATAAGTGTTTATGAGTGAGATTGTTCTTTACTTTTCTATTCTTAAATATTTCGTTTTAGGATCTGGACCCAAGGAATCTGACTTCTCTCTTACTGTTATTTCTCAACTGTCCAGGTCTAATTCCACCTGTGCACTAATTCCTATACCCTCTTGCCTATGTAAGTACATAACTTCAACGAATTCTGCCTCTCTTTCTTCTGTCATCATTTACCTCCTCTCTATTTGGTAACCCCAATGAGCCTTCAAAAATAGTACAATATCTCTTATTGTGAAGGAACCCTCCCTCGACCCCACATTTGCCTCTGGCTACTGCCACATTTCTCTATGATAGCAAAACTTATTGAAAAATTTATAGTCAGCAGCTCACTTTTTTTTCTCTCCGTTCTCTCTTGGATCCACTTTAATCAGGCTTTTTTCCTCATCTACCTGTTAAAGCTACCAGTTACTTCCATGCAATTAAATTCTAATGATCAGTTCTCTGTTATCATCTGACTGGAACCATCAGAAGCATTTGCCACAACTGTAACTCTCTTCTTGAAATATTTTCTTCAATTTACTTCTGGAATGCCACTTTCTTGGTTCTCCTGTTCCCTGGTTCTTCTTCTCAGTCTTTTTTGCTGGTTTCTTCTTATATTAGTTTTCTCTTGTTGTGTAAGGAATTACCAAAAATTTAGTGGGCTTTAAACAGATACATTATCTCACAATTTCTATGAGTCAGGAGTCAGGGCATAGTCTAACTGGGCCTTTGGATCAAGGTCATACAAGACTGTAATCAAGGATATGGCTGGACTGCATTCTTACCTGGAGGCTCAACTGGAGGTGATTCTGCTTCTGAATTCACTCAGGCCATTGGCAAAATAATTTTCTTGTGGATGAATGACTGAGGGCCTGGCTCTTTGGAGGTTGTTGGCTGAAGACCACTCTTGATCCTAGAGATCACACTAATTCCTTGCTACACTGGCTTTTCCAGCATAGCTGCATACTTCAAGACCACAAAGAGAGTCTCTTACATCAAGGTCAACCTAGTCCCCTCCCCATCCCCCCTTTTAAGACCTTTTGCCTGGTTAAGTCAAACCCACCAGGAACATCTCCTTTTGATTAACTCAAAACAATTAATTTGGATCTTGATTTCATCTTGAAATCCCTTCAACATTGCCATACCCTGTTGTCTACAAGCAAGTCACAGGTCCTGCCACACTCAAGGGGCAGGACCATACAAGCCATCAACACCAAGGAGTAGAAATTCTAGGGGGTCATCTTACAATTCTTCCTACCACACTCCTCATCTGTTTGACCTTTACAACTGGAATTCCCTTTGGAGGCCGAGGCGGGTGGATCACCTGAGGTCAGGAGTTCAAGACCAGCCTGGCCAACATGTCAAGACCCTGTCTCTACTAAAAATACAAAAATTAGCTGGGCATGGTGGCAGGCACCTGTAATCCCATCTACTCGGGAGGCTAAGGCAGGAGAATCGCTTGTACCTGGGAGGCAGAAGTTGCGGTGAGCCGAGATTGTGCCATTGCACTCCAGCCTGGGCAACAAGAGCGAAACTCCGTCTCAAAACAAAACAAAACAGGAATTCCCTAGGGCTCAATTCTTGGGTCTCTTTTCCTGTTTATTGATTGTGCTTGGATCTCTTTTATTTGCCTCCCCATATTTTCTTTCTCCCCTCCTCTTCTTTGGTTTGTGCTCTAAGAGGTGATTCAAGCACACCATATCAACAGCTTCTTTGCCCTTGACTTTCTGTTGGAGCTTAGGAGGAGAGTGGGATAGAGTATTGCTTCCTCTAGCCTCCTTACTGCTGGGTTGCCTCCCTTGACTAAAGGTTACAGCTCTTGTCAAGGGGAGCATCTCTATTCAGCTACCTTCTCTGGGTTTCTGGTAATTCCTCCTTCCCCTGGACCCATTAGGCTGCCTGGTGTTGGGGTAATACATCATCCTTTATTCTTTATCGAAATTCTGCCACACTATTTAAATAGACCCTTTGTTAAAGTCTTCTCAGATTGTGTGATTGGAGTGTGCTACTTGGACTTACTCGTAAATATACATGCTCTCCCTTTCTGATCTTGTTTAGTCTCATGGATTTAAATTCCATTAATCTACTGATGACCTCTACATTTTTTCCCATAACCTGGACCTCTCCCTTGGGATTCCTACTTGAAATTTCCACTTGGATATATTCTATATACCACAAACTTCACAAGCCCACATCTTCAACTCTGATTCTTATCCAACTTCCAACCTCAAACCTTACTCTTTTTCATACTTTCCAATCTCAGAAAATGGCAATATCAGTCTTCCAGCTACAGAGGCCAAAGAGTCTGGAGTTGTAGCCAAGCGTGGTAGCACTTGCCTGTAGTCCCAGCTACTTGGGAGGCTGAGGTGGAGAATTGCTAGAGCCTAGGAGTTTGAAGCTGTAGTGTGCAATGATTCAGCCTCAACAGCCACTACACTTCGGCATGGGCAACCTATAAAGACGCCATCTCTCTTTTTTAATGATTATTCATAGGCTGATTTTTAATCGATACACAATATTTGTAAATATTTGTAGGGTTCATGTAATATTTTGTTACATGCATAGGGTGTGTAATGATGAAGTCAAAGTGTTTAGGATATCCATCACCTCATGTGTTAATCATTTCTATGTGTTAGGAACATTTTAAGTCCTCTCTTGTAGTTATATTGAATCTTGTAGTTATATTGAAGTATATAATACATTGCTTTTAACTATAACTACTCTACCATAGAACATTAGATTTTATTGATTCTATCTAATTGTATGTTTATACCCATTAATCAGTCTCTTATCCTCCCCAACCCTTACAAGCCCTTCCCTACCTCTGGTAACTATCACTCTTCTCTGCCTCCATAAGATCAATTGTTTTAACTCCCACAGATGAGTGAGAACATGTAATAGTTGTCTTTCTGTGCTTGGCTTATTTCACTCAACATAATGATCTTCAGTTCCATCCATGTTGCAGCAAATGGCAGGATTTCATTTTTGTTAATGGCTGACTAGTATTTCATTGTGTGTATGTGTGTGTGTGTGTTTATCACAATTTCTGCATCCATTCTGTTTCTGGACACTTAGGTTGATTACATATTTTGCTATTGTGAATAGTGCTACAACAAACATGAAGGTACAGGTATTCCTTTGAGATATTGATTTCTTTTCCTTTGGATAAATACCCAGTAGAGGGGATTGCTGGATCATATCGTGGTTCTGTTTTTAGGTTTTTTTTTATTATAAATTTCCATATTGTTTTCCATAGAGACTGTACTACTTTACATTCCCACCAAAAGTGTGTAACAGATCCCTTTTCTCTGCATCCTAATCAGCATTGTTATTTCTTGTCTTTTTGATAATAGCCATTCTAACTGGGGTAAGATAATATCTCATTGTGGCGTTGATTTGCATTTCCCTAATGACTAGTGACATTCAGCATGTTTTCATGTATATGTTGGCCATTTGTATATCTTTTGAGAAATGTCTATTCATGTTCTTTGCTCATTTTTCAAGGGGATTATTTGTTTTTGTTTCTATTTTTTGCTTTTGGGTTGAGTTCCTTGTTTAATCTAGATACTAGCATCTTGTGAGATGAGTAGTTTGGGAATATTTTCTGTCATTCAATAGGTGGCCTCGTTACTCTGTTAATTGTTCACTTTTGCCCTGCAGGAGCTTTTTAGTTTAATACAGTCCCATTTGCCTGTTATTGGTTTTGTTGCCTGTGCTTTTGAGGTTATTACCCATAAAATCTTTGCCTAGATTAAAGTCCTGGAGTGTTTACCCTATGTCTTCTTCTAGTAGTTTTATAGTTTTTATAGTTCTCTTTAAAAAAATCTGGGATAATTTCTGACTCCCCTCTTTCTTTCACACTATCCTTCTGATCCAACAACAATCCTCTTGTCTCTGTCTTCAACATAACTTCAGACCATAACAACGTTTCCCCACCTCCACTGCTTCCCTCCTGGTCCAAGCCCTCATCATCTCTGGTCTGGATTGCTTAAATAGGCTTTTAATTTGTCTCCTTGCCTCTTTCCGTGCTCCTTGTCCTTCACTCCAGTCCTTTCTCACCAAGGCTGTCCTAGTTATCTTTTTAATACATTAGTTATATTATGTTTCTCTTCACCTCTAACCCCCACAGTGGTCTCTCATCTCACTGGGAATAAAAAGTCACAAACATGGAAATGGCTTTGAAGGTTCTATGTGATCTGGCCTTCTGCTCCAATTCTAACTTTTGCTCCTACCACTCTTCTTACTCACTCCTCTCATCACACTCATCTCCTTGCTATTCCTTGAGCCTACCCTGCATGTCTCTACCTTAAAGCCTTTGAACTTCCTGTGCCATCTGCCTGGGACACTTGTCTCCCATGTCATTATAACTGGCTCCCTTAAATATCACATTCTCACTAGGTCTTCTCTAGCTCTCTTTATAAAACAGCATCCTTCCTTCCCTCTTTGATGTTTTTCTTCCCCTTTACCTTAGCTTATTTTCTCTTCCTAGCAGTTCCACCCTCAGACATTATGTATTCACTTGTTTATTTGTGATCTGTTTCCCACACTGGCCCCTCTCCCTCAACTAAAGTGTAAACTCAATAGGATAGGGACTTCGTTTTGTGCACTCATTTTTCTCCAGCACCCAGAACACTGCCCAGCATTTAGTAGCTGCTCAAGAAATAGTTGTTGAATACATGATTGAGTAGATGAATGAAAAGTTATGATTAAGGTATTATCCTACAAGTTGGGTAAGCGATATCTAGAAAATCTGTAGAGTTGTTCTAGGGCTCCTGATCTATATTTGGAAATCGTGGTCCTTGTTTCAAGGCAGTGTCTTTTTTCTCCCACTTTCTCAGGTCCAATGAGTCCCAGTAAGCCACAGTTCCTAACAGCAAGTGAACTGTTTTTTAAACTGCCTACGTGTTTTTGGAAGTCCCAACCCAGCTGCAGCTTCAGGCAGAGTGCCCAGTTCTGGCCAGTCATCTCTCTGAGCCTTGCTCACTGCGTTGGCTTTCTGTTCTTTTTCTGGTCCATGGAGATGTTTATCTTGATTTTGTACCCAGCTAATGTCATAATGCTTTTATCTTTTTATATATTTCCAATCATGGCTGAATGTTTAGAACAGAGGGGTGTGGTAATTTACGAACTCACTAAACCATCTTGATTAGAAGTCCCCACACATTTCCAAATAATGTTTGAAATGTGGCCAAATTTAAAATCCAGGAGACAGTACATAAAAATTCAGATTTACTGTTTATCTTGAAAATTTGTATATTTGGCAACACTAAGCCAGCATTTCTGTATGTGACAACTGACTGGAGGTGAGTACTTGCTAAGACGCTTCAATGGGTCATGCAGTCTACAAGCTGCCAAGTCCTCCCCACTGAACATTTTGTTAAATTTGACAGAAATGACTTCACTCCTTTGCTTTATCTGCCTAACCCTTGTAGGTATTTTAATTTGTGATCCCTATTTTGAGAACGGTCTGAGCAAAAGCATCAGGTAATTTATTAAGAGGTTAGAAAATGAAAACACCAAAACCGAAAACAAAGCCCTTATTTTGAATAATATATGGGGATGGAGGAGAGAGAGAGAGAGAAAGAGCATATTTTATACTTTTTCTCTCTTTAGTGCAAGTTTTTAATTCTAGCTCCGTAGTCACAAAGTTTCCAAACCTGCCAAACTGCAACTTTTCCCTTTTAGGTGAGACATACCATTAAGGACTTTTCCCCCCATGAAAATGGCATATAAAACTTTCTATCAGTGAGTGCCCTGGAATCCAGTGATGCCATTACACAACTGAGAATATAATGTGTCTACTCTTCTGTCAAGGTAAGATTTCTCTAATTTATCAAGAAAGAACTAACTCATTTGATACCGACAAGCTTTTCTTCTGAAATTGAACTGAGTAGTTAAGAGAATCAGATTTTTTTACTCATGCAAGAATCTGTGTAATCATCTCCTCTTACCCATCTATCACAGATACTCTTCCCAGAACAACCTGTGGTCAGTTTGAGGAATTCTTACACCTCTTGAAGTCTAAATGTCTGATTTATCTGAATAGTGACTTCCATTAAAAAACGTACAGGCTTCCCAGCTACTCCGGAGGCTGAGACCGGAGAATGGAGTGAACCCGGGAGGCGGAGCTTGCAGTGAGCCGAGATCGCGCCACTGCACTCCAGCCTGGGCGACAGAGCAAGACTCCGTCTCAAAAAAAAAAAAAAAAAAAAATGTACAGGCTTTGCAAGAGTACGCATGGAATGGGCATTTGCCTAGTTTGTGTGACTTGTGGAGCATCAGGAAAACCTATTGCTCTCTATGTTTGCCTTGCTAGTGGGTCATGGTGCGGAGAGCAACCATGTTTCTTATTTATTCAGGTTAATGCAATGAAACTATTATTGAATGGCAAGTAAATCCTCATATGTTTGTGCCATTTGTCACTTCATTATAGATTTTAGATTTGAAAGGGCCATTTATACAATGCTGCTTCCTGAATACTTCGCCAGAAAACTTATTACACTATGACTTACTACTTATATATACTTATTACTTAACTGTGTCTAGGTAAGGGGGCTTATTGGTGGTCCAGAAAGTTCCATTTTTGAAGGTGTGGTTATAGCCTGTTTTTCTATTCAATTGTTATTTCTCTCCCATAAAAAGTTAGGACTTTTTCTTCAAAACAAACATTTACTATTATTTAGTTACTACATTTCCAAGAAAAATTCATTATATGGGCCGAGATTGAAAGAATATCAAACATCAGGCATGATTAACGTTTAACAGTAAAATTAGATATTATTATCTTGGTTTAATATAACCTTACTTTTTCTCCTAAATTTGAGTTGGATCAATTCACCTTGAGTTACAAATATTGTTTTCATTTATTGTTTTGTTGTTGCTTGAATATTAACACCAATGATTTGTTTCACTCAGAATTTCGTCTCTTTTCAAAAGAGAAAATCTTTGGCTGCTTACTTGGGAAATGGAAGTCAAGTTACAATTTCTTGAGAAGGTTTGGTTCATAGTAAGTGACAGAAAAATGGATTTTTTGTGGGCCCATGTATATCACCTTACCCAGAGGTGAGATAATTCCTTCTGAGCCATCTAGATTTGAGTTTTTCTTAAGTCAGAGCAGGGTCTTTCTTTCTAGAAGTTCCAACAGTTTTCACTGCTCCTCCTTACTGTTCACATATGCCTAAAACTCAAAATGCTCATTTTGTTTTAATCACCTTACGGATTGGCCTACCCTCCCTGTTGGGCTCCTGAGATGTGTTGGAAGTTCATCTTAAAATCCTAATTTCAGTTGAATTATTCTTAAAAATGAGTCTACCCTTTTTTGAGTCCGTAGTAACAGGGTAAATTATTGCTATCACTATTACTGAACTACAATCTAGCTGACGAGGACCAGCAAGGCCTTACCTTTAGTTAGATTTGTTTAGGGAAGCAAGACAGAGGGTCACTCAGGTAACTTTGTTTGTGGATACAGTTCGTAAAGAAGTGACTGGAGGAGCAGCATCAGAGGGAGGCTTCCTCGTAGCTGTGGAAAGTGTCCTTCATGGAACCCCATTCATCGTTTGTTCTGAGTTCAGTTGCTACCACTCTAGTAATGTAATAGCAGTTTTGATTCTCTCTCTCTCAAATTAAAAACTACTTTTGATCATATTGAAGTTCTAATGCCTATCAGCATTACCTTGGAAACTGTTAAAAATGCAGAATCTCAGGCTCACCTGCAGACCTGAATCATATTCTGCATATTGACATGATCCCCAAATCTTGAAAAGTATTGCTTTCATATGCTGGCCTCTTTATTTTCCCCAAGTCCATCAGCTCTCATCTTTTTATCTCTGTTGATCTTTTCGTTATTATTATTTAGTTTAGATTCCACAGTCCATTATTTGCATAACACTCTCACCAATATTCTCAACTCCCTAGTCCTGTTGTCTTAAATTTTTTTTTATCTTTGTCTGACAAATGTCCAAACCTGGATGAATGCATCTGTATTCCTTCTCTATGCCTACACTCGAACAGCCTGGCACTGCCACAGATAGTCTCCCAACAGTGGAGCAGATACAGGCAGATTGGTGCCGACACATGGGGCCTGTTCAGCCTGCCAGTTCTTCCATGTGTCTCTGGTAAATTCTCTTCCTCTGTCTACAACAATTGTTTTAAACATTCTACATTCTATTCAAACCTCGAATATTCTTAACTCCTCCTCATTTGCAGCAGATGACTTCACCTCCTACTTCCCGAAGAAAATAGAAGGCATCAGATGGGAACTCCCTCAGCTTCCTGCTAGCAAATCCATACAGTTCCATCTGGACTCATGTTCTTCTCTTTTCCTCCTATTTTAGTCTAGGGAGTATCCTTCTCATTTAAGCCCAATCCCTCCACCTGTGCTTTGGAAACTGTCTGCTCATGCCTTCTCACTTCATTATCAACCTTACACTATCAGTTTCTTCTCCCTCCCTGCCCCCATTTCTATTTATTCGACATACCCTTCTCAACTGGATTATTTCCAATTACATTTAAATCTTCTCATGCCTCTTCCATCTTAAAAAACAACCTTCCTTGTCTCCCAATTTCTATGTTTCTATCTTTCAACTCCTTTCTATCTTTCCCATTTCTTTCAATCTAAATTTTCTAAAGATGTCTCATTGTTTGGTGAGTCCATTTTCTCACTTCAAACTCCCTCCTCAATCCTCTTTAATTTGGCAGTTGTTCCTGGCACTGCACCAAAACAACTTTGGCTAAGGTCACCAATGACCTCCATGATTTAAGTCCAATGGACATTTTCCAGTATTTTTTTTTCTAATCTCCCAGCACTCTTTGTTTTGTTGAGATGTGTTTATTTTGGCTCCAAAACACCATGCTATCCAGGTTTTCCTTCTTACTTTCTAGCATTTCCTTCTCTTTTACTTTGCAGATGGCTGGTCTGTAAGCTTCTTCCTCTTTCCATTTTATGCTCTGTTATAGGTTAGCTTCTCTAGGTAAAATATTGTTGACATAGAGTTTAGGGTGCAAGATGGTTGTTATGAATCAATACCTGCCAAAGGAAAGCATAGAGATGAGAAAGGAGTTGAAATTTGATGCAAGTCTAGCAAAACTTTGGCCATTGGGGGACATTCTGGATCATAGGTTCATCCCACATTTGACTGAAGTGGCCAGGCCTTCATATTCCTGCCATGTTCATTCATTAGATGTGGTGTCCCCGGAAAAGAAATGAGGTCCTGTGTGGAGTTTTCCCAGCTAAGGTATATCCTGAAAGAGCTAAGAGCTGGAAGCTGGAGGCTGTCTGCTGATTTCATTCTCCATCAATCTGGGCATCAAATCCTTTGGTGGAGGTAGAGCTGAGTGGTGCACCTCTGGATTTATTACATATTCTCTCTTCTAGATAGTATTTTTGATATCCATGGCTCAATTTTCATCAATTGACTAATGATTCCCAAATTTATACCTCCAGACCAGACCTGTGAGTTCCTGACCCTTACACTCAACTGCCTATTGAATATTTTTTCTTGGGTTTCTCAAAAAGATCTCAAGTTTATCATCTCTAAACCTCATCAATCAACAAATCTTGTCAAATTTATATCCTAAATATCTGTGAATCCATTCACTTCTCTCCTTCACTACTGCTACGATTCTAGCCCATACTACCATTTTCTCTAGCTGGACTCCTATAAGTCATTCTATTTGATTTTCCCATATCCACTCCTCCTTTCATCCATTTATTATATTGAAGCAAGCAATATTTTCAAATGCAACTTTAAGTATGTTAATTCCTCTCTATGCACCACTCCCATCACTTTAGGGACTTCCCATTGCTGTTTTAAATAGAAGCCAAAATTATGAAGCGAGCCTTCAAAGGGCTCCTATGGTTTGGCTTCTACCTATGTCTCCGGCCTACCTTTACTCTACTCTACTTTTTTCCTCAATTCGTACATCCAGTGACATTGATTTTTTTTCTTAGTTTTCCTAATGGACTCACAGAGAGTCTCACAGCGCTGTTTTCTCTACTAGAAATATTCTTCTTTCATTCTTCAGCTGATTAGCTATTACTTCTCCTCCAGTTCTCAGCTCAAGCCTCATTTTTTCAGATAAGCTTTCCTTAAGTCTCTCATGTAGGTGAGGCTCTTATAGCCTTCTGTTCTATTTCTTCATAGCACATAGGTTAGAATGTAAATGTATTCCCATTTATGTGATTATTTGACTAATGTTTGACTCCCCTACTAGTAATCTCCAAGAGTATAGGACACCACTGTCACTTTGCAATGTTTCCAGAACTTGGCACATTGCCTTACCCAGAGTAGGCCCTTAATACAGTACATGTTTGTTGAATGAATGAAAATCTCCTAGCCAAAGTAACGGATAAAGTTGTTAGCCACCAGCCAATATGCTTTTCTTGGTGCTAAACTTTTGTTCTAGGCTACTTAAGAGGCTCTTGGTTCAGCCTATTGGTTGCTTCTGGGGAAGAGATTGTTTAAAGTCTGGGTAGTCTGATTCCATGCACTAACCTCAGTCAATCTTGTTCTAGGAGCTACATCTGGTTGCTTTCTCAGAAGGTGCCTATTGCCATAATAGACCTTGGAGAACAAGAGGCTATTCTCCACTTCAGCCCTCTCGTTTATTTACATTAGAGATTAAATAACATTCAATTTGAATCTTTGGTAGATCTAAGAAAAATAAAACCTACTCACACTGTGCTTCTCTGATTATTATGTTTAATGCCATTATAAGCACAATCCTTAGTAAGCAAGCCCTATCAAATGTGCTGTTAACGCTAATTGAGTAGCGTTGTAGGAAAGTTACCTTAGGAATGTTCACTGCAGCTAACTGGTGTTGCACAAAATCTAAATACTTTGCTCATATAAGCTCATGAATACTAATGGCTTTGCTTGATTGGAAAATTCTCAAAGTGATTTGCCAACACACAGAAAGTTCACCAATACTAGCCAGGTCTGAGGCTGCAGCTGGGGGCAGCTGTTTAATGCAGCACAATTAAGCCTTTCAACATGCAAATGCAAAGGAACACCTTATTCAACTGGAGCTTCAGGGGAAATTTAGAAAGGCATATGCAATTATGCAAATTGGACAGTTTCCAAAGAAAGAGTTGGCCAACATCTTTAATTTAGCAAAGAGGGTCATTATCAATTTTTATATATAAATCTCCATCTGTCCTTGGAGAGATAATGAGTCCCCTAGGATACAAAGTGAAGAGATGTTTTTCATGGAGAATCGGTAATACAGAAACAATAATATTGATGCCAAGATACATATAGCATCTGCTATCAAATAGACAGCTATACCGCACATAATTAAGCAGTGCTAAGCAGTGGCCAAGGTCTAGAATTTTCATTATGCATGAATTTTTATTTTTGTGTTGTGAATAGCTCCCTGGCAAAAGTGGATAGAAGATAAACATCACTTGGCATGTTGTCTCCCAAAAAATGGCTTGGAAAAAAATCCAGTCAAACATCTACAAACAGCCAATGTTTAGAAAATAAATGTTAATAAGTATATAGTTATAATTTTTCTTATTGTCAAAGTGGAAACCTGAATTCAGCTTTCAGTGAAAAAATTATTGTAGTTTCTCTTATATTTTTGTTTCTTGGGAAGCAAAGGGAGCAACTAAAAAGAGTTTCTTTTTTATGTCAAGAATAAATCGATTCGTTCAATATATAATCATTTTATTGGGCACCCACAATGTGCAAGGCAATGTATTGGGTGTTAGGGCTACAACAGTGAGCAAAACTTAGACACAGTCCCTGCCTTGGCATTTATAATGCAGTGAGTATGACAGGCTATAATCAAGTAATCACACAAACAACTGTAAAGCCACAGCAGTGGCAAGGCATATCAAGGAGAAGTACTTAGTACAGTGCTATGAAGATAAAAAATTAATCTAATGGTTAGTTTGATGTGGTCAGACAGGTCAGGGAGAGCTTCTCTAGAAATTGGAATTTTGAGCAGCATGGGGAATAAAAAAACTTGCCTGGCAAAAATGAGAGCCTATGTGCTATCTCTGTGGAGGGAGGTTGTCTGGCATGTAGGGAGAAGTGAAGGAAGGCTAACGAGGCTGCAGTGGAGAGAGCTCATGGCAGGGTATAACATGAAAGGGGGTACCAGGGACTAAACCAGGCTGGGCTCTGTGTATCATGTTAAGGTGTTTGGTCTTTCCCTTCAGAGCAATGGAAAATATTAAAGAGTTCTAAGCAGAAGTTTCCAAGGTCCAATGTGTATTAATTCCTGTTTAATGTCAATTCCATTTATATTGTCAATATATATTTGCTAAAACATGTGTGGAATAATAACCTGTATGCAGGATAACTGCATATTTTACTTTATGTCACATCTTACATTTGAGGTATTTTGAAAAGGAAGTTTGATGCCCTCTTCGCCACCATTTTGAGAATGATTAATAAATTAATTAAATTGAATTTATTGAAATCTTAAAACAGCTTTGCTTTTTAAGTATTGAAACAACCTTGATCACTAAAAGATTTAAGAAAGGTGAGGACTAATAACTATTTTCAGTTTAGGTGAACAGAGGATGTGAAGCCAGAAATAAAATGATGGGGATGTGTAGATAAGAAAGTGAAAAATATAAGATTAAGTTTTGGTATTAAAAAATATAAAAAGTACAAAGTCAGGTGTGAGTATTAAATGACAATGTTTAATCTGAATGAATGCAAAGGAGCTACTTGGAAAGCAAAATGAATGCGGACAAATGATATGTTTTTGAGCTTTTCTTTTTTTTCTATTTTGCCAGCTTTGCATCTTTTCCTTTTGGACGGAATCCTTTCTGCACTGTTAGTCCTTCCATGTGATTTGAGTGAGACTGACCCTGCCTACCAACCCAGGGGTGGCCAACCAGAGTACTCTATTTCCTGGCTACAATGATTGACTTAGTGAGGAGTCTGTGATCCCAGAAGGTACCATAGGAGTCATTCTTGTAATAATTTTTGAAGCTAGTGAGAAAGATGTGTTCTGTTTTTTGGGGGTGGAGGAGTGGGGTGAGGAATAGCTATTGTAACAATAGATTAAGATTCAAGTGTTCTCCTTTGCCACTGATAAGGAAGAACTTGCCTGAAAAAGAAGCCAATAGAAAGGAAAGCCGAGTCAAGAAATGGAGAAGAAGACAGATTGCCAATGACAAAAGTTAACCTTCTGGAATCAGCTACATATTGAAATTTCCTATTATGTAGCCCAATCAATTTTCTTATGTGTTTAAGCTAGATTGAGTTGAGTTTCCATCATTTGAAGTTACGAATCCTTTCTTTGCACCAAAGGTGCAAAAAACTTATCCCAGATCAGTCTAACCATCTGTCTTCTCTCTACACCTGGGATCTTAAAAATACTTATAAAAAGTGTTATAAGAACAGCTCAGAGATGCAAAGTTCTGCCAGAGATCACATAAGCTTGTGGGTTGGTGCTATGACAGCCATGGTTCACAGCACAGCTGGGACCTCAACACTACTTGGCAATATTTATTTATTTACATACATATTTTTAATTGACAGAGAAAAATTGTGCATATTTGTTGTGTACAACATGTTGTTTTAAAATAAGTACCCTAATGCTAATGGTTAATTAAGCTAATTAACATATGCATTACCTCACATCCTTTTTTTTGTTGTGGGAACACTTAAAATGTACTCCCAGCAATTTTTAAGAATATAATACATTGTTATTAGCTATAGTCACTATGTTGTACAATAGATTTCTTGAATGTATTCTTCCTATCTGAAATTTTATTCTTTGACCAGCATCTCGCCAGCCACCCCACCTTTCCAAGCCACTGGCAACCACCATTCCATTCTCTACTTCTCTACTTCTGTGAGTTCAAGTTTCTTAGATTCCACACATAAGGGAGATCATGTGGCATTTGTCCCTCTTGTGCCTGGCCTATTTCACTTGACATCATGTCCTTCAGGTTCATCCGTGCTGTTGCAAATGCCAGGATTTCCTTCTTTTTTAAAGCTGAATTGTATTGTGTATACATACCACATTTTCTGTCCATTCATCCATTGATGGACACCTAGATTGATTCCATACCCTGGCCATTGTGAACAACGCTGCAATGAACATGAGAGTGCAGACACTGGCAATATTTTTTGTTTTCTGGTTAGGGTGTCTCCCATTCCCTCAATATTTATCTATTTTGTGAAAATCTCATTATGCCCTCTATCCTGCCAATTCTGTCTTCACTCTTAGTGTATGAGGTTGCCTTTTTCTTCACTGAGAAAACTGAAACCATCTGGTAAGAATGCCCTGCAACATCCTTTCTACCTGCCTACTTGGCTCAGCATCTGCACTCATCCTTTCTTCTTTTCCTCTGGGCACACAAGAAGACATGTGCTTCTCCCTTCTCAAGATAACTCTATGTTGCGTTTTGTTTTTTTTTTCGTCACCTCCTTTTGGACCTTGCTTTGTCAATCTGCTTTTCTTCTGCATTATCAATCTCTTGAAAGACATCTCAATTTCTTCACCTTTCATTCACACCTTAACTTGCTACAACTTGACTTCTGCCCCAACTCAAATTGATCTGCTCAGCAAAGCTCACCAATGGCTTCTATATTGCCAGATCTTTTTTCTGATCTTCATTGACCCCTCTTCAGCACTTGACATTGTTAAGGGCTTTTGCTTTGAAGTGGTCTTCTTCCTTATATGATTTGCCATGAGCCTTCTCTCTGATGACCTTTCTACTCTAGCTTTCAGGTTGTTTTATTTTATAGCTCACCGATGAAGACTCATTCTGCCTCATGACGTGCACTAACTAATAATAATAACTCACATTTATTGAATGCTGATGTTGTGCCAGGCTCATTGGCTTATGAAATTATAATAACTCTTTGAGGTAGGTGCTATAATTATCCTTGTTTACAAATTGGAAAGTTGAGGCTAAGAAAGGTTATTTAATTTGCTCAGGGCTATGCAGCTAGTAAGACATGGAGTCAGGCTGGAATCCAGAGTCTGCTTTATATGACTTTAAGTAATGAAAGTATAATACACAACAGAAAAGTGGACAAATGCTAGAAAAGAACCTGATGAACCTTCACAAGGCAAACATGCTTGTGTAGCCAGTATGCAGATGGAAGAGCAGAATGTTCTCAGCTCTCCAGAAACCCCCTCATATCATCACGGCACTTCACAAAAGAGCAATCAATATTCAGAGTCTAACACTACAGGTTAGCTTTGCCTGTTTTCAACTTTATATAAATAGGATCATAGAATCATACAGCATATATGTAAGATTAATTTATTTAGTGGTGAAAAGAAAAGCTCATTTATTGTTATTATATTTTAGAACATCATTGTGTAGATACACCACTATTTATCTGTCCTGTTCTTGAATTGATGTTTGGGTTGTTTCCTGTATTTTTTCTACTGCAAATAGTGCTATGAATATTCTTGTACACATTTTCTGATGGACAGTGTATGAGTGGAGTTGCTGGGTCATGGGTCATGCCTATACTGGTTTTAGAAGTGCTGCCAAATGATTTTCATAATTGATTTTGTCCTAAGGATTGAATATTTCAGATATTATATACCCAGAATAAATCCGTTATCTCCCCAGTAGAATAAAAAGGTTTCTCTTTTTTATTGCTTATATCTCCCACCTGTGCTCTTCATCCAAAATTTATTTTTATATGTATGGAGGGTACTTTTATTCATTTCATACTCAACATGTATTATTACATTGATCAAAATCTTTACTGCATTCACTCCAAAAATAGAATCTTGACCGGAGTGAAATTCTTTTCAAGTATGCTTTATTCTCTTCTTTCTTTATCCAGATGCCACAGGCACATTTGTTAGGAGTTCTTACATTGTAATGTTGCTCTTCATGTGGCTGCCTTTCATTTATGTATGCTGAAACATTGTTCATGAACATTGACATGGTAGTCAAAGATGTCATAGTCATACCCTTTTGTTAAAAATTTTTTCCTGGGGTGGGAGGGAGACACACGACTTTGCTTCAATATTGCCACAGCAAGCAATTACTGTTGCACAGTGCTGTAATTGTTATTCCTAGTTGGACCAGCTGACTCAAACCCTAGAAAACCATGTGTGATAGAATATATACTGCCAACCCAGTAGTTTTCTGTAAAGGAAGCCCATTGTGAAGACTAATTTTCCACTGTAGACTTTTGAATAAAGTCTCTCTTCATTCTTTGAGAGATTCCTCTATCCCACAGATATGCATAAGTTAAAGTCTTGCATTACTCAGCTGAAATGTTATGTGAACATATGCAAGCAAAAAGTCTCCAAATAATGTCCTCATGTGTTTGGCGGACTTGTATTTACTTCTTGATTGCATCACTCATATGCTCTAGCTATCTCTTCTACCATTTTATCCGCTGGGGATAACACTTACCCTGTCATCCATTCCCACTGTTAATGTTTATCAACGAAGAGAACAAAATAATCTATATTTTGTTCTTCTTCCATGAAATACCCTGTTTTTTAAATATATGTAATATTAAGCAGTTTATTAGTACATACTCTGGAAATACATAGCTCATGATCTTCAAAGCATTAGGGAAAAAATCTTTTGTTGAGAATGAACGCTTTAATTTAATATAGGGGCATTGTGGTATAATACAGTGGTGGCTGACATTCAGAGTTCCAGAAATTATTTTTCTACAGAAGTAATGTGGAAAATATGACTAGAAGTGAAATCACTTTCCACCTTTTAAAACTGAGCATAATTATCCACATTTACTGTTATCCACAAACTGGTAAGAAATAAAAAATCTCCTAAATTGATTTTAAGTGTGACTGATTAATATTCTTTAAATGTTACAATACTGGATCAAGACAGCCAGAACTGGCAAAAAAGCAAGAGTTATGCTTTAACGATGTTTATTTTACTCTAGTTTGAATTACTTGTGTCTGATGTTCAATCCCAGGAAGTCTGCTGTTTTCCTTTTGCATGTTGTGATAGGTGTCTAATAATACCTACGTTATGAAGGTTGATTAAATAGCAAATAAGAGGAATTTCCTGCTACTGTATTGTTCATGTCTGTTCTAACTCTAAATGCTCTGCCATTTTTCTTCCCTCTTTTTCTTTCAATAAGTTATTTGAAAATCTTTAATATTTCCCTTCACTATTATATTCAAGCAAAGCCGACTGTTTAGAGAGCCTCTAATTAGCTTCATTCAGAGAGCAATATTTT
Organism: Homo sapiens; assembly: GCF_000001405.40. Classification (NCBI taxonomy): domain Eukaryota; kingdom Metazoa; phylum Chordata; class Mammalia; order Primates; family Hominidae; genus Homo; species Homo sapiens. The sequence goes on from NC_000012.12 coordinate 80,065,431, forward strand.
TTCTTTTTATATTTTTATTTTCCCGAGAGGGCAAAATCTGTTGTAAATTGGTAGCTGGTACAGTTAACACCTCACTTGGACATTCATGGAGGGAGACCAGGGTTTAGAGATGCTAGCCCAATCTCTTGGTTGCTGTGTCATTATGATAAAATTACTAAAATGTATCAGTTTCTTAATTGATAAAACAATACCTGTAATAATGGCTCACATTTACCAAGCCAGGAACTATTCTAAGCACTTTATTTACATCAACTAATTTAATATTTACAGGAATCCCTGTGCTAGGTATGATTCTGCTCCCTGATTTACAGACAAACAGAAAATACTATTATTATCTCAACTTTGTGGATAAAGAATGGAGATCCAGGGAGGTGAGATTACTTGCCCAAGCAACACAGCTAGTAAATGGCAGAGCTAGGAGATCAACTGGAGCGCACTAAACTATCTCTTAAGCAGGTTAGGTTGTGAGAATTAAAGAGATAATTCTGTGAAACACACATCACAACAGTAAATTTACCTAATAAGTGCTCAATAATTGGTGATTATTATTATTTTCATTGAGCCAGCAAGGAAGGAATAAGGCATGTCGGTGAGCATAGGAGGTAAGATGTCTGTCATATTCATTGCAGATATCCCTCCCATACCTAGAGCAGTGCTTTAAATGGATGAATGATGCATGCATAAAGAGTCATCTTAAGGCATCATTAAACTGGACAAAATTGATAGAAACCCTATATAAGGGTACAAAGTGTTTTAAGAGTATCATGAATGTCCTGATTCAATTAATGGTCCTTAATGTTTCTAGAGTGACAATAAAGTTGAGAAAGGGTTGTAGGATTAGGAGAAATAAAAATAGGCTATGAGAGAAGTCCTTAAAAACGTTACTATAATAATAATTTTGTCAGTTTGTTTTATTAATTGTAATTATGTCTACTAGAAAAAAGGGATTAAAAAAGAATGAAAAGAAAAGACAGGAAAAGAAACCCACAATAAGATGTTAAGTAGCTGTAAATTTCTCATAGTCAAAAGAATGATCATGGTTTGGGTTCCTGGATTTAAAAAATGATGATTATTCTGTCTTCAGAAATTTTGTAAATCTGCAGCTATTTCCAATTACTTGTTGAATGAATATCAGAAATAATGCTAACGTAAAATTTTTTGTCAATTCTTCTTTCTATGAGAAGATTCACTCCTTTGAAGTGTATATATTCACACAAATACTTCTAAGAGCAATAGTGCTTTATAAAATAGTAATTTTAGTTTAATAGCTGTTTTGTTTTCCTTGGCTGATAATAATAAAATACCTCATTTAATTAAAGAATGCATTTTATTTTTTATAGTTCAGGATAACAAGTCAGCTTTTATAGGTACATGTAACTCAGCAGAAAAAATTATTGAACTATTGAAAAAGAGACAATTTATTTGTGCTTTTCTTAGCTCATGTGTGTTAGTCATCTGTAAGTTGCTCATACAGAAGAAAAAAAGGTAAGACCTCAGCATTAAAATAAGCATAGTCTCAATATTAAATCTCTTAAAAGTCCTGGGGTGGTTAAAACTTTTAATTCTTGAATGTTAGACTGTAATAAGTTTGGCTAATGCTATTTTTTTTTTGATGAGAGAATTAGATCATTAATTTCTGTAAAACTATTTTCTGAACTGCACCCCAAATTTTATGCCTTTTTTGGTATAAAGAAAGTTTAATTCTAAACAAAAATGAATTAAGGAAAATATGTAACAGTATGGTCATGATCACTTGCTTTTAAATAGTGGAAGAGAATGTCATCACAAGTCAAATTTGCTTAAACAATTACAATTGCTATAGACTGATTCTACTTGACAAATTTCTGCTTTCAGTATGCCAGTAAAGAAAAAGACAGGAATTTTTCCTGTTTGCTTTATTTATTAGTTTCAGCCTTGACAAAAAAATTACAAATCTGTATGCACATGGAAAAATGCATGTATAACAATCAAATTGGTTTATGTGCTGTGAATACCTTGTATGTGTATTTTAAAATTAGATACAACTAAACTATCAGGAAGAAAAATATTAGAGTTGATACAACTTAAGTTTTTATTATTTTCTTTGAGACAAATTAACCACTAGTACTTTATCCTCAAACATAAATAAAAAATTAGAATTCAAGGGTTTTCAGTGAAACATTTGCTAACATTCATGTGTTTTTGATTTGCCAGGCACTGTTCTAAGTGCTTTCCATATTTTAACTAATTTAATCCTCATCACAAACTTATGGGGTAGTTATTAATTATTCCTATTTTTAAGATGAGGAAATTGATGCACACAGAGGTTAAGGAGCTTTTCCAGGGTGACACAGCTAGTAAGCAATTAATTATTAATTAATTACAATTAATTACTAAAACATTTGGGGAACCTTTTTGTGCCAGGCCTATCTTAAGCAGCAGGGATGCAGAAGTGAATAGAATAGAAGGGAATAAAACATATTGAGGGTTTACGATTTTAGATAGGGTGGCCTGCAAACTTTCACTGGGAGGGTGACTGGGGTAAATAAGGAATTAGTGAAAAAGATCTTTCTCTGCTATGTGAAATGAAGGAATATTTCTAGGTATGGAGACCTTTAGGAAAAAAAAACTATTTGGTGATAAAGCAGCTTGGGTTGATGATTAATTATAAAATATTAACAGCAACCACAGTGCTGGTCCTAGATATTTTTTGCTTGCTCCTCTGGATCCCCCGTCTGCAGTTCTTCATGCTCCCTGTGCCCCAGGAGTTTGAGAAGTATGTGCTACTTCAATGAGCCATGTTGGCCTTTGGCTGCTGGTTTGGTTTGGCCAATATGAGTCCCAGCAAGAGCTGAAGGGAAGGAGGAGAGAGAGGGCAGGTGTTCATCCCCTTGCCACCTCCCTGAGGGGGTCGCCATTGGCTGGCTGCTTCTTTCTACCAAAGGCTGTGACTTCAGTCAGGTGGCTCCCTCCACAGGACTCTATCCTTTTGTTTCTCATGACTGTTCTTTTTCATCCCCTTCAGGCTTAGAATGGTAAAGATGTCCTCTTAGTACTAGGGGTGCAATTTCCATAGACCCCACCCACTCCTTTGGAAGGAATCCCTTAAGAGACAAATGCCAAATTTGAGTGTGATTTCCGTTTCCTAATGTGATCCTGACTGACACAGTTGACATATTAGCTACTTGGCTCTGTGAGTCTTCAGTGTAATGATTTTGAATTTGCTTGTCATCATAAAGTCCTCCAAACCAATGAAACTGTATAAAAGTGTGTATTTATTAGGTATCTTTTTTGGGGGGCAAAAACCGGAAAGCTGGCTAGACAAATTCTAAAAGAGCTGTAACATATTAGGTATCTAATACACTCAGTGCTTGCACTTTCCCTCCATTCTATCCCACTTTTAAACTGTTTATATGATTGACTCTGAAATCCCCTTAAAATTAACCTTGTCTTCAGAATAGTTTGGGTGACATCTGAGGACACTGCGGATGGACATTGTTGGAGCAAGGAAGTACTCAAATAAGTGGTCATTTCGAAAAGAAGCAGTACTTTTACTTCCAGGGAACAATTTTAGGAAATGTTAGGAAGCTGGAGACAAATTCCTGAAAAGTGAGACTAATGGAATTTTTAAAGGAACAATCAAACGTTCTTTTACCTTAAAAACCACGAAGGATAAGATTTTGAGAAAATCATTTTCAGTATTTGTATAACTTCAGGGGAATTATAGATCATCAATGGCATATAAATGATAGAGGCAATATACTTTAGAGGTTAAGCATATGGGCCCTGGAGACAGAATACCTGGGTTTGAATGCCTACTCTGCCACTTACTTGTTGGTTGACCTACCTTGGGCAGATTTCTTATTCTTATTCTTACAATAGTTCAGTTTCTTCGTCTGCACAATGGGATAACTTCCCTCCAAGGATGGTGTTGTGATAAACAAACAAATTAACACACGAAAAGCAATTAGAACAGTGCTTGACATGTAATAAGCAGTAGGAAAAATAGGTTTAAAAAGACATTTTAAAATCCAATCCAAATGAAATAATGAAAAATTATGTAGCTACAGAAATTAGAATGTTTTATAATAGCATTTCAAAAAATGTTCTAAAGATTGCTCAGTGTTGACTTTTTTATTACAGTATTATTAAAATATGTATAAATATTAAGTTAGATTTAAACTTCCAATGCTTGCTATATGACCATAAATCTAACATATGACCAATGGTTGCTATATGACCATAAATCTAACATAAATGTACAAAACTACAAACCAATAGAATATGAACTTGAGACATATATTTAATGTAATAGATACGTGGCTGAAAGGAAATTGTTGCTTGTTATGAATACTATTATAGCATAGAATCCTTTGGGTTTGATGTACCTATAAAATCTTATAATGGCTCAATTTTACCACCTTTTTAAAAGCTTGGATAATAAGGAAATCTTTGTGTAACCTGCCATGATACCGTTTTTGTCTTTACTTGGCCCAGATTAATCATTTTGGTACTCAGTACATTTTCGTTCCTTTCTCATTAGGCAATGACAAAGCAGTACTTCTTGCTGACAGTGTACTCATAAATACAAGCACAAACCCAAGCAGAAAAACCGAGCGGTAGTATTCAGTTAGAAGATCATTCAAATGATCCTCAATCTCTTTTTTAATTATCTTATTTTTATCTAAGTAAACACATGACACTAAAAAAGAATCCACAGAGAACTCTCAGACCCTGAAAAGCTTCCAAGGATCAGTTTCAGAAACAATGATTTACAGTACAGAATTTTCCCCTCAGAGACTGTAGATATTCATTAAACTAACTTCAGTAAAATTTTAGTGAAAACATATCTGATAGTCATGAAGATATTATGAGGCAGGTAAAGAATGAATACTTTAAAGAACAAAAAATGTGTTAAATGGATTTCTGGGAAACAATGCTATATGGAGCATTATTTACACCTTATAAATAATGCAATTTTCTAAATCATAATTTTTTTTTAATTTTTAATTTTTATTTTTATAGGCATGGGTTCTCACTAAGTTGGCCTGACTGGTTTTGAATTCCTGGCTTCAAGCAATCCTCTTGCCTCAGCCTCCCAAATGCCTGGGATTGCGGCTGTGAGCCACCACACCTGGCCCATAGGAATTCCTTTTAACCAATGAAATAATACTGTAATAATTTAAAAATGAGATGGCCCTGGGCACAGTGGCTCACACCTGTAATCCCAGCACTTTGGGAGGCCGAGGGGGGCAGATGACTTGACCCCAGGAGTTCGAGGCCAGCCTGGAAAACATGGCGAAACCTTGTCTCTACAAAAAATACAAAAATTAGCCAGGTGTGGTGGGGTATGCCTTAGTCCCAGCTATTTTGGAGGCTGACGCAGGAGGATCACCTGAGCCTGGGAAGTGGAGGTTGCAGTGAGCTGAGATTGCACCATGGCATTCTAGCCTGGGTGACAGAGGGAGACTGTCTCAAAAAAAAAAAAAACCCACAAAAAACAAAACAAAAACCAATAAATAACAATAAAAATGAGATGACAGATATATCACAGCCGCACAAACACTATATGTGCTTAAGAGTTTAAAAACATGTTAAGGTTCTGACTCATGTCATTCAATTTTGATCTACATTGTTGCATTTCTACAGTAAACCGAGAGTAAACTCAAATTTACTCAGTAAAATGAATCTTTAGCACTATCTTTCAAATAATCAGCAAGATATTAATGTCCTGATTTTCCATTAAGATCATTGTAGACATTATTCACCTAAGTGGGAAAACTGGAAAAATGAAAATTTGATCAGAAAATTAGGCTTTTAATTTTGATTTTAAAAAGTTTATTGCTATATGGATGCTACCATTAAGAGAAGTATTTCTACTAACATCTAATAAAAAAAGTTCCACATACAGGACGGGTGCAGTGGCTGATGCCTGTAATCCCAGAACTTTGGGAGGCTGAGGTGAGAGGATCAGTTGAGCCCGGGAGGTCAAGGCTGCAGTGAACTGTGGTCGAGCCACTGCACTCCAGCCTGGGTGACAGAATGAGACCCTGTCTCAAAAAAAATAAAAAAAATAAAAATAAAAAGTTCCACGTACAACAAAACAAATGAGAAGTAACTTCAATATCAATGATCAATGTCACTATCAATAGCATCATGACAGTAGCTAACATTTATTCGCTTTTCTGCCAAATGACAGACACATGCTAGTTGCTCTATCTGGGTTTTCTAATCGAATCCTCGCAATAACCTTGCGATTAGGTACTATTACACCCATTTTGCTGTTAAATAAGTAGGGTAGCCTGCCTGAAGTTACATGACCAGTGAATAGCACAGGTGAAATTTGAACCTGGGCAACGTGACTACTGAGCCTGTTTATGTGACCCTAGGATGAGAAGTTTCCTAAAATAGTTCACTGATTGGACCACTACGTACAAGTAAAATATTTTTTTCTGTCCCATTAATAACCCCCTTCTCAATATGGACTTCTTACACAGTTACTAGCTGAAACCATAAATAAGGCCTCCATATATTAGTATTTAGATTGAACTATTGAGAATGTCATTGCTAATAAAGTATAAAAAAGTCATTAATATCCCGTATTTAATAAATTTGCAGTTATTGAGAGTACTAATTTTTTTCATTCTCACCATTAAATATAACTTTTATTGGTGTGTCTTACATGCTCTTTATGAACTTGAGGAAGTTCCCCCCATTCCTAGTTTGCTGAGAGTTTTTTTTTTTTTTTTAATCCTTAAGTTCTGGAATACATGTGCAGAATGTGCAGGTTTGTTACATAGGTATACATGTGCCATGGTAGTTTGCTGCACCCATCAATCCATCATCCATATTAGGTATTTCTCCTAATGCTATCCCTCCCCTAGCTCCTCACCCCCCGATAAGCCCCAGTGTGTGATGATTCCCTCCCTGTGTCCATGTATTCTCATTGTTCAACTCCCACTTATGAATGAGAACATGTGGTGTTTGGTTTTCTGCTCCTGTGTTAGGTTGCTGAGAATGATGCTTTCCAGCTTCATCCATGTCCCTGCAAAGGACATGAACTCATCCTTTTTTATGGCTGCATAGTATTCCGTGGTGTATATGTGCCACATTTTCTTTATCCAGTCTATCATTGTTGGGCATTTGGGTTGGTTCCAAGTCTTTGCTATTGTGAATAGCGCCCCAGTAAAGATACGTGTTCATGTGTCTTTATAGTAGAATGATTTATAATCCTTTGGGTATAGAGCCAGTAATGGGATTGCTGGGTCAAATGCTATTTCTGGTTCTAGATCCTTGAGGAATTGCCACACTGTCTTCCACCATTTACACTCCCACCAACAGTGTAAAAGCGTTTCTATTTCTCCACATCCTCTCCAGCATCTGTTGTTTCCTGACTTTTTAATGATCACCATTGTAACTGGTGTGAGATGGTATCTCATTGTGGTTTTAATTTGCATTTCTCTAATGACAAGTTATGATGAGCTCTTTTCCATATGTTTGTTAGCTGCAAAGATGTTTTAGAGAGGTATCTGTTCATATCTTTTGGCCACTTTTTGATGGGGTTGTTTTTTTCTTGTAAATTTGTTTAGGTTCCTTGTAGATTCTGGATATTAGACCTTTGTCAGATGGATAGTTTGCAAAAATTTTCTCCCATTCTGTAGATTGCCTGTTCACTCTGAGGATAGTTTTTTTCTGTTATGCAGAAGCTCTTTAGTTGAGTTAGATCCCATTTGTCAATTTTGGCTTTTGTTGCCATCGCTTTTGGTGTTTTAGTCATGAAGTCTTTGCGCTTGCCTATGTCCTGAATGATATTGCCTAGGTTTTCTTCTAGGATTTTTATGGATTTAGGTCTTATGTTTAAGTCTTTAATCCATCTTGCGTTAATTTTTGTATAAGGTGTAAGGAAGGGGTCCAGTTTCAGTTTTCTATATACGGCTAGCCAGTTTTCCAACACCATTTATTAAATAGGGAATCCTTTCCCCATTGCTTGTTTTTGTCAGGTTTATCAAAGATCAGATGGTTGTAGATGTGTAGTGTTACTTCTGAGGCCTCTGTTCTGTTCCATTGGTCTGTATATCTGTTTTAGTACGAGTAGTATGCTGATTTGGTTACTGTAGCCTTGTAGTATAGTTCAAAGTCAGGTAGCGTGATGCCTCCAGCTTTGTTCTTTTTGCTTAGGATTGTCTTAGCTATACAGGCTCATTTTTGGTTCCATATGAAATTTGAAGTAGTTGCTTCTAATTCTGTGAAGAAAGTCAGTAGTAACTTGATGGGGATAGCACTGAATCTATAAATTACTTTGGGCAGTATGGCCATTTTCAGTATATTGATTCTTTCTATCCATGAGCATGGAATGTTTTACCATTTGTTTGTGTCCTCTCTTATTTCCTTGAGCAGTGTTTTGTAGTTCTCCTTGAAGAGGTCCTTCACATACCTTATAAGTTTTATTCCTAGTTATTTTATTCTCTGTGTAGCAATTGTGAATGGGAGTTCACTCATGATTTGGCTCTCTGTTTTTCTGTTATTGGGGTATAGGAAATCTTGTGATTTTTGCATATTGGTTTTGTATCCTGAGACTTTGCTGAAGTTGCTTATCCGTTTAAGGAGATTTGGGGCTGAGGCAATGGGCTTTTCTAAATGTACAATCATGACATCTGCAAATAGAGACAATTTGACTTCCTCTCTTCCTATTCGAATATCCTTTATTTCTTCCTCTTGCCTGATTGCCATAGCCAGAACTTCCAATACAATTTGAATAGTAGTGGGGAGAGAGGGCATCCTTGCCTTGTGCTGGTTTTCAAAGGGAATGCTTCTAGCTTTTACCCATTCACTATGATATTGGCTGTGGGTTTGTCATAAATACCTCTTATTATTTTGAGATATGTTCCATCAATACCTAGTTTATTGAGAGTTTTTAGCATGAAGGGTGTTGAATTTTGTCGAAGGCCTTTTCTGCATCTATTGAGATAATCATGTGGCTTTTGTCATTGTTTCTGTTTATGTGATGGATTACGTTTATTGATTTGCATATATTGAACCAGCCTTGCATCCCATGGGTGAAGCTGACTTGATGGTGGTGGATAAGCTTTTTGTTGTGCTGCTGGATTTGGTTTGCCAGTATTTTATTGAGGATTTTTGCATCGATGTTCATCAGGGATATTGGCCTGAAATTTTCTTTTTCTGTTGTGTCTCTGCCAGGCTTTGGTATCAGGATATGTTGTCCTCATAAAATGAGTTAGGGAGGATTCCCTCTTTTTCTTTTTTTTTATTTATTAATTATTATACTTTAAGTTTTAGGGTACATGTGCACAACGTGCAGGTTAGTTACATATGTATACATGTGCCATGCTGGTGTACTGCACCCACTAACTCGTCATCTAGCATTAGGTATATCTCCCAATGCTATCCCTCCCCCCTCCCCCCACCCCACAACAGTCCCCAGAGTGTGATGTTCCCCTTCCTGTGTCCATGTGTTCTCATTGTTCAATTCCCACCTATGAATGAGAATATGTGGTGTTTGTTTTTTTGTCCTTGCGATAGTTTACTGAGAATGATGATTTCCAATTTCATCCATGTCCCTACAAAGGACATGAACTCATCAATTTTTATGGCTGCATAGTATTCCATGGTGTATATGTGCCACATTTTCTTAATCCGGTCTATCATTGTTGGACATTTGGGTTGGTTCCAAGTCTTTGCTATTGTGAATAGTGCTGCAATAAACATACGTGTGCATGTGTCTTTGTAGCAGCATGATTTATAGTCCTTTGGGTATATACCCAGTAATGGCATGGCTGGGTCAAATGGTATTTCTAGTTCTAGATCCCTGAGGAATCGCCACACTGACTTCCACAATGGTTGAACTAGTTTACAGTCCCACCAACAGTGTAAAAGTGTTCCTATTTCTCCACATCCTCTCCAGCACCTGTTGTTTCCTGACTTTATAATGATTGCCATTCTAACTGGTGTGAGATGATATCTCATTGTGGTTTTGATTTGCATTTCTCTGATGGCCAGTGATGATGAGCATTTTTTCATGTTTTTTGGCTGCATAAATATCTTCTTTTGAGAAGTGTCTGTTCATGTCCTTCGCCCACTTTTTGATGGGGTTGTTTGTTTTTTTCTTGTAAATTTGTTTGAGTTCATTGTAGATTCTGGATATTAGCCCTTTGTCAGATGAGTAGGTTGCGAAGATTTTCTCCCATTTTGTAGGTTGCCTGTTCACTCTGATGGTAGTTTCTTTTGCTGTGCAGAAGCTTTTTAGTTTAATTAGATCCCATTTGTCAATTTTGGCTTTTGTTGCCATTGCTTTTTGTGTTTTAGACATGAAGTCCTTGCCCATGCCTATGTCCTGAATGGTAATGCCTAGGTTTTCTTCTAGGGTTTTTATGGTTTTAGATCTAATGTTTAAGTCTTTAATCCATCTTGAATTGATTTTTGTATAAGGTGTAAGGAAGGGATCCAGTTTCAGCTTTCTACATATGGCTAGCCAGTTTTCCCAGCACCATTTATTAAATAGGGAATCCTTTCCCCATTGCTTGTTTTTCTCAGGGTTGTCAAAGATCAGATAGCTGTAGATATATGGCGTTATTTCTGAGGGCTCTGTTCTGTTCCATTGATCTATATCTCTGTTTTGGTACCAGTACCATGCTGTTTTGTTTACTGTAGCCTTGTAGTATAGTTTGATGTCAGGTAGTGTGATGCCTCCAGCTTTGTTCTTTTGGCTTAGGATTGACTTGGCGATGCAGGCTCTTTTTTGGTTCCATATGAACTTTAAAGTAGTTTTTTCCAATTCTGTGAAGAAAGGCATTGGTAGCTTGATGGGGATGGCATTGAATCTGTAAATTACCTTGGGCAGTATGGCCATTTTCACGATATTGATTCTTCCTACCCATGAGCATGGAATGTTCTTCCATTTGTTTGTATCCTCTTTTGTTTCATTGAGCAGTGGTTTGTAGTTCTCCTTGAAGAGGTCCTTCAGGTCCCTTGTAAGGTGGATTCCTAGGTATTTTACTCTCTTTGAAGCAATTGTGAATGGGAGTTCACTCATGATTTGGCTCTCTGTTTGTCTGTTGTTGGTGTATAAGAATGCTTGTCATTTTTGTACATTGATTTTGTATCCTGAGACTTTGCTGAAGTTGCTTATCAGCTTAAGGAGATTTTGGGCTGAGACAATGGGGTTTTCTAGATACACAATCATGTCGTCTGCAAACAGGTACAATTTGAGTTCTTCTTTTCCTAATTGAATACCCTTTATTTCCTTCTCCTGCCTAATGGCCCTGGCCAGAATTCCAACAGTATATTGAATAGGAGTGGTGAGAGAGGGCATCCCTGTCTTGTGCCAGTTTTCAAAGGGAATGCTTCCAGTTTTTGCCCATTCAGTATGATATTGGCTGTGGGTTTGTCATAGATAGCTCTTATTATTTTGAGATATGTCCCATCAATATCTAATTTATTGAGAGTTTTTAGCATGAAGGGTTGTTGAATTTTGTCAAAGGCTTTTTCTGCATCTATTGAGATAATCATGTGGTTTTTGTCTTTGGCTCGGTTTATATGCTGGATTACATTTATTGATTTGCGTATATTGAACCAGCCTTGCATCCCAGGGATGAAGCCCTCTTGATCATGGTGGATAAGCTTTTTGATGTGCTGCTGGATTCGGTTTGCCAGTATTTTATTGAGGATTTTTGCATCAATGTTCATCAAGGATATTGGTCTAAAATTCTCTTTTTTGGTTGTGTCTCTGCCCGGCTTTGGTATCAGGATGATGCTGGCCTCATAAAATGAGTTAGGGAGGATTCCCTCTTTTTCTATTGATTGGAATAGTTTCAGAAGGAATGGTATCAGTTCCTCCTTGTACCTCTGGTAGAATTCAGCTGTGAATCCATCTGGTCCTGGACTCTTTTTGGTTGGTAAGCTATTGATTATTGCCACAATTTCAGCTCCTGTTATTGGTCTATTCAGAGATTCAACTTCTTCCTGGTTTAGTCTTGGGAGAGTGTGTGTATCAAGGAATTTATCCATTTCTTCTAGATTTTCTAGTTTATTTGCATAGAGGTGTTTGTAGTAATCTCTGATGGTAGTTTGTATTTCTGTGGGATCGGTGGTGATACCCCCTTTATCATTTTTTATTGCATCTATTTGATTCTTCTCTCTTTTTTTCTTTATTAGTCTTGCTAGTGGTCTATCAATTCTGTTGATTCTTTCAAAAAACCAGCTCCTGGATTCATTAATTTTTTGAAGGGTTTTTTGTGTCTCTATTTCCTTCAGTTCTGCTCTGATTTTTGTTATTTCTTGCCTTCTGCTAGCTTTTGAATGTGTTTGCTCTTGCTTTTCTTGTTCTTTTAATTGTGATGTTGGGGTGTCAATTTTGGATCTTTCCTGCTTTCTCTTGTGGGCATTTAGTGCTATAAATTTCCCTCTACACACTGCTTTGAATGTGTCCCAGATATTCTGGTATGTTGTGTCTTTGTTCTCATTGGTTTCAAAGAACATCTTTATTTCTGCCTTCATTTCGTTATGTCCCCAGTAGTCATTCAGGAGCAGATTGTTCAGTTTCGATGTAGTTGAGCAGTTTTGAGTGAGTTTCTTAATGCTGAGTTCTAGTTTGATTGCACTGTGGTCTGAGAGATAGTTTGTTATAATTTCTGTTTTTTTACATTTGCTGAGGAGAGCTTTACTTCCAACTATGTGGTCAATTTTGGAATAGGTGTGGTGTGGTGCTGAAAAAAAATGTATATTCTGTTGATTTGGGGTGGAGAGTTCTGTAGATGTCTATTGGGTCCGCTTGGTGCAGAGCTGAGTTCAATTCCTGGGTATCCTTGTTAACTTTCTGTCTCCTTGATCTGTCTAATGTTGACAGTGGGGAGTTAAAGTCTCCCATTATTAATGTGTGGGAGTCTAAGTCTCTTTGTAGGTCACTCAGGACTTGCTTTATGAATCTAGGTGCTCCTGTATTGGGTGCATATATATTTAGGATAGTTAGCTCTTCTTGTTGAATTGATCCCTTTACCATTATGTAATGGCCTTCTTTGTCTCTTTTGATCTTTATTGGTTTAAAGTCTGTTTTATCAGAGACTAGGATTGCAACCCCTGCCTTTTTTTGTTTTCCATTTGCTTGGTAGATCTTCCTCCATCCTTTTATTTTGAGCCTATGTGTGTCTCTGCATGTGAGATGGGTTTCCTGAATACAGCACACTGATGGGTCTTGACTCTTTATCCAATTTGTCAGCCTGTGTCTTTTAATTGGAGCATTTAGTCCATTTACATTTAAAGTTAATATTGTTTGTGTGAATTTGATCCCGTCATTATGATGTTAGCTGGTGATTTTGCTCGTTAGTTGATGCAGTTTCTTCCTAGTCTCGATGGTCTTTACCTTTTGGCTAATTTTGCAGTGGCTGGTACCGGTTGTTCCTTTCCATGTTTAGTGCTTCCTTCAGGAGCTCTTTTAGGGCAGGCCTGGTGGTGACAAAATCTCTCAGCATTTGCTTGTCTGTAAAGTATTTTATTTCTCCTTCACTTATGAAGCTTAGTTTGGCTGGATATGAAATTCTGAGTTGAAAATTATTTTCTTTAAGAATGTTGAATATTGGCCCCCACTCTCTTCTGGCTTGTAGAATTTCTGCCGAGAGATCCGCTGTTAGTCTGATGGGCTTCCCTTTGTGGGTAACCCAACCTTTCTCTCTGGCTGCCCTTAACATTTTTTCCTTCATTTCAACTTTGGTGAATCTGACAATTATGTGTCTTGGAGTTGCTCTTCTCGAGGAGTATCTTTGTGGCGTTCTCTTTATTTCCTGAATCTGAATGTTGGCCTGCCTTGCTAGATTGGAGAAGTTCTCCTGGATAATATCCTGCAGAGTGTTTTCCAACTTGGTTCCATTCTCCCCATCAGTTTCAGGTACACCAATCAGACATCGACTTGGTCTTTTCACATAGTCCCATATTTCTTGGAGGCTTTGTTTGTTTCTTTTTATTCTTTTTTCTCTAAACTTCCCTTCTCGCTTCATTTCATTCATTTCATCTTCCATCACTGATACCCTTTCTTCCAGTTGATTGCATCAGCTCCTGTGGCTTCTGCATTCTTCACGTAGTTCTCGAGCCCTGGGTTTCAGCTCCATCAGCTCCTTTAAGCACTTCTCTGTATTGGTTATTCTAGTTATACATTTGTGTAAATTTTTTTCAAGTTTTTAACTTCTTTGCCTTTGGTTTGAATTTCCTCCTGTGGCTCGTAGTTTGATCGTCTGAAGCCTTCTTCTCTCAACTTGTCAAAGGCGTTCTCCATCCAGCTTTGTTCCATTGCTGGTGAGGAACTGCATTCCTTTGGAGGAGGAGAGGTGCTCTGCTTTTTAGAGTTTCCAGTTTTTCTGCTCTGTTTTTTCCCCATCTTTGTGGTTTTATCTGCTTTTGGTCTTTGATGATGGTGATGTACAGATGGGTTTTTGGTGTCAATGTCCTTTCTGTTTGTTAGTTTTCCTTCTAACAGACAGGACCCTCAGCTGCAGGTCTGTTGGAGTTTGCTAGAGGTCCACTCCAGACCCTGTTTGCCTGGGTATCAGCAGCAGTGTTTGCAGAACAGTGGTTTTTCGTGAACCGCGAATGCTGCTGTCTGATTGTTCCTCTGGAAGTTTTGTCTCAGAGGAGTACCAGGCCGTGTGAAGTGTCCATCTGCCCCTACTGGGGGGTGTCTCCCAGTTAGGCTGCTCAGGGGTCAGGGGTCAGGGACCCACTTGAGGAGGCAGTCTGCCCGTTCTCAGATCTCCAGCTGCGTGCTGGGAGAACCACTGCTCTCTTCAAAGCTGTCAGACAGGGACATTTAAGTCTGCAGAGGTTACTGCTGTCTTTTTGTTTGTCTGTGCCCTGCCCCCAGAGGTGGAGCCTACAGAGGCAGGCAGGACTCCTTGAGCTGTGGTGGGCTCCACCCAGTTGGAGCTTCCAGGCTGCTTTGTTTACCTAAGCAAGCCTGGGCAATGGCGGGTGCCCCTCCCCCAGCCTGGCTGCCGCCTTGCAGTTTGATCTCAGACTGCTGTGCTAGCAATCAGCGAGACTCTGTGGGCGTAGGACCCTCCGAGCCAGGTGTGGGATATAATCTCCTGGTGCGCCTTTTTTTCAGCCCGTCGGAAAAAGCGCAGTATTCGGGTGGGAGTGACCTGATTTTCCAGGTGCTGTCTGTCACCCCTTTCTTTATCTAGGAAAGGGAACTCCCTGACCCCTTGTGCTTCCTGAGTGAGGCAATGCCTTGCCCTGCTTCAGCTCCTGCATGGTGTGCTGCACCCACTGACCTGCGCCCACTGTCTGGCACTCCTAGTGAGATGAACCCAGTACCTGAGATGGAAATGCAGAAATCACCCGTCTTTTGCGTCGCTCACGCTGGGAGCTGTACACTGGAGCTGTTCCTATTTGGCCATCTTGGCTCCTCCCCCCCGCCTTTTTCTATTGATTGGAATAGTTTCAGAAGAAATGGTACCAGCTCCTCTTTGGACCTCTGGTAGAATTCGGCTGTGAATCTGTCTGGTCCTGGACTTTTTTTGGTTGGTAGGCTATTAATTACTGCCTCAATTTCAGAACTTGTTATTGGTCTATTCAGGGATTTGACTTCCATGTTTAGTCTTGGGTGGGTATATATGTCCCAAAATTTATCCATTTCTTCTAGATTTTCTAGTGTTTTGCATAGAAGTGTTTATAGTATTCTCTGAGGGTAGTTTGTATTTCTGTGGGATCAGTGGTGATATCCCCTTTATCATTTTTTATTGTGTCTATTTGATTTTCTCTCTTTTCTTCCTTGTTATTCTGGCTAGCAGTCCATCTACTTTGTTAATGTTTTCAAAAAAACAGCTCCAGGATTCATTGATTTTTCGAAGGGTTTTTCATGTCTTTATCTCCTTCAGTTCTCTGATCTTAGTTATTTCTTGTCTTCTGCTGGCTTTTGCATTTGTTTGCTCTTGCTTCTTTGGTTCTTTTAATTGTGATGTTAGGGTATCGATTTTAGATCTTTCCTGCTTTCTCCTGTGGGCATTTAGTGCTATAAATTTCCCTGTAAACACTGCTTTAGCTGTGTTCCAGAAATTCTGGTACATTGTGTCTTTGTTCTCATTGGGTTCAAAGAACTTATTTATTTCTGCCTTAATTTCATTATTTACCCAGTAGTCATTCAGGAGCAGGTTGTTCAGTTTCCGTGTAGCTGTGCAGTTTTGATTGAGTTTCTTAATGCTGAGTTCTAATTTGATTGCAATGTGGTGTGAGAGACTATTTGTTATGATTTCTGTTCTTTTGCATTTGCTGAGGAGTGTTTTACTTCCAATTATGTGGTCAATTTTAGAATAAGTGTGATGTGGTGCTGAGAAGAGTGTATATTCTGTTGATTTGGGGTTGAGAATTCTGTAGATGTCTATTAGGTCTGCTTTGTCTAGAGCTGAGTTCAAGTCCTGAATATCCTTGTTAATATTTTGTCTCACTGATCTAATATTGACAGTGTGTGAGTACTATTATTGTGTGGGAGTCTAAGTCTCTTTGTAGGTCTCTAAGAACTTGCTTTATGAATCTGGGTGCTCCTGTATTGGGTGCATATATATTTAGGATAGTTAGCTCTTCTTGTTGCATTGATTCCTTTACCATTATGTAGTGCCCTTCTTTGTCTTTTTTGATCTTTATTGGTTGAAAGTCTGTTTTATCAGAGAATAGAATTGCAAGTCCTCCTTTCTTTTGCTTTCCATTTGCTTGGTAAATCTGCCTCCATCCCTTTGTTTTGAGCCTATATGTGTCTTTGCACGTGAGATGGGTCTCCTGAATACAGCACACCGATGGGTCCTGACTCTTTATCCAATTTGTCAATGTGTCTTTTAATTGGGGCATTTGACCCGTTTACAATTAAGATTAATATTGTTATATGTGAATTTCATCTTTATGATGCTAGTTGGTTATTTTGCCCATTAGTTGATGCAGTTTCTTCATAGTCTCAATGGTCTTCACACTTTGGTTTGTTTTTGCCGTGGCTGGTGCCAGTTTTTCCTTTCCATATTTAGTGCTTCCTTCAGGAGCTCTTGTAAGGCAGGCCTGGTGGTGACAAAATCTCTCAGCATTTGCTTGTCTGTAAAGGATTTTATTTCTCCTTTGTTTATGAAGCTTAGTTTGGCTGGATATGAAATTCTGGGTTGAAATTTCTTTTCTTTAAGAATGTTGAATATTGGCCCCCACTCTCTTCTGGCTTGTAGGGTTTCTGCATAGAGATCCACTGTTAGTCTGATGGGCTTCCATTTGTGGGTAACCCGACCTTTCTCTGTGGCTGTCCTTAACAATTTTTCCTTAATTTCAACCTTGGTGGATCTGATGATTATGTGTCTTGGGGTTGTTCTTCTCAAGGAGTGTCTTTGTGGTGTTCTCTGTATTTCCTGAATTTGAATGTTGGCCTGTTTTGCTAGGTTAGGGAAGTTCTCCTGGATAATATTCCAAAGAGTGTTTTCAAACTTGTTTCCATTCTCCCTGTTACTTTCAGGTACACCAATCAAACATAGGTTTGGTCTTTTCACATAGTCCCACATTTGTTGGAGGCTTTGTTTGTTCCTTTTTATTCTTTTTTCTCTAATCTTGTCTTCATGCTTTATTTCATTAAGTTGATTTTCAGTGTCTGACATCCTTTCTTCCACTTGATTGATTCAGATGTTGATACTTGTGTGTGCTTCATGAAATTCTTGTGCTGTGTTTTTCAGCTTCATCAGGTCATTTATGTTCTTCTCTAAACTGGTTATTCTAGTTAGCAATTCCTCTAACCTTTTTTCAAGGTTCTTAGCTTTCTTGCATTGGGTTAGAACATGCTACTTTAGCTGAGAGGAGTTTGTTATTACTCACCTTCTGAAGCCTACTTCTGTCAATTTATCAAACTCATTCTCTGTCCAGTTTTGTTCTCTTGCTGGTGAGGAGTTGTGATCCTTTGGAGAAGAAGAGGCATTCTGGTTTTTGGAATTTTCCACCTTTTTGTGGTGGTTTTTCCTCATCTTCATTAATTTATCTACCTTTGGTCTTCGATGTTGGTGACCTTTGGATGGGGTTTCTGTGTGGATGTCCTTTTTGTTGATGTTGATGCTATTCCTTTCTGTTTGTAATTTTTCCTTCTAACAGTCAGAACCCTCTTCTGTAGGTCTGCTGGAGTTTGCTGGAGGTCCACTCCAGATCCTGTTTTCCTGGGTATCACCAGCAGAGTCTTCAGAACAGCCAAGATTGTTGCCTGTTCTTTCCTCTGGAAGCTTCGTCCCAGAGGTGCACCTGCCAGATGCCAGCCAGAGCTCACCTGTATGAGGTGTGTATTGACCCCTGCTGGGAGGTGTCTCCCAGCCAGGAGGCACAGGGGTCAGGGACCCACTTGTGGAGGCAGCCTGTCCCGTAGCAGAGCTGGAGCACTGTGCTGGGAGTTTTGCTGCTCTCTTCAGAGCCACCAGGCAGTAACGTTTAAATCTGCAGAAGCTGTGCCCATAGCCGCCTGTTCCTTCGGGTGCTCTGTCCCAGGGAGATGGGAGTTTTATCTATAAGCCCCTGACTGGGGCTGCTGTCTTTCTTTCAGAGATGCCCTGCCCAGAGAGGAGGAATCTAGAGAGGCAGTCTGGCTACAGAGGCTTTGCGGAGCAGCAGTGGTCTCCACCCAGTTCGAACTTCCTGGTGGCTTTGTTTACATCGTGAGGGGAAAACCCGCCTAGGCAAACCTCAGTAGTGGCAGACACCCCTCCCCCGACCAAGCTCGAGTGTCTCAGGTTGACTTCAGACTGCTGTGCTGGCAGCAAGAATTTCAAGCCAGTGGATCTTAGCTTGCTGGGCTCTGTGGGGGTGGGATCCACTGAGCTAGACCACTTGGCTCCCTGGCTTCATCCCCCTTTCCAGGGGAGTGAACGGTTCTGTCCTGCTGGCAGTCCAGGTGCTGCTGGGTATGAAAATAAACTCCTGCAGCTAGCTTGGTATCTGCACAAATGGCCACTCAGTTTTGTGCTTGAAACCCAGGGCCCTGGTGGTGTAGGCACCCGAGTGAATCTCCTGGTTTGCAGATTGTGAAGACCATGGGAAAAGCATAGTATCTGGGCCAGAGTGCACCATTCCTCAAGCACAGTCCCTCAAGGCTTCCTTTGGCTAGGGGAGGGAGTTCCCTGACCCCTTGCACTTCCCACCTGCTCCCCACCCTGCTTCAGTTCGCCCTCCATGGGCTGCACCCACTGCCTAACCAGTCCCATGAGATGAACCGGGTACCTCAGTTGGAAATGCAGAAATCACCCACCTTCTGTGTTGATCTTGCTGGGAGCTGCAGACTGGAGCTGTTCCTATTTGGCCATCTTGCCTAATCTCTAAATTCCAAGAGTACCAATCTTTTTTTTTTTTTTTTTTTTTGAGATGGAGTCTTGCTCTGTCTTCAGGCTGGAGTGCTGTGGTGTGACCTCAGCTCACTGCAACCTCTGCCTCCCAGATTCAAGCAATTCCCCTGCCTCAGCCTCCCAAGCAGCTGGGATTACAGGCGCCCACCACCATGCCCAGCTAATTTTTTTAGTATTTAGTAGAGACAGGATTTCACCATGTTGGCCAGGATAGCCTCAGTCTCCTGACCTCGTGATCTGCCCGCCTCGGCCTCCCAAAGTGCTGGGATTACAGGCGTGAGCCATAGTGCCTGGCTAGTACTAATCTTAATGAAAGGGAACTACTCCATACATTTGGCAAATCAAAGTTACACAGATAATTAAAATGAATCAGTTATTCTTTTATAGATCAATTTTTTGTTAAAATTTTACATAAAAAATTAACTTTGGACCTCGAACTACCAACTGTGTGATGAATTCGTCCTTTGTCTGAAATTGTTTCTTCTTTAAAACATTAACCAGAAGCAGTGCAGTTTTGGATGCTGAAAGCAAACATGGAATGCATATATTTCATGTAGTCTCGCAAAGAAGAATTGTCAACAAGACCAACCATACAACTAAATAAGGTGGCATTGAAAACATTGAATATAATATATCAACAAAGTAATTTTGAATTGTCTTAAATTCCAGGATGGAAATAAGCAAGTGGAACATCATGTCTGTTCTCTCCTGGTGAATATGTATTTTTAAACAAAACAAAAAGAAAAAAATGAACAATAGCACTGTACTTACTCAGCTTTGTAATTTTTATTTTTTTAATCTATGGGAGATGTGTAAACTCTTAAAGGTCACGAGATAGAAAGGAGGGCAAGACATTTGTGTCATATTAATAACATTTTTTTGTTTATAAAAATAAACTGTGATCCTTATATCCTTATTATAAAAATAAACTGTGAAAAAAAATTTCAACAATACAGAAATATATTTAAAGGGAAAAATATCCTGTAATTCTATTTTAGTTTGTAAAATCTTAGATTTTCCCTCTGCAGATAGTAATATGGAATGTATGCCACATCCATAGTTATAGGTAAATATCTTAAGTAAATATACTCTTCTATATTTACATATACATTTTTTAGCAACAAAAATGAGATTATTTTTGCTCTTTGCAACCTTTTTTTAAATTGTAACAGTATATCTTGGACATCTTTCAGCGACATTACATGATTTCCCCCAGGGGCAGCGCACTATTCCATTGTACCATAATCTGTGTAACTAATCCTTTACTGGTGATATTGGGGTTGTTTCCAGTTTTCTGCCATCATGACAACTGCAGTAAATATACTTGTATATATTAAGTTTGATAGAACTTAGTGACTGTATCAGTCAGCATAGGCTAAGTTATGCTTTATTAGCAAGCAGACCTAAAGTCTCAGACGCTTGAGACAACGTAAGTGCCTTTCATGTTTATGCAAAGCACTCTGCGGGTTTAGGTGACACTTCAGAGAAGTTGCCCTCCATGTGTTGGCTCAGTATTAGGGGGTGCTCTGATCTTGTGACTCATCCAAGTCAACAAGTACTTTTATGATTACTGTGACAGGAGAAGAATGAACTAGAAAGTCAGGCACTGGCAATTGAATCCTTTTGGAAAATCACTTTTGCAACCATATTATTAACCTAAGGAACTAATATGGTCATGCCTCACTCTCATAGAATTGTGAAATGCGGCTGTTCTATGTGCATGTAGTAGAGGAGATTTGAATGCTAGCAAATAGTCGAAATGACTACCATAGTGATTGATTCACTGATTGTGGACAGTGAGATGGGAGTCCAAGATATCAAAGAGTTTTTGAACTTAAGTAAGTGAGCATAGGAATGCCATTAATTAGATCCCAGGGTTCATCTGGAAATGGTCAGTTAACTAAGATAGAACACAGAATGTGGGAAGAGATGGGGATCAGAAATTATACCTGCTCCTGGACTGGAAGAATTGCCTCAGCAACTACCTGCTGTGGTCAGAGATTTTTAGTCTGGAGAACAAAATGTAATTTTGAAGGGGAAGCTGCAATTTCAGTCATAAGGTAGGCAAATAGCTTGCAGCAACAAAAAGGTGAATATAAAGTCCTGTTATCTCAACAGGTAGTTGGACATCAGGAATGGAAGTAAAAAGTTGACGACACTTAGAATTTCAGTCTTAAAATTGGCCTTGGAGAGTGAAATGGTTCAAGGTGCCAGGATGGGATTCAGGATCAGAAATGCAATACCTCTGGGGGATATAACAAGACTGGTACATTGGTTCTCAAAATTTATGTGTATCTAGTGCACTTTCTAATGCTAGAAAAGATTTAAAGATGAATATTACCTTTAAAAAGGAGGTATCTTTGGAAAATTGAAAACATTATATGCTCATGTATTGCTCATATCCATAGGTATACTTTCACACTGAGGATCTGTTTGAATAGAGTCATTTACTGTCCTAAATGTCATCTCCTATATTAAAATGCCATAGAGATCCCAAAACTATGTACATCTAGTATGCATCAAAAAAATTAAAAAAATAAAATGCTAAAGAGGCACTTGTCTTTTTACTACTCTTCAACTGTTACCCTGTCTCTCATACTCTTCATAGGCAATTGTTACCTCTTGACTCTTTTTTACAAAGAAGATTTTTAAACCATTTATTGATTTAGAAAGTAGGGCTTTTAATTAATTTTAATTAAACATATTTGCTGAGATAATTCATATGGCATAAGATTCACATTTTAATGATATTTAATTACATTAATCACATTTAATGATATTCAATATTTTTCATATATTCACAGAGCTGTGCAGCCATCACCACAATCTATTTTAGAACATTTTCATCACCCCAGAAAGAAGCCCTGTATCAATTAGCTGTCATTCCCCTCACCCACTAGGCCCCGGAAACCACTAATAAACTTTCTGTCTCTATGAATTTGCCTATTCTGGACATGTTAAGGAAATGAAATCATATACTATGTAGTCGTTTGTGTCTGATTTCTTGGAATTACGTTTTCAAGTTCATTCATATTGTTGTATGAATCAGTACTCATTTCTTTTTATGGCTGAAAAATATTCCATTGTATGGACATACTACATTTTGTTTACTTATCAGTTGGTGAATATTTGAGTTGGTTTCAGCTATTAATAATAATCTTTCTATGAAAATTCATGTACAAGTTTTTGTGTGGACATATATGTTCATTTATCTTGGGTATATTCCTAGGAGTAGAATTGCTGAGTCATATGACAACTAAAATTTTGAAGAACTACCAAATTGCTGAGTCACATGAAAACTAACATTTTGAAGAACTACGAAACCGTTTTTCAAAGCGGTTGCAATGTTTTACAATCCCACCAGCAATGCATAAGGGTTCCAATTTCTCCGCATTTTTGTCAACACAAATTATTGTTTGTCTTTTGATATTAGCCATCCTAGCGGATATGAAGTGGCATTTCTTTGTGGTCCATCTACTTCTTAACCTACTTTAATCTGGCTTCCATTCTGTAACTCCACCAAAATCAGCAATCATTATAATTATCAGTGTGGTACATGTCTCTAATCTAAAGGATATATTCAGTTATTACCTTACTAGATCTTTTAGCAAATTTGATACGGTTGATTCTTCTTTCTAGAATATTTTATTTTCATAGTTTCAAGGCCTGAACAAATTCCTGGTTTTCTTCTTTTTTCCTCTGGTTATTTCTGTCTCTTTGCAGTTCGTTTTGTTCTATAGGTTAACAAGTTGTGGAGTTCCTTAAGACTTGCTCCCAGCTTTCTCCTCCTCTCAGTCTACATTTTGTTTTAATGCCCATGTCTTATACTACTATCAGTAAGCAGATGGCGCTCAAATTTTCATTTCCAGCTCAGATCAGTCCTCTGTGCTCTAAACATGTTTATCTAATGGACAATTTGTTACTTCTCAAACACAACTTAAAATTAATCTAAGAATAAACACATAATCTCTCTCCTTTCTCCTATCAGTCTTTTTCTATTGTTTCATATTTGGAATGACAACCTCCTTCATCAGTTGGGCAAGCCAGAAATCTCAGCATCATTCTTGGCTCACTTCTCTTCCCTTACTTCCTACAAGCAGTCCTCATCAAGTCTTGCAAATCGTAGCTGCTAAATATCTCTTAAAACTGTTATTTTTTTCTCTATATTAATGTCAATACCCTAGCTTAAGCTGGCATCACCCACATCCTGGGTTTATGTTAGGCTTTCTTAATTGCTCTATCTTCAGCTACTCTGGCTGTCTCCAATTTATTACTCATACTGTAGCCCTAGTTAGAAAGATCCACTCCTATCCCTTGTTTAAAACTATTCAACAGTTTTCAAAAAGAGAAAATTATAGACTAATATCCCTGACAAACATAGATGCAAAAATCCTCAACAAAATATTGGCACAGCAAAAAGATAACACAACATAATCAGGTGAAATTTATCCCAGGGATATAAGAATGGTTTGATACATGCAAATCAATAAACTTGATACATTACAAATAGAATTTTTAAAAAACCATATGATCATCTCAATAGATAGAAAAAAGGCCCTCAATAAAATTCAGCATTCCTTCATGATAAAAATTCTCAACAAAGTAGGCATATAAGGAACATATCTCAAAATAATAAAGGCCATATGTGACAAACTCACAGCCAACATCATACTTAATGGGGAAAAGTTGAAAGCATTCCAAGAACTGGAACAAGAGTGCCTACACCAGTCCTATTCAACGTAGTACTAGAATTCTTAGCCAGAGCAATCAGACAAGAGAAAGAAAGAAAAGTCATCCAAATTGAATAAAAGGATGTCAAATTATCTCTGTTCACTGATATAATCTTATATCTAGGAAACCTGAAAGACTCCACCAAAAAACTTAGATTTGATAAATGAATTCAATAAAGTTTCAGGATACAAAATTAACATACAGAAATGAGTAGTGCTTCTATATGTCAATAACAATCTAGCCAAGGACAAATCAAGAAGGAAATCCCATTGCAATAGCTACAATAAATAAATAAAAACATGTAGGAATATATTTAACCAGGAGGGTAAAAGATCTCTACAAGGAACCCTACAAAATACTGATGAAATAAATTGTAAATGATGCAAACCAATGGAAAAACATCCCATGCTTATGGATTGGAAGAACTAATATTGTTAACATGACCATGCTTCCAAAAGCAATCTACAGATTCAATGCAATTTTTATCAAAATACCAATGTCATTTTTCACAGAATTAGAAAAAACAATTCTAAAATTCACATGGTATAAAAAAGGAGCCTGAATAGCCTAAGCAATCCTAAGCAAAAAGAACAAAGCTGGAGACATCACATTTCCTGACTTCAAATTATACTACAAGGCTATAATAACCAGAACAGCACGGTACTGGTATAAAAATAGAAATATAGATCAGTGGAATGGAATACAGAACCCAGAAATAAAGATGCATATCTAGAGCCAATTCATCTCTGCAAAGTCAACAAGAATATACACTGGGGAAAGGACTCCCTTTTCAATAAATGGTGCTAGGAAAATTCATTTGCCATATGAAGGAGAATGAAACTGGTCCCCTATCTCTCACCGTATATAAAAATCAACTCAAGAAGGATAAAAGAACTAAACATAAAACCTGAAACTATAAAAATACTAGAGGAAAACCAAGAAAAAACTCTTCTGGACTTTGGCTTAGGCAAAGAATTTATGACCAAGTTCTCAGAAGTAAACATGATAAAAACAAAAATAGACAAATGGGACTTAAACTAAAAAGCTTCTGCACAGCAAAAGAAACAATTAACAGAGTAAGCAGACAACTACAGAATGAGAAAAAATATTTGGAAACTATGTATCTGACAAAGAGCTAATATGCAGAATCTACAAGTATCAATTCGACAGGGGAAAAAGTGGGCAAAGGACATTAACAGTTTTCAGAAGGCATACACACAGCCAACAATCATATGAAAGAATACTCAACATCGCTAATCAGAGAAATGGAAATGAAAACCACAATGAGATCATCTTATATTAGTCAGGATTTTATTTTTTATTATTAAAATATCTAAAACCAGCCAGATGTTGGAGAAAGTAATGCTTATATACTGTTGCTGGGGATGTAAATTAGTATAACCTTTATGGAAAACAGTATGGAGATTTCTCAAAGAACTAAAAATAGCAATCCCGCTACTGGTTATATACCAAAAGGGAAATAATTCATTATATAAAAAAGATATCTGCACTCATAATGCTTATTACAGCACTATTCACAATAGCAAAGATAAGGAGTCAACTCAAGTGTCTATCAGTGGATGATTGGATAAAGAAAATGTCATATATATATACATACAATGAAATACTACTCAGCCATTTTAAAAAAAGAATAGTCATATCTTTTGCAACAATATGGATGGAACTGGAGGCTATTATTTTAAGTGAAACAACTCAGAGACAGACAAATACCACATATTCTCACTTATAAGTGCGAGCTAGACAATGGTTCCACATGAACTTACAGAATATAATAGACATTAGAGACTACAAAGGGTAGGAGGGTGGGAAGCGGGTGACGGTTGAAGGATTACTTATTGGGTACAATGTTCACTGTTCAGGTGATAGTTACGCCAAAAGCCCAGACTTCTGCCGTGCGTGGTGGCTCACGCCTATAATCCCAGCACTTTGGGAGGCCGAGGCGGGCAGATCACGAGGTCAGGAGATTGAGACCATCCTGGCTAACACGGTGAAACCCCGTCTCTACAACAAAATACAAATAATTAGCCGAGCGTGGTGGCACACGCCTGTAGTACCAGCTCCTCAGGAGGCTGAGGCAGGAGAATCGTTTGAACCCGGGAGGCAGAGGTTGCAGTGAGCCGAGATTACGCCCCTGCACTCCAGCCCGGGCGACAAAGTGAGACTACGTCTCAAAAAAAAAAAATTAAAAAAAAGCCCAGACTTCACCATGATGCAATATACGGATGTAAGAAATCTGCACTTGTACTCCCTAAATATGTAAAAATTAAAGAAAAATGAAAACAGTCTCCCTCCCTCCCCAAATAAAACCATTTGAGTTTCCTATTGCTCTTAGAACTGAGTCAAAAGTTTTGATTGTGATCTACAAGGCCAATAGTAGTATGGTTACAATCTACATTTCCATCATAAACTCCCTCCAGCAAGTCTGTGATGCCAAAGTTAGGGCTCTGGTTGGGAAGGAATGAGACTCTGAGACACACGATTGGGACATTTGAGTTGATGCACTTGAAATTCTTGAAACCCCGGATCATCTTGAACCCTGTGGTCCTGCAGAAGTGGCTCACTTTTCTTTGTTAGAAACTGTTCTCCTCCCCACTGACTTTTGTCCCCTGCCCAACTAGACGATAATGAAGTCTCTGCCCATGTAACATGTTAAGCTCTCCTCGCCTCCCCCAGTCAATCCTCACCTCCCTCCTGACCTCCAAAGTGATAACTAGAATCGACTTAAAACATATTGCAGCTGGGAAAGTACTGGGCCTGCTAAGGGAGGAAAAGAGCTAAGTAGCAAGAGACAAACACTAGTCACATGATCATCAGTAGTGCATAAATGCTAGAAAAGCAGGGAAAGAACATTTAAGGTTTTATTATATGGGATCACCCTTCTGTGATACTGGATTTTATACCTTGGCAAGAACCCAAGGAGATTATGCCAAACACTGTTTTCTTAGAAAAAGCGATGGTCAACACCAAGTGAAGTAGAAACCTCAGAACTACCATGGCAGAACATGAAGTGGAGATCAAAAGGCTTAGGTAAGTAAGCATATCATAGGGAATGACACTAAATAGGGCTGGAAAACACACCAGCTGACATTTTTCTGCAGAAACACCTTTGTGTTTACCAACGGGATGAGAAATGTGCTAGTGAAGGGGGCACCCACGCCATTGAGAAGCGCATTGGTGGTTCTCTTCTTTTTTTTTTTTTGAGACGGAGTCTCGCTCTCTCCCCCAGGCTGGAGTGCAAATGGCGCGATCTTGGCTCACTGCAAGCTCCGCCCCCTGGGTTCACGCCATTCTCCTGTTTCAGCCTCCCGAGTATCTGGGACTACAGGCGCCCGCCACAACGCCCGGCTAATTTTTTTTTGTATATTTAGTAGAGACGAGGTTTCACCATGTTAGCCAGGATGGTCTCGATCTCCTGACCTCGTGATCCACCCGCCTCAGCCTCCCAAAGTGCTGGGATTACAGGCTTGAGCCACCGGGCCCGGCCGGTGGTTCTCTTCTTTACTCCAGGAGATGCTGTTCTATCTCACTGATAGCAGTTGGCATGAGAAAATACCAAACTAGTAGAGGCCAGGTGGTATCACTTAACTGCCAGATGCAAGATAGGATTAACTATCATAATGAGCAACAAGTTTTTGGAATGGCAACCATGGGATCCAGGCTCATGAAGAACTACGGAGATGACTAATAGGATAGGGCATCCTTAGGGGAAAGACAGGTAGACATCCAACAGGGGCATTTCCCGATCTATACAATCAAGGATAAGTGGTCTAAGGACAGAGAACAGCTGCCCCAACAAAAAGTCGATTTCCGAACCTGACCCAGTTTGCATATCTGCAACCCGTTGACTGAAGGAGAGTCAGGGTCCTTTACAAGAATGGATTCTATACCCTATAGCAAGTGTATTCAGTAAAGTTTCTTCCAATTTATCCCTGAAAAGACCTATGGCCACGTAGTTGGGTAATAACTCTATACTGGTAAAAGGAGAACACTCAAAACATTTTGAGGGTTTCTGAATTATTAAATATGGGTCTGATTGACATTGATACTTAAGGACCTAAAGAATTATCCTGGGCTCCCTGTTGGAGTGGAGTATATAGGGAGCAGGTAATAAATGCAATTGTGGCTCAGATTCAACTCACAATGAATCAGCTATATCCATAAACCCACTTGCTAGTAATTTCCCTGATACTTAAATGTATAACTGGATTGCACATACTTGAAAATTGGCAGAAGGCACACATTGATCCTTGACCTGTGCAGTAAGCTCTATCATCATGAGGAAGGCCACTTGAAAGCCTATGAAATCACACCTCCACCCTAGCCAAATAATAAATATGAAATAATATTGAAGAATCAAGGGGAGAGGATGGCAGAGATAAAGGCCATTCTTAAAGACTCAAAAGATGCAGAGATCATGGTCTCCATCATGTCTTCATTTAAATCACCAGTCTGAGCCCTACAAAAATCAGATGGATCCTGGAAGATGATTCTGAATTCCCACAAACCCGACCAAGAAGTAGCTCCAGTTTCTGTAGCTTTGATGGAAGTGGTATCTCAATGGGAGCATATTAACACAAATCCAGGTGCAGAGTATCTAGCCATAGATCTAGTGAACATGATCTATTCCATCCCATGGGCAAGTCTTATAAACTCTCTATACTTCAGTTTACTCAACTGTAAGTTAGGGAGAATATCTACTTCAGGGAGTCATTGTGAATCCTCAGTTAATTAATGCATATAAAGTACTTAAAACAGTGCTGAGCACTGCAGTTAGCACTATATAAATATTAGCTTTTTTTTGTTAGGGAAAATGGTCATATTAATCTCTATAAAAGTAACTTGTATATTATCTACACATTACATTATTTATTCTTGTAGGGAAGAGGAACGAGGAACAACAAACAGGTAAATAAATACATTAAATTGTTTCCTTGTTTACCGTCTATTCTTTGTGGGTTTGGTGACTCATACCTTTAATCCCAACACTTTGGGAGGCCGACAAAGGAGGATTGCTTGAGGCCAGGAGTTCAAGACCAGTCTAGGCAACATCGCCAGAACACGTCTCTACAATTTTTTTTTTTTTTAATTAGCTGGGTGTGATGGCACATGCCTGTAGTCCTAGCTACTTGGAAGGCTGAGGCAGGAGGATCGCTTGTGCCCAGAAATTCAAGGCTGCAGTGAGCTGTGATTACACCACTGCACTCCAGCCTGGGTGAACAGAATAGGACCCTGTCTCTTAAAAAAGAAAAAAAGAAAAAGAAAAAAGAGAATATAAGCTCTTTGAAGGTGGGGACTATATCCCAGCATTTAGAATTGCAGCCAGCATGTAGCAGGCTCTTATAGAATATATGTGATTAGATATTGTCATGCCAAAATCCTATTGACTCCAGTGGAGATGGCACCAGGTTCAACAGACAGAAGAAGAGACCCAGAGCCAGCAAATGAGTCATGGGATTTTATTGGAGACTTTCATACAGTGGAGAGAGTCCAGTGGTGGCAGGCTGGGCAGAAGAACTGCAACTGCTTACAGATCATACAGCATTTTCACTTAGCACTCTTTCCCTAACAACCTTCACCTGGCAACCTTAATGCAACCCAAAACACGGGCCTCGAATTGCTGTATGGCTGGTGTTTTACAGGATGGGATGGGGCTCAGATGTTCCTCACAGACAAAGAAGGAATCTCTGGGTTGGCCACTCACGGATCCCTTAGCTTAGAACACATTCAGGTGCATCTGCCATACATGGTCATTCTCAGGGTATGCTTAAGATATTGCTATTAGACGCATTTACCCTATAGCTATACATATATGTGGGAGGTAGGGATATATATGTTTGTTTCCTGTTAATTGATCTTCTTTAGTTTCTTATTGGTACCCTAAGAACACCCTTAGTTTGCAGTGGAAGCAGAAACAAATGCTCAAAGAAATCTCTAGCCTAAGTGTGGGACAGAAAGATTTTGCTGCCTTTTTAAAGATCATAATTTCACATCCAAAAATTAGACTTGAGGTGGGGGGAAGAGAGTAGAGGCATGCAGAAGAAGCTGGAGAGAGGGAGGTGTGAAGGGAGTGGAATTATAAAGATAGGAAGGGGAAGAAGAAGTTCTCATGGTAGGTGAGGACCAGGAACAGATGGGGAAGGGACACAGAGTGCTGATTTCCTCAAGCCTGGATCACCTGTGGACATCCTATCATCCAACAGTCCTGAGAGAGGTGGGGGATTCAGGTGCATGTGGTTGTAGGTGCAAAGGGGGAACCTAGCTCCCTGTTGAAGGTGAAAGTGGACAGAATACAGACAATGGCTGACACACAGACCCTGTTCCTCAACATGATCACCTACCATGTTCCAGGATTGTAGAAATATTAGCTTGATAATCATTACAGGAACTCTGTTTTACAGACAAAAAAAAAACCAACACAAGGATTAGATCAATTATGTAATTTACAGAAGGCCATAAAGCAGCTAGAATCATGGCTTGGATGAAAACTCAGCTGTTTCAACTCCAAAATTAGATGGTTAACCACCACAATATGCTACTTCATTGGGTTATTGGTCCTGGTTTTCTGGGTAGTGCTTTCTTTCTCTAGTCGGGCAGGAGCTGTTCCTGTGGAAATACGTCAGTGGCTAGCAGTCCAAATCTCAGGGTTCAAAGGGTGAGCTTCTCTTTGATTTGAGTTAATCTTGATCTCCAAGTGCCCTAATCTGGTGGAGGAGGAGTAAGTGTCTCTTGGGGTCAGAACTTATGTTTATTGATTGTTTACTATTTGTTGTGCTGGGTTCTTTATATAGTTCATCTTATTTCTCACAACAAGTCTATGAGCTGGATAGTATTATATCACTTTGAAGAGAGGGATGGAAAAATGAGACTTCAGAAGGTGAGCTAGTTGCCTAGCATCCTATAGCAGTAAATGATGGAGTTGAGTACAGTTTGGGCCTCTCTAACCTCAGAATTATGAAAGTGGCAATAACCGTGCCAGCGGTTCTGATGCTGGGAAGTTATTTCAGTTGGAAGTACATCTCTGCCAATGGTAGAGGGACCCAAACTGTGTTTAATCACAGGTTCAGTGACCATAGTCTGTAGAATAAACAACTCTCTCATATTCACTTACTCTGATATTTCAAACATATATGGCTGCTTTTATGGTAAATGAGATGTAAATTTACCTAATATGTTTAATAAATTTAGTTTATTTTTGTCATTATATGGTAACAGTCAGAACGTATATCCATGGGTTGAAAGCAGTGTTGTGAAATGGTTAAGGGCCAGATTCTGGAGACAGAGTATTTTGTGTTTGAATCCTGGCTTGGCAACTTACTGTCTAGCTGTGTGACCTTGAGCAGACTTCAATTTTTCAGGGTTCAGGGTCTTTACCTGTAAAAGGAAGATAATAATATTGATTTTATAAGCTGTTGTGAAGATTAAATAAATTGATCTCTGAAAGTTGCTAAGATAGCACTTGGCCCAGAGTAAGCACTTTTAAGTTTTAATTATTATTATAACTGGGCTTTTACAGGAAATTTAAGAAATTTTTTATTTTAAAAGGGCCTTTACCTGAAACGGGTAAGAACCTCTGCATTGAAGTCCAATTTTATCCCTCAGGAGCTATGACTTTAGAAAGCTATTTAAATTTTCTGTGTATTAGTTTTTTAATAGTGTGGTTTTAATGATTAAAATGAGATTCTGTATATAAAGCACTAAACACTGTTTAAAAATCATAAGTGGTCAATACATAATAGGGATGAAAAATACGATTATCAGTTTCATCATTAACCATGATAGAAAATTTACTTGGACAATGTCACTTTTCAAAAATACCTAATGAAATGTGTGACAAGAATGAAAACAAAACCACCTCAATTTTTCAGCAAGTTTTATGGTCCTGCCTCTGTGCTAAACAATATTATGCATTAAAAATGATGAGGTCCCTGAAGAAAAGGAGCTTGCCATTTAATTTGGGAGATGAATCACCCACAAACGGCATGTTTGTAAAGCTGTCAGTACCCTGACATAGTGGGAGCTCCATCATCAAGAGCTGGTATTATTATTATTTTATTATTTATAAAAAAAGCACATAACAGGCTGAGCATGGGGGCTCATGCCTGTAATCCCAGCGCTTTGGGAGGCCGAGGCAGGAGGATCATTTGAGGTCAGGAGTTTGAGACAGTCTGGCCAACATGGCAAAACACCGTCTATACTAAAAATACAAAAATTATCTGGGCATAGTGGTGGGTGCCTGTAATCCCCACTACTTAGGAGGCTGGGGCAGGAGAATCGCTTCAACTGGGAGGCGGAGGTTGCAGTGAGCCGTGATGGCACCTCTGCACTCCAGCCTGGGTGACACAGCGAGACTCTGTTTCACCAAAAAAAAAAAAAAAAAAAAAAAAAAAGCACATAACAAAGACCTAGGCAGTATAATACCAACAGTTAGAATATAAAGCTGTGTATAATAAGGGGCTAATTAGGAGTTAGAGACAAGTTTTAAATGAGAGCAATCTGAGTTTAAGCCACAGTTGAGTCTTGTTATTTTCAGTAGTTCTGTTCTACAAAGTTGTCAGAATCAATGAATTAGGGAATACTGAAGCTAATTGCTTCAGCAATTAAGCATTGCTCCTAGGGGAAATGCAGGGTTAGGTTCCTGTGATCCTCTGATTACAACATTTTTGTCAACTGATCAACTGATCAATTAATAACCTTGTTCTATGTGTATTTCTGTTTAAAAACACCATATTTAATATACATTGTAGATTCGTTAACATTGCACTCACAGCCAGCAGCACTGCAACTCATGTCTGGAGTTTATCGAACACATATTTTCCCTGTAAGGCACATTACAGCCTCCTTGTGCTCAGGATCATTAGATAGCACTTCTGCACTGTGCTTTGGGCTTCCTTTAAACAACAAAATCACCAAGAAAAGGACAAACATGCAAAAAACATGCCATTACATAGATCACAAAAAGGGTACTTGTTTATAATATGAGAGCTAAAACAAGAAGGCAATGTTGCCTTGTTTGACTTCAGCTAAGAACGTGCCATTGTGCACATTTCTGTGAATAACCTCAGAAGCATAGTGAGTATTGATTTTGGGGTTACAAATGAACGTTAGCTGCTAGGTGAATTCGCACATACTGAATCTGTGAATGATGAGGATCAACTGCAAAGTGTAAACCTGGAGGGATTCATAGAAGAGATGTGTTTTGAGTGAGGCCTTGAAGGATGAGTAAATGAAGATGGGAATGATGAGTGGGGACAGATGTCAGCCCCTAATGGGTTCTAGTCTCATCACACTCATACCTTCCTGATCACAGACCCTTTCTTCCTCTAGTATACTATCTTTGAAGCTGAATCCTTGAGCTTTACAATTTACTGCTTATTAAAGAAGGAGCTTAATAAACATAGGGAAGCATCTAATTTATAGATTAAATGATCATTAGGCCTCTCTTCATATCTAAGGAAAACTTCTTTTGTCTGTGAATAAAAAAAGTCTGAAAATTTTATGTTGGAGAGAGATATCAATTAAAAAACCAGAGTTCAACCTGCAACTAAATCTACAAATCAGGACAGATAATTGATATTATTTTGTTGTCAAACACCTACATTAGGGAGACTAGAGTTAGAAGACTGGGGGACAAACAAGGAGAGCCTTTTAACGTTCCCTACCTGCAATATTAGCTTATGATATTTTTGATTATCTTTATTAAGGGGAAAAAAACGACTTCCCCTTAATCCATAATTTAAACATTACTTCTCAAAAGTGATAAAAATAGCATGTAGGTATTAGTCAAAGATTTGTTTTTTCAAGATTTAGCTGAAAACCAAACTAAAACTTCCATGTGCTCCAATAAACCCAGTGTTTTTCATAGGTTGCTATTTCTAATCCCTGTTGCCATGGTTATGGACTTTACATCAGCAAAAAGGGGATGAGGTACTGAGTGATTTATACCCACTGTTTGATATTTTAAGTGCTTCACCACTGCTCTTTTCCTTTTCTGTAGAAAGTATATAAGGATGTTTTTCTGGTAGGGCTTTCAGACCTTCAGATAAAGGAGCTCTCGAAATACAACCCATAAGGAATAAAGCCATAGCCAGTGCTTCCCTGGTAAGTTTTGGGGGATGGAAGTGGCAGCAGTCATAAGAAAGCAAATCGAGAAGTAAGGGCAGTTGGCTGTTCTACTGAAAATGGTTTAATGGAAATGAGAGGTGATGAAGCATTTACAATATAACCTGCAATACAAGGTTGGCATAGAAAACATTTAAAAATTATAATTAAAATTAAACAGCTCAAGAATGACCTGTATTTTCTCTCTGTAGCATAATGCTTCCTTTGATAAATCTAAGAACCCCTGGATGTTCACTCAGTTGGAAAAATCAATGGTTTAGTTCCAATCACTTTGAAGAGAGGAAACTGGTGATTTGGATGGTTCCACTCCTGGTCCCGTGTTCTGTGGCTGTTATTACTGTTGCTTCACGTTAATGGAAATAATTCATTAACTGAAAGTCAGCTCTAAAAGGATCAATTACACACATGGCTCCTGCCCATTTTCTGTTACTCTTGGGCTAAGTTCTCCCGCTTCCTCATGGTCTGGAAGGCAGAAATCCCTTCTATCCATAATTGGCAGGTTTTATAGGTTGAAACCTATGGTTTCAGACAATGGAAATTTGCTCAAGAACTCAGGACTTTCAGTTGCCCAACTAGTGGCAAGTATTGTTACTTTAAAGTGTAGTTTATTCCAATTCTACTCTTTTAGTTATTTTAAAATATACAGTAAATTATTGTTAACTATGGTTGCCCTATTAAGCCACCGAACACTAGATCTTACTTCTCCTAACAACAACAAAAATATGATAAATGCTTGAAGTGATGGATACCCCAACTACTTCAATTTGATCATTATACATTATATCTTTTTATCTAAATATCATATGTACCCCATAAATATGTATAACTATTATGTATCCATAATAATCAAAAATTAAAAAATTTTTAAAAATGTAGTTTATACAAAGCTTATTAATAGTGGAGGCTCATATAAACCCATATAATTGATTTCAACTTTATAAAACACATTGTTTTTCAAACCGCTAGAAAGTATTACATGAATTCACTCTGTTAATCTGTGTTTAGGTGTTACGAGAAACTGGCCACAAGGTCAGTACTTTATAGAAGTTAACCTCTTTTCCTTTTCTTTCAAGCTGGTATTGGGGGTGGGAGACATTATTACAACTCCAGAATGTTTATGCAAAGGAAGAATGATTCAGACTGGCTGTAGACATTGTGCTAAGATTTATTCATCTTAATGAATAAATCCTTTCCTACTTTTGTTTTTCCAGTTCCTCAACTTTCACTTTTTTTTTCCCATGTGTTTCCCATTTCAAATGGAGAAAATGCTAGTACATTTTAACAAAATTCTTTGCAGTTGTCAAGGCTTAGTATATTAAGGAATTTATTCTATTTTTTAAAAGCCTGTATTCTTATAGCACTGGGTTCATAGTACTGATCAAGCATTTAAATAAGAACTTGAAAATTTTGTAATTCCAGCATGCTGGTGAATAACCATGCAATGAAAGGTAAAATGAAAAGCCTCAATTTAAAAAAGTGAGCTTCTGTTGCTGTGATTCAAATGTTTGCTTTAAAAGCACTTAAGATGTTCCTGCAGAATCTCTTGCTTTTTCTCTTTAACAAATCCTGCTTGCTCCTCCTACGTGAAAGGTTGATGTTTCCGCAAGAGTTCAAATACAATGGTGTGGTACAAGTTAGTACAGGCCTCATGGCTCTAAGTTCTTTTTGTGGTGGTAAGTGGGTGGAATATGTATCCAGTTTTTTAGTACAAAGAATTTTAAATGCTCTTAATATTTGAGTGTAAGAATTAAGGTAGTCACACACACTTCCTCATTCTCCTGAACATCCTCCTTTCTGGCTTTATGGCTCTTGGATAGGTGCCAAAAATGGAAGGTTGAGTGGAGACTGTTTTATCTCTTTTCAGCCTATGTTCTATCACAACTGCATTATAATTCAATTAATGTAAAATAAGACAAATAATTATATGATAGCCTTGTTATAACATATTCATCATGTAGAGCAATAGCATAATAGGGAACAGTTTTTAAATATAGTGCCTAGTCCAGTATCTATGTTATATCATATAATCATCACAGTAAGTGTAAAAGCAGTTTTTTTTAAAAAAATCCTCATTTAATAGATGAAGAAACTGAGTCTCACACTGCTAAAGCAACTTTTCCAAGGGCACAGAACTAATTATAAGAGAAACTTGAGATTGGGATCTGTTTACTTGAGCCCACACCATACCTGTAAAGGGGGGAAATTGCTGTAGGTGAAGTGTTGTGGTATTGATGTCCTCATTGTAATTAAACGGAAAATACTTTGGGAAGAGCTCCAATATTAATCTGTTCCATTTCACATTTTTTATTCCGG
Source organism: Homo sapiens (assembly GCF_000001405.40). Lineage (NCBI taxonomy): Eukaryota > Metazoa > Chordata > Mammalia > Primates > Hominidae > Homo > Homo sapiens. Next base: position 80,101,940 of record NC_000012.12, read on the forward strand.
AGAAAGAGTGTTTGGTCTCCAAGGATCAATTGAATCAAGAAATGTTCTTAATTCTGAAATGTAACCTTATGTTCTCTTATGCAACAATTTTTCCAATCCAGGCTTCTATTAATTCCAGACCTATGAATCCACTAGTTGATAAATCCACTCAAACTCAATACAAGTAGGATGCAGAATGCAGTGGTTGAGGGACTGTGCACTTACTAACTGTGTGACTGAGCAACTTACTTAACTCCCTGGGACCCTAAGTAAACTAGGGAATGTATAGAATCTATCTCACATACTTGCTACGATCTATCAATCAGCTTATTTATCTATCTATCTTACTTACCGTTGATATATCCATTGCACCTAGAACAGTGCCAGGAACAGAGCCATTGCTATATATTATCATCAATTAAATGTCCTTGTGGCTTTTCCCTCAATGGTAGACCTTTTCATGTGTTCCTTGTATGAACTGCACCAGCATGCAATTGCCTAGTAGTCCAAGCCAGGGGACTGGGCATCAGCTTTTATTCCTTTTCCTCCTTCACTCCTATGTCCACTTGATTACCAAGTCCCGTTGATTTTAGCTTTAAGTATTTCTTGAACCGGCTACTTCTCTACATCTCCACTGTCACCCCTCTAGTTGTAGATACAATCTCTTTATCTTGATTACTTAAACATCCTTCCTGATGGTCTCTTCCCTTCAATTTTCCCCCACTCCCAATTGTATCTATCCCCCTCACTGTAGTCAGGGTGTTTGAAAAATATGTCAGACTGTGTTCTTCCTTAGCTTTTAAGGTTTCCTGTTATTTCTTGAGGTATATCCTAAAACTTTAATAAAGTCCTACTGATGGATGGACTAGTTTCCCAGAGTTGTCTCTTACCAACTCTTTACTCTCGGAGCTCTAGTCATAAGGCTCTTCTTTTTTTTCTCCTTTGTTTCAAGTTTTAATCAAAGCTTGTATATAAGATTATTCCTCCATCTTCTCAATTGTTTCTTCCTTGTATTTGCCCTTTTCCTTTCCTACTTGGCGAGATTTGGCTTTCCGTTCAAGGATCTTTTTGCTGTCTTTGTCCAGTTTTAGCCTAGTGATAACCACCTTGCTGGAGTGAATGCCTATGTGGACAGTTGTGCCATTAGCCTTTTCCCGCTGCACCCATTCAATGTAGATAACATATTTCTTCCTGTAAACCTGGACCACTTTGCCAATTTGCTGACCTTCGTAGTGTCCTCGTACAACCTGAACTTCATCGTCCTTTCGGATGGGCATGGATCGCTCGTTGTACTTCTGTCTCAGCTCTTTGGAAAGAAGGGAAGACATAATCTTCCTTCGAATGTGGGAAGGTGCGTTGAAATGCCTTTTGCGATTCTTGCTTCGGTCGGAAGTCACAAAGGGATTAAACTTCATTTTGGCCGCTCCCGCTTCGGTGATCGATCTTCTTTTCTTTTCTTGCAGGCTTCACATTCCTTTTGACTGTGGCATCTTCTCACTTGCTGTCCCTATGCCAGAATGTTGTCCCTTCTCTTCCCATAGTTAATTCTTATGAATTCTTCAACAGTCAGCTCAAATATCACTTTCTTGACCCCATGGCTAAATTGGATCTGTTATATATTCAAATCACTCTACTTCTCTTTCATAGCACTCATTTAAAATGTAATTGAATAATTAGTTATGTTGTGTGTTAGAATGCAGGTTCCATAAAAGCTGTCCTGTCACTGCTGTATACGTACCACCTAGCAGAGTGCCTTGCACATAGTTGGCATTCAATATTTATTGCATGACTTTCTCCATTTAGGAACATAGTAATAGCTGAATAATATGGAAATACCGCTAGTATTATTCTAAAAATGCCTATACCTTTGCAAACATTCACACAACTATTTGAAAAAGAAAAATGGGCCTGTAATGATGTAATTGTTTTTAAGATAATATATTCTAGACACCTGAGAACTGATAACTTTTGCCTTGTTTCTGAAGATTCATCAGTACTTTTTAAAATGTGATTGATCTTTTGTGGCCAGGGGTCAAAATATAATTTATTTCATACAGAAAATAACTTGATCTTTTCCCTGTTGACTTAATCCCAACACCTACAGAAGTTGGGCTGAAAAGATCAGAATTCCCAATATTCATTTCTATTTTAACCTGAAGATGATTAATGAAGCATGAAGGTGTTAAGCCATGTGCTAGATGCTGTAAGGGATTCAGTGAGGTATGAGGCAAGGAACCTACTCTGAAAGCAGCTTACAAGCTAGTACAGGAGATAGGAGTACTTTGGGATTTGAATACCCAAAATGCAGTAGACTTGTGATGGGGCCAGGATCCAGTGAGAAACATCCCAATCTCACATCTCTCCCATATCCAGATTGCTGGGAAGATTGAATGCTTAGAAAAGCCACATACCTCAAGCTTTTCCATTTCTCAACCCTTATTGCTCATTAGAATCACTGGGGGAGCTTTAAAAAATGGATACTTAGGCCCTGCCTCAGACGAATTAAATTGCCAAGAGAGGCGTGTTCTTTCCTGTGTATGGTAGCAAGCACTTACCTAACTTGGGGAAGGACCCAACTCACTTAGCTAGCTAGTGCCAAGGATACACTTAATAATTGAGTGGATACAGTGCCTTAGTTCGTCATTGTCTTCCTTATTTTCTCAAGAAGGCATACGTTGGAGGGGTGAGAGCATGTCAGGGGGGTGAGAGCAGTGTTGTAGGGGTGGGAGAGAGCTGCCTAGTTGGGCACAGTTTAAGTGCAAGGCATTATTGTAGGTATCTATAGATTGTCACACAAAAGATTTAGTAAGGATTGTGTATCATCAATCTTTTAAAGAAATCTGGTAAATTCATAATTTTTATTATGAACCAAAACATACTCGAAAATAAAAACTGGCCTGGCACGGTGGCTCATGCCTGTAATCACAGCACTTTGGAAGGCTGAGCCGGGCAGATCACCTGAGTTCGGGAGTTCGACACCTGCCTGACCAACATGAAGAAACCCTGTCTCTACTAAAAATTCAACAGATTAGCCAGACGTGGTGGTGCATGCCTGTAATCCCAGCTACTTGGGAGGCTGAGGCAGGAGAATCGCTTGAACCAGGGAGGTGGGGGTTGCAGTGAGCCGAGATTGCACCATTGCACTCTGCACTCCAGCCTGGGCAACAAGAGCAAAACTCCGTCTCAAAAACAAAACAAACGAACAAAACTGAAATTAAGAAAGTATGCTGAGAAAAAAAAACATGACTAAATTAGCAATTTCCTATCTTTGGGTAAAATTCATTTAAAACTATTCTAAGAACATAAACAATAGCAGTAAGTGTGAGTTTAAAACATATGTGGAGAAAAAGTCGCATCAAAATAAATTCAGTCATCACTCAATTATAAAATGGTATGGGTAGAAGGGAACCTATGGTTCATTCTTTATTTTAAAATTAAGGCCCAAAGAAGTTAGATTGCCTGCCTAAGGTCACACAGCTAGCTATTTTGAGAAAGTTTCTCATATCCTAGCTACATTTCTGAAATAAAAGGAAATAGTAATATCAATTTAGAAGATGTTATTTCAGGATAACCTGCAGATTTTTATCTTTGTACCATATATTATTATTGTTCTTGGGCAGTATCTAAATTGTTCTAATTAAGACCCTTTTCACCTGAAGAGTGAAAATTATTGATGCTTTTAGCCCAGTCTATATAAATGTTTAAATATATATCAAGAATTATAAGTATCATGAACCTTAATGTTAATACAATAACATTTTTCCTCTCTGCTTCCCAACTCTTGCCTTTCCCCATCATACTCCCCTTTACCCATTCAGACTTTTTGATTTTGGATAAGAAGTGGTAAATTGGTATCCCCGGCATGACTACATTTAAATAACTATATCTGAAGATTGTTTTATGGAAAAGTTTACAAAGCACTGGAACTTTGCTGTCAATACCTGACAGTGTACCCACTGGAAATCATCAAAGGCTTCATTCCAACAGATACTGGGAAAAAACATCAACCATTTACGGATAAAAACGTTTCCATAAAAACATGAGCAAACTATTTTTTGGATCTGTTCAGATTTAATTGTGAGACCAAATGTCATATGACATCACTAAAAACAAAAAGGAATAATTCCAAGATCTACAAGGATGAGTGGGCACAAATCACAACTGCTGCAGTATATCCACTAAAACATTTGTTGACTCCAAAGCCATTGTGCCCCATTTGGATATTATACTCAGATGTTACCATTTGGTATTTGTGCGTGGACACATTTATGCATGAAATGATGAAGGAAGATTCGTCAGCTCTTAGCAGATTTATCTTCTCTTGAAATCATTTTTTCCTGCCTTCATTTGGGAGAGGGTGGCTTTCACACTACCAGAAACTACCTCATGCTGATGCTGTTATATTTCAGTCTTCACAGACTATGTCCAGGGTCCCAAGTCACTAGACTGGTAATCTGTTTTAGGGTTATTTCTCAATGGTTTGACAATCACCTGTGTATTTGTTTTATCTCTCCAGAGATTGAATGTCCACTTTTCTTCTTTCCTGTTCCTCTTTTTTTCTTGATATATTTTTTGGTAATTCCTTTTCTGTTCTTCTCCATATGTTTCCTAAACTGATTATTAGATTTTCAGGCAACTGGCACATATTATAACAGGAGTTGAAGACTTTTGCAGCCATCTCATGAAACATACGCACACACATACACAAGTGTGTGCACATGCACACAATCCTATATCCTTTGCCTTACTAGTACTCGTAATGTATGATTCTCTGGATTGCATTCTTCCATCTTTTATAACTGCTTCAGCTATATTTAATTAATCATACTGTATAGAAAGCAATGCAACAGTGGCCATTAAATTCTTTTATTTGTTATGCCTATCCTACTTAGTTTTATCAATTCAGCAGTGAAATGCATGACAATATTTATTAGTACTATGTTTTTTTCTTTTTTTTTTAAATTAGTACTATGTTTTTGAAGCATTTTTTTTTACTTTGGTTAATTTGCTAAAAATTTTAATGAATTACCAATTTGACAAATTTACAAAGAGTTTACATGTACCAAAAATGTGTGTCTTCTAACCATTTATAAATTTTATAGTAATTTATATTGAATAGAATGATTTATCATCTGCCTGATATTGACTGGGCTTGCTCAGGTGTCTAGGATCAGCTGGCAAATTAGTTGTAAACTGACTGGCCTAGAATGGCTATATTAGTTTCCTATTTCTGCTGTAACAAATTATCTCACACTTCATGAAATGTTATTCAAAGAGTTAAAAGCAACAAGCCTTTTGGAACTTAAATTTACAAGCAAAAAGCAACCCCATTAAAAGGTGGGCAAAGGACATAACGGACATTTTTCAAAAGAAGGCATACATGTGGCTAACAAGCATATGAAAAAATGCTCAACATGACTAATCATTAGAGAAATGCAAATCAAAACCACAATGGGATACCATCTCACATCAGTCAGAATTTTTGGCTATTATTAAAGTGAAAAAATTAAAGTGAAAAAGTGAAAAAATGACAGATGCTAGTGAGGTTGCGGAGAAGAGGAAATGCTTATACACTGCTGGTGGGGATGTAAATTAGTTTAGCCATTGTAGAAAGCAGTGTGGTGGTTTCTCAAAGAACTTAAAACAGAATTACCGTTCGACCTAGCAAGCCCCTTATTGGGTATACACCCGAAAGAATATGAATCATTCTACCATAAAGACACATGTACACATACGTTCATTGCAGCGCTGTTTACAAAAACAAAGACATGGAATCAACCTAAAGGCCCATCAGTGGTAGACTAGATAAAGAAAATATGATACATATACACCATGGAATACTACATAGCCATAAAAGAGGAAGATCATGACCTTTGCAGCAACATGATGGAGCTGGAGGCCATTATCCCAAGTAAACTAATGCAGGAACAGAAAACCAAATACCACATGTTCTCATTTATAAATGGGAGCTAAGTAACAAGAATACATGGACACGAAGAGGGAAATAACAGACACTGGGGCCTATTTGAGAGTGGAGGGTGGGAGGAGGGACAGGATCAAAAAACTATCTATTGGGTACTATGTTTATTACCCACATGATGAAATGATCTGTACACCAAACCCCATGACACGCAGTTTACCTATTTAACAAACCTGCACATGTACCCCAAAACTAAAATAAAAGTTAAAAAGAAATAAGACTTTTGTAAGTTGCTAATATCAGGAAGTTGGCAAATAGATTTATTTTTACATTTAGTCATTAATCTAATTGATTTTCTGTGAACTGGCTTTAGAACATTGGATTTTTGTCATATTGACTTGCTTCCTTTTCAAATGGATTATGTCATTTGAATTTTGCAGTAATTCTGATTAATTATTCTGTTATAATATAATTGTTATAATTATAACAATTATAATTCTGAATAATTGTTCTTTCTGTAGTGGTAAGTGGGTGGAATACATTTCTAGTTTTTTTATTTTTAAACACAAACGATGCTAAGCACTTGAATCATATCAAGAGGCATTTGTCCCAAATTGGTGACGTGAAATTTGATTAGTTGGCTAAAGTGACACTTGCTAGATATTTTTCATTGTTACTTTTTTTTCTCTTTGCAATTTATGGCAATCTATGTGGGAGATACTTTGAGAATGTGTCAGTATCCTGTATCTTAAATTTTCACCCAATGCTTTTAGCATCCATTGATGACTTTTGCTTGAATCAATTATTAAATTGGTGGTTTTCTAATTCTAACATTTGTTAGCTGACATTCTTCTATAAAGACGTTCTCCCCCACCTCCTTTCTTTAGTAACACTCTGGACACATGTATTTAAAAAAATATATATATATACACGTATATATATATATATGTATATATATATATGTATATATATATGTGTATATATATGTATATATATTGTATATATATGTGTATATATATGTGTATATATATGTGTATATATGTGTATATATATGTGTATATATATGTGTATATATATGTGTATATATATATGTGTGTGTATATATATATATATATACACACACACATATATAATTTACGGTTATCATTATTCTTTGCTCAAATTATTCCAGATTTGGCTTTAAGACAGCTCTTATATCTTTCTGACTCGTCTCCAGTCTTTAACCTCTTTTCTCTTTTATGACACATGGAAAAAATATGCTCTAGGTTCATCTTGTGCTTCTTATGCCCCAACTTTAGAATCATTAATTTCTTTAAGAAGACTGAGTATGGAATGATATTTAGAAACAAAAATCTGAAACTAAATGTTTTTATTGCTATGAAGCTATTGTTACTTCCAGGCCCTTGCTAAGGTCAGAGCTCAAAATGTATCACAATAAAATATGAGTTTGTATTGACATGAATTCTATTTTAAATCAAACAACACAGGGTTCTTTCTCTATTTGTTATTGTATCTTCTTTTTCATTCGGGGAGAAATGTGGTTTCCCAAACATTAATATCTTTACTCATTTACTTTATCATGCCATTTGAAACTCATAGTATCTTATTTTACTTTGTCTCTGAGTTATGTTGTATCTATGCATTGCCAGAAATTTTCTCTGCCATTGTTGTTGATCCATGTGATTTGTTTGAAGGATATTTATACGGGTTTGGATGAAAGAGGATTTCATTATTTAGGGGGGACACAGAACACTTTAACACTAGCTTTCAAAGCTTTTAGAGCTCAAAGGGATCCATGTCTCTTCAATTTATTTCATTATTGGCCAGAGTAACACCTGATTGGCCAGATCCAATATCAAAGGATGAGAGAAGTGCAAATGTACCACATGCCTAGAAGGATAACTGGAATAGCACTGATGACTGATGACCACCACATTAGTCTTTATTCTTTTTTTTCTTTTAGATATGAAAGTGAATATGTATTTAGAATAAGAAAAGAAATTACAACAAAATATAAAATTTTTTTAAAGCTGACAATTATCACAAACATCACAAAATCTAGTAAATTCCCTTACACACTCTTATAATACTTAAATTTTTTAAATTATACCTTAAGTTCTGGGATACATGTGCAGAACATGCAGGTTTGTTACATAGGTATACATGTGCAATGGTAGTTTGCTGCACCCATCAACCTGTCATCTACATTAGTTTTTTTTTCTTTCTTTCTTTTTTTTTTTTTTTTTTTGAGACGGAGTCTCACTCTGTGCCCAGGCTGGAGTGCAGTGGCACCATCTCGGCTCACTACAAGCTTCGTCTCCCAGGTTCACGCCATTCTCCTGCCTCAGCCTCCCGAGTAGCTGGGACTACAGGCGCCCGCCACCACACCCGGCTAATTTTTTGTATTTTTAGTCGAGATGGGGTTTCACCGTGTTAGCCAGGATGGTCTCGATCTCCTGACCTCAGGCTCCGCCTGCCTTGGCCTCCCAAAGTGCTGGGATTACGGGTGTCAGCCACTGCATCCAGCCTACATTAGGTATTTCTCCTAATGCTATCCCTCCCCTTGCTCCCCATCACCTGAAAGGCCCCGGTGTGTGATGTTCTCCTCCCTGTGCCCATGTGTTCTCATTTTCGACACCCACTTATGAGTGAGAACATGCGGTTTTTGGTTTTCTGTTCCTGTGTTAGTTTGCTGAGAATGATGGTTTCCAGCTTCATCCATGTCCCTGCAAAGGACATGAATTCATTCTTTTTTATGGCTGCATAGTATTCCATGGTGTATTTGTGCCACATTTTCTTTATCCAGTCTATCATTGATGGACATTTGGGTTAGTTCCAAGTCTCTGCTATTGTGAATAGTGCTGTGATAAACATACGTGTGCATGTGTCTTTATAGTAGAATGATTTATAATCCTTTGGGTATATCCCCAGTAATGGGATTGCTGGGTCAAATGGTATTTCTAGTTCTAGATCTTTGAGGAATCGCCACACTGTCTTCCACAATGGTTGAACTAATTTACACTCCCACCAACAGTGTAAAAGTGTTCCTATTTCTCCACATCCTCTCCAGCATCTGTTTCCAGGCTTTTTAATGATTGCCATTCTAACTGGTGTGAAATGATATCTCATTGTGGTTTTAATTTACATTTCTCTAATGACCAGTGATGATGAGCTTTTTTTCATACGTTTGTTGGCTGCATGGCTGCATAAATGTGTGCTTTTGAGAAGTGTCTCTTCATATCCTTTGCCCACTATTTGATGGGGTTATTTTTCTTGTAAATTTGTTTAAGTTCCTTGTGGATTCTGGTTATTAGACTTTTGTCAGATGGATAGATTGCAAAAATTTTCTCGCATTCTGTAGGTTGCCTGTTCACTCCAATGATAGTTTCTTTTGCAGAAGCTCTCTAGTTTAATTAGATCCCATTTGTCAATCTTGGCTCTTGTTGCCATTGCTTTTGGTGTTTTAGTCATGAAGTCTTTGCCCATGCCTGTATCCTGAATGGTATTGCTTAGGTTTTCTTCTAAAGTTTTTATGGTTTTAGGTCTTACATTTAAATCTTTTTTCTGGCTTGAGTTGATTTTTGTATAAGGTGTAAGGAAGGGGTCCAGTTTCAGTTTTCTGCATATGGCTGGCTAGTTTTCCCAACACCATTTATTAAATAGAGAATCCTTTCCCCATTGCTTGTTTTTGTCAGGTTTGTCAAAGATCAGATGGATGTAGATGTGTGGTGTTATTTGTGAGGCCTCTGTTCTGTTCCATTGGTCTATATATCTGTTTTGGTATCAGTACTATGCTGTTTTGGTTACTGCAGCCTTGTAGTGTAGTTTGAAGTCAGGTAGCGTGATGCCTCCAGCTTTGTTCTTTTTGCTTAGGATTGTCTTGGCTATACAGGCTGTTTTTTGGTTCCATATGAAATTTAAGTAGTTGCTTCTAATTCTGTGAAGATAGTCAATGGTAGCTTGATGGAGATAACATTGAATCTATAAATTACTCTGGGCAGTATGGCCATTTTCACTATATTGATTCTTTCTATCCATGAGCATGGAATGTTTTTCCATTTGTTTGTGTCCTCTCTTATTTCCTTGAGCAGTGGTTTGTAGTTCTCCTTGAAGAGGTCCTTCACATCCCTTGTAAGTTGTATTCCTAGTTATTTTATTCTCTATGTAGCAATTGTGAATGGGAGTTTGCTCATTATTTGGCTCTCTGTTTGTCTATAATTGGTGTATAGGAATGCTTGTGATTTTTGCACATTGATTTTGTATTCTGAGACTTTACTAAAGTTCCTTATCAGTTTAAGGAGTTTTGGGGCTGAGACTATGGGATTTTCTAAATATACAATCATGTCATCTAAAACAGAGGTAATTTGATGTCATCTCTTCCTATTTGAATACCTTTTATTTTCTGTTGCCTGATTGCCCTAGCCAGAACTTCCAGTACTATGTGAAATAGAAGTTGTGAGAGAGGGCATTCTTGTCTTGTGCCAGTTTTCAAACAGAATGCTTCCAGCTTTTGCCCATTCGGTATGGTATTGGCTGTGGGTTTGTCATAAAGAGCTTTTATTATGTTCAGATGTCTTCCATCAATAGCTAGTTTATTGAGTGTTTTTAGCATGAAGGGGTGTTGAATTTTATTGAAGGCCTTTTCTGCATCTATCGAGATAATCATGTGGTTTTTATCATTGTTTCTGTTTATGTGATGGATTACGTTTATTGATTTGTGCATGTTGAACCAGCCTTGTATCCCAGGGGTGAAGCCAACTTTATTGTGGTGGATAAGCTTTTTGATGTGTTGCTGGATTCAGTTTGCCAGTATTTTATTGAGGATTTTTGCACTGATGTTCATTAGGGATATTTGCCTGAAATTTTCTTTCTTTTTTTTTTTTTTGTTGTGTCTCTGCCAGGCTTTGGTATCAGGATGATGCTGGCCTCATAACATGAGTTATGGAGGATTTCCTCTTTTTCTATTGTTTGGAATAGTTTCAGAAGGAATGGTACCAGCTCCTCTTTGGACCTCTGGTGGAATTCAGCTGTGAATCTGTCTGGTCCTGGACTTTTTTTGGTTGGTAGGCTATTAATTACTGTCTCAATTTCAGAACTTGTTATTGGTCTATTCAGGGATTTGACTTCTTCCTGGTTTAGTCTTGGGAAGGTGTATGTGTCAGGAATTTATCCACTTCTTGTAGATTTTCCAGTTTATTTGTGTAGAGGTGTCTATAGTATTCCCTGATGGTAGTTTGTATTTCTGTGGGATCAGAGGTGATCTCCCCTTTATCATTTTTTATTGTGTCTATTTGATTCTTCTTTCTTTCTTTATTAGTCTGGCTAGTGGTCTATGTATTTTGTTAATCTTTTCAAAAAACCATCTCTGGGATTCGATTGATTTTTTTGAAGGGTTTTCATGTCTCTATCTCCTTCAGTTCTGCTCTGATTTTAGTTATTTCTTGTCTTCTTCTAGCTTTTGAATTTGTTTGCTCTTGCTTCTTTAGTTCTTTTAATTATGATGTTAGGGTGTCAATTTTAGATCTTTCCTGCTTTCTCCTGTGGGCATTTAGTGCTATAAATTTCCCTCTAAACACTGCTTTAGCTGTGTTCCAGAGATTCTGGTACGTTGTGTCTTTTTTCTCATTGGTTTCAAGTAACTTATTTATTTCTGCCTTAATTTCATTATTTACCCAGTAGTCATTCAGAAACAGGTTGTTCAGTTTCCATGTAATTGTGTGGTTTTGATTGAGTTTCTTAATCCTGAGTTCTAATTTGATTGCACTGTGGTCTGAGAGACTGTTATGATTTCATAGATGTCTATTAGGTTGTTTTGTCCAGAGCTGAGTTCAAGTCCTGAATATCCTTGTTAATTTTTTGTCTCACTGATCTAATATTGACAGTGTGGGAGTACTATTATTGTGTGGGAGTCTAAGTCTCTTTGTAGGTCTCTAAGAACTTGCTTTATGAATCTGGGTGCTCCTGTATTGGGTGCATATATATATTTAGGATAGTTAGCTCTTCTTGTTGCATTGATTCCTTTACCACAATGTGATGCCCTTTGCCTTTTTTCATCTTTTTTGGTTTAAAGTCTGTTTTATGAGACTAGGATTGCAACACCTGCTTTTTTTTTCCTTTCACTTTCTTGGTAAATCTTCCTCCATCTGTTTATTTTGAGCCTATGTGTGTCTTTGCACGTGAGATGGGTCTCCTGAATACAGCACACCGATGGGTCTTGACTCTTTATCCAATTTGCCAGTCTATGTCTTTTAATTGGGGAATTTACCCATTTACCTTTAATTTTAATATTGTTATGTGTGAATTTGATCCTGTGATTATGATGTTAGCTGGTTATTGTGCCCGTTAGTTGATGTAGTTTCTTCATAGTGTCAATGGCCTTTACATTTTGGTTTGTTTTTGCAGTGGCTGGTACCAGTTTTTCCTTTCCATATTTAGTGCTTCCTTCAGGAGCTCTTGTTAGGCAGGTCTGGTGGTGACAAAATCCCTCAGCATTTGCTTGTCTGTAAAGGATTTTATTTCTTCTTCTCTTATGAAGCTTAGTTTGGCTGGATATGAAATTCTGGGTTGAAAATTCTTTTCTTTAAGAACGTTGCATATTAGCCCCTACACTTTTCTGGCTTGTAGGGTTTCTGCCAAGAGATCTGCATTAGTCTGATGGGCTTCCCTTTGTGGGTAACCTGACCTTTCTCTCTGGCTGCCCTTAACGTTTTTTTCCACCATTTCAACCTTGGTGAATCTGACAATTATGTGTCCTGGGGTTGCTCTTCTCGAGGAGTGTCTTTGTGGTGTTCTCTGTATTTCCTGAATTTGAGTGTTGGCTGGTATTGCTAGGTTGGGGAAGTTCTCCTGGATAATATCCTGAAGTGTGTTTTTTCAACTTGGTTCCATTCTCCCCATCACTTTCATGTATACCAATCAAATGTAGGTTTGGTCTTTTCACGTAGTCCCATATTTGTTGGAGGCTTTGTTTGTTCCTTTTCATTTTTTTTTCTCTAATCTTGTCTTTACACTTTATTTCATTAAGTTGATCTTCAATCTCTTATATCCTTTCTTCTGCTTGATCAATTCAGCTATTGATACTTGTGTATACTTCATGAAGTTCTTGTGCTGTGTTTTTCAGCTCCATCAGGTCATTTATGTTCTTCTCTAAAGTTAGTAATTCCTCTAACCTTTTATCAAGGTTCTTAGCTTCCTTGCATTGGGTTAGAACATGCAAGCTCAGAGAAGTTTATGACCCACCTTCTGAAGGCTACTTCTGTCAATTCGTCAAACTCATTCTCTGTCCAGTTTTGTTCCCTTGATGGTGAGGAGTTGTTATCCTTTGGAGAAGAGGCATTCTGGTTTTTGTAATTTTCAGCCTTTTTGCCCTGGTTTTTCCTCATCTTCGTGGTTTTATCTACCTTTGGTCTTTGCTCTTGGTGAACTTTGGATGGAGTTTTTGTGTGGTCTTCCTTTTTGTTGATGTTGATGCTATTGCTTTCTCTTTGTAATTTTTCCTTCTAACAGTCAGGTCCCTCTTCTGCAGGTCTGCTGGAGTTTGCTGGAGGTCCACACCAGACCCTGTTTGCCTGGGTATCACCCGCTGAGGCTGCATAACAGCAAAGATTGCTCTCTCCTCTTTCCTCTGCTTCCTCTGGAGCAGAGGAAGTGTCTGGGAAGTGTCTCCCCATCAGTAGGCATGGGGGTCAGGGACCCACTTAAGGAGGCAGTCTGTCCCTTAGCAGAGCTCAAGCACTGTGCTGGGAAATCCATTGCTCTCTCCAGAGCCAGCAGTCAAGAACATTTAAGTCTGCTGAAGCTGTTCCTACAGCCGTTGCTTCCCCCCAGGTGCTCTGTCCCAGGGAGATGGGAGTTTTATGTATAAACCCCTGACTGGGGCTGCTGCCTTTCTTTTTCAGAGATGCCCTTCCCAGAGAAAAGGAATCTAGAGAGGCAATCTATCTACCGGGCCTTTGCTGAGCAGTGGTGGGCTCTGCCCAGTTTGAACTTCCTGGTGGCTTTGTTTACACTGTGAGGGGAAAACTGCCTACTCAAGCCTCAGTAATGGTGGACACCCCTCCCCCCACCAAGCTTCAGTGTCCCAAGTTGACTTCAGACTGCTGTGCTGGCAGCGAGAATTTCAAGCCAGTGGATCTTAGCTTCCTGGGCTCTGTGGGACTGGGATTTGACGAGAAGACCACTTGGTTCCCTGGCTTCTGCCCCCTTTCCAGGGGAGTGAATGGTTCTGTCTTGCTGGCATTACAGGTGCCACTGGGATGTGCAAAGAAACTCCTGCAGCTAGCTCGGTATCTGCCCAAATGGCCGCCCAGTTTTGTGCTTGAAACCCAAGGCCTTGGTGGTGTAGGCACCTGAGGGAATCTCCTGGTCTGTGGGTTACGAAGACTGTGGGAGAGGTGTAGTATCTGGGCCGGATAGCACCATCCCTCATGGCACAGTCCCTCACAGTTTCCCTTGGATAGGGGAGAGAGTTCCCCGACCCCTTGTACTTCCCAGGTGAGGTCGTGCCCCATCCTGCTTCTGCTTGCCCTCTGTGGGCTGCATCCACTGTCTAACAAGTCCCAGTGAGATGAACTGGGTACCTCAGTTGGAAATGCAGAAATCACCTGCCTTCTACATTGGTATCCCTGGGAACTGCATATAGGAGCTGTTCCTATTTAGCCATCTTGCCCCAGTCATCCACTGCATTAATCTTAATGACCAATGATGCTTATACAATTTACAACCAACCTTTGTTGAGGCTTTAATCACTCTCTTAGTCTAGGTCCCCCAGAAAACAAAAAGTGAGGCAAAAGCTTAGATGAAATTTTTTATTAGGGAATGCAATCCCAGGAAAGCTGGTGTGGGTAAAAGGAGAATGAGACGAGGAAGAAAGGAAAGCCAAATGAGGATATATTCTGAGTGAATCTTTTACCACCTGGTATCAAATGCAACTGATTACTCACTCTTAATCCTCTCCTTCCAAGAGAACATATTAAACTACCACATCTCTGGATGGCCCATCTTGGGAAAAAGAATTTATCAATGAACTCTCATCTGTCATTGCTCAAATAATTCCATAAAGTGTGTCAGCTTCCCTGAACTTTGGTTTTGTTTTCCTTGTGCTTCTGTACACTGTGAGCAAGTGAGGTGGGGCTCTATGCTCCAGTGGCAACAGGAAAGCCATAGGACAGGAGATGCAAGGTGATCCATTGGCATGAAGTCTGTGCTGTTGGGAAAGCCTACTGGAGCCCATATGGAGTTGGTCATCAAAGTGAAGATTCAACTGTCTCAATTGGATAATGGCTCAAGAGACAAATGGGGCCTGGAGTATCAGGGGTGTCATGTAAGTTATATCTGACATAATCACTTTTACCTTTGAATCTTAGTTACCATGTTAACTACCATCTATAAAATAGAGGCGATAAGCTATCTCTGGGTGACTTAAAAAAATATATATATATAAAATGGAACTCATCGTGTTCTTTAAAACAAGACTTTTTTTATTAATGTCATTAATTATTTTTCCATTAATGGCAGTAATTATTCAATTCATTTAAGTTAGAGACCTTGTAGTAAACTTTGACTCCTATTTCTTACTCTGCAATCACAGTCAGAAGCCTAGACATGTAGAACCTAGCTCCACAATGCCCCTTGAATCTTCTAACTCATTTCTTTCCCATTACCATCACGTTAACTCAGGCTTTGAGTACATTTTGCCTGAAATAGCCACCTGATGTTTTCCGTACCTCCTGCCTCTCCTTTCTCTTGCCAGAATAATCTCCTTAAAGCATCTGATCCTATTTTTTCTTCTTCAAAACATCATTCACTTCCAAGAGTCCATTAAATTAAATCCAACCTTCATTATGTACGACCTAGAAGAATCCTCAAATCAATTAAACCTGCCTTTTCTACCTAGTTCTGTTTTGTTAGCATCCGTATACCTAATTGCAGCCAAACTGGATTTCACAGGTTTCCTTGGATACAAGCTTTGCTTTCTTAACTTTATTTCTTGTTCATATTTTCCTGCAATCTTAAAATGCCCTTCCTGCTACTGCTTTTTTCTTCTTCAAAAGCACATCTTAAAATGCCCTTCCTGCACATGCTTCCTTATCAAAAACACATATTCTCCTTTCTTCAAAGCACATCTTTAAAACTATCTCCTTCAGGAAGCCTGGACTGTCCCATCACGCCTGTTGTCTCATCACTGCCAGTGATGAGTCTCTTGCCTGGGTGTCTTCACTTCTAATGTAGACTATTTTTTACCTTCCCTTAAAGAGGTGGGGGATCATGCAGCTTCTCTATTCTCAGAACTATAGGAACACCCCAAGTCACTGTCTAATTTAGGAGATTGGCCCAAGGCAGGGAAGAGGTGAGTTTGGCAGCCTCTGATGAGGGAAATTGGAGGAAATTATGCTGCCAAGATAACCATGTTTTGTGCTCCTAGATTGAGCTCTTTGATCATACAAATCTATGGAAAGGTCTTTCTCTGCTGCCATCGGCTGTGAAGCGTGCCTGAGATAGATGCTGGCTGATTTTGCAATGATGGGTAAACTACATTATTTGCTGATTTGGATGATCTCACAGCGCTAGGAGGGGGATAGAAGGAGTGTAACGTTTTCTTCCCAACCCCGATGGCTTAGGAAGGTGAAGTGGACCCTGACTCTCATGTGCCCAAAGTGTTTACTTGTAAATGAGCTCTAAATTCAATATACTTACAAAATGTAGTAAACAAGAGCTCAATCAGTAAATCTCTACCAGTCATTTGACATAATTATCCTCTAGAGTAATGTGAAATATGGTTTAATTGACACCATTTCAAACAGCATTTGCTTTATTTGGGTGGAGTTTTTTTCCTACTAATAACAGAGTTGGAGAAAAATGACTCTTATTGCATGTAAGCTAACATTTTGTACCAGTGAGAACATATTTTGGTAGGAAAAAGATGAAAGCTAAAAATAGTATACTGGAAAAGTCATTTTATCAAGCATATTCTGACTGAGAGAGGTCCTAAAACTCTTGTCTTAAGAAATGTTTAATCTTAGATCTGTTTTTTTTTTTTTTTGGTCATAAGAAGGAGAAGAATTGCTCTTTGATATTGATATTGGATATTAAGCAAGGTTTCTGGTTTCAAAGGAAATAGGATTTTATTTATCGAGAAGAGGCCTGCTCATAGAGAGGAAGCTGGCTAATTTTGGCCTATTTCCCTGGAATCACAATTTCCTATCTGATGGGAATTTGAGGAGCATGATTGTTTATATTCTAGAAAAGACAGTGGGAAGAAGAGAGGAAACAGCATCAAGGGGCTGACCTTTTGACCCAGCTGACAGCTACTGAATCCAAGATTTTAGAATTAGAATTGCAGGGCATTGGGAGTGCATCTTCCTAAGGCCAGTGAAATACGATTCTGAGTTCTATGAAGAATGCAAGACTCTCTCTTGACTATCTCTTGAGCCTGTTCTCTTTATCATTTCTCTTACTTCTTACTCTGTAAGCAGTCAGAAGCAGTCAATAGTTCACAGTCAGAAGGGTAAATGGCACAGCTTGTTAGCTGGTCTCCTTGCCCCTAAATTCAGCCTGGCTTCAGTTCACCCTGCAGTCTGCTGCTAGTGTTATAATTGCAATGGCAGAGATTGTCTATAATAGAGATTGTATATAATATAATCACAATGTCGGCCGTTGTGATTACAACACTAGCAGCAGACCGCAGGGTGCAATAATGTGAACCCTCTGCTTATAAACCTTTGTTGTCTTGCTGTTGTTTATAGGAAAGTGCCTAATGCCCTTAACTTGACCTTTCCCATCAGAGTTAGTGGCCCCTTCCCCCATGTACTCTGTTACTGTATTATGCTGATTTGTTGACATGGCATTCTCACACTTACCCAGTGAGTTTCATAAAGGCAGATACTATGTCTTAGTTATCTGTGTGCTTTCATCCTTTAATACAATTTTTTTGTACATGGTAGGTATTCATTAAATTCTTCAATTTTAAAATACTACATGGTAAACCAGATTATGTTCACTCTACTCATATGATGTAATTCAATTCAGGGACTACTGAATACCTTTTATGTTTCAAAAACTTTCTTAGATTCATGATTTTATGGAATTAATAATTTTTTCATCAGTTGTCTTTAGAGACTGAGGTTGATTTGTGTTTGTTTTCCTTTTAAAATAGTTTCTCTTCTCTTAGAAAGCAATAGTTCAATTCTTTTGATCTTATTAAATGAAGCTCTTTAGACTTTTTACCATTTTTTTTTTCTGGAGTAGCAGAGTTTGAATATGCTGGTTATCTTTGAGCTTGTGTCTTTAGCTTGATTATTTCACCACAACATTTGGCCAATCATAGGATGGGGTAGCTGGGGTGATAGATTTCTAATTTTCTTCTTCTTAACATCTTTTTTCAGATAATGCAAAAAGATGTGTGCCAAGTTATATCAAAGCAACTGCAAGATTTACTGACATAATGACAACAAATATCATTTAATTAGAGTTTCTAAGTATGCCAGGCACTATGCTGAATCCTAGCTGGGTTATTTTATTTAATATTCATCACATTCACCTTGTGAATGACAGCATAAAGGATTAAAAAAAAGTTACATACCTGTTGTTATATAATTAGCAAGCAGCAACACATAAAAGATTTAAACTCAACTCTGATTCTTGAGCCCAGATTTTTCCACTACTTCCAGTATTTCCTATACTTGAATAATGTGCAAACTTCTTGAAAAAAAATCCTAAGGATTCTCTCTCATTGGAGGATCTCTCCAAAAATCCAAGTATGAGAAATACTGATTTAAGAAATTAAAGTTTTAACCTATGGAAATGCCTTTCAATATGAATATTGCTACACAAGAGAAGTTTTAGATTTTTAATGCGGTAAGCTGACTTGTTAAAAGATTCCCTCGATATAAAAACACAAACTATACAAATCTCACCTCTTCATGAATTTGTCTGCAGAGTTGGGTTTATAGGCAGTGACAGAACCCAGGGACTATCTCTACCCCTGTAGTAGACACTATGGAGCATAGTCCAGATCCTGCTTTCAGAACAAAGACCCTTATTCCCCTGAGAACCAGAAGTGTCCAGTGCTGAGAGTTCACAACTGATTCCTTCCCCAAGAAATTCTTTTGGCTGAGCAAGTTTATAACCCATTCTTGGAGGCAGCATATTTCCTATGACTAGTTATTTAGGGTAGGGTGTGTGGAGGGACAAAGGCCGAGCTCCTTGCTTCAATTCAGCTCAGGTCTGAGGGGATATTCAAGCTTCAGAGAACTGTGTGAGAAGGGCTGAGGCCTCTGTTACAACTGCCTTGGAGGTCAACCTCTCCCTCTGCCCTGTCCTGCTTTCCTCACTCCTTTACAAGCATTATTGCTGAGAATACTTCATAATAAACCACCTGTTTGTGAATATCTGGCTCAGGAACAAGGAGACTCATGACAATCTCTAAAGCCACCTCAAGGAAACACTAAATAAAAACAGAACGATTTCTATGTGTATGCAGCTTAAGACAAGACTACAAAGGCTACCTTTCAAGCAGACCGTTGCCTCCTCAGCTCCTCCTTCAGATATTTTGGAGAAAAAACACAAGAACTTTTGACTCTAACACACTGCAAGTATAGACATTAAGTATCTGCAACAACTTCCTCATCCTTAGACACCATTATATAGAAGTCTCTAATCCCTCCCTAGAGCAGAGAGTCTATATAACACAAACTGGATTCATACAGTTTAGACAAAATCAACCACCCCACGAAACAAAACAAAATAAAAAACCAAACCATAATAGCAGTTTTGATTATCTTGTTTGGTTTTCTAATTGGCCAAGTAAATAGAAAAATTGACACTAAAACACTTCTCTTCGTATCATGTAGATTGTCTAAAATTAAAATGTAATATTTAGGCTAACACAGCTTAACTGACATTATGAGGATGGTAGAATCATTTAAACCCATAGTGGGAGGTTCTTCGTGGGTTTATGTGGGACTACTGGCCAATCCTTTTATCCTTTAGTAATCTTAAGCAGGAACAATTTGTATTGAGTTCCAGTAATTGGAGGTGTGCCTGAGTTGCTGAGGAGTAAGAATGCAAGAAATGCACAGAGAAATGCACAGTGACACACACTTATAATTTGTACTTTATTTCAGAACATGATGTTGTAAACACGAGAAAGAGATGAGTGCAAAATCATCATATGGCCAATATAAATAATTCAAGCACCAAATCCATCTGAGGCTCAAACTGTCTCATTTGAATCATTTTTGATTAAGAAAAATACCACAAAAAATGAACAATTGCCAAATCCATCCTTTTCAAAACTTTGAGTTGTTTAACTAACTAAAAAGAAAAAAAAGTACTTGAGATCACAGTTAGAATTAATATACATATATACCTCTACCTTCTGAACTTAGTTCTAGGATAAAATTCCAATGTATAAGCAAAAAAAGAAATAAATACACTGTCACATCAAGATCAAAATAATTTTAAGTGTCCCTGTGTTTCCTTTATGCAACCATTATGACATACTGGAATAATCAATGAAAGACAAAAATAATTGTTCTTTTTCATTTAACTGTGCTATGGCAAAAAGAAAATGAGACTAGCAGTCAGGGAAGAAGTTAGGAATAAGATGCAATACAAGATACTTTGTATCATTAATTATTAGTATTATTATAGAAATGAAGAGGAAAACTCTTATCTGGTTAAGTTGTGGCAGCTGAGAAAAAATCCAGATGTAAATTCAGAAGATAATTTCTTTTCATAGTCTTTACTGACTATGTTTATAGAAGTAAATGTCAAGGTAAGCTTGGCAAGAAGCAAAAGAAATGAGGCACATTTCTCTAGTGTCATTCCCCAGATGCTGTCTTTTACCTTTCTGAGTATGCACGAGTCTGACACTGGGTTTCTGCTTCTTTATGGAAACAGTATGCAAACACTCAAATAACAGCAGGATAGTCATTTTTCATATATGCTTTGTTTTCATTTCTATGACTTGGAAAGACCAAGTTTCCAAATGCAGAAATCTATGCAGTTGCTCTGCAAGTTGAGTCCTTGCTTGCACTCTGGATTTTATTTTTATTTTTTTATTTTTATTTTTTATTTTTTCTCCCTCTTGCTCACTTTCCCTGGAGTCCAGAGCCTGAACCAGGCTCCAGGTAAGAGGACAGAGTGAATGCCTTTTGTTTCATTAACATTTTCCTTCACCTGGTGATTTCTTTTCTTTTTTTTTTTAATTATACTTTAAGTTTTAGGGTACATGTGCACAACGTGCAGATTTGTTACATATGTATACATGTGCCATGCTGGTGTGCTGCACCCAATAACTCATCATTTAACATTAGGTATATCTCCTAATGCTATCCCTCCCCCTTCCCCCACCCCACAACAGGCCCCAGTGTGTGATATTCCCCTTCCTGTGTCCATGTGTTCTCCTTGTTCAATTCCCACCTATGAGTGAGAACATGTGGTGTTTGGGTTTTTGTCCTTGCGATAGTTTGCTGAGAATGATGGTTTCCAGCATCATCCATGTTTGTACAAAGGACATGAACTCATCATTTTTTAAGGCTGTGTAGTATTCTATGGTGTATATGTGCCACATTTTCTTAATCCAGTCTATCATTGTTGGACATTTGGGTTGGTTCCAAGTCTTTGCTATTGTGAATAGTGCTGCAATAAACATACGTGTGCATGTGCCTTTATAGCAGCATGATTTATAATCCTTTGGGTATATACCCAGTCAGTAATGGCATGGCTGGGTCAAATGGTATTTCTAGTTCTAGATCCCTGAGGAATCGCCCCACTGACTTCCACAATGGTTGAACTAGTTTATAGTCCCACCAACAGTGTAAAAGTGTTCCCATTTCTCCACATCCTCTCCAGCACCTGTTGTTTCCTGACTTTTTAATGATTGCCATTCTAACTGGTGTGAGATGGTATCTCATTGTGGTTTTGATTTGCATTTCTCTGATGGCCAGTGATGATGAGCATTTTTTCATGTGTCTTTTGGCTACATAAATGTCTTCTTTTGAGAAGTATCTGTTCATATCCTTCGCCCACTTTTTGATGGGGTTGTTTGTTTTTTTCTTGTAAATTTGTTTGAGTTCATTGTAGATTCTGGATATTAGCTCTTTGTCAGATGAGTAGATTGCAAAAATTTTCTCCCATTCTGTAGGTTGCCTGCTCCCTCTGATGGTAGTTTCTTTCGCTGTGCAGAAGCTATTTCATTTAACTAGATCCCATTTGTCAATTTGGCTTTTATTGCCATCGCTTTTGGTGTTTTAGACATGAAGTCCTTGCCCATGCCTATGTCCCGAATGGTGTTGCCTAGGTTTTCTTCTAGGGTTTTTATGGTTTTATGTCTAACATTTAAGTCTTTAATCCATCTTGAATTAATTTTTGTATAAGGTGTAAGGAAGGGATCCAGTTTCAGCTTTCTGCATATGTCTAGCCAGTTTTCCCAGCACCATTTATTAAATAGGGAATCCTTTCCCCATTGCTTGTTTTTGTGAGGTTTGTCGAAGATCAGATAGTTGTAGATATGCGGTATTAATTCTGAGGGCTCTGTTCTGTTCCATTGGTCTATATCTCTGTTTTGGTACCAGTACCATGCTGTTTTGGTTACTGTAGCCTTGTAGTATGGTTTGAAGTCAGGTAGCATGATGCCTCCAGCTTTGTTCTTTTGGCTTAGGATTGACTTGGTGATGTGGGCTCTTTTTTGGTTCTATATGAACTTTAAAGTAGTTTTTTCCAATTCTGTGAAGAAAGGCATTGGTAGCTTGATGGGGATGGCATTGAATCTATAAATTACCTTGGGCAATACGGCCATTTTCATGATATTGATTCTCCCTACCCATGAGCATAGAATGTTCTTCCATTTGTTTGTATCCTCTTTTATTTCCTTGAGCAGTGGTTTGTAGTTCTCCTTGAAGAGGTCCTTCACATCCCTTGTAAGTTGGATTCCTAGGTATTTTATTCTCTTTGAAGCAATTGTGAATGGGAGTTCACTCATGATTTGGCTCTCTGTTTGTCTGTTATTGGTGTATAAGAATGCTTGTGATTTTCGTACATTGATTTTGTATCCTGAGACTTTGCTGAAGTTGCTTATCAGCTGAAGGAGATTTTGGGCTGAGACAATGGGGTTTTCTAGATACACAATCATGTCATCTGCAAACAGGGACAATTTGACTTCCTCTTTTCCTAATTGAATACCCTTTATTCCCTTCTCCTGCCTAATGGCCCTGGCCAGACTTCCAATAGTATATTGAATAGGAGTGGTGAGGGAGGGCATCCCTGTCTTGTGCTGGTTTTCAAAGGGAATGCTTCCAGGTTCTGCCCATTCAGTATGATATTGGCTGTGGGTTTGTCATAGATAGCTCTTATTATTTTGAGATATGTCCCATCAATACCTAATTTATTGAGAGTTTTTAGCATGAAGGGTTGTTGAATTTTGTCAAAGGCCTTTTCTGCATCTATTGAGATAATCATGTGGCTTTTGTCATTGGTTCTGTTTATATGCTGGATTACGTTTATTGATTTGCATATGTTGAATCAGCCTTGCATCCCAGGGATGAAGCCCACTTGATCATGGTGGATAAGCTTTTTGATGTGCTGCTGGATTCAGTTTGCCAGTATTTTATTGAGGATTTTTGCATCGATGTTCATCAGGGATATTGGTCTAAAATTCTCTTTTTTGATTGTGTCTCTGCCAGGCTTTGGTATCAGGATGATGCTGGCCTCATAAAATGAGTTAAGGAGGATTCTCTCTTTTTCTATTGTTTGGAATAGTTTCAGAAGGAATGGTACCAGCTCCTCCTTGTACCTCTGGTAGAATTCGGCTGTGAATCCATCTGGTCCTGGACTTTTTTTGGTTGGTAAGCTATTAATTATTGCCTCAATTTCAGAGCCTGTTATTGGTCTATTCAGAGATTCAACTTCTTCCTGGTTTAGTCTTCGGAGGGTGTATGTGTTGAGGAATTTATCCGTTTCTTCTAGATTTTCTAGTTTATTTGTGTAAAGGTGTTTATAGTATTCTCTGATGGTAGTTTTTATTTCTGTGGGATCGGTGGTGATATCCCCTTTATCATTTTTTTATTACATCTATTTGATTCTTCTCTCTTTTCTTCTTAATTAGTCTTGCTAGCAGTCTATCAATTTTGTTGATCTTTTCAAAAAACAAGCTCCTGGAATCATTGATTTTTTGAAGGGTTTTTTGTGTCCCTATTTCCTTCAGTTCTGCTCTGATCTTAGTTATTTCTTGCCTTCTGCTAGCTTTTGAGTGTGTTTGCTCTTGCTTCTCTAGTTCTTTTAATTGTGATGTTAGGCTATCAGTTTTAGATCTTTCCTGCTTTCTCTTGTGGGCATTTAGTGCTGTAAATTTCCCTCTACACACTGCTTTGAATGTGTCCTAGAGATTCTGGTATATTGTGTCTTTGTTCTCGTTGGTTTCAAAGAACATCTTTATTTCTGCCTTCATTTCATTATGTACCCAGTAGTCATTCAGGAGCAGGTTGTTCAGTTTCCATGTAGTTGAGCGGTTTTGAGTGAGTTTCTTAATCCTGAATTCTAGTTTGATTGCACTGTGGTCTAAGAGACAGTTTGTTATAATCTCTCTTCTTTTACATTTGCTGAGGAGTGCTTTACTTCCAACTATGTGGTCAATTTTGGAATAGGTGTGGTGTGGTGCTGAAAAGAATGTATATTCTGTTGATTTGGGGTGGAGAGTTCTGTAGATGTCTATTGGGTCCGCTTGGTGCAGAGCTGAGTTCAATTCCTGGGTATCCTTGTTAACTTTCTGTCTCATTGATCTGTCTAATATTGACAGTGGGGTGTTAACATCTCCCGTTATTATTGTGTGGGAGTCTAAGCCTCTTTGTAGGTCTCTAAGGACTTGCTTTATGAATCTGGGTGCTCTTGTATTGGGTGCATATATATTTAGGATAGTTAGCTCTTCTTGTTGAATTGATCCCTTTACCATTATGTAATGGCCTTCTTTGTCTCTTTTGATCTTTGTTGGTTTAAAGTCTGTTTTATCAGAGAACTAGGATTGCAACCCCTGCCTTTTTTTGTTTTCCATTTGCTTGGTAGATCTTCCTCCACCCTTTTATTTTGAGCCTACGTGTGTCTCTGCACATGAGATGGGTTTCCTGAATACAGCACACTGATGGGTCTTGACTCTTTATCCAATTTGCCAGTCCGTGTCTTTTAATTGGAGCATTTAGCCTATTTACATTTAAGGTTGATATTGTTATGTGTGAATTTGATCCTGTCATTGTGATGTTAGCTGGTTATTTTGCACGTTAGTTGATGCAGTTTCTTCCTAGCCTTGATGGTCTTTACAATTTGGCATGTTTTTGCAGTGGCTGGTACCGGTTTTTCCTTTCCATGTTTAGTGCTTCCTTCAGGAGCTCTTTTAGGGCAGGCCTGGTGGTGACAAAATCTCTCAACATTTGCTTGTCTGTAAAGTATTTTATTTCTCCTTCACTTATGAAGCTTAGTTTGGCTGGATATGAAATTCTGGGTTGCAAATTCTTTTCTTTAAGAATGTTGAATATTGGCCCCCACTCTCTTCTGTCTTGTAGAGTTTCTGCCGAGAGATCCGCTGTTAGTCTGATGGGCTTCCCTTTGTGGGTAACCCACCTTTCTCTCTGGCTGCCCTTAACATTTTTCCTTCATTTCAACTTTGGTGAATCTGACAATTGTGTGTCTTGGAGTTGCTCTTCTCGAGGAGTATCTTTGTGGCATTCTCTGTATTTCCTGAATCTGAATGTTGGCCTGCCTTGCTAGATTGGGGAAGTTCTCCTGCATAATATCCTGCAGAGTGTTTTCCAACTTGGTTCCATTCTCTCCGTCATTTTCAGGTACACCAATCAGATGTAGATTTGGTCTTTTCACATAGTCCCATATTTCTTGGAGGCTTTGCTCATTTCTTTTTATTCTTTTTTCTCTAAACTTCTTTATTTGCTTCATTTCATTTATTTGATCTTCCATCACTGATACCCTTTCTTCCAGTTGATAGAGTCAGCTACTGAGGCTTGTGCATGCATCACGTAGTTCTCGTGCCATGGTTTTTAGCTCCATCAGGTCCTTTAAGGACTTCTCTGCATTGGTTATTCTAGTTAGCCATTCATCTAATCTTTTTTCAAGGTTTTTGACTTCTTTGCCATGGGTTCAAACTTCCTCCTTTAGCTTGGAGTAGTTTGATCGTCTGAAGCCTTCTTCTATCAACTTGTCAAAGTCATTTTCCATCCAGCTTTGTTCCGTTGCTGGTGAGGACCTGTGTTCCTTTGGAGGAGGAGAGGAGCTCTGATTTTTAGAATTTTCAGTTTTTCTGCTCTGTTTTTTCCCCATCTTTGTGGTTTTATCTACCTTTTGTCTTTGATGATGGTGATGTACAGATGGGGTTTTGGTGTGGATGTCCTTTCTGTTTGTTAGTTTTCCTTCTAACAGTCAGGACCCTCAGCTGCAGGTCTGCTGGAGTTTGCTGGAGGTCCACTCCAGACCCTGTTTGCCTGGGTTTCAGCAGCGGAGGCTGCAGAACAGTGGATATTGGTGAACAGCAAATGTTGCTGCCTGATCGTTCCTCTGGAAGTTTTGTCTCAGAGGAGTACCCGGCTATGTGAGGTGTCAGTCTGCCCCTACTGGGAGATGCCTCCCAGTTAGGGTACTCGGGGGTCAGGGACCCACTTGAGGAGGCAGTCTGCCTGTTCTCAGATCTCCAGCTGCGTGCTGGGAGAACCACTACTCTCTTCAAAGCTGTCAGACAGGGACATTTAAGTCTGCAGAGGTTTCTGCTGTCTTTTGTTTGGCTATGCCCTGCCCACAGAGGTGGAGTCTACAGAGGCAGGCAGGCCTCCATGAGCTGTGGTAGGCTCCACCTAGTTCGAGCTTCCTGGCTGCTTTGTTTACCTAGTCAAGCTTTGGCAATGTCGGGCACCCGTCCCCCAGCCTCGCTGCCGCCTTGCCGTTTGATCTCAGACTGCTGTGCTAGCAATGAGCGAGGCTTCGTAGGCATAGGACCCTCTGAGCCAGGTGCGGGATACAATCTCCTGGTGTGCCGTTTGCTAAGACCATTGGAAAAGCACAGTATTAGGGTGGGAGTGACCTGATTTTCCAGGTGCCATCTGTCACCCCTTTCCTTGGCTAGGAAAGGGAATTCCCTGACCCCTTGTGCTTCCTGGGTGAGGTGATGCCTCGCCCTGCTTTGGCTCACGCTCGGTGCACTGCACCCACTGTCCTGCACCCACTGTCTGACAATCCCCAGTGAGATGAACCCAGTACCTCACTTGGAAATGCAGAAGTCATTCGACTTCTGCGTCGCTCATGCTGGGAGCTGTAGACCGGAGCTGTTCCTATTCGGCCATCTTGGCTCCACCCACCTGCACTCTGGATTTTATAAAGCAATTAGTTTTAAATATGCTCTTGGAAGAGAGAGTGTAAGATTTGAATTAAAAACCGTTTTCTCTGTGTCTTGCTTCCATATTGAACAAAACCAACTTCTTTTAGAGAGTAGAAAGGTGTGAATAAGACTTGTCAATACTTTGGCCTTTTTGTGTTTTAGTCATATTTTTCTATGTTTATGAGACAGCATCTATCTAATCAACTATTATGTCATAACTTGTCAAGCCAACAGGTGTTAACAGAAGGAAATTGTCCCAGTCTCTTTTACAATAAGTTGGCTTTTAATGTCAAAAATATCAACTAATACTACTAAGAAGAAACACCATTTTACAGTTTACTTTTTGTTTTGTAATGAGGGTGGTACAACCCTTCCTCTTGATACCTTGAATCACTATCTCATTTTTTTTTTCTTTTACATTTTCTTCACTTCTGAACTTTCCTAAAATACTTTGTTACCTCTGTTTCTTCACTGCCTACTCATTCTTAATTTCCCTGTGGTCTGAATTCAGCCCCATCACTTTCCTGAAATTTTATTCATAGTCACCTGTGACCTTTTAGAAAACAAATCTAAAAACTTTTTTTTAACTCAGTCATTTTTTTGACCTCTTTATAGCATTTGCTTTATTGACTGCCCTCATTGCTTTGAAACTCTTCTTTGTTCCCTTAACTTCCATGACCCCATATAAAACTGATTCTTACAACCAGCAGCATATCCTTTCAATTTCTCTGTTTTGGTCATGGCTAAAAACCATGAACTTATTTTTGATTTATCTCCATTCTTTTCCTCCAAGTCTTGCCTATTTTTCCTCTGTAATTTTCTATCTCCTTTTTTTTCTTCTGAAATATCCTATTACCACCCTTGTCCAAGTCTATGTCATACTTGTTCTTAACTGGTTTCTTTGTATTCAGTTTTTTCCTCATTCCAATCATTATAAAACTACTGCCAATTTTTTCCCCAAAACAATTTTTATTGAACAAGTCATTCCATCATGCCCTGTGTTTGGAAGAGGCTGGATTCAAGCCAGTTGGGAATGCATCTCTTCTGATAATATATTTCCCCTAAATTAGACAGACAAATTGTTCCAGCAAAGATGC
Source organism: Homo sapiens (assembly GCF_000001405.40). Classification (NCBI taxonomy): domain Eukaryota; kingdom Metazoa; phylum Chordata; class Mammalia; order Primates; family Hominidae; genus Homo; species Homo sapiens. The sequence continues at coordinate 80,130,306 of NC_000012.12, forward strand.
AGAGAAAACACATCAGCATTTGTCTTGGATATAGATGCTGAGGCCAATTTAGTCTGAAATGTTGATTAGATTGCATGAGCTAAAGGTCAGAACTATGCTTTCAATGACAACTTGAAGAGTTGGAGGTTGGAATGGAGCCAATGAAAGAATGTGTTGAAGAATATAAGAGGCTCTAAACCAGAAAGAGCAGGCCAGTGTGAGAACAGACAAGGGAAGATGTTATACAAGTTCTCAAAGGAAATGGAAGTCAGGGGACTAGGGTGAGCAATTTTGGTTGATAAACTAGAGAGGGTGTGGGGATGAGAAGGGAGTGGCGAAGCTAAGTTCTACAGTATATGCTGTGATTTTTGCCTTAGGAATAAAGGTATGCTGACTGAGCTTATGAACACCAAAGAGGGGGGCAAATAATTTTCTAGGCTGATTTGCCAGAGAGCAGTTCTTCTTTGAATTCATTTATATGAACATGTTGTTTTCATCACATGAATCTAACAATTTTTCTTCAACCATTCCCACATATCTGCCATATTTCCTATCATGCTATGATCTTTCTTCTCTGCTTTCATGAGTTCAACCTTTCTTTTAAAATTCAGCTCATATTCTATCTGTATCATTTAATTTTTGATTTAAAACAATGGAAGCAAACACTGGCTAACTTAATTCCCCTTTACCTATTCATTCCCCCCAAAGGGTTTGGGGAGTCAGAGGTTACAGGAAGGATTCATGGAATCCCCAGAAGGCTGGAAGATCAGGGTTGAGACAGTCGGAACCAAGGAAGCTCTGGAAACTTAAGAAGTAGGAGGCACAGCAAGTCTCACGGCAAGAAGAGCTTGGTAAGGACTTGGTCACTACCACTACCGCTGCCATGACCTTGACCTCCAACTACCCCCTGTCTTTGCATCCTCCTTGAATTCAAAGTCCTACCCATAGAAAATCTGGTTAGCCCAGATTAAGTCACATGTCCATCCCTTGTCTGGTCCAGTTTGTGGAAGAGATCTCTGCTTCCATAGTGCATAGAGAACAATAGCTCCAACCAAGAGTATACATGCTGGAGGCTTTCCCAAAAGGGAGAATAGAATATTGTTAGGAAGAGGAGAGTCAGAGGCCCTGAGGGCAGGAACTTTATTTTTGTATTCTAATACTCCAAAAAGGACTTTGCACACAGCCTGTACAAAATAATTTTTATGAAAGATGATATTGACCAACTGTTCCATTTTCAGTGAATTATGTCCTATGAGAATCACCTGCATGTTTTATTTAGTTTAATATGGGATGAATCAAAGGAGGGTGACTGACATTTACTGCATATTTACTGTGTGCTAGGTACCATACAATTTTCTCTTGTAATAATAATGATAATAACAACAAATGGCATTTATTTAGCTTTATTATTATTATAACCTATGCATGAAACTCATTGATTTAGATACATTAGTTCATTTAATCCCTGTAAGAATCATTCAAGATAGATCTTATTGTCTTTTTTCTTTTCTTGCAGATATGAGTACTATTGGCTAGAGAAGTTTAGTAACTTTCCTGAAGTTTTACAGAAGATAAGTATAGAGTGGGAACTCAAAACTATTTCTGTCTGATTCCAAAGCCCTTTTAATATTTTGTATTGCTTAAGTAGCAAGAATAGAGTTTGTAAGAACATACAATATCAATAAATGTTTCATGTCCTTCATCATTAACTACTCCAGTTAGTATCAACCGGGAACTTACTTGGAATGTACATTCTCTGCCCCCTCAACAGACCTACTGAATCAAAAACTCTGGAGGTCAGGCCCAGAAATCTGTCTTTTGGCATACTTTCCAGGTGAGTCTGATGTATGCTAGGGTTTGAGAAGTACTGACCTACCTCCCTTCTCACTGTTTGTATCTTTATGTGGCACCACACCTATATAAGTTGTGCTGAACCTTTATAGTCTGATTATTGTATTATTTTATATGCCATCATTTAAACTTTATTTGTATTTTTTATTTTCCAATTTTGATTTTTAATTTATTTATCAGATGTAGTCTTATAGGCTACTCTTACTGAAGTCTCACATATATGACAAAAATATAAAAATATGTGTGGACTGTACATATAGGCTTCATATCTATTTGCCTAGTGTACTGAACTATTTTTCTCCTTTTTTTTCTCTGAAAATGTTTTATCTGCCGGGAGGTAAACAGAATGAGAAATGAAACTTAATCCATGCAGCTAAGACTCATCTCTGCTACTTCATACCCTTCCCTAGAGGAGCTAAATGTTTTAGACAGTGACTTTATATTACCTTCTCTTTCATCTCTTGCTGGAGTCTCAATGAAGGTATTAAACTATTAATTATGATTATATATTTTGCAAAATTTGCCTTGGATTCATTGAGAATCTGCCCAGGTAATCAAGATTCGACCACTTACAAATTAAATATTCATCATCTGTGCTCTAAAATGTAAAGATTGTCTGCTGATCACTTGGGCCACAACACTTTTCAAGACCAGGTAAATATTCTAAATGAACGAAGATTCTCTGCCCTGTTCCTCTCACCTGCATGTCAAGCAGGTTGAACATTATGAAGGTGGTTTTGAAGATAATGCTAGAATTTATGAATGTCTTCCCCCATTTTCAGCAGGGACATGAGTTGGGAAGGGCAAGATGAATACTTAGCTTTTCCTTCTTTGTGCATCTCTCCTGTTACTTTTGTTTAAAAAGTGCATTTTATTTAACTCTTTAATTCCATTAACTTATTTTAAGTTTAAAATACAAATGAAGTAACTAAATTTAATTATTTTTAATTGCCAAGATTAGGTCTAGTTACTTCTTCTTGTTATCTTTAAGGAAAACAATCTGAATGTTTATCACTAGGATCTTTCTTCTGTATTTAAAATTTCCTTGAAAAAAAAGAGGGCTCATTACCTTATTATTTTGTTATATTAAGTGCCTATGCTAGCACCTATTTAGGCAGTGTTTTTTTAGGCAATGATTATTGAATATGGGATTGAAAGTGTCTTCTAAATAAATGAACTATTATTATATGTCTCCTGAACTTTAAAATTTTTGAGATATATATTAGAGATGCTTATATATGAAATTTACTTGAAAATTAATGGAGCTGCACAGAAACTCTGATCACCTGCACTTGGTCTCTCTACAGTCTAATCATTCATTAACTTTTCAAATGTTTCTTTCTTCTTTATTTTTTGTTACTCAGGGTAAAATGTTTAGCATTCTGGTGTTTTTTCTTATCCATTGGCCTAAGGAAGATAAGAGAAACATGGAGCAGCCCAGGATACAACCTACAGCTTAGAGCTAAACTCATTCAAGCCCAGACTAGGTCAGCTAACCCCTAGACAATGCACAAATGTGTGATCAAGAAAAAAAAAAGGCTGGGTGTGGTGGCTCGTGCCTGTAATATCAGCACTTTGGTAGGCAGAGGTGGGTGGATTCCTTGAGCTCAGGAGTTCGAGACCAGTTTAAGCAACATGGCAACACCCTATCTCTACAAAAATACAAAAAATTAGCTGGCTTTTGTGGTGCACACCTGTAGTCCAGCTACTCGGGAGGCTAAGATGGGAGGTAGAGGGTGCAGTGAGCTGAGACTGTGCCACTGCACTCTGGCCTGGGCAACATAGTGAGACTCTGTCTCAAAAACAAAAACAAAAACAAAAACAAAAAACCCAAACAAACAAAATTAAAAGCTAAAATAAAAAAAAAAGTAGAGTCACTGAATTTCAGCATTGTTTGTTAAATAGCATTATTCCAGCAATGACTGAATGATACAATCAGGTTTTCATTTCCTTTCCATTCTTAATGTTACCATCCTATTATTCATTTAGACTATTGCTAGACAGCTGAGAAGTCTTTCAACCTTTAGATTATTTTCCTCTCTCCCCATTTTATGCACCACACCAGATTCATCTTCCTGTTCTAAAACATTTAATGATTTTGTATTATTTTCCAAATGAAGTCTGGATAAGAATTCTATTTCCATTTAGCAAAATTCTATGCATCCTTTGATGTCTATCTTAAAGGGCACTTCTTTAGGGACCTGCTATCATTCTCCCAACTGATGAGGCTTTCCTTTTCTTATGGACTTCTATAACACCCACAAATTTCATGACACTTGTCAGATTCAGCCCTGAATTATGGTTTTTAAGTAGGCTATTTTATTCTAAACTTTGGAATATGATTACCTCTCTGAAGGAATGACATGTGATTTTGGTATCCTCCACTCACAGTTTTATGTTTTTGCACAAAATATGTCTTCTAATAAATATTGTTTAATTGAATTGGTAGTCCACTACTCATGAAACTCTCATGCCACATAAGACTCCTATTCCCTGGGTCTTCATATCATTATTGGCAGCAGTGAAGTGAGGACCTGCATTCTGCTTCTTGGCAACAATCCTCCCCCTTTCCCACCAAAGCTTACAGCATCTTCACTGCTATCTGCCTTAAGATCAAATTATTCTCATTATGCTCTTTGTCTATGTTTATGTCAGTAATCACAAGAAGCCCAGGACCCATAGGCAATTCTCACTGCTGTTTTCCATCCCCTCATATCTCTGCATATCAGATTTTTCTGGTGCATCCCCAACAGTTTTCCAAGTCCTGAAACCTTATTCATGTGTCTCTGGAATTTACAGGTAGTCTTCAGCAATATCTTGGGCGTCTTCTAATCTCTGAATGTTCAGTTGACCTTTCTCTAGCTAAAACATGGCTCTCCCATGAAGACATCACTTCTACATCATCTCTGATTCTGTTTTATTTTTTTCTCACATTCCTGTTATCACTTGGACCACAGATGGTGTAGTTACCTCTCATAGTCTTCCTTGCTTCTTTCAACACAGTTTTCCTCCCCTCTGTCCCTGCTTTCATCTCATATCACTAGGTTATACTACTTATTACCCTTTCTTGTAGTCCATTACAAATCTCTGGGTCATTTTTTATTTCTTGAGCCCCTCCCCTCCCCTCCCCTCCCCTCCCCTCCCCTTCCCTTCCCTTGATGGAGTCTTGCTCTATCACCCAGGCTACAGTGCAGTGGCATGATCTCAGCTCATTGTAACCTCTGCTTCCCAGGTTCAAGCAGTTATCCTGCCTCAGCCTCCTGAGTAGCTGGGATTACAGGTGCCTACCACCATGCCTGGCTAATTTTTGTATTTTTAGTAGAAACAGAGTTTCACCACGTTTGTCAGGCTGGTCTCGAACTCCTGCCCTCAGGTGATCTGCCTGCCTTGGCCTCCCAAAGCACTGGGATTATAGGCATGAGCCATCATGCCTGGCCTATCGAATACTTTCATTTCTGAATGACAGTCATACTCTTTAGCACTAATAAGAAGTCTTGGTGATTTTAATATTTTCTATTTCAATATCTGTAATGGTTAATTTTATTTCTCAACTTGACTAGGCCATGGGATATCTAGATAACTGGTCAAACATTGTGAGTGTTTTTGTGAGGGTATTCTTGGATGAGATTGATATTTAAACTGGTAAACTTAAGTAAAGCAGATTGCCTTCCATAAGGTGGGTGGGTCTCATCCAATCAGTTGAAGGTCTGAGTAGAACAGAAAGGCCGACTCTCACCTGAGTGAGAGAGAATTCTCCTGCCTGATGGCCTTTGAACTGGGACATTAGTTCTTCCTGATTCTATAGCAGACTGCTGGTCTTTGGACTCAAACTGGGATATTGGCTGTGCAGATTTTGAGCTCGCCAACCTTCATAATCATGTGAACCGATTCCTTATAATAAACCTCTTCATGTCTGTCTATAGCTGTCTATCTTTTTCCTATTGGTTTTGTTTCTCTGGAAAACCTTGATGAATACAATATCCTTCTCATTCTCACAGTTTCTGGACTTGCTTTTTTTGTGGAAATGTCTGTACTCACTATCTTCAATTTCTCTCCCTTCTTTCTCTCTTGGTCCCACTAGAATCAGGCTTTCACTCTCACCATTTCCTCAAAACCACTCTTCTCAAGTTCTCTAGTGATCTACCCAGTGGTAAATTCAATGTTTCAATTCTTAGTCCTCATTTTACTGATTGAAACTGTATTGAGAGTCCAACCACCTTTGCTCCGCTATTCTGGTCACAGCCAGCATCACCTTTCATGTCAATAGTAAAATAGCCTCTTGCCAGGTCTCCCTGCCATCCCCTGGTCCTCATAGAATTTACTGTCCATGTAGTAGTAGGATACCTTTTTTGACTTCGTGAAGTACACCTTATGATATATTTTCACCTCTTGTACTACTCTGTTTCTAGTTCTCTCTGTTCTTACCACCCTAGCTTCTTTGCTGGTTTTCAAACCTTCCAGGAAAGTCTCAGGCTTTTGGACTTGTTCTTCCTTCTACCTGGACCATAATTTCTCTAGGCAGCTGTGAACAACGGTATAGGTCTTTTTCAAATGTCTCCTACCAGGGAGGGCTTTCCTGACCACCTTGTCTAAAATTGCTATCTTCATCCTATTCCAACCCTTCCAGCTATCTCTTCATTCTCTGTTTTTTTCTCTATTTTTTTTAAAATAGTATTTGTCAGCATCTGATATATTATGTACTTTGTTTATTTATATTTATTTCTTATTTTTCAGTGTCTCTTCCCATTCTATTAGAATGTAAACTCCACATGGGTAGAAGTTTTTATCTATTTTGTTTGCTATGGTATTCCCCATAATTAGAATATTACTTAGCACATGATAGTGTTAAATAAGTGTTTGTTGGCTGGATTAATGCTGTCAGTCACAGAAAAAAAAGTGCATTGTTTTCTGATCGGTTTCAGAAACGAGATTTTACTAATGTAGAAGGACTATTTTCCTCTCCAACAACAAGACAGAGCTGTTTAAAATATAATCAACAGGAAATATTTAATCTCTCAAATTTTATTCTATTAAGTCAGTTGTAGCTATCCAAAAGCTCTATGTGGTATTTATACAAAAATGCCAGTGGTTACTATAATTTCATGTTATATAATAGTATCTCGGTAGCAAAGAAAAAAACCATGTCACTGAATTGCTATTTTAGTGAATATTCAGTTGTCATCTAGTTGTCTAAACTTCTGGCACAATCAATTGTGAACACTTATTTTCTGTTTACAATAAAAGACATTGGTATGGTGTTTCAAAAGGATCACTTTAACCTGCCTAGACAGTACTTTGATGAACTTGCTGAGAAATGGAATTGACCAAAACCTCTTGCCAAATTAGATGTTTGACCCAAGACAAATCAGGACACTAATTTGGATGTTTTATCATTTTTCTGCTCAGTGCCCAGACCTTAACATGCTTTCAAAACAATAATTAATGCCTACCAGATTCTAAGAATTTATTTTTAATCCTAATTTTACAGATGAGGAAGCAAATGGGAAGAAGTTAAATGGCTTATTTAAAGCCCCATCACAAATTAACAGCAAGCTGGAACTCTATGTAAGGCACTCTTGCCTCATGTTTCTAGGTTTATTAGTGTCATGTTCTGATGCCAGGGTAATTACTGGAAACCAGTCTTGGGGAACATAATTGATCTTTTAGGATGCAGCTGTGATGACTGGAGACTTCTCTATTAAAAATCAGGGACGCAAATGAGACCTGGTTCACGTTGATAAAAATGGAGCTCTAACCCGTGTTTCTGTTCTTTGGGAAGAAGTATCACTTTGGAGTCTCCTAGCCTTTTAGATAGAGGAGCTAAAAAAATAGACTTAACAGAAAAATTAAGATTACTGTATGTTCTGATGTTAGTACAAATAAGTATTATGGTTTATAAATAAATCTGGGGTTAGACTTTCCTTCTCAGAGATGGTATAATTAAGTTAGATGTCTTTTTTTAGACAATCACACATGCAATTATACAGATGGGAAGTAGCTTTTGAATCAGAATGAACGAGTTCCCAACAGAGTATAGGGGATTCTTACTAAATCTTTCCTTAGGGCAAAGGCTCCTTTCTTTCTGTTAGAAAGAAAGGCTTAGAAGTATAATTATACTTGGTAAAAAGTTCCAATTGGTTGATACGATAATTTTCTTATTCTTTCATATTCTTAGTTTCCTCATCTATAAAATAGTGATCATAATATCTCTAATAAAGCTGTTGTAAGAATTAAATGGAATAATCTAAGCTGATTTTAGCACAGTTCTTGGCAAATGGTAAGTACAACGTAACTATCAGTGTTATCACTCTTCTTCCTCTGTCATATTATTATCATTAGTAAATGATGATGAGAACATGTGTTCTCCAGGTTAATAGGAATGGGGAGAGTGAGGGATTTTTTTCATCCCCTATATTTCAAAGACTAGTTATGAGAGCTTTTACTGCCAGTTGCAAGATAAGAACATCAATTACTTTAGTGGTCAAATGATTCCAACACTGAAAGCCAATAGCTACATTAGCACTTTGAAGCAAAAAAGGCCAATGTCAAGAAAATATAAAGTCTAATTTTTTAATTAAAAAATGACAAGAGTATAATAACAGACTGTAGCTGAATAGTGAATCAATGTGTTCACAGAGAATAGAAGTTAAAGTCAGAGGGGTAAAATTAATATTGATTACTGATACATCTTTAACACTAAAATGTTTTTTGAGTGAATGAATAAATGAATTGGTGGATGGATGGTTGGTTTCTATCCTAAGCAAAAGTCTCTGAACATGTCCAGTGTGGTAAACATTTAGACTATCTTTCTCACCGTCTCTTCCAACTACCTTTTACTGTGTCCTTTTGTACTGCAGAGATTGGGAAGCTAAAACTCACGTATCCCACACTCCCTTATAGCGAGGGTCCTATATGTGGCCAATCAGATGAATTCATATAGGACTCGAATTATGCAGTTAAGAGAGAAAGAATAAGAAATATCCGTTTTGGTGGTGCAGATTGCTGGTGAGGAGGATGGCATAAAGGCTGACCTTGGAGATGGCAGCTCCTTGATCATGGCGGGTGAAGCAGCTGCTTTGGAAGTGCATTTCTGCGGTAGGATCTTGGGAGTTATTCCTGGACCCTCTGTGCAAAGTTTACTAAGTTAGCTGTCCTAATTACTCTGTAAGCCTTTTTTAAATACCTGGGAACTGTAGCAATCCATTTTCATTTAAATAAGTCAATATGAATTTTATCCTTTATAACTGAGCCTTAACTTACACATTGGTTTCTCCCAGTTACAACGTTCAGTGTTGAAATTCCATGGCACAACTTCATTTTTTGCATCTTTTCTGTATCTTGTGTTGGCCACATGCCACTTCCCTCCTTAAATATTTCCTGATTTCCCTAGCTAATGTGCACTCTCTTTTCTTTGATCCACTAAGTTTTTGTTGTTTGTTTGTTTGATGGTTTTTGTCATATTCTGCTTTGATTTCAAGTTACTCTTACTTTATTCAAATTCAAGCTCTTTGAGGGATTATAAAATTAAAATATATTTAAAGGCCTTTTTGAATTCCCACTGTGCTTATCATAGTGCCTTAAAGACAGTAGGTGCTTAATGAATATTAGAGGAATTTGAATACAACAAAATCACTTTAGGAAGGCTGCCTTTAGAAACATTATGCCTAGGAGTAGTGTGCTGTAGTTTAAACTATCATATACGTGTTGATAACTGCTCAATCTCTTCCCACCATTTCCAAAATATTTCCATCTGAATGTTCTACTAACATCCTACACTGACTATTCCCTAAACTGATTTTCATGACCTATACCCTCAGATTTTCCTTTCCAGTTTCCTATGAATGCATGTTAAAGACATCATCATTCTCTTACCATGCTATTTAAGCCCTGGGCAAGAATCCCAACTACTGTATTCTTCTCTTGTTACATTCAACAAATAATCAAGTCACATTCACTCCAGTTCCACCTGCCTTGCCTCTCCCCTTTACTTTGTTCTCTCTATTGATGACATTTCGAGTCTACCTCATTTCTCATGTGGATTCTAGCACTGATCTCCTTCATACCACAGATGTCTTCTGGGAGCGTCTCTATCACATGGTTTGAGTTGTTTTTCGTTTTACCAACAACCGCCTTTATTTCAACTTTAGGGTCAATGCAACTGCATGTGATGTTCAGAGGTAAATTATTGGCTTCTTTGGGTCATTTGGGACTGTGCCTGGAGTTTACTTTTGAAACAGATTGCTTTTGATGTCTGCTTTGTTAACTATTTGTGTTCAGCTTTGTCAGGTGACATAAGATTTCAGACAGTCTTACCATCCTTAAGTAAATAAAGGAACACATCAAATGTTATGAATTTCTTTATTACTTTCTTAAGAAGTAGAGCACAGTGTTAAAAAGTGAGGACTCTGGAATTAGAGTAACTGGGTTAATGTCCCCATGGCTCTGCCATTAACTACCTGATGATCTTGGGCAAGTTACTTCATCTCTCTGTGCTTCAGTCTCCTCATATATAAAATGTGCCTACTAAGTATACCTACCTCTTACTATTGTGGTAAGAATTGAATGTCAGCATATGTAAAGTCCTTAGATTGGCACCTAGCTCATAGAAAATATGTATTGTCAGTTAGTATCATTACTATTTATGTAATGTGAACTTGATCATTTTAAGTATTAAATGTGAATTTCTGACTAAGAGAGAAGAACTGGTATCTTTGTAAATATATACGGACATCAGTAATTTTTAGTAATTAAGTGATTTTTTCCCACATTTATGAAATAAGTGTACATAGAATAACTTCTTTATGTTCAACTAACTTACCAAATATACCTTCAGAAAAGTAGTGAACAAAGATTAAATTAAATCCTGATATTGTTAAAAATAGTTTGCTCCACAAGACTTATAAAGAAACAATGATATTTCTGTAGCTCTTGCAGGTGTTTATTGAAGCATGGTGATCTTTTTATTCTTGTACCTTTATTTTTAAAGGAAAGGGCTGGTAATTATACTCTGTCACATTCCCCGAGTTCTTAAGTTATGTAAAGTAGGGTGGTGGTTTCAAGGGAAAAAGGCAAGATTTTTTTTATTAACTCTAGAGATAAAAGTAAGCCGTGGCATTATCTTTCTGTTTTTCTTATCTTTTAGCCTCATTTGTGTAACTTTAATATCTGCAGTGTCTTATCTTTATTTTTCTCTCCTAATTGAAAGGTGACTATTAATAAGAATCATTTTTCAACCATCAAGATATATCACCAGAAGGTGACAATTTTTAGGTATGGAATATAGAAAAGCAAGCACTTTTATTTCTTGGTGCCTGGTGTCCAGGAGGAGGATGCTGCCTCCAGAGAACTTGAGTATTCTGAGCACTTATCGTTCAGCACCATACTGCTCAATCCCAGAAGAGCTCAATACACATGCAATGAGTAAATAAAAAGGTGTTCTCTAACAACAGGCAGACTTGTTTCATCAGCCCTTGCTGTACCTTGATTAAAATCTCCCTAAAGGGTGTCAGCCTCATTTTGCTTTCCTTCCCAGTCTTGTTCCTGGGATCTCTGAGACTCAAATAAAGAATCAGCCACCATTCAAGACTTTTTGTATTAGTTCAACAGAAAGTCAAAAAGTCAAGAATTTCAAGTTGCTTATATTTTACAGGGAGTCTGCAAAGTTCATGATTGATAAGTATGATTTTCTATATAGGTATGTAGTAGAAAGAGTATTTTTATATTTTAAAATTAGCAGCAGAATTCGTTTTTGGGAGAGGAAAGACTATTTAAGAGAGTACCCTCATGGCCACTCTGAGAATGAAATGAGAAAGAAACTGGCCCCTACACTCCATCCTCAACCTTCCTTTCTTGTCCTCCTGGGCTTGGCCAAGATAGGATAGTCTGAGATCAGGAGGGAGCTGTATTGCTTGCTTAGTGTACCAAATGGGAGAACTTTTGAGTTTCTGAAAGAAGACAAAGAGAGAGGAGGAGAGAGACTCCTGTGAAGGAGAAGGTTAGAGAAAAACTTAGATCAGCATTGTCCAATAAAAACACAATGTGAGTCATATATAATTTTAAGTTTTCTAGCTAAAACAAAATATAAACAGGTAAAATTACTTTTAGTAATATATCATAGATTGACAGCACATCCCAATTTGGATTAGCTAAATTTCAAGCACTCAGTGGCCACGTGTCTAGCGGTTATTGTACTGGGTGGCACAGATGTATAGAAAGGAGCCCAGGATCATGGCCAGAATCTGGAGTCCTTTGAAGAAACATAGTGAAAGTTCTGAGTGGTGGGAAAGGAGGTGAATTCTTCAATTAAAACTTTTCATTCATTTTCTGTGTTGTGCCAAGATATAAACTCCTCCCCATTTTCTCTATATCTTCAGTTAAATTCTGTTGTTTAATGTAAGATATCTTCAGTGGAACTACTTTGCATCTGTATTGGCAGGAACCACTATTCCTTCACCACTATCCCAAGGCCAGGAGATAATGTCTGTCCCTCACTGCTTGCAGCCTAGGAAAGCCAACTCTCATTCATTTGACGGCCCCTTAACACTGCCTGTGTCTGTTCCCTTCTGTCTATCCCCACTGCTTTGGTTGCATTAGATAGTCTTAGGAAAAGGGATTGTGTTCTGTGGTTGGGCCAAACGAGGCAGAGAAAATGAAACAGGCACCAGAAGCTAGAGGTGAATGAGGAGGGGAATCCAGCAGAAAGGATGAGTCAGGGAAGATGTAGAGATACAGCAGGGGTGGCAGAAGAGGGGCTTTCCCATGCTACATTGGATGGGAACTGGACTCATTTTGATTTAAATATAAAATTAAATCTGGAGGACTTGGGACCACTCAGGCAACTGGCATTTTTATGGGAAGGCATATGTGCAAGAGGTGGGAAAGATGGGCTGGGATGAAGTAACATAGCAGTATTCCACTCTGGGAAAATAGTTGGGTGGCAAAGGCTGACCTGACCTAATTAGGTACAAACCTATCATGAATTGACATGAGGCTTTTTATAGTCTTCATTGTCATATGTAATGGAAATATACATTTTGCAGCAGAAGTATTAATGTATTTGATAATAGGGTGCTACCCCATACCCCACTATAGAGTGTTACATAATAACATAAAGTAGATGCACCCTGTTAACTTTCTGAAGTCCCTAAAGTTTAGAATTCCAAATTGACTTCTTGGGTTTCCAATAAGGGACTATGGATCTGAATTTGGTTAGGGGATGGGGATGAATAGGAAAAGCTTTTTTTGAACCCCTCAAATCACAGCCTAAATGTCACTGCTTGACCTGCCTGTGTTCAAAGTGATCCCTGGTGATAGACACACCTTCTTTCCCATTAATTGGAAAGTGTTCTTCCTCTCTTTCCCTTACCAGCCTTAATTTCTCCCATTTTTCATGGTTTGTTTTCTACCTCCTGGAACCCTGTGGAGTCGTGTATAGTTCCCTGCACAAAATTCTTGCATTGCTGAGTGCTGGGGCTGAGAAACTTGAGCCCCAGGCTGTGGAGTGCTCAAGTCAGAGGTTCATTTCAGAGGTGTTTGTTTTGGAGCAGAAGAAGACGTTTGACGCAGGTCTGTCACATTTGATAGAGTGTGTTAGTTTCTCATGATGGCATAAAGGAGGCCATCAGGAGTAACTAACAGAACATGGACAGTAAATAATGTGCTCAATGTTGCGTCAGTCACTATTTTATTTATAGAATAGTGATTTTGATCTTATTGGAATGATAAACTGCTCATGTAGTATGCTATTCAGGTGTACTGTTTTTATATCTAGTTCTTCCATGCTAAAAGAGTTAATGGTATTCTAAAAGGGACTAATTTACACTCAGAAAATAACTTATTTGGCCAGAGAGATATATGTATATTCTTCTATGTATTCAAAGGCATTGAAAATGCTCTGTCGTTTTGTGCTTTTCTTTTTTTTTTTTTCTTTTATTATTATACTTTAAGTTTTAGGGTACTTGTGCACATTGTGCAGGTTAGTTACATATGTAAACATGTGCCACGCTGGTGCGCTGCACCCACTAACTCGTCATCTAGCATTAGGTGTATCTCCCAATGCTATCCCTTCCCACTCCCCCCACCCCACAACAGTCCCCAGAGTGTGATGTTCCCCTTCTGTGTCCATGTGATCTCATTGTTCAATTCCCACCTATGAGTGAGAATATGCGGTGTTTGGTTTTTTGTTCTTGCGATAGTTTACTGAGAATGATGATTTCCAATTTCATCCATGTCCCTACAAAGGACATGAACTCATCATTTTTTATGGCTGCATAGTATTCCGTGGTGTATATGTGCCACATTTTCTTAATCCGGTCTATCATTGTTGGACATTTGGGTTGGTTCCAAGTCTTTGCTATTGTGAATAGTGCCGCAATAAACATACGTGTGCATGTGTCTTTATAGCAGCATGACTTATAGTCCTTTGGGTATATATCCAGTAATGGGATGGCTGGGTCAAATGGTATTTCTAGTTCTAGATCCCTGAGGAATCACCACAATGACTTCCACAATGGTTGAACTAGTTTACAGTCCCACCAACAGTGTAAAAGTGTTCCTATTTCTCCACATCCTCTCCAGCACCTGTTGTTTCCTGACTTTATAATGATTGCCATTCTAACTAGTGTGAGATGGTATCTCATTGTGGTTTTGATTTGCATTTCTCTGATGGCCAGTGATGATGAGCATTTTTTCATATGTTTTTTGGCTGCATAAATGTCTTCTTTTGAGAAGTGTCTGTTCATGTCCTTCACCCACTTTTTGATGGGGTTGTTTGTTTTTTTCTTGTAAATTTGTTTGAGTTCATTGTAGATTCTGGATATTAGCCCTTTGTCAGATGAGTAGGTTGCAAAAATTTTCTCCCATGTTGTAGGTTGCCTGTTCACTCTGATGGTAGTTTCTTTTGCTGTACAGAAGCTCTTTAGTTTAATTAGATCCCATTTGTCAATTTTGTCTTTTGTTGCCATTGCTTTTGGTGTTTTAGACATGAAGTCCTTGCCCATGCCTATGTCCTGAATGGTATTGCCTAGGTTTTCTTCTAGGGTTTTTATGGTTTTAGGTCTAACGTTTAAGTCTTTAATCCATCTTGAATTGACTTTTGTGTAAGGTGTAAGGAAGGGATCCAGTATCAGCTTTCTACATATGGCTAGCCAGTTTTCCCAGCACCATTTATTAAATAGGGAATCCTTTCCCCGTTGCTTGTTTTTTCTCAGGTTTGTCAAAGATCAGATAGTTGTAGATATGCGGCGTTATTTCTGAGGGCTCTGTTCTGTTCCATTGATCTATATCTCTGTTTTGGTACCAGTACCATGCTGTTTTGGTTACTGTAGCCTTCTAGTATAGTTTGAAGTCAGGTAGTGTGATGCCTCCAGCTTTGTTCTTTTGGCTTAGGATTGACTTGGCGATGCGGGCTCTTTTTTGGTGCCATATGAACTTTAAAGTAGTTTTTTCCAATTCCGTGAAGAAAGGCATTGGTAGCTTGATGGGGATGGCATTGAATCTATAAATTACCTTGGGCAGTATGGCCATTTTCACGATATTGATTCTTCCTACCCATGAGCATGGAATGTTCTTCCATTTGTTTGTATCCTCTTTTATTTCATTGAGCAGTGGTTTGTAGTTCTCCTTGAAGAAGTCCTTCACATCCTTTGTAAGTTGGATTCCTAGGTATTTTATTCTCTTTGAAGCAGTTGTGAATGGGAGTTCACTCATGATTTGGCTCTCTGTTTGTCTGTTGTTGGTGTATAAGAATGCTTGTGATTTTTGTACATTGATTTTGTATCCTGAGACTTTGCTGAAATTGCTTATCAGCTGAAGGAGATTTTGGGCTGAACAATGGGGTTTTCTAGATATACAATCATGTCATCTGTAAGCAGGGACAATTTGACTTCCTCTTTTCCTATTTGAATACCCTTTATTTCCTTCTCCTGCCTAATTGCCCTGGCCAGAACTTCCAACACCCTGTTGAATAGGAGCGGTGAGAGAGGGCATCCCTGTCTTGTGCCAGTTTTCAAAGGGAATGCTTCCAGTTTTTGCCCATTCAGTATGATATTGGCTGTGGGTTTGTCATAGATAGCTCTTATTATTTTGAGATATGTCCCATCAATATCTAATTTATTGAGAGTTTTTAGCATGAAGGGTTGTTGAATTTTGTCAAAGGCTTTTTCTGCATCTATTGAGATAATCATGTGGTTTTTGTCTTTGGCTCGGTTTATATGCTGGATTACATTTATTGATTTGCGTATATTGAACCAGCCTTGCATCCCAGGGATGAAGCCCTCTTGATCATGGTGGATAAGCTTTTTGATGTGCTGCTGGATTCGTTTTGCCAGTATTTTATTGAGGATTTTTGCATCAATATTCATCAAGGATATTGGTCTAAAATTCTCTTTTTTGGTTGTGTCTCTGCCAGGCTTTGGTATCAGAATGATGCTGGCCTCATAAAATGAGTTAGGGAGGATTCCCTCTTTTTCTATTGATTGGAATAGTTTCAGAAGGAATGGTATCAGTTCCTCCTTGTACCTCTGCTAGAATTCAGCTGTGAATCCATCTGGTCCTGGACTCTTTTTGGTTGGTAAGCTATTGATTATTGCCACAATTTCAGCTCCTGTTATTGGTCTATTCAGAGATTCAACTTCTTCCTGGTTTAGTCTTGGGAGAGTGTATGTGTCGAGGAATTTATCCATTTCTTCTAGATTTTCTAGTTTATTTGCATAGAGGTGTTTGTAGTATTCTCTGATGGTAGTTTGTATTTCTGTGGGATTGGTGGTGATATCCCTTTTATCATTTTTTATTGTATCTATTTGATTCTTCTCTCTTTTTTTCTTTATTAGTCTTGCTAGTTGTCTATTTTGTTGATCCTTTCAAAAAACCAGCTCCTGGATTCATTAATTTTTTGAAGGGTTTTTTGTGTCTCTATTTCCTTCAGTTCTGCTCTGATTTTAGTTATTTCTTGCCTTCTGCTAGCTTTTGAATGTGTTTGCTCTTGCTTTTCTAGTTGTTTTAATTGTGATGTTAGGATGTCAATTTTGGATCTTTCCTGCTTTCTCCTGTGGGCATTTAGTGCTATAAATTTCCCTCTACACACTGCTTTGAATGCGTCCCAGAGATTCTGGTATGTTGTGTCTTTGTTCTCGTTGGTTTCAAAGAACATCTTTATTTCTGCCTTCATTTCGTTATGTACCCAGTAGTCATTCAGGAGCAGGTTGTTCAGTTTCCATGTAGTTGAGCGGTTTTGAGTGAGACTCTTAATCCTGAGTTCTAGTTTGATTGCACTGTGGTCTGAGAGACAGTTTGTTATAATCTCTGTTCTTTTACATTTGCTGAGGAGAGCTTTACTTCCAAGTATGTGGTCAATTTTGGAATAGGTGTGGTGTGGTGCTGAAAAAAATGTATATTCTGGTGATTTGGGGTGGAGAGTTCTGTAGATGTCTATTAGGTCTGCTTGGTGCAGAGCTGAGTTTAATTCCTGGGTATTCTTGTTGACTTTCTGTCTCCTTGATCTGTCTAATGTTGACAGTGGGGTGTTAAAGTCTCCCATTGTTAATGTGTGGGAGTCTAAGTCTCTTTGTAGGTCACTCAGGACCTGCTTTATGAATCTGGGTGCTCCTGTATTGGGTGCATATATATTTAGGATAGTTAGCTCTTCTTGTTGAATTGATCCCTTTACCATTATATAATGGCCTTGTTTGTCTCTTTTGATCTTTATTGGTTTAAAGTCTGTTTTATCAGAGACTAGGATTGCAACCCCTGCCTTTTTTTGTTCTCCATTTGCTTGGTAGATCTTCCTCCATCCTTTTATTTTGAGCCTATGTGTGTCTCTGCACGTGAGATGGGTTTCCTGAATACAGCACACTGATGGGTCTTGACTCTTTATCCAATTTCCCAGTCTGTGTCTTAATTGGAGCATTTAGTCCATTTACATTTAAAGTTAATATTGTTATGTGTGAATTTGATCCTGTCATGATGATGTTAGCTGGTGATTTTGCTCGTTAGTTGATGCAGTTTCTTCCTAGTCTCGATGGTCTTTACATTTTGGCATGATTTTGCAGCGGCTGGTACCGGTTGTTCCTGTCCACATTTAGTGCTTCCTTCAGGAGCTCTTGTAGGGCAGGTCCGGTGGTGACAAAATCTCTCAGCATTTGCTTGTCTGTAAAGTATTTTATTTCTCCTTCACTTATGAAGCTTAGTTTGGCTGGATATGAAATTCTGGGTTGCAAATTCTTTTCTTTAAGAATGTTGAATATTGGCCCCCACTCTCTTCTGGCTTGTAGGGTTTCTGCCGAGAGATCCGCTGTTAGTCTGATGGGCTTCCCTTTGAGGGTAACCCGACCTTTCTCTCTGGCTGCCCTTAACATTTTTTCCTTCATTTCAACTTTGGTGAATCTGACAATTATGTGTCTTGGAGTTGCTCTTCTCGAGGAGTATCTTTGTGGTGTTCTCTGTATTTCCTGAATCTGAATGTTGGCCTGCCTTGCTAGATTGGGGAAATTCTCCTGCATAATATCCTGCAGAGTGTTTTTCAACTTGGTTCCATTCTCCTCGTCACTTTCAGGTACACGAATCAGATGTAGATTTGGTTTTTTCACATAGTCCCATATTTCTTGGAGGCTTTGCTCATTTGTTTTTATTCTGTTTTCTCTAAACTTCCCTTCTCACTTCATTTCATTCATTTCATCTTCTGTTGCTGATACCCTTTCTTCCAGTTGATCGCATCAGCTCCTGAGGCTTCTGCATTCTTCACGTAGTTCTCGAGCCTTGGTTTTCAGCTCCATCAGCTCCTTTAAGCACTTCTCTGTATTGATTATTCTAGTTATACATTATTCTAATTTTTTTTCAAAGTTTTCAACTTGTTTGCCTTTGGTTTGAATGTCCTCCTGTAGCTCAGAGTAATTTGATCGTCTGAAGCCTTCTTCTCTCAGCTCGTCAAAGTCGTTCT
This sequence comes from Homo sapiens, assembly GCF_000001405.40. Taxonomy (NCBI): domain Eukaryota; kingdom Metazoa; phylum Chordata; class Mammalia; order Primates; family Hominidae; genus Homo; species Homo sapiens. Next base: position 80,149,069 of record NC_000012.12, read on the forward strand.
CCGTCCAGCTTTGTTCCATTGCTGGTGAGGAACTGCGTTCCTTTGGAGGAGGAGAGGCGCTCTGCTTTTTAGAGTTTCCAGTTTTTCTGTTGTGTTTTTTCCCCATCTTTGTGGTTTTATCTACTTTTGGTCTTTGGTAATGGTGATGTACAGATGGGTTTTTGGTGTGGATGTCCTTTCTGTTTGTTAGTTTTCCTTCTAACAGACAGGACCCTCAGCTGCAGGTCTGTTGGAGTACCCTGCGGTGTGAGGTGTCAGTGTGCCCCTGCTGGGGGGTGCCTCCCAGTTAGGCTGCTCGGGGGTCGGGGGCCAGGGGTCAGGGGTCAGGGACCCACTTGAGGAGGCAGTCTGCCCGTTCTCAGATCTCCAGTTGCGTACTGGGAGAACCACTGCTCTCTTCAAAGCTGTCAGACAGGGACATTTAAGTCTGCAGAGGTTACTGCTGTCTTTTTGTTTGTCTGTGCCCTGCCCCCAGAGGTGGAGCCTACAGAGGCAGGCAGGCCTCCTTGAGCTGTGGTGGGCTCCACCCAGTTCGAGCTTCCTGGCTGCTTTGTTTACCTAAGCAAGCCTGGGCAATGGCGGGCGCCCCTCCCCCAGCCTCGCTGCCGCCTTGCAGTTTGATCTCAGACTGCTGTGCTAGCAATCATCGAGACTCCATGGGCGTAGGACCCTCCAAGCCAGGTGTGGGATATAATCTTGTGGTGCACCGTTTTTTAAGCCCGTCGGAAAAGCGCAGTATTCGGGTGGGAGTGACCTGATTTTCCAGGTGCCGGCTGACTAGGAAAGGGAGCTCCCTGACCCCTTGCACTTCCCGAGTGAGGCAATGCCTCACCCTGCTTCGGCTCATGCACGGTGCGCGCACCCACTGACCTGCGCCCACTGTCTGGCACTCCCTAGTGAGATGAACCCGGTACCTCAGATGGAAATGCAGAAATCACCCATCTTCTGCGTCGCTCACGCTGGGAGCTGTAGACCGGAGCTGTTCCTATTCGGCCATCTTGGCTTCTCGCTTTTCTTTATATAGTGTCTGGTGCAAACCAAAAAAATGAATGCCAATAATTATAGAAAGGACTTTGCTCTCTCTCAAATAGAGTACTGTGTGACCAAAGGTCCTGTTCCCTGGAAATCTCTCTAGAATATTTTTTTTCTCTTTACCTCATTGAGCCAAACTTCTTTCAAGAATTATATTTGTCCTCTATGTGATATTCATTTTGAAAATGGTTTTCTTTCTATGCAGCTACAACAGAATAATGTGTTTCTTGCTGAACATAATGTAATTTCTTATTCAATAAAAATGAAAAGATAAAGCTGTTCAAAAGAAACTTCCAAACTGACCTGGAAAGGAAACTCCAGAGAGTTACCCCAGTAGTCTGGGAGATCAAAGGGGAATGTTAAGGACTCATCCATCGCATTTATCTTTTATCTAGGCAGTGAGCGATGGACCAATCATGGGATTTTTGCTGTTTCTAAGACAGTGAACAAATCTACAATTACTGGAGAAGGGAAGACCTGCAGCCTTGTTAGTGGAGCAAAGAAAACTCAAAAGTAGGTCTTAAATTCACAGACATTCATTGTGATTGTCTCAATAAGGGCCTTATAGTTATTGTTCACCTTTGGTGAGTCATGGATCATGACTGAAGGGCAAGAGCCCTTTCCCCAGGAAGATGTATCCACCCATAACTGTTTTATATAATTGATGGTAGTGTGCAGATTCTCTGAAGCTCATTTCTGTACCCTACTGTAAGTCTAGAAAAAGAAAGGCATAGAAAACAAGTAGAAATAGATGCTTTTTATTTACTTTTAAAAGCAATTTCTGAAAAATTATGCTAGTATTTATAGTTTAAATAAATTACAATGGAAAAAGGACAAAATAATATTTGATTTTGGCAATTTGTTCATGGAAGAAATTATAGATAATAGGAATCACAATAAAATTAATTTTGAAATCCTTGTGAGAAAGGGTAGGTAAAAAACCTTTTTGAGATTTCTCTAAAGTCTAAAATGTCAGCTTATGGATGGATTTCCCCAGTCAAAAATTTTCCTAGGAGGAAATTTGGCCAAATGCCTAGAGCTAGGAATTTAGGATGAGTTTCTAATTGAATAAGCCATCCTACATAGTTAATCCAACATGTACAAAAAGCAACTCTAAATTCAAAGGAATAATAAGATTTAGGATAGGAAGCAGAGACTAAGAGGCAAACTAAGATTTGATAGAAACTAGAAAAGGCAAGACGAGCCTAAAGTATCCCATGGTTAGCCGCAGAGTCACAGCTCAAACAGGTATGCTTTAACCACACAATCTAAAGTACTTTTCACTCCATTACCTGCTTCTTTCTTTCTTAGCACTTAAAACATTCTGAAATTATTTTGCTTATTCACATACTTACAAGCTCATGGTCAACTTCCCCTATTAAAATGTAAGCTCTCTCTAAAAAAAATAAATAAAATAAAATAATCAGTTTATCTGGAGACATTAAAAGCAGAGTTCTATCCAAAAAAAGGATCTGTGGGAATAGGGTCATGTTATTCACACTTGAATTAGTATTGCTGTTTTGGAGCATAGAATTATACCTTTAGATATTAGCTGTCTCCTTTAGATAGACACCTTGTGGCTTGTAAATACTCTAGAACAGAGGGAATGATGGTGGTGAGAGGCAAAGGAAGAGTCAACTAGTTACTGAAGAGTCACTAGTCACTAATAGACTAGTCAACTAATGTCACTGTGAACGTGAATGGCCCTTTAACTTAGAAGACATTTAAAAGTTACAATGAATCAAAAGCAGCATTGACTTCTGTGCCTATAGAATCTAACAAGAATATCTAATCATTCACTTGTCTGTGCTTTGCAGTTCACTTTACAGGTATTATCAGTTGGTGGTATTTATTTTTACCATTATTGTTTTTCGGACAAGGAAATTAAGGTCAGAGAAGTCAAATAACTGTCCCCCAAATTTAAGTTATGATAGATCTGAGGCCTCTTTCTACTCAATTGAGAACAGTACATTCCATCTTAGAGTCATCTGGCACTATCAGCAAGAATTTGAGAAATTAGACTGGTGTCTCCTAGGGCAAGAAGGAATGGGGTCACATGAGCATGTTAGGCTCTGTGTCAGAGAGGAGCACTGAAAGGAGGGGTGATAAAATACTGGCTCTTGGTGGTTGGGAGTTTAATAGTGAAGAACAGAGAAAACAGATTCCTACTTCACAGTTCTGTTGGAGCCCAATCCAGAGTAGCACTGTTCAATGAGTTGAAAGAGGTCTTGAGGCATAAGAAGAGAAAGCAGAGGCCCAATCAGTTTTATGCTTCATTCTTTGCTAAGGAAGATGCTGAGATCTTCCCTCCCAAATTTCAGCTCGAAGCTGAAAGGTCAGAGGTACTAAAACTAATAGTGACAGAAGCATGGTATGTTATAAACCTAATGACAAAATAGATGGAAATAATAACTTGGAGGGCACTCATCCCACAGTGCTGTAGGAACTCAAGAGTAAAACAGTCTATGGATGTAAGGTAATTTATAGTCACCAATGACCTTTGAGTATTCCTAGAATTTGAGGATGGGTAACAAATCCAATCGCCTGTTGCAAAAATCCAACCTTTGTCATCAATTTTTAAATTTTATTTATTTATTTATTTTTTTGAGACAGAGTGTCACTTTGTCACCAAGGCTGGAGTGCCGTGGCACAATCTCAGCTCACTGCAACCTCCACCTCCCGGGTTTAAAAGATTCTCCTGCCTCAGCCTCAGCTGGGATTACCACCCAGCTGGTGGTATGCACCACCACACCTGGCTAATTTTTGTATTTTTAGTAGAGACAGGGTTTCACCATGTTGGCCAGGCAGGTGCCAATTTCGTAACCTCAGGTGGTCCACCTGCCTCGGCCTCCCAAAGTGCTGGGATTACAGGCATGAGCAACCGCACCCTGGCCGTGTCATCAATTTTTTAAATGAAATAAGTACTTTATTTTTTAAATAGCAATTTTAGTTTCATAGCAAAATTGAGAGAAAGATACAGAGATTTCCCATATATTCCCTGTATTAACCCTTTTGGACTGCTGTAGCAAAGTCCTATAGTACGGCCTTATCAACAATGGAAATTTATTTCTTATTCTGGAAGTTGGGAAGTTCAAGAGTAACACACCAGCAGATTTGGTGTCTGATGAGGGCACGTTTTCTGGTTCATAGACAGCCATCTTTTCATTATGTCCTCAGATGGTGGAAGGAGCAAGGGAGTTCTTTGGAGTCTCTTTTATAAGGGCATTAATCCCATCCACAAGGGTTCCAGCCTCATGACCTAATCACCCCCTCAAAGGCTCCACCTCCTGAGACCATCACATTGGGGATTAAGTTTTCAACATAAGAATTTGTGGGAGACACATTTAATCTATACCTTCTCTGTCTTCACTCATGTATAGCCTCTCTCATTATCAACATCCCCCACCAGAGTGGCACATTTGTTAAAACTGATGAACCTACATTGACACATCATAATCACCCAAAGTCCATAATTTACATTAGAGTTCATTCTTGGTGTTATACACTCTATGGGTTTGTACAAATATATAATGATATATTTTCACCATTGTAGTATCATATAGAGTATTGTCACTGCCCTAAAAATCCTCTGTGCTCCGCCTCTGCATCCCTCCTCTATACCCCTCCAAATCCTGGCAACCACAGATATTTTTTATTGTCTCCATAGTTTTGCCTTTCCCAGAATGTCACATAGTTGGAATCATACATATGTAGACATTTCAGATTGGCTTTTTTCACTTAGTAATATGCATTTAAATTTCCTCCATATCTTTTCATGTCTTGATAGATCATTTCTTCTTAATGCTGTTAAACTAAAATAAAATAGAGACCAGGCTTGAAGAATCTGTAAGTGGACAAAGTCAGTTAGGTCTCATATATGACTTTAACCTTATTTTATTTGCAAACATAATCAAAACTTAACTTGAAGCTGGACACAGTGGCTCATGCCTGTAATCCCAGCACTTTGGGAGGCCGAGGTGGGTGGATCACTTGAGGTCAGGAGTTCAAGACCAGCCTGGCCAACATGGCAAAATTCCGTTTCTACTAAAAATACAAAAATTAGCCAGGCATGGTGGCTCACGCCTGTAGTCCCAGCTACTCGGGAGACTGGGGCAGGAGAATCTTTTGAACCCGGGAGGTGGAGGTTGCAGTGAGCTGAGATCATGCCACTGCACTCCAGCCTGGGCAACAGAGCAAGACTCAGTTAAAAAGGGGGGGAAAAAGAAAGCTTGGACTATTTCTTGTAAATGCCCATATGAAAGAAAAAGAAAACTTAAGCTCAACTAATCAGAAACCACCAACTGTTATAGTTGTGTAACTGGGGACTTTCCAGGAGCCTGCACCAAATAAGGCAGCTGCACAATCAATCAAATATTTTCTTTGCTTTACTTCCATGTTCGTCCTATAAAACCTCCCCTTTGCACTCCCTCTTTGAACTCCCCAAACTAGTTGTAGTTTGGAGCTGACCATTTAATGAATCATTGTTTGCTCAAATACATTAAAAAAAATTAAATGTGCTTCAGTTTACCTTTTAACAATGTTGAGTGATATTCCATTGTCTGGATATACTATATTAATTCATTCACCTACTGAAGGATATCTTAATTGCTTCCAGGTTTTGGCAAAAATAAAGCTGCTATAAACATCTGTGTACAGGTTTTTGTGTGGACAGTTTTCAGCTCCTATAGTTAAGTGCTAAGGAGTGTGATTGCTGGATCATATAGTAAGAATATGTTTTGTTTGTAAGAAACTGCCAAACTGTCTTGCAAATGGCTGTACCATTTTGCATTCCCACCACCAGTGAATGAAAGTTCCTGTTGCTACACATCCTTGCCAGCATTTGATATTGTCAGTGTTCTGGATTTTGACCATTTTAATAGATATGTAGTGGTATCACATTATTGTTTTAATTGGCATTTTCCTGATGATGTAAGATGTGGAGCATTTTTTCATATGCTTATTTTCCATCTGTATATCTTCTTTGGTGAGGTGTTCCTTAAGGTCTTTGGCGCATTTATAATTGAGTTGTTTGTTTTCTTGTTGAGTTTTAAGAGTTCTTTGTATATTTTGGATAACAATTCTTTATCAGATATATCTTTTGCAATGATTTCCTCTCAGTCTGTGGTTTGTCTTCTCATTCTCTTTACCTTGTCTTTCACAGAGTAGAAGTTTTAAATTTTAATGAAGTACAGCTTATCAATTCTTTCTTGCATGGATCATGCCTTTGATGTTGTATCTAAAAAAGTCATCACCCTATTCAAGGCTATCTGGGTTTTCTCCTATGTTATATATGTTATATTCTAGGGGTTTTATGGTTTCCCATTTTACAATCAGGTCTATTATCAACTTTGAGTTAATTTTTTTAATTTTTAATTTTTGTGGGTACATGGTGTATATATTACATATTGCAAGAGATAGGGTACATGAGATGTTTTGATGCAGGCATGCAATGCATAATAATCACATCAAGTAATATGGGGTATCCATCCCCTCAAACACTTATCCTTTGTGTTACAAACAATCTAATTATAATCTTAGTTATTTTTAAATGTACAATTAAATTATTATTGACTATAGTCACCCTGTTGTGCTATCACATACTAGGTGTTATTTATTCTTTCTGACTATTTTTTATACCCATTAATCATCCCCACCTCCCACCCTCTCCACTCATTTTCTCAGCCTTTGGTAACCATCCTTCTACTCTCTATCTCCATGAGTTCAATTGTGTTGATTTTTAAATACCACAGATAAGTGAGAACGTGTGATATTTGTCTTTCTGTGCCTGGCTTATTTCACTTAGCATGATGACCTCCAGTTACGTCCACGTTGTGGCAAATGACTGGATCTCATTCATTTTTATGTCTGAATAGTACTCCATTATGTATATGTACCATATTTTCTTTATCCACTTGTGATGGCTAATACTGAGTGTCAACTTGATTGGATTGAAGGATGCAAAATATTTTTCCTGGGTGTGCCTGTGAAGGTGTTGCCAAAGGAGATTAACATTTGAGTCCGTGGACTGCGAAAGGCAGACCCTATCCTCAATCTGGATGGGCACAATCTAATTAGCTGCCAGCGTGGCCAGAATGGAAGCAGGCAGAAGAACGTGAAATGACTAGAATGGTTTAGTTTTCTCGTCTACATCTTTCTCCCTTGCTGAATGCTTCCTGCCCTTGAACATCAGACTCCAAGTTCTTCAGCTTTGGAACTCAGACTGGCTTCCTTGCTTCTCAGCTTACAGACAGCCTATTGTGGGACCTCACCTTGTGGTCACGTGAGTCAATACTCCTTAATAAACTCCCGTTTATATATACATCTATCCTATTAGTTCTGTCCCTCTAGAGAACCCTGACTAATACACCATTCATCTGTTGATGGACACTGATATGGTTTGGCTGCGTCCCCCATACAGGTCTCATCTTGAATTCCCATGTGTTGTGGAAGGGACCCGGTGGGAGATAATTGAGTCATGAGGAGAAGTCTTTCCCATGCTGTTCTAGTGATAGTGAACAAGTCTCATGAGATCTGATCATTTTATAACGAGGAGTTCCCCAGCACAAATTCCCTCTTTGCCTGCTGCCATTCATGTATGAAGTGACTTGCTCCTGCTTGCCTTCCTCCATGATTGTAAGGCCTCCCCAGGCATGTGGAACTGTTAAGTCCAATAAACCTCTTTTTTTCTGTAAATTGCCCAGTCTTGGGTATGTCTTTATCAGCAGCATGAAAATGGACTCATAGAGACACTTAGATTGCATCCAAATCTTGTCTATTGTGAAGAGTGCTGCAAAAATTATGGGAGTGCAGGTATCTCTTCCATATACTGATTTCCTTTCTTTTGGGTATATACCCAGCAGTGGAATTGCTGGATCATAGGGTAGCTCAATTTTTAGTTTTTCAAGGAACCTCCAAACTGTTCTCCATAGTGGTTGTACTGATTTACATTCTCACCAACAGTGTGCAAGGGTTCCCTTTTCTCCACATCCTCGCCAGCATTTGTTATTGCTTGTTTTTTGGATATAAGCCATTTAATTGAGGTGAGGTGATATCTCATTGTAGTTTTGATTTGCATTCCTCTGATGATCAATGATATTGAACACCTTTTCATATGTCTGCTTGCCATTTGTATGTCTTCTTTTGAGAACTGTCTATTCAAATCTTTTGCCCGTTTTTAATGAGATTATTAGATTTTTTTCCCCATAGAGTTTGTTTGAAATCCTTATATATTCTGGTTTTTAATCCCTTGTCAGATGGGTGGTTTGAAAATATTTTCTCCCATTCTATGTGTTGTCTCTTCACTTTGCTGTGCAGAAGCTTTTTAACTCGAGATGATCCCATTTGTCCACTTTTGCTTTGGTCGCCTGTACTTATAGAGTACTACTCAAGACATTTTTGCCGAGACCAAAGTCCTGGAGAGTTTTCCAAATGTTTTCTTGTAGTAGTTTCATAGTTTGAGGTCTTAGATTTAAGTGTTACATCTATTTTGTTTAATTTTTGTATATGGTGAGAGATAGGGGTTTAGTTTCATTTTTCTTCATATGGATATCCAGTTTTCCCAGCACCATTTATTGAAGAGACCATTTTTACCCCAGTGCTTGTTCTTGGCACCTTTGTGAAAAATCAGTTCGCTGTAGGTGTGTGGATTTGTTTCTGGGTTCTCTATTCTGTTCTATTGGTCTGTGTGTCTGTGTATCATAAGGGTGACAGTGGTTTCTTGCTGCTCTCTGGCTTATCTCACTCTTCTATGTTGGCTCTCAGTTCTTCCAGTCACTCGTGTGACTAATTCCTTGAATCAATTTCTGTTGTAAATTCCTGAAGTGGTTTCTACTTTCCTGGTGGGTTCTTTATTGATTTATGTGAAAAAAATTTTTAATCTAGTACCTGGTTAGTAATAATTTCTTCTTATATGGTGGGTTTAAATAAATATAAACTAAGTAGAAATTAGTAAATCCTAAGCATTTTAAGTATGAGAAAAATGCCACAAGCTTATAAACCTTTATTCACAACTCTAAAATCTATAAAGCTCAGAAAACTGAGTTTTGTTTTTAAAAAAACAACAGTGTTTTAAAAACAGTTTGTGGCAAACTTGTTTGATTGCAAATTCTGACTTGAACTGACATGAAGCTATTTATAACATTTATATACCTTATTCTGTGTGACTTTATTTATAAGTTTCTTTGCAGAAAATTTAATATATTTAACTCCAGGAGACTTATCAGGCTCCACTGGGGATGTTATGTCATAAATGAAATGTGTGTATATAAATTCCAAAAGATTCTGAATTTAGAAATCCATTGCACCCAAGGGTTTAGAGTAAGGGATTGTGTGGTCATACAGATTTCAGAAAAAGGAAAGGTTATCTCTGAAATGGCCTTGCAGAATTGGTAGAATGGCAGAGATAGGAGGTAAAGGCATTCTGAGTATAAATAAAGTCATATTTATATGTACATATTTATATGTACATTATATATACATATATATGTATAAGCTTTTGTAAAATGGGTAGAGTTCTTGATTTGATTCTCAGCTTGGTCACTGTTAATGTATTGCAGAGCTGCTGATTTGTGTACATTAATTTTGTATCCTGAAACTTTTCTGAATTCATTTATCAGTTCTAGGAGCTTTTCAGAGGAATCTTTAGGGTTTTCTAAGTATACGATCATATCATCAGCAAACAGTGAGAGTTTGACTTCCTCTTTACTGATTTGGATGCTCTTTATTTCTTTCTCTTGTCTGATTGCTCTGGCTAGGACTTCCAGTACTGTGTTGAATAGACGGGGTGAGAGTGGGCATCCTTATCCTGTTTCAGTTCTCAGAGGGAATGCTTTAAACTTTTCCCTGTTCAGTATTATGTTAGCTGTGGGTTTGTCATAGATAGCTTTTATTACATTGAGGTATGTCTCTTTTATGCTGATTTTGCTGAGGGTTTTAATCATAAAGCAATGCTGGATTTTGTCAAATGCTTTTTCTGTGATGATTGAGATGATCATGTATTTTTGTTTTTAATTCTGTTTATGTGCTGTATCACATTTATTGACTTGTGTATGTTAAACCATCCCTGCAACCCTAGTATGAAACTCACTTGATCATGGTGGATTATCTTTTTGATATGCTGTTGGATTCAGTTAGCCTAGTATTTTGTTAAGGATTTTTACATCTATGTTCATCAGGGATACTGGTCTGTAGTTTTGATTTTTTGTTATGTCCTTTGCTGGTTTAGATATTAGAGTGATACTGGCTTCATAGAATCATTTAGGGAGGATTCCCTCTTTCTCTATCTTGCAGAATAGTGTCAATAGGACGGTACAAATTCTCTTTGAATGTCTGATAGAATTCAGCTGTGAATATGTCCAGTCCTGGACTTTTTTTGGTTGGTCTTTTTTTTATTACCATTTCAATCTTACTGCTTGTTATATTGTTCAAGGAATATACCTAACCAAGGAGGTGAAAGAACTCTACAAGAAAAACTACAAAACACTGCTGAAAGAAATCATAGATGGCACAAACAAATGGACACACATTCCATGCTCCTGGATGGGTAGAATCAATATTGTGAAAATGACCGTACTACCAAAAGCAATCTACAAATTCAATGCAATTTCCATCAAATTGCCAACATCATTCTTCACAGAACTAGAAAAAAAATCCTAAAATTCATATGGAACCAAACAAAAGCCCACATAGCCAAAGCAAGACTAAGCAAAAAGAACAAATCTACAGACATCACATTACCTGACTTCAAACTATACTATAAGGCCATAGTCACCAAAACAGCGTGGTACTTGTATAAAAATAGGCACATAAACCAATGGAATAGAATAGAGAACCCAGAAATAAAGTCACATACTCACAGCCAAATGATTTTTGACAAAGCCAATGGCATAAAGTGGGGAAAGGACACCCTATTCAACAAATGGTGCTGGGATAATTGGCAAGTCACATGTAAGAGAAAGAAACTGGATTCTCATCTCTCATTTTATACAAAAATCAATCTGAGATGGATCTGGGACTTAAATCTAAGACCTGAAAATATAAAAATTCTAGAAGATAACGTAGGAAAAACCCTTCTAGACATTGGCTTCGGCAAAGACTTTATGACCAAGAACCCAAAGCAAATGCAACAAAAGTAAATAGGTGGGACTTAATTAAACTAAAAAGCTTCTTCACAGCAAAAGGAACAGTCAGCAGAGTAAATAGACAACCCAAAGAGTGGAAGAAAATCTTCACAATTTATACATCCAACAAAGGACTAATATCCAGAATCTGCAAGGAACTCAAACAAATTAGCAAGAAAAAAACAATCCCATCAAAAAGTGGACTAAGGACATGAATAAGCAATTCTCAAGATATACAAATGGCCAACAAACATATGAAAAAATGCTCAACATCACTAATTAACATGGAAATGCAAATCAAAACCACAATGCAATACCACCTTACTCCTGCATGAATAGCCATAATCAAAAAATAACCAAAATCATAGGTGTTGGTGTGGATGTGGTGAAAAGGGAACACTTCTACACTGCTGGTGGGAATGTAAAGTAGTGCAGCCACTATGAAAAACCGTGTGGAGATTCTTTCAAGAACTAAAAGTAGAACTACCATTTGATCCAGCAATCCCACTACTGAATATTTACCCAGAGGAAAAGAAGTCATTATATGAAAAAGATATTTGCATATGCATGTTTACAGCAGCACAGTTCACAATTGCAGAAGTATGGAACCAGGCCAAATGCCCATCAATCAACTAGTGGATAAAGAAATTGTGGTATATATACAATGGAATACTACTCAGCCCCAAAAAGGAACAAATTAATGGCATTCCCAGCAACGTGAATGGAACTGGAGGCTATTATTCTAAGTGAAGTAACTCAGGAATGAAAAACCAAACATTGTGTGCTCTTATTCATAAGTGGGAGTTAAGCTATGAAGATTCAAAGGCATAAGAATGACATAATGGACTTTGGGGACTCGGGGGAAAGGCTGGGAAGGGGGTGAGGGATAAAAGACTACAAATTGCGTTCAGGGTATACTGCTTGGGTGATGGGTATACCAGAATCTCACAAATTACCACTAAAGAACTTAGTCATGTAACCAAATGCCACTTGTTCCCCCAAAACCTGTGGAAATAAAAAAATTTTTAAAAAGAGAAAGGTATAAATAAAAATGTAGAAAAAGGGAAAAATGAGAGACGTGGAAAAACTGTAACTAGGAGGAGGAGATAAATGAGAATAAGTAGGATATAAATTATAAAAAATTACCTAATGTTGAATAATATTGATAAGAAATTGAGAACCTTTCATAAATTTTGAGTAGAAGAGTAACTTAAATGACATTGTGCTAAAAGAACATTAAACTAAGTAGGCTGGCTTGATAAGACAAATTTTGGAGATGGGATACATTCAACAGGCTGCTTTAATAGAATGGGCAAATAAAATTGAAATGGGTTGGTGGTACGGCAAATAAAGTACAAATATAGAATCTATAGTATTTGGTAATTAACTGAATATAGGGGAAGGGAAGGGTATCTTAGATAACTAAGTTCTCATGGCACTGAAAGAACGGTGCTACCGTTAGTAGAAATATACAAGATAGTGGGAGGAGCAAGGTTTGGGATAAGAGGACATTTTTAAGCTAGGACATACGGGGGAGCTCAAATATTAAAGCCATCTGGAAATGATGGAATGTTATGAAGACAGCATGTGAATATCTGCTTTCTTACAGTCATTTATGGAGTCATAAGGTTGTGAGAAAAGCGTTTCCAAGTATGTTCTTCATTTGAAATTAGCATATAGAAATCAGACTTCAGAACTGATAGGTTTGCTTTGGTAAAGCTCTTCAAAACAAAAGCTTTGCCAATGTTTGGATTTAAATAAATTCCTATAACTAAGAACAGAAACTGCTATTTTCATATTAACAAATTCACTTCCCCAGCACATATGCCACAGTTCCAGAATTACAAATTGAATGAATACACAGTTATGAAAAGAAATTCTAAAGTGATTTTATGGTTTTGATTCCTTGTGAGTTTGGAATTATCATTCTAAGGTGATCTGAAAATTCTTATTCCTCAAAAGTAGTTTATTAAATAGACATCTATCCTTTTCCTTTGAGAAATGGCAATCACAAAACCACAGTCATATTTTTGTCATTGCTCAAGTACCATCGAAATTGCAGTATCATAGAAACAGATGCACTTCTCTAATTATAGAGATGGTGACTTTGTTTATAGGCAAATGCAGTTTTCAAATGTACAACTAGTTCCTTTTTATTAAGTGGGTCTCCTGTGGCTAGAGTGAAGTTAGCTCTCATAAGTATACACAAGGACACCTGTATTAGTTCACTAGGGCTGCCTTAAGAAAATACCACAAACTGAGTGACTTTAAAAAAAACAAATTTATTGTCTGGGTTTTGGAGGCTAGAAGCTTGAAAGCAACGTGTCAGCAGGGTGGGTTCCTTTTGAGGGCTGTGGGGGTAGGATTTGTTCCAGGCCTTTCTGCTTGGCTTGTAGATGGCCGTCATCTCCCCCTGTCTCTTCACATAGTCATCCCTGGGTACATGTCTGTCTCTGTCCAAATTTTCCCTTTTGTGAGGACACAATCATATTGGATGAGGGCCCACCCTCCTGGTCCCATTTTAATTTAATCAGGTCTGTAAAGACTATACCTTCAAATAATGTTACTTTCTGAGGTACTTGGCGTAGAACTCCAATATGGGTTTTTTCTTGTGGGGGGTGGGGTGGACACAATCATTATAGGTGTGTTCATATGACTCATGCACCCCTTGCCCCCACTGCTGAGAATGTGGGATGGAACTCCTGGATGATAGGCTGACACAGACAGTTCTTTCAAGGAGGAAAATTAATAATCAATGGAAAGATGATGATTTGTTCACTGGGTCCTCTTTACTATTAGACTAAAGATATTCTTTCCAAAAAAATGGAGCCTGGATACATCATAATTATCTATCTGTCAGTAAAAGCAATAACTTTTTAAAAAAAATTCCAGGAGAGTTTTTATTTTATTTATTTGTCATAATTAACTTTTATTTAACTTAATTATAAGTTGCTGATGATAGGGCATTGTCTTATGCCCAACATACAGTTGTTCTTATGCCCAACATATTGTAAGTTTATTAAATAAGTGAAATAATGAACAAATAGTTTATGAGATTCTGTTGTATACCATTGCATTATCATTTGGAGAGAAGAAAGAGAAAGAGGAAACAAATAGTGGAATGACAGAATCCTCTCTGTAAATAAAATAAAAATAAAAATTATAGAATATCAGAATTTGGAGACCATTGTAGGAGAAATTCAGTCTCCCTTTTCACAATGGAGAATTGATGTTCAAGCAGATCAACGTTTCTGAGATCATAGGGGTAGTTAGTATCAGGCTTAGGAATAATATGGCATAGTGGAGGCACTTTGAAATCAGAGTTTTTATTGCTGCCATTTTTTATACAGGCATTATTTAGATCTGCAGGTCAATTAAGGATTGGCTGATCTCAGCTGGGCTCAGCTGGGTGACTGTTAATGTCATCTAGGCTCTCTCGTGTCCTCTCAGTTGATCTAGGCTGGCCTTGGCTGGGGTGATTTGGCTTTGTCCTTCATGTCTTTCATTTTTCTTTTGGGATCAATGGGCCCAGTTGGGTATGTTTTTATGGCAATGACAGAGGAGCAAGAGAGCAAGCCCAACTGTTGCAAGCATTTTCCAAGCTTTTAGTTATGCTATGTTGCTAATATTCCATTGGTAAAGTCAAAGGGCTGAGCCCAAGGTAAAGGAGAAGGATATACTCTCATTCTTCAATGGGAGAAACAATGAAGTCACATGACAAAGGCCACAGATAAAAGGGGAGGCTATGAAGAATTGAGGCCAATAATCTACCACAAATGATGAAAGATGGGGACTGAGAGATAGAAGGTGGGAATTTATAAGATGTGTGCTTTTCCCCTCAAGAATAGGGTACCCAAAATCTTGGCTCTACTGTGTAACTTTGTGAAAATTGGCTATCTAGCTTCAGTTTCTTCACCTATAAGCAGAGATTAACGATATCTATATTGTTGTATAATTGTGAAGAATATGGAGATGTTAGTTATAAAACTTCATCATGTAGTATATTTTGAATTTGTTAGATTCCTTTCCTCTTCTCCTTCAAGGTACTATTTCAGGGTATACATACCTAAAAAACTAGAAGACCATTACAAAGCAAATAATTTTGGGTGTTTGTTTAAATGTTTGTGCTGTTTACCAGTGAAGCCACCTTGTCCTCTAGTCTTCTTTGGTGGGAGGTTCTGATTAGAATTCAGTCTCTTTCCTTGTTATAAGTCTGTTCAAATGTTCTATTTCTTCTTGTGTCAGTTATTGTAGTTTGTGTTTTACTAGGAATTTGTTTCATCTAAGCTTCTGAATTTGTTGACATATAATTGCTCATAGTATTGTCTTATAATCCTTTTATTTCTCTAAGGTAGGTAATAATGGCCACATGTTCATTTCTGACTGTTTCATGGCTTTTGATGTACCCTGAGTCTTCTAATCCATTGCAGTCATTATCCTTGTTGATGTTGTATTAACGCATCCCTGTTCAGTGAGACTGTCAGGCTGGCTCCTGTATCTGGGTGACACCACTTCATGAGCCCATGGCAGCGTCTTTGATCTGTGAGACACTGAGATGACCCAGTGTACTAGTTCATTCTCACACTGCTATAAAGACATACCTGATGCTTGGTAATTTATAAAGAAAAGAGGTTTAATTGGCTCATGGTTCTGCAAATATATACATAATGATTTATTGTGCATTACTGATTGTGCATTAATGTAGAGGAGGAAAAAAGGGGAAATTTCTTGGTATGAAGAGGATATTCAACAAAGATGAATGGACAGGAATAGAGAGGGTATTCCAAGGATAGAAGGGGACTGGCATAAAATAAAATGAGGAAATGGTGTTGAAATAAATAAAATCAGAAAATAGTCTCATGATAGCGCTTTCTCCCTGTGTGGGATACTAGAGTAGGAGGCATGTGCTAAATGGGTCTTGAAAAAATTTGCAAGATATTTCTTGTCTTATGTCTGTCCAGTACTTTTTCTTCTCCTAGGATTCTTTAGAGATTTGTAAAACTGGAAAGAAGATCTAAAGAGATTGAAATGACATGTGCTTTGCTTCTCTCCTATTTTCTGATCTTTTCCATTTATTCTAATCTTTGCTGTGGACATATATACCATTGTGTTCTTTATTCATTAAGCATTTATCATGGGCCAACTATGTGCAAAGTATTATATCTGATTTGAGGTGATGAGTTAGTGGTTGTGGGATGTGTGTACAGAGATATATGACAAAGGTTTCTGCTGTCTGGAAACTGGATATTCTCAAGTTGTTCCTTCCACCCACCTGCAGTAATTTACATTCTTCTTTCTTGCACTATCTACTTTGCTTTTTATCTCAGGCTGACCTCTATGAAAAGGATCAACTGAGCTCTGTTTCTTCTGTCTTCCATTTGAGTTTAGTTGATTGGATGCACCAGTAAGGGGGAAGAGAGTTTGATTCCTGCCCTGCGGGCCTGAGGTTTGGCAGTGGCTGGATTTATACAAGTCACAGATCCCATCCAGCACCCAGACCTTTCCTACAGCTACAGCTACAGCTGCCCTGAGTTCTGGTAACTGCTCCTTCTCTTACCCCTTTAGGCCTAAATGTAGTAATAGCTTCCACTGTTGCCAGTCCTGAGGTGCTTCATCAATAGTTGTTGGTTTCCCTTAATCCCATCCATACATTTGTACATAGTCCCTTCACTAATCCTTCTTCAGTTACTCCTTCTGATTGTGCCATCTGTGTTCTGTCAGGACCCTGGCTGATACACCTTCCTGCTGTAAAGCCAATATGTGAATTGAGAGACAGATGGTGGTAATGTGCTTTCCTTCTGAGTACAAGATTTGCTGGATTAGTGATACCCAATTTTTAAATATATATTTTCATACATTTTCCTTTTTGTTTGCAAGATGCTTTTTATTGTTGCTATTTGTCTTCTCTGAGATATTAAAGATAGCATGTACAGTGTAGTATAGTAGCTTTTCCTTTCCTCTCTCCCTCCCTTCTTCCTCTCTCTCTCTCTCTCCCTCCTTTCCTCCCTCTCTTCCCTTTCTTTCATTCTTTCTTTGTTTCTACATATTTTATTTTAAATATGACAATATACATACACACATGCATACATATTTAAAATTCACCTTCTACATTATTAGACAAGCTCTTCCTCTAAATGCTGATTTTTCACAAATTATTTTCATTTGTGTAATCTAAGTCATAAATCTAAGTCTTGCTCTTATTTTCAAAGATGTAGCTCTTTTTGCCAAGTAAACCATATTGTCCTTTCTCTCTTTTCACCTTCTTCACTGGAATTCACGTGAATGAATAAATGTCTATTCTATTTGGCCTCTCTTTCAAAAGATTTGATAAATACCTAACTTCTGAAAGCCCCAAAGAAGTAAGTTCATTTCCATTCCAAAGATAAACAGGCTCAGAGATTTACTCTGCTCCATAAAATTAACAAATATATAAATTGTAGATAAGGAATTGGAATTTCTGTTTCTGATTCCAAATTCCATATATCTCACTATATTTACTGTAACCTATTATTTGTTCATATATAATAGCAGATAGTAGTGGAATTCCTAATGTATATCAATCACTGGGATGCAGAGATGGTTTAAAAATTCTCACAGTTCAGAGGAGTACATGGTGAGATAAATAAAGCACGAATTGGAGACTTATGGCAACAGAGTCAGAGGGCAGAAAAAAATGCTGTGCTCTGGGAAGGTAGGAGAGACTCCTCAGAGAAGAAATATTTAAGTCAAGTCATCATATTTAAGTAAGACTTTCCTAGGCAGAATGAATTTCGGGGAGGAATAACTGATATTGCCTTTATTTTAAATTTTGATATTTTATCTTTTTTTGCATTGATTTTTTAAAATATTGCATAAAATATTTCCCTTGATGACTGAGTTTTTTTGGCATCCCTTTAAACTTTGTGCTGAAGCAAATGCCCTGTTCTTCTAGCTCTAGTCTTTTCCCTGGGAACAGTCACGGAGTTGGAAAAGAAACAGATTTACCAGCAAATGGCGAACAATTCAGCCTTAGTAGAGTGAAGGGTGCAAGTCCGTGGGAGTGGTGGGGAGGTGGAGATTCTCCAAAGACAGTTGAGGGCTGAATTGTGAGGCGACTGTGTAATAGGCTAAAAATTTTGGTTTTGATTTTTTAAAAGAGTAATTGGAAGGCTTTTTTAAAAATCAAGAATAATATCATCAGATTTTATTTTTGGAAGAATCCTTTATAGAGGACTGAGTGAATCAGTGCAAGACTTGAAGCAAGGCAATAAACTGAGTTAGTTTCATTAAACAAAGTAAGAACTATTGAGAACCTAAATAAAAGTGAGATAGATATTAATTTGGGTAATATAATCTTATAATTAAAATATTTTATGCTAATTATAGAATTTTAATTTTTTTCTTCTAGGAATGTTCATCTGGCCAAAAATTATTTTGAAAATGTCATCATCTGATTTTCTACCTTTTAATATTTCACTTGTCTCTAGTTAAGCTATAAAATAATGGTGAAGCATAACTTCACACATCTAATTTATCTGATAAACACTGTTTTTCTCGTTCTCAAGAAAATCAACAGCAGGAAACCTCAGAGTTGATTTTGTTTAGCCTCTTACCACATAGCGGAAAAAAATGGAAAATAAGTGCAAAAAGCCTGAGAAATTGAAAGTACACTCTAGTCACTTGAGAATTATCTCTCATAATCCTTTACAAACTTTTCTTTTCTCTTCTTTTCTTTTTTCTTTTCTCCTCTCCTCTCCTTGCCTCTCCTCTCCTCTCCTCTCTTCTCCTCTCTTCTCTTCTCTTCTTTTTTTTTGGAGTGCAGTGATCTCGGCTCACTGCAGCCTCAACCTCTCAGACTCAAGAGATGTTCCCATCTCAGCTTCCCAAGTAGCTGAGACTCCAGGCGCACGCCACCACACCTGGCTATTTTTGTATTTTTTGTAGAGATGATGTTTTGCCATGTTGTCCAGGCTGGTCTTGAACTCCTGAGCTCAAAGTGGTCTGGCTGCCTCAGCCTCCCAAAGTGCTGGGATTTCAGGCTACAAACTTTTTCAACCCTAATAAGGAGAAAGTTCCTCCACTACAAAATGCTCAACTCATCCTAATGTTTTTTCATTTGTTTACCTAGCAACATTCTTTCACTCTATAAGATATTTTTAAAAAATATAGCCTATAAGAGAACAATTTGTCCACGTATAGTTCAACCAGGGTTATGTCATATTTCATTATTTAAATCATGCTATTTTTTGGGGGGATCACAGAATAACCATACTGGGGAATTAAGATATGAAAATGATAAAAGTCAACTGCTGATGGATTTCATGTTCCTCATCACTTTGCACCGTATCATCAGCAAGAAAGTATGAAATTAAAAAGAATGAAGAAAAGGCTGTAATAAGTTTGTCCTGGAAAAATATGAGTTACTTTGTGAAGTAATAAGTAACTTTATTTTGGCAGTCATTGTTGGCAGACGTGGAAGATATTGTTTAATAGATTTTTCTGACTGTTTTCCTAATAGGGCATCTTCATCATGAACCTCAATGCCAAGTGTCTTATCTTGTAAGTTATGATATCTTCTTTCAGGGGACAGAGAAATAGGAGTTGAGAAACTAGTTTCTAGTTTGGTGAACAGAACCTTCTCTAAGCAATTAGGAAAATGAGTATGTATCTGTAGCAGATGTTAATTAGGGTTCTGTAATCATCTTTCCCTTTCCTTGCTTCTCCGTTATTTCCATTCCTTTTCTTTCTGCTAACTTGGGCATTTATTCATCCCCAAAGTTTCACATATCTTCTCTAGACTGGTGGCTCAATCTCCTCAACTCATTCTGTACTTCAGATATCTAGAGCTATAGTCTTGTTTGCCTTCTAGATTTTTTTTTCTTAGAATAGCTCAGTTTCTAACAGTGTACAGTGTAATATTTCAGATTGCCCTGCCTTTGCAGAAGATACTACTATTGGCTTAGTCAACTCAATTTGAAACCTGTGAATAACCTTTCATTTTTTTCATGTTTTCCTTTTCCTAGAACCTTATCTTCTTGATATTTTCAGCACCTCCTCTTTCATCCCTCCATTTCCATCCTCACAGTATGTCATTCATTATGACATGACTAGACCATTGCAGTAGCTGCTGCCTGGTCTTCCTTCCTTTGTGTTTAGCATTCTTGTCCCCTCTCCTCCAAATTCTAATTTAATCCGGGAATTTGAACTTTGGGATTGATTGTGTCACATCCTGCTCAAAACTCACTGTTTGCTCCTTCTCGTTTACTAATTAAGGTCACACATTCTATAGTCCTAACCTATCTATTTAATTGCATTTAGCTATTGTTTTATTTTTAAATTTACATAGTGTGACACAATTTTTTTTGCTATGCAGTTTTATGAGTTGTGAGAATGAATAATGTCATGTCACCATCACCACAATCACAATAAATCGGTTTTGTCACCCCCAAATCTTTCCTTTTGATGTTCCTTTGTAGTCAAACTCTTCTTCTGTCCCTGAGCCTTGGCCATAATTGATCTTTTTTCTGTCCTTATAGCTTTGCCTTTTCCAGAACATGACCTACATGCAATCATACAGTATGTAATATTTGGATCTAGATTCTATCACTTAGCAGGACACATCTGTCCTTATTGCATATATCGATAGTTCATTCCTTGTAATTGCTGAGTAGTATTCCATTGTATGGATCACCAAAATTTTCTTATCCATTCATTAAAGGACATTTGAGTTATTTGCAATTTGGAAATTATGAATAATGCTACTATCAACATTCACATGTAGATTTTTATGTGAATATATCCTTTCATTTCTTTTGAGTAAATACCTAGGAGTAAATGAGTGGGTCATATGGTAAGTGGATGTTTATCTTTGTAAGGAACTGTCAAACAATTTTCCAGAGTGGTTATACCATTACATTTCCAACAGGAATGTATGGGTATTCCAGTTGCTCTGCATCCTTGCCAGTGCTCACTTTGTCAGGGGTGTGTGTGTGTGTGTGTGTGTGTGTGTGTGTGTGTATGTATGTGTGTGTGTGTATGTATGTATGTGTGTGTGTATGTGTGTTGTTTTTTAGCTATTCCAGTCCATGTATACTGATATCTCCTTGTGACTTTAATTTGCATGGCTCTAATGACTATTGATGGTGAAAATATTTTTATGTGATTATGTGCCATTGGTATATTTTTTTGGTGCAGTGTCTTGATATTTTCTACTCATAGTTTGTTGGTTTTTTCTTTTCCTTTTTCTTTTTTTTTGAGATGGAGTCTCACTCTGTTGCCCAGGCTGGAGTACAGTGGCGCGATCTTGGCTCACTGCAACCTCTGTCTCCTGAGTTCAAGTGATTCTCCTGCCTCAGCCTCCTGAGTATCTGAGATTACAGGTGCTTGCCACCATGCCCGTATAATTTTTGTATTTTTAGAAGAGATGGGGTTTCACCATGTTGCCCAGGCTGGTCTTGAACTCTTGACCTCAGGTGATCTTCCCGCCTCGGCCTCCCAAAGCGCAGGGATTACAGGCGTGAGCCACTGTGCCCAGCCTTCTTTTCTTATTACTGAGTTTTGAGAGTTTCTTTTTTATTTTGTATACTCTGTCAGTTATATATATTTTTCTCCCAGTCAAAAGCTTGTCCTTTTAGTCTCTGAACAGTGTTTTTTATAGAACAAAATATTTTAATTTAGCTGAAGTTTAATTTATCAATTTTTCTTTTATGGATCATGCATTTGGTGGCATACCTCAGATTTCTTTGTCTAATACAAATGCATGGAGATTTTCTCTCTTGTTTTCTTCCACAATTTTTATAGTTTCACATCTTACATTTAGGTCTATAATCCATTTTGAGTTTGTATGTGTATGTGTATAAACTGTGAGTCATAGGTTAGGATTAATTTCGTTTTTTGAGTCAGAATCTCATCCTGTTGCCCAGGCTGCAGTGCAGGGCATGATCAGAGCTCACTGCAGCCTTGACCTCCTGGCTCAAGTGATCCTCACGCCTTAGTCTCTCAAGTAGATGGGACTTACAAGAATGCACCACCATGCCCATCTAAATTTTTTTTTGTATTTTTTTGTAGAGATGGAGTCTCACTATGTTGCCCAGGCTGGTCTCAAACTCCTGGCCTCAAGCAATCCTCCCACCTCAGCCTCCCAAAGTTCTGGGATTACAGACATGAGCTACCACTCCTGGATGAGGTTCTTTGTTTGTTTTTTTGTTTTGCACGTGGAAGTCCAATTGTCCTAGCACCATTTGTTGAAAAGAACAGCATTTGCACCATTGCCAAATATCAATTGACTATGTTTGTGTTGGTATTCTTTTTGATTTTTTATTTTGTTTCATTGATATTTATCTTTTCACTAATACCATACTGTTTTGATCACTGTAGTTTTATAGTAAGTCTGAAAAATCAGGTTCTGTGAACCCTCCAAATTTCATCTTCCTTTGGTTTTGAATTGTTTTGGCTATTCCATATAAATTTTACCATCAGCTTGTTTATATCTACCAAACTTCTCCTGGGTTTTTTATTGGGAGTTGATTAAATCTACAGATCAATTTGGGGAGAATTGATTTGTTAACAATATTCAGTTTCTAGTCCATGAACACTAGATATCTCTCAATTTTATAGATCTTTTCAACTAACTATCTTTTGATTCTATAAATATTCTCTATTATTCTTCTTAGTTTCATTGTTTTCTGTTTTAATCTGTATTATTTTTGTTTTTCTGCTTGCTTTGGATTTAGTTTGCTCTTCTAGTATCTTACGGTGAAAATTAGACCTTTCTTCTTTTCCAAGATAGACATATAATGCTATAAGTTTTTATCTAGGTACTGCTTTAACTGCTTCTCACAAATTTTGATATATTTTATTTTTATTTAGTGAAAAATATTTTCTAATCCAATCTCCCTTTGCAATCTCATCTTTAAAGACTTTCCTTATGTACCCTGTGTTCTAGCCATACTTGTATGATTTCCTGCTTTTGTTCCTTTTCTTTGGCTGTTTTCTTTACTTGAAATGCCTTTCTTCCTAGTTTATCAGTCTGACCCTCCTCAAATGTCATATTCTTTGTGAAGGTTTCCTAGATCACCATAATAGGAAGTGATACCTCCTTTGAGCCCCTAGAGTATGTTATACTTCTCTTATGTCATTTCATTCCTTCTATTGTTCCAGCTCCAAGTCCTTGATGTCCCTCCTGCCCCAAGTCAGAGCTCTTCTCCTAGCAGTTAACAAGGCCCTTGCCTTATATTTTGTAAATCACATGAGTGAAGTTTGGTAATGTGCGTCATTGGTCTTCTCATAGGTTGGTTCTGGAGAGGTGGGTGTGGTAAGTCCTGCAGGTCAGGAGGGCAATGGGGAAGAGCATCGGGATTGCCTCCTACAATTGGCTTGCTTTCCTTTTTCTATCTGATTTTTTTCTATGTTTTTTTTTTCCTATCTTATGTTTTCTATGTATTTAAAAAGGTGTCATCTGGATAAAGAAAATGTGGTACATATACACCATGGAATACTTTGCAGCCATAAAAAGAACGAGATCATATCCTTTGCAGGCACGATCTCGGCTCACCGCAGCCTCTGCCTCTTGGGTTCAAGCGATACTCCTGCCATGAATGGACCTGGAAGCCATTATCCTCAGCAAACTAACACAGGAACAAAAAACCAAACACTGCATGTTCTCACTTATAAGTGGGAGCTGAATGATGAAAACACAAGGACACATGGTGGAGAACAACACACACTGGGGCTTGTTGTGGGGGTGTGGGAGGAGGGAGCACATCAGGAAGAATAGCTAACAGATGCTGGGCTTAATACCTGAGTGATGGGATGTTCTGTGCAGCAAACCACCATGGCACATGTTTACATATGTAACAAACCTGCACATTCGGAACATGTACCCCTGAACTTAAAAGTTGGGGAACAAAAAGTCAGTCATGTTATACTGTCCTGATTAAGCTCCTATCAATATTTACTTTATAAGATTCATATGCCTTTTTTTTTTTTATAAAGGGAGAGCAAGTTTATTAAGAAAGTAAGGAGATAAAGGAATGGCTACTCCACAGACGGAGCAGTGGCCTGGGCTGCTCTACTGAATATACTTATAGTTATTTCTTGATTATATGATAAACAAGGGATGGATTATTCATGAGTTTTCTGGGAAAAGGGTGGGCAATTCCCAGAAATGAGGGTTCCTCCCTTTTTTAGATCACATAGGGTAACTTCCTGATGTTGCCATGGCATTTGTAAACTGCCGTGGTGGTGGTGGGAGTGTCTTTTAGCATGCTAATGCTTATATTAATAATTAGCTTATAATGAGCAGTGAGGATGACTGGAGGTCACTTTCATCGCCATCTTGGTTTTGGTAGGTTTTGGCCAGGTTCTTTACCTCATGCTGTTTTATCAGCAGGATCTTTGTGACTTGTAAATTGTGCTGACATCCTATCTCATTCCATGGCTAAGAATGCCTGACCTCCTGGGAATGCAGCCCAATAGGTCTCAGCCTTATTTTTCCCAGTCCCTATTCAAGATGGAGTTGCTCTGGTTCAAATGCCTTTGACATATTTCTGTTTCACAAGGGTACCCTTAATCCTAAGGGTTGTAGAGGGATGAAGATCCATCTTCTGTAATTTCTTCACGCTGAATAGGGGCGGTGATATTCCTGCCTAACTATTAGGGCATCTTGTAGCCAGGGTAAAGAGGAGCTCAGTCAGAAAGCGTCAGTATGCTGAGGGCCATTTATAACTCTGAGTTCTGACAGAAGGTGTTATCTGGAAGATTAGTAATTGTTCAATTTAAGAAAACATTGAGAAAGCTCATCCTGTATTCCTATATGAAGAGTACAACAGCAATAGATTCCACAACAGTAAAGCAAAATAAGCAAAATTATCCCAAGTAAACAAATTAGAAGGCTTTCCACGAACTGGGCAATTGTTTAAACCATGCTGATTTGGAGTCTCTAGCTGATTCCAACATATGCCCAGAATTAGAATACTGATCCAGATTTTTACATTACCCATCCCTCTTGTTTCTTCTGAGCTGGAGTCAGAGATTCACTGGTTGATTCACAGGAATAAGCAGGGTTAGTCTAAATTACAGGAAAGAAACCTTAAAAACAACTGATGACTAGAATCTAATAACAGGTGTACCATAGTTTTCGAAACAGAATTTTTCTCTCGCCAGTCTCCCATTTTTACTAAAGACAAATCATAATGGGACTGATTTGTTTGCAAAAACAAGCTTTAGTCTTATACTTGGCCTGATTATTTGTATAAAGGGCAGCAAGAACAATTACTTGGGACATAGGATCTTTTTTAAATTGGCTTTGATGGAACTAGTTTAGAGAGTTAAAGGATTGTTTTAAGTTAGAATAAATCTGAAGGTTTGAGCAAGTTGTGGAAGGTTTGTGAAAATTTAATATTGTAAAAGAAATTCTGTGTGAGAACATATTGGCTAAAGTTCAGAGGGGTATTATTGCTTTATTTTATGTATCTCCCAACAGTATTAGCTTAATCTTGGAAGATATCATATCTAATCATCTTTCCAAAATTGTGCTTTTTATTCTTCTCCCCAGTGAGCAGAAGAAAAGGCACCTCACCACACATGACATTATTTAATGCATGTAGATTAGAATATTCCTTGAAGGTGTGGCTTAATTAATCTTTTTAATACATGTGTTGCCCACTTCTCATTACCATCGAGGTGCTGAACATTTCATTTATCTTCAATAAGTGGCGAGGGCTAAAACATGGTAAACAAACAAAAAAAAACTGAGTAAAATACCTGGGAAAGTTTTTAAAATAAAAAAAAACTTAATGAGTGTTTGCCAATCTGAGAGGCAAAGAATGCAGAAGGGTGTCTTATCAAAAACACATATTTGGCTGCAAAAGCATAGAACACACAAAGGCACAACAGTACAGTTTTCCACAGAGACACAGAGATGGTAAGTCTATCATCTCTTCGCTAAATACACTCTTAATGGAAATAAAAACAAGGATGTGTCTGAGTCATCTATTTAGAATTAAATAATGTAGTGTTTAATTTAGTATCTATTTATAAAAATTAAGGCTTTTAAATGATCCCTATCATCAAAGAGTTCTATACAAATTTCTCATCCTTAGGTGTGAAGCTCTCAGATGAACACACATTGAAAATAATAGTGGCATATTAAGATGACTCGAAATTACATAATATAAAGCAAAAACTTCTTATTCAGAAAAATGTGCTGAACTGTGTTTCTAAGGGTGAATCAGTGTTGGTCCAAGTGAATTTACTGAAGTCACTTGTAGCATTGCCTTGCTCTATGAGAAAACTTGCAGATAAAGACTCTTAGATATTACAGAGCATAAAAGGAATAAGCATGACTCGCATTTTTATACAGGGGAATGTGTGTTCTTTTATCTAGGAAAGCAAATTCTTCTTTTCATGCATCCTCAGGTTCTATATAAGCTTTTCCCACACTGAGCTCTTTTTTTTCCCCAGTAACCTGTGTCAGACTGAGTGACTTGGCAACTCTATGCACTTCAGGTGTGGTTCTTGTCTGGGGCCTGGTGATGAAACCAGTATCAAGGTTACTGGCATCCTGCCTGATTCACTTAGAAGTAGCTCTTGTCTATACCAATATGAAGGTTGAGGTTTCAATGTGACTGCTTAGATTTAGATATCTATTTGAACAATGGTTGAAGGAAGTTCTTTAAAATGAGACTTTGGAAGAATTGAGGTTGACTTGAAGACAGAAAACAAAGCTATTAGTGATGCACAGATAGGATTTTAAACAGTAAATATAGGCATGTCAGTGACTGATTATAAAATCTAATCACTAACTACTCTTCGTTAAAGGAGATAAAACCATTTCAGCTATGGATGGCTAGCAAAGAAGTAGGAGTCTCAGTTTTCTACTCTGCTATAATTTTTGCCCAAGTTGAACAACTAGTATTCATCTTCTAATAGGAATATTCAAAGAGTTCTAGTCGCAGAAGTTTTCAGGCTTTACTGCATTTGCTGATGTCCATTTCACGTATATGATACTTTCTGCCAAACTCTGGTCTTATTTTTCAAACAGTTTTATTGAGATATAATTTACATATGTTAAACTGCATGTATTTAAGGTGTACAAATTTAACATCTGTACAACTTATTAAGCCATCACCACAACAAAATAATGAACATTTCCATCATTTCCATATGTTTCCTTGTGTCTCTTCGTAATCTCTCTTTCCCATTCCCTTTAGAAAATCATTCCTCCTCCCTAGGCAACCACTGATCTACTTTCTGTGTCTATAGATTAGTTTGCATTTTCTAGGATTTTATAAAAATGGAATATATACAGTGTGTTCTCTTTTTTGTCTTTTTTCACTCAATATATTTTTTTGAGATCTATTCATATCCTTGCATGTACCAATTATTTTTTATTGCTAAGTAGTATTCCATTGTATGGATATACTTCAATTTGTTGATCCAGTCACATATTTGGACATTTGGGTTGTTTTCAGTTTCTGGCTATTACAGTAAATTTCTGTAAGCATCAATGTATATATTTTGTGTAGTTAGATGCTTTCATTTCTCTTGGGTAAAAACTTGGGTATAGAATCATTGGGTCATATAGTAGCTGCATATTTAATTTTTTTTAAAAAAATTGTCAAACTCTTTTCCAAAGGGGTTGTACCATTTTACGTTCTTATAAGCACTGTGTGAAAATTCCTGTTGTTCTCCATCATTGCCAACAATTCGT
The DNA here is from genome assembly GCF_000001405.40 of Homo sapiens. Taxonomy (NCBI): domain Eukaryota; kingdom Metazoa; phylum Chordata; class Mammalia; order Primates; family Hominidae; genus Homo; species Homo sapiens. The sequence continues at coordinate 80,176,909 of NC_000012.12, forward strand.
ATGATTGGTAATTTTGATTTTAACCCATATTTTTCTAATGACTAATGATGTTAAGCATCTGTTCATGTGCTTGTCATCCATTTATCTTCTTTTGTTTTTCCTATTTTAAAAACTGGGTTGTTTATCTTATTGAGTTGTAAAAATTGTTTATATATATTGTTTATATAGATCAAAGGCCTTTTTCAGAAATGTTTTTCAAATGTTTCCTCTCAATGTTAAAGAGTATTAAAATTTGATGAAATAAAATATAATTTTATAGTTCATGTCTTTTTATATTTAAGAAATCTTTGCAAAAACCAAGGGAATGAAGATTTTCTCCTAAGTGTTCTAGAAATTTTAGCTATTAATTTAAGGTCCACGACCCGTTTCAAGTTAACATTTGTATAGGTTGTAAGGGGGTGGTTGTCATTTCTTAATCACATGGCTATCCAGTTGCTACAACACCATTTGTTAAAGAGATTATCCTTGCCCCATTGAATTGCCTCAGCACCTTTTTTGAAAACTAATAGACCATATATGTATGATATATCTCTTGATTCTTTATTTCATTTTATTGATCTCATTGTCTGCCTTAACACAAATACCATACTGTGTGAATGATTTTAACTTTATAATAAATCTTGAAATCAAGATTGCAAATCTTTAACTTTATCCTTTTTTTTAAATGAAAGTTGTTTTGGTGATCTTATGTCTTTTGCATTTCTACAAAAAAGCCAGTAAGATTGTGTTTGGGATGACATTTAATCTATAGATCAATTTTGGGGGAAATTATATCTAAACAATATTCAGTCTTCTGATCCAAGAATATGGTATATACCTCCATTTCTTTAGGTCTTTAATTTTTTTACAACAATGTTTTGAAGTTTTCAGTGTACAGGTCTTACACATATTATATTTGTCCTTTTGAGGTTGCTTTTAAGCTTGTTAGGATGAATCAGAGCAACCTTTAGTCTAGGGCTAATTTTCTCCACTACTGCAGTAATACTCTTCTGAATATTCCAGCTGATGCCCTATGAATTACAAGATTTTTCATTGTGTCTTACAGAAACATGAGTTATTTCTAGCCTTATATGAGTTTTGGAGATTGTTCTCTCAATTCTTTTAGTTTTTTTCTGTTTTTTCTATTCTATTCTTTTCTTTCTTTCTTTCTTTCTTTTTTTTTTTTTTTTTTTTTGAGACAGAGTCTCTGTCATCCAGGCTGGAGTGCAGTGGTGTGATCTCGGCTCGCTGCAGCCTCTGCCTCCTGGGTTCAAGTGATTCTCCTGCCTCAGCCACCCAAGTAGCTGGGATTACAGACACCTACCACCATGCCCGGCTAATTTTTGTATTTTTAGTAGAGATGGGGTTTCACCATGTTGGCTAGGCTGGTCTCAAACTCCTGACCTCAAGTGATCCGCCTGCCTCGACCTCCCAAAGTGCTGGGATTACAGGCATGAGCCACTGTGCCCAGCCTTTTATATGGTATTTTTGGTTTTGCTTTTGTTTTGGCCAACCTCAGGTATTATGTACTTCCAAACATGCACAAATCAATACTCAAATGAATACTCAAGAGGCACCTTTTGCAGATCTTTCTGTAGTTCTCTATTTTTTAGTACTTTTCCATATAAACTCTAGATGCCTTGGCCTTCCCTGCCTCTCAGTCCTGTCTCCTTAACTTAGAGAGATTACGGGCTATACCTGGGTGCTCTCTCCCTACACAAGCAGTAAGCTGGGACAATCAAAATGCTTACCACACAGTTTGTCCTCTCTCAGTTATCACTGTCCTGTGTTGCCTGATGTACAGTATCTGAGTATGTTTCATATATTTTGTACAGGTTTTTAGTTGTTCCAACTGGGGAGTTAAATCTGGTCTCTGGTACCCTAACTACCAGAGCCAGAAGGAATATTTAACTTTATAAATCGTTCTTTTATCCTTATCTTTTGCCATTTGTACATTTGTATTTTGAAAGCTACTTCTCACTGCCTAGTGTGGAAATTAAGGACTCTTTCATTTTAATTATTGCTTTTGAGGTAGAAGTTTTAGGTAAGACTCCAAGCTCAGTAGAGAATCGGAATATAATATTGAAACTGTTGTGGTTTATTACTGACACATTGAAGCTTTCTAAGAAGAGTAAGGCAGGCTCTCAGGCAGGTCTGAAAATAGTTTGTGAAAGCAGGGGAAAGGAGACTGGCTTGGTTTTTATTGTGATGGGGGCGGTGGGGGCTGGGGTAAAGTGACATCTCACTGGAGCAGGCTTATGTGGTCTGAACTTCCTGCTGGGGCCAAAGGAAGGAATACTCGAGCTTTCTTATTAGTGTGCTCACATGTGGGACAGGAGAAGGGCAAATGGTGACACTTGAAAGTCATCAGCAGACAAACATTAGAAATAGAGTCAGGCTCTTAATTATAACTCACTCCTGATGTTGACTGATGAAAGAAAATGGGCCATGCTTCATTAAACTGAATTTGATCTTATGTAAATCAGTCATTATGGCTTTCTATAAGGCCTGTAGCCTGAGGGCACTAATGGAGGTGAAAACTTCTTAAATACCTTTTAAAAAAAATAAGGAACCTAAAATTAAACGCCTTGGTCACTTCAAGTAATGTTTCAAACTCCAAAGGGGATAAAGAGTGTTATAATGAGGACTTATGTCATGGCTTTAGTATGTGCAGAGACATGTAAGACCTTTAAGGCAAGAGATTCCCAGGGTTCTTTACCCTAATGGAGGCATCTTTGAATAAGGAATCATTGATGGACTAGTTGGACAGACCATTGGTGTTGGCTTGAGAGCCTGAAAAAATGTGGCCAGGGCATTCAGTGCTTAGATGACTGCATGAAGTTTGGCCAGTTTTGCTCACTCTTGGACAATTTTGCCTGTCCTTGACTTGGGACATCCTGGTTGAAGCAGCAGCTCTACAGTGAGCATCCATCATGTATTGGTGGTGCTGCTATCCATGAAATATACAAACTCCTTTTGCTGTTCACTCAGTTGTTCTCAAGGGGACCCATAGGTAGCCAAACACTCCGTGAGAGGAGGAGTGACCTCCTCCAGAACTATGGAGTTTGACAAAGATCGAAGACAAAAGAAGCCACTGTATCCTGCAGGTGGGATATGCCAGAAGATGTAGTCTAAGCTGTATCAAGGTTTGGTTTTATCCTACAAGTGCTATTACTATTTTAGTAAGGAGGCCTTGGTGGCCACGATGAACCTGCAGATTGCTACTTTCATATTCCAAGGCATAATGGCCATCTGGATATGGAGGGTCATAGGCTCTGGGCCTAGATGAATCTGCAGGTTGCTACTTTCATATTCCAAGGCATAATGGCCATCTGGATATGGAGGGTCATAGGCTCTGGGCCTAGATGAATCTGCAGGTTGCTACTTTCATATTCCAAGGCATAATGGCCATCTGGATATGGAGGATCATAGGCTCTGGGCCTAGGATGACCTAGTATGTGGCAAGTGACTTCCCCTCCAGTGGTATTTAGCATGTAGCTGAGGAGAGCAATTTTTAATATCAAAAGCCCATGGGCAACTTTTGGCCATCATGTCATATGTGGTCCATAAACTCTAACAGGTATGAGAGGAGTTTGCAAAGGCCTCTGCAGTGAAGGAGTCTGTGGGGGAACACTAAGGGCAGTGCTATTGTACTTAAACAGAGAAAGGAGCCTTTTGTTGTGGAAGCCCCATTTAAGGTGGGTCAGTTTGTGAGAAATCGTGTAAATGGGCTTAAATTTTAAAATGAGGAATATATTACCTTCAAAATCCAAAAGACCTAAAAGGTGTTCAGCTTGTTTTAGTGTTGTAGGTACTGAGAGGGCCAATAATGTTTTTTTTGCCAGTGTCAAGGATGGAGTGGCCCTGACAGTGTCAAGGAGGGGGTAGTTTACCAAATAATTTTCAGGAATTAAACCAAGGTGCCATGAGCTTGTATAAGGTTATGTATGGGTCAATGATCCATCCCCTTTTTGTGAACCTCTTTGTGAGGATCTGTATTTCCTGAATGAGTGTGTCAAATGAATGCCCTTGGAGGAAGAGTTATCAGTATGCTGTAACTATGGGGAATTTAGACAAGGCAGTAGTTCTGGTGGTTAAGGTGAGGCATATGGGTTTGACCTCTAGTCCATGTTCAATAGCTTCCCTTAGGGCAAAGAGGTTATCTTGTTCAAATTTAGCAGTATGTCCAGGTATAACTAGTTTGAGCTCCATTATTATGAGCATGAAGGTTTGTCAATTGGTACATTTCAGCAGATATTACAATTAGTTTAGATCCTTTGTTGTAGAAGCATAAAAACCAATTAGCATACTTTTTTTTATTTATTGTATAAATTATTTTAGTTTGGGGCTTCAATTTCCAATTGGGTCCAATTGTGGGCCTGTGTTTCAGTTTTTTGTTTCCTCCCCTTACCCCTGTATTTAGATTTTTCTTTTTAAATTTACTTCTCTCTCTCTCTCTCTCTCTCTGTAATAATTACCTTACAGCAGACTGGCCCACCCCCTTTGGTGGTTATTGAATATACTTTGGTGGGGGTGAAGTGTTCTCTTTTCTATTATGCTGGTATTGTAAGTTTCTTCCCCTAGGGAGTCTCCAATCATTGTCATCAGGATTAGGGTCCTCCTGCATGGCAATGTTTGCTTTATAGAGTTTAGAGACTCGAGGTTTAAGTTGGGTTTGAATTAATCCCTGGTTGTACCGTTGGAGTATCATAGGTGTTTTCTACATAACCCTGAGGATCAAGATTTTTTTTTTTGGCTGTAAAGTCATAGGCAACAGCATCAGCAAAGGCATTTCGTAGGGTCCTAGTGAGCCTATCTGCTTTAGGGGTATGACTGCAGCATGCCACATGGTGACTACTCTTCCTTGCATAACTGACCAAATATAAATGGTTTGTATACAATGTAAGTAGGCTTGTATATATCATAGGTTCTCTTTCTCCTGAGCATTCTATAGAATTAGGGCCAATGCCTGATTGAGACATATACTTTACATAGGCTGGGCATGGTGGCTTACATCTGTAATCCTAGCACTTTGGGAGGCTGAGGCAGGAGCATTGCTTGAGTCCGGGAGGTAAAGACCAGTCTAGGCAACATAGTGAAACATTGCCTCTACAAAAAGATAAAAAACAAGTAGCCAGGTGTGGTGGCATAGACCTGTAGTCCCAGCTACTCAGGAGGTTGCTTGAGCCCAGAGGTTGAGACTACAGTGAGCCATGATCACGCCACTGCACTCCAGTCTGGGCAACAGAGTGAAACCTTGTCTCAAAAGCAATTTTTAAAAAGGGGGTAAAAAAATTAAAGAGACGTATACTTTAAATGAGCTCCAATCACATATTCTTGCCCCTAAATGTTATCAAAACTTCCTACTCATGTCAGTGAAATCTATAACAGAGGCTTGGTACGACTCAGCAAATGCAGCAGAAAGCATCACAGCTCAAAGTGAAAACTTGCCAGCATGCTAGACAGCAGGCAATAGAGCCAGTTAAATCCAACTGACCCAATAAGTTTCCTTTAAAATATCTATACCAATTTGCATCACCATAGGAAATGAAAAGTTAAATAGTGCATGATTATACTAAACCAAGGAGCTCCTGGCTTACTATAAGAGATGAATTAAAAAAATAATTGTAATGCAGTGTGATCAATTGACATAGAGGTTGGTTGAAGGCATAAATGAGAATAGGTGGCTTTTCCAGGGTAGAGAAGGAGGTAGCAGAGAGCCTTCAAAGAAAGAAACACTTGTGCTGGTCTAGAAGGAAGATTATGAATTTTTCAGATAGAATGCAGTAGGGATGGAGTGGATTGGAATCAATAGCTGAGAGAATTGCACATGTGAAATATGTGCAATGATACATTTGAGTAATGTAAGAAGCTCAGGATGGCTGAAGCATAGGGAGTACACATCAGCAGGTAGGCTGAAGCAGATATGTAGATGTTTGTACTTTATTGAAGGAAAACCACAATAAAGTTTGCACTTGGAAAGATCACCACGGCAGAAATGCATGAATAGCTTAGAGAGAAAGTCTAGAATCAGGGAAACCCAAGGCTGCTGATAGCCCATGTGGAACTTTTGTACAAATTAGAAAAGAGTACCCTCTCTCAAGTTACTTTTTACTTCATTTTTTGGAAAATGTTTATATCAATAATTACCTTACAACAGACATTTTACTGAAAAGTGAGAAAATTTTTATAAAAATATATAATGCTTACAATACAATTGGTGCCTTCATCAACAGTCAAGTGTAGGGACTGTGCAGAGCACACACTGCATAAACATGTATCACTGAACTGTGGAGACCAACTAGGTAATTACTGCAATAGCTTAGATTGGAGATGACAGTCCTACTGAGGTAGTATGTTCTCTCTCTCACTCCCTTTCTCTCTCTCTCAGCAAATAGCAGCAATAATTCAAGGGCTTGTGATTTATGTTTCCTCAGATTTGAAACAATAGATATAAGATTTGAAGTAGTAGGACTCTTAAGATGACTCCAAGTTCTTTTGGCTTTTTGTTTCTTTTGGTCTTGAGAAATCAGGTGGATAATTACGTCTATCACCTACTAAAATGGATAATAGAGATAGAATCAGGATGTTTTTGGGAGGAGTATATTAGGAAATGATGAGTTCAATTTAGTTTCTGACATGCTAAGTTTGTAGTCTTTGTGGACTTACCTATAGGCAATTAAATGTGTTGATCTGGAGCTCAAGAAAGAGAATGGGCCAAAGCCATAGACTTCATAGTCACCAACACATTGGTAGTTGTAAAAGACACAGGAATGTGTAAGATTCCATGAGCTTTAGAGCATCAAGATTGATGCTTGGCACCATCCTACCAAATAGGTTAGGATAGGCCGAGGGATGAATGAGGTTAGGGCTGCAGGTTGGAGGTCTTCAGCTGGCTGTTGGGAGGCATTAGGGCAGATGGAGATGAACAAATAGGACCCTTGCTCCATAGGAGTGTTTCTCAAATTGTAGTCATTGGACAAGTGGCATCGTGATTCCCTAGGGACATTTCATTAATAGTATATATTCCTGGCTACTAGTGCTGTTGAATTATAATATCTGGATGTGGGACTCTTTTATAGAAACTCTTTATGGGTGATTATTATGTATATTAGAGTGTTCTCTCTTCAAATAGGTCCCTTTTTCCCATAGTTATGGTACTTGAGACTAGATCAATTTGCTTAGTAAGCAAAACTGTAGTTTATGTTTAAACTAGGAATGGAAAATATGTAGCATGTGGCCTTGCATTTCCGTTTCCTATACTAACGGCAAGCCCTTTTCTGTTCAACCCAGTCATGACCTTAAACTATTTCTCAATGCTCTGCTTCAGGCAGATTCTACTAAGCAATGAGTTATCAGGCTAGATGAAACACATTAGCCACACCAGGCTTAACTTCTGGCTATATAAGAAGACAAGACACTTTTAGTGTTAACACATCACTTTAATTTTTTCCTTTTCCACTATAGTTAAGTGGCAGAATAATATATATCTTAATATTTTTCATTCTAGCTAATGTAAAGGAGTTGATAGTAAAAGACGTATTTTTTTCTCTCCCATACTGAGAAGGTTTTACGTCTTAGAGATCTGGGTTTCATTAGCCTCATTGACAATTTAATAGACAAAAATTGTTTTCTAAAGTCTGAAGCTAGACTTTCTAGGAAAGGGAAGATTCTTAAGGCTGGGAGGAGGAAGATAATGGCCCTATTTAGGGGAGAGAGTAATGAGCATTCCTAAAATTGAGATAATCTGAGTGGGCCCCTGTTGCCCATAGTGCTGGAGTCATGTAATTGTTGAGTGTCCAGGAAGGCTGGACTCCAATAACTGTGCCACTGAATCGGTGTTGAGGATTTCATTGGTTGAGTTCATGAACAGACAAAAGGAGGAGCCCCTTTGAGGCTGCCTAATACCAGGCAAATTGGATGACAAAAAGGGTCAAAAATAAACGTGGCTCCTTGGCTTCTCCCTCCCATTTATTTTCTGGCATCTTATAAGTCAGTATTCTTGTATGATGTCATGGGAGGAGGAACTGCATCTCCCATATGACAAGTATTGGACTGTTACTCATCTGCCTTGATGTGTAGGGGTTCAGAGATAGATTTAATTTAATTTTAGAAAAACGAAGTAGTATATCTTTTCTTCAACCTACTAATTTATCCTCTATATATGGAGGCAACACAGTTTCCTGATTCAAGACACTGCCCCGGATGCCAATGCTCTGTTAACACATGTAAATGGCATCCTAAAGTGGAGCATGAGACATATAGAGAGGAATCAGGAAAATGGGCTGGTATAATGAGACAGGCAATGTGAACAGAGAGGAAGTAGGCATAGTGGTTAGGTACACTGGCTCTGAGGTCAGGCTGCCTGGGTTATAATGTAAGTTCTGCTATATTATAAATTAATTTTTTTTTTGAGAAGGAGTCTCCCTCTGTTGCCCAGTCTGGAGTGCAGTGGTGCAATCTTGGCTCACTGCAACCTCTGCCTCCTGGGTTCAAGTGATTCCGATTCCCCTGCCTCAGCCTCCCAAGTAGCTGGGATCACAAGTGTGCACTGCCACGCCTGGCTAATTTTTATATTTTTAGTAGAGACAGGGTTTTGCCATGTTGGCCAGGCTGGTCTTGAACTCCTGATCTCAAGTGACCCACTCACCTTGGCCTCCGAAAGTACTGGTATTACAGGTGTGAGCCACTGCACCCGGCCAAATTAGTGTTAATGTCATTGTGTTTCAGTGTCCTCATCTGTAAAAAGGGATAATAATGGCATTGCTTCATAATCTTGTTTTGTTAATCATAATATAAAATGAAATGATGTGTATAAAACTTTTACTTTACTGCCTAGCATATTAGTTTTCAGTAAATATTAGTGATCTGCATTTTACACATGGGTCCTATGTGCTTACTGAAGATGGCTGTATCTTAAAGTCTATATAGAAAAATGTAATTATCAGGATTGATTAATTGCTGCTTATTCTAATTTATTCACAAAAGGATTTGAGGTGGCACTACATAAGATACAAATATAAAAATATTAGAAAAAAGGGACAAATAAGAAGAGTTAGATGAGATCAAGAAGATATAGAAACACAGGCCACTAAGGCCCAACACTGCACCTGCAAGTGGGCCATATATTCAGCACTGGGCTTTCAGGTAAGCATTTAGGGCTTCTTTTCCAAGGGTGTCCTTAAAGTCATACCCTTCCTATATTTTTATCTTTTACCCCTTATATCTTGGCAACTTAGTCACATCTCACGCTCTCTGAAGGGAAAATGTGTTCAAAACCAAATTCATTATGTTTGCTTCAAAACAGTTGTTTTTTTCTTTCTTCCTAATTTTGGTTAAAGGCTCTACCATATGCCCAGGTCTGAGATGTGAAACTCTGGGTTTATCTTGGTCCCTTTCTCCCTATATCAAGTCCATTAAAGTCCATCTTTCCTACTTAGCCGCGTCTCTCCCATCAGGTGTCATCTTCCCTTTCTCTCTGCCATCCCTCTGGCTTAGATCTTCATTACCTCTCGGATGTCTCTTGTATTATTTTCCTGTCCATGTTTCCCTCTGCTCTTTGGTCTCCCTGTTTCAATCTCTCTAATGCATCCCTAACACATGTATCTTCCCCAAACAGAGTTCTAATCATATGATTCACTTGTTGAAAAACTTTGAGAGGCTCCTCACTGCATTTCAAATAAAGAATAAATGCCTAATCGTCAAGGGACCCTCACGATCTCATCCATTCTTTATTTTCAGACGTATCGCTCACCACTCCCAAACACATGGCAATGTTTTAACTGCTCTCCCCAACTCTTCTCTCCTTTCCTGTTCCTGCTTGTTTGGGGAGGTCTTATTAATCTGTGTTATCCCATGTAATAGAGTACAGTGCCTTGCTTAAGAGTTCAGTTAAAAACTGTTTGAAGTTTTGCTTCCTGTGAATTCAAAACCCATGGAGTGCTGCCCTCTTTTGGCTAAGATAGCACAGAGTCCAAAGCACCACATAGGAAATGATGCTGAATGACTCATCTTTTCCTTTGGGTTAGAATCCTCATGGAAACAAACAAGGCAGGGTGAAATGATTCCATCCTCTTTTCCCATATTATCTAGCTTCAAAGATTGTTTGTTTATGGAGATAGAAAGAAGATAAAATTCTGTATAGAAAACTTGGAACTCGACTAATTCAGATAATATATTATGTGTAAACTCAGAGCTGGGGCAAAGCCAGTAGTTACTTTGAACACATCCAGAGCTCCAAGAATCTTCAGGCCTCAACACGGACTTTTATATAAGAGGTAAGGGATGAGAAAACAACAGGGTTCCCTAAAGGCCTCTTCACATTAAGAACAGCTTCCTGATTTAGGGACGACTTAGGCAAGTGGCCAGGTTGTTTTTGTTTTTTTTTTTTATACCGATACTTAGTATTTGGTGAAGTAAGAAAAATAGGGCCTGGCCTAGGAGGTAAAGTTTACTTCTGCAGACCCTGCTGGGGCCAATCTGTGGCCATACCTGAGCCAGTCCTGAAGATCCAGCAGAAATATGGAGGAAGGATGACACGAAGCCCAGGAAGAGTAATACATTTTTAAGAAAGGACGACAGGATGAGAGGTGCACAGAAAAAAGCTTCCGAGTGGATGCCATCTCCTGATTACAATATGAATATTCTGGGGTTGTTAATTTTATAAAGTTATAACCACATCTTTATTACTAATCACATTGAACCTCACTAAGTATAAAGACAATGAATAGTAAATATGTATGCATTATAAATAACTGGAAAGCTCAATTAAGACAGGCCTTGAGCTTTATCTCAAGTGTCAATAAAATCAGACTTCCTTGGATCTGAAAGGGACAGTCATTCCAAAACTGAAACTCAGTGGGTGACAGGATGCCCACACCTCTTGGAGGAGGACAGAAAGGTTTGTGGGCTGGTGTCAGATACAAGCTTGGCACCATCTTTGATTAGGAGCTAATGTTAGCAGAAAGATCAAGTGTCAGTCATGACCAGAGTTGTTTTCTACTATCTTGAGAAGGTCACCGGATTGCTGCCCCTTCGTTTTTGAAACCTGATCTGGGGACCACAAACAGCCACAATGAATTGGATTACTGCCATGTGCTCTAAATTGGGCTGACAAGGCTGACTCAGTGCCAGGAGTTGACACAGGATGCAGCTTGAAATATTCACTTGGGGAGAGGGTTGAGATTTCTTTTTAATTGTCAATGATGTTATTTGAAGAGATAGGATTGAATATGAACACTGAGGAGTGAAATAAATATTTGTCATGCACTTGGATAGAGAAGATCCACAAAGGTCAGAAAATTTTCTGTGTTAAATTTTATGTTCTGGGGATTACTTGGCTATACTGGGAGGCTGCTGTTCCTTTTAAAAAGAGGTGAGCGGTGGTTCATGCCTGTAATCCCAGCACTTTGAGAGGCCGAGGCGGGCAGATCACGAGGTCAGGAGTTCGAGACCAGCCTGACCAACATGGTGAAACCCCATCTCTACTAAAAATACAAAAATTAGCCGGGTGTGGTGGCATGCGCCTGTAATCCCAGCTACTCAGGAGGCTGAGGCAGGATAATCACTTGAACCTGGGAGACAGAGGTTGCAGTGAGCTGAGATCACACCACTGCATTCCAGCCTGGGCGACAGAGTGAGACTCTGTCTCAAAAAAAAAATAATAATAATAATAATAAATAAATATAAAAAGGTGAGCCTTCTCTTTAGCATTATAAGCATAAAATTTGTTCAAATGTCCATAAAAAACAAAGGAAACTCCCTCTTATGTGCAAGGATATGTACAAACATAAACACAGTTTCTTTTATTTGTATGTGAATTTGCAAGCAGCACCTCACTAGAGCTGAGCTTTTGTTATATAAATAAAGCCATCTGGTATATCCAAAGAATTTCAGTCTCTAGAGAATAGGATCATAAACAATCGATCCTCCACAGACCTTTCAGTATTTTTGTTTGAGTAAAGTTTCCCACAGCTCTGCTTTAATTATTTTATCTGTTTTTAATCTTCTAAGGATTTTATAATTTATAATTAGCCATGTCTCTCCCTTCAGGTGTCATCCTCCCGTTCTCTCTGTCCTCCCTTTGGTTTAGATCTTCATTACTTCTCAGATGTCTCTTGTATTATTTTCCTGTCCATGTTTCCCTCTAATTTAATGTCTTTGTGTGAGTGCATAGGGAGAAAGTCTACTCCACCATTTTTTGGCAATGTGAAGAACAGTGCATCCTTTAAGGCTTTTTGGTTAATGTATCATAAATAGATACTCAGATTAATAGAGTTTGGAAGAAGGAAGTATAGGATTCCATTTTTCTGATGGGAAAATGAAACATGGAGAGCTAAGTTCAAGGTCCCATGTCCCACAACTATTAACTGCTAAACATAATCCAGATTTTGTGAATCCCAGTTGAATAATCTTTTACTCAACATTGTCTTTAACTTAATGTTTATTTTCTTTTAGGCATGGATATCAAGCATGCCTCTGAGTAAAACAAAGAGAATCCAGTCTTTGACCAATTGACCAAACAAGACCCAAGCAGCTGGGAAGTTTGTCAAGTCTCATAAGAATGAGGTTGGATTTTTTTTTCTTTAACTTCTCCTGCCCCCTTTAGCAAAAATTGTTTAGTACTAATTCATTTCTTGGAAGAAGTGAATTTCTAGGAAGCTTCTGAAATGACAATATAGTTATCTGAAAGACCAAAAGAGATAGATTGCAAAACTCATATTACTGAATGTTGGGGCAGTTTAACACTAATGCCTGAGCCCCATACCTAGAAAGTAGAATTTCATTGGCCTAGATGGGGCTCTCCAAGATAAATCGAAATATGCAGGCTAAGTTTGAGAATGACTATTTGATGCACCTGGAGCATATCATTCACAAGGACAGCAGGTCTACAGATTCTCATCTTTCTCCTAGGGTGGTCTTCTTTGCGCAGGAGTAATTTGAAGTGAAACCAAGAAATCAGTTAGCTATACGGGAGGAAGCTCTGGAGGGACAGAAAACAGCTGGATGTAATAAGAAGACTCACTCCAAACTGGTTTCTACTTTGTCAGACTTGACTAGACCTCCATGGTAGCTTGGGTGACTGGAAGTGGGAGACATAGGTTGACAGGATCTCCTGACCCTGACCACAGCATCTCCGGCCCCATTTTTGTAGCCGGCTGAAATATTACAGATATTGCATTTTAATTAGGATACATAGCAATGCAGTAGTTTTTATGATTTATTTTGGCACATGATGGCATTAATAGCAAATTGTATTTGGATGTGACTTTTAGGCTGCTTTATGCATGCTTATCACTGATACTTGCTGAGTCATTTGTTTGGGAACAGGATGTGCTGTGCATCTTAACTGATAGATGAAAGAGCTTCCCCAGTCCGGTAAAACGCAGATTTTAATTAGCACAATTTTAAAATATTTTAATGCTTAGAAGCCATAAAATAAATTCAAAGAAGCACAACAAAATAATTAAAGCTGAGTTCTACCTTTTCTTTTGGACACCAAGATATCACTGGTATCAAATCACTGTTTGCCATTTGGGAAGAACCTATTCACAGCTTTATCTTTTGCCAAAACCGTGGGCAAAGTGAACACTGACATCTCAGTTTAAGAGTGAATCCAGGCCGGGCGCGGTGGCTCACGCCTGTAATCCCAGCACTTTGGGAGGCTGAGGCGGGTGGATCACGAGGTCAGGAGATCGAGACCATCCTGGCTAACACGGTGAAACCCCGTCTCTACTAAAAATACAAAAAATTAGCCGGGCGTGGTGGTGGGCGCCTGTAATCCCAGCTACTCGGAAGGCTGAGGCAGGAGAATGGCGTGAACCCAAGAGGCGGAGCTTGCAGTGAGCCGGGATAGCGCCACTGCAGTCCAGCTTGGGCGAAAGAGTGAGACTCCGTCTCAAAAAAAAAAAAAAAAAAAAAAAAAAAAAAGAGTGAATCCAAGTTTTGTTTCATGTTAGCATCCTTAGTGGTTTCTTTTTAAAAATAGTTCTTCCTTTACTTTGTAGTTCATGCTTTTCCCAGAGTGGTACAGAGGAATTTAAATAATGTTGCAGCTAACAGGGAAAGGCCAACCTTTCCACCTCAGGCAGGCGAATTCACTGATTAGGCTTTCTGTTATTGCAGAGGAGTGGGATGGGAACAGACAGGAGTAGTGTAACCCATAGGCCTTAGACCACCTTCTCTTTACCTTCTAGGATAGATCAAACCTGGCCATATGACATCTTCAAATTTATTTTTCATATTGTGACTTTAAAATTATTGGATACTGGCTGGGAGCAGTGGTTCATGCCTATAATCCCAGCATTTTGGGAGGCTGAGGCGGGCAGATCACCTGAAGTCAGGAGTTCAAGACCAGCCTGGCCAATATGGCCAAACCCCGTCTCTACTAAAAACACAAAAATTAGCCAGGCGCGGGGGTGGGCAGCTGTAATCCCAGCTACTCGGGAGGCTGAGACAGGAGAATCGCTTGAACCCAGGAGGCGGAGGTTGCAGTGAGCCAAGATCGTGCCACTGCACTCCAGCCTGGGTGACAGAGCAAGGCCTCAAAATAAATAAATAAAAAAAATAAAATTATTGAATACTGTCCAGATAATGTTTTGGAACAAGGCAGAGACGAGCTAAGTGAATTTTTATAAACCATATACTGTATTTCTTAATATATTCACATTTACTCAAAATAACCAAATATGATTACATTTTATAAAGTTTTATTCTGTTATTTGTCCTTTAAAATAAGAATGCAATATTTAAACAGTTGGCCTCTTACTGGGACAGAATATTGAGAATTTATTGACAACAGGTGGTGTTAAACTAGTGTTATACCAATTACATTGTAACAGAAAGAATGATGGCTGGGGATCAGCAAGCGTAAGGCAGTCCTGGGCTCAGCTTTGCTGCTCACTAGCTCTCTGACTTTGGACAAATCATCTCGCTCTCTTGTGAATGGCAAGAGAGGAACTAGAGACTGCTGTACCAGCTTTACATACTGTGGTGCATTAGATGAGATTTATATTTTATTGAAATATCACTTAGAATTCTAAGCGATATTTCATTCAATTTTGCTTTCAAGAAATCCATATTCACTTATAAGTTATTACATTAGCTATCCCTTAGAAGAATCGTATTTTCATCTCAAGAATATGTAGAACATTGTGAAAGAGGTATCAAGACTGATCCTAACCACTGTTGTTGTTTTCCTCCTCTTCTTTCCCTGACTTGTGTAACTTCCATGTTTGGATACATTGTTTTGTCACTCTTGAATACCTACAGGACATATGGCAAACTTTTTGATGAGATCAGTAGGACAAGTCAGACCTCAGAGCAAAACTTTCTGCTCAGCAGTTGTTTCTGTTCTCATACACTTTGCTGTGTGGTTGATTTTCTAACTCTGACAAAACCAGTGCAGTTCTAGGAGGGGCCCCGCCTGCTGGTCCGGTCATGGTCAACTACCCTGCCCTGACTGAGATGGCCATAGCCTAAGATCAGGCAGGGACCCCTCCTCCCCATGGAATTCTCTTCCAGCTTCTTATTCCTAGCCCCCTTTCTTTGCTCTCACCGTGTGATCTGACTTTCTCACAGAAGTTTGTGGGAAAATAGAGGCTATGTTTGCCCTCCATGTGGTTAAAAGTGAATTTCCATGCTGGAAACATTGCTTCACTAAAATAAGGTCCTAGATTTTACATAAAAAAAGGAATTTTCTCCAAGATGCTGTGAAGCATTACCCAACTGCCACTCTGGTCACTAAAAATAAAAATAGCATGCTCTCTTAACAGGCAAGTCTTTTTGGAGAAAAATGCTGTGTAATTCTAAGTGAAAAAGAACATGAGTATTTTTGTCCAATGTCTTCGTATATTTAGGGGAAATACCGTCAAATTAAAAAAATTCTGATAATTGATGAAAATGATTAAGACCTAGTAAGTGGTTGTTAGAAATCATTTTTTAAATCATAAAAATCCCAGAAGTAAGTACCGTGAGTATATAGTATGTACCCAAATATTTCATGAAAAAATAAAGGTTACTACTCAGATAATCTTTGGCTGAAACTAAGAGATGAGGGAAATATCCTCTTCATTCTTACATAGTATGGGCTCATTGAAAATACTAAAAAAAAAACCGAATCAGTTGAATTTGAGAAAATTGTGGAATTTTTTAGCAAGATTTGGAACATTGAACATCTAGATTAGGCTCCCTAAGTCCCTTCAATTGGACAATATAAAATGTCCTCTAGATGGAGCAGCAGGCTTTTTCTTTAAGACAAAGAATTCTTATTTTTGTGAAAGGAACTTCAGAACTTCATTTTAAACAGAACATAATTTAAAGAACCTTATTCTTAAGAATAAGGTAAGCAGGCCAGGTATAGTGGCTCACACCTGTAATCCCAGCACTTTGGGAGGCTGTGGTGGGCAGATCACAAGGTCAGGAGTTCGAGACCAGTCTGGCCAACATGGTGAAACCCCATCTGTACTAAAAATACAAAAGTTAGCTGGGCATGGTGGTGCATGCCTGTAGTCCCAGTTACTCGGGAGGCTGAGGCAAGAGAATCACTTGAACCTGGGAGTTGGAGGTTGCAGTGAGCCAAGATTGTGCCACTGCACTCCACCCTGGGTGTCAGAGTGAGACTTCATCTAAAAGTAATAATAATAATAATAATAATAAGGTTAGCATATATTATTGGGAATATCCATTCTTTGATGAAGGAAATGTTATATTTCAGACAATGTAACTTATCCTCATATATGCTGGAGTAAAATGCATTTGATTTAAAAGTTTTCCAAGTGAGATTCACTGAGTTTTGGAGGCTTGCGGTACATGTGCAAGAGCCAGGAAGCTATGGATGTTCTTTAAAGATGTGAGTATAACTGAGAGGGAGGAATGGTGAGGACTGAGAATGACAAGGGTTAAGGAAAGTCCTTTTGTTTAGACAGAAACATTTTCCAAAGATGGTTTCAGTGTCTGCCTAAATTGGATTTGTGAATGTGAAATATAGAAAGCTTGAAGTCATCTGACACATCCGCCTCATTTTACAAAAGAAGATGCCAAGACCCAGAGAAGTAGCTGTCATTCTGTTGTATCAGTGGAGTTAGTGATGGCACAGAACAAAATTGGATAAGCAGTGTAGTGGACCTTTGTTGTTTTAGCTGCCTCTGACTAACAACACTGATTTTCTTTTGGGAATTATACTCCTCCAAGTGTATGGAATCTTGGAAAGCTAATAAAGGAAGCCGAGGGGTCCCTAGATACTCCTGTATAGCCAAACGTTAGGCATGTGACCTAGTCAGGCACTCGAGGGACTTCAGATCTTCAGCAGAGTTTTTATAAGGAAATATGAAACAGTTGGAATTCATTTATTTTAGATGATAGCCTAATATTCATTTTACTAAGTATGATTCTTCAACCTTCCTGCTAGTTCTGTGGGATCTCCAATAACCCAATAATTCCCCTTTTTGCTTAATGCTTGGGCAGAGTTAGTTTCTTCCGATACTTGCAACCAAAGAACCTTGAGAAACTCCCTAGCCCATCAATGAAGCAAGACCTTCTAATTGCAAATTTAAATCACCCAACAGAATCACCATAAGTCACCAAGAGTAATATAAGACTTATTCATATAGGGAAAATAAACACACTCTAATCCCATAACCAAAAACATAATCAGAATATTATGCTCTAATTCTTTTGAGTCATGACAAATTTTCAATTATAGAAAGAAGAATCTGACAATACTGCTGTAATAAACATTTGTTGACTAAATGAGAAAAAGTTTTCCATTATATAACATTATACTAGAGAGCGCTCTAAAATATATTTAATGTAGCACTTACATTTATTTTTTCTGATTATAAAAGTAATACTGATTTATTTTGCCCAGATTTATCTTAAATATTAAAATTTAAAAAAATAAACTTTCGCTTGTTTTCCTATTAGAAATCAGAAAAGGGGCAAATAAATACCAAACTGGAAACATTGTACAAGCCACAAGCCATATGATATTTGAATCAGACTAAAATAACAGTGGAATAATGAGTTCTTTACAATTTTTTTCCCTTTCAAATTCCTTCTCAAAAAGCATTTGACTTAACCCTATTACTTAGAAAAAGTGTTGCAAAAGCCTCATTTTAAAAAAATGTAATTCCTTTTAATGTACCCAGCAAGTGGACCCTCCCTCCCTCTCTCCCTTTTTAATATCTCAGAATACAATTTTTAAAAGGGAGCTTGATGTTTATAAGTTTCTTTAGGCTATTATAACTAATCTTTGGAATGATTCAACATTATGTGATTTATAAACTGAAAAGTCTCATATGTCAACAATGAAATCTACTAGAAACAGGCCATTCTTATCTTAATAGCATTTTAAGACAGAATTTGCAGTTTGGCTCAGCTTAGCAAGGCAGGGAAAAGAATGGTTAACAGCCTGAGAGCATGCACACTGACGTTCAGTAGTGAGCCAGCAGAGGGCTTTTCTGTACTTGCAAAAAGCAACTTGTTAATGGCAGATTCCTAGCTCAATTGAAGAATGATTACTTTATGGAATATAAGGTCATGCTAAAGGGAAATCAATTTCCTATACACAAGGTAAATAAAAATAAAATAGGCTGGTTAGTAGAATGAAGGCAGACAAGGAGTTAAAATAGGCTGGTTAGTAGAATGAAGCTTATATGATTTAATTCAGCCTAATATTTGACTTATTAATGAGCCATCTTTTTGAAGATCACAATGTGTATTACTCAGATAGAAGTCCAGGTAAAAACTTATCAGTCTGTGGGGCCCACTCAAGTTAGATTTTGATATAGACAATGCCCTATCATGGCTCTTTAAGGGTCACAGTGGTGTGCTGGAGCCAGCTCCTGGTGGCTCCTGAATGCCCATTATTAAATTTGGAGGAATTTTGTGAGCCGGTTGAAATCACATTAGTAGCTTAAAATTGGCCATAGTGGGAGTATTTATACCATGGACATCTGCAAACACTACAAAGTAGGGTCCTCCCCTTTCCCCAGTGGAGGTTGTTAAACGGTTACCAGAATATCACTGAACATAACAAAAAAGGGGATTTTCTTGAGAACTGTGTCATCTAAAATCATGAATACATTCTCATGCCTGTTCATGCCTGTCTTGTCCAGCCCAGCTGGTATGCAAAAAATCATCCTTGAAGGTTTGATTTCATCTTTCAAATATTGGGAGTTCAATCTGGCTCTTTCTCTACTAATAAGTGAGTGGGGTCTGGAGGTGGATTCTGGAGCCACTAGTGTTTGCTGTGCAGGTGGATGAGATGGGGAGCATCTTGGTGTGTCTGTGAGCCTTGGTGTATCCATGAACATTGAGCTACAGTCCCCCTCCTTTTCTCCATTGCTTAATTTGTACCCTCTGTTTAAAATGCAGTCAATGCAATTTTTCCCAGGGACAGTTATCCTATCTACAGCCTTTCAACTATGCACCTTACATGACATCTATCATTGTTGATGTGATAATATTGTTATTTATAAATGTAGACGGGGTCTCAGATTTATTAACGCTACACTAAGATGTACAATGAACAATTAGGTTTTTATTTTTATTTTTCTGTAGTTGACCTTATGACTGTCATTCACTGCTCTGTTTGGATGACTTAGGTAAATGTCTTTCAGAATTCCAGTCCTTTGCCTGCTGGCCCCTAGGTGTGGGAAGTGGAGGGGGTTTCACTTGTTCTTGTCTGTCTTAGGGAGACTGGTTCTTCCACCTGGACATCGTTCCCCGGAGGCATGTTGGTCTCTGCTGCAGGTGTCTGCTCTGGGCTTCTCCTTAGGCTGAGGACCTTTGCTATACAAATGGTCTTCTCCCTAGGGCTCTGCTGATATCTGCAGCTGCTGATGAAAGCCACTGTAACCCCTGCTTTGTTCCAGTTATTTTCTCTGATGATTTAGGGCTCTATATCAGCTCTTACTGGCTTTGTGAGAAGTCTAACTGGATTTCCTCCTCTAGGCCAGGGCCTTCCAAATTTAACCTGAGACTGGTTAAGGCCATGAGGGGAAGGGGGTGGTCGGACATGCCTCATTATGCCCTCCTCCATTTTATAATTCAGGAAAAGCCAACCAGTACTTAACATCAATACACACCTTAAGTCTGATAAGAAACATTTACAATCTATTTTCTCTGAAGCCTGCTACCTGGAGGCTTCATTGGCATGATACAACTTTGGTGTCCACAACCTCTTATGTAATCTGGGCATTCCTTTCTATTGATAATAACTCTTTCAGCCAATTGCCAATCAGAAAAATTTTAAATCTACCTATAACTTGGTAGCCCGCCATTTCAAGTTGTCCCACCTTTCTGGACTGCACCAATGTATATCTTAAATGTATTTGATTGATGGCTCATGTCTCCCTAAAATGTATAAAACCAAGCTTTGTCTCAACCACCTTGTGTACCTGTTCTCAGGGTCTCCTGAGGGCTGTGTCATGGCCATGGTCACTCATATTTGGCCCAGCCTCCCAAGTGGCTGGGACTACAGGCACCTGCCACCATGCCCGGCTAATTTTTGCATTTTAGTAGAGACAGGGTTTCACCATGTTGGCCAGGCTGGTCTTGAACTCCCGACCTCAAGTCTCCCAAAGTGCTGAGATTACAGGTATGAGCCACCGTGCCTGGCCAGAATAAATCTTTTTAAATAATTTATAGAGTTCGGCTATTTTTGTCAACACCACTGAAATCTGTCTATGAATCCCTGACCATGCTATTCAGCCTGCAGACTTCTGCTACCGAGGTGATTCTTAATTCAGAGGCCCTCTTACAGCTCTGAAGCAGAGGCAGGAAAGCCGATTCCACAAAAGGCACTCTAATGGCAGAAACAAAGTATGGATAAGCAAAGAGATGAGTCGAGTTCAGCTCTCCAAGGCAGCCCGCAGAGGCGTGTGGTGGCATCTTTCTCCTTCCCACAGTCCCTCTGGATGTGAGCGATGGGGTTGAACTCCATTCTCCTCTTTCCTCACTGGGGACTCTATCGTATGAAACCCTAAGATCTAGTCCCTCAATCTTTCCTCTTAATATGTACAAGGGGGACATAAGTAGTATAAAAATTTCTTTCTTTGGCTTTCAAACTTTCTATTTTTTTTTTACAGGTAAAATACTTCATTTTGTATGTTTGAAGCTGATTATTATATATTCCTTTCTTCCTCTTTGTTTTCTGGCCAAAATCATCTAAATCCCCAAGGAAGATTTGTGGGAGCAGGCCACAAGAAATTGCAAAAGAGAAGGACATATTGATATACTTAAAATATTCTCCCCGTTACATATGCTTAACTTCTCTCACCCCCTGGAGTAGAAGCTTTTTCAGAGAAGTCTCTTCTGCTGTTCAAGAATGGTTCTCTTTTGAGTATCCTCTTTTATCTGTGTCTTCAATATCTCCCTATTTGTGGTAAGCTTCCTATCAGTTTAAAAATAATTACCTGGCTGGGTGCGGTGGCTCATGCCTGTAATCCCAGCATTTGGGGGGCCGAGGCAGGCGGATCATGAGGTCAGGAGATTGAGACCATCCTGGCCAACATGGTGAAACCCCATCTCTAATAAAATACAAAAATTAGCTGGGCATGGTGGCACGTGCCTGTAATCCCAGCTACCTGGGAGGCTGAGGCAGGAGAATGGCTTGAACCCAGGAATTGGAGGCTGCAGTGAGCCGAGATCATGCTACTGCATTCCAGCTTGGCGACAGAGCAAGACTCCATCTCCAAATAATAATAATAATAATAATAACAACCTGTATCCTTCTAAATAAATAAACAAAACAACTCTCCATGGACTTCACATCTATCCAAACCTGAATCTTCTCTGATGTTTCCTATCTCAGTAAATGACATCACCATCAACTTAATTAGTTGTGCCAGAAAACATTATCCTTTACATCTTCTTTCACCTCATGCCCCATGCCTGATTAACTAGCAAATTCTATTACTCTGTTTCTGAAATCTGTTTTGAATTAGTTTCTTTTCTCAATTCCATACCTTCCATCCTAGACCAAATAGCTATCATCTCTTGTGAACTACAGTGGTTTCCTGTGGCTGTTTTCCTCCATTTAGCCTTGTTCTCCTTGAATACTGAGTGATCTTGAAATTAAAATATACATAACCTGTAATATGCGTGTGCATATTTATGTGCAATATATTTGTATATGTGTACATATATGCATGCACACAATCCTGTTTATATTACTCCTTTGCTTCAAACTTGCCTTTAGCTTCTGTTATTGGGATGAAGTTCAAAATCTTACAATGGCCCAAAGCACTTGAATGACCTCACTTTGCTATACCCACATCCCAGCCTTGTGCAATTCTCTCCCTAGCTTACTTTGCTCCAGTCACAGTAGGTCTTCTATTTCCTCAAACCTACCATGCTTTTTCCTTCTTAAAACATTGACATAAGCTATTTTCTCTGCTTAGTAGAATCTTGGTTCTCTGGCTAACTCCAGTTCTCAGTTTAAAACCCTTTCCTAGAAGACCTTCTAGATCCTCCCCTTTCCTGCAAGGCCCTTTCAGGGCATCTTGTATTTTTCTTTAATAACACACAATTGCAGTTGAATGATTATTTTTATCATGATTTTAATGTTGTTTTCCTCACTGAATTGTAATCTTTGAAGAGAGAGGCCATCTTATTCATTGAGCTATTTCTTCTGCTTATCAATGGAATAATAGTGCCCATTGAATTAGTTTAATAGATGATTTGTGTAAGTTTTATTTGTATAGAATTCATACCATCTAATGTATGGTTTTACTCATAATAAATATCTCAGAACTTATATTAATAATTATTAATAATTTTCATGATCACTTGTCTTTTTCTCTCTGCCTGCTTCTAGGAGTCTCTGTTCTCTCTTGTCTATATGAAAAGAGATCTTTGTGAGATATTTGTGTGCAGCTGCATGCAATGTAGCTCAAACCAGGAGGAAAGCCAGATGCTGGATGCTGAATTGCAGCACATTACTATCAGATAGCTTTAAACAAAATGACACTGGAAACTTAATGAATCTCAATTGCTTACAGGATCAAGTCCATACAAATTAGTTGAAACATAGGGCTTTGTATCATCTGAACTTTTCCTCCCTTTCTAATCTCATTTCCCATTACACTTCACCCCATGTTCCAATCCTTCCCACTGAGCTCTATAAGCACATCAGGAAAAGGAGATGACCATTGGCATCATCATTATCATCATTGTCACTAACAATATTTACTAAGCATTAATCTAGGTCAAATACTGCATGTGAGCCTGTGGGGAAATATAAAGATGCATAAATCAAGATCCCAGCTCTTAATCACCTATAAACCTAGTAGAAGTGACAGGTATACACATGAAAGATAAATAGGAATATAAATTAATTAAATTGTAAGTGCCAAGGAGTAGTTAAGAGTGGGAGCACAATTTCCTAAGATGTGAAATAGTGCTCTGCCTTAGGTTTATGTGTCCACAAATAAATGTGACTATGGAGAAACAAGGAAAGGTAAGGAGGGGATATTTAATGTTCCACTTTTCTCTATGAAGCAATTCCTGTGATTTTGTCCATTGCTTTTGTACTCCCCTTCTCCTTCATCTTCAAAGCTATTGTAACTGCAACCTGAATTCATAATACAAATGAATAGATATTTTTCAATGATTGAGAACCCTCATCCAAGACTCCTTGAGCCCTTGGCTTGTGAACTTGGGAGATGTCATTTTACAAGCTCAAATATATTAGCTTGACCTGTGGAGGGCAATGCTTAGATTCATCCACATGGAGGAGTTAGCTTCGTCTATTGGATTGAGGACATGCACAAAAACACTGAGCAAGAAGAGGCTTTGGTAACTCTGCTTTCCCCAGGGTCTTACAGCAGAGGCATACATTAATTTGTTCAGTCAACAAATATTTTTGAAATACTGTGTTCAGTAATGAGGAAAAGAAGATATTATAATGTGTGTCATGCCCTCAAAAATTCATAGCAGGTAAGATGGACTCATACAGAAATAAATATATAATATACTATGATGAGAAAAATGGCAGTGGTATGAATGATCTACATCACAGAGAAGGCTGAACACTTTGGCAATGGAGGACGCCTACACCAAAAGGATAATGTTTAAATTTAATCTAGAAGAGAAGCAAGAAATAGCTTTGCTCTGGTGGAAAAATACAGTAGGTATTGGTGCCCCTTTGCCTACAGAGATGCCACAACCCTGTGGCACCTCCCATCTGTTTTCCCAGAGGTAGTAGCCCTTAGGCATAACCTATGGAGGCAAGTGGAACTGGATGCTTTCTTCTAGGCCTGGGGAATTATTTTTCTTGCCAAAGAAACCTCTTTGAGGTTGTTTCTGGTTGGAGTCTGTGTTGGTCTGTTTTGCATTTTTATAAAGGAATACCTGAGACTGGGCAATTTACAAAGAAAAGAGGCTTATTTCGCTCTTGGTTTTTCAGGCTGTACAAGAAGTGTGGTGCCAGTATCTGCTTCTGGTGAGGGCCTCAGGAAGCTTCCAATCATGGTGGAAGGTGTAGGGGGAGCAGGACTGTCACATAGCGAGAGAGGGAGCAAGAGAGCGAGGTGGGGAGATGCGAGACACCTTTTAGCAACCAGATCTCATGGTAACTCATTACCACAGGGAGGGCACAAAGTGATTCATGAAGGGTCTGTTCCCCATGACCCAAACAATTCTGACTAGGCCCTGCATCCAACATTGGAGGTCACATTTAAACATGATTTTGGAGGGGACAAACATCCAAACCCCATTAGAGTCCTCTCCACATGTTTCCTCATTCTCTTGGACTAGTGGCTACCCAGGACATATACTTCTAATGGATTTCATAAATGAAAGAGAACCATCCAAAACTCTCAATCACATAGCAAGCCTCTGCAGAAGTTATGCCTGCTATCATTACACTGGCCAGAGAAAGTCAGTTGGCCAATTCAAACATCAACAAGCAGGGAAAATATAATTTTTCTACCTCACT
The DNA here is from genome assembly GCF_000001405.40 of Homo sapiens. Classification (NCBI taxonomy): domain Eukaryota; kingdom Metazoa; phylum Chordata; class Mammalia; order Primates; family Hominidae; genus Homo; species Homo sapiens. The sequence goes on from NC_000012.12 coordinate 80,201,828, forward strand.
AGGAGGTATAATAAAGGTACCTAGAAGAGCAAAGGCATATCTATAATTCTATGTCAGGGAGGCAATGAATGAAGAACTGGGAATAATAACCTAATCAATCCAAAAGCATTCCTGCCTGCTGCTGTCTGCATTCTACCATCTGATTCTTAAATGAATGCTTTTATCCTGAAGCCACTCAGTGCCAAAAAGAGCCTGACAGATCTCCAATCCTGTCAGAACTTCCCTGTGTCATTGAAGTTTCCCTGACTCCCACCAATAGAGCACTTAATAGAAATCTAACTCACAGGTTCTCTTAGTTCTGACTCCTCATAGCAGAAGAGTGAGCTGGACTCAGCAGAAGGCTTGGTGGTATTGAGATCACTTCACAGCACTTCATTTCTGTTCCCGTTCGGGTTTTCACTTACAACCTTTATCTGTCCTCTTGTCTAGTATCTTTTCTTTAATTTTTTTTTTTTTTTTTTGAGAAGGAGTCTCACTCTGTTGCCCAGGCTGGAGTGCAATGGTGTGATCTCAGCTCACTGCAACCTCCACCTCCCAGGTTCAAGCAATTCTCGTGCCTCAGCCTCCCGAGTAGCTGGGATTACAGGCACTCGACACCACGCCTGGCTAATTTTTTTGTATTTTTAGTAGAGACTGGGTTTCACCATGTTGGCCAGACAGGTCTCAAACTCCTGACCACAGGTGATCCGCCTGCCTTGGCCTCCCAAAGTGCTGGGATTACAGGCCTGAGCCACCGCGCCCAGCCTGTCTGGTATCTTTCAAGGAGGTTTTTCTGGGAAAATGTACCTTTATTTTTTTGCATGTATGCATTCCAATTCTCCATTTTTTTCTATGTCTAAATGGATGATTTGGGAACCTTGGATTAGTAGACCCCCATCTAATTCATAGTACCCCTCAGCAGAAGGACATGTTATTAGTCAGGGTTCTCCAGAGAAACAGAACCAAGAGTTACTGGATAGAGGTAGTCATGGGAACCACCGCTTGTCTTTGCTTCCTTCTGAACATCTGCTCCATTCTCCTACTTCTTTCTGCAGAATAGCTCTTTTTTTGGTTATTTAATAGCATGCACATGACTAAAAAATAGTTGCCATCTCCACTTCTGCTGGACCACAAAGCTCCAGGGCCCACAACCTTATGTCAACACATGACCTTTATCCCTGTGATTTACATTTCAATACCTGAGAATGAGAATTAGATAAGTGTTAGGACTACTAATATGTTATTTTGCTTAGCATCAAGTGCCTATTCCTGGTGGCCAGAGTGTGAATGCATTCATTTTCTTTACTGCTGTAACAAATTACCACAAATTTAATAGCTTAAAACAATGGAAAATTATCTTATAGATCTGGATACCAGGAGGCTGAAATAGGTTTCACTGGGCTAACATCAAGAGGTTGGCAGGACTGTATTTGTCTGGAAGCTGTAGTGGAGAATCTGTTTTTGCCTTTTCTAGCTTCTAGAAGGTGTATGCCTCATTTCTGACTGCTTTTTCCATCTTCAAATTTTTTTTTTTTCACTTATAAGGACCCTTTATCTGGCCCACACTTATAATCCAGGATAATCTCCCCATCTTGAAATCCTTAATCATATCTGTAAAGGCTGTTTTGTTATGTTAAGTAAAATTCACAGATTCTGGAAATTAAGACACAGACATCTTTGTTGAGGGGGTGGAGGGCAGCACCATTATTCCACCAATCATAGTGAGGGTCATAAAGATGTGTTGCCAATGGAACAGAAGCTGTGAGTGGGAGGAGTTTCTTTGCATAAAGAGCGAGGTAAGAGTACCAAAATTAAATAACACATCTACTTCATTTTCCTGAACAGCAAACTGCTCAGTAGCGGGTAGTGAGATTTTTCCATCCTCTGTTTCTTTCCCCTCCAGTGGAATCTGTCAGCACTCTCACATTTGTAATTTGCCTGGACTTCTTTTTCTTACTAGAATGAACTAGTATTTAATTTTCTCAAGAAGCTAGATTCTCTTTTTATCATAATGCAGATGCCTAAACCCCTTAGACTTGATGAGAAAATATGAGATGCCGTGAAGGATGGTTTGGGAATCTGTGCTTCTAATAGGTTCGCTAGGTAATTCTTACACACACCAAAGTTTAAGAATCACCTCTGCATTCTCAGTAAAGCTGATAAGTTTATCTTGTTAGAAGAGAAGACTGAAGAAAACCTTCCAAGGGAACTAGTATATTTTCACTGCAGCTTTTGGGAGATAATGATAACAATTTTGCATGTAACTCAGTAAGACTCTAATTCACGCTGGGGGTATGGGAAGAGGTCATGTCAAGATAAAGGGGAAACCTTTTTTGTGGGCTGATCAAGCTTTTTTTGACTCTCAATTCAAACGAAGGGCATAATTCCTTCTAAGTTATGTTTTCATACTGATTTGTGCTGTGTTGAATATCACAGTAATGCCATATCTCCAAAAGCAGTTTTCCATATCAATCTTGCCAATATAGGGGAAGCAGAAGATGATAGGCTAACGTTTGACACTCCAGTGGCTCTTGTCATAAATCAGATTGCCAGGTGTCTGATTTGGAACCTTGGTGTTGTATGAAGTCATCCAATCACGACATTTTGGGATTTGACAGGTTTTGTTTTATAGTTTAAATAATTGGATCCAAGTATAGCACGCTTTCTTTACAAATTTACAGTTATTTATTTTGAAGAACGTTTGTTTGTAAGTAAGCTAAGTAAGTTGTAATTAAGTTGAAAAAGTAAGAAAGAAAATATATAAAGTAACCTAGAAAATAAAAGCGTGTAATTTTTGATGCTTGGTGGTTTGGTTTTAATAATATGGCAGATTACATGATATAAAAATCTTCCAAGTATAAAGTACTTGGAAGTACGGAATTTAATAAAATAGTCAACCATGTAAATGGTTGAATAAGTTCACTAGAATGTAAGGAATATTACCAGAGACCAGAAACAAAACAGAAACTGGACTTGGTTTACTTTACTTTATGTTTGGGATTTGAATTTATATTCTGTGGTCTGTGAACCCTTAAGCTGAGAAATTAACATGAAGCTTCCTGGAGCACTTGGCAGAAGTTGGTACAAAATCTTTTTTGGAGGGGAACATACTCAACTTTGGTGGTAAAGGATTCCCATATAAAATGCCCTGCCAGACATGGACCCCAAATTCAAAATTACAAAATCCATGAAGTCATCTATCCTAAGTGAGAGAAACGAACAACAAACAACAAGATTAGAACCACCCCTACTGCCACTAAAAAATTGAAATAACATTCTTTCTCAACAACTCTAAAGTAAGTACATAAAAATTATTGAAGATATAAAGGAATTCAAAGCATGAGAAACCAACTTTATGGTATTAAATAGTGCCTTACATTAATATTTTCACTATATGGTACAAGTGCAAAGTGTTGTAGTAGTTCAGAGAATGAAGATAGCTGCAGAAACTGAACTCGATGCTAAAATGTTGACAAGAGAAAACTTTAGTTGAAGAAACATTACTTCTTTCAAGGTATCAATTAGATATTACAAATCAACGGCATCACAGCAAGTTGAAAAACAAATGTCGCTATAAAACATAACACATTAACTTCTGGGGATGAGTGTTAAATTGAAATCATGACCAACACAGATACTGCTTATGAAATATAATCATATCCTTACTCAGAAAAGGTAAGATAGATGCTACTTCTAAAATTATATGAAACATCCCAGAAACTGCCAAGCAACACACATCCAGAAAGCACAAATAGAATACTACAAACTATCTTGTAATAAGACAGTTACATTCAGAGTGGCAAACATCATTTTAAAGATACAAGATTCTATTTGCTGGCTCAAATGATAACATAAATTCTGGATAAAATCTATGAACTTGAAATGTGTTAGGTTTAGTAACACAAGTAAAGAGTATTTGCATTTCACTAGCAGAATGTGATATTACGGGAGTCAAATGTTATCTACTTTAAATTTGTTGTCAATTGATGAAAAATGAGTGTTATGTAAATCACCAAAGAAATTAACTTTCCTCAAAAATGATGAGCTTCATTACAAATATCCCATTATTATCATTGACATATATACTCCTCAATAAAAATTTTCCCATTCTTGCCAGTTGTTTTAATGTGTTGGGTTGAGGCCAATAGGCTGTCAGGTGTCACTTTCTAAAGATCATATTCCATGTGGGAAAATGTGCAGTGCTTTTGTAGCAGAAAGGGAACTGTTTATTGCTTGTATTATGTAGTTGTCTCAGACTTCTTATGAACTTAATATCACTTCACAAGCTGGTGGCTGGCTTACTTTTTGCCAAAGTTCTTTTGTCAGGGTGGAATGAAATATAAAAGCTGTCAATTACATTTTGACAGTAATAATTACATGTAGCAACAGTCATAAATTCTGTGTTTTGTGGCTCTGAGTCTAATCTTTCATCTAAACTCTCTTCTATTGCAGCTATTTAAGGAAGTCTGTTTTGCTTATTTTCATGCAGGCTACCATTTCATATATCGAGTTCATAATGTAGTTAGTTGAAAAAGGACTTGGGATTTTTGTTATTGTTCTCTTTGCCATTGTTCATTCTCCTTTTCTAACATTTTTCCTACTATGAGCCTGGATGGAAGAGGAGCAGAGAGAAGACATACACCAAAGCTTGCTCTATCTATAAAATAGTAACAACCCTGAGGCTTCCTCTTACAAATTCTACTATTTTTTTCTTTATTTTTTGAGACAGGGTCTTGCTCTGTTGCCAGGCTGGAGTGCAGTGGTGTGACCTCAGTTCACGGCAACCTTGACCTCCTGGGCTCAAACGATCCTTCCACCTCAGCCTCCATAGTAGCTGGGACTACAGGAGCATGCTACCATGCCCAGCTAATTGTTTTGTATTTTTTTTTTTTTTTGTAGAGGCAGAGTTTCATCATGTTGTCCAGGCTAATCTTAAACTTCTGAGCTGAAGTGCTCCCTCCCAAAGTGCTGGGACTACAGGCGTGAGCCACTGTGCCTGGTCAAATTCTACCAGACAAAACCACTTAACAGTTTTTAAATACATATAGTTCAAAATAGAAAAATAGTCATAAAAACATCAAATAATACAGGCTTGAACTTTTCAACTTTATTCAGTGAAAATGACTGTGATGCTTTTGAATAAAAACTTTAAAGATACTATATGAAACTTGAGATGAAAAGTTCAGAGTTACTACATTTTAATTAAGTACATACGAATACCAAAGTTTGTATCAGAAACACATAATTTTCACATGACTTTACATTGCTGCTTACTAACTTTTTTTACCAAGTTCTAGTAGTGTTAGAAATAACTATTATAAAATGTTTATTTTATTGAACTGTAAAATTTAACTTTGGTTTATGCTTGAGATTTTTCCATATGGCTGTTATTTTTGGAATTTTTTTTTCTTTGATATGGAGTTTTACTCTTGTTGCCCAGGCTGGAGTGCAATGGCACGATCTCTGCTCACCACAAGCTCCGCCTCCCAGGTTCAAGTGATTCTCCTGCCTCAGCCTCCTAAGTAGCTGGTATTACAGGTATGCGCCACCACTCCCAGCTATTTTGTTTTGTATTTTTAGTAGAGACGGGGTTTTTCCATGTTGGTCAGGCTGGTCTCAAACTCCCGACCTCAGGTGATCCCCCTGGCTCGGCCTCCCAAAGTGCTGGGATTACAGGCCTGAGCCACCACGCCCAGCCCTGACTTTTGGAAATTTTTAAGTCAAGCAAAAAGTCAAACAGTTACTAGATTAGGAAAAATAATCCTGAAGTATGATTTATAGATTTTTCATAGTGTAGGTTAAGTTATATGGGAAACTGTGAAGGCAAGAGAAACTATTGTAAAATGAGGAGTGGACTTAGTAATGCATATTGGTTATATACATTTCAACTCTTTCCAGAAAAAGTCAATAAACATTCTGCATAAACTAATTCCCTTAATTAAAAATATTTTGTTGGGGAAAAGTATTGTCTTCTAAACAGATTTCAACCTTAGTCTTTTAATTTACTTTGTAGTCACATATTCTTAAGAATCTAAAATATTTTATAGTTTTGCCTGTGGTTGAGTAAATATATATTTTTGAACTAATATTTGGAATGTAATTATACATAAGTTAATTATGTTAGATTTATATGATTGTCTAATTAGTTCAAGAGTAAGAGACTAGTAACCTTTTAATAAATAATATTAAACACATACTGTACTTCAATTAATTAAACCTATTCATTAAAAATTCAAAATGAGTGTGAATGTGTGTGTACATGTGTGTGTGCTGGAGGGGGGACAGTCACATAACTACTTTATAATTTTAGTGAAATTTGGATGTATTTTCATGCTTAAGCTTTTTCCTTTATAGACAAACATCTGTTGGCTCATGGAATTAGCTATTATTTCGGCAATGGAAAGGAATTATGGTTATCTAGAGCAAGAGTAAATGATTATTGGATTTGGAACACAAACAGGAAACTGTTTATATAATGAATGTTGGACCATGTAACATTAGTTAGGATGTCAAGAATACTTAATAGAAAAGACTCAGAAGTCATTGCAGAAGAGTTGTCTGGGTACAACAGGATATTAACAACTGCTGTGCCTTTTTGTTTCATAAAGTACTTCTGTGTGGCTAGACATTCCTTACTACTGCACACTGGTCTGTTAAATGACTTTGATAATAGTGCAGTTAACTCATGGGATCTGCTGTAGAAATGTGCACCCACTATATAAGCATGGTTTTCACTAAGGTGTGGGGCTCAGATCTATAAATTTCATTATGACATATTAGAGCTCTTTTCTCATGCCAATGTAAGCAGTCAATCCCTGTTAAAGAATAGTGCCCCTATTGCTGAAGTAATAAGTCTGTTGTTTAATTGGGTATTTGTCACAGAGGATGGAAAAACAGGGTGTGAAGGGAAAGTTTTCAGGGCTGGGTGAGTTACTTTATTTTCTTTTCAAAGTCAAGTATAGAATATTATCTTTTTTTAAAAATTGCTACTTTTGTTGCAGGATGTTTAACAGAAATATCTGTGGGCCCATGAACATGTCAAGTTAAACTATACTGTAATGGGACTTAAAAATAGATGCACATAGTTTTAGTGTACTTTTTAATTCCTAAAGAAAACTTTTAATTATTCAAGAACATGTAGACATCCTAGGAAAGATTGACAGGGTTTTATTTCACCCTTTTTCAAAGGACAGTAATTATTTTATGAATAAAATTCTAAAATGCAAAGATTAGATCAACCATTAGGAATAATGGTTATCTCTTGTGGCTTCAGGAGATATCAAGAGATATTTCTTTTTATTTTAATGCTGCTGTCTTGAGAAGGTAAAAGGTTGATATAGGCTAAAAAGGCCTATGATGTGCAGGTGTGGGTGTAACTAATACGGGCTCAGGTAAGAAGCTGCCATGCATCACTAATGAGAGACTCAGCCAAAGGGTTGTCTGCAAGTTCTAAAGCTTCAGATGCTGTATGTAGTTGGAAAGCCTGGAATTCCTTTTTGAATTACTTTATTACATAGCTATATTTATTAGAATTTGAGTACCCTACAAATATGCATACTTCTAAGATGCCATCATAATAAAGACCATCAATTTGGTTACATTTCAGGGGGAAAGGCTACACTGAAATGAACATTGTAAGAAAACTCAATTTAATGATACCTTGGAGTATATTCTTGCTTCATGTACTGCTGTTTTCATTACAAGGTAAGAACTCAGATTAAATTTTTATGTTAATTTATTGTATTTTTGTTTCTCTTACAATTTATACAAATAGTTTTCCCTTATAAAGCACTTTGAAGTCATTAGAATGAATTGTACTAAATGATACTCAGATCACCTTTTAAAAAATTCTTAATAATGTAGATAATTTGGACCTTTTGGTTTTCATTTTTTGACTCTTTGCAAAATGGCTAGTTAAAAATCATGCTTTTATTATGATATGCAATTGTACTAGAACCTTTTAGTTTTCATTTCTTGAATCTTTTTTAAATGACTGGTTAAAAATCATGCTTTTATCATGATATGCAATTGTATTAGAAGAAGCTGTGATTCTAACTTTTTTCTTCTAAAAGATGATTTAAAATAATTGTCTATTTGCAATTTAAACATTTGAAATTTTATAATAAACAGCAATTGAGTACTTAAACTTTCTTCATGCCATCAACCCAAAGAATAGTAAAAAAATGTTTAAAAATAACTAACATCTGGGGCTAAAAATTGATTTTAATTATTTTTATGGTAATTTTATTAATAAATTTTCTTGCTATTTGATTTTTTTTATTATGGAAAGCTTATAAACACACACAAAATTAAAATGACATAACACACCTTCACGTGCCTTCACCCAGTTCCATAACTATCAGCATTTTGTGGAACTAGTTTTACCCTGTTACACATTTTTTCTTGGAGTATTTTAAATTCATGAAATACATATTATATATTTTTAATAGATAAGCACTTTATCACACCTAACAAAATGGGCAAAGAATTGATTTATTTTCAGTTGTTGATTTTTAATCCCTGTAAAGGTCTGTATGCTTTGGAGCTTGTAGGGGAAATTGGAGAAATTGCTTAAGTATAAAAGACCACAGAGGTCAAAGGTGCTATTTTCCAATTCCAGTTGTGACTGAAACCCCAAGGAGAACGATGTCACAGAATCTTGAGAGCTGAGGAGACTTTGCAGATAACTTGTCCAACACCATCATTTTATGGTGTGCTTGGCATTTTGTTTAAGCTTGGCATATAGTAAGTGGTAGGACTAGAACTAAAACTTGGAACTCTGATTCCAAGGCTAGTGTCTGTTCAGTTGCATGGTGTCTCTGTGTAAATCCATGTACACTGCCCTTTCTTTTTAGCTTATCAGTCATTCAGTGTCTCACAGGAAATTTGCTGGTCAAATCCCTCTAAAAAATGCAAAACTAACAGCAAACTTCAATCAGAATTTTAGAATTTAGGTTAAAATGTTCTTTTAAACAACTGGAACATGTAGCCAATATATTTGGATAATTTTTTTTCATTCTTATATATTTGTCTCTGGCAGAATATATTTGTGCATCGTCTATATTGATGGGAACATCAAAGTGAGTATTTCTTGTTCTTCGTGTCCTCTAAAACATAAAGTTAATGGGAATGAGCAAACCTCAGCAGGCAACTATATCTGCTTTTGAAAAAAATAAGTGAAATGTTTTACAAAAAAGCATGAAATATACTTTAAAAAACATTTCTGCAGATTAAAAATGATCTAGCATTCATTTCCTTATTTATGAAAATATTTCCTTTCCTTTTAATTACAAAGTATTTCTTTTCCTTTTAATTATAAAAGGAGTCTTTGATGACTGTTGGTACTAAAAAGATATTACTTTCATTTCAAAAGTTTGTAAAATAAGTTATATTCCATAATATTATCCTTTACATTATTATTAATATACATTATTGATAACAAATGTATTATGTTCATTTTTAGCAGAGTAACATTTTTTAATGATAAAAATAAAAAATTGTTTTAGCAGTAAATAAAGAAAATCATTTTTTGGACTAAACTGATCTGCTTAATGAAAAGCAGAATTCTATTCACCATTTGATTTTTTAAAAATAAAATGTTTATTGATAAATATAACACAAAAACAGAAAACATTATAAAGCAAATATATGCCTTAGTGAATTATTAGCCATTTGATTTTGATAAATTGCAATTTGATGTTTTTACTTACATTAATGTTAACTTGCCCTTTATGACATAGCACAGGAGAGAATTAAGTACTGTTTGAACAAAGGGAAGGTACAAATACTGACCTCACTAGATTTGCAAAGTCATGTGGGGAAAATATTGCAAGGGTTGGTGCTACAATGTTACACTATTTTGTTTATTTTTCCATCTCAAAGTTCCTTCCTAATATTCAGTTCACATCAAAGACTGGAGAAATTTGGGGACACTTCTGAATTTTGTAAAATGAGACAGCACCACCACCCAAATCTAACCCCTCCAGAAAGGGGAGGGAGGACTTTTTAAATGTTAAACCAAGAAAGACCTCTTTGATAAAGTGATGGAAATCAGGAGGAAAACACCAGCTCTCTCTTGGGAAAGGCTTGTTCAGGTTGCCTAGGGGCCTTTGACTGTACAAGTTCTTTTTGTTTTCTTCCAGAAACGGGTTTAATGAAAATCGACAGAAAAGAGCTCTTTTAGCAGCACAGGTAGGTTATGCTTCAGGTGGAGAGAGAGGCAGAGAAATAATCCATTCTGTTTTGGACTCTGCTGTCACTTCAACAATGAGACCTTTGTGGAGGGGAATAAAATGCTAAGAACAAGACAGGAAGGAGGAGGAAGAAGCAAAGTAACCTCTATTGCTTTTCTACGACCATCGAATTCATGCTTAGGTCACATCGACTTGTTTGGAATAAAATACACATTTTTTTTTTGCTATTCAGCTCAGTTACCTACTAATAGGCTTGAGGCATTTAATTCCATGCACTTGCCAGAAAATTAGAAGTAGTTTAAAAATTAAGCACAATATCAGTTAGGACAATGACAACAGTATAATGTACATGGAAAAAGGGGCCGAAAAATGTGTAAATAATATGAGTTAAATACTGCAAAAGGGCATCAGATATGTCCTAATGTCCTGACAGAAAGTTTTTATAATGTCTGATAAATCTAAATTGTGGGTGTCTCTGAATAGGTAACTTTTTTTTGGAGGGGCAGCGTAGCACTGCATTTGAGGAGACCTTCTTGCCCGGGTGCCTTTATATGAAGGATAATTGCAATTTCTTCAAACTGGTTGGAATGCTCAAATGGATGGGTTTAAAAATATTTCTCTATAAAAGATGGATGGTAAAATACAGAATCCTAACTTAGTAAAGGCATTTCTTTGAAAAGGAATATGATTTGAGTATTTATGTAGCAGACAGCTTGAATATTCAAGGAAGCCTTTGTTAAATGTTGAATTGCAAATAGTTTTTATTAGCGTTTTGTGATAGATGTCTGAATTTGTGTATTTTATAGTGTTAATTGAAGATAATTAGTAGTTAAATAGAAGACAGATCTGATATGCTGTTGTGTCTGGTTAGAAGACAGAACTGATTTATTCTTATCAAGAGTAGAGACCTTTTTTTTGTTCCATTGTTACTGGAAAGGGGTCCTGACCCAGATCCCAAGAGAGGGTTCTTGGTTCTCATGCAAGAAAGAATTTGGGGCAAGTCCACAGAGTAAAGTGAAAGCAAGTTTATTAAGAAGGTAAAGGAATGAAAGAATGGCTACTCCATAGGCAGAGCAGCAGCATAAGCTGCTTGACTGAGTATACTTGTAGTTATTTCTGACCATATGCTAAACAAGAGGTGAATTATTCATGAGTTTTCCAGGAAAGGGACAGGAATTTCCCAGAAATAAGAGTTCCTCTTCTTTTAGACTATATAGGGTAACTTCTGGATGTTGCCAGGGCATTTGTAAACTGTCATGGCGTTGGTGGGAGTGTCTTTTAGCATGTTAATGCATTATAACTAGAGTATAATGAGCAGTGAGGACAACCAGAGGTTACTTTCATTGCCATCTTGGTTTTGGCAGGATTGGGCCGGTTTCTTTACTGCAGGGTCTTTATGACCTGTATCTTGTGATGCCAGTCCTGCTGACCTCTTATCTCATCCTGTGACGAAGAATGCCTAACCTCTTGGGAATGCAGCCCAGCAGATCTCAGACTCATTTTACCCAGCCCCTATTCAAGGTGGAACCACTCTGGTTGGAGCACCTCTGACGCCAGAATAGGCAAAGGGTTGTCTATGGAATGGAAATACATTTTATTTTTCTTAAAAAGAGTGTTTTGTGTACTGATATACTTAAGTGTCAAATTGGGGTTATACTGTTGTCCATTTAGATGTTTTCAGCATTTGTATACTTTACTCCCTTTTAGTGAGAATGAAGAGCAGGAGACTTGTACTACTTCCTAAGGCTAGAAAACATGTGTCAAAATCACTTATTTTCTGAACAATTTTTAAAAGAAGAGCGGGCAATGAGGTCATAATCTTGCACTGAGCTGTTTAGAATTGGAATTTCATGTGTTACAAGGCCATTCTTATCCATACATTCACTCTTCTGCTCTAGGAAAACAGAGCACCAATGGGTAGATAAGTGCGCAAATAAGGACTCAGAAATATGTTGGCAATGAGGTGAGCAAGAAAGGGTAAACGCAGACTTCTGTAAATAGTGTATTTGTGTGCTGCAGTGATTTCCCATCTAAAGACTGTATTTCCCTGGGCCTCTCTCCGTCCTGTGGAGATGTAATCAGGAAGGAGGAAGGGTGGGCTGTCCTCTTATCAGTCATGTGAATACATGCACCTACTGCCTGGGACTTTTTTGCATTGGCATTACATTCCAAAAGTTCCTTTCCTGAAAGCAGGCCCTAAGACATAGACTTAGGTGCAGGTCATTTATTTGGAAAGTGTACAAATAAAGGAGAAAGGAAAATGATGTGAAGAAGGGAGAAAATAAAATATGGGGTGCATTAATGAGGGGCTTTCTGCTGTAGGCAGCTGGAGCTCAGTCTTATTGGAGACTTTCTGAAGAACCATGTAGAATGCGTCCTAGAATAATTTCTAGGTTGAGGGAAACCTCTGGAGAGCCTAAAATCTCCAGGAAGGCACTTTCTATAGTCTTTTCTGCTTGGACTCTGCCCTCAGGCAAAGACAGAAAGAAGCTAGTGCTGAAGTTGCAGGCTTTCAGTGTGCACAGAAATCCAGATGAATTCCAAGGTGAATTCAGAGGTGGGCTGAGAGGATGTGGGGAGAGGCATCAACAAAGTCTGCTGCAGTCGTGGCTCTAAACACCCTTGGGAGACAGATTCCCATTTGAACCATGTCTCTTTTTTCAGTTCAGTTGGTATTTGTTGATGACATACCAAGGACAGTGAGATATAAACAAGAATAGCAGTGCCTGTTATCTAGAAACTCCATCTGTTACGGAGGTAGGCTTATGAAGAAGTCATTTCTGTGCAATTGGTTCATTGAATCCAAGACAACCTCAATCATTTACCATTATTTATATGACATAAAAAATAAATATGCTCCAATTATAAATGTAAGATGCCATTCTGAGTTCAAATATGTCAATAAATAAATAAATAAAATCTGCATGTCACACCTTAGCCTTGGTGAAATGTATTATGATGTATGGGATGCTGGATAAATAGGATGTTGTTGTAGCCAGAGAGGTGGTGTGCTAGGGAGTCATTCTAATTTCCATAAAGGAGATGTGGATTGAGTTAGGTCAAAGGATATGGAGCAAGAAACAAATTATATATTTTTATCTTGCTTGTGTTATCCAATGTTTTCAGTTTTTGCCTAACAATAAAAACAGGTAGCATGTTTACAAGTCTTTTTTTTTTTTTTTTTTGAGAGAGAGTTTTGCTCTTCTTGCCCAGGCTGGAGTGAATGGCCTGATCTCCGCTCACTGCAACCTCTGCCTCCTGGGTTCAAGCTATTCTCCTGCCTTAGCCTCCTGAGTACTGGGATTATAGGCACATACCACAAACCCTGGCTAATTTTCTGTATTTTTAGTAGAGATGGGGTTTCACCATGTTGGTCAGGCTGGTCTTGAACTCCTGACCTCAGGAGATCCACCCACCACGGCCTCCCAAAGTGCTGGGATTATAGGTGTGAGCCACCGCGCCCGGCCTGCATGTTTACAACTCTTATTATGTGCCTGGCACTATTCTTGGTGTGTCACTCACATAATTTCACTGAATCCTCACGATTCTGTGAGGCAGGAACTTTTATTTTATAGATTGGGAAACTGAACCTGAGCGGGTTGAATAATTTGTTCAAGGCGATAGGCCCTATAAGGTAGAAGTCATTATAGAGTAGAAGTCATTATACACTTTTAGTGAGTATCAGAGATGATTGGCTTCCATTAAAGGGATAGACATAAATCATTTTGGAGCCAAAGGAAGAAGGTTTTGGTGTCCAGTAATATCCAGGGCTGTGTTAGATTTAGGCAGCCAGAAGCAATGTGGCTGAAGAGAGAATAAGACTTGCCATCTTGAGGGAATTGAGGTCATAGACTGTTGTTGCATCTAATTTAGTTTGAAGGCAGAGGCAAGAACAAAAAGGGGAGATTGAACAGTGAGGATAAGACCTGGGAGTATTGAGAACAGGAGACAATGAACTTGAAACCATTGTGTGGGGCAAAGAGATTAGAAAGAAATCTTCAAATAGTGAGAGAGTGTGTCTTTTATATAGCATGGGCTGACATGATGGCATGCGCCTGCAGTCCCAGCTACTCAGGAGGCCGAGGCAGGAGGATCACTTTGAGTCCAGGAGTTAAGCCCAGCCCAGGAAACACAGCGAGACCCCATCTCTTAAAAAAAATGATATAGCACGGGTAGATTTTCCTGTTGAAGTAAAAAGTGCTGAGATGGAAAATGTCAAAATAAAACTTCACGTAAGGGAGACTAGAATCTGCTGAGAAACAACTCTGTTCCTGAAGTCACATGGCTCATTTTCCCATCCTTCTTATCTTTCCCCCTTCTTCAGTTTTTCTAATATCATCTGCTACTTAATTTGACAATTATTTGGCAAGTTTGGGTGTGTTTATTCTGGTGAAATATAAGTGCTATTGGAAAGAATATTGCCCCAGCCCATACACTCAATTGGTATGGAGTTGGAATAATAATCCACAATTGATTAGTTTTAGTAAGCCACAACTATTTGCTACTTAGCCATATAGATCTTTTAAAAACCTTAAAATTTCATCTGGATTGCTTAGATTGATTGACATAAATCTCTTTTTTGCTAATTTTCTGTGTGAGGCACTATGTATGTAAGCTTCACGTACATGGCTTTAATTCATTATCCTAACTATACAACGAGGGAAGTGCCATTGTTGTTCCCCTTTTACAGATGAGTAAATAGAGGCACTAAGAGGTTAGGAAACTTGCCTAAGGGTAAGTAATTACGGAGTCAGGATTCTAATCCAGCTTTGTTTGATTCAAAATTCATGCTGTTTACCACTACTCTGAACTACCTTGGGCTCTATAAAAAGATATATTTAAATGCTAAATGACGAGTTAATGGGTGCAGCACACCAACATGGCACATGTATACATATGTAACAAACCTGCACGTTGTGCACATGTACCCTAAAACTTAAAGTATAATAATAATAAAAGAAAAGAAAAAGAAAGAAAGAAAAAAAAATGTTCTATGAACTTTACAGTGTCAGTCAGCTCTTTGGAGCCTGAAGGTGACACACTGGCACCGAAACAGCAGATGCTTCTGTGGATGTTTTCTTTACCGATTGGTGTGCAGGCAGGCAGGACATCACCATCTGTTGGTCTGTCAGCCCCATGCATTTTTTTTTTCCAAACCTATCTGCGCCTGGAAGTGTCAGAGAATTGCTATTTCTGCAGGCAAAGCAGTCAATTATTCCAAAGGTTAGACTCCAACCAGGCTCCTTTCATGAGGTTGCGAGGTGGGTGGAGGGATCGGGGGCTGGGGGGAAGACTGGATGATGGGAAGGGGAGGGAGGATGGGAAGTGAGAACAGAACAGAGAGCAGACAAAGTAAATATAGACTTGTCAAAGTCATGTAAGAGGCAAAACCAAGACTTGAATCAGGTCTTCTAACCACAACCTCAGAGGAACCCTTTCTGCCTCATGGAGATGATAAGCCTCAATAACCCCAGAAAATATAAAGTCAGCACTTTATCATTTCTGTATTTGTAGTTATTTTCTAGATTTGCCAATTTGCATGTTTGGCTTGAATTAAATAATTTAACTGTATTGCATTCTCATTTCTTTCTTTCAAAGTTTGAAGCTACTTCTCCGAGATACTTTTTCCATGATGCTATTAATTGGGGTGAGAGCAAAATAAAAGGTCAGTGTTTATACTTAGGTTTTCATATTTGCTTTCTCAGAAAATCCCTTTGGGGGATATATTGAATCAAGTATTTATTGTTTCCGTATACCACATGAAGGAAAGTGAGCCAGGATGGTAGTAATACTTAGTAATAATTTAAGTTCACTTCTTAGAGAAATTTGAATTGTTTCTGAGAATAACCAGGGCCAAACATTTAGACAAACCTGATAACTGCATGACCAGGGAAGATGTCACTGGATGTAAGAAACTATTTTTTTGTGAATAAATTACTTGCTCTTTGATCCCTGTTTTTTGTTACCAATTCCCCATTTCCATTAAGCAGAATGCTGATGGTAGTTTGAAATTTAATTTGAGTGGTAACTATGAAATAGAAACTATCACTGTTGTGTTTAAAATAACAATGATCCTCACTAGTTTTCATTTGATATTTGTTTTCAGGAGAATAAGCAGGACTGTAAATACATTTTTAAAGGCAATACATTTGTTTATCTAAATATTTAACATCTCTTCATCAGAAAAATGCAAGACTGTTGATCTAAGATAAAGTGCAAATACAGATGTGCACCTAGTGGAAAAAACTGCATTTAAATTTATGAAAAACATCATTTTTTTTCTACCCGTATTTATGGACTAAGTTAAAACAGCATATTTTTTCCTCACTGAAGATATAGTTGGAGATTTGTGCATTTTGAAAAGTAAAGAGACATTTTAGATCAGTGGATCTTAAGGTGGAGAGGAATCATAAAGGTTTTTGAATTCTTGCCTTCGGCAGAACTGTGGTCAAATGATCAATTATATAACTATCTTCTGGGAATTAAGATGTTCTGTGGTTCTCCTCATGTGTTAAATTCTTCCTGCTTGAGTTTTGCCAGTTGCCTCTTGTCCTCTCCTTATTAGAGGAAATTTTTTCACTGATTCATTTGCATTTTTAAAACTCACTCAGGAGATGATGGTAAAATTAGGGTTAGAGCTCACAGTTACTTGCTTTCTCTTTTTAACATAATCTGTTGGAACAATTTTATAACTTTTCTTTCTATGAAAGAAAGAATATTTTTGGTGACAGCAGTGACTTTGGCTTCTGCTTCATCAAAATTTAAGTATAGATTTCTTTTTTTTTC
Organism: Homo sapiens; assembly: GCF_000001405.40. Lineage (NCBI taxonomy): Eukaryota > Metazoa > Chordata > Mammalia > Primates > Hominidae > Homo > Homo sapiens. The sequence continues at coordinate 80,218,786 of NC_000012.12, forward strand.
TTTTTCTTTCTTTTTTTTTTTTTTTTTTTGAGACAGTCTTGCTCTGTCACCCAGGCTGGAGTGCAGTGGCGCGATCTCGGCTCACTGCAACTTCTGCCTCCTGGATTCAAGCGATTCTCCTGCCTCAGCCTCCTGAGTAGCAGGGATTACAGGTGTCTACCACCATGCCTGGCAGCAAAGGTTTCAAAGAATGTGTCATTTGTAATTGAGCCTGAGGATTAATATACAAACCTCAAATGAAATGTTTAATCATTCTCTTCAAAAGCAGGAGTCTCCCTTTGAGTTTTATGCTTTGCCTGATCCCTCAAGTTAATGATTGACCCGATTCTTTTTTTGTTGTTGTTGAGACAGAGTCTAGCTCTGTTACCCAGCCTGGAGTGCAATGGCGTGATCTCGGCTCACTGCAACCACCACTGCCCGGGTTCAAGTGATTCTCCTGCCTCAGCCTCCCATGTAGCTGGGACTACAGGCATGCACCACCACACCCAGCTAATTTTTGTGTTTTTAGTAGAGATGGAGTTTCACCACGTTGGCCAGGCTGGTCTCGAACTCCTGACCTCAAATGATCTGCCTGCCTTGGCTTCCCAGAGTGCTGGGATTACAGGCATGAGAGACCCTATTCTTTAATAGAGTGTTTGCTCCTGGAAGAGGAGCTGATGGGATGTGCAGCCAGCGCCAAACTCTGTCAACGGAATCATCTGCAGCTTGTGTATTTCTGGTTCTCATCATCTGGGACAGAGATTCCTTACATGGGAACTTGACCTTTGAATTGCTTGAAAGGAGCTAACCTTTGCTCTCAGGGTAGTCTGAGATGTGAAAGCCTGCCTTTCTTGCTTCACAGCACACATAATAAAATGAACTAGATAGAGACTTGTTGGGTTTAGTTCTTTAGCTTAGCAAGGCAAGAGGCTGAGAGTTCTGTTTAAGTTAATAGTGATTACAATTTGTCCAAGCTATATCTTGACATATTATGCTTAAAAGAACAAATGGATGCCAGAAGATAACTTTTTTTTTTTTTTCCCCCTCAGGTTCTTGTCCTTATGAATGCCTTAATGGAGCTTTCTGTTCTAAGACTGGAACATGTGACTGTCAAATATTTCAGGCTCTTGGGACAAGATGCCAGATCAGTAAGTTTCAGGGATGCTTGTGAGATAATTATGAGATACCAAGGAGAAAATTAAGGCATAATTTGCTATAATAATGTTCATCCATTGGGAGTTGTATATTAACTAGAGAGCCCACAATTCATTCTCAGTAATTTGATGTAATTTAGAAACAAAGTAAAACAAAAGTAGATAGGGCCACTTTCCCTTCTCATTGAGCTCTCTTATTGCTTCAAGTATTTTTTCTACTTTCTATAGTAATAGCCTATTATTATTATTATTATTTTTTGAGACAGAGTCTCACTCTGTCACTCAGGCTGGAGTGCAATGGCACGATCTTGGCTGACTGCAATCTCTGCCTCCCAACCTCAAGCGATTCTCCCACCTCAGCCTCCCTAGTAGCTGGGACTACAGGTACCCACCATCATGTCTGGCTAATTTTGGTATTTTTGTGGAGATGGGGTTTCACCATGTTGGCCAGGATGCTCTTGAACTCCTGAACTCAGGTGATCCTCCCATCTTGACCTCCCAAAGTGCTGGGATTACAGGCATGAGCCACTGTGCCTGGCCAGTAATAGCCTATTAAAACCAGGTTCTCATTCATCTCTCTTTTGCTTTATAAAACAGATTTATTATTTGGAGCCAGTCATTCTTTTGGACCTTTAATTAACTGGACACTTTGTATGTAAAAAAATAGTACTGAGACTTCTTCGAGGGCAAGGGCTTTTTTTTTTTTTTTTAAATCTTTTATCCACAGTGTCTAAGATAGGATTCTATGTCAATAATAATCAATAAATATTCATTTGTTTAATCGATGTTTACTGGCATCTAGATCCCAGGCTAGGCATTGGGGATGCAACGGTGAATAATAGAAACATGTTCCTGTCCTCTTGGAGGCTGCAGTCTAGAGAAGGTGATAAATACACAACAGATACACAATAATTAAACTTGTTACAGGTGCTGTAAAGTACAAGATGCTATGAAAAAATGAAGCAGAGGTGGGGCATACTGTCAGGGAAGACTGCCTGAATAATGAATAATTCTATGTTTTTTCCTGAAAAGGCCACAGTTGTCCAAGGCTAATAAATTTAGGTGGGAATCACAAAAATACAAGATGTAAAGAGTCACCCTTACCTTTATGCCCCCCACCCAGAGTGTATCAAAATGTTTTACATGTATTGAGTGCTCAGTGAATGTTACTGGTTTTCATATTATTCTAAAGAGAAGAATTTAGAAAACAAAAATTGAATAGAAGATTATCTACAAGGGTAAGAAAAAAAGGTAGGCATGACAATAGGAGATACAGTTGCATGATTTAAGATAAATATTGCTTGAAATTTGGCCAGTTTGAGGTCATGAATTATTAAATTCCAGCATACCTTTTTTTTTTTTTTTGGAGACAGAGTCTTACTGTCACCAAGGCTGGAGTACAGTGGCGCAATCTTGGCTCACTGCAACCTCCGCCTCCTGGGTTCAAGCAATTCTTGTGTCTCAGCCTCCTGGGTAGCTGGGATTACAGATGCGTGCCACCCCACCATGCTGGCTAATTTTTTGTATTTTAGTAGAGACGGAGTTTCACCATGTTACCCAGGCTGGTCTCAAACTCTTGAGCTCAGGTAACCTGCCCACCTTGGCCTACCAAATTGCTAGGATTACAGGTACAAGCCACCACACCAGCCAAATTCCAGCATACTTTGAATGACTAATGCTCCCCACATCCAGGTCCCAGACACGTAAATATGACTTTTTTTGGTCAATAGTTATTTTTCTCTGTGGATACCATAAAAAGACGTTTTTGAAAGACTAGAACACTCTGATGCTGTATATGCTAATCTTTAGGACACTCAGTGGTGACATTTCTCTTTTTTCTGAGCCATCTTACTTGCTTTATTACTATCACCTTTTACTGAATTATTTTCCATACTCCTTTTTTTCTTCTAGAATCTTTCTTTGAAAACAAAAGTTAAGAAACTTTCTAACATAAATCTTTTCTTCATAACTACTTGGAGACCCTGTTTTTCTTCAGGGGAGTTTGATAGTTTTGAGAGCAACTGTTAATTTTATGTTAGTTATTTCTTCCTGTGTTATAGACCAAGGAAGGAAATTTGAATGAAAATTAGAATCATTTACCATGACTGACTGAACATTGCTAGAAACGTGTAATTTATTTTGCCTACAAAATATTATCCTGTTTCTTTTCAGTCCCAAACATGGGCAACGGCAGAGATGGGATTTGTAAAACCTGGGGACAGTATCATTTTGAAACATTCGATGGCATCTACTATTACTTCCCAGGAAACTGTTCTTACATTTTTGCAAAGGACTGTGGTGATTTGGAGCCTCGGTACACTGTATGGGTAGGTGATTGTAGGACATGATTAACTTAAAAATATTATCTCTGGAAAAGTATGTATTTTTAAAGTACTGGGAAAATGATGCAAAATATATACTAATAATAGAATGAATACTTATTTTGAAGAGGGTCTGGGTTCAGTTACGAACCATATTACTCACACTTCCTTCCTTCCTGATACTTCCAGTGAGATATGTCCAGCTGGTTTAGTTTTTTGAAATGACACCCTCAGTATGAACCAGAGGCTAACATTTATAAAATGGAGTGTATGAGTTACATAAGCACAGGCTATCGGATGTGAAGACTGACAGCTAATTGCTAGGTAGTTTGATACTATATGACTGAACTCAGAGAATTAATTCTTAGTTGCAGAATTCTTGATTCAAATGAATTCTTAGGAGACCTCTCGAAAATATAAGCTTCAGAGTGGCTCTAGTTGAATAAGGATGTCAGGGACCTCTTTCTTTGCCTACTATCTTCTGAATTTCTAGGTATTTCAATCACTACCAGGAAACTGCTATGTTGTTGGATTTAAAAGCTACAACTCTCCATAGTCAAAACATATTTGAATCTCTGTTATGCTTTCCCTTTTTACTTACGTTGGGGCTGCCTACATTCTCCTCCTTTCTAAGGTGATGCAAATATTAAAAGTAGGCCCTGAAACTTCTTTTTTTTCATAGGTTTTTGGGGGAAGAGATGGTGTTTGGTTACATGTTGATTTCTGAGATTTTAGTCCACTATCCCCTGAGCAGTGTACATTGTACCCAATGTGTAGTCTTTTACCCCTCATCACCCCCCAGCCTTTCCCCTTGGTCCCCAAAGTCCATTGTGTAATTCTTATCCCTTTGCATTCTCATAGCTTAGTTCCCACTTACGAGTGAGAACATATGATGTTTGGTTTTCTATTCCCAAGTTACTTCACTTAGGCTAATGCTTTCCAATTCCACCCAGGTTGCTGGAAATGCCATTATTTTGTTCCTTTTTATGGCTGAGTAGTATTCCATGGTGTGTGTGTGTGTATGTATATATATGTATATATATATGGCATATATGTATATATATCATATTTTCTTTATCCACTCATTGATTGATGGGCATTTGGGCTGGTTCCATGTTTTTGCAATTGTGAATTGTACTGCTATAAACATGTGTATGCAGGTATCTTTTTTTGTATAATGACTTCTTTTCTTCTGGGGAGATACCTAGGAGTAGGATTGCTGGGTCAAATGGTAGATCTACTTTTAGTTCTTTCAGGAATCTCTATACTCTTTTTCATAGTAGTTGTACTAGTTTAAATTACCAACAACCGTGTGAAAGTGTTCCCTTTTCACCACATCCATACCAACATCTATTATTTTTTGATTTTTAAATTATGGTAATTCTTGCAGGAATAAAGTGGTATTGTATTGTGGTTTTCATTTGTTTTTCTCTGATAATTAGTGATGTTGATAATTTTTTCATGTTTGTTGGCCATTTGTATACCTTCTTTTGAGAATTGTCTATTCATGTCCTTAGCTCACTTTTTGATGGAATTGTTTGTTTTTTTCTTGCTAATTTGTTTGAGTTCCTTGTAGATTCTGTATATTAGTCCATTGTTGGATGTATAGATTGCAAAGATTTTCTTCCACTCTGTGACTTGTCTGTTTACTCTGTTGATTATTTCTTTTGCTGCATAAAAGCTTTTTAGTTTAATTAAGTCTTGTCTGTTTATATTTGTTTCTGCTGTATTTGCTTTTGGGTTCTTGGTCATGAATGCTTTGCCTAAGCCAATGTCTAGAAAGCTTTTCCAATGTTATATTCTAGAATTTGTATGGTTTCACGTCTAGATTTAAGTATTTTATCCATCTTGAGTTGATTTTTGTATAAAGTGAGAGATGAGGATCCAGTTTCATTCTTCTGCATGTGGCTAGCCAATTATCCCAGCACCATTTGTTGAATAGGATGTCCTTTCCCCACTTTATGTTTTTGTTTACTTTGTCAAAAATTAGTTGGCTGTAAGCATCTGGCTTTATTTCTGGATTCTCTGTTGTTCTATATGACTGTTTTAATACCAGTACCATGCTGTTTTGGTGACTATGGCCTTATACTATAGTTTGAAGTCGGGTAATGTAATGCCTCAAACTTTGTTCTTTTTGCTTAGTCTTGCTTTGGCTATGTGGCTTTTTTGGTTCCATATGAATTTTATGATTGTTTTTTCTAGTTCTGTGAAGAATGATGGTGGTATTTTCATGGGAATTGCATTGAATTTGTAGATTGCTTTTGGCAGTGTGGTCATTTTCACAATATTGATTCTACCCATCAACGAGCATGGGATGTGTTTCTATTTGTTTGTGTTGTCTATGATTTCTTTCAGCAGTGTTTTGTAGTTTTCCTTGTAGAGGTCTTTCACCTCCTTGATTAAATATATTCTTAAGTATTTTAATGTTTTTTGCAGCTATTGTAAAAGGGGTTGAGTTCTTGATTTGATTCTCAGCTTGGCCACTGTTGGTGTATAGTAGGGCTACTGATTTGTGTAGATTAATTTTGTATCCTGAAACTTTTAGACCCTGAAACTTTTTAAGGCTACAAATCTTCGTGACCCAGAGAAGAAGCACAACTGGGTGACTATAGTCAATAATATCTTAATTGTACATTTTTAAATAACTTAAAAAGTGTAATTGGATTGTTTGTAACACAAAGGATAAATGTTTGAGGGGATGCATATGTCTTTCTCCATGATGTGATTATGTAACATTGCATGCCTATATCAAAACATCTCCTGTACCCCATATATATATGTATATACACCTACTATGTAACCACAAAAATCAAAAATAAAAAACTAAACAAAATAACAAATGTATTTAAAGTAAAAAAAAAGAAATGAGATATATTGAAAGTTCACTTATGGGGCATAAGAATAAAAATTTAGAGGTCTCTTTAGATAGGGCAGTTGGTGAAATGCATCTTCTGTGCTTGCAGGTCTCCTGTTCTCAGTTCTCTCATTGTCTACTACTCCCCCACCCCTCACTTGTTTTCTCACTTGAATACCCTTTGACCTTCTCTTTAAAATGTTCTTGTTCAGTGTCCCACTCTTTTGAGGACTGAGGTGTCAACGAGATAACCTGTCCTTTGTTAGTAACACACAATGCTGAACTATGCCTCTGGAGTTAGTAGATATTGTTTCTACTTGGCCTTGTTTTGAGTAGTAAAATTTTCTTTCAAATAAATACATCAATTTACTTGAAATGTCACTTTCCCCTTGATTATAAAAGCAGTTCATTTCTTTTGTAGAAAATTTGGAAAATTCAGAGAAGTCTGAAAAATGTTAAAATTATCACTTAAGAGTTACCATTGGTTAACAGCTTCACCTATTTCCTTCTCAACATTTTGCTCTGAATTTTATACATACTTATAAAATTTAAATTATAGTTTTCTGTCCTACACTTTCAATTAATATTATGTCTTCAACTTCCTTCAATGTTAAATATTCTTGATACATCCAAATACAGTTAGCTGTATTTTTTCCAACTTCTGTAATACTCAAATAAGTTAATGATGTCCTATATTGGAAATTTAGATTTTTTTAAAATAGAATTTCAAAGGATATGTTGATAAACATTATCATACAGATATCCTTATCTATACCCCCGACTATTTTTTCCATCTTTAAATTCTATTTTATTTTTATGAAAATAATATATGTGTATGGTGAAAGATTTCATCCCAGAATATATGGCAAAAAATAGCCTCTGCCTTCCTTCATCCTCCACCCTAGCAGAAGCCTGGCTCACAAGAGACAATTACTTCAACTAATTTAGCTGTTTCTTCTGGTTTTTATCTTACACATCAAAATATGCCATTATCTCTTTATTTTTCAAAGTTAGGCCTTATTCCTTCACTTCCTGTTACGGAAAATGAGAAATTATCTTAGTTATGCCACCCTTCCTGCTCCTAACACACACACACACACACACACACACACACACACACACACACACACTTCCCTTCACTCCTCCTAATAGAGTTATGTCACCATTTTTGGTTAAATAATTTATATTTTTTATATTATTGTCACTATGTAAATATTGTTTAGAGCTGATCCCAATAGGTTATGATGATTTTCTGTCTCTACTTGTATATTTTTCTAGAGTAAACAGTTATCCCATTTTTTCTTTGCTGTATTCTCTTTACTCCAGTCACTAATATTTTTCCTAACTCTCTACCTCTATAAAACTCTTCAATATGGTCAGATGCATTAAGCAAGTTATCAGCTTCTCTTTTCCCTCATGAGACAATCCTTCCTCAGTTTTCCTTCCCATCTTTCAATCCAGACTAGTTGCTTTTGAAGTCTACTGTACACCTATCACTTGGGTTTTCTTTTTGTCATCCTACTGGAGAATTTTATTCTTCTCTCTCACCAGTTTTCCTCTTTCTTGGTTCCCACCGATGTCTAGTGGTCCTTTAACTTTGTTCATACTAGAGAGATAGGTTCTGAAAAGCTTATTGGATGCTCTGAATGTGTGGCCAGTGTTTGTAGTGGTGATTAAGCAAGAACCCATTTCCTCTTTGTTTAGTCACTTATTTTAATTGACTAAGTTGGTTCCTGGAAAGGGAAGATACTTTCCTGGAAAGTGTGCATGGGAAGAGAATTTTTGAAGCCTTGATTTTAATTTAAAAATCACTTTCAGAATTTTAAATTTCAATTCACTCTCATTTCTGATCATTTTACATATAACCTTACTCAACCTCCAGAAGTTTTTAGATCTTTTAATTCCCAGAGTTCTGAGATTTTGTAATTATGTGAATTTCCTTTCCCATTCTTTTGTGCTGGGCACTTGATGGGCTTTTATATTGGAGCTAATATATTGGAGCTCTGGGGTGGAGTGATCCCTTAATTTTCTCACTGATTCTTGCCTATTTTCCACTTTTTTCCTTTTTTGTTCTACATTTCGGGATATTTCTGTCCAATTCTGAGATGTTTATCTTCTCACCTTTCTACTTCAGTTATACATTTCTCCTTTTATATTGTCAGTATTCAATTATTTGTTTTTATTCTTTGAATTTCGTTTTCAGCAACATTTTATTCTCAGGTCAAGGATGGCATATATAATTTTTCTCTCAGAAGATATCAACTATGTATTTTTAAAGTTTTTGGGTTTTTCTAAATTGTTTTTTATTTCTTTGATTCCCTTTCTTTTGTTTATTTGATGTCTTTCATGTCGCAGACTTTCATCAAATGACTAATGATTCATGAATATTTGTTCACATTAGAGAATAAGGCTCTAAAAGCGAATTGGAAACTCTGGATATATGCATGGGAGCTTGTTGGACTACTGTGAGAGTGAGCAAGGATCTGCTTGTTTCATTAGATAAACCCCCAAATATTAGGATCTATATGTCTTTTTTTCCATTTTGTTTCCCGAAAGAAGAATCCTCCAACATCTAGTCTGGCATCAGACGCTTGGATTCATGGATCCTGAGAACATTTTAGGCCTACTCTTCCCTCAGACTTTTATACTTGCTATTTCCTTTGCCTAGAATGGTATTCCAGATATCCCATATGGCTTTCTCTCTCTCACGCTCCATCTTTACTAGAAGTTCATCTTTTCAGCAAGGCCTTCTTTGACCACTCACTCTGAAATTGCCCCCAGACCTTGACACATACCCTATCCCCTTTCCCTGCTTAATATTTCTCCTTAATATCATTTAACATAGTATATATTTTAGCTTCACATAGCTATATTTTCTATTAGCCGTTTTCCTCTAATAGAATACAAGTTTCATGAGGGCAGATAGTTTTGTCCGCTCTGTTGACTGCTCTATCCCCAGTACCTAGAACAGTGCCTGGTACATAATAAATGATCAATACAATTTGCTGATTAAGCATAAAACTAATATACATTAAATTACTACAATATTAAAACTATATTATTGAGGCTGGGCGTAGTGACTCACACCTGTAATCCCAGCACTTTGGGAGGCTGAGGTGGTTGGATCACTTGAGGTCAGGAGTTTGAGACCAGCCTGGCTAACATAGTGAAACCCCATCTCTACCAAAAAAATAGAAAAATTAGCCGGTTTGGTGGTACACGCCTATAGCCCCAGCTACTTGGGAGGCTGAGGCACGAGAATCACTTGAACCTAGGAGGCAGAGGTTTCAGGGAGCTGCAATCACACCACTGCACTCCAGCGTGGGTGACAGAGAGAGGCTCTATCTCAAAAAACAAACAAACAAACAAAAACAAACAAAAAAAACCCCAAAACAAAACCAAACCAAACAAAAAACCCGTATATTATTGACAATTTTAAAAGTCACTTTTAGGCTTAGAAAGTTCTTTTCCACCTCTATAGTTGTAATCTCTGTTTTCTTTCAGTTATGTCATGGTTTAGACATTTATACTTTACTTTTTGGACCTTTTGAAATTAATTTTGGTATAGGGTAAAATAATCTAAGCTTCCTCTTCTCTTTTCTTCCTTTCTTCTTTTCTTCCTTTCATTCTTTTTTTTTAAACTAATTTTCCTATTAATTTTTTGAAAAATAATCTCTCTCTTCCCTAATGTGTCTGGCAATAAATAAAAATAAAATCAATTTTATTTTTAGTGAGTTCATGGTCACTTTTCAACCTTTAAATATTGCTTTGTGTAGTGCTCCATTCAAAGCTCTGTTTTATGATTCTCTAATAGGTAAAAAATACGGATGACAAATGTGCTTCTTTGTGGCACTCCAGAGTTTTACTATTAGAACTAATTTCTCCCAAAGCATACCATGTACCTTGAGAATATTAACATCCAACATGCGAAGATTCAAATCGTTCAAAAATATGCTGATTAACTTGTATTTTAGGAAGTTAATTTTGTTGCCCAATTTCTGAGGTAAATATTTCTTTTCTCTCAGAAATCCCAAATGTAGTTATAACGTTGTAAAGTGTCATGGGACTAATGAAACTATATGATTGTAAACATACATTGTGGTTTTAATAACTCAGATTTATTGTTTGTTCCTATGCTTTCTTTTTGTTTTTCTCCCTTTAAGGTTCATAACAGCCCTAAATGCCTTGGTTCGGTGTATTCTTGTTATCGGTCAATCAGCTTGTTCTTTTCAAACCAAGAGGAAATTCGAATTTATGGTCATGAAATAAAAAAGAATGGAATCAGGTAGGATATGGGAAACAGTGAAATGTCAGTAACACCACAAATTAATAGAATTTCCAAACATCACATGCTGGAAGTGAACTGTGGAGAGTAGGAAGAGAGGATTTCTTCAACAATACTCTTAAAGCTATAACATACAGACATCAAAACTTCGGTAGGCTCTGAGGCCAGCCAGGTGGTCAAGAGTACAGTAAGTTTACCCTTCCTAATGCTTGTGTGCAGAATATAAACATAGTATGTTTACATGGGTGGAGATGAGAGTCTCTCTCTCTCTTTTTTTTTTTCTGAGAGATTCAAGAGATACCTTAAGAGTATCTTAAGAGTTCAACTCTTGATTCTTTTTGCCCTCTTTCTTAAATATTTTCTTCTTTCTTTGAAGCAGAAACTTAAAAATCTATTTTCTTTTATTTGGAAAGGATTCTGGAAGTTCTTTCCAAGTTTGTGTGAATGGGTTTTGGGTGTCACTTGAGATTTTCCACGGAAGTTCTGACAGACTGAGAGCCAACAACTGCCTGGCCTCGAATAGATCAGAGAGAAGTCAACTTCTAGTTTCCTATCTGCCAAAAATATGACATGAGAATTTTGGGGCAGGGGATGTTTTCGTATTTGGTGGAAGGTTTTTTTTTTTTTATGTTTTAACCTAGAAATACTGTGGAATAATCTACCTTCCAATCTAAATAATTATAGAGAGACTCAGTTTTTATTATTTCCTGGCTGGATTATGCCAGAACAAGTAAATTGTGGGCTGGAACAATTCTATTCATTCAGAATTCACTAACAAGTGTTTGAACCATAGGAATTCTTTCCAGCGCAATGGCTTTATCAACCCGTGTTGCTTTTTCTGGGCTTAGATTCCTCAAAAGGCAGCAGGTGGTAGCAGAAAGGGCAGTGGAAAGAGCACCAGGGGAGCCTTGAAACAGCCAGACAACCCAGAGCAGCTTCTCCCCTTGTCTGAGGCTTATTTTCTTGGTCAGTTGGGTTCTGTACTTCTCATTTTCCCATAAAAGAAAGTTTAGGCATTTGAGTAAGAAGATAATGCAGTTACACGTGTATTTCCTAGAGCTGAATTTAGATAGTCATTTAGGATTCTCTATATGGAATTTTGGGTAATACAATGGGCATTTAAAAAATTATCATGTTTTGTAAAACAGACTTGCCATTCAGATTGATTTTCAAGAATATTATTTCTTTATTAAAGGAGAAACATAATATTTAATTTTAACTCAGAGAAAGCATTTCTATGAGGATTTCAGATTGTGTGATAGAAAAAGGGTGGTCTTCTTATTCAGCAATATTGCTTACACAAATGCTGTTCCTGGCTTGGGGCCTAACTCATAGCAAATGCTACAGAAATATTTGCCATAATAAAATCAAACATGTGGCTCTGTGCATGAAGCTTTACTTCTCTGGATTTCAGTTCTTTCACCTGTGAAATAAGGGGTTTCAGTACAAATGAATCCCTGAATACTTTTCAGCATTCAGTTCTGCATTCATTTAGGTTTACATTTTAATGTTTCCTGCCTAGGTTGCATGCTTTTCTTTGACCTATTGAATATTGTCTAGTTTAAACTATTATTTCCCATCTCCACTGGCATCCTTCTGTGTTATAAACTTCAGGATAATCACAGTTTTCCACCTTTATTTTCAAAAACTGAGTATTTAATTAAATTTACTGTTAAAGAGACCAAATGACCAAGTGTCAAATGACCAAGCAAAAAATACGCATAATAGTACAACTATACTTCCATAAGATTAGCTTTCCATTACTCTGAAATATATTTATAAACAAGATTCACTTCTTTTAAGTATAGTTTTTATAAACTTAGAAACTTAAAACAATTGGTATTTCTTTAATGTTATTTCATATTGACTTTTACTATGAATTCCTCATATTTATAATTTTTAATAAGAATGCATTATGGCAGTAGTTAGCTAGAGTCTTTTTTATGTATTCTCCAATTTAAACATTTAGCTATTTTTCTAGTTTTGTAAATAATTTTCTGTAAATAAGTATCTGTAAAAAATTTTTTGTGCAAATGGCTACAGATATTTTGAATTGTTTCTTTGGGGATTATCCCTTTGTTAATTAGTATGCTCAGTTTTGTAGTTTTTGGTCCATTAAGCCATGCTCTTCCTGGAAAGGAACTCACTAATTTGCAATTTTTGAGAGAAATGTATGAATATACCTATTAACTACCCATATTATTCACATTATGGTATATAATTTTTATTTGACATGGCTACCTTTTTAAAAAATATTTTTATTTTTATTATTTTTAAACAGAGTCTCACTCTGTTGCCCAGTCTGGAGTGCAGCGACATGATTTCAGCTCACCACAACCTCTGCCTCCCAGGTTCAAGCGATTCTCCTGCCTCAGCCTCCCAAGGAGCTGGGACTACAGGCACGTGCACCATGACCAACTAATTTTTTTTTTTTTTTTGAAGTAGAGACGGGGTTTCACTGTGTTGGCCAGTCTGGTCTCGAACTCCTGACCTTGTGATCCACCCACCTTGGCCTCCCAAAGCACTGGAATTACAGGCGTGAGCCACCGAGCCCAGCTGACATGACTATCTTAATAGAAATGAGTTTTTTCCAATTTCTGTAATTATTAGTACTTACTCTTTTTGGCAGTACTGATGGATGAAAGGATAATTGTGTTCTTTCAAAAGTATTCTAGGTGCTTTTAAAATATTCAATTGTTTAGTTCTCTTCAGTTACCTTATGTCACCCACTTCCTTTATATGTGCATATGCTTGTGAAAAATGGAAAAATTAGACTTTGTATCAGGAGCTTAAATATTTTATGTGACCCTTGTTTAAATAGCCCAAAAGGTATCCAATTTAAAAATTTTGAGTATCACCTCTATGCAATACTGTATGACAAAGTACATTATATCCCTAATATTGTACTTTGTGGCATTAAATATGTAAGTTATAATACGTCATCCTTTGATTTTTTTTAGAAAACAATGACTTATGTCAAGGTGTCATTTTAAAGATAGAAACTCATATTTCCTTATAGCCACGTTTAAAATAAAATTAAACAAAATCAGAAAACTCAAGCATCATGTTTGTATATTTTGATGATTGTCTTTGCTTCAAAATTGTTGAGCAGCATTTTTAGATCACTTTAACTCTCTAGATAAAAAATAATAAACATGTTTAAGCTCTAAGTATACTAAATAGGCAAGGTTATTTTCCAGGTTTAACAAATCACCAGTATTTAGCAGCTGTGTGTTTTTGGTTGGTTCAAAGAAGCATCTAATTGTAAGTACAAAATCTAAATCAGTATAAGAAAGCAGCATCATTTTTGTTGTGTCTTTATTTCAATACTGAAGTTTTCAAAAATGTTGAGATTTTCCAGAGGATGGTTGCTTTGGAGCTCTTGCTGCACAGCTTATTCAATAATTTCAAGTAATCATTTTCTTTTAATTGTATCTCAGTCACTTAAAAATATGTCATCTGTAATTGAGACTTTATCATCATTCTTAGATAGCTTTTGTTCTGTTTTTCAAGTTTAACATTGCCTCAGACAATTGGACAGATTTTCATTGAGAAACTAGCTGACTACATTCTTGTGAAAACAACCTTTGGCTTTTCATTGGCTTGGGACGGGATATCTGGGATCTACCTCAAGCTGTCTGAGGACCATAAGGGGAAATCATGTGGCCTATGTGGAAACTACAATGACATTCAATCTGATGATTTCATAATTCTGCAAGGTAAGTGAAGCAGAATAAATGTGTGGGTACCTTCTAAAGCCTTCTTCTTCCCCTGACCAAGTTGTTTGTACCCAGAAGACTTGTCATAGCTTTGGGAAAATTTGTGGCTGTCACTTGCCTGCTTTAGTGATTTTAAGTAAAGGTTGAATAGGAAAATATTTTGGTGTAATTCTTGAAAACCATGAACTAGTTTACCTTTGCTAAATTAGCATGAAGCACTTACTCACATAACACATTTTAATAGAGCATTTGCTTTGGGTCAGAAGGTCGGGATACCTCTGTATCCACTGCTTTAGGAACCTGGAATACATCAGTGAACAAAGCCTTTCACATCTTCAAGTTTATATTCTAGTGGTTCAAACCCATTTGGGTCAGATATGTCTATGTTAGGTCAAAAACTATTTTTGTATCCCTTCTTGATAGGAATAAGTTGAATAATTGACAAATAATAGTTTTGCAAAAATAATCAACTGTGAGCAGGAAAGTTGAATAGTAACTTGGAAAGGTTTTATATACCTACCAGATCATGTATTAAATCTAAGTTATGAAACTAAAAGTGAGTTATAAGAAATAGGTTTTGTATCAATTCAGATACTAGTGTGCAATGGTGATAGAATAAGAGAATCACAAACCATAATCATGACTTAGGTCCATACAAGGAAGTGCAATAAGAAGAGAATACTGTTCTTAGTACCAGTGAACTTGGGTTTGAATCTCCTTTCAACTTTTATAAGTTCTGTAATTTGAGGAAACTCATTTAATCACTTTTATGCTTAGTTTCTTCAGCTGTAAAATGGGGCTATGCTAATTTGGAACTCACAGAGTAGTCAGTAATAATAATAATATACTTTGATAATATTTATAACAATAGTTTGAGCACATAGCTATGTTATTCCCAATCCTCACAACATCCTGTAAGGTGAGTAGTCTTTTCTTTCCTCTCCTTTCCTCTCCTTTCTTTTCTTTTCTTCTGTTCAAGATGAGGTCTTGCTATTTCTTTTCATTAAGATGGGGTCTTGCTATGTTGCCCAGGCTGGTCTTGAACTCCTGGGCTCAAGTCATCCTCTGGTCTCAGCCTCTCAAGTAGCTGGGACTACAGGTGCACCCTTGCACTCAGCCAGTATTATTTTCTGAATTTTATGATGAGAGCACAAGGTGATGTGTCCAATGTAACACAGCTTGTAACTGATACTGTCAGGGTTGGATTACAGACCTGACAGGCTCCCTGTGCTTAGATAAGTGTTTGAGTAATTGCCATTGAAGCTGTAAAGTGCTATATAATACTTCCGTTTTATATTATAAAATTAATAGAGATGATTTGCCCCTATGTTATGTTTTAAAGGATGGTGAAAGGACTACTTAGAGCATGGGCTCTGGAGTCAGACTGTGTGATTCAAATTCAGCTTTATCAATTATTAAATTTTATAAGTTTAAAGATATAATAAGAGCATATACTTCATAAGGGTTGCAAGGATTAAATGAGACAATTCGTGTAAAACAGTACAGTACCTGGCACATAGTAATACTCAATACATTTAATTTAATTTATAGTCATCTCCAAGTATTTCTCCATAAGCCTATAATGGGGCTGAAATAAAAACGTGTGAAAATGTCTCTACATTGCTTTGAGAAGCCTTTATTAAAATGCAAATGTTTTGCTCAAGATAGATAATGCATCGTCAGGATTAGTTTACTAGTAGCTAGAGTAGAGAGCAGGGCTCCAAAAAGTCAATTTCCTCATATGTAAAATAGAGATAATGATAATGACTCTGGGAGCTTCCCAGCCAGTGAATATTGAATGAGAAAATGTAAATGAAAGTGTTTAAAAGTTTCTGAGCACAATACAAATGTATAGTACTGGGATCATCTCGAAATGGTGTTTTGCACCCAGTTGGCATTTGCAATGAGAGGGGTCACAAATCTGGAATCTTGAGACTGTATTAGGAAGCAGGGTTTTGGATGCAGGCAGAATGAGTCAGATGGTAATTGCTGATTTATTTTTCTTCTGTATCAAAGCTTCACGAAAAAAAAATAATCCTTAGTCCAGTTCTCTGTGGTAGAGTTAGAAAAGACTGCTTTGGGGTAGGCCAGGTGTGGTGGCTCACTTCTGTAATCCCAGCACTTTGGAAGGCCGAGGCAGGTGGATCACCTGAGGTCAGGAGTTCAAGACCAGCCCAGCCAACATGGTGAAACCCTGTCTCTACTAAAAATACAAAAATTAGCCAGGCGTGGTGGCAGACACCTATAATCCCAGCTACTTAGGATGCTGAGGCAGGAGAATTGCTTGAACATGGGAGGTGGAGGCTGCAGTGAGCAGAGACCATCATGCCACTGCACTCCAGCCTGGACAACAGAGCAAGACTCTGTCTCAAAAAAAAAAAAAAAAAAAAAAGAAAGACTGCTTTGGGCAACTTCTCCTGGGATGCCCAGGGAACATGGTATGGAGGTCAGGATAGAAAATAACATCTGCTCTAGTTAGAGGCAGGAAGACTTAGATTTGAGTTAAGGGCCAGACAGACTTATATGTTCCAGATAACCTGGAACATAAAATGGTTGTTCATAGTGAGCCAACTGGGGCAGCATGCACAAGGGTGTCAGTCTGCCAGAGGAAGACTGGCAGAAGGCAATTGAACGGAATTATAGCTGAACTGGCAGAAGGCAAGAAGGATTCCGGAAAGTATATGGGAAAGACCTAAGGAAATATTTCAGCTTCTTCACAATGTTATTTGCTTCACAGTATAAGGCAGAGTAATTTTTTAAAAAAACCTAACTTAAAACAACTTTGACAAGAAACTGCCTTTCTATTTCCTCCCATAGTATAATAATGCAAGAAAATGTCTATAGATGAGCAGTATTACCTTTAGCTTTAAGAAGCCTGATATTTTCTTGAAACTCAACCTGTATTTTGCTGATTAGAAAAATCTTTAGAGAGAGTGAGTTTGATTGAATGCCAGTGAATGCATAGTTTCTTAATGGTGATTAAAATTGCATTTCTCTCTGCATTCCAACTCATCCTTCAGGGATGACTTCACAAAGAAATTAGACTTGTCAGAATTTCTGTACACATAGGAAGAAATATAATTTGTTGTCTAGTTGAGAATTCTGTTTCCATAATTCATGTCTACATCTAGCTATGTGACAACATAGAAGTCCTGGTCTACTTTCATTTTTTTCCCAGCATAATAATTAATAATGCCTGCCTTTCTCTCTCAAAAATGTCCCAATATGGACAGTAAATTACTCTACTTAGAGCATATTTTATACAAAGCATTTTAATTTTAGTTTAGCAGGCTCCCACACCACCATTAGATATGGATTGAAAAATCTCCTGATAAACAACTTTTAGGACCCTTGATGCAGTATAAAATAGCTAAATACTTGGTTCAAAAGCTGCAATTAAAGTGAACTCTAAGGGATTGGCCAGGTTGTTTAGTCACATTAAAATTCGTGTGTAAGTATTGAAATAAGTGGGTTTCTAGAAAATGTTTTTGTTTCTTTAGACCTCTAAAAAATGTTTTGAAAGGAAATGTAACTATAAGTGTACTTAAAAAGGACATCAGTTTTTCCATTTTTAAAAAGTATATTACAGCAGGCCCATACTTTCCTCAGTGTGCAACATTTCAGTGATATCAGAGACAAAGCAGCAGGCCAGACAAATTAGAAAGCCCTAGGATTCTTTTCGTTTTTGTTTTTGTTTTTCTTTTTTTCTTTTTCTTTTCTTTTTTTTTTTTGTTTGAGACAGGGTCTTTCTCTGTCGCACAGGCTGGAGTGCAGTGGCGCGATCTTGGCTCACTGTAACCTCCTCCTCCCGGGTTCAAACAAGTCTCGTGCCTCAGCCTCCTGAGTAGCTGGGATTACAGGCGTGCACCACCATGCCTGGCTAATTTTTGTATTCTTATTAGAGATGGGGTTTCACCGTGTTGGCCAGGCCAGTCTCGTACTCCTGGCCTCCTGTGATCCACCCACCTCAGCCTCCCAGAGTGCTGGGATTACAGGCGTGAGTCACCGCACCCAGCCTGAAAGCCCTGGGATTCTAATAATCTCTTTAATAAATTTCACAAATTCCCCTATATGTATTCATTCACTTATTTAGCAAATATATTTTGAGTACCTACTATATGCCAGATACTACACTAGGGATACAGCAATAGAACAGCTGAAACAAGCTCTCTGCCTTCATATAGTATGTATTGTAATGGAAAATAAAATAAACAGAGCAAAATATAATTTTTGTGAGCAATAGCAGCCATTAAAGAAAAAGGTAGAGAAAGAAGGTAAAGAGTGATGGAGCAAGTGTGTGATTGGTGCTAGTCTAGATCACATGTCAGAGAAGGGCTCTCTGAGGCATACATTAAACAGGCCTATATGAAGTAAGGGAGGCAACAGTGAGAAGATTTTAGGAAAGAGTGGTTTTGAAGGAGGAAGAACAAGAGCAAGTGTTCTGAGGTGGGAATGAGTTTGAGTGTTTGAAGAACAGCACAAAGTTAATATGACTGGAGTAGGTTGAGCAAGAAAAGGTGCAGAAGATATATGAGGGGCAGAGCGGGTTGGGAGTAAGGGGAGAACAGGGCCCAGCTCATGCAAAGTCTGCTAGGCTATGGTAAAGTTTAGGATTTTACTCCAAGAGAGCAAAGCATTCTTACAGATAATAAAGTCTCTCATCTTCCCGGCGTTTGATAGTGGAATGCACACATTATTTTTCTACTTTGAAGATATTCAGAGAGAGTGGCAAACATTTGGCTGGAGATTTCTGACTCTAGTGGTGCAATAGATTGTCATCAGTTGTTGACTTCTGACCATGCAAATCTGGGTGGTGGAGAACTCCAACCTCAAATCTGAAGTCTGTCTTACATGGAACTTTGAGATGTCATCTTGTTTGATTTTGCCAAGTCTTTGAGCTTTGAGATTCAGCCTTTGTCTGAATGGAGGAGGGGAAGGATTAATTTTTGCATCATTCCCTGAACTTGTTCTCAGATCAGGTAGAGAGACAACTTAAAAACTTGATTTAGAACAGAGAGCACTCTGTTGAGTCAGAGCACTCACTACCAAATATCTGTTTGTTGTTGCCCACACATTAACTCCTGAATCTTGCCTGAGATTAATGCTGGATTAGCTTTAGGGTTCTCAGTAGGGATGTCTTTCCTGAGCATGTTTCAAAACACTGTTCATCATATTTAGATGAAATAGATACACTTCTTAGTCTTCTCTTCTATTGATGTGTTTTCCAGTCTTTCATTGCCTATGTGACTGTCCTCTGAAATGTCCCAAAGAATTTGACAAGTTTTTTTTTGTGTGGACCCTGTCCACCAAATATAACTGCAATTTTAATAAGGTTCTTACTAATATTAAATATAATGAGAGAGCTGCCTGATAATTTTTACACTAAACGTTTATATTTTTTCGTTTTACGCATATTTTTTCTCCTTTCAACAGCACTGATTGAACATTGGCGATAAATGCTTCACTGGTGTGTACGTTGTACTCACTCACCTTCAATCCTTCCCCATGTTGTTTGAATGCAGTTTGCTTTTTCTTTCCAATGGAACTAACTTTTATTTGGTACCCACATTTTGTTCAATTTGTTTTTATTATGATAAAGTAATGTTATTATCTAATATCACATTGGTAATTATAATGTTACTGAGTTTAATGTTTTGACCAGGAAGTTTGTGTTGAAGAACCATGTCTGTTTGTGGAAAATGATATGATTACACCTATTTGTGTGTGTGTGTGTGTGTGCCTGTGTGAAATAGAGGACTATACAGAAGACATCGCTATGTTTGCAAATAGTTGGTCGGTGCAAACTCCAGATGACACCAAATGTGTACTCACACCCTCAGATTTTCCAAATCCGTGCTCCAGTGGAATGCCAGCATTTGAGGTAAATTTGATGTGAGAAATGTGGGCATGTCAGACAGAATACACATATATCTTATTTGTATAATTAACTAAGCATTTTTTAGTGTAAACACAACATAATTTAAAAATATTATATCCAGGAAATGTAATTGCAATAGGAAATCACCTTAATTTTAGAAATAGTGAATGTAGTGAATTTCATAAATGCAGTACTCATGAAAATAATGTAGTCAGAAAAATGTTAGTTAAAATGTATAAGTTACCATCTTTTTCCTTGTGAGAACTGAAAATCTTGCAAATAGATCTGTAAAAATAATAGAAGACTATACACATACCATGAAACATAGTCTAGTGACTGCCATCTTTTTTTGCACAGGCAATCTTCTTCAAGTGTCAGATACTGTTGCAGTTTCCTTTTCTGAGCTGCCATGAGTATATCGATCCATACTTATATATTGCCAGCTGTGTTAATGATCTTTGCAAGTAAGTGAAATGACTTGTAGTTGTAATAAAATTTTCTTTATGCAAAAAGAAGACCCACAACTACTTCTGTTACTTAACCATTTCAGCTGTTCACAAAATATTATGGGAAATGTAAAATATAAACTGCAAACAGCTATTAAAAGTTTGCTATATAACAGTCACCGTCTAATTTTTTTTATTGATACATAGTAGATGTACATATTTTCAGGGTATGTGTGATAATTTAATACATTCGTGTAATCAAATAAAGGGAATTGGGTACCTGTCACCTTAAACAGTTTTCTTTATGCTAGGAACATTCAAATTATTATCTTCTTGCTATTCTGAAATATACAATTGATTAATGTTAGCTATAGTCCCCCCTACTTTTCTATCCAACACCAGGTCTTATTTCTTCTACATGTACATTGTACCCATAAGTAATCTTTCTTCACCCCCACCTCTCTCCTACCCTTCCTGGACTCTGGTAACCACCAATCTACACTCTATCTTCATGAGATTCACTGTTTTAGTTCCCACATATGAGTGAGAATGTGTGATATTTGTCTTTCTGTTTGGCTTATTTCACTTAACATAGTGACCTCCAGTTTCATCCATGTTGTTGCAAATTACAGGATTTCATTCTTTTTTATGGCTGAATAATATTCCATTGTGTATATATACCACAATTTTTTTTATCCATTCATCCACTGATGGACACAGGTTGATTCCATATTTTGTCTATTGTGAATACTTCTACAATAAACACAGGAGTGCAAATATCTCTTCCATATGTTGATTTTGTTTTTTGGGGGATATATACTCCTTAGTGGATTGCTAGATTATATATGAATGGTAGTTATAAATGTTTTACCTAACTAGCATGAACAAATACTGTGGCTCTTAAGCATTTTTATGCCGTGAATCCCTTTTGGGAGTCTAGAGAAATTCATAGACCCTTTTCAAAAACAATGTTTGAAATGCACAAAATAAAACACATAAGATACCAAACAAAACTAATTCTAATAAAGTAGTTATCAAAATAATTAAAAAATGAATTTCTGATATATATGCTTTTAACACGCATTTCAAATCTAATAACTACTGCAGTTTGACATAGTGATTAGTGTAAACAGTGCTTTGTGAGTCTGTAACAATGGAAAATGAAAATATAAAAATATGAAAAAAGGACATATGAGACATGTGACAAAGTCACTGATATCACTAAGAATATTGTGATGTGTTGCCTATAGGCACAATTGAAGGAAATGCTAAGTTTCCATTGGAAATTAATGAAAATAAACATGTAATTTTCTTCTACCTAAGGTCACAGATTCCTGCATTCTATCTCAGGTTGTGAACATCTAGGATAGGTGGTTGCATAAGCAACAAATTTAGTGAGACTCATCATACTATGTTCATGAATGGTAGTTCATTGTAGAACCTACCATAAATTACTCATAATTAAAGTTTTTTAAAATTATTTTTCTTTCAAAACATCACCAAGTATATGTGATTACTCATCTTGAACCTTCAAGAGTAGCTAAAGAAATTTTAATATGTCTGTATATTTTATGAATCCCAAGAAGTATAAGTGATACATAGAAACTTTTAAAATAAAAAACCAGACTAGTTTTTAGTTTAGTAAAACCACTTAAATGACGTCTTGAGTAGCTCATTAAGAGGTTTATCAAAGGTGAGAACAAAGAGGAAAGGTTGAGGTAGTATGAAATTGTGTTGTTTATAACTACTCCTCTCTAATTAAATTGAAATTATTACAAAAATAACAAATGTAATATTTTCCAGATACTAAAATAAGCTTATTTGTGACATCTCTTACTTTTGAATAGAGTGCAGTTATACCTAGATTTATATGTATAGTCTCTAAATTGCAAGGATTCCTGAACTAATGCAGGAGCCTTGAAAGAACCCCCACTCTGCCTAAAATATTGGCTAGTGACCTTACTATATATTTTTTAAAATTCTATTCCCTATTTGGTTTCATTTTTAATTTAAGAGCTACTTGCTATAGCTCTTTGTTGTTGTTTTTTTTCTCTTTTTTAAGGATGGCTGTAGGTAGGCCATAGTCCTTATTTAGTCACATATATGGAATTAAAATTGTTCTTATTCCACAGTGTCTCAGTCTTGGACTATTCTCCAGTCATCTTTTCAATTGCCTTATCTTTAATATCTTTAGCACCCATTTGTCAAGTAGTCTGAGATAAAATATTGTTTTGTAGGTCCAGGAAAATCATTCTGCATTTTTTAGTTCAGGATGTTGTTTAGCCGCTTCAACAGCTAAAATGACTGTGACTTAAATTAAATGGAATGTTTATATTTCTCTTACATAAAAATCCATGCCGGTTAGTGGTCTTGGATTGGCATCGTGGCTCTGCTCCATGAGTTTTCCAGTGACTGAATGATCTTGTTGCTACATTTTTCCTTTTGTCGAGGTTATTATTTTCAATTTCATGGCCCAAACTGCATCACCACTATCATGTCCACATTTTAGCCCTTAAAAAGGGAGAAAAAAAACCAAAAGGACTGGCATCTTTTGATCTGGAAGTTTCATGCATGCTTCCACTTTTAACCTTTTGGCCAGAACTTGGATACATGGCCACACCTAGGTGCAAGAGAAGCCGAAACATGTTGTCTTTGGCTGGCAGCCATCTACCTGGCAAAAACTTGGATGTTCTGATACTAAAAAGGAGAAGGGGGAACTGGAGATAAAAATCAGTCTCTGCTACACCCACTTCATCTGAAATTTCATCATTGAGAAATTAACATTTTTGTCTTTTGAAATGTTGATAGTTTTTAGACTTTGACTTTTGAAACTTTGATGCTTTCTCCAGGGAAAACAAAAATAGCAGGATAGAGAAGCAACTTGTGCTGGCTGAAATCAGCTGACACCTTAAGAGATACCTTTGTGGTAGAGAGGCTGGGTTTAGGGACAAAGCAGGCATGTAATAACAAAGGAAGGACATTATAATTAAGTGGACGTTGATAAAATGGAAGTGAGAAGCTGCCAGAGCCAGCCTTTCACTCCCCTCAATATTTCATTCAGGGCTAGACCTATTTACATTCTTTCTTCCATTCTGTAGGAAATGAGTGATTCTCTTCATTTCCTGTATTAGGGGACTGCATCACAAGGGTCCCATACTATGAGAATGAAAATGTGAATTGGTTGAACACAGATTAATTTCCTGCTTGGGTTATGATAGTGTATTGAATTCAATTCAACACACATCTTTTGAGTATCTATTCTGAGCTGAGTATTTTGTCACTCCTTGGAGAAAGAGAAAAAATTTAGACATGATCTCTGTCCTAGGAACTCATATTCTAATAGGGCAGAGAAACAGGTCTCTAACAATGACACAACGCCCTAAATTCAAAGTGCTTTAAATGTAGAGGACAGAACTATTAACTTTATCAGAGAGTGCCTACACAGGCTCCACGGAAGAGATAACATTTGACTTGGAACTTGTGTGATACTCCACCAATCCTTGAATTATGCCGTCCTGTTTCTGCTTCTAAGAATGCCAAACCCAGCAGCAAGGAAATGATTTTAATTTTGCGATGCCAAAGCCAATTGATGTGAAAACCAAGATTTTTTTTTTTGCTCTTTAATTGTTTATTAAAAATGAAAGAGTGGAAATTATTGAGCAAATCCAAATAGAACAAATCTAAAAAATCCATACCAAGACACATTGTAGTCAAATTTCTAGAACCTAAACAAAGAAAAATTCTTGAAAGCAGTGTGAGAGAATGACACCTTAAC
Organism: Homo sapiens; assembly: GCF_000001405.40. Lineage (NCBI taxonomy): Eukaryota > Metazoa > Chordata > Mammalia > Primates > Hominidae > Homo > Homo sapiens. Next base: position 80,243,197 of record NC_000012.12, read on the forward strand.
CTACAGAGGAAAAGTCATTTAAATGAAAGATAATATCTCATCAGAAACCATGGAGACCAGAAGGAAGTGGCTTAAATTTTCTTTAAAGTACTGGGAAAAGAAACCCTACCAATAAGCATTCAGTATCCAATGAAAATATTTTATGGGGATGAAAGGAAAATCAATCATTCTCAGATGAATTTCAGAAATCATCATTCTCAGATGAAGTAAAAACTAAGCAAAATTTTTACCAATACTCCTACCCTAAAAGTATGGGTAACGGACATTCTCTCAATATAAAGGATATGATAAAAATAAGAAATCTTGAAACATTAAAAAAAAGGTGAATGGGGAGAGTAAAAATATGGTGAATACAATAGAATTTCCTCCTCCTCTTGAGTTTTCCAAATTACGTGTGATATTGGAGCAAAAATTCTGACACTCTGATATTGTTCTCAATGTATGTTGAGAAAATAATTGATATAATCATAAACTGGAAAGGATAAAAAATATGCTAAATAAAGGAAAGTTTCTACACCTAATTTGAAATGACAAAATGTCGAAGCCCTTAGACTATAGAATTATATATATAACAAATATATAATAAACACATTTTATATATAAAATATATATTTCCATATATAATGCAATTCTATATATAATATAATCATATATACATATATATATATATATACGATTCCATTATTGATTTCTGCATTGCAGAAATTTGATCCTCCTTCTCTGAGATGGAGCCGGTTTACATTTCCTTTAGTCTAAAGGCTTCAACATTCCACCAGTACAAACTAGGCGCAGAAATCCTCCCTTCTTCATCATGGCACCCAGGAAGAGAATTCCAACTCAGAATATCTTGGCTAAAACCACAACATTGAGCATGGAATTCATTCCTGTGCAGTTTCTCCATGCTAGTCTGTGCCACTAATGATGGTATCTAAGAAGCTATGGAAGAAGGACGAAAGTCCTATTTTTTCTTTTTTTCTTTTTTTTTTTTTATACTTTAAGTTTTAGGGTACATGTGCACATTGTGCAGGTTAGTTACATATGTATACATGTGCTGTGCTGGTGCGCTGCACCCACTAACTCATCATCTAGCATTAGGTATATCTCCCAATGCTATCCCTCCCCCCTCCCCCCACCCCACCACAGTCCCCAGAGTGTGATATTCCCCTTCCTGTGTCCATGTGATCTCATTGTTCAATTCCCACCTATGAGTGAGAATATGCCGTGTTTGGTTTTTTGTTCTTGCGATAGTTTACTGAGAATGATGATTTCCAATTTCATCCATGTCCCTACAAAGGACATGAACTCATCATTCTTTATGGCTGCATAGTATTCCATGGTGTATATGTGCCACATTTTCTTAATCCAGTCTATCATTGTTGGACATTTGGGTTGGTTCCAAGTCTTTGCTATTGTGAATAATGCTGCAATAAACATATGTGTGCATGTGTCTTTATAGCAGCATGATATACCTTTGGGTATATACCCAGTAATGGGATGGCTGGGTCCAATGGTATTTCTAGTTCTAGATCCCTGAGGAATCACCACAATGACTTCCACAATGGTTGAACTAGTTTACAGTCCCACCAACAGTGTAAAAGTGTTCCTATTTCTCCACATCCTCTCCAGCACCTGTTGTTTCCTGACTTTTTAATGATTGCCATTCTAACTGGTGTGAGATGATATCTCATAGTGGTTTTGATTTGCATTTCTCTGATGGCCAGTGATGATGAGCATTTTTTCATGTGTTTTTTGGCTGCATAAATGTCTTCTTTTGAGAAGTGTCTGTTCTTTGCCCACTTTTTGATGGGGTTGTTTGTTTTTTTCTTGTAAATTTGTTTGAGTTCATTGTAGATTCTGGATATTAGCCCTTTGTCAGATGAGTAGGTTGCAAAAATTTTCTCCCATGTTGTAGGTTGCCTGTTCACTCTGATGGTAGTTTCTTTTGCTGTGCAGAAGCTCTTTAGTTTAATTAGATCCCATTTGTCAATTTTGGCTTTTGTTGCCATTGCTTTTGGTGTTTTGGACATGAAGTCCTTGCCCACGCCTATGTCCTGAATGGTAATGCCTAGGTTTTCTTCTAGGGTTTTTATGGTTTTAGGTCTAACGTTTAAATCTGTAATCCATCTTGAATTGATTTTTGTATAAGGTGTAAGGAAGGGATCCAGTTTCAGCTTTCTACATATGGCTAGCCAGTTTTCCCAGCACCATTTATTAAATAGGGAATCCTTTCCCCATTGCTTGTTTTTCTCAGGTTTGTCAAAGATCAGATAGTTGTAGGTATGCGGCGTTATTTCTGAGGGCTCTGTTCTGTTCCATTGATCTATATCTCTGTTTTGGTACCAGTACCATGCTGTTTTGGTTACTGTAGCCTTGTAGTATAGTTTGAAGTCAGGTAGTGTGATGCCTCCAGCTTTGTTCTTTTGGCTTAGGATTGACTTGGCGATGCGGGCTCTTTTTTGGTTCCATATGAACTTTAAAGTAGTTTTTTCCAATTCTGTGAAGAAAGTCATTGGTAGCTTGATGGGGATGGCATTGAATCTGTAAATTACCTTGGGCAGTATGGCCATTTTCACGATATTGATTCTTCCTACCCATGAGCATGGAATGTTCTTCCATTTGTTTGTATCCTCTTTTATTTCCTTGAGCAGTGGTTTGTAGTTCTCCTTGAAGAGGTCCTTCACATCCCTTGTAAGTTGGATTCCTAGGTATTTTATTCTCTTTGAAGCAATTGTGAATGGGAGTTCACTCATGATTTGGCTCTCTGTTTGTCTGTTGTTGGTGTATAAGAATGCTTGTGATTTTTGTACATTGATTTTGTATCCTGAGACTTTGCTGAAGTTGCTTACCAGCTTAAGGAGATTTTGGGCTGAGACAATGGGGTTTTCTAGATACACAATCATGTCATCTGCAAACAGGGACAATTTTACTTCCTCTTTTCCTAATTGAATACCCTTTATTTCCTTCTCCTGCCTGATTGCCCTGGCCAGAACTTCCAACACTATGTTGAATAGGAGCGGTGAGAGAGAGCATCCCTGTCTTGTGCCGGTTTTCAAAGGGAATGCTTCCAGTTCTTGCCCATTCAGAATGATATTGGCTGTGGGTTTGTCATAGATAGCTCTTATTATTTTGAAATACGTCCCATCAATACCTAATTTATTGAGAGTTTTTAGCATGAAGGGTTGTTGAATTTTGTCAAAGGCTTTTTCTGCATCTATTGAGATAATCATGTGGTTTTTGTCTTTGGCTCTGCTTATATGCTGGATTACATTTATTGATTTGCGTATATTGAACCAGCCTTGCATCCCAGGGATGAAGCCCACTTGATCATGGTGGATAAGCTTTTTGATGTGCTGCTGGATTCGGTTTGCCAGTATTTTATTGAGGATTTTTGCATCAATGTTCATCAAGGATATTGGTCTAAAATTCTCTTTTTTGGTTGTGTCTCTTCCCGGCTTTGGTATCAGAATGATGCTGGCCTCATAAAATGAGTTAGGGAGGATTCCCTCTTTTTCTATTGATTGGAATAGTTTCAGAAGGAATGGTACCAGTTCCTCCTTGTACCTCTGGTAGAATTCGGCTGTGAATCCATCTGGTCCTGGACTCTTTTTGGTTGGTAAACTATTGATTATTGCCACAATTTCAGATCCTGTTATTGGTCTATTCAGAGATTCAACTTCTTCCTGGTTTAGTCTTGGGAGAGTGTATGTGTCGAGGAATGTATCCATTTCTTCTAGATTTTCTAGTTTATTTGCGTAGAGGTGTTTGTAGTATTCTCTGATGGTAGTTTGTATTTCTGTGGGATCGGTGGTGATATCCCCTTTATCATTTTTTATTGTGTCTATTTGATTCTTCTCTCTTTTTTTCTTTATTAGTCTTGCTAGCAGTCTATCAATTTTGTTGATCCTTTCAAAAAACCAGCTCCTGGATTCATTGATTTTTTGAAGGGTTTTTTGTGTCTCTGTTTCCTTCAGTTCTGCTCTGATTTTAGTTATTTCTTGCCTTCTGTTAGCTTTTGAATGTGTTTGCTCTTGCTTTTCTAGTTCTTTTAATTGTGATGTTAGGCTGTCAATTTTGGATCTTTCCTGCTTTCTCTTGTGGACATTTAGTGCTATAAATTTCCCTCTACACACTGCTTTGAATGCGTCCCAGAGATTCTGGTATGTTGTGTCTTTGTTCTCGTTGGTTTCAAAGAACATCTTTATTTCTGCCTTCATTTCGTTATGTACCCAGTAGTCATTCAGGAGCAGGTTGTTCAGTTTCCATGTAGTTGAGCGGCTTTGAGTGAGATTCTTAATCCTGAGTTCTAGTTTGATTGCACTGTGGTCTGAGAGATAGTTTGTTATAATTTCTGTTCTTTTACATTTGCTGAGGAGTGCTTTACTTCCAACTATGTGGTCAATTTTGGAATAGGTGTGGTGTGGTGCTGAAAAAAATGTATATTCTGTTGATTTGGGGTGGAGAGTTCTGTAGATGTCTATTAGGTCTGCTTGGTGCAGAGCTGAGTTCAATTCCTGGGTATCCTTGTTGACTTTCTGTCTCGTTGATCTGTGTAATGTTGACAGTGGGGTGTTAAAGTCTCCCATTATTAATGTGTGGGAGTCTAAGTCTCTTTGTAGGTCACTCAGGACTTGCTTTATGAATCTGGGTGCTCCTGTATTGGGTGCATATATATTTAGGATAGTTAGCTCCTCTTGTTGAATTGATCCCTTTACCATTATGTAATGGCCTTGTTTGTCTCTTTTGATCTTTGTTGGTTTAAAGTCTGTTTTATCAGAGACTAGGATTGCAACCCCTGCCTTTTTTTGTTTTCCATTTGCTTGGTAGATCTTCCTCCATCCTTTTATTTTGAGCCTATGTGTGTCTCTGCACGTGAGATGGGTTTCCTGAATACAGCACACTGATGGGTCTTGACTCTTTATCCAACTTGCCAGTCTGTGTCTTTTAATTGGAGCATTTAGTCCATTTACATTTAAAGTTAATATTGTTATGTGTGAATTTGATCCTGTCATTATGATGTTAGCTGGTCATTTTGCTCGTTAGTTGATGCAGTTTCTTCCTAGTCTCGATGGTCTTTACATTTTGGCATGATTTTGCAGCGGCTGGTACCAGTTGTTCCTTTCCATGTTTAGTGCTTCCTTCAGGAGCTCTTTTAGGGCAGGCCTGGTGGTGACAAAATCTCTCAGCATTTGCTTGTCTATAAAGTATTTTATTTCTCCTTCACTTATGAAGCTTAGTTTGGCTGGATATGAAATTCTGGGTTGCAAATTCTTTTCTTTAAGAATGTTGAATATTGGCCCCCACTCTCTTCTGGCTTGTAGGGTTTCTGCCGAGAGATCCGCTGTTAGTCTGATGGGCTTCCCTTTGAGGGTAACCCGACCTTTCTCTCTGGCTGCCCTTAACATTTTTTCCTTCATTTCAACTTTGGTGAATCTGACAATTATGTGTCTTGGAGTTGCTCTTCTCGAGGAGTATCTTTGTGGTGTTCTCTGTATTTCCTGAATCTGAACGTTGGCCTGCCTTGCTAGATTGGGGAAGTTCTCCTGGATAATATCCTGCAGAGTGTTTTCCAACTTGGTTCCATTCTCCCCATCACTTTCAGGTACACGAATCAGATGTAGATTTGGTCTTTTCACATAGTCCCATATTTCTTGGAGGCTTTGCTCATTTCTTTTTATTCTTTTTTCTCTAAACTTCCCTTCTCACTTCATTTCATTCATTTCATCTTCCATTGCTGATACCCTTTCTTCCATTTGATCGCATCGGCTCCTGAGGCTTCTGCATTCTTCACGTAGTTCTCGAGCCTTGGTTTTCAGCTCCATCAGCTCCTTTAAGCACTTCTCTGTATTGGTTATTCTAGTTATACATTCTTCTAAATTTTTTTCAAAGTTTTCAACTTGTTTGCCTTTGGTTTGAATGTCCTCCCGTAGCTCAGAGTAATTTGATCGTCTGAAGCCTTCTTCTCTCAGCTCGTCAAAATCATTCTCCATCCAGCTTTGTTCCGTTGCTGGTGAGGAACTGCGTTCCTTTGGAGGAGGAGAGGCGCTCTGCGTTTTAGAGTTTCCAGTTTTTCTGTTGTGTTTTTTCCCCATCTTTGTGGTTTTATCTACTTTTGGTCTTTGATGATGGTGATATACAGATGGGTTTTCGGTGTGGATGTCCTTTCTGTTTGTTAGTTTCCCTTCTAACAGACAGGACCCTCAGCTGAAGGTCTGTTGGAATACCCTGCCGTGTGAGGTGTCAGTGTGCCCCTGCTGGGGGGTGCCTCCCAGTTAGGCTGCTCGGGGGTCAGGGGTCAGGGACCCACTTGAGGAGGCAGTCTGCCTGTTCTCAGATCTCCAGCTGCGTGCTGGGAGAACCACTGCTCTCTTCAAAGCTGTCAGACAGGGACATTTAAGTCTGCAGAGGTTACTGCTGTCTTTTTGTTTGTCTGTGCCCTGCCACCATAGGTGGAGCCTACAGAGGCAGGTAGGCCTCCTTGAGCTGTGGTGGGCTCCACCCAGTTCGAGCTTCCCGGCTGCTTTGTTTACCTAAGGAAGCCTGGGCGATGGCGGGCGCCCCTCCCCCAGCCTCGCTGCCGCCTTGCAGTTTGATCTCAGACTGCTGTACTAGCAATCAGTGAGACTCCGTGGGCGTAGGACCCTCCGAGGCAGGTGTGGGATATAGTCTCGTGGTGCGCCGTTTTTTAAGCCGGTCTGAAATGCGCAATATTCGGGTGGGAGTGACCCGATTTTCCAGGTGCGTCCGTCAGCCCTTTCTTTGACTCGGAAAGGGAACTCCCTGACCCCTTGCGCTTCCCAGGTGAGGCAATGCCTCGCCCTGCTTCGGCTCGCGCACGGTGCGCGCACCCACTGACCTGCGCCCACTGTCTGGCACTCCCTAGTGAGATGAACCCGGTACCTCAGATGGAAATGCAGAAATCACCTGTCTTCTGTGTCGCTCACGCTGGGAGCTGTAGACCGGAGCTGTTCCTATTCGGCCATCTTGGCTCGAGAGTCTGAAAACCAAGATTCTTTAATACCCATTTTTCCTATTAAAGTTATCATTCAAAATGGAAAAAATAAACTTATTTTCCCCTTAGTAAATTATAATTTTTTTCTTGATAATAATTTCTTTCTTGCCCAATTATTGTGAGTTTTCATGAGGTGTCACATATTAATGTGCCTGTCATGGTTCCTAGAATAACATAAACAACAAATGGTGAGTATTATAGTAATAGTTGCATTGGGCTGGAAAACCAATATTCAGTTGCTTTGCTAACTTTTAAAACCACCGTTAATGTAGGAAAGAATGCACATATTAGAAGGTAAATCATAAATGTAATGTCTTTCCAGGAATTTAGCAATTTTAGCCTAAACTGTTTTGAAAAGACTTTTCTTATTTGTAGGTTTAGAATATTTTCTGAGCCTCTAGAGTTTATATGCTCAGTCCTTTTTTCGTTCTAAAGTTCAGTTGATTGGACTAGATAAGCTGCAGGACTCCCATTACAGTAGCACAGGATAAGGGCAATTTGAGATGGTGGCTTTTACAATAGTGACACTGAAAATGTTAAGCCTCACAAAATGCAGCATTCTTAAGACCATTATCTCCTAAGATATTTAACTATTCAATTTTGAGTTTGGATTAGGTTGAAAAACAAGCCCTCTACCTTGGTGTAAATCTGCTTACTTGATAAGTGCCTTGTTAATCTGCTTTGGGAATTTTCAGAGCTCTAATAGGAAATTATTTTGGGGGGAAGCTCCTGAAGTGATTATAAGAAAATAATTAAAGATTATTTAGTCTTGGCAATGTTATAAAAATAATTAGCTTTAGTAATTTAAACTTGAAAGAATTCAAAATCCTCTTTTAAATCTTAAATGCCATTTATTCAATCTTTCAAACAACCCAATTGCCCATCAGTGATAGACTGGATAAAGAAAATGTGGCACATATACATCATGGAATAACTACGTTTTGGATTCTTATTGCAAGAACTGCTGAGGAACCATTAAAATACTTTTGATTACTATAGATTATTGGTATTGGTTTTATTCCAGTATGTGGATAATCAAGAGTATGATCTTTTGGAAACAGCTTTCATATTTATTGTTTTTGTGGTGATAGAATTTTATCTGTTTTAACAGGACTTATTAAATTCTAAAAGGCCTGGAATGTTTTGTGTGTGAGTGAAAAAATACACGGATTATGGGGAAAATGTTATAATTAAAATATAAATCTTTTTCATTATAGTATTCCTTTGACTCAAAAGAAAAGTGATAAAATTATTAAAATGCTTTGATGAAGATTATTTATCTAGGCCTAATTAGCTGGGGACCCATGCTCATGTGTTTTCTGCATTGTTGTACTTAATAAGATATATTATGAGTGACACATATGCTGACATCAATTAACATCGGAGTATTCATCATGCACTCAGCATTTCTAGGGATCAGGACCTCAATGGTATGGTTTCTGTCAATATTTCCTATGTGATTCTGGCTCTGTCTTTTCACTTTCTAGAACTGATGATGATGAAACCTATTGCCGAGCAGCCACTGAGTATGCTAGAGCCTGCTCTCATGCTGGCTACCCTATTCAAGACTGGAGAGATGACTTTCCAGCATGCAGTATGTTTTTTTATTTTCCAAGCCCTGTGTACTTTTGCCAATTTTGGGTTAAACCTAGAACTCAAAACTTACTGTACTACTCAATACTAATGAATTGCAAGGATTTGTTATTGAGATATCCATGAACTTGCATACTTTTTGAAACAAGTATGCAATTTTTTTGCAATTAAAAGTTATTTTTTGCAAATTATTTTTTGTAAAAAATAAAATTATAATTTTAAAAAAGAAATAGAGGCTAATAAAATTGACTTAAGCTCCCCTGTTTGTCTGTTTTAGCTGATAAATGTGATGATAGCTTTGTCCATCGGGACTGTATCAGTTGTTGTCCACCAACCTGCACATTTGAGAAGCAATGTCTTGGGAGCAATCTCCATTGTCTTGATGGATGTTACTGCCCAGATGGTAAGTGCTTCATGAAGAAACCATGTCTGCACTCATGGAAACTAGTACCCAGTGATCTAAGGATCACATCTTCGTTTTGCTGTCCTTTCCCAGTACATTGGACCTATTGCAATTTTCTGTTCTTGTAGAAGTTGGTCCTTGAAGTGACAAGGAGGAATGGCTACTTTTCATTGATAAAAGGCTCATTACTTTGTAAAGTTTCCAGGAAATTTGGAATCTATAGTCCTGAAGTTACCCATGAGAAATCTTTTGTTCGATCAATATTTAATGGTATTTAACAATTTATATATCTTCACTTTTTAAAAAAGGAAAGGAAGTTTGAGAGAAAGGTTTCACATTTTTCTGGCACAATCTAGTACTGATGTAGTTTTAATATTTGAAATTAAAAGTAACTTAGCAAGTGAGAGAGGTAGGATTTAAAATTAGGAATGAATCTGCTATACTGATAGCTGTTTCTAAAGAACACTGAGGATTTACTCAAACCCTTTTTATTTTTACAGATTAAAAAAATAGAATCACAGAGATAAGTGATTTTCCCAATATCCTCATTAACTGAGTGAGGATTACTTGGAACCAGATCTGTTTGGCCTCTGCTCATTGTTCTGTTAGTGCTACTCAAAGTATGGCGGACCAGTGCTAGTCTGAGCTGTTTGTGACCTGTCAATGACAAGATAAGGCATTTGCACCAGAATGTAAGCCCAAGCACCAAAATAAAGTCAGTGCTTTCTCCTACAGTCTTACCATGAAAAGGTCAGCTGAATGAAACACTGTGCTTAGTAACATGGCTGATTTAAATTCTGGCTCAACCTCCTTTACCTGTCAGACAGCAGTAACAAATGCAGTCGCATGGTCTTGGACATTTGAGTAGCAGTACCTAGCTCTTTATGATTCTGTGTGACAGTGTAAATCTTTCTCATCTTGGAATGAACAGAAACTAAACTAAAAATGTACTTTCTCCCTCCTTCTCTCCCTTCCTCCCTCAAATGCAAGGAAACATTGTTTTGTTTCCTTTATTCTGTATGGTGAACCTTGAGTTTTTGATGGCAAGTCATGGGATAAGAAAATTGAAAACTACTGAAATAGATCCTTTAAGGTAGCTACTGCCTGAGAGTCAGGTTGTCAGTAATCCCACTGAAAGTAAAGAAATTTGTATTTCCAGCATCATGCGTAGGTATTCAACAGAAGTTGGTTGAATTATTATATTCCAGAAATACAATCTTTATTATTTCTTTTGAAATTTTGATGTGTATTTCTTCTCAATTAGGCCTCGTAATGGACAATGGGACTTGCATCTCCTTGGAAAATTGCCCATGCGGTTTTCATGGATTAGCTTATTCAGTTGGTTCAAAAATTGAACAAGAATGTACTGAATGGTATGTGATCAGTGTGCAGCCAATTATTTCTGGGTACTTGGCTAGTTGACAACTTTACCATGACAGATGTTTAAAGGAATATACTCATTACTAATTTACTTCCCAAATTCCAACACAAAACTTGCATTTTATTTAAACTCCTTGGGGGAAGGGACATCTGTATTTCCTTTTATGATGTAATTCTTATCACTTACCTTGGTAATTCTATAACATCTTATATCCACATAATGAGTCTGTTGCATTTTCTTATCGTTTGTAATCACTAATTTGCACATACTGTTAGAACTTGATGGTGCTTCTGGGCTTCTCTGTTACATACTATAAAACATGCCTCTCCAGATCACCAATTTTTGGTCCATGATTAGAAACATTTAGAATTCCATATTAAATTTGCTAACTAACACTGTTGTCAAATATGAAATCCCTGCAGGACAGTCCTAAAAAGAAACAGAGGTCTAAATGTTGTCGGATACTTTTCCCTTTGGTGTCTGTGTATATAATTGAAATGTAATAGGATAACTAACCACATTCTCAGATGCTGATTCTGTTTCCGTTTTACAGGTACTCTGCTTTTGTCCTCTAAAACTCACACCTTTGTCAGGGTGGAAGGTAGAATTTATCTGACATAAGAGGAGATCTCTTCTCTCTTTTTAATACCTGTTGATCTTCATCATAGTCAGTGATTTTTACATATGACACACAAGAGATAATAATTTAGGTGCCAGCCAGCTCAAAATTACCAGTCAATTGAACTTATGCAGAGATGATTTTTTTATTATTATTTATTGATTTTATTTATTTTATTTTATTTTTTGCAGAGATTTTTTTAAGTCAGATTATTCTGAACCTATAAACATGATATATTTTGGTCCATTAATCAATACATTGATGCAAACATTAATACAGTTTCTCTATGCCAATAGATTAATATTTTTATAATTTCTTTTAGTGTGTGTGTTGGTGGAGTTTGGAACTGCACTGAGCAAGACTGTCCAGGTAATTTTTTAAAATGTTTTTATAGAGAATGTTTCAAATTTCTTTAGACTGGGGAGAAAGATAGCACTGATCTTTATGAAGACATCTCATATATACCAAGGGCTACAATAATCTGTAAATGCAATTACTCAGAGGATACATGGAAAATTGAACAAGTGATAGCATTGAGTGGGCAACTTTGGTAAAACTTTATTAAAATAGTGTAAATGTTATAAAACCTAAAAAATGTGGAATAAATATCATTTTATAAACATTAAATTAAATGGGATAATATAATTTAGTCTAGTAAGTTTGTCAAACCAGTAAATTTTAAATACAACACAGTAGATTTTCAAAGTTTTGATGCATGATTATTTACCCTAAGTTGATCTGCTTTTAAAGGATTAACCTAATGGTATCATCCTCCTCTCTCTCCTCCTCTATCTCCACCTCCTTTTCTTTTTCTTTGTTTTCTTTTTTTTTTTGGCAGTTCAATGCTCAGTTGTAGGTGATTCTCACTTTACAACTTTTGATGGTCGACATTATTCTTTTATTGGCATGTGCCAATACATCCTCGTGAAAGGAACTGGAAAAGATAAATTCACGATTACTTTACAGAAAGCTCCCTGTGAGCAGGTAAGAACATTTCAAAATGACCAGAGGAATATGGATTCACTGATTTTTGCTTAAACTTCATTTCAGACTAAGAATGATAACATGAGTGGATATAGCTATTTTCCTTAACACTAAGATGACATTGATTATTAAGATACATCATTATTCTACATATTAGAAAGAAGTGTTGATAATTATTCTATGACATACCATTGGTTACATGACGCATCTTGATCTCAGAGATATTAAGCTGTGAAAACAAGTATGTCTTAGATTAAATACTATATATTTAATTGCATTTTCTTTTTTAAAAAGTAGTACGTATAGTTTTTTGTACATATAGTTTTGTACGTATAGTTTTTTGAACATTTTATGCATGATTGTACAATGGATCTAAGTTTTTTGTTTGCTTCAACCTAGCTATTTTAAAGAGACTATTTTTGACAGTTTTGAACTGGTTTCATAGCATTCTAAACAGATATGATGAATTTCTTAACATATTGGAATATTTATTTAGATCTTTTCTTGAAATAGTAAACTCATCAATAATTTCTAAATAAAGAAATCTAGGTCTTTCATTCATCTCTCTAAAGCAGGTAGTCAAAATTTTGCCAAAATATTTAATTTTTTAGTTCTATTCTAATAGAAAATAATTATTTCCAACAAAAATTCTGAACTGCTTTATTTGTTTTTTTTCCAGTTTTATTTTTTCTATGTAATATATTAGAGTCTGAATTAACTTTCTGTGTAGAAGTCTAATTCTCTTGGTTCTTTGCTTTATTGACTTTTTTTGTCTAATACGCCAGTTAAATGAATTTAGAGAGGTACTTTATATGCCATGGAAAACATAACTATTGGTACTTTACTGAAAGACTTTAATGTTCTAAGTAAAATGTATGTATACATCTGATATATTTAATGTACTATATAAAGTTATATTTTATTAGGAATGGGGCTACATAAAATGGGTTATATATCAGCTACTTTATTACATTACTTATACTCAAGGCTTTTATATATTAGAAATTCTAATTTATATGCACTCTCTTTCTTTTTTGTTCTCTCCTCTCTCTTTCTCCCCTTCTCCCTTTCTCCCATCTCCACCTTCCTGTCTCTTTCTATGGCTCTCTCTCTCTCCCATTCCTTGCATTGATAATTTGATTTTTACGCAGAATCTTGGCTTGGTCTGCCTTCAGTCTATAACTCTGATTCTGGAGGATGATTTTAACAAACAAGTGACCCTTGGTAGGGGAGGACAAATTCTCACTAGTCCTAACCAAGGCTTCAACCTGAATGGTAAGAAACAGTGCTAATGGTGTACTTTCTTTACATCAAACAAACAAACAAACAAACAAACAACACACGCAAACAAAATGGGATCTTTTCCTAATGTTAGGCTGACTACCTAGCATTTATAGAGTTTGTATGTGTCATCAGGCCATCAGCTACAGATAGTGATGATGATTATGTTTATGGGACCTAGTGATTACCTCAAGTGATCTAGACTTTGGAAGGGAAGAGAGACAAGCAAGCAGCCACTTACAATAAAATGTGATAGACTCAAAGACATACATAAAGACTTTGGGGAGTCTAAATGAGGTGCAGCTCACTCAGCTCTGGAGAGGGGTGTACTGAAATGGTCAGGAGTGTTTTCTGAAAGAGGTGGGTGATTATACAATGATTGTCTCATTGAGCATTTAAGGATGAGGAATTGCTGGGTTGAAGGGGATGGGGAAAGTGTTTCATGCAGATCAAGGAGGTGTCGAATTTTGCAGCATATTTAGGGGGAACCAGAACTAAATTGGTTTTGCTACAGCAGAGAGAGGGTAAAGGAGAATGTCTGGATGTAGGTAAGGATGAGAAGGGCTTATGTAGGAGGCATTTTACATTGTGGATTTCTGGGGCAGGTCCTGTTCATGCCTGCATTCCAGCATAGCTGTTAATAACACTCTCACTCTCAAAAATGTCTTGATTTATCTTACAAATCACATGCTCACGCTACACAGGTGTCAGGCTAGGGAAGTTGAACTTGATACGAATCAAATATGAAATTATCATTTTTGACCATTTTTATGTACAAAGAGGGCAATCTCACGGTTCAACCAAATAAATGGTGAGTTTTTAAGGAGGTTTTAAGGTGAAGTTTTTTTTTTTTTGGTACATGACTATGACAACAGTGTAGAAGTGACTTTGAGAGTTGCTAGACAGGAAATATGGACAAGAGTTAGGATGTTATAAAAGTAGGGCATGTGAGGAATGAGGAGGAGGTCATCTAAGGCAGTGATGATAGAGATGGAGAGAAGAAGACAGATTGAAAAAACATTTAGGACAAAAGTCTGAACTTGGTAATGGATTTCAAATGTCTAAGGACTTCCTCCTTCCTTGTGAGATGCTTGCAAACTGAAAGTATGTATTGACCTGAACAACTACTAAAAATGGCTGCTGAAGACCAGGAAGGAGGGAGAAAAGGAGAGGAATAGGAGGGAAAAAAGGCAGCCATAGGTGGCAAAAATTTGGCCCTGAAGCACAGACAGGAACCACTAGCCTGCCTCTCCTCCTTCCCTGGTATCTGGGGAAGAGAGTCCTGGTGGTGTACCCTAGCATTTCAGAACACCGTCTATGAATGTCAAAGCTGATTTACGTATGTTCTTTTCCTGCAGGTATTGTTGAAATTCAAACTCTGTCATCCTTATTTATACTTCTAAAAACCACATTTGGTTTAAAGATTCTGTTTGCTATAGATGGGGAAAGAATTTATATTCAGCTTACTAGCGCATGGAAAAGAAGAACATTAGGTCTGTGTGGCACTTTTAATGGCAACATAAGGGATGATTTTCTGTAAGTATGATTTCTGCATAGTTAACATACTTAATGACTGGTCATTTAAAGGATATAAATTCATTAAAAATGTTTACTTAACTAATAATTGCTTAGCTGTCATTATCCCAAGAGATTTACATGGATCATCGTATTTAAAATGTATAGCAATCTCTGATAAATATGTTTATTTTGTAGATAAGGAAACTAATCAAGTCCTCAAAGTGGCAAATAAATCATTCAAGGTCACTTAGCTCACATGTAGTGGAGCTAGGCTTTGGATTTAGACAGTGTGGCTCAGCTATGCTCACTGTTCCAGCTATTCTCTTCTCTGCCATCTACCAACCTTAACAGTATTTTATTTTTGAAACATAGCTGCCTAAAAAAACCAAACAAATAAACAAACAAAAAACCCTCAATATCAGTATGCATTAGTGGTAGTAAATACTCTATAAATATTGATATCATTTGGTATTATTAATACCTAAAAAGCAACATTTTATTATCTTGCTAGATACTGTGATTGTTGGTGTTTCATTGGAAAAGAAGCAATAACACATATTTGTACCCCTTGTATTGACCAGGTACTTTTCACCTACGTGTGAAAAGAAGCAGTTTATAATTTAGTGTAAATGCTTTGTGCACTTGTTATCATGCTAAAAGCACAATGGGAGCAATTTAAGCAGTAGACCATGGTTCTCATCCTCATGGAGCTTTGTGTTGCAGATCAGGAGAGGATAACAACCTTTAAGAAATATATCTGGAATCTAAAATAGTTGAAATCACAGAAGCAAAGTATTATAGAATGGTGTTTGCCAGAGGATAAGGGTCGGGGTGGGAGTGTGGGAAGATGTTGGTCAAAGGGTACAAAGTTTCAGCTAGACAGGGTGCATAAGCTTGGGAGATGTTTTGAGATCAATTAATTATATAATGACTATAATTAATGTGTACTTGAAAATTGCTAAGAGAGTAGATATTAAAAGTTCTCACAGCAAAAAATAAGAATGTGAGGTGATGCACATGTTCATTAGCTTGATTTAACCATTTCACAATGTATACCTCGGAACATCATGTTGTACTCTGTAAATGTATATAATTTTTTTTAGCTATACCTTAATTTTAAAAATAAAAAATGAATATTTAGTGTTAGGCAAGGATCAATCAACTATATATATATATAAATAAATCAACTATTATATATAAAAATCAACTATATATATAAATGCTGAGGTGATTCTAAAAATTAAGTGTTGGGCTTTGTGATTATGGCTAGAAGAACAATAGGGGGTTCACTGTGGGCTGGGCAGCCAGGGGACATTTCATGGAGAAGCTACTCTCCAAATACTGTTTCATTTCTTTTTTAAAACATTTTATTTAATTTATTATTATTATTTTTATTTTATATTAAGTTCTAGGATACATATGCTGAATGTGCAGGTTTGTTACATAGACATACATGTGCCATGGTGGTTTGCTGCACCTATCAACCCGTCATCTAGGTTTTAAGCCCCGCATGCATTAGGTATTTGTCTTAATGCTCTTCCTCCCCTAGCCCCACACCCCCAGACAGGCCCCAGTGTGTGATACTCCCCTCTCTGTGTCCATGTGTACTCATTGCTCAACTCCCACTTATGAGTGAGAACATGCGGTGATTGGTTTTCCGTTCCTGTTATAGTTTGCTGAGGATGATGGTTTCCAGCTTCATCTACGTCCCTGCAAAAGACAGGAACTCATTCTTTTTCATGGCTGCATAGTACCACATTTTCTTTATCCAGTCTATCATTGATGGGCATTTGCGTTGGTTCCAAGTCTTTGCTATTGTAAATAGTGCTGTAATAAAATATATGTGCTTTTTAAAAAACATTCTTGCCCATACCCTCCTTCCTGCTTGGGTTCTCTCCTGCTCCTCATCTTTCTTGTGACCTCCCATTTATTGTTCACCCCAATTCAGACATTATTTGCCTCAAAAAGCTGAGCATTCAAAGTTAAATCTGACAATGCATTATCTATGAAAATTTATTGTTTATCTGTCTGGTTTCTTGTCTTGTTTATCTGTTAGGGCTTTGAGACTAAGAGTTGTGTCCTTGGTCTTTGTATTCTTAGGAACTAGCATAGAACCTCACATATAGTGGACAGTTAATTGAACTGAGGTAGAATGTTTAGTGGGGCATCAGGAAGATAGTTTGAATGGGCAAGGGGAACTGGCATTTAAAATTTAAAAAATTTTAATTTCTTCTATCTTGTCTCCTTGTCTTCCTGTACCTTGTTTTTAGGTAATTCAGTTTTTTGTTTTATTTATTTGTAGGTCAAAATATTGATATCTTCACCACACTTGAGAAGCAGAAATTACATTAAGTGGCTTGGCTATGATGTTCAGAAAAGACATTAATCCTGTTTTCTCTTCTTTGTTTGTCACAATGGGTCAGCAGTCAATGTTTAAGAGTCGGCAGATCTGTCTGCCTCTTTCTAAGGCACCAGTCCCCGCCACGTGTAAACATTTAGGTGTGATAAGAGTGCAAGATGATACTTCAGAGTCAGAGATAACTTGTGAACAGTGTTTAGCTTTCCAACTTAAGTAGTTAAAACTCTTTCTTCACAAAGGTTAATGTGAATATGCAGACATTGCGGAATAGAAAATATTAATTACTTGAAAACATATTTTGTATGCCTTATTATAATAAGTTGACTATGGTGAGCTGAAACGTTATTTTATAAAATGAAAGACAATAAATAAGTCCACATTTTAGCTCTATTTTTAAAATTTATTGTTTTAAGGTAAACTAAATGAAATAAGAGAGCCAAGCTCTAAGTCAGTTCCACCTGGAAACCTTGACCTGTCACCCTGACCTATTTTATTATCCTTCAGAGGAGTGAAGAGAGAAGGAAGGGGAAAGAATGAGAAGAAATGAAGTAGCACAAACCATGCAATTACTTTGAGTCTCACTGTTCTTAAATAAACAAAATGAGATTTTGTACTAGGGTGTTTGTTGCAGTTCTTTACAGTTATGGGCTAGTTTGATTTTGAGGAATAGGAAAAGGAGAGAAGGACGAAAGGGTGGGGACAAGGAAATGGCTTGCGTTGCTCCCTTTTTTTGTCCTCTCTCGGTCACTCTGCTGAGCAGCTCCAGTGAAAATAGTTAATCTATAAGGACACTAGAGAAAGCTGAGATAATGCCTACTCTTCTACTTAGCCATATTGGAGGAGTTAACACAGTCAGGATTGTGGTGTGGTCAAAAACTTCCTGCAGGAGATCTAGTTCAACCTGATTCCTAAGAAGTTTTGATAGTGTCTGGCACATTGTCCAATAGGGGTTGTCACTTAATAAATGTTGGTTGATGAATGAATACATCTGAATGGCTGCTGGGGGTGGAATTGCAGTGTTTGTTTCCTAAACACTGTTGTAGTTTTAAGATAGATGTTTTTCATTTGGTTTGCCCACTTCATAATGGAATCTTGATATTTCGGATCTCATAATGGAAATTGAAATATTGAACTGGATATATAGACTATTTATATTTTGAGATATTTGTCTTTACTTTGAAAAAAATCATGTGAAATGCCCATACTAACTTCCCCACATGCACCCTCAACCACACACATGCTAAAGTTTTGGTTGTGTGAGTGTATGTGGTTAAGTCAGGGAGAACTGTGAATCGTGGCTTTGATACTTAGCAGCTTAGTGTAATTTAATATTTCTCGGAGATTCTGCTTTGCTTTCTCTGTAAAATGGGGATAAAAGATGTTTTTCTTATAAGTTTGAGATGAAGATTAAATAAAATCATGTATGTCTACAATTTGGCACATTGCAAAATGTCAGTAATATGGAGCTTAATATCGTTGTACTTTTTTTTAAACTGGTAGAAAATTTCAAGCTGTAAGATTTCCTTGTACATTATGAAAAATAGTATTCTCTTATTTAAATATCTGAAGGTTATGAACAAATGAATGAGAGATACATGAAGATGAGCATTGTCTTTGCTTTCTAGTTCTCCATCAGGCATGATAGAAGGTACACCACAACTTCACGCAAATGCGTGGAGAGTTTCTTCTACCTGTTTTGCACCTGTTCATGTCCCAGTGGTGGACCCCTGTAACATCAATCAACAAAACAGTAAGTTTTGCATGTAAACTTCCTTTCTGCTGTAAACTTAGGGAAAAGTTCTATGTATTACTATAATTTTATAAAATTAGATAGTTTAAATTCTAATTTTCTCCATTATGGTAAAATCAATGCCATTCCTCGTGTATTTTTTTTTTGCTTAATATTATGCCTTTACATATGTCTTTTCATGTAATCTAGGTTGTTTTTTAAAAACCTGACAGTGGCTTTTATTTCCTATTTTTATTTCATAAATTTTCTTATTTTAGATGTTTAGAAATCCCTTGTTTGCAGATGTGGACTAGCATTTGGGAGTTTTCAGAGTCTTTAAATACTAAAGAAAAGCCTCTAGGAATCCTCTGAGAATGCTGTGATAGTCCAGGGATGTTCGATGTCAGTTATTACCATCTCATTACTCATTGCTCATGAGCCCTACTCATAGCATATATTATGGCTTTATAAGCAGGAAGCCAGTGATCCAAAGAGGCTTTGTGCCATTGAGTGGGCAACAATTTGAGATGGTCATGCTCCAGAGTTCCAATTTGCAATGACAGGACAACTCACATGCTAAGAATTTTTGGCTGCATTTTTTAAAACTAAAGCCCCAGCAAACCATGTTAAAGTCCAGTTCACTTTGCAATAAAAAAGATATACATGTATATATTCAGATAGAAGATACACATGTATATATTCAGATAGAAGATATATACAAGACATACACATGTATATATATAATTGTGAAAAAATTAATGTACATGCTTAAATATTCTTATAAGTTTATTTTTTCCTTTAATCATCTTGGCTAGTTCACTATTTGGATGTAGTTTTTAAAAATACATTACTCATATTGGTTGAGCTTTCATAAGAAGCCAGCACAGTTTACGGATCATGCGGTGGTTGTTGGGAGGATTCTGTTGATTGCCATATTGTTTTTATTATTAACATAGGATTCTGGTATGCTGGAAAGAGCAGAAGATACTTTTGCTCTTTGTGCTTTCTGTCTTTTTTAAATCTAAGCCAGCTTTTAAACTTGAAAACGTTTCTTAACCTCTTTGATCATTTTTCTTATCTATAATAACACGGCTAGACTAGAGTTTTTTAGTTTCATGAATGACTACTTTTAATCTCACTCCCATTTAACAATACCTTCCTCCATTCTGTCCCCAACTTTCAACTAATCTACTCCTCCTCCTTCAACTACTCTTGTTTGGTTTGTTTCTTTCTTGGTTTCCTCCTGGATATTGTAGCAACTTTACTTTTTATTTTTTAATAACATGTTAAAGTTGAAGTAGAGTTCAATTGATAAATTCAGTTTCCCTGTGGTCATTTCTTTAGTTACCTCCTTTATTATATGCTATTTTGCTCTATTTTCTATCACTTTTCTTCCCATATCCCATGTCTTTTAAATATATACATACACGAAATTGAAATATTAAACTGGATATATAAACTATTTATATTTTGAGATATTTGCCTTGTCTTTGAAAATAAGCCTGTGAACTACCCACATTAATTTCCCCACATGGACCCTAAACCACACACATGCTATGTACATGCATACATATATTTGATATTAACTTTTTTTTAGCTTTGCCATGAACTGTGATTTTTTTTTAAAAAAATTCAAATAGGTAAATTCAGGAAGATCCTCAAAGAAAGGAAAATAAGTAGACAAAAGTCAATAACTCTGATCTAGATTCTAAAGGATTTTTTTTCATGAGGATCTTCTTTAGTTATCCTTAACTTAATGTCAGTGGGAATATACTTTGATCTACAAATTGTTAGCCTCTTTGGTGTATTACTTTGCTCTTTCAGGATCCTTGGCATTAAGAATATATATGTAAACAGTATACTGCTATAGTTTAAGTCATTTGTTTTTATATACATATACATTCTGAATGCAAAAATATCATACTTGAGCAATTATCATGTTTTCTTACCAATAATAAATATATGTAATATACTCAACAAAATAAGTTCAGTATAATTCCTTAGTAGTGAAAAAACTGATCTCCAACAGCTTATCTGGTCTGTAAAAGACAATGACAATGAAAAGATTGATTAATTTTATCTGTTAGGAAACCAAGGAAAACTAGGTCCACGATATCAAGAAACCACAAACCTACCCTCTTTCAGAAAGATGGAATCTGAATTGTTTTGTCAAACTTGGTTACTTCTATAAAGAATTATATCTGATCAGTCATTCTCAAGGGAAAAATCAACAGATTTCAGGAAATGATTACACAGATGTCCTCCCCTCCCCAGGTGATTTTATAGTTACATCTCATGGCCTTCAGCATATACCCTAATCCCCAATTTCTACTCATTATTCACTTATTCATGCATTTATAGATTTATTTATCAAACATTATTGAGCTCCTAATATCTGCCAGACATTGTACACTGTGCATTGTGCAGACATTGAGTTCAACAACTATGTGGCATCTGACACATTACCATTCATTTCAGAGACTCCATTGAAATGAGATCATTCCCAATTCTTCCTAGACAATTGTGTATTACACAGGGTTGCCATAATATCCACAATCTGGAACCACTTTGTTATATGTGGATGTCTGGAAATAAGCCTCCCAATACTCTCCAATTCTTTATAGTAGGTTTCCTAAGATGATCCTCATGCAATGGGATGGTTGAGGCCACTGCTTCTCTCAACCCTTCTATTACTCATGTTATTCAGGTACAATACACTATTTTTTTTCCTAAAAGTCTGTTGAATGTGGATTAAGTGCTGTTACCAATATTATATAAAAAAAACAAAAACTGTATAAGCTGAAATTGTTCACTCTTGTATTAAAAGTAATATGCACTACAGTGTATTTCTAAGAACGTGAAATGCTTGGATAATTCTGGGGTAAGATCTGAACTGTTAAATAAGATGCTAATTGGGCTCTTTGTTAGTTGGGTATGCAGCACACTGTGATGTCATCCACCAGGAGCTCTTTGCTCCTTGCCACATCTATATTAGCCCTGGGCTGTACTATCAGCTATGCCGCCACGATGCATGCAAGTGTGGAAGCTCCTGCCTGTGCAATGCTCTTGCCCACTATGCCTACCTCTGCGGCCAGCACGGTGTTCCCATTGATTTCAGAACTCAGATTTCTTTCTGTGGTGAGTACAATGGCACAGATAAAGACTATCAGATAATACCTTAGAGACCTCTATGTTTGTAATGACTGCTTTTATTTTTTAAATGAAATGTCAATATTGCATGTAAGTTATTTGAAATATTCTCATAATGTACAAACATGAAAAGCAAATGAAATAATATCTTAAGATTGGAGATATGTTGGATAAGACCAATAACTTTTGACTAGTTTTGTAATAAACGAAATTATTGTAACTATGTTTTGAAATACGCAACAGAAATAATTTAAAACATTTGAAAAATTCTTATCGTGGAAATATCATATCTAAATATTGGAAAGTATGGAACAGATTATGTAATACAGTGACGCAGTTGATTTGTATTTAAATAGATGTTATGCAACAGGCAATTATTATCAAGTTATTGGGGCTCTAATTTTCACACTTATGTTGTCTGCCATTTTCATTCATGGTAGATTGTTTCCTTGTGTGTTTTATAATTTTTTTTAATCAGCTTATTTTTACCAGCACCCCTCCAGACCCATTAGAATCTTTTGTGACTTAGGTTTTGGGGGTACCACTCTCTCCACCTCTTCATTCCTTCATTGGATTTTTCCAGTTATTCCAGGGGTATCATTGGCTGGTGTTGACGTTAATTGCTCAATTTTGGCTTTCTAAGACAAAAATAGTGTAAATATAAAAGTAATGTAAATTCATATACCAAATTTGTTTAAGATATCAACCTAGGATTTTAATTTCTTAGAGGTAACTTTTTAATCACAGACCCAGCAGTTAGAGAAGCTTTTCTATCACCTTTCTATACTATGAGCCAGTTTCTTCTAGTCTGGGGGTTGACAAGTTACAACCACTGGGTCTCCTGCATTTTTGTGAATAAAATTTATTGAAATATAGTCATGCCCATTTGTCTGTGTGTTGTCTATGGCTGCTTCTATACTACAAGGGCAGAATTGAGTAGTTGTCACTCAATTCAACATATATAGTTCTGCAAAGCTGAAAATATTTACCATTTGCGAAGCTGAAAATACTTACCATTTGGCCCTTTGCAGAAAAAGGTTTCCAACCCTTGCTTTAGTCCTTCATTTCCACTGAGGATGTTGCTCTTTGAGCATCCAAGTTAAGGGTCTCCCAATTCCTTGCCTTGTAACAGGCCAGCTTTCATTTTCTATCATAGACCTCTAAGGAGGCATAAAATGTTTCTATGTGCCATGGCAATCTTTCTCAAGTGATACTTCTTTGTCCTTAGCTGTGGTGTGCCAGAAGGGCATGCTGTACCATCACTGTTCCTCGTTCTGCCTCCATTCCTGCATTTCTCTCTCTTCCCCGGAGCAGTGCAGTGATGACTGTGCTGAAGGCTGTAATTGTCCGGAAGGCAAATTCTATGAAGACACTCTTAACTTTTGTGTACCCATGTAAGTCGTAGAAACAGGTTGGCAGCATCCTGTTTTAATCTCTTTTTCTCCTTACGGGCTAAATGAGCTTTCATGGAAGTTTTTGAAAAAAATATTTCTTATTGTCTTTACTTTTTTTTTTAAAAAACCCTGCAAATGTTCATCAACAGTTACAGAAATAGCTAAGGAATCTCTGATGGTTGATCTTGAAGTGTATTCCTGCTTGCTTTTACCATAGTCAAATCAATAACAAGGTTTGTGCTTCACTGTCACATGGCAAACTTTAGTAGCAGGACTTTAATATCTCAGCACTCACAAATTTCTCAATTTACACACGAAGTAAAGCCCTTTGTCTTATATATAGTGTTAAATGATATATCAGTTATGTTTCTCTGAATTGCATTCAGTGATTTTTCTTGTGACTAAAACAACACAGTTTGTGAGTTGTATTTTAGAAAACAAAATTTGGAGCTATGCAAAACTTCATGTCTAAGCAGCTTTTGCCATTTGTGTAATAGGATTGCATGCAGTCTTGTAGAATAATGCAGACCTTAGAGTGTACCTTACAATGACCAATGGAGAGCACAAGGTCAGCTTGAATTTTAGTGGTTTTTGAAAAAAATTGTATCCTATTTACTTTACTTTTTCTTCGTATAGATTCCACTGCCGTTGTCATTATAGGGGCAGTGTTTATCAACCTGGAGAGCTCATCCCCACACCCTCGGGCTTATGGTAGGTTTCAATGATGGGGATTGTGTTTGACAAATGATGTATGTTCTAATATAATTCTTTCTTTTATATATATATATATATTTTTTTATTATACTTTAAGTTCTAGGGTATATGTGTACAACGTGCAGGTTTGTTACGTATGTATACATGTGTGCCATGTTGGTGTGCTGCACCCATTAACTCGTCATTTACATTACATTGAGTATATCTCCTAATGCTATCCCTCCCCCCTCCCCCCACCCCACAACAGGCCCCGGTGTATGATGTTCCCCTTCCTGTGTCCAAGTGTTCTCATTGTTCAATTCCCACTTATGAGTGAGAACATGCAGTGTTTGGTTTTTTTAACCCAAACTGTAAGTTGAAATATGACTTCTGTAATTAAAAAATAAAGATAACAATGTAATCTTTAAATATATTATAATCATGTGATTGTATATATATGTACAAACACATATATACATAATACATGCATATATGACATTTCAAAGTGAAATAACCAAGTTTTGTACTCATAACTGCAGAAAGGAGTTATGAATTTAAGTACCTCACAGTGAAATGAAAGTCCTTTGATCATTTTTTGTTATTAGATAGAAGTTAGGGGTGAAGTACGTGTTTAAATACAACAGTATTACTGAATAGGCTCAAAAAAAAAAGCAATTTCAAAATAGATTTGAAAAATGTCCTGCACAGTAGTAAGTGTGCCTCCTCCCCAGGCCCATCAATACTAGAAAGATAACACTTAATCATAGGATAACACTCATTCTGGTTATAAATTTTCTGTTGAAAATCTAGGCACGTCCATGCAGCAGTCCATACTTACATATAATTCCTAACCTCCCCTTTTTAGTTGCCCCATAGGTACCAACAGATAATAATAGACAGTAGATAATAACAATAATAATCATTTCTAACCATTACTGTGTACCTTGTTTTGTGCTGGCACCATTCTAAGTGTTTAATATCTATTATTAAAATACTTACTCATCACCATAACCCTAAGAGATAGGCAATGTTGTTTTATCCTGATTTACAGGTGAGGAAAATGGGATACAGGTGGCTAAGGAACCTGATACTAAAGCTGGGAGTTAGTCCCAGGCAACCTGGCTCGGCAGTGCTTGTCTCCTGCCTACTTTGCTCTGCAGCTGATTTTTGTATTCACAGCAGAATATTGATTATGCTCAATTTACCTTTGTCTTTATCTCCACCTTTTTTCCTATCCACATCAAGACACAGTGGCAACTAGCTCTTGGATCTTTCTGTGGTACGCAGTACTATTATTCACACAGTTTCCCAAGCCAGAGCTCCAGGAATCATTTTCGACTCTTTCCTCTTGCTCAAAACACCTAATCAGTAAATACCCAGCAACTTTGGATTTTACTTGATTTTACTTTCTACGCGTAGTCAAAAGCCATTTCTTCCTTTCCATCATCACTGCTTTAGCAATCAGTGTGTCTCATTTTCTCTTCCCTGGACCTTCCTCTCTGGTGTTCTTGCCTCTAGTTTTTCCCCTCTTTCATTCTGCCGAGGTGTCCTGTCTTTTTGGATTTAACATGATTAATGTATGTAAACTTAGCAAAAAAAAAAAAAAGTAACCATCCCTCCTCAATGAAAAAAAATCAAAATTCACTTAATATAGTGACTTTGTTAGCCATTCCTTTTTAAAAGCCTTTGTCCCAGAATAAGTATGATATGGAAGACCTGGATATGTGATCTGAGACCTGTCTGTCTCAGTTCCTCTGTGCTATTCAAAGTGTGAGCAAATTCAATCAGAAGTGACTCACTCAGTGGTGAATCACACCTCTGAGTGTTATTCTAGTGTTCAACTATGCATTGCATATTTTTTATGTGATGTGGACTGTATATGTGATTCAGCTTCTTCATCTGGGCTTAAATATAGAACATATGATCTGGTCCAAAGCTGAAAGAAAAACTGTATTGGAGTTATTGAGAACTAATGTGTTGTTTTCCATCATGTTATCTTCTTCAGGGATTTTCAAGGCTAATTTTTCCTATATGTGGCTCTTGCCTTATACTCTGACTTTAGAATGTAAGTTGCAAGGAAGCTGTGACTCCACCCTATCTTCAATGCTGCTGCCAAAATGATTCAAAGCAACCATATCACTTTTCTGCTTAGGTCTTCAATGGCTCACCTCAGGGGTAAAATCTTAGCATCTTCTAGGAGCTAGCCTCTGCCTCTTTTGGCATTCTCACAGCCTGTCCCTTCCTGCATTGCACTTTGCTATGTAGAATGCTGCTTTACTTCTTCATGGTTTATGTGTTTCCACTGAGTGTTATAGCCTTCCTACCTTAGGTGTGCCATAACCTCCATCCACTCTTCAAAACTGTTCAGACTTTACTTCCTTTGATTCCCTGATGTTGGTTGCCAACAGATTTTAAAAACATTTTTTCTTTGTTTTACTTCTATCTCTTAACATATTTCTATGTTGCATGTGTCACACTGCATACATTATTTATTTGTGTGTCTTCCCCTTCTGTGAGACAAATTATGGTAAGAACTATGAATTTTGATGTTCATGTCTCCCATGCCTATCCCAATGCTCCACACTTATAGGTGTTTGATAAAAAGTGTTGTGTTGAAATAGCGTTCCTGAAATTGGACCTAACCCAACAGCTTGTAAAAACTTCTGTGGGAAAAATAACATTTGTATAATGTACTCAATCAATTCTTGTACGTTAGATTGTTGTCGAAATTCAGGGAAAAAAAAAAAAACAACAGATTTGGTTCCATAAATTAACTATTTATTTACTTCTAGCCAGTGTTCAAATGGGACTGTGAAATGTGATGAATTAGCAACGCCCTCTGCTGGTAAGATCTTAAAAGATGTTTTCCTGAATGAGGGTTCAGCTCTGATACCACCTCCACTCCTGGCAGAAGTCATCAATCACCTCTTCTTCCCAATGTGCATGGCTATAGCCTTGGGAATGTTCTTCAACATGGTGTTCCAGTGCTTCTTAACTTTTTCCACATTGAAAATTATAATATTTTTAGGACAGTCTGGGTTGAACATATAAGTCAGCTCAGGGGCGGAGCAGGTCAACCCAGGGATGCTGCCTAGATGCTGCCTACCACAGGACCACCTCAGGCATCCCAAGGACTTTAGGGATATGTATCTAGGCAAGTGTTGTAACCCATTTGTGGGACAGAAATTGGGAAAATCTATTTTAGACCTTCACTTCTCAGATTTTAGTGTGCACATATGGGGATCTTGTTAAAATGCAGATTCTGATTCATTAGGTCAGGGGTGATACCTGAAATTCTACATTTCTATCAGTGACCAAGATAACATTAATACTTCTGGTTCCTGGGCTGCATTATGAGTAGCATGGCTCTGGGACTAGTAGCAATAAATTTAACAATGCATGTAAAATGACATCCACTGTTATCCCTTCAGAATGTCATTTTAAATACCTTTCCTAAGATCTTATGTATTAGGACCATATATATTATTTATTTTCATCATATAAAGAGCCTCAAATTCTCAGTTACTATGGGCAAATTCTAGGCACATAATAAACAATACTTGCTTTCATAGATTTTAATGGGCAGGAAGAGTGTAGGCTAATAAAAGTAATTGTAAGCTATTATTGCTTTGTTATGTATTTGAATGGCCTGGTATATATTATTATTAAAGAGCTTTGAATTACATGCCCTGAATTTACTTTACAAGGATTCAGACAAGCCTAGGGCTTCTTTACAAGACATGTTTATGGACCACACACATTCGGTAGCTACAGGGCCATCCTGACTCTGCCCCATTTCTTTCAGGGTGACTCGC
Organism: Homo sapiens; assembly: GCF_000001405.40. Taxonomy (NCBI): domain Eukaryota; kingdom Metazoa; phylum Chordata; class Mammalia; order Primates; family Hominidae; genus Homo; species Homo sapiens. The sequence continues at coordinate 80,271,125 of NC_000012.12, forward strand.
CCCCATTTGATTCAATGAAGGGAAGCCCAGGTGGCTAGCCTTCTCACAGAGGAACCCACGGGATTTTATCCCTTTGGCCCCACTTGAGGCAATTTATTTGATCTCTAAGAGCCCAAAAGCTTTCTGGAAGAATATGGAGCCCCTGTCCTGACTATAGTTATGTCTACTTCTGCACTTCTGTGGTATAGTGAGAACTGATATAAACAATGACTTGAGGTGAAGCAAGATTTAGAATAATCGTGTGTTCATTGTAGCTTTGTAAAAGCCACAATGCTTTTACATTATGCTTAAAAATTGATAACATATGCTGAAAAATTGATAATATATGTATGAATTAATAAAAATATCTTGTTTTTTGACTTCAGAAAATTATATTCTAGTTAGTTACTGTCTTATGGAAGGCAGCTAACATTCTCAAACTCAAAATAGGTTTAGAATAAACCTATTTTATGAATTTTGGTGTTCATATCTCCCATGCCATGACAAAAAGTTAAGGACATTTTGTCTGTGCTTATATCTGAAGTTCACATCTGCCCAGAGGGAAAAGAGTATTTCGACTGCAGGTTTCCTGACCCTGAATTACCAGCTGGTGGTGTTAATTGTGAGACTACATGTGCAAACCTAGCCATGAACTTCACCTGCACCCCATCCTCACCCTGTATAAGTGGCTGTGTTTGTGCTCCAGGGTAAGCCTCTTCTTCATAATACAGAACATTCAGGATTTGCCTGAAAGCACAATATCTCCTGAAAACATTCTTTATAGAAATAGCCAGAATTGTTGTTCTGACTAGTGGTTAACTGGGTTGGTAGCTAGAAGACTATTGTGATTGTTTTGCTTGGCTCATGTGACATTGTGAAATATTATTAATGTAATACACTGAATTGAGGAGAAAACTCATTTCTGGATGAAGCTGGAATTTCTCCCCTGATGAAACTGCAATTTTGAGAAAGTGACACAATTAATCACTCTTCATTCAAAACACTCTTCAAGTGCATTTTTAAATATTCTGTTGTGCAGTTACTGGTATTGATGTGAAGTTGTAATAGTGATGCCAACTGTTTTATCTTAAAGAAAATAGTGTATTGAGGCTACAAAGGGCAGTGGGTAAGAGTGGGAGCTCTGGCATCAGACACACCACTGCTCAAATCCCAGCCCTGACACTGTTAGTGGAGTGATTTTTCTGCAAGTTCTTTTTAAGCCTCAATTAGGCATTGTGATGTGTGTGTGTGTGTGTGTGTGTGTGTGTGTGTGTGTGTGTGTGTGTATTTAAAAATATGAGCCACTATTTTGTGGCAGCATATATTCTACTCCTATCTTCATAAATATTCTTCCATTGCAGAAATGCCTAGTGCACGTGAAAGACAAACACAGAATCTTGTGGCTATTGGCTTCCTCACAGGCACACATATAATCTGGCCTCCCTGGCCCTCCCTCTTCTGGTAATGAAATAGAGGCTGTGCAGAGGGAGTGCCATCTAAGGCAAACAGGTCACCCATTCTTCCTCAATGAACATGTTCACACAAAGGGATTCCTGGGATCAGCTCATATAAACCAGGGGCAAAGAAGAGCGAGGTCTTGTGGTTTGTTTCCCAGGAGAATCGCATTTGTCTAAATGGCCCCCATCTGGAATAGGTTGAAGAGCCAAGTAACTTGGAACTGGCATTAATCTCTTTAGAAAGAAAGGACATAGGAGGCAGAGACAAGAAGGTCACAAAAGAACAAGTGCCTGTGGCTGGGAAAATAAAGACAGGTAGAAATAAGGCCATAGAGCAGATAAGCAAGAAAGACATTTTAGTAAAAAGGAGAAGGGAAATAGAATAATTAAAACCCACAACATTGCTTGATTTATTTGATTTGATTGTGACTCTTAGGAATGCATGGCTAATTAAAGCCATATCCTAATTTTGTTTTATATGCTGTGCTTGAGCTATTATCTTTTAAAATATATTTACTGTCACCTTTGATATTTAGTTGGACAGTGATTTATTTACTGGCTAAATCTCATTACAAAACGTTAAGGAGATTTCCTCCTACCTTCTCTGACTGTATTGAAATAAATGTGGGTGGAATTGACTTAGAGGCCTCTGACAGATTTGGAAATATTTTATTAAGATAGCCTTCTCCTACAATATTGTTTATGGTAATGTGATTTGCCCTGTCTTCTATGTGACCTTGTCTGGCTCATTTTGGCAAAATAGTCCAGTGTGACTTGTTTCATGTGGCTCCTAACAGTGCCAGCAGTTTATTGACTGTAAAAGGACCACATAACCCTAATTGAGAAATCACTGTGGATTGAAGAAATGGAGAATAGTATAGAGGAAAAGTCAGATGGAAATGGCTTCTATGCTGGCCCTCCTTATAAGCCGAAGTACCTCATGGCAAGTTACTTAACCACTTGAAATCTCAAGTTTCTCTTTTAATAATGGATATAACACTATATTTACTTCTTGGATGATTGAGTATATGCTGCACACCAGTTATATAGTAAGAGCTCAGCAAATGTTTATTTCTTATCCCACTGCCCAAACTTGCTTAAAGCAGATACAAGCATACTTTGTTTCATTGTGTGTTTTGCTTTATTGCACTTCACAGGTGTTGCATTTTTTACAAATTGAAGGTGTGTGGCAACCCTGCATCAAGCAAGTCTGTTGGTGCCATTTTCCAACAGCATGTGCTTACTTGGTGTCTCTGTGTTGCATTTTGGTAATTTTTGCAATATTTCAGAACTTTTTCATTATCATTATATCTGTTATGGTAATCTGTAAACAGTGAACTTTGATTATTATGTAATTATTTCAGGGTTCCACAAATGGTGCCCATATAAGATGGAAAAATTAATTGATGAATGTTGTGTGTGTTCCGATTTCTCCATGTATAGGCCATTCCACCATCTCTCTTGCTCTTCTCAGGTCTCTCTATTCCCTGAGACACAATACTGAAATTAGGCCAATTAATAACTCTACAATAGTCACCAAAAGTTCAAGGGAAAGGAAGAGTCACACATCTGTCACCTTAAATCAAAAGCTAGAAATGATTAGATTTAGTGAGGAAGGCATATTGAAAGCTGAGATGGGCTACAAGCTAGTCCTTTTGCAACAGTTAGCCAAATTGTGAATGCAAAGGAAAAGTTCATGAAAGAAATGAAAAGTGCTACTACTCCAGTGAACCCACAAGTGGTAAGAAAGCAAAGCAGCTAGCTGTTATGGAGAAAGTTTTAGTAGTCTGGATAGATCAAATCAGCTGCAACATTCACTTCTGCAAAGGCTTAATCCATAGCAAGGCTTTAACTCTTTTCAATTCTATAATGGCTGAGGGAGGTGACAAAGCTGCAGAAGAAAAGTTTGAAGCCAGCAGAGGTTGGCTTATGGAGTTTAAGAAAAGAAACTATCTCCATAACATAAAAGTGCAAGTGCTGATGGAGAAGCTGCAGCAAGTTATCCAGAAAATGCAACTAAGATAATTGATGAAGGTGGCTACACTAAACAATAGATTTTCAATGTAGATGAAACAGATTTATATAGGAATAAAGTGCCATCTAGGACTTTCTTAGCTAGAGAGAAGACAATGCTTGGCTTCAAAGTTTCCACGGACAGGCTGACTCTCTTGTTAGGGGCTAAGGCAGCTTGTGACTTTAAGTTGAAGCCAATGCTCATTTACCATTCAAAAAATCCTAGGGCCCTTAAGAATTATGCTAAGTCTACTCTACCTGTGCTCTGTAAATGGAACAACAAAGCCTGGGTGGCAGCACGTCTGTTTACAGCATGGTTTACTGAATATTTTCAGCCCACTGTTGAGACCTGATGCCTAGAAAAAAAATTCCTTTTAAAATATTACTACCTATTGGCAGTGCACCTGGCACCTAGGAGTTCCAGTGGAGATGCAGAAGGATATATTAATGTTGTTTTCATGCTTGCTAACACATTTATTTTGCAGCCATTGATCAAGTAGTAATTTCAACTTTAAAGTCTTATTATTTAGGAAATACATTTCACAGGGCTATACCTGCCATAGATAGTGATTTCTCTGATGGATCTGGGAAAAGAAAATTGAAAATATTTTGGAGAGTATTCACTATTCTAAATACCATTAAGAACATTAGTGATTCATGGGTAGAGGTCAAAATATCAACACGAACAGGAGTTTGAAAAAAGTTTATTCTAACCCTCACGGATAACTTTGAGGGTTTTAAGATGTCAGTGGAGGAAGTAACTGCAGATGCAAAGGAAATAGCAAGAGAACTAGAATTAGAAGTGAAGCCTGAAGATATGACTGATTTGCTTCAATCTCATGATAAAACTTGAATGGACGAGGAGTTGCTTCTTATAGATGAGCAAAAAAAGTGGTTTCTTGAGATGTGATCTATACTTGGTGAAGATGCTGTGAACATTGTCAGAATGATAATAAAAGATTTAGAATATTGCATAAACTTAGTTGATAAAGCAGTGGTAGGGTTTAAGACGACTGACTGCAATTTTGAAAGAAAATTTTAGGTAAAACACTATCAAATGCATTGAACACTACAGAGAAATCTTTTGTGAAAGGGGGAGTCAATCAATGTGGCAAACTTCACTGTGTCTTATTTCAAGAAATTGCCACAGATATCCCAGCCTTCAGCAACCACCACCCTGATTAGTCAGCAGCCATCAACATTGAAGCAAAACCCTCCTTCAGCAAAAAGATTATGGCTCCTTGAAGGCTCAGATGATCATTAACTTTTTTTTTTTGCAATAAAGTATTTTTAAATTAAGGTATGTATATTTTTTAGATATAATGCTATTATGCATTTAATAGACTATGCTGTAAATATAACTTTTATGTGTACTAGGAACCAAAAAATCTGCTTTATTGACTTGCTTTATTGTGATATTAACTTTATTGCTGTGGTCTAGAACCAAATTAACAATATCTCTGAAATACACCTATAATTTACAGTGATTTAAAGTTTTCCTTTTCCTTCTTCCAGTTTTGAGTAGTTATGAAAAACTCATCAGTCATTAATTAGCAATGCCAGTTAAAACCATGACTTTGGCTGGGGATATAAGAATTGTGGTTCATTTTGGTGAGGTTTCCCTCACTTAAACAACTGAACAATTAAAGTTTATGAAGAGTCTAATGTTTGAGGCATTGTGTTAAGCTATAGGAATGGGGGGTACTAAAATACATTTATTAGATAATAATAGAATCTACCTTAGGGGACTGTCACTAGGATAAGATCAGTTAGGGGCATAGTTAAAATGGTTAGAATAGTGCCTTGCCATAGTAAGCAGTCAAGAATATTAGTTTTGTTATTGTTCTTATAGTTCTTATTGTTCTTATAGTTATTGTCACTATAAGCTATTTAATGAAGTACTTAACAGTTCATTGTGATAAATCCTCCAATAAAAGTTTATAAAGTTGCTAAGTATAGGGAGTATGTGAAGGAGCTGGGGACATAAAAGATTGCATCGAATTGAGTTGTAAGTGATAAGTTTGCCAGAGAGAACATAGGAGAAAAATTTTCTAGGAAGAAGAAAAATTCAAAGCTCAGGATGCATAGCTAGAAGTTTGGGAGGGCCAAGGTGACAGACTGTAGAATCGAGGTCATTGTTGGTCGGAAAGAAAGAAATCTAAGTGAGATAATGCATCATTTATATAAATACGTTTCTTCAGTTGTCTTCTATGCGCTACATATTGTGTGACATGAACATAAACAAGATATTTATGGTCCTCTCAAGTGAAGCTGAAAGTCTAGTGGACAGCATATACACTGAATAAGGAATTACAGTACTGTGTACGAACAGCCATGAGAGAGAAAGCAGAGAGCTAAAACAACATGAGAAATTATTTCTGTTTTAGAGAAGAGGCAAGAATTCAGGGTTCCTGAATTCCATGTTAATTTTTATAATCTTGAATTTTTATAATCTTGAATTTTTATATTTTAAAGCAAAATGTAAAAAAAGTTTTATACCTTATCTATTTTAGGAGCTTTTAATTTTTATTTATTTATTATTTATTATTTGTTATTTAAGTAAATTAAATTATAGATTAATTCATAATAAAAAATTATTTAAATAATGACAACTAATTTTCAAATTTAATGTTTTTATCTTTATTTTATATATTTATTATATTTATAATTAATTACAAAATTATTGTTCTATTATTATTTTGTTAACACTTCTAGAAAAAAATCTTTATTAAAACTTTTAGAAAAAATTGTAAGAATATTGAAATATATATTTATATTAAATGATTTGATGTTATATGTAATATATATTTAATCTTCATATCAAATATTTAGATAACACACCAAAATTAATTCTTACCCGAGATTAGTTCAATTTTTATATTAAAACTTTATACTTAATTATATATATTTAAATGATATATTAATATATAACATTTGTATGTGTTTAACTTTTATAGCCATAGACATTTTTAGACACTTTCAGCGTATAATCTTTCAAGAAGAAAATAACACTTGAAGGAAAACCAACATTCAAAAGTTATCACATTAAATAAATAAGAAACAATGTGAAACACTTAATATGTTTTTTAGTTCCACACACACCTAAGTTAAACTCTCCTGCTTTCAACTTTAAACACTCAGAAAGAAGCTTTTGATTACTCTCTATATCTTGTAACAAAAATGTTAACCATTTAATAATTTACTATTTCATCAGAAAATTGTAGGCCCTATAGACTCTTTTAAGTAGCAGATATTGAAGAACGGGACTCTCATTTCCTCTATAAATTTTTTTTCGGGATGACTCACTTTATTAGAAATTTAGGCTTCTGTCTTCCTTTCATGCACTTAGTGAATAGCAAAAAGGTCAACATATCACATCTAGTCATTTGCCTGGCATTTAGTACTGCGATATGTAAGGTACTATGTGGAAAAAGCGAGGAGAAAGACTGGATTCATCTCCTCAGTAGGTTAGATAGAGTGCCTTAGACAGCTCTAATAAATATAGATGACAGTGTTAATATGCTAAGATTACTGATATTTTAAAACTGAAAACTGTAGTTCATACTAAATAGCATTTTATTCTTCATTTGGAAGAATGGCAGAGCACAGAGGAAAGTGTTATGTTCCTGAAAGCTGCCCATGTATTTGGAAAGATTGGGAGTATCTCTCAGGAGAAGTGATTGCTACACCGTGTTACACCTGGTAAGGAGATCCATTTATTTCACAAATATTTTCCTAAGTAATTGTGTAAATTTCAATCATCTTTTATTTATTTAATGAGACTGACATCAGCAAAAAGTAAATCAAGCCTCAGCAAATAATTTAAAGGCCTGCAGGAGTTGGTGGACAGTTACTATCTGCAGGGGACTATATCATTATTTTTATGCATATTTGTTCAGCCCAGAAGAAAACTGTGAAACACAACAATCTAAAATTTTAATAGGAAAAAATATCTCATGTTTATAAGAAAGTGCTAAATGTTACAAAGAAAAGACCGTATTTAATGGAAGGTTTTCTGTTTCAAGGTAAGTCAAAAGAATACCATAAAATAAAATTTGAAATATAATTTCCCTAAAATATGGACAAAGATTCTAAACTCATGAGCAATGTCATGTCTAATGCATTTAAATTTACTCAAATATGGGAGATGGCATTGTGCTTTTTCAGCTACCAGCAGACCTGTGTTCAGTTTTTCATTCTATCATCTACTTTCTGTGTGACCTATGCACAATTCCTAGGCTCGGTTTTGGTGTCTGATAATTTATTTAAAGGAAGTGAAAAACGTATGCCTAATTTGTCAATGTAATAGGTGGTATCAGAATGAACTGGCAATATTCGTAAGGGATATTGACTCATGAATTCTCTTGAATACAGACATTCCAATGTTGCTGTCACTTGAAATCACTAGTTAGAGTCGTTTCTTTAGAAAGGTAACTTTTGTTATTTTTTAATAGCGTTTGTCGACGAGGAATGTTCAATTGCACATATTATCCATGCCCAGCAGTGTGCACAATATACGGGGACCGACATTATTATTCTTTTGATGGACTAGAATATGACTATATCAGTGATTGCCAGGTGTTTTTGATAAAGGTAGGTCACAGTTACACATTTTTATTTGCATTCGTGTAAAGATTTAATGTAAAAAACAAGTATGCTGGTCCCTGATATATCAAATTCATGTGTTATTTATAAAACCTATAAAACAATTATATATATTTTCAACTTTTATTTCAGGTTCGGGGGTACTTGGGAAGGTCTGTTAATGTGGGTATATTACATGTTGCTGGGGTTTGGTGTACAAAGAATTTCATCATGCAGGTAGTAGCATAGTACCCAATAGATAGTTTTTTGACCCTTACCCTCCTCCCATCCTTCACCCTTAAGTAGTAGGCCCCAATGTCTATTATTCCCCTCTTTGTTTCCATATATACCCAATGTTTAGCTCCCACTTATAAGTGAGAACATGCGGTATTTGGTTTTCTGTTCCTGTGTTAATTCACTTATGATAATGGTCTCCAGCTGCATCCATGTTGCTGCAAAAGACATTTCTTTCTTATGGCCATGTAATATTCCATGGTGTATATGTACCACATTTTCTTTATCCTTTCCACTGTTGATGGGCATTTAGGTTGATTCCATGTCTTTGCTATTGTGAGTAGTGCTGCAATGAATGTATGCATACATGTGTCTTTACGGTAGAATGATTTATATTCCTTTGGGTATATACACAATAATGGGATTGCTGGGTTGACTGGTAATTCTGTTTTAAGTTTTTTAAGAAATTGCCACACTGCTTTCTACAGTGGCTAAACTAATTTACATTCTCACCAGCAGCATATAGCAGTGTATAAGCATTCCCTGTTCTTCGCAACCTTGCCAACATCTGTTTTTTTTTGACTTTTTAATAATAGCCATTTTGACTGCTGTGAGATGATATCTTATTATGGTTTTGATTTGCATTTCTCTAATAATTAATGATGTTGAGCATTTTTTCATATGCTTGTTGGCTGCATGTATGTATTCTTTTGAGATGTGTCTGTTCATGTCCTTTGCCCATTTCTAATGGGGTTGTTTTGTACTTATTGACTTGTTTAAGTTCCTTGTAGATTCTGGTTATTAGGCCTTTGTAGGGTGCATAATTTGCAAATATTTTCTCCCATTCTGTAGGTTTTCTGTTTATTTTGTGGACATTTCTTTGGGTGTGCTGAAGCTCTTTAGTTTAATTAGGCCCCACTTGTCAATTTTTGTTTTTGTTGCAATTGCTTTAGGTGTCTTTGTTATGAAATCTTTGACAAGGCCTACATCCAGAATAGCATTCCCTAGGTTTTCTTCTAGGTTTTTTATGATCTTAGGTCTTACTTTTAAGTCTTTAATCCATCTTTGGTTGATTTTTGTATTTAATGCAAGGAAATGTTCCAGTTTCAACCTTCTGCATATGGCTAGCTGGTTATCCCAGCAGCATTTATTGAATGGAGAATCCTTTCCTCATTGCTTATTATTGTCAGCTTTGTCAAAGATCAGATGGTTGTAGGTATGTGGCTATGTTTTTGGGTTCTCTAACCTGTTCCATTGTGTCTGTTTTTGTGCCAGTACCATGCTGTTTTGGTTGTTGTAGTCTTGTAGTATAGTTTGGAGTTGGGTAGTTTGATGCTTCCAGCTTTGTTCTTTCTGCTTAGGAATGGCATTGAATTTGTAGATAGCTTTGGGAAGTATGGCCATTTTAACAATATCGATTCTTCCTACTCATGAGCATAAAATGTATTTCCATTTGTTTGTGTCGTCTTGATTTCTTTCAGCAGTGTTTTGTAATTCTTGTTGTAGAGATCTTTCATTTTCCTGGTTAGCTGTATACCTAGGTATTTTTTTTTTGTGTGTATGGCTATTGTGAATGGAATTACATTCTGGATTTTGCTCTCAGCTTGAACACTATTGGTGTATAGAAATGCTGCTGATTTTTCTACATTGGTTTTGTATCCTGAAACTTTACTGAAGTTGTTTATCAGTTCTAGGAGCCTTTGGGCAGAGGCTATGAGGTTTTCCAGGTGTAGAATCATATTGTCTGTGAAGAGAGATACTTTGACTTCCTCTTCCTATTTGGATGCCTTTTATTTATTTCTTTTGCCTGATTGCTTTGGCTAGGACTTCCAGTACTATGTTGAATGAGAGTGATGAGAGTGGGCATCCTTGTCTTGTTCCACTTCTCAGTGGAATTGGGTCCAGCTTTTGCCCATTTGGAATGATGTTGGTTGTGGGTTTGTCATAGAAGGCTGTTAATATTTTGAGGTATGTTCCTCTAATGCCTAGTTTTTAGAGGATTTTTAATATGAAGGATGTTGAATTTTATCCAAAGCTTTTTCCTGCATCTGTTAAGATGATCATGTGGTTTTTGTTTTTAGTTCTGTTTGTGTGATGAATCACATTTATTGATTTGTGTATGTTGCACCAAACTGTCATTCCAGGAATAAAGTCTACTTGATTGTGGTGGATTAGCTTTTTGATGTGCTGCTAGATTCAGTTTGCTAGTATTTTGTTGAGGATTTCTGTGTCTATGTTAATCAGGGATATTGGCCTGAAGTTTTCTTTTTTCATTGTATCTCTGCCAGGTTTTGGTATTTCTTTAATTCATTCTTAACTTTTATTATTTATAGGTAATGGGCTAGTTCTTAAACATTCTGTGCCTCTGTTTCCTCATCTATAAAATGAGAAAAATAATTGTGAAAGAAGTTCTGAGGATTGAATAGATAAATATATATAAAAGGCTTAGATAGTATTTGATATAAAGTGAGAGTTCAATAAATGTTAGCCATTTTTATTGTTATTAACTTGGTTTGGTGAATATAAATATAACACATTAAACCATAATTGGGTTATACATTTTTTATGGTTATGACAATAAAAAGATATTATGCTCAATTCTAGAAATGCTATTTTGATGATATGCTTTGGTAAACTCCAGGCTTTATATATCTGATAAAATCCTTAAAATTTCTTACATTGAATGCATTTGAATTACCTGTATACTCAAATTTTAGGCATTACTGATCACAGATTTACATTTCTAAATGAAAAATGTGAGCTTTAGAAAGAAGTCACACAAGAATAAACAAAATAACATCTTTTCCTCCAGCAAACTAACCTATGATTAATGCATTTTTTTCTGGATGTGACTTTTATATTATTAGAGGTTTGTGTGTGATTCTGTTATTTAAGCCTAAGTCAAGAAAACAGACTATCTTCTATTTTATATTAGTTCTGTTACATAAAAAATGAATAGTAAAATCTATAGCCTTTTAAACTTAAGGAAGGTTCTTGCTTATGTTTTACGTCATTGGATTTTCCTGTTGGTACTTGTCTTGTCTTCCTTTATGAATGGTTTTAAGTTTCTTAAAGAATAAATACCTAGGAATGGATTTGGCAGTCATATAATTATAACGGATGGTAAGTTGCCTATAGGGTATTTTTTTTTTTGTCTTGTGTTGTTTGGATTATTTTCGGAGCCTACGGAAGGCACACTAAAGAATACATTCTCTAAGTATCTTCTTTGAACAAGCCTGTTTTAGCAAACAATTTTATATTAGAATCCTTTCATCCCCTGAGGTTTAGAGTATAAATTTAGAGGCTTAGAAAAGTAGATAACAGTTTAGAAATTTGAACACATAAACAAATATACTTTTCAGGTTGATTTTATATAAAATCCTCACTTTCCTTGATATTTAGGTGCCTCTGACACTCCTTTAAGTTACCTCCACCCTTGACTTTCTGGATATTATGATTCTTTCTCTCTGGTTTCTTCTTTGTCTTGTGTTGCCTTTTCCTCTTACATAAGCCCCCACTCAGAGATGACTGATTTGGTTCCTTCAGAGCAAGGACCAAGTCTTGCTCATCATTGTTTCACAAGGGAGGAGCACCATGCTGGGAACATAGTTTCTCACTGAATGTTTATTGAAGTGGACATCTGTTTGTGGTTCTTTACCCCTTTTTCCTAGTGCTTGGTGTGTTCATCCACTTCTAAAATCTTAGCTACAGCTACACACTGATGAGTTCCAAATTGATGTGTAGAGCTCTGACACTCAATTTCTTGACTATATTTCTGACTCAAGTTCATCCTTACAATAATATACTATTTCTTTCTATTTATCTTTCTGAGACTCATATTGTTATCATGTAATTGCTTCTTAAGAACTACAGTGACTTCCAATGGCCTCCAGTGGCTTCCAATAGCGTCATAAAGTCAAACCTCCTACTCCAGTCTTTCCAAGGGTTCTGTCAGCTCCATCCCTCATCTATGTCTTTTCTCAGTGTACTTTCTGTGTCTGATTTCCTCTGCTCCCTCAAAGTCATGTGTTCAGCTCACAGTTATCTGTCCTGTTCTTATATCCTATTGTGTTTATAGTCATAACATCAAAATTAAGCAGCTCATTATATTCTGATTATTTTTATATACTCATCTAGATTGTGTATCATTTTATGTCAGAACTATTTGGTACACTTCTTCTGGGTTCCTCATGGGAGCTAGCACAATTATGGCTGAATTATGAAGCTAAAAAATTACTTGTTTGACTTTTTTCAACAGTCTCCACTTGAGAATAGAGACCACAAGCTTAAACATGAATTTTTAGTTCTAGCAATCTAACACTTGTGATAAATGCATACACGAGCTTTCAATGTGAAGTTTTTAGAGCAGCACTTCTTAAACCTTAGTGTGCATGCAGATCACCTAGGAATATTGTTAAAATATGAATTCTGTTTTCATAGGACTGTAGTAGGGTTTTGGGCTCTGCCTTTTCTTTTTTTAAATTATACTTTAAGTTCTGGGGTACATGTGCAGAACGTGCAGGTTTGTTACATAGGTATACGTGTGCCATGGTGGTTTGCTACACCCATCAACCTGTCATCTAGGTTTTAATCCCCCCACACATTAGGTATTTGTCCTAATGCTCTCCCTCCCTTTGCTTCCCCATCCCCTGACAGACCCCAGTGTATGATGTTCCCCTCCCTGTGTCCATGTGTTCTCATTGTTCAACTCCCACTTATGAGCGAGAACATGTGGTGTTTGGTTTTCTGTTCCTGCATTAGTTTGCTGAGAATGATGGTATCCAGCTTCATCCATGTCCCTGCAAAGCACATGAACTCATTCTTTTTTATGGCTACATAGTATCCGATGGTGTATATGTGCCACATTTTCCTTGTCCAGTCTGTCATTGATGGGCATTTGGGTTGGCTCCAAGTCTTTTCTATTGTGAATAGTGCTGCAATAAACATACGTGTGCATGTGTGTTTATAGTAGAATAATTTATAAATCTTTGGGTATATACTCAGTAATGAGATTGCTGGGTCAAGTGGTATTTCTGGTTCTAGATCCTTGAGGAATTGCTACACTGTCTTCCACAATGGTTGAACTAATTTACACTCCCACCAGCAGTGTAAAAGTGTTCCTATTTCTCCACATCCTCTCCAGCATCTGTTGTTTTCTGACTTTTTAATGATCACCATTCTAACTGGTGTGAGATGATATCTCATTGTGGTTTTGATTTGCATTTCTCTAATGACCAGCGATGATGAGCTTTTTTTCATATGTTTGTTGGCTGTATAAATGTCTTCTTTTGAGAAGTGTCTGTTCATATCCTTTGGCCACTTTTTGATGGGGTTGTTTGTCTTTTCCTAGTAAATTTGTTTAAGTTCCTTGTAGATTCTGGATATTAGACCTTTGTCAGATGGATAGATTGCAAAAATTTTTCCCATTTGGTAGGATGCCTGTTCACTCTGATGCTAGTTTCTTTTACTGTGCAGAACTCTTTAGTTTAATTAGATCCCATTTGTCAATTTTGGCTTTTGTTGCAATTGCTTTTGGTGTTTTAGTCATGAAGGCTTTGCTCATGCCCATGTCCTGAATGGTATTACCTAGGTTTTTTTCTAGGGTTTTTATGGTTTTAGGTCTTATGCTTAAGTCTTTAATCCATCTTGAATTAATTTTTGTATAAGGTGTAAGGAAGGGGTCCAGTTTCAGTTTTCCGCATATGGTTAACTTGTTTTCCCAATACCATTTATTTAATAGGGAATCCTTTCCCTATTGCTTGTTTTTGTCAGATTTGTCAAAGATCAGGTGGTTGTAGATATGTGGCATTATTTCCGAGGCCTCTGTTAGGTTCCATTGGTCTATATACCTGTTTTGATACCAGTAGCTTGCTGTTTTGGTTACTATAGCCTTGTAGTATAGTTTGCAGTCAGGTAGCATGATGTCTCCAGCTTTGTTCCTTTTGCTTAGTATTATCTTGGCTATATGGGCTCTTTTTTGATTCCATATGAAATTTAAAGTAGTTTTTTCTAATTCTGCGAAGAAAGTTAATGGTAGCTTGATGGGAATAGCATTGAATCTATAAATTACTTTGGGCAGTATGGCCATTTTCACGATATTGATTCACTGTATCTGTGAGCATAGAATCTTTTTTCCATTTGCTTGTGTCCTCTCTTATTTCTTTGAGCAATGGTTTGTAGTTCTTGAAGAGATCCTTCACATACATTGTAAGTTGTATTCCTAGGTATTTTATTTTCTTTATAGCAATTATGAATGGGAGTCCACTCATAATTTGGTTCTCTGTTTATTTTTGGTGTATAAGAATGCTTGTGATTTTTGCACATTGATTTTGCATCCTGAGACTTTGCTGAAGTTGCTTATCAGCTTAAGGAGTTTTTGGGCTGAGATGATGGGATTTTCTAAATATACAATTATGTCATCTGCAAACCGAGACAATTTGATGTTCTCTCTTCCTATTTGAATACCTTTATTTCTTTCTCTTGCCTAATTGCCCTGGCCAGAACTTCCAACACTATGTTGAATAAGAGTGGTAAGAGGGGGCATCCTTGTCTTGTGCCGGTTTTCAAAGGGAATGCTTCCAGTTTTTGCCCATTCAGTATGATATTGGCTATGGGTTTGTCATAAATAGCATTTATTATTTTAACATATGTTCCATCAATACCTGATTTATTGAGTGTTTTTAGCATAAAGGGATGTTTAATTTTATTGAAGGCCTTTTCTGCATCTATTGAAATAATCATGTGGTTTTTGTCATTGGTTCTGTTTTCTGTGATGGATTAGATTTATTGATTTGTGTATGTTGAACCAGCTTTGCATCTCAGGGATGAAGCCACCTTGATCGTGGTGGATAAGCTTTTTGATATGCTGCTGGGTTCAGTTTGCCAGTATTCTACTGAGGATTTTCGCATTGATGTACATCGGGGATGTTGGCTTGAAATTTTCTTATTTTGTTGTGTTTCTGCCGGGTTTTGGTATCAGGATGATGCTGTCCACATAAAATGAGTTAGGGAGTAGTCCCTCTTCTTCTGTTGTTTGGAATAGTTTCAGAAGGAATGGTACCAGCTCCTTTTTGTAACTCTGGTAGAATTTGGCTGTGAATCCATCTGGTCCTGGGCTTTTTTTGGTTGGTAGGCTATTAATTACTGCCTCAATTTCAGAACTTGTTATTGGTCTATTCAGGGATTTGACTTCTTCCTGCCTTAGTCTTGGGAGGGTGTATGTGTCCAGGAATTTATCCATTTATTCTAGATTTTCTAGTTTATTTGGTAGAAGTGTTTAAAGTATTCTCTGAAGGTAGTTTGTATTTCTGTGTGATCAGTGGTGATCTCCCCTTTGTCATTTTTTTTATTGTGTCTCTATGCAAATAAACTAGAAAATCTTCTCTCTTTTCTTCTTTATTAGTCTGGCTAGTGGTCTGTTTTGTTAATCTTTTCAAAAAACCAGCTCCTGGATTCATTGATTTTTTGAAGGATTTTTCGTGTCTCTATCTCCCTGAGTTCTGCTCTGTTCTTAGTTATTTCTTGTCTTCTGCTAGCTTTTGAATTTGTTTGCGCTTGCTTCTCTAGTTCTCTCAATTGTGATGTTAGGGTATCAATTGTAGATCATTCCCGCCTTCTGATGTGGGCATTTAGATTTATAGGGACATTTATAAATTTGCCTCTAAACACTGCTTTAGCTGTGTCCCAGAGATTCTGGTACGTTGTGTCTTTGTTCTCACTGGTTTCAAAGAACTTATTTATTTCTGTCTTAATTTAGTTATTTACCTAGTAGTCATTCAGGAGCACGTTGTTCAGTTTCCATGTAGTTGTGCAGTTTTGAGTGGGTTTCTTAATCCTGAGTTCTAATTTGATTGCAGTGTGGTCTGAGAGACTGTTTGTTATGAATTCCATTCTTTTGCATTTGCTGAGGAGTGTTTTACTTCCAATTACGTGGTCAATTTTAGAATAAGTGTGATGTGGTGCTAAGAAGAATGTATATTCTGTTGATTTGGGGTGGAGAGTTCTGTAAGTGTCTATTAGGTCTGCCTGGTCCAGAGCTGAGTTCCAGTCCTGAATATCCTTGTTAATTTTCTGTCTTGTTGATATGTCTCATATTGACAGTGGGGTGTTAAAGTCTCCCACTATTATTGTGTGAGAGTCTAAGTCTCTTTGTTCGTCTCTAAGAACTTGCTTTATGAATCTGAGTGCTCCAGTATTGGGTGCGTATGTATTTAGGATCATTAGCTCTTCTTGTTGCATTGATCCCTTTACCATTAAGTATATCTTTCTTTGTCTTTTTTGATCTTTGTTGGTTTAGAGTCTGTTTTATCAGAGATTAGGATTACAACTTCTGCTTTTTTTTTGCTTTCCATTTGCTTGATAAATATTCTTCCATTCCTTTATTTTGAGCCTATGTGTGTCTTTACACATGAGATGGGTCTCCTGAATATAGCACAGCAATGGGTCTTGACTCCTTGTCCAATTTGCCAGTCTGTGTATCTTAATTGGGGCATTTAGTGCATTTCCATTTAAGGTTAATATTTTTAGGTGTGAATTTGATCCTGTCATCATGATGCTAGCTGGTTATTCTGCACATTAGTTGATGCAGTTTCTTCATCGTGTCATTGGTCTTTATATTTTGATATGTTTTTGCAGTGGCTGGTACTTGTTTTTCCTTTCCATATTTAGTGCTTCCTTCAGGAGCTCATGTATGACAGGCCTGGTGGTGACAAAATCCCTCAGAATTTGCTTGTCTGTAAAGGATTTTAATTCTCCTTTGCTTATGAAGCCTAGTTTGGCTGGATATGAAATTCTGGATTGAAAATTCTTTTCTTTAAGAATGTTGAATATTGGCCCCCACTGTCTTCTGGCTTATAGGGTTTCTGCAGGAAGATCTGCTGTTATTCTGATGAGTTTCCGTTTGTAGGTAACCTGACCTTTCTCTCTGGCTGCCCTTAATATTTTTTCTTTCATTTCAACCTTGGAGAATCTGAGGATTATGTGTCTTGGGGTTACTCTTCTCGAAGAGTATCTTAGTGGTGTTCTCGTATTTCCTGAATTTGAATGTTGACCTGTCCTGCTAGGTTGGGGAAGTTCTCCTGGATAATATCCTGAGGTGTGTTTTCCAGCATGGTTCCATTCTCCCTGTCACTTTCAGCTACACCAATCAATCATAGGCTTGGTCTTTTCACATAGTCCCATATTTCTTGTAGGCTTTGTTCCTTTTCATTCTGTTTTCTCTGATCTTGTCTTCACACTTTGTTTCATTAAGTTGATAATCAGTCTCTGATATCCTTTCTTCTGCTTGATTCATTTGGCTATTGATCCTTTTGTATGCTTCACGAAGTTCTCATGTTGTGTCTTTCAACTCCACCAGGTCATTTATGTTCTTCTCTAAACTGGTTATTTTAGTTAGCAGTTCCTGTAACCTTTTATCAAGGTTCTTAGCTTCTTTGCATTGATTGGGTTAGAACATACTCTTTTAGCTCTGAAGAGTTTGTTACTACCCACTTCCTGAAGCCTACTTCTGTCAATTCATCAAACTCATTCTCTGTCCAGTTTTGTGCCCTTGCCTGAAAGGAGCTGTGATCATTTGGAGGAGAAGAGGCATTCTGGTTTTTGGAATTTTCAGCATTTTTGTGCCGTTTTTGCTCTTCTTCGTGGATTTATCTACCTTTGATCTTTGATGCTGATGGCCTTTGGATGGGGATTTTGTATGGAAGTCTTTTTTGTTGATGTTATCACTTTCTTTTTGTTAGTTTTCCTTCTAACAGTCAGGGCTCTCTTCTGCAGGTCTGTTGGCATTTGCTGGAGGTTTACTCCAAACCCTGCTTGCCTGGGTGTTACCTGCGGAGGCTGCAGAACAGCAAAGATTGCTGCCTGCTCCTTCCTCTGGAAGCTTCATCCCAGAGGGGCACGCATCTGATGCCAGCCAGAGCTCTCCTGTATGAAGTGTCTGTCGACCCCTACTAGGAAGTGTCTCCCAGTCAGGAGGCACAGGGGTCAGGGACCCACTTGAGGAGGCAGTCTGTCCCTTAGTGGAGCTTGAGCATTCTGCTGTGAGATCCGCTGCTCTCGTCAGAGCCAGCAGGCACAAACATTGAAGTCTGCTGAAGCTGTGCCCACAGCTGACCCTTCCCGCAGGTGCTCTGTCCAGGGAGATGGGAGTTTTGTCTATAAGCCCCTGACTGTGGCTGCTGCATTTCTTTCAGAGATGTCCTGCCCAGTGAGGAGGAATCCAGAGAGGTAGTCTGGCCACAGCCACTTTGCCACGCTGTGATGTGTTCCGCCCAGTCCAAACTTCCCAGTGGCTTCTTTAACACTGTGAGGGGAAAACCATCTACTCAAGCCTCAGTAATGGCGGACGCCCCTCCCCCAACCAAGGTCAATCGTCCCAGGTTAACTTCAGACTGCTGTGCTGGCAGCGAGAATTTCAAGCCAGTGGTTCTTAGCTTGCTGGGCTCCATGGGGGTGGGACCCGCTGAGTGAGACCACTTGGCTTCCTGGCTTCAACCCCCTTTCCAGAGAAGTGAACGGTTTTGTCTTGCTGGGGTTCCAGGTGCCTCTGGGGTATGAAAAAAAAAACTTCTGCAGCTAGCTTGGAGTCTGCCCAAACAGCTGCCCAGTTTTGTGCTTGAAACCTGGGGCCCTGGTGTCGTAGGCACACAAGGGAATCTCCTGGTTTGTGGGTTGCAAAAACCATGAGAAAATCGTAGTATCTGGGCTGGATAGCACAGCCCTTCATGGCTTCCCTTGGCTAGGGGAGGGGTTTCCCTGGTTCCCTGGCCCCTTGCACTTCGTGGGTGAGGTGACACCCCGCCCTGCTTCTGCTCACCCTCCTTGGGCTGCACCCACTCTCTAACCAGTCCTAGAGAGATGAACTGGGTAACTCAGTTGGAAATGCAGAAATCACCCACCTTCTGCATTGGTCTCGGTGGGAGCTGCAGACCAGAACTGTTCCTATTCGGCCATCTTGCCAAGTCCCCCAGGTTCTGCCTTTTCAATAAGCTACTAGATAGTGCTGATGCTCCATGTCTATGGACCATATTTTGAGTAGTAAGGATGTAGAACATTTTACTTTCTTTAACAACCTGATTTTAATTATTTTTGAAATTATTTCTCTTCTTCTGCATAGTCAAATTTAAGTTACATTCAGAAAAAAGAAAGTTTTGCTGACAATATAATGTCAAACATGACATGTTCCCATTGGATATATCATTACTGTTAAAGATGTTTGTTTATGGTATCATTTTAAGTAGTAACACAAAGATTCTGTGAAGCTTTATTTTTCATTTTGTATATGGAAAAAATATTTGCACATTTCTACCAAAAGCATTAAAAATCTTGTTCATGTTTCAGCATCTCTACAAATATTTTCCAATGTATGGTGGTGATCTTTGTTCACATTATTATTTCATTCATTTAATAAAACAATTTTAGGGGCCTATTAAATGTAAAGCATGCCAGTAAAGACATATCTACTATTTATACTCCATATTAAGACAGATTTCTCTAAGAAAATTCTAAGGTTTTGATGGTGGGGACAATGCCTTATATTTCTTGTTATTCTTTCTAAGTCATTTTGCAGAATGCTGGGCATTTGGTGAACTCAATAACTACTTGTTAGTATTTTCTCCTGTTACTCTCATTTTCTTTTTTTAGTAGAGAAAATGTAGCATTTATCATTGTCATTTCAAATACTGATTGTGCAGAAAATATTTCAAGTAGAGTATTTGTCTTAACTCTGAGTCCTGGCAAGAGGAAACTATAATCTTGTGTTTATGTTTAATTGTAGAGAAATAATATCAACTAATAAATAATGGACAAGGCCAGAAACTAATAAAAGACGTACCATAGTTTCTTTTCAAATGATATTTTTCTCTCTCTCAGTTCCTCATTTCTATGAAAGACAAATCATAACAGGACCAATGTACTTGCAAAATAAGTTTTAATCGTAGTATATTTGGCTTGATTATTTGCATAAAATGCAGCAAGAATAATTATTGTTCATATAGGCTCTTTTACGTTGGCTTTGTTGTAACTTTTTCATAATCTCAGATTAGACCTTTTAAAAGCCTCTTGAGGTTAGCCAGCTAAGGATTTATATGTGCCTGCAAATACCTATATGAATTGGGTTAATTTCTCTCTTCTTGAGGTTCTAAAATAACTTGGGGTTCCTAAGCCTGTCAGAAAGTGATGTGCTTTACTTACTACAGGTCACAAACATTGTAAAGGAATTGCATAAACAAGGTGTCAGGCCAGTCTGTACGAGAGGCTTTGGTCAGCTCTATAATGTCAACTTAAATTCCCCAAAGCAGTCCAGTCATATCTGTAAATATTCCATCCTAGTCAAAGCTGTGGTAAAATAACCAGCGTCTCCAACTGTTTCCTGTTACAACAGAAAATAGATTCTTATTGAACTTATGCAAATAGCTATATTGCCATAATTTAAGAATACTCACAAATGATTTTTAAATTCTGGAGAAATCAGATAGAAAGAAATATGCCTCAAATTTTGCTCACAAGAGCATACTTTACTCAATTTGTTGTAAGCTATAAATAGCTCAAAAGAAAGAAATATTTTCTTTTCTTTTTTTTCTTTTTCTTTTCTTTTCTTTTTCTTTTTTTGTTTTTTTGAGATGGAGTTTCACTCTTATTGCCCAGGCTGGAGTGCAGTGGTGCAATCTTGGCTCACCACAACCTCCACCTTCTAGGTTCAAGCAATTATCCTGCTTCAACCTCCCAAGTAGCTGGGATTACAGGCATGCGCCACCACACCTGGCTAATTTTGTATTTTTAGTAGAGACGGGGTTTCTCCATGTTGGTCAGGCTGGTCTTGAATTCCTGACCTCAGGAGATCAGCCTGCCTCGGCCTCCCAAATTGCTGAGATTACAGGCATGAGCCACTACGCCCAGCAGAAATGTTTTCTTGACTTTAGAAAACAAAACGTAAAGAAGCCCAATGTTTCAAACAAACAAGTCATAAGAAAACATTTCAGCCTTCTGTTAGTTCAGTCCCATGCAGTTAACTCTTGTTCTGCCCAGTATTGGGCCAGCAATCCTCATGAACACATCTGCCCTCCAGTGAGAATCCCAGAAGTTTTCTCTCTAGTCTGATGGCACAATCTCCAAAGTAATCAGAAACCTGCCTTCAAGAGCACCTGTCAGAGTCCTTTCCACAAACTTCCTTAAGGAAGCAAGTTGTGGACTGCAGCTGATTATAAAGTGCTTTTTGAGAAGAATAAAAGTAAAACAATAATTGTCTGTGCATGACAAAAGTCTTAGACTAGCCACGGTTAAAGACACAATAGACAAGGAAATTTGATTATTTCTGTGGCATACAATAATTTAATGTAATAGTCATAATTATTCCTGATAACATAGATTAAGACATACCAGAACTATATGAATCTTATATAATTTTGGAACATATATTAATGACACATTCATATAAAAATAACTCAAAGAAAGTTAAACACCATTTCATATTTGACAATGATTCTGGTGTAATTTTAACATACCAACGAAGATGAATATGTCTGTCTCGGACTTCAGGAGCCCTAATACCCAAAAAGTTAGTTTGAGGCCAAAAGACTGAATTTAGAATTTGGAAAGGTTATCAAATATCAAAGGCTTAAAACACTTGATATTGCAAAATAAGAGTCACAGGTAACTGCAAAATTAGTCATTTAATCAAAGTGATAATTCAAATATTTTAAAAAGCTAAAACCTTTACTCTTTGGTAGACAGGAGACTCAGTTTCCCAAATAATCTTAAAACTTAATAAAGATAGCTAAAAAGGTAAATTTAATCTGTCTCTCTCTTCCCTTTTTTTCTTGCCGTATACTCAAAAGGTAAATAAAAATCTTTTACTATCTCTTAATATTACACAAAAAGCTTGTTCAAAAGAGAAAACCAAATTTTACCTTTGCATTGTGCATTATTAACACTAAAGTTAATTTTAAGAAATACATCCAATTTTAATTAGTTTGATCACAAGATAAGATCTTCATAAACTTTTTGTAACCTTTTACAATATTTACCATTCTTTTTCCCAACTTTTTATGTCTTCTTACAAGAACCTTATGAAGGTGTCAACTGAAGGGTGGTTTTGGCCCCAGGCAGCAGAGTCATGGATGACCTGATGTCATTCTTGTAACTTGGACAATCTCTGTGTGACTGCTCTATTTTCTGCTACTCAGGCTAGCATGTCTAACTTTCTTTTCTCTGTCTTTTCTCTACTTTTTCGTCAGTTCAGTCATCATTTCTACTTCCTCATATGTTCAGCTTTTTTTTTTTTACCTGGTCAGCTCCTACTCTTCCTTATATCCTTTACATGTTTATTCACCCTCAGATCTTCCTGCAAAACATTAAAAAAAATCAGTATTTTCTGGTTCAAATTTGAGAGAGAATTGACTAGAATATAGTTCGTTTTTTCTGCAACATTGAAGTCCCTTTGCCCATAAATGAATGCACTGCTTTGGGGCAGAAACCATGGCTGCCTAAGGCTATGGTATCAGCAGAGATTTTGTGTGGGATAATTACCCTTAAAAGGGGCTGGGGCTATGACAGGTGCTGAGACTGACATGTAAAGTATAATTATATACTTCCTTGAAAGGTGCTGACAGTTTCTGTTTCAGAGTCATTTTGGGGCATATTCTGTATTAAAGCTTTTAGTACCTGAGAATAAAGGGTTTTGAGGAGCCCAGGTGACACATTGATGTTGACCTTTTTCCTCCAGCTTTGTTGTCATTATTACTATGTTGCTTAACAACTCTGTGGCATTATTTTTAAACCTAATATTAACTTGAAATACATTAGAAATGGAAAGTATAGAAATGTGACTTTTAGGTGTATTGCTATTGTTACAAATTACTGTGAGCATAGCATGAAATTGTAAGACAAAGCATACAAGATAGAATATTTCTTGACATTTCAGATTTAATATAAAGGATGAAACTAACATTGAGGCATTTTAATTAATAGCAATAAAATATAATGGCAATAAAAAGCCTTTCAATCAGCTTTTCACATCCCTTAGTCTAAATAACTTTTCCCAAGATGAAGAGCAAAACAAAACCCTAAATTATGTATTTTTCTCTTTGAAAATTATGCTGAAAGGCAGAAAAGTATGACATTAATTTTTTGAGTAGTACAATGCCATAATCATCTTAATGACCCTTATTATTTCTCAAAAGGATTGTTTAAAAAGCAGCAAAAGCTCCCAGCATCTATGAAGGAAAAATGGGTTACAGAGGGATATATTAATTACTCCATCTATACCATTCATTAAAAACCTATCCTCTAGACACTATAATACTTATTAACAAGGCAGAAAGAATTTAGCCAAAGTAAGAGATGAAATGAGTTAGTTTTCATATTGCCAGTGTTGTGAAAAACTAAGTGTGAAGAATTTACATCAAGACCTCTATGATCATTAGGCAAGGTGGCTTACACCTCTAATCCCAGCACTTTGGGAGGCTAAAATGAATGGCTCGCTTGAGCCCAGTAGTTTGAGACCGGCCTGGGTAAACATAGTGACACCCTGCCTCTACAAAAAAATTTTAAAAATTGGTCAGGTGTGGTGGCACACAGCTGTAGTCTCTCTCCCAGCTACTCAGGAGGCCAAGGTGGAAGAACTGTTTGAGCCTGGAAAGTTGAGGCTGCAGTGACTCATGATCATGCCACTGCGCTCCAGCAGCCTGGGTGACAGGGCAAGACCCCATCTGAAAAACAACAACAACACCACCACCAAAAAAACAAAACACAAACTGTATGATTGCCGAACTTTTTTTTTTTTTTTTTTTTTTTTTTTTTAAGACAGAGTCTCAATCTGTCACCCAGACTGGAGTGCTGGAGTGCAGTGGCGTGGTCTCAGCTTACTGCAACTTCAGCCTCCCAGGTTCAAGCAATTCTCTTGCCTCAGCCTCCCGAGTAGCTGGGACTACAGGTGCGTGCCACCATGCCTGGCTAATTTTTGCATTTTTAGTAGAGACTGGGTTTTGCCATGTTGGCCAGGCTGGTCTTGAACTCCTGATCTCAAGTGATCTGCCTGCCTCGGCCTCCCAAAGTGCTGGGATTACAGGCGTGAGCCACCGCGTCTGGCCTATGATTGCCAAACATTTAATGACTTTTTCTTACTATGAAAATAAATGCTGACCCATGTGTCTCAAAATGGAAAAGATTCAGGAAGTGTGTGTGGGCCTTTGAAAATTGAACATTGAATCCAAAGAGAAATGTCACAGTTCTTCCTTTCCTTTTAATGAAGTCTCTACTGTCCACAATCAGTGAATGGGCTCTTAGAGCAGTAGCTTTTAACTTTGGGGGAGATTAGGACCACTTTGAGAATTTGACAAGAAGCCATGTACTTTCTTCCTAGAAAAATGGTAAGTATATGAGTTGATGAGTATGTTCGTTTTATTTAATTATTTCACATTATATACATATAACATCCCATTGTATCTCATAAATATATGCAATTATAACTTGCCAATTAAAACTTTTAAGGAACCAGATGTAAACAATATTTTATAATGAAATTTCCAGAGTCAGTACAACTGAAGAAACCTATCCATTAAACTGGGGGAGAAAGTTAGAAACTTTGATTCTAAAGAGTGACTTAGTGGATGCAGTGGGGAGTTGCCAAGGAAAGGGGTCTACCTGGAGGTGGAAGTGTGTCATTTAGAGTAGAGAGACTAAATAGTGTTCCTTGAATTTAGGGATTCCCTATCATCTAAAGTTGTCTTTTCTCCTCAACCATTTCTAGACCCTTCCTAATTTCTTTACAAGTGGCATCAAGACAAACAAAACAGATTAGGAATTTGAACTCTGATCCTCCTCTTAATTAACAAAGCGACCTTAGATAATCAGTTAATTCCTCTTAATCTCAGTTTCCTCATCTGTAAAATGGAAATAATACCCAATTCAAAAAGTTTTCATGAGAACTAAATTGGATAATACATGTAAAATTCAAACCAAGCTCTCAAATAATACACATTATTTTATTTACTAACAAATACCAAAGTTTTGTATCTATTTGAATTCTAACTTATAGACAAATAATTATTCAGCCAGAAATATCGTTTAAATAAAACAAAAGACATATCTCAAATGAATATTTTTTAAAGATTTCCCTAAGTGACATATTGTTTTGTTGATTATTTATTGATAAATAAAATGATAATGGTTGGTACATTTGAGCTATAGAAATAAAATGGTAAACTTGGCTGGAACAAAATTTTAACAGATATTATAGGTGTTTAAAGATTGAGCTATCCTACTATATTTCTATAGACTTCTTCACATTGTTAGTTAAAAATGACTTTTTATTTTAGAGGTAAGTTGTTTTTCAGTTCTAATGCAATCCATTGTCAATATTTAAGATTTCTTAATAAAAATAACTAAAAATAATATAGGTTGTATATATTTGTATTAATAAAATATTTGTGACATTTCAGAGTGCAGATGATTCAGATATATCTGTCATTGCCCAGAACAAGAAATGCTTTGACAACGATATTGTTTGTTCTAAAAGTGTTTTGATTTCAGTTGGGGACACTGAAATTTACCTGAATGATACTCCTTACAAACAGGTTAGTGAATTATTTCTTTCAGGATCATTTGAACTTGTCCTGAGGATACTGAAAATAGAATAGAAATGATTTGGTCTACTCCTCTCTGTAAATGGTCATGAGATCTATGTTGTGTTTTGTTTTCATTTTGCGTGGCTTCAGTACATTGTGCTTGACTTCTCTCTTCTTACTTCTTACTTCCCTTCTCCATCTTCCAATTCGCTCCTCTTGCTTTCATTCCCATAGTTGCCATTTGGGCCCTTGCAACCCCCACCTATTGCCTTAATTACTTCAGTGGCTTCCAGGCTAGACTCTTGGCTTCTAGTTTTAGTCTTTCCCCTCTTATTCATCCTCACATACTGCAGCATAGGTAGTTTTATTTGTATATGTCTTTTTTTTTTTTTTTTTTGAGACAGAGTCTCACTCTGTTGCCCAGGCTGGAGTGCAGTGGCACGATCTCGGCTCACCTCAACCTCCGCCTCCTGGGTTCCAGCGATTCTCTTGCCTCAGCCTCCTGAGTAACTGGGATTAACATATGCACGCCACCACGCCTGGCTAATTTTTGTATTTTCAGTAGAGACGGGATTTCACCATCTTGGTTAGGCTGGTCTCAAACTCCTGACCTCAGGTGATCCACCTGTCTTGGCCTCCCAAAGTGCTGGGATTACAGGCATGAGCCACCGTGTCCAGCCTTGTATATGTACATTTTTGATGGAAATCTAATATGTCACTCTGGTTCTTCAAGACTTTGAGATGCCTTCCCACTGCTCCCCCAAGGCCTTGCCAGTCTGGCTGTTACCCACCTCTGCTGCCTGCTCTTTCATTACTTTCTGCTTCAAGCCCACATTCCAGAAGGTGGAGCATCTTATTAGTCCTTCATTACTATTATCGCTTCTTCCTGGATCTGTCTTTCAATTTAACTTATTCTTATGCAATATGTCTTATCATACTTCCTCCAGGGAGCTCCTCCTCATACCCTTAAGCACCCTGTTAGAATGTGTATCAAAGTTTAATGAAACTACTTGTGAGCTTGTCTTCCCCAATTGTCTCCAAGTTCTTGTTTATTGTATCCTTGGAGCCTGCCCAATTTAAAAGAATGAATACATTTCATTCATTCATTCATCTCATACTTTTTAAATAATGTTTACTGAATATCAAAATGTGCTAATTATTGGGGCTACAACAGTGAAATAACACTGTGCTTGCCTTTAAGAAGTTTCTGCTCAGGTGAGGGATACATTCAGGTAAATAAGGATGCACATGGTAAATAAGGAAGCATGGTGTCCTATGGTAGGAATTTATGTAGGATAATATGGGAACTCCTGGGAAGAGCACCTAAAGAAACCTGGGGTGCTTAGGGTGATTGTTAAGAGCATAGACTTTAGAGTCACTCAGTACTAACTCGGAACCTCTGTTCCATTACCTGCTTGCTCTGTAACTTTGGGCAGGTTTACTTAACCTCTCCAAGCTGCAGCTTTTACATCTGTAAATTTGGGAAGATTTTAGAACCTACTTCTTTAGTTTGTGTGAGGATTGAAATGCAAATATAAATTAATGGATTTGAAGAAATGATTCTTCTTACCCTCCCTATTTCTGAAGGCTCAGAAGACATGCTCTGGAGGAAATGATTTGCACTGAGTCTTAAAGGATGAGTAGGCATTAGCCAGGTGAAGAGAGGGAGTAGGGTGGCAATCAGTACAGACGAATAAACCCACTCAGTAGAGCAGAGCTGAGAGATGAAATGGCATGTTTGTATAACTGCAGGTGGTTTAGATTGGTGGAAGCACAATATATGGGACAGTGGATGGAGGGAGTGGCAAAGTGACTCAGGGAGGAGTGTCCTGATCAGCTGCCATTCAGGGAGCATGGGGTAAAGGCAATAGATGAGGGGGCTGAGTCCAGACTATGGAGGCTCTTGAATGGTACAAGATATTTGAACCTCATTTTACAGGCAAGAAATTTTAGAGTTAGAAAGTACTAATTTGACAAATGGGCTTTAAAAACTGACCTATATTCTGAGATTTTTAGAGCAGTGTTTCTCTCAGTTTGGTCTCCAAACATTCATTAAAATCATGTGGAATTTTTCTTGTAAGTGCTGGTTTCTGGGCCCTACTTCAGTAATTGGAACGGCTGATGCTGAAAACAAAATTGACATTTTCAATGGTACTTGAAATTCTTGTGCACACTAAAGTTTGAGAACAGTTACCTTAAAACATAACTATGTTTCAGTCAGAAACATTGAAACTAACTGGGTAGCAATCAACCTTTGGGCAAAACAGAGTTTCTACAATCATGTTGACATGTTTTTAAAGTAATTACAGCAGTTTGTCATAAGCACCAACCAGATATTCATTTATAGGTGAAGGTTATTTCTAAGAACAAGGATGTTAAAAAAGAAACAAGAGAAAATAGTAAATGGTCTTATAAAGACAGTATGACACATCTTTGAAGTGGTGATTGCAACTCCACATAACTTTCGACTTCCAATTTTCACTTGTATGTAGGTGTTAATGAATCTCCTTTATATAAACTGTATGACATAAGATTAAGAAAAGTCATAAAAATAGTTTGACCCTAAAGAAATCCCCTGCAATATTTTTTCTCAAACATTGAAAGTGAAAAATAAGCACTATTTATTTTATGGTAGATGGACCATCCATCCAGGGGAAGAAAAAAAAAAAAAACCACCTCTGTTATTTTTATATGTAAATGCACAATTCTAATTTTATCAAATGTATAAGATATAAATATTTTATTAATTTATTTAAGCTGTACTTTAAATATTTTAATTCTCCATAGTTCTAACATATCTTGCTAACATCACTAGAGTTTGTTTAAAGTGCTCTAATTCTCATCTGAAGTGGAGATCTCTATTTTGGACAATTTGTAATACCTCACTGTTCTAATGAGAAGCATTATTTAAGAATCTGAAAAGTAAGGCGTATGGCAACTCCCTTTGACCATAGAGGATTTTCTTGTAGTAAACTGCCCTATCTAATGAAAATGAAGGATTTTATGTCTAAAGACAAGTAGAAAAGATGTGCTTTTGTATCAGGATAACTGATGCAAAACCAAACTGAGCAAAAGAGAAACAAGTCAAAGACAAACAAGGTGATAGAAAGATGCTAAAAAGTGCAGTGAAAACAATAGAATTAGTTTCTGTGGCAGAGACTGACTTGGGGGCAGGGCAAGCTACGTAATTTGGTCAAAACAGGGAAAAAGTTTCATTTTCTTGTTTCATGTTCTGTCTCGATGTGTCGTGGTTTTTTTTTTTTTTAATCATCATTTAATGCTATGCTGACTCAAGCATAGGGATAGTCCTGGGGTGAGAGCACACCCTGTCAGTGCTGAGGGCCTTCCTTGCCTCATAACTCCAACTTGGCACTTGGGTATGCTTGCCTAAGTCCAACTCATCCTGCCTGTGTGCTGCAAGTGGAGCGTAGCAGTGGTCTCTGGGTGGCTGCAGAGAAGCAGGCATCTGAGAATCAATCCAGGGAGATTGGGCGGACAGCAGGAGATGTGAGCCAAGGCTTCAAGGCCCAGACACATGATTCTTTGTCTCATTGAACTTCACTGACAAAACACGAATTCACAGGTAAAATTAGAATTTCAAGATGGCAATTACAGAGCATTAAACCCCAAGAGGGGGCCCACTTCTGAGCAAGGAACCGTCCTTGCTCAGAAGAGCATTGTGCTGTCTTAAATGCCTACCAATCTGGCCCATCTTGAGGATGAAAGTTCTACTGGGGCAATCAGGGAAGGCCTCACAGAGGAGGGAGCATATGGGTCACAATTGATGGGAATGAGGCCATTACGCCAAGATCTGGAGAACAGAGTTCCTAGCAGGAGGAACACCAAGCGCACAGGACTTGAGATGGGTAAAAGCTTAGTTAAATTTGAAGAACAGAAAGAGAGCCAGCATAGCTGAAGCTTAGTCAGTGAGGGTGGGGATTGGGAAGTGGAAGGATATGAGATCAGAGAGAGCCAGTTAACAACACATATGGTTATATACAATATATACTGTTCTATACAATATATTGTGCACCTGTTTTAAGTATGACCTTGGTCTAGGAGACTGAAAACTCCTTATGGATATGACTAAATTTATTTCATTTCCCCTTTGAAATATTGATTAAAAAGTCTACTGTAGTATAGTATTTTCAAACTACGCTTTTGTTATTACTTGAAGGAGAAAAGTAACCAAAGAATTTCATATCTCCTTCATAATTTTATTTTGCCTCTGGCTAAATTTGTCTTACTTACTTTGATGTTAACTGTGCATTTTTGAAGTTATTATATGAGTTAATTTCAAGGTCAGATTCAATATAGCCATGTGTTGCCCTTGCTTATAAAGAATATTGTATATTCCTACTTTACAATAAAGTTCCATCTCTCATTTCTCTCTGCTTTATCCTTTCTCCTGCCTAAATTATCTTCTTTTACTATACAACCATGGTCTAATACTTCCCTGTTTGAAAGCTTTTATTGACTACATTTTGCACATGTGATAATTACTCTGGATAACTTGGTTGCAAACGTCTCAGGCTATGATCCATCATGTAATTCATGCTCTAGCCTTTTGGTACTCTCCTTAGTTCTGAATAAATCTTTGACTTTCTTGTCCCTAAGTCTTGATTCAAGCCATTTCTTTTGTTTGGAAGGATTTCTTCTCCATTCTCATTCCCAAACCCTATACCTTGCTGTGCATAACCTCTTGCAGATCAGTTCACACCCACCCCTTGCAAGAAGCCTTATGGAGTACCTTTGATGGTAATTCACTGCTTCCTGCCCCCCTACACACATACAGTAGTTCCCCCTTATCCATGAGGGTTAGGTCCCAAGACCTCCAGTGGAAGCCTGAAACCATAGATAGTAGCAGACCCAATTGCCATCAATCAGAACATATTTCTGTTCATGCCTTTTACTCACAAATTTAATGCCTTTTCCGTCTTAACTAAGCACTTACCATGTGCTGTGGCTGTCAGTTTTGCAGTTTAATGTGCAGCAGCAAAACTAGCTGAATTTCTTTTCCCTTCTTCACAATTTCACAGATAGAAGATTCCTTCTTACCATAGATCTTAGCAACTGCAGCATACAATTTTTTTTTTCTTTCTTGTTAAGTTGAGAACTTTCCCCTTTTCACTTAAAGGAAGTACTTCACAGCTTCTTTTTGCCTGAATTGGAAAGGCAATGTCTCCTACCAAACTTAATGATTCTGATTTTCAAGACATATTTAATGAAGTCAGTAGACTATTTCCATGCTATCATAAACTACTCAGAAACATGCGCAGGAACAAATTTCTCTCTTTTGCGGGCAAGGCCATACCTTTTTTAGTTCTGTCATATTTATTCATCACAGATGTAAAATTTCTGATTTGGCAGGGATATCACTTAATGTCTTCTGTGTCCATTCCCTTGTTTTGCTCTTCCCCACATGTAACTGAAATATCTTTTCCCTTTTCCCATTTATCCATGTGGGGTCCATCTGCTAGTTCGTGTCTGGTAATCAATATTTATGTATTTCCTATTTTGTGCAATTGTTTTGTCTTTTCTTACAGAATTCAGAAAAGGCATGACCATGCAACAATATTAGTACATAAATAGTTGTTGGTAAATGTTAACTAAACTAATTTGATATATTTTGGTTAGAGAACTTACTACTCACTTTGTTTATTTTCTTTTTTGTTTTTAAGAAACAATCAGGTTTTTTTCTGGAAAACAAATCTACCTACCAGCTTTGGAAGGCTGGTTACTATATAGTAGTATACTTTCCAGAGAAAGATATCACTATTCTTTGGGATAGGAAGACAACTATTCATATCAAAGTTGGGCCACAGTGGAAGGTAGGTCAACCTAAGCTCCAAATGAGATGTAATGAATAAAATCACATTTAGTTTTTGATGTTTGATGAAAATAAAATGATTAATGTTTTCCTTTAAGAACTAGGTTATATTTCCAGAATTACTAACTCATACCCTTGTGAAAAAGAACTTCACCAACTAAGTACAGTGTTTGTGTACAGTTCTTTTTGACTTTAACCTTGCAGTATCCAGTTTTCCAAGATTACTTAAGCCAGCTTTCTTCTTCTCTTTTTCTTCAGCTTAATTATGTGATCTGTTCATAATGCAATTAGATTCAGTTCTTACAAACTGCGTTCCATGTTTTCCTCCACATTCTGGATATATATATTTTTAAGTTTACATGCAGTAAAATTATTATTATTTTTTTTTTTTGAGACGGAGTCTGGCTCTGTCGCCCAGGCTGGAGTGCAGTGGCGCAATCTCAGCTCACTGCAAGCTCCGCCTCCCGGGTTCACGCCATTCTCCTGCCTCAGCCTCCGGAGTAGCTGGGACTACAGGCGCCAGCCACTATGCAGGGCTAATTTTTTGTATTTTTAGTAGAGAACAGGTTTCACCGTGTTAGCCAGGGTGGTCTTGATCTCCTGACCTCATGATCCACCCGCCTCGGCCTCCCAAAGTGCTGGGATTACAGGCGTGAGCCATTGTGCCCAGCCTAAAATTATTTTTTAAATGTAAAAAATGTTACTCTTATTGTGTCTAGGTCTATAGATTTTGACAAATGCATTGTATTAGTCCATTTTCACACTGCTATAAAGAACTACCTGACACTGGGTAATTTATAAAGAAAAGAGGTTTAATTGACTCACAGTTCTGCATGCCTGGGAAGGCCTCAGGGAATGTACAATCATTGTGGAAGGCAAAGGGGAAGCAATCAACTTCTTCAAAAGGTGGCTGGAAAGACAGAAAGAATGAGGGGGAAATGCCACACTTTTTAACCATCAGGTGTCATGAGAACTCCCTCACTATCACAAGAACAGCTTGGGAGAAACCACCCCCATGATCCAATCACCTCTCACCAGGTCCTTCCCTCAACATATGGGGATTGTAATTCGAGGTGAGATTTGGGTGGGGACACAGAGCCAAGCCATGTTATGCATGGAGCCTTGTATCCATCACAACAGTTCTACATAGAACATACCTGTCAACCTCCAAATATACTTCATGTTGCTTCTTTATTGTCAACCCCTACCTTTACCTCCTAACCTCAGACAACCACTGATTATATTTTCCACTGCTATAGTTTTGTCTTTCTCAGATATCATATAAATGGAATTGTACAATCTGTAGTCTTTTGGGTCTGGCTTCTTTGACTTGGCAAAGTATATTTAAGATTCATACAAATTGTTGTGTGAATTCTATACTGTTGAGTAGTATTCTGTTGTGTGGATGTACCACACAATTTATTTATCCATTCATGGTTGAATATCCAATCTGAGTTGTTTATAATTTTTGGCAATTATAAATTATTTTATATACTATTCCCTGCTAAATATTTTTATTAAATATTGTTAGTTTACTATTTAAAATATTTAAAATTTGATTATTTTGAATATTTATTTGAACATTTTAAATTCATGTTTTAAAGTTGTTTGCAAAAACATTGATGTATTTTTTTAAAATTTAGTTTACCTGAAATTGAGACTGAGACTCATGGATATAATTTTTGTCAAAGAAAAATTGGAATAGCAACAATATCTTCTCAAAAATACAGAAAAGATACATTTTTAAAAAAGATTTTAATATGTCATAAATGTGAAATATGATTGTATATTGAAGTTATAGTCTTTCAGTCTTAAGGAGGATAAAGCCCAAAGATCTATTCTTAGGTTTGTTGGCATCTTGAATTTCTCTGATGAATCCAAAATAACCTTCAGTCATTGCTGTCTTTCTTCAATGAATATTCTCTGCCATTCTTCATCTGATATCCTTGTTTCCAGCAAGAATAGCAATATATTTTACTACTAGATGAAGGGGGAGAACTTGCAGTGATGATTTTCTAGAAGCAGTAGAACTACTCCTTAAAACCTTGAATTTAGACATGCTGAATGCTCTCTTCAATATTGAAGAATGGAATCTATCCCTTAATGGAGAAGTAGGCTGCCTATGTCTCTGGCAAAGCAGACAATAACCTTAGAATTACATCTGCCATAGCCACTTATTACCATGGGACCTCTGTTTTCAGAAATCATATCTGTTCAGACAGAGGCCACTACTAACAGTAGTTATCCTAAAGCTGAGGCATCAGGAAGGGGGATGTGGAAAAACAAATGGTTAACTTGTTTCTAACAGGCAGGCAATATGATATATTCCAACAAGTAGGGAATATATCTGCCATTCTTCATCCATATCCTTGTTTCTAACAAGGATGGGAATATATATAATTATGAATTACATATGTATATATATATACACATGAATTCTGTGTATACACACATATACATTTGCATACACATACACTCTCATATGTACTGTCTTGTTTGAATTATACTTTTCAAAGTTATTTATGTTATTAGTTGTATTAATGCTAAGACACTGGTAAGTGTGGATAAATAGGACTTGAAATCAGGTAAAATATTTTTGCAAATTTAAAATAATCACAAAATATAATTAAATTGGTATGAGAAAATCCACTTTCTTCAAGTTAATTTTTAAAAATGATTGCTGTGAAAATGCTTAAATATATATTTGAAATGTCTCAAAAGTTTTAATGAATATGAGTCTTTAAATGTTAAAGTGAAAACAGAATATTTCCTGGTGATTTTCTCTTACTTTAGAACAAGCTATCAGGATTGTGTGGAAACTTTGACAAATGCACTTCAAATGATATGACCACATCTAATAACTTGGAAGTGAGAAATGCTCGGGTATTTGGAGATAGTTGGGCATTAGGACAGGTAAGTTACATAAATGTATTTTAGAAGTCAACAAAAATTTTTAAGAATATTTTTTCACTAGAACATTTTATTCTTATTTAGGTAATATTATTTTACATACTATTTTCATAGTAATTTATAGCTGATAAACATTCATATTTATCTTCTCATGTAATTTTTCTGATTACCTTATCATATAAAGGATGTTTTCTCCTTAGTATAGATGAAGAAATTGAGGCTCAGGGAGGTTAAATGAGTTGTCTAATATTATATGGTTAGAAAGTAGCAGAGGTGACATTCAAATTCATCTCTTCACCCTCATGTTTTCCTCACCATAGCAAAATGCCAATCAATGTATCTGCATTTCGAAGGATGATGGAACTTTTGCCAGTTCAAAGCAATAAATAAATGAAGACAAAATTTCTTAACAGCCATGTTACTGTATTACATGAAATAAAGGGAGACACGTGTATATGTGTGTGGGTGGGTGGATTGTGGTCAACTACCTTTGGCAGCAGTTGGCTAAATTAATTTTTGCATATTTCTCTTTCAAAGGTTTCTTGAGGCATTATAAGCCTATAAAGAAGGGACATGTCTGAAGGATTTTCCAAACTTACTGACATAATATATATTTTTATTTATTAATTCTCAAGGAAGTAGTGTTATATGAAACACATTTTGAAAAATGCTGAACTCAGAAAACAGAGTCAAATTGGAAATTGGTTCTATTCTTTCCTCTACTTTCTTTTTAGCCTGTTGTTCTTTTCAATTGATAAGAGTGTTTGAAACCACAATTTCCTGATTGGTTACCATTTGGTTAGTTACTTCTCTACTTTGCCTAGTTTACTAATATGTCTAAATCTCTTTAAAGAATAAAGAAGGGATGGGGTAAAACATTTATTCCAGTCAGTAATTTTTGAGTGTGGTCTAAGCTTAAGAGTATGAAAGTGTACCTTTTAATATCTAAAATATCCACTATATTGAGAGAGACAAAATCCTTTTAACTGTGGCTATCTTACATCTTGTTACCTTTAGAAGTTTTGAAAAAAATCGTTTTACATTCTTCTCTCTGCAAATGAATTAAGAAGTAACTATTTCTTTTTTTTTTTTAAATTTTATTTTATTATTATTATTATTATTATTATTTTTTAATTGATCATTCTTGGGTGTTTCTCGCAGAGGGGGATTTGGCAGGATCACAGGACAATAGTGGAGGGAAGGTCAGCAGATAAACAAGTGAACAAAGGTCTCTGGTTTTCCTAGGCAGAGGACCCTGCGGCCTTTCCGCAGTGTTTGTGTCCCTGATTACTTGAGATTAGGGAGTGGTGATGACTCTTAACGAGCATGCTGCCTTCAAGCATCTGTTTAACAAAGCACATCTTGCACCGCCCTTAATCCATTCAACCCTGAGTGGATACAGCACATGTTTCAGAGAGCACAGGGTTGGGGGTAAGGTCACCGATCAACAGGATCCCAAGGCAGAAGAATTTTTCTTAGTACAGAACAAAATGAAAAGTCTCCCATGTCTACCTCTTTCTACACAGACACGGCAACCATCCGATTTCTCAATCTTTTCCCCACCTTTCCCCCCTTTCTATTCTACAAAACCGCCATTGTCATCATGGCCCGTTCTCAATGAGCTGTTGGGTACACCTCCCAGACGGGGTGGTGGCCGGGCAGAGGGGCTCCTCACTTCCCAGTAGGCGCGGCCGGGCAGAGGCACCCCTCACCTCCCGGACGGGGCGGCTGGCCAGACGGGGGGCTGACCCCCCCCACCTCCCTCCTGGACGGGGTGGCTGGCCGGGCAGAGGGGCTCCTCACTTCCCAGTAGGGGCGGCCGGGCGGAGGCGCCCCTCACCTCCGGGACGGGGCAGCTGGCCGGGTGGGGGGCTGACCCCCCAACCTCCCTCCTGGACGGGGCGGCTGGCTGGGCGGGGGGCTGACCCCCCCACCTCCCTCCTGGATGGGACGGCTGGCCGGGCAGAGTGGCTCCTCACTTCCCAGTAGGGGCGGCCAGGCAGAGGCGCCCCTCACTTCCCGGACGGGGCGGCTGGCCGAGCGGGGGGCAGACCCCGCCACCTCCCTCCCGGACGGGGTGGCTGGCCGGGCAGAGGGGCTCCTCACTTCCCAGTAGGGGCGGCCGGGCAGAGGCACCCCTCACCTCCCGGACAGGGCGGCTGGCCGGGCGGGGGGCTGACCCCCCCACCTCCCTCCCTCCCGGACGGGGCGGCTGGCCGGGCGGGGGCTGACCCCCCCACCTCCCTCCCGGACGGAGCGGCTGGCCGGGCAGAGGGGCTCCTCAGTTCCCAGTAGGGGCGGCCGGGCAGAGGCGCCCCTCACCTGCCGGACGGGGCGGCTGGCCGCGCGGGGGGCTGATCCCCCCACCTCCCTCCCGGACGGGGCGGCTGGCCGGGTGGGGGGCTGACCCCCCCACCTCCCTCCCGGACGGGGCGGCTGGCCGGGCGGGGGGCTGACACCCCCACCTCCCTCCCGGACGAGGTGGCTGCCGGGCGGAGACACTCCTCACTTCCCAGACGGGGTGGCTGCTGGGTGGAGGGGCTCCTCACTTCTCAGACGGGGCGGCTGCCGGGCGGAGGGGCTCCTCACTTCTCAGACCGGGCGGTTGCCAGGCAGAGGGTCTCCTCACTTCTCAGACGGGGCGTCCGGGCAGAGACGCTCCTCACATCCCGGACGGGGCGGCAGGGCAGAGGTGCTCCCCACATCTCAGACGATGGGCGGCCGGGCAGAGATGCTCCTCACTTCCCAGATGTGATGGCGGCCGGGAAGAGACGCTCCTCACTTTCCAGACTGGGCAGCCAGGCAGAGGGGCTCCTCACATCCCAGACGATGGGCGGCCAGGCGGAGACGCTCCTCACTTCCCAGACGGGGTGGCGGCCGGGCAGAGGCTGCAATCTCGGCACTTTGGGAGGCCAAGGCAGGCTGCTGGGAGGTGGAGGTTGTAGCGAGCCGAGATCAGGCCACTGCACTCCAGCCTGGGCACCATTGAGCACTGAGTGAACGAGACTCCGTCTGCAATCCCGGCACCTTGGGAGGCCGAGGCTGGCGGATCACTCGCGGTTAGGAGCTGGAGACCAGCCCGGCCAACACAGCGAATCCCCGTCTCCACCAAAAAAATACAAAAACCAGTCAGGTGTGGCGGCGCGCGCCTGCAATCGCAGGCACTCGGCAAGCTGAGGCAGGAGAATCAGGCAGGGAGGTTGCAGTGAGCCGAGATGGCAGCAGTACCGTCCAGCTTCGGCTCGGCATCAGAGGGAGACCGTGGAAAGAGAGGGAGAGGGAGACCGTGGGGAGAGGGAGAGGGAGAGGGAGAGGGAGAGAAGAAGTAACTATTTCTAATGGTACTTAAATATCTGGAGTAGTCAAATAATTTTAAACCGCCTCAAAATAAATTTTTTATTCATACCTGATAGACAAGGCTAAAATTCAGGTCATTTAAAAAATTCACTAATTTTTATTTAGCACTTAATGTTTTCCATTACATACAGACACATAATATGGATAAATCACAGTCTTTGCCTTTAAGGAATTTAGAGTCTAGAGGTGGAAAATTTCGAGGTGGAAAAATTAACAGTCGGAACATAGTAAGATAGTTGCTTTGATAGAAGTGCACACAAAGTGGGGATTGTGATGGTCCAAGAAAGGTTCCTGGAGAAGGTACCCTGCAGGTGAATCTTATAAGATTTATAGGAGCTAAGAAAGTGAAATTTATGGGAAAGAATTTAACAGGGAAAGGAGGGAGCAGCCACCTAGAAGATGTCAAGAGGCTGGAGAGAGTGTGGTGCACAAAGTGAATTTCAAAAAGTTAATTTTGGTTGTGGTGTAAGGTCTGAAATACAGAATAGCTGAAGTGCAAAGTATAGATCTGCAAGATACAAGGGCCAAGAGGCTCTTATAATCCAGCTAGAAATATTAAGTCAGTAGAGATTTAAGACTGTATTAGGAAGGATGAATTTGGAGGTTCCAAGAAGGTCTCCTACTTTCCTGGCTTCCTGGGTGGATACTGGTGTTCCTTCCTGAGGCAGGGCAAAGAGGAGGAAATGAATGTGGATAGTCGGGGAAGGACAATGGTGTAGAGGTAGGGATGATTAGGATCTGCTGAGAGAGAAATGACAGATATATTTAGGTGGAAATGTTAGTTCTGAAATTCAGGAAGGAGATGTGGGATGGACATAGGGATATGGCAGTGACTAGTATATTCAGGGCGTTGAAGCCAGGACGCGTGTACCGAATGAGAAAAATAGAGGTTTGAGGATTAAGCTTTGCAAAGAGAGGAGGGAGAACGAGATTAGGGAACAGCAGCCAATGTAGCAAGAGGAAACCCAGCAGAAAATTGTGTCACCAAAACCAAATGAGGAGAGACATTTAAGAAGGGTAAAGTATTAAATAGAATCAGAGGCAGCAAAAGTCAAGCAAAATGGAAGACTGAAAAATTGCCTTTATATTTAACAATGAAGAGGTCATGGATGACATTTTTCAGGGCAGTTTCAGGGAAGGGTATTAGGGGAGGAAGAGGCCAAATTGCTGCATGTGTGGGAATTGAGTCTGCAGAGACTTGGGTGCATATAACCTCTCAGATGATTTGTGACAGAAATGAAGAAGATGAAGATGAAAGAAACAGGTCATGCTCATGTAATTTTTTAAGTCATGCAAATGCTGTGTTTAAGACAATTTAAAAATCATTCATCACCACTCTATCTCTAATATTGCTATGATTTTAATATTCTGTTTAGTTGCTTTCAAAAATAATATATGCAATTAACATTGAATAGGATGTGAGCAGGTGCTTTACGCAAATCCTATCTAAAAGGATGAGAATATATTAGGCGCAATTGTAATGAGTGAAGTTGGGTAGGTTACTCTGTTTGAGAAATTGTCCCTTTGAAAACTTCTTTTCTCTCTTAAATTTTTTCAACAGTGTGAAAGTCCAGATGAAACAATTAAACCCTGTGAGGCACATCAAAACAAATTTCCTTATGCCAAGAAAGAATGCTCCATTTTGTACAGTGATATTTTTGCTTCTTGTCGCAATGTGGTAAATGAATACTTTAATGAACTCTCGAGTTTCAATATGTTCTACTGTGTCTATAATACTGAGGTGAACACGACACGTAACTGGGTGATCCACTGGCTTTTTAGATATACCACCTAACTATTGTTAGGGGGGCATATGTGTTAGTTTGTTTTTCTGTAGAAGTGGCACATTTAGTTGATTTACTTTCTCCCTTACTACATCTAATTTAACAGTGTACCTTTGTACGTATTTGTAATAATTTGTTCTAGTTTATGGAACATTATTTACATACATCATTTTATGATTAAGAGCATAAATGTTTACTTTTCTTTAGAGAACATTGTCAAATGGGTATTCTTCTCAACTCAAAGTGCAGTTTAAAAGTATTGCTTGTAGCACATTTGAAATGTTTTTAGAAGCACATCCCAAGATGGAATGTACTTATTTAGAAATTTCGTTTTCAAAATTCCTTCCTAGCATGATTATTTTAGGTCCCAATAGAAGTTTAAGCAATATTTCAATGTATTGGTAAGAATTAAGTAATATTTCTGCTGCATACAAAGCTATGCCAGTGGTCTTGAGGGAACTCACTTGTATGATTGTTTGACTTGTGAGCTAAGATGTTGTTTTTCTCTTGGAATACCATTCTGTTTCAAAGAACAAATGATATATGGTTATTCAGACATTCAGACAGGGATATTTGGCAGATATTTTCTTTCTTTCTTTCTTTTTATGAGATGGAGTCTTGCTCTGTCATCCAGGCTGGAGTGCAGTGGCATGATGTTGGCTCACTACAACCTCTGCCTCCTGGATTCAAGCGATTCTCCTGCCTCAGCCTCCCGAGTAGCTGGGATTGTAGACGGCAAATTTTTCTATTTTTAGTA
The DNA here is from genome assembly GCF_000001405.40 of Homo sapiens. Classification (NCBI taxonomy): domain Eukaryota; kingdom Metazoa; phylum Chordata; class Mammalia; order Primates; family Hominidae; genus Homo; species Homo sapiens. The sequence continues at coordinate 80,311,591 of NC_000012.12, forward strand.
GAGACCGGGTCTCGCCATGTTGGCCAGGCTGGTCTGGAACTCCTGACCTCAGATGATCTGCCCACCTCTGCCTCCCAAAAGGCTGGGATTACAGGCGTGAACCACTGCGCCCGGCAGATATTTTATTAAAATGTGTGAAATGAGTCCGTGTCTTTAAGGAAACACCTGATGGTGTCTGTTGTCTTTGATAAAATTTACTTTCAAGGGAAAATTAGAGTTTTGTAAAAGTTAGATCCACCCCTGCGAGCTTATAAGGTTTTTGATACTTAATGAGTTTTTTGTTGATCTAGATGGTGATATTAACAAATGTGACTTGTAGCTATTGTATATAATCAAGTGTGTCAACATTTCGAAGATCTGCACGGGTCCATAAATTTTCCACATGACCAATGCATGATGTTACAAAATCATGCAGAAGTAAAAAATTCATTCAAAGGGCGAAATAAAAAACAATTTTAATATAGCAAAATATAAAGTTAATTGATGTGTTTTTAGATTTCACATTGCAAAGAACTTTTTAAAAAATGATATTTTTTGAGTTTTGATATAGTGTCAAAGAATATCACAATTACCTGAAAAAGATATTAAAGTACTCCTTCCTTTCCAACTAAATATATGCATGGAACCGAATTTTCTTCATCTATGTCAATCCAAACCCAAACAAGACAAAAACATTACGATAGACCGGATGAAGAAGCAGATATGAGAATCCCCCAGTGTGCTATTAAGCCACACATTAAAGAGATTTGCAAAAATGTAAAACAGTGCACTCTTTTCACTATTTCTTAGCATATATAAATATTTTTCAATAAAATCATGTTATTCATGTAAACATATAGGGTTTATTGTTATTTTTAAATGTCTCATTTTTAATGTCTAATAGAGTAAATATTGGTAGATATAATCCCATAAACAAAACCTCTTTGGGGATCTCAGTGATTTTTTAAGAGTGTAAAGGGATTCTGAGACAGAAAAGTTTGAGGACTGCCATATTAGAGCCACATAGGTAGACTAAAGTCTTGTTTATAAAAAGGGTTGCTTTTGAGACTTTTCAGAGTTTCCAAGGACCACACCTGCTTGACAAGGAATATTGTGTCAAGTCTGGAGTCCTGAACCACAGAGCCTGCTGGTTCTTTTCCACTTGAAAAGAAAAATTAACCCATGAACTGACCTAAAAAATAAAATACAGCTCAGTGACAGCAAATCCTGCTTCTTTTCTTCTTCTTCTTCTTTTTTTTTATTTGAGACAGAGTCTCTGTCGCTCAGGCTGGAGTGCAGTGGTGCGATCTCAGCTCACTGCAACCTCCGCCTCCCGGGTTCAAGTGATTCTCCTGCCTCAGCCTCTTGAGTCCCTTGCTCCTTTTTTAATGCACTGTCAATATATTAAATTTTGTCAGCTACTTAAATGTAATGCAAATAAATAAATTAAGTAAATAGAATAAGTTGTTTTTAAAGATTGCTATTACCATTAATAGCCATTAGGATGTTGCATGAGCAGGGGCAAAAAAGAAAGGAAAGAAGGAAGAAAGATACGAAATTATATAAAATTACAATTGGAAGCAGAAGGTGCCCTTATTTTAATGTCATGTGATTACATCAATAATGACAGAAGCTTCCAAAAATTAATCTGTTATATTGCAGATGTTGAAGTCATATATATTTATTAATCTTATTATTTCTTTTGCTAGTTCTTTGATGTGACATTTTCCTAATACATTTCTTTCTCCTTTGGGCAATAAAGAGGCTTTAAATAAAGAGAACTCTCTAGGTGGCAGTGTTAAGCTGATAATATCAAACTTTGAAAACACATAGTTTTTTAGACGGTTGACTTTAAATCATAATCAGTATCTATTGAAATTAAGTAATCTTTCACCTCATTTTTCAGATTGACGTTACTTCTTTTGCCAAAAATTGTCATGAAGATACATGTAACTGCAATCTTGGTGGCGACTGTGAGTGTTTGTGCACTAGTATAGCTGCATATGCATACAAGTGTTGTCAGGAAGGAATATCAATTCATTGGAGATCATCTACTGTTTGTTGTAAGTACCCTACTTAGAACATCATTATGTAGAGAACTGATAAAGAGATACATATTAATTGTTGATTTAGCTTAGAAATAATGCCAGGAGACTCATGGGAATAGAATTAAATTAAAATGACTAAATTTTATATTCCTTTGACAATCATAAATTATAGAATACCGAAAGGACTTATAAAAATAAATTGTGAGATAATATTTTGTTCTGTGTTTTATTGCTGTCATTGTACCATTTGAAATATAAATTATTTAAATACCATCCTTAGAGAAATTGTTTATGACTTTATTTCTTTTATGCCTATGAAGTTTCATCGTTCTGATGATAAATATATTTTAAAAAAATCACCTTGAATTTGCTTTCAGATTTGACTCTTTAAGCTTTTAATTTACTTGTGTAGGTGGTAAGATATCTGAACAAACTTACAATTTGAACACTTTCAGCTGAGGTTTCTAAATTGGCAATATATTTTCCTACTTTAAAACAATTATATGAAATTTAATTAATTACAGCATATCGCTTAAAGAATCTTCTTTGCTCAGAAAAAGTTCCTAAATAATACCATTTTATATTCTTTCACATAGTTATTGATAAATATGTGGCCATATCTTGCCCACATTCAGATAAGTGATTGACTTCTTACATAGTTTAATATTTATTCTTTTTTTCTTTTAGCACTTGATTGTGAATACTACAATGAAGGTATGTGACATTCAAATTAAAAATATCACTATAGTATTCTATTAGGTGTATTTTCATATTAAAAATTTTTGAACAACTTATGCTGTGAACAAACTATAAATAGTTCATAACTATATAACTCCATAAAAGCTTTTAATTTTTAAAATTTTCAAAAATTTCTCAGTATTTGTGTTAAGATTTATTTCCTGAAAACTAAAATAGTGTGTAACTTAAGTTCTCAGAATTTAAGAGGCCCTCAGTACAGTTTTGGAATGACATGAATGAATGGGTGGGTGAAGTTAGTTAATTTTTTAGATAAAAAGGATGAAAGATCTATAACAAATGCATACCTTTACCATTATTTATAAATGTAAACATTGTTCAAATGTTTTTTAAAATTTTATCTTATTTTTAAATTGACAAATATAATTGTATATATTTATGGGGTACAATGTAGTGTTTTGATACATGTACACATTGTGGAATGATCAAATCAGGCCAATTAGCATATCCATCACCTCAAATATTTACCATTGCTTTGTGGTAAGAACATTTGAAATTCTTTCTTTTAGCTATTCATTCTTTAAAAACCAAGAAATTCTATCATTTGCAACAACACGGATGAACCTAGAGAACATTATGCTAAGTGAAGTAAGTCAGGCACAGTGAGACAAATACCATATGATTTCACTTATTTGCAAAATCCAAAAAAGTTGAATTTTTAGAAGTAGAGAATAGAATGGTGGTTACTGGAGGCTAGTGGTTGGGAAGTGGGCAGGGAAAGGGCAGATGTTGGTCAAAGGGCACAAAGTTTCAGCTAGGTAGGAGGAATAAGTTCTGGTATCTATTACACAGCGTGGTGACTATATTCACAATTTTCTTATGTTGTGGAAATCAAAGAAACAAAGTATAAATGCAGTGACATAAGAAATAATGTAAGGAATTTATTTTGCCATCATTGTAGGCAAAAGTCATTCTTACATATTACCAGGATAAGAACTTATTGATACAATAATAATGAAAATCTTCTAATCTCAGCAAACATCCAGATTTGCAATAAGAAATCTGAGAGGTGCTGCTGTCTAAAACTAAGGTATAGATGTAAGAAGAGACAGAGAATTACATTTTTAGTGAAATTACTTGAAGATAGCAGAATTGGAGTCTTTTTGCAAATCTATTTAATGAGGAAGGCGCAGGCCTCAAAACCTAATTCAGACAAGTAAGGTGATCTAGGGAAGTATCCATTTTGTCAGTAAATGGGTGAACTCTGGATCCATGATGGATGTGTCAGTTAGAATAATAGTTACAGGAAATCTTGGCCAAGCAACCAATCTGAGGCACTTCAGGTGGCTTGTTGGAGAAATTTGTCAGCTAGATAATTTTAGAGAAAAAGAGATAATGAATTAAAAAGAAAATGGGCATTTTTGATTTTAGTTGTATTTGTTACATTTATAGAAGTTTGATAGAGGAGGAAAATTCAACATTAAAAAATATCTGTGGTAGTTAAAGAAAATCGAACTAAAATTATGTCCTGTTCAAGATTTTAAAGAGACTGCCACACACGTGCATGCATACACGCACACACAAACACACACTTCACATCAATCTTTGGATTCCATAATTAAAATGTGATTTATTGTCTAATAATAACAACAGTAGCTTTTGTTGTGTTAACTGCTTTCTCTAGATCATATAATTTAAACTTCAAAATATGTCATTATTTTATTTTATTATCTGCATTTTGCTATTATCAACACTTTCAGAGGAAATTGAAGCAGAGAGAGATTAAATAGCTTTGCCAAATTCACTTGGCCAAAATGTGGCAAACTGGGATTTGTGAACAATTTGGCTTCAGGGCCAGTGAGCATGACCTCCATGCTACGTGGCCTACTGTATGGTTAATACATCCTAGTGTAGGGATGATCACCGCACATTGTCATCACAGGTTCTACATAATGTGCACAGACAACAATCTGAGAAAATGCTCCAATAACTTCCTCACTCAAAAATTCCTGTCACACCCAGTTCTGTTATGACAATCTCCATCTGTGCCTTTGTATTTTCTGGCATTTCTCCTGCAGACTTGTGGACCCAGAAGCAGAATTTTCTATGCATATTGAATCTCTCTACCTCTTGCTACTTGCTACATTTTGCTCTCTGTTAACAAGTCTGCTGAGCTTCTAGTGATGGTTCATTCTTCTAATGTGTTACAGAATCCTTCAAACCTGTTCTTCTAGTTTCATTTGTAATACCGTATTGATAATATCAGAGCATGAACATGGGGCATTTGGCCTTTGTGAGACACTGTTTGGCTCCATGGAGTGGCAGGCAAATAAATTTACTATGATCAAAGTAATGGAGAAACGCATCAATGTGCCAAGGGGCGTCAGAATTTGTAAAAGCAATGCAACAGTGATAGACGTTGAAGGGGAATATAAAACTGTGATGATTGTGGAAAGTGATAATAAATAGAAAATAATTCTAAATGGTTATTCTTAATTTGTTTCATCCCAAATAAATTTCACAGCTATCATAAATTTACCTAGTCCTTTTTGGGCATTTATAGCTGGCATATTTCTACCTGTCTTTATTTGTTACATGCCAGACACTATGTTATTAAGATACTTATAATATTTAAAGCACATACATAAATAAGTAATTGTGATTCTGTAGGAAGAATTTTAAAAAGTAGTAGAAGAATTCAAAGGTTATTGCTGAGATTATTTCAATAATCTTTAGCACAATGATTCTATATAATATGTTTGTGTTCATTTATATGACTTTTACTAAAAATGTAAAGCTTGCATTTGAAATGCTATTTCTGTAGGTGAGGGAGAACTTCAGTTTCCTACTAAAAATTGTTATGTGAGTTTTAAGTTCAGGGTAATTTTATTAGATAGGATATGCTTATTTCTGTTTTTAAAGAATCACTGCAGGAAATGATTGCTTTCAGTAGATGGTGAAATTATACTTCTCCATGCAGAAAATTAATGATAAGATCAATGACTTTTGTCTCCCAGTTGCTGGTGAAAATAGTCCAGAATCAAGCTACCAATTAACTGAGAGTCAATTCAAAAGCTTTAGGTTTTTATACAAACAGATTTCTTGTTGGCAATTGTCTCTTCAGGTTGCTGTATTAAGGGGTGTGTGCAGCAGGGGAGAGATTTTGTTTCTCTGTCTCCTTTCTCATTCTTATGTTGAATATTCATGAGGGTGCTTCAAGTCCTCAAGTTGTAGTTGCATACACATCTTCTCCATTCTGAATTGTATCTCATTATAATTCACTTATTATTTGTATATTATTCACATATTTGTACAAATCTACATATTTATACTTTGAAGTATATTTGCATCTTGGAGGTTTTTGTCACTTTCCTCTTGTCCATGCTAGAAAATTAGCCATTACCAGGTAGAGACTATTGCTATAATTTTCTTTGGTCCTCCTGTATTTTGGCTCATGGAGAAACACTGCATTTGTAACATTTGTAACCATGGTGGTGAGTCTCCTGCAGCCAGGCTAAGAAAAATTGTCCACTGTTTCTGCTCAGCTCCACCTTGATGTGGGGGCAAAGCTGTTTCAGGTTTCTATCTCTCTACAGGGTACCAAAGTCCCTAGTGAAGCTCTTTTTCTCATAGTTTATAAGGGTCCCCAGCTGCTCAATGGTGCTGTGTCCCAGATGATGGGTCAGTGAGGAGATTACACTTGAAAATAATGTATCCTCTCAGTCTTTTTGTTCTTCTCCTTGTCCTTGTGATGGAAATTTTGGTTCTCCTTCCCCTTTCCTAATTGGAAGACTTCTTATCCCTCCAATCCAATTATCCTTTCCCCTTTATTTAGGCCCGGTCTTAAGTCCTTAAGGGGAAAAAAGTCTTGCCCTTATATTCTTTGAATCTTTTTTCTCCTTCTTCAGCATGTATTGAGTTAAATTGGCTTTGAGGTAAAACTGGGAGAAGAGGGAAAGTAAAATACACTGAGTGCAGTAAGATTAAACCTTTATGAAACAACTGATCACGTGTATATCAACATTTTGCATAACCTACAACACGAACATCTACATATACATCATTATATATATAAATCATTATTTTTGAAGAATTCAGTTATTTTATTAGTGATAAATTTTTAATTGCTCAATTTTTGAAGTATTTTGTTATTAAAACATTTCTTTGAAATGACAGATTGAAATTTTAAAAATCTATGCCAATTTATAATTCTAATATTTATATTTAACTAGGACTTGGAGAAGGACCATATATGCTGGCAAGCTATGGGCAGAGTGGCCTTGTTCTGGGGGCCAATATGACCAGCAGAAGCGTTTTCTGTTTGCCGAGAAGCAGTGTTCATACCAGTTTATTTTTTTATTTTATGATCACTCCAGGCCTTTTCAAAGAGAAGGTATCATGTAAGTATAATTGAAAATAAGAGTTTAGCTTTCCAATTACATTTTAAAATTTAGCCACTCAGTAAATATTAATTGAGAATCTAATATGTTTATGGTATTTTTTAAAAGTGCTCTAAAGCATATGAAATAAAATATAACATTGGCATATCAGCCAGCTTTCTCTTTTGTATACAAAATCATTTCTTTGTTTATTTATTGGCATATATATATTAGAATTGCAAATGTTTGAGTTTTTGGTTTTAAATAAAATATAGCTAAAATTTTCATAGTATTAATCACAGAACTTAATTTGATGTTTTTGAAAAACCATCCACTGATTCTTAATATTTGAAAGGTTTTATGCCCCCAAAAGTAAAAGCAAATTGTGAATTGATACCAAAGAAGTTCTACATGAAGAGCATAAATCAGAGTGTAGACAGTCATTGTGACAGTCTGTTATTCTGTTATCCTTACCTGCCTTGTCTGTCCTAGTTCCTGGACATGTCCTCAGTGCCCTGAACCTAGCTCTACATTTACTGGTTTGCACCTGCAGGTCTGTACTGGTTGTATCCACCTGGCACCTGTTCTGATTGGTGGTAGTTTCCCTTCTGATCCAGTGATGTTCAGGCTACCTCATGTCTACATAAGTCTACCTGGAACCATGCATGACATGTTGTATAAGCTTAGGAATTTATTTGTTGGATGAATCAATCAGACTTAACTTTCGCTTATTCTGAGAATGCTCACAATTCTCCAGTTAGAATAAATTATATATTTCCTGTAAAAAGAACTCTCTTAGTTCTGAAAACACCTATCACCATCAAGTTCTAAATTACGCTGGTTACATTTTTTTCTCATGTAAAAATTTATTATTCTTGGCATCTTTTGGTGCTCAGCAGAAGAACTTAAATTTTACAACATGATAAATGCCTTTGAAATAATATTGAATTTGGGAGAGCTCTTGATTTTACGATTAGTAATAACTAATGATTTTACTAGAAAAAATCCAAATAATGTTTATTGAAGAAAATCAACCTAAAATAATCTCAATTTAAAAACTTTTATTTCATGAGTTTTACAAATATAAGGTAAATGTTAAAAGCTCTAGCTGAAAAAGGGTGATAATTTTTCAATGCTTTGTAAAGCTCATTAGCCATTTGGTCATCTTTTGGGAAATGGACAATAATGTTGGATAAATAGTCTCTTCTTGGTGCAGTAAGATCTCTTTCAAGAACATTTGCTCATTAAAAGAGCCCTGTGATACTGAAATGCAGTTACATCCCTAAATTGATCTATTTCTGTATTCTCTTTTCTATCATCAAGTTTAGCCATTAGTAGGTTTTGTACATTTGTAAATGTTAAAGCTTGCAAACGCAAATATATGTCCAATTAATCATTCAATTTCTTGTATGAAATTGTACATTCTGGAGTCCTCATTGACATTTCCTTTTTTCCCCCAAGGACAAAATAAATTATTAAAAAAATAGAAGTTACCAAAGACTGATTTTTTTTTTTAGTGATATCACTGTTATTCACTGAATTTAAAGTACTACTTTTTTTTTTCTTCTTTCAAGCATCTCCTAGTTTATTTGTGAAATCTTAGTTATTGGCACTAATTATGTTTGGCAATTGTGCAGTACTATTTTGTTTACTTTATAAGTACATTTTGTGATGCCAATGTTGATGATCTTCCTTCTCCTGAGAATCCACACTGCTCTATATTTTACAGCATTAGCACTTGTTTCCTTGGAATCTGCTGAAAGGCCAAACTACTTTCTCTATGTCCATGACAATGATACTCTTAGCTTGGAGCTGTGGGAGGCGAATTCAGCCTTTCATCGGAGAGCAACATTTTTCCACCATCAGGGCCTCTGGATTCCTGGTTACAGTGCATTTGAGTTATACAGCAAGAAAGGCTTTTTCATCATATTCACAGATTCTAGTGTCAAAGCATCAAAATATGATGATTCTGAAGAATTTAAACATTCAAGTAGCTTCAGCATAGAAGGTATGTTTCCTGAGATCTCCAAAAAGAGAACAAATAGGTAATTTATATTAGGCAGAATATTTATGTCTTTAATTTAAAAACCATTCTTACTGCATATAAGCAGATAGACTTTTATGACCTTAAGTAAGTGTCTTAACCTCTATACCCCTCTATATCTCCAATATACGTATTGGAGAAATAATAATATGTACTTTATCGGGTTATGGTGAGTATTGAATAAGTTGATGTAAATTACTTAGAACAATCCTAAATAACCTGATTTTTTATTATTATTACCCCAATTATTACTACCAGTGCTGTCTGGACATTGGAATCAGGGCTCACTCATGTGGCTTAGTTGTCTAATGTTTATATCTCCTTTTTCTTTCCTAGAAGGCAACTCTAATTTATCTGATTCTTAGTGATAAGGACAATATATTTACTTCTGTCATTTGAATACAAGGTGTCTGTTTCCATTGACCTCTAGAAGATTTCTCTAGTTCAGCAGAAACCTAATCTTACTTCTAGAGAGCCTTTGAGGTCTATAGCTATTGAATTTTCTGCAGCAAGCTTCACTCCTTTATGCAGTGTTTAAAAGTCATGCTTTCTTTTCAAAATCCAGAAGCTTGATATCTATCTTGAGTCTCCTCAAGAAATCGTTTCATCCTTGTGAACCCTCCTAAAGGAGTTCAAGACAGCAACTAATTTGCCTTTTCTGTTGAGAATATATTTCTGCAAGCCCTTCTAATAATAGATTTTAAACAGTACAAATTGAGCTTCAAAATACCTAATGTTAAATGACAAGTTAATGGGTGCAGCACACCAACATCGCACATGTATACATATGTAACAAATATGCACGTTGTGCACATGTACCCTAAAACTGAAAGTATAATAAAAAATAAAAAAATAAAAAATAAAAAAAAATTTTACCTATTGAATACAGTTCTTCTATGCAAAGATTCCTAAGTCTGGCAGGAGGTTTTGTGCAAACCCAGATGCCAGAATTCTGCAAGGGTTCTTACTCTGGCAACGAGCTCAGAACAAAGAAAAAGAAGCTCTAATATCTCTACCATTTGCATTCTTAGGTGTGGTGACATACATTCTTTAGTGTGGTGACATACTCACAAAACAAGTCAGGCAAAGGAATTTTATTACTTAACAGACAGGCAGCAAGAATCAACAGAAGCCTAGGATTCATGGTGAGCCAGTCCTCTAGGCTCAGAAAAGCCCAGGGTGAACTGAATCTTGTCTGCACATGCTCCAGGTTGCACTGCAGCTGAGGGACCCTGAAAGCACTCTGCCCTGGATTTGATACTTCAGGTGCAACTGGAATCACCGAGCACACACTTTGCAGGACATCCTGTTGGGAATGGCAACAGAGCCTGGATTGTTTCAGAAGATTCCTCCTTACCTCAGGATAACCCTCAGAACATTTTGCAGTTGTTTTGAGATCTGCAAGTGGGAGAGAGAAAGCAAGGAGAACCAAGGGGAGAGCTGTCCTCCTACACTGTGCTCTTGAGAAAAGGAACCACTGACATATCTATATAGCATTCCATACAGTGGATGTGATTTGCTTACTTCAGTTTACCTACCGTTGACCTTTACAGGCCTCTATTTCCCCTCTGCTCTAGAAATCTGTGCCCTTAGAACCAGACCTAGTAGCCCCATTTGAGGCTTAGAGAACTGCAGCACATGGCATCATCAGAATATCAGAAGCTGATCTTTGTGGGCTTCTGAAACCTAGGAAACTCCAGGAGCCTATTGTAGTCTTGGAACCAGTCCTCTTTCAGGATGCGTGAGACGAGTAACTCAAGTTCAGCAATTACTTAAGTCTTTAGATGTATAGATGCTTTCCAAAAAGACTTATTTTCCTTGCTGTAATTTGGAATTGAATTCTGTGTCCAGAGTCCAAGAAACATACCTGCTTCCTGAATTTTCTTTCTTAAGAGGTTCTCTTGTTCAGAGATAGCTTTGAACTGCTACAAAAGGACTTCTCTATGCTGTGGGAAGGTGAGAGTATTAGCAGACCTTGCAGGAGAAAAACTTCAATCAAGGGAGGTTTTAGAACTGTATGCATGTATTTTTCAAATCCGCCCATATATTTTGTTGTATTCAAACAATACTTATCTGGTACAAGGCAACGTGCTAAGTTTTCTGAGAACAGCAACAGAATATTCTTCCTAGATTTGAGTTCATGAAATGTATTTGGTCTTGCCATTTTTCTAATTGTTTGAACTTGGCAAGTTTCTTGGCTGCTGTGAGTCTCAATTTCCTCATTTATAAATTAGAAATAATATCTACTTAATAGGGTTGTTGCAGGATAAAATAGAATAATGGATGGACAATTACTTTGCAGAAAGTAAAATTCTAAACAAGTGTTTGGTATTATGATGTGAAGACAGATGAAAACCCACTACACACACACACACACACACACACACACACACACACACACACACACACACATATATAAAATATTTTGAATTTTCCTCAGCCTCCTCCAACCACTTGCTTTTTTAAATCTTTGGAAGATAGGTGTACATGTAGATATTTAATCTGAGCATGAAATGCTTTGGTCACCAAGCAATTACAGTGTTTTTTCTTCAGTTCTGTCTTTCCTGTAGCATTGTAGTCAAAGAAGGGTCAAACCCTAGGAGGGTTCATATAAGAAACTGTTAGTTTTTGGCCAGGTGCAGTGGCTCACACCTGTAATCCCAGCACTTTGGGAGACTAAAGCGGGTGGATCACCTGAGGTTAGGAATTCGAGACCATTCTGGTCAACAAGGCAAAACCCCGTCTCTATTAAAAATATAAAAATTAACTGGGTGTGGTGGCATGTGCTTGTAGTATCACCTACTTGGGAGGCTGAGGCACGACAGTCACTTGAACCCAGGAGGCAGAGGTTGTGGTGAATCGAAATAGTGCCACTGCGCTCGAGCCTGAGTGACAGAGCGAGACTGTCTCAAGAAAGAAAAGGGAATTGTTAGTTTTCAAGCTATGTATTAAATATGCACACAATCTAAACTTTATTTTTTCCCAGAAATCCAGGCAGCAGTGCCTTACAGGAAGATGTGTGAATGGAGATATGAACCTTGTGCTACACCCTGTTTTAAAACATGTAGTGACCCTGAAGCACTAGCATGTAAATTTCTTCCACCGTAAGTAACGTTTACCAATAAGTGATCAAAGTCCAGCCTTAGCAAATTCTGTTTTCAGTTGATTTTTTTCAAGATTTTAAAAACAGCCATTCTCAAGTTGTATATGCTATATATTCTTTCATGATATTAATTTCGCTTAAATCAAGAAGTAGTTATTGAGAGCCTACTATGTGGCAGGCAATCTTCTTGCTGCTGGGGAGACAGTACTGAACAAAATAGACAAGTACTTGCCCTCATGAAGCTTACATATTGTTGGATTGAGCAGAAAATAACCAAACAAAAATGTAAATATATAATGCAACATATTGTTATGGCGGATATGTGTTACAGAGAAAAATAAAGGAAGGTAAGGGAGACAGAGAGCATAAGGCATGTGTGTGTGTTTGCCAATTAATGTTGGTGGTCAGTGAAGAGCACCCTGACAAGGTGACATCTGGTCAGAGATCTAAATGTAGTGAAGGCACTGGCCAGGTGGATATCTGGGGAAGAATCTTTAATTTGAGAACAGTGCAAAGGTCTTGGAGTGGGAATGTGTTTGGTGTGTTCGAGGATCAGCAAGGAGGTCATAAGTTAGAACAAAGTGAGCAAAATGGAGAGAAGTGGGAGATGAGACCAGAGAATCATATTAGTGGGCAAATCATATAAGGCTTTGTAGCCTGTTGTAAGGACTTTGTCTTTTACTGTAAGATAGGAGACCTGGCTGCATTTTAGGCAGCTGAGTGGCATGATCTGATTTATGTTTTAAAAGGTGTACTTTGCCTGTTGTATTGAGAATGGGCTGTTGGAGGAGAGGAGGACAGGGCAGACTTGATCGGTGATACAGACAAGAAATGAAGGGGATTTGACCAGGTTGGTGGCCCGAGAGGTTATGAGGAACAAACAGATTTAATATCATTTATGAGAGAAGGAAGAGTTAAAGAATCAAGTTTTGGCCTCAGCAGTTATTAGGTGAAATACTATGAAGTTTTGCCATTTTTGGTAGCCAAATTGGTCAAATAGCAGTAATTTCAAATGATTTGATCTAATAGAACTGCATTTAATGAGATAAGGAAGATGTTAGAAGAAACAGTTCGGAGGAAAGGTCAGGAATTTGGTTTTCAGGATCTGGAGTTTGATATGGAAAATTGTTCATTGGATTTAGCAAGTCAGAAAATAGGAAGAGACAAAACAGAGACAGAGAGTATAAACAGCTTTTTTTTTTTAATAATATAAGAATTTTCCATAAAGGAGATATGGATCAATAGTAGGAGAGAATATTTTTATGAGAATCATTTTACAATTGATTGAACAATTATGAGGTTCTATTCTATGGCAAATGTTGCCAATAGGTAAGATCCAGCCCCTCTGTAAGATCCAGCCCCTCTGTAAGATCTGTGAGATCTATGGCAAATGTTGCCAATAGGTAAGATCCAGCCCCTCTGTAAGATCCAGCCCCTCTCTCGAGGAGTGCACAGTCTTTGGAAGGAAACAGAAACAAAAGAAAACAATCTTAATACATTGGGAAATGGCCTAGGGAGGCCTTGAGGGGTAAAAACAACAGCTAACACATTTAAGTATTTACAATAAACATGAACTGTGCCAAGTGCTGTAAAATGGTTAATCTCAGTATTCCTATTCCCAGAGGAGAAAACCAACCGAGGCACAGAGAAGCTACACAGTTTGCCCTGGTCACACAGTTTGTAAGCATTAGTGCCAGGGTTTGGACTGCTACACCCTGTTGTTTGTCAAGTGCTGTGAGATCAGAGGGAAGAAAATGATATTACTGTTTAGTGTCTTAAAAATAAAAACAATCACTCATTTTCTTCTGAAAAGAAGTCTTCATTCATTTGAGCTTCTCCCACTCACAAATCTATTTCCTGCCTCTTCTGGTAGCCATCAGGATGACAGCATGTAACAGTGGCCCTGGAGTGAGGCTAAGCAATGCGAAGGGCATGTGGGGAAGGAAGGAAGACAGCAGCAGGCACAGCTGGCAGGGCACTGGGGAGGACATTGAGCCATATTTTGAAATGGCATTTGGCTAGTTTATGACTTCTTATGGGATGACGTGGGATGATCAGTCTCTGGGGTGGTGGAACCCAGATCCTTAATGCTTCCAGTGTATTGGGCTGTAGCTGTCCATAAGTTTCTCTTTCTGTATGTTTGGGATGCAGAGAAGAGACTCACGATGAAACTTCGCCCCTGCCAAACTGATTCTCATCTCTACCTCCATTTCTTTCTCCTTTTTGCTTTCGTTGTGCCAAAGTGGCTAATTATTGCTCCTTATACCTGCAGTACTTGAGGAAGGACTCAAATACTGAGCTGGGGTTTCAGTATGCCCCTGTGCCCCCTCCTCCAAGTCCGCGACATAACCAGCACTCTTGTTCTAGGTGATTGCAGTTTCTGGCACATAGCAAGTGTTTAGATAAAAATGTTTCATGAAAATTAGAGCTTTTACGAGAAAAGCTGCCAAGTAACATACCATAGAGCACATATGTAAATACTGTTATTCCTATTATCTAATATGCCTATTATGAGAACCATTCTGCATCTGAGGCATTAAACTTATCAGTTAGAAGTTGAGTAGAATACCAATTGTATGATAAAAGAAAGCAAACCTGCTATGTTGATGATAAAGACATTTTAAGGAACAGGTTAATAGTTTTTTAAAAAGTATTGTACAAGGATGGCTGTGGTTTTGACTTGCATAAAACAACTGCAAAATAATTGTTTGCATAAAAATTGATTTTGACCCAATTAAATAATAACTAACTAGCCCTTGTCTGTCAGTGATCCAGTAACTTTCCTTTTTCTTTTTTCTTCCACTTCACAAAGTTTAAAATAAGAATGTCATATGCTAGTTAAAGTTTTATTACTCAACTTCATTTTATGAAATAAATAATTAGTTATATAAGCTAAGTTGTTTATGTTTTTAAAAAATCAATTGTGAAGGAGGTATCCAAGAGATGGCTAAATGTGTTTCATTAAACCTCATTAAGACAGAAGTTAACTTTTCTTGTCTTTAAAAAGTGTTGCCTGGATTTGCCTCCAAGAACAAGGGTCTTCTGAGCAGCATTTACCTTTAGTGCCGAGTTAGTTTGTTTCCATCTGGAATGAAACGAGGCCTTCAACACTTTAATTCAAATTCTTTACAGATGAGGCAATGGAAATGTTTTTAAAATTTGTAAATATATTATTTAAAACTGCTAGTATATTCTAGAGGCAGATGAGCAAGCCTTTTTATAACAATATCTGCATGAATTCTCTGTAGTATGTAGTAATATAATAATTAGAGTTGGTTGCACCTGAAGGATTATATTTTTTTCCTTTGATTTAGAATAAATTGAACTCTGAGCCTTAAATGGACATAGAAAAATGTACTCTCAGTCATTATTTTGTCTCCATTCCTTTAGAAGAAAAGCATTCTCATGTTCCCTCCTGTCTTTGGCCCACAACATGGCCTCTTGAAATTTGAGACTTTCCCTTGTCTTCTGTGCTCCAAACAAGGACCAGGGATTCTTACCAAGTCCAGACATCCTAGGGCTTGAAATAGAATCTTTTCAGGCTGTCATACAACCATGTCCTTCCAGGGCACTGCCCCAGATTTGGGCACAGGTCCTAATTTTCTTGAAAACGATAGCTTCTGCTCCTTCCTCTCCCTGTTCTCAAAAGAACTGCAACCATGATCATCCCTTCCACCTAGAGATCACTAATATCTTTTCAGTGAGTTTAGGATTAATAACAGGCAGGGAGAGCCACTGAAGATTCTGTATTTGTTCTACAAACACCGTCAAGGCAATGATAGTGTCAAAGAGCATGCCAATCTGCTTGGATGTGAGGGGAGTATAAGAGTGGAAAGCGGGCCGGGCACGGTGGTTCACGCCTGTAATCCCAGCACTTTGGGAAGCTGAGACGGGTGGATCATGAGGTCAGGAGATCGAGACCATCCTGGCTAACATGGTGAAACCCCATCTCTACTAAAAATACAAAAAATTAGCCGGGTGTGGTGGCGGGTGCCTGTAGTCCCAGCTACTTGGGAGGCTGAGGCAGGAGAATGGCATGAATCCGGGAGGCGGAGATTGCAGTGAGCCGAGATCGCGCCACTGCACTCCAGCCTGGGTGACAGAGCGAGACTCTGTCTCAAAAAAAAAAAAAAAAAAAAAAAAAAAGAGTGGAAAGCAACAGTACAATCAATACAGATTAAAATCTCAATAAATTGGCCAGGTGCCAGGGCTAATGCCTGTAATCCCAGAGCTTTGGGAGGCTGAGGTGGGCTGATTGCTTGAGCCCAGGAATTCAAGATCAGCCTGGGCAACATGACGAAACCTCATCTCTACAAAAAAATAGAAAAAATTAGCCAGGCATGATGACACATGCCTGTAGTCCAAGCTACTCAGGAGGCTGAGGTGGGAAGACCACCTGGGTCCAGGAGGATGAGGCTGCAGTGAACCAAGGTCGCGTCACTACACTGCAGCCTGGGTGACAGAGTGAGACCCTGTCACAAACAACAACAACAACAACAACAACAACAACAACACCTTAATAAATTATTCTTCCACATTTCCACTGACTTATGGAACAGGGACTTAGTGTGCCCCAAATATAAGTGTATGGTTCTAATATTCTGTGTCCAAGTTCTGCCTTAATTTTAATCCTATTCTCTTATCATCCTCTAGCTTGTGATTTTATAAAACGAAGTAGCAGATGGAGCAGTTGTTAGTGCTTGACAAGGGTATATAGAAGCATTTTAGGAAGAATATATCTTAGTCGCATATGTTAAATGTAGTCCTTTTTTTTTTGTATTTCAAACTTTTCTTCACTTTGATTTACTCTTTTTTCCATGTAAAGGGTTGAAGGATGCTTGCCCTACTGCCCTAAAAATATGATCCTTGATGAGGTCACCCTCAAGTGTGTTTATCCACGAGACTGTAAGTGTGAACGTTGCTTAATTTACTCTGAAAAATTATACGCTTGCATATGTTTTTTCCGAGGCAAGTGGTTGTAAACAGAAGTTTTAAACAGACAATCAACTCTCATAAGATTATTCTTCAATGTCTCTTACATAGCTTTTTTTCCCTAATTACTTTTTAAATCATGTAGATCTTCCACTAACATCTCTCCTGCATTCTTTTTCCCAAAACATTTTCCTTGAAGCTAAAGAGTCCTCTATGAAATATGTGGGTCTAATTTTATGCAAATACAGTTTTATAAAGAGCACCTTTGTTTCTTTGTAGGTATACCTGTGATTCCCACAGAACCAACATTAATGCCACCAGCTAAGCCAACTGTGCCCATGTTTACAGGTATTGTTATAATTTTAGACAACAAAAGTAGCACTATGTAGTTTAAGTGTTGGCTTAATTTATGTAATTTAGGTGTTACTATAGCTGCTATCATTAATACTACCTATGGGCTAGGAAACCCAGCAGTCACTTTTGCTTCATTAAGCTTGTCCATTGGCTCAACATGCCATGTTTTCTAGAACTTCTGGCCTCAAAGGATTCTTCTGCCTGAGACCCCCAAGTGCTGAGATTACAGGCATGAGCCACACTGCACTGGGCTACGTGCCTCATTTTCTGAGTGGCTTCTGCATTTGGTCCACCTCGTTCTTCATTTCAGTTCGTGTAGATTCCTTGGACTTCCCTCACATCTAAAAACCTAAATTCTACTTTTAGGTTTGATTAAATCCCACTTAGATTTTCACAGTGATTAAATTGGCTCTAATGAAACAGACATAAATCAGGGTTTTCTTTATTGCTTCCATTTCCATGTTTGCATTCTGTCTCTGGCTCTGGAGGAGGCATTCTGGGCTCCTACCCTTGCTTTCCTCCCGCCCTGTGAAGCTTGCCTCAGGGAAGGATTTAATAAATCCACTCACAGTGAGGCTCAACAAACTTAAGGCATTATTCCTCAAGGTAGTATAATGTAGGTCAAGTTCAGATATTTATTCTTTCCATTTATTTGACAAGCTTTAATTGAGCACCAACTCTACCTGGTACTGTCCTTGCCCTCAGTGAGGAGATATGATAAACAAGTCACAGCCCCTACCCTAAAACTGCTGATAGACCAGAGGCTGTTGCAATCTTACAACAGGGGTAAATACAAGCAGCCCACACTAGGACCATCATATTTATTTTGGAGGTGTGGTGTCAGAGGTTAATCGAAGACAGAAGTTGGGTAGGCTAAGAGAAGAGGGAAATATGTTCCTATTAGAAGGACAGCATGTGCAAAGTCTGGAAGTGAGAGAGAATATGTCACATGAAGGAATCTTAAGCAGGTCAGTGTATCTTGAATGTGCAGTTTGAGGGGAATTGTGCCGAAAGGTGGAGTGGAAGAGATTATCGGGGGCAGGTCACAAAGGACTCATGGTAAGAAACAGGATTTTTAAAAAGGCATTAATAGCTTCACTAAAACCATCACTAGTAAGACTGCTTCTCTGGTTAGCTACCATTTGAGTACTAATTATATGCCAGGTATAGGATTAAGCATTTGTCATACTTTTAATCTTAATAAGAGCCCTACGAGAGAGGTTTACCCTTCTAGAGATGAGGAATTACTATACTGTTGTGAAATTTTAGGCATCAGTGAATTTAGTATAGTTTAAAGCATGCTTTGGGAGAAGGTGGAGGTACTTCGCCTACATCATTCAATTTATAAGGGGAATAAGTCTATGAAATAAGATTGCATGTTTTAACATCTGGGGCATAGACTGTTAATTATTCTAAGTATTGCTCTCTACTTTGAGTTCTCTTATATCCCCCAAATTAATATTCAACATTATCTCAAATGTGTAAAATGATTTAAACAACCATAATCTCTTTGCAGAGAATACAAACTATATTTCATTACTCTCAAAGATAAAAAAATAAAGCTATTTCTATTTCTATTTGCAGATGTCATGATCTTAGGTTATTCTAAGGGATCTACTGAAACCTATTAGCAATATCATATGAGTTCAGCAAGGTTGCAGAATGCAAGAGCAATACACAAAAATCGATTGTATTTCTGTATACTAGCCATGAACAATCTGAAAATGAAATAAAGAAAACAATTGCATTTATAGTAGTATCAAAAAAGAATAAAATGCTTAGAATATATGTAGCAAAAGAAGTGTAAAATTTGTACCATAAAAGCTATGAAACATTGTTGATAGAATTAAGAAGCTGAAGAAATTCCATATTCATGGATTGGTAGAGTTGTTAAGATAGCAATACTCCCAAATTGTATTTATAGACACAATACAATCCCTATCAAAATCCCAGCTACTGCTTTGCAGAAATTGATAAGTTAACCCTAAATTCATATGGAAGTACAAGGAACCTAGAATAGCCAAAACAGTCTTGAAAAATAACTAATTTGGAGTACTCATACTTCTCAGTTTCAAGACATATCACAAAGCTGTAGTTATCAAGACAGTTTGGCCATTGTAAATCCACACCCAGATAATGTTTATAAGCCTTTGATGATTTTAGATAACAGTGAACTGTTAAGACCACTGAACTTCCCAGTCATTAGAATTTTTTTTTTTTTTTTTTTTTTTTTGAGGTGGAGTCTTGCTCTGTCACTCAGGCTGGAGTGCAGTGGCATGATCTTGGCTCACTGCAACCTCCAACTCCCAAGTTCAAGCAACTCTCCTGCCTCATCCTCCCAAGTAGCTGGAACTACAGGCATGCACCACATGCCCGGCTAATTTTTGTATTTTTAGTAGAGGCGGGGTTTCGCCATGTTGGCCAGGCTGGTCTTGAACTCCGGGCCTCAAATGATCTTCTCTCCTCGGCCTCCCAAAGTGCTGGGATTACAGATGACAGCCACCGTGCCCGGCCAGAAATATTAAAAGTTTTTAAAATGTCGTTGTGGTATGCTGAATAATGGTCCTCCAAAGATGTCACTGTCTTAAGTCCCCAGAATTTATGAATATATGACCTTATATGGCCATTCATGTGACTAAATTAAGATGATGACTGGCTTATGCCTGGATCATGAGATGGGGAAATTATCCTGGAATATTCATGTGGCACCAATGTAATCACAAATTTCCTTAAAAGAGAGAGGCAAGAGAGTTGGAGTCAGGGAAGGTGATGTGACAATAGAATCAGAGGAAAGAAGGGAAAAGGAAGGGAAGGAAGAAGGGGAAGAGAGAGAGATTGATTTGAAGATTTCGTGCTGTGGTTCCGAAGTTAAAGGAAGGGACCATGAGCCAAGTCCAGATAGTTCATAGAAGCTGGAAGAGACCAGGAAACAGAGTCTCCCTTAGAGCCTCCAGAAGGAATGCAGTCCTACTAATAGCTTGATTTTAGGGCTTCTTTTGTTTAAAAATTAATTAATTAATTTTGAAAATTGACAAAGAAAAATTGTATATATTTATTGTATACATGTTGTTTTGAAATATGTGTACATTGTGAAATGGCTACATTGAGCTCCAAAACAGCTAATACACTGGTGTTGTTTTAAGCCACTAAATTTGTGGTAATTCATTACAGCAGCAATAGGAAACTAATGAGGTTATTTTTAAACACTGTCAACTACGGGCACTGCGATTATGGCTGAGAATAATTTCAGCCATTTATTGTGGCTCTTCTGTAATCTTTCAGACTGAATATTTTAGAGATACCTCCAATATTGACACCTTTAGAAGGTGCCTCACAGATGTGTTTACCAATCACATCTCCCTTTTCTATGGGTCACTCCTAAACCACACCCATCAACTAGGGCTTCCACATGGTCCACATCAACATTTATTCTGCTCACAAGGAACACATTCTCAAGGTTCACCAAAATCAAGGGGTCAGCCTTATTACTTATTTTCAAAATGTAAGAAGATTTTTAACTTCTGAGGAATGGTTAGTGATACTATTAATATTTTTTTTACCTGTTCACGCAATTGTGTTGACACCATTAAGAAAGTGAAGGTGTTTAAAGAATGGTGATTAAAAGCCAAATTTCTGGAATCAGAATTCATTTCCAAGTTCAAATTCTGCCTCTGCCACTTAACAGCCTTACTTCTCTACAGCTTAGTTTCCTCATCTTCTGTAAAATGTCGATACTATTATTACCAACATCACAGGATTCTAGGAAGGAATATGTGAAATAATCTATACAAAATTTCTTAGCACAGTTTCTGTCACATATCAATTCCATGCAAGATAAATGCATTCCACTAATGAGGATTACTTTTTCATTTCTGACAGTTTGGGAAATGATTACTCCATCAGACATCACTGTGTTTGATATGCTAACACCAACTACAGGCTTGGAATGTGAGGTATGACTGAGCAATATCTTCCAGCTCTTTGTCATTTCCATATATCATCCATTCAAATTTCTGTGTCAATATCCAAATGCTACTAAACTTTTTTTGATATGTTCTCTAGTCTAGCCTTGCTAAAAGATATTAAGAAATATGCATTTCATTGGAACAATTGTAACTGATATTTCTTATTAATTAGCTTCTAGTCACACTAAGAAAAACAAAATTGAAATAAGATCTTAAGTGTGATTCCTTAATAAAGAGTTATCTAGTATGGATTTATCTGTGAATCAGGCATTCATAAAATATTATTAAGCATCTACTTGATGTCAGCCACTGTGTAAGATGTTAAACATACACTGGAAGCAAAAAAGATAAAAGTCATTGTCTCCTAGAACTAGTAGTTTTCTCTCCTAAGAGTTGGGCAGAGATCTTCTTATATCAAATATACCATTTGCTCTGATAAACTATTTATTCAACCAATATTTATTTAGCACCATTTCTGGCCAGGCACTATTCAGATCCTATGGAAAAAATATAAAAGTAGGCAAATATTTCTGCCTTTCCAGAGTTTACGTTCTATTGGAGTTTCTGAGATAGCCAATAAGCAAAATAAATGAAGTTATATAAAATGTCAGAGGTGCTGGTCAGGAGAAAAATAATACTGTTTTTAATAAGATGATTTGAAAATCTTCACTGATAAGGCAACCTCTAAGCAAATGATCTGCAAATGTTAAGAGAGTGAACCAATGTAGAGGACTGGGTCAACAAAGTTCCAGGCAGAGGGACCAGCAAGTGCAAAGGCCTTGAGGCAAGAATGTACCTAATGTATTAAAAGAATGACAAGGAGACCTGTAAGTAATAAAGGAATAAAATAGTAGACAATAAAGTAGATTATGTTAGACCTTGTGTTGTAAAGACTGTGGCTTCTGTTCTAAATGACTTGGGAAGGTGCTGTGTATTTTTGAGTCAAGGAATTACACCATCTGAGTAGCTTCAAGATCATTTTGGCTGGTATATTGTGGGTAAGGTGTAAGGAGGGAATAGAACTGTTTAGGAGGCTATTGTAGGAATTTAGGCCAGAGATGATGATCTATCACCTGGTTCAGGTGATAGCAGTGAAGATGGTGAAAAGTACCTGGATCCTGGATATATTTTGAAGGTAGAAAGATTACATGTGAAGTGTGAGTAAAAGGGAAGCAACAAAGATTCTAAAACTTTTGCCTTCAGCAACTAAAGGGCTGGTGTCAACCAGGATGGAGAAATCTTGGGGAGTGCATGTCTGGGATGGGTATAATCATGAGTTCAGTTTTGCCATGTGAAGCTTGAGATTCCTCACAGACAGCAAAAAGCTGTGGACATATAGATTTGGCAGACATACATGGAGTATATATAGGTCATGCTAAGAAAAAATTTGGGAATTCTCAGCGGATAAATGGTATGAGACTGGGTGAGATAGTAAAGGGAGTGAGTACAGATAGAGAAGTGAAAAGGGCCACTACAACTTTCATAGGTTGAGAGAAGATGACAGACATGCAAATAATGTTAACCAGAGAAATAGGAGAAAATGTAGGAGGCTGCAGGTGATCTGAAATCTAAGGAAAAGAATATTATAAGGAATGTGGAGTAATAAGCTATACTGAATATATTAATAGGTCTGAGATGAGGTCTGAGAATTGATCACTGGATTTAGCAATGTGAGTTGCTGGTGACCTTGTTAAAAAGAGTTTCAGTAGAGTGGTAGGTCTAAAATCCTCTGGGTGGTTCAGATGTCTGTGAGGTCTATAGTTCTCTTGTAATTGCTTTCATTTTTCTGGCTAAATGAAAAGCAAGGTCAATACCTGAGAAGTGGTACAACTTTTACACAGAAAATTTTGGAAAATTGGACTCTTAAATTTTGAAGTGCTCACTTAAGAGTCTTACTATTTAGAAAATTAGTAATTTCTCTAAACCTTATTTTAAAAATCATATATTATATTGGAATGATAGAAACTGATCCAAAAGATTTAGGGAGAAACAAATGAAAAAAGATACTTTATTAGTGTATGGTATGTAATAGGTGCTAAATAGTTGTTAATTTTTATTCTGAAATCCCTAGACATGCAGTAGAGAGTAGTGGTCAAGAGCATAGATTCCCGAGTAACAGTGCCTGGACTTAGATGCTGACTCTACTATCTTCTATCTGTGGGACCTTGGGCAAATTACTTTAACCCCCACACTGTTTACTTATCTATAAAATAAATATGAAATAATAGTATCTACCTTAGAGGGTTAAGAGAATGAAATGGGTTAATTAGAAAATGTCTAGTTTAGCATTGCTATAATTATTACCATAATTTAAATGGAATGTGATTTATAAATTTTGAAAAATCTACCACTTATTTATTTATTATTTGTTTACCTAGACATTGTGAGTTACATATAAAATTAATTTATGATTATACACTCTAGGTGCTGTGAAACTGATGTTATATATAAAATTTTAATAAAGTATTTAAATAGCATTAAGTTGTGATTTTTAAGTTGACATTATGACACATGAAGTTATATTGATATACTAGCTTTGCACAATATAATGTGAAGGGTCAGCTGTCATTTTATAAATTTGCTTGCAAAAAAACTAGGGAATTCAGGAGAACACTGTTTTCTTCAGATGTTTGAATATATGGGCAATCTAATGTCCAATCAATATTAAGTTAAAGCTTAAATTAAATATACATTGAATATTATAGAAAGGGTACATCAATAAAAAGTTGCAGCATAATTTTAATTCTTTATCTTTCAAAAGTTTTTGTATTCAATAAATGTACACCATGGGCAATATGAATGTGGAATTTAAAAATCAATTAAAAACATTAGCTGAGAATGAAAAAACCCACTAATCTTTTTTTATTAACAGCCTCAGAAATTTGATCCTGTTTATGATTGTAGCCAATACATATGCCTTAATATGGAATGGCAGTTATACAACTGGTCCCTTAATTGCCCAAAGGACGTGGAAATGCCTGACTGTGGTTTCCGAGGAAGGCCAGTTCAAGTGAACAGTGATATCTGCTGCCCTGAGTGGGAATGTCCTTGTAAGTTTGCATTTCTTAAGCGGTGATCTTTTTTTTTTTTTTTTAATCTGGAGAGATTGTTACTTTTTTGAACCTTTCACCTCATCAAGCCAAAGTTACTGTTTTTGAGTTTTCATGATTTGATTTATGATTTTGGCTCACAGTATATAACTTTTAGAGTTGCTTCTTGTCAGACATAATAAGGCTAATTTAACAGATTTTTTTAAAAGAGCAATTATTACTGAAAATGCAGATAGTTAATAGACTAAATCCACTTTCCACCATTTTTATAGGTCGGTGTTCCATGTTGTCAGAACTGAGCATTATTACATTTGATGGAAACAACGCAGCATTATATAGCATGGCTTCTTATATCTTAGTAAGAATTCCTGGTGAAATTATAGTTGCTCATATCGAAAAATGTTCCATGAATCAGGTGGGTCATAATTTATTTTTGCAGTCATTTCATCATAAATCTATAGCTAATGTCTATTGCAACATCAGGGATTCTCACAGGAGGAGGGAGCTCAAGAACTCACTGAGATCGGTCTTCTGATAATGTTTCAGAAACATTTCTGAAAACCTTTCTTATCAATCTATTTAGAGGCATATAAATCCGAATAATGTTTTAAAAAGTCAAATAATGCATTTAAAAGTATTTCTTTTTTTTTTTCCAGAATGGAAACTCCTTAAAAAAGCTAGTGAGTATTTGCAAAGTGTTTAGTACATTCATTCTGTTTATCACTACAATTGTGTTTAACTCCGTAAAGTTTTAATTTTTTTCAAATTAAGGCTCCCTCTGGAAGAATCTCTGGACTTTGTTTTAAGAAGTTAAATGTGACAACACCCATACATAAAATAATTGTCAATCGGTTGGCAAGAAAGGTAAGAATACAAAGTTAAAATTTTTTCTCACATTAGATGAAAATAAATTATACAAACAGTTATTTCCAATAAGAGGGAAAATTAAGCATATCAATGGAATTTAATTGTTATATATAGTAATCATTTCATAGACAATATAAAATGTGTTTCTTAATATTATATTTGTCTCTCAATAATGTGCCAATTATTGCAAATATTTTCCCCTGTGAGGTTAACTGCAGGGACCATGTTAAATACACTAGCGACCTCTGAGATAGTGTGATTGGCCAGTCTTCTTTGTGTCAGAGTTAATATCACGTTCCAAATCAGACAGAGTGGAAATGCTATGAAGGAGAGGGATGATGATGTGGAAAAGCATAGTAGCCAAGAACACCGGAATAAAGACCGTTAAGAGAAGAACAGATAGAAGGAGTGGGTTTGAAGTGTTGACATAATTAAGTTTTTGGTGAATAAATGATAGCTAACATAAGAAAAATATGAAAAAATATTTAACTTTTTTGAAATAAATTGAAGAAGCGCAATGTATTATAAAAAAGCAATGCATTATAAAAAATGAAAGGAGCCTTTTGGTTTTACAGGAAAAACTCTTATCCCAAGGAATATGTGTTTGCCAAACAGGAGTGCCTTATGAACTCAGTGCTTCACTCAGTTCTAAGTTATTCTCTGTAAAATATGAAAAAAAAATGTGTAAAGATTTTTTCTTAAAATGGCTGAAGTACTATGTACTTTCTGGAAATAACTCCATTTGTTAGCATAGGTCCATAGATTCTAGACTGAAAAGAATATTAAAATGAGCCTAAAAATGTAAGAAGATATTTAAAAGGTTTAATTAAGTAAAACAAAATATATAAAAGAGGTACTTTTTTTGAATGATAGCATTTGCATATACCTTTGAGTTCGATGAGGTTGATATACTTACAGGAAGTGGGTGAGAAGTAAACACAAAGCTGGTCAGTGTCATTATTTGGAGCATTTGGGTGGAAGGACTTATTTTTGGCCCCAGATGAACTCATCACTGATCATTCACTGGTCAGGCACTGTATTCAGCTAATAACAAGTTATTTTGTAAAATGACTTAGTGAGAGTTTAACATGATAAAACAACATAGGTCCTGATCTCAAGTAACTTATACTTGTGCATGATTTGCATAATGTAATTACCTGCTGATTAGAAAGCAATAGGAGGAACAGTGATAGAATTATGACCAAGATATCATAGAAATAAAGAGAAGAGTAACTTAATGTCTTATAGTTTGTAGTCGGATCAAACAGGTCTTTTCTGGGGGAGGTCACACTTAAGATGAATCTTAAAGAATAAGTAGAAAGAAGGAAGAGAAAGAGAAAGTATGTTTCAGCTCAAGGACAGCATTTATGAACAAGATATAAAAATGAGACATTGAATGGTTGGTGAGGCATAACTTCGAGAAATTTGCTGCTAGTTACAGCTCATGGCTTCATGTCATTGCCATTATTTAAAGCACCGTTTTTCAAAGTACAATCCTTGGATTGCCTACATTAGTATTACCAAATACCTGTATAGACTGTATATATTTATTTAGTACATGCTAAAAATACAGTCTATAATCCAATGCAAACCTGCAAAGTAGAATCACTGGGAATCTTGATCTTTAACAAGCCTGACAGATGATTGTTATGAACATTGCAGTTAAGCAAACAATGATTTAGAAGATCAAGGAAAGAATCCAGATTAAGGAAAACATCCAGAAAATAACATTATTATCTTAAATTCATATTAGAAGGATTGTGTTATCAATATAAACATAGATTGAAGGAAACAGACATAGAAGTGTACATAACATAGAAGAAAGTTAAATTTTGAGGAAAATGAAAGGCAATGACGTTAGAACACATATTGACTAGAGCAAGGCACAGCAAAGGAACAATAAAATAGCTTAAAGGTTCTGAGAAGCTGTGGCAGCAGTAAGAAATACATTTCTTAAAAAAATTAAAAAATAGTTTACATTAAATCAGAATAAAGGAATAATCTGTATTCTCCTAATTTGTATATTTAAGTAAATATTTCTTAACAGGTGTATTTATGTTATTCTAGGTAGAAGTGGATTCCATTGTTGTGCCTTTGCCCTTTTCAAGTCAGGAACTGTCCATAGAGGATTCTGGTTCAATGTATGTAATTACTACTCCAGCTGGACTAATCATAAAGTGGT
The DNA here is from genome assembly GCF_000001405.40 of Homo sapiens. NCBI lineage: Eukaryota > Metazoa > Chordata > Mammalia > Primates > Hominidae > Homo > Homo sapiens. Next base: position 80,339,190 of record NC_000012.12, read on the forward strand.
CTCATCTTACAGGAATCATAGACATTCATTTTGGCTTCCGATTTAACTTGTCATCCTACACAGAAGGACTCTGTGGTGAGCGCTGCCCTTCAAATCTTGATTTCGTCTGTTTTTTTTTTTTTTTTTTTTTTTTTCTATTCACGCTATGCCATTTTGGACCCTGTTGCCCCATTTTTCAGATTTGAGATGTGATATTAACTTTCAGTTCCCATGTAAATACGGAAGGAAGCAATGATTTTTCCATAAATGTGCTAAGAAGCAGGAAATAACACTTCAATTTGGGTATTTTATGAAAATATATGCTTACTGCTGTTACTACGATGCTGTTTGTATTTCCACTAGCTCATCTTTATTAGGCATTAATGAAGCATCAGGCATTATTTTACACATTTTAATTCACTTAATTTTAAGATCTAGTAAGTAGATAATAGTGTTATCTCAATTTATAAGTGATACAAATGAGGCATAGAAAGTTTAAAGGCTTACATATCTTTGTTTCCTCTTAATTTTTTTAAAAGCTTGAAATCAGGGAAAACTTGTTTAAGTCATCTTGAAAGAACATACCATTCAGGATATTTGTCCTAGTTTTATTATGAAATGTAAAGCTTAGATATACCATTACATCTAGGTTTAATATTGCAATGTATTACACAGATATATGAAGAGTTTTAAGTCAAAGAAAACAAATTAGAAATATCTGTAGGTACATAATGAAATAAAAAGAATACTGGCTCTGGTGTCTGCTAGAAATTTGAACACAGGTTATTCTCTTTACAGTTGTGTGCTCTGAAGAGAATGTCAGTTTCCTCATCTTTAAAAGTGGACAGTAATATCCATTTTCAAGATTGTTTGGATTACATGTGAAAGTTAATGTAAACACAACACATAAATACACACAGTCAATAAATGTTGGTTTAGTACAAATATATCTATTTTTAATCTCAGTAAATATTAATTAAATAAAAGTTTATGGATCACCTATTGTGTGTCTGACATTATGCTTGAGGCTGACAACTCAAAAATGAGTGGCTAAGTCCTTGCCCTCAATAAATTACACAAAATATCCAAATTTCCTGTTTAAAAATTTGAACATTTTTGGAAATTTTTGCTAAAATGGTTTTCATGGTTCCTCACTTGTTTAGAGTATGCTAAACATAGCATAAATTTCTATGGTGACTTAAGGTTATGATTTGGAAATAGGCATTATTGAGTATATGTACTAAATCAATAGTTATTATTGAGTAATAACTGAGACTGGAAATGCATATTTTCTCCTATAACTTATCACTTTTGAAGGGTATTATTTCAGTTTTATTTTTATGTTTTTTATCCTTCTCTACTATTAGCTCTTGCTTTCATGTAGACAGCCACTCTGCTAGCTGGATTCTTAACTAAGCGCTGCAGAGAGAGGGCTAGGATCACCTTTATGCTAACCAGGGCTCATGCCCTAAATTCCTTGACCTCCACAATGAGAGAAGTATACTTCATTAAAGGGAAATCTGGGTACTGTCAGGATCACTAGACTAGGTGCTGGCTGAAAAGCTTCTAGTGAGTAAGACTGTTATCCAAACAGGGTCTGAACACTGGAATGAGAGGCTTATATTGACATCTTATTCTACACAGCACTATGAAGTCTGGAGTGGTGACTGAAGTTGCAGTGCAAACATATTTTTACTAGAAATTACCTTTCTCTAGAAAAGTTTAGACTTAAAAAATAGTAGCTCCTTTACAATGTAGTCCACTTAGGTTTTTTTTTTTTTTTTTAATGTTTAATTGCACGTAGTACCCTGTGTATTTACAAAGGTGAGGCATTGCAACCTTTATTCATCCTGATATATCTCCTTGGGAATTAAGATTTGATGTTTGAAGAAAATTTTTATTCATATATTTTATAGCCCAGAGTCTTGGGAATTAAGAAAAAATATGTCTTAAAGTCGGGTGGGATTTGGGTAAGGTATGATTGTAGGCCTGGTCTCATTACTTTCCTTGGCTCTGCACTGCATTTGGTGAAGAGTAAGCTCATCCTCAGTTTGGCTTTTCTCAAGGTAAATAGAGGCTGCAGCAGGTCAAGGCATCCCAAGGAAGGGAAATTGCCTGTGTCCTAGAATTCCCAGTTCAAGTCTTGAGCTTGACAATAGTTGTCCCTATGTTGAATAAATTCATGTGCCTAGGTGACTGCTACATGCTTGCTGGTTTATGCCTGGATTACCTGGAACAGTTGCTAATGCAAGGGAATGAAGATTACCTTTATGCCAATCAGAGCCCTCACCTGGAATGATGTCATGCACTAGGTGATGGAGTAGTGATAGTTCCTGAAAGAAAAATATTTAATATTTTCAGGCAGAGTTTTCACAGGGAAGTGGAAGCCTGGGAGCCAGTCACCAAATGTCCATTACTGTGGAAAGTACCTTGCCAGGCCACTAGTTACTAAGTTAGAAGATGGTGGTAGTAATGGAAGAGTATAGGAACAGAATTAATGTCTTCTTTCTTAATCTTCTCTGATCTCTTCATGTATCTTGACTTCTAGGCTTTTGATTTCTTTCTTACTGGGTTAAGGCAGTTAGTTCTACACTATTTTATCAAAAAATTAGAACATAATTTAAAAAGTTATTTCAATGTAAAAGTTCAAGGATACATAAACTTGGTACCTTATATGGTAAATCATTTGTTCATTTAAAATCAATTATTTAACTGATTTAGTTGTGCTGTCTACATTAGTTTAAGTTTTTTTCTTCTAACTGTCATATATTCTTTCAAGGAATTTGCAATGAAGATCCGGATGATGATCTAAGGATGCAAAATGGCACAATTATTACAAATATGGAAGACATAGGATTATTTATTGAGAGCTGGGAAATTGAGAAATCATTTGAAGTAACAATGAGAAGACCTGTTAGGAATTGTACTGAGCATGATTGCAGCCAGTGCATTGATTTATTAAATAGAAGAATTTTCATTCCATGTCATGATAAAGTAAGTTGGAAGCAACCATAAATAATACTTTCATGTTAGATATGTTGAGAGTAAAAGCCAATACGTTACTGTTCTTGCTATAATGTTCTTCTACTGAGAACAAAACCCCCAACCTTCTGTCAGTATGCTTTGGAATTCAGAATCACTTATTGTTTACAGGCTTACAAACACAAGAAGGATAATTTTATTTCTTTTCTTTATGCTTCGTTAGAATTATATCTACAGCTTTCAGAAAAAAAATGAAAGTTTGTCCTATGAATAAATGTCTCCAGGAGACAGAGATCAATGACATTTGATAACCCAGTATTAAGACCAAGACAGTGAGGCTTTAATCAATTCCTTATGATCCTGGCTTCTTAGGCACATACTTGTAATAGAATCTGTCACTTACTCAATTTACTTGGTCTTTATTAGTCTCTAACTTTCTGAGTTTAAGTGATTAGTAGGCATTTTAAATAATCTATATTGTTTAAAAAATCCATTATTAAAGACAAATGACAAATACAGTATTTCATGATCACTTAACTATAATTTAGTGAGCATCTAGTACATAGAAATCACTGTGTTAGATTCCTGTGATAGAAAATGAATAGGGCGCTCTCCTTGCCCTCAAGGAGCCTAGTAGGAAGGGAAGTCTGCGAGCAGATACATTAAAGTGTACATTATAGAGGTACACAGGATCCCAGGTTTGGAGAAGACTTTATGGAGTTTTAGATTTTTCTTTTCTTTTCTTTTCTTTGAGACAGTCTCACTTGGTCGCCTAGGCTGGAGTGTAGTGGCACGATCTCGGCTCACTGCAACCTCTGCCTCCCAGGTTCAAGTGATTCTCCTGCCTCAGCCTCCCGAGTAGCTGGGACTGCAGGTGCCGGCGACCACGCCCAGCTGATATTTTTAGTACAGGCGGGATTTCACCGTGTTAGCCAGGATGGTCTCGATCTCCTGACCTCGTGATCACCCACCTCAGCCTCCCAAAGTGCTGGGATTACAGGAGTGAGCCACCGTGCCCGGCCCAGAGTTTTAGATCTTTGAATTGTTTAAAAGTATGAGTTTGCTAGGAGAGAAGAGGGAGGGATGGAGTTCCAGGCAGAGATAACAATGCAATGGTCCCTCAGTGGGAGGTTAGTTCCAGGACCTTCACAGATATCAAAATCCTTGGATGCCCAAGTCCCTTTATAAAATATAGTATAGTATTTGCATATAACCTACACAATTCTCCCATATATGTTAAATCATCTCTAGATTACTTATAATACCTAATGCAAGGTAAATGCTATATGAATAGTTTTTACACTGTATTATTTTTTACATTTTTATTATTTTTTACATTTTTATTATTTTTTATTCTTGTTTTTTTTTTTTTTTTTTTTTTTTTTTAACTTTCTTTTCCTGAATATTTTTGAGAGCTTCTTTGGAGGTTCTAGCAGGGGAGTGCTGCTACTCGTATACCCTTGACCAAAGGCCGGTCCTCTGTCGTGGATAGTCGTCCTTTCAACCAAATGTACACCTTCAGGAGGGACGTAAATGGAGCAATGAGGGAGGAAGGGACACTTGCTTAGCGAGCCAGATCAGCCGAATCAACCCTGGCCGTCAGTAGGATGACAGATGTCACAGCGAGATCTCTCTCACATCGGTTTTTCTGAATATTTTTCATCCGTGGTTGGTTGAATCTATGGATGTGGAAACCGGAAACCCTGGGTAAGGGGGGCTGACTGTATATGCAAGAGAAAGTTTGGTTTAAAGGCCATGTGAGGAAAACATTAAAAGAGTTTGGTGCAACATCTATGAAGGGAAGAGTCAGGGAAGGAAAGCAAGGGAATTGTCAAGTCAGGAAGGAGCTCACTGTGAATGACTTTTGATGCTGCCCTACGCGTTCCCTGAGGGAAAAGACGAAAGTATGAAGTCATGGGATAAAAATGACATATCTTTGTGGAACTTCAGTTTTACATGGAGATTTGGATAAAAATAAGTTTTAAATGTTCACATTTTTAAAATGCATGCACATAAACATGAAGAAATAGCAAACACTTTAAAACTCATTCAGTACCACTTTAGTCTGTCTTTTTAAAGCATCATGATTTTTTAAAATTGCGTTTTTAACTGGGAACTTGAAAGGTTGGTTATATCAGGAAACTTTCAGCTTGACTATTCAAGGCATAATGAAGCAATACAGGATACCATTTAGTCTGTGATAGCTTCCACTTTTCCCTTATAATCTTCCAGTATACAAAAATCAGCTGGGTGTGGTGGCACACATCTGTAATCCCAGTTATTCGGGAGGCTGAGGCAGGAGAATTGCTTGAACCTGGGAGGTGGAGGCTGCAGTGAGCCGAGATCGCGCCATTGCACTCCAGCCTTAATGCTTACTTAAAGTGTGTGGGTTTTGTTTATTGTAGAAACGTAAATGGGCATCAAATTATGTTGTGTCTTATGCTGGAAAATCTAAATCAACAACCACATAAAACTATTCCTATGGTAACATCTAAAAACCAATCATGCAGAATTTAAGGATAATTACTAGAATATTTTGCTTTATTGTTTATTTTTATAAATAACAAGTAATCTTGGCTCAAGAGGTTTCTTCAGAACTAGTTTTAGAATCATTTGGAAAGTCAGGCTTGTCCATCAAGATCCTCATTAAACCCATCACTCTCTTCACAAGGAACATCTTGCTTTTATATTTTCTTAGGCTGTTCAATGATGGGATAAATTTTTATAATTTTTTTAAGTGTTATAGTTTGAATATCTTTCAACAAAAGAAAGTTAATTTGCCATTTTATCTGCTACATAGATATAAATCAATTTAAAGAAGGCATTGGCTATATATTATATATTATATTTTATATATTATTATATATTATATTTTATATATTATAACATATATTATTATATGTTATATTTTATATATTATAATATATATTATTATATGTTATATTTTATATATTATAATATATATTATTATGTTATATATTATAATATATATTATATGTTATATTATATATTATGATATATAATATATTTTATATTTATAATGTATATTATATATTATGTATAAAATATATATATATTATATATATATATTTTTTTGAAGAGTCTTGCTCTGTCATCCAGGCACTGATGTCATCCAGTACAGTGGCATGATCTCGGCTCACTGAAGCCTCCACCTCTCAGATTCAAGTGATTCTCCTGCCTCAGCCTCCTGAGTAGCTGGGATTACAGGCATGTGCCACCAGGTCTGGCTAATTTTTTGTATTTTTAATAGAGATGGAGTTTCACCACGTTGGCCAGGCTGGTCTCACACTCCTGACCTCAAGTGATCCACCTGCCTTGGCCTCCCAAAGTGTTGGGATTACAGGTGTGAGCCATCACACCTGACCATGGCTATAATATTTTTACAGTCAGAGTTGAAAATATAATTTTTCATCATGGAAAGAAAAGATAAAAAGTAAAACCTAAATAATGTAAATGGATTATTTTAACAGTAATGGTCAAGAAGAACTCACAAAATTGGCTTATTTTGCAGATTTTTTTCAAGAGTGACGAATTAAAAATACTATAAAAAAGTTTGAGAATAAGATAGAGATAATTGACTGTAGGACCTACTAGTACTTTCAGACTCTCAAGTACTCAAAGCCTCTAGATGTGTTTCCTTGAGAAACTAAAAGAGACCCTTACAAAGCTTATGAGGATTCTATACACAGTAGCCTGTGTCTTCAGACAACATCTTTAGCTGCATTCTGGTCATGATGATTCAGTGATAACTCTGGCACAGTCCATACAATAGTGGAAAATGCATTTTCTTTTTACCCACATAGTTCTTGGATATTGCAAAACGGAGGTAGAGAAGACACAGTATTACCATCATGCTGAACTCGATATTTGGCATCGAACCTCCTCAATTCACTGCAGATTTCTTACGTGGATATTAAGGGAATGAATGCAATACCAAAGTGCCCATTAATCCATGAGATAGGCAGGGTGTATTTCTTTTTCTCTCAAAGCCTCAAGTCTTAAGACATTATTTTTATTTAAAAGACACAGACTATTAAGCACCAGAATGTAAAACTTGCATGACCTCAAAAAAATACTTCAAAGAAATTTTGAGTTTATAGTGACTTCTTTGGGCTGAACTCTAATCAACCTTGAGATAAAGTTTCCCTTTCTCTACCTTCTGCTTCTAAAAGTTACTTTGATTAAAGTCCTGTTGCAAGAAAAAAAAGAAAGTTAAGAACTAAAAAAAAAGGGAGGGTCATGACAATTTGCTCAATAGATCTGTATGAAGGTCTGAAGAAGATAGGCTAGGCAGGTATAGTAAGGTAGCTAATTAAAAGGTCTCTGAGTAGTTTTTATTTATTTGCTTGTTTTAACCTTTTATTGTGGTAATGTTTACATATTCACAAAAGTGGTGGGAACAGTATAAGAACCTTTCAGTGTCCGTCATCCAGATTAAAAAACCATTTAAAAATTGCCTCTTTTTTTCTGCCTATCTTTTTCACTCCTTCTGCCCACACCCCGCCCCTGTTGAATTATTTTAAAGCAAATCTACTTTGGGAAAATGATGATGGATTCTGCTGGTCAGTGGGAAGCAAGTGAGGACAGCAGCACGTTCAGAAAAGAAAGATGGCATTTGGGAGACATTTGGGATGTGGAAGGGGTAGGATTTAAGGACCAATTAGATGTTAGTGCTAAGGGAGGGTGAGCATTTGTAGATGACTTCAACTTTCTAGCTTAAACAGGGTAACATATCGAGATAAAGAAATTCTTGATGGCTTGTTGATACTCAATCTGTTCCATCCAAGCTATCACTAAGTCATGTTGATTCCACTTCCAAAATATATTCAATATCCATGCATTTCTTCCCACCACCATTTGAATCCAGACAACCATCATCTCTTGCCTGGTCCAATGACAAAGCTTTATAATTTGAATTTTTTTAACAGAACATCAGACAGTTTAATAGATGCTTCTCTTGACTTACATCTTTTTTTTTTAAATTATAATTTATATTCAGGGACACATGTGCAGAACGTGCAGGTTTGTTATATAGGTATACAAGCGCCACGGTGGTTTGCTGCACCCAACAACCCATCAACCCGTCATCTACATTGGGTATTTCTCCTAATGCTCTCCCTCCCCTAGTCCCCCACCCCCCGACGGGTTGTATGATGTTCCCCTCCCTGTGTCCATGTGTTCTTATTGTTTAACTCCCACTTATGAGTGAGAACATGCGGTGTTTGGTTTTCCGTTCCTGTGTTAGTTTGCTGAGAATGATTGTTTCCAGCTTCATCCATGTCCCTGCAAAGACATGAATTCATCCTTTTTTATGGCTGCATAGTATTCCATGGTGTATATGTGCCACATTTTCTTTATCTAGTCTATTATTGATGGGCATTTGGGTTGGTTCCAAGTCTTTGCTATTATGAACAGTGCTGCAATAAACATATGTAGAATGATTTATAATCCTTTGGGTAGATACCCAGTAATGGGATTGCTGGGTCAAATGGTATTTCTGGTTCTAGATCCTTGAGGAATTGCCACACTGTCTTCCATAATTATTGAACTAATTTACACTCCCACCGACAGTGTAAACATGTTCCTCTTTCTCCACATCCTCTCCAGCATCTGTTTCCTGACTTTTTAATGATTGCCATTCTAACTGGTGTGAGATGGTATCTCATTGTGATTTTGTTTTGCATTTCTCTAATGACCAGTGGTGCTGAACCTTTTTTTCATATGTTTGTTGGCCGCATAAATGTCTTCTTTTGAGAAGTGTCTGTTCCTATCCTTCACCCACTTTTTGATGGGGTTGTTTGTTTTTTTCTTGTAAATTTGTTGAAGTTCTTTGTAGAGTCTGGATATTAGCCCTTTGTCAGATGGATAGATTGCAAAAATTTTCTCCCATTCTATAGGTTGCCTGTTCACTCTGACGATAGTTTCTTTTGCTGTGCAGAAGCTGTTTAGTTTAATTAGATCCCATTTGTCAACTTTGGCTTTTGTTGCCATTGTTTTTGGTGTTTTGGTCATGAAGTCTTTGCCCATGACTGTCCTGAATGATATTGCCTAGGTTTTCCTCTAGGGTTTTTATGGTTTTAGGTCTTACATTTAAGTTCTTTAATCTATCTTGAGTTAATTTTTATATAAGGTGTAAGGAGGGGATCCAGTTTCAGTTTTCTGCATATGGCTAGCCAGTTTTCCCAACACTATTTATTAAATAGGGAATCATTTCCCCATTGCTTGTTTTTGTCAGGTTTGTGAAAGATCAGATAGTTGTGATTGTGTGGCATTATTCCTGAGTCCTCTGTTCTGTTCCATTGGTCTATATGTCTGTTTTGGTACCAGTACCATGCTGTTTTGGTTACTGTAGTCTTCTACCACTGAGCTTCATCCTTGTTTGCAAATCTCTACAAAGCAGGCAGAATAGTATCTTAAAATTATAAACAGAATGTGTGATTTCTCTACCTAAAATCCTTCACTGTATTTCACTTAGAGTACATTCCAAAGTTCTTACCAGGGCTGTCAATGTCCTCTATAATCTGGCCCACCTATTTCTCCAGCCACGTCTTGTGCTACACTCTTCTTGTTTGCTAAGCTCCAACCATTGTTGCCTCCCTTAATATTACAAGCTCTCTTAATATTCCAAGAGTTTTTTCTGCCAAAATGCTCTTCTTCTTGCTGTTTCCCCAGCTGGAATACTTTTTTCTTTCAATCCTTTTTAGCATGGTGGCTTCTCTTCATCTTACTCAAAGGCTTTGTTTTTGTAGTTGTTGAGATCCACAAGCAGAGAACAGGTCTGTTTTATTTGTCTTTATTCTTATGCATAGTACAGTGCCTGATATGTAGTTAGGTTCCCAATAAATGATAAAAGTGTTCATCAGTTAATAAGTAAGTAGAGGATACAGAAGAATCAGCTTTTGTGGGCTAAGTAGAGAAGGGATACTTTTTTTTTTATTTTGGACAGATTAAATCGTGTGCATCATCAGAGTAAAAACATCGAGCAGAAACTCTGGAGTGTAATTCGGGAGCTCAGAGGAGATAAGTTGAGGCCAGAGATCAGGTTGGAAGAGTTATTAGTATATGGATTTTTAAAATAATGATAATTTATGATGTGCCAGGTTTTTTTCTGTACATTTTCCATATATTAGCTCATTTAATTTTCACAGCAGTCTTAAGTAGTAGTAGTTGTTACTATTAACGCTATTTCACATATGAAGAAACCAAGACAAAGAAGGTTTAAATGCCCCAGATGGTGATAGAAACCATGGGAATGGATGAGCTTGGGGAGAGCATTTTCAGTGAGAGAACATGACCATTGAGGATGGGATCTAGTAAAACAGAATGAGAGGCAGGTAGAAGAAACAATGACCAAGTAGATAGAAAGGCAATGGAGCGCGGTACCTTTGAAGTTCAAGGAGAGAACATTTTAAGCAAGTGGACGTGCTAATGGCAATATAGGCTTCTGAGAGATCGCGGAGGGTTTAGAATATCAATTTCATTGCATTTGATTAAAAGAAGGCTATTAATGACTAAAGCAAGTATTCTGTGCAAAGTAAGGTGGTTGGAAACTGGGAGGATTTCCCAAAGACATTGAAAAGAAAGTCAAATCTTAGGGTTTTTTTCTGCATCTTCAAAAATATTTAATTTTATTTTTATATTGACAGATAAAATTGTATGTGTTTACTGTGTACAACGTGGTGTTTTGAAGTGTCTATACATTGTGGAATGATGAAATCTAGCTAATCAACAAATGCATTACCTCATGTGATTATCACTTGTGTGATGATAACACTTTACATCCACTCTCAGCATTTTTCAATAATATAATATTATAGTCAACATGCTGTACAATAGATCTCTTGGACTTCTGCCCATCAAACTGAAATTCTGTACCCTTTAACAACATCTTCCCATCACTTCAGTCCCTGGTAACCATAATTCCTTGCTCAATTCTATAAGATCAACTTTTTTAGTTTTCACATGTGAGTGAGATCATGTAGTATTTGTTTTCCTGTGCCTGGCTTATTTCACTTAACATCATGTTCTCTGGGTTCATTCATGTTGTCACAAATTACAGGATTTCATTCTTTTTAAAGTATAAATAATATTCCATTGTGTATATTTACCAAATTTTCTTTCTTCATTCATTCATTGGCAGACCTGTAGGTTGATTCTATATTTTGGCTATTGTGAATAATGCTGCAGTAAACATGGATGTGCAGACATCTCTGTGACATACTGATTTCATTTCCTTTGGATATGTACGTAGTAGTAGGGTAGCTCAGTTATATAATATTACAATCTTTAATTTTTTGAGAAACCTCCATATTGTTTTCCACAATGGCTGTACTAATTTACATTCCACCAACAGTGTGCAAGGGTTATCTTTTCCCTACATCCTCGCCAATGATCGTTATTTTCTGTCTTTTTGATAATACCCATTCTAACGAGTGGGAGGAAATATCACATTGTGGTTTTAATTTGTACTTTTCTGATGATTAATGATAATAAACATTTCTCATGTACTTGTTGGACATTTGCACATCTTTTTTTGAGAAGTATCTATTCAGTTCCTTTGACCATTTTTAAATTGGGTTATTTGTTTCCTTGTTATTGAGTTGTTTGAATTCCTTATGTATTTTGGATATTAACCCATTATTAGATGTATAGTTTGCAAATATTTTCTCGCATTCTATAGGTCGTCTCTTTACTACATTGATTGTTTACTTTGCTGTGCAGAAACTTTTATTTTGATGCAATCCCATGTGTCGATTTTTTCTTTTGTTTTCTGTACTTTGGGGTTCATAGGCAGAAAATTACTGCTCAAACCAGTGTCCTAGAGCTTTTCCTCTGTTTTTGTCTAGTGGTTTTGTAGTTTCAGGTCCTACAGTTAAGTCTTATAGTCTCTTTTGAGTTGATTTTTTGTATATGATGTGAATTAAGGATCTAATGTCATTCAACTGCTAGTGGATATTCAGTTTTCTCAGCACTATTTATTGGAGATACTTTTCTTTCCCCATTGTGTACTCTTGGCACCTTTGTCAAAAATCAGTTGGCTGGCTGTAAATGTGTGGATTTATTTCTGGGTCTCTGTTCTGTGTCCCATAGGCCTAAATGTCTGTTTTCTTGCCATTGTGTTTTTTTTTTTTTTTTGTTGTTGTTGTTTTGTTTGTTTGTGTTTGAGATACAGTCTCACTCTGTTGCCAGGCTGGAGCACAGTGGTGCGATCTCGGCTCACTGCAAGCTCTGCCTCCCGGGTTCAAGAGATTCTCCTGCCTCAGCCTCTGGAGTAGCTGGGATTACAGGCACGCGCCACCACACCTGGCTAATTTTTGTATTTTTAGTAGAGACGGAGTTTCACCATGTTGGCCAGGATGGTGTCAATCTCTTGACCTCGTGATCCACCTGCCTCAGCCTCCCAAGCCATTGGTTTTTATAGATACAGACCCTGAAGAAAAATAGATGGACTATGAAAAAATACTATTTTTATCGGATACTTTGGCCTGTGTCAGAATTTGGCATCTGAATTTAGATACTTAGTATGAGCCTGTTGAATAATGAGTTGAGAGAAAAATGGAATAAATATTGTCACATGCTGCATTATTTATATTTCAGGTGTCTCTAGATCAAAATGGAACATATTCTATAGGAAAAAAATGAGTAATTAAATTGAGGTGTGCCAAATGTTTATAAATTATGTAACTAATATTGAATATTAATAAAAGTTTTGAGAAGCATTTGTAACTTTACTTAATAAGCAATGCTGTATACCATTAGAGAATGCTTTGTGAGCTTCCAATTTAATCTATAATTTTTCAAACTCTTATTCAGTATATGGAAAAGGCAATTGTAGCCCACAGTGGATATTAGAAATAAATTTTTGCTTGGCTCCACATACTCTGTTTTCTTTTCCATCTTTATAAGAAAGATTTGTGTAGATTAGTGCAGATGGTATTTGTCTTATTTAAGTGTGTTTAGAGTGATGTTTAATATTAAGAATTTTTGAAAATGTAAAGTCTATGATGAAGTATAATGAATATTAACTTGCTACCCTTTGATTCTCCAAATAATCTTAGTCTAGCTTAGGGCTTTCAGAGAAATAAAACAATATAACTTATTTCAAGGCAAAATGTTTCTCTAGGTTTCACCGGAAGACTTTTGTGAAAAGATGTGGATCAATTATACCTATTTTTGGAACTATGAATGTGATGCACTTTCTGCATATGTGGCTCTGTGCAACAAGTTTGATATCTGTATTCAGTGGAGAACACCTGATTACTGCTGTGAGTAACTGTTAACTGAATATTTTTCCATCATAAATAAATTTCACTTTTGCAATCACTTCTTTCCTTCTTTTTCTTTTTTATCATGAACTAATTTAGTAAGCATAAAATGCACAGAAGAAGCTATGACAAACACAAGTTACATCACTTGATTTCAGAAATAAAACAGTCACACATGAAGCTCCCTTTGTGCCTTCTCCAGCCCTTCCCTTTCTCTTTTCCCTGAGAGGTAATCACTATTCAAGAGGGGCATTGCTGATTCATCGGGAATGTGTGTCATCTCCAATTTCACTAGACACTGTCAAATTGTTCTCCACTGAGATTATACCATTTATAACCCCACCATCTGAGCATTTAATTTTTAATAGTATGACTTTTTACATTCATTGACAATCCACAAGGATTTTCTAAAACATCATTTATAAACTGCTCACCAATAGTAATTTCTTTTGACAGTGAAGGATCAAACCTAAATATACAACATTTTTCTTTTTTATGATTTGGTTGAGTTATATACTGAAAGTGTATTTTGGTTATAATTCTGAGTAGACTGTTATCATAATAGTTGATTGTATATTTATGCCAACCAGACTTGGGCTGCCTGTTGGTGATATTTATTTGTTATACATCTGATAAGCGTTTCCTACCATAACAGCTAATCCTAGCAGACCCTTAGAAAATGTTTAAAAATTACAAAAAATGCAAAAAACAAACACATTGATGCCTTTGTTTCTGATTTATGGTTACAGAGTAAGTGAAAAATGGACTTTGAAGAGACTAAAATTTGCAAAATATATTTTCTAAAAGAAATCTGACATTTCTTTCTTTTACTAGAATTTAAATAAGTTACTTTTATCATTAGCAAATTTTGTCTCCTATTCTTCAAAGCCCTGAGTTGCCCAGAGGGGAAGGAATATCAACCCTGTGTGCGACCTTGTGAAGCAAGAACATGCCTGAACCAATGGTTCTATGGACACACTTCCTGTTTGAATCTAAGAGAAGACTGTGTGTGCAAAGTTGGAACTATTCTTCACAGGCCACATTCAGCCCAGTGCATTCCAGAGAAAGAGTGTGGTAAGACACAAAGTACAAAATGACTTCTCAGGAATCCGGCAAACAAACAAAAACATTTTTTAGATATTGCAGAGATGTGCTAACAAAGGTTTATCAAAGACAGCCTCTGTTGGAAAGGAAATGAGTTTGTTTGTAGTTTGATTTTAATATGATTTCAAGAGAAGTTAATTGTTACAAAAGCTTCAGTGGTAATATGTTTTAATCTTTATATCTGCCCATAGTAACTGAGAAAAAGCATGGGAAATCAAGAATTAAGAGTGTGGATTATGGACTGAACTCAAAATCAACTTAATTCATGTATTAGTTGTTCATTTTTACTCCTATGAGTCTCAGGTTATGCATCTGGAAAGTGAGGAAAATAATAGTACTTATAAGGTTAGTGTGGGGCTACATAATTTAGTAGAAAGCATTTTGCATTTGACATGGTGCCTTGAGAAAGTAAGCATGTAAGAAATGGCAGATGGTACTATTATCTGGGTACTATGATTTGGATGTGATTTGTTCCCACCAAAACTCATGTTGAGGTTCGATCCTCCGTGTGGCAGTGCTGGGAGGTGTGGCCTAGTGGGAGGTGTCTGGATCATGGGGCCACTGCCCTCATCAATAGATAATGCCTTCTCAAGGTTGTGAGTGAGTTATTGCTCTTGTGAGACTAGATTAGTTCTAGCAGAAATGGAATCTTTCCCTAAAGTACAGATTGTTATAAAGGGAGTTTCCTCTTCATATTTTATTCCTCTTCACATCTGTCCACTTCTTTGACCTTCTGCCATAGTACAAGGCAGGAGAAAAACCCTCACTGGAAGCTCAGTAGATGCTGGCGCCATGCCCCTTGAACTTCCCAGCCAGCAGAAGTGTGATTAAATGAACCTCTTTTCTTTATAAACTATCCATTTTCAGGTATTCTCTTAGAGCAACACAAAATGGACTAAGATACTGGAGGAACACATCTAGTATTTGTAATTATATTTTCGAACAATGTTATTTTGATGCATTGTCTCCATGGTGGTGGCAGATGAAAAAGTGCAAAATTGAGATGATTGCAACACAGGAATTGTCAGTCATAGGCCTCTTCATTACGATCAAAAGAAAATGAATTGACTAATAATTAAAGAAAAAGGCAAGGAGAAGTGAAATGCATATATAGTTTCAGAAACAAGCCAGTGTTTGCCAATATAGAAAGTATCTGTGGAAGACTTTGAGAATATACACATGTGCTTATATTTGTTCTTTAGAGATCTATGAGATTTGGTTTGATAGCAAATAGGATAAGAGTTCACTGGAGGCTGGGGATATGGTTGATAAATACATTTATCATTATTATTCCTTAAAAGAACTACTAGATGGTCATATTTATCATAAAATAAAACTTTTACTTAAAAGTAATAGTCACTACATAATATTTTGCCTGATTGCCTACTTTTTACTTTTAGATTTTAAAGCAGAAATATTTTGAATTTTCATATGATGTAAATGTTATATGAGGTAGGGACTACCTTGTTTTCTCATCCCACTCATTTTTAACAGTTACTGTTTTCAAACTAATTTAAATTTATATTATTGAATTTGATTAGGCTAAATAAATTATATTAACAGGACTTAAAATGTGTCAAAAATAATAGATCATTTCATTTATAGAAGAAGACATACAGATTTACAGATGGTTGTAAAAGGAAAGAAATTTTTCTTTTACTTTTTTCTTTTCTTTCTTTCTTTCTTTTCTTTTTTTTTTTTTTTTTTTGAGACAGGATCTACTCTGTTGCACAGGCTTGAGTACAGTGGTCATAGCTCACTGAGACCTCAAACTCTGGGCCTCCAGTGATCCTCCCACCTTAGCTTCCTGAGTAGCTGGGACTACAGGCATGCCACTACACTTCGCTAATTATTTTTCTTTTTGGTAGAGACAAGGTCTTACTCTGTTGCCCAGGCTAGTCTCAAACTCCTGGCCTGAAGCAGTCCTCCCTCCTCAGCCTCCCAAACTGCTGGGATTATAGGCACGAGCCACTGCATCTGACCAGGAAAAAAATATTTTCTGTGGACTAAGTATAAACTTTCATTAAAGAAAAATGTAAGTTAGTGGTGATGAAAGAGAAATCTGAGAAAAACAATAGACTTGTGACACATCATTATGTCACTGGGCCATGTCACAGTCTGAAACCAAAACATGGTGGCATGATTTATTTTAGTGCCCAGGTTTTGAGTGTTATAATACTGTTGATCTTTTTAAGCATGCACTGATAGTGAAGACCAACCCCGCACTGCTGGGGAGATTTGGAATGGGGGCATTGATGAATGCACTCTATACAAATGTTTGGAGAATGGAAGCATTATCCCTATAGAACCTGACTGTGATGAAGAGCCCACGCCAGTTTGTGAACGAGAAGCTGAAGTTGTCATGGGCATCATTGATAAATGGACCTGCTGTTCAAAGGAAGTTTGTGGTATGTATGCAGAAGCCTTATAGTCAATTGATTCCACAAAATATGTTGATATTCTTTGTGAAAAAGCAGAGCATATATAATGCTTTGTATTTTTAAAAAAGGGCCATAAATGTCATTTTCTCAAAGCAAGTTTTGTTTCATTACAATTCTGTTGAATACACATGAAAAACTCTGGCTATTCACAGTTAATAACACTCAACAAAACATGAGAAGAGGAAAGATCTGGAAATCTTTGATGTATGAATCAAGGGTGAAAGACAATAATAGAAAAATGTCAAAGCTGCTGCATTTTCATATATGGCCCACTTTGTTAGATGAGTGGGTTAACTGCAGTGTAAAAACATGCATAATGAGAGTCATTTCCCGTCTTTGAGTTTCCTGTCTTGAGTTGGCAGTCATTTCCCTGCTTTGAGTTGGCAGATTTTAGTTGTGTTCACTAATATTTTAACAGTTTTTCTTATTTATAGGATGTGACACGACTTTGTGTGAAACTAGCATTCCAACATGTACAAATAGTCAAAAATTGATTGTTGGCCACAGTCCTCTTTCTTGCTGTCCACAGTACAAATGTGGTAAGTAATCAATATAGAAAATTAAGAGTGAGGTTCATTGTTCATTCAGAACAGTGAATTAGATTCTCATTCATTGTGTCTCCAAGAGAATGATTTATTATAAAAGATTGCGGACTTGTCTTGCTAATTTTTTAAACCTGGTATATATCTTTCATATATATGTATATATATATATGATTAAGAACTTTAAAATAAGTTATTTATTACTAAATTCAAAGAGAGGTAAACACTATGTCATTTTTTTATTATGCTATACAAATTTTCTAATGTAATTTTGTTTCTGCAGAATGTGACCCATTGAAATGCCCCAGTATTTCAACACCAGAATGCAGAGAAGATCAATTCATGATTCAAGTTCGACAGGAAGAACCTTGTTGTTTTTCCCCTTTTTGTGGTGAGTATTGTAGAGATAATTTCTTGGAAGAAGAGAAAGGATCTAGGAAAAAAATCTCTTATTTGATGTGAATTTTATGAGACTGATGGCAAGCAATATTCTGATGTTATAAGAATTCAACTGAATGAGAACTCTTGTAAAGAAAGTATGACATTTTAAATGACTAGACAATAATAATAAATACCTTCCCCCATCAACAAAAACTACATACATCAGTCCAAATATGACCAAGATATTTAAATCAAGCTTTTTAAATAAGGCCAATACCTTTTTTCGAAGAAAAATTTAGCACTGGCTTTCCTTGAAGAACCAACTTGAATAATGGGCTCTGCTAAGACTTCATAGGACGTCTTTAAAACTTCATGTCCTGTATATCATGTTTGAGGTATGATGATCTCAAAAAAGAATGGCAGAAAGAAAGAGTGACTGGAAAATGACTGGAGCTAAATATTCTGCCTGGTGAACTGAATATTGAAATATAAAGAATTCTCTAATTTTTTTTTTCAAATGAATCATTATATCCAAGATTGCTTGGTGATTAATGTAGGTTTCAGAAGTAATCAAAACAATTTCTTTGCATCAGTTAAGATTCATTGACTGCAAGTGGCAAAACTGATGGATTCTGGCTAGCTTTAGCACAACCTGTTATTGGAAGAATCTGGGGAAGTAGGACCAAAATGAAGCAGAACAGTCAAGCCCTAGGAAGAAGAGAAACCAGCTGTTCTAGGTAGAAGTCACTAATGATTGAGCCAACTTTATTTTTTTCTTCAGTTGATATGTCTCTATATATGACTCAAATTCCATCCAAAGGGATTCCGATTACTCCTATGTGGGTTGTTTCTACAGAGTGGCCTGGTTGAGGCACCTTTAAAGATAGTCACTCAAAAAGGTGTGGGTGGTGCATTTCCTCAAGGTCATTCAGAGACTAGTTATCAAAGGTGGGACGGCATGTTGAAGCAGCCCAAAAGAACAAACGCCTACTACATTTTCATCCCTAAATGAGAGTAATCAATGATAGTGAATTAAGAAAACATAAATATAATAAATAAACAAGTGACATTTTGATTCTAATGAGAACAAATTACCTAGGAAATCTGAATGTTCTACCTTTCTGGTAAGATGGTGTTCTATATGTCACTGTGCTTGGAAAGCATAAGGCAATATACTCAGACAGTATTATTGTTTTTATGGCCAAATAAGGAAATATACCTCATGTTTCTTTTACTATTTTCTTAAACAAAATTGATTTGATTTGTGTATGGTAATTTAAACTCATATTATAATTCATGGTTTTTAGCTCAGCTGTGATTTTTGGCTTCTTGTTTTACCTTAGTTTGTGAATCTTGCACCAAACCTGTTCCACTATGTCATGATGGGGAATTTCTCACAGTAGATCTTAATAGCACACACTTCTGTTGTCCTCAGTATTACTGTGGTAAGTGTATATTAACTATTCTAAAATATTTAGATGTGTCCAATGTTTAAGAAGCCCAGTGCATCTTAGTTGGCTGTTACATCAGACCCTTTTTCAAAGTTTTTCATTTGATGAGCTATCCTAGCACCAGTACTCTTTTTGTACCTGTTTATATGTCAATTGTTTTATCTTCACCAACACATGGCAATCTGACGGTGGGAGAGGTAGCACTTGGGAAATATGAATCCATGCATTATTGTAATGGCAGTGAACTAAATGGTAGGTAATGAGAAATGGCAACTCTATAAAATTCATCTTTACCCATGTAATTTTTCTTTTTAGTATGTGAACCAAACCTTTGTCCTATGCCATTACTCAACTGTGCAGAAGATATGAATCTTGTGAAAGAAAATGTATCTGGTCAATGTTGCCCAACATGGCACTGTGGTAACTAATTTTCATATTTTAAGGTTTCATTATAATAAGTTAATTATTTTGATCAATGTAAATATGTTGATTTTTGCCTTTTAGAATGTAACTGTGAAAACCTTATTATGCCAACTTGTGAAGTGGTAAGAACACATATTTTGATTGACTTGTCATATTTATTTAAATCTGTTTATTCTTCCTTTATCTCTCTCATTTCTAAATTCTTCTTAGAGTTAATAAAATTACCCACATTAAATTGTACTAAAGTAGATTAAAATAATGTGCTCTGATATTAGGAAATAGTCAATAAGTTATATTTTAGTTGAGATAGGAAAGTACAATACATTATTTTTTAACTGCTGATAGAATCTGCTAATCTTATATCTACTTCAGTTCCCTGTATTAAAATGAAGCAAAATATTGAAAAAAATTATCTTAATATTGAGTGGTGTTGCTAATGATTCTTTAAGAAAGTGAGCTAATAATGCCTCTGTTGTAGAGGAGAAGGGGGTATAAACATGGAACAGCCTGTTTCTTCTTAAGCGTTATCTGCGAACATGTAAACCTTATAGAAATTTCAAATATTTAATTTTTAGAAATAACTAGGATAACTCTGGTGTCACTTATTTAATCCTTAAATGTATCCCGTGGTACTTTACAAGTCTTTGTTTTCTTTAACTATCTTCATGATATGCCGATAAGGCTTGAGAAAGACAATATATTCCTGGCGCTATTTATTAGAGAAGACAACGTTTTATTTCACAAAGACATTTTACTTTTCTTTTCCTTCTCAAACAATGTGTACACTTAGAGAATTCTTTCAGAATCTCCAGTTCAAAGCTATATTATGAAGAATGAATGAGGTACTTTTTAAAGTAAAAGAACCCTTCCTAGGATGACACTGTTTTATTTAAAAAGCATTAATCCAACATTTGCTTTAATGATGCTTTCATCTATGGTTTACAGAGAATGTTTAAACTTTACAAATAACTTTCATAATAATTCTGTCATTTGATTATTTTGTGTGTACACTGTATATACATCTACACAAGAGTAGAATTATGATGCCATGTATTTCTCTAGTCCTTCACAGTTACATAACATATTCAGTATACTATCTTATTGAATCTTTACCAAGTCAGCACTTTAGCTCATTTTATAAGTGAGAAAGATGAGGTCTAAGGGAATAAATTATTGGCTAAGCTTTTCAGGGTTCTAACCAAGGATTGCTTTTTGTGTGTGTATGTTTGCATATTCCTTATTCTTTCTACTTTGCCTTAACTCTTTATTTCCCTTAGAAAATGTAGCCAAGGCACAACTTGAAACAAGAATGAAAGAGAATGTGAGACTGCCTTGTTTCTACCTTTCTCTAGCTGTGGCTCACTTAGGCAGTAAATAAATTAATATAATTTAAATGCTTAGTGTCTGACATATAGAAAGGGCTCAATCAGTATTAGTTATAAGTATTAGTTTTTTTGACACATTAAAACGTAAATTTCTTAATTTTTTTTCCCTTTACAAGTCTGACCTAGCCCTTTTCTACTTTCTATCTTTTTTCTGGGACACATAGGTTGGTTTGTTTCTCTCACTCCCTCTCTCCCTCTCACTCCCCCTCTCTCCCCCTCTCTCTCCCCCTCTCTCCCTGTCTCTCCCCGCTCCCCTTTTCTCCCCCTCTCTCCCCCTCCCCCCCCTCGCTCTTTCCCTCTCTCTCCTCTCTCTCCCTCTCTCCCTCTCACTCTCCTTTCTTTCTTGTCTTGCTCTGTCACCAGGCTGGAGTGCAGTGGTGTGATCTCTGCTCACCGCAACCTCTGCCTCCCGGCTTCAAGTGATTCCCCTGCCTCAGCCTCCTGAGTAGCTGGGACTGCAGGCGTGTGCCACCACGCCCAGCTAATTTTTTGTGTTTTAGTAGAGACGGGGTTTCACCATGTTGGCCAGGATGGTTTCAATCTCCTTACCTCGTGATCTGCTCGCCTTGGACTCCCAAAATGCTGGGATTACAGGTGTGAGCCACCGCGCCTGGCTGGGACACACAGGTTTTCTAAAGGCAAACTAGAACCAGTATACAATCTTTGTGTTTAATTTTATTTTTTATTTATTTATTTTTAAAATGGACAAATATTGTATATATTTATTATGTACATGTTAATTCAAAATATATATACATTATGGAATAGCTAAATTGAGTTAATTAACACATGCATTACCTCACGACATCATTTTTTTGTGATGAGAACACAGAATCTATTATCTTAACAATTTTTAAAAATACAATACATTGTTACTAATGATTGTCATTATGTTTTATAATAGATCTCTTGAACTTATTTCTCCTATCTAACTGAAATTTTGCATCCTTTGGCCAACATGTCCTCAAACCCTGCTCCCCCACCCTCAGCCCTGGTAACCACCATTATACTCCCTACCTTCTGTGAGTTCAACTTTTTTAGATTCTGCATATAAATGAGATTATGTGGTATTTGTCTTTCTGGGCTTGGCTTATTCCATTTAACATAATGTCCTCCAGGTTCATCCATGTTGTCTCAAATGACAGGACTTTCTTCTTTTTCAAGGCTGTATGGTATTGCATTGTGTATATATACCACATTTTCTTTATCCATTCATCCTTTGGTGGACACTTGGGTTGATTCCATATCTTGGCTATTGTGAATAGTGCTGCAGTAAACATGGGAGTGCAGATATCTCTACGATATAGTGATTTTATTTCTTTTGGATATATACCCAGTAGTGGAATTGCTGGATCATATAGTAATTCTATTTTTAATTTTTTGAGGAACATATATACTGTTTTTCATAATGACTATGCTAATTTACATTCCCACCAACAGCATGCAGGGTTTCTTTTTCTGCATCTTCACAAACACTTGCTATCTTTTGTCTTCTTGATAATGACCATTCTAACAGGTATGAGGTGATATTTCATTATGGATTTAATTTGCATTTCCCTGATTACTAATATTAAGCATTTTAAAATATACTTCTTGGCCATTTATATGTTTTCTTTTGTAAAATGCCTATTCAGGCCCTTTGCCCATTTTAAAAATCAGCTTATTTGTTTTTCTTGATATTGAGTTGTTTGAGTTCTTTACATATTTTGGATATTAACCCATTATTTGATGTATAGTTTTCAAATATATTCTCTCACTCTATAGGTTGTCTCTTCACTCTGTTGATTGTTTCCTTTGCTGTGCAGAAGCTTATTAGCTTGCTATACTCCCATTTGTCCATTTTTCTTTTGTTGTCTCTACATTTGGGTTCACAGCCAAAAAAATCATTGCTGAGACCAATATCCTGGAGCTTTTCCTCTATATTTTCTTCTAGTGGTTTTATAGTTTCAAGAATTACAGTTAAGTCTTTAATCCCCTTGGAGTTAATTTTTGTATGTTGTGTGAGATAATGGTCTAATATAATTTGTCTGCATGCGGAAATGCAATTGTTCCAACATCATTTATTGAATAGACTATCCTTTTCCTGTTGTTTGTTCTTGGTAACTTTGTCAAAAATTAATTGGCCATAATTCATGGATTGATTTCTGGATTCTCTATTCTGTTTTATTGGTCTATGTGTCTGTTTTTATGCTGGTACCATGCTGTTTTGATTACTGCAGCTTTGTAGTACATTTTGAAGTCAGGTAACATGATGCTGCCAGCTGTGTTCTTTTTGCTCAAGATTGCTTTGGCTATTTGGTGTCTTTTGTGGTTTTAAGCAAATTTGAGGATTGTTTTATCTATCTCTGTAAAAAATGTCACTGGAATTTTGACAAGGTTGCATTGAATCTGTAGAGCAATTTGAGTAGTATAGATATCTTAACAATAAAATTTGGGGAGCACATTAAAACTTAATTTCTTAAATTATTTTGTTATATTTGATTACAAATTAAACATGATGCTCAGAATGTTAATCACATTATAGAGATCATTATGAAGAAGTTTCCAGAGATGGCAACCATCAAGAAAAGCTTGGAAGAATGTGATAGGTTAACAATAATGGATGAAAGCAGTTGAACTATTTCGGACAGGGGCTAATAGAAACGGAAGTAAATTCACAAAGCTATGAGGTAATAGATGTATGCTGAAAAATAATGACCATAAAACCCTCTCTCTCACCTAGAGAAATAGCTAACTGAAGGAAGAATGAGATATAAAAATCTATACAAATTGGTATATTTGGGGAGGGTTTTATTTTTTATTTTTATTTTCTAGAGACAGAGTCTGTCTCTGTTGCTTAGACTGAAATGCAGTGGCACAATCATAGCATCATTGAACTCCTAGGCTCAAGTGATCCTCCCGCCTTGGCCTCCCAAAGTGCTAGCATTAGAGGTGTGAGCCACTGCACCTGGCCAAGAGGGCTTTAAAGGCAAGGCTGAGGAATTCAGATTTTATTTATTCAATTATTATTTTCATTTATTTCTTCAACCAACATTTGTTGAAGATAAGTTATGGGCAGTCATCATGCCAGACACTTGAAAAAACACAATCCTACCCTGAGGAGCTCTGTGCAAATTTTATATGATAGGAGATGGAAAGAGTCCTGTATAGGATGAAAATCATGATGAAAATGGTGTTTGAGGGAGATGTTTCTATTTGTGCATAGCAGGATATGAGCACTAAAACATTAGAGGGCAGGAGATCAGCAAAGAGACTGGTATAGCCATTTACGAATGAACATCTTCACTATTGTGAGGTTGGTGTGAATTTAGGAGGGCAAAATGAAAGACTGGCCTTTTGTAACAAGTTGAACAAATGTGTTGGGGGTTGGGGAGTGGGAAGAGAGAGAGAAAGAGAGAGAGAGAAATTGATTTAAAAACTTGAAGGTTTCAAGTCTTGCACACCAAGAATCCAAGATTACTAGGTCCTTGGACAAACATTACAATGGCCAGTGGAGCAGCTGAGAGTAGAGGTCCTGGTATTTGACTTGTAACCAGCCTCATTCAGAGCTCCTCTTATTTTTTTGGCCTGGAAAAAGCAAAATAGCATCTTGAGTCATTTCAACAACTTCCAATGTAACAAGAAAAACCTAGCCTTTCCTCCTATGGGATTTTATACTTCCTGTGTTCTAGATGCTTTGAAGCTTTTTGGAGTAGCAGTCTCTATGTTCATACATTAACCTTGGTCTGGTTGTGACCTTAGCTCTGTTTTTTATTTATTTATTTATTTTTTCCCAAGTGGATTTCTACCAGTCTCTACTTTCTCTTTTCTTGTGTTTTCCCTCCCCAGCATTTGTGCTAGATGCTGGCCCATCTAGCTTATTTCCAACTCAACCCTCAATGTCTGAATATTAATTATGAATCATATTTTGATATTCAGTATTCCAAGAATTTTAAAATGACTTTTATATTATTAGCATTGTGCTAGACACACAGAACGTAACTAGTAGCTTTAATATCCTTGAACATCTTACCCAAATATACATAACCCTTCATCCATGATGATCTAGTTTTAACATTCGTGGCTTTACACAAGCATTTATCTGACTCATTGTTCCTGAGTACTCACTCTGAATAGTGGCTAATGTTTGTTTCAGTGACTAAGGTGATTTTAAAAAATATCACATTAGTTTGTTCACATAGACGAATGTGTTTCAACCTGAAAAATGTATGTTAGGCCTTTGCATTTTTTTAAAATAATAACTTTATTGAATTAAATTCACATAACATACAATACATCCATTTAAAGTGTACAGTTCAATGGCTTTTAGTATATTCACTGAGTTGCACAACCATCAACACAATCAATTTTAGAAGAATTTCATCAATCCAAAAAGAAACCCTGTACCTATTGCAGTCGTTCCTCATTTCTCTCCAAACTCTCCAGCCCTCAGAAATCTCTACTCTACTTTCTGTCTCTCCATGTATTTCTGTTCTTGGTATTTCCTATAAAGAGAATTGTATAATATGTGGTCTTTGTGTCTGGCTCTTTTTACTTAGCATAATATTTTGAAGGTTAATCCGTGTTGCTGCATGTGTCACTACTTCAGTCCTTTGTTGTTAATAATATTCCATTGTATGGATATACCTTGACATTTATCCAAATGTCAACATTTGGATATTTATCTTGGACATTTATCCAAGATGACCAACAGCACATGAGAAGATGCTTAACATCGTTAAGTATCATTTAAATACAAATCAGAACTATAGTGAGATACCACTTCACATCTTGCCTGAATATAAATAACCCTCCATGTATATTAACCCATTATATTAACTCACTAAAAAGACAAAAAATAACACATTTACAAGGCTGTGGAGAAATGGAAACCCTTATACACTACTGGTGGCAGTGTAAAATTGTGCAGCTGCTTTGGAAAACACCTTGGCTATTACTCAGAAAGGTAAACATGGAGTTATTATATAACACAACAATTTCACTCCTAAATATGTACTGATGAGAAATGAAAACATATGTCCACATAAAAACTTATACTCGAATGTTCATAGCAGCACTCTTCATAATAACCCAAAGTGGAAGCAGCCTAAAGTGATTTTGTTGCAGACTTTACAGGAGAGGGATGTTCATTTGGGAGTAAAAATTACCATATTTTTTCAGGTAAATATTTAGAATTGGTAGAGCAATTAAAGAGGTATTTCCTTTTGGTCAAATTTGCAACTTAGAATAAAAGCATAATTGAATACGTGGATAAGATCTGAAAGGAAATGAGCATAGAAGAGAAGGATAGAAGATTTAAGCCTAAGCTCAAGGAAACAGAGTTAACATTATGGCTTTAACTATTAAAAAACAGGTACATATGTTACCTAAAAGAGTTAGTGTAAGCCTAATGCCATCTTTTTAAAGTATTTGGAGTAGTCATGCACTGGAAGAATTCGATTTATTATTATTTTTAGCTCCATTATTCTAACATTTATTTCCAGTCCCATTGGAATTGTCTAATGACTAAAGTCCTGAAATATCAAATGAATTAGTGTCCATAAGACTACTTTACAACTTACAAGGCACTATAAAAAGCAAGACATTATTAGCTTATGAGGAAAAATGCCTTTTATGTGAATGTATTGGAATCATTTATTTATGTCAAGAATAAAATTCATTTTATTACTGATGTCATATGAAAACTAAATGCATCCAGGAAAAGTTGATGCTTTAGACACAATTCTTGAAACTTTAAGCCTGGTCCTGTATTTGGTGGGAAGAATCTTTGTCAGTCCTGATAGGGCAAAGTTTGAGCATCTGTCATAGTAACAATGTACTAACAGCAAAATGCTCTACAGGACTTTCTGTGTGTCAGTCCTATTCTGAACTCTTTACATATATTGATCCATTTATTTCTCTCAACAATCCTAAGAGGCAGGCTGTATTATTATCCCCATATTGCAGATAAGGGAAGTGAGGAGCAGATTGATTAAGTAATGTGCCCTAAATCAAAAAGTTAGTAAGTTATGGAGCCAGGATTGGTGCAAAGGCAGTTCCATTCCTAAGACTGTGCTATTAACCACTGTACTATACTCATTGTGTTGCTGATGTGTATACTATAGCAGCCTTGTGCAGATGCAGACATCAGAACCCTAGGCTGCCTTGGTAGAGCAGATCAAGAACATTTCCATGAAGCAAAGTTCCTAAGGTTGGCAAATGTTGTCTTTGATTGCCCTACAGAAGCTCAGAATCAAACAATATGATTTTAAAGTGTCTGGCTGTGTGATAAGGGACTTATTAGATGTTATCACTGAGTATGTGTGTGTGTGTGTATATATATATATCAATTGTTTTATATATATAGGTTATATATATATATATATATAAAATAAGCTAAATGATAAGTAATAGTAGTATATTTTCAATAGGGAGAATTTACTGCAATAGACCATAACTTCCAGAGTGATTGTGGATGCATACAGTATCTCTGTGGTAACTATGTCTTTTGTAACTTTTAAATTATAAATGAATATCATTAGTATCTGTTTTTTCACTATTAATAAGTTAAAAATCTCATTTTTGAGACACATACATTTTAAGCCATTTGCCAGTATTTGAGTATAAAAATGTGTTATTATGTTTCAATTTCTTCTTTTGTAATATCTCTAAATGTTCTGAGAACTGAATAACAGAACAGAAATATAAATATTTTTTCAGAGGCCTCAGAGAATTTTACAGTGGGCATTAGGCTCTTTTTAATATGTCTACATTTAATTTAAAAATATAGGCATCTAAAAAGTATGATGTTATGCCCATTATATTAGTATTATTATTATTAATGTATTTTTATTAAGACAGAGTTGCTCTGTTACCCAGGCTGGAATATAGTGGCCCCATCCTAGCCCACTGCAGCCTCAAACTTCTGGGCTCAGGCAATCCTTCCACCTTAACTGCCTGAGTAGCTTGTACTACAGACATGCACCACCATACCCAGCTTTTTTTTTTTTTTTTTGGAAATGGGGTCTTGCTATGTTTCCCAGGCTGGTCTCAAACTTCTGGTCTCTAGCAATCCTCTCACTTTGGCCTCACAAAGTACTGGGATTATAGGCATGAGCCACTGTGCCTGGCCAAGAGCTCATATTCTAAACTTGCTATAAAGTATAGCTTTTGGAGGAAGTTCAATCATTAAACAGCAGTTGATTTTATAGATGAATTTTTATTTTATGTTAAGGAATAGTGTACTACATTTTTAAGTAAATATTGGGCCATTAAAATACGTAAATATGAAGATCTTCATTAGTTTTGAAAAATTGGCACATCGCAATGAAAACATAGACTCAAATATAAGTTCCAACGATGGATTAGTACAAAACTCAACAGTATATTTTCTTATTGACTATGTTTTCTGTTCTTAGAAAAGGATGATGTGTGTGTATTTCAAGAAGTATCAGTATTGAATCCTGGACAATCCATGATAAAGTATTTGGAAGAAGACTTTTGTTATGCTATAGAGTGTCTGGAAGAAAAAGATAACCATACGGGCTTTCACACTCTGAATTTTACACTGGTGAATTGTTCAAAAAAATGTGATGTTGTAAGTATTCCTTGTAATTTATTCTGGTGAGAGTTAATGCATTCAAAAATGGCAGAGTTATAGAATTTGAAATGGTGAATACTCCATTAGTTTAAAATATATATTATATAGTTCTTCAATAGTCTACTATTTTGTAATATATCAATAAAACACAGACTTTCACTTTCCTGTGCATAACCTTGAACTTCAGGAGTCTTATTATCTACAGCTTGCCAGGTTGCCTTACCTGAGGTTGTTAAACCTGCTTGATGAATTTGGCTGTTAGAAGTAAAGGTTAACATCTATCTCACTTCTAATATAACCATATAAAGTCAATTATTATTGGAAGCTTCTCATATTCAACCTTAGAAATCCTTACAGTTGTCTGGAAAGAGCTTGTAGTTATGTTTGGAAGAAATAACTCTCCAGAAGTAATTCATTAAAAATATTGATATGGTGTCGCTAATCTAATATCATTATATGCAGCACCAGGTATATACTCCATCCCCAAGTGATTATGGTTGTTGTGGTACCTGCAAAAATGTATCCTGCAAATTTCACATGGAAAATGGAACATCAGTTGTATACGCGGTATGTTTCATGGAGAGTAATGCTCTGTGCTATTTTCTGAAGGAGGAGTTCTTGAGTCAAAGTTTGGAAAATGTCCCCCCCCACACACACTGCACTGCATACAATAAACACAGTACACCTACAGCACACAAGACACAGTTACATTTGTTACATTTTGAAGTATCTGATAATTTATGTTGTAAAGAAAAATGCTTAACTTGTGACTCAAACTTATTTTATCATAGATCTTCACTCCTTTTTTCTAGATGTAAGAAATAGGCTTTGGGAAATGCTGATCGTGAAAGAAAGGAACAATTAATATTTTTATGTGACAGCTGATTTTTGATTTCAGATAAATTAGATATTACTGTTTCTTGAATTTGAATATTTACAGATCTTTTCTAATTGAGGTTCATGGAAGACCTTAAGCCACACATAAAATTAGAATCTAGAGACAAGAAAATAGTCAGGTTCATCAGAATTCTTTACTGATCTGTAAGGAATCTTCAAGCCAAAGTTTGACAACTACTATTTTTTTTTTTTTTTTGCAACTTACAAAAATATAATTCTATCTCTTAAAGCAAATTAACAGAGGTATCAACAGATTAGCATAAATATAATCTATTACAGAGATAGAATTCTTTGGAATAGACAATTGACATTTTTCTAACCTATATATAAAGTACAAAAATACACTTGATATGGTGAGAAAGTAGTGTCAAGGAGGAAAAAAATATATATATGTATAATACACACATATATTTTTATTATGTACAAATCAGTATTTGTTCCTTCACCCTTTCTTTTCAAAAATAAATACTTCATTTGGTTGCAAATGACATTTATAAATTTAACTCATGAATTTCTCAGCTTTGACATAATTAAATATGCAAACAAATTAGAAACACATATTTTTTTAAATGCAAAGACAAAAATACCTGAATCCAATGAGCTTATTATGTTTAAAAATATCTAAGAGCGTGTAATGTAAGGTTTCATGTCTTTAAAGTGCCTTCTCCTTTCCCAAACTGTCTTCATTACTGCTGAAAATCCTTTAAGATTATATCTATAGATTGGCCTGATACTTGATTAAACAGGAAAGCCTGTGTTTTCCCAGGTTAAATGGTTGACTATTTAGGACATGCTTACACTTTCCTTAAGTGCTTTTAAGAGTGTAGCAGTTACTGTTCATCTGAAAATAACCATAAAGTGTCAACATCCTGATTCAGAACAGGGGTAGATGTTTGAATCATGAATAGTAGTAAGAATAGAGTGGCAATAAAAAGCCTTATGATACAAAGTGTTTGCTTGCACAGAATTAAGTCAATTTGTCCAGCAGCACGAAAAGTAACTTGAGATTCAAAAATGTAGCCTTCTGCACCATAGCTTGCGGCCTGGGCTGATGTACAAATTTATTAAGAGAATGGCCTTAATTAATTTAAAGTAAAATCTATGAGAAATTGAGAAGGCCTAGAACAACATGCCCCCACCATGGCCAACCGTCTTGAAATAAAGTAGAATAAAATGAAAAAGAGACGAATTTTCCATCTCTTTTATGAATTTTCCTTTTTGCCTAAATGATGAAGTAATGCTGACATTAACTACTTTTATTTTTTAAATGTGAGTTATAAAATAAAAATATAGATTAACAATTATTTCAACTGACTTTTAAATAGAAATTCTGAAATCAGGAATGAAATGGTTATTATATTTAAATATTTCTTGAAAGAATAGGGATAAATTTTAAAATAATGTAGGGTATACACAATTAGAATCACAAGCCAATAAACACTGTTATTTAAATATTTCTTTAAACTTTTTGGCAATAAGGGAGTAGAAGGAAGAATAAACACGTCTCAAGGAAGGAGGTATATAAGTAATATGATTTGTTGTTTTATAATTAGTGAGGAAATATTAGAGCAAGACCTTTGACACTTGGTTAAATTAGATAATTTTGTAGTAGAAACAGATACCTATTTGCTTCTTCACTCTCTATTGTTTTATTTCACATTTACCTCTCAGTTCTAGTATGAAACCTAGCATATACAAACACACTATACATATGTATGTATTTTTATCATTTTAGATAAGTATACACTATACACGTGTATGTATTTTTAATCATTTTAGATAAACTTAGGGTCATTTTCAGATGGAACATTTTGTGTCACAAGAAGCCTTTGCATCTTGATTTGACTTTTTATTCAATAGAATAATATTGTACTTAATAAATACAGCAGATTTTAATATGCTAAATAGTAACTTTCTTTTTGATTTTTAGGTAGGGAGTACCTGGCACTACAATTGCACCACATATGAATGTGTTAAAACTGATGAAGGAGCAATAATTCTGAACTACACAATGGTCTGTCCCCCTTTTAATGAGACTGAATGCAAAATGGTTTGTACTTTGTTGTATCTAAGAAAATTTATTATTATATAATTTAGAAAATACACATTGATATTTTCTAAGGTCATACTTTCATTGTGGCTTATACATAATGGCGAATGTGTTATTTTCATGAATGAATAAAAGCTCTGTTCTATTTTTCCCATTTGAAATTTTGAGTTATATACGGCGTTCCAGGTAATTCTGTCTTGAATAGATACTGTGCAATCGTTGGGTTTTTATCTGTAGATCCAAAGATTATAGAAAAATCATTTGGTCAGCAGACTTGGCCTTCCCTTTAATATGGATTAATAAGCTAAGGAATCAGAGCTTGGCCAATTTTCTTTCTTAAACAAACAGTGAGATTTTTGATGTCATTCAACTGTAATGCATGCTGGCCTGTATGATGTTTGCCCTAGCTTTTCTGGTCACAGGTCACTGAAAAATTTAGTACAAGTCACAGGATTGCCTATTCTTATGTTTTGCTCTATCAATTTCCCTATTCTTTCAGAGAAGAGTTTACTGGAAAAGTAGATTTGTGAACATAATATAATTTTTATTTTGCAAGATTTTTGTAGCTTTATTTATTTAGACAATAATAATTCCTAATGAAAACTAGGCTTTGTTCCGTTGTATAGAGAAATAGTACAGTCTAGTCTCATTGATTTTTTTTCAGGATGTACCTTTTCAATGATGACGGCTGGCTGGCTAGCTAGATATAACACGTACTAAAGTCACAGAATTTCAGCTCTGGAAAAAACTTGGGCATCATCTTGTTTCACAGACTAATATTTATAGCGTAAATCATTCTCTTATTTCAATTGCAGTTAGTAGGTTGCTAAAGCAATTAGTAATTCTTGTAAAAATTTAGTCTTAGACAAGAGTCCTTCCAAGGAAGGAAATATTTTTTCATAAAAACTATCAAAGAAAAAGATGTACAATTTTAACATTCAGTTATATTCAGAAACTCAAGTCAAATGGAAGTAGTTTAGGTTATTTCAAGGAGTTGAAAATATATAATGGTCATTATTTAGAATAGCTGTTATTATTTTGTTTTAGTAAGAATATTTTGTGGCATTTAAAGTGTCCTTTTAAGTAGAATAATCCTTTTACACTCTTTTCCATAGTACCAATGTATAAATAATGTAATTTTAAACAAAATATCTACTCCAGATTTTAAAAACAAGTTCTTTTTAGTAATAGTTAAATTCCAACTATTTTTCTATGAAGGCTTTGTGGTATTTGATAAAAGTTTTAGAAAAGTTAGTTTTCTTTTTCTAGTACAAGAGAACATGGAAGAACACCATATTCTTTGACTTTATTGCTTTTTTCTCTTTCTAGAATGAAGGGATTGTGAAGCTTTATAATGAAGGCTGTTGCAAGATCTGTAAGTGAGAGCATATTCCATGCATTTACTTGATAGATTAGTTTTAATTGCTCATAGTGATTATGGTTTTTCTCACAAAATTCAATTCCTATGATGCAAAGAGAGAAACAAATTTTATAAAATATTTTTGTATCGTATGTTTTTTGTATCATATGGTTAATAATTTTGTAATTTAGTCTTTAACTTAAAGGTTTTTGTATCATATGGTTAATAATTTTGTAAATTAGTCTTTAACTTCTGGAGTGTAAAGAAAGTGTTTGCATTTAGATTAATTTTAATTTAAATATTTTTTTATTGTGGCATATTACAAAAGGTATTTCATAAGATTTCAGTATATTTAAAATTTAAAAATGTTTTGTGATCATATTTGTTTGAACCATGCTGAACTTAAACAAGTAGATTACAGTTAGAATGGCATTGTGACTCCAAAAACAACATATGGGTGCAGTATTTTTCAAACCTGTTTGAGTAAGTATATAGTTTTGTACAATAAATTTGGATAATATTTTAGTAAATAATATTTATATCCTTTTCATAAAAGTTCTCATAATTATTTTCATAATTAAAGCTATCTGAATGCAATATATTTTTTATTAGCTTGGATTATAAGGTTTATTTCATAGTAATTGTTTTTTTTTTAGTGAGACGGAGTTTTGCTCTATTGCCCAGGCCGGGGCGTAGTGGCATGATCTTAGCTCACTGCAACCTCTTCCTGCCGGGTCCAAGCAATTCTCATGCCTCAGCCTCCTGAGTAGCTGGGATTACACGCATGCGCCATCACGTCCGGCTAATTTTTATATTTTTAGTAGAGATGGGGTTTCAGTGTTGGCCAGGTTGGCCTCAAACTCCTGGCCTCAAGTGATCTGCCCACTTCGGCCTCCCAAAGTGCTGGGATTACTATTTCATACTAATTTTGAATAATTTTAAGGACTGAAATAGAATAGAGTGTTTTCCATGAAACCACATTTATTTTTTCTTTTTAAAGTGTTTGTGAATTTATCTCAATATAAAAATAGAAATTTTGAGAAAATTAGCATAGACAGTAATTTTAAAATTTAAAGAAGCTTTTAGGAAAGGGGCACAACAAAGTTCAGTTTAATAATACCATGCTGTAATCACAGCACTTTGGGAGGCCAAGTTGGGTGGATCACAAGGTCAGAAGATCGAGACCATCCTGGCCAACATGGTGAAACCCCGTCTCTACTAAAAATACAAAAATTAGCTGGACATAGCAGCATGTGCCTGTGATCCCAGCTACTTGGGAGGCTGAGGCAGGAGAATCACTTGAACCCGAGAGGCGGAGGTTACAGTGAGCCAAGATCACGCCACTGCACTCCAGCCTGGTGACAGAGCTAGACTCTGTCTCCAAAACAAACAAACAAACAAACAAACAAACAAACAAACAAACTGTGGTATAGGGCCAGATTCTTAGATATGAACTGACATACATCTTGAGGAAGATTTCTGAATTTCTTTCATGAAAGACTAAATCCCATAAATATGTAAGAGTAGTCTTATATTTTTAGATATGTAGAGTCATACTGAACAGAATATTAGAATGTATTAAAATATTAATACAAATACTATGTAATATATACTATCTATATACAATATATAATATGTAATATATTATAATTTATTACCACCAAAATCCAATGAAATAGGTTCTGACATTAGCTTGATTTTCCACTTAGTGGCGTTAAATAATTTGTCCAAGTCATACCTCTTGTAAGTGATAATGCTAGGAATCTACTGCGGGTCTCATTTCCCGTCCTGCTTCTTAACTCTTCATGGTATTCTGGAACATTGCCAGGACAAGTTTTAGGAGAGGGCAGAGGCTGAATGATAAGCTCTGCTGAAGTGGCAGGGCTAGAATGACTGAATTTTTATTTACATAATGTCTAAAAAGCCAAACTCAATGCACACATACACACCGACAACAAGCAAAAAAGTCCAACAGGATGGCCTGACATCTAATTTGTTATGATATTAGTTTGCAGGGCTGCTGTAACAAACCAAAAAGTGGTTGGAAATAGAAATTTATGGAGATTAGGACTCCAAAACCAAGATGTCAGCAGGGCTCATTCCTTGGAGGTATTATGAGAGAGAGATCTGCTCCAAACCTCTTTCCTTGGCATGTAGATGGCCATCTTCATGCTCACATGTTGTTTTTCCTGTATGTGTGTCTAACTCCAGATTTCCACTTTTTACATGAACACCAGTAATATTGAATTAGCACCTCCTAATGATCTCATTTTTGCTCAGTTATCCCTGCAAAGATCTTGTGTCCAAATAAGATCACATTCTAAGATACACAGGCATTTTAAGACACAATTCAACCCATGATAATTATATTGCAAAGACTTTTAGGGATAGTATAATATAACCTATATATTTTTAATTACTAAGGCTTTAATTAGATACACACTGATTAAAAACATTCTGTTCATTAGAAATAAGCACGTTTTCATTCAGAATTCTCTAAATCAAATATAAACTAATATGAATCAAATAGTCATTGTATCAGGGGCTCAAGGAATGAAATTTAGCTTTAGAATATGAGGAAATTTAAGATTTCACTTTTTTTTTTCCATCTTCTTCTTCAGATTCTAGACTCTTCCTTAGGTATGAGATGCAGGAATAGAGTCACATGGCAATGTTAAGGCCCTGGCTTCTATATCCCCATGTTAATTATTAGGGAAGTGAGTACAATTATGTTATCTCAGGGCAGACAGGGGAATATCTCTGTGACTAATCATATGAATGACCACTATGGCCTGCCACACACTGACACTCTATTAAGCACATTGCTGACAGGACCACACCTAATCCTCACAACAGTTCTGGAAGGCAGGTATGTTTTCCCTACAGATGAGAAATAGAAGGTTCAGAGAGAAGCTGATCATAGTAGTAAATAATAAATTTAGGCCTGTCCAGTATCTGGGCCCAGGATCTTTCAACTCTGCTAAGTTCTTTGAAGTTGCAGAATAATAACAAGCCACTTCAGTTTCTCTCATCTGACGTGAAAGGACTCGTAATGTAGTTTCTGCTGGCATATTAGAAAACCCTTTCCTGCCGCCTTTGCTTTCTGAAGACTAGGCTGTGTTGAAGAGATTGTGGAGGTTGGATACTATTGCAGGCTCTGTGTTGAATAAAATCTGTTACAATAAAGTTTTTGAGGAATGAATTAGAAATGACTCTTGGTACAAACAAACTCAGCTAATGATAAATTATTGCTGCCCTGGTTTCATTTACTGAATGAATTAACTCGTTGGGTTTTTACTGGGTGCCTACATGACAAACATCTTTTTAGCCACTGGGACCATAATAGTGAATGAAGCAATGTCTGCATGGAGTGTGCTCATTATCAAGAAGGGGAAGAAACACTGAACCCATAAATATATTCTAATATGTCATTTAGTGATGAGTGGTATAAAGAAAAATAATGTAGAATAAAAGGAATGGAGAATGAGAGGAGCTGGGTTGCTAACTTAAGCGGGGGCTTAGAAAATGCCTTGGTGATGAGGCGTCATTTGAGTAGAGACTGAGTGTCCTTGGGAAGCCACCCACATGGTGAAGAGTGTTCAAAGTGGAGGAAATAGCAAAATGTGGCTATTGCACGGAAAGTGAGAGGAGGAAGGTGATAGAAAGAAGAGGGTGAGGCATCTTATAGGTCATGGTAAAGATGATTTTTTTCATTGACTATTCTTTATTCTTGAACTTACGTAAGAATGGAAGGGCTAAGGAAATAATCACTGAGTGAAAGCACCATAAGGGGCAGAACAGCCTGCACTCAACCAACAGCACTGAGCCTCGAGTCACACCATGAGCAAGAGGTTAGTGAAAAGAGATAGAACCAGCATAGGAGACTGAGGAGGAGCCATGAGTGAGATAGGATGAAAACCAAACCAGGTGAGCTCAGGAAGCCAAGTATGGAGGGTGCATTAAAGAGTGTGTTGTGCACATGTACCCTAAAACTTAAAGTATAATAATAATAAAATTTAAAAAAAAGAGGACAGAGTGATGGACTGGGTCAAATACTGCTGAGAAGTCAGATAGGGTGAGAACTGAGAGATGATCTTGAAATTTAGCAATTTGGAGGTCATGAGTGACCTTGAGGACAGTAACCCTTCAGTCAATCTTAGCTACCCATCTCTCCTTCAAGCAGAGTAGCTTAATCTTTATCTATTTTACATGTTGAGATTGTTTTAAATTAGGATTTCATGGCTAAATGTATTTTAAAATTGGGATATAAGTTCACTCTTTTGTAAGTAAGGAAACTCAGCAGGATAATTCAGTGATTTTCCTAAAGTAACAAAGCAAGTTGGAATAGAGAGAACCTTGGTTTTTGTATCTTGATTCAGGGATTACATCCACTATTATACATCATTAAATATAGATGCTTGCATGTAATAGCACGTGATAATCCATTACACACACAGACACATATTAAGATATCATGAATGCATACAAAGTGTTTTCATTTGAAATTATAAAAGACCATTTCAGAGCCATAAAATCAAGTATGACTCATCCATACACTTCAATATGGTTGATAAGTGATTCTATTAAAATTTTGCATTATTTTATATTAATGTCCATTAAGATAATGTGGTTTTAAATCTCTCAATTTTTATTTTAAAATTGATGTATATATGTAGTTATGCATTAATTACATATGCATATATCTACTTATACACTTTATGGTTTATTCCAAAAATTATTTTAAACACATATATGCCACACACAGGTTGATGTTAGCATTATTACATGTGTGGAATATTTCTGATTTCTGATTGTGATAATTATTCTAAGACAATAAGATATAAAGTGGAAATCAATAAGTGTAAAGCCAGAAAATATAAGAAAATCTATTTAGAAGGTGAAAATAAATATTGCACATAAAAATGTAAGAGAGAAGTTTTAAATATCTTTCAATACTGGAATATATTTTATATAAATACACCAATTTTCAACTGTAAATATATTCATATATTTAATTTAAGAAACAATTTAACGTAGGCCTTTGATGAATAAATACATTTTATATTTTATCAGGCAAACGAGAAGAAAGAATATGCCAGAAAGTGATCATTAAATCGGTCATAAGGAAACAGGACTGTATGAGCCAAAGCCCTGTAAGTGGAAAAATGTCATTTGCTACATAAATGCACACATCTTTTTAGAAAGTATGTGTGTTACAGAAAGAAGTTTGTAAGCCAACAAACTGCCAACGCTTAACAATATTTAACTGAGATTATTCCTACATTCTAATGTTGCAATATTCTGTTTGTGAAGAAGTATGAATTATTCTTAGCATAATCAGCAGTTCTGAATGATGGTTGCAATCCAGAGGGATAGAAATTGAATCTAAATGTATTTGACTACATGTTGTCTTCACTATGCAATTTTACTCAGCAAAAAGAGTTCTGCTTCTAACTTTGTCCCTTTTAATATGACCTGCAGTGTGCTTGAGCCATGATATGACACAGGTTACAATAGATTAACTATATTGTGATTAACATATTCCATATAGATTTATGTTGAGTTATGTGTGCACATTTAATGCTTTGAATGCTATGTTGAGCATTGCCATGAAACGTCCCTTTGACTTATGTGACTGATGTTTCATTTATTGTTTTTTACGATCTTGCAACATGCAGAAGCTTGAGGGTTGGAGTGATGAGGAAGAAAGATTTTCATCAGATTTTCTTAGTGGAATCAAATAATAACCAGTACTTTTAAAAGTTTAAGACTTTTTTTCTCATTGTCACTTCTTACAGATAAATGTTGCATCTTGTGACGGCAAATGCCCATCAGCTACCATATATAACATCAATATTGAAAGTCACCTAAGATTCTGCAAGTGTTGTCGTGAAAATGGAGTACGAAACTTGTCTGTGCCTCTGTATTGCTCAGGAAATGGCACTGAAATTATGTACACTCTCCAGGAACCCATAGACTGTACGTGCCAGTGGAATTAAACCCTTGGGTTCCAAGAGCTCTATACAACATCATAACGTCAGATAGAATTAACTTTTATTGCTATTACTTAGGCATGTGGCAGATTTATGCTGTTTAACAATACTGTATTTTTCAGACTTGGAATGTGGAAATTTAGCAATTTGTACAAAATATATACAGTTTCAATAGCAAAATTAAATTTATTGCTTTACTCTATTTTAGAAAATCAAATGACTGTAAGTTGTTCAGCTGAAATGCTGTTATGTATTTAATTACAACTTGGTGCAGATACAGTATATTCTCATCAACTGGAAGGTTATTTTGCAAAATTCCTTCAATTTCACTCAGTAGCTCTTTTTTTCTTAATTTGCAAAGTCTGCTATAGCTATCCAAATTAAGGTACCCTTTAATATGTACTCCTTAATCTGGTAAATGTGATCAGTTAAAATTGTCATCTAGATAGCAATAAAGAGTGATATGCTTAGAGATAGATAATGGATTATTTAAAACCTGAATGGTTTATAGAGAAGTCATTATAAATTCCCCTCATTTTGCAGGTGTAACAGATAACCAGAGAAGCTGTGTGACTCGTACAAATTTATTCAGTGTAATAATATAGTAAATTCATGTTAACAGTTGGATTAAATCCTAGCTCTCTCTTATTCCAGTACTATATCACTTTTAAAATCCTGAGCAGTATGTAGTAAGAGTATATCACAGAATCTTTCATTCTTAAAGAGTTTGCATTGGATAGAATTAAGTATTTTAAGTTTAACATATTTGAAAAATGCCCCCCATACATTGTTATTCCAATAGTAAGGAGCAGGGAAATATAGCATCATTTGCTAAATAGAGGAGATAGATCTTGAACTGTTATTTTTTATATAATTAAAACTGCTATTAAATGTGTTGTCAGTATTTAACATTTAGTTACTGTCTCATTAATATTTAATTTTGAGGATGTACTTGCATACTGTTGAAGTTGAGTGCTGTTTTGCTGTTAATGCTGCTGCTTTGCCAATGAAGAATGAAATAAATTTATCTGAATGTATCAATAACTTTAAAATGGAATGCTGCACTTTTAAAATATGGTAGATTATTGACATTTGCAAGAAGAA
The DNA here is from genome assembly GCF_000001405.40 of Homo sapiens. Lineage (NCBI taxonomy): Eukaryota > Metazoa > Chordata > Mammalia > Primates > Hominidae > Homo > Homo sapiens. Next base: position 80,379,147 of record NC_000012.12, read on the forward strand.
TGTATTGAGGTCTTTGGAAATGCCCAAATTCTTTGCCACCTATAATTAAAAATTGTCTGAATTTTCTCCTCAGTATAAAGGAGTGAATGCCCTACTTAGTGTAATTGTATCAAGTGAAGTCAAACATCAACAAAAGAACAGTAAAGTCTCATTGCAAAGCAGATACTGGGCCTCAAGGGTGGGCTTAGGCTTAAACTAGATTATCTGCTTTCATATACTAATGTTTTCATTTCAAAATCATGTGTCCCCAAAATATTGCAACTTACTGAATATTTTAGATCTCTTGGGTTACTTAAATATGTGTGAAAAAATCAACATTGCATCTGCAAATCCCAGTGTTTACTGTATATGCAATTGATTTATCCTGTTTGTGCTTAATATAAGTGTTCCTGAGATGTTAACATTTCAATATTCTCTGATTCCTATTAACATATAGATATATAAAATTAAATGTTTTTGGTTAAAATATATTAATATTTCACTTAAGAGAAAATGTTATGTATTTCAAATAGAAGTAACTAATGTTGTATATTATCTATTGCCCATTTTTATTTCCATTTTCTGTAAAATATTCATTATTAAAAATATTAAGTAATCTTTAAACCTATTTGTGGAGAAATGGGAAACATTCTCCTAGAACTTTATAAACATTCAACAAATACAGCAAATAAGCATTTAGGGCCTACATGTGCCAGGCACTATTATAAACTCTTGGGACACAGGCAAAACTAAACAGACACAGTCCTAACTCCCTTAATTCTTAGAGTCTAGCAAGAAAGCAGGCCTTAAATAGCCATACATATGATATGAGAATGTCCAGAAAGAGATCCCAAAACTTATTAGAATGTGGCATATCATAAAGATGACTCTGAAATCAGTGGAAGAGTGCAAATTAGCTCTTAATAAATGGTGTTGGGACAACTGAATGGTTACGTAGATAAAGAAAAATTTGAATTCATACATCCATTGACATTAGGATAACCTCCAAATGAATCAGAGATTTAAATGTTAAAAAACAAAAGAAGATAGGAGTTACAAAAGAAAATAGGGAAGAAATCTTAGATTGGGGAGAGCCATTCTAATTGTGACTCAGTATCCAGATACCCCAAATAAATGATTCATAGATTTAACAGTTAGAAAACTGAAAACAGACAAATTCTGCTTGGTAGAAAAAAGTCAAAAAAAGATAAAAGCAAAGAAACAATATTTGTGACATATCAGTGACACAGTCTAATCCTCCTGTATGTAAAGAACTCTTGAAAAAAATAACAAAAGGAAAAAATTAACAACCTGATAGAAAAATGAGCCAAAGATATAAACTGATAGTTGAAAGAAAAATAAGTAAGACTAGTGGATCCTTTAACAAAAAAGATAACTGAGCACACTTCTAGCTAATAAAAAATATTTCACATTCAATCTACAGAAATTCAATTTCTCACCTACCAGACTGGTAAAAAACCAGAAGTTTAATGATACTTTTATTTTTTAAGGCTCTGGGAAGATAAGCACTCTCACATGTCATTGATGGTAACACAAAATTGTAGAAATCCTAGGGAAAACCTAGAAATGTATACTAATATTAGAAGTGATTTTTGGTTTGACCAAACTGCCTAGAATATATATGCCGTACAAACGCCTGTACAAATACAAAGTGGTATTTGTGAAGGTTATTAATTGCAGCATTGTTTGTAATAGAAAAAAACCAACAATAGTTGAATAAACTACGTTAATCCACATGTGTAATACTATACATCTGTGAAAATAGAATGAAAAGTATATATTGGTGTGGGATGATTTCTAACACATTTTTAAATTGAATAATGTATTGAAATCTAGAACAGCATATTAGATTTCTAGGTGTTGTAAATTAAAAAGGCCTAAATAAGAAAATATAATCATATTTACATAGGAAGTAAACAATGAGGTAATAAAATGGCAAAAACCAATGGTGGAGGTGGATCAGGGTAGATGAAGATTGGGATGCAAACAAGACTTCTCCATGTATATCTTAATATACATTTTGAGTTTTGAATTATGAATGTATTGCATTTCAAATATTTAAATTTTATATATATATACTAATATAAATAAATGAACAATTCTAAGTTATGATACATGCTGCAAGGGAAGAGTAGAGGTTGCTGAGACAGTGACATAGCAAAATCTAATTTGCATTGGGTGAAAAGTAAAGGGAGGCCTCTGGGAAAATGATGTGTAAGCTGAGACCTGAAGGATGAGTGTGAGTCAAACAATAAAGCATTTCCAAGAGAAGGGAACAACATGCATCAAGGTCTTTTGAGAGGAAAGGACAAAGGCTGACCAGGGAAATGATAAACAGAATTTTGTTTGTTTGTTTCTTTGTTTTGAGTAATGGGGAGTGTGGTATAGAATGAGGCTGGTGAGATGAACTGGGAAGCCAAGCAATAAACAAAAAGGCTGTTATGATGCTATTGCTATAGAACAGGTGAGAAATGGCAGTGACAGTGCAGATAGGAGAAATTGTCATATATAAGATATATTTCAGAGGTAAAGTCGAGGACTTGGTAATCATTATGACACAGAAAAGTGTTTTGAGAATGCCTCTGAGTTTGATCAGCAGCTGGATGAATGGAGGATAGAAACCTTGGACAGAAAGGTGAATTTTAGCTGTGAGATGGCAACGTTTAGAATCCATTTCTGAGCATGTTGATATGGTTGATTAGACAACTGAGTGAAGTTATCAGAACGTGGCTATCTCTATTGGTTTGGTGCTCAAAAAAATCTTTGTTGAAGTATTTTTAGGATTTGTTAATATATAAATTGTATGAAACTATGAGAATGAATGAAGTTATCTAGGGCAAGAGTATATAGTGAGAGGAAAACAGGATCCAACACTGAGTCTTGAAGACCTTGTACATCTAAGGGATTGTATAGAAAAAGAATGGCCAGGGAAAAGGACTGAGAAAGAATGGCCATAGAGGTTGAAGTAAAGCCTGGAACCTTGAAGGAGGTCATAGAACCAAGGCAATACAAGGCTATACAAGGGACTGGAGTTACGGTCTATCAAATGATGAAGAGTCACTGAATGTATAGAAAGAAGAATTGGTGTTTCTTATGGACAAAAGCATAGTGAAGTGGGTTGAAAGCGGATTGGTAGGTGATCAATCTTTCTCGATACATGCACCACTCCACTTCTGCTCATGCAGAGATTCGCTTAGGCACATGCTCATAGTTCTGCAGCTGGTGGTGCTGGACCTGCTTCTGCTTGCACCTTCATGGTGGATTCTTCCTACCAGGCTATGGACACTGGAAAAGCACCGCGCATGCGCAGCCGACCCAGTCCCCACCATGGGCCTCCTTCCCTTCCTCTGATCACTGCTCAGTCTGCTTCTGTGGAGGAAGGACTCCATCCCTGCCCAGTGCCTGCCATGGGAGCTGTAGCTTCCACCACCACTTCTGGAAAGAAGCACGTGCCCTCATGAATGCCTTGATGAGCTGAGTAATACACCTGGAAAGAGCAGAGGAGTTAATATCCTATGGGGTGAACTCTGACCAAGGAGTAACAGGCCCAGGAGTCAGCCAGTAAATTGCTCACCGTTGCTCCTCACTCCCAGTGATCTTTCCAAGATGTAGGCGTTCCATTTGGCCTTTCCAGGTACGTCTCTGTGAGTTGTGTCCTGCTGTCCAACAATCTGCCTTGTACTTGCTTTTGATCCTCTCCTATGTCATCTCACTTTCCTTAAGTTACTTCCTCCCAGTCTTCCCCACCTCAGGCTCTACTTCAACCTCTATGGCCATTCTTTGTCAGTCCCCTTCCTTGGCGGTTCACAGATCTCAATGCTGCGTGTGTGTGTGTGTTTACGTTGTGTATACATACACATACGTATATACTTCCTGATAGGCTCAGAAATAAACATTAAAACTACAAGATGCAATTGTTTTGTTATTAAATCAGTAAAGACTTTTAACTGTATACTCTGTCATGTTGGGAGGGAGAAGAGTAAAAAACAGACTCTCGTGTTGATTGTAGAAAGTAAAAACAAAATAGCCACACAAATAATTTATTTCGAATATTTGTTTATTTATTTTTGCCTTTCTTTCTGCCTCTCCTGATCTTAAACATATATTTCTGTAATTTTTAAGTTCGTAAAAATTATTATATTCTTATGCATTTTTTCTGCAGCAGAGATTTTATATGCTATATAGTAGTCCATTAAGTGAATATCACAATTGACTTAGCCAGTCTATTAATGGATATTTATTGCTATTTTTTTTATCTAAATAAATCCTTAAGCATGAAGTGGAATTGAAAGATCAAGTGGTATCAACATGTGAAGAATTTCTTTTCCTATTGCCAAATTTGTCTTCCACAACTGGTGAATCAACCAGTTTGCTCCCACAAACACTATTTATGAGTTTGTTTCCTTTATCATCATCAATATTATGTAGTAACAGATAAACTAATTGATATAATAAGCAAAAAACACCAGCTCATATGATACTAGTATATGTATCTGAGCTTGCCACTGAATTCAAACCTTTTTACATACTTACTGTAGTTCTTTTGTCTATTTTTCCTGTGTCTATTTTCTTCCTTGGTAATTTCAAACTATGCCCTATAAGGACAAACAATTTTACAAACTTTAACTTACCTAACACTACCTTTTAAAGGTTATATTACAATGAATGTAATCTAGCAATTTTGATCCTGTTTTTAAAAGTTGAATTATTAACAAAATAAAACCTGTCATTCATGTTAGTTTTAAGAGGTGAATCAAATTAATTACTAATTTATCAATTCAGTGAAGCTGAAAAGGAGAAGAGACAGACAGTCTCTTAAGTTGCTATGCCTACCAGCAGAAAAGAGGCTCTTAATAGGAACTGAAATGTTTTTGAGTTTTTTTTTCAGGCAATTAATTACCATGCAAAGTTTTAGCTTAATGTTCACGTTGCATAGAAAATAACACTAAATTTTTGAAATCCAGATATTTCAACTAATTAAAATTGATATATTGAGAAGATTTGTGGTTATATTGTTGACCAAAAACAGTAAAACTGTGAAATATTTAAAGAGGTTTATTCAGTTTGTTCTGGGCCAATTGACTATGGCCCAAGGAACAGTCTCAAGAGGTCCTTAGAAAGTGTGCCTAAGGTGGTCAGGTTACAGTTTGAGGTGATACATTTTAGGGAAATAGTACTTACAAGCAAAGACATAAATTAACATATGGGATGTATATGTCAGTTTGGCCTACAGAGGCAGGATAAATTGAAGGTAGGGGCTTACAAATCATAGATAGATTCAAAAATTTCCTGATTGGCAGTTGGTTGAAAGAGTTAAGTTCTATCTAAAGATTTGAAGTCAGTAGAAAGAAATGCTTGAGTTAATACATTGGCAGTTGTAGAGACCAACTCCTTGATAGGTAGATGAAACCTCCAGATTATAGCCTTCAGAGAGAGTAGATGGTAAATGTCTTCTTTCAGACCTTAAAAAAGTGTCAGGGCTGGGTGCAGCGGCTCACACCTGTAATCCCAGCACTTTGGGAGGCTGAGGCAGGCAGATCACAAGGTCAAGAGATCGAGAACATCCTGGCCAATATGTTGAAAACCCGTCTCTACTAAAAATACAAAACTTAGCTGGGTGTGGTGTCACGCCTGTAGAGGCAGGAGAATCTCTTGAACCCGGGAGGCAGAGGTTGCAGTGAGCCAAGATTGCACCACTGCACTCCAGCCTGGGCGACAGAGCAAGATTCCAACTCAAAAAATAAAATAAAAAAGCGTCATACTCTCATTTAATGTCTCCTAGATCTGGGAAAGACCTAGAAAGGGAAAGAGATTCTCTATAGATGCAGATTTACCCCACAAGAGAAGAATTTGCAGGACCATTTCACAATATGTCCAAGAGATATATTTTGGGGTAAAATTTACTTTTATTTCCTTTAGGGTCTGCTATCTGTCATGTGATGCTATACCAGACTTAGGTTGGAATTTGGTATCTTATTGCCACACAGAGTCTGTTTTATCAGTCTTATGGTCTTCATTTCAATGTTAATACTAGTCAGTTGTACCTAAAGTCCAAAAGGGAGGAGACATAATGAGACTCGTATGACCTCCTTTCACCTTGTGCCAGGAATTCAGTTTTTCAGGTTTCTCTGGGGTCCTCTTGGCCCAGAGGGGGTCTGTTTAGTTGGTTTAGGGGTGGCTTAGGATTTTATTTTTGTTTTACAACATATAGATTCAGATAATTTCAAAATACATAATAAGTATCATTGATCAGAGGGCCTGTAGCTCAAGTGGGTTAGGATTTATATTTGTGCTAATATTCCCAGACAGGGTTGCTGTGAATGGTTGTACAGTCTGGGCATTGTATAAAAGTGCTTATCTTATATAAGAAAGGTAGTGCTGAATTGTAGGTCAGGCTCTTCAAGCCAAGACGTGTAACTTGACAAGGGGCTGTTTCTACCTAGAGGAAGGAATGCCTTTTTTTCTTTGCATGAAGATGAAGGCACTGTCCTCTTATCAAGCCAAACACCCAAGTTTGGGGCTGCGTCTTCCCAGAGGGAGGAGCCTGTTTCCTGTAACTCCTGAGGTTAGAAGCGGAAGCCTTGTTCCAATTCACCCACCAGACATTATGCGTTTTCCTAATATATCTAAGGACACACCATGTGGTAATTTGTACAAAAGTTACCTACTGTTGTGTTACTAGCCTTCATTTTTTTTCTAATAAATTCTTATAAATGGATGTAGTGCTTGGAAACTTCCATTTTCATTGCATCCTTGCGGAGGGAAAAAAACTTCTCAGAGTTTATTCACTAACAGCTGCTAATGAGAAAGTTTTAAATGTCTAGCTAAAGACAAAATTATATTGCTATAAAAATATCATCTATTTAAAAAATACAATTACAGAAATCTAGGGATGGATAAAAAATAGAAAACTATGTTTTTTATGAAAGAATATGTAATTTAAATTTTTCTGCATTCATAACAATATGTATTTTGTATCAAAATTATATTTAAGCTAATTTTTTGTATTTTTGGTAGAGACAGGGTTTCACCGTGTTAGCCAGGGTGGTATCAATCTCCTGACCTTGTGATCCACCTGCCTTGGCCTCCCAAGAGTTTTTTCTTTTGCAAAGTAATAAACCTCAGCATTAAAGTCACTGAAGTAAGTAATTTTCAAAATATTTTGCCAAATATTTCTTTTAAATATAAGGATTATTTTTCAACTTCCTTATTATTAAGAATACCACTGAGGTTCCAAGATGGCTGAATAGGAACAGCTCCAGTCTACAGCTCCCAGCGTGAGTGATGCAGAAGACAGGTGATTTCTCAATTTTCAACTGAGCTGTGAAGAGAGTAGTGGTTCTCCCAGCACGGACTTTGAGATCCGAAAACGGACAGACTGCCTCCTCAAGTGGGTCCCCGAGTAGCCTAACTGGGAAGCACCTCCCAGTAGGGGCCGACTGACACCTCACATGGCCGGGCACCCCTCTGAGACGAAGCTTCCAGAGGAACGATCAGGCAGCAACATTTGCTGTTCTGCAATATTCACTGTTCTGCAGCCTCCGCTGGTGATACCCAGGCAAACAGCGTCTGGAGTGGACCTCCAGCAAACTCCAACAGACCTGCAGCTGAGGGTCCTGACTGTTAGAAAGAAAACTAACAAACAGAAAGGACATCCACACCAAAACCCCATCTGTACGTCACCATCATCAAAGACGAAAGGTAGATAAAACCACAAAGATGGGGAGAAACCAGAGCAGAAAAGCTGAATATTCTAAAACTCAGAGCGCCTCTTCTCCTCCAAAGGAATGCAGCTCCTTGCCAGTAATGGAACAAAGCTGGACAGAGAATGACTTTGATGAGTTGAGAGAAGAAGGCTTCAGATGATCAAACTTACCTGAGCTAAAGGAGGATGTTCGAACCCATCGCAGAGAAGCTAAAAACCTTGAAAAAAGACTAGACGAATGGCTAACTAGAATAAACAGTGTAGAGAAGTCCTTAAATGACTTGATGGAGCTGAAAACCATGGCACGAGAGCTACGTGATGCATGCGCAAGCTTCAGTAGCTGATTTGATCAACTGGAAGAAGGGTATCAGTGATTGAAGATCAAATGAATGAAATGAAGCAAGAAGAGAAGTTTAGAGAAAAAAGAGTAAAAAGAAACGAACAAAGCCTCCAAGAAATAAGGGACTATGTGAAAAGACCAAATCGACGTCTGATTGGTGTACCTGAAAGTGAAGGGGAGAATGGAACCAAGTTGGAAAACACTCTTCAGGATATTATCCAGGAGAAGTTCCCCAACCTACCAAGGCAGGCCAACATTCAAATTCAGGAAATATAGAGAACGCCACAAAGATATACCTTGAGAAGAGCAACTTCAAGACACATAATTGTCAGATTCACCAAAGTTGAAATGAAGGAAAAAATGTTAAGGGCAGCCAGAGAGAAAGGTCGGGTTACCCACAAAGGGAAGCCCATCAGGCTAACAGCGGATCTCATGGCAGAAACTCTACAAGCCAGAAGAGAGTGGGGGCCAGTATTCAACATTCTTAAAGAAAAGATTTTCAACCCAGAATTTCATATCCAGCCAAACTAAGCTTCATAAGTGAAGGAGAAATAAAATCCGTTATAGACAAGCAAATGCTGAGAGATTTTGTCACCACCAGGCCTGCCTTACAAGAGCTCCTGAAGGAAGCACTAAACATGGAAAGGGACAACTGGTATCAGCCACTGCAAAGAATGCCAAATTGTAAAGACCATTGATGCTAAGAAGAAACTGCACCAACTAATGAACAAAATAGCCAGCTAACATCATAATGACAGGATCAAATTCACACATAACAATATTAACCTTAAATGTAAATGGGCTAAGTGCTTCAATTAAAAGACGCAGACTGGTAAATTGGATAAAGAATCAAGACACATCAGTGTTCTGTATTCAGGAGACCCATCTCACATGCAGAGACACACATAGGTTCAAAATAAGGGGATGGAGGAAGATCTACCAAGCAAATGGAAAACAAAAAAAGCAGGGGTTGCAATCCTAGTCTCTGATAAAACAGACTTTAAACTAACAAAGATCAAAAGAGACAAAGAAGGCCATTACAAAATGGTAAAGGGATCAATTCAACAAGAAGAGCTAACTATCCTAAATATATATGCACCCAATACAGGAGCACCCAAATTCATAAAGCAAGTCCTTAGAGACCTACAGAGACTTAGACTCCCACACAGTAATAATGGGAGATTTTAACACCCCTCTGTCAACATTAGGTAGATCAAGGAGACAGAAAGTTAACAAGGATATCCAGGAATGGAACTCAGCTCTGCACCATGAGGACCTAACAGACATCTACAGAACTCTCCACTCCAACAGAATATACATTCTTTTCAGCACCACACCACACCTATTCCAAAATTGACCACATAGCTGGAAGTAAAGCACTCCTCAGCCAATGTAAAAGAACAGAAATTACAACAAACTGTCTCTCAGACCACAGTGCAATCAAATTAGAACTCAGGATTAAGAAACTCACTCAAAACCGCTCAACTACATGGAAACTGAACAACCTGCTCCTGAATGACTACTGGGTACGTAACAAAATGAAGGCAGAAATAAAGATGTTCTTTGAAACCAATGAGAACAAAGACACAACATACCAGAATCTCTGGGACACATTTAAAACAGTGTGTAGAGGGAAATTTATAGCACTAAATGTCCACAAGAGAAAGCAGGAAAGATCTAAAATTGACACCCTAACATCACAATTAAAAGAACTAGAGAAGCAAGAGCAAACACATTCAAAAGCTAGCAGAAGGCAAGAAATAACTAAGATCAGAGCAGAACTGAAGGAGATAGAGACACAAAAAACCCTTCAAAAAATCAATGAATCCAGGAGCTGGTTTTTTGAAAAGATCAACAAAATTGATAGACTGCTAGAGAGAAGAATCAAATAGATGCAATAAAAAATGATAAAGGGGATATCACCACCGATCCCACAGAAATACATACTACCATCAGAGAATACTATAAACACCTCTATGCAAATAAACTAGAAAATCTAGAAGAAATGGATAAATTCCTGGACACATACACCCTCCCAAGACTAAATCAGCAAGAAGTTGAATCCCTGAATAGACCAATAACAGGCTCTGAAATTGAGGCAATAATTAATAGCCTAGCAACCAAAAAAACTCCAGGACCAGATGGATTCACAGCCAAATTCTACCAGAGGTACAAGGAGGAGCTGGTACCATTCCTTCTGAAGCTATTCCAATCAATAGAAAAAGAGAGAATCCTAACTCATTTTATGAGGCCAGCATCATCCTGATACCAAAGCCTGGCAGAGACACAACAAAAAAAGAGAATTTTAGACCAATATCCCTGATGAACATCTATGCAAAAATCCTCAATAAATTACTGGCAAACCGAATCCAGCAGCACATCAAAAAGCTTATCCAACATGATCAAGTGGGCTTCATCCCTAGGATGCAAGGCTGGTTCAACATACACAAATCAATAAACATAATCCATCATATAAACAGGACCAAAGACAAAAACCACATGATTATCTCAATAGATGCAGAAAAGGCCTTTGACAAAATTCAATGGCCTTCATGCTAAAATCTCTCAATAAATTAGGTATTGATGGGACTTATCTCAAAATAATAAGAGCTATTTATGACAAACCCACAGTCAATATCATACTGAATGGGCAAAAACTGCAAGCATTCCCTTTGAAAACTGGCACAAGGCAGGGATGCCCTATCTCACTACTTCTATTCAACATAGTGTTGGAAGTTCTGGCCAAGGCAATCAGGCAGGAGAAAGAAATAAAGTGTATTCAATTAGGAAAAGAGGAAGTCAAATTATCCGTGTTTGCAGATGACATGATTGTATATTTAGAAAACCCCATTGTCTCAGCCCAAAATCTCCTTAAGCTGATAAGCAACTTCAGCAAAGTGTCAGGATACAAGATTGTTGTGCAAAAATCACAAGCATTCTTATACACCAATAACAGACAAACAGAGAGCAAAATCATGAGTGAACTCCCATTCACAATTGCTTCAAAGAGAATAAAATACCTAGGAATCCAACTTACAAGGGATGTGAAGGACCTCTTCAAGGAGAACTACAAACCACTGCTCAACGAAATAAAAGAGGACACAAACAAATGGAAGAACATTCCATGCTCATGGATAGGAAGAATCAATATTGTGAAAATGGCCATACTGCCCAAGGTGATTTATAGATTCAATGCCACCCCCATTAAGCTAGCAATGACTTTCTTCACAGAAGTGGAAAAAACTATTTTAAAGTTCATATGGAACCAAAAAAAGAGCTCACATTGCCAAGGCAATCCTAAGCCAAAAGAACAAAGCTGGAGGCATCACGCTACCTGACTTCAAACTATACTACAAGGCTACAGTAACCAAAACAGCATGGTACTGATACTAAAACAGAGATATAGACCAATGAAACAGAACAGAGCCCTCAGAAATAATACCACACATCTACAACTATCTGATCTTTGACAAACCTGACAAAAACAAGAAATGAGGAAAGGATTCCCTATTTAACAAATGGTGCTGGGAAAACTGGCTAGCCATATGTAGAAAGCTGAAACTGGATCCCTTCCTTACACCTTATACAAAAATTAATTCAAGATGGATTAAAGACTTAAATGTTAGACCTAAAACCATAAAAACCCTAGAAGAAAACCTAAGCAATACCATTCAGGACATAGGCATGGGCAAGGACTTCATGTCTAAAACACCAAAAGCAATGGCAACCAAAGCCAAAATTGACAAATGGGATCTAATTAAACTAAAGAGCTTCTGCACAGCAAAAGAAACTACCATCAGAGTGAACAGGTAACCTATAGAATGGGAGAAAATTTTTGCAATCTACCCATCTGACAAAGGGCTAATATCCAGAATCTACAAAGAACTTAAACAAATTTACAAGAAAAAACCAAACAACTCCATCAAAAAGTGGGCAAAGGATATGAACAGACACTTCTGAAAAGAAGACATTTATGCAGCCAACAGACACATGAAAAACGGCTCATCATCACTGGCCATCAGAGAAATGCAAATCAAAACCACAGTGAGATACCATCTCACACCAGTTAGAATGGTGATCATTAAAAAGTCAGGAAATAACAGGTGCTGTAGAGGATGTGGAGAAATAGGAACACTTTTACACTGTTAGTGGGACTGTAAACTAGTTCAACCATTGTGGAAGACAGTGTGGCGATTCCTCAAGGATCTAGAACTAGAAATACCATTTGACCCAGCCATCCCATTGTTGGGTATATACCCAAAGGATTATAAATCATGCTGCTATAAAGACACATGCACAGGTATGTTTATTGTGGCACTATTCACAATAGCAAAAACTTGAAACCAACCCAAATGCCCATCAATGATAGACTGGATTAAGAAAATGTGGCACATATACACCACGGAATACTATGCAGCCACAAAAAAGAATGAGTTCATGTCCTTTGTAGAGACATGGATGAAGCTGGTAACCATCATTCTGAGCAAACTATCGCAAGGAGAGAAAACCAAACACCGCATGTTCTCACTCATAGGTGGGAATTGGACAATGAGAACACTTGTACACAGGAAGGGGGACATCACACACTGGGGCCTGTCGTGGGGTGGGGGGAGTGGGGAGGGATAGCATTAGGAGATATACTTAATGTAAATGATGAGTTAGTGGGTGCAGCACAGCAACATGGTACATGTATACATATGTAACAAACCTGCACGTTGTGCACATGTACCCTAGAACTTAAAGTGTAATAAAAAATTATTTTTAATTATATCTGTCTATATTAATATTTTCTATCAAAAGCCATATATGCACGCACATAAACACACAAAGACATAAATAAGCTCAGTTTTGTAACCCAACCTAATAGTTCTATATGTGAATTAGCTGTAACCCTTACTGCCAGGCCTAATGTCTCCATTACTGAATTGTTGTTTGCTTTATTTCTTGGTTGCTTGACATGTAATGTCAAGTAATTTTTCTCTGGAAAGGCACATGGATTGTATATTCTAAGGTTTTATTCATAGCATAGCATGACAGCTAAGGTCTCAAGTTCTCAGATCAAGTAGGTACAACGTCAAATCTTTATGCAATTATTTGTGACTCTAAGTAAATTGAACAATTTTACACTTCATATTTTTTCAAATGTCCTATAGAAATAGTGTCAAGCTAATGAGAATAACATATGTAAAGCAGTTAGTAGAACTTTAAGCACATGGAAAGGACTTGAGATACGTACATATATATAATATAATATAATATAATATATATAAAATAGCTGGGTATAAAAATTTGAGGTCATAGTTACTTTCAAAAAAGCAGACATTGCTTCACTGTGTTTGGATATTTAGTATTCCAAAAGAAAAGTGGTTCTAGCTTATATTTTTTTCCATTATAGATATATTATTTTTGTTTCCTAAATTATTGCTTATTGAAATTTTCCTTCAAGGTTTGAATTCAACAATATTGTGAAAATGTGTATGGTTATGGTTCTCTATCCATTGATATTCCTTAAGACGTTTTAAGTCTTTCAATCTTCACATGGTCATTTTCTAAATACATAAAATGTATTCTATTACTAGTATGTTTTATTTGGTATGCTTTCATTTCAGTTAATCTTGTTTTATACACAGGAACATTATAATTATATTTATGTTGTTTATCTTTCATACTTTTGACATTTTCTCTCATATTTCATCTTTTTGTTCTGTATAATTATAGAGGTTTTCAAGTTTTCCTTCCACGGTACCAATTTACTTACTTCAATCAGTGTAGATTATAATTCTGTGAATGCAGAATTTTTAGTTTCCTTGCATTAATTTTTTATCTAATGTCATTTTTATATCATCCAATTTTTTTAACCTCAAGTTGTTTTATATCTATGCCAGACTGTTTTTTCCTCTAAATATTTTTCTACATGTCTTTTGCACCCTTTAGAGAAAAACCAAACTCTCCTCTACTTTGTTCCCAAATTTCCCAACACGGTGCTTATATTAATTTGTTATTCCTCTGATGTTTTAGGATCCTATTCTCTCTCCGTTTCTTTGTAGTAATATTCCATAGGTTTTATGGCTTATTTTCATGTCATTTTGGCTGTTTATTAGTGATTAGTGTATATGGTTTACTCTTGGTTATACTCTATTACCACTTGAGGAATTGTCAACTTTTTATTCTCATATTTCCAACTATAGGGCATGATAATAAAGTTGATTCCCATTTCATTTTCCGTATTTTAGCTAGCATTTCCTAATATTCTCAATTATGCAGAGGTGGCCACTTTTCCAAACTCTATTCATGCTTCTCTAATATCCTGAATTGTCCAAATATAAGGGAAGTTCCAGTTCCCTTCATGCACAACTACTGTTTTGGGTTTTTGTTTTTCCTGACTCTTTCTAAATCTACCATGTTTGCCTCATGGTGACCAACTAATAAAATACAGTGGGCTAGAATGTGTTGTTTCCTGGGAGCTATTATCTCTGAATAAAAATAGAAAGCCAGGGAGATAGTTGGAGTGAGAGAAACTTTAGCTACTTTTAGATATACGGTTGTATAATAATGTGGTCTCTGACCAGTTCCTGTTAGGTGTAGATCCCAAAACTCTGAGTTGAAGAACTGGAAATGTAAGATATGATAGATATCTCCTTTCACTTTTCTTGGTTGACTTGTTTTCTATTTTACAGATTTTCTTCTGAACTCAATTTTACTGTTACACAATTTTAGTTGTGATTTTGTTTTTGTTTTTGTTTTTTCTATTTTTCTTCAATGTTTAGAGAAACAGTCAGTTTTACATTAAGGAGTACTGTCATGCACACTTGAAGATGCATTTGAACATTTTTCTGATATCAAAAATTTGGAAACAACTTAAATATTCTATAATTCTATTTTTTGATTATTATATAAATTGTGACATAACTTGGATTATTATGCATAATTCAAAATCATATTTTAAAAAATTCTTTACTGACACAAAATATTTTGTGAAAAAACAAGATACATATATAACTGGATTATTCCTGTCTTGCTAAAAAAAGATATATATATATATATATATATATATATATATATATACATTGCACAGAAAATATCTTGGGAAGAAACACATGTATATATTCAACATTGGTTATCTTGGGCTGGTGGTATTTTGAGTGAATTTCTATTTTTTTTACTTGTATGTATATTCGAAGTTACCTTCAATAAGCAAGTGTTTATTTTGTTTTGCTTTGTTTTATTTTTAAAGAGATAGCAAGGTTCTTAGAAAATAGTGATTTTGGCAGAAGGTTAAAAAACCAAAATTACTCCAAGGCATAAATTTTACTATTTAAGCAATATGTAAACAATTCTCATTTAATTTTTTTTTTTAGTATTAGCCATTTTGAGTAATACTAACTTCAAACAAGTATTGCTAACATTTTGCAGAAGAGAAAAACATTGGCTAGCTGAGCAAAGGAGGCTGCATTGTAATTTATGTGGAATTTGTAACTCGTATTTGAAGACAATAATGTTTGTTTGTATTTAAAAGAGAAACTCCCACTGGCACTTTAAAATCTGCCAACATCATAATGGTTTTGCTTCACTTAAGAATTAGAAAATATTGAAAAAGGTCACTGCTTATATCTGTCATGGTAAAAACCTGACCATATTCAGCAGCTTGATTTTGGCTAAAATAACATGCATGTGCTGCATGTCTATGTGGCATACCAAATTGAAATGGAATATTGTGCTTTCTCCTCAGCTGTGATGAACATTTATTTTGTAGATTTTATTTTCAAGAGAAGAACTATTGTAATTCATATAGTATACTTTTTTTTGCGCCCCAAGTCTTATCACTTGTTTTATTTTAGAACAGCACAAATTTTGAGAATCAAATATCAACATTGTACAAAAGATCCATAAAATTGTGCAACGGAGTCTTAAGGAAATAATCTGACTGTAATATTAAGATAATAAATGTGTAATCAAATACATGAGAATTATTTGCTGTTAAAATCAGTCTATTAAAATCAACATATTTGTGTGTATATATATGTATATATATGTGTGTATGTGTACATATATATACATACACAAGTGTGTATATATATATATATATATATATATATATATATATATATATATATTATACTTTTTTTTTGAGGCAAGGTCTTACTTCATAACCCAGGCTGGAATGCAGCCTGCATGGCTCACTGCAGCCTTGACCTCTTGGGCTCAAGCAATCCTCCCACCTCAGCCTCCTGAGCAGCTGGGACCACAGGCACATGCTACCACGCCCAGCTAATTGTTTTGTATTTTTTGTAGAGATGAGGTTTTGCCATATTGCCCAGGCTGATCTCAAACTCAAGGAAACTGCCCACCTCAGACTCCAAAAGTTTTGGGACTACAGGTGTGAGCCACCATGCCTGGCAAAATCAATGTTTAGGAAATGATTTCTACCTGTAGAATAAGTACATAGGCTATATACACATATTAAGATATATGCCAAAAGTAGTGCCAGAATACATCTAGTTATAGTTATATTCATTTCCTTGCTCTAACAGCAGCTGGTTTAATTACATCAAAGAAGAGGAAATTAATTAATCAGTAAGGAGATTCTATAGCTCTTTATGTGATTAATGGTAAGGAGACCAGCCTCCAGAACTAGACTGAGTTCAAATCCCAATGATGTTATTATACTTACTTACCCAGGGGAGGTAGTGGTTGTGGTATGAATTCACTCCAAGAGATGTACTTCAAAGAGTTTGAGATAAATATTTCCTTCTAACAATAACCAAACTTAACATAGTCAGGAGAGAATGAAATGTCAGGACTTGAGTGCATTAATCTCTGCTTCTCTTGCTCTGCCAGTTTCATTCTTTCCTACTGCATTGCAGGGTGCTCCATGGGCAACTGCAACTTTGCACATGGCCCTTTACCTTTGAGGCAACAACCTTTATGTATTTGCCAACAAAAAGGAGAGAACATCTGTCTCTGAGCTTTATTTCATAAAATCCAGTGCAATGACTGGCCAATCACGGTAACTGTGAGCGTGTATTACTTTTCCATTGCTGTGAAACCAAATACCACAAATTTAGTTGCTTTAAACAAAATACATTTATGATCTCAGTTTCTGTGGCTTAGGAGTTTGGATGTAGGTTAGCTGGGTTCTCTGCTCATGTCTTACAGCCTGAAACTGAATTGTTGGCTGGTTCTGTAGTTTCATCTGAGGTTTGGAGTCCTTCTCTTCCAGGCTCATTCACGTTGTTGGCAGAATTAAGTTCCTTGTGATTGTAGGACTGAGATCCCCATTTTTTGTCCCCATTTTTTTGTGAGTGGGTGCATTCTCAGCTACTAAAGGCCATGCTCATGTCCTAACCACTTGGCCTTCTGACATCCTGGCAGCTGACTTCTCCAAAGCCAGCAGGAGAACCCCTCTCTTGTTCTGCTGCAATAAAGTCTTATATAATCATGGAAATGACTATCCCATCACATTCACTGGTCTCACCGCCCCCCCCAATAGGAAGAGAATAATATAGAGTGTAAGTACCAGGGAGTGGGAATCTTAGGTGTCATCCTAGAATTTTGCCTATCGTAGGGACTAGAGATTTGCACTTGGACCAGCCAGAGTCATAGCCCATTCCTATGAGCTCACAGAGCTAACTTATCCTCTACTCTTTGCTTCTTTTTTTCTGACATTTCAAAGTGTAAGGATAATGAATCTTATTCTCTGGATATAAAGCCTTTGCAGTCAGTCAGGGTTTTGCTGTCTTTTCTTTCCTGTTCCTGAATCCCAGATACTTTCATCATCAGAATTTCTCAGTAAATGTTTGCTGAACTGAATTCATTAATTAAATATGTTAAATGTGCTGATAATCTCTTTGAGAAATAAATTCCCACCTGTCCTGGCATCCACCTTAAAAACATCTATTAGGAAAGCTATAAACGGACCAGAGCTCTGAATTACTTCACAACCACCACCAACTCAGACATAAAAACTCTTTTTGTTTAGTCCCAATTTTCAACATGATATTTGAATTTTAACCCACAACAATAAGTCCAAATATTTATCTTGGATTTTGAAGTGAAGCCACTTTATTAAATATGCCATATTCACTCAAAGTAAATTAATTTGGATTAATTTGGTTGATTGAATCTCTTTTCATATAAGAACTGTTGCAATAACTATTTTTATACTGTGTAAATGAACATGCTAGAAAAATAATACCACAAATTTTTAGGAAATTTTACATTGTAGAAAAGGCCAAGCCTAGTTATAAAACTAAAAAAATAATAAAAAATAAACCTTTTGGCATCACACTTAAGAAACCAAAATGGATGAAAAATGCTGCTAACCCATCTTTTATTTTCTTTCTCTTATAATTCATGCCACCAAAATAAAGCTTATGAATTTTATAGCAACAATGGCTTTCCCTTAAATAGTGATAGAAATATGGCTAATTTTGAAATACATTACAGCTTATGAAAATGTTTTGTGGCAAATTTTGAGTAAAATATCTTCTTTAAAGGAGGACAGTAATAAAGACTTGAAAGAACAGGAAACATAACGAGACCAGGAAAAACAAAAAGCTGTACTGTCATTTTTTTTTCCAGGTTTAAGGAAGGATGTTTTAATATTAGTCTTAAATTCTTTTTTTTTTTTTTTTTTTTTTGAGACGGAGTCTCACTGTGTCTCCCAGGTTGGAGTGCGGTGGCGCGATCTCGGCTCACTGCAAGCTCCGCCTCCCGGGTTCACGCCATTCTCCTGCCTCAGCCTCCCAAGTAGCTTGGACTACAGGCGCCCGCCACTACGCCCGGCTAATTTTTTGTATTTTTAGTAGAAACGGGGTTTCACCGTGTTAGCCAAGATGGTCTCGATCTCCTGACCTCGTGATCCGCCCGTCTCGGCCTCCCAAAGTGCTGGGATTACAGGCGTGAGCCACCGCGCCCGGCCTAGTCTTAAATTCTTAAGCATGATTTCATTTTAATCTTACAAAAGTTCAGTTTTCCACACTCTGGAATGTGATGGATTTTGGCTTCTCTAAAGAGTAAAGCATCAAGAAAGAAAAATCCCTATGGATATTGGAAAGAATCACATCATAGGTTAGTAGTTGCCTCCATTGCCTAAATGGCTTTTATCTATGCTTCTCCATCTGAAAAATAAGTTATTTTCTTTAGGAATCATGTTGAAATATCATTAAAGCTATACTTTTTTTTCTCTTGAAAGTGAAAACCCATAATTCTCTTAAATCTTTCACTTAATTTCTCTATACTTAATTTGTTAGGGCCTAATAAAAGGGTAAGGCAGGAACAAAACCACACTATTTCAAAGGACATCCTTCAGCAAGGAAAACATTTTGCTTGCTGGTTAGGGAAACCCTATTGATTAGCTTGCTACCTACTTTATTGACCTAATGGAGAGACTGATGTAAAACACAGGTGATGGTAATATTATGAAGGCTACTTATTTAAAATGACATTGTTTACACAGCAAATGGGAGTCAGAAGGCCATATTGAAAATACGTACCCATTATTCAATTTACTTAATGGATTTTGAATTTGATCATATTTCTCAAAGCCTAGAAGCTAATTCAATGGTGATAAGATCATTTTGTGGTATAATTGCCTTGACACCTTCTAATTTTATTTTTATTTATTTTTTTGAGACAGGAACTCACTCTGTCACCCAAGCTGGAGTGCAGTGGCGTGATCATGGCTCACTGCAGCCTCAACCTCCTGAGCTCAAGTGATCCTCCCCTCTCAGCCTCCCAAGTAGTTGGGACCACAAGCACATGCCACAAGTTTATGTTTTAAAATTACAGAGATGGGTTTGTAGAGACGGAGTTTCTCCATGTTACCCAAGTTGGTCTTCAACTCCTGGGCTCAAGCAATCCACCTCTCTTGGCCTCTTAAAGCGCTGGGATTACAGGCATGAGCCACCATGCTTGGCCAATACCTTCTACTTTTAAAGACTCAAAAGATATGCAGAATCCCCAGGAATTAAAACAAAACAAATATAGTTCACACCTATAACTGTGCTTGAATCCTTGCCATCATGGAGTTCCTAATCTAGCTGAGTACATAAATGTATAAAAAGTAAATTTTCGTGCTACAGTATAAACAAAGATCTACAGGAAAACAGACATGTAAATGTTTATGGCCTGTTACTTCATTGAGGGTACATATAAGTCAGGGTGCCAAGGAGGAGAGGAGAGAGATGAGGTTGAAAAGTGAATTTGGTGAGAGGTACATTATAGACAACAAAAAGTCACAACAGGCTTTTAAGTACCCTCCATGCATGATTATATAGTATCATGTGTGTATTTCAGAAAGATCACACTGGCTAGTAGTATGTAAGAGAGATTGGGAGTATCAAACATGGAGACATAATCCAAGTGTTAGTGTATTAGCAGTAGCTGCAGTGAACTAATGTTGGTTGTCTTTCAATTAAGTTTTTACACTCTACTAAGCACTCTTCAAGCTTACTCTTCACCACAGCCAAATTTTCAAAGAGCTGCTTAGCTAGTAAAGGGAGCCACAGGATCTGCACTGAGGTACAAAGTCTTAACATGATACATGTTTTCCAGACAGAGCAAAAGTGAGATCGCGCACGTGTGTGTGTGTGTGTGTGTGTGAGAGAGAGAGATTTAAAGTTTTCAATTAAGTCTGTAACAGTGGTAATAATGAAGAATTAATCAGCTTAAGAGGCAGTTTAGGAATGGAATCAAAGGGATTTGCAGGATAAAGTGGCACTGGATGGTGAGAAAAGGATCTGAGGATGAAGAGGTAGTGATTTTCCTTTGGTTGTTTGGGTGAAGGATCTTTTCCTCAGGAAGAGCTGGAAAAGGAGTTTATAAATTTAGGTTTGAAAATATGGTTTTGAATCGTTTATAGGGACATCCAGATGGAGATGCCCATTTTGGAGCTATAAATACTTCTCTGAAGCCCTGGAAAGACATGAAATTCAAGATGGAGTGATCGAAGATCTTGAATATGGTAGAATCACAAGAGTGAATGAAGTATTCCACAGTCAAGGAAGGCACAACGGGTCAACTCAGTTTTTGAGTTGGCAGTGTTGGAGGACACAGTGACGCAGACTAAGCAAATGGAAGCAAGAGGGGAGGGAGATGTCAGGGAAGCTGAGATCTCGGGGTTCAATCAACATTCTCAAATGCCGCAGAGAACACACACACACACACAGGCACACACACACGTTAACAAGGAGTGTGGCTTCATACAAAGCCACATATTTGATCTTAAGCCAAAACTGGGCTATTCACAGCCATATAGTCGACTTCTGCTTTTTGTTTTGTTTTGTTTTTAAATGAGATACCAATGTGTCCCACCTCGCGTTCTCCTTCATCGCCCTTCCCTTTCCTCCCTTCTTCTATGCAGAATGCAATTCTCCTCCACATTTCAATGTTTTGGGACTTGCCTCCCACTCCTCTCCCTTCCCAAGGCTTCCTGTCTCCATGGAAACATTCGCTTAATTAACCCAACGCAGGGAGAGGGCATCGCTGGCCCAAATGAAAGCCGCCAGAGCAGCTGCAGCAAGAGCTGGAGCAGAGCGAGAGAAGGAGACTAAAGGGAGGCAGGCTGCGAGGTGGGCTGTGACCCAGGAATCGTGGGCAGCTTGGGCCGCCGCACCCAGAGCAGTGCCAGCACCTCCGGGCCAGTTGCCCTGGCACCCGAAACTTGCAAAGCACAGGCGCCGCGCGGCTGCAGGTCCGGGTCCGGGTCCAGATGGGGGTCAGGGCGGATTGCAGGGGTGCCGTGGCTCCTGCGACTTCTCAGCCTTGCATCCTCTGCACTTTGACTGTCTTCCAGGTCTCAGCTCTTTCCTTCTTTCTCCACCAGTCTAACCATTCTTTAAACCTCAATCTTTTCGTTTATACTCTGCCTCTCTCTCCCTGTTTCAAAAGTTGGTGCTTTTTGACTCTAAAATAGTGTGCATTAGGACAGGGGCTCTTTACACACTCCCAGGGCAAACACAGTGACTCACAGAATTGAATTTGAGTGGGGGTTTGGACTTAAAGAGCGGGCATCCTGGAGCTTTCCACTTTCGCATTTGTATTATGGTACACAGCCTTCAAAATTATAGTTTACGCTTAGATTTAGGGGGGAAATTAATACCATAGCCCTAGAACACTTACATCAGGTTGCTTGGGAAAATGGGCAAAGTTAAAGCTTTGCAGTTTTGTGGAAGGGTCTGGATTTAACTATTAGGCATTTCTTTTTGACTGGGTTGCATTTTATCTGAGCTAAACTCCTGCTTAAGAAGACCTAAAGAGGATTCTGTAGGAATAAACTTGCTTTACAGTGAGCTTTCAGGAGCTTTAAATTTGATCCTGGGGAACTGTTTACTATTAAAATGGTATTTTCAGTTTTAAAAACATATACAAAATACAGGTTTTTTTTCTTTGTATCTTAAGTTGAATACAAAAGTTTTTAGGTCCTTGGGGGCTCCACGTTCCTATGAAAGGCTAGGCAAGCTTTTTAGATGAATATATTTTAAAAATAAATTGAGTTGAAACGACTATTGAACGTTGTTTCTATTTAAGTTTCAGTTTCATGTATTTTGAAATATTTTTCATGATGATGGTGTAATTTTAAAATGTGAGGAATTAGTTCCAAAGAAGCAGCAGTTGCATAGGTGTTCTAGATTTCCATTAATTGAGGTTAAATAATTTCACACAACACAATGTAATTTTGTGTAATTGCCTGATAATTCATTTTATTTCTAACACCTCTTTTAAACTTAATTAAAGCAGTTTCTAGAAATACGTTATTTTGTTATTTGTTGGAAAGTACTAATGTTTCCAATTTTATTTAGTGGAAAAATTATGCAGCACTCACCTATTAATGCCTTAACATTCAATTGGATGAGCAGTCATTCTAAATTGAAAATTCATGACATTAAAATGATATACACACACTCCATTTAAAGGATGTCCAATAGTTTAGTTTTGAAGCTAAAAAATACATGTTTAATTGAACTGAATACACTTTACTTTGCAGATGGAGAAATTAATTATTCTGCTGCTCTGGTTACAGTATGTTGTTAAGGTAAGACATTTTTGAGTGCACCCTCTTTGGAATAATTAGCTAATGGGCAAGATGTGATTGCATTGAATCTATCATTCTGGAAAATAAGGAGTATACTGAAGGGAAATAATGCTAAATATCAGGTTTAGTACCTAAGAAAAAAAATTTTCTTTGCTAGGTGTCACTCACATATGTATTTTTATAGCTTAAAAATTGTGTTGGAGATAATCATGGAGATAAATCAGAATTTGGGAAGAAGACAGAGTATAATAAGGCATTTCAGAGTTGTTTTTGGTAGGAATTTTGATACATATATTCTTTTGAAAGTTGAAATTTTTTTGTCATTGAGGGAACATCAAGGGTCTCTGATTCTGTGGTCTATCTTACTTTGTTTGCTAATATTTTCATTATGCATAGATGAAATAAGGGTCTAAAATGACTCAGTGTCAAACATTTTGTACCCAAATGTATTTTCTTTGCAAACGTGTTGTCAAGAATGTCTGCAAAATAATTCAGTTTTGTAGACATTATCCCCAAGGTTCACAATTGGCACTCCAGGAGGGTTTGCCATGTTTTCTCTGAGATTTTGAGTCTCTGCCTCGTCCCTTACCCCAGGGATACAATGTTTCCTAGTTAGAGAGACATGGATCTTAAATTTCCATGCTCTTATTTTACTTGCTTTACTGAAGTCATTTTCAAAATTATATTTATAAATAGAGTAACTGACAGAGTAATTCATGTGTAGACACTGATACTGCTGAAATGTTTAAAAATTATAATTTCATGTATTTTAGGTGTCATTTTAATAAATCTGCTTATAAAATAACAATCAAGAATGCATTTTTACTGTTTTTTACAGTTTCTTCGCTTTTCCATTTTAGATCTCAAAACATTTTCATTATATACCAATGAATAAACAAACAACAGAAGTTTTTATTGAATGGGATGAATTTCCTAAGGGAGGAAATCCTGAATTTTATTTTTTAAAATATCAACTTGTTAATGATTTTGCTCAAAGAGTAAGGAATCTTTTCTTGGTTCTGATAAAAAGTAAGCATAGTGTAAATCTGGTGTTACCAAGTGCCACATTGTAAATAGGAACCTAATAGTTATCAGGGTTTCTTATTTTATTAATATATAAAATGTTAGCATTTTTTGAAATATCTTTAATAAGTAGATGATCAAATAATATTTAACTTTTTCATAGGAATGACTATTTGTCTTTTTAGAATTTATATACCAAAGGAGAATAATTCTTTAAAAAATGTCTTTTATGTAGAAATAAACATTTCATATATATATTTATATTCCACATTGAAAAACTACTTTTATGAAGGAGATATACAAAAGTCAAATTTTTAATTAATGTGCCTGGCTTAGAGATAATGTTCAATAAACATTTCTTAAGCAGATGAATATAATTATTTGCAGAATGTAAAAAGTATTCTCGCAGACCCACAAAGATGTCAGAAATTAATAATAACACTAAAGGAAAATGAAGATTATCACATCATTTTACAGTCCATGAGATATGGACAAATTTTAAGTGAAAAGTCATTTCAAATTCGTAAGTAATGTATATGTTGATCAACTATGTAAACTTTCATTACCAGATAATTTAAATTTTACAATGATTAACAGGTATAAAATGGTACTGTAAAATTATAATAGTATTATTTTTTACATAATGTAAATCTCAGAATTTAAAGAAAATTATAAACTGAGGTAAGAATATAGTTTTAAATTTTGGCATTTTATGTGTACTAGTGTGAATGGATAGGTAGAGTGGAGATTTTACGTGTTATCCAGATTATGTAAAAAATATAATGTGGTTCTGTAATCTAATTCATTCATTCTATGTAGAATAGAAGAAACTCCCATATAGTCTAGAAAATATTTTATGGGTAGATAATGTTTTCTCATCATGGTGAATCATGTAACTCAATATCCTTTGTGTTTCATTCAATTTTATTTGAATCTGTGCTAATTATTCTCCCTGATTTTTTAGGTGGAATCTCAACTAGCAATATTAAAACAATAGCAACAAGTACAAGTATTTCTTTTAACTGGAGTGTGCCCTCTTCCAAAGATATATCAGTGTCAATATCTTTCAATAATTATTCACAAATTATGCAAAATAATGTTATGGTTTATGAGTGGGGTAATTTAAAACCTGCAGCTTTTTATGCTTTCACATTTGAATTTAAACAGTTACACTTGGATTTCATAAATATATTTCAGAGACTGGATGTTCAAGTTGAAACAGGTATATAGACATTTGGTTCATCATTCATTATATATTTATTATATATTTTGTAGATAATGTAGCAGTTATATTGTATTTCAAAAGAAAGTGATCTGGCCAAGTATTAATCACTGCAGGCTGCTTGTAATCAAATTAGCATAGTCTCCTTTTTTGACTATATCATTCTGGTATCTGACTGATTATTGAACAAGCTGGACTTAGCGGAGTAATGGTAGAAACCAACCTAATAACTTTATTTTCTTCCCAGCACTTCCTTTAAACCCAAGTGGGTTCTCTTTTTCTTTACTCTGACAAAGAGTCATACAAATTCCATAGCGTTTTAGGTTACTTTAATGAGTCAACAAACAGTCTCATTTTCAGGTATTACAAGATCCATTACAATATATTACAAACACACTGATCTTTCATCCTATTTAAAGCTTCTCTGTTACTCATCTATGATCAGACCTGACCACAATTAGGAAAAGTTTAGGGGAAAGGTGAATGTGTTCAATTTTAGGGTCTTCCTAGTTTCATGTCTTTCCTCCACAAGGTGGGAACAGGTAGAAGGGGACAGAATCATAGATAGCTGATGAGGGCAGGACACTCTTTGTGACGGTCTGAGAGTGTCATTTTAATATCCCCTACAGGAATAATAAAAAAGATACAACACATGTATTGTACAAGTGAAGTATAGAAACACTCAAATAGGAAGAAAAAATAAAATAAGGTAATTAAGCGTCCTTTCTCCTGTGGGGAAAAAAAAAGACAAAAGATCTTCAGAACTTTCTCACATATTCCTACTGTGTTGAGTTGAGGCACTGGTAGAATATTAACATGAACTGATGTGCAATATTTTCTCTGAACAGGCTGCTATTTTCTCCAGTCTTTCTGTGGTACATAATCTTGGAGAATAACGCTAAGCAGCCATTCCTGCTTTTTTTCTGGAAGGTAAACACTTTTGAAGTCAAGTGACTGAGAGCAAAATTTTTAGCAAGCATTGTGTCTAGTACTCCAAAATAAAAAGAAACCTGAAATGTGATAAAAAGTTTGCTACCAATACAAAAGTAAGGGAAAAGAAAGGCAATCTAAAGTAAGGTTTTCTTTAGAAAGAAAAACATCGTTTTTTATTTTAATAAAGTTATAATTGGACAATAATTCTGCATAACTAATTCTTACAGCTATTTAAAAAACCATGTTAATTGGTGGTAGTTTATTTGCTCCTTGATTAATAAACAAAGCTTTAATATTTTTATTGGTTTGAAAGTAGTATAGGGAAGGTGCACACTTAATACTATGAGGTTTTCATAATTAACTTGTATACATATTAAGAAATATAATTATGAAATGTTATATTACTGAATTCATCTTTAACAGGGGATTTTTCTTTTGGTAGGATCGTGTTCACAAGGATGGGCAGCATTAAAAAATAACTGTTATAGAATTAACAATGACAGTAAGCCATGGAATATAGCCCAGCAACATTGTAAGTTATCCTTAAGTTCTGCACACCTTGTGGATATAAAAAATGAAGAGGAAAAAAGTTTTGTATTTTCGTATCTCAGGTCAAACAATCAAATAATAATATGGACTGGTCTTAATGATATGAAGGTCAGTAAATGTAAAGAAATACATATATTGTGATAAATGAAACTTTATTATCTATATTCATTCATGCATTCTTTATTCATTGATTTCTTCCTTCATTAATTCAATACAGTTTCTCTTTCTATAGATACCCAGTTTAATATATTTTTAGGCATCTTTTTTAAAACCTAATTTTCCTTTAATTTTGGTATTCCCCAGACCATTTCTAAGTTCATTTGAGTGATTTCATCCATTTCTTCACTCAATTTATCACCTGAACCACCAATTATTCCTAAATTCTTTATCTAGTCTACTTTCCTCTTATGAGTCCAGACATATATCTAATTTTCTTCTGATTATCCCTCTGGCACTTCTTGCAGACACTGTAACATTGCCAAGACTGAACTTGCCTTCTCCCTCTAATCAAACCTGTTTCACTTCCTTTATTCCTCATCTCTGCAAACAGTGCAATAATATGAACCCCAAAACATGAAAAGTGTTTTTCCATTTTCTTCTTTTCACTCCACACATCAGTCTTGTGAAGCTCAATTTTACTAAAAGCAATACAGAAAGATCTGGAGATTTTATTTAACACTAGTGAAATCAGGAGTGTGTAACATTTTTCTTCAACATTCCTAACACTTTGGAAAGTCTCATGAAACTTCATTTGGTCAGCATTTTGTAGAGAAACTCAAGACCTAACATAGTCATCTCTGTCTGTCTGTGTTTTCTTCTTGATGATCCACTGACTTTTATTTCCTGGCACTCAAAGATAAATATGTTCTCCTTGAGATATCCTTATCTATAGTGAACTAAGGCAGATCCTACCAATTTGATGCCAACTTTCCTGTGGAGCTTTGCATAAGCTTGGGAAAACCTCTAGGAATCCTTAATTGCATTTTAAAAATTATTATTTTATTGAGTTTTCTTTATCTTTTAATAGGCAATGAATGAAATTCTAATAAAGATTCCTTAAATCACAATTCATCTTAGACATCTCAGACTCCCTCTCCCAGCATGCCAGTCTCTTCTTAGCAAGTAGACCAGTTAATGTGTGTGTGTGTATATATATATATATATGTATATACACAACTATATATGTATACATATATAGTTGTGTGTGTATATATTTGTGTATATATATACACATATACACACATATATATACATACACACACACACACATATATATATACACACACACACACACACACACACATACAGTTGTTTCCTACTGTTAGCATGATATATTAGGAAATTGGGGCACAGGGAGATTCACTTGCCCATATGGACATGCATCAGATGCTACCCTTAACCATGATATTTTGAGGTTGACATCAAAGTTACCTGCTACATCATAATCCCCATGGTAGGTTCAGAAAGTAATTACTCCTTTAAGTAAATCTGTGCTGAATAAGTGCAAAATTGTTACTGGACTTCAAGGATGGAGAGTGTGTCTTATTCAGCATTCCATTCCTGGCTTCAAACTGGGGTTTGGTACTCAACAGGAACGTAATGAATGAAAGATTAATAGTCTCTTTCTTTCCTTTTGGGATGCTTGCATAGGTAACCTTCATTTAGTTTTCACCTTATAGTTGTAGTAGGTGCTATCATTATTCCCATTTTATACAGGAAAATAGATCTTAGAGAGATCCTGGGGCACATAACTTATCAATGCCCATTCCAGGCCTTGAATTTATATCTGTCTGACCAACTCTCATGCCCTAATCACTTGAAATACTATCACTGATCATATGCCTATTTTTAAAACTACAACAATACATATGTAATAAAGCAGACTTTTTGAGGAAATAGTATTTCTTCATTCTGTTAGGTGGAATTTGAATGCATTGTTTTAAAATCTTTTTAAAATGTCCAGAGGAAACAGGTCTCTTTAATTCTTACCCATGCAGCTTGGTTGGTGCTGTGCTTGATTTTGGGGATGGTCTGATGACCAAAATATAGACATAGTATCTGTTTTCATAGTGTTAATTATCTCTGTAAGTATTACATTTATTTTTTAAGGAGGTGTTATGTATTCGCTGTATTATAAACATACTCTCTAAAACTATTGACAACTATGCAAAGTAGTCATGATTATTTCCATTGCACAGGCAAGAACATTTAGTTTCTAAGATTAGTAGTTGCCCAAGAGTAGATAGTTAAGTGTCAGAAATATAATTAGTATGCAGGAGTATTTTGTCAAAGCTTATACTTTTTTTCAACTACCCCTTTCAAGAAGGATAGATATATGACAGATATTTATTACTTGTGAAAATTGGGTTGGTGACATTCACCAAGGACATCCTTTAGAAGGAAGGTATCAACAACCTCTCCTGACGCATGCAATTTATTTGATGATTTCAAATGAAATAACTAACATTTAATGAATATTTTCTCTGAGCCTCATTGTGTTGAGCCTTTGAATGTACTGCCTCTTTAATCATTACAACAACCTTAAGATGTAGTTTCTATTATTATACTCATTTTACAGATGAGAAAATAGAGGCTTATTGCGAGATTTGCAATTCGCCTGAAGACATATGGCTAATGAGTTAATGAAAGTCAACTCTGTCTCTTGCTGCTGCTGCTGCTGCTTCCTTCTCCTCCTCCTCTTCTCCTCCTCCTCCTTCTCCTCCTCCTCCTTCTCCTCCTCCTCCTTCTCCTCCTCCTCCTTCTCCTCCTCCTGCTCCTCCTCCTCCTCCTCTTCCTCCTCCTCCTCTTCCTCCTCTTCCGCTTCCTCCTCCTCCTCCTTCTCCTCCTCCTCCTCTTCCTCCTCTTCCACCGCCTCCTCCTTCTCCTCCTCCTCCTCCTCTTCTTCCTCCTCCCCTTCCTCCTCTTCCACCTCCTCCTCCACCTTCTCCTCCTTCTCCTCCTTCTCCTTCTCTTTTTTCTTTTTTGACATAAGTCTTCCTCTGTCACCTAGGCTGAAGTGCAGTGGCTGAAGCAGAGATCACTGCAGCCTTAAACTCCTGGGCTTAAGCGATTCTTCTGCCTCAGCCTTCCAAGTAGCTGGGATTACAGGCATGAGCCACTGGCCTGGCTCCAGCTGCTTTATCATGAAGGAAATCTACATAAAAATATTAAACTGGTTGATAATTTTAAAATCTTAGAAAATTTTATAATGAAGTTATGATTATTAAAATTTTCAAATACACATATTTGAAATGCAGTGACTGAAGATATCACACTTTTCCTTTTAATTGGCTTAATTTGTTCATCTTATTACAGAAAGAAGGTCTTCTTACATGGGCAGATGGATCATCTTTTGGCCTTAAGAAAAATGAAATATTTTCTTTTTCATTGCTATCCAAGAATGAAACACATTGCTACATTTTACAGCAAAATGCAACTGGATCAAACTATTTCTTTACAAGATTTTTCTGTTACGTTCCATTGCCATATGTTTGCGAATATGAATGTAATTATTTTTATTATTCTTTCTTATATTCATGCAGCTTTTTATTATTTAATTTTAATTTATTTATTTCATTATGGAATTATAATTTGTAATTAAAAATAATTATCTTTTCTATTTTTTCAGTACCTTCTCTGCAGGAAAGCTTTTTGCTTTACATAAAGGATGTTGGAACAACTGAAGTTGTATTATTTGGAATAATTTGAATTTTTGGAATAATTTGAATAAGTGGGTGAAATTGGGATATAAGATTATCATTAAATATTCTTTAGATTATACAGAAGAACAATATTTTGAAAGCATGCCCCCAAATACTACAGAAAAAGCAATTACCCAACTGTTTCCTGGTCATATTTATAGATTTTTACTCTTCGCAATAAATGAATGGGAGGCAAAAACTACTTTAAGTCCAATATTCACTGTAGAAACACGTAAGTTACAAGACACCTGAAAATATAATTTAAAAAATTTTTAATACTGTCATTGGCAGATATTTTATGAGGGTCTGGTATTTTCTCATATAACTCTGGAGATACCTCTGTATTTAATCATTTTAGGCTGGGTGCAGTGGCTCACGCCTGTCAGCCCAGCACTTCGGGAGTCCTAGGCGGGTGGATTGCCTGAGGTCAGGAGTTTGAGACCAGCCTGGCTAACACCGTGAAACCCTGTCTGTACTAAAAATACAAAAATTAGCCAGGCATGGTGGTGCACAACTGTAGTCCCAGCTACTTGGTAGGCTGAGGCAGGAGAATCACTTGAACCCAGGAGGTAGAAGTTGCAGTGGGCTGAGATCATGCCACTGCACTCCAGCCTGGATGACAGAGCAAGACTCTGTCTCAAATAATAATAATAATAATAAGAGTAATAATTTTGTAATCAATCTGTTTATGCGTTGGTTTTTCTGTTAAACTACAAACCTCATGAAGACATGAACTATGTCTTATTTGTCTTACAGTACCAGCTAGAGTAGTGCCTACCTCATAGGGGATGATCAATAAATTTTTGTGGAGCTGTATTTCCGATATGTGCTGAGAGCAGGAAAGGGACAGCTATGCATCCCTGCCTTTAATAGGCTCACACTGGAGACAATTAGTAAAGAATAA
This sequence comes from Homo sapiens, assembly GCF_000001405.40. Classification (NCBI taxonomy): domain Eukaryota; kingdom Metazoa; phylum Chordata; class Mammalia; order Primates; family Hominidae; genus Homo; species Homo sapiens. The sequence goes on from NC_000012.12 coordinate 80,410,558, forward strand.
AAATAAAAGCAAACAAAACTATACAGCAAAAGAATAACCTAAATATCCAACCAGTGGTGCATTTAATAAATGCTAACTTGAATTCATACAGTAGATGACAGGAGAAGACTCATGGAAAGGAGAGGCTTAGACTGAAATTTGAATGAAGAAAAAGCATGTTGGGAGCAGCAGTGCAGACATAAGAATTTGTGTAAGAAGACTTGTGCAGATTGACTAGAGAAGATAATTTCCTTGGGCATGAGGGTAAAATCAGTGTGGGAGGTAGATGGTGCCAGACTTGGGAGTGGCAGGGGTATCTGTCTCAGATGCTTGGACTTGACCTTAGAAGCAATGGAAATCCATTAAGACTATAGTTTCTAGCACTTGTTTTACATTTTACAAAGCACTTTCAATGCATTATCTCATTCGGTCCTTGCCTCAACCCTGGGAGTAGCTATATAGAAATGAGAAAACTGAACTTCTGGAATGTTAAGTAAACTGACTAGAGTAACATGCTTTGTTAAGCAACCAAGCCACACAAGAACCCAGATGGTCTTATTGTAACTCCTGAGCTGTTGCTCCTAGAGAAAGAATCAAGAATGTGTTAGCACATGTATATTGAGGAGTGGGGGATGGATATAGTTTCGACGCCATGTGCAAGGTACTATAATAAGAAAATTAATCTGGAAGCATTAATTAGGACAATCACTGGCACTGGATGAAATGGTTAGAGTAGGGAAACAGTTCTGTAAAAGGATGAGTGCCTGTGTTGCAGTGATAATAAGAACGAAGAGTGAATAACAAAGTCTCTGCCCTCTAGTCTGACAAGGCAGAAGAGGTAAGAGACATATATAATGTATGACCATTAAATGCCATGCACACTGTTTTGGTAGTGAGAATAGTAAAATAATTATTGAACAATAGCGTGTGGCAAACACTGTGCCAAGTGTTTTACGTTCTTCATCTCATTTAATCTTCACAAAAGCTTTATGAGGTACCTACTAATGTAATTCCCATTTTGCAGTCAGAGGGGGTAGGTAATTTTCTCAGGGAGTGAAACTATAAAGTGGAAGAGCCAGGACTCACCCCCAGTTTTTGTTTCTTTTCCAAGCTAGAGTATTTGGAAATATTGAGAAGTGAGAGAGTATTCTGCCAAATCATGTTACTAAGCAACATATTTTTTGGTTGTCTTTATCTCCCAGGCCCTTTGTCAGCCCAAAATTTCAGAGTTACACATGTTACCATAACAGAAGTATTTTTACACTGGGATCCTCCAGATCCTGTATTTTTTCATCATTACCTTATCACTATTTTGGATGTTGAAAACAATACATCAGAAGAGGTGCTTGTTGAAAAACGCAACACAGCAACCATAGTTGGAGACCTCAAGTCTTTTCATCATTATCTGGTATATCTATTCAGTGTAGCAGAAAGAGGAACTTTAAGTTGCTTGGAGAAACCACTTTCAGTCATTACAGGTAAGCATGGCTGCGTATTGCCTTCTACTAAAAAATTCTAAACTGATAGTTTCTGTTTCTGTGCAATTTCACCGTTATGCAATATATCAATGTAACCTGTACACTTATCCCAAAATCTAAAATAATAAAAAGAAATAGTTAACTGCATATTTCAAAATATTATTTTGCTGATATTTAATTATGTTGATTCTTCATAAGTACAAATAAGTTGAACATGTTTTTGAATGTTGAATCACAATTCTAAGCATGTATTCAAAAATACTAAATTTATTTAGATTTACATGAGCTCTTTAAACATTATTCCAATCTGCATTTTTTTCTACCAAAGTCCCTAGAAGACATCTTTTTTTGTCATAGCCTTGGGTGGAAAATAAATTTATCTTTATTTATCATAAGATAAACAAATTATCACATGAATATTAGTTCACCCAGTTTTTTTTAGTAACACTAGACCCAACGAACAGGTCTGCATATTTTAATCAGTTTTACTTGGTTCTTTATTTTCTCACACTGTGTAATGTATTGACCTCTAGGGGGCAGTCTCATACTAGCATTTTTGGCAAATGCATTTCTACCCTCCTCTTAACCTCCACATAGCAGTTTTTGAATCCTTGTCCAGAACATAATCATTAAAGTAATCGATTGTTTTAATTAATAATTCTATTTATTCCATAAAATATAAGGACGTATTTTTAAAAAGATAAAACATTATCTTACAAAACAATGCATAATTAAGCACATTTTGGCAATATATTCTTATAAGTGTAGTGTGTGTTGTGTATTTGACATGCAGTGTGCAAAGTTCTTTGGAATTTCAACAGCTAAAATTTAAACACCCTAGAGCTGAAGTAGGTGGAATGGAAAACCTGCATGTGCACAGATATAGATTAATTAACCTTCCTATACTTATTGGGAATATTTAAGATTCTTTGAAAATAATAACAATAATAGATACAATTTAATGCTTACTAAAAACCAATGCTTAACATACAAGTATTCAGTATTGCAAATCCTAATAAAAATATTTTTCCAATTGGATAGTAGCAGGTGTTTTCTCTTCTCCAAACTCAGACTAAGTATCCTTCCATTGGCAAATGCTTGGTTTGTTGGGTCCTTTACACTTTAGGAAGGTGCTTTCATTTTTAATTGACAGATGGACTAGGAGGATTTCTCACAGATTTATTAATTTTGAAGTCGACTTAAAATCTTCTAGGAAATATACCTATTTATTTCATAAAAGGTACAATGTGAATCAGCACTTTTAATTTTTTGGGGAGTCATTTGCTGTGTATTTTTACTGTAAGCTGATATACCAGTGCATGTCCAGGATTTAGTAATCCAGTGTTCCTTTACTCTCTAAAGCTTGAGGAATTATTCTTTTTTTCATTCATTATTCACTCAATGAATTATTTTTCAGTATCAGGAACTGAGCTAGGCACTAGAGATACAAAGATGAAGAAGACCTAGTCTCAGTAAGAATGAGACAAATAAGTTAACAGTGATAGTGCCGCATTATAATTGCCATTAGAGTAGTTATGCTGTGGATACTATGGGAACATAGAGAAGGATCAGTTAGCCCAAACTCAGGGTGCCGATGGTCATGGGTAAGTGATGGGCTTAATCATGAAGGAGTAGAAATTAGCCAGCAGGTGACAGTAGGGAGGCAGAAAGATGCTGCAGGTAGAGCAAGCAGCATGTGCCTAGGCAAAGGACAGAGAAAAGACATTCAACAAAGCTGACCTAGGAAAGCTAGAGAAGCCTTTTTGAAGACACTAACATTTGAACATTAGGAATGGCTAGAGAACAGAGGGGCACGTAGGGAGAGTCTAGAAAATGTAAGCTAGGCACAGAATGTGAACACCCTTGATACATACTCTGGAGTATATTTTATTTAGTAACACTGAACCTTTTTGGGGTCATGGAGCCTCTTGAGAATTTAAAAAAAATTAACTCTTATGAAAATGCAAATACATGCACAGACAATTTTGTAAGCAAATTCAGCGCTATCACAGACCCACCAAATCCCAGCGTTTCCTCAATCTCTGCTTATATGTGGCATTCGGTAGATTACATCTAAGTCCTCCACTGCAGTAAATGTTTAAATAGATTTTTAGGTTTTGCAAGAATATAAGAATAATTTTCTGAAGTTGTTTCACCCTGGAATCTTATTGGATAGTGTTTCTAATTGGATTACTCTGGCATTTTCTGATAATTTTACATAAATAATTAACTTAAACATCAGCTACAGTTTTGTGAAATTAAGATATGGGATGCAGACTAAGGGTTCCACCCAGAATATTTTCCTGAGAAGTTAAAATGTGATATTAAATTGTACTGATAAAGAAGTCAACTTTAAAACGGATAAAAGTTCAAATAATAGTTTCGGCAAACTATAAAAATCATAGAGAATTCTTTAAAGATTTTTAAAGTAAAACTACTAAAAAGTTTAAAATTGCATAATTATCCTTAGAGATATGAACTAATGATTATTGTAGCTGAGAACTATTAAAAGATCAGGAAAAACATACTATAGGATAAACAATACTATAAGGAAAACATTTACAATTTCCAGAAAACTGTATGATAGGAAAAAAATCAGAAGGCTTGGTATTCAAGGAAACGGTGCAAGGAAATAGGCTGAAGTATCATCTTCAGTTATTATTATAAAGTATCAAGAAGATTCTCCAATGATATTATGCATGAACAGTGAGCATAACCTGCTAATTTCCTCTATATTTCTAATAAATATCACACCTTTCAAAAATCAGAAAAGTAGTATAAAGTTACAACTGTTTTATAATAAATACCAGCTCTGAAACTTTAAAGACATCTATATGTCAATGACTCATAAAGTTATATCTCTATATAACTTTATATAAAGCCTAGACTTTTGTCCCAAACTCCACATTCAAACATCTAACTGCGTATGCATTATTGCTCATTTGGTTATCTATGAGATGTTTTAAATTTAACATGCCCAAAACTGAACTCCAGGTGTTTCTACCCAAATCTGCTTTATCCACAGCCCTTCTCAGTTCATGGTAATTTTATTCATCCAGTTGTTTAGTCAAAAGCCTTGAAGTTGTTCTTGACTCTTCTGTTTCTCTCACAACCCATTCCCAACCTGTCAAGAAATCTTGTTTGTTCTGTCTTCAAAATAAATCCAGAGTCACACTATATCTCCCCACCTCCCTGAGTGCTGTTTTCATCCAGGCAACCATTCCACCTCACCTGGATTATTGGGCTGGCTCCCTATTTCTACCACTGGCCCTCCATGTGGTCTGTTATTAATGTCACGGCCCAAGTGAGTCTTTAAAAATAGGAATGATCATGCATCTGCATATAACTCAGTAGTTGCTACCCATTTGACTTGGAGCAAACGCCTTTGAGAACTTGCATGAACTGGCTTTCTATTTGCCTCTGACCTCATCTTATTCTCTCCTTCATTCATTCTAGCTTTCCTTCCACCCTTGAACACACCAGATAAGCTCCCACTTTAGGGATTTTACTAGCTGTTTCTTCAGCTTTAATACTCTTCTTCCAGAAATCCATATGTCTAACTCTCCAATCTCCTTCACCTTTTTGCTGAAAACCCTATCTTTTGAAAAACATCTGCCCTGAAATCCCTACTTCATACCACAACTTCCTCCTTAAAGCCACCACACTCTTCATCTCCCTCACCCTGGTTACTTTTTACTTTTTCTGCAGCACTTATCACCTCTGAAGTTCTATATAACATACGTACTTATTTTATGTATTGCTATTATCTATTCCACCTATTAGAATATGAACTCCATAAGGACAAGGATCTTTAGTTTTTACTGATGTACTCTACCTGCCTAGAAGAGTGCCTGGCACTTGGTAGGTGCCCATATATATTTGATTAAAACATGAATAATCTCAATAATGGGAACATTACTCTGATGGCACTCTTGAAAGTATGAAGAATTTGCCAAACACTTGAGGATTATATTTGTTTCCCCTTGACTTGTAATTTTTACATTTAACCATTTTAATAAATTTTGCATAGTAATAAGAATACACTTTTCTCAAAACTTGAGTGCTTTTCAAGACATGTTGACATAACAAACTGTAAAATTTACTTTGAACATTAATATTGAATTATTTTCACTCAATAGCATGAATAATGCTAACTAATAAGCTAAGATGTGTGTATGTATTTATTTGTTTACTTAAGGTATTAATCCACCTCAGAAAGTTTATGTAAAACCTGAAGATGTGGGAGAAGACCATATAATTCTTCAGTGGGAACCTTCACAAGATGGCCATGAGATCTACATTCAGATTAAATCCATATCAGATCCAAGTGAAGTCATGAATAGATTCAAGATTGATAATTTAATCCCTGGAAGTAGGAAGTCCAAGATGGGCTGCTTGCGATGAATGAAGAAAGGGAGAAACTTAGGCTTTTAACTTGAGTAATTTGGGTGCTTGGTGATGACACTGAAGAAGAGAAAATTATTGGACCTTACAGTGATTCTAGCTGAAAAAAAAAATTGGTCCAAAAAATTATGCAATGATAATGTCCACACTCAACCAGTGCTAGATCTTCCTATTTTATCATCCAAAGACTAAAACTAAATTTATGTCTGGAACTTCCATGCTTAAATTTCTAAGAAAACTACCTAAAGATAATTATAATAAGAAGTAGTTATAAAAGAGAAAACTAAGAAAGAGATATTACCAAGAAGAATTATTTAATGCCTATAAAACAACCCACTAAATAATTATTGGCATAGCAGTAGGAGTAAACTGTGAAGTTGGAAAATGATTTTTCTCCTTAGTTCATGTTTTAGCAGTCTGAGGTTAGAGAATGTCCCCATGTTATCCCAGGGTCTGTTTTCTTTCTCAAAAACTTGAGACATTTAATATATTATTTCTAAATTTCCTTCCAGGTCAAAATCAAAAGCCTCATAATTCTTTGCCTCCAGGGTACTTAGCATATTTCATCCATCTGCCATCTAAAATGTAAACTTGTTTTGCCTCTGTTTCTAGAGCTCTTGTGAAATCTTGTTCAGCTGCGTATCTCCAGCCTAAATAGAGTTCCTAGCTCTATGTAATTCAATTGTTTGTCAAACTGGTATTCAACATGGATGCAGAAACACATATTAACATGCAAATCCTAAGAAGAATAGCATTCTGGGGTTTGAAGTTAGGACAGAGATCTTGCCAATGCTCTCATATGATATATAATTCCCAGGACAGTGTCTCTGGTCATTCAGGGCTTCTGTAATTCATTTCCAAAATTTTCCCCATCATGGACCTAGTCTACTCTCTAGAACATCACAAAGCAAACCCAATCTATGGTTCACACGACAGGCTGCAAATGTTTAGAGACATTCATATGGTGTCCCTGGTTCCTATATTTTCTTTCCCTGTGGGTAATTATCTTTAATTCCTTCAAGCACTCCACTATTTCTCGTGGGTGTTCTATCCAGTTCGTAGGCTTGCTATCAGATTTAGCATCACCAGATTATTTATCAGGCATCATTTGTATTGCCTCAAAAATCCTAAAGCAAATAGTAACCTGTCCCAAGGTGCATAGGAACAAGTTTTTTTGCATGCATTCATTCAACAGATATTTATTGATACATATAATTTACCACATTGTATTTCTCTCTCTGCCATATACTTTGAAATAGTCAAGCAAGAGAGGCATTTGCCTTTTATGGGCATGTAGAAGAAAATATAATTTACACATACTTTTTTTTCCCTTTCCCCTTTGAAACTTATCTGTCTGTGCCTCTCTCTAATTTGTCCTGAACATAACCAGCAGAACTTGATCTCTAGCTATGATTGTGCACCTGAACCATAAAATGTGCCCTTAGGAAGAAGGCAGTGCTTATGAGCACAGACCATGGAAACAAATTGCCTGGGTTTGTATTCCAGCTCCATGATTTAGCAGCTTCTTACATCCTTTGCAAAGTCACTCAGGCCCTTTGGGTCCTCAGCTTCTTTCTCTCTAAAATGGGAATAATAATCATAATCTTATCTGTTTTATGAAAGTAATGTAATTTAAGGACTTGGTGCCTGGCACCAAATAAGTGCTATGACAGTGTGTGTTGTGATTTTTATTTCTCAATAGGAGTGGAGTGGTGGCCTTGGGGAGCTATGGCCATGCATAGTGGGAAGTAAAGCCATTTCAGCAGTCTGTGTGATCTCTCTTTGTTGGAGGAATTAACTATACCCAGGTTTTCTTGAGGGAAAAAGAACTATTGGAGAGTTGGTGTTTGAATTTCCTTTTTTCCCCTCTTGACACAGGAGAATACATTTTATGATAGGAGCATCCCTCAGACTTTGTTCTACCTTGCCTATAATAAAAGGCTTTGAAATTGGCCTAGTTCAGTTCACCTCATACTGAAAAAAAAATCTTGTATAGCCCCTGATCTTACCACTTCTTTTGATAAAGCTTTTACAGGAGAGCGGATAAGGATAGAAATCACAGTCCGAGGTAGAAACTTGACGAAAGTCGCCAGTATGTGGCAATATGTTTCTTTTATTCTTTTTTTTGTGAAATCTTTTCTCATATGATTTTTCCAGATCAGGATATAATTTTTAAGACAAGACAGAACTCTGTCCTATTCTACACCTTTCCAGCCTTGGTGATTATAGTGTCATGCATGACACAGCTTGGCTTATTTTCTAGGACAGGTGGAAATGATCGAAAATCCCATGCTTACTCACTAGAGGGGATGACATTGATTTTTACATACTTTTAGAACCTACATTAGACCATGCCTATTTAAAGTCACCTCTCTTTTTAGAAAATGTCTTCAGTGCCCAAGAACATGGAAGTGAATTGGTTCTATGATTATACTTGTCACTCATTTACCATCCCAAGATCTTTTAATTCCTGCTTAAGCCATACTTGGAAGCTTTCATAGATCATTGTCCACAGATTCAGATGTATTAGATATGTGTGGGATGTTACTCTTGTCTTGGGAAACTCATAGTTACTGTAGGACTTTTATAACTGAAGGGGGCTATGCAGAATTTAAAGAGAAAACCCACAGAAAATATTAGTGATGACGGAAAAATAAAAGTTAACATAATATAACTGGAGAAGGAAAACTATGATAAAACTGCCTCGAAACCCAGTAGTACACCATATGGAACTGGTTATGGTTCATTTATTGAACATTTCCTCATCACCAGCAAGAATTGAAAAGGCAAAAAGTTTGCAAGTTCCAGCTCACAAAAATTTGTGGAGCTAATGCACTGATTTTATGTTCTGAAATTCTCATTATAGGTGTGTGTGGACATTCTTTCCTAAAGTACTGGCTCTGGGTAAAGTAGCAGAATAACATTATCAAATATTTAACAGTAACTTGGAACAACTTCCATTGTATCAAACCAGATGTCACAAATAAAACTGAAAAGGAAAGGCCATCTAATTATGCTCTGGAGGGAAAAAATTCATTTTCAGATTGTATATTTTAGGAAAAGATATCTGCTTGGGAGAAATGCAGGCTTAAGGAAATATTGGATGCTATCCCCATAACCCACAAATCGAATTGAAATTAAAATTGACCTGAGAAAGAAATAATGTTACTAGAAATCATCTCAAATTTTAAATCTGCTTTAAATAGCACAGTAGAGAATTGAGGTACAATCAAAATCTTTAGCAGAGTTCAAGGAGAGTGTAAAATGTAAATGAATCCTTCCTCCAAACTGTTGCCAAAAATGTGTTTCTAAAAATGAAATTACATGCCTGCTCAAAATCCCTGTTGCCTCCAGGATACAGTCTGACCTCCATAGCATGGCATGCAAAGCCCCTTACAGACACATTCAGCCTCAGAGGTGGCCCTTGTATGCCCAGTCTCATTCCTCTCATGCAGCCTGTCTTTTAACCACCCAGAGTGCCTGCTGCATGCCTGACACTACTCTAAGTACTTTATATATGAATGCAATTTCTTATGTAATCAGCACAGTGACTCTGCAATGTAGATGCTAGTCTCCTTCCCATTTTAGAGAAGAAGACCAAGGCAGAGTGGCTAAGTAACTTGCCAAAGAATACCCTGCTATTAAAGGGCTAAAAGAACTTGGTATTCCTTGAACACATGACAATGTGCTTTTTGGTTTCTATGCCTTGCCCCTGATTTTCTTTTTTTCCTGGAATTCCTTCATTACTCCCTTTTCCCCTTCACATGTACTGTTTCTGGTAAACTTGTACTCTTTCAAGACTCAGATAAAACATCTTTAACTCTGGAAAGCCTTCCCCAATTATTTCTGCTGACATTGGTGATTTCCTCCTCTGTTCTAAGCAAGTTTTTTTCATGTCACTAGCTCAGGTCTATTTGAGATTCTAGTTAATAATCTATAAATCTCTTTCCTGAGATTGAGAACTCTTTGAAAGCAAGAACCTGGCCTTATTTACTTTATTTGAGCACTAATCCTTGTATATAGGTTCTCAAAAACATTTACTTAATAAATAGATTAAAAGGTAAAAAATAATGAAAAAATCTCAGATTTGTGTTTCTTGCGATTGTTATTGATAATGAATAAATGAAAGTTAATTATGTACTTTCAGTATATATGTATGTATAGCCTGTCAGAATATCTACCTTTTTTCTCTGTCTATTGCTAACACAGTAGACATAAGTTTAATGCATAAACATTTATATTCTCACAAATTCTGGAACATGCTAGATAAAATGCAGAGAAATATGATTGACCTTTAAAAGGTACTAATTATAAATCTTGTTTTTATCTTTCAGAACCCAAACCAGTCTGGATTGTTATCCCCTATGAAAGTCATAGTACCTCTGTAATCTTATTTGTTCAAATGCCCAATGTTGAAGTGTTTGATGGACTACATATTGTAATTGAAGGAGGGGCAAATGTGACCATGGCTTTACACCATGGTAATAAAATAACTGTTGACAATTTAGCTCCAGACACAGAATATAATTTCTTTGTTTCCATTATCAGTGGGACTAAATTAAGTGATAGGTATTATGTGCCTGCAGTAAAAACATGTATTTTAAGACTTGCAAAGCTTTTTCTTGATTTTAATTTTGTGTACCATTTCAAATAAGTGTCCACACTTAGTTTAATGTAACCATTTTCAAGAATCTTTTAAGGTAATTTTAAATGCCTCACTATTGAGCCAGATCTTTAATTACCTGTGTATAGGTAGAGCTAAATCTATGTGAAGCTGAAACTCTGTGAAGAATTTTTTTTATCTGTCCTTTCACAAAAAGAAATGCTTGCATTTTAACCAGAACTTTGAATGACTTAATCAAAGAGCAAGGAATGTGACTAATTTTAAGCCAATTATGAGAAAAAAATTTTATTTTTGAGCCTAGGAGACCTGATAATATCTTAGAGCACGTGATCTAAGACTGTGCTTGCTATTCCCATACTGACATTTGTCTGGAAAAAAGTGCATATTTTCCTAAGCTTTTTGAATATTTAAAATTAATTTTTGTTATTATATATATGTGCTGTGTGTTTGTTTATATAAATAGTTGCATTTTTAGATTCATATTGTTTTATATTCTCTTTAAATCACTTAAAAATTCTGCATATATTAATATTGAACATGTGGAACACATACAATTTACCTAAAATATCCATCCAGTATATGTCGAAATTAATGATGAAGAGTAATAAATGCCATACAAACCAAAATCACATGGAGTCCTAAAAACGTAATTCTGACTTATAACATGTCCAGTGCCCTCATTATTTGCTCTTCCTGTCTCTATATATATCCACCTAGGTCATTAGGCTACCATGTATCTTTTCCCTCACAAATTGTAACATTTCCATTTCCGTTGAAATTCAACTTGTCTATAAAATACTCTCAAACTGATGTCAGAAATCACATTACTTTGACAGCATTTTAGCATATTTATAATCATTTCAATACCTATTTATATTTTATTTTTGCTTTCAATTTCTATGTACTTTTTATATCTGTATTCTCTGCCTGTCTTCATTACTTTATAAATCATTATGGGCTACAGTCTTTATATTTGGCAGTTATTGTCTTTAAACAAAATTACTACATGATTATCTAAATACATCAATATTGTGATATCAATCAGCAAAATAAATCAATATATAAGATGATAGTTTAAAGCTGCCATTTTCCCCATTTTCTGAAATAATTTTTTCTTATGCTAGATTAAATCTTCAAAATGGGAAAAAGAAACATTAACACTCATCAGATACAATTTATTTTTAGCTTCAGCAAATATTTGATACAAAGGGGATTCTTTCACTTACTTGTCTAAAATTCATATTTCTTTCTCTGTTGTCTTTTCAGCTTATGCTAATAGTTTTAATCTTTTTGTTTCCTTGAATATTGTGTATTTTCTTCAGTGAATTTGTTCCTGTGTGGTTTTTTGCTGCAGCACCAAAATTAGCTGTATGTGATGGTGTTTGCAATGGCTTTCAGTATTGGAACTGATTACCGTATTTTATAAACTGTCATTGAATGTGTAAACAACTATTTTTAATTAGGATAGAGGCATAGATTAATTAATAAACTATTGTTCTTTTTGACATTATTATGTTTTTTATTCCCTTTTAAGGGATAAGTTAAAAAAAACAATTAGGAAATTTCCAAGAGGAATTTAAGTTTGTTGTGTGTTTGGATAGGTCTGGAAGCACCACTGAATATCCATGAAGGCAAAGTTACAGATTCTTCTATAGACATTCTCTGGAATCGAGTTGATGGGAATTTCCAGCATTATGAAATCACATGCATAAACTATGCTGCTGCTTTCATGGTACGTTATAAAGGGCTCTTAGAGGAATTAAACTTGAATGTTTCATGCTGAAACCAACATTACTGCATTCTTACATTGGATAGTAGTGAAACTAAATAATTCCCAATTGTATTCAGTTGTGGAGCTTTTCTTAAACACATACTTGATAATGTATTCTTTTGGATTGATAGGTTCAGAAGGTAGTTCAAGAAACAGCAATATTCTCTAACCTGGATCCTGCCACAGTGTACACCTTTTCTATTCGGGCTGAAAAAGAAGGTTTTAAAGACATTACTGCTAACATAAAAGAAATACAGACAGGTTACCGCCTATGTAGGCACCTTAGGAGTTTCTTTCATGTTCAGATATTTCCTTGGTCCTTTAAGGGAAGATTAGTAAGTACTTCATTCCTCCCAGGTTTTCTTTATGGGCATTGTCTCTTGTATCTTTTTCTTTTTCCTTGGTATGGGTTATCACAACATCCTTTTAAGTATGTATTGTCAGATGGTAGCATTGCTAACTGCTTATGGTCTGGCCAGAGTTTCCATTTGTGATTTAATTACCCCATTTTCCAATGAAGTGCCACCTTGCCAGTGTAAACATTTTATTCCCAAAGGCAGATGGTGATATATCCCATGGTAATCATATGAAATAAAGGATGACTGGGAAGGATGCATGCAACTGTATAAGCTGTCGTATCTAGTAAAGTAAAATTGTCAACTATTCTACTAAACTATTTTAGTTATTCTTGACGTTGATGCAATGGGTACATTGATTTATATATTTAGAACCTGGCCATGTCTGGTATTCTTTTAATGTAATAAGAAAGAATGAGATTGAGAGAATATCTTCACAATTTGATTCCTTTCTCATATATGGGAGAATTTTAAAGAGAAAACAATATGCCCATTATACACTATTTAATTTAACTTTTTTTCCTCAGGAAAGAAGGGAGGCATTTCATATTCAGATTGCAATTAACTTTCCTGCTAATTAGACTTGGCACTCCTTGGTATTTAATTAGGATGAGTCCTAAAAATAATTAAATATTTCTGAAGTCAGTGGTTACACAAGACTAAGGTATGATCTACTTCCTGCATTTTAGAGGCCAGGGACATTTTGAGTACAATGCTACTGGGACACATTTTGTACACTTAAAGCACACATGTATTTTATTTCAAAGTTTAAAATAATTCTGGCTGTTTTTAAACAATACTTTTAACTTCTCATATCTAGCAGGTAGAATAAAAGGAAGCGATTATCCTCAGCAAACTAACACAGCAACAGAAAACCAAACAGTGAATGTTCTCACTTATAAGTGGGAGCTGAATAATCAGCACACATGGAGACAGGGAGGGGAACAACACACACTGGGGCCTGTCACGGAGGTCGGGGAGGGAGAGCATCAGGATAAATAATACTTGTGGGGCTTGATACTTAGGTGATGGGTTGATACGTGCAGCAAACCACCATGACACATGTTTACCTATGTAACAAACCTGCACGTCCTGCCCCTGTATCCTGGAACTTAAAATTAAATTAAATCAAATTAAATTTTAAGAAAAAGGAGTGCCTTGGTTACCCTCAGGGTTTGCATAGAGTCAATTCCTGAGGGCGGTTCAGGGCTGGCAGGTGCTTTGTGCTATGGAAAATGTTATCTTACTGTCTGTCTTAAATGATATAGCCCCAAGTGCAGCTGAATTTATGAAACATAGCAGAGACCCAAATGCAGTAACTGTTAGCTGGCCTTCAGCTAGAAGTCTTCTGGATGGATATATTATTTCAATATCCAGTGAAAGCTTAATGAGAGAAGAAATTCTGCCCTCCACTAAAAGGTATGAAAATATTGAAAAGAAATTATGTCAAGTTACATGGAACACAAAATTAATGTTTTATATATGTTTTTAGAAAGCTGTCTTAATGGGAAAATATAAACAGAAATGAGAAAATTTTGCAAGATAATTTCTGGACTACAGTGTGATCAGAATAACTAAGTCTGACATATTGTAACAAATTATTTCTGAAAATAAATAATAATGAATTCAGAATGTTATCATATGTATGATATATTCTTTTTTGACTTAAAATGTCTCTGTGTAAGAAGATATGATTTTTAATTGACCATTTGTGCTTAAGTGCAGCAAATTATTTCCATGATAGTTACTTTAAAAATGAAGCATATAAAAATTTTTCTGCAGGTGAGAAAATGGAGTTCTCCAAATGTGTCTGAGCTAAATGTTTTAATGTGTCACTTTTGTTTAACCTGTAGGACATTCACATTTAATAGCCTTTCTCCAGGGACTGACTTTTTAATTAGTATTATGACTAACAAGGGACTGAAAAGAAGCCATCCTACTGTCCTCATGGTTAGCACTTGTAAGTTCATTTTATATTTAATTAACTTTTCATGGGTAAAAAGAAGAGAGAAATGGTTGTATTTAAGGACAATGCCTAATTAGAAATGAATGACTAGGAAGTGGTTTGTGATATGCTGGAAGAGAAGGAGCATTGCATTTACAGGGAGAATGTCTGAGATATATTCCTGCCTCTGTCACTTATTAATTATGTGACCTTAGGCAAAACAACTGTGTTCTCACCTAGGAAATGAGAATAATTATTCCTGCCTAGGTAAAATAACCTGTTACTAAAGTGAAATGTGAAACTCTTCCTGAAAGTGTAAAGTACTCTAAAACCCTAAGGTATTATTGTCATGAAATAATATTTCTCTAGTACTTGGGCTATATTAACATTTTATGAAAATAAACTTGGGGTATGAAAAAAATAGACTTTTTTATTTAAAAATACTGTCTTTTTGATTGAATTATTTGGGTTCTGTTTGCCTCTTCTGACCTTATTAGCGTAACTTGACATATATGCTTGCTCTGAACATGTGTAGCTATTTCAGAGTCCTTTCACTTGTGGGGCCCAGTCCTATGAAAGTGTGCTCAAGTACCAAGGTTCTCTTAGTTATGAGAAGAGGCTTGATCTCAGAAGTTGCAGTGCAAAGGAAGGGAAGCACTTAAAATGCAGCAATGGTCAAATCAATTCTTTGAAATAAACTAAACAAATTGAGGTATGATTATACTCCAGCGTGATATTATGTGCTTTAGTCACTGCATCAACTCTCTGCAGGCTACTCAAAATGTAGGTTAAGGCTTAGAGGTGTTCATAACTCATTGTTGAAGGTGAGATTTTATCCCGGGTATCTAAAGCTGATATGACCCTGCTGCCTCTCATAAAGACCATTAGAAGAAATATCAGAAATAGATGAGAAAAGTTTTCAATTTTTTAAAAAAGATAGCTCATTATTATATATCAGTGAAAGCTTAGTTGCTGCTTAGATTTGGGTGTTGTTGTTCTCATTGTCACCATCATCATCACCATTGTCATCATCACATTGATTGCATCACATTGAGAGCCTTCATCAGGTACTCTGCTAAGCATTTTCTATGCTTTATATTGCTTCATTATGAATGACAACCTTTATTCTACCAATCATAATAAGATGTACATTTTTTTACACGTTTTTCAAATGAAGAAACAACAGAGCCTTAGAGAATTTCAGTCACTTATACTAGATGACAGAAATTTGAATTCACATTTCTCTGACATCAAATTCTGACCTTGTAACCCTTGTGCTTCAGTGGAAAGGCCACTGTGTTATAGGAAAGACTAACTCTACCCATTCTAGCTCTGCGACTTTGTGAAAATCGTCTTCTGTTTGCACTGCAAGTTCCTTATTTCTAACCTGGGGTTAATAATAATGCTTTCCATAGTTCGTGATGTTGTTGCCTTTTTGATTGTGTTTTCTTAAACAAGACTGGTAACCTTTTTTTAATGTCTTCCATATTGCAATCTGTCTTTTGTCTTCTATTGTATATTATTGATATTTTTATCTTTTTAGTTACCTTCATTTATTTGCAAGTCCCCTCAAGTCAATTTGGAAGTAGATGGAATATTAATAAATGTACAAAATAGAGTTAAAATATATTATGGGATAATAAATTAATTCTAGTTGTAAGGGAATGTGCATTATAGAAAAATAGAATATAAAAGAGTATGAGTCAGTGATTCAGGTTAAATCTACCACAGAGATGAATTCTAATAAACTTAAATCAGTAAATGTAAGTAGAGGCAAAAAAATCCCATTCAAAATTTGAATTTTTAAGGTGAAATTATTTTAATAAAATGTTAATATTACATTTCTTCTAGCAAAGGAAAGCAATACAATAGTTTAATTTGCAATATAGGTTTGAAATAGAGGCATGTTACCAATTTGGAAAATAAGCTTCTAGAACCATCTCAGGTAAAGTGGTTACAGAGAAAAGGAATTTGTGAACTTAAGGAGGGGAGATATATTTCTTTCTTTATGCAGTATATAAATTACAAGTAAACAATACCAATTGTAAGAACTTGAAGTTGGATTCTGCTGTGAGAAAAATAAATGTGAAAATCCATAATTTTATTATTGGAAAAGGCTTTCCAGAAATTCTTTTTTCTTTTTCATTGTAGATATAGAGAGCCTAGACTTGGGGTAAATAGCTTGCACATGGTCACACAGTGCTAAAATTGACTGGATAAGCCTAGGTTTTATGTCTCATATCTAGTACTCTTCAAAGTCAAGGTTATTGGTTCAGCCTAGATAACTTAGTGGTAGAAATGTCTTTTAAAAGATGTCCCAGTGTCTTATTTCATTTCTTTAGATCCAGATCCATCAGATTTGCTAATCTGGGGGCAAGAAGAAAACACGATATGTTTGTCTTGGAAACTATCAGAAGGAGGGTTTGAAAAGTTTCAGGTAAAGAACACTGCTGCTCTCATACCATCTTGATGTTTATCCAGGTCTTTATTTCACTCCTTTTTTTTTGTCCTTCATTTTACATTAATGGTTTTAGAAATTATTGTGCCACTTTGTTAATGTAGGATTTCTCCCCCAAGTATTTCTTGTATTTACTTCTTTAAAAGTACATAGTTGTTATGGAAAGTATTTAAATATGTGTAAAACTGATATCTGATTTTCGATGAGTTGGTTTTTTTGGTGGACATAAACAAGTACATATGTAGTACCAAGGAAGTGAATAAAGGAGTGGTGGTGCTGGAGGATAATGCTCCTGTAACAGCACTGGCTGGCAAAAAGACTCCAGTAGTCACAGCCACGTGATGTGCCACATGCTCTTTCAGTCCCATCCTAGAGATTTAATTGGGTGGAGACTTTTAGCCTAAATAGCACTTTCCAACTGTGTCTGTTATTCATCAGGTAAATATGTACATTTTCATTGCCTTTTTGTTAATAATGTAATCTGGCAGTGGGCATGAGGACAAATTATACTCGCTCTACATCTTATGGTTTGCAAATGGAAATGCTTCTAGTACAGCATTATTGCTTGGTAGTCTGTGGGAGCAATAAACATTTCCAGTGGTAGTCTGTGGGAGCAATAAACATTTCCAGTGGTAGGAGATGGTAACTTTAGTTGCAAATAACATAAAACAACCTAAAATAGTTTAAGCAATAAAGAAAAAAATATTAATACAAGAGTCCCTTATGAAGACCAATAGAACCGGATGTTGGAAAGAATTGGAATCAGCTATTTCAAGGTCATTGAGAACCCAGGGATTATTTTCTTTTTGTCTGGCTACTTCTTTCTGCTTATTGGCCTTATTATTATTTTTTTTTTCTGAAGACCAACTTTGTCTGCTGAGCAATCCATGTGGTGAGTAGAAGAATGCCATACACAACTTCCAAGCACAAATGGGCACCAAGAAAGATAATTTCTCCCTAAATTCCCAAAGAAGGGAATGTAATTATCCCAGGTTGGAATAGAAAGCCAATCCAGATCCAGTGAAACAAAACAAATGGAGTTGGCCTCTATTATCATGCTTACCATTTAAGATTTGAAGAAATAAGCAACAGGAAATTTTTTTTTAATGAATGAGGGCATTATGTATGCCTATAGACTTAGTTGAATGATTTTGAGAACAAAAACAGTTTTATTCATTTGAAAAATTCAACATTCAAATTCAAAAAATTCATTCCTTCAACAATTTCTTGTTCTCATTGTGCTTATATTCTAAAGAACTAGAGGAAGTTAGATCAAGCCTCTTAATATCTTTATCCTTGGGAAGAGCAGATAACTCTCTTTCCCTAAAACCAAAAGGAAGGAGTACTATTTGTTAAAGATCTGGTTGATTCATCAATGTAAATTTCAAAAGGGAACAATCTTAAACGAATACCTTCTTCAGTCACCAAGTATTATCAATTCTACTATTGCAATGTAAATTCCATTTGGCTCTGCAGGGTCCTCAGAACACCAAACTCTCTAAAAATTCTCTAACAATGTAAAATAATGGCATCTGTGCAGCATGTAAGGTCATTAAAGTCTATATTATAGAGAACATAAGGACACACATATCTTAAATTTTTACTAGATTCACATATATTAACTTCAATCAGTTTTGTTTTTTCAGGAGAAGAAAAATTCAATTTTTTTCAGGAGAATAATTTAGCTCTTAGTGATATACTTGCATGTAATATTCTGGTAATAAATTTGATAATACAAGTTTCTTTACAAAACAGATATCCTATTTTGTTTTGCCCAGCATTCTGAGAGTTCAAAAGATAAGGAACATTTATTAGTATGGACAAATGTGAAATTCATTTGAACACCAAATATGTGTTCTAGTGATTAATTCCCTGAAAGTATTAGATTGCTGGCTTTCTTTTCATGAGTGATGGGAGTGCGGAGATTTTTTTTTTTTTTTTTTTTTTATGAGACGGAGTCTCGCTCTGTCGCCCAGGCTGAAGTGCAGTGGCGCGATCTCGGCTCACTGTAAGCTCCGCCTCCCGGATTCACGCCATTCTCCTGCCTCAGCCTCCCGAGTAGCTGGGACTACAGGCGCGTGCCAAGAGATTTATATCCTTTAAAAGAATCTCAGAACTGGCTGAGTGTGGTAGCTCATGCCTGCAATCCCTACACTTTGGGAGGCCGAGGTGGGCAGATCACCTGAGGTCAGGAATTCGAGACCAGCCTGGCTAACATGGTGAAACCCCATCTCTACAGAAATGCAAAAAAAAAAAAAAAAAAAAAAAAAAAGCCGGGCATGGTAGCACGTGCCTGTAATCCCAGCTACTCAGGAAGCTGAGGCAGGAGAATCGCTTGAACCTGGGAGGAGGAGTTTGCAGTGAGCCTAGATCATGCCACTGCACTCCAGTCTTGGCCTGGGAAACAAGAGCAAAACTCCGCTTCAAAAAAAAAAAAAAAAAAAAGGAATCTCAGAATTGTAATGGAACTGAAGGCATAGTCTAGTCCAAGCATGAAAATAAACATTGGCTTGCATATTTCAGACCCAAAAGAATTCATTGTGAATTTAGAAAACATAAGGTAGTTGACATAGAATATTTATGAAAGTTTGCCATTTTCTTTCTTATACCTTTCAGCTGTTTTTTATGAGCCTTGAGTATATTTTTATTATAGGCAGCACTGTCCAATAGAAATACAGTATTAAGGGAACCACAAAAGTGAAGCATATGTGTACAATTTAAAATTTCTAGTAGAAATATTTTAAAAAGTAAAAAAGTGAAATTAATTTTAGTAATATATTTTATTTACCTCAATATATTCAAAATGTTAACATGTAACCAGTATAAGAAGCATTAATGAGATATTTTTATATCACTTTTTCATACAAATTCTCCAAAATCTAGTGTCTGTTTTATACTTAGAACACATCTCAGTTGAGACTAAACACATTTTAAATATGGGGAGGGATAGCATTAGGAGATATACCTAATGTAAATGATGAGTTAATGGGTGCAGCACACCAACATGGCACATGTATACATATGTAACAAACCTGCACATTGTGCACATGTACCCTAGAACTTAAAGTATAATAAAAAAATAAATAATAGAGACAGGTGGCAAGTGGCTATCATATTGGACAGCATAGTTACAGAGAGTGACTATTGTCATCTGGATTAAATGATAAAGTGGAAGAATGGCAAAAATTGGCCCATCGGTGTCCGGCTCAAATCCCACTTCTTCCTAGATGCCTCTCTGATCCCATCTGCAGGGAATGACATTTTCTTACACAGAGCTTTTTATGAAACCTCCCTTTAACTTTTTCTGTGTTACTTTTAACATACTGTCTTTGATTGTTATTAATGATGCACAAGTGCTAACATCCCTATGCCATTTCATCGAGGAATCTTTTAGTTTTCCCTAAGAGTGGAGTTCCAAAGTTACTATGTACTGAATAAAGCAGTATTTCCTTTTATTTGTCCACAGTTTCTTCCTTCCAGACCTCATGTGGTAGCCTTCTAATGCTATGCAATCTTATATACATGTGTACGTTCAGTTTATCTGTAATTTTACAAGTTGTGGTAGGCAGTATAGTACAATGGCCCTGCGATTCCTTGCTTTGAATTCTGACTTCATTCCCTACTCTGAGACCTTGGGCAAATCTTTATCCTCTTTGGTTCTATTCCTTCATCTGACAAATGAAGATTATTTTTATTACTCTATAAAATTGCTGTGAGAATTCCATAAGATAATGCACTTGGCAAATGCTCTGACATGCGAATTTGCTGTAGTCAGATGTTTTGTGTACTTTGGTCATTGTTATATA
Organism: Homo sapiens; assembly: GCF_000001405.40. Taxonomy (NCBI): domain Eukaryota; kingdom Metazoa; phylum Chordata; class Mammalia; order Primates; family Hominidae; genus Homo; species Homo sapiens. Next base: position 80,431,379 of record NC_000012.12, read on the forward strand.
CTATTCCTGAGACCAATGTGTGATGCATAGCAGGAGTCAATAAATATTTTGGTGCACGATAGGTTGAATTTTTAGTTTTCCTTTGTTCTTCAATCACTTGCTCAGCTGTCTTTGATTCCTCATATTCACTTATTCATCAATGTCTCAGCTATTTTGGCCATTTCTACCTCTGAAACAGCTTCTGAATGTGTTCACTTTTCTATGTCTCCTCTGCATTCCTCTTGTCATAGTCACTATCCTTTCTTTTTTTTCTTTTTCTTTTTTTTTTTTTTTTTGAGACAGAGTCTTGCTCTGTCACCCAGGCTGGAGTGCAGTGGTGCCATCTTGGCTCACTGCAACCTCCACCTCCCAGGTTCAAGTGATTCTCCTGCCTCAGCCTCCCGGGTACCTGGGACTACAAGCATGTGCCACCACACCCGGCTAATTTTTTGTGTTTTTAGTAGAGATGGGGTTTCACTATGTTGGCCAGGCTGGTCTCGAAATCCTGACCTCATGATCCGCCCGCCCTGGCCTCCCAAAGTGCTGGGATTACAGGCATGAGCCACCAAGCCCGGCCCATAGTCACTATCCTTTCTTACCAAGACCAGCAGCCTAGATGATGGATGATAGCATTTCTCCTCTTAACTGGTTTCTCTGTTTCCGTTTGTGATTTCCTTACAATTCATATAACATTGGTTGAACATCCTCTAGTGGATTTTCATTGCTCTTCAAATAAAATCTATGCTTGTCATAGTTTCCAAGATCTCACCTGATTGGATTTTTATCTAACTATCCAGCTCACTCAGTTACTATGTCTCAATCATATGTATCTCTCTCCTCCTCAAACATGCCAAGCACACCCACCCTACATGGTTTTAATGCTTGACATTCCCATTGTACGTGCATCTTCCCTCCAGTTTTGGTTAACCTTTTTCTGTCACTGAGTTCTCAGCTCGAATATAATCTCCCTATACCCTTCCCTGATTACCAAATCATACCAAAAGATGTGATTCATGCTCATGGAAAAGAGGTGAGGATATTCTACACTAACAAGGTCACAAAGTCAGGAATTAGTATTCTATTTGTCATTTGTAAATGTCATTCAGTGATAGGGGCATCCTGAATAATAAATCACTCATGAAAAATTCCATCCTTTCCAGAATGATTCAATTCATTCCTATATTCACTATAGGTATTCTGTAGTGAAAACCTTACACATTTTTAATATTAATTGTAAAAGATTTATGTTTCTTAACCTTTTCTGTTTGTTCTAATTCTTACATCTTAAGGCAAATGTCAAATGGAATGATCTTCTATGGGGTTAACTGAGGCCATAAAACCATTTTTTGTCAGTTAAATATATATACGATTACTTTTTACTCTATTTGAGCACATTTTTTCAGCGATATAAATTATGTATGTTATTAAGTGAAACTGATTTTAAGGAAACATATTAATCTTTAAGGTTCAGAATATTACTGACCACATTATATCACTAATGGTTATCTGAGTCTTTCTTGGCCAGTTAGATTATTTGTTAAATTTTAATGAATTAGGTAACAGTATCCTGGTTGCTTAGCAAAGCGCACTTGGATAATTGGGATCATTTCTCTAATCATTTAAAATTAATCATCACATGCCTCCAAAGTATGATTTAAAAGTGGAAATAAAACACAAATTACATTTCTATTAGGCATGTGTATTCTACATAATTTTTGGAGGGGATAATCCTCTATTTTTTGAATTACATATTAAAAAATTAGTCAAACACTATTATCATTAGATCACTACAGTTTCTTTTCCTTCTACCCTTCGGTAATGTCTTAATGTGACTATGCCTGAACTTAGCACTTCATTAAGATTATATTCTACTATAATTGCATGATATTTTCTCCTACCATCCTTTTTCATACCAGAAGTTCTTAGCATTCTACTCACTCCATATGTCAGACAAGTAAGGTAATTATCAGTGACACCTTATGAATCAATAAGCAATGGTATGCTTCTAGACCTCAGGATTATCTTCTTCATTAATGAAGCACTTTTCCCACAAGACAGTGATAACTATGTCTGCTTAGGAAATTTGTTTGACTTCTACCATATAATAGCTGTTTTTCAAAGCATAACAAAGTTTAAATAACTTATAAAATTGACGTATCTTTCTTTCCATTCTACAAACATGAAGTATGGAATGAAGAAGAATAAAGATTGTTATAAGTAGCTTTTAATGGATTAAAAAAAGCTCCAGGTTATTGGAAATATCAGATTACTCCACTGAAAATTTCTAAAGGCAATGCTCACTCTCAGAGCTTTAATGAATAATACATAGACTTGGCCTAGGTTATGATGAAAGATGGACCAGAATGAAATGTGAATTTATCATTTATTCACTAATTTATGCAACAAGAACTGGGAGTGCCTTTTCTATTTCAGGTGTCTATTATTGTAGTTCTCTCTCGTTGCTTTTTACTACTCCCCTGACTATACTGACTGGCTTTCACTGATATCTGATTAACAGTTCTTCAAACACTGGCTGTCTCCTGAGGCACATATGTGAGTTTTCTGGAGGACCTTGGAGGTTATTTCCATTGCCTATTTCCTTGACTTGGCAGACCCAGCTCTGGTTCAACATTTGTAACTCCTATTAGCTCCTTCATCTGGCATCATATCTCACTGGTTTTTGCTGCTAGGTCTTCTTGCACAGTGACAGTGATCTTGGGTTGGGTAATGGTAAGATGATCCAAGACTGATCACTCTCTGTTGTCATACTTGACCCATGGGAGACTCTGGCATTTTTGTTCAGGCAAAGGTGGGTGTACAAATTGCTCCACAGCAACACTTTATTTGTTCTGCTTTCTGTTTCTAGTTTCCCTTTGCTCTGCTCAGTAAGGAATAGGGGCAGAGCAGGAAGTCTGCTGCCTAAGTACCTGTCCAATTGAGAGATGTCAATCCTTCTAGCAGGCACTCTAGATGTATGGTAGTGATACACATGGGCCCCTCCTCATTTAGCTGGAGTCAGAATGTGTGCAGAAGCACCTTATTTCCCATTCTGTGGGCAGCCAAGGAAAAGCCATGATATTCTCTGCTAGGCCAGAAACTTGGGACCCCATTGATTTTCTTCTTTCCCTTCCTATAGTCTTCTGTTTACATGGAGTTGAGAGAGTAGGTCGTAGGTACTATCCATAATGATTAGCTATCTCTAAAATACATTTTTACATTTTTTTGTTTCAGGTGTGCAGAAGAGTAAGGCCTACTCTTTATGTAATGTATCTATTATATGCATATACACTTAAAAATCAGTATTTGTGTTTGTATGCGTATATATACATGTGAAATTTAAAAACACATGGAGTCTATTGGTCTTTTATTACATAAACTTCTAAGACAATCCACTATGCTTATCACTCTGTGAACTTCACTGAGTTATTCTGCCTCTACTAGCCTAAAATTATTCCTTAGTGAACATAGGAAGGATCACAACCTCTACCTTGTAGTAGTAATTACTATAAATATGATTATTACGGAATTAGTGCTTTTTAAACTTTGGAAAATATAAATTTACTTTTCTCTTTCTCTAGATATCATACTGCATGCCATCCAGACAGGAAAAGCTGATTAAAGTGATTGTTTATGGCAACAAAGCCAAAGTAAAAAAATTGACTCTGGGCATGGACTACATGTTTCAAGTGAAGAAAGTTAAAGGCAAAGGTTACAGTGTATCTGTAATGAAAAAAGTGCCTATAAGTAAGGAAAGATCATAGGTAGTATTTAGTTTTATAGTTCTGTAACACTTGAAAATATTTTGGCTAAGCATGATTATGGTTGTTTTAAGACATAAAAGCTGATAAGTAATGATGATCTTAAGAATATGATTAAGAGAACTCAAAAAACATGTGAATTTAAAAAATTATTTGTATGTCTAGATATATTGAGAGCTACACACAGAGTTTTTAAAAATAATCTGAAGCCAAAAGTATGCATATATGTGTGTATGTATATATTGTTATATATGTTAGATACATGGAATACATATGTATACACATGTATATATATTATGCCATAATAATATAAGCACAATTCATTTTCTACTGACCTGAGGGTTGATAAACAGAGTAATTCTGTTTCTCTTTCCTGAAGTTTGTAAATTTATTATAAATTGGTTTGTAATGTTTTTGGGTGAGGTGGAATAATAGTATTAGTTATCAACAGTTCTCATGAAAATTTGTGAGGTTGCCTCTCAGTGGAGACTAAATGATAATGCAAGTAGCAACATTAGTTGTATCGATGAACAGATTAAAAATGCAGCAATATAGGAATGCTAAAAGCTTTGATGTAACAAGAAGACATTTGGAAATGCCCTTACTCCTAGCCCTCGCTCCCTCTCTAACTTATTCTCTTTCATCTTCATTCGGCATCTAGCTATGTGCTTGGTGGTAGCTAACAAAATTCTGATTATGTCATATAAGGATATGTATGGCTACAAGCACTCAAGAGGCACAAAGCTAAAGGAATGCCTTTATCACGAATGATTTATGACTGATGAAGGAAAGATATTTGGGAACTAGAGAGAATATTGTTGTGTCACTTAAATTAAAACCCATATGTAATGTCTTATTTTTCTATTTGCAGAGATAAACATATAGAACATTATACATGAGTAAATTAAAGGACTGTTACATAGATATTTAAATTATAATATTCATAATTGCTTTATTTTTACTAATATATGTGTAATTTCTATTTATATATAATTTACCTTTTCATTAGAACCATCTAGGATTTGTGGCTTAATTTTGAAAGCTGTGAATATTTCTTCAAATTTAATGTGGAATACAACAGAGATCAATTTCACCCATTATAAGATTTATATATCAAATAGAACATTTGCAAAAGACTGTCTTATTTGGGAAGTGGTGACTGAGCACACAGTTACAGATGTGACTCCTGGTGTAATATATAACATCATGGTACACAGAATAAGAGGCAACCTTGGAGGATGTGGCATGTTTACCAGGGTTGTTGCAGGTGTGCAAATTCTCTTTGATATTTAAGAAATTCACATTTCTGTTATATATTGTATTGTTCAAGATAAAATTTCAATAGAATTTTTTGAAATTTGAAAACTTACAGTCTATAGACTATTTGAGAGGATGAAAATGCTCATTTTAGTGGGCTGTTCTGCAGATTTTTTTTTTTTTTTAATAAGACAGAGTTTTGCTCTTGTTGCCCAGGCTGGAGTGCAATGACGCGATCTCGGCTCACTGCAACTTCTGCCTCCCGGATTCAAGCAATTCTCCTGCCTCAGGCTCCTGAGTAGCTAGATTACAGGCACACACTACCACACCTGGCTAATTTTTGTATTTTTAGGAGAGACGGGGTTTCACCATGTTGGTCAGGCTGGTCTCAAACTCCTGACCTCAGGTGATCCACCCACCTTGGCCTCCCAAAGTGCTGGGATTACAGGCATGAACCACTGCGCGTGGCCTGTTCTGCAGATTTTCGACATAACATGTGAAATATAAATTGAATAAAACATTATTTGACACACAGTGATCAATAAATGAGGTTAATATTATATTCAGTTTCACACCGAATTAGAGATCTAGCCAGTGGAATTATGTGGTATATTTGGGATCATCTATTCTCCTAAAAATGTGTTCTTTGTCTTTGACATCCTAATATGTGTTATACACATGAAAAAGCATAGTCTTATGATATCCACAGCATAGTAAAGAATACAAGTATGGAAACACATGTAGTATAAGTCAGTGCAACAGGCGAAGCAATGGAAGTATGTCCAAACTTATTGTAGTTGCACAGAAGAGGGAAAGATTAGCCCTACAAACGCAATAGAGAAAGCTCTTTGGGGCTGGTAATGTCTGTAAAAGGATTAGGAATTTGCTAATCAGACTAGAGAGCATATGGAGTGTGTGAAAAGGAGGACTCCCAGAGGTAGGGAACAGCCCATGCAAAACTATGGAGGTGTAAATGAATATGCTGTATTTGTGGAACTATAAGCAATTCAATATTGAAATATTTTGTTGTTTTTTAATATATAAAGAGAATAAAATCCTATCCTGAGTAATTTAGAGAGTAATTTTTAAATCCAAAGGAAGCTGTGAAGCCTATGAATATTTTAAATTTTTCAAAAAAGAACAAGATTGCAAGAGTAACACATGAGAATTACTCTTAAGTGATCTTGAAAGCTATGGATTGGACAACCGACCCGAAGGTCCCAGACATATGGTGGTAATTCAGGGTATGGGTAATTATTATTTGGCTGTCAACACTTTCTTAGTTTCTTATTTTTACTGTAGCAAATTATCACAAGATAGTGGCTTAAAATAACTCAAATGTGTTATCTCATAGTTCTGTAGGTCATAAGTCCAACATACTTCTCTCTGGTTGAATCAAGGTTCTCGTAGGGCTGTGTTCCTTTTTGGAGATTCTAGGAGAGAATAAGTTCCTTGCTCATTCAAGTAGTTTGCAGAATTCAGTTCCTTGTGGTTGCAGAACTGAGGTCATTATTTCCATGGTGGCTGTCAGCTGACAGTTGTTTCCAGATTTTAGAGGATGGCTCATTCCTCGACTTGTGATCCTCTTCCTACACCCAATAAAGGAGGGTTGAGTGCCACTCGGGCTTCAAAGCTCCCCTTTCCCCCCATCATATATGACTCTTCTGACTTCCTCTTTTACTTTTATGGGCTGTTATGATTAGATCGGGACTACCAGGATAATCCAGTTTTGATCTCTGTTTATAGTTTATAATCTTAATTCCATCTGCAAAGTGCCTTTTGCCATGTAACACAACATATTCACCGTTCCAGGGTTTAGCATTTGGGCATCTTTTGTGGGGGTGGGCCTTACTTATACTGCTTAACACATACACTATTATTCTCCTAAATGTGATATATATGTGATAATGCAAAACAAGGAATAAATTTAGAATTCATATACCAGCTTTACTCCAGGATTTGACACTGGTTAGCTGAGTACTACTGGGCAAGTTACCTGATGTCTTTGGGTATCAAGTTTCTGAGAAATTTAAATTAGATGACCTCTGAGATTCCTTTTGACTCATACACATTCTCCTAACACTTTGCACATTTTTGTTCTATTTCTACAGATAATCTATGACTTACAATGCCACAATTTTTCTACTTTACAATGATGCAGAAGCAATATGCATTCGGTACACTCCTCAACTTACATTGGGGTTACATCTGATAAACCCAGCATAGGTGGAAAATGTCACATCAATTATGATGGGTTATCAGGATATAACCCCATTGTAAGTTGAGGAGTATCTGTGTATATTAATAGATACTATATACCTTATCTACTTCTAAAAAGCAAATGTGTTAAATCATGTGTCAAATGTCTTTTACTACAGAGTATTATGATAGGTAATGTATACAATCGAACACACTAAAATGGGACCCATTCTAGAGGTTTTAGTCTGTGGCAGCGTTTCTCAGCCTCACCACTATTGATATTTTGGGCTGAGAGATTCTCCTTTGTGAGGATGTGTCTTGTTAATTGCAGGATGTTTAGCAGCATCCCTGGCCTCTACTCACCAGATGCTAGTAGGATCTTTCCAATTGAGCCAATCAAAATTTTTGTTAGAAAATTGCTGCAAGTCCCCTATGTGGCAAATCACAACTAGTGGTAAATGCAGATATATTTAGTTAGATACAAAGATCAAATAGATCATTGAGCAAAGACTGAAGAAAAAATATGAAAAATTATTTTGTTTATACATAGGTAAAGGAAAGAGTGCAGTTAGTGTGAGTGGCAGGATTTGCTCCCTTAGAGAAAATTTTGTCAGAGGAAAAAGTGACCAAGGTGGTATCAATATCAGGAAAGTTTCATAAAAGATACAGAATGTTTGTTTTCATTTTACTTAAAGAAAAGAGAGCTTTATAAAATAGTAGGAACTTGATGTTCTGGTCGCCTAGTGTGGTTTAGGTGATGGTTTTGAGAGATTGCAGGTAAGTAATTGAAGTCCCTGTTAAAACAGCACAGTGACTTAAGAGATGAGTATAAGAAGAGGAAATGGGAAAAGATGGTAATCTGGGTTCCCTGGTGGAGGTCTCCAGAGCAGGAAGACATCTTGCTGTCCTAGTTTTTATAAACAGAAGAGCAGTGATGATGGAGCAGTGCTTGGGGATCCATTTTGAGCAAAGCATTGAGTGGATATGAGGAGGGGGCTAAGCTGAGAAATGAAGAACAGGTAACATGATGGTTTGACTAAGAGATGACCAGGGCTTTTAGAGAAAAATAGTAGAAATAGCAAGAGACTATTAATCATAGCTTACATTTAGTACTTAGTTCTTACTATGTTCAAGGCAGTCTTCTAAGCACTTCACATGTATTAACTTATTTTATTTTCACAACAATGTGTGAGGTGTTATTATACCCATAGAGATGAGGCTGGTGAGGTATGGAGATATTAAGTATTTTGCTTAAAGTCTTGTTTATATGGCAGAGTCAGGATTTGAACCCAGCAATCCAACTCTAGGGCCTGTGCCCAGTGTCTGTATTAAAAATTGATTTTTACACCCTGGTGACATCCGATATAATGCTGACTTTTTAGAGGATGTTTATTTTATTTATAATTTATTCATAGCCTATTTCTAAAATATGAGGAAGCTACAGGCACTTGATAAGTATACATTGCCCTGGTATGGGACATATTTAGACTGAATCCCTTAAGCCAAAATTAGAGGTCACTTCAAATAATAATCATAGGCTTGAAAGAAAAATTATAGATCATCTAATTTTGTGGTTGAATCTATTTTAAAGTATTAATTAATTCATTTAGGATTTTTAAACCAGCTGTTATTTGTAAGCCACTTTGTGAAAGTTAGAGGAGCACACAGTTATCATAGTGATTGAAAACTTGAAGACTTTGCCTCTGGGTCTAAATCCTGGCTCTACCATTTACCCATTAGCTATGGGACCTGTTGGAATTACTTAAATTCTTTGTTCCTCACTTTTAAATGTCAATAATAGTATTCCTGGTGTTGTTGCAAGTGTTACATAAAACAATATATGAAAGTGCTTAGCACAGTGCATAGTGTGTCATAAACTTAGTAGGAGTTAGTTCTTTTTATTTTGTAAGTCTGCTGCTTGTACATCTCATTATCTGTCATAGAATACATTATGTCCGATCTATAATTTAATCACAGAAAAATTAAAATGTGAGATTTAAAACTTATCAGATACAGTGTTAGTGCAGAGAAAATATAAAGTTAACAATGATGATGAAACTTTTAAAGTCTTAGCATTTTATTTTAAAATATCTGCCCATTGTAGTCTTTTGCTTTCTTGATACCATTTTGATAGGTCTGACTCTTTTTTAATGTTCTGAGATATGTAAGATTTTGTATATATTGGATGTCTTCCCAACTCTGTTGAGCTGTTTCCTTTATAGACAAAGACCATGGGATCTTATTTCTCAGCTTCTCAAAATAAAATTTAGGTAAATTCACTGAAATGCCAAGGAAAAACTTAAGAGATGCTGTAGTAGTTAAAGCTGTACTGTCCAATATGTAGTGTTTGGCAGCATGTGGCTATTTAATCTTGGAATATGGCCAGTCCAAATTCAGAGGTACTGTAAATTTAAAATGTATGTGAAATTTCAAAGAGTTAGTATGAAAAAAATTAATGTAACCACTTCAATAATTTTATAGTAATTATATGTGAAATAATGCTTTTGATATATTGGGTTAAATAAAATACATTATTAAAATTATCTTACATGTTTCTGTTTACTTTTTAAATGTGGCTACTAGAAAATTCAAAACTGCATGTGTGGCTCACGTTATAGTTTTATTGGACATTGATGGTTTAGAGAATCACAAGATATATTAGGATATCTGAGGCTTTAAAATACACTGCAATAAAGAAAGCTGCTTAACTTAAAAAGAACTTATTTGACAAAGTGGTTTGATTACAGAACATCTATTAAGCTCTAATGATATAAGGTTCTGAGGATTAATTTTTAGGAAATTAAAGTCTGGAAGAAACACGTAAATAAACCTAGAATTCCTTTTGCTTGCCCTAATTAAGTTGAATATGAAATGTTTTTTTTCCTCTTAAAACTCCAAACATTTCAACTTCCCAATGTTATTTTTATTGGTTAGTAAGAATTAGGTTGAGAATAGTATTTTTGTTTTTTGGTTTCCTATTTTTTGAGAGATTAAATTCCATGGAGAATAAATTATATATTTATTATGGAGTCTATTTTCAGTTAGTTGAACCTTCTAGCTCTTAACCAGAAAGCTGCACTCTTTCATAATGATTTAAGCATTGCTGTAGATCCTCTACCTTTTTCTGAGTGCAAGCTTTCCTCCTCTCGGCCTAGACTACCATGATTTCCTACTAATTAGCTTCCTGCTGCCATTTTTGCCTTGCTCTAATTTATATCCCATATTTCAAAATTATATTTTTAAACAAAAAACAAGCCCTGTTGCTTTCCTGCTTAAAATTCTTCAGTGGCTTCCCATTGAATTTAGGTAAAAAACCCTAAAATCTCTAGTATGACCTACATGATCATCAGTCTGTTCCCCTTTCTTTTTTGATCCCAGAATCTCAGTCTGGCTTTCCTCAGTTACTCCAATCCTTTTTCATTTCCAGGACTTCCATACACTTTGCTATTTGGAAAGGCCTTTACCAAACTCTTGTGAAGATTCCAGGCCTTCCCTCTTGATCAGATTGGCAATTGTCCAGACCAATATATTTTTCTTTGTCTTGGTGAGACATAGTTCATTCCTAAGCAAGGGTTCTTCAGTCCAGGAAACCACATCCCATTTCACTGCCATCCCAGTAACTAGTGCTTCACTTCTCACATCTTCCTTTTTCTTCCAAAGTCTTATTCCATATCTTCATTAGTTTCTTGTCTAAGACTTCATAGATACTAGTTACTCTCTGGGGTCCCTGAAGCAATAGTATTAACCCTCACACAAATCAGTAAATGTGAGTAGTAGTTGGTTAGACGGATCAGTCATGGTAGATTTTTGTGTATTTTAATGTAGCAGATAGGAGATTCAAGCTTTTTTTCTCTCAAGCTTGAGAATACAGAGGGCATAGGTCTGGCTTACCTTGTAAAAAATGCCAGCAGCTAACAATGAAATTCTACCCAACACAGGCTGGGTATTTCTCTGATTTTTTGCCTTGGGTTTACAGTATTCCTAGAGTTACCAGAAAACTATAGTGGACAATTAGCGGTGGATGCCAAGAGAATGCTTGGAACTTTGAGAATGTTGGGGTGGACATTAATCAATTGATATAAGCTTTGGGTATGGAGGACAACGTTATGTTATAATCATTAGAAGAAATTTCAAAGGCGATAAAGAAAAACTATTTCAGAAACGCTCTTCCCTGAAACACCAAGAAAGTGACCTATTATGTTAATATTTTTGTTATATGCAATGTGCCCTGTTAGTTTTGTTAGAAAATGTACATTTTATTATATCCATTTTCAAATCGTTTCTGGTAGTGGGGTTTTAAAATGATAAATGAGGTTCAAAATTAATTCCAGCCTCCTTTCTTTTAGAAACAGTGTTAGATTGAATCTGCATCAGGCGTGTTTTCACATGCTTGGCTTCATAATCTCTCTTCCTCCCCCTATATTGTTTGCCTGGAATCTGCACTAAAGATAAGGCAGAGTGCAAACCTGACTCATTGGCAACCAATCAGAAGAACTTTATGTGGAAAACTCCCTTCGAGGAGGTACAGGCAGCATGAACAAAATTTTTGAAAAAGTGGAAGCAAAGGTAGAAAAATATGGTTGAAATGGCTAAAACAATTGGTACTTGTTTTAAAACTATATTTCATTTCTGATATGAAACCTTATCTTTTCTTTTAAAGAAACACCTAACAAAATATTTATCAGATCAGCACCACAGTAAAGGGAAAAAGACATTAAAAATTAAAAAAGATAAAATAACAAATATTTATCAGAAATGCTCACCCTTCAAAAAATCTGGAAGATTTTGATTATATATTTTTCCAATTATCTTCTGTTTGGTAAATTTCCAAGTAATTGGATAAATAGTTTATATTTACTTTGTTTTAAAATGACTCAAATTTTCAATTAGAGCATAAGCTTTCAAAAACAATCTGGTCAACTAGCAGACTTTTAGCAAATAAGACATATTTCAGAAACAGAAAATTAATTGTTATATTATTTATGATAGTTATACCTAAAACCTAGGTGTTGTTAAATATTTACATGTTTAACACCCAAGTATACTTAGAGATCATTTATTGTACTCAGTGATTTCTAACAACATGATTATTTTGGAACTTGAACCTATACTATTTGTTTTCATTTTTTTGAAACTTTAGGAGAATAACTTTATTTTAAACCTCTATTTTTCAATATCAGAACCAGAACAACCTGAGAAACTTAGAGCCTTCAATATTTCCACACATTCCTTTTCTCTGCACTGGAGCCTACCCTCTGGTCATGTGGAAAGGTATCAAGTGGATCTTGTTCCTGACAGTGGCTTTGTTACTATCAGAGATCTTGGAGGTGGAGAATATCAGGTATAGTTTTCATTATTGTACTTGCCGAGCCTACTTGTATTTATATTTTGCTCCTAATAGGAAAGTTCTTTATTTTATGAAACCCATCTACCACAAAAACTTACTCCTTGTTGGGTTTTTGAAAGCATAAGTTGAAGACAAAAACGTTGATGTCAAACTGATGAGTGTTAAGTTTCAGCATTGGTGGACTGTTACCTTAGCAACATCTATGCTGCTTTTTTTTTTTTTTTTTTTTTTTAAGTTCACCCTGAACCTACAGCCAGTCATCCAAGGGTTCATGAATAGTTTAACAAAGAAAAGGCAGAGCTATTGAGTAATATGGGCTCATTAATTGTGTACTTGCCAGAAGGATCTGTCTTTAAATCATTAATGCAGGCAACATTTCTCTCTAGAGCCATCAATGTGATTCTACTGGCTGAAAAATGTAATAAAGATGGATTTTCTTATCATTTTTCTTTTACTTTTTATTGGGACTTCAGAGACACAGGTATTTCGTATACACTCTTTAAAAACAAGGGCTAAGTCATGGGCTGTAGATTTCTCAAGACTTGAATAGTTGTTCCTTGTGACAGTGAACTAGGATAGATAGAAATGCTGACTTAGGCTGTGATAACGCAGTACGTTTTGTAAGTTTTTATTTTAAAGTCATTTGGTAAAAAGTTATATAACATATTTGTATCTTACAATAATATGGAACTTATTGTGATGTTATAAACAGTGCAGAGTTATATAGTGAAGAGTTAATTTTTGTTATAGTGATAGATTTATTTTAGCTTGCTTGCTTTCCAGAAAGAATTTTAATGCAACTATTTGTTTGTGGTGTTCTAGGTTGATGTTTCCAATGTCGTTCCTGGTACTAGGTACGATATAACCATCTCTTCAATTTCTACAACATACACCTCACCTGTTACTAGAATAGTGACAACAAATGTAACAAGTGAGTATATGTTTTAAATTACTTTGTAAGTAAAGTATTTGGAGTCAGTATAATTCTACTGGATGGAAATACTTATACTGGCAACATGTACATTAAATTCATGAAAACAGTGTAGAATAAGGCAAAATGGAAACAAGAAAGTGATCTGCTTAGAACCTGCATTCTGCTGTTTCTTCAGCTTCCTTTACTTTCAAAGTGCAAAGATAATTACTCTATACTTGTTTGTGAAATAGATCAGAGAGACTGTTAATGCTAACATTTAAATAATACAGAACCATGAAAATGAACTGGCTACATTTGCTCAGGAAGGATTATTCCATTTGTAAGATTATTTCTTGTTTTCTTAGTTTTTCTGTGTAAGCCTTGCGTAAGTGAATTTCTTTTAAAAATGATTTGGCAACAAAAGTATATTCGGCATGTAGTATTTATTTAGTAGCATTCCATTTTTCACATTCTTATAAAGGAATGCTTTTGGTATTCCACATAGTATTTTTTTAATAGTAACAGAGCTGTAGGGAGTGTGAACTCATATTGCTCTTTGGAAATTTCAAATTTTACATTTATAAATACTGTTATTATGTATTTTTGTGAAAATGCAATAATTATTTGACCTTTTAACAAAATGGATTTTTTAAAAATAGAACCAGGGCCTCCAGTCTTCCTAGCCGGGGAAAGAGTCGGATCTGCTGGGATTCTTCTGTCTTGGAATACACCACCTAATCCAAATGGAAGGATTATATCTTACATTGTCAAATATAAGGAAGTTTGTCCGTGGATGCAAACAGTATATACACAAGTCAGATCAAAGCCAGACAGTCTGGAAGTTCTTCTTACTAATCTTAATCCTGGAACAACATATGAAATTAAGGTAATTATTTTGTGTATGACTACTTAGTGTTCAAACATTTCATTCATTTTAAAAGTGTGGGAGGTTTTTCTCACCTTGTCAAGCCTTTACAGCTGAATACAGTCAGTGACTGACAACGTTCACAGTCATGGCCTCACACCCACCTGAGATTTTAAAACTTGGTAAAATGTTATTGTGTCTTTTCATTTCAATTTTATGCATATTTATATATTACCTATTTCATTTTTTCTATGAATATTTTTGCATATATTTATATACATGTATGAATATAATACAATACTCTAGGAAATAAAAATTATGTAAAGTTAAAGAAGGAAAACTTAAATGCAAACAAGAGGCCAGGGTAGTTTGAATGCAGGTATGTAAACCACAGGATGTTACACAGTTATTAAAAATTGACTTGCAAACTTTATTCTCCAAATTCCTAGAAACCACAGTAAAAAGGGCAATAAATCTGTTATACAATTTACGTATGAAAATTGTATAATAATTGCATATGGGAGCTCAAGTTTTTTTTTTTTTTGGTGCTTTAGACTGGAAAGAAAGTCTTCGTTGAAGGATTAATAGCTGCAGGACTGGATTTTGTAAACTTCTTTCCATAACAGTAAAATAATAAAAGTATACTTAGTAAAAATAATTTTGCCAGGTTTTGAGATATTGTGGTCTAAGAACATGGCCTTGTTCTGTATATAAAATTTAGACTCCAATGAAATGTCTTTTTTTTAAATTATTTTTGATTCAGGGGACATGTGTGCAGGTTTGTTACGTGGGTATATTGTGTAATGGTGGGGTTTGGGCTTCTAGTATACCCATCACCCAAATAGTAAACATTGTACCCAATAGGTAATTTTTCAATCCTCACCCTCTCCTACCCTCCCCATTTTTGAAATCCCGTGTTTATTATTTCCATTGTTATGCCCATGTGTACTCATAGCTCCCACTTGTAAGTGAGAATGTGTGGTATTTGATTTTCTATTTTTGAATTATTTCACTTAGGATATGTTCTCCAGCTCCATCCATGTTGCTGCAAAGAACATGATTTTATTTTTTATGCCTGCATAGTATTCCATGGTGTATATATACCACATTTTCTTTACCCATATGATAGATACTTAGGTTGATTCCATGACCTTGCTATTGTGAATAATGCTGTAATAAACATGAGTGATGGTGTCTTTGTGATACAATGATTTCTTTTCCTGGATAGATACATAGCAGTGAGATTGCTGGGTTGAATACGGTAGATCTATTTTCAGGTCTTTGAGAAATCTCCGTACTGTTTCTCATAGAGGTTACATTTCTAGCAACAGTGTATTAGTGTTCCCTTTTCTCTGCATCCACACTGCCATCTGTTTTTTTGACTTTTTAATAGTAGCCATTCTGATTGGTATAAGATGATGTCTCATTGTGGTTTTAATTTACATTTCTTTGATAATTCCTAATGTTGAGCATTTTTTATATACTTACTGGCCACTTGTGTGTCTTCTTTTGAGAAATGTCTGTTTATGTTTTTTGTCCACTTTTTAATGGGGTTTTTCTCCTTGTATTGTTTTCATTCCTTGTAGATTCTGGATATCCATCCCTTGTTGGAAGCATAATTTGCAAATATTTTCTCCAGCTCTGTAGGTTTTCTGTTTACTCTGTTAATTATTTCCTTTGCTGTGCAGAAGCTTTTTAGTTTAACTAAGTCCCATTTAAGTCTATTTTAGTTTTTGTTGCATTTGCTTTTGATGTCTCAGTCATAAATTATTTGCCTAGTCCAATATCCAGAAGAGTTTTACCTAGTTTTTCTTACTAGTATTTTTATAGTTTCAGGTTTTATATTTAAGTCCTTAATCCAGAATGTGCTAATTTTTGTATATGCTGAGAGCTAAGGATCCAGTTTCATTCTCTTGGATATGGCCAGCCAGTTTCCCCAGCACCATTTATTGAACAGAATATCCTTTCCCCATTGTTTATTTTTGTCAACTTTGTCAAAAATCAGTTGGTTGTAGGTATGTGACTTTATTTCTGGGTTTTCTATTCTCTTCCATTAAAGTATATCTGTATTTTTCTATCAGTACTGTGCTATTTTAGTTACTATAGCTTTGTAGTATAATTCGAAGTCAGGTAATGTGATGCCTCCAGATTTGTTCTTTTTGCTTAGGATTGCTTTCATTATTTGGGCTCTTTTTTGGTTTCATATGAACTTTAGGATTGCTGTTCTAATTCTGTGAAAAATTACATTGCTAATTTCATAAGAATTGTGTTGAATCTGTAGATTTCTTTGGGTGGTATGGTATGTTGATTCTTCCAATCCAAGAGCATGGAATGTTTTTCCATTTGTTTGTGTCATCTCTAATTTATTTCATGAGTGTCTTGTAGTTCTCCTTGTAAAGATTTTCACCTCCTTTGTAAAATGTATTCCTAGATATTTTATTTTTTTTGTGGCTATCGTAAATGGGATTGAATTCTTGATTTCATTCTCAGCCTGAATGTTATTGGTGTATAGAAATTCCACTTATTTTTGTACACTGAATTTGTATCCCAAAACTTTATTGAAATTGTTTATCAAGTCTAGGATTATTATTTTTGAGTTGTCGTTAGAGTTTTCTAGATATACAATTGTGTCATCAGTGAACAAAGATAGTATGCTTCCTGTTTTCCAATTTGGATGCCTTTTTAAAATTATTGTACTTTAAGTTTTAGGGTACATGTGCACAATGTGCAGGTTAGTTACATATGTATACATGGGACATGCTGGTGTGCTGCACCCACTAACTCGTCATCTAGAATTAGGTATATCTCCCAATGCTATCCCTCCCCACTCCCCCCACCCCACAACAGTCCCCAGAGTGTGATGTTCCCCTTCCTGTGTCCATGTGTTCTCATTGTTCAATTCCCACCTATGAGTGAGAATATGCGGTACTTGGTTTTTCGTTCTTGCGATAGTTTACTGAGAATGATGATTTCCAATTTCATCTATGTCCCTACAAAGGGCATGAACTCATCATTTTTTATGGCTGCATAGTATTCCATGGTGTATATGTGCCACTTTTTCTTAATCCAGTCTATCATTGTTGGACATTTGGGTTGGTTCCAAGTCTTTGCTATTGTGAATAGTGCCGCAATAAACATACGTGTGCATGTGTCTTTATAGCAGCATGATTTATAGTCCTTTGGGTATATACCCAGTAATGGGATGGCTGGGTCAAATGGTATTTCTAGTTCTAGATCCCTGAGGAATCGCCACACTGACTTCCACAATGGTTGAACTAGTTTACAGTCCCACCAACAGTGTAAAAGTGTTCCTATTTCTCCATATCCTCTCCAGCACTTGTTCTTTCCTGACTTTTTAATGATTGCCATTCTAACTGGTGTGAGATGGTATCTCATTGTGGTTTTGATTTGCATTTCTCTGATGGCCAGTGATACTGAGCATTTTTTCATGTGTTTTTTGGCTGCATAAATGTCTTCTTTTGAGAAGTGTCTGTTCATGTCCTTCACCCACTTTTTGATGGGGTTGTTTGTTTTTTTCTTGTAAATTTGTTTGAGTTCATTGTAGGTTCTGGATATTAGCCCTTTGTCAGATGAGTAGGTTGTGAAAATTTTCCCCCATTTTTTGGGTTGCCTGTTCACTCTGATGGTAGTTTCTTTTGCTGTGCAGAAGCTCTTTAGTTTAATGAGATCCCATTTGTCAATTTTGTCTTTTGTTGCCATTGCTTTTGGTGTTTTAGATGTGAAGTCCTTGCCCATGCCTATGTCCTGAATGGTAATGCCTAGGTTTACTTCTAGGGTTTTTATGGTTTTAGGTCTAACATTTAAGTCTTTAATCCATCTTGAATTGATTTTTGTATAAGGTGTAAGGAAGGGATCCAGTTTCAGCTTTCTACATATGGCTAGCCAGTTTTCCCAGCACCATTTATTAAATAGGGAATCCCTTCCCCATTGCTTGTTTTTCTCAGGTTTGTCAAAGATCAGATAGTTGTAGATATGCGGCATGATTTCGGAGGGCTCTGTTCTGTTCCATTGATCTATATCTCTGTTTTGGTACCAGTACCATGCTGTTTTGGTTACTGTAGCCTTATAGTATAGTTTAAAGTCAGGTAGTGTGATGCCTCCAGCTTCGTTCTTTTGGCTTAGGATTGACTTGGCGATGTGGGCTCTTTTTTGGTTCCATATGAACTTTAAAGTAGTTTTTTCCAATTCTGTGAAGAAAGTCATTGGTAGCTTGATGGGGATGGCATAGAATCTATAAATTACCTTGGGCAGTATGGTCATTTTCACGATATTCATTCTTCCTACCCATGAGCATGGAATGTTCTTCTTTTGTTTGTATCCTCTTTTATATTTCATTGAGCAGTGGTTTGTAGTTCTCCTTGAAGAGGTCCTTCACGTCCCTTGTAAGGTGGATTCCTAGGTATTTTATTCTCTTTGAATCAATTGTGAATGGGAGTTCACTCATGATTTGGCTCTCTGTTTGTCTGTTATTGGTGTATAAGAATGCCTGTGATTTTTGTACATTGATTTTGTATCCTGAGACTTTGCTGAAGTTGCCTATCAGCTTAAGGAGATTTTGGGCTGAGACGATGGGGTTTTCTAGATATACAATCATGTCATCTTCAAACAGGGACAATTTGACTTCCTCTTTTCCTAATTGAATACCCTTTATTTCCTTCTCCTGGCTAATTGCCCTGGGCAGAACTTCCAACACTATGTTGAATAGGAGTGGTGAGAGAGGGCATCCCTGTCTTGTGCCAGTTTTCAAAGGGAATGCTTCTGGTTTTTGCCCATTCAGTATGATATTGGCTGTGGGTTTGTCATAGATAGCTCTTATTATTTTGAGATACGTCCCATCAATACCTAATTTATTGAGAGTTTTTAGCATGAAGCATTGTTGAATTTTGTCAAAGGCCTTTTCTGCATCTATTGAGATAATCATGCGGTTTTTGTCTTTGATTTTGTTTATGTGCTAGATTACATTTATTGATTTGTGTATATTGAACCAGCCTTGCATCCCAGGGATGAAGCCCACTTGATCATTGTGGATAAGCTTTTTGGTGTGCTGCTGGATTCCATTTGCCAGTATTTTACTGAGGATTTTTGCATCGATGTTCATCAAGGATATTGGTCTAAAATTCTCTTTTTTGGTTGTGTCTCTGCCTGGCTTTGGTATCAGGATGATGCTGGCCTCATAAAATGAGTTAGGGAGGATTCCCTCTTTTTCTATTGATTGGAATAGTTTCAGAAGGAATAGTACCAGTTCCTCCTTGTACCTCTGGTAGAATTCGGCTGTGAATCCGTCTGGTCCTGGACTCTTTTTCGTTGGCAAGCTATCGCTTATTGCCACAATTTCAGAGCCTGTTAGTGGTCTATTCAGAGAGTCAACTTCTTCCTGGTTTAGTCTTGGGAGGGTGTATGTGTCGAGGAATTTATCCATTCCTTCTAGATTTTCTAGTTTATTTGCATAGAGGTGTTTGTAGTATTCTCTGATGGTAGTTTGTATTTCTGTGGGATCAGTGGTAATATCCCCTTTATCATTTTTTATTGCATCTATTTGATTCTTCTCTCTTTTCTTCTTTATTAGTCTTGCTAGCGGTCTGTCAATTTTGTTGATCCTTTCAAAAAACCAGCTCCTGGATTCATTAATTTTTTGAAGGGTTTTTTGTGTCTCTATGTCCTTCAGTTCTGCTCTGATTTTAGTTATTTCTTGCCTTCTGCTAGCTTATGAATGTGTTTGCTCTTGCTTTTCTAGTTCTTTTAATTGTGATGTTAGGGTGTCAGTTTTGGATCTTTCCTGCTTTCTCTTGTGGGCATTTAGTGCTATAAATTGCCCTCTACACACTGCTTTGAATGCGTCCCAGTGATACTGGTATGTTGTGTCTTTGTTCTCGTTGGTTTCAAAGAACATCTTTATTTCTGCCTTCATTTTGTTAGGTACCCAGTAGTCATTCGGGAGCCGTTGTTCAGTTTCCATGTAGTTGAGCGGTTTTCAGTGAGTTTCTTAATCCTGAGTTCTAGTTTGATTGCACTGTGGTCTCAGAGACAGTTTGTTATAATTTCTGTTCTTTTACATTTGCTGAGGAGAGCTTTACTTCCAACTATGTGGTCAATTTTGGAATAGGTGTGGTGTGGTGCTGAAAAAATGTATATTCTGTTGATTTGGGGTGGAGAATTCCGTAGATGTCTATTAGGTCCGCTTGGTGCAAAGCTGAGTTCAATTCCTGGGTATCCTTGTTAACTTTCTGTCTAATGTTGACAGTGGGGTGTTAAAGTCTCCCATTATTATTGTATGGGAGTCTAAGTCTCTTTGTAGGTCACTCAGGACTTGCTTTATGAATCTGGGTGCTCCTGTATTGGGTGCATATATATTTAGGATAGTTAGCTCTTCTTGTTGAATTGATCCCTTTACCATTATGTAATGGCCTTCTTTGTCTCTTTTGATCTTTGTTGGTTTAAAGTCTGTTTTATCAGAGACTAGGATTGCAACCCCTGCCTTTGTTTGTTTTCCATTTGCTTGGTAGATCTTCCTCCATCCTTTTATTTTGAGCCTATGTGTGTCTCTGCATGTGAGATGGGTTTCCTGAATACAGCACACTGATGGGTCTTGACTCTTTATCCAATTTGCCAGTCTGTGTCTTTTAATTGGAGCATTTAGTCCATTTACATTTAAAGTCAATATTGTTATGTGTGAATTTGATCCTGTCATTATGATGTTAGCTGGTTTATTTTGCTCGTTAGTTGATGCAGTTTCTTCCTAGCCTTGATGGTCTTTACAATTTGGCATGATTTTTCAGTGGCTGGTACCGGTTGTTCTTTTCCATGTTTAGTGCTTCCTTCAGGAGCTCTTTTAGGGCAGGCCTGGTGGTGACAAAATCTCTCAGCATTTGTTTGTCTATAATGGTTTTTATTTCTCCTTCACTTATGAAGCTTAGTTTGGCTGGATATGAAATTCTGGGTTGCAAATTCTTTTCTTTAAGAATGTTGAATATTGGCCCCCACTCTCTTCTGGCTTCTAGAGTTTCTACTGAGAGATCCGCTGTTAGTCTAATAGGCTTCCCTTTGTGGGTAACCCGACCTTTCTCTCTGGCTGCCCTTAACATTTTTTCCTTCATTTCAACTTTGGTGAATATGACAATTATGTGTCTTGGAGTCGCTCTTCTCGAGGAGTATCTTTGTAGCGTTCTCTGTATTTCCTGAATGTGAATGTTGACCTGCCTTGCTGGATTGGGGAAGTTCTCCTGGATAATATCCTGCACAGTGTTTTCCAACTTGGTTTCATTCTCCCCATCACTTTCAGGTATACCAATCATACGTAGATTTGGTCTTTTCACATAGTCCCGTATTTCTTGGAGGCTTTGTTCATTTCTTTTTATTCTTTTTTCTCTAAACTTCCCTTCTCACTTCATTTCATTCATTTCATCTTCCATCACTGATACCCTTTCTTCCAGTTGATCGCATCGGCTCCTGAGGCTTCTGCATTCTTCACGTAGTTTTCGAGCCTTGGCTTTCAGCTCCATCAGCTCCTTTAAGCACTTCTCTATATTCGTTATTCTAGTTATACATTCGTCTACATTTTTTTCATAGTTTTCAACTTCTTTGCCTTTGGTTTGAATTTCCTCCTGTAGCTCGGAGTAGTTTGATCGTCCGAAGCCTTCTTCTCTCAACTCGTGAAAGTCATTCTCTGTCCAGCTTTGTTCTGTTGCTGGTGAGGAACTGCGTTCCTTTGGAGGAGGAGAGCTGCTCTGCTTTTTAGAGTTTCCAGTTTTTCTGCTCTGTTTTTTCCCCATCTTTGTGGTTTTATCTACTTTTGGTCTTTGATGATGGTGATGTACAGATGGGTTTTTGGTGTGGATGTCCTTTCTGTTTGTTAGTTTTCCTCCTAACAGACAGGACCCTCCGCTGCAGGTCTGTTGGAGTTTGCTAGAGGTCTACTCCAGACCCTGTTAGCCTGGGTACCAGCAGCGGTGGCTGCAGAACAGTGGATTTTCGTGAACCGCAAATGCTGCTGTCTGATCATTCCTCTGGAAGTTTTGTCTCAGAGGAGTACCCGGCCTTGTGAGGTGTCAGTCTGCCTCTACTGGGGGGTGCCTCCCAGTTAGGCTGCTCGGCGGTCAGGGGTCAGGGACCCACTTGAGGAGGCAGTCTGCCCGTTCTCAGATCTCCAGCTGTGTGCTGGGAGAACCACTGCTCTCTTCAAAGCTGTCAGACAGGGACATTTAAGTCTGCAGAGGTTACTGCTGTCTTTTTGTTTGTCTGTGCCCTGCCCCCAGAGGTGGAGCCTACAGAGGCAGGCAGGCCTCCTGGAGCTGTGGTGGGCTCCACCCAGTTGGAGCTTCCAGGTTGCTTTGTTTACCTAAGCAAGCCTGGGCAATGGCGGGTGCCCCTCACCCAGCCTCGCTGCCACCTTGCAGTTTGATCTCAGACTGCTGTGCTAGCAATCAGGCAGACTCCGTGGGGGTAAGACCCCCTGAGCCATGTGCAGGATATAATCTCCTGGTGTGCCGTTTTTTAAGCCCGTCGGAAAAGCGCAGTATTCGGGTGGGAGTGACTGGATTTTCCAGGTGCCATCTGTCACCCCTTTCTTTGACTAGGAAAGGGAACTCCCTGACCCCTTGCACTTCCCGAGTGAGGCAATGCCTCGCCCTGCTTCGGCTCACGCACGGTGCGCTGCACCCACTGTCCTGCACCCACTGTCTGGCACTCCCTAGTGAGATGAACCCGGTACCTCAGATGGAAATGCAGAAATGGATGCCTTTTATTTCTTTCTCTTGCTTGATCGCTCTGGCTAGGCCTTCCAGTACTGTGTTCAATAGGATTGGTGAGAGTAGACATCCTACTTTTGTTGCATTTCTTAGGGATAATCCTTTAAACTTTTCTCCGTTTAGGATTATGTTGGCTGTGGTTTGTCATATATAGCTCTTATTATTTTGACATATGTTCCTTTGATGCCTACTTTGTTGAGGGTTTTTATCATGAAGGGATATTGGATTTTATTAAATGCTTTTCCTGCATCTGTTGAGACGATCATATGGCTAACAGGGCTGGGAGAAAAATATTGAAAAAAAAACTTTAAGTTTAATAAAAAAGTAGAATATTTTTACTTAAAAAACTTATAAAGGCGAAATTATTTAATTCAAACTTAATTTATTTTCCAAAAAAGTCACTAAGCTAAAGCTTTTAAAAACAGATAGCTTCGGCTGGGTGCAGTGCCTCATGCCTGTAATCCCAGCACTTTGGGAGGCCGAGGCGGGCGGATCACCTGAGGAGTTCAAGACCAGCCTGGCCAATATGGCGAAATCCCATCTCTACTCAAAATACAAGAAATTAGCTGGGCATGGTGGCGAGTGCCTGTAATCCCAGCTACTCTGGGGGTTGAGGCAGGAGAGTCACTTGAACCCGGGAGGCAGAGGTTGCAGTGAGCTGAGATCATGCCATTGCACTCCAGCCTGGACAACAAGAACAAAACGCCGCCAAACAAAACAAAACAAACAAACAAAAAAACAGATAGCTTTTGCTCTTTGCACATTGTACTTTATAAAGTGTCTTTATAGAGTATCGTTTATACTTTATGAAATTGATAACTTTGGTTAATTATTTAAAAAAACTTTAGCTTAGTGACGTTTTCAAAAATAAATCAAGTTTAAATTAAATAATTTAGCCCTTATAACTGAAAATATTTCATTTTAAAATAAAACTTATAGTTAGCTTTTCATTTTTCTTCCAAATCTTCTTGTTTTTACATGTCTGTTGACATTTTGGATATTGGTTTGAACATTTCTAAAGTGCCACTTTTGCTAAGAATCGTGAACTCAATGTAATTACTTTCAACAAATATTTCTTGAACATTTACTATTTCTTTTGCATTTATAAAAAAGTCTCGTCCTTTACATAGTTGTTTTTTTTTTTTTTGAGATGGACTCTCGCTCTGTCGCCCAGGCTGGAGTGCAGTGGCCCGATCTCGGCTCACTGCAAGCTCCGCCTCCCAGGTTCACGCCATTCTCCTGCCTCAGCCTCCCAAATAGCTGGGACTAGAGGCGCCCGCCACCATGCCCGGCTAATTTTTTCGTATTTTATTTTTTTTTAGCAGAGACGGGTTTCACTATGTTGGTCAGACTGGTCTCGAACTCCTGACCTCGTGATTCGCCCACTTCTGCCTTCCAAAGTGCTGGGATTACAGGTGTGAGCCACCGCGCCCAGCCGTCCTTTACATAGTTAATATGTAAAATTTAACATCATCTCATTTGAATACTACAGAAAGATGAGCTTATAAAAAGCAGTGCTAAATTAGGCCACAGGAAAATGCTTCCAGTTAAGGGATAAGTATGACATTTCCAAGGGATAATAAAGGGTAAAGATATCTTCTGGATCCTCCCTCAATATAACATCAATATCTTCTTTGAACCTTGAAAATAATTAAATAGAGAGAAGAAAATATATAAAACCTGTGTAAATATGTGATTTTATATAAATGAGATGTTCTTCCTAGAGGATAAGAAATATTGGAAGAGATTTTTGCCAGGAAGTTTTTTCTTACTGGAAGTGTGCCTATTTGCAGAATTAAAGAACACGATCAGAACTGGAAAGCAAATACTAATAGTGTGAGTCTTACAATGAGAAAAGAAAAAAAATTCTTACCTATGTAGAAGTCAAAATAAAAGATTTGTGATGACTATTTCATGAAGAAAACATAGCTTAAAGAATAGGCAACCTTTTTCTAACTGACATCTGAGTATTATATAATATAGGTATTTTCTGTCAATATGTACACATTCAGATTAATTAACATGTCAATATATGCTATTGGGGATAATTAAAAATTTTTAATGTGCTGTAAGAAACTATTGCTGATAGGAAGGTGATTTAGTCAACCTAGTTCTGCTTAGATCTATTTTTATGGAGCTTGAATTTTTATTCCTGTGAATTCTCTTATTTAAGGTCTATTGGGAAGCCCTTACTCTCCGTTTCATCTCACACTTTATAAATCATTCTTGTGACCTTTACTCTGTTCAAATAAATGTTAGCCATTGCAGAATTCCAAAGGGTATTTGGCATGATACATTTGATGTCTTCAGTGTAAGTAATGTTATAGGAAAAATCCTGTTAAGTATTTTACATGTGCTATTTCATTTAGTCCTCAGCACAATCCTATAACATAGATACATTATTATTCCCATTTTAAAGACAAGATAAATGTTACTTACAACAGTTAAGTAAATTGCTCAAAGCTACTATCTGGGAATTGGTAGAACTACAGTTAAGCCAAGGTTATGATTCCAGTCATGGCATTTGCAAAAGCTTGAGTCTTATTCTCATTAATGACATTTTCTTTTTCTATTCTAGTCTATTGGAAGATATTATTCAAATCAAATTTTTTTATCTTTAAAATTCTGGAATTCTTAGTTTAAATTATTAATTAAATGTACTTATCTAATTTATTTTTTTAAAACAGTTTTTTGAGTATTTGTTTGCCTGATTAGATTGTGAACTCTAAATTAAGGTACCATATACATGGTCTCTTGCATTTGTTACAGAAATAATTGTAATGTCTTTTATGTAGTGGATATATCAGAGAAAGACTGAGCTTTCAAAATAAACCCAACTGCAACTGGATTCTTGCTCTACCATTTATTCCTGTGTGACCTTGGGCAAAGGTATTTGACCTCTCTCAGCCAGTTTTCTCATCTATACAATTTTGACAATAATACTTTATTTGTTGATTGTATAGATATCTTCATATTTGCCTTCTTCCTTGAGAGTATTAAAAAAGTATCTTTGGCATTTATCTTATGGATAAGTCAAAGTTTTGTTTTAAATTTTAGATTCTCTTTTTTCAGGGAGTAAAATGTTTGAACACAATCCTTTTGGTCTGTTCTAGGTTGCTGCTGAAAACAGTGCTGGCATTGGAGTGTTTAGTGATCCATTTCTCTTCCAAACTGCAGAAAGTGGTAATTTTCCTGTCATTTATTTTAAATTGACTTAGTCATGAGTTTGTCGTTTAAAATAATAAAGAACATAAATAAAAACTGACACTAAAATACATATAATTCTCAGTAGCATGGCCACTTAATTAGTTTTAGAGTTCTTTCGGATAGCTAATTTATTCCTTAAAATATATATTATTCTTTCTGATTATAAGAACAGTAAATGTTATCTTACAAAACTTTGAAAAAACAAGAATAAAAAATGAAAATTATCCATAGACTTATCATATAAAAAATGCTTTTATCATTTTGGTGCATTTCTGGCTTGTCTATTTCCCCCATTAATATGTATCTATATGACTATACATTAATGAAAATAAGCTTGTGCTACATATGCAAGTTTATATCCTGCCTTTTCTTTTTAACATGAAGTCATAAGCTTGTTATAACATAAGACTTTTGGAAACACGGATTTTAATGGTTATTATATTATTGGGTAACATGCAGTCATTACCAAACCAATTTAAGATACCTCCATTCTTCCAGGGGCATAGAGGAAAAATCTTGATGTCACCTGTGGCTCTTTTCTCTCACAGTACACATCTAATCTATCAGTAAATCTTACCAGCACAATCATCAAAGTGTATTCTGAATCTCACACTCATTGCTGACATCCTGTCCAACATTATTCCCAAGAATTGTTGCATTATATTTTATTTTTATTAGAATGCAGCTGTCCTGAAGTCCCTTAATTCCTACCTTATATCATTCATATAGACCTCCTTCCAAAGATCTAACTTTCTTATGTAATTTATGTGGCTATTACTTATAAATTATATTTTAGCATCCTTTTGTACAATGTAAACCTAAACTCTAGTTATTTGGCATCTTAATACTAGGCATCTTTACTATCACTTATTTTTTTTTTATCTCAGACGTTTTGTTTCATTTTGATTTCTTTCAAAAATGACTTGTCATGTTTGTTTTATATTCTGAAGGATCTTGGTGTTTTACTCTATCAGTTTTACACACTTTACCATGAGGTTAATGGGAATAATTTCCCCTAATTCTAGCTTCATATTGGTTTCAAGCCAACTCAAATAGAACTCAGATTATTATTATTATTACTCTATATAATTAATAATTGATAGAAAAGCATAATGAAATTCTGAAGTAAGTTGATTTTGAAAATGTAAAATACAATAATTACAACCAATTGCAGGGTATCCACTTGATATTAGGCACTAGACATTTATAAACATTCCAGAAATCTGCTTTTTGGTGAAAATGGTTGTATAATTGATTCAGTTTGCTATGTTTTTCATATCTAATGAAACTACATATTCCAAAATAGTTAAGGAAATAAGAAATTTATCCCAACTTGTTTGTATATTCACAACTATTGATTGAATTTTTTTCATACTTATTTGAAACGTTTCATCAATGCATGTATTAGCCCAGTTATCCTAAAGTAAAGTTGACTTGCCCCAACTCCAGTTTTTTATTTTAGGCAAAGTTCAGTTAAATACATTTATAAAAATCTTACACAAATAGATTTTATGCAGTGTATTATATATTTAATTTCATGTACCATGAAATTATATAAATGCAATTCTAAGTTTTATAACAAAGTTTTTTCCTTCCCAATCTTTCTCTTCCCCAGCTCCAGGAAAAGTGGTGAATCTCACAGTTGAGGCCTACAACGCTTCAGCAGTTAAGCTGATTTGGTATTTACCTCGGCAACCAAATGGCAAAATTACCAGCTTCAAGATTAGTGTCAAGCATGCCAGAAGTGGGATAGTAGTGAAAGATGTCTCAATCAGAGTAGAGGACATTTTGACTGGGAAATTGCCAGAATGCAATGTAAGTATCACAGAACACTTTCTATGTCTTGAAAAATCTTAGATAAATTTAATTTTCATATTTCTAGCATCTAGATACTATATTTTTACCAAAGTTTTATTAGTTATTTGATTACTTATGGTATCATGTTATACACAACGTTTTATTATTTGATTACTTAGGGTATCATGTAACACAATTGGCCTCATTCAGGTAGAATACAGGAATGGTTTGAGAATTCAAGAGTGAGGGATTAAAATCATTTAGGGAATTCTGAAAAGACTTCATCAAAGGAGTAGCATTTGTGATACACCATGGAGCAAGGACAGATAGAGATTTTGTGATGGTGGCATTCCCGGTGGAGGATACTTTATAAAGCCCTGAGGTGGAAAAGTGTAAGATATAATTGGAGAAAATATTTTACTTCCATATGACAGGAGGGAAGAGTACATGTAGGGTAATAGTTGAGGTTAAATTTGCAGAGGTAGACTGTCATTGTTGTGCATATCTTTGGTAAAGAATTTGTCGTTACTCTGGTCATTGATGATAAACCTCATAATAGTAATGCTTTATTATAGAATAAGCATCGTCATTTTAATTATATGATAAGCATAATAATGCTTTTCCTAAAATCATTTTGGTAATCTCTGTGTTACTATTAATGCAAACACAGTCAAACAGTTATTTTTGCTGTAAATACTTTATAAAAGTCTAAAAATCTTCTTTTTCAACTTATGATATAGTTCTAATACACGCACACACCTAACGTGTGAGCTAGTGGCATACTACTACTTTTTAGTACTTATGAGAAAAAAAAGTTCATTAACAGTAAGAAAGCAGCATTTGAACATACACAAGAGTAAAATTATTTCAGCTCTTTGGCTCTTGCACTGTTAACATGAAGCTTAAAAATTCTTACAGATGATTGTGCTGTAGTTTTACCTTTATTTTAAGCCACTTGAAATTCTATTCGTAAAGGTTAAGGTATAAGGAATACAATAAATATGTCCTCTTCTAAAACTGCAGACATAAATGGGTACAATTAAAATCTAGCAAATTTGTCTATAACTTTTGCATGTTATGTGTGTATGTATAGCATAAAAGAAAAAGAAATGAATTACATGTTCTTATTCTTATGTTCACCAAGAGATACAACATTATTTCTCTATTGATCTTATTTTATTTACTAGGAGAATAGTGAATCTTTTTTATGGAGTACAGCCAGCCCTTCTCCAACCCTTGGTAGAGTTACACCTCCATCGCGTACCACACATTCATCAAGCACGTTGACACAGAATGAGATCAGCTCTGTGTGGAAAGAGCCTATCAGTTTTGTAGTGACACACTTGAGACCTTATACAACATATCTTTTTGAAGTTTCAGCTGCTACAACTGAAGCAGGTTATATTGATAGTACGATTGTCAGAACACCAGAATCAGGTATGGTTCACTTTTTGTAGATAAAAAGATTTAAATGATTAGAGAATAATGTTTAATTTATGTAGATATTTAATTTTAATCTTCTTTACCTTTCAGTAACTTTTTTCCCCTAATAATATACCATAGGCATCCCATCAAGGGTTTCTTCGAATTTCTATACTCTTTTATATTATAGCACAAAATAAGTATTTGAAAGGAGAAAGATTTGCAAAAAACAATTCTTGAGCCACTGACCGTGATCCTCATATAGCTTTTATCATTTTATAATGTCAGCAATTTTTAGTAATCATCTTTGCCGTTCTAAATGATTTATAATCATTTACACCCTTCTCTCACTGTTATTGCCATCATCAAAAGCAGAAATACCTGCACTAGCAGAACGAGCATGTGATCAACATTTAGTTATCAGATACAAGCAGTAGCTAAAATATATACCTACTTATATCCCATTTGCACTGCAGTTTCCTCATCTGAAAAATAGAGACAGTAATAGTACCTTCCTTAGGGTGCCAGTGTTAAAATTAAATGAGAATAATTAGATATTATCATTACTACTGAATTTTATGAGAACATATTTTTGGTAAGGTATTCATATATTTAATTATGGTACTATATCAGTATTCATGTAAATACATGTATTTATGTATTTCATATATTTATAAAATTTAAGGGATATTGATATAGTCCCACATTACATAAGGTATTTATTATATATATAATATATATAGCTGACAGATATATCATAATATAGTATCAGGCATTAGGTTGTAATTGCTAATTTCTGAGGTATTGAAAATTATTGGTAGGGTAATTTCACTAAAGCATGTTTTTTCTGATAAAATAGCTGTTGGCTTCTATTATTTTTCATTTCATATAAGTTTGAAGTTTTTTTGTTCATTTAAATAACCATCTTTGAATTATACCATTTTCTTCTTACATACTCCTTACTTTTTATACAATAAAAAAATGATTTCGGGGGGAGCCAAGATGGCCGAATAGGAACAGCTCCGGTCTACAGCTCCCAGCATGAGCGATGCAGAAGACGGGTGATTTCCGCATTTTCATCTAAGGTACCCGTTCGTCTCACTAGGGAGTGCCAGACAGTGGATGCAGGTCAGTGCGTGCAGTGCGCCGTGAGAGAGCCGAAGCAGGGCGAGGCATTGCCTCACTTGGGGAGCACAAGGGGTCAGGGAGTTCCCTTTCCTAGTCAAAGAAAGGGGTGACAGATGGCACCTGGAAAATCCAGTCACTCCCACCCGAATACTGCGCTTTTCCGACAGGCTTAAAAAACGGCACACCAGGAGATTATATCCTGCACATGGCTCAGGGGGTCCTACCCCCACGGAGTCTGCCTGATTGCTAGCACAGCAGTCTGAGATCAAACTGCAAGGTGGCAGCGAGGCTGGGTGAGGGGCACCCGCCATTGCCCAGGCTTGCTTAGGTAAACAAAGCAGCCTGGAAGCTCCAACTGGGTGGAGCCCACCACAGCTCAAGGAGGCCTGCCTGCCTCTGTAGGCTCCACCTCTGGGGGCAGGGCACAGACAAACAAAAAGACAGCAGTAACCTCTGCAGACTTAAATGTCCCTGTCTGACAGCTTTGAAGAGAGCAGTGGTTCTCCCAGCACACAGCTGGAGATCTGAGAACGGGCAGACTGCCTCCTCAAGTGGGTCCCTGACCCCTGACCGCCGAGCAGCCTAACTGGGAGGCACCCCCCAGTAGAGGCAGACTGACACCTCACAAGGCCGGGTACTCCTCTGAGACAAAACTTCCAGAGGAATGATCAGACAGCAGCATTTGCGGTTCACGAAAATCCACTGTTCTGCAGCCACCGCTGCTGGTACCCAGGCTAACAGGGTCTGGAGTAGACCTCTAGCAAACTCCAACAGACCTGCAGCGGAGGGTCCTGTCTGTTAGGAGGAAAACTAACAAACAGAAAGGACATCCACACCAAAAACCCATCTGTACATCACCATCATCAAAGACCAAAAGTAGATAAAACCACAAAGATGGGGAAAAAACAGAGCAGAAAAACTGGAAACTCTAAAAAGCAGAGCACCTCTCCTCCTCCAAAGGATGGCAGTTCCTCACCAGCAACAGAACAAAGCTGGACAGAGAATGACTTTCACGAGTTGAGAGAAGAAGGCTTCGGACGATCAAACTACTCCGAGCTACAGGAGGAAATTCAAACCAAAGGCAAAGAAGTTGAAAACTTTGAAAAAAATGTAGATGAATGTATAACTAGAATAACCAATACAGAGAAGTGCTTAAAGGAGCTGATGGAGCTGAAAGCCAAGGCACGAGAACTACGTGAAGAATGCAGAAGCATCAGGAGCCAATGCAATCAACTGGGAGAAAGGGTATCAGCGATGGAAGATGAAATGAATGAAATGAAGCAAGAAGGGAAGTTTAGAGAAAAAAGAATAAAAAGAAATGAACAAACCCTCCAAGAAATACGGGACTATGTGAAAAGACCAAATCTACGTATGATTGGTATACCTGAAAGTGATGGCGAGAATGGAATCAAGTTGGAAAACACTCTGCAGGATGTTATCCAGGAGAACTTCCCCAATCTAGCAAGGCAGGCCAACAT
Organism: Homo sapiens; assembly: GCF_000001405.40. Classification (NCBI taxonomy): domain Eukaryota; kingdom Metazoa; phylum Chordata; class Mammalia; order Primates; family Hominidae; genus Homo; species Homo sapiens. The sequence continues at coordinate 80,463,494 of NC_000012.12, forward strand.
TCAGATTCAGGAAATACAGAGAATGCCACAAAGATACTCCTTGAGAAGAGCAACTCTAAGACACATAATTGTCAGATTCACCAAAGTTGAAATGAAGGAAAAAATGTTAAGGGCAGCCAGAGAGAAAGGTCGGGTTACCCACAAAGGGAAGCCCATCAGACTAACAGTGGATCTCTCGGCAGAAACCCTAGAAGCCAGAAGAGAGTGGGGGCCAATATTCAACATTCTTAAAGAAAAGAATTTTCAATCCAGAATTTCATATCCAGCCAAACTAAGCTTCATAAGTGAAGGAGAAATAAAATACTTTACAGACAAGCAAATGCTGAGAGATTTTGTCACCACCAGGCCTGCCCTAAAAGAGCTCCTGAAGGAAGCACTAAACATGGAAAGGAACAACTGGTACCAGCCGCTGCAAAATCATGCCAAAATGTAAAGACCATCGAGACTAAGAAGAAACTGCATCAACTAACGAGCAAAATAAACCAGCTAACATCATACTGACAGGTTCAAATTCACACATAACAATATTAACTTTAAATGTAAATGGACTAAATGCTCCAATTAAAAGACACAGACTGGCAAATTAGATAAAGAGTCAAGACCCATCAGTGTGTTGTATTCAGGAAACCCATCTCACATGCAGAGACACACATAGGCTCAAAATAAAAGGATGGAGGAAGATCTACCAAGCAAATGGAAAACAAACAAAGGCAGGGGTTGCAATCCTAGTCTCTGATAAAACAGACTTTAAACCAACAAAGATCAAAAGAGACAAAGAAGGCCATTACATAATGGTAAAGGGATCAATTCAACAAGAAGAGCTAACTATCCTAAATATATATGCACCCAATACAGGAGCACCCAGATTCATAAAGCAAGTCCTGAGTGACCTACAAAGAGACTTAGACTCCCATACAATAATAATGGGAGACTTTAACACCCCACTGTCAACATTAGACAGAAAGTTAACAAGGATACCCAGGAATTGAACTCAGCTTTGCACCAAGCGGACCTAATAGACATCTACGGAATTCTCCACCCCAAATCAACAGAATATACATTTTTTCAGCACCACACCACACCTATTCCAAAATTGACCACATAGTTGGAAGTAAAGCTCTCCTCAGCAAATGTAAAAGAACAGAAATTATAACAAACTGTCTCTGAGACCACAGTGCAATCAAACTAGAACTCAGGATTAAGAAACTCACTGAAAACCGCTCAACTACATGGAAACTGAACAACGGCTCCCGAATGACTACTGGGTACCTAACAAAATGAAGGCAGAAATAAAGATGTTCTTTGAAACCAACGAGAACAAAGACACAACATACCAGTATCACTGGGACGCATTCAAAGCAGTGTGTAGAGGGCAATTTATAGCACTAAATGCCCACAAGAGAAAGCAGGAAAGATCCAAAACTGACACCCTAACATCACAATTAAAAGAACTAGAAAAGCAAGAGCAAACACATTCATAAGCTAGCAGAAGGCAAGAAATAACTAAAATCAGAGCAGAACTGAAGGACATAGAGACACAAAAAACCCTTCAAAAAATTAATGAATCCAGGAGCTGGTTTTTTGAAAGGATCAACAAAATTGACAGACCGCTAGCAAGACTAATAAAGAAGAAAAGAGAGAAGAATCAAATAGATGCAATAAAAAATGATAAAGGGGATATTACCACTGATCCCACAGAAATACAAACTACCATCAGAGAATACTACAAACACCTCTATGCAAATAAACTAGAAAATCTAGAAGAAATGGATAAATTTTTCGACACATACACCCTCCCAAGACTAAACCAGGAAGAAGTTGACTCTCTGAATAGACCACTAACAGGCTCTGAAATTGTGGCAATAAGCAATAGCTTACCAACCAAAAAGAGTCCAGGACCAGATGGATTCACAGCCGAATTCTACCAGAGGTACAAGGAGGAACTGGTACCATTCCTTCTGAAACTATTCCAATCAATAGAAAAAGAGGGAATCCTCCCTAACTCATTTTATGAGGCCAGCATCATCCTGATACCAAAGCCGGGTAGAGACACAACCAAAAAAGAGAATTTTAGACCAATATCCTTGATGAACATCGATGCAAAAATCCTCAGTAAAATACTGGCAAATGGAATCCAGCAGCACACCAAAAAGCTTATCCACCATGATCAAGTGGGCTTCATCCCTGGGATGCAAGGCTGGTTCAATATACACAAATCAATAAATGTAATCCAGCATATAAACAGAACCAAAGACAAAAACCACATGATTATCTCAATAGATGCAGAAAAGGCCTTTGACAAAATTCAACAACCCTCCATGCTAAAAACCCTCAATAAATTAGGAATTGGTGGGACGTATCTCAAAATAATAAGAGCTATCTATGACAAACCCACAGCCAATATCATACTGAATGGGCAAAAACTGGAAGCATTCCCTTTGAAAACTGGCACAAGACAGGGATGCCCCCTCTCACCACTCCTATTCAACATAGTGTTGGAAGTTCTGGCCAGGGCAATTAGGCAGGAGAAGGAAGTAAACGGTATTCAATTAGGAAAAGAGGAAGTCAAAATGTCCCTGTTTGCAGACGACATGATTGTGTATCTAGAAAACCCCATCGTCTCAGCCCAAAATCTCCTTAAGCTGATAAGCAATTTCAGCAAAGTCTCAGGATACAAAATCAATGTACAAAAATCATAGGCATTCTTATACACCAACAACAGACAAACAGAGAGCCAAATCATGAGTGAACTCCCATTCACAGTTGCTTCAAAGAGAATAAAATACCTAGGAATCCAACTTACAAGGGATGTGAAGGACCTCTTCAAGGAGAAGTACAAACCAGTGCTCAATGAAATAAAAGAGGATACAAACAAATGAAAGAACATTCCATGCTCATGGGTAGGAAGAATCAATATCATGAAAATGGCCACACTGCCCAAGGTAATTTATAGATTCTATGCCATCCCCATCAAGCTACCAATGACTTTCTTCACAGAATTGGAAAAAACTACTTTAAAGTTCATATGGAACCAAAAAGGAGCCCGCATTGCCAAGTCAATCCTAAGCCAAAAGAACAAAGCTGGAGGCATCACACTACCTGACTTTAAACTATACTACAAGGCTACAGTAACCAAAACAGAATGGTACTGGTACCAAAACAGAGATATAGATCAGTGGAACAGAACAGAGCCCTCTGAAATAACGCTGCATATCTACAACTATCTGATCTTTGACAAACCTGAGAAAAACAAGCAATGTGGAAAGGATTCCCTATTTAATAAATGGTGCTGGGAAAACTGGCTAGCCATATGTAGAAAGCTGAAACTGGATCCCTTCCTTATACCTTATACAAAAATCAATTCAAGATAGATTAAAGACTTAAATGTTAGACCTAAAACCATAAAAACCCTAGAAGTAAACCTAGGCATTACCATTCAGGACATAGGCATGGGCAAGGACTTCATGTCTAAAACACCAAAAGCAGTGGCAACAAAAGCCAAAATTGACAAATGGGATCTAATTAAACTAAAGAGCGTCTGCATAGCAAAAGAAACTACCATCAGAGTGAACAGGCAACCTTCAGAATGGGAGAAAATTTTCACAACCTACTCATCTGACAAAGGGCTAATATCCAGAATCTACAATGAACTCAAACAAATTTACAAGAAAAAGCAAAGAACCCCATCAAAAAGTGGGCGAAGGACATGAACAGACACTTCTCAAAAGAAGACATTTATGCAGCCAAAAAACACATGAAAAGATGCTCACCATCACTGGCCATCAGATAAATGCAAATCAAAACCACAATGAGATACCATCTCACACCAGTTAGAATGGCAATCATTAAAAAGTCAGGAAACAACAGGTGCTGGAGAAGATGTGGAGAAATAGGAACATTTTTACACTGTTGGTGGGACTGTAAACTAGTTCAACCATTGTGGAAGTCAGTGTGGCGATTCCTCAGGGATCTAGAACTAGAAATACCATTTGACCCAGCCATCCCATTACTGGGTATATACCCAAAGGACTATAAAACATGCTGCTATAAAGACACATGCACACATATGTTTATTGCGGCATTATTCACAATAGCAAAGACTTGCAACCAACCCAAATGTCCAACAATGATAGACTGGATTAAGAAAATGTGGCACATATACACCATGGAATACTATGCAGCCATAAAAAATGATGAGTTCATGTCCTTTGTAGGGACATGGATGAAATTGGAAATCATCATTCTCAGTAAACTATCACAAGAACAAAAAACCAAACACCGCATATTCTCACTCATAGGTGGGAATTGAACAATGAGAACACATGGACACAGGAAGGGGAACATCACACTCTGGGGACTGTTGTGGGGTGGGGGCAGGGGGGAGGTATAGCTTTAGGAGTTATACCTAATGCTAAATGACGAGTTAATGGGTGCAGCAAACCAACATGGCACATGTATACATATGTAACTAACCTGCACGTTGTGCACATGTACCCTAAAACTTAAAGTGTAATAATAATAAAATTTTTAAAACAATGATTTCATAAGGGTCATACAAGGTGAAATTTGCTAGACAATAATTTTGTTTTGAAAAATATTTGGAATTGTTTTATTTCAATTAAAAGAATAAACATCTAAGAAAAATAGAGTAATTTAAAATGTCATTATTATTTTCATGTTATCAATATTACATTTGAATCCTCCAAATGTAGATTATAAATTTGTTCTTAGAATAAATACAAATATTGATACAAAAAGTAAAAATTATTTGCTCATAATTTTGAGGGTCATTTTCTTGAAACTTCTACCTGTGTTAATAAGAGAGAAAATGTTTATCAAGCCAGATATCCAGACTTTGTTCATCCAGACTTTGTTGAATGCAGTATATATATGCAGGTATAAATGTTTCAAGACAATGTAACATTGGCAATAAATGTATTACAATGAATATTAGAATGAAACTTGCGCAGTGCAATAGTAAACAGTATTAAATAAAATCAGTAATTGTTAAAAATAAGTTTATCTGATGATCCAGCATGTGTTATTCACAATTTTCAATTATATTCCATTTATTCTTTTTTAAGATAAAAAAACTCTGCTTTTAAGCGCGATATTTTATTTTCCTTCTTTGCCTTTGTGTTTTATTATGTGTATTTAATAGGGTGCGCTTTCATTTTAAATATATGTTATGTATTTATTTTCTATAATTATTTTAGTGCCTGAAGGACCACCACAAAACTGCGTAACAGGCAACATCACAGGAAAGTCCTTTTCAATTTTATGGGACCCACCAACTATAGTAACAGGGAAATTTAGTTATAGAGTTGAATTATATGGACCATCAGGTAAGCCTTAATTGGTTTTGTGTTTGCCTTTTGGAGTGAGAATAATAAAATATGTTACCAATATCAAACTCTGTTTAAAAGTATCAGACTCTTTTTAAAAGACTCTAAGATTGAAGCAAACAATAGGAAAGTCATAAGGAAGGGGAGGTCCTTTGATTTTTTAATTCAAAACCATAAATGAGTATAAGAATGACAAAACTATTCATGTTCCACATTTCATGTGATGCATGTGAAAAACTAGAGATAACTCCTCAAGAAAAAAGTGTTAGTGGAGATATACATCTTCAAATATTTGAACAAGAAGTCCTTGGCTTACATTCATGAAGAACAATGGACTTTGACTATATTAAATTAGATTTCTATTCACTGCTAGGAGCCTAGTTTTTAATCATTAGAAAGAGCTCTCTAAAAATAACATGGAAAATCTCTGTATCTTCTGCTCTATTTTGCTGTGGACCTAAAACTGCTTTAAAAAAGAAAACCTATTAAAATTTTTGGGCAGCTTTATAAAGTGGCAAGTTCTCCAACTTTGTAAGCAAGCAGGACCTGGGCATCCACTTGCCAGAGATACTTTGAGAGGATCAAGTATTATATCATTAGGATCAAGTATTATATCATTAGAAGTGAATTATGTAAAGTCTAAAATTCTCTCCTGATTGAGAGCCTCTGATTCTATGAAAGAAGTTTAATTCTAACAATGATGAGATAAATAATAAAGCCACATATTATCATTTATTTGGGGGCATCAAAAAAGATACAGAGTTCCAACTCATTTTATTTTGCAATTTCTGTGGTATGAATCACTCATCACCATCATGAGTAACCTTTATCTTTCATCCCTAAGTAACTTATGCTCCTAAAATTCTGAAATACTTTTACTTCCTAAAAAAAGATAATTCCCTCCACTCACCCATCCGATACACAGAAACAGACATGGATACACAGCTACATCTTTTCTGTCTGACATTATTGTTCAATACTTGGCTGAAGTACTCTTTCATTTGTAAGGCTGGCTGATAAATCAAGTGAGAGGCATGTAGCAATAATTGCATTTAGCAACATGGGAGTGATCACATGCTTTCAGTATGGTGGAACATGTGGGGTAAATACATGATTGAATTAGTTTAAGAGTGAATGGGAGAAGATCATTGGAACAATGGGTGTAGAAATTCTTTTGAGTTTAGCTGCAAAGCAAAGCAGTGAATAGAGAGTAAGGGTAGGGATAAGTGAAGTCAACAGGTCTCTTCAGTAAGAACATATAAAGCATGTTTGTTTGCTGATGGAAATGAGGAAAATAAGGAAAATGTTAATGATATAAGAAAAACGAGAATTACTGGAAAGGTGTCTGTGTGGGCAGAAGGTGAGATCTTTTGCTCAAATGTAGCCATTGGTTTGAGATAAGAATACAGATAATTTGTCCATACTAACAGATAATTTGTCCATAAGTTGTTCTTATAGGTTGTAAGGCAGAGTATATGGGTGTAGATGCTGGTAAATATATAGTTGTGTTGGTGGGAGCCTGTGGCAAATATTTTCTAACTGGTTTACCTTTTTCAGTGTAGTGGGAAGCAAGACTATTAGTTGGGAGTGAAGATAGGGCAGAAGGTATTAGAGGTCTGAGCAGAGAAGAGTAAGTGTAAAATAATCTTCTAGAAGAGTAGAGTGATTGGACCATTGACTATGTAAGTTGAGTAAGATTCCAGGCACCATGTAGGGCTCATTCAAGGTTTGGCTATGAATAAAGTGACATCAATTAATGGCTTTGTGCTGTAAATGAGCTGCCTTCAACAACAGAAGGGCGAGGGAATTGGAGGCCTGTGTAAGGCAGTGATTATAATTGAAACTGACACTGAAGATGGGTAGAGTGGAAATCAAGTGGTGAGGGGCCAAATAAAATAAAACAAAAATAAAATAGGTGATTAAATCAATGGATTGTTGATTTCAGTGGATTTAAAGAATTATCAGTTCAGAATTATAGAGGAAATGTAAAGGAAGTAAGCAAAAGTGGTTAGAAAAAAGTTGCATGAAATTGAGATTCTTAATGATACGGAGTAATTGGTGATAGTAATGTCCAAGTTATGATCTTGAGGGAGTGGCTGAAATTCTGAAAAACTAGATTATTTAAGGAAATATCTAAGTAATTTAAGGATTAAGTCTCAGGATATTAAAATCAGCACAAATTAAGATGGTAGCCTTGAACCAAAGCTAGACCATGAAAGTAAATGAGAGTAAATGACCCTCAGGTTAGTAGATTACGACAACTGTGAGGGCTAGTGGATTTCACTGGTGATACAGTATTTAAAGCTGTGGGCTTTTATAAGGAGGGAGAGAGAATAGTAAATAAAGTGGAGCAATGAGGAGCAAGGACAACACCTACCACACCTAAAGGCCTGGTTACTTGAGAGCTGTGGGGCAAAAACAGACTGCCACCATTTGGGGTGGCTGCAGGGGAACAAAAACAGTGTTCTCAGGAAAGAGCCAGTTTGTAGTTAGAGCAAGAAGGTAAAGGAAACATTTAAAGCAAAGTCGAAGATTTAAAGTATTGTGCTGACAGACTAAGGAATTTTGTTCAGAAGCTAAACTAGAAATATTTTCTAAATATATCCTCTTATAGAAGATAATGAAATTATTTAGCATTTTTTTTTTTTTTTTTATTTGAGACAGAGTCTCGCTCTGTCGCCCAGGCTGGAGTGCAGTGGCGGGATCTCGGCTCACTGCAAGCTCCGCCTCCCGGGTTCACGCCATTCTCCTGCCTCAGCCTCCCAAGTAGCTGGGACTACAGGCGCGCGCCACTACGCCCGGCTAATTTTTTGTATTTTTAGTAGAGACGGGGTTTCACCGTTTTAGCCGGGATGGTCTCGATCTCCTGACCTCGTGATCCGCCCGCCTCGGCCTCCCAAAGTTATTTAGCATTTTAATTGAATAAATTTGAGTATAAAATCTGGTCACTTTTTGAACTGATAAAATTTGATGCTTCCCTTTTCAATATGTCAAAAATAACCTGGTAATTCAAAAAGGCTTTATGATTTAATAAAAGTCATTTTAAGCACTGGAACATTTTCATGTTCTTTCATTTATTTTCATTAAATTGATATCAGTGCACTACTAAGCCACATGTTTAAAATATATGCAGTTTTGATATTATAATAACAAATTTTAGTGCATAGGTTAACACTTGAATTGTTGTCTTTGGCTCTGTACTTAAATGTGAACATGATTGCACGCTTGATAAAAAATAATCCATAGCTATCTTCCACTTTTTGCAGGTCGCATTTTGGATAACAGCACAAAAGACCTCAAGTTTGCATTCACTAACCTAACACCATTTACAATGTATGATGTCTATATTGCGGCTGAAACCAGTGCAGGGACTGGGCCCAAGTCAAATATTTCAGTATTCACTCCACCAGATGGTAAGAACATAGGGAATGAGTGAGATATTTTTGGTATGCTTATGAACTTCATGAATTGGTAAAACATGATATTAGAAGCAATTTGTTTTACATTTACTTAAATCATGTTATTTCCTTATTAAATTACTACCTAATTCATTCTGAACATGTGTTCTCCAGAATGTTAAACTCATAGCATGCTTCATAATAAAAGGGACCCAAGATCAGGTAAGGTTAGGAAATATCATATGTAGTATTGGCCTGTTAGAGATTCACAATAAAATTTAGCAAAACCTCAAGAAGTCATAAGGTAAACAAACACATTTAGTATGGTTTAACTACATTTTTAAATGTGGAATCTATTTTTTCTCACAGAACTAGTATTTAGAAGAATTCCTATACTCCCAATTCTTTCAACAAAATATGTTTATAATCAAAACGGGATTCTAAGCAAGTGAAGATTCTGAGTGGATGTATGATATAGATTTACCAGCATTTACTGAAATTATGAAAACATTATTTTTCCTCAAGAAACTTCCTTATAAGTATTCATTAAACATCATTGTTTTAGGTGAACTATACTTTAAAAAGAATGTTTCCATACTATTTCACAACATATCTTTCAGGCCCACACTGAACTTGCTAAATGTCTTAATTTCTATTTAGGGATTGTAATTATGGACAAAAATAACAGTAAATTCTTATAACACATTAACACTTGGAAAAGTTTCCAGACTTTGTTTGTGTGGAAGCTAACATACAGTAACTTATAAATGAAATGTAGACATGTATACACACACACACACTCACACACACGCACACACACACACACACACACACACACACAGGTCATACATTCATCGTTCAAGCGTTTGACCATTAGAGGGCAGTAACTATTAGGAAATTTTGTACTTCTCCCCTTTAAAGAAACAACCATTGATATTTTTTTGAAAGAACATAAAAGTTACGTTTTATCTATTTCAGATGAAAATCCTGACATATATATAGTTTTAGAATACATATAAGAAAGTTGTACATACTCATAAGGAAAATGTTCTTTTTTTGTATTAAAATTTTACCTTTGTGTTTCTATCAGAAGAATCCTAGCATTGTGTAGCTTCTTCCTTAAATCTTAAGTTTTCCTCCATCTCCACCTAAAAACTGCTCTTAAGCATGTCCTAGGAAACTAGACAGATTTATGGACACTATCAAATAAAGCAGAGCCCTTGATTTTGGTCTTAATAGAGTTTTCTCAACCAACTCAATGTACCTATTGATTTCTATTCTTGTTATACAATTAAATACATCCTGAACTATTGTCTTCTTTCAAGACCAGCTGATTTTGGTGCTTCCAAATAGAATCCACAACTCAATAAACATATTTTTATTGTCATCATTCTTGGACTACAGCATGTGACAAAAATAGGGAAATAGATAATGCATATGCTGTGTACAATGTCATGTTATTTGTCTTGGATTATTTTAAAATTTACTTGCCTTAATTTCTACATTTTTTATCCACAAAAGAAGTAGAATCTTCAGGTCATAGTTCAGTATATTTCACAAGGCCTATTTTTCACACCAAATCATTTTAAGTAGATGACTCCATTTGCCCTCTATAAAAAGCAATTTGTCCTGTGTTTCATTCTGTTATCTTCCTGAGTCACTCCTCCTATAGATCACACCCTGGTGGGTCTTAGAGGGGCCTCCTGGCAACTGGTGGGTTCCACCAAAGGCAGGGTTGGCATGGTTCTTATATCCTCATGTCAGCCTTCATCCATGGAGTTCTCTTGGGATAGTTCAGCCACAGGAGCTGCCTCAATGGAATACTCTGGCAAATGCAGTAAATGTAGCTTTCTACTTCTGACACCACTAATTAATCCTGGTTTCAGTATTTAAAACTTTGAAATAAATGGATCTTTAAACTATATGAAAACAATGTGATAACTCATTAGAACTATCTTTCAATTTAAAAATGATTTCTTAATTTTATATTATCCTTTTCATTAATACAACAGGGTTTTTAGTATTCTAATTAAAGTTACTTAATTTAATTTCTTCTCCATATTTTAAACCAGTCTATCATCTATTTAAAAAATAATTAGGACTAGTTTGCTTCTTTTAAATTACCTTTTAAAACAATTGGTGCTCTTATAAATCTCCAGATACTCATAGAAAAATGTTGCATTGACCTCTTATAGAGAATGTTATGTGCTATTACATTACAGTGGAGTTGATTTCATTACCCCTGGGGATGTTACGGTCCATAGTCTACTTTGAAAGAAAATCAGCATCCTATTATTTTAGCAGTTCTCTTATGTATTTCCTAAGCCCTCTATATGTCTCTTAATATTTTGATGAGTAGATTTCTGCATAGGCATGAAAATAAATGATTTTGGAAAAAAAAGATAATAATCTCCAAAGCTATAAAATGTCATAGAGTTGCCTATTCCAAAATCAGATAATGCTGATGAATATAACATAGGCAACAGCATTCTTCTAAATTGTGTGAGGGGTAAAAAAAATAAGCAGACTGTGATGCTTCAATATTGTCTAACAACTTTTCTGTCAGGGTAGTTTAGCATGACCATTTCTTAAAAGCAGACAAATTTCTGAGATTCTTGTTTACTCCCTCTTAAACAGACTATGGCAGTGAAGACGTTTGTCCTCAGTGATTTAAACTTGTTACTTTCTGCAAATAGTAGTAAAATCTTTGCAGGAAAATAACTGAGAGCCTGCCAACTTTGTGTTTTCAGGATTTGCAATGGCTTTAATTTTTACTACTTGTTTTTCAAAATATACTTCTAAAGAAACTTTAATTTGCTAGATAATGGCAAAAATGATCTTAATGTATTTTCTTTTACCTCAATGCTGTTTGTCTCTATTTCATTTCTTCTCATAGTTTTTCATTTGAACACTTCAAATCATTTGGAATATATTTTAATAAATCATATGCTATTGTGTTTCTAATGCATTAGTAAAATTTATAAATATATTAACTCGAGAATAATTCTTAGGTAGTCCATGTATATAACACCTTCAAAATTAAAATTATTTTGCCATTATCTAGAAAATTCATCATCGAGCAGCATTAATTTTGAAGTTGGAGAAAATGGCATTGGGGTAAAGAAAATGTGAGATTTTTTTGGCCAAATGTCTAACTTATTTCTCATTTATTTGTAAAATTTGTAAATGTATCGACTTGAGAATGACTCTTAGGTATTTCCTGTGGACATCACCTTCAAAACTGATGCTGAACCATGAATAATTGAGTTGTGTGTTTGATTTTCTTTAGGTAATTTTGTATCAATATTAAAGTCTTCTCTAGTTTCCCCATAAGAATTTGTGGTCTAACAGATCAAGTATCTTTTTAAAGACAAGATACAATGCTGTTGACTCCATTTCCTTTATCCCCTAAGCTTAAATAGGAAAAAAAAGATAAGTTTATAGTCATTATTTTTATGCAAGTTTGAGGTACATTTTAAGGTAATATAGAACCACTTAATCTTTACCTGGATTGTAATTTTTGGCATTAAGTATCATGGGGCAACACTTACTAAGAAAGTAAGTATTGAATATATAGAATATATAGAAATATATATGCTAATTAAAAGATAAAAAATAGTGTCTGCTACTACTCTTGGTTTCACTAGCAAAATAAGAGACAGTAAAATATATATAGTTTTCTGCTGTCCTGCATAATATTTGATATCTAACACATTAGTGTGTTGCGTTGACTTGAACTGATCATTTCACTTATCTTTCAATAGGCAGGGTTTAGTTGCCTGATTAATATGATCAATGTAGTCATTAGCTGTTTTTTTTTTTTCAGTTGAGATTCTACATCAGTTCAAAATAAATGGAAAAAGTGCCAGATCTCCTCTGACTTAAGTTATGCAATACTGGCTATTGTTTTGTCTGCATAAAAACTGCAAAATAAAATTTTAAAAAGAGATGGAATAGGAGCTTTGCTATTTAAATAGCCATGTTATTTTACACCACACAATTAATTGGAAAGTTTCTCCACCCTTGAAAAATGCATATTGGTAAATTGCATATTGGTAAATATGATGATGCAAACATGAGCTCTAGGTACAATATATTTTAGTGAAATAAAACTCATACTAGAGGTGACCTGTGCAAAGGGCTTTATCTGTCTTATTCCTTCCTCTGTCCTCAAGTGCCTAGAACAGTGATCATATGATCAATGCTCAGTGTGTTGAATGATGAATGAATGGCCCAACGATTGTCACAATATCTAGGGAGTCTTTACCGGTTACTTCATGAAGACAAAGGAAAAAACTCAATCTATTGGATGAAAACTTTGTATAGTCATAGTTACTATAAAGCCAACTTAAGCATAATTATATTTGCTCATTATAAATAACATATATGGGAGTTATAAAATTATTTTTCAATTCCTTTCTGTTGTCTTAAAAAGAAAGGGGGTCATTTTTCCTTTGTTCCCTTTTAAGACTATATGCCTGTCTTCTAACTAGAATTTGCTAAACCTGTACCGCTGCCAGAGAGTTTAGGGAAATTAACTGAAAGTGTAACAACAATCTGATAATAAGGGATCATAATTTTATGCCATTTTCTCTTTCTTAAAAGTTTTAGAAATTTGAGAAATTTTCTTGAACTCTTTGTTCCTTATAGTAACCTGTATAGTAATAGGAAAGCTATAATGACACCCATTTTATAGATAAGGAAAGTAGAGGTTGGAGGGATGCATGAGCTATTCATAATCACAAGTTGAACTGTAAATAAAAATGATCAAAAGCCCAGGGGATATTTGTTTTTTGCCCGTTACTCCTGTGAAACTGGGAAGTTCCCTAGATGTCACTCTTAGTGACTTTACAACTAGAACTTGCTTTAAGTTCTTGGTACTTTATTTTAAACCAATTGTTAGTTTGTTCCTATTTTTATTTACTATTGCAATGAGTGAGGGCACCTGAAATTTGAAAATAACATGATTATTTTTAAAATATCAGAAAAAAATCAATCAACTCTTCAAACAATTTCATGTAATAAATTAAAACGCAGTCTAATTTAACTTACCAACTATATTTAATTGCATTCAGAGTCTTCTGGATATTAATTTTCAATCTGTTGTTATAATTTTTATGAAACCATCAAGATTTCAACTGGCATTAATTATCACCAAATAGGCAGATTCTCAAGAAAATTATTTTTATTAATTAATTTGTTTCAAACAAATGTTATGACTTTTATTTTGGAAAATTATTCTGTTATTCTGCTCCTTACTTACATTTCGAGAACAATGTTTAGAAATTTAGGCAAGATGGCCGAATAGGAACAGCTCCAGTCTACAGCTCCCAGCGTGAACGACGCAGAAGACGGGTGATTTCTGCATTTCCATCTGAGGTACCGGGTTCATCTCACTAGGGCCAGACAGTGGGCGCAGGTCAGTGGGTGTGCGCACCGTGTGCGAGCCGAAGCAGGGCGAGGCATTGCCTCACTCGGGAAGCGCAAGGGGTCAGGGAGTTCCCTTTCCCCTTGTCAAAGAAAGGGGTGATGGACGGCACCTGGAAAATCGGGTCACTCCGACCCGAATACTGCGCTTTTCTGACGGGCTTAAAAAACGGCGCACCACGAGATTATATCCCACACCTGGCTCGGAGGGTCCTACGCCCACGGAGTCTCGCTGATTGCTAGTACAGCAGTCTGAGATCAAACTGCAAGGCGGCAGCGAAGCTGGGTGAGGGGCGCCCGCCATTGCCCAGGCTTGCTTAGGTAAACAAAGCAGCCTGGAAGCTCCAACTGGGTGGAGCCCACAACAGCTCAAGGAGGCCTGCTTGCCTCTGTAGGCTCCACCTCTGGGGGCAGGGCACAGACAAACAAAAAGACAGCAGTAACCTCTGCAGACTTAAATGTCCCTGTCTGACAGCTTTGAGGAGAGCAGTGGTTCTCCCAGCACGCAGCTGGAGATCTGAGAAAGGGGAAACTGCCTCCTCAAGTGGGTCCCTGACCCCTGACCCCCGAGCAGCCTAACTGGGAGGCATCCCCCAGCAGGGGCACACTGACACCTCACATGGCCAGGTACTCCAACAGACCTGCAGCTGAGGGTCCTGTCTGTTAGAAGGAAAACTAACAAACAGAAAGGACATCCACACCAAAAACCCATCTGTACATCACCATCATCAAAGACCAAAAGTAGATAAAACCACAAAGATGGGGAAAAAACAGAACAGAAAAACTGGAAACTCTAAAAAGCAGAGCGCCTCTCCTCCTCCAAAGGAATGCAGTTCCTCACCAGCAATGGAACAAAGCTGGACGGAGAACGACTTTGACGAGCTGAGAGAAGCTTCAGACGATCAAATTACTCTGAGCTACAGGAGGACATTCAAACCAAAGGCAAAGAAGTTGAAAACTGTGAAAAAAATTTAGAAGAATGTATAACTAGAATAACCAATACAGAGAAGTGCTTAAAGGAGCTGATGGAACTTATAACCAAGGCTCGAGAACTACGTGAAGAATGCAGAAGCCTCAGGAGCCGATGCGATCAACTGGAAGAAAGGGTATCAGCAATGGAAGATGAAGTGAATGAAACGAAGCGAGAAGGGAAGTTTAGAGAAAAATGAATAAAAAGAAATGAGCAAAGCCTCCAAGAAATATGGGACTATGTGAAAAGACCAAATCTACGTCTGATTGGTGTACCTGAAAGTGACGGGGAGAATGCAACCAAGTTGGAAAACACTCTGCAGGATATTATCCAGGAGAACTTCCCCAATCTAGCAAGGCAGGCCAACGTTCAGATTCAGGAAATACAGAGAACACCACAAAGATACTCCTTGAGAAGAGCAACTCCAAGACACATAATTGTCAGATTCACCAAAGTTGAAATGAAGGAAAAAATGTTAAGGGCAGCCGGAGAGAAAGGTCGGGTTACCCTCAAAGGGAAGCCCATCAGACTAACAGCAGATCTCTCGGCAGAAACCCTACAAGCCAGAAGAGAGTGGGGGCCAATATTCAACATTCTTAAAGAAAAGAATTTTCAACCCAGAATTTCATATCCAGCCAAACTAAGCTTCATAAGTGAAGGAGAAATAAAATACTTTACAGACAAGCAAATGCTGAGAGATTTTGTCACCACCAGGCCTGCTCTAAAAGAGCTCCTGAAGGAAGCACTAAACATGGAAAGGAACAACTGGTACCAGCCACTGCAAAATCATGCCAAAATGTAAAGACCATCGAGACTAGGAAGAAACTGCATCAACTAATGAGCAAAATAACCAGCTAACATCATAATGACAGGATCAAATTCACACATAACAATATTAACTTTAAATGTAAATGGACTAAATGCTCCAATTAAAAGACACAGACTGGCAAATTGGATAAAGAGTCAAGACCCATCAGTGTGCTGTATTCAGGAAACCCATCTCACGTGCAGAGACACACATAGGCTCAAAATAAAAGGATGGAGGAAGATCTACCAAGCAAATGGAGAACAAAAAAAGGCAGGGGTTGCAATCCTAGTCTCTGATAAAACAGACTTTAAACCAATAAAGATCAAAAGAGACAAAGAAGGCCATTACATAATGGTAAAGGGATCAATTCAACAAGAAGAGCTAGCCTAAATATATATGCACCCAATACAGGAGCACCCAGATTCATAAAGCAAGTCCTGAGTGACCTACAAAGAGACTTAGACTCCCACACATTAATAATGGGAGACTTTAACACCCCACTGTCAACATTAGACAGATCAACAAGACAGAAAGTCAACAAGGATACCCAGGAATTGAACTCAGCTCTGCACCAAGTGGACCTAATAGACATCTACAGAACTCTCCACCCCAAATCAAGAGAATATACATTTTTTTCAGCACCACACCACACCTATTCCAAAATTGACTACATACTTGGAAGTAAAGCTCTCCTCAGCAAATGTAAAAGAACAGAAATTATAACAAACTATCTCTGAGACCACAGTGCAATCAAACTAGAACTCAGGATTAAGAATCTCACTCAAAACTGCTCAACTTCATGGAAACTGAACAACCTGCTCCTGAATGACTACTGGGTACATAATGAAATGAAGGCAGAAATAAAGATGTTCTTTGAAACCAACTAGAACAAAGACACAACATACCAGAATATCTGGGACGCATTCAAAGCAGTGTGTAGAGGGAAATTTATAGCACTAAATGCCCACAAGAGAAAGCAGGAAAGATCCAAAATTGACAGCCTAACATCACAATTAAAAGAACTAGAAAAGCAAGAGCAAACACATTCAAAAGCTAGCAGAAGGCAAGAAATAACTAAAATCAGAGCAGAACTGAAGGAAACAGAGACACAAAAAACCCTTCAAAAAATCAATGAATCCAGGAGCTGGTTTTTTGAAAGGATCAACAAAATACATAGACCACTAGCAAGACTAATAAAGAAAAAAAGAGAGAAGAATCAAATAGACGCAATACAAAATGATAAAGGGGATATCACCACCGATCCCACAGAAATACAAACTACCATCAGAGAATACTACAAACACCTCTATGCAAATAAACTAGAAAATCTAGAAGGAATGAATAAATTCCTCGACACATACACTCTCCCAAGACTAAACCAGGAAGAAGTTGAATCTCTGAATAGACCAATAACAGGCTCTGAAATTGTGGCAATAAGCAATAGCTTACCAACCAAAAAGAGTCCAGGACCGGATGGATTCACAGCCGAATTCTACCAGAGGTACAAGGAGGAACTGGTACCATTCCTTCTGAAACTATTCCAATCAATAGAAAAAGAGGGAATCCTCCCTAACTCATTTTATGAGGCCAGCATCATTCTGATACCAAAGCCAGGCAGAGACACAACCAAAAAAGAGAATTTTAGACCAATATCCTTGATGAACATTGATGCAAAAATCCTCAGTAAAATACTGGCAAAACGAATCCAGCAGCACATCAGAAAGCTTATCCACCATGATCAAGTGGGCTTCATCCCTGGGATGCAAGGCTGGTTCAATATATTAAAATCAATAAACATAATCCAGCATATAAACAGAACCAAAGACAAAAATCACATGATTATCTCAATAGATGCAGAAAAGGCCTTTGACAAAATTCAACAATCCTTCATGCTAAAAACTCTCAATAAATTAGGTATTGATGGGACGTATTTCAAAATAATAAGAGCCATCCATGACAAACCCACAGCCAATATCATACTGAATGGGCAAAAACTGGAAGCATTCCCTTTGAAAACTGGCACAAGACAGGGATGCCCCCTCTCACCACTCCTATTCAACATAGTGTTGGAAGTTCTGCCCAGGGCAATTAGGCAGGAGAAGGAAATAAAGGGCATTCAATTAGGAAAAGAGGAAGTCAAATTGTCCCTGCTTGCAGATGACATGATTGTATATCTAGAAAACCCCATTGTCTCAGCCCAAAATCTCCTTAATCTGATAAGCAACTTCAGCAAAGTCTCAGGATACAAAACCAATGTACAAAAATCACAAGCATTCTTATACACCAACAACAGACAAACAGAGAGCCAAATCATGAGTGAACTCCCATTCACAGTTGCTTCAAAGAGAATAAAATACCTAGGAATCCAACTTACAAGGGATGTGAAGGACGTCTTCAAGGAGAACTACAAACCGCTGCTCAATGAAATAAAAGAGGATACAAACAAATGGAAGAACATTCCATGCTCATGGGTAGGAAGAATCAATATCGTGAAAATGGCCATACTGCCCAAGGTAATTTACAGATTCAATGCCATCCCCATCAAGCTACCAATGCCTTTCTTCACAGAATTGGAAAAAACTACTTTAAAGTTCATATGGAACCAAAAAAGAGCCCGCATCGCCAAGTCAATCCTAAGCCAAAAGAACAAAGCTGGAGGATCACACTACCTGACTTTAAACTATACTACAAGGCTACAGTAACCAAAACAGCATGGTACTGGTACCAAAACAGAGATATAGATCAATGGAACAGAACAGAGCCCTCAGAAATAACGCCGCATATCTACAACTATCTGATCTTTGACAAACCTGAGAAAAACAAGCAATGGGGAAAGGATTCCTTATTTAATAAATGGTGCTGGGAAAACTGGCTAGCCATATGTAGAAAGCTGAAACTGGATCCCTTCCTTACACCTTATACAAAAATTAATTCAAGATGGATTAAAGACTTAAATGTCAGACCTAAAACCATAAAAACCCTAGAAGAAAACCTAGGCAATACCATTCAGGACATAGGCATGGGCAAGGACTTCATGTCTAAAACACCAAAAGCAATGGCAACAAAAGACAAAATTGACAAATGGGATCTAATTAAACTAAAGAGCTTCTGTACAGCAAAAGAAACTACCATCAGAGCGAACAGGCAACCTACAAAATGGGAGAAAATTGTCACAACCTACTCATCTGACAAAGGGCTAATATCCAGAATCTGCAATGAACTCAAACAAATTTACAAGAGAAAAACAAACAACCCCATCAAAAAGTGGGCGAAGGACATGAACAGACACTTCTCAAAAGAAGACATTTATGCAGCCAAAAGACACATGAAAAAATGCTTATCATCACTGGCCATCAGAGAAATGCAAATCAAAACCACAATGAGATATCATCTCACACCAGTTAGAATGGCAATCATTAAAAAGTCAGGAAACAACAGGTGCTGGAGAGGATGTGGAGAAATAGGAACACTTTTACACTGTTGGTGGGACTGTAAACTAGTTCAACCATTGTGGAAGTCAGTGTGGCGATTCCTCAGGGATCTAGAACTAGAAATACCATTTGACCCAGCCATCCCATTACTGGGTATATACCCAAAGGACTATAAATCATGCTGCTATAAAGACACATGCACACGTATGTTTATTGTGGCACTATTCACAATAGCAAAGACTTGGAACCAATCCAAATGTCCAACAATGATAGACTGGATTAAGAAAATGTGGCACATATACACCATGGAATACTATGCAGCCATAAAAAATGATGAGTTCATGTCCTTTGTAGGGACATGGATGAAATTGGAAATCATCATTCTCAGTAAACTATCGCAAGAACAAAAAACCAAACGCCGCATATTCTCACTCATAGATGGGAATTGAACAATGAGATCACATGGACACAGGAAGGGGAACATCACACTCTGGGGCCTGTTGTGGGGTGGGGGGAGGGGGGAGGGATAGCATTGGGAGATATACCTAATGCTAGATGACGAGTTAGTGGGTGCAGCGCACCAGCGTGGCACATGTATACATATGTAACTAACCTGCACAATGTGCACATGTACCCTAAAACTTAAAGTATAATAATAAAAGAAAAAAAAGAAATTTAGTATTAAATATCCATGTATTTAAAGACATTTAATTTAACAAAAATTTATTATACTTTCAGTTCTGGGGTACATGTGCAGAACGTATAGGTTTGTTACATAGGTATACATGTGTCATGGTGGTTTACTGCACCCATCAAAGTGTCATCTACATTAGGTACTTCTCCTAATGCTATCCCTCCCCTAGCCCCCCACCCACCGACAGGCCCCGGTGTATGATGTTCCTCTCCCTGTGTCCATGTGTTCTCATTGTTCAGCTCCCTCTTATGAGTGTGAACATGCGGCGTTTGGTTTTTTGTCCTTGTGATAGTTTGCTGAGAATGATGGTTTCCAGCTTTATCCATGTCCCTGCAAAGGACATGACCTCATCCTTTTTTTAAGACTTATTTAATTTTTAACAAAATAAATTGTTTTTGTCTATTTTCTTTCTTTCTTGTTTTTTGTTTGTTTGTTTGTTTGTTTGTTTGTTTGTTTTTTGATGGAGTCTTGCTCTTTCTTCCAGGCTGGAGTGCAGTGGTGCAATCTCCACTCACTGTAACCTCCGCCTCTTGGGTTCAAGCAATTCTCCTGCCTCAGCCTCCTGAGTAGCTGGGATTACAGGCACGCACCACCATGCCTGGCTTATTTTTGTATTTTTTAGTAGAGATGGGGTTTCACCATGTTGGTCAGGCTGGTCTCGAACTCCTTACCTCAGGTGATTGGCCTCCCTTGGCCTCCCAAAGTGCTGGGATTACAGCCATGAGCCACCGCACCTAGCCTAGTCTGTTTTCTAATAGAATTGTTTATATATCTTAAATTGTGAACTAAGAATTTAGGCACTTTTTTCACTTGAAAAAATATTTTTAATTTCCCCCTTTTCTTTTCTTTCTTTCTTTCTTTCTTAGTTCCAGGGGCAGTGTTTGATTTACAACTTGCAGAGGTAGAATCCACGCAAGTAAGAATTACTTGGAAGAAACCACGACAACCAAATGGAATTATTAACCAATACCGAGTGAAAGTGCTAGTTCCAGAGACAGGAATAATTTTGGAAAATACTTTGCTCACTGGAAATAATGAGGTATTGCATTTTTATTTCACTTATTGGTGAACCCTTTCTGCTTGGTTCTGGCTCTGATAGCTTGGAAGATTTGCTAGCACCCACACATGTAATATTTGACCACTTACTAGTACAAAGTAAAGTAAATTTGGGGCATGTTGATAATCTAGCTAGATCATATTTCATTTTAGGTTATATATTATTAGTTAAGTGCTATTATTCCTTTTCATCATATGAAAAATGTTAATTGTGCAATTAAACAGGACTAAAGGTATTTTCATAAGTTAATATTATTTTTCTAAATTAGTTAATGAATTGTTCGGAAACTCTTGTTATGATTTAAGTGCTCCTTCAAAGGCTGTGCTTGCAATTTGGAACAGTTGCCAGTGAAAGGCACAGTAACTTTAGTAGCTGTTGTTGACAAATGATTCTGTTCTATTTGGTCTTGGGAAGCTAAATTTCTCAAAGCTGCCTCTTTTTTTTTTTCAAAGTACATTTGATTAAGAGTCACATTACTAAATAAAAGAAATTTAAGTCGTTTCATAGATTTTAAATAAGAGGACCAGGATCTTTAGGCAATGTGTTTGCTTCTATTCACACTGGAAGTCTTATTTTTTTCCTTTTGTTTCTGTTAGGAAGTACAGGCAACACTGATTTTTCTTTCCACTGTCTTTGTTCACCTCACTTCATCAACTGTTCACCTGTGAGACTCTTTCAGCCTCCAGGCTAGTCATGTCCAGATACTGGCTGCTCCCCGGGGCATTCAAAGAATAAACTTCCTTAGGACCAGTGCAGCAATCACTGGGCCTTAAAGACAAACACGATAGTTATTCAGCACCTGGCGTCTGCTGTGTTGTTTCAGAATTGCTGCTGCTTCTACCTGTGCTGTTATTTTCCCCCACACATGCTTTCATTCTATTTCTAGTCCCAGCCTTCCTCTATTTCTGGCACTTACCTGTATGTGACAGTTGACCTCACCATGTGCTCAATGCATTCTGGCCACCCAGGACTTATCACTCCAAGTTGCTCACCATCTTCAACCCAGGGTTAAATTTTAATCCTATGTTGATTCCTTTCCTCTGTGCAAAAGATGTTGAATTATGCTTTCTGTGATACTCTGGTTGACAACTCAGGCAAAGGGCAAAAGCTTAACCCTTTGCTCCTGCTGAGAAGGTCTTAAATTAGATACTGAGCTTTCCTAGTACTAGATGACAGGTTTCCCACTTCTGCTAATGACATCTGTTGAATGGGTGGCCACACCTGTTTTTCCATGAAGCTAAGAGGTTCTAGAAAGGCTTTTTTTTTGTGATTCTGTCTCTATCTGGTCTGCAATTCTCGTCTCATAGTAGAGAGCTCATGAGCTTTGGAGACGTACAAATTTGGATTTAAATTATGATTTTGTCTCTCACTGTGCTATATAGCAAGTGGTTAAGACTGTAAACCAGGTTTAAACTCTAGTTCTGCCATTACTAACTGTTTAACCCTGGAAAAGTTGGCCTGAGCTCTCTGAACATCAGTTTCTTCTTCTCTAAGATAGTGATTATAAGTCCCTATAACAAAGGGTTAATAATGAGAATTTAATGGGTTCATGTGTGTAAAGAGCTTAGAACTGTACCTGGCATATAGTAAGTGCTGTGCTAAATAATTGTGACCTATTGTGATCATTAATCTTGGCATAGGATCATCCACCTTAGTTGCTACCCAATATTACTTCCCTTATACTCTCTCAATGAAAGGAGACATTATGCTTCTCTTTACTTCTCTGATTATATCTTTCTTTATTAGATCAGACTCATTTCTGATATTTCTGCTTCCCCATGTAGCTGGTGTTTGGGTTTACCTTTCAGGAGATTGATGTGGGGAGACAGATATGACAGAAGCTTTAAATCCAAATGGCCCTGGGTTCTTGGCCTGACTCTGCCGTGTTCTAGGTCTATGACCTTAGAAAAATCAACTTTTGGAGACTTGGTGCCTTCATTTATATAATGGGGCTTATATAGCCACCTTACAGGGTTGGGAGTAAATGACATAAGAAATACAACTTGTGGCTTAGTGTGTTCTTCATTTGTTTTTCCTTTCTTTGACCTTGGTACCTCTCTCAGGATGAGGACTCTCTTCCCATTTCTATTGATCTTCTGAAAAAGTAGCCTCATTCCCCAACTCAAGAACTCTTTAAATGCTTGAAATCTTATTAGAAGTCACCAGTGACCTCCCCAGTGTGCAACACAAGAATTAAATATTTTTAACCACCCTTGTGTTCTTATCTCCTTCAAAATCCATCCCTCTGTCCCCCCACTTTTCAGCTTTTGAAACTATTTGTTCCTTAATACTTTCTGCAATTTTATGTACTGTGACATTGCAATTCTTTGGCCTTGCACAATTAAAAATGAAAGTTCAAAAAGCTAACTCTCTCTATTTTCTAACTTTTTAGTGAAGATGTTCCACAGAGCTTTGGTTTCAGCCATCTCATAACATTTTCTTTTGAAGACCTAACAGTTTCAATCACTGCTTCCTATTTGTCTGACTCTTTTGCCTTACTTTCTACTCTGATCCTTCTCTCTGACGCTCTGGATTCCTAATTGCAGCCATTTGTGGGAAGAGTCCACCAGGGCTCATTACATCTAAATAAATTTCTCCCCATAAAACAAAACAGAAATCTTCTCTGAGATAATAGGGGCTTCATGATGGGAGGGAAGATGTGACATTGGAATGAGGACAGAGATCTTGGGACAGTGATAGTGACCTGTGCAGGTTCCCACAGGGCACCCATAAGGTCTGTCCAGGCAATTAATAGTGTCAGTGTGTCAAGAATAAGGCCTAAAGAGCGGCTGACTTGAAGTCTTGGTACCTGGGTTTAGAATTTTCTAATCCCTCTGACTGGACATAACACAAATCTCTGACCTCAAGGTCATTGTCTAAGAAACCATGGTCCAGAAGGCTTTAAGAGTGAGCATTTATGGCATTGATATATGTCTGATGTTTGTCTTTTTGGATAATGGAACAATTATCCTCTCTGTCATGAAGGCTTGAAACCTTGGAGTCACTTCTGACTTAGATCCTACTTAGCATTCAATAGCCACTTAATGTTAAGGTCAGTTATTTCTACATCCAGAATGTGACTTGCATATGTCTTTATTTTATTCCTGTATCCCCCACTTCAGCTCAGGATTGCATAGTCCCTTGCCTGGACTACTGTTATCTCACTATATTAGTTTTCCATTGTTCCATAACAATTTTCCACAAACTTAGCAGCTTAAAACAATTATAATCGCGCAGTTTCTTTGGGTCAGATGTCTAGGTACAGCTTAGATTGGTTCTCCTCTTAGAGTCTCATAAGGCTGCAAGTAAGAAACTAGCTGAGCTGTGTTCTCATCTGGAGGCTTGACTAGGGAAGAATCTACTTGCAGCCTCATTCAGGTTTTGGCAGATTTTATTTCCTTTTGGCTTTAGAACTGAGGGCCCTGGATTCTTGCTGGCTCTTGGCTGGAGAATCCCCTTAGTGCCTTACAGTTGTTTTTTTTTTTGTCCCATGTGGCCTTTTTCAACATGGCCATTTACTTCATCAAGCTAGTAAGAAGGGTCTATATAATGTGATCATGGGAGAGACATGTTATTCCTTTTGCCTTATTCTATTGGTTAGATACAAATCATAGGTCCCAACTAACTAAAGAAGAGGAGATTTTACAAAGCAGGAACAACAGGAGGTGGGTATAGTGGGTATCTACCTGAGAGGCCATGCACTACACTCCCCCAGCCTACTATTTTATATTTCAAACACTTATTAGAATAATCCTTCCAGATTTAAGTATGTTATTTACATTATGAAAGTAACCTAATAAGAATTGAGAACAGATGACGAAGGTATATATGTGTTTAAGTAACCTAACTCTTCACTAGCATTGCAGAAAATCAATAGATTCTAAAAATGAGTGTTAACAGAGCAGTATATGCATATTATTTAGTGTTTTAGGGGTAAACACCATAAGAACTGAAAACAGGAGTGGTTTAAAGTGTTGCTTCTGGGAAGTAAGAGGTAGGGAGGGTATAAACAGGGAATTGTTATTTTCATTATAAACCCTTCATCATCTTTTTTTGTAGCCATGTAGATATAACATGATGATTAAACTTAAAAATATAACCCTCCTATGCTAGGCATGATTTGATCTCATTACCCTTATTGAATTTTTTTCCAGTGAATCCCATGATCTATTTGTTTCTGAATAAATATGGATTATTTAAACAAGCTGAAATATGTATAAGATTTTACTGTTAATATTTAAACAAATATTTGAAAATTACATTAGCAAAATGAGTCTCAGGGTTTGAGATCTTTTATTTCAACTTCCACACTTATATATGTATCTGATCTATAACATTCCTAATAAATGAGGTGAATCCAGCCTCTGCTAAAATATTTGATCAACTGTTATAGGATATCTACCACTGCAAAAGTAGCTCCTATCCTATAAGCTTTGAAGTATTCTTTGTTATGGTCCCATAAGCATCTATTTCTTAAGTAATCATGAGGTTTTAGGCACTCTGTTAGGTACAGAAACCCATAGATGAATAAGAAACTACGGTGTTCTTTACTTTGAACTGAAATACCTGTCTTTTAATTTTCATCAGTTCGTCCTAAGTCTCCTCTCTAGACCAACACAGTAGATTCCAGTGGTTATGAACATGAACTTTGGAGCCAGGAAAAATGTTCCAATCCTACCTCTGCTGTCACTAGTTTTGTGAACTTGAACAGATGACTGTAAAATGGAGATAAAAATCATCTATCTCTTTGGGGGGACAATAAAGCAAGATCACATGAGTAAAAGTATTTAACACTCTGTAACACACAGTAGCTTAAAATGTTAGCCTTTGCAGTAACAACAATAATAAACAATGATTTAACTCTTTCTCATTGAAGATAATGGTCAGAGTTTTCCGAAGACTTAATATCCTTAGTTTTTATTAGTCATGGCTTCTAGGTCCTTCATATCATGGATTATATTCCTGTGCATATTTTCCAGTTTGTCAAGGATCCTCTTACTCACTTGAACACAATATTCTGTATGGAGTTTGAATGGAGCCAAATTGAGCATAATTATTTTCTCCTTCGAAGTAAATTTCTTCCTTCTTTCAAAACAGTGAAATAAAAAAAAATCATTTCATTGGGAGCCTCATTCCACTGAGACTGAAGTCTAAAAAACCCTGAAGTCATTTCCGTGGACTGCTCTTTGCTTGAACTTCACAGTCAGATCCCATCCAGTACTTGTTCAATTAGAAACCTGAGACATTTTTCTCCAACAGACATATTGCTGCCTAGTATTACAGACTTCTGAGATTGATATAGATGCATCTTTTCATCCAACATATTCCTTGAGAATATCAACGTTTGTCACTGGTGAATGTAAGAAGAAAGTCTTGTGCTAAGGGCTTGGCTGGTTGCTAGGAATGAGGCTGAGGACAGAACCCAAGAGTAGTTTAGGAATGTCTTGAGATAGGTTTATTTTATTCAGCATTAGGAACATAAACGGAGTCAAGACTTAAAGATCTGTTCACCTGAATAATGTGTTGAATGATACGGTATCCTTCAGAAAATTTCCCAGCATATGCTAATTAAAAAAATTTTTCTTTTTACCACTTCTTGATAACAGCACAAATCATGTTTTAGTCTACATTAAAATATAGAAGCATTTCTTAAGAATAAGTCAAACATTTCATTAATTCAATTCAGCAGACCTCCAGTGACCCCAAACTGATAGATGTGATAGGGTTTTTTAGAAAATACAATTACATTCACTATAATGAAGATTACTACATGTAAAATCAAGTTGGTTTATTCAGGTGGATTAGGAATTTATCTCTGAAGACTCCTAATTCTTTCACATAAATTCCAAGAATTCCTGGGCAGCATAGGCAAGGCCTTTCATGTTGACAAATTGTGACATTCCCTAACTCAATGGTGCTCAACCAGCGGCAGTTTTGCTCTCCAAGAAACATGTGTTAATCTTTGAAGACATGTTCATTGTCACAACTGAGGTAGCTGGGGGCCAGGGAAGCTGCTAAACATCCTACAATGTACAGGACAGCCTCCGCAACAGAAAAATATCTAATTCAGAATGTCAGTAGTGCTGAGGTTGGGAACCCTGTATTAAATCAGTGAGTTGCGAATTTTTAGGTGTTGCAATGGACTTTTTTCCCTCCTATTTCTCTCATTTCTACTGCTGCTTCTCTCTGCCCCTTCCCACTACTCTCTTAAGTCCAAATTCTTTCCCAACATTTTTGCTTTTAATATTATTACTTTTTTTCTCATTATGAAAACTTAACTATCATCTAACCTAATGTCTTTTCTTAAGAGGTTAAGTGTGAGAAATATTTGCAACATGACACACTTAGTGATAACATTCTGGGTTGTTACAAAGCCAATGTTCAAATCATTGCCCAAGTTATGGAGGGTTTTTCTAATGTCAGAATATCAGAATTTGAGAGTCATTCACATAGTCAAAAGCATTCGGGTCAACTCTCACTTTGAAATGGTAGTTTGTCAGCAGAGATGCTTAACATATGTAATTGATGGGATGTTATGCTTTAACTCTCCATAATTTGTCTGACATGGGATAGAAAATATTGAGAGATTTAATGCAAAACCATAGTTGAGGGGGAAATTCTTTGTGCTACCTCACTATAGTTCATTCTATAGTGCTTTGTACACAGTAGATTTTCAAAGGGTGACTGATTGATAGTGGAAACAGCTGTGTGGTTTGGGCATAAAGTATTGACTGCAACACCAGAGCTTCTCTGAGTTATGTGTTTGTGATTCCTGCCCTCCCTAATTTCCCTGTGGAGGCAGTGCTGAAGTGAGCTGTTGTAAGACAGAAGATCTTTACTTTGTCCCATACAAGGACATAGGAACAAACCCATATAGAGTTCCCTATCCATAGTTCTTTATCACAACTTTTAAAAAGTAGCTTTTATGGGAAACCTGTTGCTTTTCATGACAGCACTTTTCTGGGTAGAGTTGTAACAAGATTTAGACAATTGCATTTTGTAAATATTTGGAGGAATGAAGATTTTTTGACTCATTTCTCCATTCTTTTATCTTTCAGAAGAATTAATATTTAAGTAACTTGCCATTGTAGATAGTTAACTGAAATGCCATAAAATTTCTTGCTTTACTGAACTTTTTCCTGAGCACCTACTTTCTTTTTTGGAAAGTATTAAGTGCTTTGATATTCCTAAGGCCTAGAAAACCTGTTTTTGGCTCTCTGAGTGAAGACAACTCCAAAACATGTAAGATAATTAAAAGACAGATATACCAAAACTTATAAACAACTGAAACCTATATTATGAATTAATATAAACTCTGAGGGTAAAAGAGCATGGAATTGATAAGGAATAGAATTTTTTTAAAAAAAGGGGTTTTGGAGGTAAGTTTTGAAGCAGAACTTGAAAAAAATTAGTAAAAGAGAGTAGATTTTTCAGCATATTCTTTTTTCAAAACTGTTTGATTTTGGAAAATTTTGAACAGGTTTAAAAGTACAGAAAAGAGTCTAATAAGCCTCCATATACCTGCCACCTGGATTCAGTAATCATCAATAGGCTGCCATTCTTGCCTCCGGTTTTTAAATAAATTCCAGACTTAACATCATTTTGTTCCTATATGCCTAAGCACGAATTTCTAAAAACCATGGACATTTCCACCCATAAAATAATGCCATGACCACAATGAACAAAATTACTAATACCATCCTGGTATCATTTAATACCTAGAACACATTCAGATTTCCTTGATTATCTTCACATCCTATGTTGATTAGGTATGTTCTAATTAGACTCCAAACAAAGCAACATTTTCTTTGATTAATGTGTAGTCTTATTTCCAAAGTCAACATTCTACACAAATATCCAATATTATTTGGCCATAACACCTTTTCCCCATTTTGTTTCAATCAATTATGCTAGTGGGGATGAAGAAATGAGAATCATCTAGTTAGCTCAATGAAAACCTCTACTGTATTCATCCATAATCTGTTCCTGATGTTTTCACCTCAGTGTTTGCCATTTTGGTGAACTTGACATGTGTGAATTACATTATAGGATCTAGGAACAATTGCAGTTACTTTAAATATTCCTTATGTCCAGAGTCTTGACAGGTATGCCATGAATCCTGTGTGAAAACTATTAATATTACCATGTAGTTTTATTCTGGTATGTAACTTCACTCTATTATAAACTATTATCATTAATGTATATCAAGCAGGCATATAGACCTCTCATGTATGGTATACAAATGAGGACAGGTAATTAGAAAAGCAAAACACATTCTAATACATCAGTATGCCTAGAACACTTACCATTTGGGGGTGATCAGTTACAATATCTCAGTCATGAAACCTTTGCATGAGGACGTCTTATCTTACCATAAAGAAACCAACTCAAGTCAGAACAAAATCTGTTTCTTCCCAAAATACAGTATTGTTCTCTTAGGAAATACAATGATCACAATGTGTTACAATGATTCAGGGTATTAGTAGCCGGAGAATGAAATTTTGGAATCTAAAGAAGACAGTGGTCATGGAAATATGTTATCTTTTATAACAGCATGATTCCAAAGTTATAGGTTTTTTAGAACTAATACTTGATTTAAGTCATGAAGTGTAACTGTCACAGTCTTTTAAAATATCTACTTTTAATTACAGTATATAAATGACCCCATGGCTCCAGAAATTGTGAACATAGTAGAGCCAATGGTAGGATTATATGAGGGTTCAGCAGAGATGTCGTCTGACCTTCACTCACTTGCTACATTTATATATAACAGCCATCCAGATAAAAACTTTCCTGCAAGGAATAGAGCTGAAGACCAGACTTCACCAGTTGGTAGGTAGAATTTTGATTTTCTATAAAGTTCATTTAAACCACCAGTGCTAGCTAGCACAGAAATGAACCTAAGCTTAGAGTTCAGCCATATTATTAATGGTCTTTGGGCTGGAGTCGGATTTTTTTTTAGCTGTCGGAAAACCTCATGCAACAAATGGAAATGCCACACAGGCAGAAGCTGGCCCCTCCTAACCCATTTGACCTTCTTCCTGGAGAAAGTAGCACCCTAGAGTCTCTGGCCAAGCTGCATAGACAATCAGTTATTACAGTTGCCAAAGCAGGTGTGATGGGAAGGGATTAACATATCTTCAAATCATTTACAGGCCTCACATTCTCTACAGCTTTTGACTAATAGGTTTTCAAGTGTCACTAAAGGTAAATAGGTCAGAAAGTTACAAATCTAGTGCATGGTGTGATAAACAGGTGTAGGTGACCCCAACGATGTGGTGATGTCATTAGTGTATACACTTGCTCTTCAGTGTCAGTGGCTCTTACAGTTTCTAAAAGGAGAATGTCATAAGTGGCAAATTAAAAATACTCACCTGACACATATTATCTCTCTAGTTTTTCTAAAATGTTAAATGAGAAAAACATTTTATTACCTTTTCTCTAATTTGGTACTTGTCCCATTCAAAATTAAAAGTGTTATTCTATTTATGGTAGAATTAGTAAAAAAAAATCACATTACATTCAATAGATGTTTATATTTCACTTACTGATCCATTTTTCTTGTGCAAAGAAGACTGGAGGGCAACACTGAAAATTAAGAGTCCCATGATTTCTGATGCAGACATTCCCTTAAATATTTCAAGTTTGGCCTAATTGCTACTTAAGAGTTTTAGAAGCACAAATTCTAAATAAAGCGAAAATCTAACATTTGAAATTCTTCTGGGATATTTATTTGTCAGTTATCCAAGCATGCTTGCTTTCAAGAATTATTTGGTTTACTGAATGTATGAACATATGGTGAAATTTGAGTCCAAATAAAACTCTTTATTTATTTAACTCTTTTACTAAAACCTGGTATTGATTTATAATATCTCAATTATATATTTCTTTAACTCTTCTACTAAATCCTGGTATTGATTTATAATATTTCATTTATATATTATTGCCTACTCTTTCTTTTCAGAAAACATTCCTAACCAGCCTCTTTAAGAAAGTTGTTTTCTTAAAAACACTAATGTCATGTTTCAGAGTAATGTGTAAAAACTAACAAAATTATATTATGAACACAAAATGTTTGTGGTTATTATTGGGAGGTACTCAGAAATTCATAGTAATATTCAATACGATCTCTAAAATTAATATTTTTATGTTTACTATTATTACACACCTAACTTTAATAGAGGTGTGCATGGAGAGATTAATGAATACGGAGAAATCAGGTTTAAGATTTTATAGTCTAAGAAAAAAATAATTTTGATTGTGAAGCCAAACACCTTTCTTTTTTTCTCTTTTTACTGAATTCAAACAGTAACTACAAGGAATCAGTATATTACTGACATTGCAGCTGAACAGCTGTCTTATGTTATCAGGAGACTTGTACCTTTCACTGAGCACATGATTAGTGTATCTGCTTTCACCATCATGGGAGAAGGACCACCAACAGTTCTCAGTGTTAGGACACGTCAGCAAGGTAAGGATGTATTTCCTTTGAAACAATTAACTGCAAATATTGCTGTTGTACACTGTGATACTTTTTTTTCATTCATATGTTCATTCTTCTTTTTAAGTGCCAAGCTCCATTAAAATTATAAACTATAAAAATATTAGTTCTTCATCTATTTTGTTATATTGGGATCCTCCAGAATATCCCAATGGAAAAATAACTCACTATACGATTTATGCAATGGAATTGGATACAAACAGAGCATTCCAGATAACTACCATAGATAACAGCTTTCTCATAACAGGTAGAAAACAATGTTTTGTTGTTGTTGTTGTTGTTCATTTTACATTTCTATTCTGGTGGAAAATATGCCCATCTCCCTGTGCCTTATATACTACAGAACACATGCTATGTCACTTCATATTTTGTTGTTTTGTGTCACCATGAATCTTTTTAAAATACCTGCATACATAACTCGATTAAATGTGTTTTTCTTTTACTAGATTTACCCACAATGAAGTAAAAAGCATCAGATCACAAGCTTCATAGAAATTTACTTAACTGAAGGAATACTGTATCTGGTATATCAAAATAACTCATTATTGAAGACTAAAATGTACGAATGCAAAAATCAGCTGAAGTAATTCAGCTGACATGGTATTTGTGCCAAGTCAACTATACACCCTGCAGTGTGCCAAAAAGTTACTTTTGCAACTTTAAATTATTGCCTTAATATTTTAGGAGAGAACTTGAAGTCACCAACATGGAAAGGCCTATAAGCCCAAGAATTTGAGGAGACTGCAATTATTTGGAAGCGATATAGATATCTAGTCCCCCGTATAAATTCTTCTTACTGGCCTTATATTAAATGGCACCAATCCCAAGAGTATTATTTTAAGGACATTAAACAGTTTGTCTCTTGTCCTTATAGGGTTAAAGAAATACACAAAATACAAAATGAGAGTGGCAGCCTCAACCCACGTTGGAGAAAGTTCTTTGTCTGAAGAAAATGACATCTTTGTGAGAACTTCAGAAGATGGTAAGAATATCAATTGCAGCTTTAATTTTTTTAAAAAAGTGGTTGTAAATGCTCACTGCCTTCACTTCATGCTACCTCTAGGGTCTAAAGCAACAAACATCAATAAAAATATAGGTACTACAAATGTTCTTTTCTTCCCCTAGAACCGGAATCATCACCTCAAGATGTCGAAGTAATTGATGTTACCGCAGATGAAATAAGGTTGAAGTGGTCACCACCCGAAAAGCCCAATGGGATCATTATTGCTTATGAAGTGCTATATAAAAATATAGATACTTTATATATGAAGAACACATCAACAACAGACATAATATTAAGGAACTTAAGACCTCACACCCTCTATAACATTTCTGTAAGGTCTTACACCAGATTTGGTCATGGCAATCAGGTATCTTCTTTACTCTCTGTAAGGACTTCGGAGACTGGTGAGCTTTTGTTTTCTTTGTTTGTTTAATAATACACAGTGATATAGTAAGCAAAGCTGATAATCGCCATGTTGTTTACATTTTACATAACCTAAAATCCCTCATTATTTTGTTTTATATAATCCAGAAATTAATTTTCTTTTTCAGGCAAAAGTGCAGGAAAAGGTTTATTGTACAAATTTTTAAGTCTGATTTATATAAGGGAACTTCTAATCAAAATCTGTGAATTTTCAAATGAAAAGACCTTGAGAAACCAAGGATTCTTTCAATGTACCTATAAATTTTAGATTGAATGGCTACTTGCTTTCGAGTTAGGTAAAACTGAGACATACTCATAGGAATAGATTCTGAGATTCTAATGAGGTATGTGTATAGATAGTGATGCAGAGTGGGAGCACAAAAATGGCATGCCTGGAGAAGACTTATGGAGGAGACAGCATTTGGCCTGGATCTTAATGAGGAGGTTGGAATGGGCAGAAGGATGTTATAGAGCAGGGGTCCCCAACCTTTTTGGCACTGGGGACCAGTTTCATGGAAGACAATTTTTCCCCTCCCTCCGGACTAGGGAGGGGAGTGAGGTTGGTTTCTGGATGATTCAAGCACGTTACGTTTGTTGTGCACTTTATTTCTATTATTATTACATTGTAACATATAATGAAATAATTATACAACTCACCATAATGCAGAATCAATGGGAGCCCTGAGCTTGTTTTCCTGCAACTAGATGGTCCTATCTGGGGGGTAATGGGAGACAATGACAGATCATCAGGCATTAAATTCTCATAAGAAGCACACAACATAGATCCCTTGCATGGGCAATTCACAATAGAGTTTGCGCTCCAATGAAAATCTAATGTCGACACTGATCTGACAGGAGGCAGAGCTCAGGCAGTAATTCAGGCGATAGGGAGTGGCTGTAAATACAGAAGCTTTATGATGCTCACCTGCTGTGTGGCCCAGTTCCTAACAGGCCACCAGCTGGTACTAGTCCGTGGCGCTGGGATTGGGGACCCCTGTTATAGAGGTTGCTGGATGGGTTGGGAGAGGATATCCCATCTAAAGGAAGTAAAACAAGCAAGGAATTACTTGTGTTTTAGTTTCGGTGAAACTAGAGTAAGACAGTTTGTCTGTTAATCTTATTTTGTTGTTTATATTGTGTTATAATTATATATTGGTGGCATAACTATTAGGCCAATTCTACAATGTATTTTGAGAATTAATAACTAAATATAAAGTTACTATTTTAATTGTACGTTTAAAACAATAAATATTTACTGACTAGATACTGGTGGAACCACATGAAATAATTTTTATAGGTCACAAATGGCCAAATATCAGCAATTTCATATAGTTCAGCCAGATACTATATACGAATTTCTGTCTTGACCTTGAGGATCTAGAAATCTAGTAAAGTAGCTTACTTTTGTAGAAAAGGATCCTGTTGAGACTATTCACAGAAATGAATACAATGAGATGATACAAAAGAGCCCATAGATAATGGCAGTAGTTGAAAGTGCAGGAATAAGAAAGTAATGAAAGGAGCATTTTACATTATCAAGAGCCTTGAAGTGACACTTAATTGATATTAATCCATATATTGGCATGTTTCATTGCTTTTGTAGATATTGTACCTGAAATAAGTATTTTTGAGAAAAATGTCTGCTCTTTAATGACTCAGTTTTATTTTGCAGTGGATTAAGGAAATGAAACAAGCATATTTTTAGCACCTATTAAGGGTCACGGGCCCTGTTGATAGGTTTCACAGAAACTGTCTTTTAAAAATTCTAAACTAAAGCAATACATTATTGTTATCTTCACAGAAAACTAAGTCTAACGAAAAATGGAGGGTTTGAGAGGTTCATTCATTCAAAAAATATTTATAATATACCAGGCCTTACTGGGGATAAAGTAGTGTAGAAGAAAAGGATTTCCTTCCCTCCTTAAGTTTTATTAGTTGGTGGGTGTTTCATTGCCTAATGGCACCAGCTGGAAAGTGATCAGCTGGAAAGTGATGAGCTGGAATTAGAATCCAAACCCATCTGACTGTAAAACCCATTTCCCTTTCACAGCACATGCTGTTTTTGAAGTAATCAACAAAGCTGGTAAATTATAAACTATATCTAAGATCTCTCTGTTCATTGTTACACTGATATTTTGTCATTAGGCTTCTGCTCAGCATGGGGAGGAAAGTAATAACTTTGAAAGATTCTATTGTGATATGAAATAATAACCATTTTTATGAATGCTTATCAAGTATTTCGTTTAAGTGGCCATAGCATCAAGAACACCTTATTTTAATGATGAATTATAAAGCAATGTTTTTGTTTTCTGATTATTACATGCACATAATCTTTTACTTAGTATTGAAAATGTAATTTTATTTTCTGTTTTATTGTCTGTATGAGTTTAATTCAAAGGCAGGGACAATAAACTTTAAGTGAATATAAATTTTGAGATTTAGTTTAAAATGAGAATTTTAATTTTGGAAAGTGTCTTAGAAAACATGCAGAGCCCTTTATTTTTTAGGTGAGAAGACCTAGGACCATTTGGGTAAAAGGACTCACAAGTTATAGTACATGAGAAGTAAATTGGGGCTTGACTATAGGCCTCCTGACCCCCATTACAGGCCTCACTTAATAGGCTCCTGAGATGGCTAAAAAAATAAAGAGAAGGGGAAACCAACATATCCCATGGCTTCCTAGCCAGGCCTAACAATCAGAGTATAGGGTTTAATGCCCATCTTCCTAATATCTGGTTCTCTGTCCTAAGTTAGGGTAGTCTCAAGTTCTGTGCATTTTCCACCTGGATGAAAATGGAAGACAATGGAATCTACATTAGTGACTTTTCCTAGATTATGTTTGCTACTGTTAAACCACCCACTTTAGCTCCTTTGGCAAAAGAGGAAGCTAAAATGTTAGGTAGGGTCTCAAGTGTCATTTGAAGCAAGATGAGCTCAAGAGCAACTATTTTTCTGGGTTTAGGCCCAAAATAATCTTATTAAATACAGTAATTATACCTTCTATTCATGTAAAAAAATATGGGCCCACTCTTCAATATTGTTTCATGAGAAATTGAGTGATGTGTTAACTCAGTGATGTGTTAATATTACTAATTAAAAATAGGAGTAAGTTATTTGGTTAAATGCCTTATCTTTTTAAGAGAAATAGAGTTTACTAATGCTTGGAAGTAAAACACCCTTGTGTTCAAGCAGGAAAGATCAATACAAGATTGATTCTGTGTGTGTGTGTGTGTATCTCTGTGTGTGTTTGTGTGTGTTTTAATCATAGATGTGCAGTTTTCCAATAAGCCTAAGATTAGTTTTTATTTTCTCATACTTAGGGTGTAATAATCATAAATACAACTTTGAGAAGTTCCCATACAAATTACTCTTTTGATGATCTATACATATTCCCTTTCCTTTTTAAGACACAACCATCTTTACTGTAAGCCTTTAACAAAACACCTTGTCTGATTTGGGGCAACAACCATGAGTGGATAATAACTTAGATGTTGACCAAAATTTTGTGTAGACCCCCATAAATTTATTTGTATTAATGAATAACATTTTAAAATTTGTCTGCATACATTAAAGCTTTATATGCCAAACAATAGTCTTTTGGCAGATTCAAGGTAACTTCCCTTTTTTACTATCATCATGGACTATGTATTTTTTCTGTTTTGGAATTTTAATAGGTTCAGCTTATTCCAACTGATTATAATCATTCCTTTTTATCCATCAGTTATCTACTTTATAAAATATTTCTATAATTCGGGGACACTCTGCTATTTCAGAAAATTCTAAATGCGTCATTACTCTTCAAAATCAGTAAGTCATTGAGTCTGTCTTGCTTTATCTACCTGATGATCCAGCACTAGTTATTCCCTAAGGGTAAATGAATAAAAATGCAAAGGATATCAGCCTTGGGTCAGGAATACATATTTACACACTGACTACTGGTGGTAGGCAGACAACTGCAGAGAGAAAACTTCAATCTAATGGGAAATTTTCAAAATCAGAAGTTACACCGAGCTATAAAATTCAAGCATAGCATCACAAATTCCCTTTTTGTAATTAAAGAGTTTTTAAACCCAATCTTTTATCTATCTGTTCCTTACCTGTGAGTTTCTCTCTTGTTTTAATATATTCTGTATCATATTAAATATATTGATTCATTCACTAAACAGCTTTTATGGGTTCCATATTATGTTCTACCACCGTACTAGGTAGTGTAGCTGTAGCAGTAAACAAGACACAATAAATCTCTACCTTCCTGAAACTTGACACTAGACAATCAGAAAATTAGACATTAGAAAATAAATCAGTAAACAAATTTGTGATTTTTGGTAGTGGTAAGTTTTACTAAGTGAAAAATATCAAGGATAGAAGAGAGGAAGAGTAGTGAGTGGGCTATTTGAGATGGAGGACTGAGGAAAGACCTCACTGAGAGGTTATATTTGCCCAGTGATATTAATGAGGTACAGGATTGAATAAGATGAGGATGAGGATGAAAAGTGTTCCAGAGGAAGAACAGCAATTGCCAACTTCTTATAGAGGAAAAAAATTGTGGAGTTGGGGCAGAGCAGGGCATTTCTGTCACTTGAACAGTGTGAGTTGGGGTAGAGAATTCACAGATGAGGCGAGAGGCAGAGGTGGATCCTGAGATTCTTAGGTGCCATTCTAGGAACTTTGGAGTTTAATTTTAATGAGGAGCTTTTGGAGAATTATGGAATAGGAACATTATATGATTTACAGTTTTCAAAGATTGCTGCTGAATATGTTGAATGTTGAAGTAAAGAGAAAAATGAAGATAAACTATTAGATTGTTTGTCTGAGTATCTGGGTGAGTGGTAGTGCCATTTACTTAGATGGGGCAGTCCAGGGAAGAGGTCAATATGGAGAACATCCAGGAGTTCTGTTTGCAACATGTTTGAAATATCCAAGTGCCATTATGAAGGCAGTTAGATAAATAAGTTTAAAGCTCAGGGAAAAGATACAGAGCTGAATATATAATTTGGAGCCTCACCACATCTTTGGTATTCAATCAAGGGATGAGGATAAAGTCATATCACTGGACAACAGGGGGAGACGTTAAGAAGCTTACAGCTATGTCGTGGGCAATACCACACATAGACTTTGAGAAGTAGAAGAGCTAATCAAGGACAAAGCAGAAGTCACTGGAAATAGAAGGAAAACCAGAAGAAGATAGTGCCTTCAAAGCCAAGTGAATAAAGATTTTCAAGTAGAAGGAGTTTATTCCCTATGTCACATGCTGCTGACAAGTAAAGTAAGATGGGGCATACAATTGATTAGTGTTTGGCAAGAAGGGAGGTCATTGGTGACTTCACAGGAGTAGATTTTACAGAAAAAATAATGGAGAAAAATGAAGTCAGATTAACAGAGTATGATAGGCAAAAAAAAATGTAGAAAATGAGGAATGGCAAATTTTGAGGAATTTTGATAAGAAGTGGAGAGTAGACTTCAGTAATAGCTGAAGGAACAAGTGCAATCAAAAGAAGACTTTTTAAATCCCAGACTGTATATTACAGTGTATGTGTGTTCACATGTATCTCTGACTAACTTCAAATGTAAAGTCTCTGAATAGGCAGAAGGAGTGAAATCCAGTGCAGACGTGGAGGGATAGAGCTTGGAAAGGAGGAAAGAGGGAAGGCAGTTAAGGGAAAATTTGAAGTCAGATGATAATGTAGCTCTCTTCTCAGTGTTTTTATTTTTGCTATGGAATGAGAAGCAAGTTTATTAGCTTCAAATAAAGAGGGGGAGGGCATATCAGAGGTTTGTGAAGAGAGAACATGGTGAAAACATACTTTAAAGAGTGGGAGACTGAATTAACTAAAACAAAAACATTAGCTATCAGGAAATGAAAAGGATCCATTTGAGATTTGATGTTATAAATTTAAGTGGAACTAGTCAGCATAGAATGGTGTTTTATTCAGCCATTTTCAGCTATTACACTGGGCATGTGAAGCTAGCAGAGTTTTGTTTAATTCCAATTGTAATTTTCCCAGGAAAGTAAAATAGAAACAGAAGGACCTGATGGATATTGCTAGGAAGTGATTACAGTGACTGTGGACTCTAGCCTGAGCATGTAGGGAAATGAAGGCATAAGAGAGGTGATGCACAGTGAAGATTTGATGAGGGTCAGAGAATTGTTGGATTCAAAGTACAAGAGTCAGTAAACTGGAAAGATAGGAGTCAGTTGTCAAAGAGAGGAATATTGGCAGTTATTGGTAATGACAAAGTCTTAGGTGTTGCCATGAAAGCCAATGAGGTACGGTGGGGTAAAGTAAGGTGGGGGAAAAGATTATTGGAATTATAGAGATAAAGAAATACAGAGTCCAGGGAACTGGATAGATCATTTGCATGGAAGTTGGCCTCTCTGAGTAGTAGGGAAGAAGTCAGTTATCAAAGTGATAGCATCTTTAAGATGTTCAGAGAAGTGACAGAGGTATTACCAGTTGTCTGTCTTAAAGAGGGGTAGCACGTGATGGTATCTAATGGAATGGGGCTTCAAAGGATCTGTGGTTCTTCAGGAAGAAAAAAGGAGTAATAAATGCAACTACCCAACTCCTACACCCTATCGTTAGTGAGACTATGGTAGAAAAACAAACATGATACCCAAGAGGGCTAAACTGTAGTAGTATTTCTCAGCAGGTCCAAGATTTCACTTAGAGCTAGAAAGTTAAGAAAGCATTGAGGGTAGTTGTTGAGGATTTTCCTCAATGTAATGGGTTGGCCTGGGGAAACACTAGAGAAGATTTAGCACATTTCAGATAGAAAGGATAGTGGAATTATATTGCTAAATCGAACTATGCATTGAATTGCAATCCTCTCAAAGTTTTAAAAGTATCAATATTCTTAAATTAGTTTTTCCTATTAAGTGTGCCTTGACACCATAACCCAATAACTGGTAACAATCAAGGGGAGGGACACTGTATCTACATTTTTAAGGCTTCTGAATTTTATTTATCTACTAAATTTATTATTAGTAATTTTTATATGCATTCAATTTAGAATACTAATAAAAAGTTTAATTTCTTTCATTTGAAAGAAAAGAGTTTTATAACAGAACTCTTGAATGGCAATAATATTTACCTATTTAGTTTATATTGTTTAACCCTCCAAGTTAATTATTTATGTTATTGTTCTATGTACTCAATTTTTAAACCATTATCTTGGCCACTCTGATCTTTCATCTGTGGTAAATAGTTTTCTACCTAAAGTACATTGTCTACAATTTCATTTACTGAGGATGTGTTGAAAGCATTATCCCTCAATTTTTTTTATTGTCTGAATATGTTTTTAGTTTGCTACTCTTTATTTTTCTGGGTATGGAATTCCAGTTGTTTTTCAGTTGATGTTGATTGTCAGTCTAATTGTCATTCCTATGTAGAAGATTTTTTTTTTCTGGTACTGTTAAGATGGTTCCTTTTTTGATATTCTGTATTTTCACAATGATATGTCTAAATATGGTTTAAAAATTTCTGCTTGAGATTTACTGAAATTATTTGATCTGATGTTTGATGTCGTTGAATAATTTTGATGAGCCTCAGCCATTATCCCTTTAAATATTTCTTCATTTTCTCTACTATTTTAGACCCCCTCCGGATATCATCTATGTCTCAACTGCCATTTTATATTTTCCATAACTGTCTTCTTTGATCTACATTCTTGATAATTTCTTCAATACTATCATCCTTTTCACTAAAGTTCTCTTCTTCTTTATCTAATCTGCTCTTTAATACCTCAAGAGATTTTTAATTTTAGTTATTTTGTTCTGTTCCAGAAGGTCTATCTTGTTCTCTTTCAAACTTGCTTGGTTATTTAATATTATTTACCATTATTTAAATAATTATTTGCTCATATTTTAAAATATGTTTGATTTCTTGAAACACATTAAACATTTCTATTTTATTTCAATATCTGGAATCTCAAAATCTGACTACTGTGTATGTGTGTGTGTGTTTTCTTTTTCTTTTCTTTGCTGACTTTCACTATTGATATCTGATTTGCTTGTGTGTTTAGCGATTTTATCAGTGAGCTCATATTCTTTGAAACTTTAGCTGTGAGAAATTTATGTGGTTTGTGTTGAAGTTGAGTTCCTCCAGCAAGTATTTTTATTTACTTCTAGTTGCTTAGGAGTAATAGCAGCTCAGGACTACAGTTTTATTTTAAATTCTGAAGTGGAGGTTTCTTCAGGGTACATATAGATATCATGGATTTAGTCAACATATGATCATAGGAATAGGCTTATAATTCCAAAACAGCATATTATTTATTTCTTTTCTATCTCTCCACCCAGAGGAGTGGCAACAGAGAAAGAAGGTTTCCTTTCTGTCCTCTCTGCATGGTAGATTTATTTCTCACTTCCCATTTCCTGAGAATGAATGCATCACATTGCACAAGACCAGGAGTTACCATTCACATAGACTTCTATGGTACATGCAGAAGAATCTGAAGTATCCCCTAGAATTTTTCAGTATAATAACCCTGGTTAAAGTTGCATTCTTTGGGGGTTTCAGGTCTTTCTGCAGGGATATCACTCATCTTTCAGCGGGCCCCAGGGTTTTATAGTCTTTCTCTGACACACTACACATATGTTACTATACAAATGCAAAGGCACCAGGATTAACCAATCTATGGCAAGGCAAAACTGGCTTTAGTATCAGCTTCCTTCTCAGGATTTCTGTCTTTGCATTTTGTTTACTTGTTTGTTTTTCTGTGACTTTTTTTGGCCAGTCACCACTGAATTCTAACTTTCTTTTCAGCACCACAACTTCTTAAAGAAAATTTATTTTAATGTTATACAGAGTTTTAGTTATTTTAAGTAAGATATTCACTCAGTTTAGGGTATCTGTTCCAATATTTTACCGGAATTAGAATCTTGTATATAGTTTTGTACTCAAATATACATAGAAAACCATTTTATGCATAATGTATTCAGTATAAAAATGTTGTTAGATACAGAAAACTAGTGTTTTACTTAATGATATCCCATATTCTTGGGAGATGGTTTTGCTGCCAGGTCATAATATGCAACCTCACATCCAGGAGGGGCTCCTTGCCTTGTCACAGACCTTGCTGTCGACCAAAACTAACCTACTGATCTTTTTTTCATATTATTATTAATGAGAAGTAGAATCAAGTTTTAAATGTTTTAAAATTCTCTTTCTTGCATCTGTGTGTTCTTCAGTGCAAGATATGTTCCTATAGTTCCAAGTATTTTAGTAAACGTATCATCTTATAACTGTTATTCTGTGGAATCATAGTAGCATTTTCTTTTGAATGAAAATTTTTCTTATACAGTTGTAAGAACTGTAATTTATTTATACTTTACTTCATTCAGGATATTTATTACGATTACATTCTAGTGAAGGTTCAATTGTAAATAACCTAGTGCACTTCAGTGACAATTTCAGCAGAATAGATTTTTAGAATGGAATTGTTTTATGTATCTATATTTTTGTTTCTTTCAGTGCCTGATAGTGCACCAGAAAATATCACTTACAAAAATATTTCTTCTGGAGAGATTGAGCTATCATTCCTTCCCCCAAGTAGTCCCAATGGAATCATACAAAAATATACAATTTATCTCAAGAGAAGTAATGGAAATGAGGAAAGAACTATAAATACAACCTCTTTAACCCAAAACATTAAAGGTAAAAGAACAAATCTAATATTGGATATTTGCATTTATAATGACAGAGTAGCCACAAATATTAGTTTAATGTTAATAGTTTCAGATTATTTTCATGCAGGGTATTACAATTTTGTCTTTTTGGTTAAATAAGCTAGGAGTTTATTGCAGGTCACATGAAAGAATACTATAGATCCATCCTTTTCCACATTATCCTATATCATTTTGTCTTCATAAATAAGAGCTACTATTGCCAAAGAATGACATTTTCACTTAGTTTTTATTTTTGGAAGATTGTGTTGACAGCCATTTCATAGTTTGCCTCTTGCATATTATTAAATGATATTTTGTAAGTTTCAACTTACCTATTTGATTTCTCTTTAGTACTGAAGAAATATACCCAATATATCATTGAGGTGTCTGCTAGTACACTCAAAGGTGAAGGAGTTCGGAGTGCTCCCATAAGTATACTGACGGAGGAAGATGGTAAATATAATAGTGGATATTGATATACTTTGATTCTATAACATTCCAAGAAACACACGTATAGAATGAAACAATGTAAAAACTCCTCTAGTCATGGGTATCAGTTGTGTACCATACCAGCGTTATACAGAGATTTCATTGTCATGGTATAAAAGAAGCTAGCAACATCAGATTTACATTCAGTGAAATCAGGCATAAAATGTTTTTTATTTTCTGAAGTCATCAGTACTCTGTAAAAAACAGTCAGTCATGTTTTTCCATGGGGATTTTCAAGGCTTAAAATTTGGTTTGAACGTTAACTGATATATGTCATGACTGAGTTTTTCAACTTTTACATTTTTAAGAATAGACATTAACATGAGCTTTGAAGCAGATTATGTTTATGTAAATGTTCAGCACTTTTTTACGATATTAATGATTAACTTGATAATGAGATCAGGCTATTGTACAGGCT
Organism: Homo sapiens; assembly: GCF_000001405.40. Taxonomy (NCBI): domain Eukaryota; kingdom Metazoa; phylum Chordata; class Mammalia; order Primates; family Hominidae; genus Homo; species Homo sapiens. The sequence continues at coordinate 80,507,125 of NC_000012.12, forward strand.
TCTGCATAATTGGACAAGATGCTATTCCCCAAAGTTAGTAGCTTTCATACTGAATATTTAAACATACCTTTCCCTAACCCAAATAAAGTCAACTTTACTACTGAGGCCACTTTACATTGATACCTTACCAAGTTAGACATATATTATGCTAAGAATATAACTTCTGAAAGATATATTTGGGTTAGGATTTGCATTTTATGTTTTATACATTGCATATTTAAAGAAAATTATTATTTTTTTCTGTAAAAGGAATTCCTATTTCCAAGAAGGGTAGGCCTGGAAGTATCATACGTGTTTGTGGAGTATCTTTTCTTTTTCATCTTTCTTTCTTTCAAGTTTCCCCATCTTCAAGCTAGGCCATAGCCTGTGACTGTTAAGGGCAGAATGTGCTTAGACACTGCTAGGAAGGGAGACTTTTCCCTGCATTGCTCTCTTTCTTTTCAAAATAATAAAGTCTTCAAATCCCTCTTCTCTTTTTGCAGGTCTCTCCATGTTTTAACCTCTACCAAAGCATCTTGGCTAGGGCTGTCTGTGTTGCCCCAGTTTCTAAGTGGGCTGCCTCTGTGGGTCAGTTTTCCCTAATCATTGCATCTACTTACTAATGCTTGCTTTTCCATCAAAACTTACCTGCCCAAATTCCAATTTTTCTTCATAAATAGATTCTCCTTGCTCTGAAAGTTAAAATTATCTTAATAAAAAAACCTTCCAAATGAGTCAATGGTTAAAAACTAGGGAAGAAAGTTAGTGCTCTTTTCTATCTTATGTAATACCTAAGATTATATGTAGTAAAAATTTTACCAATGCCTTTTTGAAAATAGTACCCACTTCTTTATAACTAATCTAATCAAAAGTTCCTAATGGTAAGAATTTGAGATCTTATATGATGGAATGAGACCAGTAGTGAACATATATTTTGAGCAGGCAGACGTTTTACCACTCAAGTCAATAGTTCCAAAGTATGTTGTGCATCTGAATTACCTGGGCTGTTAAAAATATGCTTCCTCAAGGTAAAGTTCCATCTAAATTCTTGGCCAAGTCATATGATTTCTAAGGAACAGGGTAAAGAACAAGACTCCCTTGTTGAAAAATTACAGAAAATCGAGAATGGATAAAGATCTGAGAACATTTGCCTCTTTGGGAATTAGGAACTCCTTGCCCTCATGAAGCTCACGGTTAGAACAAGAGACCTAAATTTGACAAATGTGTGGACAAATAATTTTTATGATTTTTAATTACTGGTATAAATGTTCCCCCAAATTATTCACCAGGACAAAAGAAGGACCTAAGTTACTCTGGGGTGTGAGGTAAAGCGTAGCGGTGGAAGTTATGTCGAAGCTGTGACATGAAAATGAATAAAGAGGGAGGGTGAGAAATAGGAAAGATCATGCCAGGTAGAGGAGTGAGAGATTTGTGAAGTCCTCATGCCAGGTAGAGGAGTGACAGATTGTGAAGTTTCTTCTCAGCTACCTTGAGATGCTCTGAGATGACAAATTGAATGCACTGCAAAAGTTCTAATTTTTCTAGTTTCAATTTTGTTAGATTGTATTTTAGAATACATGTGCCAAAATATTTTAGAATACATATGCCAAAATGATTAAAACTTAGTCTGCTACAGTGGATGTACAGTGATTTTTTTAGATAGACATGTTAATTACGTTTACTTAGCAATAAAATGTTTTACATTAAGAATAAAATATTCGGAGATCTACTGAAGGTTAGCTTTTAAAGACACCACGCTTTATCTGGTATTCCACATAAGCATCTTAAAGCATATTATAGAGTAGAAATGGTTAGTTGCAACATATTAGTTTCTAAGTTACTGCTATTTTTAATTGAAGTCCTTTTTGTAAACAATAAACAGATTTTACAAGGATGCTAGGAAAAATATTTATAGGTATTTGCTTTGACAAATGAAAGAGAATTTTCAGAGATAATTCTTATCTTGGGAAACAGACATCTCTAACTGATGTATACATTCCTGTGATAATCAATATTTGATAGCAACATTATTATAGTGCCAGTGAAAATAACAGAATGAAAATACCAAATACAGCTATCACTATTATTCCTTATAACTTGTCTCATAAACTTTCTGCTGCTCAATAAAATTTTTTTGGAAAATTATTGTTAGTTAAATAATGAAAACATGCACACATGGGAACACATACAACTACAGCTGAGATTATTCAGAGAAGTAAAAAAGAAAAAATATTGAAGTAAGTCAGGTAGCATTCTGTCCAAATTATTGGAAATAGTGATCTGTATATGAACTGTATTTCAATTGACATTGTTTAAAGATGTAAACAAATTCTCAGAATTTCTGTTAGCTACCTACGAATTCACATTCCGTGCATAACTGTAACAATGAACCAAATTTTAGTGTTTTCCTTTTTTACATGTAAAAAGTTGTATTCCATTATTCTAAGACATTACTGTGTTATTACACAGCAGCTGAGAAATGTCATTCTAAATGTTTTACCTAAATGGAAATATAAAGTTGGCTGACTATTTTGCAGTAATGTTTTTATTGCTTATTCAATGCCAAATAGCAAATGTATTTATATTTTACACTATTACAGCAGAGTTACAAGTAGATTCTAAACTATTTTCTTATTTACGTGCTACATTGGCATTTCCTTTGTAAACCATTCAATTTTGAAGACTGAGTGAACAGAGTTTGATATTATTTTACTTTTTAATGACACAACAGAGATTGAGGAATGTAGTTTTCATCATTTGTGAGGTCAGTCATTTTAACTGCTTTCTCAATGTTATGCTTATCACTTTCCCAACTTCTTGGATGTGTGATTTTTTTCCCACCTCTTTTTTATTGTCTAGGGATCTCTTTTACTGTATATTTATTCACCCTCAATAAAATTTTTATTTTTATTAGAGGATGACAGTTGACCAAGATGTACTTGAACAGTAGGTGAGTCACTGTGACATACCCCTTGTTCTTCTTTCTCATGAAATATTTTTTTCCATTGAATCACAGAAACAGATGTTCTAATACCACCATGCAAAATCTTCCTTTATCATCTCATTTTGAAAGTAAACAGTCTCTTGTGCTTCTGGAGAAAAGCACTGAACCTAATTCCTTTACCAGAAAGTTTATAATAAAAATTGTGTGCATTTCCATGTTAACTTTTTCTTATATATGTTTAATAAAACACATTATTCTATACCCTAACTTTACAGCTCCTGATTCTCCCCCTCAAGACTTCTCTGTAAAACAGTTGTCTGGTGTCACGGTGAAGTTGTCATGGCAACCACCCCTGGAGCCAAATGGAATTATCCTTTATTACACAGTTTATGTCTGGTAATAATTTTTTTTTTGGAAATAGTTCTGAGAACAGATATTAATCTGTAACATAATAGGAATGTAGCTTTTAGATTTCAGAATGTGGTGCTACATTAGGAACCTGATTATTAATAGGCTAGTTAATATGTTTTGATTAAGAAACAAGTTTTTCCATATTATGTAGTGGTTCAATCATGGTCAAATGAAATAATTTTGCAATTAAAACAAAAAATTATGTGTTACGCATAATTATACTAAATTCCTACTCTTAAAAGTCATTGACAAGTCAATTTGTATGAATGTAAGCATATACTTTTACACTTCTGAAGTTTTACACAAGTACTCTCATGTCATTGTCTTTCAAGTGTCCCTTGAGCAGAGTAATTTTAATAAACATTTAAAATAGCTATTTTTAAAGAAATCTGTTATTTAAGGTCAATTTTTAATTTGAAATGTAAACAATGTATTTCGTTTCTGATCACTGTTACCCTGATTGCCTGTTTATCCTTCAATTGTGAAAAAGATGAAATCCAACATTGTATCTCATGTTAGTTAGCATGCTTATACTACTTCATGAGAACTTGGTAGATTGAAATCTTTACTTTGATGTAATGTAAATCCTCTTTAGATTCACCAATTAGGTAACACATTACCTAGTGGATTTCATATATTTCAACTCAGAAAATACAATTTACACAATACTTCGTAAAACATAGCCATTTCCTTTTATATTTCTGAATTTGAAGGGCCAGCATTGAGGGAGATGCCATGATGTTTTAAAGAAGTCTCCTCTTCTTCTCTTTCCTAAGTTAAGATTTTTCTTTCCCTAATTCCCCTTTAACCCCTTTACATATTTCTCTTTAAGACTATATTTTTTGTTTTCTTTGTTGCCTGATTCCTAGTGACTTTGCCTAGTCGTGACGAAAGTGGGAGTGTCTTGACTCCCAGTTAGCGAAAAGGAAGCAGGGAAGAAGGTTACCATTCCTTTTCATTACCCTATTTATTTATTCACTCATTCATTCATTGAACAATATTGATAGAATACCTATATACTCATGAAGAAGACTCACATAAGACCGTTGCCCTCAAGAGTGTTGTATCTCTTACACTCCCAAGAGATAACTGGATTATATACCCATAAACAAGCAAACAAGGGAATGTTGGGGGAAGGAGGTCTACTTTTGATGGGATGCTTCAGGAAGTTCTCTTTGAAGAAGTGTCATTGAGCTGTGATCCAGTTGACAAGAAAGAGCTTCTTGCCATGTAAAAATCTACAGGGCAGAACTTTCAAGAAGGAGGGAATACCAACTGCACAAGCTCTGTGGGGAAACAAAACTTGTCACTTTGAAGACCAGAAAGGAGGTCAATGTTGCTGGGGATTAGAGAACCAGAGGAGGGTAACAGTGGGGACAGGAAATAAAGTTCAGGAGTCAAGCCATGGTAAGGATTTTGTTTTCATTTTAACTATAAAGGGAGTTCATAGATAATTTAAATCACTTTAGATTCCTTATAAAGAATGAATTGTCAGGGACAAAAGTGTTAGCAGGGATGCTAGGCTATTTTAGTAGTCTGGGAAAGAGATGGTAGTGGCAACAGAGGGGAGAAGTAGGTGGCTTTGAGCTACATTTGGGAAGAAAAACTAACAGGACTTGGTGATGGATTGGCTGTGCAGATAAGAAAAAGAGAAGAATCAAAGATGACTTCTAGATTTTTGAATCAAGTGTGGTTACTACTAGAATTTGATGGCATTGATTAAGTTAGAAAAAAATTTAAATGAAACAGATTAAGTGAGAATCAAGATTTTTCTGGCTGGGATTTTCAGCCCTGCATTATGAGAATAATTGTTTTCTTCTATACAGTGATCATGCTTCCCTTCCTAGAGCTTCCGTGTATATCTAGCATAATGCATAACACACCTAGACAGAAACACATGTGGTTGGATAGCATTTTAAGGGATGCTGTTCACCCAGTTTTTCTCTCTCTGGGTATGAACTCCATGTCAATGGGAGCCTCCTATTCTAGGAACTTAGCTATAACTTTAGTTGTCTATTTATAGTTCCAAAATGTCTAAAGGTACCAGGATTTGTTAGGAATAAGTAATGACAATGTACATTACACCACCTCTTAAGAATATAGCATGGCTCAAATTTTATATGCTACAATTCTGATGTCATATAGAACATGACCTTTTATTTTCTGTAACTGGTTATTTTTGCTTTTTGCAATGATGCTGGGGTTGATGAAAGCACTGATTTTAGATAAACTATTCATTTCTCATTCCCTCTGGGTTTAATTCGGTCTCTTTTGGGTAAATATTCAATCAATTCAAAGTTTAACTCTTCAATTGTACTTTTTCTCTCATCCTTCAAGAGGTATGCTTATCTCATTTTCTGAGGTAGTCTGGGTACAGGGGAAGCCCAATGAAAGTGGGGTGAGGGAATCTCAAATCCGTGATATTGAAACAGAAAAAGTTCCCTTGTCCTGCTCTCGGGGCGTGCGACCGGGGTGTGTCTCAATTCTCTGGTGCCCCCCTGCTCAAACCTCTAGGGGGAGCATGCAGACGGGCAGGCTGTGGGGCTCCGACCCCATGGCAGGGTCTAGGGGTGAATGTTTACAGCTGAAACCCCAGTGGGCGTGTGTTACAGTATGCTCTTTTAGTTTAGCCATCCGTAGGGGGCTTGTGTTAGCTCAGTTAGACCCCCTGCCTTATCGCAAGGACAGAGGGCTTTCTGTATCCCGGGGTTTCTTGCCTTGGAGTACCAGAACTGGATCACACGTGGGCTTGGAGAGCACGATTTATTGAGTGGAGATAACTCTCAGCAGAGGGGGGAGCCAGAGGGAAATGGAGTGGGAAGATGGTTTTCCCCTGGAGTCGGGCCACTCAGCAGCGACTCTCCTCCATCCTCACCCGCCAAACTGTGCGTTGTTCCGCTGGTTGATGGCCTGCTGGCCTGCGGCGTCTGTCAGTGTGTGCTGTTAGGCCGCTGCATTCCTCTCGATGTCCAGCCGTTGTGTCTTACGCCAACGTGTTCCTGTCAACGTCCAGCCGCTTGTGTGTGTGCCCGTTAGGGTCTTGGGATTTTTATAGGCACAGGATGGGGGCGTGGTGGGCCAGGGTGGTGTTGGGAAATGCAACATTTAGGCGGGAAAACAGAAATGCCTGTCCTCATCTAGGTCCCTGGGCACAAACAAGCCCGGGTGTGGGGCGCTAGGCAGAGACCCGCCCTTCTCTACCCCGCACTTCCCTGCCCCCACTCCCATATCAATATCGTGAGAAACGTCACCTGACCTTTTTATGGAATCATTCTGGCACAAACTTGCAGTCACGGCTTCCAGTTTCAAGGTTCCTATTTTCGGTTTTATCCTTGGTCCAACCTCAAGGCTTATTCTAGTCCCCTGGTTCCCTAGCATGTCTGTGTTGAACCTCAGGTAGCTAGATACTCCCGGCTGATTTCTCTGCACCAATCTACAGTGTGAAGGATTTGAGAAAGGTACTTCCACACCCTGCTGTAGCTCTGGATGATCTGCTAGAGGAGCCCTTACATCTTGCTTGACACAGAGATTTTCTAAGCGGCTTGTCATGTTTATCTCCATCCTGAGAAAAAACAAAGTCTTCTTTACACTGGGATTTCTCTCCCAAATCTATTCAGGTGTTGTCACCACTTAATCCTTACCCTAAGATCTTGGGACACTCCAGTGTGATGGCTTTGCCCTTTTATTTCTCTCACTCTTTTTTCGTAGTGCAAAATTTTTCCTTTTATCTTTCTTTTGACTGATGGAAATTTCCTTCTTCCGTATACTCTTTCCTTTCTACACCTCAAGGGTCTTAATTTAATTATAACTACCTAATTGTAAAACTCTGTGGTCGCAAATAATCCAGGATTGACTCTTGATGTGTAAATGGAACGTAGAAAACACTTTTCCCTCAGTAAAACTTGGCTTTATTTTACACACACACACACACACACACACACACACTCTCTCTCTCTCTCTCTGCTTTAAAATTTACTTTGTTCATTGCGGTATTTAAAAGAGACTATTACCTGGCACATAATTGAAACTTAATATTTGTTCAATGGATGAATGAATGAAGAGTATGTTTTAAGTTAGAAACTGTATATATATATATATAAATATATATTATACAAATATATATATTATATAATATATATAATATATTTGTATATATATTATACAAATTTTTAAATATATTTGTATATTTTGTATACAAAATATATATTTGTATAATATATATTTTTATATATGATATATATGCAATATAAGTATATGTATATATTATATATGATTATATTACATTAGGTATTATATAATTATTACATATTATTATATATAATTGTTATATATATTTTTTCTTATTGTATTTCTGCAATAAGAATAGTGATGCTTTTTCAGATAATGGATGACTCAGTGGAAAAGAGTAAGATTACATAAAGATAGAACAAAAAAGGATAGACCTTAACATATTCAAGAATATTATCTATAATATATATGTAATATATATAATTAAATATACACATATATTTAAATTTTCAGCATTGTCTTACTAAGATGCTTGCTGGAAGCTTTATGCTTTAGTATCTTATTAACATACTTTAGTGTCTTACTAACATCCTTAGTTGGAAATAGCCCTGTAAGGTATAGTAAGTGTAGCGAAGGAAATGGTCATAATTCTGGATTCCTTCATTAGTGATCACTAATCTTTTTTGGGGACTCTTACCATAATCAGTTTTGGGGAGAGGAGGCAGGTATCATAATGTAATACACATGGGTTTTTAGTCAGTGAGACATGGGTTTGAATCTTGGCTCTGACACTCAGTTATCTTTGGTTCCTGTAAAGTACTTAATAAATGGTAGCTATCATTGTTAGCAGGATTACTGTTTCAGGAGTCCATAGTTCTCTCATAATTCTCAGTTGCCATTATTTCAGCTGCTCCAATAATTACCAAATTCTTGTAAAAAACATTTATTTGAATATTTCCTTTTTTTTTTTTTGAGAGGGGGTCTCGCTCTGTTGCCCAGGCTGGAGAGCAATGGCGCCATCTTGGCTCACTGCAACCTCTGCCTCCTGGGTTCAAGTGATTCTCCTGCCTCAGCCTCCCGAGTAGCTGGGATTACAGGTGCCCATTACCACACCTAGCTAATTTATTTTTATTTCTTTTTATTTTTCACTAGAGATGGGGTTTTGCCATGTTGGCCAGGCTGGTCTTGAACTCCTGACCTCAGGTGATCCTCCTGTCTCAGCCTCCCAAAGTGCTGGGATTACAGGCGTGAGCCACTACACCTGACTGAATATTTCTTTTTTTTTTTTTTTTGAGTGTGTCTTCAAAATGCAGGCTGCCTATGACATTTATTATATTGGGTAACTTTTTTCTTTATCATGAATATTTCTTGACAAAATAACTCATGAGGGTTAATGTGTAACCATTTTATATCCATTACTGTATGAGTCACATTTGATTTGTAGATGGTATGTTCAGAAATCTGTTTTAATCCATTGCATTTTAAAATGATTTTTCCTTCTGAAGTTTGCTTTGCAAAATAACTTTTATCATCCATCAAGATGGTAAACTAGCATTTCCCCCCTGCAGTTATTGATAAATAACACGTATTTTTCAAATGATACACAGTCCTTGAATTCCTAGGGCAACCACCATTAAATAAATGGATTTCTATTGGAGCACTGTAAGCTTATTGTTTTAATTCATTTTGAATTGAGGCATGATGTTCCAGTAGAACTTATTTATTTACTATTTTCTTGAATTCAACTTGTAATTGTTTAGCACTTTTACTTTTAGATGTGTCAGTAAAATTTAACAGTAGTTTTCTTCTTTCTTTAGGAAACTTCTAAGAGAATATACCCTCTATAGCTAAAAGACTGAGGACTGAAAGTGATGCTGAAAGTTCTAACTTATATACAAATCTTGACTCTGAAATGTTTCTCAATTTTCTTAGTAGTAATTATAAGAGGTAATTCTGAAACAGTCTGACAAATGTTTATTAAACTCTGTGGGGAGATATATAACATACAGCACCTTAAAACGATTGATGACTTATTGCAGATAAGATATGCCCATGTGAAATAATTGAAAAACACTTGCCAAAGAATATATTAGGAAGTCAAAATAATTCTAATGCAGCTCTTTATTAAATATCACTGGTCAAATAATTCCCTCAGTAACATAAAAGATTACCTTTGTAAATGGACTTCTGAATCCTAAAAAAGTATACCTACTCTAGTTTCTCCAAGTTTTCTAAAAGATTTTCACCGTGTTAAAAATGACCTCATGGTTACTGCATATAATATAGATCAATCATCAGAATGGGAAGGGGGCCATTTCAGATTTTCTGAAGTTATATCCATTTTGGAGTGAAAGTGGTAAAGATAGATTTGTGAATTAGGAGAGCATCTCAGTGGAGGCAGTGTATGAAGGCAGCAGGAATGACTGTCAAGAGTTTGACAAGTAGCATTATAGACATGGAGTACTGAGGCTAAGTTGGGAAGATGAAAGAAAGAAATACAGATAGATGGAGCGGTAGAGCATATGAATGCTCTTTAGGGCTTAATATGAGGTTTCTAGTGGGATGACCAATGTTCTGACCAATGTTCTCTCTCAACTCTTTCCTGATAGTCATTTTTCTGAATCACTCTGAAGCTTGAGTGCCAAGGTCAAGCCCATGGCCACTCATGATTTGCAAGTGGGTCATAAATTTAGAATTGATTGTCAGTGTTAAAAAAATGAGTAGATCTCTTGTAAAACTTCAATTTCCTTTGTTTCTTATAAAAATCAGAACACTTTTGCCATATTTCCTGTGGCAAAAAAAAATCAGCAGAGTTGAATGGTGGCTGTCTTTTATTTGAAGCATTTGCTTAGTTGTTTACCGTGATTCCCATCACACCCTCTTATTTCATTTTATCTGAAAGAAAATTTTGTAGGTACATAGTAGGTTTATATATTTATGGGGTACATGAGATACTTTGATACAAGCGTGTAACAAGTAATAACATCATGGAAAATGGGGTATCCATCCCCTCAAGCATTTGTCCTTAGTGTTATAAACAATCCAATTATACTCTTTTAGTTATTTTATAATGTACAATTAATTATTATTTATTGTAGTCACCCTGTTGCACTGTCAAATACTAGATCATATTCATTCTTTCTATTTTTTTATACCCATTAACCATCCCCACTTTCCCCACCCCTCCTCACTACCCTTCCCACCTTCTGGTAACCATGCTTCTACTCTCTATCTCTATAAATTCAATTGTTTTGATATTTAGCATCCACAAATAAATGAGAACATGTGAAGTTTGTCATTTGTGCCTGACTTATTTGACTTAACACAATGACCATGATGGCATCTCATTCTTTTTTATTGCTGCATAGTACTCCATTGCGTATAGATGTACCACATTTTCTTTATCGAGTCAACCATTGATGGACATTTTGGTTGCTTCCAAATCTTGGCTATTGTGAAGAGTACTGCAACAAACATGTAAGTGCAGATATCTCTTCCATATACTGATTTCCTTTCTTTTGGCTATATACCCAGCAGTAGGATTGCTAGATTTTACATTAGCTCTATTTTTAGTTTTTTGAGGACCTTCCAAACTGTTCTCCGTAGTGATTTTACTAATTTGTATTCCCACCAACAGTGTACAAGGGTTCCCTTTTCTTCACATTCTCTCCAACATTTGTTATTGCCTGTCTTTTGGAGAAGAGCTATTTTAACTGGGGTGAGATGGTATCTCACTGTAGTTTTGATTTGCATTTCTCTGATGATCAATGATGTTGAGCACCTTTTCATAAGCCCCCTTGACATCTGTATGTTATCTTTTGAGAAATGTCTATTCAAATATTTTGTCCATTTTTGATTGGATTGTTAGTTCTTTTTCCTGTAGAGTTGTTTGAGCTGCTTATGCATTCTGGTTATTAATCCCTTGTCAGATTGACAGTTTGCAAATATTTTCTCCTATTCTGTGGGTTGTCTTTTCTCTTTGTTGATTGTTTTCTTTGCTGTACAGAAGCTCTTTAACTAGTTGTGATCCTGTTTGTCCGTTTTTGCTTTGGTTGCCTATGCTTGTGGGGTATTACTCAAGAAATTTTCACCCAGATCAATATCCTGGAGATTTTACCCAATGCAATAGTTTCATAGTTTGAGGTCTTAGATTTAAGTCTTTAATCCATTTTGATTTAATTTTTGTATATGGTGAAAGATGGAGGTCAAGTTTCATTCTTCTGCATATGGATATCCAGTTTTCCCAGCACCATTTATTGAAGAGACTGTCCTTTATCCAATGTATGTTCTTGGCATCTTTAGCAAGAATGAGTTCATTGTAGGTATGTGAACTTGTTTCTGCGTTCTCTATTCTGTTCCATTGGTCTATGTGTCTGTTTTTATGCCAGTACCATACTATTTTGGTTACTATAACTCTGTAGTATAATTTGAAGTCAGATAATGCGATTCCTCCAGTTTTTTCTTTTTGCTTAGGATAGCTTTGTTATTCTGGGTCTTTCATGGTTCCATATAAATTTTAGGATATTTTTTCTATTTCTGTGAAGAATGTCTTTGATATTTTGACAGAGATTGCATTGCATCTGTAGATTGCTTTGGGTAGTATAGATAGGATATTTTAATAATATTGATTCTTCCACCCCATGACATCGAATAGCTTTCCATTTTTTGGTGTCCTCTTCACTTTTTTTCATCAATGTTTTATAGTTTTTATTATAGAGAACTTTTACTTCCTGCCACCAAACCTTATTTTAAACGAAACTTTTTAGTCATTTATTTTACTTGTCTGAATCTTGAGTTATTAACTGTTGATTTAGGCAATCTTCTCATCAAGTTTTTGAAATGCAGAACACTGAGAGAGTTTGTGATTTCTTTGCATGTCAGACTTAGGGAACAAAATGTCTCAGAAAGCTGAAGGAACTGAATCAAGAATAGTGCTATTAACTTAAAAATCTCACAATCTAAAAATTTGGAAAGGAGACTTTATTTCTTTTAAAGGATGACAGCCTTCAAAGTGGCCATCTCTCACACTGGGAAGTGTGCCTCCAGCAAAGACCGGAGATGGGCACTTTGAAGGAGGAGGGATCGGGGTAGGAGCTTTATGCGGAAAGGGTTAGCTAAACATACATATTTAACCTGCTACAGGAGGAGCTATGAATATTCAGGAAGGTGGTCCTGACACATGTGTATTGAACAAACATGTATGTAACAAACGATCCATGTTCACTTTGGGGTTGAGACTTCACATTTAAATGTATTACAATTAGGTCCTATACATCAAATGATTTTTTCAGTACACAAAGTCATTCAAGTGCACAGCCTCTGTAAATTAGCCAGAACCAGTCCATGGTCAGTGGTCTTATCAGGAGAAAGTTACTGAAATCAGTATCTTGTCCAATCAAAGCTGTAATTATGGCTTGTGGAACAGGGGCTCAGTTAGTCTCTGTCTGATGGTGAGCTACAATTGTTTTAATATTGCTTATCTTGAGTCCAGTGCTTGTTTAACTGCTAGAGAAAAATAAAACCTATGGCAGTTAGAGCATAGGTTAAGTGTGTGTTTTGGGTGGGGATTGGGGGGGATACATGTCTTAACCCTTGCCTGACATGGCCATATGTCATGTTTATAATTTGGTATCTTATTGTCACGAACAGTCTGTTCTCTCAGCCTCGTGGTCTCTATTTCATATGGTTTGGTTGTGTCCCCACCCAACTCTCATCTCATGTTGAATTGTATCTCCCATAATTTCCACATGTTGTTGGAGGGACTGGTAGGAGATAATTGAATCCTGTGGCGGTTTCCCCCATACTGTTCTCATAGTAGTGAATAAGTCTCATCAGACCTGATGGCTTTTTTATTTTTTGTATTTTATGTCTTTAATCACATATTACTTTTAATACAATTTTTTAAAATTATACTTTAAGTTTTAGGGTACATGTGCACAACGTGCAGGTTTGTTACATATCTATACATGTGCCATGTTGGTGTGCTGTACCCATTAACTCACCATTTAACATTAGGTGTATCTCCTAATGCTATCCCTCCCCCCTCCCCCCACCCCACAACAGGCCCCGGTGTGTGATGTTCCCCTTCCTGTGTCCATGTGTTCTCATTGTTCAATTCCCACCTATGAGTGAGAACATGCGGTGTTTGGTTTTTTGTCCTTGTGATAGTTTGCTGAGAATGATGGTTTCCAGCTTCATCCATGTCCCTACAAAGGACATGAATTCATCATTTTTTATGGCTGCATAGTATTCCGTGGTGTATATGTGCCACATTTTCTTAATCCAGTCTATCATTGTTGGACATTTGGGTTGGTTGCAAGTCTTTGTTATTGTGAATAGTGCCACAATAAACATACGTGTGCATGTGTCTTTATAGAAGCATGTTTTATAATCCTTTGGGTATATATCCAGTAATGGGATGGCTGGGTCAAATGGTATTTCTAGTTCTAGATCCCTGAGGAATCGCCACACTGACTTCCACAATGGTTGAACTAGTTTACAGTCCCACCAACAGTGTAAAAGTGTTCCTATTTCTCCACATCCTCTCCAGCACCTGTTGTTTCCTGACTTTTTAATGATCACCATTCTAACTGGTGTGAGATGGTATCTCATTGTGGTTTTGATTTGCATTTCTCTGATGGCCAGTGATGATGAGCATTTTTTCATGTGTCTTTTGGCTGCATAAATGTCTTCTTTTCAGAAGTGTCTGTTCATATCCTTTGCCCACGTTTTGATGGGGTTGTTTGTTTTTTTCTTGTAAATTTTGTTTGAGTTCTTTGTAGATTCTGGATATTAGCCCTTTGTCAGATGAGTAGATTGCAAAAATTTTCTCCCATTCTGAAGGTTGCCTGTTCACTCTGATGGTAGTTTCTTTTGCTGTGCAGAAGCTCTTTAGTTTAATTAGATCCCATTTGTCAATTTTGGCTTTGGTTGCCATTGCTTTTTGTGTTTTAGACATGAAGTCCTTGCCCATGCCTATGTCCTGAATGGTATTGCTTAGGTTTTCTCCTAGAGTTTTTATGGTTTTAGGTCTGACATTTAAGTCTTTAATCCATCTTGAATTAATTTTTGTGTAAGTTGTAAGGAAGGGATCCAGTTTCAGCTTTCTACATATGGCTAGCCAGTTTTCCCAGCACCATTTATTAAATAGGGAATCCTTTCCCCATTGCTTTTTTTTGTCAGGTTTGTCAAAGATCAGATAGTTGTAGATATGAGGCGTTATTTCTGAGGGCTCTGTTCTGTTCCATTGATCTATATCTCTGTTTTGGTACCAGTACCATGCTGTTTTGGTTACAGTAGCCTTGTAGTATAGTTTAAAGTCAGGTAGCGTGATGCCTCCAGCTTCATTCTTTTGGCTTAGGATTGACTTGGCAATGTGGGCTCTTTTTTGGTTCCATATGAACTTTAAAGTAGTTTTTTCCAATTCTGTGAAGAAAGTCATTGCTAGCTTGATGGGGATGGCATAGAATCCATAAATTACCTTGGGCAGTGTGGCCATTTTCACGATATTGATTCTTCCTACCATGAGCATGGGATGTTCTTCCATTTGTTTGTATCCTCTTTTAATTCATTGAGCAGTGGTTTGTAGTTCTCCTTGAAGAGGTCCTTCACATCCCTTGTAAGTTGGATTCCTAGGTATTTTATTCTCTTTGAAGCAATTGTGAATGGGAGTTCACTCATGATTTGGCTATCTGTTTGTCTGTTATTGGTATATAAGAATGCTTGTGATTTTTGTACATTGATTTTGTATCCTGAGACTTTGCTGAAGTTGCCTATCAGCTTAAGGAGACTTTGGGCTGAGACGATGGAGTTTTCTAGATATACAATCATGTCATCTGCAAACAGGGACAATTTGACTTCCTCTTTTCCTAATTGAATACCATTTATTTCCTTCTCCTGCCTAATCGACCTGGCCAGAACTTCCAACACTATGTTGAATAGGAGTGGTGAGAGAGGGCATCCCTGTCTTGTGCCAGTTTTCAAAGGGAATGCTTCCAGTTTTTGCCCATTCAGTATGATATTGGCTGTGGGTTTGTCATAGATAGCTCTTATTATTTTGAAATACGTCCCATCAATACCTAATTTATTGAGAGTTTTTAACGTGAAGGGCTGTTGAATTTTGTCAAAGGCCTTTTCTGCATCTATTGAGATAATCATGTGGTTTTTGTCTTTGGTTCTGTTTATATGCTGGATTATGTTTATTGATTTGCATATGTGGAGCCAGCCTTGCATCCCAGGGATGAAGCCCACTTGATCATGGTGGATAAGCTTTTTGATGTGCTGCTGGATTTGGTTTGCCAGTATTTTATTGAGGATTTTTGCATTGATATTCATCAGGGATATTCATGTAAAATTCTCTTTTTTTGTTGTGTCTCTGCCAGGCTTTGGTATCAGGATGATGCTGGCATCATAAAATGAGTTAGGGAGGATTCTCTCTTTTTCTATCAATTGGAATAGTTTCAGAAGGAATGGTACCAGCTCCTCCTTGTACCTCTGGTAGAATTCGGCTGTGAATTTTTCTGGTCGTGGACTTTTTTTGGTTGGTAAGCTATTAATTATTGCCTCAATTTCAGAGCCTGTTATTGGTCTATTCAGAGATTCAACTTCTTCCTGGTTTAGTCTTGGGAGGGTGTATGTGTCGAGGAATTTATCCATTTCTTCTAGATTTTCTGGTTTATTTGCATAGAGGTGTTTATAGTGTTCTCTCATGGTAGTTTGTATTTCTGTGGGATCGGTGGTGATATCCCCTTTAGCATTTTTTATTGCGTCTATTTGATTCTTCTCTCTTTCCTTCTTTATTAGTCTTGCTAGTGGTCTATCAATTTTGTTGATCTTTTCAAAAAACCAGCTCCTGGATTCATTGATTTTTTTGAAGGGTTTTTTGTGTTTCTATTTCCTTCAGTTCTGCTCTGATCTTAGTTATTTCTTGCTTTCTGCTAGCTTTTGAATGTGTTTGCTCTTGCTTCTCTAGTTCTTTTGATTGTGATGTTAGGGTGTCAATTTTAGATCTTTCCTGCTTTCTCTTGTGGGCATTTAGTGCTATAAATTTCCCTCTACACACTGCTTTGAATGTGTCCCAGATATTCTGGTATGTTGTGTCTTTGTTCTCATTGGTTTCAAAGAACATCTTTATTTCTGCCTTCATTTCATTATGTACCCAGTAGTCATTCAGGAGCAGGGTGTTCAGTTTCCACGTAGTTGAGCAGTTTTGAGAGAGTTTCTTAATCCTGAGTTCTAGTTTGATTGCACTGTGATCTGAGAGATAGTTTGTTATAATTTCTGTTCTTTTACATTTGCTGAGGAGTGCTTTACTTCCAACTATGTGGTCAATTTTGGAATAGGTGTGGTGTTGTGCTGAAAAGAATGCATATTCTGTTGATTTGGGGTGGAGAGTTCTGTAGATGTCTATTAGGTCTGCTTGGTGCAGAGCTGAGTTCCATTCCTGGATATCCTTGTTAACTTTCTGTCTCATTGATCTGTCTAATGTTGACAGGGGGTGTTAAAGTCTCCCATTATTATTGTGTGGGAGTCTAAGTCTCTTTCTAGGTCTCGAAGGACTTGGTTTATGAATCTGGTTGCTCCTGTATTGAGTGCGTATATATTTAGGATCGATAGCTCTTCTTGTTGAATTGATTCCTTTAGCATTATGTAATGGCCTTCTTTGTCTCTTTTGATCTTTGTTGGTTTAAAGTCTGTTTTATCAGAGACTAGGTTTGCAACCCCTGCCTTTTCTTGTTTTCCATTTGCTTGGTAGATCTTCCTCCATCCCTTTATTTTGAGCCTATGTGTGTCTCTGCATGTGATATGGGTTTCCTGAATACAGAACACTGATGAGACCTGATGGTTTTACAAGGGGTTTCCCCTTTCGCTTGGCTTTCATCCTTTCTTGCCTGTCGCCATTAAGACATGCCTTTTGCCTGCTGCCATGATTGTGAGGCCTCCTAAGCCACATGGAACTGTGAGTCCATTAAACTTCTTTTTCTTTATGAATTACCAGTCTCAGGTATGTCTTTATCAGCAGCGTAAAAACAGAATATTGCACAATTTTAGCATTAATTTAGGTCAGCTGTTGTGTCTAACAGTAAGTGGTGGGGGATATACTGAGGTGTGTCTGACCTCCCATCCTGTCATGGCCAGAAACTCCATTGTTTTTAAGATTCTGTTGGTTGACAGGCTTAGGATTGTATTTTTAGCTTACCGTGTACTAGTTACCATTTTGAGACAAATGTTTCTTACATATTTTTTTCTTTTTTCAAAAATACCACAGAGAAAAGAATATTATCCCCATTTTATAGTTGTGGAAATGTTCTTGATGAGATTAAGGACACAGGTAAGGTTACAGAGCTAAGGATGACAGAATAAGAATTCACACCCAGATCTGTGTTACTCTCAAATTATGCTTTTACTACACCAATAGGGATATGTGTTATAATTGGCCTTTGTTCTAAAAATAAAACAGCGCATTTATAGGATTATAGAAGTCTGAATTTGGTAACAGCATGTGTGAAAAATATTTAGGGAGTTTAAGTAAGCTTATTGCATCAACTCATGTGGGATATTTCTACCAAAAAATTATTGGCTTAATATTGGTCTGTGTTCATTGGTGGACTGTATCTATTATGACAGAATGATAATTACACTATTTCATGAGTCAAACCAGTTGGATTACTGGTTAGTACAGTTTGAATACACAGAGTAGAGCTTGTTCAGGGAGAAGTGATGAAGATGGTGGAAATCCTCAGAATCAAGGCATATGCGGAACTATTGAAATAAGGGAACAGGTCAAGATTACTAATAGTCAAGATTCTTTTTGTTTCAAGTACTGGACTCATCCCAAATTGGCTTAAGCAAAAATGGGAATATATTGATACATATAGCTGAAATGTCCTGATAATGTTATCAGGTGTGGTTAACAGCAAGAAGCTTGATGTGGTCAACAATGAGATGGCCTTTGTGTCTTGTGTATAATGGCACAGGATAAAAGTGGGAGTAGATAAAGCTGGAGAGCTGGTTAGGCCATATACATTGAGTCTTGAAGCCAGAATAAGAAGTTTGAATTTTCTTGCGAGTGCAGCGGAAAGCCCGTGGAATGTTTTCTCCAGGAGTGTGATCATACATCTTTGGGTACATGGTTTAAATAAAATTTTAAAATTCTGTGTAATACTAACAGTCATATTCTCTCTCTCTGTCTCTCTCTCTCTCTCTCTCTCTCTCTGTCTCTGTCACTCTCGGGTTTCTTACTCTGTGTATGTGTATGTGGTTCTACTTATAAGAAGTCAATTTATTACTGAATTGCCTTAGTTCTCCCTCCCTAAATAATGTGGATACTATAAAAAACAATGGGAGTATACTACTGATTATTATTATAATACGTACTTGACCTATTGAAAAGCTCAGTTCCCTTTCTATAATTCTCATAACATTTGTATTTTCTTGTTTAATAAGGATCTTCCTGCGAGTTGGTGAGGTCTAGTGTAGTGACTGTACTTTATCACAAGTCACTAGCTCAGTGCCTGAAACACAGTAAGTATTCTAAACAATTTTTAAGAGATAGCATCAAAAATCTAGAGGAGAAACCACATGGACATATTTCAGCATGTTTGTGGTCAATCAATTTTAATTTAACCTCTCTAATGCTCTGGATTTCCACAGTTCTATGCCCCATCCTATCTGTGCTTTCTCTGGTATATGGATCTTCACATAAAAATCAAAATCTATGGAGACAGGGTATGAATTGGAACCCAGAATTGGCCATCTCAGAGAAGCAGGTGTTTACAGAAAGGAAGATTGCAGAGAGGCTAGATTTGGGAGCTAAAGCTTTGGTTGGAGGAAACTAAGTTGGAGAACTAGTTCTGTACATTGGAATTCCAGAAACTTTCAGAAGAGTCAGTTGGACATATCAGTCCAAAGACTATTAGTGTGGTTTTTGTATGGTGAATAGAATTATGTGGGTATAGAATTGGAAAGTGATAAGAATTTCCCCAAAAAATATATATAGTAAGGTGAAGGTGATTTCACAGACAATTAAGATCAAATGTATAATGTATATGGCTTTCTGTAGCTTCTGCTTGATCAAAGGCCAAAATAGTAAATTTAAAGTTTTGCCCATCCTCCAAGTCTTCCATAAGCAACACTTTCCACAGCTTTTTAGAGGAACTGAAGAACAGACAGTTTGAAATTATGTTCTTTGGGGAGAGCCAGGAGTAACAATATTATAAATTTGTAGTAAGGCAAGTACCATGTGTTTAAAAATTTTTTAAAGCAGGGGCTAACGTTGATACTATTTGGTTACATTTAAGAGTCCTAACCAGGACTTTCTCTAAGAAATGAAAATTAATGAGCTTTTGTTTTTTTAAAGCCTTATGATGAGAAATTAATGTGGTGATCAGATATTTGAAACTATTGAAGAAAAAATGAAAGAAAATATCTTTAGTAAAGTGGAAGGGCACTGATTTACTGAAAAAAATTATTTAAGTAATTTTTTCCAACCTTTAGAGCTTTATGCTTATAAATAAAAAGCCTCTACTAAAAGACATTCCACCACTGATTATATTTTAAAGCTTGCTATACATTAAGCACTTTGCATCACCTTAGCTTTTTTTAAAAATCATTTTTGTTTCTACAACACATGGCAAACTTTCAGTAAAAAGGCCATCTTTCTTATTTCTTGACTAAATGTGTTAAAAGACACTTTCATTTATAAAATTAATTTTATGATTATATTTATAGAACCTGTAACTTTTGAAAATTTCCAGTAGAAAAATGTTTTGAAAAATATTTATACTATGTAAACCCTGTCAAGTAATTGTTAACCTTGTATTCATCTGAACACAATTTAATTTACACCAAAGTTATTTAATTCATTATTATACTATACTATTATTGTTCACAAAAATTGACCCTTTTCCAAATAAAAATTGTGTTCTAACATTTAATTCATGATGCTTTAAAGTATTAAATATTATGCTTTGCTCTCCCTTTGTACAAAATTGATAAGTTCTCAAGCAGACAGGGAAGAAACATGAATAATTATTCCCATATTATCATTAATAATCATATATAATCCATAAATTCCATACTTATAGAAGCTAAATTAAAAATTTACAAAAGAGAAAAACAAAACTAATAAGTAATTTAAAATACAGAGTTAAAAAAGAAATGGGGAGATGATCCAGAAAAAGGAGAAAAAGCACATTTAATTTAATGTTAGGAATGAAAAAGGAGACATAACTACAGATAACTCAAAAATTAAGAGATATCTTTAATCTCAGCACTTTGGGAGGCCAAGGTGGGCAGATGGCTTGATCCCAGGAGTCTGAGACCAGCGTGGGCACCATAACTACAGATATCTAAAAATTAAGAAATATCTGTAATCCCAGCACTTTGGGAGGCCAAGGTGGGCAGATGGCTTGAACCCAGGAGTTTGCGATCAGCCTGGGCACCATGGTGAGACCCCATCTCTAGAAAAAATAAACAGGTATGGTAACATATGCTTGTATCCCAGCTATTCAGGAGACTGAGATGGGAGGAGCACCTGAGCCTGGGGTTGGGGCCATCGACGCTGCAGTGAGTTGTGATCATACCACTGCACTCCAGCCTGGGTCACAGAGTGAGACTCTGTCTCATAAATAAATAAATAAATAAATGGACATTTAAAATAACCTTATGACAATAAATTTCAAATGGATGAAATCTTAAACTTCTAGTAAGATATAACTTATACACTTTGTAAAAGAAAATAAAAATATCTGAATAGTTTATAAGCTTTAAAGGAGAGAAACGGGTAGTTAATAATTGTATATTCCTCCAATAGCCCATTTTCTGAAGTATTTTACTCAAATTTTGGAGCCCTAATGGGATGATAATATGTGGCTATAAACCCATTGAAGCCAGAGGTTATGTCTTTGTCACCTTCATATTTCCATCACAGAGTATAATAACTTATATTTTAGGCCCTCAATAAATACTTGTTGAAATAATGAAAGAAAGAAGTATTGTACATTTAAAAGTCTTGTTTTTTCTAATCTCACTAATCTTTGAGCACCCCTGGGAAGTCATTTTTCATGTTTTTGATCAGTTTCCTCTCCTGTTGTCCTCAGAAATTTTCCCAAATCATCTCTATTTTCAAGCCCTTTGCTAAATCTCACTCATCTCATTCAAAGCAGACAAACCCAGCTTCCATTCTAAACTTAAAGTTGAGGTGACTATCTCAAAAATTTGACTATTTCAAATTCCTGCTTCCAGAATCCATCAACTCATTTACATCCATTCTCAGAGGATGAAATCTCTCTCTTTCAGTTCAAGTGCAATCCTTCCTCCTGCCTTCTGGATCCTAATTCCTTGTGTCTGCTCTAAAGCTATCTATGGATTATTAGTGTATGCTTCCTCAGCTTCAAACTCATTCTCTTCAGTGGCTTTGTCCTTTAATCTTTTAAATGTATCTTTCCTACCAAAAGCAAACAAGCAAAACAAAGCCAAACCAAACCAAACCAAGTTAGCCAGTCAACCAAATGATGACAATAGGAACAATAACAACAAATGAATACCTTGCTTTGACTCAGACTGTCTCTGAGATGCTAGAACAGCTTTAGGAATGTGCAACTGTTTATGCCTTGCTAGTTTGGGATTATTTAATACATAATCACTAGCCTACTGATGCTAGCAAGTTGTATAGAGTAATTATGCTAAAGTACAACATCGAAGAGTAGTTTCCTTATATAATGGGAAAATTAATGAACATCACTGGTTCATATGAGGAAAAAAATAATCTAATAAAGAGTCAAGTAAGTGAGTGTTCACATTCTTCATTTTGGGGAGTTCTATTTAGTGAGTGAAAGGATTAATCTACAACATTTAGATAATAACTGATTAAAGTTTTGAAAATAAATTCACAAAAATGAACAGGGATAGATGTATCATCAGGGTAGATTATGCACATGGAACAAAATATCAAATGATAAAGATTAAAACTAAGACTATGACTTTTCAAAGGGTCTCAAACCTTGTCTAGAGAACCATACACATTTATACTTATGGAAACAGAGAAATTTATTTACTGTGGTTTGGGTATTCAGGATTCCTTCATAGGCCTAGCATGGACTTGGTGTTGTAAGAGAGAAACAAAGAAATTGGTAAAGCAAATTAATTGCTCTTTTGATCTAGAATTTCTTTTATGCACTAGATGTCAAAATGTGGTATGTCTTTTGAAAAAAAAATGTAAATTAATTAGGAAATAACTTCATCTTAGAGACTATTTATCCCAATTGAAGACTTTTTTTGGCGTTACCCATGAGTAAAGACAGAACAACTACATCTTGTATTTTTACAGAATAATTTCAAAGTAATTAAATTTTTTTTTCATTTCCTAAATTAGAAAAAGCTTCGAAACCTATTCAAAAATAGGTTTAGAGTTAAATAAGTAAAATCATTTTACTGAGGACTTCCCTCAAGTTTCATCTCAGTTTGAAAACAGTCACTGGGTTGGGAGATTTGGCCAGTGTTGAAAAGTAATATATTTTAGATAATAATTATTGTGTAACATTTATATTCCCTCACTTTGTACACAGTTTATGACTTTGGATATGTAAGAGTTAGACCTGCTTTGTCCTGTAGGCCTCCTCTCTTCTTCTCCCACCTCCCTCAACTCCCTATCCTACTCTCAAACTTTACAAACTGGCTTTCTAGTGAATAATTTCCTGGATCTCTGGGGCCATGCCTTATTCTCTTTTTTTATACTGTGGTCACAACTAATTTCTTTGCTCATTTCTTTCTTTGTTCTTTACTTTTAGCTACTAAGGGAAAAAGTTATTGTCCTTGTCCTTAAGGAAGTCACATTGTCATTAGCAAATTGTTTTAGAATTATTTACTGCTTTATCTCTCTATTTTGAGGATAGGGGCTGTATCTTACTCATATTTATGCCTAAAGTAGTGCCCGACACAAAGTAGATGCTAATTACATTTTGTTGGATTTTGTTGAATATTGATTTTGTACATATCATCTCTAAATTCAGAAGGTGTGAAAGTTAACTTTGCTTGCACTGTCTAACGAATGGTGTCTAAAGAGCTCAGACTAATAATGTTTTTCATTTAAAAGAC
Source organism: Homo sapiens (assembly GCF_000001405.40). NCBI lineage: Eukaryota > Metazoa > Chordata > Mammalia > Primates > Hominidae > Homo > Homo sapiens. The sequence continues at coordinate 80,530,562 of NC_000012.12, forward strand.
TAAAATGAAATATAAAAAACCATAAATAAGTTTATTTTTGTGATTATTTGTTTTAATGGATCACAAATGACGAACAAACATGTAAGAAGACATTCTGTCTCACTCACAGCCAGGAATGGCTAACTAAAATCTAACTAAAAATCTACTAAAATCTAACTATATTTATAATATCCAGAGATTTATGTGAGTTTGTCAAAATGGGTACTCTCACACATTGGTGGTATGATTCTAAATAATTATAATTATTATAACTTAAAATTTGATACAGTAATCATTTTGGAGTAGTAATCTTAAAATTTTAAAAAGCATTCAAACCATTTGACTCAAGAAACACACAATTTGTATCCTGGTGTAGGGTTGCATGCCTGTAGTACCAGCTACTCTGAAGGAAGGCTAAGGTGGTAGGTTACCTTGAGCCCAGGATTCAAGTCCAGCCTAGGCAACATAACAAGACCTTGTCGCTAAAAAATATATATATTTAAATTTAAAGAAGTTTAAAAGGAATCACAATTTAATATGTAGAAATAAAAGTACTATTATGAAAAGATACTTCTTTAAGGATAACTATGGCATCATTGTTAATAATAGCTAAAGAAATAAAAAAGAGAAAAAGCCTGAAAGTTAACTCATAGAATGACTAAATAACTATGATATATCCAAATTATGCAACTACAAAAACATTATGATATAGATCATTGGTGTTAACATGATAAGAGAAAAAAATCAGGATATAGAACATATGCTTTTTTATAAATGAAAATAAAACATAATGGAACACATAATAATTATAATATTTTTAAGCTAATAAGAATAAAACAGATTTTAAAACTAAGCCAGCTGAAAGCAAGAGTAACAACTTATTATAGCAGTGTCAAAAATGAATTTCCTACATACGAATTTCCTACACAGGGTTTGCTCAAAGGGAGTGAACACTTTGAGCTTCAGGATTGCTCAGAAGATTGCTCCTTTGATTAGAGAGCTCACACTTCAGCACAGAGATTTATGTGTTATCTGCAATTCGGTAACAGCTACTAGGAAAATGGAGTTCGAGCCTTGGTGACAGTTCAATTCTGTCTCCTTTCTCTTTCTTTTAGTTATCAGTTTTATAGCAAATAACCTCTTACATATTTGATATATTCTGAATTGTTTTAATTAATATTCATGCTACCCTATTTTTCTAACTTATTTATTAAAATATCAGCCACAATCCTAAACTGCAAAAGAAAAATAAACCCTAAACAGATGAGGCATCTGAAAAAAATTTTTTTAGCTTAATTTTGTCTCTTGGGAGTAAACCAAGCTAGATGTTGAAACTATATATATGCAAACTGAAGTGAACTACTATGTTTTTATTAACATAATTTATAACAACAAGCTTCTTTTTACTAAAATATCTATTTGAGATAAAAATTTATTTTTGATATCCATTTCCAGGTAATTGCCTTGATTCTGCATTATCTATGGAACATAATCTGAGGCTTTTTTTTTACAGTTGGTAGATACTTATGTACAAGATTTTGCTGTGAAAATCAGGGCAAGAAGGTAGTGATGCAAGGTAGCAGATAACATTGAAATACATTTTTGAAAATAATTTTTAAAATTGATGTAATGCAATTAGATTACTTGAGCTAATAGCATAGCTTTATTTTATTTTATTTATTTTATTTTATTTATTTTTTTGAGACACAGTCTTGCTCTGTTGCCCAGGCTGGAGTGCAGTTGCCGATATTGGCTCACTTCAGCCTCCGCCTCCTGAGCTCAAGCAATTCTCGTGCCTCAGCCTCCTGAAAGCTGGGACCACAGGTCTGCCCACCACGCAGGGCTAATTTTTTTATTTTTAGTGGAGACAGGGTTTTGCCATGTTGCCCAGGCTGACCTTAAACTCCTGGTCTCAAGTGATCCAACCGCCTTGGTCTCCCGAAGTGCCGGCATTACAGGTGTGAGCCACCACACTCGTCTTAATTGCATAGTTTTAGAGATCCATGTTGGATTAGCTCTTCTGTAGTGTCCTGATGACCTGTGACCAATGATAAGAGTATGGAATTAGGTAGTTTCTATGAAAAGGCATCTTTTCTGGCGACTAATAGCCACAGTATCAAGAGTTTTAAAAGCCCCTCTCCTCTGGTCTCAATGGAGTCAAAGAAAACTCTCCCGACTGCTCCTGAAAAAGGATGTCAAATGAAACTGTTTCAAATTGCTGAATAGCCTGGCTAATCCTGCCTGTCTCCAATCACATACTCCGAATCCATATTTTTCTCACTGTGGTAAGCTTTCCAACTATTTTTCAGAAAACAAAACTTATATTTGGAATAACTTGGTGCTTCTGTGGCAGTAAAACCATGACTGAAATGTATCTCTGTGGAAACCCTTACTTCATTTAAAATTTATTATTCCTCCTAATGATTCAAGGCTTCAAATATTTCAATGGTAAAGAAAGAGCTTTTTCTATTCAGAGGGAATATTCATTTACTTCTTCAGTGCTTTGTGTGTCTAAAGTAGAAAAATATGAGATTACATGAGACATATACTTTTTCAGTGTTACTGATCATATTCCCTTATCTAAATTCTTTAATAACTAACTTTATTATTCCTAAAATATAAATAAAAAATAATGCACATTTTTCAGCATCACTATACACATGTTCATTTTTTGGTTTTAGATATTAATCTATACCCAGTTCAAACTGTGGAAACTGAACTAACATGACTGAAATAAAATAGTGTTATATTTTGTTCTTTAGACTCTTTTTTCCCTTCCTGAGATTTTGATATGTACTTGGAGAGTTTTGAGTCAATATTTATTTGATTTGTTTTCTTTTCTGGAGTGATATTGTAAATACTTTAAAGATTTTGATTGAGTGAGAGGTGTGAGCTATATTTTCTTCTTTCCTGTATGATATACATACGTTGTTTCCAATCTCATTTCTATTAAATAACTATAGGAGAGCCCACAGCCTTGTTATTTTACATATCACTATTTAGATATTTGTTATTTATTTATTTGTGTTGGCCTGAAGTAAATGTTACTTTTGTACGATATTTGAAGGATAGATTTATTTTATAAATTAATAGTTTAAATAAGATTTTGCCAGCATTTGAAATGAACAAATGTTTGGACAATGAAAACATCAGTATGAAAGGGAATACTGTAATTACTTTAGTACATAGTATTCCTTAATATCCATTAAAATTGGTCCAAGCAAACTCTAATTATGAACATCATATTAACATTTGATCTAATTACTGAATATAATTAAAAGCAAAATAAGTTAATTTACTAAAGAATTCTGAAATTTACTATTTTCAGTATTTCAGGATAACCAACATCTTTTTTCTATTAATCTAGAATAAATTTCCATATATTAATGTTGTTTACTTTTAATGTTAGTGTGCTCAAAAAGTATTGTTAACTTTTAAAATTCAATTCTACAGATAATATTCTTTTTATCTCAGGAATAGATCATCATTAAAAACTATTAATGTCACTGAAACATCATTGGAGTTATCAGATTTGGATTATAATGTTGAATACAGTGCTTATGTAACAGCTAGCACCAGATTTGGTGATGGGAAAACAAGAAGCAATATCATTAGCTTTCAAACACCAGAGGGAGGTGAGTTAAGGATGTATGCCAATTAAAAGAATGTTCTTTTTCTTTAAAAAAAAAATCCTGCCCAGAAAAATATTCAAATATCAAAATGTATGATGAAGCCTAATATTCATCATCAGTTTGATGAAAAATTGCATTTTGATCACTTTTTAGCTGTGTGATGTTGGGAAAATTAATCTCTGTGTGCCTCAATTTCCCATTGGTAATGTGGAAACAGTATCATTCTACTTCACAGGGTTCTTATGAAGATTACATAAGTTTATATTTTTAAAAGCACTTAGTACAGAAGTTACTTGACAAATAGAATTTTATGTGTTTATTAAACGAAACAACATAAAATGCATGAATCATTTGTCTATGACTTTTATTATTCAATATAAAAATTCTAAGTTATATTAGAATTTCAAATTATGTATTTTGTATTGGAAACCTGTTATAATATTGTTCTCATATCCAGAGCAGTGGACAGGTTTTAGAACGGAGATAGTATTTTATGGGTAAGAAATCTATCTGTCTTCAGCTTGAATATGCCTATAATAAAGTATTAGAGGGGTGACCCAATGTGTTTTATGGATTTCATTTCTGACATTTCTAATTCAAGCTTTTTTGAAAAACATTTTTTATCACTTTAATTTATAAACTGTAGGTAAAATTCAGGCCATTTCAGACATTACTTGTAAACACAAATACAGTAATTTGTTCAATTATTTGTTTTATAGCACCAAGCGATCCTCCCAAAGATGTTTATTATGCAAACCTCAGTTCTTCATCAATAATTCTTTTCTGGACACCTCCTTCAAAACCTAATGGGATTATACAATATTACTCTGTTTATTACAGAAATACTTCAGGTACTTTTATGCAGGTAAGAACTGAATTTTCTTCTAGTTCTTTATTAACATCCTTAAGTTTTATTAATAATACAGACTTGTCACAGTAAAAGAAATTGTTTACCTTACATTGATAATTAGGCACAGATGTATTTTATAAAACTCCCATTGACATAGAAAAATGCGGTGTAGAAATGTCAGATACATTTAATCTCTCTTTACAGACACACACACACACACACACATACAACTTCTATATAAGCTTCACATGTATTAAAAATAGTGAATCTGCCACCTACTGAAAATTCTGTTTATAAAGATGGCCCTCAATTACACTTCCTCCAATAAGTGTTCTCTAAAGTGCTGATGGTATCATTTATCCTCAAAGTTATTTATTAGCTAAATTTTTTTTCATTTGTTTGTATATGATATAAATAGTTCTAGTGTTTGGATGTGTTTGTTTTTCTTTAATTAAAAAAAGTTTTTGATAGCAGGAAGGGTTATTATAATAATAGTATATTAGTAGTTAATGTTTAATGTCAGATGAAATGAAGACCACTCGGAATGTGTTTAATTAATTTGTCATAGATAAGATTCTAGGCTTGCACAGTTTGTAGATGGGCACTCTCTAGGATGTGAATGATGATGGCTATGAAAATAGCTAACATGCATTTACTTTGAAAAAATATTTTCAATTTTCAACAGAATTATATTATTTCTTCAAATTAGATGTTTCACAGAACTCTAACATATAAAAAGGATAATTGGAATGATTATGATTGAATCAAAGATGCAGAGAGCTGGAATATAATTAGAAAAACACGGCCGGGCGTGGTGGCTCACGCCTGTAATCCCAGCACTTTGGGAGGCCGAGGCGGGCGGATCACAAGGTCAGGAGATCGAGATCATCCTGGCTAACACGGTGAAACCCCGTCTCTACTAAAAATACAAAAAATTAGCCAGGCGTCGTGGCAGGCGCCTGTAGTCCCAGCTACTGGGGAGGCTGAGGCAGGAGAATGGCGTCAACCCGGGAGGCGGAGCTTGCAGTGAGCTGAGATCCCGCCACTGCACTCCAGCCTGGGCGAGAGAGCGAGACTCCATCTCAAAAGAAAAAGAAAAACACGAATTTAGAAGAAATGCTGCAATGTACAGAATACATCCCTTAGTGGTAGAAATTATTGACCACATGTTTGTGTCTTAGGTGATTCTTAATTATTTCTATCCTTTTAAGTAAAAGAAGAAGAAAGATAAGTCTTACAAATTCTGAGTTACCTAATCCCATTTGTGACTGACAGCCCAAGTTTAGTCACTAGTTAGCTCTACTGAGTAACAGCCTCTGTAATTAAGACTTTAGTGCAGCTATAGTGCAATGTAGGCTAATGAAGAGGGCAAGAGCAGAACTTGCAAGCTATCTCAGGACTAACCTAGCAGGGAGAAAGACAAAGTCCAGAAGGTGGTTTAGTGTTTATATTCTGTTCTATAAGAGTAGGGTTGTATAAGTCTGTCTATTTAAAACTTGATGCAAAGAGAAAACTACTTTATAAAAGACATGTAGATATAATTATAGCTGTAATGAAAGACATGTAGATATAGTTACAGATGTAATCGTAAATCAACATTTTTGAACAAATGCCTTAAGAGCAGAAGGAGAAAGGAAGGTCTAGTTTTCTACTCTCTATGTCACGCAGTTTTTGCTTTTTGTTTTGTTCTCTGTAGGGAAGAGAAATGGGGCCTAGAGAGGCAATTTATTTTTTAACCAAAATGTTGTTTACAATTGTAACAATATGTCATTATACCCATAGAAGATATGCAAATTGGAGATTTTCCTTCTTTTATGCATTTAAAAAACATTGCACAATTGTTCCAGTAGTTCTAAATTTTAGCAATCATTTTGTCTCTGTACAATTTACTTATGGCTTCTATGTGATTTATATTTTGGTTCTCTTTGTCCATATCTAAATAATATAGCATAAGTATCAAACTATGGTTCCAACGTGATCTTCTAAACCTACTTATTCACACCTGGGTGTGTAATATGATCTAATTTGCAATTCATCTGCCTTAGAACATGTTATCTTTTATTAAATAATCTTAAGAATGCTTTTAAGTGTGACAGCTGCAAGAGGGCACAGGCTAATGATGTTAAAATATTTCAGAAGTATAGTCTCATATTGCTTGAAGTTTATCCGTGCTTTAACTTATTCCTAAAGTTAATGTTAAAAATAGCATCAATACCTTCACTACCTAATTTTCTATTTTGAATTAGTGGAAGAAAGCCTCAAAATGAAAATTATGTAGCAGAATAAGTGTATACCTTTTTATTTGTTCCTTATCATCTTTCCCCTTCCTACAGAACTTTGTAGAATATGTCATGCATGGCATATCATGTTCTGCCTCCTATTACCGATAACTGTTGCTTCTCTTAGTTCCCTTATGCCATGACAAGCATCTTGTAGAAAAAGAATTGTGTAATATTTATTTTTTCATCTCCAAAAGTCTTCTGCAACTATGTCAGACATAGGTTTAATGCTCAATACATATTTTAATTGAAAGATTTAAAAAATATTATAGTAGACCAACATCACTTTTAGTACATAGTCATAATTTTGGAGCCCTTGAGTATGTAGCGAAGCCATCTTTCCTTTTTCTTATCTTGGAGAATTTAACCTCTTTGCTACTACTTGGCAATCCATATTGTTCTTCCTTCAGTTGTTGCACATTGTATTTTGTACAGCATATTAACTTTTCTACTTTTTAAGTTTTACCCACTTATGTTTCCTTAGTGTGCCTGGCATAATGTCTTCTATTTTAAAAAGTGTTAAATGGGCCGGGTGTGGTGGCTCACGCCTGTAATCCCAGCACTTTGGGAGGCTGAAGCAGGTGGATCACGAGGTCAGGAGATCGAGACCATCCTGGCTAACAAGGTGAAACCCTGTCTCTACTAAAAATACAAAAAATTAGCCGGGCATGGTGGCAGGCTCCTGTAGTCCCAGGTACTCAGGAGGCTGAGGCAGGAGAATGGTGTGAACCTGGGAGGTGGAGGTTGCAGTGAGCCGAGATCGTGCCACTGCCCTCTAGCCTGGGCAACAGAGTGAGACTCTGTTTTAAAGAAAAAAAAAGTGTTAAATGAATATTAGTTGGTTGGTCAAATTTGAAAAAGTTTTACTAAATACCTTCTGACTATATTTATATAAACAAAAGAATAAGCCTTACTTAGATAATTTGTGCCAAAAGACATTTTGTTTTTGCAAAAATAAACAGCTGAATAAAATAATCATCTGGATAATTGATTTAATGTTACAAATTTGTTACATGCCTATGCACATTAAGTCACACAGTCAGCAGGAATGACTTCTGGGTGATTCAGATAATTTGTTATGTATTAGCCATCAAGGTCATAGGTAATCAGAATAAATTCTATAACAAAAATTAAAATTTACATCAAAAAGCTATGTTAATACTTTTAAGTGGTGCTTTATATAAGCCAGTTGTTCCATGTGTAAAGTAGATGTATTGGAAGGTATTAAAGTTCATGGATCATATTTTGTGTGAGATTGCTATATTACTTTAACTTGTCTATTTCTATGTAAATCACCACAAAATTGTAGTAAATCTTTTATTGCACTATATTTTTCCCTGAATACTGGCAAAAGAACCATAAAATTTTGCTAATTTAATTTGTTGATAAATTTCAGAACCATTCTTACTATAAATTTGGTAAATTTGCTTATCCTATGTTATTCATTTAAATGAAACTAATTACTGTTTTTTTTTAATTGTGTGCTAGACATGGTATTAATGGCTTTTTGTGCTTCATGTCATCTAATCCTCACAAGTTGTCTGTGAAGTGGAGATGATTATTTCCATTTTACAGTTGAAGGAAGAAAAGCTTTGAGATTAAATGATTTATCCAGGATACCCTGACAGAATTTGAATGCAGGTCTATAGGACTTAAATGGCTTCATGTGGATTGGAATGATTCAGGTTACTCTGCAGATGGAAATTATAAAATTATTCATACTGATTAGCTATGTGTTTAAGTCTCCTTTTATTTTAGAATTAATTTTATTTGGCTATATGTTTTATTTTTAAAATTTGATAGGAAAGAAAATGATTACATACATACCCTAATACTTTTTTTTAAGCCTTGGGGAAAAATGCAACTAGGAGTCAGTCAAGAGAATTTAAAACTTTCTCTTACTCTACACATCAGAGAGTACATCAGTCTGCTATCCCTTTGCTACAACTGTGAGAAGTAAAGTCTGAAAAGAAATGTGAAAGTCTGAAAGCCCACTAAATGTGAATAATAATAGCGATTTGAGTTCATAGAAACAGGCAAACACATTCGAAATTCCTTCATCACAAATGGAAAGAAACACAATTAAAAGTTTTCTAATACTCCCAAACTTGTTTAAAATTAGCTGATGCTTTGAAAATTACTTGAATGTTTTTATAAGGAAAGTGATGCTGATCAGCACAGTTGTAGCATTTCCATTTGGCCACTTGACATTCTTCATTGTTGGCTTGGAGTTTTTATTCTTTGCTATTTTTTTGTATTGGCTTTGCAATAAAAACCACCATCTATTTCTCTTTTAGTACAAACATATTTCCAGTTTAATTGTTGCAATAAAAAATGTTCTATGTCGATTTTCCTAAAACAACATATTAAAATAATGATAAATAGTAAAATCGATCCATTGATAACAATTAGTTTGAAGTGTTCATGCATACTAAAAAAATACATTCTGAACAATGAATGTGTTTATTTTTCAGAATTTTACACTCCATGAAGTAACCAATGACTTTGACAATATGACTGTATCCACAATTATAGATAAACTGACAATATTCAGCTACTATACATTTTGGTTAACAGCAAGTACTTCAGTTGGAAATGGGAATAAAAGCAGTGACATCATTGAAGTATACACAGATCAAGACAGTATGTAAACAAAAAACACTAATCTTTAATATGATTAATTTAAAACTTATTATTTTAGGAAATTTTACTATTTGTTTGAATTTGTAATAACATCTTTTATTTAGACACGTTCATTATAGGAGTTTGAAAATGCAATTAATATACTTACAAAACTATTGCAGTAATAGCCTCTTCTGTTCAAGAAAACTGCTAACATCCGTTCATGAAAATTCTGTTCTTTTTATTGCTTCAAAAGATGTCGTGGCCATCCAGTTATGGGCACAAAAAGTACTGCATACATGGATGAATTTTCCAGTAGTTAATTTATTTATTCATTTTCCTTAAGGACTTAAAAAATCTCTAGCAACTTGTTTTCTTTTCAGACTTTGAATCTACACAGGACTCTGCAGCACATCTCTTCTCACTGTGTTTGTGACTAATATATCCAGAGTATTTTCCTTAACTCCAGAAGTTTCTCGTATGCATCTTCTGAAGAATCCTATTTATCCCGAGTATTCAGAAAACTATAATGATTGAAGATCTTGATGTTTTTTATGTTTCAATTTTCAGAATACAGTGATAAGTGGATCATTGCCTATTTTTCTTGTAGTTGTTTCTGTCATCCATTTGCTTATTTTCAAAGATTAATCCCTTATTGAGAAGTGGCAGTGACCTAAACTTCTGGAGTAAAACTCCATGTTTATTATCTGAAAGCCATAAATTGACAGATTCCTTAAGCATGAGAAGTGAATGCTTGATTTGTTGTTGGAACAGTCTTTTGAATTGTTGACAAGTTGGTCAACATAAAAATAAATGATAAATGTGGGGAAATATGTATTTGGGGAGTCTTTAGCAAAAATGTTATATTGTAATATATGATCAATACCATTTCAGGCATTCTTTAAATGCAGATCTCTCCCAGGATTTTTGCCAACCTATGACATTTTATCACTTATAATTTCCACACCATGGATAATAAGCACTTACTATGCACTACTCCAGGTGGATGTCAAATTTACGTTAATAGAGTTTAATATCACAATACAACTTATATCTGAGAATTGGAACTTGTGTGTAAGTAGAGTAACTTTGTAATGTACAAATGTGAGTTGGTAGTCTGGTGACTGGAGAGATTTTGAGACTAGATCTTGGGAAAGCTTTTAGTATTGATTCTTCTGGCTACCCACATGACCTTGGAGAAGTAACTTAATGGCTGAGCTTTAGTTTCCTCATATGTACAACAAGGGTAATATTTAGAAGAAATAAGCTAAAAAGATGGTTTAAATAACATAAATTATCAAAATATTTAAATAAGGCAGTATACATACACATATTATGCACACACACGCACACACACACAATCTCCACATAGTAGGAAAGAAGAGTCAAGAGAATATTATAGAAACAATTCCCATACATATTAAAGATGACAGAGTTTATTTTGAATGATTTTTAAAATAATTATTTAGAAGATATTTTATAATAGGTGAATGTTTGCCACATCTGCATTTAAATAATTTAAGAGCTGATGATGTAATAGTTGCCATTTCAACAATTATACTCAGTTTGTGAATTTAGATTCTGTTTAGGGTAACTGATGATTTTTGTATTTTGCCCATTACCTATCATAGTACCTGAAGGGTTTGTTGGAAACCTGACTTACGAATCCATTTCGTCAACTGCAATAAATGTAAGCTGGGTCCCACCGGCTCAACCAAACGGTCTAGTCTTCTACTATGTTTCACTGATCTTACAGCAGACTCCTCGCCATGTGAGACCACCTCTTGTTACATATGAGAGAAGCATATATTTTGATAATCTGGAAAAATACACTGATTATATATTAAAAATTACTCCATCAACAGAAAAGGGATTCTCTGATACCTATACTGCCCAGCTATACATCAAGACTGAAGAAGATGGTAGGCTAGACCCTTTTATTGTCTGTTAAGCAGATTGTTGTTCTTTTCATTTACATTGCTTTCTGATAGGAAATAGTCTTCAATTATATTGATTCTGTTTGATCTCAAGTAATTAGCCTTTCAATAAACACAGTGTTTCTTAAAATAATCTGCTAAGAAAATCAAATCCCATTATGATTGAATCCTCTTTTTTTAATGCTGATTCACTTTTGTTTCATTTAATATTCTCTTTTTCTTTTATAGTCCCAGAAACTTCACCAATAATCAACACTTTTAAAAACCTTTCCTCTACCTCAGTTCTCTTATCATGGGATCCCCCAGTAAAGCCAAATGGTGCAATAATAAGTTATGATTTAACTTTACAAGGACCAAATGAAAATTATTCTTTCATTACTTCTGATAATTACATAATATTGGAAGAGCTTTCACCATTTACATTATATAGCTTTTTTGCTGCCGCAAGAACTAGAAAAGGACTTGGTCCTTCCAGTATTCTTTTCTTTTACACAGATGAGTCAGGTAAGCCAGAATCCACATTTCTTCAAACAATTTCACTGTTGCAGCGCCTGCTCTCTCTTTTTAAGGAACAGCATGGAATATGAAAGGATATCTGATTGTCTATTTGTAACAGCCTTACCATTATATTTACTTTGTTGATTTTTTTTTGCAATTTGAGCTTCAGAATTTCCTGTTCTGTTTAAAGCTACTTTGGAACTACTCTGTCCAAATACAAATTATAATTAATTATGATATTTGTTTCTGAAATTTAAATATGATCATTTTATAAATCTTTTTAAACTAGTGTCTTCAAGAAAGTAAGTCACGGTGCTATTTTTATGTTAAAAGTTTTATGAATGTAAGTTTCTTCATGTGTTTTCCTACAGTGCCGTTAGCACCTCCACAAAATTTGACTTTAATCAACTGTACTTCAGACTTTGTATGGCTGAAATGGAGCCCAAGTCCTCTTCCAGGTGGTATTGTTAAAGTATATAGTTTTAAAATTCATGAACATGAAACTGACACTATATATTATAAGGTAGGTTGATTATAACAGTATATGTTTATTTTTAAAAATCAGAAATTGAATTAAAATCTTTTGACATATAGGAGGAAAATGGACTACTAAATTAAACAATGACTATTTTTTTAAACTTCTTTATTTCCTACAATTTAAGGATGCTTATGGAAAACACAAGCAAGCGTTTGACAGATATATAAGCTGAATACTTCATAGAGCAATGTACTTAGATTTGTAACTTCCAGATATCTACAATTTAAGAAACAGTTGCATCATTTTGTTAATGCTGGAAAGTGTATAGTACTTTTTTCCTGACTTACAAATATAAAATGTATTTCTATCTATTGTTAACAGCAGCACCAAGGGAATCTTTTTAACCTTTTAGAAAGGTATTCATCTTTATTCTGGACTTCTGGTCATCTTTCCAGATAGCATATGATCCTACACTAATTGGTCTTTTACGATATATCCTTATTTTTTTTTTATTTTCAAGAGTAATTCATTTGCAACACTAACCACATTTTCCCTCCTCCATTTTTGGAATTCAGAATTAGTGAAAAATATCCACAGAACTGATGCAACAAAGAGTCTCAAATATATGTCTGTGATTTCTAGCATTTAATTGCCAAAATGTAATTAACAAGCATTTATTTAAGAAAAGTTTCTTATTTTTTTCCCCAAAGGCAAATGAAGTCCTGGAATGTTCTTATTTAGTTTACAGCAAGAAGAGTGCAAAAAATCTGCAGTAAATATTTTACTCAATATTATGAGTATTACAATTTATGACTATGGTAAATCATTGTTATAGCATATGTAGTTTACAAATTGAATAGTAAAAGTCAAAAGCAGGCATTAACTTTATGTCATCGGGAACAATGACTTTCTTTCTGGAAACCAAGATATTACTTTAAAACTTGATAGTCTGAGTATAATTTGAATCCTATTACTCCATAAATGTGAAATTTGTTTCCCAGAGGTGTGAAATAACATTAAATGACATGAAGCCTCTTGCCCTTTAATATCTATCCCTGGTTTAATCTTAACATTATTCCATTTTTTATTTGCTTTGTCTGTATGGGTCACTGGGAGATAGATATCAAAAGGAAAAAAGAATCATTTTCTCAGAGTAATCGCATTCCTAGGATAATTGTGTACGTGTGTTAGAGTGTGGTTGTCTATATATGGATCTTGTCTCCTCAGAATGGTGATCTGTAACATAGGCTCTCTTAGCATAGCGGTGAAGCAAGGGCTCTGACTCCAAATTACCTGGCTCAGATTCTGCCTTTGAGACTTACTGTGCTTCAGTAGGGACATTGCTTACCTCTTAATGCAAAATGGGAGTTACAAAGATGTGTACATTCGAAATTGAGGATTAAAAAGGAAAGTCTCCATAGAGCATTTTGAACAATTCCAAGCATGTGATAAATATGTTAGCTATTGTTGCTGTAATTGTACACAGTTTTTAAAAGAACAAAAAAACTGTCCAACATTGTAATAGCACTAAGCATGAAATGACAATATGCCATTATGTGAACATGAGAATAACTTGTATTCTAAGATTTGTAAACAGGTTTTCTCAATAGAAGCACATCTTTAATATTTCAGAAGTAGCAAAAATACCATCTTTATACCATTAAGTATTCAATACATCATTTGGGATGGGCAGTAGTTTTGTGTTTTAAAATCTACTGCGTCATGTTACTCCTTTTTACATCTATTTTCTCTTTCATCAATTTTCATAATCTTATTTGCTTTCAAATTCCTTTAAATGTACTCTCATGCCATCTTTTTCCCTGTCTTGGCATCTAGTTACTATATCTGCTTTCCTTTTTCTATTTCGCTTTCTCTCCTAGTGTGTTCTATTTTCCTTTCTCTTTCATCTACCCTGATATCCTGACAGTATCAATTTATATTATTTTCTCTGTTTTTCTATTCTTTTTCTTCTTTTAAATTATGTGTGCATTTGTGGAGGTAGAATAATGCTTGAACCACTTCAAATGTTACTGCTATCCCAGTCAATCCACTGTGGTCCACAGATAATAAAATCAATAGGTGACTTAGGTCACTCACACATACTGAAAGAAATTATTTATTTAGTACAAAGTTCTATTAAAATATGTTTGTAAGTATTCATCACTCATGTTTCTCTTTTTGACAACATATTCTTGTGTAAATCTGTTCACTATCCCATAAACTATTCTCTTATTATTATGCCCTCTTGGGTTCAGTTGTTTCTCTGGTTTTTAGCCCTTCCTAACCAAAATCATAATTTGCTTGTTTTGTGTTTAATTTTTTCTCATTCAGAAATTGTAGATTTCTCTAGTTAATATAAAAATTCCTTGATGGCAGGGACCATGCCTTACATGTGTCTATAATCTCCAGATTATCTAATGGCATGTTTTGTAAATAGTAAGCAGGAAAGAATGACTGAAATAAAGAGATTCAGTAAGCCCCTAAATTCAGTGAATTTCTAGAGATTATTTTAAAATAGGATTCTAATTGTAAATTCCCCAAGAATTAATATTCTTGTTAAAATTTCTGTTACTGTGATGTTTGATAAATGATCAACATGGTTTATATTTTGTCAGATATAATGTAAGATTCCTACATTTATATCACATAGGAGATTATCTTCTCTTTCCATGAGGATAGCTGATTAATCTTAGCTGCTTTCTTGGTTAGGACAATTATCTTTGAATGAAAACTTTGTACTTAATGATAATTTTTTTCTATGAGAAAGCGTATTCCTCCTTGGGCAACTATGATACTCTTTTGTTCCTTTTCTCATATCTCTAAAAACAGTGTCAAATTAGAAATAGAGGAATCGGCTGGGAAAACTCCCAATTTAAGCTTCATGGAAGCAGATATTTTAAAATTATTATTTTAAAATAATAATAATTTATTATTATTATATATAATAATGTTATTATTATTTATTACTGTTTTGCCAGTGTCTACATACAGTAGCTGAAGAATAAATAAATTTACACAGGAATGCTGTGGGTATTAAAAATGAATTTAGATGAGTTCAGAAAACTCAAGTATCTCTGACCATGCACAAGTTGGATTTAAATTGCAGACTGTAATTATGCAAATTAAAAAAAATGAGTATATAATTCCAAGTAAAAATCATGAAAATAAAACACTCTAGTTTTTTAAAAAGGCAATTATACGCCAGGTGCAGTGGCTCACGCCTGTAATCCCAGCACTTTGGGAGGCCGAGGTGGGCAGATCACCTCAGGTCAGGAGTTCAAGACCAGCCTGGCCAACATGGCTAAACTCTGTCTCTACTAAAAACTACAAATATTAGCTGGGTGTGGTGGCACATGCCTGTAATCCCAGCTACTTGGGAGGCTGAGGCAGGGAGAATGGCTTGAACCTGGGAGTCCACCTCCCACTGCACTCCAACCTGGGCAACAAAATGAGACTCTGTCAAGAAAAAAAAAAAGTCTAAAAAAGGCAATTATGAGGTTCTTCAGGGAAAAGAAGGTGCCCAATTCATCCTTGTATCATAAACTGAGCACACTCTATGGCACAAAATAAATGCTAATATTTGTTTTATTATAATTTAAAATATCCATGCTTATTAAACTATAGGTTAAATATAAAAGGAATAACTTCAATGAAAATATTCCATTGATGAACAATTTTTTGACAGTGCATTAACTAATAACTTTTTTTCTGTTTTTCAGAATATATCAGGATTTAAAACTGAAGCCAAACTTGTTGGACTGGAACCAGTCAGCACCTACTCTATCCGTGTATCTGCGTTCACCAAAGTTGGAAATGGCAATCAATTTAGTAATGTAGTAAAATTCACAACCCAAGAATCAGGTTAGATACAGTTTTTGAGCCTAAAATGTTTCTTTTTATATTTAACACCTTTCTTTTCCTTTTCTTAGTTTATATGATAAAGTATCATTACTTAAGAGTCTACTCAAAGGGAAATTGCATTTCAGTGCTTTACGTTTAGTCTTGGTCTTGTGTGAAATCATATGCTGTATGTGTGTTTATACATATATTTTCACACATGGTTTTTCCTTTTGAACAGAGGAAGTTGAAATAAAATAGTAGTTTGGGAACAAAATAGCCTTCTAGATATCTGTGAAAATTACCTAATTCTTAGAACTCTTTGAGACAGCTGGGGAAAAAGGGGGAAATGAACTAGCAGTCACTTTTAACGGGCTGATTTATATTTTTAATGAAACAATATCTATAATTTTCTTTTAAGAAGATTAGTTGTGACATTTGGAGAGCATGAGTCATTGCATAAGCCCCCTATGTTCCCATCATCCCATCTTTACCATGTGGCGGACACTGAAATATCATTGGTCTAATTCATCAACAGCTTACCTGCTGTGTCACACATGTAGTATACATGACATATCTTGCCTTTGTGTGCACACTGAATAGTTTTTATTTGGGACCTATTTAATGATGGCTTAGAAATGTACTTTTCCTTTTCTCAACTGCACCATACCTTTAAAAGCACCTCTTCTTAATTTTTTTTTTGTTTACTTCTGTCAATGTTTATTGAATGAGCAAAAGATCCCGTTCTAGTCATTTCTTCTTATCAGCTCTGGATGCACTTCCTGGTATGTTAGTGAATCTTTAAATCGAGATTGTAGACCACTGACTACTAAATTAATCATTTCTGCATAAATTTATGGCTACCTGACACTGTTTTTCGTGCATTTCTGTAACAAATGCAAAATAAATAGCATTTATAATGGATAAAAGTACATGCTGTGAAGTCATTTTCTGGATTTGAATTTGAGCCCCATGACCTACTAGTTGTATAATCTTGGCAAAGGCTCATGACTCTGTGAGCCTCTGTAACCTTAACTGAAAAGAAGCACATATTAGCAGTAGCCATCTCATAATGTTGTTGTCAAAAATATTTGGAAAGATCCACATAAAGCACTTTATAGAGTGTTGTACACACAGTAAATGCCCACTTCATAGAGTGTTGGACACACAGTAAATGACCCCTGAATATTACTGTTGCCCCCATTCCCATGTTACAGATGAAGAAGCCATGATTGAGCTAGATTAGATGAAAAGGACCTTGAAAAAATTAGTGAAGAACCTAACTAGAACATTGGCCTTCTGACTTCTAGTGAAGAGTGGACATGACTGCAGGAAATGCATGTTGTGAATGAGTGATAGAATATAAAAATGTTCAACCCATAAATAAAAAAATATTTTAATAATATTTGTACATGAGGACAATAAGAATCAGGGCTAATCTTGTAGAAAGTGCTCTGTAAACCCATAAATATTTTTTATCAGTAAGATAAAATTGTACCCCAACATTCTATACTCTGATTATTTAAATAAATAAAATTTTCACCTTTAAGTGTTTTAATATCAATGGTTAATTTTTTTTTGAGGTTCAAAAAATCAGGAAAATGGATATTCACAAAATCTGGATTTAGAAACTAAAGTTCAGCAAATTGTCAACTATCTTATGTTAACTTATTTTATAAAAATGTTCTTATATGATTCTGAAAACAAGGAAGTGAATAGTTAATAGCATTTAATTGCCAGATCCCTTGATCAGCCAGAAATTATCTTTAAAAAATTTTTTAATGCCACATATTCCCTAAATATTCTCCTTTAGTACTGGTGTCTTTATCTTACAGAGGAAGAAAAGTTTATAACAGCTCAGTTTAGACCCAGGTAGAGCGGTGTAGGCAGATCAGGGATCACCTGAGTATTCTTTAAAGCACTATGTTTTGCATAATGGCAGCAAGTTATTTTCTTTCAATTTTCATTGTTTGTAATCCACAAATTGACTGTGTCCCAATTTTTCTTCTACCATTATCTTTTACTGTGACCAGAAAAGTTATTCTACTAATGCCACCATTAGGGGACATTGGCTAATTGGACATTTCTGTGGGAAGTAACCAGTTTCTCTAATGTGCAGTCACTTTGGTGGGCTAGGATATTGTTCTTTGACCAGGCCTACCAGATATAGAGGACCTCTGAGAAGCTGGGTTAGTTTCAAGTAAATTCAGAGAAGCTCTAGAAAATAAGACTGAGACTCCTTAAATCTTCCTTCCAATGATGTCTACAAAAGGTACTTAAAAATGAAATCCTCAAGATTCTTCCAAAGAAGCCATCCCGGTAAAAACCAGTACCTTTAAATTAGTTAGGGGTTTCCAAGTACTGTGAAGCCCAGATTTGTCACAACAGGGAGGCACCTGCATCTATGTTTTGCATAAAAATGTTCCATAATAAAGTATTGCTAAGATTTTTCCTTTCCAATTAAGAGAGCAGTTATCAAACACTGCCTGGGCCTGGGCTTGAGGCTACACATTTGCTTCTGAGCTTTTGAGGATGTGATTGGTGCTTCGAACTGGAAGATATTTAGTGACTGGTTCAATACTGTAATGATTAATACAATAGCATAAAAAGCAAGTCAACAGCCTTTTGATTCTGTCTATGTTAATGACTTTTTAAGCACACATTGAAAATTTGATATATTAAATATTTTTCTAGTTCTAAACACAGATGTATCTAGTGATCACGTAATTCAATCAATTATCTACTTACATATGTATACACTTTAACTTTGGGCATATGTTTATCTCTTAAGTTCCAGATGTCGTGCAGAATATGCAGTGCATGGCAACTAGCTGGCAGTCAGTTTTAGTGAAATGGGATCCACCCAAAAAGGCAAATGGAATAATAACGCAGTATATGGTAACAGTTGAAAGGAATTCTACAAAAGTTTCTCCCCAAGATCACATGTACACTTTCATAAAGCTTCTTGCCAATACCTCATATGTCTTTAAAGTAAGAGCTTCAACCTCAGCTGGTGAAGGTGATGAAAGCACATGCCATGTCAGCACACTACCTGAAACAGGTAACTAACGTGAAACAGGTAACTAACATGAAACCTTTAACTATTTGGGGATTGTGTCAATACCACCTGCAATCTTTATAGCATACTTATCTAAACATACAAAGCACATATTAAAAAATACAACACAGGCTTTTTATCCCACGTGTTGCTTGAGTACCAGCTGTGTACTACATTGACCCTTCTCCAAAACATTGGGAGATTGAAGGGAGGAAAAAAAGAGAGATGATCCTCTTTACTGTATTTCCACAAATATAAAACCCCCACCTAATGAATTATGCTTTATTGTGATTTAAAAGAAGAAATAAACATGTAAACCTTTCATGTATATCTCTTTTTAGTCTTACTTGTTTTTATGGAATTCTAGATGTTTTCCTGAACTATATGGTTGCAGTATCAGACTCATTTTCATCTATTTTCTCCCCTTTATACCAGCCTTTATCTTTCATGTTATTTGAATAAAATATCCGGGTCGTTAAGCTTTAGTCCACAAGACGAAATTCTCACCTTCCCTAGCAGTGCTCTGTCCTGTATCATAATATCCTTCATCCTATTTTCTTCCATATTCTACCTGCTTATATAAATTAAAACCTGTTTCTTTCCTGATAACACCACTTCACTGTAGATATTGGCAATAATTGTTAACTTCTGGCACATCCAGACCCTTTATCTTGGAAACGTCTTTCAAGCCGTCTTGAGGCTGTAAACCTAGAACATCAAGACATAGTCTGCCTTCTCTCTGATTTCAGCATCTAACTCCACATCCTTTCCTTCTCATTCTTCCAGTGCAACATTTTTTCAGACTACGGTGTTTCCCTTTCCAGGATGGAATAGTTACATTTCAACAACACCATCTCTTTGCTCCTTAGATCTCATACCATGTCATTGTGACTTACCCTCCAGGAAGCTTCCTCACTCTGAGAAGGCCCCATTATTTGTTTTTTCCAAGATGCTGACTGGTAAATATTTCTAGGAAAAAATAGAAATGATTCTACTTTGTTTGTCTATAAATTCATCGTCCTTAATTGTCCCAGCTGCTCCAAAATTTTCTATGTATCCCTTGTTTATTCTTCATAGGAAATATGTTCATAGGAATACTCTCTATTCCATATGAAAATTGTTCTCTTTCTGAACCTAGTCTGTTCCCCCATCATCCATATTTATTGTTATTTTACTAATAATATCAAATATATTGATAGGCCCTCCTTCCATCAAAATTTATCCATGTCTTTATTTATGCCCTCCAGATATCTTCTCTTAGGAAGTCCTTGCCTTCCTCTTTCAGGGATCTAGCTGTTCATTTTCATTTTAATCTTATGTCTTCTCTAGGATATTACCCCATCAATTTATTCTAATATCTCCTGCATTTATCCTCTTTCTCTTTTTCTTGCACATTCACCCAAATTGTTGAAAAATCCCAACTGAAGACCTAGTTGGAGTATCAACTCCAAATATATATGAAATGGAATTTGTGTTACATGAAATCACTGTCTTTTTCTTAGTTTTCTATGCCTGTTCTTGACAATCCATTGGACCCCAAGCCTCATAGTTTTATACAATTCCTTACTCCATCTCTTCTACATACAATCAGGTCTTATCAATTCAATTTCCATCAGGGCTCTGCAATTTGCCCCTTCTCCACCTTGGCCACCACCATTGTATATTAGAGGGACCTTGTTGCTTCCTGTAATAACATCTTAACTAGCCTTATCACCCACACTACTTTAGCCTACCCATAAGTCTCATCTTTCCTCCTACTCACTTAATTGAATTGGTTCTAACATACAATTAGACCATTTATACATTGGCAGGTGAAATGTAATATCTGAACAATAAAGTTTAGACGTGTCAAGTTGGGTACCTGAAGCACAGAAGTAATAATGAAAGGCACCATGTGTAGGAGATGGGTTAAAATACTCCAAATATTTTGCTCATTCTCATTGTCTAGAAAATATCCCAGAATCCATCGCTAATTAGAATTTGGCTTCTCTCTAGCTTTTTATTCTTATATCCTTTTATTGTATCTTCTCATATAGCTGATGTCTCCAGCCAAACTTCATTTATTTAGCATGCTATTTCACTATTTCAGTATTTTAACTCAGAAAACATTTATTAAACATCTAGTATGAACTAATAATTGACTAGATTCTCTTCTTTAAACATATCCAACCATTTTTCATCATCAGATTGCTTTGCTTCCTTTAACTGTATTATTATTTTCCCTTTCTATGACACATAAAATTTTATTCATTTTTAAAAGCCCAGCTTAAATGTGCCTTCTTTATTAAAGCCTTTAATGGCATTTCTGGACTTCATCCCAGACTTGCTGACTCATAGCCTCAATGAGTGAAGCTTAAGAATCCATGCACTTAAGAATCTCTCTAGGTAATTCCGATATTCTGTATGTATTGGAGAGTACTGGAGTAGATTACCAGGAACTTTTGAGGACAGGCAAACAGTGTCAGAAAGGTCCATCAAGGGGTGACAGGTGTTTTCCCAGTGGGTGGCCAGCACATCATTGCTATGTGGAGTCTGTGGGAAGAAAAAATGTCAAAATGTCAAAATCCAGGTAGGTGGTCTGCATCAGGGTGGTCTAGCACCAGGTATAATGGTCTTGATCATTGGGCAGGAGCTGAGTCTTTGAGAACTGGCAAATAAAATTACAGGACAACATATCTGAAATAAATGAGAGATTCAGGAACAAGGCAGGAGATACTAGGTTGGTGCAAAAGTAACTGCAGTTTTTGCCATTAAAAGTAATATTGAGTATACTGGTACTCAAAGTGACAGCTTAGACACAGGAATGAAGCAGAAATTCAGTTAGTAGAACTGTGATTCATAATCCAAATCGCAATGTGCACCTGATGTAGAGCCACCTAAATTTAAGGTCCAGGTCTTTGTAAAAAAAAAAAATTATATATATATATATATATATATATATATATATATATATATATATATATTTGGAAATTTGAATTCCGTCTTAACTCAGGATTAAAAGGCAACATATGTAGAGATTGAGGGGATTCAAAATCAAAGAATTAAGCAGTTATTAAACATATTGTACTATGAACTATGTACTTTCCTACTACTGAGTACCATTGCTTCTCAAAGCTTGAATTCTGCATCAGAATGTGCAGCACTGTGGCATGGTTCTAGACTTATGGAGTCAGAATTTGGGAATTAGGACTCAGATCTTCATTTAAACAAGACATGTGAATAATACAATGCTGAATTTGGGAACCACTCATTTCCACCGCAAACTCTTTGCTTGTAGGAACCATGTCTTATTTGTCTTTATTTACTCACAGTTCTAACAGAAAGCCTTGGACATTGTAGGCATTCAAATGGTTGTAGAAGAAAGAAATGAATTGTTTTCTTCTAAAATTCATTATTTTTCATAGAGGTTTTTACTCCATTACAATATATTATTTCCACATTCCCATCAGGCAAAATTATAAATATTTTCTCCCATATAAATATAAAAATTCTTTAAGGAGAATCATTTATATAAAGCATGAGTATTAATTGCTGCTTCAAAAATATTTTGATTTTTATTTTTAAAATTGTTCTGCATCTAGTAGGTAATTATATTTATGATTACAATATTTATTAGGTAATTGATTTTTTATGGATTCACATGAATTGTTTGTTGATAAGAGGTTAGTAAGAACTGGGAATTTATTGTTCAGATTGGAAAAAATTTTACAGCCTGTTGCATACTTCTAATTTATGTGGTCTAAGATTAGTCACAGTGTATAGCCAGCTCTGAGTCACTGACTCCGTACTTATTTTTGACATAAAGTGAAATCAAATTTGGCTCACTCTCTCACTGCCTAGTGTCTGACCTTCCAGGGATTATTGGGTATTTTTTTAATGTAAACTTGGTCAAATCTGGATGCAGCTAAACATGTATCGTGACGATTGAATTTATGAGGAGATTAGTGTTTGGTGTCTAAGCTGGTTCCCTTGTCACAGTCAGATATGTTGGAACAGGGCAGTAAAGATGAAGGCCCCCAAGCTTGGTTCTACATTTTTAACAGCAATTTTATGCCCAAATATATCATATAAACCAATACAAATAATACAGCAAGTCCATGTGCATGCGGTATTTAATTTTTAGAACCTTGAATTGATTCAAAATGCACTTATTCATTTTACTATCAAAACTTAGCATAACGTGGATGGAACTGGAGGACATTATGTTAAGTGAAATAAGCCAGGCACAGAAAGACAAACTTCATGTGTTCTCACTCATTTGTGGCAGCCAAAAACTAAAACAATTGAACTCATGGAGATAGAGTGTAGAATGATGGTTTCCAGAGCCTGGAAAAGGTAGGAGGGGCAGGGGGGGTAGGAAAAGCGGGGATGGTTAAGGATACAAAAACGCAGGTAGAATGAATAAGGTCTAGTATTTGATAGCACAACAGGGTGACTAGTCAATAATTTCTTTTACATTTAAAAGTAGCTAAAATAGTATAATTGGAATTTTTGTAACACAGGAAATGATAAATGCTTGAGGTGATGGATACCTCATTTACCCTGATGTGATTATTATACTTTGCATTCCTGTATCAAAATATCTTGTGTACCCTGTAAATACATACACCTACTATGTACCCATAAAAACTTAAGATTTAAAATTTAAAACCAGTTAAAACAAAGCTAATAAATGTTGGGATTTAATATTTGGTTTTAAAAACTTGGTCTTTTGTGGAAGATAATTTTATAATTTGGGTTTATCCAGAGCTCTTCCAAGCTCCATAATTTAGAATCAAAAGAGAAAAATAAGGTACTTCCCTCAGATGCAAAAATTTAATTTAGGGAAAGTAAAATGTGTATTTCTGGTTTTTAGGGGTGTTCTTTTCTGCAGTGATTTCTTTATTAGCTTTTTGTCCAGTGGAAGATATCAGGCATATGCAGTGATCCACTGGAAATCCACTGAGCTTGCAAATATATTAATGCTACAATATGATTGACTTGGCATGTATTCAATTTAATTATCATCATCATCATCATCATCATTTTAGAGACAATATCGCACTATGTCACCGAGGCTGGAGTGCAGTGGCTTTATCTCAGCTCACTGTAGCCTTAACCTCCTGGGCTCAAGTGATCCTTCTACCTCAGCCTCCTGAGTAGCTAGGACTACATGTTTGCACCACCATGACCAGCTTATTTTTTGTTTGTTTGTTTGTTTGAGACAGGGTCTCATTCTCTTGCCCAGGCTGGAGTGAAGTGGCGCTATCTTGACTCACTGCAGCCTCCACCTCTCAGGTTCAAGCAATTCTCGTGCCTCAGGACTCCCAAGTAGCTGAGATCATAGGTGTGCACCACCACACCTGGCTAATTTTTGTATTTTTAGTAGAGACAGGGTTTCACCATGTGGGCCAGTCTGGGTATCGAACTCCTGACTTCATGTGATCTACCTGCCTCGGCCTCCCAAAATGCTGGTATTACAGGCGTGAGCCACCGCTCCCAGCCTGCCCAGCTAATTTTTTATTTATTTTTGTAGAGATAGTCTCACTATGTTGCCCAGGCTGGTCTCAAACTCCTGGTTCAAGCAATCCTTCTGCTTCAGCCTCCCAAAGTGTTGGGATTACAGGCATGAGCCACACACCCAATCTAGCTTATTTGTTAAATACATTACTTATATATTTTATAAGAATTTATAAAATTCTTATATACCATTTAATAGATTGAATGTGGGCAGTAAAACTGCTGCCCTTCTATGGCTACAAATTAGTGCACTAAATCAAAAGTTCACTTTTCCTTTGTATCCTACTTACATAGCTTTCCTCATCCATCTCCTGAATTAAGATTTGAAATAAAGGATGTAGGAAAGTTGCATGATTCTGATTGCTCTCAAGCAAGTGAATAAAAACATTCAACTTACCGGTGGGTAATCACTAGAAGCACAAAAGACATTATAGTTGCCTATCATAAATCAGAGGGAAATAACTATTAGTATATCTAATTGAAATTCAGGTGTTTTATACAGTATCTTTTATATAGACTTAATTATTAAATATAATATTTTTCTTCAGTGTGAACATCAGGTGAGGAATCTCTTTTTACACTTCTTGTAGTGCAGTGGACAGTTGACCAATATATACTTATTTACTGCTTGCTATGTTCAGGTTCTAGGTGTGGGGTTCAAGACCCAAGTTTGAGTGCCAGGTGGCATTGGGGATCTTTGCCCTGCACATCCAAATAACTCCATTATTATAATAAAAACATATTTAATATGTATAAAACAAACACAAACCTACATAATATGTTGGTCAATTTTGTGGCTTGAAGATTTTTTTTTTGAGACAGAGTCTTGCTCTGTTGTCCAGGTTGGAGTGCAGTGGCACAATCTCAGCTCACTGCAACTTCCGCCTCCTGGGTTCAAGTGATTCTCATGCCTCAGCCTCCTGAGTAGCTGGGACTACAGGCCTGTGCCACCACACCCAGCTAATTTTTCGTATTTTTAGTAGACATGGGGTTTTGCCATGTTGGCTAAGATGGTTTCGAACTCCTGACCTCAGGTGATCTGCTCACCTCAGCCTCCCAAAGTGCTGGGATTACAGGCATGAGCCACCATGCCTGGCCTTGAAGATTTAATTAAATAAATATTCAGGAGAAAAATATTTTATTGAAACTTTTTTGAAGAGTGAAATGTGAATTGGATGTTGCTTATTGATAGTTTCAAAATTGCTTTCTATGGGAAGTTAAGAACCAGTAACCTAATTGGAAAAGGATGATATGGCACATATTTGTCTTGAACCTTGAATTTCGTAGACAAGTACACTAATGTTTACTTAGATCATCTGATATAGATCAATAAAAGTCAGGTTTTCTAAATGTTCTTTTTGGTTTATCAGTATGCTATGAGAAAATGGCAATTGTACATATCAAAGAACATTCCTCTTTTATTGGAAATATCTTGGATGGTTAGGTTGAGATCAGAAGAGATTATGGGTTGACTAAAGCACTCATGGTAAGCTGCCCTCCGACACCCTCACTATTCATGAAAATAGTGAGAATAGTAGTTAGAGGAGAATAAATAGGAATTTCAAGATACAGCAAGAGAAAACACATAGTGGAGAAAGGAATGCAGTACAAGGGGTCAGGCTGAGACCAAAGCTTGACTACAGAGGAGGGTATTTTATTAGAAGGAGTGTAAGCAGGAAGGTTGAATAACTGAAGTGGACCCCTACTTACTCTGCTCTTAGTTTGATGTGACTGTCCCAGAAGTTTGAATCTGTTATAATAGAAAATCAGGAACTTGTGCTAAATTTAGAGAAGGAAACAACATAAGTAATTCTAAAAACAGTGATTGTTTTTGGCCATTTTCCTGAACACTGCAGAAATCTCTTTAGATGGAGGATTTGTTCATTACATATTTACTGAGCCTCCTAAGTAATACAGAATAAAATCTCCAGTCATTTCAATGGCCCATAAAGCCCTTCTTCTCAATCCAGTTATCTGTCACTTCCCTTATCTTGAAATTTATGCTCAAATGCTACCTCTTCAAAAAGGATTTCTGACTAATTTGCCCTTGAACGTCCTTCCTCCCAGCTAGAATTTTCCATACTCCTTTCCTGCTTTACTTTTCTCTTTTGGATATATTATATGTACCATTATCTGTGGGTCTGTTCTCACATGCTGCATGGGGACAGAGATTTTTCTTGGTTCAAACCTATTTCCA
Organism: Homo sapiens; assembly: GCF_000001405.40. Classification (NCBI taxonomy): domain Eukaryota; kingdom Metazoa; phylum Chordata; class Mammalia; order Primates; family Hominidae; genus Homo; species Homo sapiens. The sequence continues at coordinate 80,557,428 of NC_000012.12, forward strand.
ATGTCCAGAAAAGTATCTGGCATACGTGATAATAAGTATATTATAAATGAATGAATCAATCAATGCACAGGCCAAGAAGAGTGATAGGCATAGAGCAAACACCAAGTATGCATATGCTGGGTGTCTTAAGTAGAAACTTGCAGTCACAAAACAATTTTTAAACAGTTATGTATTAAAACATATGAGAAAGGCATGTCTTGATGAATGTATTTTCTAACTAAACATTTTAAAGATAGTTGTAGATTCAAATGTAGTTATGAGACATAATACAGAGAAATCCTTCATATCCTTTATCCATTTTCTTCCAGTGGTAACATCTCTCAAGTAGTGACATCTTGCAAAACTGTACACAAATAGTATATCAGATGGAAAACCTTTCCATCAGAATAATCCCTCAAGTTGCCTTTGCATAGACAGACCCAATTCCTGCCCACCATCCTGGCATCTCTCCTCATTCTGACCCCTTGGACACCACTAATCTGTTCTCCATTTTCTATAATTTTTTCATTTTAACAATGTTATATAAGTGGAATTATAAAGTATGTAACCTTTTTTACCCAGAAAAAGACATTCAACCAAGTTTTTTTGTGTAGCAATCTTCCTTCCTCTCTCTCTCTTTCTCCCTTCCTCCCTTCCTTCCCTTCCCTTCCCTCCCCTTCCCTCCCTCCCTCCTTTCTTCTTTCTTTTCTTTCTTTCTTTTCTTTTCTTTTCTTTTCTTTTCTTTTCTTTTCTTTTCTTTTCTTTCTTTTCTTTTCTTTTTGAAACAGTCTTGCTTTGTCATCCAGTCTGGAGTGCAGTGGTGCGATCTCGACTCACTGCAACCTCTGCCTCCCGGGTTCAAGTCATTCTTCTGCCTCAGCCTCCCGAGTAGCTGGGACTACAGGCGCATGCCACTGCACCCAACTAATTTTTGTGTTTTTAGTAGAGACAAGGTTTCACCATGTTGGCCAGGCTGGTCTTGAACTCCTGAGCTCAGGCAATGTGCCCACCTCGGCCTCCCAAAGTGCTGGGATTACAGACATGAGCCACTGCACCTGGCCTTTTTTTTTTTTTTTTTTTCTTTTTGGTATGGATGTACCACAGTTCCCTTAACCATTCACTAGTTGAAGGACATGTGAGTTGTGTCCATTTTGTGGCTATTAGAAATAAAGCTTCTATAAACACACGTGCACAATTTTTGTAGGAACATAAATTTTCCTATGTCTAGGATATGCACTGAGGAGCACATTGCTGAGTCATATGGTAGTTGCATGTTAAGTTTTTTTAAGAAACTGACAAACTGTTTTCCAAAGGAATTGTACCCCTTTAAATTCACACCAACAATGTATGAGCCATCCAGGTTCACACATAGGTGTATAATGATGTATCATTCTGGTTTTGTGTTTCCCTGATGGCTAACGTTCAATAGCTAATTGAATATATTTTTTATGTACTTATGTACCATCTGTATATCCTCTTCTATGAAATGGCTGTTCATTACTTTTGCCCATTTCCTCATTGGATTGTTTTGTTTTATTGTTGAGTTTGGGGACATTTTTAATACATTCTAGCTACTTGTTTTTGTTAGATATATGGTTTGCAAATGATTTTTGCCAGGCTGTAGCTTGTCTTTTCTTTTCTTTCTTTTCTTTTTTTGAGACGGAGTCTCGCTCTGTCGCCCGGGGTGGAGTGCAGTGGCGCAATCTCAGCTCACCGGAACCTCCGCCTCCCGGGTTCAAGCAATTCTCCTGCCCCAGCCTCCCGAGTAGCTGGGACTACAGACGCGTGCCACCATGCCCGGCTAATTTTTTGTATTTTTAGTAGAGGCAGAGCTTCGCAGTGTTACCCAGGATGGTCTCAATCTCCTGATTTCGTGATCCGCCCACCTCGGCCTCCCAAAGTGCTGGGATTACAGGCGTCAGCCATCGCGCCCGGCCTGTAGTGTGCCTTTTCATCCTGTTAGTAGGGTCTTTTACAAAGCAAAACTTTTTAATTTTGATGAAGTCCTATTTATCAATTTTTTCTTTTATGGATTGTGTCTATGGATGTCTAATTGCTCTAGCACCACTTGATGAAAGAGCTGTCTCTCCTCCATTGAATTGCTTTTTCTTTTGAAGCTTAGTATGTTGCTTGAAACTATGCTTGTTAATACTGTATACTGAAAACGTACAAAGAATAATGTTCCAATTTAAGTTAGATTTAAGTTAATGATGTTCATTAATAAGGACTCTTCAGATATAAATATTCCAGAATTTCTCTTAGCTTTCTAATCAAAACAACCATCAGTGAATATTACCTTACTTTGGAAGGTATAGATATACATTTGAATTAAATTTAGTTTTTCCAAATAACCCCTAATTTGAGAAATATATTCTATCTTGAAACTAAAATAATTTAATACAACTTTATTTTCTTCCCTCCCCTCCCCTCTCCTGTCCACATTTTGTAAAATCTGGTCCTGAATAAGTCACAATATAAAAATAAATGTACACTTAACTTCCACTTCCTCCAACCACAGGCTACTTTCTGTTCCTCAACCTTGGGAACAAGGTGAAAAACAGTAAGCAATTTGGGCAGGGCATTGCCAAAACAAGATTCAAGCAGCCACATGTGGACACCTCTTAAAAGAATTTGGGGAAACGAGACCAAAGAAGTCAGGTTTGATTTTTAGTGACAATAACAAACATGAAGTGACTCTTCCCAAGTAAGAGTGCCACTGGGATGTGGCCTGGCCACATGCTTACCTATGCTATACTTCCCAGGAAACCCTGATGCTCTGCTCCAGGAGAGACCTTTATCCTTTGGAGGTTCAGTGTCTTGGGAGCTCTTTGATTTTGTCAAAGAGATGAGCAGAGATTCCCTGTGGGTATTTTAAGGCTTGGTGTCAAGGTATTTTTCTGACACTGCTGAGCAAAGTCCATGTATCAAATGATCTGTTTCTAGTTTGTTTAAATTCTTCACATCACTTGTAGACCTAACATGGCAAAGCTTCATTATTTAATCATAATAACACCTACTACCCATACTAACTTATGATTTATTTTCTGTGCCTGGAAATAGTCTCTGTGTTTAACAATAATACCTGGATGCAAAACAATCCACTGTTATATGGCCACAAAATATTAATGATCTTCTGAAGGCCAAGAAAACATTTTAACTATAGTTCTTGCACAGAAATTCACACCCAGAATCCCCAAAATTAAAAAAAATTTGGACAACACAAATAATAGTTTAAGATACACATACATACAACACAGATACTCTTACACATAACATCTTTTACGGAAATGTGTTTAGTGAAACTGTTCATTTGTTGACAGCCACAGAAGTCATATTTTGCTAAATAGCTGCTCCAGCTGTTTTTTTCTTTGGAAAATGTATCACTATAGGATACCCTGTTTATTGCATAAGATAAAAGAAAAATATGTTGTGATAACCAAAAAGTTTTAAGGGCTTTCAAGTTATGTAAAAATGGACCTATGGACATGGTTAATTGTCCTCAGGATGCAAAATTGGAGCTGAAATAGTATATCAAACAATTGCAAAAAGTGTACTGCAGCTATCTCTTGGGTCAAATCTGGTACCCAGAAATGGAGAAAAGCCTCAAGAAACATTGCTGGTTGGCCCTCTGCCACTTGACTGTATGATCTGATCACATGTAAGTTTCACAAACGATTCATATTTCTCTGCTAGTTTGACGTTGAGAATTTGCTCATAAACCTCCCTAATTTTATCTTCTTGGTCCTTTGAGAAACACATAGTATCCCAACTTGTCAGAGAGGAAATTTGAGCTGGTCCTTCTTTATCCAGGAGAGACCTGAAAAATTAGGTGGTGTGAGTACTGCAGAGTGAGGCTGATTTTCCAAAGCACTAACTTTGTTCTGATTAAGAACAATTTACAATGGTCTCCACTGCTGGTAATGATTATCTTCTTTTACGTTCTGAAAAATCTGCTCTGGCTGGGAAGGTGCTGCTCACTGCCAGGTGGGATGGGCTTCAACAGAGAAGGTAGGGTGTATATCTGAAGCAGAGGTGGCAGGATTACGAAGACTAGGGCAAGGCAGAAGGCACAGTGCCATACCTTTGGAAAACCATGGCTTAGCAGTGCCACCTCCATCTCCATGGTTCACTCCAGGGTCACCCACCGGTCATGCCATGCTGTTGAGGGGCAGAGACCTGGAGCAGACACTGATATGACTGCCTGCACAGCCACTGGCTTCTCGGTGGTATTCAAACGCCAAGCCATTTTCCCATACTCTTTGAGTTTGAGGAACTTTTTGGAGATTGCTTGAGATTCTCTGCGTAGAAAATCATGCCATTTGTAAAAAGGGTCAGTTTTGCTTCTTCCTTTCTCATCTGTATGCCTTTTGTTTTTTCTGTCTTACTGCACTGACTAGAAATTTAGCTCTATGTTGAATAAGAGCAATGAAAGAGGACACCCTTGCCTTGTTCCTGATCTTGAGAGAAAGCATTCAATTCTTTTACCATTGTTTGTGATGTTAGCTGTAGGTTCCTCTTTATCGAGTTGAGGAAATTACCCTTTACTTGTATTTTTCTGAGAATTTTTATCTTAAATGGGGGTTAAATTTTGTCAAATGCTTTTTTTTGCATTGATTGATAGTATTCTTGCAATTTTTCATCTTTGCTTGTTAATAAGGTGGATTATGTTGATTGATCTTCTAATATTGAACCAGCCTTGGGATTCTTACACTGCTTGGCCATGATATGCATATTCCTACCCCACTTGGCATTGATGTATGTGTATATATAACTGATTTCTATTTGATGATATTTTGTTAAGGATTTTTGCATCTATATTTATGAAAAATACTGGTCAGTAGTTTGCTTTTTTGCACTGCCTTTATCTAGTTACTGTATAAGAGTAATACTAGCTGTGTGAAATGAATCTCTTCTAATTTCTAAAACAGATTGTGTGGAAATGGTATTCATTTATCTTTAAACAATTGGGAGAGTTCTCCAGTGAAACTATCTGAACTTAGAGATGTCTTTTTGGAGAATTTTAAAATTACATTTTTATGCTCTCAGGATGCAAAGTTTGAGCTGAAATATACTATCAAACAAGTTAGAAAAAGCAACACTTCTCGATAATTCATAGATTGCAAAGGAAATCTTAAGATAATTTTTAAAATACATCAAACTGAATATGCTAAAATATATTGAATTGAAATGAAAATTCAACATATCAAAATTTGTGAGACTCAGTGAAAAGAAAGAAATTTGTAGCACTAAGTGAATATATTTAAAAAGAGAAAATAGACCAATAATCTAAATTCCCTCCACAAAAGAAAGCCTAGAGATAGAAAAGGCAGAGAATCCAAACCATGCAGAAGGCAGGGAATAATAAAATGCAGAAATCAATGAAATTGAAAACAGAAAAACAGTAGGAAAAATCAATGAAATGAAAAGCTTGTTCTTTGAAAAAATAAATAAAATTGACAAATCTCTAGCAAGCCTGACAAAGAAAAAAAGAGAAAATTCAAGAATGAAACAAGTGCAGACACTGCAGACATAAAAAAAAAATAAGAGAATACTACAAACAGCTCTCACAGTTAAATTTTATATATGAGATGAAATGTACTGATTCTTCAGGAAACACACCTACTACACTATACTCCCTAATATGAAATAGGTAATTTGAATATTTTGAACAGTTGAATAAAATTAATACTATAAGTATTAAAGACATTAAGTGTATAATGGTTTCTTTGTTTGGGCTGCTATAATACCAGAAACTGGATGACCGATAAACAACAAAACTTTATTTCTTACAGTCTGGAAGCTGGAAAGTCCAACATCAGGGCACCAGCAGATTCAGTGCTTGGTGAGGGCCCATTTTCGTGTTCATAGATGGTTCCTTCTTGTTGTGTCCTCATATGGTGAAAGGGATGAGGCAGCACTCTGCAGCCTAATCCCACTCGTGATTACTGCCCTAATCCCACTCGTGAGGGCAGAGCCCTCATGAGCTAATCCCACTCATAAGGGCCCTAATCCCACTCGTGAGGGCAGAGCCCTCATGAGCTAATCACCTCCCAAAGGCCTTATATCCTAATGTCATCACACTGCTGTTTAGGTTTCAACATATGAATTTTGGGGTGATGCAAATATTCAGACCAAAGCAGTTTTCTTTTATACCACTCTAGTAGAGAAAGGGAGGAGTACGTCTGTTATTGCCAGGTAGGGGTAGAAATCCGGGTTTCCAACTTGGGCTTTGTTATACCCAAGGAGAGGATTTCTCCTTGCTCCTGGGTTAGCTTGGGATTTTTGGCTCCCTACTAAGTCTCCACTGGGATCACCCTGGTTGGGAGGAGTAGTGATACCTTTTCACTGATGTCCACATGTTTTCCATTGACATTATGGTGGAAGGGTCTTATTACTACTGGAGAGGGTGAAAATCTTGGCTCCCTATTTTGCCGTCTCTGACATCACTGTATGATGGTTCGGTGCCTTATTACTGCTAAGAGAGAGAAGAAGACTAGGCTCTGTATTCAACATTTGTCAGTATGGGAAAGAATGAGATCATAGTTTCTTTCTGTGCTTTTTTTTTTGAGTAGACTAGCAGTTATTGTCTGAAAATTTTCTGTCTTGCTAGACTGCACTGTTTTTTTTGTGTGCGTGTGCTTTTTAAATTTTTAGCTAGAGAGAGCAGATTTTTTTTCTTTTATTTATTTATTTTTATTAATATACTTTAAGTTTTAGGGTACACGTGCACATTGTGCAGGTTAGTTACATATGTATACATGTGCCATGCTGGTGCGCTGCACCCACTATCTCGTCATCTAGCATTAAGAGCAGATTTTTATGGGGGCTTTTTTTGGTCAGTTGGTTGGTATTTCCAGATTGCTGGCTTCTAGGATATATGAGACAAAAAGAAAACCCAAGGAATTCACCACTATGTTATTACTTGAGTGCTGCACTCTCTAGCTGGTCTACCTTCCTAACTCCACCTTTCAGCCTCCTTTCATTTATTGTGAATTTAATGATTTTTAAGTACATAGTGGGAGGAGTGGAAAGAATACATCTACTTCATCTTCCTTGAAGCAGAAGTTCATCCATGGGTATATTTTGAATATCAAGCAGGATACTTTTTATCCATCTATTCAAGATCAAGTTATTAAACACATATTAAGTGCTGTGGTAGAAAGTATTGGGATGACTGTAATGAAATGAATATATTTCTTGTGCTATTAAAGTTTAGAATTATATAATTTTAGATCTTCATTGAATCTCATAGATAACTTCATTTAGTCATTTCATTTTGCAGACATAGGAAATGAAGCACACAACTGAAGTGTTTGTTGAGTTTTCTACAATTAATTATTTGCAAAACTATTACTAGTCCAGAATTCTTTCTACTATATTGTCTCCCCTACCTTAGAAATTCAATACATCATTGTGTTCATTGGAATTACAGGAGTTTTCTTCCATTATTTCACAATGTCTAAGTACAGACATTATGAAGTAGGGAAATTTACTTTCATTATAAAACTTTCTTCATTAACATGTATAGATACATTTATAATGTGAGTATATACATACTTTTGTCCAAAGTGGATTTAAAATTCAAAAAAAACTAAATTTCTATGATCAAATCCATGCTTAGTCTATAAAACTAAAAATATTGTGAGTTAACGTAATAAGATCTGTAAAATACTGAGGCCATTATGGGAAATGTTTAAAGTTCCTACATTCATATCACATTTTTTATCTTGGATCAGTTCCAAAAGTGTAATGTTTGCTATTTTGAAATTATCTTAGGTATCAAATTCCAACTTATAAATTTAAAAGTTCTTTAAATGTAATTCCTTTTATAAAAAGTGAATTTGGGTTACTCTGCATAATTCTCCTTGACCCCACTGATGCTTTAATATCTCTCATTAAGTGGACTCCAGGCAGCCACTCTTTGCTTTATCCAAGCTCCAGCTAAGGCCAGCTGTTCTTTGAGCAGTGTTTTTATTAACTTATTTAGGAACTGGTGCATATCTTATTACCCTATTTTCCATTCCTGTCCTATGCAGCTGTAGTTGATACTTTTCATAACAGCCTTTACATATCAACCTCCTCCCCTATTTTTTTTCTTATTCTCTTTTACTTCCCTTTTTAAGTAAATTAAGCATGTGTGTGCATGCAAAAGCCCTCTTCTTTCTTTCTGGTAACCATATGACGTGAAAGCTTCAGGAATGTGCCTGTTGTTTGTCTGAGATTATAAACGTCATGGAAAAACTTTTACTAATGATGTAAACATTCAGAAATGTAGAATACATGAATTTTAATAATAGCAAAATTTCTTCAATGTTGCATTTAAGAAATTAATTTAGACCTAATTTAAAATCAATGCAATGTAAATACAAAGAAAAGGATTTGAACAGATAGAAGACTGTACAAAATACTACTAACCTCAGCTTACTGAATTTCAAATATTACAAGTTTCATGGCATATGAAAATACAAGTTTGAGGAGGGAGCTATTTTATAAATGTAAGACACGCATAAGTTGCAGCCACTATGAGATTAAACACATTCAAAATTCAAATAAGGTAAAAGTAGCATTTTTTAGTATATTAATAAGTTATCATTGCAATTTGAATTTTCACTACCTACTCACTACAACCTTGAATAAATCACCCATTGCTTCTATGTCTAGATACCTTTTTATGCAGAATTACTATTTTAAAAGCAACTTATATTAGAAATATAATAAATATTATTCCATATGAATTGCAATAATGAAATCTATACTTATTAAAAGATACATTAAAAATTAATAGCCCAAGCCAGGCATGGTGGCTCATGCCTGTAATCCCAGCACTTTGGGAGGCCGAGGCAGGTGGATCACTTGAAGTCAGGAGTTCGAGATCAGCCTGGCCAGCATGGCAAAACCCCGTCTCTACTAAAAATACAAAAGTTAGCCGGGCATGGTGGCAGGTGCCTGTAGTCCCAGCTACTTGGGAGGCTGAGGCAGGAGAATTGCTTGAACCCAGGAGGCGGAGGTTGCAGTGAGCCAAGATTGCACCAGTGCACTCCAGCCTGGGGGACAGAGCGAGACTCCATCTCAAAAAAAAAAATTAATAGCCAAATAGGTTCATTACTAATTAAAATAACGCTACTTTTGTGTTTTCATTTTTATTTTTTTGAGACAGGATCTCACTCTGTCACACAGGCTGGATATGCAGTGGCACCATCACAGCTCACTGCAGCTTTAACCTTTTGGGCTCAAGCGATCATCCTGCCTCAGTCTCCCGAGTAGCTGGGACTACAGGCACATGCCACCACACCTGGCTAATTTTTAAAATTTTTATTGAGACAAGATCTCACTATGTTGCCTAGGCTGGTCTCAAACCACTGAACTCAATCAATCCTCCTGCCTTGGCCTCACAAAATGCTGCGATTACAGGCATGAGACACTGTGACTGGCCTACTTTAATATTTTTTAAAAATCAAGATCACATTTTGTAATTTTTAAACACACTACATTAATGATATTTGTTGTGCATGAGAGGTCTAGCATTTTTAAACTTTGGACTTGAAATTTAAAGCAAAATTTGTATTTAGGTTGTTATCAAAGAAATGGTTAACTGTGTAAAACATGTTAAAAGTTGTGTGTGCACCTTAAAAGCTAAATAGGATGCCATACTCAGAAGCACTATTAGGAACTTTGACTGCAGATTAAACAGGTACCAAACAATAGTTGAAAGTAGTTGGTGACATACTTGGGCTAATCATTGCTAAGGCTTCCTTTCTAATATGGATGTATGAGAAATATAGTAAAGCCCATGATTGTTTTTCTATTAAAAATCTACATTTACAAAATATTATCTAGAAAGTATGAGTGTCTAGTACTTTTAATTTCTATATACATGCATAACCTGTGACTTGTTTTGAGTATTATTTGTACATTTTTATGGGAAAGCTTTTTTCATGCTTTTAATATTTTCTACTTATGGGAAATGTATATGCAGTGACATGTACAGAACTTGTGTACAATTCAATGAGTTTTGACAAGGGCATACACCCATGGAACCACCATTCATCCACCATATAGAGCATTTCCATCCCCCATAGAAAGTTCCCTTTTACACCCATTCTTGAAGGCAACTGCTGCCCTGATTTCAATCAACATAGATTAGTTTCACTTGTTCTTAAGCTGTCTGTGTTCTCTTATGCTAGGTGGCCTGTTTCAACATAACTGTTGCTACAGTTTTTTTAATTTGTTCTGTTAGTGTTGAGTCATTTTCCATCACATGAATATACTATTATTAGTGTGTCTGTTTTCTTTTGATGGACATATGGATTGTTTCTATTAGGAATGAAACTGCTCTAGATGTTTTTGTACAAATCTTTTTTCTGTAATTACAGGGTCATAGAGTAGGTATATATTTAATTGTTCAAGAAACTGATGGTTTTCTAAAGTAGTTGCACTGTATGAAATACATACCCAACAGCACCGAATGAGAGTTCTAATTACATTTCATTCTCAGCAGAATTTGGTGTTATAATATTAGCCCTGCGAGGTGACATAAAAAGTATATATTTTATTGTAACTTTAATTCACATTTTTCTGATGATTCATTATGTTGGATACTTTCATATGATTATTGGCCATTCATATACAGGCAGTCTTTGCTTTACATAGTAGTATAGGACTAAAAAATGATTATAGAAACTGAATTTGTGCAAAGTAATCCTAATAATCAATGTAGAAAATTATGATTGTTCTGTGACCTTCAAAAATTTTGTTACAATATTCAAAACTTCAAGTGTCAATTATAAATGTATGTGAAAACAAAAAATTATTTAGTATACTAATTTAAAACATTAGAAACATAGAGATTTTTTTGTATAAAAACTTATCAAGAATTTTTTTTCTCATTGTTCAGCTTATGTTACAGAGAGGGCCTCTTTTCTATGTTTCAGTTAATTGTTATACACTTTCAAAGTTTAGATCAGTTTTCAATATTTTATCCTTTGCACTTTCAATATTGTCAAATATCAGCAAGAGTTCTCTTGGTGTGAAATTTTTGTTTTGCTGTTTTTTACTTCCTTCAAGACATCATCCTTCATTGAATTCATCAGAACCACTTGCTTTAATTTCTGTCCATATTTGTCTTCAGTAAGTTGTCTTGGCTGCATATGTAAAGTTTCTTGAACAGCAGTGTTAACATTCCCATGGTCAGCTCTTTGTTCTGAAACTCCGTTTATGTTATATTCAAATTTCATTTCCAGCACTCTCACTTTTGTTGCTCTGCTACCATCTTTGTTAGCCAATATGTGTCACACGAGTTCATTGCTGTGAGACAAGGAGGCAACATAACTACACAATTTTCTCCCTGTGCATAAACTGAAGAACAAATGCACAATGACCAATCAATGACAGATTTTGAACAAAGTGATGTCACTGATTATAATGTGCATCTGTTATTTATGTAATGATTTTATGGATGAAAGAGCTAGAAGCAAAGTTTTCATATTATAAAATTTTTCATACCCAATATATGATAGTAACAAATTCAAACTCTGTTTTGAGAAGACAGGTGTTACTTAACTAAACCATAGTAACAAAAATTCAAGCACATTGGAATGTGCAAAGGACTGACTTATCTCCTTTAGGGAAGTTTCTGTTCAAGTCATTACTGCATTTTTCTCCTGAATTGTCTGTCTTTTTAGTACTGAGTTATAGGAGTTCTTTATACATTTTGGATACAATTCTTTTTTTTTTTTTTTTTTTTACTTTTTAAAAAATTTGTGTTCTCATTGTTCAATTCCCACCTATGAGTGAGAATATGCGGTGTTTGGTTTTTTGTTCTTGCGATAGTTTACTGAGAATGATGATTTCCAATTTCATCCATGTCCCTACAAAGGACGTGAACTCATCATTTTTTATGGCTGCATAGTATTCCATGGTGTATATGTGCCCATTTTCTTAATCCAGTCTATCATTGTTGGACATTTGGGTTGGGGACTGTTGTGGGGTGGGGGGAGGGGGGAGGGATAGCATTGGGAGATATACCTAATGCTAGATGACGAGTTAGTGGGTGCAGCACACCAGCATGGCACATGTATACATATGTAACTAACCTGCACATTGTGCACATGTACCCTAAAACTTACAGTATAATAATAATAAATTAAAAACAAAACAAAACAAAAAGAACAAAACAAAAAAAATTTGATTTTTTTTTTTTAATTTAAGTTCTGGGATACATGCACAGAACATGCAGGTTTCTTACATAGGTATATGCAAGCCATGGTGGTTTGCTGCCGCCATCAAACCGTCATCTATATTAGGTACTCCTCCTAATGCTATCCATCCCCTAGCCCCCCACCCCCGACAGGCCCCAGTGTGTGATATTCCCCTCCTTGTGTCCATGTGTTCTTATTGTTCAGCTCCCACTTATGAGAACACACGATATTTGGTTTTCTGTTCCTGTGTTAGTTTGCTGAGAATGATGGTTTCCAGCTTCATCCATGTCCCTGCAAAGGACATGAACTCATTCTTTTTTATGGCTGCGTAGTATTCCATGGTGTATATGTGCCACATTTTCTTTATCCAGTCTATCATTGATGTGCATTTGGGTTGGTTCCAAGTCTTTGCTATTGTGAATAGTGCTGCACTAAACATACATGTGCATGTGTCTTTATAGTAGAGTGATTTATAATCCTTTGGGTATATACCCAGTAATGGGATTGCTGGGTCAAATGGTATTTCTAGTTCTAGATCCTTGAGGAATCACCACACTGTCTTCCACAATGGTTGAACTAATTTACACTCCTACGAACAGTATAAAAGTGTTCCTGTTTCTCCACATCCTCTCCAGCATCTGTTGTTTCCTGACTTTTTAATAATTGCCATTCTAACTGGCTTGAGATGGTATCTCATTGTAGTTTGATTTGCATTTCTGTAATGACCAGTGATGATGAGCTTTCTTTCATATTTTTGTTGGCTCCATAAATGTCTTCTTTTGATAAATGTCTGTTCATATCCTTTGCCCACATTTTGATGGGGTTGTTTGTTTTTTTTCTTGTAAATTTGTTTAAGTTCCTTATAGATTCTGGGTGCTAGCTTTTTGTCAGGTGGATAGATTGCAAAAATTTTCTCCCATTCTATAGTTTGCCTGTTCACTCTGATGATACTTTCTTTTGCTGTGCAGAAGCTCTTTAGTTTAATTGTATCCCATTTGTCAATTTTGGCTTCTGTTGCCATTGCTTTTGGTGTTTTAGTCATGAAGTCTTTGCCCATGCCTATGTCCTGAATGGTATTGTGTAAGGTTTTCTTCTAGGGTTTTTAGGGTTTTAGGTTTTACATTTAAGTCTTTAATCCATCTTGAGTTAATTTTTGTATAAGGTGTAAGGAAGGGGTCCAGTTTCAGTTTTCTGCATATGGCTAGCCAGTTTTCCCAACACCATTTATTAAATAGGGAATCATTTCCCCATTGCTTGTTTCTGTCATTTTTGTCAAAGATCAGATGGTTTTAGATGTGTGGCTTTATTTCTGAGGCCTCTGTTCTGTTCCATTGGTCTATATATCTGTTTGGTACCAGTACCATGCTGTTTTGGTTACTGTAGCCTTGTAATATAGTTTGAAGCCAGGTACCATGATGCCTCCAGCTTTGTTCTTTTTGCTAAGGATTGTCTTTGCTATGTGCTCTTTTTTGGTTCCATATGAAATTTAAAGTGGTTTTTTTCTAATTCTGTGAAGAAAGTCAATGGTAGCTTCAAGGGGGATAGCACTGAATCTATAAATTATGGAGTCTCACTCTGTCACCCAGGCTGGGGTGCAATGGCATGATCTTGGCTCACTGCAACCTCTGCCTCCCGGGTTCAAGTGATTCTCCTGCCTCAGCCTCCTGAGTAGCTGGGATTACAGGCATGTGCCACCTGGCTAATTTTTATATTTTTAGTAGAGACAGGGTTTCACCCTGTTGGTCAGGCTGGTCTCGAACTGCTGACCTCATGATCTACCAGCCTTGGACTCCCAAAGTACCTGGATTACAGGTGTGAGCCACCACACCCAGCCTACAATTCTTTATTAGAGATATGTATAACAAATATTATGTTCCAGTCAATAGCTTGACTTTCTGTTTTCTTAATGGCACCTGTGCATAATCAGACGAGTTTAATTTTGATGAAATCTAAATTAGCAACTTTTAATCTCATGTCAGTACATTTTGTGTCCTAATTAAATATTGTGAAAATAATATCCTGGGTTTTATTCTAGAAATGTTATAGTTTTAACTTATACATTTATATTTTTGATTCATCTTGAATTTTGGGTGTGTAGTATGAGAAGTGATTCAAAGTTTTTTTTTGTACATTTATCAAAACATTTAATAACTATTTTAAAGATACTTTTATTTATAATAAATAAACATAGGTCATAATAAATTGATATAGGTCAATCACTTGACCCTATGTGCTTGAATTTATTTCTGGAATATATTTTATTCCATTGATTTATTTATCTGTTATTGTAATAAAACCACACTGTGTTGATAACTGTAGCTTTATTATAAGTCTTGAAATCAGTTTGTGTAAGTTCTACAAATGTGTTCTTTTTTCAAAATTCTTCTGGCTATTTTTGGTCTTTGCATGTCCATATAAACTTTTAAATTATAATGATCTTATTAATTTTTACAAAAATGCCCATGGCATTTTCATTGGGATTGCATCAGATCTATATACATGCATGTATACATCTATACATGGGGAGAATTGACATCTCAGCAATGAGTTACTAATGAATATGTTATTATTTCTCCATTTTTAAAATTATTTATTTCAGTAATGTTTTGTGGTTTTAAGTAAATGGATTTTGCATATCTTTTGTTAAAATTATTTGCATGTATTTAATTTTTTAATGTTATTCTAAATAGAATTGATTTTAGTCATTAGTTTGATGCAAAATACAGAAACACAATCAATTTTTATATTGACATTGTATCCTATGACATTGTTAAATTTACTTCTTAGTTCTGGAATGTTAAAAAAATTTAAATAATATTCTATATTAAAATTATTGTGTCTTCTAAAATTAAAAGTATTTTTCTCTCTTTCTTTCTTTCTTAACTCCATGACTTTATTGTTTGTTTGTTTTGCCTTATAGCACTGGCTTGACTCTCCAGTACAGTGTTAAACAGAGGTGATAAAAGCCAATATCCTTGTGTTGTTCCCAATTTCAGGGAGAAGGATTAGTTTTTCATCATTTTATATGATATTGGCTGTAGACTTTCTGTAGATACCCCTTATTAAATTGAAGAAGATTCTTTCATTTATAGTTTGCTATGAGTATTTATTGTGAATGGATGTTAAATTTTGCCACTTGATTCTGAATTTAAGGCAATAATTTGCTTTTTCTCTTTTATTCTCTTGCTGTGATAAGTTACATGGTTTATTTTTGAATGTTAAATTATATTTACATTCCTGGGATAAAACACACTTGATCAGATGTGTTATTCTACTATATATTGCTGGATTTGATTTAGTAACATTTTGCTTAAGATTGTTGTATTTTTGTTCAGGATAGGTATTGGTCTATAATTTTCTTTTATTATAACATTTTTTCTCAGATATTTACATCAAAGTTATACTACCCTAATATCAGTAGTTGGGGAATGTTCTTTCCTCCTTTATTTTCACAGTTATTATTTCATCCTAAACTATTTGATAGAATTCACTAGTGAAACCATCTGAACCTGGAGTTTTCTATTGTGGCAGATTTTGTATTACTTTGACTTCTTTAATAAATATAGAACTACTCATACTTTCTTTTTAAAAAATTTTACTTTAGGGCCGGGCGCGGTGGCTCACGCCTGTAATCCCAGCTCTTTGGGAGGCCAAGGCAGGCGGATCACGAGGTCAGTAGATCGAGACCTTCCTGGCTAACACAGTGAAACCCCGTCTCTACTAAAAATAGAAAAAATTAGCCGGGCATGGTGGCGGGCGCCTGTGGTCCCAGCTACTCGGGAGGCTGAGGCAGGAGAATGGCGTGAACCCGGGAGGTGGAGCTTGCAGTGAGCCGAGATCATGCCACTGCACTCCAGCCTGGGCCACAGAGTGAGACTCCGTCTTAAAAAAAAAAAAAATTATTTTAAGTTCTGGGATACATGTACAGAATGTGCAGGTTTGTTACACAGGTATACATGTGCCATGGTGGTTTGCTGTACCTATTAACCCATCAGAATTTCTATATCATTTTATATGTTATGTTTCCAAGAAACTTGACCATTTTATTTAAAATGTTGAAAATATTGGCTCAAGGTTTTTTGTAATCTGCAGTGATATTCCTGATTTTATTCATGATGTGAATTGTGTTTACTTTCTTTTTATACATCTTAATAAGTGTTTATGAAATTTATAAATTTTTCCAAATAACCAACTTTTATATTAATTA
The DNA here is from genome assembly GCF_000001405.40 of Homo sapiens. NCBI lineage: Eukaryota > Metazoa > Chordata > Mammalia > Primates > Hominidae > Homo > Homo sapiens. The sequence goes on from NC_000012.12 coordinate 80,573,811, forward strand.
ATGTTCTCTATTGTTTTTGTGCTTTCCATTACATCGATTTCTGATCATTATGATTTTCTTGCTTCTAAATATTTTGCCATAAGGTTCTATGTATTAGTTCCATGTGGTTAATAGTGTTTTGCAAAATGTCTGTATCATTATCACTTTTCCGCCTAATCGTTCTAACAGTTATTGAGAAGGAAATGATAAAATATTTAACTACGATTGTGGGTTTTTTTCTTTCAGTTCTGTCCAGGTTTGCTTCATGTAGTTTCAGTTAAAAAAAAAGTTTTTACCAAAAACATGCGTATTGTGATTGTTATATTTTCCTAATTAACTGATCCTTTGATCATTATAAACTATCCCTTTTATCTTTGGGGACACTTCTTGTATTAAGGCTTTTTTGTCTGTTATTAATATAACACATGTTCTTTTATTCGTGGTTTGCATCATATATCTTTTTCTATTCTTACTTGTGAATTATTTGTATTGTATTTAAACTGTGGCTGGTGGACAACAAAGTACGTCTCTTGTGAACAACCTATAATCAGGTCTTTAATCTTGTCTGACAACCTCTGACTTTTAAATGGAGTATTTACTTCATTTAGATTTAAACTTAGTATTAATTTACTTGACTTTGGATGTACTATTTTTTCTTTGTTTTCTATATGTCCTATCTCATTTTTAGTTCCTCTGTTCTTGCTTTCTTTCTTGCCTTCTACTGGGTTAACTATATATTTTTAGCATTATATTTTAATTCTTCTATTTGACTTTTAGCTATGTTTCTTTGTATTATTATTTTTCGTGGCTTCTCAAGGGACTGCAATATGAATACTTGACTTATATCTACTTAATTTATGTAACTGGAAATAAAATACATGAATTTTGCAGAAGTATTCCCATGTACTTCCCTGTAGTTTCTGCTGTTATTGTTATATTTTTTGTACTTACTTTTATAGATGTCAGGTTGTTATACGTGTCAGCTATATATATTAATATACGTGTGTATGTGTGCATGCACACTCGGTTTTTCAGCTGTCTTTCTACTGAGCTCCTTGGATTCTCCGTCATGTACATATAATTAAAATATTAGGCAAGGATTTAAGGGGAGTTTAGTCCCAAACTTTGGATCTAACTCCTCTGTTTCCAACTACTTTAGCAGCCTCATACTTTATTCTCTGACACCTCAAGCCAATAGCTGCGTTTTTTTTCCTTTTCCAAGTTCATACATGTTATCTGCAGAATAGTTTGATATAAGTTATCACCAGATCAGAGTTCCTCAAGTTGGAATATTTTGTTTTAAATTCTTAGCTGCTTTTGCAAAATTTTTGCCCAAAATATGAATCTGAGCTCCTTTCAAGGTTTTTATTAAAATATCTAGTCACACTGAACACTTTAGTGTATAATAGCCTTAATGTCACTTGGTGATGGGTAGATAGAAGAGGAGTTTACATTGCAATAATATATATGGCTTTAAATTGATTATTAGACATTTTTGTTCTAAAAATCTTTTGATCCAAGTGTGGTGGCTCACACCTGTAATCACAGAGCTTTGGAAGGCTGAGGTGGGAGGATCTTTTGAGCCTAGGAGTTTGAGAACAGCCTTGGCAATGTAGCGAGATCCCGTTAGTACAAAAAAAAAAATTAGCCTAGAGTGGTGGTGTGTGCCTGTAGTTCCACCTACTCAGGAGGCTGAGGTGGAGGATTGCTTAAGCCCAGATGTTTAAGGTTACACTGAGCTATGAAGGTACCACTGCACTCCAGCCTGGGCAACAAAATGGCACCCTCATCCCTGTAATCCCAGCACTTTGGGAGGCCAGGGTGGGCAGATCTCCAGGTCAGGATTTCGAGACCAGCCTGGCCAACATGGTGAAACCCTGTCTCTACTAAAAATACAAAATTAGTCAGGTGTGGTGGCACATGCCTGTAATCCCAGCTGCTCAGGAGGGTGAGGTGGGACAATTGGTTGAAATCAGGAGGCAGAGGTTGCAGTGAGCCAAGATCATGCCATTGCACTCCAGCCTGGGCAACAAGAGCGAAACCCCATCTCAAAAAAAAAAAAAAAAAAGAAAAAAGAAAAAGAAAAAGAAAAGAAAATCTTTTGGCAATCAGAGAGTTTTCTGTTGGTTGCTTTATACCACTGAGGCCCATGTCCCCAACCTCACACCATCCTTTGAGCCTTTGTTCTCATTGTTTCTCCTTCCATCTCTTCCTTCTCTCTCGCTTTCTCATATGGGCTCCTGAACAATCCCAATTCTTTCTTTATTCTTTCTTATGGATATTTTCCCAAAGCTTACAGTCAGAACTCCTTGTGTATATTTTAATCAATAAAGTTTTTCTTTACAGCCACAGGTTTTTTTTTCTTTTTGAGACGGAGTCTTGCTCTGTTGCCTAGGCTGGGGAGTGCAGTGGCACAATCTCGGCTCACTGCAACCTCCACCTACTGGGTTCAAGAGATTCTCCTGCCTCAGCCTCCTGAGTAGCTGGGACTATAGGCACGTGCCATCACACCCAGCTAATTTTTATATTTTTAGTAAAGATGGGGTTTCACCATGTTGGCTAGGCTAGTCTCAAATTCCTGACCTCAGGTGATCTTCCTGCCCTGCCTCCCAAAGTGTTGGGATTATAGGCGTGAGCCCCCATGCCTGGCGAGCCAGTTTTTAGAAGAAAAAAAAAAAGATATTTTAAATAACATTCAATTATATTCAACATTTGGTGGAACTTGTATTTTTGAAATCTGTCCATCCATCCATTCATCTATCCGTCTGTTGATTTGTTCACTGATTCACATTTTTGCTAAGCAAGTACTTATTAAATATCAATGTGTGCCAGGCATTATATGCTTATCTGTTTCTTCTGACCTTTTTTTTTTTCCTATTCTACTTCACTGTACATTAACTATTGATATAGACTCAATTCTTCATCTCTGGTGTTTTGATAATATGAGTACTCCTTTCAAATGTTCATTTACTCTCATGATTTCAATTACTTATAGATACAGGAATTCTCCCAAATTCCTTTACGTGACCCATTATGCTAACACAAACCTCTCCTGTGATAACTCTGTTTATCCTGCTAACAAGATATGAAGCTAACATTTTATTTCCTCATACTCATTCTTGGGTAAATCTCCACAAGCCAGTATGTCTTTCTAATTTCTTCGTCACTCTCAATGGTTCAATTTAGTCTCCAGGTGTTATAGGAGTGGTCTCAATAGATAATTAAGTTGGCTTTCTAATTAGTCTTCTAAGAACTGTTTCAGATAAACTATGTAAAATCAAAGTTGTCATTTTTGATAAATATTCTCATGAGATGACTTACTGCATGCAGCTGTCAAAACTAATGAATTTATAAATCAAGCCAGCTCATTTTGCCTTTGTATTAGTCTGTTCTCACACTGCTATGAAGAAATAGCTAAGACTGGGCAATTTATAATGGAAAGAAGTTTAAGTGACTCACAGTTCAGCATGACTGGGGAGGCCTCAGGAAACTTACAGTCATGGCAAAAAGGGAACCAAACACCTCCTTCTTCACATGGCAGCAGCAAGGAAAAGTATGAGTGCCCATTGAAGGGGCGAGCCCCTTATAAAACTATCAGATCTTGTGAGACCTAACTCACTATCATGAGAACAGGATGGGGGAAACCACACCCATGATTCAATTATCTCTTCCTGGTCCCTCCCATGACATATGGGGATTATGGGAACTACAATTCAAGATGAGATTTGGGTGGGGACACAGCCAAACCATATTGGCCTCCAAACAGAATATGTATAACTATATGTATAACTAGCTTTCCTTGTAACGATCCCTAAAAAATGACTTTTTCTTTGGAAGTTTTATTGAGAAATTTTTTAAAGGTAAGTGTTTCACAGTATGTAATTTTAAGACTAAAATTATAGCCATGGTTTATATTTGGGGCCCCAATTGTCCAACTATACATGCATGGGAACAGATACAAAACAATTTTAAAATATCTTACTCCTATTTCATGCACATTGAATACATTTATAAGACTAATTTGGCACATTAGTATGAATGGGTCAGTCCATATTCTCAGCTTTGTAGTAGCACTCAAAATCCTGTTTGTGTTTCATAACTTGATAAATACTCCAAAATTTCTCTGGATTAAGCCAGGCTACCAGAGAGAGTTGCACATGAACGGTATACTTACAATCTCTGAAGACATAGTTTTAATAAAACATATTTGAGAATTATTCCACCTACGTACTCAGAGTGACGTTGTAAGAATGGGAAATTTTTTTTTTTGGATTTTTTTAATTTTTATTTTTTATTATACTTTAAGTTTTAGGGTACATGTGCACAACGTGCAGGTTTGTTACATATGTATACATGTGCCATGTTGGTGTGCTGCACCCATTAACTTGTCATTTAGCATTAGGTATATCTCCTAATGCTATCCCTCCCCCCTCCCCCCACCCCACAACAGGCCCCGGTGTGTGACGTTCCGCTTCCTGTGTCCATGTGTTCTCATTGTTCAGTTCCCACCTATGAGTGAGAACATGGGGTGTTTGGTTTTTAAAATAAATTTTTTTTCCCATCCCAAAAAATCAGAATGGGAAAAAATTTTTATTTTTATTTATTTATTTATTTTTTATGAGATGGAGTCTCACTCTGTCGCCCGGGCTGGAGTGCAGTGGCGCGATCTGGGCTCACTGCAAGCTCCGCCTCCCGGGTTCATGCCATTCTCCTGCCTCAGCCTCCTGAGTAGCTGGGGCTGCAGGCGCCTGCCACTACGCCCGGCTAATTTTTTGTTGTATTTTTAGTAGAGACGAGGTTCCACCGTGTTAGCCAGGATGGTCTGGATCTCGTGACCTCGTGATCCGCCCGCCTTGGCCTCCCAAAGTGCTGGGATTACAGGCCTGAGCCACCGCACCCGGCCAAGAATGGGAAAAATTAAACATACTTAGTATTTACTGTGTATGGATGTTGTCGAGGACATTGCTTATTAAATTATGGTACCCTCTTTATGGGTTTTTTCAGAAGAAATGTATCTTTGGTTTCAGTATCAGAGATTATTGTATTTTTGTTCATTTAATTTATCTTTATTTGCGATAACAAAGATTTACTATCTTGCTTTTCCCTTTATTTTATTTATTTGTTATAAAGAGCCAAATTTATAATTTACTTCTAGGAAGTCTACAGTGTGTATTTTGTCAGTTAATCTAATTCCTGGGTTCATTCCATTTGTTTTACCCCTATTTTCTCTGTGCTCAATATACCATCACATCCTGTCAATATTTCTTTACATTTTTCTTTAGCTCTACTCCTAATTATTTTTAACCTACCAGATCATTGTAATCTATGTTGTGCTTTATATGTAAAATATCGAACAAGTTTTTATCAAACTTGCCTATTCCTAATAACAAGTGATATGAAGGCTCAGACTTTTAAGTTTATATGTCACTAATTAATCTCTGTCTGTTGTTTCTCTGTCACCTACTGTAGTCACCTAAACTGCTTTCAAACTTTCACTGCCTTTCAATAACACCAAACCTGATAATCCCCCACACTTTTTTCTTATGACTGCCTTACACTATTTTCCTTCAGCCTAAGATTTTTCCCAGCCCTTGACAAACATTTTGTTGCCACTTATGTATCTCTCCCCGTACTCAACCCACTGAATCCTTTTTCTTTCACATCTTTACTAATCCTCAGTTGTTCCTTCAAATTAGAGCTCCCAGATCTTCTTCTCTGTCCTGTTGCATTTACCTCTTTGTAGTTATTTCTATTAACTAAAATATTTTTCATCTATGTATGAAAAGGTTCTTATACATTGACTTGTATCCTGCCCACATCATTCAATGTGAATGTTCAATAAATGCTATTGATTAAATTCAAGCTAGTGCAAAATTTGTAGCTGGTATGCTGAAATATGCTTTGAACTTAACTTTGAAGGTATTTCCATTTTTGTATTGATCCATACTATATTAATGTTAGCAAATTTTACTTTGTGTATGTTTAAATTATCTATCTGTATGTTGTGTTTCTAAAAGGATAGTAGATTATTTAAAATTTCTAGAGACAAAAATATTCTTAAACTTGGGAAGATTGGGTTGATAATTTTGTATGTTTTATAAATATAATTCACAAATATAACTTTTCAGACATCTGTTTTGCTTAAAAGAGAGTACATCTGTTCCTGAAAAATAAAAATATATAGTCATAAATAAACAATTTAAACTTGGTCATCCAACTTAGTGTACTTATCCAGGTCAATGAGAAGTCAATACAAAACTACCTTCACAATCCTATCAGGAGAGTTTGGCAATTTCTAATAACTGATATTCAGAAGTTTATAGAATAATTACATTTTATACATGTATTCATCTTCTAAGTAGAATTTACTGGTCAGTAAAAACTCTCATGCATTTAAACCTATAACAAATTCTTGCTTATTTAGATCTACAGACCCTAATTTCAACCATGATGAAAGTATTTTAGTGATAAGAATAATTTATGAATAAAAATGTAATTTAGTGAATACCTTGGCAGTTAATGTTGATCGCTTCATCACAGTTCAGTCATGTTTAGAAAATCTAAGCAAGCTGTGTGATTACTCCAGGAAGCATGGAATGATGTGTTCAAATTAGTACCATCTGTGGATAGAAAAAGTTTGAGGTTTTTAGTCATTCTTAAAGAATGGAAATCTGATTCTCCATGCTGAAATGAGTGTAATCCTTTTTCTATCTGTAATTCAATAGGGCAGTTGCCTTGAAATAGTCTAGTTCAGCACACAGTTCATCAAAGAGAAGATACTGGATATAAATGAGGGTTACTGCTGGTCACTTATGAATACTTCTGAGGTAGCCTTGTTTAAAAAATTGTCTACAAGTTATACCATATATTTCACCTCAGATCAGATTCATTTTTGGTTTATCTTTCTAAATACATTTGAGTGAAAATGTGGACTAGATTTTGTACCACATGAAAACAAAAGGCTGTTTCAATGAACCATCATTTATTTCCACAGTCAACAAACACTTATGAGTGCCAGTATGTTCCAGTGTCCCATCACTGTGCCTGTCACATAATAGGAGGCTGAAATTGTCATTATGTTTCCTATAGCCAGGTTACAAATAACTCTTGCCTGGATTTAGTGGTTTTTCTTTTTAAGACCTTTTCTTCTCTGAAAGCTTAATTGGAGAATACTAGAGTCTGTGAACGAATATTGATCTGCTGAAAATTTTTACTGTGTAGCAAAATTTGCTAGTAACAAACACCAGCTATCCTAAAATCTGAACATTGGAGGAAAAAATAGTTGATCATAGAGGCATGGGCATCTAGTCATCCCTCCAGATGGGATTAGCAAAGGGCAGCCTCTTCTGCCTTCTCTAGTTCATTAGCTAGTGAATATTTCCCTCTCATTTCCAGTGGTTTAGCAAACTCTAGGGAGAGAAAATTGAAACATGGGAAAGGTAACTGGTAGTAGATCTAAAAAAGAATAAATAAAAGAAGGAAAGCATTTGTACACTGATTCTTATGAGGAAAGAGTAGAGTGTAAGATTTTAATGAAAACAAAAGTCAATATAAAAATTTTCAAGGCCAGGTGCCATGGCGCATGCTTGTGATCCTAGCACTTTGGGAGGCTGAGGTGGGCAGATCAGTTGAGCCCAGGAGTTCAAGACCAGCCTGGGTAACATGGCGCAACTCCATCTCTACAAAAAGTACGAAATTAGTTGGGTGTGATGGCACACGCCTGTGATTCCAGCTACCCGAGAGACTGGGTTGGGAGGGTCATATGAGCCTGGGAGGTTGAGGCTGCAATGAGCCATGATTGTGCCACTGCATTCCAGCCTCAGCAACAGAGTAAGACTCTGTCTCAAGAAAAAAAAAGTAAAAATTTCCACATAATAAAAACGATCATCAGCAAAATAAAAAGACAAATAACAGATTTGGAAAATATATCTTCATCAAGGATCACAAAAAGGTTATATTAAAGGCTTAAATAAATAAATAGCAAAGCCATACACCCAATAGAAAAAAAAGTAGAAAAAATACAAATGATAGTTTATGAAAAAGGAAATTAAAGAGAGAGAAGTGCAATAAGCTTCACACTGAAACAGAATTTTTTCCCTCTGAAACTTTTATTGCATACTCTGTTGGCTTGGGGAACAGGCATTCTCATGCATGTTGACAGGAGTAGGTATTGGTAAAACCTTTCTGGAGTGTGATTTAGCAATGTCTACCAATGCTACAAATATGCATATGTTTTACCTAGCAACGATTATCCTACAGATTTACTCACACATATGTGTGGAATATGAAAGCATAGGCTTGTACATTACAGCTTGTTTACTGCAAATATTGGACACAGCTTAATATCATTTCATAGAGGCTGGTAAAATCAAATTCGATATATCCATTTCAATGTGCTTACTCCATACAACTCCAAACACTGAAGAAAAAGGCAAAATATATCCAAAGCATATATATAGTGACCCTAAATCCCAGTTTCCAGGGCAGTCTGGGTTTATGCTTGCTGTGCTGGCATTTCATCCAATAGACATTGCCTTTTACTCTCAAAAGTGACCTGTCTGTATAACAAATAATTTGCTGCAATGGAGTGAATGTTTATTTCCCCCCTAGAATCATATGTTGTAGTCCTAACTCCCTGTGTGATGCTATTAGAAGGTGAGGCCTTTCAGAGGTAATTAGGTCATTAGGGTAGAACCCTCATGAATGGGATTAATGCCCTTATAAAAAGAATGCAGAGAGCTCTTTTGCCCTCTTTCTGCTATACAAGGACACAATAAGAAGCCAGCAGTCTGGAACCAGGAGGCTGGTTCTCACCAGAAACCTGCCATGCTGGCACCCTCATCTGACTTTCAGTTCCAGAACGTTGAGAAATAAATTTCTGTTGTTTGTAAATCACTCAGTCTATAGTAACTTGCTACAGCAGCCAAACTAAGACAGTCACTCTAGATATATTCTTTGGAAGTGAGAGAAGGGACTGGGAGGAAGAAGAGAGTCGGATATGAGGTTAGATGAAAAGAAAGGGAAGGCTGCACTCCAGCCTGTGCAACAGAGTGAGACCTTGTCAAAACAAAACAAAAACAAAAACAAAAACAAAACAAAAAAAACTTTTCAAGTATATCACTGTGCTTCAGATAAAGCTAAAAGTCATATATTTGGTTTAAGGACTCAGTTTAATGTGATTCCACTTACATTGCCTACTTCGCCCCTTCCCATTCATCTCCTTGTAGACCCAGCAGCCTTCATTAAGTGTTTTCAATGTGTGACACTCTTCTTCTTCAGGGTCTTAACACCTTCACACATCCTGATATTTTTTATCTGTGAAGCTTCTTCTTATCCTTCAGGTCTCTAATTAAATTATCCTTCACCAGGAAAGCCAAATAAAGTCCCCTGTTATACCCTCGATTCATTTGCTCACACATTCAAAAAACATTTATTGAATCACCATTTTGTTTCATTCAGTAGTCTAGACTCTGAGAGAGAAAATCTGTTATGTACATTGACATTTTATGTGTTTATAACCTACAAATAAACATCTATTTTTGAGTGATTTTTTTCAATATTTTTATTGAGATGGATGCGGAAGCAAAATCTTTTTGAATCTTTTATATATAATGTTGGGGTGATGTGGAGGTGAAAGTAGATTAGGCCTCTTTGGAGTGGGTTTTCAGTGCAGAGCTGAGATTTATAGGAAAGTAAATATCAGTTCAAAATAATGCAGGCTATACAAACTAATAGAGCTATCTGAAAATGAATTTTAAAATAAACTACCCTTGAGATGTTGAGTTTCCCTTGCTCTATGTATGTAAGCAGAGGCTGGGTAAGTAGTGATTGCTCATTTTGTAGGGGGAGGTTTGTATTGGTCTTCTATTGCTGTGTAACAAATTATCACAAACTTAGTGGCTTAAAACAATACCCATTTATTAGCTCATAGTTCTATAGGTCAGAAGTCCAGGCGTGTTGTGCCTAGGTTTTCTACTTATTCTCACAAGCTGAAGTCAACTTGTCAGTCAACATTTTCTTGTGTAACTCAGGGTCCTCTTTCAGGTTCACGTGGTTGTGGTAGAATTTAGTTCCTTGCAGTCACAGGATTGAGAGCCCCTTCCCTGGCTGGCTTTTAGCTAAGGGCTTCTCTCAGCTCCCAAAGATGTTCTGTGTTCCTTATCATGCAGCTCCCTCCTTCTTGAGAGCCAACAATAGAGAAATTTTTGTACGTTGAATCCATCTCTTTAAAGCTTTGACTTCCTTTTCTGAAAACGGCCAAAAATACTATCCTCCTTTTAGAGGGCTCAGGTTATAAGGTCAGGTCCACTGGATAGCTCTCTATTTTAAAGTAAACTGATTAAGATTCTTAGTTACAGCAGCAACATAGCTTTCCATCTGTACCTAGATCAGTGTTTGGTTGAGTAAGTGGAAGAATCTGTTTTTGTACAGGGACCGGGAATCTTGAGGGATATCTGCAGACACAAAGGTCAGACAAAGAGACAAGATGACCAAGATGATCTCTCAATTTCAAATTCTGAGATTACGTGATTTTTCTCATTTATTTGCCTGTTCTTATGGATTCAGTCGCCAAAATATATCTTAAAAACTGACTTCTGTACTGTTGCTATCACCTAATTTCGTCTTTCCTGGACAAATCAAGTAGTCTCTGAATTTCTCCCTTTTCCTGTTTTGCAATTACCAGACTGTAGTTGATAAAATGTACCTCTGGACATACTGTGACATTTTTTATAGCTTTCAATTGCCTGACAAGCTATCTATAGTTTCCTCTGACACAGTAAGTCCCCAAGCTATTGTGCAGTCTTGCTGTTTGTTATTGCCGACATGAATTACAAGCTGCAATTAAACTTGTCTTAGCTCACATCACCCTCTCTTCCATGATCTCCACTTTTACAATCAGTGAAATTCCATCTCATGTGCCATCTCTTCTCTAAAAACATTTTCTGAACACCCACGTCAATCAAATACATCTGATTTATATTAGAATATTTTGAAAATGTATCTTATGTTCAGATGATCTGAGTTCAAATTTAGTGACTGAGGCATTTGAAAAAATTATGAAAATTCTAAAACTTCTTCCTCTATAAATTTACATTTTTTTTCCCTAAAGATAGTGTTTTCTCTAATTGCTTTTCTTCATGATAGGTAAAGATAAAACAGAATGTGTTGTAAATAGTGTGCCAGTTTTGGTAAATATATATATATATATAGTAAATAAGCAATAGATCTGTAAATAATTCGATAAAAATTTAAGATGAAATCCAAAATTTTAACTGAAGTCCAGACCTCTCTCTACAGAATCCAGACTCAAGCTTCTATCTAGTATTTGATTTCTCCTTCTGGGTGTCTGAGAGGAATTTCAAAGTTAACCTACTCAAAAGAAATTGTTAATCTTCCTCCCCAAAGCTTACCCCTCTTACGGTCACCCACATCTTGATTAATAGTGACTTCATCTTTTTATTTGCTCAATCCATAAACCTTAGGGCATTTTTTATTCCTCTCTTTCTCTGATATTTCACATACCACACATCAGCAAACCCTGCCAGCTCTCCTTCACATTATATTCAGGAGCTGAATGTTTCTCTTCACTTCTGCCACTACCACCTTGGACCAGGCCACTGTGATCTCTTGTGTTGACATTGCAGTTGCCTGCTAATTACTCTCCAGCCTTGTTACCCTTTAGTCTGTTCTCAACACAGTAGCTAGAGTGATTCTGTGAAAGAGAGAGCCTGCCACTTCTCTGCTCAAATGAAAGCCATGACAATGTCCTCTAGTGTCATGTACTGGTAGCTTGTACCAGTCACTCAGTCCTTCTTGTTATTCTCCAAATATACCAGGCATGCCTCCAACTATACAGTTTCCTCTGCTTCAAATTTCTCTTTCTGAAATATTGACATGGCTAGGTCCCCTACCTACATATGGAATTTAGTATCTTCTTTTTCTTTTTTTTTTTATTATTATACTTTAAGTTTTAGGGTACATGTGCACATTGTGCAGGTTAGTTACATATGTATACATGTGCCATGCTGGTGCGCTGCACCCACTAACTCGTCATCTAGCATTAGGTATATCTCCCAATGCTATCCCTCCCCCCTCCCCCCACCCCACAACAGTCCCCAGAGTGTGATGTTCCCCTTCCTGTGTCCATGTGATCTCATTGTTCAATTCCCACCTATGAGTGAGAATATGTGGTGTTTGGTTTTTTTGTTCTTGCGATAGTTTACTGAGAATGATGATTTCCAATTTCACCCATGTCCCTACAAAGGACATGAACTCATCATTTTTTATGGATGCATAGTATTCCATGGTGTATATGTGCCACATTTTCTTAATCCAGTCTATCATTGTTGGACATTTGGGTTGGTTCCAAGTCTTTGCTATCGTGAATAATGCCGCAATAAACACACAAGAAAAAAACAAACAACCCCATCAAAAAGTGGGCGAAGGACATGAACAGACACTTCTCAAAAGAAGACATTTATGCAGCCAAAAGACACATGAAAAAATGCTCATCATCACTGGCCATCAGAGAAATGCAAATCAAAACCACAATGAGATACCATCTCACACCAGTTAGAATGGCAATCATTAAAAAGTCAGGAAACAACAGGTGCTGGAGAGGATGTGGAGAAATAGGAACACTTTTACACTGTTGGTGGGACTGTAAACTAGTTCAACCATTGTGGAAGTCAGTGTGGCGATTCCTCAGGGATCTAGAACTGGAAATACCATTTGACCCAGCCATCCCATTACTGGGTATATACCCAAAGGACTATAAATCATGCTGCTATAAAGGAATTTAGTATCTTCTAATCCCTTCTCTGATTACCTAATTTAAATTTTCAATATCCCTGAAACTCTCCTTCTTCTCATTCTTCTTTTTCTCCGCAACTCTGATCATCATCCAAAACACTACAGTTGGCCCTCCAAATCCATGTGTTCTGCATCCGTGGATTCAATCAACTACAGCTGGAAAATATACAAAACCAAAATGTGTCTGTACCCCACATGCCCAGACTTTTATTTCTTGGCATTAATCTCTAAACAGTACAACAGCTATTTATAGAGCATTTACATTGTGTTAGGTATTGTAAATAACCTAGAGATTATTTGAATTATATGAGAAGATGTGTGTAGTTTATATGCAGATACTACACCATTTTATATAAGGAATTTGAACGTCTTCTGATTTTGTTCTCCGTGGAAGGTCTGGGAGCCAGTACCCTGTGGATACAAAAGGTGACTATGTACAATACTTATTGATACTTTTATTGTTTACAGCTCCCCTGAATGTAAATTTTCAGGGGCAGGAATTTTTGTCTGTTTTGTTCATTGTATTTTCAGCACCTATAATCCTACCTGTACATATTAGATGCTCTTAGATATTTATTGAATGTTGAATTAATATATCTTTAGAGATCAATGAGCTTTCTAAATATTTATTAATTTTCTTATTTTAAAATGTGAATATTAATATACAGTTCGCATTATGTAATTTTCACATGTCATCATTTTGATTCTCTTTATCTCCATCTTCTTAACAAAGGCCGTTGAAGATATACAAAGAAAGGCATGGTTAAGAAGAGTTCCAATATCACTTAATTGATTGCTCTTTCTTATTTCTAACCATAACATGTGTATATTACTTGCCCAATAAACTGTCTCTTGAAAACAGGACATGAGCTTTATTGTATCCTGAATCCCTAACACCAGGCTCAGAGCCTGACACATGGTATGCATTTGGCAAACCTGTAGTTAGTGTGGAAGCAAATAAATGACTCCAAGCAGGACTACATGTTAATTCTAAATATACATGAGATAAAATAAAAAAAAATAGATGAATTATATACATTAAAACTGTCAGTAATATTGTTTATTTAAAATTGTTTTATAATCAACATTTACTAGATATAAGATGTGTTTGTGTTTATTTAGACATTTAAATACACAAGTATCTTCCCTTGGAACTGAATATTACAAACTCAAACCATACCTAGGGAAGTACTTAGGATGATATGAGCATACAGTTTTCCTTTGTAACAGTGAAATAGTTCTATTTGAAGCCAAAGTTTGTTTATATAAGCCACTTATGATTGAATTTGGAAGCAAAATCAAGAATTAATAAATTACAATTATTTTGTCCTCTACCCTTTTAAAATGATGGTCCCGGAAGCATCACTCTAAGGTTCTTCTCATTAAGTGTGGGGATAATTAATCTAAGAGCTATAGTAATTTGACAGATCTCTACTAGCTCCTCCATAATAGAATTCTATTCTTTCTTCTCTTTATGAAGTGTTTGGTAATTGTAACTGCTTTTAATTTTTCCCTTTAATTTTTAGTTCCCAGTGTTCCCACAAATATTGCTTTTTCTGATGTTCAGTCAACTAGTGCAACATTGACATGGATAAGACCTGACACTATCCTTGGCTACTTTCAAAATTACAAAATTACCACTCAACTTCGTGCTCAAAAATGCAAAGAATGGGAATCCGAAGAATGTGTTGAATATCAAAAAATTCAATACCTCTATGAAGCTCACTTAACTGAAGAGACAGTATATGGATTAAAGAAATTTAGATGGTATAGATTCCAAGTGGCTGCCAGCACCAATGCTGGCTATGGCAATGCTTCAAACTGGATTTCTACAAAAACTCTGCCTGGCCGTGAGTATTGTCCTGACATGTACATACTGATTTCTGTTATATTCTGTATCTGTCTATATATTATGCTTTATACTTAATCTAATTGTGTGTAAAATCACTGAACATAGAAATAACTGAGGACACTACCATATATAACGACATATTTAGTTTTAATTTAGTTGAAACCCAATGAGAAATTCAATGTTAGTCATTATTAGGGCTTTTCTCAAACTCCCAAAGTTGTGCCAAGGTCCTAGAGTCTCATATTGCAACAGTGCATTGTGGGAAGCTACTCTGATGCGCTACCATTAAACCATACTGATTATTATCTAATGCCCTTGACCCAGGCCCACATTTTTCCTTCATATTTAGAGGTTCTGTTGCTTTTAAGCCCAACTTTACAACCTTTTCAGTGACTTCAAACTTACACACACACACGTGTGACCACAATAACCCTGATTGATCTGTCTGCAAGTCGTTTTTCAGCTTGTGTTTTTCAACTGCACAAAATTCTGAGGCAAAGAAATATCAAGCATTCAACTCCCAGCTTGAGATGGGAAGAAGAAAATACAGAGAAGAAACACAAATACTTGAAATTGTTTTGCCATCTATACATCTTTCAGGACTTTAAGTGCTTTTCCATACAAACCACTAAATGTATAGGTAAAGATTGCTCTTGCAACTTAGGTTTTATGTTTATAGCTAACTGGTTGCCCTGCTTGCTTGGAGAATATCATTAACCATAATTAAGTAAAAAATGTATATTCCTTATCCTGAACTCTGTTTACATAGAATTGTGATGGTTACTATGCAACATAAATAAGTTGCAAATCAAGTCCTGCAAGCCAGAGCTCTGGGAAATGGCTGCATTCTCTGAAATGCCATTTCTGCCCCAGCCCTCCAGAGCAAATTTCAGGTTTGCCAGGCCACCCATCCCATATAAATCCTTCAGATATAGGCCTTATGTTATCATCTTCCTATCTTGACTGAGACTCTTTAAAGGGGATTCCTTTCAAATCCAAATTACATATTCTTAAACATTTTTGATACTTATTAGTATAGTAACATACCTACACACACACACATAGATTTTCAGTGACAAATACCATGTTAGTACTTATAGATAGTGAAATACACTTTGATCTAGAGGGCTTTATTTTCTAGGCCACCAATTGTGTCTCCTGTTACAATTTCCCAGAGTATCTGGCATAATGTCTGTAATAGTAAATGTTCAATAAATGTTTGTTAATATAATTTGACATTTGAGGTAGAATCCTGACAACTCAGACTTTGACACAATTGTCCAACCTTTTCTCTTTCTGGCACTTTGACACTTGGTTTCTGTAAGATCTACCCTTCTGTTTTTTCTCCTACCTTCCTGGTAGCTCCGTCTCCGTCCTCTTTGCTGAATTATTCTCAGCAAATAATTGTTTTTTAACTGTAAGCATTGGAGAGATGAGAGAGCTGTACTTGGCCCTTTTCTCTTCTTTATCAGCACACAACCCCAAGGAGATTTTACCTTAATTGCTCTTATTCTGGTCTATAGCTTTGAAGTCTGCTTACATCTTGACTATTCTCAAATACTATTTCCAGTCCTGAATGCTGCCTAGAACTCCAGATCAGAATATCTGCCTGATCAACTAATCACTGGGC
Source organism: Homo sapiens (assembly GCF_000001405.40). Taxonomy (NCBI): domain Eukaryota; kingdom Metazoa; phylum Chordata; class Mammalia; order Primates; family Hominidae; genus Homo; species Homo sapiens. The sequence continues at coordinate 80,590,085 of NC_000012.12, forward strand.
TTGTGTGTTGAATATACTTCTCTATATTAACATGATCAAATACCAAACCTTCTCATATCATTATTTATCTGTTTGCAGCAAATGAAAATCCAGGCACTGTTCCTTTCCTCCTCAATCCTGCCCATGATTCATTTCAACCACACCATCTAAACAAATTCCTCCATTTGCATTACTATTACATTAGTACAACTCTTCATTACTGCTCCCACAGCACTAGCCTAACTAGCCTCCTACACTGCCAGACTGGTCTTTTTCAACCTAAAGCAGATGATGTCACTTTCTTGCTTAAAACTATCCAATGGGCTGGGCGCAGTGGTTCATGCCTGTAATCCCTGCACTTTGAGAGGCTGAGGCGGGTGGATCACGAGGTCAGGAGATCGAGACTATCCTGGCTAACATGGTGAAACCCCGTCTCTACTAAAAAATACAAAAAATTAGCCAGGCATGGTGGCAGGTGCCTGTAGTCCCAGCTACTCGGGAGGCTGAGGCAGGAGAATGGCATGAACCCGGAAGGCGGAGCTTGCAGTGAGCCGAAATCGCACCACTGCACTCCAGCCTGGGCACAGAGCAAGACTCCGTCTCAAAAAAAAAAAAAAAAAAAAAAAAACTATCCAATGTACTCCCATGGCTCTTAGAATAAATTTTACATTTCTTAACATGGTTAACAAGCCCTATATGACCTGGCTTTTACCTTAAACTTTAACATTATTTATAGCCATGTTTCCCCCATACCATTGTCTTCCACTCATACTAGACATTTTTTGTTGCTTACACAAAATAAATTCTTAGAACTTGCATCTTTGTATTCCCTGTTTCTTTTGACTAGAATGTTCTTCCACCTCCTTCTTCACATGAGCAGCTTCTTATAACGTAGATCTTTACTTAAATGATCCCTGATCAGAATGAATTTCCCTGACCACTCAATCTAAAAATAGTCATGCAGTAATCTTATATAATATCATGTTATTTTAATGAACATTTATAATTACACGATCATTTTTATTTGCTTGTGTTTAGGATCTGCCTTGATCATTGCTTTTTTTTTTTTTTTTTTTTTTTGCGACAGGATCTCATTCTTTCACCCAGGCTGGGGTGCTGGGGCACGGTCACAGCTTACTGCAGCCTCGACCTCCTGGGCTCAAGTAATCCTCCCACCTCAGCCTCCTAAGTAGCTAAGACTACAGGCACACGCCACTGTGACCAGCTAATTTTAAAAACAATTTTGATAGAGATGAGGTCTCACTATATTGCCCAAGCTGGTCTTAAACTCTTGGGCTCAAGTGATCCTCCTGCCGTGGCCTCCCACAGTGCTGAGATTTCAGGCATGAGCTACCATCCCACGCATATTTTCTTATTGTCTAGAATAGTTCCCAGTACCAGTAGATACTCTATAAATATTCCCTGAATGAGAGAAATTTGATTCATTAAGTTCTAGTGGGTAGGACAAAACAGATTGTTTTCCAGTGCAGGTGATGATAAGGATGACGATACTATAACAAAGATAGCAAAAATATAGAAAAAATTCAGTTTACTTTGGGGTTAGTCAGTAGGTATGGTTATTTTGAACCTGCTGATTTTGTCAAGAAATAGCTATTCTAATATAACTAGAAAACAGAAATAAATAAATGCCCAGAGAACAAAACCAAATACATCAGTAGCCTAGATCTGGCTTGTGGACAGCTGATTTGTAACCTTTGGTTAAATTATGCCTGTGCCTTTGTGCCTGCTGCCACTAAGAGTTCCTATTCTGAGTATCTCACTTGGGGAGTACCTGCTTCTAATTGCCACACTGAGCCAGGAAGTGAACTTTTTAAATGCACAGTCTCTTGCAAGCACACTTGACACTATTATACAAGATGTTTAATTAGCATAAAACAACATATAACATGATCAGTTCAGAAGTTGGTAAATGAAACTGAAAAGTTGGATTTCTAAATAATCCTACATTCTCAAGTCTTTCCACTTGAATATCATTCTTTCCACCCTATTTCCTCCACTTCTTACCCCCGTTTAAGTTCTATGGCCATATTTTATTTCCAGGAGACACAGGGGAAATGGTCTTTCTACCACTGTGATTAGGAGAGAAAGATGAAAAGATTTATATTTTTCAACTTCGTGATAACAAACATATGATTGCATTCTCAAAACTCATAGCTTTTCAACTAAGTAGTCATAAGTGGTTGAGGATAATTCTTTAAATTTTGACGATGAGTTGGTTACTCGTCTTTTAGTTTCAAGAATGGAGGAAATTTTTGCTTCCAATGGAATAGAAGACATTTTTCTAATGATAAATATTGTACAATTGAATTTCCAAATTTCATAATTTATACATCAAAATAAAAGTTCTATTTATTATATTAAGTCAGGAAGAGATAATTTGAGATTATATGGGGAACTGCATATATTATTGCAACATAATATATATGGTGAAATAACATAAGAATAAAAGAAATTATAACAGTTAAGTAACGGAAGTCTTGAAGAGCAATAATCCTTTTAATATTAAAAATAAGGCATTCATAGATGTTGCTTCTGCATACCAAAGATGAAAATATAATGGCCATGTTGCAAACTCAAAAAATAATTTGGATGAAGAATATTAATAAGTTTTGTATTATGTATAATTCACTTAAAAATGTGGCATGAGTCATGTGGTGGCTCATGCCTGTAATCCCAGCACTTTGGGAGGCTGATGCGGGCGGATCATTTGAGGTCAGGAATTTGAAATCAGCCTTTCCAACATGGTGAAACCCTGTCTCTTCTAAAAATACAAAAAATTATCCGAACATGGTGGTGGGCACCTGTAATCCCAACTCCTTGGGAGGCTGAGGGAGGAGAATTGCTTGGACCCGGGAGGTGGAGCTTGCAATGAGCCAAGATTGTGCCACTGCACTCTAGCCTGGGTTACAAAGCCAGACTCCATCTCAAAAATAAAATAAAAATGCAATATGTTGTTTCATGATATAAAATAAAATAATAACTCTTTCTCTGAATTAGAGAAAAGACTAAACAACAATATAAAATAGTACAAAATAACTATCTCAGAGAACTGCATTTTATCCTAATGACATAAAGTTGTACTCAAGCACTTACTAATATAACATCTTGTCAAAACCTGGATCTTCTCTATAAAGAGTTATTGATTAATGGGTAGTTTGAAATCAAATTGTTTAAAATTTGAGTAACTCCAATAAAAGACCACCTAGTTTTAATAATAAATATTATAAAAGTTTCTACAATGGATTATATAATCAGAAAACATGTTATCATTAACTATCTGAGCCCATAACAAAGAGCATCAAAATTGAAGATCAGGAAGAAAAGTCAGAATGCAAGCTGAGATTTAAATTGGATTACCCTGTGAATCTGAGTGTACACCTGTAAAACAGAATAAATAAGGGAAACAATATTCAACCAACTCAAGCTAACCATTCTTTCTCTCACATGCTCTCACCTAGATCATTGAAGCCAAATTGCTTTTGTTCTCAACTAATCCGTATAATAGCCATAATCCTACTGCATGCTGAGAGTGTATAGATACAAATATAAGCATAAAAATTTTAAAAAATGGCAGAAATATTTACCTTGAAACATTACAGTCATGCAAATTATTTTACTCATCTATTTTTCTGATTATCCTTAAAGTCAAAAGCAGTTTGAGTGGTGTGTGTATATATGTGGTGGTGATGTAAAGTCACAAGCTGTTAAATGTTTCTGTGGTGCACAATAGATACTTATGCTGAGGAAATGTACAACTTTAAAGGAGTGTGGGTGTGAAATTAGTATGAAATGGAATGGGACTCTCATAATGTGCGTCTCCTATAGACCACCAAGACTGGAAGACAGCAAGAAAGGAAAATTCCTGGGGTAACACTTAGGTTGGGAAAACCACAGGATACCATACTCATGAGGAATTTTAACTACCCAAACATCTGTTAGGTTAAAAAAAATTCAACAAAACATGCCTCATCAAAGAAGTTTCTAAGGAATGCAACTTTATGATCTAAAAAGAAGAAAACCAAATAGAGGGCAAAGTACACTTTAACATTATTTAAAATTAAAAATTGTCAATGTGTTACTAAATATCAGTTGTTTTCCTTAGTTTTTTCTAAACTGTGTAATACACTTATGTGATAAGTGTTATAGTAACAGAGGTAGAAATTATCCTTTTTATAAAGAAGCAATTATATAATGGTAAGAAGTGATTTTAGCCATAAGTAAATAGGAGTCTATAATTCAAGACATTTAGAAGTTCATTTGGTGGCAGTGCAGTATTAGGATGGGCTCCATCTTGCTGCCACTAGAGAAAATAAATATCATTTATTCTAGACATGATGGTTGCACTTCTGCAAAATTAGTTAGATGCTGTTGAAAATCTTCTAAATTAGTTACACAGGACTCCCTAATGGGTAATTCAAGACAACATTTCTGTCCTCTAGGCCCGAATATTGAAGTTATTGGTATAACCACTTAGGTTCCCATAGACATCTCAAACTCCATATTGCCACCTTCCCTTGCAAGTCTTTTCCTTTCTGTGTGTTCCGTGTCTCAGTTTACTGCACCACTATTCATCTAGTTGTTCAAACTAGTTATCTAGAAATCATTGTTAGTTCTTTTTACCTACTCTCATCCCCCACGAGGCAAAACCTGAGTCCTATTGTATTTACCTTCTAAATATCTCTTGTATTTGTTTATTTTTCTTTTCAAGTGTCTCTAAATCCAGACTTTTACATTTATCTCTTAGATAATTACAAAAGAGATCTAAATGGTCTTTCTGCTCTCATTTTCTACCATTCACCTGAACTCAGCATTTCAATACACCTGCCTGACCATGAATTTCCTCTGCTGAAAATCTTTGATCATTTTCTACATGCCTGCATGTTAAAACTATGCCCATTAGTAAGTTCTACAAGGTCACTTATGATTTGGTTTATATTTCTCACACATGCACTGTTCTTTCTCCTTTATGATCCAGAATCTTTGCTATTCTTTCTTATTGTCCTTTCTTTCCTCCTCTTCTGGTGACCAGCTTTGTTTTCGCTATGTTTTTAAGTATCTCTTTTGAGAAACCTTTCAGAAATCCTTATTTCCAGTCCCACCTCCCAAAATTTGTTTCTCAACAAGTGAGCATATTACATCATAGTTATTTCTCTCTCTTTCTTTAGTGGGGCTTTGAGTTCCTTAAAAGCATAAATAGCCAGCCGCGCATGTCTTATGTACCTTTCTGTCCCCTGTGCCTACTTTTAATCTAAGATTTGTTATGAATATGGAAGAAAGGCATTTGACTTTAATGTTAAAGTGTTACAGTGTCAAAATTCTCCATATTTTAAAATAGTTCATGCTGATATTTTTTAATTTTTTTGGTCTAATGCTTGTCTTTCAAATGCTTGCATTGTTATTGCCAAAATTAAAATTCTCTTGGCCAGTAGCTTTTCATGTTTGATATATTCAGCTTCTTTTATTTCACAAAACCAGTATATATTTATTATTATTATTATACTTTAAGTTTTAGGGTACATGTGCACAATGTGCAGGTTAGTTACATATGTATACATGTGCCATGCTGGTGTGCTGCACCCATTAACTCATCATTTAGCATTAGGTATATCTCCTAAAGCTATCCCTCCCCCCTCCCCCCATCCCACAACAGTCCCCAGAGTGTGATGTTCCCCTTCCTGTGTCCATGTGTTCGCATTGTTCAATTCCTACCTATGAGAGAGAATATGCGGTGTTTGAAAACCAGTATATTTTATATTGTTGATCATTTTGTGATTTTCCTTTTCATTAATTAACATAAGAAATATAAATTATTGCATATAGGAAATATTTGTATTGCATGTAAGAAATATGAATTATTGCATATAGAAAGGAAATAATTATTGCATTTAGAAATATTTCAAACAGTGAAGGAAAATAATAAATGTCCATTTCAGAATAGATTGGAGAAGCATTAAAAATATCTAAATGATTAACTGAGATAATTAGCTGGTAATAAGTATGTATAGTGAGACAGAGTTATAATAGATTGATGGTCCATGAAAGAACAAAGGGGAAGAACAATGTTTAAATTTAGAGTGCTAAGTGTGATTACAAAGAGGAGATATATGGGTGAAATCATAATTTAAAGGAAATGATAGAAAGCATATAACATTAAAGTATCTAATAAAGTATTCAACTATATATTTAATGTCAAAAGACCTTATGCTAGATTATGATGCAAATATTCTAGAATTTAAATAAAAATACTTGTTTTTGAAATCCTATTTACATAAGCAAGTAGAAAGTTGTAGCAAAATCACTAAAAATCAAACAAAGAAAAGTGTAAAGATTATCACTGTTTTTTTTTAAATCATCAATATTTTAGAAAGTCTGATTTTCATAAAGGAAAAAGGGGAGGAAATTTTCTCCCCATTAATAGCTTAGCTGTATTTTATCTTTTTAAACTTCAAATGAATTCTCCTATTTTCTCTGAGATCTCAGACTAAATTTCACATTGAATTGAATTAACTTTTACTCTTCTGAGAATCTTCTTTCTGTCCATTCAACAAGAAGTGTAAAGTAGGTGTAATACATTGTGAATTTTTGTCTTTAACCTCAGTTCTAAGTTCTAGCTCAGCATTAGGCCCTAGGTCAGCAAAATTTCAGCTCCTATTTCTTCTGCATTTACCAAGAAAGAATTCTGATTTAACTATGAAAATTCCAAACTATAGAAAAATCCTGGGATTACTATGTATGGTGTCTTGGTCACTTTTTGTTCATGCCTAGTAAATCAATTGAGATCCATAGGCTGCACAGTTAAGAATATTAGCAATGACTTACCTTACTGTGTGTTTGCTATGTGCTGGTACTATTCTAAGTACTTAAAACATTGATTCATTCATAAGTCTTTATTTCTAGCACAGAGTCTACACTCTTAGATCTTGACTAGGACTTGAGCAAAGCCTCAGGGTGGTAGAAAAGTACCAAGAGATGGAGAGGTACTAACTGATATGACATAGAGAAGCTATCCAACTGTCCAATCATCTCCCAAAACAAATTGAGTGAGAATTTTGACATGCACCTCAAAATTATACTTTTGAGGTTTCTGATACCCTTGATTTTCATTTTTCTTTAATGATATCCTAGATATTTTTTACCCCAATTATGCCTGCATACAAATGAACAGGAGAAGAAAATAGCAAGATTTATCCTGGCCCTAAGACTCCAGTATGACGATGGCCTTACCTGAATTATTCCAGTTTGTTCCAATGCAGAGCTTCATGGTAGCATGAAAATGGTGATATTTTATGCTCTAATGGAACACGCTGACCTGTTGTTCTAAAAACTTTGGGAATTGGAGGAAGTGAGTAGGGAGAACCCTCTTCATAGTTTATCCAGAATTAAAATAGAATGAAAGATAGGAGACCAGTCTGTGGAATATTTGATGGCTTGATACATGTTTCCATGTTGATTACCAGCTCCCAAACTTCCTTTACATCTACTTCCCTAGTCTTCACAGAAGGAGTAATTCAATCCCCTTTTCCAATCCACTCATTTCTAAGAGTTGTAATCATTGGTCATCTAATCTGAAGAGCAGTGTCACTATTTTTTCAAATGGCATGTCGACGTTATAGAGCAGTGATTCTTAAACTTGAACTACAGTCATTACAACCACCTGGAGGACTGTTAATTACTAAGCCCCACACTCACGGTTTTTGATTCAGTAAGTCTGGGGTAGTGCCTCAGAAACTGCTTTTCTATGGCTTCCCCAGTGATGTTGATGCTGCTGGCCTGGAGACACATTTTGAGGACCACTGTTGTAGAAAGTTGTTTTATAAACATGATGCTATTCTCAGAAAATATGTATTCTCTGATTCCAAAGTAATAGTAGTAATTAGAATATTTTCATTCTTACCTGGCATGTCCAGTATTGAAACTGAGAGGTTTTCTTTCTATTTTGTATTTTTTTTCTAGCTTAAGCCAGTCTGAAATTAGTCAGGAAATAACTCATTTAAGCATCAAATAAGATGATCATACAGTGAGGTCTAATACTATGAACATCCATGAATCATTCTTAGTATTCATGAATCTAATCTGACAAATTCTTAGGCTTACTGTATTTGTAACACTATTGTGCTATACCCTCTGCAGCACCACCTTGCGGTTAGGAAATCTAATTAGAAAACACACTTAACATCTCATAAAATGATAGGAAATATTTCCTACACTGACAGTGGTGATGCGTTTTGGTCAGCGAAATCACTGGGCTCTAGGAAAACATCCAAACTACAAAAGGATAGCCAGTTATCAAAGTGTTTTAACCAGTGGACAGGAATATGTCCTGAGATACTCTTGCTGTGTGGAAATAAGATGAATCCAATTGCAGAGCTTCTTCAGGGCCCTTGATGCCCTGAATTGCTTAAGACACAGGAATCCACCAGCGAGTTGGATTTCTTCTAGTCCTGAGAGACATCTAACAGTCAGTGCTAATTTGTCCAGGTGTGCTGAGTCAAAGTCGACTTGTAGTCCTTGAAGTTGTTAATATTTGTATAGCTGAGAAAGGACAGAGCCCTTCACTTAGTGATGACAGTCACTAGAAATCTGGTGGCCTAGTGCACCAAATTCTGAAACTAAAACACCCTGAGTGGTAGGCCCTTTTAATAAACTTTATACTGAACTTAAATTCAAATAATTGTGCAGACAATTTAAATTGAAGGTATATAGAGCTGAAGTTTTCTGTTTTGTAAGTTGATGTTAAACCATATATTCATTTATGTTTATTCTTTTAGGAAAGTGATCATAACGAGGTACACTAAAAACCATAGAGTATTTTCTAGAATATTTTCCACTATTAAGTTAGACTTACAGGGATCTGCAGATGGCAAAGTTACAAATAAGTCTTTGAATGTGCTTATTTTAAAAGTATAGTATCAGGCACAACAAAACTTGTTGATTCTTAAACAAAGTGGCATGGATGGGGGCATTCAAATTTTTATATGGACTAGGCAAAATGATGGTCTATCCAGACTCACCTTTGAGCTAACACACTCAGCATCAAGACACAGATGGATGGGAAAGATGACCCTGACCCACATAAGACCCACATTCCTGTGCAAGGATAGAAGCATGATAATCAGGAAATGATGGTTGTTAGTTACAGAAAATGCATTATGGTGAAAACCAGGGGGAAAGTGCTTATGAGAGGAAGTGATTGGATTATGGGGAATGAGAGAATAAGGATAGATCATTCCTACTGAGTAAATTGCTGTGATTTATAAGAGAAAGGGTATAGTGATATCTTGGCCCATTACTGACTAGATTCATTTCACAAACAATCCTAAATCAGAATGTGACAGTTTATGGGGAGACAAACAAAGCTCCCAAAGATGCTTATAAGTTACTAAGCTTTTAAACTGGCATATTTTCAACTCCTCATACTTTTGCCACCATCAGCTCCATTTATTTTTGTAGCTGACATTCATAAATGTAATTCTGTAGCCACCCTTATGTGACACTAGTAATAGTTTACTATATGCTGTGATAAAAGGGAAAATGCTGGATATATTTTATTATATGTTTTGGGATTTTGTTAAATTTCATAAGAAAGATACCTAAAATAATTTTATATGTATTTAAGTATATTATAATACTCTACAATACTAAAATAATTAAGTGCTGTTTTATAATAGATGGGCATTTTGGTGTTCTAAATATTTCTCTTAAATTACCTATGAATTAATCAAACAGTTACCTTTCATTGCTCCAGACAGGTGAAACACATATTGTTATATATTATATATTAATATATATTCAGTTATATAAGTTTACTTTTATTTTTCAGTTTGGATTTAGGAGCTCTAATCCTTCAAGAATACAAGTTGACAAAATACATTCTGAAGGAAATTTTTGGCAAAGGATTCAACACAGAAAACTTGTGTAACAAGACAGGCAATTTTATCAAGAACTTTACTGAAAATGCAAACATTGTTTACAGTGATTGTTTCTTTTAAAAAATGAAGAAAGAAGGGAAAACGATTTTTGGAAAAGTTCAAGAAATGGCATTAAAGCATAGCTCAGCAAGGGGCTAAATACCTTGCTTTTTTATAATGATTGATCAGTGCAAGGAAATTAAAATATTTAGTAGTATAGGTGATTATATGTGTTGTCATGAATGATCTTTGAATGTCATTTTTCTCTTACCTCTGCTTGGGGTCACACACTCCCTGATGAGAGATTTGATTGCTAGTATTAAAGGAATGATTGCAGGGTTGACATTTTATTGTGAAAGAAGAGAAGTTGAAAGCAAAGCGCTATATTTCTTTCTGAGCTGGCATACAGACACACTCACAAGCCAGAGTTTTCCTTGGGAAAACTTTGCACTTTGTCCTCAAATGAGACCCGAAGAAGCCATTATAGAGCAGAGATACAGAAATTTTTCCAGATACAAGCTACCGCAGAAAAATCTCACAACTTTCTTAGCCGCAGAAAATTCTCAATACATTTTTCATGATGTCTGGGCAACGATAATGTGCCACTCTACTTGCTTGCTAGAATGAGTTAGGTTGAAAAGTATAGTCCCAACAGCATCGAGTAGTATATGTTACAGAGGTACATGAATCAAATAGATGTTGGAGATGATCTTTCCTTTTTGACGTAATTAATTTTAGCCCATCTTTCTGGTATGAGTTAGATACCAAGGATCACAGTCTATCACAGCCCCTTCTACTTCATGGCGTTTGTCTTTTTGTTCACAATAGCCATCCTAACAAAAGAAGACATTAACGCTGGTCTTAACGGCCTTACATTTTCTGGCCCCCATTTCCTCTCGGATTCTCTCATTCCAACTCAACTGGGCTTCAGCTTCACTGTGGTCCTTGTTATTCTTAGGACATACCAGGCGAAATCCTGCCTCAGGGTCTTCACGCTGGCCATTCTCCTCCTGGACACTCTTTCTCCAAACAGCCAAACAGTATTCCCTTACCTCCTTCAAATATTTGTTTAAATGTTATCTGCTTAGTGAGGCATGAGCTGACCACTATATTTAAAATAGTAACGCCCTAAGCATCTTCATGCCCATGACCTTGTCTCATTTTTCACCATGGTACATAATACTTCCTAACATGGTATATAATTTACTTGTGTATTATATATTCATTTATTTATATTTTTCTAATATATATTATTTGTCTCTCTCCATTAAAATGGAAGTTCCATGGTCTTTGTCTCTTTGGTTCTCTTCTATATTTCCAGCACTTCCAAAGTGCCTGGCATGCCATAGGTGTTCAGTAAACTGTTGCTAAATGAAAAGGGTTAAACAGTAGAAGCTTTATGGATGGATCCAAAGCTACCTTGATCACCTGTATGAGCTTTTTGTCCTCTTAGTGCCTAGCACATAGTAAGCACTTAATAAATATTTATTCATTCAATGAATGCATAAATTTATTCTCAAGGCCAACTAAACATTTGGTTATAATAAAGACAAGGGGACTCTAAAATATTTTCCTGTTTTATACCACTTGAAATGTGTGGCCGATCAGAAAATTGTTTCTGTCCACACTGGTTCTTACAGAGCTGGAAGTCAAATTTTTCAAATAACATTAATAATAAGGGAGCCTTAATACATTTATACAGAGGTCATATCCCATCCCCTTTTATAGAGTCAGAGGCAGAAGAGAGGCCATTGAAACCCACAAAGCATCTTATATTTATATTTTTCAAGGCAATTAATTATGCTGATGGCAGGAGACCTCTTATAGCTCTCATCTGTTATGTATAATTACCTAAATGAATTAGGCTACAATTTGAGGCAGTTTTCCTAGGACCATAAAGCTAGCAGTAAAAAGAATGAAAATGTCTGTTTATGCAGGGTATGTGTATGATTCCTTGATACCTTAGTTGTTGCAGAAACTGTGTACCCAATTCTGTCTTCATCATTAGCATCTCTTAGCTCATCAAATCGAATCCTGGAGCATTCTTTCTTTACCCTCTCCCCTGGATGTTTTCTTGGCAATGTAAAACTGGATCTTTGAGTACGGGGTGTCAATGTTCAGATTATTGTACAGTTTTCAGAAGTACAAATAGGAAGAGTATCTTTGTCACTCCAAAGGTATTTGTTCACTGAAAGTTCCTGAAATGTATTTTCTAGATTCCTGTATAGTTATATTCAAGTACTATTATTAAAATATGTCAATGCTATTATTAAAATATTTTTGGATTGAGTTGTGCACCTAAATTCCATAGACATAATGTTATATGCCTAAGAAATATATTCTAAATATCAATTACTTATTCACAGTTTAAAGATTGTCACCACTATTAATCTCTTAGTCTGTTTTGTGTTGCTATAAGAAAGTATCAGAGACTTGGTAATTTGTAAGAATAGACATTTGTTTTCTTATAGTTCTGGAAGCTGGGAGGTCCAAGATGAAGGTGCAGACAGATTTGCTTATCTGGTGAGGGTTGCACCCTCTGGAGGGGAGGAACGCGTGTCCTCACACAGTGGAAAGCAGAAGAGCAAGCTATCCAAATGCTTAGTGAAGCCTGTCTTATAAGGACCTTAATCCCATTCACCATGGGAGGTATTCTCATGACGTAATCACCTCTTATAGGCCCCACCTCTTCATACCATCACATTGGCCATTGTATTTCAACATCTAAATTTTGGAGGGGACATGTTCAAATGATAGTAACATCTTATAGCTCTCTAGTATTGAAATAAACCTTTTGACTCTCTTCAGAGCATGTGATTCACTTGAACCAGATATACTGCCCATATTTATACCATCCCAACTTGCAAGAAATTATCTGCAATTTAAAAACAAAGACAGAAACTTTCTCCATTCTGATCCTATTTGCCTCATTCCAAGCTCATCTTTCCATTTGCCAGATAGGCCTCTCAGACTTCTGGAGGTTCTCAAACTCAATGAATATGAATCCAAATTTGTCATCTCCTACCATAGTCTTACCCCACCAAAATCAGTGTATGTTCCTGAATGTGCTGTTGTGAACTGCCAAAATTCACTAATATTAATGCATGAGTTAGCTTTTACTACTTTCTCTATCTCAATTTGCACCCACATCAAATTATTCCGAGTTCTTTTTATTAATCTTTCTATAGTGACTCTAGGTTTCATCTCCTTCTATCTATCCCTTCTGTCACTATTCTTATTTAGGATCTCATGTTTTACTTGGCCTTTTGGAAAGAGCTTATCTACACTCAGTGTTTTTCAAATAACTTAACTTTTTCATAGTTACCTGAGTTGTCTTCCTAAATCAATGGAAAAATAATTCTTTTCTCAAAAACCTCAGCGGAATCCCACTATTTAAAGAATAAACTCCAAATTCTTTAACGTAACAATCAGGTACTCTCTAGCTTAATTCCTAAATTACTACTTGGGCTTGTACATTTTTATTCCTCCATAAATACTGGTCTCTCTGTGATAGTTCTGTTTCTTGGATTTAGGGATTCTGAATCTTTTTTTGTACCATGAATCCCTTTGGAAATCTGGTGAAGTTTATTGACTCCTTCCTAGAGTAATTTATTTTTTACTTGTAAAATAATAACATTACCAAGATAAGCAATTCTACAGCAATACAACTCTATCTGTCTGTGGGTCCTGTTGTTTATGTCTTTGTGGCTTTTCTATGATCCTCCCCTTATCACAGAAGTGCCCCTAACCCTGCTCTATCCTTCTCATCTATCAAAGACTAGTGCAATTCCCACCTTCACTGTGCATCTTTACCTTGCAACCCTGCCCCATCTGTATCATCACTTTGCTCTCTCATTGTAGATTATATGTTATTTATTTCTATTTATCCCTTATCTTTATCTTTTATGATACCTTGGTAATTGACAACAATGTGGCAAATACTGAACTAGCCACTTTTACATACTTTGTTTTCATAATTTCTTTTAAAGCACTATAAAATATTCATATGATGGGGAAACTGAGGTCCAAACATTTTGGTGTTTCACCAAGATCATACAACTTGTATTCTTGCTAGATTATGAGTTATTTGAGGAAAGGAATATTTCATCTTCCTGATTATATCTTCTCCGGATCTGTGGGATAGTACTTTTTCAATAATGTTTGCCCATATGTATTTAAAAATTGAAAATATTGGGAAATACTTATCTCTCAATATTTAATATCATTAGAATTGACTAGGGGCCCCAGGAGGACAGAGGTGTGTGCAGCAGTGTTCTTAGGTTAATGTCTGTGTGAAATTAACTGTGGCTAAATCTTTCCCTGCATACTATTATCTCTCCTAATTCCCAGTGGCTTCACAAATTGAAATTGTACACATAAGGATTTTAAACAGAAACATTTTTAAGATATTGTCTCTTGTTTTGCGTTACTGAAAAAATAACAAAGTAGGACAAATTAAGAAAGTAGAACAAATTAAAGAATTTAATTGGAGTCATAAGGAATTCAAGAAATATTTGAAGATTGCATTTCTAATAATAGATCAGAACAATTGAATAACCATTTCATATTCTCCACCCTCAGTGAAAACAATAAAATCAACTCAATTTACATTTGTAAAACAATATATGTATACTTTCATTATACCAGTTTTAATTTTCAGCTGTGCTTCTCTATCTCTCTGTAGTCAAATACTACGTTTCTGCAAGGGTTTTCTTAAAACAGCATTGCTAGGTTAACTGTTTTAAAATAAAAATATTTGCTTAAAAAGGTTTACTTTAGCAATAGTAATGCTTTCCTTTCAAAATATTATTTCAAGTTTTAAAATAATGAACTTATGATTTTAATTAATTAAGTTTTCATGTGGAAGTTGTTCATCTAGAGTAACTAATTTTAAAGAATTGGATCTTTTTATTTGGTAATGCCTTTAGCACTCTGTGAAATATAAATTAATGTAAAATTAAAATTAATTTATTATGACTATCCATTTTTCATGGTCTTTTCTATTATTGTGCTGTAGCAAGTACTAATTCTAATGTAGCTAGATAATTAATTTTCTATTGTCATAGCTCCAGATGGTCCTCCTGAAAATGTTCATGTAGTAGCAACATCACCTTTTAGCATCAGCATAAGCTGGAGTGAACCTGCTGTCATTACTGGACCAACATGTTATCTGATTGATGTCAAATCGGTAAGGCATGTCTTACCTTCTGTAAAAGCCAGTATAAAATGGTTAATAATACAAGATTTGGAACCAGACTATTTGAATTTGAATTTTGGCTCTGTTAGACAGTAGGAAAATTACTTTACTTGTTTGTGTTTCAATGTCTACATCTGTAAAGATTAATAATAGTAAACAGGGTATGAGGACTGAATCAGTTAACATGCATAAAGAACTTGGAACATTCCCTGAGATATGGTAAATGCTCAATAAATATAAGATATTAGTAACATTATTATAATATGTTTTATCAGTGTATAGAATGTGTATATATATGTATGTATATATACACACATACAAGTGGTTAAATTGGTAGTAATACAAATATCTGGTTTACAGTACGGTAGAAAGTAATTCATAATACAAAATGAGAAGAGAGAAGGCATTAGGAGAAATATCTTCCAGATAAAATAACATCAGAGCTAAGTCTTGAAAAATAAGTGAAGCAGAACATAAAAGGTAAATGGGAATAGGGGTGTAAAAAAGTAAGCCTCATTCAAGAAAAATCAAGTCTTTTGGCAATCCCAGGCTATAGCATTAAAAAAAATAAGTTCTAAGAGATGAGGCTAGATCCAGAGGCTGACTATACAACAAGTTACAGAGTTAGGGTTTTATGTTAAGGGCAGTGGGGTGCCAGTTGGTGATACAGATTTCTACTGTATAACATAGGCATGGTTGCAGTGTAGAGGATAGATTGAGAGCAGTATGGGGGGTGTAAAATCAGGCAAGGAGACAGGAAACTATAAAAGGGCAAGGAAAAAGAACAGAGGAAATGTAGCAAGAGAACGAATGAAAAATAATCTAAACCTATAGAATTTGGTGAAAAATCAACTAACTCATGATGGTGAGTGAGTAGGATAATTAAGGATGATTGTAAGTTATATGACAGAAGATTATGAGGAGGAACAGATCTGTAGAGGAAAGGAATGAGTTCAGTATTAGACACACTGAGTTTGAAATATGTGGCAGTCCTCCAGGTCAATACACCCATTGGCAGTATTAAATATGGATCTGGAGCTCAGGAGAGAAATTCTGGATTTCCAGATTTGGGTAATGTTAGTATTTAGAAGATAGTCAAAATTATAAGAGTGAATGAGATTCACTATGGAATGTGCAAAGTAAGATGACAACCTAAGGACAGCACCCTGGGGACTATCAACACTTAAATAAGAGGCCATTGAAGAGACTGAATGGGAGTAGATAGCCATTTGGATGGAAATCCAGGTATGAAAGTCAAACCCTTCATATAAGATAGGATGCTCAATGATGTCAATAATGCAGAACTGTTAGCCAGAATAAAGACTGGAAGTATTTCCTTTGCACCCTGCTTGGGTTTTGCTGGGCCTGATGAACACAGTTTTCTAATAGCATCTTATGCATTAAATTGTATAGCATAGTGATTTCTCCTCCTTTCTCTCTGTCTCTTGACCAACTTTATAATTTTATTATGTCTTTGTAGTATTCCTTAAATGGAGATATAATGCTTCTATCTCAAAAGACCTGTCATCATTAAAATAAAATTGAAAGAATTGTTGATGTATTTGTTCTCCAATTCAGTCTCTATTTTCTGTTCCTTTTGTAGAGCATATTTGTGAAGATTTTAGTATGTAATTAGCCAAAAATAATTAGCACGAATGATGAATGCCCTGGGAATATGCATTAAAAACAAATTATAAAATGATAAAGCTTTACTCTGTCAAATGAAAGGCACTTTATTAATGAAAATAGTTCTCCCTTGGAAATTCTGCTTAAAGGAACAAAAAAAATAAAACATATTAAGAAGTGATTTTGTAATCTCATTCTTGTAGCCTTCTTGCTGAGTTTCAAAGTGAGCAAGGGAAAGAGGGTAGAATGGGAAGATAACAAATATTTTAATTGCTTATTTTCTACAAGTTACATGTTCATCTCTTCCTATTCATTATCTTATTATATGTTATCCAGCAATATTTTCATATAAACATTATTACCTTCATTTTGCATAAAAGAAATCTAAGGAACAGAGACGGTGAATAACTTCTCACAGAGCTAAGACTTGGCTAAAACTAACAGATCAACAATGGTTTGACAGGAGAAAGGGAAGGTCATTAAATAACAAATAAAATTCGCCAACATAAATATAGCCTCACCAAAACTCCTTTAGATCAACAATAGCAAGAACAGATTCAGATAGAACCTAGTAATTCACAGTTTCTTTAGGATTCTTGGAATTAAGTAGAGGTATTTCCTTCCTTCCTTCCTTCCTTCCTTCCTTCCTCCCTCCCACCCTCCCTCCTTCCCTTACTTCCTTCCTTCCTTCCTCACACATTTTAAAATACTTCCAATGTACCAGAACTGTGCTAGGTGCTGGATATGTAGAAGTGAACAACTCTGATAAAGCACTTCTGCAGCTCATTTCATTAATATGTAATTATCAACATTCAAGAATCACTGGTTCCCAGACTAAGGAAGAATACATAGCATTGCACTTGGGACTTATTGTGCAGCCTGTCTTCTACAAAATACTAGCCACACCGATAAAACTCTTAACTTTAAAAGTGTAAACAAAAATTGTCAATCTTAATAAAATGTAAATATCATCCTAGATGATTCTGCTGGAAATTAATGCATTTAGGATCATTTTCATTGTTCCTTTTACTCTTTGACTGAACAAATTGTTATGAGTAGCTTCTGTGCATCAAGACAAGGATGAAAAACATAAAGCTCTGCTGTCAGGTAGCTCACACCCTAGTGGTACACACTGGAATAGAAACAGCTAATTATAGAGTTTGAGGTATGAAGTTTTGTGGGGAATATAAGGTAACAAAATAATTAAAGTTCCTGTTATGGGAGGAATAGAAGATAAAGGAGACTTCATAGAGCAGGTTAAATATATTCTAGGACTTGACGAATGAATAGGGGTACACAAGATGGGAAAGGGTGGAGGCGGGGTAGGAAGAGAAAAAAAATAGGAAGTGGGGCAGGAAGAGGAGAACCAGAGTCTAATTGCTGATAATGAATATAAAGTAACACTTCAAAAATGATGAAAGACATTTTATAACAATAGATTATCAAGTACAATATGAGCAAACAAACTTGGAATTGATTGAAGGAAAATGAGTCAGAAAGATGTGATTTCAGTCCTGGGTAAGTGGACAAGTAATAGCTAACAACAACAAAGGTGTAGTAGGTTTAATAAAGAAAGGTAATGATGATCTTTTGTACTGCCAAATTTGAGGACCGAGAATTCCTTTCAAATTTTGTTAAATACTTTTAAAGATATAATATATGCGTGCCATGTCATATTTTGCGACTTGATATTTGTTATCTATTGTTTTAATGGAAGGCATTGGAAGAGTATAATTTATAAATTATACTTATAAATTATAAATTTATAATTTATAAATTATAAATAGTTAAATTTATAAGATCAAACCCAGTGACCTTGTGGAAGTGTAGAATTCTATGGACTCTTGAAAGACCTGGGCTCAAATCCTTCCTCTGCTACTAAGTAACCCTGAGGAAGTCACCTTACCTCTATAAAATCAGAATTCAAATAGCTATAAAAGACAAGTGACATGAACCAGTAGTCAAAGTGAAGCCAATTGAGTGGGGCTCCAATGAATGGGACCCAGGCCCCTTTACAGAGGTCAATAGTTACCCATCTCTGCACCTCTCAATAATATTTTTTCAGCATGAAATTAAGCCTAGTCTTAAGGAAAATTACAAAAAGCATATTTTTATGTGATATTCAAATGTTAACAACTAGTTAAATACACATTTTCTGCCAGTGGCATATATTCCTGATCAATAGGATTTCTACGCTGATTTGTTTTTCTTCCATTTTCGAGAAGTGGGGCATTTCTGTCCACTGCTCTGTCTTAAGGTGGGAATGATCTATTTGACTGTATGCAACGATAGTATTATTTATATCATCCTTTTACTATGTTTCTTTTTTTTCTTTTTTTATAGCAACATCTTTTTTTTAAAAAAAAATTGAGTTAATTTTATTTACATTACCTCAGCAAACATCTCTATAAATGAGTTTCCAGGACAACATTTACAATATAGTTATACCATATGCAAATCAATGTGTGTTTCGCCATATTATCAATAAAATATGTTCTTAGCAAAGAGCATTAAAAGAATACATTGAACCAACCAACCAAACAAAAAATATTTCAAAGTTATAAGGGAAGGTCAAGTTGAAAATGGACTTAATAGTGTTCACTGTGTATAAAACCTGGTTTTAAGTGTTTCAATTAAGATACCTGAAAGTAGTATGTATGATAGGATTTTGAATTTTCTCATGGTTATCTTGGGAAAAGCCCTTCTACTTAGTGCTAGCAAGTTTAGTTATGTTTAATATCTGGAGTGAATAGGCCAGAACCTCCATAAAGGACAGACTATGTTTGAACAAATCATATAGCTACATTTCATATGCCTAAAGACACTCATTTATGCACATTAATAATTATGACATCCACAATTAATTACTATCCAGTGCTACACATAGTACTAAATCAGAGTTTTTCAAACTGCAGCCATCATCAGAATTTTTAAATGAGGTGGAATAAAGTTAAAAAGAGCAGAAAATATCAAAGTGTACTTCAGAAAGATGGTGTATTTCTGAAAAATGTGTTACAGTCATAAGATACGTATATATTTTATATCTATCAGTCTTATCTTCTGAATTATGTTACAAAGAGTGTTTCCTTTTGTGGGTAATGGTGAAAAAATATTGAAATCTATGTGCCAACTACTTTAGATTTGTCCTTTCTAAATCTCAGTGAAACACTGTAAATAGTTGTTATTAGCCCAATTTTACATGCATTGAAAGACTAGACTGTGTAGGTGGTTTCTCAAATACTACAGGAGCTATAAGTGGCCAATTTGGGATTTGAGGCCTGTGTGATTAGGTACCAAAACCTCTATGCTTTCTTCTACAAAATATTGGAGTCAAAAGTAGAGTTTCATTGACTGCAAAGATGATTTTTGCTTATTTATTTAATGGGTTGGTTAATCACGGTTGGCTGGTTTGTCTTTTTTCTTTTACTTTCAACTATTAAAATAATTAATAATTAGTAAGCTGTTATAATAGCACTTTAGATTTCCCAGAGCAATCTGATTGTAAAATAAATAAATACAAATTTGGCTAGATAAATACATCTCACGTAGCTTTGTATTATTATGTTTTGGTGACTCAGATTTCAAGTGCTGCTTCCTTAATTTTTACTTATATTTTCCTATAGGTAGATAATGATGAATTTAATATATCCTTCATCAAGTCAAATGAAGAAAATAAAACCATAGAAATTAAAGATTTAGAAATATTCACAAGGTATTCTGTAGTGATCACTGCATTTACTGGGAACATTAGTGCTGCATATGTAGAAGGGAAGTCAAGTGCTGAAATGATTGTTACTACTTTAGAATCAGGTAAGGAGAATTTCTCAACCTTGCTAAAAATTGACTGAGATTTAGCTGGCTTTCTTACAGTTCATCATACTCCACCAAAAAAGGATATGTGTTATGAGAAGTTTTTAAAGCATATAAACAAAAAAATTAGTGACTCTCTGCAACTGACAAAAAGGAAGATTTCTATTTATATTTTTGAGGTAAAGAGGAGTTATGTAGAATATTCAATCCTTGTAAATACAGCAACAATTAAAGGTATCCGCTGTATTTCTTTGCACTTATTTAATCTGCTAGTTGTTTCAGAAATTAAGTAAGCTTGCCTAAGAGATAATATTTCCAACTGTCTATATCCAATAACACTTCAACTAAAATTCTATTTCAATTATTTCTGTCCCATTATTTGAATGAATATTAAACTTGTAATACTCTGTGAGTATTAAATAATCTGGAATTCGAAAGTAGAATCCAGCTCACATTTATCACAGCTGTTGTCTTCCCTTAGTCAAGTAATATATGTCTTATTATATAACTCTTTGATAAATGTCAGAATACATACAGATTTCCTCAAGTTCTTATGAACAGGGTCTGAATGAATAATAAGATTGTAACCAATAAGAAATAAATTTGGAAATCAACATCCCAGAACTTGCTTGCCCCATCCTCCTTCAGACTCCTGATGTTCTTTGCCACCAGATATATCATTGGAAAAAGCAGATGAAGGGATATGTTGCTATAGTTTATTTGTTGCTATCTGTAAGGTAAGTATAGGAAGTAAAATTTTTTTACAGCTAGTTTTTTTCGTTACATTATATTCTCTATGCATTTTGTCTGTAAAGTTATGGTTCTAAATTAAAAGGTAAATTTTATTATCAGCATCCTAAAATTCCATTTGTTCCTATTCGTCTGCCAAGTATCACAGGTATCTATTTTCTGATTATGCTTTTTACTTCTCAATCCCTCCTACCTGTGAGGAAAGATATGATGAATGTACTCACATTTATACCATAAAGCATTGTTTGTCAAATCTTAATGTGCTATCTGTTTCAAGGATATCACAATTTAATACATTTTTACTAAATCTCTAAGAGTAGAATTTTATGTGTATAACCAAAAATCTGGGTACTAGGAAATTTTTTACAACATTGAGAGAATTCCTTGGTTTATCTGACTTAAAATCACATCCTAAATTTAGAGAAACATCTCATAAGAAAATATATTTATGACACAGCATAAAAACGTGTAGTAACAAATGCAAAAATATCTCTCTTGAACCAACTTAACCTTTATTTTAGCTTTGCATTTTTCCATTTAAAATGAAATATTTGACACAATAGTACGTTTATCTGCTTCTCTCTCTTTTATTCTTTGCTGTTAATTTATTTACATTTTTTGCAAGATAATGAAGCTTGAATATCTGAACTGTTGACAGCCAAATATTACATTTCTTCATGGAAATTCTTTACTTAGTATGGAAGGATATAACTATTTCAAGTTGAACAAAATAGATATAGTCATTCAATCAGTCACTTATATAAAGAACACTAATTATGTTATGCATCAAGAAGTAGCTCCTTTATTCATAAAATAACTTTTATCCTCATACATATTTTAATAATGTATTGGTGCTTAGCTTGTCATATGTTAAGCTGTTATTTATCTAAAATAAACTAAAATATTTATACTATATAAAGAACTCTTAAAACCCAGCAATTTAAAAAAATCCAATTAGAAAATTGGCAGAAGACATGAACAGACATTTCACCACAAAGGAGACATTGTTGGTAAAACAAACAAACAAACAAAAAATGACAACATAAGTTTTCAATACCATTAGCCATTCGGAAAATGCAAATTAAAGCCACAATAAGGTATTATTGTCTATGTACTAGAACAGATAAGGTAATAATTTAAAATATGGCGATGATACCCAATGCTGGCAAGGGATGCAGAAAGACTGGACCTCTCATACATTGCTAGTAGGAATGTAAAATGGAATAGCCACAATGGAAAATAATTTTGCAGCCACTTATAAAACTAAACATGAAATTACTGTGTGACCCAGTAGTCACACTCTTGGGCACTGATCACAGAGAATTGAAAAATTATGCTCACACAAACATCTGTCACCAAGATTGATTGCAGTTTTATTAGTAATAATGAAAACTGGAAACAACCCAAATGTTTTTCCATGATTAAACAAACTCTGCTACATCCACAAAATGGAACACTACTCGGCAATAAAAAGAAGAATGTACTATTAATACATGTAGTATCCACCTTGATGGACCTCAAGGCCATTGTGCTATTGTCATTTTCAAAATGACAAAACTATACAGAGGAAGAGTTATTAGTGTTGTGAAGAAGCATATACTGCAAATAAAAGAGGATACTAGGAGAGAGTTTCTTTAGGGTGATGTAATAGTTTTATATCTTGTTTACGGTGGTGGTTAAAGGAATCTATACAGAAGACAAAATTGCATAAAAGTATAACAAAACATGGAAAGGGGTGAAATTGGGATAAAGTCTGTAGCATTAACAGTATTGTACCAATATCAGTTTCCTGGTTTCATATAAACTCCAGTTACATAAGATATTACCAATGGGGAAAACTGGGAGAAAGTTAAATGGTATGTCCTGTTTTTGCCACTTCTTTTGACTCTAAATTGTCATGCCATTGCACTCCAGTCAGGGTGACAAAGGGAGACCCTGTCTCGAAAACAAACAAAAGATTAAAATGTCATAGAAACACATTCTGTGTAAAAATAAGTGCATATAAAACAAACAAACTGGATCACCATTATGGTTGCTGTGAATTACAGATGTCAATGATTCTATAATGCGTCAGTCATTTTGCTAGTTTTTGCAGTTTATATGGTTTAATTTGTGGAATACTCTTTAAAAACAGAAGTTCAAAGCAAATAAATTTATGTGGAGATAAAAAGGAATACAATATTTTTAAAAATTAATTGTTAAATATTTTATTTTAGCCCCAAAGGACCCACCTAACAACATGACATTTCAGAAGATACCAGATGAAGTTACAAAATTTCAATTAACGTTCCTTCCTCCTTCTCAACCTAATGGAAATATCCAAGTATATCAAGCTCTGGTTTACCGAGAAGATGATCCTACTGCTGTCCAGATTCACAACCTCAGTATTATACAGAAAACCAACACATTCGTCATTGCAATGCTAGAAGGACTAAAAGGTGGACATACATACAATATCAGTGTAAGAATCCGTAGCTTCAGTTAATTACCCAAATGACAATGTCAGTTTATGAACTTGGCATTTAAAAATATTGCAGTTTGTGTACACATGACATTTCCCATATCTTTTTGTGAGATTGTTTGACATCTCAACAAAAATAAATTTTGAGAACTGAAATTACCTATTTTCTGCTATAATACAAGTACTATTAAATTAAAATATGTAAATAACCAAGAAGTTTGCACAATAATAGTAGAAACTCAGACATAAAAGAGAAAGAAAATGCACATTAAAAGTAAAAGAACAGTGATATATAAAGAGATAACTCTGCCTAAAAAAAAGCTATATGATTATGAATTTAAAATGGAAAAGCAAATTTTAAGGACAAAAGACAGAAATAATTGTTTACCTGTTTAAAATTCTCATGCATTTTAACCAAGTATTACTAAAAGCTAATAGCATTTTATGTCTTAATTCTAAATTCCCTATATTTGGACAGAAATGTATGCATGAGTTCATATACATACACAGAGACATATACAGACACAATTTGTTTTATTCCTTGCCTACTTTTAGATCATCTTGAAATTTTCAAATAAAATTATATGGTTCAGAGAAATCATCTTCTAAGAAACAGAATTTACTCTAAATCTTCAAGTAGTTTAGTAATCTGCCTACCAACTCTTGATTAATATCAATGTAATTATCAGGTCATTGATAATAATTTGTATATGTATATGTGTATAAAATGAATATATTTACTACTTCTCTCAGTCACTTTGACTTTATATCTTTATAAAATAAATCTTTTGGGGATTCTTTTTGCATGTCCCATTAAGTGGACCACCATTGTGAAAGATCGATTAGAGGGAAGACGGTGACTAAGAGAATAAAGTAACCTGGGTTCAAATACTGGCGTCTGTGCCAGGGCAGCTTTATCAAATCTGAGCCCAGTTTTCTTATGTGAAAAATTGGTAATAGGAATAATAACTTCTTTATAGGATATTTGTGAGGATTAAATATTCATAGTTATGGTAGGTAGTGAATGGTACATATATTTTGGCTATTGGAAGAGAGAAAATAGGAACCAAAAATGTGCAACTAATTAATAATTTTTAAAAATCCTGTTTGCAGACTGCAATTTGCAGTATCCTTAAAACCTTGAAGTTTGTTAGGATGTATAACTTTAGCACCTGTATTGACCTACTGAATCAAAATCTGCATATTTGCATTTAACAAGGTGTGCGAATGACTTCTTTGCACACTGCAATTTCAGAGGCAGTGCCCAAATTTTCACTTATTATTTCACTTAAATGTTAGATTCTACCATAAAGAAATAAAAATAATGGACCATACTATAACATACGTTTTTTATTTTTAATACTTTTTTTTTGAATTTACAAACTCAAATATTTTCTCTAGGCATTTTCAAGCCACATTTTATGGTCTTGGTTTATTTATCATATCTACCACATGTATATTGTAATATTAACTCAATAAAAACATTTTAAAAGTATCTAGAGTGTGGGAGGGTGGGCCACTAATATATAAAACAAATTAAGTAATTCCAATAAACATTTCGTATACTGAATTGGGTTTATCGAGTACAATGAAATAAGCCAAGAATATAGTCTCTGTTTAATATAGCAAGATAAAGTGAAGAAAAGAAGATTCTCTGTCTACAGCTTCCTTAGCACAAAGTTAATTGAAAGGATTCACGTTTGTGTAAATCACCCTCTGTGTATACAAACAGAAATGTTTTATGTGTATATGCTGCATTATGCAGGTTATAGCGTCAGATACTTTGGGGCAGGGGTGAAGAAGGGCATAAAGGCCATCTTTCAGGGGAATGATTTAATACAGGAAAACTGGGAGGCTGAAGGAATAGGATTTCATCTTAGAGAGGGAAAAAAAGAGGATCTTGAATATGGATTTACAGAAGGCCAGAGTTACCTAGCTACAGAGAGAAGGAACAGATGTTAGAGTAGATGAAGGGAGAGCGTAGATACAGTGGCTGTAGTGCTCTGTTCTTCCTACATTCACATTAAAATCATGGTCAGTCCAGGTCTCAGTGATAGGGCTGTTTAGATCACTCAGCCTTTGTTCTCAGCGTTTAGTACCAGAACATCAATTTTTAGAAATACTTCATTGTTAATGTTCTTCCTACATATATTATATTCAAGTGCAAGAAAATACAATTAATAGACTATATGCAGTTGTTTTTTAAAGAATTATTTAAAATTACATGTAACCATAATCAGTTTTATATATATATATATAACTATATATATACATACATATATAGATACATGCATATATATATATATACACACACATACATAAGCAATCACTTGAAAATAGTAACAAATATTTGTTTGTTTTAGGTTTACGCAGTCAATAGTGCTGGTGCAGGTCCAAAGGTTCCGATGAGAATAACCATGGATATCAAAGGTACATACATGAGCTACCTTCCTATGAAATGCTATTAATCAGTGATTATAATTTAAATTCCATACTTGAAATAAGGATGTAGACAAGCCTTTAAGTGATAAATATGCATATATTAAGCACATACTAAGTAAAAATGTGTGGTTATTAAAGCTATAGTTAAAAACGTTTAAATGATGATGTGAATTACCATGTTAAATAAGGAGAATGTCTTTATTTTATATTTCTTTAATATATTTTATATTTCTAAGTTTAAATTTTTAAAGACAAATTTTATAGTCCGTTATTTGATGTTTCTTTAAATGTTATCGAAAAGAAAGTGTGTTTAAATTGCCTATCATTAGACTTTGACTAGGTCTAATTAGATTATTAGATTGTTTGACTGATTTTTATTTTGGAAGTGAGATTCTTTCAGTTAATTAAATAGTGTTTTTTGAACTACCATGTAGGTTGGTTTATGATTCTGACAGTAAAGTAAATCTATCAATTCATGATTCTGGCAAGTATTTTTTATAGAAAATATAACTAAAATTTGGGTCATCCTTTCAAAATAAAACAAACAAACAAACCATGAAACCCAAAAAAGATGATTAAGAGGAATTTAGGGCCATTCGAATGATCACGGTGCCCTCTCTTCTTGAGAGTGAAAACCAGCAGGTAATAATTATGCCATCTCTCTAAAAATGTGTAATAAAACCTTCAGAGAGGTTTTAAAAACAGAAGTGGATGGACTTTTAGTAGAATTCTACCTGATATGTCTCTTTCTAAAGCAAAAAGTAACTTTTTTCAGTCTTTGGCAAATACAGCAGAGCACAGTGATTAAAGGTGACAGCATTAGGCTGGGTTTAGGGTCAAACTGCTGGATTGAATCATGGATTAGCCACTTGATATCTATTTGACTTTGAGAAAGTTTCTTAACCTCTATAGGCCTGAAAAATGGAGATAATACTGGTTCCTATCTCAAAGTTACTAACTTTGAGGATTAAAAGAGAATCTGAAAAAACCCTTAAGACCCCTGCCTGGAAACATGTACTATTAAGAATAAAAAATATTCACTGTTAGATGAAACTGATAAATTTTATCTTTTTGTCAATGGATTATTTATATAATTGTGATACTCTTTATAAGTGTTTGATTTAAATTGATAAATTATTTACTTTGGGAAGTACAAATGCATAAGGTCTTTAAAAACATCAATTATTTCACAAAATGACTTCACAAAGAATAGTATGAGTCATACCTTTTAAATTTATCTTTGTTATTCAGTGGCAGACGTGTAGGTGTACAGATAGCAATACATGCATCACTTTTATGCTTTAGTAAAACTTCCCATTTCAGATGCTATTCCCATCCCCATGCCAGGTTGGTTAATCTTGACTTTTACTCCTTACCTAAGGCAGGCAGACTTACGACTTCTAGTCTAGAGAAGATATATGAACAATGTCTTAGTGGTGGGATCCTAGAGAAATTATGTTTTCTCTACTAATACACATTATTTTATTAATGATGTGGAATATTCAATTGGTAGTAGTCTCATGAAATTTGCATTTGACAGATATTATGAAGTTGGATAGTAATGTCCAATGCTGGATTCCTCTAACTGGAAATCTTTTCCTGGGGACTCCCAAGTGGCCTGGCTGAGAATCTCAGAACTACCTGAAACCTGAGCCTCTTCCTACTGAATCCTGCCTTTCATCTTCCCTTTTACAGGTGTCATACCTGTGATCTGTGGCACTTACTCCTTCCCTCTGTCCCTTAATTCTTCACAGATAATTCCCCCAAAAAACCTCTTACACATCCAGTCTCATTTTAGCCTTTATTTCTCTTAGTACCCAAACTGATACATTGAGTAAGAAATTTGCATTTGAATCTGATGCTCAAAAAAGAGTGAACTACAGAACCGAGTCAAAAAAATGTGATTCAAATGTTGATAGTTATCTTTGATAACTGTATGACATAAGCTCTTTTCCCTATCTACAAAATAAAAACAATGTTGATAATCCTGTGGGATTATTGAGAAGCTTTTTAAAAAAGATTCTTAAAAATATGGAAATTGAAATTTGGTTAAGTAACTTACTGATGCTCAAGCACTACATTCACACACACACACACACACACACACACACACACACACACACACAGTGAGCTATAAGACCAAATGAAACAAGCAGAGCTTCTATACATATATTTTGGAGATATTTGTATGCATTGATGACAAATTATGAATTATCATGGCTCTTCTAGAAGTTATTCTGTTAATCTGTTAAGGTTAAAAGTACATATATCTTTTGTTCTAGAAATTCTGCTCTTAGGAATCTATTTCATAGAGACAAAAAGATCAGTAAATAAAGCTCATTGTAAAACAAAGCTAATTATTGTAAAACATGTTTAAAAACTGGAGGAAAAGTGAATTCCCATCACCAGATGAACGGTTGAATAAATATGATGCAGCTGCACCATGATATATAATATAGTCATTAAGAAGAATGAGTTAGCTCTGTACCTGGTCACTTGGAAACATTTAACCAAGTTATATTTAAGCAAAAAAAGCAATATGAGGGGTAATTATAATACATACTAGAGCCCCATTAGAAAAAGCAAACAGTGAGAAGAGTGTGTTGTGCATGACTATTTATGTATTTTTATATGATTATGTGAACATGGAAAAAAATATGGGATGCTATCATCTAGATGTTTAGCATGGATTAACTGTGGGAGGGGTGCTAGTATGACTAGAACAGAAATTAGTAAACCAGCTAAAAGAAGCAAAAGAAACTACACTAAAATTATAGTAAAAAGTAAATATGTTTATGCATTTATAAAAAATATATATGAGTGAGAGCATGTATAAATTGAATTTTTAATATGCAAAGAGGAGTCAGGTGCCTGAAAATCACACCTGGGCTCTATTATCTCAGGGAAGTCTCAAATGTATAATTATGCTTTCAGGAGATAATAATTGCTAAATGTCTGCTGTCTCCAAGCACAATTCTCTATAATTTGTTATTTATGTTTGTCATCACTTTATCTGTAAATTAACTGCATGAAAGGAGAAAGATTTTTTCTTTTGTTGATGAAACAATAACATCAATTGCAGTGATATTTCTTCTTTGTTTATAGCTCCAGCACGACCAAAAACCAAACCAACCCCTATTTATGATGCCACAGGAAAACTGCTTGTGACTTCAACAACAATTACAATCAGAATGCCAATATGTTACTACAGTGATGATCATGGACCAATAAAAAATGTACAAGTGCTTGTGACAGAAACAGGAGGTATCATCACATGTCAATTTATCTTGTTAAATTGTGGAGTGTAGATTACTGAGTGCTAAAAAGAATTTAGTTCAAATTAAGATTGACTCCCAGTTATCACACACCTCTTGAGATTAATAGATTGTCAATATTATTATTAATGATACCAATCATTTCTTTGTAAATAAATAAATTATTTATTTATTTTATTTGTAAAACTTTTATAAATGTCATTTATTTATACCAATTATTTATTCTTTTTTACCTATCAAGAAAGGCACAGTTAAAATATGTGATTTATTAATTCCATATACTAGTAGATAAACATGTTTTGATTTTGGTAAGATGGAATCTTGATAGCTTCTTTGGAGGGGTGAACAAGTGAGTTACTCTTGATTGAGGGATGCTCTTTCTCTACCTGATAAATCATCCTTTATAACAGTTCCTGTAGATTCACATGTAACAGAGAAGAACAGGGTTACCTGCCTATACAGGTGGATCACTTGAATTATCTCTGGTGACTGATGTTGCATCGAGAGTCCCCTTATACAATTATAAAAACACTATTTATAATTGTAAAAATATATTCATATGTTACTTGGAATTATTGTTCTCTTTGTTTCTGAAAACAGCTCAGCATGATGGAAATGTAACAAAGTGGTATGATGCATATTTTAATAAAGCAAGGCCATATTTTACAAATGAAGGCTTTCCTAACCCTCCATGTACAGAAGGAAAGACAAAGTTTAGTGGCAATGAAGAAATCTACATCATAGGTGCTGATAATGCATGCATGATTCCTGGCAATGAAGACAAAATTTGCAATGGACCACTGAAACCAAAAAAGCAATACTTGTAAGTATAGGTTATATCTACCATGCATTCTGTTAGCAAGCTAGTTAGTATCTTTCATCCATCCATCTGCCTGTCCTTTCATCTTTCCAATAAGCACTGGATGTCCGCCACGTATAGTGACCTGATTTTTCTGGCACTAGGAATAGAAAGATAAACTGAAAATTATTCTTACATTCCATAAACATACAGTATTATAGGGGAAGCAGGCAACCCTAAGAGTAATTATGATTTGATATAAGTTACATAAAGACCATATGAAAAATGTGCTATTGGAGAACATAGGTATATAGGAGAATTTAATTCTTTCTGTAGAGGACAATGTGACTAATGTGTTTTTCACTTATTATTTTACCATCCATGCTGATGTACAGGATTTTTGAAACACTATCCTATCCTTTGATTTAACAGTGGCTTCCCTTTATGTCACTCATAACAATAACTCTCTGCTTTTTATCTCATGAATGAGTGATAGAAATATTTAATACCACCTTTAATATTTAGCTTTTTGTAGCCCCTAAAAACCCAACATTTTAAAATCAATTTGATATTTTGGCTGTATTAAATTATTTGCTAAATTGATTATCTTCCTTTTGAATTGATTATGTTATTTTTGTATTGTAAGACTACAATTTTTAAAAGAATCATCTTATCCTTGTGTGATTTTCAAAATATAATTTTTACTAGTAATTTTTTAAATGCAGGTGCTTTCATTTGTGCCTGTTAGTTAAAACATTATCAAATTCTTTACAAATATCCTAAGCCAAGTTAACATTGGAAAAATTAGAGAAATTAGGCAAATAAAAATAATGCTTTATCATCTCTATTAAATGCAATTACTTTGGTTCAAATTCTAGGTTATTGCCTGAATAGCTATACACATATGATAGTTATAAAAATGATATACTACCAAGTATCATGTTTATTCATATTTATAGTTTATTTATTTTGCATATTTGTTCCTGAAACAGACTCTTCATATAACAAATAAAATCATAAGAATTTTATAATGGTAGAGGTTCAATCATGTATTGCAACGTATTGGTTTTATGTTTTTAAATGCCCTTGTGCCTTTATTTTTAAATTAAGTAAATTTCAATTGTCTCTGAGGATCTTAGATTCTTTTTGTAATTTTTAAGCTTGATCTTCTTCTGTATCCTTTACTTCAAATGCTATGGAAGCAAAAAAGTATACAAATGCAACTGTGCACACACAGAAATAACAAACATTTTCTTAATGTGTTTATATGTGAACAAGACAAGTTCTATATCATCATTTTAATCTAATTCACTAGCATTTGCAAAAGTGATTGAGGTATAACAGTTATGCCTTTTATTTATAAATTATGTTAGTGTAACACCCTTCACAGATATCAAATCATTCCATCTAAACAAATCCTTGAAGGAGGTGAGCTGATTCAGTTGTTCAAACTGCTAACTGCTCACGAGTTTACCAAATTTTTAGCCCCTGCCTCATCAAATTCAATGGGTCAAAGTACGAGATAATTATTTGTCTCATATAAATATAGCATATATTTCTCCTGATGATGATTCCATTCCAAATTTTCATCTTGTAAATTCATTTTCTTTTGAATTAAATAAATAGTTTTTATAATTACTTCTTGAGTTATTCATAGGAAAAATCACATGATATGCAAAGTGTTGATTTTTCTTTTTTTATTTTATAGATTTAAATTTAGAGCTACAAATATTATGGGACAATTTACTGACTCTGATTATTCTGACCCTGTTAAGACTTTAGGTAAGACATTTTTGTAATTCATTTATAATCTCAACATATTTATCAAAGTTGGAACATTTATTAGTAAATGTATTAATCCATGTCTAGATGTTTTAAAATATAAACTCATTTAAATGTTAATTAGCCTCTCTAGTAATATTTGTGGGTTTTTAAAATTTTTTCTTTTAGGTTTAGGAGTACCTGTGAAGGTTTGTTACACAAACATCTGTCATCTCATCTTAACTATCCTTTAAGTTAGGTCAGTGCTTCTCAGAGGGATTTTATACCCCAGGGGATATTTGGCAAAGTCTGGAGCCATTTTTGGCTGCCATAACAGGATGGTAGTGGTGGTGGTGCATGCTACTGGCATCTAGTGGGCAAAGATTAGGAATGCTGCTAAATTTCCACAATGCACAAAACAGCCCGTAATGTCAGTGGTCCTGAGGATGAGAAACTCTGACTTAAGCCCTAATGTTGACTCCATTTTACAGATGAGGAAACCAACACCCAGATTCTTTCAGTATTTAAGTGGCTAGGCCAGGATTCCAACATTACAGAACAGGATTTCATAACATTACATTACAAATATGGGATTTAGACCTGGGTTCAAATCTTGGCTCTGTCACTTGAGAAAATAATTTAATTTCTATAAATCTGAGTTTCCTTTGTTGGGAAAATATTGATAAGAGTATCATCCTTGAGGGGTTGTTGAAGTTTTGTGTAAAACAACATATATAAATATATTAATATTTTATAGTTAGTAAATTTTTAAAGTTTAATAGCTTTTTTGGATAGGTTATAATAAAATATTTTAGAAACATTTTTATTTAGGAGAAATTATTTCTCTAGAATTTCACTGAGAGGATCACAACATTCTACATTGTTTGTGCCAGGCCCTCAAAAGCCCCAGTTTATTCGTCTTAAAGAATTGCATGAACAGGGTATTTCTGGGGCACCACTTGAAAATGTAAGACTTCATGTGTTGCCCAGATCCTGGCGAGCTGTTGCTCAGTGTATCTTGAACTGCTAATAGACTTCAGTGAGAGTTATGACTGGAGAAAGACGGATTGTCCCACCATTTTTAGCCAGAAATTCTCATTGGGTTATGGAAATACTAATTGTATAAAAAGCCAGCCTCCACAGCCTCTACATGTAGTCAAGGAAACTTTGCATCTTGAAGAAATAGAGGGGGCATGTAGTTTGCTACATAGATGTTTGTAGAGAAATAACAAATTTCTTTGGCTAAAATGTTTGTTTAATTTTATACAAATCATTGGTTTGATTAATTTTACCCAATAATTTCATCATTTTAAAGCTAGCTGATTAGTTTTGTGGTTTTGAAATTGTATCAAGTGTTTCTTCATTTGATAGGTGAGTCTATCACACTCTGATGCCACCACAGTAAAATAAATGTCTTCTTGTCATCAGCATAATTTCCTATAGGTTACAGCATTCATAAGCCATTACTTCAGCTAAGTAGTGATCCTGGTGCATTTGCCAATGGAAGGTAAAAGACCTAGACAAGATAGATAACCCATGTGTCTTAGGAGATAATATTTTATAGGAGCAGTGCTGAAAGGAGCTAGCCTTGCTGTATTGTATGATGTTGTCTTTCATCAACTTACTGGTTTCATACAGATTATTCATGGGAAGGCAACATGTTCCGTCAGTTATCTGAGAGGCAAAGTTGAGACATTCAGGGTAATGGAAATGAGAAAGAAAAGCTATAAAAGGGGGGGAGCGCCAAGCATCAGGAACCACAGTGCACAGGAGCATGATTCCTTAGATTCTGCTAAATGGCTTCTCTCTGCCCAATGATGGCCTCATCCAGCACTATAAGTAATCTCAAAGAGCTCCTCAGCAATGGTCTTCTCTTTCTTCTTTCCACTCACAGTCAAGGTGGTGGAATACAACCATTAATCCTGGAATGTAGCAGAAATACACAGTCAGGTTTTTGATTCCTTCTTTGGAAGTATAACCACTGCCACCCCAATCATCTAGGTATGAATCTTTGTGTGCTCTGGAAACAGAAGGAGTCTACAGTGAGTAAAAGATGTGTAATGAAGGACAGAGCACAGGATCCTGCCAAGACTAAGGAAGGAGGGACTGGTGAAATGTAGACTGGACACAATATATAGAAAGGCACTGGGCTGCTGAGGGATAGTGACAAGGAAGGGTCCTATGTGTCTATGATCAAATTACTCAGAGTTCAGTGTATTTTTTGTAGACCAGTGACATGATGACAGTCTTTTAGGTTGCTCCTTAGAGTGATCTTCCAGGGACTCTCTCCTGAGATACAGCAGCTTTGTTAATTGGCCTTTGCCCTACAGTGCTTATTCTGGATTGACCACATGGAGTTCTGCTATTTAGATAGTCATTTATAGCGAGTAAGACAGTGACAAGTGGAATCAAAGGAACTTGCTTGGTTTGTAATCGTTAGTTGTAGTGAAATGAGAATGCACCCCTGGAGCAGAATTCCTCAATGACTAGCAAAGCAGCCCAGCCATTTCTCTGGTTAATGGATTTAACACCATCAATTACTGTTGTCATATTTGCTTTCTACCAGACTATTGAGTGTCGTGGTTCTATGGAGATTAGAGTCACTTTCATAGGTCAAGAAACAAACAACATCCCCTAGAAGTGGTCCTGGTCCATTTGACATTGATAGAACGCTGTAGATCAGGGGTGTCCAATCTATTGGCTTTTCTAGGCCACATTGGAATAAGAAGAATTGTCTTGGACTACATATAAAATACATCAACACTAACAATAGCCGATGAACCAAAAAAAATTGTAAAACCATATCCTAATGTTTTAAGAAAGTTTACAAATTTCTGTTGGCCCACGTCCAAAGTTGTCCTGGGCCACATGCAGCCCATGAGCTGCGAGTTGGACAAGCTCGCCACAGATTCAAAAGAGTTCTTAGTAAAAGAACATTGCCAGGGAAGAAACTCTAGAAGAACTCAAAAAGAAAACAAAGTTGATCAATTCTCCAATGGTTAGTGGCAAGAATGGTTTCATGGTTGTGAGAATGAAGGCAGGCAAATAATAAAGTGCATTCATATAATACCCCTGGTGTCATCAGAAGATGACAAAGGGTGATTGAGTCCTTTTTTTCTCTCAAATATGTCATGTGTTGGGATATATGAATCATTTGCAGCAGGCTAGGGACTCAAACATTCCTGGTAAGCTGCTGAAGACATATGTGTGCATGTAATCCCAGACTACAGAGAGAAGTCTAGGTCCCATCAAGGTCATCCACCCACCAGGGGATAAGCATTCATTCACTGGTATTTTGCACACCACAGGCAATGAGCACTAAGCCGAGTTGCCTGTCTGTTGAAACTTTGGGATTTAAGAGCTTTTGCACGACTCTGTTTCCACAGACCATTGTAGTGGTAATTATGCCTCTCAGAGACGTTATTATTTGGAGTTTAAAATTAGGGGCAAAAGAATCACCATAGACTGATAATCTTAAAAATGTTTAAGTTTAGTGAAAGGGACTAATGAAAGTACAAGTGAGAGATGGCCAGGTAGAACTTCACTGGATGGATAAGTATGAGTCTGTGGAAGAGCAGTTTGCATTTAGGGAAACCTTTCTGGCCTGTAGGGATAAACAGGGAAGATAACGTATGCATTATTTTAATCCTAAATAAATACTTGAAACTTATTTGATTTCGTTTTTACTCAAGATTGAGTATTGGCATTTTTATTATCAAAATTCACAAAAAACCCTCTTAAACTTTTTGAAAAAATCTTCCCTAGGCACATCAGTTTATGGAAAGTGCTTGTAGGCAATGTTTTGATTACAAGGTTTAATTATAGAGGGATCCTGTGATTTGAAAACCAGACACCCGTTTCTGTACCTTACAGGGCTCTCATTAAAGCTGAACATGATGAAATCTTAAACCCCATGGCAAAGGCACTCTGTGATTGTTTTCTTTTGTCATAACACTTCTCATTTAATTACTATGCTAACAATGAAAAGTTCCAATGTGCTCACTTAGATTCAGAAATAGGGAGTTGCTATGTATCTTTTGCATCCAAAGGATTACTTCCCTAAAGTCACCAGAGGAACAGAGGAAGATTGTATTTTGTTAACGAGACAGTGGTAATGTGGTGGTGAACCTCACATACTCTGTAGTCAAGACAGACGTATTTCAGGCAGGCTTGGTATATATTGAATTTATGAGATTGTGGGTTAGTTACTTAAAAAATTATTTTTAAGTTCTGAAATCTTATTTCTAAAATGAGAATACTAATACTCATTTTAGAAGCTAACTAGGAGATTAAATCAGATGAATAAAATGGATGAATAAATATGAAATGTTTGTTAATAAAGATACCTGTCATTGTTTATGTACCAAGTCTTTAAGGGGTTTTACATATAAACTCATGCATCTTCACTGCAACTCTGTAACAACACCTCCTATTTACATAGCGCCAATTTCTAGGTAAGAAGTTTGAAGCATTGTGTTTTTTACTAACTTGACCAAGCTTTTTAACCATCCCAAAGGTGGTGGCAGAACCTGCTTTCAGACCCAGGCAGCGTGACCTCAGTCAGTGCTGTACTTGTAACCACTGCACACACTACCTGCAAATCACTAAGTCCCCAAGTAGCCCCCAGTTCATTACTATGGGTGATGTTTCTGCTCCCACAACCTATCTTTGCTGTACCATTTTCTCTTCTTGATAGTTTTAATTATTTCTAGCAGCTCTCTTTTCTCACACTTTGTCTTGGCTTTTGAGGTTAGTGTTCACAGATAAGCATGTGTTGCTTTTGTGTTTAGAGATATGGTTTCTTTTTATTTTTTTAACACCGAATAATGTGACTTTTCTCACACCCTAGCAAACACTTTATTAGCTACCTTTAAATTTTTTCCTGTCTGTATGGATGAAAATGATGTTCATCCCAATGGGGTGTTTTAATCTATATGTTTAAAATTTTATTGAATATTGACAAATTATACACGTATATATTTATGGGGAACAGAGTGATGCCATGATATATGTATACCATGTGCAATTATTGAATCAAGTTAATTAACAAATCCATCACCTCAAGCACTTATCATTTATTCCTCCTATCTAACTCTATTTCTTGACTTATGGAATTGAGTAACTTTTAGTAAATTATTTGCTCAGTGTTTGAATACCCTAGGTGACTAGCACTGGGCCAAAAGAGAAGATGAACTCCCTATACTTTAGTCCTGTTATAAGAACTCAATTTTTATAATAATAATAATAATAATAATAATAATAATAATAAAGAAGGAGGAAGAGGAGGAGGAGGAGGAAGGGGAGGAGGAGAAGAAGGAGAGGGAGAAATAAGGAGGAAAAGACTTTCCATTTTATATGCATCTTTATCAGGAGCCAGGCATTGTACTATGAGCTTTATATCTAATTGAATTCAAGTTTCTCCTTAGAGAATAGGCTTAAAAACAGACTTAAAAAGTTGGATACATATGCTGAATTTAAATAATGATAACTTCAGTCAGAAGATAATACTTATGAAAAATTAGTGCTTTAGAATTATGATTTGCCAAATTATAGTAGTACAATTTATTATGTAAACAGACCAATTTAATGTGATTTGTCACAGGATTTTAAGTCTAGTCAGAAATGACTTGCACCTACTACAAAAAGAAACATGTTTATATTTTTAAGTAAAAGAATTCCATTTTCTATTAAAGGATTTGGAGAAGTGACATCATTCTCTACTGTTAATGCTCTGTGGGTCCATGCATAACAGTGAATCAGAAAGTGTACTTGATAATCAGGGAACATTTTGTCCTCTCTTAGTGACACTTTTGTAATTCATGTGCCCAAAGGATTACATATTGTTTATTAATATATTATATGTCATTTCCTCATTTGGCCAGTGCTTTGAAATGGTAATCTAATCTAAAAAAAATTTTTTGTGTGGTCTATGAGAACATTTTTTTCCCACTGAGTTCTAAGGCCCAGTGATTCATTATTACCTAATAAAGAGGATTCTTTATTCATCTTCATGCCTCCTTTCCCAAGCATATCCAATTAGAGTCACCATGTGAAAATTCATAAATCAAACCGTTCGTATTTTAATGTATAAAAAAATGTACCTAAAATACTTTAGGTGATACATGCTGCTTTCTCATTTTTTAAATTTAGCAGGAGATTCTAGCAGACCATGAAGTGCTGATAACTGTTTTAAATTCAGTATTTATTCAAATCCACCATGCAGGATAGCCACAGGAACTCTTTTATATTGGTAACATTACATAAGTACCAATACAGGACAAAAAGATGAAGCATTAATACGTGCCTATTTTACACATTGGTAACCTATTTTGTCACTTGACTGTAATACTTTGTGCAGTAAAATTATAAATTATGTAACTTAAAATTGATTACAATTATAATTAGTAGTTGTGCTTAATAATTTTTATATTCTTATTTGGTTCAATGCCTGATCTTCAAACACGAACATTTTTAATCTTTTTCAAAATCAATATATTTGTTCATTAGTAAATTTAGCAAATATTTATTTAATATTTACTCTGTGCCCAGTACATCTCTCAGACCGTGGAATAGTTTTGTATAAAACAAAAACCCCTGTACTCAAGGGGGCTTACATTCTGGAGGAAAGGACAGAGAATAAATAGTAAGAATAATAAATAAGTGATTTATATGTTAAAATAAGATAAAGTTATGGAGGAAAAAAGTAGAACAGAGGGAAGAAGGAGGGGGAGGAGGAGGCAGAAAATGCAGGGAGTTGTGTCTTTCAATTTTAAATAGTGTGCTGTGTTAGTCTGCTCAGGCTGCCATCACAAAATATCATAGATGGGGTGTGTTAAACAATAGAAGTTTATTTCCTCACAGTCCAGAAGGCTAGAAATCTAGGATCAAGTTTCCTGCCCATTTGGTATCAGGTGAGGGCTCTCTTTCTGGCTTACAGATGGTTGCCTTCTTGCAGTGTTCTTACATGGCCTTTCCTTGGTGCATGGATGGAGATAGAGAAAATATGGTGGGGGGAGGAGGAGGAGAAAGGAGTGAGTGGCACACACACACACACACACACAGAGAGAGAGAAAGAGAGAGAGAGAGATGGAGAACAAGCTCTCTGTGTCTCTTCTTATAAGTCACTAATCCCATCAGATCGGGGCCTCACCCTATGGCCTCATTTAACTGTAATTCCTTTCTTACTCCAAATACAGCCACACTGGGGATTAGGGCTTCAACATATTAATTTGGGGGAAACACATGTATTCAGCCCATAATATATGATCATTGAGAAGGTATTTCAGCAAACCTTTAAAGGAAGTGAAGTGGCTACCCAGAAAGATATACAAGGCATACACACCTTTGCAGGCAGAGGAAGAAGCTGCTGCAAAAGCCATGTGTCAACAATGGCCTTGTGTTATTCATCAATAAGGAGGCTAATCTGGCTCCCTAGGAGTGAGCAAGCAAGGTGGGGACTGGAAGGGAAATCAGAGGGGTAACAGGGGACCAGACAGTTAATGAGGGACCAGATCACACATGCCACTGGAAGGATATGGGCTTTTCTCAGTGGGAGATGAGGAGGATTTTAAGCAGAGAAATAATGTTTTAAAACGATTGTCCTTGCTTGTATGTTGAAAATAGGTGGAACAAGGACAAAGGTGGATACAGGCAGACTTGCTAAGTTTTTAATTCATGCAAGACAGGATGGTGGCCTAGATCAGATTATCAGCAGCAAAGGTGGAGCAAAGTGAATGGAACATACATAAAACTAGAAAAAATGGTGTCATGAACCCCCAAATACCTACTAACTCAATTTAATAATAATTAACATTTGGCCACATTTGTTTTATTTAGACATTGTTCACTTATTTCTGAAGTAAAGTAAGTCACATAACGCATATTCCACTCCTAAATACTTTAGTATGTTTCTCTAATAAGTACATTTTTATTATATTGCTGTGATTAAACTTAACAATAAATTATTGATATTATTTAAGCTACTTGTATATACGTTTTCAAATCAGTCTTTGATTTTTTTCTTTAAAGTTAATTTATTTGAATCAGGATCCAAATAGGAATTTACACATTATCTTTGATTGTTCTGTTTCTTCTATTATTTTTTTAAAGAGCCTTCTTTTCTCCTTTCCTTCCCCCCTATGTCATAGACTCCCTGAAGCAATCAGATAGGTTGTCACGTAGGAAGTCCCATATTTTGGATCTGTCTGGTGGTTTTCTCTTGATGTCCTTTAATTTTTTTTCTTTCCACCACTTTCTTATAAATTAGAAATAAGATCTAAAGCTTTGAGTATTCGCAGTCAACATTTTTGTCAGAAGTACTTTATAGGTCTTGCTCACTAGATCAAAATACCTTCCATCAGGAAGTGTAGAATATCTGATTGTTACACGTGATGCTAAAATTGATCAGTAGGCTTGGTGGCAGCAACAGCATGATCCTTCATTGGAAAGTTGGTTTTGACCACTTATAACAAGCGTATAATCTATACAGCGATATTTTGTCATCCTGTAAATGTCCAATTCCCCATTAACTTTCCTCCTAATCATTTTAGAATACATTTATGTTTGTTACCTGAATCAACTATTTCGTTAGAAATACTGATTATTAATTTTTTTTTATTTTGAGCTGGTGTTTTGCTCTTGTTACCCAGGCTGGAGTGCAGTGGCACGATGTCGGCTCACTGCAACCTCCACCTTCCGATTTCAAGCTATTCTCCTGCCTCAGCCTACCGAGTAGCTGGGATTACAGGCGCCTGCCACCACGCCCAGCTAATTTTTGTATTTTTAGTAGAGACGGGGTTTCACCATGTTGGCCAGGTTGTCTCGAACTCCTAACCTTGGGATCTGCCTGCCTCGGCTTCCCAAAGTGCTGGGATTATAGGCATGAGCCACCGTGCCCAGCCCTGTTTATTAATTTCTAATTTTGTCACTCCTTTAACATTTATGCAGCAAAATTATCTTCTAATAATGAGCTTTATCTCCTTAACTAGGGCTATTTTTAAAAAGTCATAAAATGTAGTTCAGATAAGAAACCCAGAAAAGTATACATTTCAATTATAAATTAATTAAGAATATTTAGGCCAAGGAGATGGTCTAGTTATAGCCAGAGTTTACAAATTAGTACTTTTTTTAAACTATTGGGTACTGGGCTTGATACCTGGTTGATGAAATCATCTGTGCAAAAAGCTCCTGTGACACAAGTTTATCTTATATAACAAACATTCACATGTGGCCTCCGAATTGAAGATAAAAGTTTAAAAAAAAATCAGTATTTTTGTTATTTGTATTTCTTTTATTAAATAATCTTATTTTTTATTTCTGATCAATTTCCATTTTTATTAAATATAAGGCTTGAATTCTTCCCTCTTTGGCCAGTAGGAGCCCCTTCAGGAGGATCATTTGTTCCTTTTATACCAGTAGCCTTTTGTTAGCTTCCTAGATCTCTAGCACCATTATATGTCTTGAATTTGTTTAGTTCCTTCCTCCCACTTTGCAATTACCATCTTTCCAAAGTTACATAGTTTCTTTGGTGAAAATTACAAATATGTTGAAGATAGAGCCTACAGGATTTCCTCACATGTTTTGGATGTATTCTATGAAAGAGAGTCAAAGATGACTCCAGGGTTTTGGCCTTAGCAACTACAGTAATGGAGTGTCCATCAACTGAGAGGTGGGAGGATACAGTTGAAAGGAGGGAAGTGTACATGTTCAGTTTTGGACATATCAATTTAACATTTTAAGTATACTTCAAAATAAAGACGTCTGGTAGGCAGTTAGATATATAAGTCTGAAGTCTGGTGGATAAAAACTAAGTAGTCATCATCATATAGATGAAATTAAAACTGTGAGGCTAGATGGGCTCACACTGGGAGTGAGTTTAGATAGAAAAAGCAAGAAGACCCGGGACTGAGCCCCAAAGTTAAAAAATCTAGGAGAAGAGGAACAAACAAGCTGCTACATTTTACTAGTATTCTTCAGCAAAGAATATTTTCTTATGCCAAGATAATATTTTTTGGTAGTTTGGGATTCAAAATAAGATTCCATAATAATATTTAATGATCCTGTTATCCCTCTTCTCCAGGGGAAGGACTTTCAGAAAGAACCGTAGAGATCATTCTTTCCGTCACTTTGTGTATCCTTTCAATAATTCTCCTTGGAACAGCTATTTTTGCATTTGCAAGGTAAGATTTATTTGCGCTTACATTCCAGGATGCTTTATGGGCATTATATCAGTCATAGTCCAATCAGGAGACAGAAGCCACAACAGTTACTTGAATGGGAAACATTTTTATTTTTAATAGACAGATAAAAATGTATTTATCATGTACAATATGATACTTTAAAGTGTATATGCGTTGTGTAGTGACTAAATCTAGCCATAAAAGGAAAGAAATCCTGCCATTTGAACAGAAAACATTTAATGTAAAGAATTGTTAACTAGCAGAAATGGCTAACTACTAAAGAGAGTAAAAGAGAAATCTAAGAGTCCAGAAGTAGCAAGCAAAACAAAGCAGCTACTCTCTTTAACTTGAAGGAGAGAGGACAGTAAACAACTAAGAACTGAAAGAAGTTGTCTCCCAAGACTTACATGGAATCGCTACTTCTAGCACATGCAACCTATCACCAAACAGTGAGCAAAGAAATATGACAGAGGGAAGGGGTTGGAGCTGTTCCGTAGAAGCTACCCGTCATTATTAGATGGTAGGCAGGCTGAAATTGGTAATAGAAGCATCCCATTCTTGCTGAATGGTGTAGGTGAGCTGGTACTACTTGAGACTGTTCACGAATGGCATGGGCAGAACGTTCACTTCAGAGGCAACAAGAGCTCATCCAAGTGAGCTGCTGGGCTCTCACAATGAATAACAATAATGCAGGATTGGATCCCACAAGGGCAGTGTTTTCCTCTTCCTACTGCCTCTCAGGGTCACTCTAGTGCCCTCTATTGACAAAGCCTCACTTTCGGCCGGCTGGCAAAGGAGAAATGCAGGTTCCAGCTCCAATATCAAAGAGCACAGCAAAAAAAAGGAGGTTTGGAGATGAGAGACAACAAGGTGAAAACACAAAAGCAGAAGCTTTCAGGCCACCTACATCTTTTAAAGTAATTTGTAACTCTTATAGGTTTAATTTAAAATATCTCAATCAGGTCTAAATATTAAAGTTTATACAGAAAGAGATCTTTTTTATAGTTAGAACAACACTTGTAAAATATCCAGCTTCCTTATATGGTAGACCCCCTTCTCATGCTTACTTTCTGAACATGTCTGTGCTGAATTTTCCAAGTGTATCTTTCCATTCTCAGCATCAGCATCCTACTTCCCTTATTATTTACAGGGCCTCGTTGGAAATCTTACTTCTGACCTCAAAATCTAGCTTCTTAA
Source organism: Homo sapiens (assembly GCF_000001405.40). NCBI lineage: Eukaryota > Metazoa > Chordata > Mammalia > Primates > Hominidae > Homo > Homo sapiens. The sequence goes on from NC_000012.12 coordinate 80,633,489, forward strand.
GGCAGATTGCCGAGTTAAAGGGACCTTACATTTGTAAAGTAAACTTTCTACCAATTTCCTAAATAGTTCAATAGACTATTTTTATTTCAACTGAAGAATGTAGTTCTGTATTCTAAATGCCATGCATTATGGTTCATCTTGACTCTCTTAAAGCATAATTTTAATAGATAATTTGAAAGGCTCTTGAAAAAGATATTTTCTCTATACCACATAACTATTTGCAGATTTAGCCAGAAGACAGTGAGAGAGTTATCATTCGAGGCACTTTGAATGCTATAATGTGTAAAATATGGGCCTTTCCCTAAGGAGTATGGACTGGCCACATTTATGTAATTTCCCTGCTCTAAAATCTTTTCTGACTTCTCATTTCTCTACAAGATGAACTCCTTGTGTGAGTAGGAAATGGTCCTCCTTATTCCCCACAACTTGCCTACTCACTAGCTAAAGAGATCTATTCTCACCTGAACATTCCTTGGGCTTTTATACATTCTGCTTTTGTTCAGTCACCCTGAAATGTGCTTCCTCCTCCTTCTCATCCTGGGACATCCAAGTCAAATTCTACTTCTTTACCTCCTCTAAATAATAATAACTATTTATGTAACTAATCAGGCACTGTCTTATGTGTTGTAATTTGAATCTTTTTTTCTCTTTTCATGTTTTTTCTGCATTGAAATCTTGCCTCTCAACTAAATTGTAATGTCTTTGAGGGTAGGGAACATGTTTTATACTTTCCATATCATCCTTGATGTCCAACTCTTAATAAATACTAAATATTTGAAATGTGAAAGATAGAATAGCTAAACATTACTTTGTAATATACCATACTGTGTCATGGAGAAATAAGCATTTAAAGGGTTTAAGATGAAAAGAATCTGATTTGATTCTCAGATTCATGTGGCTTTTATTTTTGAACCTAAGTTTTCTGATTGTAAAGATAATATCTACTCACAATATTTTTATAAAAATTCAATAAGATAATTTGAAAATAATTTTTAAGTATTTTCATGCATGTAAAAATATTTCATATATGTGAACACAATGGGGCATTATCTGTTAGCAATACTATTGATAGCATTGAACTATTTTCACTTTGGCATAGTTCCTTTATATGACAAATCAATGACATAGCTAGAGAGAAGAGAAACAAGATCACAACGTAAGTCTTCTTGGCTCTATATTTAAATGTACCAATGGCTCAGGCCTTCGTCAACTAATTCTTCTTAAATTTAGAACTTCATCCCAATAACTTATTAGAAAAAAAAGAAAGTAGAATAGGTTCTATGGAATTAAAACAAGAAAAAGAAGTCGAGTAGCTATAAATTTGCAACATATTCAGAGAGGTGATTTTAACAAGGAAATTATTTGACTAAATGTCTTTACTTAAAAAGAAAACTAAACCTAATTTTATATACTTTGTGTGAAACTCCCTTCTTGGACTTTACTCCGCTTGTTTTAGAATTCGACAGAAGCAGAAAGAAGGTGGCACATACTCTCCTCAGGATGCAGAAATTATTGACACTAAATTGAAGCTGGATCAGCTCATCACAGTGGCAGACCTGGAACTGAAGGACGAGAGATTAACGCGGTGAGCACACTCCTCTGGGTGAACTGTGGTCCAGAGGGCCTGGAGCCATGACCCTATTCTGACCTATGCTTGTTGGAAGTGTTTGTGGGGCTCTAATTTACACAGGTCACAGAGATCTTCTTTCAAAGAGTGACCTCCGTCTTCTACACACTTCTCACTGCTGTTCAGAGAATCACTTAATCTTCCTAATATTTTGAGTTAAATATGAACTTTGGACTATAATGTTCAATCAGGATTATTTTCCTGGGACAAATATTTTTCCACATTAAACCTTTGACATTATGTTTAATAATTCATTTCATATGATAGATTTTTACATTAAACTTTTCTGGAAGTGTCCACATTTTCAATCACAGGTTTAAATTAATTAAATTTATAACTACTTGATATTATTTATATCCATTTTTATAAAAGCTTTTTAATAACTATTTCAGTATAAAAGTACATAAAAGTCTAAGTTGTATATGATATCATTTTTACATTTCTTTGTATTTAAAAATTAAATATAAAGTAAAAAGTTACCTTCAGAGGGAAAAGTAAAAACATGTGTACTAAATATGTTTCATTGGTACCTATTGGAAATAGTAAAGTACATAATTTTAAAGAAAAAATAATTATAAATCCTTTTAAAAGCATTATCAATTATTCAAAATGTTGGCACATTATAAAAACTTGTCTATTAAGATAATTCATCAAATTCTTAATGAAAACTACCATCAGGCTATTTTAACGTTTGCATTTTTATAAGATTCAATAACATGTAATGCTTATAAGCACAAAGTAGTTGTTACCAAGTATTTGCTCAGCTCTGTTAAAATTAAAAAAATTATTATTAATTTTGAAAATATGGCATCAAATGTCTTGGACTCAAAAAGTTATTCATTTGTAGTTGTCACTTGTTAAAGTTGGTCTTTATCTAATAGATGGACTTTGCAAGTATATTTCCAGCATATCTAAAAATACCTAATATGTGCTATAGAGGGAAGTGTCATCTGATAAGCAAAGTCCTTCCAAATGCTACAAAATGAAGGTTATTCAATGTTATCACTAAATTGCAGGGAAATGTGTTTTCTTGGATATGACAGCTGACTTTTTAAACATTCAGATGTTGATCTTTGTGTTCTAATACAGTGGTCCTATCCACAAATGGATAGTACTCCAAAGATTTAAGTGTCAGATGATTGTAAGTTATCCAAGACATAGTTTTCTATATAAGAAATATTATGTACAAAATATCAAATATGTAAAAAGAATCAATAAAAGATTCCCAGGGTAACTCATCTAAGTAAAACCATATCATAGGAACACAAGCACTGCTACTACTAGACTGTGTCTCAGCCCTTAAGGAATCATTCTGCATCATCAAAGAAAGTTTTTCCTCCTTTTCCCCTATGGGCCAAATGAATTTTAGTGGTATCCTCCTAGCCTCCTTCCTGCACTCCATCGTCAGTTCCTTTTGCCCCTCCTCAGGCCTGTGTGGCCCATCCCTTTATTCTACAACTGAAAATGCACAAGGGAAAAAATTCAAATCTCTCAATGCAATTAATTTTAGCTATTTGAACAATATAGTTGAATCTGTTCATACTAAAATGTAAACTTCTAAGACCGACCCCCTCCCCAACACTGGTAGGCATTTTCATTTTGTTAAAAGAATACTTAGTAGCCCGTGAAAAATCCTGAATAAGTATATCTTCAGCAAATGTAATAACGTGAAAAAGCACTCTTTTTGTTTATTATGTCATGTTTTTAAACAGTCAATATTGGAGAAAGTATTATTTATCGAAGAGGTTACATTCGAGGCAGACTGTGGTGAGATTCAATCCCCTAAGCACTATATATTTTCACAGCTTGCCCCTTTCTCTACTTCTGAACACTAAATACATCATCATAAAAAAATTAGAAAAGGTCGGGTGTGGTGACTCATGCCTGTAATCCCAGCACTTTGGGAGGCTGTGGAGGGTGAATAACCTGAGGTCAGGAGTTTGAAACCAGCCTGGCTAGCATGGTGAAACCCCATCTCTATTAAAAATATAAAATTAGCCCAGCATGGTGGCATGTGCCTGTAGTCCCAGCTACTCCAGCCTGGGTGACAGAGCGAGACTCCATGTCAAACAAAAAGAGTAGATTTTTTTTTTTTAAGAATGACTGTCATGGCAGCTACAGAAAAGTTTCAGATCATGAAAAAGGTGGGCAAGGAATGTACAGATTGTTTACTATTGGTTATTTATAATTCAGGGTCTACTTTATTTGACCTTCACTCTTCATTATTTATTTTTCCACTTCTGTGTTTATTTACATATTGCATTATTTGTAAAAGGGTTTAAAAGTGAAATAATATTTCAGATAATTTTTATTTTGTTACACACAGAGAATTAGTATATATTACCCATGATAATAGCAAAATTGGAAATATTAGTTTCCATGCTTTTCACTTTTTCACTTGTTTGTTGTGATTCTGGTATTCACAATTGTTTGTAATTCCAATGGCACATAATAACATGCTTTGCTGGACTTATTACAGAAATGCATTAAAATAACAATTAAGTGATTTGGGCATTAATTCTTCAGTACAGAGATCTGTGTCCAGCTTTACTATTTATGCAATATTTTTATGTTAATAAAGTCACTAAAACATTAGACAATAAGACTGGAAAAAATAACAAATATAATTAGCTGCATGTACATATGAGTGGATCCTGTCATTTGGTGAAGCTCTAAAACTCTTCATCTGTTTTGAGGTGTTTGAAGATCTAAATCCGTTCAAAGTCAATCAGAGACTGATGGTAGATTCTAGGAGTGAGAATCAAGAAGTCTGATTTAGCTCCCTAAATTGTTGGCAGACTTCCACCATATGTCTTTGTTATCTGCAGGAAAGAACTTCCATAATTTCTCTTAAATCTACCCAGCTAATAGGCTGGGCATAGTGGCTCATGCCTGTAATCTCAGCACTTTGGGAGGCCTAGGTGGGTGGATCACCTGAGGTCAGGATTTTGAGACCAGCCGGCCCAACATGGTGAAACCCCATCTCTACTAAAAATACAAAAATTAGCCAGGCATGGTGGCGCATGCCTGTAATCCCAGCTACTCAGGAGGCTGAGGCAGGAGAATCACTTGAACCCAGGAGGCTGAAAGTGGCAGTGAGCCAAGATCACACCATTGCACTCCAGCCTGGGCAACAAGAGTGAAACTCCGTTAAAAAAAAAAAAAAAAAATCTACCCAGCTAACATACGCTCTCTCTACTTGATTCTTAGGCATGTCCTTTTTATTCCAACCTGCTAAATTTTTCATGCAAAATTGAGCTCATAACTTTTCTGAGTCCTGTATGTTTTCCCATGTCCAAAAGATAAATGATAAAAGAAGAATCTCTAATCAATAATTAAAATATTAATTTTAGGAAGTTACCAACTAGGCAAAAATAAAACAAAAAACAAACATGGTGCTTGGTACTAAGTCCTTTCAATGATTTGTGGTTTCATATTTTAGAAATTATTTAACTATTTTATACTCTCTGCCTGTATATTTACACTTTAAAACCCATTCTGTAATTTTTGTTATTTGTAAACTCATTATTTAATTATGCTCCACTTTGTTTCACAAAACTTTTGAAAATGCCTTCTCTCACTCTATCATTCTATACTATTTCTTCCCAAATGAGAGCAGGAGTCAAATAAAGATGTAGTACTCTTTAATTCTATGAAAACATTCAAGGATATACTAAAATAACGTTTTAAATTCTCAATTTGAATGATAATTATATTATGTACAAAGATTATTCACATTTTATGTTTAAGTTTAGATAACACAAACTATAATTCTTAGGAAGAATATGTAACATTTTGGGCTCATCTGTTTCACACTTACCGAATTAGGAAATGATCCTTGGGTTTTGTTATCTAATAAACATACAGAACAACATTTTGTGATGGCTCCTGCAAAACACCACCACTTAGCCCACTGAAGTTAGAAAGGTTTCTTAGAGCTCTTATTGGCAAGATCAGCAGACACAGACACGCACAGTAAGACACAGACCTGTATCACTGAGACTGACTCACCTTGTGGATTGCCTTTAACTACTTTAACTGTACAACGATTACCTTCCCATGAGAGTCACATCACTTATAATTAAATAACCCAACAGAATTTTCGTAAGCTAAAAATGCTATTTGCTAAATAAGCTTATTTTTTACTATCTTCTTTCCGCATTTAAGTCACGGAAGTTTTGTTTCTTATGCCGACTAAATCAGAAAAGAATAGTAAAACAACATTAATCAATGTCACTAATATTCTTACTTGACAGAAACTCAGTTTCTTTTAGTCCTCAATTTTTTTTCAAAAATTTTATGCACCACTTCATATTAATTACCCTGCCTATTTTAGTTGAGTGAATGTAATGGCACATTATTTTAAGCCTCAAAGCCCAATCCAATAATCACGAATAGAATTAAAATTCACAAGATAAAGTAAACAATCTAATGAGTTGGAAAAATTTCTATTTTAAGAGAAGTCTTCTTCAATAATTTTCTTTCTTCAGTAACTTCAGAAGTGTACATGTTGAATTTTTGTTAAATACACAGTTATGTCTTCAGGAAGATTACTGCTTAAAAAAATTCTACATATGTACTTTGTAAACTGTAAACCAGAATACCTTTGGTATTGTTACTATTGTGATTTATATTTGTAATATTGAATACTACCCCGGTCTACTTTCATATATAGAGTTTGCTAACAAAATAATAGCTACTGTTTATGAGCAACTCCTGTGTTAAACTCTGCATGTAGTGATTTCACTTAACTCTTTCAAACCTTAGTGGTAGGTACACCTATCCCCATTTTACAGATGGATTAAAAAATGATGATAGGACAGGTTTATGTAAATGTCTAAGGTCATACAGCTAATAAGCAGGAGAGCTACAAGCTAGCCCAGGTCTTTCTCTGAGGTATGAAGATACACGTGTGTGTGTGTGTGTGTGTGTGTGTGTGTGTGTGTGTGTTTAACTTCGAAGCATACTAGAGAAGATTAATGTAAACTTTCTTAAATAGACAAAGACCCATGGAATTCTTCCTCAGCAGCATTTTCTATGATGAGAATGAGTCTAAAGAAAGAGGTTCCTCTTTGGATTTCTTTGTTGTCTCATGATATGAAGCAAAGAAGTGATGGCATTTAATGTTGACTCAAACTTGCAGGAACTGGAAAACTTTTAGTAGTGTAATTTTTATTTTGGCTTCAATAATAACTCATAATTTTTGACTGATATATGAAATTCTAATAGTTCACATTTTAAGTGTCATCATTCTTTGACAAATTCTGTTCATATATTTTACTTCCGTTCTAAACTTAAGCTATCTTTGCAAACAATGGCAAAAATTTGTGAATTCGGAATACAAGAAATGTTCTATGCTTAGAATGAAATTGGAGATACTTAATGCTCATATTCTTGTAATAACAAATCAAAAATAATTCAGTGTGTTTGTATACTAAATAATGAATCTTTACTTGCAGATACTCTTCATTTTTCTTTAGACGCAAGGAGATTTTTGTCATCCAGTAAGTTACTGTGGTAATGCAGAACTCTGCTGTGATTATTTTAATCTTGTCAGGTGGTGTGCTCTATATTTTAAAATACATAATATTGAACATCTTGTTGTTTAATGCACTATTTTTTCCAAAGCTCCCCCCAAAAGCTATATTTCTATTTACAACATGTCCTTTATAATATTGCATGCTATTGATAATGGTCAAGTTAATCTTATCAAAATGCACATTGACTCATAATGTGCATGTCCTGAGAATTTGCTGTGTTCTCATGTTGTGTTAGATTTGATAGCAAATTAAGTTTGCACCTAGATTCCTGTACAGGCTTCTCATTCTGTTATCAACATGACGCAAGAGTTGAGCTCTACATCTGATGGGTGGAAACTATATTTACATTTCATACAAGCTCATTTTTGCAACTGTAGATGGTTAACCTGTAAGGACCAAGACAATGACATTTCTTGTTCCCTGACTCTCTAGTGCATACACAGAATGGCATATTTCATGGAAACGTTATTTCTCCACTGACCAATGGGTAGCCAACTGTGCACGCTTCCAGGCACTCCCCTGATGCTCAGAAATGCCATTTGTATCCTGGCACAAACATTTTTTGTTACATTCTGAGAGTAGCATAGCAGAATATCAGCACTAGCAGGGACCCCAGTAACTGATTGAGCGTCCCAAACATAATAAATTTCTTCATGCAAAGAATGTAAATGAAGGAATATGAATGGAGGCAGAGAATAAAAAGGCATTTGATTTCAAAATCACACGCCTTACTAAAGAAGAATCCGTCTTCATGAGCTATAAGGCTGAATGGGGCCAAAGCTCCTGATAGTCTGGTTAACCATGAATAATACTCTGCATTATTAAAATCAAGGAAGCCCGGTCTATTTCTAATCTAATCACATTTAGCATTTGGGAATCATAAGTAACCTTGTTTTAACTTCAGATTAACTAGTTACCAAGTTCCCATTGACAGAATTAAAATACTTTAATGAAAATACATTTCCTTCAGAGGACCTGCTTGATGGGGTTCAAACATTTGTCAAAGTAAGACACTGTTAAACTGAAGATTTAATTGATCACATTACACATAAAATATCAATTTTCAACCAGCACTCAAAGTTAACCTCTGGGCCATTCCAGACTCAGAGGCGGTTTGGTTGAGCAACTCTGCTGAATGTCTTTCTTCATCATCATAAAATAGAATCCTTTTCCTATTCTTTTTCTCCTTCTCTCTTTCTCTCTCTCTCACTCTCTCTCTCTCTCTCTTGCTCTCTCTCTCTCGCTCTCTCTCTTTCTCTCCCTCCTTCCCTCTCTCTCTATTTTCTTTCTCTTCTTTCTCTTTTTTCTTCTTTCTTTCTTTTCTTGCTTGCTTGCTTCTTTCTTTTTTCTTGCTTTCCTCTCTCTAACGCCAAATTTTCTTTCCTAGAATCAGTGACTAGTACCCTGCTCAATCAGAGCCCTTACCCTGACACAGCTAAACTTAATCATTTGTGTTAGTCAGAACCTTTATAGAACACCTCTACATACGTCATACTATTTAAAGTAGATCTGTCTTGTTCCAAATCCAGTTTTCTGAGGTTGCTTCTAACATCTAACAGAGAAATGTTATTGCCTGCCTGTCATCTTGGCTAACAGGCAGTAAGGCCTTATTTTTAGCTGGTATAATATCTTCTGGTATCTCCTATTCATTGAGTCCTTGCTCAGGGCCCCATCCATCTCTTCACATAACTTTGATCAGTCTCTTTCTCCTCTCTATCTACAAATTCTACCCTGTTGCCCCGGATGTAGCTAAACAATGCCCATGGTTTTCATTTAGAATACATGGTTGACAAAAGAAGACTTCTGGCAAGAATATTTCTTCAAATGTGCTAATGTGGAAAGGCTTAGTAATAAGGAAAATTCAACTTCTGCCACACTGGGGATCATACCTCTGAGCTTTTTGACATCAGCAAGAATATTGCATTCACTTCTCATCTAAAAGGCCATTTCATCTTGTTTAAATAAAAATAAATAACAATTGAGGGCCGGGCGCGGTGGCTCACGCCTGTAATCCCAGCACTTTGGGAGGCCGAGGCGGGCGGATCACGAGGTCAGGAGATCGAGACCATCCCGGCTAAAACGGTGAAACCCCGTCTCTACTAAAAATACAAAAAATTAGCCGGGCGTAGTGGCGGGCGCCTGTAGTCCCAGCTACTCGGGAGGCTGAGGCAGGAGAATGGCGTGAACCCGGGAGGCGGAGCTTGCAGTGAGCCGAGATCCCGCCACTGCACTCCAGCCTGGGCGACAGAGCGAGACTCCGTCTTAAAAAAAAAAAAAAAAAAAAAAAAAAACAATTGAGTATCTCTCAAGTGCTAGGCACTGTTTTAGGCACTGGGAATAGTGTGATGAGAAAGGAAGAAACATTGCCTCCAAAGAGCTATCCTTCAAATTTAATGCTTCTTTTAAACTGATTTGTCCTACACATATGAGAAGATATGTTGAGAAGGTAATACATATCATTTACTATTAATTGTTTTCCTGATTTAAAAAAGTATTACATGGCCAGGCGCGGTGGCTCATGCCTGTAATCCCAGCACTTTGGGAGGTCGAGGCGGGTAGATCCCCTGAGGTCAGGAGTTCGAGACCAGCCTGGCCAACATGGCAAAATCCCGTCTCTACTAAAAGTACAAAAATTAGCCAGGCATAGTGGCAGACACCTGTAATCCCAGCTACTCAGGAGGCTGAGGCAGGAGAATCGCTTGAACCCAGGAGGCAGAGGTTGCAATGAGCCGAGTTTGCACCATTGCACTCCAGCCTGGGCAACAATCGTGAAATCCCATCTCAAAAAAAAAAAAAAGGAAGTATTCTATTACTCACTTATGGTATATTTCTCTTATAAAATTTTAGAATCAGCTGTATAGGACCAACCATGGGTTAGGATATTTTAAATTTATATTGAGCACCACGGAAACATCAATGATTTGGTAAAAGAATACAGAAGGATGTGACAGAATGCAGAAGGATGTGAAAGAATGCAGAAGGATGTGAAAGAACAAAATAAAGAAAACTAATAGGAAATAACAAAAATTAAGGCACCTTTAAAAGTATTAAAATAGATGCTTTGGATAAGCGATAGAATATTGTAGAAGTAGATGTAATTTATGTGTCATTAGTGACTTGATGAAATATATAAACTAAAAACTCACACTCAGTATCATACAAAACTTGGAAATATTAATATTGTACCAGAGAAATAGATTCTTCACAAATTTAATCTAAGTAGCAAGTACATGCTATGGGATACAAATACATATTTTTACACCAATTGACAAATTTGAGATTCTTTTATTTTTAACTTAACATCACTGGTTAAGTAGAAGAAAAGTTTCTCAGTTTGTCCCATACCACTGGTAATGCTGGTTGAAGCTGCTCAGCTATAGGTTATCATCTGTGGCTCTCTATTAGGACTATATTTTAATTCCCTATAGATTTCAACTAATTGACCTTGAGGGAAAGCTGAGTCTCTGTGACAATATGGTCTTCAATCACCACTGCCAACATAAATAAATGCTTCCTTTCTAGATCCATCAAGAGTAATCTGAGTGGAATTTAAGTTTTTGATAGGCTTTAAAGAAATGAGTCCAGACGTGAAATAAGACACTTTTCAACCAAAAGATATAGAATTTAAGACAGTTAAGATTCGTGTAATAAAAAGTGTTTAGCCCTTTCTATTGGAAATTAGTCAGTTATCTTATTGAAATCTGGACAGTTCCCAAATTGATTTATCCAGTAATGAACTGATTATAGTCTGACAGTAACCTTCACTATCATAAATGAATATCCTACCAGTCTAAAAATGCTTTCCATTTAACAGTTTTTTTTTAAGTTTTTAAAATGTTAATAAAAAGTTTTCTATTTGAGTATGTTTGAGTATCTCCTTGGATCACTTCATTCGAAACTAGCACTCCTGAAATAGCATTGTTGATTTTCATGCACATCAATTTCTGTGAGTTTCTAGTGCTTATTTAAGCAAACAGTTTTTCCTATTAGGAATTTAATTATACCTCTCAGTGATAAGTTAGTGCATTTTCCTTATAGTATGTCCCATTTTCTTTTCTAATTCTCTCTATAAATCAGTCAAATTAATTTTTTTGTATATAAACATTAAAGCTTAAAACCTCAAAGAAAAATACAATTTAGAATGTAGCCAACACCTAAGGGAGAAATACACCTATACAACATGAGGCTAAGAACGAAAGCAATGATAAGTATACTACAGACAACAATGAGGAAGGAAATATCTAACTTTTATTTGAAATAGTCAGGTAATGTACCTCAAAATGTCTTCTCAATTTGAGCATTCCTAATAGGTATTTGAAGATTTCAACTCACAAATGATTGTGACATAAGTACAGACTAGAAAATTACATAAAAACTGGACTACTAGAAGCTTTCTTATCTTATATAAACATAAATGTGAAGAACAGATTCTAAAAAGTGATTGGATTTAGATAAAAAAGAGTGATACAAAAGAAAATAAAGCCAAATCAGATTCCACCTCTCTTTTTCTTAAAGTGTGTGCCTATTTGTTTATCACTTGAGTAGGCAAGAGCAATTTTATTGTTCATTTATCTAACTTCCTAACAAAGTACACCTGTTAATTTATAACGTTAGGTTATCTGCTATGGCTTTTGCTTAGACTCACATGCTTTTTGTTGATAAATCTATTGATTATACGTATTTAAAGCTTTGAGTTAGGACCTCTTGAGAATTCTCAGTTTCTTAATAATTTAGTGTGAAAATGTATTCAATTCAGATATTCCCTCACAATAAAGCCAGAATATTCATATTTTGCTTTCTGTGTATCTTAATCTGAATTCATCCACAATTTTATATTTGATATGTTTTATTTAATGTTTACTGTGAATAATGTTATGAGGGACATCTAGTAAGCCAAGTGTTAATCCTGCCCCAGCCCTGAAGTATATATGAGCCCAAACACTTGTATCCTTAATGCAGGGACTTAAATAGCCATAATACAACATAGAAGATGATTTGTCCTTGGAAATTTGATTTTACAGGCAAAGGAAATTATTTTCTTTTTAGTAGAACAGAGTAAGATCGATAGGGTTGTTAACATTTGAATCAGGTATTAAAGAATAAGTAAAATTTCCGTTGTACGAAGAATGCCTGGAATGGTATAAAATTGAGAGGGAGGGATATATAGAGAATATCTGGAGTGCAAACAGGATGCATGAAGAGGAGTTACAAGGAATAATGTCAGAAATGTGGGCATGGTTAGAAATGTTTTACATGATTATATGAAAACTGAATTATTATGGTCATTGTATTAGAGATTTGTTTGGGATCTCGAATTGAGAGCTAGAAATCCAGACTTGGATTTGAAAGCTAGATATTCGTGACTACTATATTTTAGCACAATATAGTCTATCCATCTTTGAGTAAAATTAAGAGAATATTCTTTTGGAAATAATGGAAAAAATCCCTTCCTTATATCAGTATCAATTGTAGAACAGTATGGATAGGAGCAGCTTGAGATGAACAAACTAAATTAGCAATAGTAATTATCATACTATTGATAGTAACCAATACTTATGTATTGCTTACTAAAGGCAGAGACCTTTAAATATATGAACTTAATTTAATACATTTCCCAAACTAGGAAACTGAGGCACAGAAAAATTAAGTATTGCACATGATAATATAACTAGTAATTGTTCAAGCAGGTATTTGAAACCAATAAAGGCATCATATTTTCTAATAAGGCAATAATTCACAAATATCCACCCAAACCCATTATAGCCAGTTATGGTTTAAAATATCTTTAGGCGGACATCATGAAATGCACATCTTTATTATCCCCCTTGAGGGGTGAGGGAGCTGGGGTATTTATCCACCAACTCTGGTTAGTCATTGGTTGATGGATGTTTCTTGGAATATTTACCCTCCGATGCTTCTAGCCTGGATGCAGGAGACACTCGAGGAGAGTGGCAGGTCCTTGTAGTAGGAAACTATCTCCTTGCATGCGAATGTTGAGTGCCCAGGCGATGTGGGTTAGGCACCAATGACATCTGCACAAACTTTTAAAAATCTGAATTTCACAGCACTTAATAAATTTACGATGATGTATTTCTGCGAAAAAAAAAATCTTTAGGGAGAGATTTTAAATGCAAAATGAATTAAGAATAGTGAAACAGCAACTTTTGGTAGAGTTTTTCACTGAAAAGACATGAACTTAAAACAAAAAAATGTATATTTATTCAATTAATCATAACTTCTGAAATGAAGAATAGAGATGATTAAAGAAGAGCAATAATATGAATAATATTTTGCTTTAGCTATTTCTTGCTCACTTTTCTTTAATATGATTATTCACATTTAATGTCTCTTAGGGATTTCACAAATGTATACTGATGCTTCAAATGGTTTATTGACATTTTCCCAGAAACCAACATCTACTTTAGATTCTAGTTATCTCAGTAAAAATACTTTTGCAGTACCGGCTCAAATGATCCTCTAGGAAAAAGGAATCTCTCTGCGATGGGTGGCAGTCTCACTGTCCTTATATAGGTGGACTACTAGCCTGTCACTAAATCATATATATTGTGCTTAAATTTTGCCAATCACAATGGAATAATATTTGCTGTTATTATAAAAGTTATTTCCACAAAGTTCAAGAGTTTCTATGTCCATGTGGTAGCAGGGAAATAGACCTTGGTAATCAAAGCATCTCAGTCATTTATATCTTAAGTTCAGTTGATCAGAATTTACCCAACACAACCTTCTATTCTTTCCTATTTCTGAAGAACAAGGTATCATAGGGGCACTGGGCAACAAGTTATCTTAAGGGAGCTAGGTAGTATGTGTGGATGTAGCCTGTAGTTTATCTTTCTTTCTTGCTGGTCTTCGCTGAGGGGTAATTATTTTTAACAAAGATTGATTGTGGCTTCAGTCCCCACTGCAACTGTTACTATGTCAGAGATATTTCCAGGGCCTCCAATATTCAGACATTCTATTTTCCCTTCCCCAAATCAAAGATTCTTCTCATTTGGTAGCCCTTTCAGCCATCTCCATATCCATCTAGAATAAGGAATTCTTTCTTGCTTTCTTTAAATCACTCTAGGGTATTGTGGGGCACTCTTAAGCTTATCCACCAAGACTCTTTGTTAGTCACTGCTACTTTGTCACTTAGATGCCCTGTTTGGCAATGGAATAGTCTATCACTTTATGTTTACCCTGAGAAGCTGGAAGATACAACATCTCTTTCTGCTTGGGGGGCACCCATCATTAACTGAGAATTCTAACATTCTACTTTGTAATACCTGGTCCAGCATCCCCATATTTTTCAACAATTCCTGTATTGTAATGAAATATACTTCCTTTTAAATCCTGTTTTCTTCATTGAATACACCTCTTTTTGACCATTTTCATATTTATTATGCTCTGTTTTTCAAACCATTTTTTTTCTTTTATTCATTCTTTGCTTCAAAAAACATATCTTCTTACAAATATTCTTCAATTAAAGAATATAGTAAAATCCCTAATATTATTCTAGATTTAAAACTTTGAAAAAGTCATATGTTCCTTAGTTCATTTCATTATATTTTGTGCCTTTTGTGTTTTTTGCAGTGCTAATTTGTTGTGCATGACGTAAGTGTTATTAATGATACGCCCCTCTCTAAGTTTGTGTATGTTGTGTAGCCTATTTAGCTGTTAAAATTATTTTTGTTTACAGAGTATAAGTAATTTGGCCAATGATCTGTCACAAAAGATAGGTCTAAAATAATGGAAATAGTTATAATTTGTTGTTGCTGTGTATTTATCCAAACTCACTCATGAAACAATACTTAACCAATGTGATGTCATGTTTCATGGATTCATTCTGTCTGGTTCAACACTTTCTATATATAGAGGAAATATTTTTAAAATCCACATTAGCTCTTTTAGACCACTAAATACCATGCAATATATTAAAAAGTGATCTATTTTTAATGTAGTATCCTAAATGCCTAACATTTTTAAGCATTTATAATGACATTTATAATAACAACAACATCTTTTCAGCTCGAGAAAGAATGTAAATTATTTGCCATGTTTGAGTCCAAATAATGTAATTTCAAAAAAATAAATAAAATTTAAAATAATGATCATATATTAGTTAAAGGCATAGCACATTTTACATTATTGATTTATTATAATTTTCTGACTTTAATCTACACTTCTTTCAGAATTAGCTGTCCACTCTGACTCACAATGCATTTAACACAATCTCTATTGCAGGTTACTTAGTTATAGAAAATCCATCAAGTAAGTTTGTTAAATATTTTCTTTCTTCTTTTTGAATATCAAAGTTAGATGCACTGACTCAGTAGAACCTTAATGTGTGATTCACTTTTTGTATGTTTGTTGGAAAAACCTCCAAGCTGGATATAAATCATAAAAGCATGACTAATTGCATGGTAACTGGAGAAATGCTTTCTCTCTCTCTGGGGTGAAGCCTGCATGTCTGTATTTTAGCTTGGGAAGTAATACGGGGATATTTAAACTCCTTGGGGTTTGAAAACCATGTCATTATGAGAATGAGGTCACTGCAATATTTTATATCTTCTAAAACCTTGTAATGTATAAAATGTTTTCTGTCTGACAAAGAGGTATTATGTGCTTTAGGAGTCAATGATAACTTCATGCCCTTACATTTACTTGAAAAATTTTCTTCATTAAAATGCTAAATCCTTTATTTAATGTCACTAAAAAATTGAAGGAATTTTGTGCCATGAATACAAAGAAAGTGAGCTTAAAGAAGAAAAGTTAATTTTATAAGTATAACAGAGTGACTTTAAAAAGCTGTGTTGTTTGTGATTTTGGGGATGTCCATTGTTCTTTAACTTGTTAAAAGTGAAGCCAGTGCCAATGCTAACGCGAACAAATACAATCTAACATGACCCTATTTTATACCTTTCTTTACTTGGAGGCCAATAAGCAAGAAATCCTTCCTGCAACATGTTGAAGAGCTTTGCACAAACAACAACCTAAAGTTTCAAGAAGAATTTTCGGTATGTTACTAGCAGTTGTCACAACATTGCAAGACCTCCAGTCGTTTCATGTGTCACATTTCATGTCCATTTTAAGCAAGCAAGGCCATGAAGGACTCTGGCCTTGATAATCAATACCCAATTACCAGGTTGATTGTTTTGATAGTAATGTTACACTGGGCCGCCTCTGGTGCAACCTGATCAGAATTATTCACCTACTGTGTCAGGAAAAGGTGGTCTTCTTCAGACCTCCCCTGTATTGGCAGCATGACCTTGTCTATTCTCTGCTCTTTCATCCAGATGTAGGTGCAAATGTAGAATGCCATATTCATTAGTTTGTTTTGTATTCAAGGTTTAGGTCATACTATAAGTGTAGTTTTATATTTAAGTAATTATTTTACATTTGGACACTAAATTATTTCATTTTACGTTTACCTACTTGGTTTACATTAGTGATATAGATGAATGTGAGATCAAAACTTGAAGCTTCCAGAAACTATAAGAAAATTATTTCTAGAACTGTCTAAAAATAAAAAAAAAGATAAGTAATGTCCACGTTTTACAGGGGGCCTTTTTAAAGTTACTATGGAATAAATGCTGTATCATATAATGAAAATGTATAAAATTAAGAATTTGTCACTTTAAATCTACTTAAAAGTTGGGAATAGTTTTTTTTTTAACATTTTGTATATCTATAAAATTGAAATTATTTAAAAACATAAGGTAGATATCAAATCTTCAAGCTACTTTAAGAGTTATAAGCATCTTTTCTAACTTAGATGATTATTTTGTTATTAAGAAAGACAGATTTCTACATGTCACCAAAAACATTATTTCTATTTTATTTTTTTCCATGAAATTTCCAGTGTGTGAACTCCTGAAACAAAGAATAAAACAATTGGGTTAAATAATTCAGAATTATAATATTTCAGTCTCTTAGGGAATAATAACAAAAATGAGAGAAGATTAATGGTATTTCCTGCAGCCTTTTGGTTATGCTTCTTAAGAAATATTGGTCTGGACTTAACAAAATCAATAGTGCCATAAAATTCTTCCTAGCATTTAGACAGCAAGAATTCTCAATTTTTCAGGAGCAAAAGTGTAATTTCCCTAGAATAAGAGTGAATGTAATTACATTATGCATGACCAAGTAGATAAAAAGTTTTATTAGCAATAACATTTTCACATATATGAGAAAGTTTCTAGTTTAAGTTTTTTGAAGACCATAGTTTGAAGAACTTTTTAAAAATTTCATTTTGTCTAATGCTTTGTTAAGAATTTCTAAAGCAAATTATTAAATTATGTTTTAATAAATACATTTTTGGTGCATATATTTGATAAACCTTTTAACTCAGGACATATTCACTCATATCTTAAATATTTATAAGTTCCTACTATGTGATAGGCATTGTATTTGGCACATACAATCAGCACTTACCAGCTAAGTGACTTTGGGCAAATTTCTTAAACTCTCTTTGCCTCAATATCTTCATTTGTAAAATTATAATATCTACTTTATTAAATTATGAATATAAAATGATTGAATATAAGCAATACTAAGAACAGTAGCTGGCACAAGTATTAGCTATTACGATGATAAATTCTACCATAAAGAAGCTCATATTATGGTAAGAACTGCAGATGTGTAAAAATTGCAAATTTACTGTATCTTGATGGAGATATGCATGAAGATTGAGGATCAAATCTGTTTGTATATCAACCAGAAAAGAGTTTATAAAAAAGGTGTCTTTCAGGATGAACTTTAGGATGAGCAGAAGTCTAATGAGAAGGTAAAGGAAAAAAGGTGTTCCAGAGACAGGAAAAGGATAGGAATGCAAAAACGGTCTAACTCATCTGTGGTCCCACTGAAAAGAGAGAAAGCAATAGGAGAAAGAGCTAAATAGGGAGAATTGTGGCCTTGTGCACCCTGATAAGGATAACACTGCCCAGTGTAACATTACCATCTAAACAATCAACCTAGTGTTTGAGCATTGCTTACCAAAGCCAGAGCTGCTTAAGTCTAGAAATGGAAACTTTTATGTGAAATAATTATAAAATATAAGTGCTCTTTCAGTCTATTTAAACTCACCTTTTTTCTCCCTTCTTTATGTATTTCCAAAACTTTGACACAAGGAAGCTGTTCTAGGACTCCTTATTGGGTTAAAAAAATTTTGTAAGCCTTTGGTGCCAACACATCAGAATTCAGATCTTACACCATTCCTGTCCCTTAATACATACCCATATGTAAACAATTGTCCAGATTTTAATTTTGAGAAAAAAAAATAAGAAAGGGAAACTTATCCAATTAAAAGAAATAATTTATATTGATGTTGAAAAATTGTTAAAACACATATTTTTAGTGCTTTTTATGGAATTTGGCAAGTTGAGATTTCTAAAATGGAAAACTATAAATTTCACACATGTAAATTTTCAGCTCAACAAAATAATGAACATATTTTCTTATGCCAGACTTTTTAATGATGCTTGCTTTGCCAAGAGCAAGGTAGATAGATAATATCATAAATTTTCATCAAATGTCAATAATAGATCTTCTTGACCCTTCATCTATATCTGATAATTCTTAATTGCACCTTTGCATTCCATTATTGATTTAGCAATGCTTATTAAGAGCAGGAATTGACCTCTGGCATCTTCTCAAACTGACCAATGTTGTACCAATTAATAGGCATGAAATCACACTGCCTGAGGAGAGAAAACAAAAAATAAATCATTGAAATCCCTTTTCCTACTAAGTAGACATTAAAATATTAAACAATAGTGTGTACCTGATGAAACCATTAGTAACATATGTAAAATGGTCACTAACATGGTTGCCACATCTTAAGGCTTCCCAAAGTGCAAAGAAATTATCTCCGAAAGAGCAAAACCCAGCTGACCAACTTTATTCAGGATATTTTTGGTGAAAGCCTAGGTAAACTCATTACTGTTAACTTGACCTTGTTTCCACAGTTATGATAGGTGTTTTTAATTTAAAAATTAAAAAAAAAGTTTAGGACAAATAACTGTCTTTTAATAAGTGAAATTTCTTGTTTACCTCTGATAAATGTAAACTTTGTAATGACTTTATTTTACAGGAATTACCAAAATTTCTTCAGGATCTTTCTTCAACTGATGCTGATCTGCCTTGGAATAGAGCAAAAAACCGCTTCCCAAACATAAAACCATGTATGTGCATTTGTTGGTTTTGGTTTAGCTAGGAAATATTTTTAAATGCCTACCATCTTAACTTTTTTGTTTCCTTAATATATTTTATTTTATATTGTTTGAATTATAATAATGTATTTTATTGGCAGTGACTACCAAATTATATATCTTTTGCTTTGTTCATATTTAACTAAAGTTAGTATACGTGGTTTTCAGTTTGTTCACACAAGTTCACTTATGCAGGTGCAAGAAACTGTAGACCTAATAGTTTCTTAGCTTTGTAATTAAACCCAAGTAATGAACCTGTTTAACATCTTCCTACAGACCTAGCATCAAATGCAAAGGGAATATTCTCACTTAGCTTTGTGCATTAGTTTCCCTTCACAGCATAGCAGTGTTTTCCTATGGAACATAAAAAAAATGCATTGTAAAATATTCATTGAAGACCAGAGTAAATGCGCACTTACATGAATTCATTTTACATATGAGGCAGAATGAGCTTCACCATAGTACATACAGCTTCATTTTTCAATCAATAAGAAAATAAACAGTGTTATTGCTTAAAGAATTAACAGTGATGTGAAAGGAAAATAGGACATTTCTCTGTTACTAATAACTATATGTTTGCTATTATATTTTTGAACAGATATCCCTATTTTCAATATTCTGATTCAATACATTTTACACTATGAAATTAAAAAGTGACATTGTGATGTCCTGAAACGTTTCAAAGTCTAGAGTTTTGAAATGTTCCCAATTTTAAAGATAATATACATCTGTGTGTGTATATATATATTTTTGTCTATGCTTTTTCAAATGTATATTGGGGGAATAGCTACACTTCTTAAAAATTGAATTCTTCTTTCTAGAAAGACGTAGACCTAGAGAAGGATGTGATCATAGAATGTCGAATTGTAAAGGACATGCATAGGAAGAAACAGACCAAATTCTGATATTCTAGAACTAGGGAATAACTTATGAAGTTCACGAAGGAAACAAATGTAAGGAAACATGATATAGGAAGTAGTAATCTACTAGAACCTGTTAATTTCTAAGAAGTAGAATAGGATGAAAATACAAATAGCTTTAACCACCTAAATCCTTTCTGCAACAAAACAAATCATAAGTAAATGATTTTAAGAGCAAGATAACAAGACTCAGTCAGAGGAAATAAACATTCATAATTTCTTTTTCTTTCTTTCTTTTTTTCTTTCTTTCTTTTTTTTCTTTCTTTCTTTTCTTTCTTTCTCTCTTTCTTATCTCTCTTCCTTTCTTTTCTTTTCTCTTTTCTTTTCTTTCTTTTTGGACTTTTGATCTTGTTGTCCAGGCTGGAGTGCGGTAGTGCAACCTTGGCTCACTGCAACTTCTGCCTCCTGGGTTCAAGCAATCTCCTGCCTCAGCCTCCCAAGTAGCTGGGATTACAGGCATGTGCCGCCATGCCCAGCTAATTTTGTATTTTAAGTGGAGATGGTTTTTCACCATGTTTGTCAGGCTGGTTAAATTTCTAAGACCAGGACATTTTTCAACGCATCCTTTTATTCTTTCTTTTAGAGAGTTAACCTAGGTTGGATGCAATGTAAGTATAAAAGTTATGGACATTCCCATGTCTTTATATTTATCTGCACCTAAATTTCATCCAGACTGTTTGCTTCATGCTTATTTGGTGATATTCTGTGAAAATAAATACTGTAATCTGATTAAGGGACAGTAACTGTGGAATAATTAGTATTTTTTCAATTGTATAGAATTAATGGCCTGGCGCGGTGGCTCACGCCTGTAATCCCAGCACGTTGGGAGGCTGAGGCGGGCAGATCACTTGAGGTCAGAAGTTCAAGACTAGCCTGGCAAATGTGGTGAAACCCCATCTGTACTAAAAATCCAAAAAAAAAAAAAAAAATTAGCCGGGCGTGATGGCAGGTGCCTGTAATCCCAGCTACTCGAGAGGCTGAGGCAGGAGACTTGCTTGAACCTGGGAGGCAGAGGTTGCAGTGAGCCGAGATCGCACCATTGCATTCCATCCTGGGTGACAGAGCGAGACTCTATCTCAAAAAATAATAATAATAATTAATTTATAATATATCAGTATATATAAAGTAAGTAATTCAAATATGTCTAACTTACTTCCAAGGAGTGTCTAATTTGAAATATGTAAAATTTGATAGATCAGAAAGTTTTTTTGCTGTGTGACTTTTCAATCATTTATTAAGATTTCAGTGCATTATTATCTGGGTTCCCTTTAAGACTGTAAGAAATGTTAGACAATTTTAGCTTATTACTTATAGGATGAGAAGAGAATAAGAGTGGTTGATGGGACTAAATAAACAATCTTAAAGTAATAAAAAGGACCGAGGAGTATGACTACCCCAATTTTCCATATCTGAAGCTGAGATAAAAAATTAATCAGGTTTCCTGGGTTACATATCTGTTTACCCACTAACTACATTAGTGACTCTGGACATTTTATTCAGTGGTCTCTACCCCATAAGAGTATTGTAAAAATTAGATGAAATAATCATGTAAATCGCTTTGCCCAGTATTGGAACACAGGAAACATTCAAAATATTAGTTCTTATCTTATTGGTTAATAGATCATTTCCTTTTAAGAGCTGCTAACTTTCTGGGTGAATAAGGTTAATTCATAGGCATTTAGGCTATGTCTGGAGATAACAAACCCAAATCTCTAGCCTGGGTTAGAAACCAAGCCGTAAAGTCACAGGCACATCTATTCTATGGGCAAGTATACCCCCGGTTCTCTCTGTCTCTCTCTCTCTCTCTCTGTCTCTCTCTCTCTCACACACACACACCCATACACACTCTCACACACATGTACACACACACACTAGGAACAAGCAAATAAGATGTTTAAACTAAGTAGATTATCCTATTGTGCTTGCAGAGAACCCATAAAGCTGAAGAAAATTTATTTTCCCTGCAGAGATTGATTTCATTTTAATAGAATTTGAATTTTAGCTAATAGAATTTGAATTTTAGCTTGAGCCAGCTAAATGAAGTCCATTGTTTCTCTCCCCTGAGTAATGTAAGAAGCAGAATGCCAAATATCACAGCATGTTTTAGAAGACATTAGCTTAAAACACTTTAAGATGCTAGAATTAGCAGCAAATACTTGCAGAAGAGATTTCCAAATCTCCGTTTGACAGACGACCTATGACCTTCAGAAATATTCCAACACCACAAAGAAAAGTTTAGCTTGTAGTTGACTCAGATAGTTATAAGGAGGTGTATCTAGTGAATAGAAACATAATGATTCTCTTCCTTAGTAACAGGACTAGTTACAATGTCATTAAACTAGATCATATAAAATTCTATATTTGGGACATAAATCATTTGCAGAAATGTGTTTAATCATTCCCATTTCTAAACATAACCACATTGGGCAAGTAATTGTGATTACTAACAATACAACTAATTCATTTTAACATATTATGTGCTTAAGTTTTAAGAATGTAAGAACATGTATTGAGTGCCTATTATAAGCTTTCATGTAAATTTTCTTCAAGAGGATTATACAAAATCTGTGTTATAATGACATCTTGTAGCTGAGGTAACCAAGGAGCAGAGAAGCTTAGCAATTTACCCAAGCCCATATGTATGGTAGGCAGATCATCTAGAATTCAGACCCAATCCTGTTTACCCATTTTTCCTCCTTGAAAACAAACAACCCATCAAAACAATTAAGTAGTGGATATTTCATGTTTAGTTAAAAATCATTACTGGATGTTTCAATTATAATATCAACTTGGTAAAATTTCTCAGGAAAAATAGTTTCTGACATTTTTCTCTGAAGAAAAGTAATGAGTACAGGGTATCTAGTTTTACTAGCTCTTAAAATATTCTAAAAAGTAGTAATTAGAAATTTGAAAGAAAGAATAGGCAGATGAATTAATGGAAAAGAATGAATGGTCTAGAAATAGACCTAACTACCTAGAAAACAAAGTGGTGTTCCAAATCAGGGACAAAAGATGAAATGTTAAAAAATTGATACTATTTGTTGTTCCAACGACAACAGATAAACAATAAAAGATATATTTATACCTCATTCCTCAAAAAAAAAAAAAAAAGTCCCAATGGGACAAAGATTGAAATACTTAAAACCAGAAAAATCCATGAAATTTTCAGAAGAAACAGAATTTGTAAAATAATAATAATTTATAATGACAACTTTGACAAATGGTACAAAGTCATAGTGAAAAATAATGAGAAATTTGATTGCATAACAATATAAATTTTTGTACGGCAAAATTGATAGACAAATTCATGGACAAATGACAAACTAAGAAGAAAATTTTAATTAATATGACAAAAGGCGATATGTAGCCTTCTGTTTTTAACATACTTTTTTTAAATAAAAGTGAGAAAATGTGAAAGGCAGTTAATAGGAAAGGCATTAAAATGGTCAGTAAACATAAGGAAAGAAGCTCAGTTTCACTTGTATTTAAGGAAATCAAAATAAATATTATGAGACATCAATTTGTATTTGTACAAAGAACATAAAGTGTTTAATAATACCTTGTGATAATGAAAGTAAGAGAAAACAGAATTTTTCAAACACTTTGGTTCAGAGTATGAATTGTTAGAGAACAATTGAGAAATGTTTTTCAAAATTTGGAATGCATATATATAAAATCTAAAAATTTTACTGCTGGTAGTATATTCTACAAGTACACTCCTATATATATGCAATATGCAAAAATTTCAATTATATCTATTCAACATTTTATAATTACAAAGTGAATCATTTAAATAATAATAAAAGGTTAAATAACTACATTATTATATATTCAAACAGTGAAATACTGTATAGCTTTTAAAAATAATTAACTACATATCTTTGTTTATGCTGATACGGAAAGACATAGGTAAATGAAAAAAACGATTTGCAGAACAGATTGTATATCACTCCATTTGTAGCTAAAGAAAATTAGAATATAAAGAATATGTATAGAAAATTCTGGAAATATATACAAGGACATATTAATAGTCATTGTCTCTGGGTGGTAGAAATATGGGAGAAGAAATAACTTTTTAAAATTTACCGCCATCTGTGAAATTGGAATGTTATATTATGAACTCCTTTGTATTACTTTTATAGTAAAAAAAGTAGTAACAATTTAAAAAGCCAATTAACATTGATTCCTTATATTTTCTTCTAGATAATAATAACAGAGTAAAGCTGATAGCTGACGCTAGTGTTCCAGGTTCGGATTATATTAATGCCAGCTATATTTCTGTAAGTTACTATTTTATATATTTTATAATTGTATAAAACATAATTACTGAAATTGTATTATCTTTCCAATTACTTAAAACAACAAATTTATTACAACTCCTATGGATCTTAATATGCTAGTTATTTACAGCCACATTGTGTACCCTTATTTTATAGATGTGGATATGGATATGCCTAACAGAGATACTAACTTATCAAAAATTATTTCACCAGTGCGCGGCAGATGTTCAACTTCAGGCTACACATCCCTGATCTTTCCACTAATTCATATGCTTTGTTAATGTATTCTCCATATGCAATGAAGTTTGCCAATCTCTGTGAATTAAAAATTATCAAATGGACAGTTATGTCCATATAACATGAAAATTTATTATGCAGCTCTTCCCTTCTAGATCTGCAGTCCTTCAAGCGGGTAATAATGCCATCACCATCATAGGTACATTGAAACCTTATATGCACTCAAGATCTCCACTTGGTTTGCAAATTCATGGAATCTTAAAGAAGGAAGTGCCTTGAATTTGACCATTCACCTTGAAACTCTAAAAAATTCCTGTCAGCCTCTTTTGGCATTGATTCATCCACTTCTTCCTAAGACGGGATTCTATCTCTAAACAACTCTGCTTTACAGTTGTTGGGTTTTTTTTTAACCAAGTTATGTCTCTTTATATTCTTACCCACTGACTTAAATTCTAATGCATAGCAAGCTTAACCATCTTCATTATGGTGAATCTACAAATACATGAAGATTTCCTCTGCTGCCCACACTCTCCATAGGCTTTTTCTTATCCATAGGTCTTCTCATCCATGCCCTCTATTTCCTTCAGTTCTATTAAGGCTCTTGTTATATGACGTTCCACCCTTTCTCCAACGTCAAACATACTTGTGCTGTGTCTCATTCCCTCCAAGCCTTTGTCATGGAGGAAAAAAACGAATTAGTTCTAAATCTGATATTGGTTGATAACTAATCTAAAATTACAATCATATATTGGGTCCTGTTGTCAAAGGAGTGAATAATGGGAGAATTTAAGACTTTAAGACTTTTTAACCAGAGAAGTGAAGGAAAGTTTAGAGAAGCTAAGGTATTCTTTAAATTTCATTCTATTTTAATGCTAGAACTTTAAATCTGTATTTAAAGAATTACATGAATTTACTATTATGGTAACATTTTATTCATTTATCAAATGATTGATTCCCTCTAAAATGTAATTCAAAATGTAAACATTTTGGTGAAATCTTATGCTTACAATTTCCATTAAAATCTAAACTCTACAGCATGTTAAAGTTTTACTTGGATTTACAAAATGATGCATATATGCATTTAGATATTTACATTTCATCACTACTCTGATAATCAAATGCCATCAAGCAGGACAAGGACAACTGGTTGTATCAGTGACCTATTGATTTGTATCATTTTTTATTCACCAATAAGTAGATACAAATCAACAGCTCATATTGTCTAATGTTCCATAAGGCATGACAGTACAGGATATGAATATAATTAAGAAGAAAAACAGACAATTTTAGTAGGTGTAGCTGAACCACACAGATTATGTAAGCAAAGTAATTTTCGCAAACCCCCAGTGTCCCCTTGAAATATGGTAGGTTGTCAGCATACAACTATGAGCAAATGATAACGTGGTATGAGCAATAAACTAGGAAGCCTGAAGATATATATTCTGCTGTAATCAAGTGATGTTGTAATATAATAAATCTTACAACAACGTCACTATGACCCAATGTAATGATATGCATAATCATTGCTGAGCTGCATGGTAAGCAGGCTCAGATGGAAGGCACTTTACAAGAAGGCGGATTTCTATATTGGGGCTGGCAGTGTACTGTAGCACTCAGAGAAATCTCCTTTGCTCAGGATGTCAAGAACAGATGGGAACAGATGTAGCAATGATACTGCAGTGGCCCTCACTTTCCACCTACGTATTCCTACAATCTTCACCTTAGAAAGAATGTCTGGTATATCAATTTCCCCCTACCCCCAAATTTTATTCGAAAGCACTTCCAATTGAAAGTTTATGAACACTTGTCCCAGGAGCAAAAGACAGAGGTCATCTATGAATGGATTCCGGGTTTCAATTTCTTTGGAAGCTATGGCAAAGGGAAGAGAACTATAGAGGGAGGTAGGAAAGAAAGCAAAATAACTAGTGTTCAGATAGAAACATGAAAAACTGAAGTCTGGGGAAGAGACAGAGGAGGACCAGCATATGGTCTGAGGGATGTATGTTAAGACTGGGACCCTCCAGCCCAGGGTTTATAACTAGGTTAACATGCCAATGTGTGTTTTCCTCTGCCGTTGGCCATTCTCGAGAATGGTGCTCCCAGAGTTAGGACTTGGAAAGGCTGGAAGATTTTGATGAAGGATAGACTGTGAAAGAGGTAGGAAGAAGTGATATTGCAGCCCCATAATCTGCCACCAACTGTACAAATGAGTTTAGAAAGGTTTTCAAGAGAGTCAAAAATGAAAATACTGTGATTTTAGGTATAAGAGGAAGGCTTATAATTAATTTTGAGGAAGGCTCGTCAAAATTATCTCTCCTGTCAATTTCAGATGCCTGCAATTACTTTAATTTGATGACAGCTTTTAACACAACTAGAGATTAAAGGCTATCATGCAAATGGTTGCAGTAACATTAGAAACATCAGATTTGTTCCTATGTTGACAGAGCATTATAATACTAAAGGATATTGTGTCCCTGAAAAAGTGAAATGAAAATGACAAGAGATACATTTTATAAATCAAAATCAATTTATTAATATTGATCGTCCTCTCTTCTTTGATCCCTCCAAACTTTGTATATTTAGCATAGCCTTTGTCAGATTCTAACTCACAGTGATCTCATTTATTAACTGCCTTCTCTGTGTGAGGAAGAGCATAAGGTACTGGGCACTACATGAGGATAAGCATGTATATTTCCTCTTATCTTAGTACCACGTAAGGATGGAGATTCAGTCTTCATGATCTTACTATCAATCCTTCAATATGAATTGAGGACCCCTAAAACACATACATATGAAAACACAAACACACATGCATGTTTATATACATCATTTACAAGGATTTGCTAGACAGTTTGGGGGATATTAAGATGAAGAATCTCTGCTTTTAATGACATCATAATCATACAAAAGGAAAAAATATATATATATAAACACATATATGTGTGTATACATAAATATATTTGTATATGTGTATATACAGTTATATTTTATATGTCTATATTTTATATATGTATATATATAATATAAACATATATACATTTTGTATGTATGTATCTAGATATGTATATGCATGTATATAAATTCTCCCACTATTCACTCCTTTAGCAATAGGACCCAATATATATATTGTAATTTTGGAATAATTATCAAACAATATAGAATATGGTGATATATTTTTATATGCCGATATGTATACATTTGTATATAAACATATACATATATGTGTATATGTACACACATATATGTACACATACACACATATACTTATAGGCATATACAAATATATCACCATCAATGCCCAACACATTTTCTTTAGCATAATAAAGCAATTGAGGGTGTTTGCAGGAGTAAATATAAACTGCACATTTTACATTTTTTTTCCCTAGAGCTTATATGGGTAAATAAAGAAAACCTGTTCAAGGACATTGATAGGCACTAAAATGTCATTATTTCCTGTATAATATGGATAAACTTTAACATAAAAAAATCTGCAATTTTTGGAAACCTTTACATTTATAGAGCACTTCAAAATTTTCAAAGCAATTTCACATTCCTTATTTTACAAATAGTATTCAAAATGACTCTCTGAGGTGTGCAAGAAAATAATGATTATCTCTAATTTATAATTAGGAAACTGAAGATTAGCTTATTTAAGTAGCCTGCTCTACAGGGTACACTATTAGAAAGGACTAAAGTCAAAACCAGTGTTCTAGTCTCTAGGCCTATACATTGTTTTCATTATTCAAACTTACTGCCTTCTTCTATACAAATTTAATGAAATACCTTATCTTCACTAAACTTAATGCTAGAATTATTGAGAAAGTATGCAGATAATTAGGTTTGCACCATTCAACATTCACAATAGTTAAATCTCAAAGGATGAAAAGAAGGATTGGTCTGACCTTCTCCATCTCATATGCTATTCTAAAACTAATTGTATCTGCATATACAAATTCACTGGATATAACTGAATAACTGCTGTATGAGATTAGAATAAAGCATAAAAATATTGATTTGGAAGCAATATTTAAATTACTTTTTTAGCATGTAGTTCCACAATACCTGAGATGTAGTAGGCATTTAATAATTGAGTTCATAAAAAGGAGGATTATATTTAGATGGGTAAATACATATGCTTCAGAGTTCAAATGGACCTGAGTTCAAATTCCTTCTCTGCATTTTTGTAGCTGTATGACCTGAAACTTTCTGAGTGAAGTTTCTACACTGATAAAGTAGGAATAATAATCAACCCTACTTTATTCATTGCTGCTAAATCATATTTCAATTATTCACTGAATTACACATTGGAAGCATTTAATAAATACATGTTATTTTTATTGCTGTTGATGTTTCATGGTAGTAGATTCTACATTTTCCTGGCTGATAATCCAGAGGAAAATCTCTGAGCTAATTTAAGGACTGCAATGAAAAGTGGCATCCATGGGTAAAGGTCATAATGAAAGTTGACCTGTGGAATGAAACTTACACTTTGTTCCATGTATCACAGAGCTTTAAAAACCAGTAAACTCTATATTCCAATTAAAGGGCAAAAGTCCAGGCAAGAAGTTTCCTCTCAGAAAAACTCAAAAGTTTGCACACACATATTCAAAGGTAGAAGCAGAAATAGCAAACAGAATTGACATACTTTCTTCATTTTCATAAGATACAATGGAAATATCTCCAAAACACCTTTGGGCAAACATTTTACCTGGTGCTTTACCATTTTCTGAAATAAATTAGCCATTACAGGAAGAAAACTTAAATGTGTCTTAGCTTCTTTACATGAGAATCAAGGGGGGAAATGTGACCATATAAAGATATATTTAAATAACAGATAATACATAGATATATGTATTAAAAAGAAATATAAAATAATATTTCAAATCCTGGAAAACTGAGATCATATAATGTTAGTTTTGTAAATAAGTTGTAACAAGATTGTATAGGAATAATCCCAATTATTTATATATGTGTATGTATATAAAATATACAGTATAATATTTAGTATACAATATGTGATATATTGTCTATATTACTCTGTGTGGAACCTACTCCTCCCTTACAGGTACTGGCTTTCTGGCCTTGCTCACCAGTGGGTCTGCATACCCTCCCGTACGTACTCAGCATAGAGAAGGGTCAAGTTGCCTCAATCCTCAGTGCCACCTCCACATCATTCTCTATCCCTCTGCCCTAAAATTGCCAGCTTGAATTCATGCTATCAAGCATAGGACACACCATTGCTCTTTTTGGAAGTTAATTACCATCCCCTAAGTCACTTTCTCTTGTTTCTTAAAGATTTCACTCCGGGATCACTGCTTCTCTCTCATCACTCTTCTGTCATAATTATTGATGATGTCAAAATTCATATAAAATATTGACCCATAGCCCTGCTCATCACTTTCTGGACCTCTTCTCTTGCAGTGACTTGCCTTCCACATGACCTCATCACTTTCTGCCATGTTCACAACCTAGACCTTTTCACCACCAAGAATTGTAGCCTCTCCATAATCTTGATTGCAGATGTCTCACTATCTGTCCAAATCCTTCTTTCCAGATCACTGGACTCTGATAATTCTTCAACCCTGCTCTGCCCTACAGCTCTTTGATTCTATCGAATTTTCCATTTCTCCTAACCCAATCAAGACTTCATTTTTTCTCTTGCTCAGCTTGAACTGCATGCCTATTTGTTTCCTTTCCTCTATTGTATATATCCTCAACTCTCAAATTTATCTCTTATAGTCTCGACCTTTTGATAAATCCCCAAACTTTGCTAAATAAAACCCTCCATGGATTCTTCTCTGTGTTACTAGAAGTGTATTGGAGAAAAATTCATGATCACGCCAAAATATCTCACTTTAAACTCATGGCCACTAACCTCAAAAACACAGCCTCCTAATCTATTCAATCTCCCTTTCTTCTAGGAGATTCTTTCTCCTTCTTCTTTCTTCTCTGGCCTCTAACACTATATTCCTCATTTTCACCTACATCTGATAGCCTTGTTTATATTTCACTGATAAAACAAAAGCAATTAAAAGAGAACATTCACAAGGTCCCCTACTTGTCTGCATCTGTGTCCATATACTCAGTCTTTCTCCTGTGGCTGCATATGAACTGTCCTAGTCCCTGATAACAGCCAACCCTCTCACTTGGACACTACATGACCTCTCCCTTTGCCTCTCAAGAACATGGGTTGAGGAATTCTCCCTTCTGCATCATCATTTTTTCTCTTTTAGCAGCTAAACAAATCTATTGTAATTTCTTACATCATAAAAATATCTTGATATTATAGGTTTCTCTCTACTTCTTTATTGTTCTTTTTATTTACATTATAGCCCCTTGAAGAATTGTCAACACTTACTATCTTCAATTCCCTTCTCTTATTTCTTCAGCACCCTCAAATAAGACTTGGATACTAAGCAAGCACAACACTGAATCAGCTATTTTCAAGGTCATCAATTAACTACTCAGAAAATTAGCCTTAAGTCTCAGTCTCCAATTTATTTGACTTTTCAGCAGCTCTGACTCTTTCATCTTAGTCTCATAGGTTCTATCTCATCTTCCAGACCTGCAAACAAAATAATTTAGAGCTCAGTACTTGAATTTACTATCTCTTTCTAAACTCTTTTTCTTGGTGATTGTAAGAGTCAGGGTTCTCTAGAGGGACAGAACTAACAGGATAGATGTATATATGAAGGGGCGTTTATTAAGGAGTGTTGACTCACACAATCACAAGGTGAAGCCCCAAAATAGGCCATCTGCAAGCTGAGGAGCAAGGAAGCCAGTCTAAGTCCCAAAATCTCAAAAGTAGGGAAGCTGATAGTGCAGCCTTCAGTCTATGACCAAAGGGCCATGGCAAATTACTGGTGCAAGTCCCAGAGTCCAAAAGCTGAAGTACGTGGAGTCCGATGTTCTAGGGCAGGAAGCATCCAGCATTTCCCAGTCCACTGACTCAAATGTTAATCTCCTTTGGCAATACCCTCACAGACACACCCAGAAACAATACTTTGTGTTCTTCAATCCAATCAAGATGACACTCAATATTGACCATCGCAGTGATGTCATCCAATTTTCATGACTTTAAGTAAGAGATATGAGCTGATTACTTTCAAATTTATGTCTCTAGTTTGGACTTCTTACTGAATTCTAAAGTCATATATCTAATTGCCTTCGTGGCATTCCTACCTGAATATCTAATAGTGATTTCAAACATAATATGTCCAATGTGAGTTTTTTATTTTCCCTGCAAATCTGTTCATACTAAAACCTCAAAAACACAGGCAGTAAAAGCAAAAATATACAAATGGGATTATATCAAAGTAAAAATCATATGCACACAAAGGAAACAATCAACAGAATGAATAGACAATCTGCAAAATGGGAGAAAATATTTGCAAACTATTCATCCAACAAGGGATTAATATCCAAAATATACCAGGAACTCAACTCAATAGCAGAAAAAAAATCCAATTTAAAAATGGGCAAATGAGCTGAATGAACATCTCTCAAAAGAAGACATACAAATGGCCAACAGGCATATGAAAGATTGCTCAACATCACTAATCATCAAGGAAATACAAATCAAAACCACAATGAAACACCATCTCTCCCCATTTAGAATGGTTATTATCAAAAAGACAAAAAAATAACAAATGCCAGCAAGAATGCAGAGAAAGTGGAATTATTATACACTATTATACACTATTTAGTTTTCCTCAGAAAACTAAAATACAACCATCATTATGACCCAGCAATACCACTACTGGGTATATATCCAAAGGGAAGAAAATCAGTATGTCAAAGGCATATCTATGCTTACGCAGTAAGTGCTGCAGCACTATTCACAATAGATGAGATAAAGAATCAGCCTAAGTATTCATCAACAGATGAATGAATAAAGAAAATATGCTGTATATACGCAATGGAATACTATTTAGCCATGTAAAAGAATAAAGTCCTGTCATTTGTGGCAATATGGATGAGCTTGGAGAACATTATGATAATTGAAATAATCCAGGAACAGAAAAATAAATACCACATGTTCTCACTTATGCAGAGGCTGAAAAAGTTGATCTCGTGAAAGTAGAGAGTAGAATAGTGGTTAAAAGCTGGGAAGGGGAAGAGGTGAGAGTAAGAGATTGGTTAACGAATGCAAAATTACAGCTAGATAGGAGAAATAAATACTGGTGTCTATAGCTCTGTAGTGTGACTATAACAAACCACAATTTATTGTATATTTTCAAATAGCTAGAAGAGCAGAATTTGATGTTCCCAACATAAAGAAATTATAAATGTTTAAGGAGATGGATGTGCTCATTACCCTGACTTGAGTATTACACATTGCATACATGTATGAAAATTTTCACACTGTATTCCATAAAAATGTGCAATTATTATGTGTCAAAATAATAAGAAAAGATTATTAAAAACTGCTCATCTGGAGTCTTCCCCATCTTCCTTTGGAGTCGTTATTGATTTCTCTGTTTCTCTCATACCTCATATCAAATCTATTAGCAAATTCAGTTGGTTTTGCCTTCAAAATGTATCCATATCTGATCACTTCTCACCATCTCCATTGATATCACCCATGCCACCAATATTTCTTGGCTGAATTGTTACAATAACCCTCTAACTATTCTCCCTCCTTTCACCTTTTAAACTCCCATAGGTTGGTCTATGGAAGCCCACGTGAAACTGTTAAACCACACACTATGTTTGAAACCTTTCAGTGACTTTCTGTGTCATTCAGAGTAAAAAGCAAAGTCTTATAATTACTTTTTAGGACCTAAAGCACCACTTATACTCCCTGCTTTTTCTAGCCATTATCTGTTACTCTTCCCCCTCATTTACTCTACTCCAGGCACCTGCTGTTCCTAGAACATTCCTGACACCCTTCTCCTTTAAGGTCGTTGGACTTGATTTTCCTTCTACCCACAATTCTTTTCCCCCGAATCCTGCAGGCCTCACTTCTTTCCTTCTTCAAAACTGTCTTCACATTATCACCAGTGATATGTGAAGTTTGGAGATGGGCTGGAGAACACTATGATAAGTGAAATAAGCCAGGAACAGAAAAATAAATACCGCATATTCTCATGAAGTATTTATTTTTTCTGAATAACCTATTTCTGAACAGCCTATTTTCTGAAAAGCCTATTTTCTGAAAACTTTCTCTCATAGCCCTTATCACTTTTATAAATTCTATGTAATTTGCATACATAATATACATTAATAGACAATGTCTATTTCTCCTAATGATAAAATAAACGAGGGTAGGAATTTCAGTGTCTTTGGTCAGTGATGAACCCCCAGCTCCTAAAATAGTGCCTGGAATGTAATAGTCACTCACAAATATTGATTCAGTGGAGAATGTGCATATTTAAAAAATCTGTAAAGAAATCAACCAAAATGTTAATGGTCCTTCACTCTGGATAGTGGGATTACAGGTGAATTCTACTTTCTATTATGTATTTTTCTAAATTTTCAAAATATTCTACATTAACATATATTATTTTTAATAAGAAAAGATCCCTCACACTTTAACTACATATTTAGGTCTTTCGGTTGAGACTGGAAAGACAGAAAAGCTGCAGTATACTGTGTATTTAAGAGAATCAAGATTTTCTACAAGCAAATGTTCCTGGCTTGCACTGTAATTTGGGAAAATCACCTAAAGTGCCTCCTCATTGTTCCTTAAAGTAAAATAAACTTGCTGGATTACATTTTAGAGTCCCTGGAAAATTTAAATATATGTTATTTTTTGTATATTACTATTCTCTGACTACTGAGACAATTTCAATGTAAAAAAGTAAATGTTACCTTTTATTCCATATTCCTTAAAGCATCTTCCTGTTTGAAATAGATGTCATTCCATTACTACTTTTTAACTTATACATTACCTTTCTTTAAAAGAAATCCACAGATACTGTTCACAATTATATAAACTCAAGTGTCATGCTTTTATGTTCCAGGTAAATAGACCAAATTTCAGAGAAATTTGATAAATATACACAAGGATGTCATAATAGATTTAAGACAGATCTCATGTCCTATGAGTTTACTGTATTAGCAAAATGAAACTTCATATTACCATGTTTTTCTTGGGTCAGAACTCCAGACAGTAAATGCCACTAGACTAATGACTAATGCCACAGTTTAAGTAGATAAGTAATTTCTTAGAGGAAGAGTGTACATATATCTGCACAACCAATAAATACATGGCAGAAACATCATGGAGTGGGTTTAGAGAGCTGGTTCTGGGCTCAACCTGCCTTACCAATTTTGAGATCTTGGCAAGTTACTTCACCTTTCTAAGCTTCAATATCTTCATCTATAAAATGAGCATAATATTAGTACTAATTCACAATGATTTTATAAGAATATTGAATATAAGATGCTTAGCAAACTGCTACAAAGACTCAGACTTAAGACCTTTATTAAGTTCTGTTATTATTGTAAATATTATTATGTAGTCCTTAATGTTTTATTCAAAAGTTAGACATAAATTTTGAGAACCATTTGTTGTGTAGTATATCAGATTGTGAGGATAAATTTAGACGTTGGAAATTTTGAGTATTTAAGATTATCTAGTATTTACGGTATTCTAAAATATTAGGTAATTTTACAACCAGCATATGTTTCATGCATTGATCGAAAACTAAAACACTGTATCTGTGAACACAGTGATGCAGTGTTTGTAATTATATCCTTCTAGGGTTATTTATGTCCAAATGAATTTATTGCTACTCAAGGTCCACTACCAGGAACAGTTGGAGATTTTTGGAGAATGGTGTGGGAAACCAGAGCAAAAACATTAGTAATGCTAACACAGTGTTTTGAAAAAGGACGGGTAAGTTATTTGAAAATGTTTTACAAATGTTGTTTTACGATTGTGTTAACATATGTGTGAATATTTCATCTAATACTGTGAGTCATCAATAACCTGGACATCTATAAAGTAATTTTAACTTAGTCGTAATAACTGTGGTATACATATATATCAATATAACAATGACGCTTATGACTGATGATTTTCTCTGAATGCAGATCAGATGCCATCAGTATTGGCCAGAGGACAACAAGCCAGTTACTGTCTTTGGAGATATAGTGATTACAAAGCTAATGGAGGATGTTCAAATAGATTGGACTATCAGGGATCTGAAAATTGAAAGGGTAAAAAAAAAAGGGGGGGACGAGAGAACATGATATAAAATATGATTGATCTAAATGTCTAAAATAAAATTAATTTCTAGAACTATCCCTTTCAAGGATACCTGTATATTCAACAATGCTTTTGTATTGTCTTCTGAACAGAATTTTGAATCGATATCCAACTTTAGTATCAATGTCACTGTATTTGTTCCAGATCACTCTAGTTAAAGTCTGTATTAACCAATTAGCATCACATTCTTAGGTTGACAAGAGCAGAAAAAGGAGAGAAAATGATGAGATCACTAGCTTTATTTTATCTAATGAAGAAACTGTAATATCTGACTTGAGACAGCAATTTCCCAAGTCACTCATCTCCTGAATCCTAATAATTTGATTTTCTATTTAATCTGCAGCCAGATAGAAAAGGTAGTATGGGATCTCACTTTATGAGATCTTTATGGGATCACTTTATGGGATCTCAGTTTATATAAATGCCTATACACACAGAAGATGATATAAGGATCTTTATACTTTTCACATAACAGATGCTCAATACCTGTGTATGGAATAATTTGTGAATGTGTTCATTTAAGTTTTGGGTCAAAAGTGTTTCAATACCTATTATTCTGAGTGCTACAAAATGGCATACTATATTTGAATATTAATGTCCTATATTAACATTTATTTCCAAGCTTTCTTATGTTTTCATTCATATTGAAAGGCAATTCTCTTTATTGTAACAATAAAAATCTCTCTTATAGGAAATAATGAAAACATTTTATTTGGTTTGGTAAATAGTCATTTTTAAAAGATCACCTTCAAAAACTGGGACTATTGCCTTCAACCTTCATTGTGGAACTTAAATAATTTTGTCATTCATTAATCCGTCCCTTTGTCTAGCATGGGGATTGCATGACTGTTCGACAGTGTAACTTTACTGCCTGGCCAGAGCATGGGGTTCCTGAGAACAGCGCCCCTCTAATTCACTTTGTGAAGTTGGTTCGAGCAAGCAGGGCACATGACACCACACCTATGATTGTTCACTGCAGGTGAGAAAGTGATCAGAAATGGCCTTTGAACCCATTGGTCTTTTTATTATTAAAATTCCATTGGTTATTTTTTATAAAATGTTCATGTAAATTTCTTCCAGCTTGCCGTCTTCAGAGATTTCACATTTAGCATTTCTAGACACATTGGTATGATTTATGTTTTCTGACATGATAGATCTAAACCAGTCTTGACTCGAGTCTTTTTCACAGTTGAAGTTTGGAGATTAGAGGAAAATGTAGTATGAATTCTACTTAAATGAGATACTCAGAATAGGTAAATAAATAGAAACAGAAAGTAGAGTTGTGGTTATTAGTGAGGAGGGAGATGAAAAATTATTATCTAATGGGTACAGACCTTCTATTTGGGATGATGAAAAGTTCTGGAAATATACTGTGTTGATATTTGCACAACATTGAGAATATACTTAATGCCACTGAATTGTACATGTAAAATGGTCAAAATGGTAGATTCTCTGTTATTCATCTTTCACCACAATAAAAAGATTTTTTTAAAGTAACAATAACTTTTAATATTTTTAACAGGAGTGTACTATAATTAATGTGGTTAAATACTGTACATAAGAAAAGATAAATTCATTCAGTTTTTAAACTTTTATTTTAAAAAACTCAATATGTAATTTAAATGATTATACATTTTCCATAAATTTCTGGATTTTTAAAATTATAAGACTAATACGTAAATGCTTGCTCATTATAAAATATATGAACAATGCTTATATTTATAAAACATGTAGAACAAAAAGTAAAAGCCTCATTTTTACCTTCTCAATTTTAAATCCCTCCATATAGGTATAAAGCTTAATATAATAGTATATACTAAAAACAGTATAACAATTTGCTTCTACAGTCAATGATTGATTTTATGCTGGCATCACTGATGATTAAAACCTTTGATGGACAGTAGCTGTCTTCAATTTCTCTGTATCATGCAAATACACTGCCATGGGCACTAAAAGAAAAGTACTTTCTCCTTTTTAGCCTCAAAAAGAATAGAGTCTCCTCCTTTGTGATTTAAATAAGAGATAAGAAGAAAGTATGTTCATATTATTGACCATCTTTAAATATCATTTGAAAACCATCTACTAAATATTTATCTCCAACTTCAACTTCTCACCTTGACTTTAGACTTCTACATTTAGCTTCCAATTCAACTTGACAGACTGAATGACTAAAAAGTTCTAGAAATTTGATGTGTACAAAACAGAACATTTGACTCAATCTCCAAATTCACCCCTGCTCTGTTGTTCCTATCTTGGTAAAAAGCAAGTTTTTCTGTTTGAGCCAGAAGCCCTGGAGTCATCCTTGATTCTGCTTCCTCTCACATTCCACATCTAACCCACCAGCAAATACTTTCATCCCTGACTACCCCACACTCCTCACTGTACTCTCACCTCCCTGGTCTCCCCTGATTTTTGAACATTCAAAAATGCTGCCACCTCAGGTCTGTTCTCATTTTGCTTCTTCTGGCTACCATGATCTTCTCCCAGATACCCACATGGTGTGCTCCCTAACCTTATGCTAGTTTCTTTTCAAATATTACATTATCAGAGAAATTTTGTCTGCTGACCCTATCCTACCCTATCACCCTCTATCTCCTTAACCTGATTCATCTTTTTTTCAGTATGAGACTTCTTACTACCAGGCACATTCTTGGTCTGTTTATTTATGTGTCGTTTTCCTCTGGACTATAAACTCTGTAAGTGCAGGGACTTTGCATTGTTCACTGCTATGATCCAGGTGCCCAGAACAGTGTTTGACACTCAAAATATATTTAACAATTCAATGGCTGTGTGGCATGTATATATATATACATGTTACTATACTCAGTTTTATGTTATAGGCTCACAATTTCTTAGGTCAAATCATAGGAACTTGCCAATGTTTGAATGTTTCTTACTACAGAACTACAAAAATGGCAGTTTCATGTGGTTCAAAGTAATATTTATAAGACTAGATGAACTTTCAAAAATTTTTTTCGATTAACTTCCTCTATTAACCATTTAATTTCCTAGGAATCTTGTCTTTCTGATAATAGGAATTTCTGACAATAGGAATTTCCGAATCAATCTTGTGAGGTTTATCAGTTAACAGTTTCTATGGAGCATATACCTGTCTTTGAGTATTGATGTAATTTTTTAAATGAAAATAGTTTTTCAATTTTATTATCTATAGGAGGCAAAATAAATTCTAGAGAAAGAAAGTGAAAAGGACAATTGCAACACTATTTTTCAAAATGAAACAAAGAAAATGCTATATAAGCTAAATATTCTACATTTGTAACATTTAGCATTTCTGCTGGTAACTGAATATTTGGTCAATACAGAGTCTCTGGTATTAAGAATTTTCAATGATTTTAAAAAAATCTCTATACTTCAACAACACACCCTAAAATATTAAGAAATAAGAGGTTAAGTTCCACTGATTAAAGAAAGACAAACTCAAATATTTGATAGCATATTAATGATAATCATCTTGCCTTGTTTAAACACAATCTTGGTAACCATAAAAAATCCAAAGACACTCCAAAGAAAATCTGCCTCCAAATAAGAGAAGAAACTATTAGAATTTATTGCTATCATAGCTCATTATCTTTATCCCCATCAAAATGAACAACCCTTTGCTGAATAATTTTCATGTAATTTACCCTTCCTGTAGTGCTGGAGTTGGAAGAACTGGAGTTTTTATTGCTCTGGACCATTTAACACAACATATAAATGACCATGATTTTGTGGATATATATGGACTAGTAGCTGAACTGAGAAGTGAAAGAATGTGCATGGTGCAGAATCTGGTAAGATCTCTAAACCTGCACTGCATTCTAAAGTTCTAGAATTTCCACATGGGAGATCTTAGTGGCAGCAATCTGGATGGACATGAGCTTGAAGCTGTGGACACCTTCTTTTCCTACATTATAAGCCTTTTGGGGAGGATTCGGGAGGGCAGCTGATAGAGATTATAGGAGAACTAATGCCCACATGCCATAGTCACCCTGCAGCATTGTTACTGATGGCTCATCTTAACTTGTTATACTGATAGGCATGTAGGCAGTAACATAAAATTGATTTATCTTTATCGTTTAGCAACTTTGGGATATCTGGAAATGAACTCAAATCAATATCTTTTGAATATCATTATCTTTTGAAAAGTTATAAATGGGAAAACAGTTTAAAATATTGACTGTAATAAAGTTCTATGGGTTTTACTTCTCCATATTTATCCCTATTGCATACCAGTACTAATAATGATTATTGTAGCACGCTATCAACTATTAACTGTGAGGTTTTTGTTTGTTGTTTTGGCTTATAGGCAAAAAATATTTACAAAATATATACAATTTTTATTTTAAAAAATCACACAGTACTATGGTAATGAGGCTTAAAACCCTCTACTGAGTGTCTACTGGGTTCCAGGAGCTATACTAGACCCTTCACATGTATTATCTTATTTAATCTTTATTAAATTAAATTCTTTATTTGTAAGGCAGGGCCAGTAAAACCATAAATATTACTGGCTCTGCTTTACAAACAGGGAAGCACATGTTCCAAGAAGTTAAATGATATTCCAAGATAATATTACTGATAAGTGCCAGAGCCAAAATTCAAGCCCTAGTCTGTATAACTACAATATACACAATATTCCTATCTGTAGCTTTGGATTGGAATTTGTATGTTACACAAATAGAGATTCTCTTGCAGTAAATACGCAGGCCTGCTGTAACTGTATTTTCCAGGTTACATTCTAGAAAACAGAAGTGGTATCAAAGTAGTTAAACATTTCAGAAAAAGAGTTATCTGCTAAAATAAGTATGAGAAAGAAATTAAACTGATTTTTAAAGACATAAATTTTTAGGATCTTAATGTTAATTTCACTGACAATTACAAAGATAGAGCCCTATGGACAACTTTTCCTAAACTTCGATGACTGGAGAACTCTTCAACCCTTTTTGATTCAAACCTGTAATACCATGTCATGGAACATTAATCCTCCTTGGAAGATGCTGTTCCAGACCAGAGATATCCAAACTTTTTGGACAAATGTCCCTTTTAGGAAAGATATTTGAGCTTCTACTCTAATACAGATATATTTATCTTTAAATGTAGATTATTTAGTTATGTAAATTGTAAACATAAATAAAATAAGAAATTGAAAAGCATGAGATAAATATTGAATAAGGAATATTTTCAAAACCTTGCTAATTGCTAAGGCTACTTATTATTAGGTATTCTCAAAAAAGAAAATATATACTTAAGACAAAATACTTCTCTTTTGATAGTGGTTTTAAGTACATATTTTACATTTTTATGCTTTTTTAAAAAACTGATCTAGCTTTTTGTCAGGTCTGATTACATGTTGTTATTTTTACCTCATAGTATGGCTACAAGAGTATTCCAGGAGTATGATGAATGTGTTAGTCTTGCCAATTTTTTGTCATTCATTTGGGCTTGCATGATAAATATTATCTTTAATCCACAGTCTCTTTGTAGGAATCTTCCTTAACTACTTCAATTCTGTGATAATTAGTTAGGTAAACTAGGTAATATAATGCATATACATTCCCTCATATACTGAGTTAACAAATGAGTTAAATGTCACCCTTCCCCCAGGATTCAGAAATGGAATATTATACATGACCAGGGCCAGCTTCATGGGTAGGCAACATGGGTAGTTTCACAGGTCCTCACACTTAAAAGGGCCCTGAAATTGGTTTAATGTTTGCTGTCACTGTCTTGAAAATCTTAAAATTACATTTTGAGACAGGAACTTTACATTTTGTAGTGGAACTTTACATTTTGCATTCTCTCTAATCCAAGTTTGGCTAACAAATTAGGTAGCTGGTCTTTATCAAGGGGTCTTATGAAGGTTCTAATATCAATCCAACTATTACTCATTATTAAAATTCAATTTCCTTCTCATTTTTAGTTAAAAACAAAGATAAATGAAAAGCTAACATTTTCCTCCCATGTCCCTAGGTGTACACATAGACACTGGGGATCAGTGCTCTCAATGAAATTAAGGGTTTGCTCTCTTGGGTAGGATAGAGGATGGAACTGACGGTTTCCTTCTAGAGTCTAGAGTCAATCTTCAAACAGTAAAAGCTGAAAAAACTTCCATGCTCTGCAACTTTGTAGAATTAAATTCTGTAAAGAGTGTGTTCAAGAATGTCTGTTAATAATTTTACCCAATTTAGTAGTCAAAATATGTTATAAACTTCATACATTATTCTGTTTAACCAGCCATAGCAAATTGTCACAGCTTGGGATGGGGATTTAGGGGTGGGGCAGGGATTAGAAAGAAGGTTTTTGAAGTCAGAGAACTAAATTCCGAATACATCTCTGCTAATTGTTGGCTCTGTGACTTTGTTTAGTTAGCCTCTTTGAGCTATGTCTCTTTTGTAAAATTGCCCTGTTACACTTTTCACAAACTTGTTATCAGTATTAAATAAGAGAAAGTTTGTAAATCACCAACATGGTGCCCAGCAGGCAGTAAATGTCCAGTGAGATTTTTCTGATTCTCTCCTTGCTGAAAATCAGGTACTCGGAAGCCCTCTTTGATCTTAGTTCCCAGAAGTTAGGCTCTTTACTGTTTTTTCCCTGTGATGACAGACAGAAAAATGACCACCCCTTGCCTCCAGTCCTTACAAACCAGCATTGCCTTGCACAACAGCAGTTTCTTATTTTCTTCTCCTGCACTCCAGAGTGATTGCAGTTTCTATGAGGAATATTCCTGTCTTAGCACATACTACAGCAGCAACTTCAGCAATATACTGCCACTAAAAGGCACTGAGGTGTATAGCCCTTACCCAGGAGAAAGCTTTGATTTCTTTCACTCAAAAAACAATGCACTGGGCACTGGGTGCGGTGGCTTATGCCTGTAATCCCAGCACTTTGGGAGGCCAAGGTGGGCGGATCACCAGGGGTCAGGAGTTCGAGACCAGCCTGACCAACATGGTGAAACCCCGTCTATACTAAAAATACAAAATCAGCCAGGCGTGGTGGCGCGTGCCTGTAATCCCAGCTACACTGGAGGCTGAGACAGGAGAATCGCTTGAAACCGGGAGGCAGAGGTTGCAGTGAGCCAAGACTGCGCCATTGCACTCCAACCTGGGCGACAGAGCGAGACTCTGTTGCAAACAACAACAACAACAAAACCAACAACAACACATTGTAGCCCCAGGAAATTTGAAAGGCCTTTATGAGAGAACTCTCTGTAGTGAGCTAATATCCTAAGATACTTTTAGTGCCTCAAGGAAGTGGAAATTTACTGGTGTGAACTCATATAGGGGAAGAAAAAGAAAAAAAGTCAACATATTTTGGATGTCCAGTTTTTTGTCGGGCATTTTATGTATGTTAAATCCTTTAAATCTTACAATACAGGATTTATGACACACACTCCCACCCCCAGATGAGGAAATTGTGCATCAGAAGAGTTTAATTCTTAAGGTAATATGGCTCTCTAGGGCAGAAACTGGAATTAAACTTTTTTCACAACAGTATGCTGCTTTCTTGGCAATAACACATAACGGCAGAAGGACCTTGGAACCTGTAGGACTGTCTCACAGAGTTCAGCCTGCTCTGCTGGCAAAGTTTACACCTATCATTCTTTCCAGTGGAGAAGATGAAATCAGGACAGTCAGAAGTTTCACATATCAAATGTGACTTCACATATTTTTTTAAATACTAGAACTCATAAATTTAAATGATTTCCAAAAAGATTATATTGTGTCAACATATTTCTGTCAATAATGTAATTCACTGTGTCATGTATGTTTGAAAACACACTCTTGGAATTACCTCGAGAAGTAACTTACTAGCAATTTCAGTAGAAATTTTATTGCTTTATAACAACACTTCAATTCTTACCAAAATTGAATTCTATAAACTAGATCATCCACCTCATTTACAAAACTTAACACCTAATGACATTTGAATTTTCTTTAAATTACATCTGCCCTTAAATGGTAAAGGTTGACTAGCTGTGAGAATTAAATGAGACTAAGTCAACAAACACTTATTATACAACTACTATGTGCCCGGCACTATTATAGGTAATCAGAATATAGCAGTGAATATGACAGAGTTCTGCCTTTATAAAACTGACGTTCCAGTAATGAGATGTTCTTGGAAACATTTTGTAATCCACAAAGAAATAGATATTCCTAATAATGACAAACAATTTCTGAAGACAATTTCAATAGAGGAGTTCCAAAAGGTTTTGAGGTACAGTAGCAATAGATACGAATATAACCTCTGAGGCTGATCACTTTTGAGAATGTTCTATTTAAATCATTGTCAATTTGAATATATGTCTTAAACATTTGATGATATTCCTTTAAAGTCAGATATGTTTGTTATGTGCAAATGAGGGTGATTTGAAATATACTTTTTTTTTTAGCTTTAACTACTTTTGATAAGGTCCAAACTCAGAGATGCTAGTAGGTTATTGAATTATATTGAAAACATTTAAAGGATCCAAATGGTACTGAATTTAGCCCAAACATTCAGATGCAATGGTAGGAGTCCTTGTCCAGCACCTGGATGTTTGGGTACTTCAATGACCCACTGCCTTGTATTTACAAATCAGGACCAGATACTTGATCTTAAGCAGGCCACATATCCAGGTGACTAACAGATTTATTGGTTAAACATATTTTAAATGCGCTGATGATGTATAGATATGCTGACTCACAGATTTCAAAAGTAAATTTAGCATTTGTATTCCAACAGTCATTCTAACAAGAAAACTGTAAGAGAATTTACCAATTAGGTCTAACAGGAAAAAAACTCATAAACAAATTTATGTAATATAATTTTCTACTTCTTATGATAACAGCAAGAAAGAATATATTAATACTT
The DNA here is from genome assembly GCF_000001405.40 of Homo sapiens. Lineage (NCBI taxonomy): Eukaryota > Metazoa > Chordata > Mammalia > Primates > Hominidae > Homo > Homo sapiens. The sequence continues at coordinate 80,678,367 of NC_000012.12, forward strand.
GGTGTTTAGTGACAAGTGTTAGAAAAAAACTTGAAGCTTCAAGAGACCACAGGAATTTAGAAAGCCTCCTATTTGAAATGGTAGAAAATCATATCTATACTATGATAAATTCTGTGTCTGTAACTTAGCTATTTATTTGATGAATTCAGTACTGCTTTTAGCTTTAACAATATAACTCCCTTTATGAAACTCTTCATCAATATATTTGTTTAACCACTCTGTCTTTGGTGTCTAGGCACAGTATATCTTTTTACACCAGTGCATTCTGGATCTCTTATCAAATAAGGGAAGTAATCAGCCCATCTGTTTTGTTAACTATTCAGCACTTCAGAAGATGGACTCTTTGGACGCCATGGAAGGTAAACAGAAACAACAGTATATGCCCAGCTTACTAGTTTACCACCTACGGTAAGAACATAAATTTCAGAATAACCATATGTTAAAAATGTTTAAGAAGCTGGATTAGTGCACAGATCAGGTTTTTTTTCTTTAACTTTTCTCTAATCCAAGTTGGGCTAATAATACCCTTTCTGTCTACATTATATTTTTATCATGAAACATTTCAATTTTGAACTGTTAACTTCAACACTCTCTTGTAACATGTTACTTTCTGTTATAGGTGATGTTGAGCTTGAATGGGAAGAAACCACTATGTAAATATTCAGACCAAAGGATACAATTGGAAGAGATTTTTAAATCCCAGGGGCCAAAGTTACCCCCTCATTCTTCCGAATTGAAATGTGCAACCTTAAAGAAATATCTATGCTTCTCTCACTGTGCCTTTCCAAACGGATTGAACATTTTAAGACTAGTTCTTGAAAATAGCTAATACAGAATAATTATTTGTTTTGTACAGAATAAATATTATGCATTTTAAATGCTTAAGAAAAGACATCCCATATGTTTTTGAAGTCCTCCATATTTTGGAATAAGCCAAATAGAAAATTATTATTATATTAGCATTAATGTTTCAATGTGAATTTTCCCTATGTATTGGATTTAATTTTGAGCAAAAGTTGTAAATGTTGATTCAGTAGTGTTGTTTTGGCTTACAGGGTATTGATGTTTCTTGTGGATAATTTCCAGGACTGTCATAATGATCTGTACTTCCATGTACACCCCTGTGTTTTGAATCCTCTGTTTTATGAGTGCTGAGATATCATCTCATGATCCCGAACAGCTGAACAGTAACCCCCTGACACTGCAGGGATTACTTGGCCTTTATACAACACACAGTAGCTCTTCAGGGACACTTAGGGCTATTTAATTTGCATTGTGATCTTCAGTTTGAGAACCTTAAAAGAAAAATTAAAAGTGCAATTGCACACATGAAATTACAGAGTACCATTCTAGCAAACCTACATTTGTAAACTTTAAAACACAAGTTTTACCCCCTGTATTGTATATTCAAATATATAGTAAATGTATCAGAGTATTTGCCCATTAGATATAGTCAACCTAATATTAACAATTCTGAAGAGTTTCTTCAGCAAAAATGTATCAAAAGAGTAATAAAAACACTGTGCGTGTTTCAAGCTTGTAAACCAATGATGTGCTGCTGTGGTGCCAACAGAGACTTCCAAATGGATTATGTTAAATGGCCGTCATTTCATTTCCCAAGGTTGATTTTGAGCAGTATACTTGGTGGAACTGAAAACAAAGAAATTAACCATGTATAGCAAATTCAAGGTTTCTTTATAGAAAATCTTTCAGCCTCCATCTTATTAAATAGTGACAATGTGGTAAGTTTTGAATTACATGAACTCATTTTGTCATAGATTTCAATTAAGAGTAATAAATAGTATTAATTATTCTCTTCTATGATAAGAAGTATATCTTATGCTTATTTCCGCTGGAACATATATATATAAGAAATGCTATGGCCAATAAAATTGAATTTTAATGAATTATCTTGCAGCATAATTTCAGAAGTTCCTATATAAATAAAAATTTGATTTTGTATCTCCTATTAAGACATAATAATTATACTAATCCTCACATAAAATACATAAAATAAAGATATACCTACAAGTATAATATGACATAATTTATGTAATATAATATAAATAATTAAGATATAATTATTTCTTAAGACATCCATAAGTAATTTTAATGTGGGATATACTATCCAAGAAATTAAAGACCTTAGTCTCACAGTCTCTAGAAAAGTGTAAAATTTACTTCCTTTTTTTTTCATGGCAAGGAAGTACAAATAAATACAATCCACTACTGTTCCAGCTAATAAGTTTATAGAAAGTTACCGAAAACAATAAAAAATGATGAGAACTCTAAAAGATTCAAGTTGGGGTTATACGTTCTTTAGTTTCCTTTATGTCAATTATGGAAAATATATGGCAAGCCAGTATGGGGTTTTGTACTCGTTAAAGACAAATAACATAACCGGTGGGAAGTATTGGTGAGGTAACTTTTTAGTGTATCAAATGATTTTAAAACATAGTTCAATCTACAGGCCAGTCCACTTTCTGTTATATCTGTATAAATCAGATGTTTAGAAGATAGAGTTTGACCCATGTATATATGCATATGTGTATACATAAAACACAGTTTGAATATTAAGTCTCTTCGAACCATGCTTATCAAACTTTAATGTTTATACAAAGTACCTGGTGATTGTCTTAAAACGCAGATTCTGCTTCAGTAAAAAGAGAATAGTCCTGAGAGTCATTTCTAGCAGGTACTTGAGTTATAAAATTGCTGCCTAATTTCAGGATATATGTTGAATAATGTGTGAATCTCTAAAAGACATTAGTCAGGATCATAACAATTTTAGATCTACCTAAAATTATTTAAAACATGTTTGTAAAAGATTTGGCTTCATTATAAAAAAAATTGTAACAGAGCATTTATAAAATATGCATAGCTAGCTATATCAAGACACTAACTAAAATTAAGTTGAAACCCAGACATTAATGACAGCTAAATTTTCTTTTAATGATATTGTGAAAGGGCCAATTTATACCCAGGTTCTATAGGTGGCTACTAAGTGCTAATTAAAATAATGAAGAACATCTGTAACATTTTTAGATCAGATTTGTCAAAATACGTTGAAGCACATGTACAATAAATGAGCAACATGTGTTTCATATGAACCAAATGAAACTGGAGCCTCTCAGAATGCTTTGCCAGAGACAACAGCAGCTGTGGGTATCACCTCTACTTTCATTCTGCTTTAAAATGCCTCATTTTCTTCTTTCAGTTTATAGGTGAAATGTATAATAAGTCTTTTGCAGAAAAACTAATTAAACGTTGACCTCTTCATAAAGGAGATGGTGATTCATTCCACATATTGTACCAAACACTAGCTTTTAAAATAAAAATTTAAGTTCAGCAAAGTATTCTATAAATTGAAGCTGTTATTCTGATGATCATGTCCATTTTCATTAGCTAACTTTTAGAAAACTCAGTGAAATATTTTAAGAAACTTAGGACACAATGATTTGAAATTCTCAACTGAATTATATTTAAAAGTGAAAATATGAAAAAAGTGTATAAAGCATAATCTTGGTGAAACAGCTTGTCTTCTTAGGACAAGTAATATTTCGTGGTAAATGACTTTATAAATATGGATAGAGTTTCCACGTAGAATCGGGATAATACACCCACCAGCTCATGGAGATGTTCTGAGGAACAGATTAGATTACATATAGGAAAATGTTTTGAAAATTACAGTGAACTTTACAAAGTTAGGATAATCTTTTACTAAGACTGGTCAATGTGTAATGTTTATCAAAAAGATAATGCATCCCATTTTAAGATTGTATTGTACTTTGTGGGTATTAGTGTCATATTTGTATGTCCATTTCGCATGCACAGACTGAAGAGAAAATTATGGCAGATATATTGACTTCTGGTAAGTAAGACTATTGATACTTTACTAAGTAAAATATTTAGTGCTTGTTCAATGAATTTTTGATTAAAATGAATGTGTAGACAGGTACACAAATAATATAAGATATAATTTGGGAAACAAGTCAAGAAAATTTTCATTTCAGAAGATTACCTGGACATTCTAAGTCAGTATCTGTGATATTGTCCTCTGAAAATAAAACTCATTTAATAGAAGGTAAAAAAAAAAAAAGCATTATTTTCTGTTAACAAGATTATGTTTCTAAAGTCACCACCTTAAATTATTTTAATTTCACTAAAAGTTTTATTGGATTGGGAAGTCATTTTAGTAAATTATAAACTTTTTAGAGTACTTTTAAATCCATCAACCTTATTAATCCTTACAAAATCCTTTAAGATCGGCAGGGTCCTGTATTACGGGAAAGATAATGAAAGCTTAATTGCTGTGCCTGAAACCACATTAGTAAAAGTTGAAGCTGAAGTTAAAACTGAGTTTCTATGGCTCCCGAAAAGTACTCTTTCCATAACGTTATGCCAGTCTCTCCATAAGTCAAATGACATGCTTTGAATAGTGTAAAATGCTCGTGATAAAGAAAGGTCATAATCATCACATGTCCTAATTCCCTATTAGCCAGTTAGAGATTTTCTGCTAATCATATGAAAATAAGTAACAAAAACCACAGACAATTCTAGAGGTAAATAAGCTCTTAGAATGAATTTAAGAGAGTAAAAATAATTCTTGATGAATACAGTAATATTAAAGAAGAAAAGTTTAGAAAGTAAAAAATATTAAAATATTAAAAATGAAAGAAAAAAGAACACTGGAATTTAAAGAATTATGAAAGTAAAGCTAAAAAAAGAGAAGAGGTTGTTAAAGTCAAAAAAGCTCCATAGCATTTCTATACATATATATATATATGTGTGTGTGTGTGTGTGTGTATGTGTGTATGTATTGTATGTATATATAATCAAATACTATCAAGTCCTTTACCCTACTAATAATCAAAAGAAGGGGGAAGAGTAAGAAAAGGAGAGAAGGAAGAGGACAAAAAGGAGAACTAGAAGATATAAAAGAAAGAAAAACATAAGAAAGATTCTGTAATTGAATATTTGAATCTTAAAGGTGTGCCTGGCACTGTGCTGGAATCATAACAAGAGTTGGCATGTTATCTAATTTAAACCACACCTATGAGGTCAACTCCATTAAAAGGGTAGGAAATGGAAGCATGGAGGTATGAGGAAGATTGCCCAGATTCTCACAGAGAGTAATTGGTAGTCTGGAATTCAAATCCAAGTCTATGTGGCTAGAGTTCAAGTTCCTTTCACAGGTATGTATCACCCTTATTTTATGTTGAAAGGAAGCACGCAGAAGTCTGGGAATAAACAGGCCTCAAGAAGACAGTTTTTTAAATCCTATTTTGCGCTCACTTCCATTTCAAAACTTTTTAACATGTATGTGGACTGTAGGGAATTTGGACATGTGAAAACAGCCTACTTGGGTGAACTTTCAGATTAATTAGTCTTTCTCTTGTTCATTCTTTTTCATTCTTTCTCTTATTAATTCATCTGCTATAATTAAATTTATATAAATAAGTATTTTTAAAATCTGTGGCCAGATTGGATGGGTATCCATCTGTATTTACTAATTTTGTGATTTGGGGGCAAAAAGCAATAACCAGTTTGTACCTCAATTTCCTCATTCCTAATATGGAGATAATTATAATAGCTACCTCACATGTTTGTAGAGCAGTCTTAGTTCAGAGTGAACACTCAGTGAGGTTTAGATTGTAATATACATAATGATAATGAAGCGGCGTCATTTGTCTGAGGTAATACCCAAGGTCCCTTGTCTCACACCAAGGAAATTAAGGACGCTGACACACCAGAGTGAGGTTAAGAGCAGAAGTTTAATAGGCGAAAGAAAGAGAAAAGCTCTGTTGCTACAGAGAGGGGCCCCAGAGAAAATAGGTTGCCACTTCCGCGGTGAAGTGCAGGAGGTTTTAGAGATGAGCTTGAGGAGGCGGTGTTTGATTTACATAGGGCACAAAAGATTGGTCGGACCAGGTGTGCTATTTGCATAGTACATGAAAATCTGGCCACCCATACTCTAATCTTTTATTATGCAGATGAGTTTTCTACCTGGCTGGCGTCATGTTGCCTGCTTCTTTTACTGTACATGTGGTGACAAAGAAAAGGGAAGATAGACCCTCCATGTTCAACATACCTGGCCCCCAGGTAGCCTTTATCTATTGGAACAAATGCTTCCAGCTTGCTTATCTATGTCTGCAGCTCGATTTTTTCAGGCTGCTCCTTGTTAGAAAAGAAATAATTTGGGGGCTGCTTTTTATTAGAAGGGAAATCTTGCCAAGGACTCTTTTACCTTCCCTATTTGCCTAAATAATTTCTTTCTAGCTCCTGTGTCAATATTGATAGCAGTTATGATGTTTTTTTCTGTAAGAATTCAAATATGCCAAAAATATGACCTATTGATTCACACAGCCACTTGAAAAATATACAGAATACAGAATTATAATCATAATGATTAGTTTCAAATTAGCCTAGTGGGAATAGAGGGAATTCTTCCTTGGTTTTTAGTGGAATTTCACATTCAGTATTTTTCTTTTAACTTTAAAAAAGGAAAACAAAGTAAATATGATTATTGACTTTGAGGCATTTCCAACCTAATTCCTTGTTATATAAACCGCATTTTTCTAAATTTTAATCTTTATAATATTCAAATAAAGTTTTTCCAAGCAAAAATAATATTTTTAAAAGAAGTACAGCACTTTTAAATTTTTTTATATCTTCATTTCAAACCCATATATCTCTTGGTTAAAAAAAAGATAATTACAGTTTTAAGTAAAAATAAATGATTCAATAGATGATAAATATAACCTCAAAATACTGAAATATACCAAAGAAATTTAATGTATTTATTACAAACTAGACATACCTGTAAAATAATAGAAGTTTTAGATCAGGAAGATAAATTAATGATATGAAAATAAAATAAATGAATTAGAAAATCTACACATATGAATTAATATTTCTCTAGGGAGAGAAATTCTTATACCCTAAAAAAAGAACACGTATTCTTTTGACGTTCTCATGGATCAGTCACAAAGAATGACTGCTTCCTGTGTCACAAAGAAAGTTGAAAATAATTTCAGACTCAGTATCATACATAGCCATTTATCTGACTACAAGACAGTTAAGTAAAACATTTACAAAAAAATAATTTTTAATCTATATTTGAAACTAAATTAATACATATCTAAATATCACACAGATTAATATGAAGAATCTCAATGAAAACTATATAACAGAATTGAATGATATCAAAGCACCTTTTATAAAATTTTGATAAAGTTACATAAAGGTAAGGTTAGAGGCCTAAAATATATATCCTCAAATATAAACATAGTAAGCATTTACTTGAGAAGCTGGAAAAAGTACAATAGAGAAAATCTAATGACATAATGAGATCTCATTTGTGACCAAATTATGTGTGAGCTATTCACTGGCAGGCAGAGAGGATATTTATGTGCATGAAACACTTTTGGAGAAAATATGGAATTGACGGACAAACCAAAACACCCCTTTAAGTGGAGAAATAGACCACATTAGTAGGGTTCAAGACTATATTATAAAACTATATTATAAAACAATTTCTAAATTGATTGAATCAATTTCTAAATTCAAAACTTCAGAAAATTCTTAAATGAAATTTGAGTAGAGAACAACACCTGGGATTTCAACAGAAACCCTAAAGAAGCTGCAGTAAACTAGACTCTCCCAACAAAACGTTTTTTAAAAAGTTTTGAAACATCAAATTAAACTACATTACAGAAAAAGAAAAATCCCAGCCCTTATAAAATTAAACCAAGTAAATACATTTAATAATGTAACATTCACAATACCCGATATTCAGTTAAAAATTACTAGGCAGAAAAAAGCAACCCATAACCAGGAGAAGGATCCATTATTAGAAACACACATATAAATAAAAATGGATATAATTAGCAGACAAGAACTTTTAATATAGCTATTAAAATATGTTAACAGGGGAAACAAATATAAATATTACTGGAAACTACAAACAATTAAAATAAACTTCTAAAGCTAAAACCCATAATAGCTGAAATCAGAATGCTACTGGATGCAATTAAGAGCAAATTAGACACTGGAGAAGAAACAAATCAGCAAACTTAAAGAACAGGAATAGAAATGATCTAAAACTGAAGCATAGAGAGAAAACAGGCCTGAAAACACAATAAAGATTCTCAGTGACCTGGGAGATCAATTCACATTGTTTATCATAAGTGTAATCAAATTACAGAACTAGGGGTGGAGGAGGGCAGAAAAAATACTTGAAATAATGTCCAAATATTTCTATTTGAAAAATATGAATCTATAGATTCAAGAATCTCAAAGAAATCTAGGCAGATAAGTGCACACGCATGCATACACACTATCATTACTCTCACTTTTGTAGCTACAATAATTTCTGCATAAGCACACACACATACACACACACACACACACACACCCCTATACCAAGGCATATCATGATCAATTGCTTGCATAATCAAGGCAAGTCACTGATAAAGATAACAATTTTAAAGGCAACCAAGAAGAGAGATACCTGTTCTGGGGATGACAGAAAAGAAAATATTCTGGCTACTATTCAGAAACAGTGCAAACCAACTGAAAATAGAATGACACATTCAAAGTGCTGAAAGCACTTCCTCAAACTGACCAAAAGCAATTACGAAAAAAGCTGGAGCTAATATTATGCTCAATGGTGAAATATTGAAGGCTTTCACCCTAATATCAAGAAAAAGTCAAGGATGCCTGCTCTCACAACTTGTATTCAACATTCTACTGGTGTTTCTAGCCTTTATGATAAGGCAAGAAAAAGAAATGAATGGAATATATTGTGTAAAGGAAGAAATAAAACTGCTTATGTGAGTAGAGAAAAATATATCATGTATGAGAAAAATCTTAAGAAATCTACCAAAAAAGCTACTAGATATAACAAGTAGCTTTAAAAAAAGAGTCAAAGGATATAAAGTCAAGATACAAAAATCTACTTCTACATACTAGTAATGAACAACTGGAATATTGCAGTTAAAAATACCATTAACAATAGCATCCAGGGGGAAGGGAGAGCATCAGGATAAATAGCTAATGCATGAGGGGCTTAATACCTAGGTGATGGGTTGGTAGGTGCAGCAAACCACCATAGCACACACTTACCTATGTAACAAACCTGCAAGTCCTCACAGGTATCCCAGAACTTAAAATTAAATTAAATTAAATTTGTAAAAAAGCATCCACAAACATGAAAAGTTTAGGATACATTTAACAAAATCTGTGCAAGATCGATATACTTAAAAGCCACTAAACATTAATGATGGGAATTAAGATTAAAATAAATTTCTCCAAAATTCATTTTCATAAACTCAAAACTCAATATTGTTAAGATGTTAATTCTCTTCATATTGATTTACAGATTTGGTGAAATCTCAATAAAAATTCCATAGGACTTTTTTAAAGAAATTGATGAACTAGTTTTATAGTTTATATGGTGCAAAAGACCTAAAGTGACTAAACACTTTAAAATAGAACAAAATTGAAAGATTTACACTATAGATCTATAGATTCATTTACAGAAAAAAAGGTCCAAAAATAAACTTGCACACAGATGGTAAATTGGTTTTCAACAAAGATGATAAAATAATTCAACAGGGAACATATAGTCTTTCCAAAAACAGTATTGGAACAACTAGATGTCTATACGAAAAATCACGAATCATCACCTTTATACAAATACCCACAAAGATTAAATTGAAATGGATCTGAGACCTAAATGTAAAGGCTAAAACTATTTAGCTTATGGGGATAAAAGTAAGAAAAATTCTTCATGAACTTTCAATAAGCAAAGATTTCTTAGTATACAAACCAAAAATAAAACATCGAGGAAAAACTTGATAAATTATCCTTCATCAAAGTATAATTTCTTGCTCTTCAAAAGACACTGTTAAGAAAATAAAATAAAATAAAATAAAAATAAAAAAGAAAATAAGGCCAGGTATGGTCTCTCATGCCTATAATCTCAGCACTTTGGGAAGCCAAGGTGAGAGGGTCAATTGAGCCCAGGAATTTGAGACCAGCGTGGGCAACACAGGGAAACCCCATCTCTACAAAAAATTTAGAAATCAGCTAGGTGTGATGGCACATGCCTGTGATCCCAGCTACTGGGGAGGTTGAGGTGGGAGGATTGCTTCTTGAACCCAGGAGGTCAAGGCTGCAGTGAATTATGATCATGCCATTGCACTCCAGCCTGAACAACTGAGTGAGACTCTATCTCTAAATAAATAAATAAGCAAATAAATAAATGAGATGGAAAGTCAAGCCACAGGCTGGAAGAATAGCAGAAAATATTCACAATACATGTAATAGGATACAAGTCCTGGTACTTATATCCAGAATATATGTATATTTACAAAGTATAACACACACACACACACAGATAGCCAGTATGTCAAATGATATTTAGCACCAATACAAAAGATGTTCAATACCATTAGTTATCAAGGAAATGCAAATTAAAATCATGAGATACCATCACACACCCAATGGGATGATTAAAATTAAAATTATCAAAATATCAAGTCATCTTGGTAAGGATTTGGAGCAGCTGGAACTGGAAGTATAAAATGGTACAATCCACTTGGAAAACAGTTTGGCAGTTTCTCGTAAAGTTAAACATACTACCATTATTACCATACTACCCAACATTACCACTCCTAGTCATGTATCTAAGAGAAATTAAAATATACTTTCAGAAAAGAAGTTGTATTAATGTTCTTAGCAGCTTTATTCATAACGGACAAAAATATAGGGTCCAAATGACAATCAACAGGAGTGGATAAACAAGTTGTGGTCTATTTGAGCAATGAAATACAAATTGGCAATAAAATAGGAATAAACTACTAATACACACAAGAGCAGGGAGAATTCTCAAAAACATACGCTGAGTGAAAGAAGACAGACACAAAAGAGTACCTACTGTAAGAATCCATTCTATGAAGTTCTGGAATAGTTCAAACTAATCCATAGTGATAGAAATTGAATAAATGATGACTACTTGGGGTATGGTGTAAGTGGGGAACTGAATTTAGTCGACCAAAGGGAACATTTTGGGAATGATGAAAGTGTTCTCTATCTTGAATGGAGTGCTGTTTACACAGGCATATTCATGTGTAAAATCCCTTAAGTTGTATACATACAATGATTGTATTATTTTATGTATACTATAAACCAATACAATTTACTAAACAGAAAAATAATGAAAAAATAGTTTTGAGACATTTGTATGCCATTCATATAATGTTTAAAAAATACAACAGGTAGTACATTTTTTGTGGATGCATCCATCTTAGTACAGACATAAAATCAAGGGAATGAATGGGAATGTAAAAATTCACATCAGAATCATGGTTTCCCCTGGCAAGGGAGCAATGCAGGTATGGAGATAGATTGTGATGGAATCAGATTGGGATACACAAGGGCTTCCAATGCATTTGTAAATTTTTGTTTTAAAATTTGAAGCCTATCTGTCAACATTGTCAGATTTGCTAAAATTAAGTAATGAGTAAAATATTTATTGTATTATGCTTTATAGTTTTTTGTTTGATGAATTTTATAATTAAAAAAACAGGTAATTTTAAATTTTAATGATTTATTAAAATAAATGACATAAAGTGTTTATGGATTATTTTCACAATAATAATAATTCAAGCTCTCCTGGTTGAATGAGTACAACACTGAGAAAAATATTTACTTACTTCTGTTATATGCTTACTCCATTCCCAAAGCACTAACAATCAGTCTTTTAAACATTTTAAACATTAAAACTTGATATGCTCCAAGTTCTTCCCAAAGAATTAATTATGCTCCTATTCACTTAGTATTTATAACCCCATGAACTGCCTTGAAAAATATGATGAATTCACTTGCTGGACTCTGACACTGGAACACAGAGTTGGTTTCATCAATCTGAGTGTACTACATTCACAAAGTTGGTAAATAGTAACAGGATTAGTACTGACTCCCTGGGCTATTAAATCAGAAGTTTTACCTACTTACGTGTTAAAGATTATACTTAAAATTGTGATATGAATAATTGTGATACATTTAAAATTGTAATAATTTTATTTACTGTAATTAATAATAATCTTCTTTATTGAATCATTACCATGTGCCGGGCACTCTTCTAAGGGCTTTACAAATATTAATTCATTAACCTCATGACAATTCTCGGATAATAGCACTAGGTGCTATTATCTGCCTTTTACAGATAGGGAAACCAAAGCAAAAAGAGGTTAAATAAACTGCCCTAGATTATACATTAAGTAAATGAAAGAGCCTAGACTTGAACACAGGAAGTCTGGCTTCAGAGCCTGTAGTGTTTGCCACCATATCCTGTTATGTTACATGGAGACCACTAGATATATGATAATATCTACTTGGACGTAGTACATACACATAAACTCTATGCCCTCTTTCAAGAACAGAAGCTTATGGATAGTATCTGTAATAGCTATTTTATGCAAATTAAGTTATTCATGTCATATAGTCAGTGATAGTGCCAGCCTTTGTATTTGGGTGTCTAGTACTATACTCTTTCTCTTATTCACTATCTCATCCAATATACATTTGGTCCAAACCAAATTGTATGGTTTGTTTGCTCCAACTCTACACTTGCCAGATTTAAATCTAAAGCTCTGAAACGCTGAGATTTAAGTCTAAATCTCAGCTCTGATCATTTCACTGATCTATTCAGTAGCCCTTCATTGACTATTAAATTAAACTCACTTTTTAAAAATATCTTCCCACAGTATTCTTTTTTCTAGAACTAAACCAAATTAGAATATTTGCTGCTTACTAAAACACATCCTACATGTTCCCAAATACCATGCTTTGGCTCCTACATTTCCCTCAATAACTAAGACCTTTCTTAGAACTGAATTCTGAAGGCGTTTTTGCAGGTTCTTATCCACTGGCATTCTCCATTTACTAGATTGTCAACTGGTTGTGAACAAAGACCAAGTTATTCTCATAATTTTATCCACGTAACACTTAAATAACATCTTACTCATGACAGAAACTTAAACAAAATGTTCAATTGACAGTTTGCCTTAGCAGAAGTAAAATAATGTCTGTGTGACAGTGTATTTTCCTACCAATTCACGCATGCTAAAATATCTTTGCAGTCAGGGAACAAACAAACACTTGTAGATCAAAGATAAATGAAGGTGAAAGAGCAGGGAAAACTGGCATACAGTGATTAATGTATCATTTGCTCAGGATTATCAGTTATCCACAATGTAACCAGGAACTTGATAGTGTGTAAAAATCCTTTAAACAACTGAAGCCAACAAAAAAGAATTCTGTATAATTGAGCAACTTATTAAAAAGTAGTTCATCAACAGTCTTTTTTTCTTACATTATAAATACTTCAACAAACTTGGTTTTCCAGGTCATGGCAATCCAGAAACAGCAAAATTGATGGCTTATATACTTATTTTGTGCACAAACACACACACACACACTTCCTTATTAACAACACATATATCTTCAAAACCTAAAAATTTGGGACCATTTATTGAAATCCAACATATTTCAATAGCCACTGGATAAAAAAAAAATATTACAACACCAGCCTCTGCATCTTTAAGAAAACATTTTTTTTCTCTTTCAATTACATTATGTTTACTGTTTAAGGAGACAGAAATGGGTTTGACATATTATTTAAAAGATCTCATCAAAACTTATTAGACTGAAAAGGTAGGGTAAGGCAGTTTCAGAAGAAAGCTGGAACAAGATATCCCACAGGGCTGAAGCAGGTGGTAGAGATGCAGAGGCAGATCTGGATTCAGTTGCCAATGTGCACATGCATGGAGGCAGACAGCAGGTCCAGAGAGTACAGTAATGAGCAACAGATGGTGAACCCAGCTAGGACACATGAGAGTAGACTAGCAAGAGGTAGCATATCATAACAGGCAGGTGAAGCAAGGCTAAAGAGAATCCAGGAACTGGCACTAGGCAGGTCCAAGTGGCAGGGAAGCAGGTCAGCAGGGAGCAAGATTCTACTCGCCAGCTAGACTCAGTGGTGGCTCACTTCCTCAGGGTGATATGCAAAGTAGAGACCCAGATGGGTTTCAATGGCCCCTCATATCCTGCATATGAATATATAGAGATATATATATACACACACACACACACACACATATATATAAATATCGTTTACAGTGCCTAAGAGTACTAAATAAATGGTAACTCAGTGAGTACATGAATGAATTTTTCAATGTTTTAAGTAATTTAGGGTACTAAAGACATTTTAGAGGCAGGGAATCATCAAAATCAGGTACCAAAAATGTATTACCACTAATCTAACCAAAGCAGTAATAAAGTAAACAAAAATAACATAAGTCAAAATTCCCATTATTTGGTACAAAAATATTGCATACCTAGAAAATACAGATAAATAGACTGAAAAAGATATATACGTAATAAGAAATTCTCTAATGCAGGTGACTGCAAAATAAATATATAAAAATCATAAGTAGTCAATTAACATGAGTGAAAGATAAAATAGGAAAAATTAGTTCACTGACAATGTCCAAACTATAATAAAATATTGAGAGGCTAAACTTATAGTGCATTTCTAAAGAATACTATAACATAGGGAAATGCAAAATATGATTTTTTTAAGTAAGAGAGGCCTATTATAAAGAACATCATTATTCTCCAATTACTTCATAGGTTTAGTATGCCAATTTAAAAGTCTTCATAACATTTAATTGTTCCAAATTTGAAAAAAAAAAAGTTAAGTTCATCTGGAAGAATAAATGAGAAATGGGTTTCAAAATTCAGAAAATAAAAATGATGAAAAAAGAACTGCCCTTTCATGTATTAAAATGGTTTATTATCTAAACAAGTTAAAAGTATATTGTTGAGATAACATACTTTATCTCAATGAAAGCAACCAAGGCCTCAATGAAACACACAGGTTTTTCTAACACAGTCTGTGTTAAAAGATTTTAATAGTAAGGAAATATCACCCACCAGTGGAAAAAACAAAAGTTATTAAGTAAATGATAGTAGGGAACTAAATGATTGTAGGTAAGGAAAATAATGGAGTCGTGTAAGATATAACCTCATCACCAGTAACCAAAATGGATTACGGAGAAAATAAATCTTAGTATGTCCCAAGGCCTTGTTTCTCTTTAAAGTCCATAAATAATTTCCCCCTTCTCAGGGTAATTAATGTCCAGTGAATCCTCCAACCCCAATTTTAGATATTTACATTTTCTCCACAATTTATCAGAATTCAAAGATGTGTATCAAGAAACTAAACCTAAAGTTTAGGTCAATAGACTACTTTGAGTAGCCTTACTTCCTGGTACAACAAATTTAATAAAAGCAGCCTATAATATAATCTGTTATAATTAGGAAGGACTTGTTAAAATAAAATAAAATAAAATAAAATAAAATGAAAACCAGGTTTGAAAAATTTCTAAGCAGACAAACCCAGCTAGCCTTGAAAGTAACCTTAATCTTGCTTGGACTGCAAACATAAGCAAAACAAGTTGGGCCATTTATTGTAAATGCCAGAATCATTAAAAAGAAAACAAGTTCAACAAATCAGAAGCTGCCAGCAATGGAACAGACCAAATAGAGCAACTATATAAGTGTAACCACTCAAATATTTTCAATTTCTTGCTTCCCAGTCATGCTATAAAAGCCTTCCACTTGGATTTCTTTAGTAGAGCTCAAGACGTCCTTCAATTTGGTGTTTCCCAAATGTATGTACCACTGTTTGCCCAAATAAACTCTAAAATTTGTATAGTGTCTCAGTTTATCTTTTAACAGACCTTATTTGTATAATGGAATTTCCCAGGCAATTGAAGCTTATTTTTGGGAGCAAGCTACCTGGTTTCCTGCTCCAACATCCTCGTCTCTATATTTTAGAAGCAACTCAATCTAACCAGAAAGCTCAGCCTCACTCTGGAAAGAACTTAGTCCTTATCTAGGAAAATATTATATTCCTTCAGTACTCTTAGATCAACATCAAGAAAATCTTTCTGTAAATGTAGTGCATGCCTTGTTTCCCAGTCCTAGAAACTAAGATTTGGTCTTATTCACCAGATGCACTTCTTCTACTTGTGCCTAAATTACTGATTTTATTTTATTGTCTCAAATATTTATTTTCTCATTACAAAATATAAAATTATTATACAATTTGTACAAATGACAGAAAAATCTAAAAAGTAAAATGAAATTATATCACGTTAAACTCTAGTACCTAAGGGTAACTCTTATTAACAATTTGGAGTGATGTTTCCAATCCTTTTTTTTCTGGTCATGGTCACTAAAAGAAATGTAAGATTTCATGAAGATACCTAGTGACATAATTGGGGGATTTATGGCATTGGTTAGAATTATGACCATTTTGCTTTTAAGGCCTGGGCTTGAATTAAATGAAATTTATAAGAAACTATTAAATAAGTGAGTCCATTCAAAAATTGGCTAAATTAACTCAGTTGAAAGAAAAGGCTTGTTTTGCTGAGTTTTTCATGATTATGAAGTCTTTTCTAAGACAATGAATTACTATTTTTAAAAACATGTTATATTAGTCTTATTTTTTTCAATTTCCTTAAATTTTTTTTGAAATAATATTTCATTTGTCATGGGAAACTATAAAGAAATATGTTACATACTTACTTTAATGAACTGTATGCATACTGACTACAATCTAACTCTACCAAACAGGAACTTATTACTTGATTTTTAAACAATATGCCACATAATCTAGCAGTAGACATTATAGTGATATAGAATACTTTGTACTTAAGTTCTCATAGTATATCAAGGTAGCTGGTTATACACCAAGAAAAGGTCCTTATGTTCTAAAGCAAATAAAATTACAATTTGAGAGATGTTTATGCAAATTTAATTCCAATAAAGAATTATTTATAAAACAATATGTGAGGCTAAGTGATTTATCCTAGCATTTCTTTTCTGTATGTTTGTTTTCACTTTAAATGCACAATATGAAGATCTGGGGCTGATATTAACTCTCTTAGGGATATTGTGAACAAAAAGTCAATACATCTGAAGAACTT
Source organism: Homo sapiens (assembly GCF_000001405.40). Classification (NCBI taxonomy): domain Eukaryota; kingdom Metazoa; phylum Chordata; class Mammalia; order Primates; family Hominidae; genus Homo; species Homo sapiens. Next base: position 80,695,430 of record NC_000012.12, read on the forward strand.
TAAATAATAACTGGCTAACAGTACTCAATACATACTGGTGGTATTTATCACCTCTATCATCATATGAGAATTTGGATTTTACAGTAATTGAATCCTTGATACAGTTTTATTTCTTCTTGACATTGTATTCTAGAACCCATGTTTTAAAGTAGAACTTTAAGGAAGAAAAGAAGTTGTATTACATACAGTGGCCAAAGTGATATATAATTTAAATGATACTTATTTCTACTAATGTAAAATCATTTAACTGTGTATTTGAAGGTAAATTTATGCTTACTAAAAGCCAAGATTCATTCCCAGTTGAAATAAAAATAATTTTAGATAGGAAATTTCATTAATCTTCTTTTCATGACATATATTAGAATGAGAGAAGGGTTTTTAATCACTTGCTAGCTTTTCTTTTATCTAACTTAACTGTATCTGTCAATCATTGAACATAAAATAGGTGTTGGGCATTGTGCTAGGCCAAAAGTTCTCAGTAGTGGCTGCACATTTTAATCATTTTCCATTTCCCAGGTTATTCTATTGTGCAGCCAGGTTTAAGAACCATTAGGCTGGACACATTTAATCTCATCAGAATCCCTACTAGCATTTACAGAAATACTCTGGTTCGGTTGGGCTGCAGTGGATCTTGGGAATCCAAATTTTAACAAGTTCCCCCAGGGTTACAATTGATCATAGGATTATTACTTAATAAATCTTGAGTCCTGATTATGTCAATCGCACTATATAGGCTAATGTGATCATTTCACAGGCCTCTCAGAAATGAGCTACCCAGTATGTAACACTTAAGATACCATTTTTTAAAAATGAAGATGTACTGGACTAAAAAGTGTTTTACAAAATTATTTTAAGGTAAACTAAAATATTTTTATTACTACAAATCAACAGCTTTGTAAAGAAAAAATGTGAAGGATACAAAAAGAAGAGGTAAGGATTAGTTTTCCACGTGGGGTTCCATACTGTTCTGACTATCTTCAGGTTCCCATCAAACTCTGAACCAGCAAGGTTTGGGAGGTGACAAGGTAGCAACACAGATTAGCTTCTGATGACTGTTTTGAAGAGTGAGCAAAGGTAAATAACCACATGTCTTGAGACCCTTATACTTATGAGCCCAGCTAGATGAAATAATGACTTATTGACACAGAGACCAAGGACATCAAAGATGCCCAGGTACTCAGGAGCAAGGTGACTAGGAACAAGTAGCCCACCACTGCTTTTAAAAAACACAGTCAATAAATAATCATACTCATCTATGTAACCATAGCATGAAGGTCTGACTGGTGTACTAAAATTTGGTTGTGACAGCTAGACTTGTGTCAAAAGCTTAGCAATTTTAGCTACAGAAAAAAAAAAATGTCTTGTTACAAAATGTATTTTGAGTAGAGAACTTCTGGTCCCATAGAGGTTTCAGGAACTTCTACCAAAACAAAAGTTTTGGCGGAATTATTTTCAGACAGTAAATGAGCATTATGTCTTGCATTGATTTAAATATGCATCTTTTGGGCAAAACACCAATAAAATTTAAGCAAATACCAAATAGAAATAGAAATTTAAAATTCTAAGAATAAAAAATGCCATTTCAAGACATTCTCATAGATGATAGAAGGTTTTGACAGTTATTACCACTTTCACTCAATCACTCACAAAAATTACATAGTGTCTATTTTAGAACAGATAGTCTTCTGCAATCTATATTGATTATTGCATATTTCCTGCCCTATGTAATGGGTGATATGAACAATAAGCACTATAAGGCAATGTGATAAGTGCTAGGATATATGTAAACATAAAATCAGATACTATAATCAATACAAGCTATGAAAAGTGAATATAGTTTGATGATCCACACTCCACAAATAGCCTCCTTATGAATATTTCCTTACAGACTGAATTTTGAAGTAGAAAAATGTAGGAAACAACATCAGGAACTTCCAAGCTTTCTGTGACTTATGTGCTAACTTTTCTACCAAATTGTATTCCCAAAGAAGCAAATCATTAACAAGGAGATGTACTTTACCCTAAAGCCTTCTGTGTCAACCCAGTATTTTAAGCATTTTAAATAATTCCAGAGTATGCATTGATTTTGAAAACCCTGTGATTTTTTTAGAGTTGATTTTAATAGACGTCTAGTGGTCAATTCTGAACTCAGAATGGCTTCACAATCCCACTTTCCCCCTTATAGCTTTTCCCTCTCTCCCCCACACTCTCCCTCTTCCTCCTTCTTTTACTCTCCTCTTCTTTCTCTCATTCTGTTTCTTTCTTTCTCCATTATTTGTCTTTAATAGACTATTCAAAGTCCCAGAGTCCCAGAGCCTTATAAAGGTCTTGCTCTGCACTTCTGAAGGCACATCTAAATTACTGCACCCTCAGAACAATTTCATGCTAATCTTATAAGATTTTATAAGATCGTACTTCATTTTTCCCTGTGTCTGAGGTTATTGCTATTATGATGTACTTATAAAACTCTTTAAGTAACTTACCACTGCCAAAAATAGTATTACAATATTATCATATATCCAAAAGCTGATTTTAATAATCACTTTGATCTTCAAAAGATAACTTATTCATTGAGAAGTCTGGGATTTTCTTCAAAGTCAGAAAAATATAAGCTTTTTGGTAAATTGACATGGATAAGATTAAAGAAAAATTTCTGCTATTAGAGATTTAGAAACTATTTAGAATACCAAATCCTCAAAGAAGTAAAAATAAAGTATGGAAACATAAGAAGTCTAGGTATTTTAGAATCATATACCTAAGATTAAAGAATTAATATCTGGAAAAGAGTTCATTCTTTTTAAAAAGCAGCATATGTTCTTAGTGCTACTGCATCGTAACATAATTCAAAATCTAAAAGACTAAAGCATATTAATGAATCTGAACAAAATAGTAAAAGAATATCGAAACCATCAAGCATCAGTTATTACACTTATATCTGTTTTAATCATAGCAACCACAAAACAATTGCTGTCTTTTGGCAAGCCTCAAATATAAACGTTTCCAGGAACAGCACGACAGATCGGTAAAGTGCAAAGCAACTCTTGATTCTTGCATTGTTTCTTTGTGATGTGATGTTTCTCACTAAACCCAAACAAAAACTGACACAAGAAAAGAGCGTATTGTGCCATGGAGAAATCATACCACTGCACGGTCCAACTTTATTTTATTACAAAACAAATGTTAGACACATCTGCAGCCATTCCTTATATTATTCATTTTTATGCCCTTTAATCCTCAAAACGAGGGTGCTTTCTGATCACGAATAAAAATTTGCAAAGTCGAGCATATTTCACAAAGGAATAAATAATCATTATCTGTTGCCTGTGATCTGTTAGTGCTTCCAGTCATGGCTGTGATATGAGTGTACTCACACATGTGTGCACACACGCCTACTAATAGAAAAAAAAAGATTTTCTGTAAGCAACTTATAACCAGGAATCAACTGGCAGGTGTGTGAAAAGATTCAGGTTAGGAAAGGAGGCACTGGCATGGATTTATTGCTGTCATGACCATTAAGTCTTGATAGAACTAATTGATTTTGCTCTTTTCACTTTTTAAGAGGTCGAGCTGAAGTTCCCTTTTATGAGATTGGGTAATGGAACAAGTGGTGAACTGAACTAAGGACTTTGTGACATACATTAGAACTCTGGTGTTATTTGGTCCTCTGAACACAGAAGGAATGTCCAACAAAGAGCCATATCAGAAAAGTATGTAAAATCTTAAATTGCTACAACAGCTGAGCGAAGAGAATAGTTCTATTGAAAGAAAATTAATGAACAAGTGTCAAAATGGACAGTTGGTGTCAATTCCTAGAGGATTTGGAAGTGAGAAGTGGAGTTGAGGAAACCATGTTAATAAGCTCTTGTTTGCATAATAAGAACGTCGTACCTCACCAAATATCCATCATAGGAGTCATGCTTGTCACAGTTCACATTAAAGCGTTTCACAGAAAAGAATGCTTTACTATGCGTCATGGAAGCACCTTATTTTGTTGATCTCCAACAGCATATGATCATCTATTTTCGTGGAAACAAATTTAGAAAGGAATTCTACACTCAGCTTATGTGGTAATTCTTGGATCAAACTGTGCCCATCATTTTGAGAAAGAAAAGACCCTTTCAAGCCCAAGCTAACTTATTTCTAAGTGAGTTTAAAATATGTTAACAAACCAAGATGTTTTGTTTTAGCCTCTTTCAGTTGTAATCCCATTTAAAACTAAATTCTCTCTATTCTGTCAACTAATAAATAAGTAGTAGTTTTTTTAAATTTTTGATTATTAAATCTCACTAAAAGCATAATTAACACAAATTGAAAATTTCAAGTGTATTCCATCTCTATCTTAGGAATACTTTATGTGAAAGGTATTTCTTAATAAAGGCTTTCTTTATAAATGGCTTACATAAAATAATTTGCTAAACTTCAGTATAATTTATATTAATAAACCAAATATAGCAAAAATAATTATATCAAAATGTAATTTGTTTCAGCATATCTAATGGGAGACTAAGAAAATAAAATTTCTCTTCCAAAAGATCCTACAATGCCTTTTTCCATGTGCTCCTTTGTAGAAAAAGTAAGATCAGTATTTGCTTTTATTTTTCTCTTTATCTCTATCAACCATATTTACATTTAGCCTTCTCAATAGTTAGACACCTCAGTAATTTCAAGTGAGCATAATATCCTCAAAACATGTGATGTCCAATTGGAAAAGACTGTCCTATCCATGAGAGTTAGATATGGCTAGTTGTTCACAGGATCTGTGTATTGGTTGTAGACACCTTCTACCTGCTAAGATCCCTTGCTCGCTCTCAACCCTAGTCCTTGTTATTACTGTAAGTGGAGCCGACTAATTGGGGAAAAGAGAAAGACAGGATATAAGAGCATTGTGTAACTTAGTATTTGGAAAATGTGTTTTCTCCACATTTACCCTACAATAGTGCACTAAATTATTCCATCTTTTTCCTTTTGCTTCTCACTGTGTGTTTTAAAATAATGAATCAGACCATGTGTTTTGAGTATCTTCACTTGAACATCTATTTTGTGACCTCTGAGACAGGCTGCCTGTACGTAGTAGTGTACATGGAAAATACCATTGTGTCATTATTTGCTAATGGGACAATACGTAGGTCCAAATCTCAGCCATCAGTTACCAACATGCCTCTTTGGGACATGTGACTGAAAACAAAACAAAACAAAACAAAAAAGAAACAAAAAAACAGAAGTTAGCCTGAAGTTTCCCAAATAAACACTCAAAGCTCCTGTAAGGTAGGTAACTCCTAGAAGACTATTCTTTTGGTCGCTGTCAGGAGATTCAGAAGAAAAGCTTCTCTTTAATTATATGAATCAGTGCCATATGAACCAGGTTTAAGTATATAGCATGCAATCTTGGGCAAATAGATTAACTTATCTTTGCTTTGCTTTCTGTATTTTTAAAATGAAATCAATTATATTATACACTTGGTAAAATATTGTGAAGATGTAAAGAGATCATTTACTTAAAGTACTTCAACATATAAGGGCCTGCAACTTATTTTTTTTCAGAGTTGAACAATGGCTACAATTTTACAAAATAAAAAACTTATATATATTACTACTTTTTATTCTTTTCTTTTGGAAGCACCAATTCTTCAACATTATATTGCTACAAAAGAAGCAGCATAAATCTCGCGATAGCTTATACTGAAATACAAGAAAGTGAAAAAAATCTATTTAAATGGCTTAATAAAAAGGCCATACTAATATTGTAAAATTCACAGACAGTCTTTTCTAATATGACAACACTTAGCCCAAATCATATAAAATCAGGGAAGATAAAATTTAATATGATTAATTTTATATGACCAGTGACATGTTGAACATGTAATGCCTGTACTTTAAAAAGCTCCAGATTATATGCAATTTAAACACATTATAACTTTCTATCACTCACTAACCTAAAAACTAACATGTATTATCCACAGACAAAAATGTCTGGACTTTCAAAAAAAACGTGAGATGTAAGTGAATATCTGATTAAACAACTTTTTCTTCCAAACTGGTAGGGAAACTTTATGGAATAAATGTGTTTGTACAGTGGTGGCTATCTGTCACGGTAGACCCTGACACAGCCATTAAAGCACCAAACATTTTGGGCAATATGTCATAACCAGCCAGTTGGAGGGCAGTAACAAAATACTTGGCTAACCATACTATACTAGAGACATTTGTTTATCTTAGCAAGCTAGTAACACCAAGCACCACTATAATTGGGGTCATCTGAATATCATGATTCATTGCATTTTTAAAAGAATTAAACATCATAGGAAAATCATTCCATATATTTTGGATTTTGAACATTTAAAATATTAGTTGTTTTAGCATCATAAAATGTTTATATAATATTTTCTTTGAAAAAGGCAATATATACATAATATTATATTGTATTTATATTTAAATAAAAAGTAACAAAATTTGCATTCTATCATATGACATTATGTAAAATTTTGTTCATATAGAAAACAAAAAAGTAGGGTTTGATTTATTGAAGCAACAAGGAATGGATGATTTTTTTTCCTTCAATCATAGCTGAAATAATTTGTGTTGAATGTTGTTTATGTGCTAGATACTGTATATTGGATTTTATTGACATTATTTAACCTTTAAAACAATATTATAAAGTAATATTATTTCTATTTTATAGACTAGTTAATTAAAGCTTAGAAAAATTATAAAACATGTCCGATGTCAAATGATTAGCAAGTAGTAGAGCTGGGCCTAGAACTTTGTCTAATATCAAAACCCATATTTATAATCACAGTAATTTTTTAAATAAAAAATCTATACTTTATATATCCTGCACTCTGTACATTGTTCTTATTTATGAATAGATGTATGTCAGTTTCTATGGGCTTTTTCTGGGAAATAGAATGACAAACTCATTCTGACTTGACCAGGATTTCCCCAGTTTTAGCACTGAAAATCTGGCCTCCTGGGTACCTGCTCAGTCCTAAGCAAACCTATGCCAGTTGGCCCCTCACCAGGAAAGAATACTTAACCTGGAAAAAATTCTAATGGTTTCCAAATTTTAATCTTAAATTCAGAAATCTGAATAAAAGCGGGGGGACGGAGGTGCAGAATTATGAAGAAGGCTTCATGTTTTGCACTGAGGAATATGTGTTTCTCAGGGAGAAAAGCATTCATTGTCACCTTCCCTGGAAATTATGCCTGAGAATTAAGAAATGAATAGCAGCCTTCTTAAGTGTCGTTTTGCAGCTAGTACATAACTGAATACAGATTTTTGGAATCAGGAGTGAGAGCAAAGAGCAAAAATGTGTTTCTTGAATTATCTGAAGAGCAGCCTCGTTGGTTCCCCCTTCGCTTGTTCTAGACTCATTTCCTTGGTGCTGTTTTTAAAAGGGTGCTCCATGGTGGGCCTGGAAACCGAAGCCCTTCCTAATCTAGGTCCAGCCCCATTTCTACGCATAACTTCTCACTGCCACTTACTGGAGATTGCAGAAGATTCGCCTTTAATATCTTTCCTTTTCCTCTGCTTGGTTTATGCCCCTCCCCCAGGTTCTCTGAAGTGACTCAGATGTTCTGTAGGTCTAAGTGCAAAACTATTTTTACCACAGCGTTTGGGAATCTCTGGGCACAAACTGTCTGCCGATTAGGTAAATTACAGGTGCAGGAGCTCATGTTACTCATTTAGCTGCCACAAATTGAAAGCACTAATCTGCCTCTTCTGAGTTTTGCCTTTCAGTCAGCGGGCTCCTCCTTTACCTTCTATTCTTTATGGCTACTCTCCGCCCTTGCTGGGTGACCCTTCGTCCTGAGGGCTAGCCTGCGTTCTGTTCACTCTGTTTCTCTCCTCTCTCTCTTCTCTCCGTTCTTCTATACCCTTTTCTTTCTTCTATTTTTCATAGTTGAAAGAGTATAATCATCGTCTATCCGGCCCTCAGTTCTGCTTTATCAGCTGTGGCTGAAACTGCTTTCTTTGAATCTGACTATGTAACCAAATTCCCCAGCTATCACCCACACAAATCTCTTCCCTAGTCTCTGACAGTCATCTATGTCTGTTTCTTCCTTGAGCTTTTTCTGACTGTCACCATCATCCTGTTACTTTCCAAAGGCTTTTCAAAAAGCTTGAACTTTGTTCCCTAGAAATGCCACCACAATACCTCAGGAACTTCTGTTCCCAAACCATCCTTTTCTCAAGCTTCCTGTTCAGGAGTGACTTTACTGTTACACACTCTTAGAGAACTACATTCCTTTCTTTCAAAGTTCCTAATTCGGTTATTCATTTGTGTGACTTTTAATTAGTATCTTGTTCCCCAGTAAACTGGAAATTTAATGAGGGTATAAATACATTAAGCTCTGCTACTAGAGCGACTAGTTTCAATATTTTCACCTTGATTAACACAAATCCCCAAATTTTTCAGAAACATCTTTCTCACCAAATCTAGGTTTTTCAGTGAATTCACTATGATTCTTTCCATCAGAGGCCTTACAAATTGAGTAGGAGAATTAATATTTGCTGAGTGCATATTTCATACCATGGGCTCAAAATATATTATTTAATTTAGTGTGAAAAGAAAGCCTATGATATGTGTAATGTATATGCTTTTTGATCTCTAATAAAACTGTGGCTAGAAACACATACTTAAGAATGGCTAGAACACAGATTCTGTCTTTCCCCAAAGGTCTCTTCTCTTTCTACCATATATGCAACATTTCCAAAGGCTCATAGCTAAAATCCACTGATGTGAGCTAGCCATAATACTTTCCTTCCCACTTCTTCCCACAGAAAAGAATTGGGAGGCACTCAGGCTTTTTTGGGGGGAAAAAATCATTTGCAAATGAATAAGCATGAAGTAAGAACAACAGGGTGGTAAACCACATGAAAACTTCCCATCCTGTCACTAATCTAGTTTCAGATTTTATGATGAATGAAGTCTAGTCCCCTTGGAGTGATTTTATTAATGATAATATTATTATTCCCCTATTATCATTTACTTTTTCCATAATTAAAAAAATATTTGGACTATTTAAAGCTTGGAGGATTGCAGTTTATGTAAAACTGATTTGACCACTTGTCAAGGTCTGTGTCTCCAAGTTCTACTGAGAAGTGATATAATTGCAATTACAGGCATCTCATATTTTGTAAACAGTTTGAGTTCCAAGAGTTCACTAGTTAGAAGTTTGGCATCAGTGCGTATTTTCCCATTGACCTAATCTAATAAAGGGTGATTATTTCCCAAGCTGGCATTTCCTTGTTTTCTCCTCCCACCTCCTGCCCTCAACTCCCAAAACAACCACAAAAAAGGGGAAAAATCTGTTTAAACCAGGGTAAACACTCCCACTAATTTTACTGGTCTGAGGTCTAGAGCGTGTTGGAAAAGGGGATTCATAATTTAATAAGGAAGAATTCAATAGGTGAAAGTTGACTTTATACCAGTAAAAGCCACCCTTGCCTAAGAAGTTGCTCCTGATCTGCACCCCAAAGCTTTATATACTTTTTTAAAAAAATAATTCTCTTTCTACATTTCTAAACTGGCTCTTTCTCCAGTGGTGACACTTGAATGAAAGAAACAGAAAAAGGAAAAGGCGAACTTCCATATTTTTTAGCGGGTTCATGATATGAAGGCTCTCTAACATCTATCTGATACCTCTTAAAATCAGTGGCAAGTCTAAGAATGGTAACACCTTAAATGTATTTCTTCACCCAGGCTTCAAAATTGCTTAGTAGTGATATTTTTCTCCCTTATTTTTCTCTGAACATACTAATTCCAATAATAAAAGTACTTTTAGAGAGGATGCTACATTTTTGAGGTGGGTTTCATGTTTTTAAAAGTTTAATTTTTATAACATCCTGTAAATATGGACATCTTTTGTCATTATGCCAATGTTACGGATTAAACATCTGAGAATTTGAGATAGTAGAGTTCATTAAATCCTCACAGGCCCCAAAAGACTATAATCTAGGCCTTCCCCATCCCAATTCCAAGGCTATTTCTCCCATTTGGTCTGTTAATTTAACTCACCTCTTTAGATTCAGACTCCATGAGAAGAGAGATTTTTTTTAATGCTTTATCCTTAGCACCTAGGACACTATCTGGCACTTAGTAGGTACCCAATAAATGCTGAATAAAAAAAATTAGTCATTTTTATCTTAATGTTCTTAATGATTTTTATCACAATAATCTTAGTTAACTTTTCAAATTGTCTTCACATTTACAAGAGACAACATAAAGTGTGGTTAAGAGCACAAGCTAATTTTCTATAATAGATGTTAGATTATACCCTGAGTTGCTGAAACTTTCAATCTGCAGTTTTAATTGCTGACTTGAGCAACCAAGAAACTGGCGAAAATAGAAAAAAAAAAGTCACAGAAGAAGTATTGGCCTCTTGCAACTCTTCTCTCTCCTTCTTACCATTCCAAAAATCTAAGAATAGTATTAAACTTGATAAGGAATAAAAACAGCCAAAAATATCAAAGCTTAACATCCAGTCTGTGGCTCAATAGAAACTGTGAAGAATCATCTTCTAGAATAGGCGACTTGATTAGCTAATTTCTAAATTATCTGACAGTTGATTTCCTGCATTATCTTCACTCTATTCATTTTTTAAAATAAAGTCATAAAGAACACAGCTTATAATCATTACTGCTTGGGGTAGAGCAATAAGATTTTATGTTCCCACATAGTTTTTGAGGCACTGACTATAAAGACCAAAACCAAGGTCAACTGACATCCCAAAGGCCAGTTACAGCTAGGAAGTCTTTCTAGAGCTCTAGGAGGAAAGGTGAAAGGAAGGGAAAGAACAACAAAACAGAGAGAGGGAAGAAAAAGAAAAACCTCTCCAACAGCTATGCTTTATTTCATTCATAGGAATGAGTCTTTGCCCTAACATGGCTTTATACTACAAATGATAACTACTGTTCATCAAGCAGCTATGTGCTATGTGTTTCACATGCATGGTATCATTTGATTGAATCCTCACTAAAACTGTAAGGAAACCACTATCATCTTGAAGACATCAAGATCTAGTACTTACCCATGGATATATACATAGAAATTAACCTTGCTAGGACTTGATAGTTCTTTGGAATCTAGGGCCCCCGCACTTGACCTTCATATTGTACTGTCTCCCGAAGAACAATACATGTATCTTGTGGACCATGGGCAAGCTGCAATTTAAAAAATGCTGTTTCCTTGCTCGTGCCTTGGTTGCTAACCTTTCTCACTTAAATCCTATCAAACAACTTATTTGGAGTCAATGGATAGTGAGAATGCAAAAGAAAAAGTGGTGAGCACACAGTGTGCAGAACTGGAATCATAAGAGAGGCACCTTGGAGGGGGCCACAAGTAAATGCTGAAATATCAAGTAGCTGTGGTGTGAGTCTTGTTTTCACTAAAACTATTTTTAAGGAGGAGTTACTACATGTATTGTAACCCCATCCTCTATCCCACTCCCTACCTCATATGTAATACTGCTCCACAAATGGAAGGGTACAGAATTCAGATCCTGGTTGCCCCTCTCCCCAAAGGAAAAAAAAAAAAAAAAGATAGTCAAGGACGGTCTCTATGGAAGGACCCAGAGAATCATTTCATCCAGTATCATGGGATGTGAGCACCCTTCAGCAACCCCCTCCATTTCCCAAATCATCTTGCAGCCTTAGTAAAAGAGAGGAAAGAGATTTACCTGCTTCTATTGAGGTTGAAGCCTGAAAGTCATGTATAACCTTTGAAGCACTGTAATGGTTTTAATCACAGGAATAGCATCTTTTTGAGAGGCAGGAGAGAGAAAGGAGCTGAACCACTCTGCAAATATTAACCCGGCTATTTTGGAGCAATGGCTATTGCCTTTGAAATCTTTCATCATGGGTCTATACTTAGAATTCAGATGAGCGCAGGGGGAGGGGAATAGGGCAATGTTAATCCCCAGTTGTTTTGAAGTTGTCCTGTAAGCAGGTTAGTATCTAAACTGCCCAAAATGGAAGGGTTCAATGCTTTGTTTAAGTTATGTGATTCTCTCTGTGTAACCTGGTCTGCACATAGATTGTCACAACACTCTGGGAGGTGACACTTCTCAGTTTTCTTTCAAACTAGATGTTCTAGAGAGCACTAGCTGCAATCACATTGGGAGACTGATGCTCCATGACAGCTAAAAGTTGGATTGAGTTTCAGGAGCTACTATATATAAAGCTGGGTCGACTTATGTCACTGCACTAATTAAATGCCATCTGGGTGGTTCCTCTGGGTTTTTGAGTCCATCACCCAGTTCAGATCGAGTCAGAGGCCAAGGAGGAGAACATGATGATGGACCTTTTTGAAACTGGCTCCTATTTCTTCTACTTGGATGGGGAAAATGTTACTCTGCAGCCATTAGAAGTGGCAGAAGGCTCTCCTTTGTATCCAGGGAGTGATGGTACCTTGTCCCCCTGCCAGGACCAAATGCCCCCGGAAGCGGGGAGCGACAGCAGCGGAGAGGAACATGTCCTGGCGCCCCCGGGCCTGCAGCCTCCACACTGCCCCGGCCAGTGTCTGATCTGGGCTTGCAAGACCTGCAAGAGAAAATCTGCCCCCACTGACCGGCGAAAAGCCGCCACCCTGCGCGAAAGGAGGAGGCTAAAGAAAATCAACGAGGCCTTCGAGGCACTGAAGCGGCGAACTGTGGCCAACCCCAACCAGAGGCTGCCCAAGGTGGAGATTCTGCGGAGCGCCATCAGCTATATTGAGCGGCTGCAGGACCTGCTGCACCGGCTGGATCAGCAGGAGAAGATGCAGGAGCTGGGGGTGGACCCCTTCAGCTACAGACCCAAACAAGAAAATGTAAGCCTAGATGCTGCCGGGGCAGGGAAATGCGAAGGCTGATTAAACGCCTTCCGCGGGGCCTTAACCTCCAGCTGCTTGGTCTTTTTTCCCTTCCCCCTTTCTCGCCCGCCCCTCCCGCTCCGTCTCTAATGAACCCCCAGTGACCCAAGAAGACCGGGTGCTTGCAATAGGCAGGAAATGCGTACCCGGCCCGAGGAAGCAGGAAAGCCGCCCCCCACCCCACCCCAACCCCGGAACCGATGTTTCTTTCCTAATCTGCCGCTGCCTTGGTTTTCCCTCCAGCTTGAGGGTGCGGATTTCCTGCGCACCTGCAGCTCCCAGTGGCCAAGTGTTTCCGATCATTCCAGGGGGCTCGTGATAACGGCTAAGGAAGGTAAAGTAAAAGGGCTCTGGGCCGCACCAGAGAAAATCCGGGAGGTGGATAGGATGCTTGGGCCGAGAGGGCTCGAAGCGAGAGCAGGGACGCGCCCTGCGAAAAGGGCGCTCTTTGCGCGCCGGGACCAGGCCTTTCCTCGCTGCCAAAGCGGCCTCGCGCGGGGCGCGGAGCTGCTTCGTGTTCCTTCTTTGGGTGCTATGTTTGTGTGTTGTTTTTTCGCTCAGGAGGAGCAAGTATTGATTCGTCAGCCTCGAGTAGCCTTCGATGCCTTTCTTCCATCGTGGACAGTATTTCCTCGGAGGAACGCAAACTCCCCTGCGTGGAGGAAGTGGTGGAGAAGTAACTGAGCCTGCGCTTGAGACCTTCTCCACGCAGCAGGAAGATCCCACCGACCCTTCCTGGCCTAATCCTTTAGATTAGGTCACATTACATTAACATTTAGGAACCCAGACCGAAAAGTTGCTGAAAGGGAAGGAGACACATTCACAAAGAAACGTTGCGAAAATTGCGAAATCTGTTGTGCATGCTCAAATGAAAACGCCTTTCGGCTTTGGGCTTTTATTTTTTTGGAACTGCGAGTGGCTTAGGTCTAGCCTCATTTTGTTTTTGTTTGGTTGGTTTTATACTATATTAACTTTTATTACGGTGATCCTTTTGTGCCATGTTCAAAAGAAGTTCATTCCTGTCTAAAGTGGGAAAGTTGCATTTAATGTTAGGGGTATTTAATGTATTTTTGTAAATAGTTTAACACTTTCTTTTTTTACGTAAACCTGAAATATATTTTAAATGTGGAATGATGTATATAAAATGTGCGAGGATCCTGGTATTGTAATATTAAAAAGAAGTTTCTATATGAACAAAGTTGGTCCTAATTTGATGGAACTGGAAAAATATGTTTGGAGGCATGTGTACAAAAATAAAGAGGAGCCATATTTTAATTTAGACACCACACAAGCCCATTTATTTGGGTGTTTCCTTACATGCCAATTGAAAGGAAATTTGGCTTTCCTTAGTCTGAATTAAACTGGATACTGTTCTCTCTCTCGTAGACCTCACACTTGTCATTGGAAGTGAATAGTGCCCAGAAGAAAAATGTCATTTTTCCTTTTATCAGCATCTTTTTCCGTCTGGTTTTACACTCCTATACCTGGAGATCTGGGTGAGATTTACTTACCCAAAGTTAACAATGGAATTTTCAATCTAGGAAAATATGGTTGCAAGAAATTACCACACCAAAACTGTGCTCATTTCCCAAAAAGATCTTCAGCGGATTTACCCACAAACGGCCTTCCCTCTTAGCCTTCCCAGGCCGCTCTTGTCCTGAAGTGTGGATCTGGAGTTCCCGGGGCTGCATCCGGCATCCTCAGGGCCGGATCTCGGGCCCCCTCCCCAGTTTTCTTGAACTAGACTGGTCCCTAGCAGACTGGAATATCCTCAAGGCCTCGTTTGGCTTGGGTTTGTTTTCCATATACGAAAGATAAAAGAAATGGGCAATCTGTCTCTGGAGGTGGGGTGGGCTGCTTTGAAGGGAGGGCGGCTTCAAGTGAGGGAAGGTTTCAATGGTTGAGGGCAAAAGACAACAACAACACACATGCAACCTCTTAGCCGAGCCAAACAGCAAAGCCCCAAAGAGGCTAGAAGCCCCAGGAGCTCCTCACCATGCGGATTTTACAACGTGTGCCAGGTTTGTTTATCCTGTAACCTCAGGAAGAAACGACCACCAAGAAACACAGTGGGAAGTGAGGCAGATGAGAGGAGGAAGCCATTTCTTTTGAATTGCGACTCCTCTCTTAGATTCTGTAAGTGGCACCTTCACTCCCTTCCCCCACCCCTGAACTTCTACCTTTCCTCCTCCTCCCCAACAGCTAGTCTTCAGTTAGCAGACGTGAAAATCAAATCGGATTCAGTATTTCCCAGCCCACCCTTTCCTTCCTAACCCTCCAAAGGCTGTACTTTCTTGTTGCGCACCTAAGTTCCAGATAGCACCACAGACAGTGCCCCCTGGAGGTACAGAGCTGTATCTTGCCCCTTTTTCCTCTCAGAAAGGAAAGCCTCTTCCTGGCGATAGTAGTCACTGCGTTTTCTGAGTATATGGGAAATTCAGATTTCTTCTGAAACAAATTTAAAAGGCAGAAAGGTTCATAGTGGAAGCTGACATTGACATACAATCTCTTTTAAAGGTTTGGGAGAGGTAGGTGGGAGATTTAGCTGAGCCTGTGTGGGGTTGGCTACCTAGATGGAATCCAGGCTGCCACTGTCTAGGGCTAGTCACTGCTCATTCTTAGTCCTGTTTCCTCCTGAGGTTGTGAAGATTCACTGAGATAACACATGTGAAGTGCTTAGCCAAAATGGCACAAAATAAACACTAGATGCCAGCTCTCTTCTTCATTAGTCAATTCAAAGACCCTTTTCTTCCATCAAAAGCCATAGTTTCTTCAGCCTTTCCTTGCTCTGGCTGGGGAAAATATTGACAACAATGAGAACAAAAGCAACATAAATGAGCCATTCTTAGTATTTAAATATTAACTCATAATCCTACAACAGATGAGAGAGGTACTGCGAAGATCCTTGGAACAGAGTTTCCTGCACTTGGTTAAGTACTGCATAGAGCCAGGATTCAGAGCCAGGCAATTATCAGTGGATTCAAGCCTGTGTTCTTAACCATCATGCTCTGTGAAACAGATGCCTTGGCACATTGTTAATTTCTTTCTTTCCTCCTTTTTTTTTTCTTTTTAAGGGGTGATGTGTCCCTGTTGCCCAGGCTTGAACTCCTGGATTCAAGTGATCCTCCAGCCTCAGCCTTTCAGGTAGCTGGGACTACAGGCCCATACCACTGAGCCCAGCTTGCCTTGGGAAATTAATAAGCAACATTTTATGGTCTGGGGAAAAATTTGGCTCTCCTTGGCGTTTGTTTTCTAAAAGCTCTCTCTCAAGAGTGGCTAGCTACCGAACTCCAAATTAGAGCAGTAACTTAAAAAAATAAGTGGTAAAGCATTTCAAATTATCCAACCAAAACATGTGTGAATATGTCTGGGTAGTGTCTATGCCCATTAATTATGCTTATTAGATGCCCATCATTTTCTCCCTGAGAATCAATAGGGATTTTCCCCAAATTGTATATATGCACACTTCTATTTTTAAAATTCAAATTTATTATGCAACACAAAATAATGTAACTGATTAGGTGAACTCATTTAATTTATAATTTAGCCTATACTTATAGTAAGATCTGTGTTATAAATGGCTCAACAGCAGAATGCTTTTATTAATTCGTGGACTTTACTTGTTGATGGATTTTATTCAGTCTTTGCAAGCCAAATCCTCTCTATCTCTCTTAGCTGGGTAACTTGAGAAATTGTTTGGAATAAGTTTGCCTATAGAAGTCTCTTCATTAAATAGAGCAAATATTTCCCAAAGACTTCATGTGACCTCCACTGCTACAGATGACATGTTAGGCTTTCCAGTGAAATCCTTGGTGTGTTTGCAATTAAAATGTTTTTGTTTGATATTAATGATGATAATCTTTACTGAGGCCAAAGCCAAAATAAACAGGGCTGTGGAAGCAGATAATCAAGACATAATAACTTGGTAAAGATAAGCAATTTGGGATTAAATTCAAGCCTCTTTCCAGAGGCAGGTATAAAGTTATCAAGTACAAAATAATGAGTGATTTTCTTTATTATATTACTACAGAAATAATTTGCAGAAAATCAAATGCCAGCTTTCATACTAATTTTAATACCTGGATCACTGAATTCCAAGCCTGAACACTGGAAATCCTCTTAGGTCTAACAGTCTCATTTATTTTTCCTCAAACTCTTGCATTTGTTTTGGGAGTGGAGGGAATGCTGGAATTTAGGGTTTGCAACTATTTCTGAAACTAGCAGAGAAATCTTGAGATGCTGAAAGTGATCTCTATCCTTATTAAGACTTTTTTTTTTTTTACTAAAGTTAGAATTTACCCAGTTGTGTTTTTCTTCTAGTAATATTTTATCCCATTTTGTCGTTTCAAAATCGCTCTCCCACAACACCATAGCTGGAATTTTTTTTGACATTTTTTTTAAGCTTTGAATATCTAATTGCCTAATCCAATGCATTGATAAATTATCAATAACATAGTATTTTCTCAAAGAGCCAAACCACCAAGCTATTTCTCTGACAGGCCCCTCCAGTCACTCCCTTAAACTATTACACTTATAAAAGATGATCCTCCATCATAGAGGTTTCACTCTGAAAAAAGCAATTTTTTTGCAAGCCTAGTTCAGAGTCAGTCTGAGATGGAATGGCTATGCCATGTGCTGGAACAAAGATAATGCTGTAAGAACTGGCTACTTTCTGTACTCTCAAGGCTGCTAAATGTCCTTACTTAGGCCTTTGATCTCTCCTGGAAGTCCTCTAATTCAAGCAGAGGCCAATGTCTTCCTCAGCTGTCTTCACAAATTCTTCCAGCAGCTCTGGCAGGTACTAATGTGTTTACTTAGGTGTGCCTGATTCCCAGAGCTAATAGCAATTTGCAATTGTTGAGCACATTGTGAAGTCATCTATAATATAAAAAATATCAAGAACAACTCCCTTAGTCCAGGAGTTGATAAGGATCTGCAGGCAGGGGCAGAAGTGAATTGGAATGTATGTATCCTTCTATATGTATTTGGTTTCTCCCTCCAAGAAAAGCATAGAGAATTTTCAATAATGCAGAAAGCCTAGGGTGGGCAAAATTTATTAGAAGAAGAAGGTATGAGCATCATTTTGCTGGTGTGATCTGTCCATCAATATTAGTGTGTTGCCATAATGCTTAAACTAACACAGATTTCACTTAAAAAAAAAGTTGATGTTACGTAAAGGTCATTGCAGTTAGAACCTGGTTATAATTCTAAATTGTAAGAAAATCAAATGTATTTATTTTTTCAGAATATAAAATGAAATAAATAAATAAATAAATACTTCACCAGAGCCTTAGTGGGTATCCATTTATAGCACCAGAGGTGACTGGGTTTTCTTCCCCTCAACTACCTATGGTTAGACTTTCCTAGCAGACAGTGTTGGAGTGTCATTTCTAATAACCTGTTTACATATGAAATAAATGTGCGTTTTCTCCGCAAGCAAGAAATCCACTTCTTTGCAGAAATAGTGGAAAACTTATTTTCATTCTTTGTGTGAGGAGCAAAAGCCAATCTAATCCGACTTTGAGTACAAAAGGGTGCCCTGAGTAGATCTTTTCAGAGCCATTTTTAAAACTTTTCCCATGCTTCCCTGGCCAACCCACTCAAAAAAAAAAAATGCTTTTCTCTATGTTGCTCACCCAGTTCTTTCTTTTTCCCCTTCCAGGTCTCCCCTGGGAAAAGAGCAGGGAGACCGCTCCTGAATTGGGACACTGTAGCCATCTTTGTGGTGCTGGCTGCCTACTGTCTTAGCATATTGCCTTTTTTTTTTCTCTCTCTCTCTCTCTCTCTTTCTTCTCTCGCCCCTGACAGCGTTTTAAAAGTTTTGTCTTATTTCTTTTTACTTTGGTACTCTGAGATCCTATTTTCAGCACTTGCGTCCCAAGGGCTCTCAAGTCCGGACCCTGTTCTCCTGCTAGCAAGTCCCATTAAGCCGCCGGGCGCTTGTGTTTTCTCGGCTTCTTTAGTTCCACTCGCTCGCGGCACTCTGGTAACTTTGTTTTGAGATCACCTTACCAGAGACAGCTCTAACCTCTGAGAACTACCCTTACTGACAGAGGCTCCTGAGTGACGGCGTCTTCCCAGGCACAGGAGCCAGGGAAAGATGTTGAGTAGCCAGCTTTTGCGAGTTTCTGCTCTGGAGCCCTAAGGAAGCGCACGGAGCCTAAATTAATTGAAGAAGAAAACAAACAAAATCACCTCTAGGAGTAGGAACTATAATGACAGGATGCCTAGTTTCCAATCCTGTATGACCTTGGGGCAAATAACCTAGTCCCTGGAGCTCGAGTTTACTTTCTTTCTACAATGGGCCCAATAATAGCTCCCACAGGGTGGTTTGGAGTATTAATTGTTAAGTTAATCTAAGGAAAGGGTTGAGAACAGTGCGGGGCAAATAGAAAATTCTCAATAATTGTTAGTTAAAAATATTTCGCGCTGAGGGGCTTGAGTACAAATCACGTTAAGTGCTTTCAGAAATTAGCTGAAAGATGAGCAGAAGCGTAACCTCTAACTTTCACTCAAACTTTAAAGACCAAGTTTATTTGTGTCCAAAGCACAAGTCCGAGCTAATTTGTGGACTCCACAGCCAAAAAAATAAAAAAGTGGTCATATGGCTGCTAATAGAAACTGTGGGACTTGGCTGAGAATTCCTGGGGGAGGATATCTACCCACTATTGTATTTCAGAGGTAGCAATGTGCTTTGCATTTGCTGTGCATTTGAATGTTTCCACCAGCGTGGATGGCATCTTAGTTTCCACCTGGGTTCTTCTTGAACTTGCCTCTTTTTATCTGGCGTAGCCCTGGATACCGTATTCATTTCAAAGGCATAGACTTGTTAATAGCCCTAAAAAAGGTGCAGATGGATTTCCCACTGGTCAGATGATTAAGCAGCCCATTGGTGTGAGAGGGAACCTGATTTTCAGGAGAGATCTTTTTCTTAGAGATGACAGGACAGAAGAGAGGAGACAGCAATGGTGTGGCTAGCAAACCTTAGTGACTGACAGTGTCACTCTCCCACCTCTGGTTTTCAAGGTCTTCACTTTAGAGAGATCGCACCCTGAAAAGGTTGCTACTTCTCTGGCCCCTGAAGATGCTGGATCAATGAACCAGTGTTGCTTTAAGAAAATAATTCTGAAAAAAAAGTACAAAGTACCATTCACTGAAAGAAATAATAATAATAATAGGAAGGAAAACTCCCTCCTCCTCGCAATAACTTCGGAGCCACTATATTTATTGAACTGGGTTACCCTAGATTGAGTTGAGAACACTCCTGCTTCTTTCAACGGGGCCACAAGACCTAGTCCAAAACCCCAAGACTAATTGTGTAGACCTTAAGTAATTGCTTTTCCTAAATATAAACAGCACCTCCCCAACCCAAATAACCTGAAAGTGGATTAAGGTTGGAGGAGGATTGGTAAAAGCTGATTAATAGATTCATTCCCACTTAAATGACAACCCTCCCCTCTTGCCTTCTATCCATCGAAGTTCTAAAGACCCTGCTGTGATTGCTTTTCTGGAAGGCTTTTGTCACTGAAGTGTGTGAAGTTACTCCTGGTTTGAGGAGTTGGAAATTTTACACGAGTCAAGGATTGCAGTGGCGGCAGCTGGGACGCATCTGTAACGGTGTTAGTTTGCCTGAAAGCAGAAAATTAGCAACCCCAAAGCCCAGCTTGGCTGTTTAGTCTGTAGAAATGACAGGGCGGAGCAGAAAGAGAGGGAGAAAGGAGACTCACCCCTGGAAAGGGAGTTTGCCGTCGAAAACTGGGCTTCTTCTGTTGGAAATCTTAGAGACACTTTCAGTGCAGGTCTTTGGCCTGCTCAGGATCTAGGGAAGGCCTGGCACAAAGGAGAAGGTGCTCAACAAATACGTACAGAAGGGGAAAATGAAGGAAGCAAGAACGGGAGGAATGTTCCTGGTCACCTGGCCCTCCTGTGCCCCACCTCCTTTTAGATGAGCAGACATACAGGGAGAACTCAGAGCAAGCCCAGTCATGGGAAAAGGAACCTCCCTCCCTACTCTCAATAAGGTAGAGCCTAGAATAAATGACAATCTGAGCAAAACTTTACTCATCTGAAGCTATACAAAATAGATTTGGAAAGGCAAACCCTGTATTCACTCCAAGATTGAAAATGCCACTTCAAGTTTTTAGTAACCGTTATTCAATCCAATTGCTGGAAAAAGTTTTCGAGATAATTGAAGTTCATGAAAAAGAGAAACAAACACCCCCAAATCAGGTGATTCCTCACGCCCAGGATTGGGAGGGCAGGTCGGCTCTTGGTGCCAGCTGAAAGGGATTTCTATTTATTACCACTATTTTAAAATGTGTGTCCAATTGCAAAAAGTTGGACTGCCTTGGTCACTTTTGTGTGAAACACTCCTTAAGTGATCCCTTGTTTTAGCCTATCTAGAGAGTGCAAATGAGCAGGTTGGGGACCCACTGCCGCCCCAGCAGAAATACAGTAAAACCATTAGCGTCAAAAGGGGCAGTACACAGCAGATTGTCTGTAGAGGAAAGGCGGAGGTTTGTCCAGACAGCCCCCGCGGGGGTTGCGGTGGGATATGCTAATAGTGCCTGGCCACTGGGGCCGGCCTCCCTCCCGAAAGAATATATAAAGAACCCCAACCCCAGCTTGTCTACCCAGGCCAACAGGCGTCTGCCCTTGTTAATTACCGGAGCGACAGACTAGGGAGCTCCGCCCGGGATTTGCCCATCGGCGGAGGCGCCAGGCTCCCGTTTCTCCCCATCCCTCTCGCTGCCGTCCAGGTGCACCGCCTGCCTCTCAGCAGGATGGACGTGATGGATGGCTGCCAGTTCTCACCTTCTGAGTACTTCTACGACGGCTCCTGCATACCGTCCCCCGAGGGTGAATTTGGGGACGAGTTTGTGCCGCGAGTGGCTGCCTTCGGAGCGCACAAAGCAGAGCTGCAGGGCTCAGATGAGGACGAGCACGTGCGAGCGCCTACCGGCCACCACCAGGCTGGTCACTGCCTCATGTGGGCCTGCAAAGCCTGCAAGAGGAAGTCCACCACCATGGATCGGCGGAAGGCAGCCACTATGCGCGAGCGGAGGCGCCTGAAGAAGGTCAACCAGGCTTTCGAAACCCTCAAGAGGTGTACCACGACCAACCCCAACCAGAGGCTGCCCAAGGTGGAGATCCTCAGGAATGCCATCCGCTACATCGAGAGCCTGCAGGAGTTGCTGAGAGAGCAGGTGGAGAACTACTATAGCCTGCCGGGACAGAGCTGCTCGGAGCCCACCAGCCCCACCTCCAACTGCTCTGATGGCATGGTAAGCAATAGATCTGGTACCTGCTAGGCTACCCTAATCTTTTCTAAAGTCCTTACACCTCATTTAACCTGGTGTGGTGGGGAGAGTGGGGTGGAGGCAGATGCTGAGTTGCTTTAAAAGAAGAGAGGGGTCCACATTTAGAAAGACTCCCCAAACCGCTGCTGAACAAGATTTTAGTTTAACTTTCTAGCAGGTTCTAGGTGTACACTGTAATCGAGTGTTGACATGGAAGATGGGTGGCTGTGAATGATCACTCAGATGTTTTCTCCATTCCTGAATTTATTTTCAAAATATGCCATCTGTGGATCATGCCCTACGCTAATATCTAAAGGCACCGTTTCTAACTTAATGAGGAAATGGAAAGAAATACCCACACGGCCCCAGTTCCTGCTCCAATGAGGCCTGGCTGAAAGATGTTGATGCATTCTTTTTAGAGGGCGTTTGCTCCAAGGCTGCCAGGTTTTAATGTGTTTTTGCCCTGGGAAAGTGTTCTTTCCCTGAATTAGTGTGGCTTTCTTCTACTCCAATCCATTTTGCATGGTTAACCCAATGCACATTGCTGCTGAATTCCACCCCCTCTTCCCTTTGCTGCTGCTCTCCTCTTCTTCAAGCACAGAGATTGACCTCAGTGCCCTGGGAATTTGGAGAGGGCTAGCCCTTCCTAAATCAAGGCAGTGAAGGTGATTGACAGTGTTCGGTTACAGAGCTGGTGGGCAAGCACAGCCTCACCTTTGGTCAGAACATCTTTTGCCAAGACCTGAAAACAAACTTTGTTGTGTGTCTTGTATTATAGCCCGAATGTAACAGTCCTGTCTGGTCCAGAAAGAGCAGTACTTTTGACAGCATCTACTGTCCTGATGTATCAAATGGTAAGAATTGATAACTTCACAGGAGTTTAAAGACCAGTTCAACCTAACAATTCAGCCTATAAGATTCTGTTCTTGCTGATAGTATTGGGGAAGGGAGAATGGAAGTGATGGTTCTTATAGGGAGGCTTTGGTAAAGCAAAATAAACACATCTTCTGCTCCAAATCCCCCTAGCAGACACGCACGCACACATGCATACACACATGCACACACAATGTTGCTTGAAATATTATCAGGGGGCTTCCCCACTCCCCACGTCTACCCCTCAGGAATTGCCAGATATTTGTTGCAAATTTCTATGTTAGGCTTTCTGTGACCACCTGACCTCTGGGTGTCAGAGGAGCTGACCTACAATTTAAGGAGCAACATAAGCAAATCTGTCTATCTTGGGCTAATTATTTTTTAATGCTTTTCTCCTTGTATCCTTAGTATATGCCACAGATAAAAACTCCTTATCCAGCTTGGATTGCTTATCCAACATAGTGGACCGGATCACCTCCTCAGAGCAACCTGGGTTGCCTCTCCAGGATCTGGCTTCTCTCTCTCCAGTTGCCAGCACCGATTCACAGCCTGCAACTCCAGGGGCTTCTAGTTCCAGGCTTATCTATCATGTGCTATGAACTAATTTTCTGGTCTATATGACTTCTTCCAGGAGGGCCTAATACACAGGAAGAAGAAGGCTTCAAAAAGTCCCAAACCAAGACAACATGTACATAAAGATTTCTTTTCAGTTGTAAATTTGTAAAGATTACCTTGCCACTTTATAAGAAAGTGTATTTAACTAAAAAGTCATCATTGCAAATAATACTTTCTTCTTCTTTATTATTCTTTGCTTAGATATTAATACATAGTTCCAGTAATACTATTTCTGATAGGGGGCCATTGATTGAGGGTAGCTTGTTGCAATGCTTAACTTATATATACATATATATATATTATAAATATTGCTCATCAAAATGTCTCTGGTGTTTAGAGCTTTATTTTTTTCTTTAAAACATTAAAACAGCTGAGAATCAGTTAAATGGAATTTTAAATATATTTAACTATTTCTTTTCTCTTTAATCCTTTAGTTATATTGTATTAAATAAAAATATAATACTGCCTAATGTATATATTTTGATCTTTTCTTGTAAGAAATGTATCTTTTAAATGTAAGCACAAAATAGTACTTTGTGGATCATTTCAAGATATAAGAAATTTTGGAAATTCCACCATAAATAAAATTTTTTACTACAAGAAATATTTTGGCTCATGATCTTTTAAAATAACACCCCAATGGAATTACTGTTCATTGACATGAAATCTTTACATGTGAGCTGAAAATACTTAAACAGTTGGCTTTTCAGATAAGTCTGAATATTTACCATTCTCATGTACCCAGTTTAGGTCCTGTTGATGTCACAAGTGAAAATGTCATATTTTCATTTTAAATATATTTCAAGTGAACCTGCTAAATGAAACTTTTCCTTTATCTTAGAACTGTACCATATACTATCAAGTCGTTTGTGTGTGAAGGGAAGATAGAGGTTATTCAGGACAGTAACACATGCTTTTTTAAAAAAGACTATACAACATCACATCATTTTAATAACTATAGTACAACAGAAGGCATGAGTTAAATCATATTTACTTTTACTACCTGCCTGAAAATATCTTGATAATATATACTAATATTGTCAATAAAATATTTAAAGGTATTGGGCTGATTTTTTTTATATTGCTAGAGTGCCAACATAAGAAAACTTACACAAATTATACTGAAGTGAGACAGACTTGAGTTTTCTTCCTTCTTTTTACAGCCTTTTAAACTTTATTGTATTAATCATATCATGTATGCGTGTGTGTGCATGTGTGTATGTAAAACAGACTTGTCTCATATTCATCACCCTAAATCTCCTCTAGAAAGAACTGATATGAAAAAATTGAACAATTAAGTGGAAAATTAGGTTGAGACAATGATTGGGATAATTATCACAAGTTTACCATTGAGAGAGATTTTAAAAAGAGATTCTTAAAGTATCTAAAGTAGCTATTCACAGAGAACAAATATTGATAATTGTTTAATCCTCTTATATGTACATTGATTTAAAATTCCTAAGGATTTGTGGTTACATACATTAATTTAAAAAAAGCATACAGACTCTTTACTAGAGCTTGGCAATGCTACTGTTCTCAGGAAGGTTTCTCTTTCTCTCTGGTGTGATTTGCTCATGCTTATGCAGTCATGAAGCTTAAAGGAATGGGAATCATTCCATAAGGGAGGTATAAGGGCTGAGTTAAAAAATATGATGGCCACTGTCACTCTGTTAGCATCATGGCCTGACAGGGAACGCTGACTTTTAGCACACAGATATAAGTCTTTACTCATGATTTCAGAGTGTGAGGATTTTACATGAAAAGAATTCAAGAGGGCATGATAGAGATTTGTGTATATGTCCAACATAAGTCTGGGTTATCCACTTTTGTTAGAAACTGTGCTAGGTACATTTTCTCCTTTTGATACTTCTATGGAGACATTGGAGATTTGTTTTTAATAGGATCAGACAGGAAAAAAATTCAAATATTGGTTTAGTTTTTTAAACTTCAATTTTTAAACACATTACCATATTTTGTTTCATTTAATATAATTAAGCAGAAAATATGAAATTTTTGGTTCAAATGAATGAAAATTAAACTTTTTCAAATCAAATCTCAATTGCTTTATAACTTTGCAAGCATACCTAATATTCTCAATGAATATGATAATGATAATTTGAAGTAGTTAGAGCCTTTTCAGTGGTCTGGATATAATACAAGGGGTGGTTAATGTACAATTTAAAACAATATTCTCCATGCCATGTTGCTCAATTAATCTCATTTTCAATGTACTAACATTGAAGGCTGATGTCTGCTCAGCACAACACAGCATTTGCAGTCATACATACTTCTTTTTAGACAAGGGAACTTTGGAAATTGGTTTTCCAGTGGTTCAGATCCAGAAAGGTCTTATTTTCTTTTAAAAAGCAGGGAAAAAAAAGAAATGGAACTCACAAAAAGATCGAAGTAAGGATGGGATTTTGTCATCTATAAATCTCCTGCAGTGAACACTTGGGTTTCTGAGTTTGTATTAGCCCACTTCACCTCAGCTGGTGGAAAACATGCAGCAAACCAACAGTCAGATTTCTAAGAGCAACTAGGACAATATTCCCTTCCCCGTCTGCAAGCGTGATGGGGAAGAGGTTTTCAGGAAGTGAGAGTCAAAAGAGCCTCCTTTCCTCTCATGGCTGCAAAATGCATGTTCCCTGAGTTATATATGAAAACCGAGTCCAGCGAAGTTATGGAAATTTGTGTGTGTTATGTGGATGCAAGTTGTTATATATATCCAGGTGTTGTGTCTTGATCGTCCTTATTTTCTTCTCCTTTGAAAGATGCAAGTTACATAAAATTAGTAGCCATATTCTACCCATAAATTCCCCTTTAAGATGGCATTCTTAGGAACACTTAATCTGAGAGTGGTATTTCCTGAAATTCTCTCTTTGGAGTTATAACAGTTACTAGATTAAACTGGTAATTTAATTCTCTGACTTGAAGAAGTGGTATTTCTGGAAATGATATTAGAGTACGGCTATTTGTAACTTCAGAAAAACCCTGCTTGAATGGCAAAGTGCTCCTGAAAATATCACCACTGAATGTTCCTACATTGTCACAAAAAGCACAGGATATCACATTTATTTCCTTTAAGAATTTTAATTGTATATATTTTAGTTGACTAGTGAGTTGGTTTATGATAAAATCATAAAAGTGAACACCAAAATTATTGTAGGGTCAAAATATTATGAAAATAATCCTTTGTAAAGGGGAAGTTAGCCAAATCTTATCTCTGTTTATGGTACAAATTCACTTCATTACAGATTAATCAGAAAATAGCGATACAGCAGCAACTGGCAAATATTGAGTGCTGTGCTTATCATTATGCAAATAAGAAAACTGAGGTTTAAGGGGTTTAATAATTTGCCCAAGACATAGCTGGCTATTTGGGCTTCTTTACATGTGTTCCAGGAGGCTCAGGCAGAAGTTAGAAGTCTTCTTATGATGTAGCATTGGAAGTGCCAGAACATTATTCCTACTACATTCTTCTGGTCAAGCAAGTTACTAAGGCCAGCCCAGAATCCAAAAGAAGCAAATTAAACTCTATTTATCAGGGAAGGAAATAGCAGTAAATTTGCATACATAGTTAATACTACCACAATGACTACTATATACTTGCTGTCTTTATTTCCTCACCTTTTATCCATTCCACTGACTGTAATCAGGCTTCTGCCTTTATGACTGTCCATGATCACTGGTAACCTTCAAACCAGTGGACTGTTCCAGTCCTGGGTGAAGCTTATCCCTATAGGCGTGATGTCTTTCCTGATCTTCAGTCCTATATATCCAACTGTCTTCTTAAAGTCTCTCATAAGTCTCAATGGCACTTCCAACTCAATGTATTCCAAATTAAACTCATCATCTTTCCCTTCTCTCCCTACTTCTAAACCTGGCTCACTTACAGTGTTGACACTCTCTGTGAATGAACTTACCAGTTATTTAAACAAGAAATTTAGGACATATTCTTGGTATCTCAATCTCTCTTACTCTCTTGTCTAATTCATTACAAAATCCTATGAGTTTACTCTTTACCCTTAATTCAAACTATGGCTATCTCATTTCAGGGATATCATAAGATCCTGTTAACCTGTCCCTCCATAATTACTTTAAATCTTCCACTTCTGGTGATGGCATCCATATTTTTCTGTGGAGACTGTTCCTTTCCTCTTTTCAGTTCATGTTGTTCACAGTACCACCTGGCTCTAGAAGAGTGAGCAAGTCATTCTTCTCTTACCATGAGTATATCCTCTTCCTTGACCATAATTATTGTTTCATAGATTCACATGTGACCCAAGTTGTTTAGTAAGTGTCCATCCTGGGATATTTGTTGGAACTACAGAGAAAAGGAGGTTCTCTTTCTGCTGGGGTGATAATATATGAGATTTTTTTATCTTATGTATCAGGCTGCCAGCTGTCATCTCACCCCCAAAAAAGTAGATCCTGCCTAAAAATAAAGCAATACAGTAGAAAGCAGAACTGTGATGCAGATATTCCTGAAAACATCATTGAGCATCCAGATCCCCAAATGCTTGAATATCTGCTCTTGGCTACACTTTACAATTTAGGAGCCGACACATGGTCTTTTTTCGTAAACCAGTATGAGTGGGAATTTTGTTAACTGAAACAGAAATAATCTTGTATAATACCACTCTTTGATCTCTTCTGCCTATTACAGCTACAGCAATTGTCTCAGAATATTCATCTGATTATGTCAACCATTCTGTTTTCCCTCCCAGCTTATTGCATGCAGGGTAACAAAACAGCAGACTCATTAACATGACCCTCAAAGTTTTGTGTGTCAGTCTCCTATCCACCTCTCTAGCATTATCTCTTTCTTGTCAAGTCTCTACTCTCTCCACTCCAGCCACAGAAGTGACTTTTATCAGTCATCATATTCCTTTTGCCAAAGAGGTTTTATATATTCCATTATCTCTGTCTGAAACCTCTTCTCCCCTCTACTTCACCTGGTCAATACCCACCCATCTTTTAAACTGCAGCTCAGGCGTCAATCTAAGGCAAGTTTTCCCTGAACTCTCATACAGTATCAGGTACTCTTAGTCTATGCTCTCAAAGTACCATGTATCTTTTCTCTGTGTTATGTCTCATCATTAAAATTATGTATTAATTTTTGTGATGATTAACATTTGTTTCCTCCTTTATGAAAGCAAGAAGACCTGTTCTTTTCCAACTCTGTTGTCCCCTGGATTATAGTAGGAAATATTTACAGTTATGCATACATACATATAATATATATGTATATGTTATCCTACTATAGTAGGATAGATTGTGTGTGTGTGTATATGTGTATGTATGTATATATATAAAATAAATGAACTGACATTTCTGAAGCATTTTTTGTTGTGGAATGTACTTTCTTTTTTCAAAAATCTTCATAGGATTCCTTAACATCATTTTCTATTTTTCTACTGGTTCTCTTAGTTTTCTGTTTTATGTTAATTTCTTGCACTGACTTCTCTTACTCTGATTAATTGTTATATGTTTGTTTCTTAGGTTTCTGTTATGTGGACACCTCTCTTTTTGGTCTGCTGTAGTCCTTTCAATTCCCATAGCTTCACCTCCTATCTGTCTTTTATTGCAGAGATGTTTCTACTGTTGCCTCATTAATACTCTCTTCTTAAGGAAGCTACCCCACATGCAGCTTCTGTTTGGCCTGACTGGTCTTTTAAATAATAGTTAATCAGTGAACAATAGGCACCTGACCTGAGGGCAACCAATATATAGACTAAGCAATATTTATGAACTGCATAGTTTAATTCAAATATGTGCTTTGAGATAAACAGACTGTTTCACAGAGAAATAAATCATCGGTTAACAATGAGAATTAAATTGAAGTCATGATATGGATGGGCCTAGAGAGATTAGGATGGGTCATACACAGGCTGAAATTACAGGGGAATAGAAGAGGCCAGTGGAAAGTAGTGTAAGGTACATTCAGAGACAGAATAGGGCATAGTACCCACTAAGTGCCTACTATTGTCCTACTGAGGACTTGGGTAAAAGCTGAGGTTAAATCCCAGCTTTACCACTAATTAGCTGAGGGAACTTAGGTAAGTTGCTTAAATTCTCAAAAGCTGTTTCTCATTTATAAATGTGGATAATAGAACATAATAGAATATAAATCACAGGAATTGTGAATATTGCATGAGATAAAACATATAAAATGCTTAGCCTAGGGACTAATACATAACAAATATTTATCAAATAGTAATTCAAAAAGGAAAGTATAATGGGTTGAGGCTTAGAATAAAGACTCACAAACTCCTTATGTGGGACTCTTTGGAACTATCTTGATTCTCAAAATATCTTCCAGCTTTAGTAGCTATGGGCTCAAGTGGTTCCTTTTATTACTCCTCATGTCTCCTATATATGAAATAGCTTGAGTGGATCTGCAACTAAAAGAATCACATTAAAACATCTTCCAAATGCTCATCTGCAGGTTTCTCTACAGAGGGCCATTCATATTTTTAAATGGCCAACTAAACATTTCCCCCTTGGTGTCAATCTCAATATGGACAGAACTGAATTCTTCTTCTTATTCTACACATTTTATTTCATTGCGTGGCATCATTTGATGAAAGTTTTGGAATTATTTTAGATTCCTCCCTTTCCTCAAAGCAATTAGTTTAGTTTGCTGGGAACGTAAGGCAAAAGGGAATTGTAAAGGTAATAGTAGTAGTAGCAATAGAAACAAAACTGTATTTCTTCAGGAAGCATGATTTTTCACACTGTAACATTTGTAAAATCAGCCTGGGTTTTATGGTTTTTGCCTACATTTAATGAAATAGGACTTCTTTTTTAGGCAAAAAGTTGTTTCAAGTTGAACCTCTTATGATCAATGGGATTTTAGAGTCAAGGAAATGTGGTATTAAGATTAAGAAAAGAAATTTATCAAGGACAGTTATTAAACATTTCTTTTTTTACTAGAAACTGGGTTTGACATGTATTACTAATGTTGATCACTGGTTGATTAGAAAACTACCTCCATTCATAGAGTGACTACTATGACCTGGAAGTGTTTTTGGGTCTGATATGCATTATATATAAACAAGCATAAAAACAGCTCAGGTAATTGGGTATTACTGACTCCAGGCTACTGCAGGGTAAGGGGTTACACATAGAGAGTGTGTGTAACATGATCAAATACAAGTGGGGTTCTTATAACACTCCTATTACAGCTCTATGCAGCCACGAAAGTTCAGTGGAAACCTGAGGCAAGGCAAGTATTTTGAGCAAATAACTAAGATTTTGAAAAGGGTATTTTAGTATTCTGGTATTTTGGAATGAGGAGAGAATAGAGTCAGAAGGACTAATTAAGAGGATTTTGTAGTAGCGCATACATAAGGTGATGTTCTACATCCCTCGCTGAGTTGTACAACACAAGGGGGGTGCTCAATGAAAGTTGATGACTGATTGAACCACTGAGGTTCTGTCTGCCTGATGCCAGACATCTGGATATAAAGATTAAAATCCAGTCATCCAGATGTTAAGGTTACATGATATGTCACCATCAAACATTTAGAAACTTTTAACTGATTGACTGCCTTTTTTACTTTTCATCCAGATAAACAGCATTGAATTAACTCATCTGAGCATGTACCAATTACTATTCTTTTTTTTTCTTTTAACTAGGGAATGGTTAATCAGGTTGGCAATACTGATGAGTCACTAAAAAAGGAATGGTGGCATAACAAACAGGTAAATATGAAAATAAGCAAGAACAAGTAAATAATGAAGAAAGTGAAAGCTTCTTCTTATCAGAGATGCATTTTAAAGACTCTTTATTGTGGCTTCTCTTCTTTACAGATAAAAAATTTTCATCGGGTTGAGTGTTTCAACATTACAGCATTATACTTCTCTATGTAACTATTGTGTTTTCACATCAAAGCTAACTCTGAAAATATTTCACAGGCAATTAAATGTTAACACTTTCCTTCTGTTAACACTTTGTGTGCTCAGTTAAAATGTGATATAAAAAGTGAAGAACTGTAATCGCATATTCAGGTCACTAAAAGTAAATATTATTCTACTAAAGAACTATATTGTATGAATGATGTGTTTTAAGAATCCCAATTTTGATAAAACCATAGTGTTATAATCAAGTAATGGTGATAATGTAAAATAAATACATCTTTTTTTTTTAATTGAGATGAGGTCTCACCCTGTTGCCCAGGCTGGAGTGCAGTGGCATGATCATGGCTCATTGCAGCCTCCACCTCCTGCACTCAAGCGATCTTCCCACCTCAGCCTCCTGCGTAGCTGAGACCACAGGTCCATGTCACCATGCCCAGCTAATATCTTTGTTTTTGAAAAATGAATCCCCAAATTAAAGTATATATAATTTGAAAATAAGATCATTAATTTATCATTGAAGATAATGCTTTTTATTCAAACCAATTCTATGTCCAGATACTAAACTGACTTGTTAAGTGACAGTTCAAGTAAAACAACTAACTGGTTGTTTTGTATGCACTATGATAAAGAGATTGACTGTTTGGGGTTGGATATTCTTTTCTTGAAGAAATTACTGATTTTAAAGTTACTCTTTGTAATCATTTGTTTGTTTTTTTATTATCTGAATAGGGATAATCAGAGCTGGGAAGATGAGCTATCTACACAGGGAAGTGACAAGGAGAATTGAGATGATTTCTTGGGTCACTAAACCCAAAACTCCATTAACTTTAGTTAGTAACACATTTTGGAGGCAGAATTAGTTTGTGGCTAAAGAATATTAAGAGTATGGTTTTATATGTTTGCTTTTTTTTCTATTAGTTTATGCATTCCCTGAATGCAGAACTGGTCCCTCAATCCCTAGTACTTTGTCTTGATTCAGACACAAAAACGGTATAAAATAAATGTTAATTGAATAAATTTTTGTATTGTCATACAAATTTATACACATGAGTAAGATCTCTGTAGGAGGAATTTAAATTTCTTTCCATCTATACATGTAGATCAGAAAAGCCATCCTGTTTTAAATGTTATAATCTCTTTCAGAAAGACAGGATATATGATATGAGTAGTCCCATACAAATTTAGAATGAATTCAATATTAAAAAATGAATATCTTCTGCAAGGACAGCATCATTACAATCACAGATTTAATAATAGAGTTAGAAATAGTTGCATTAAAAAGTTTGTGAACAATTGAATGGCAGAAGTATTTTTTTAAATAAAGTTACATGAGGAATTTTGAAAGTCTTTCAGGCTTGCTAAGTTGGAGGGATAAATAGTCTTTAACATTGACATATTGCCAACTCAGGGCATCTAAAAGCCCTTTTTAAATTACATATAAACAAAAATCATTTCACCCACCTCTGGGCTGGAATGTGACAGCTGCTTAAAGTAAGCATAGCAACACTACACAACATTGTCAAACAGGATGAATGGGCTTAACTAATCAAAAATAGAGCATCAAAGTAAAACTGCTCAAATTAGATTTCTGGCCAGGACAGAAAGGTTAACTGTTCTGTACTGGTATAAAGTCCTTACGATCCTTGATGACTGCAGGATTCATGTCAGTATTGCCAATCAAATTCAAGATGTGATTTGACAACTTAAGAGTTTTTTAATATCACACTGGGGACTTTTTATGGTCTTTTGATCCAACATGAAGAATCTAGAAAGCAATACTTATGATAGCTAAGAGAATAAGCTTTGAAGAGTGACCCTGGTCAAGTCACAAGTTCTTGTTTTATAAATTAACCAATCTACTTTCCCTCCTGCACGTACAGTCCTCAATACCCACCTTCTCAAGATAGTTTTAGGATGAGTTATATATAATATGTACCATGCTCTGAAATCAGTTCCTAGTACAGAGAATGCACACCATACTTGGATCTGATTGTCTTTAATCTATTAATGATCAGCAGAATTCATATAAAACGCTGAGGGAAGGAGTTGTGAGAAATATTTTCCCATATACTAAATTTTTCTTAACCTAGGGATCTAAAAAATTGTTGGCTCAACTGATAGTCTGGTTTAATTTAAGATGCTTGAGCAATAGTGATAGACTAACTACCATAGCCAGAAGTTGTTCAGGCAGAACTAGAGAAAACATAAACATACTAATTTTCCCTTTTTTTATTCCTGCCTAAGCAATAAATACTTAATCAAAATTCAAAAATGAAGTTTCGAACTGTTTAGCAAATGCTAGGATTTCCAAGCAGATACTAATGTTCGTATGGAAATTTATAGATTGCTCTATTATAAAAGTTACTTAAATAAATTACCTAAAATAATTATTCATTTTATTTTTGGCTAATTTAAAGTTTTAATAAAATCTTATTTTAACAGCAGAGATTATATCTTCTTTACCCCATCTACCTTCTGAAATTTTGTCTTTATTTTTTGAATTATTAACTGAAGATTCTGTAATTTTAAAATGTTTTCACAATAAAAACTTAACTCTGGAATATCAGTAAATATGGGAGCATATAACACCTAAGTATGACTAAAACTATTTTCTAGTGATTCTTAGAGAAAAATATGCAAGTTATATTCTGAAATCATGTACTAGTGACTGGTATAAGTGTTCTACAATCATAGTATTCCTCAATCCATCTAGGTTCAAATGCCTACTCCTGCATAAGTGATAAGATCAGTTTTAATTCTTGCTAGAGTGTAGTAGGCAAAGCCATACTTTTTAAAACCAACGTGTAACAAAACAGAGTGCTGTGTCAAGACTTCTCACTCACTGAAGTTATAATACGTAGGATTCTGTTAGTCTAGTCCTCTCCGGAGGTTAATTCTTAAAATTGCAGCTATTAAGTTTCATGTGTTATATTTACTGTGGAATTTGAAAACATTGACAAAGGGTTGAGCATCTCTGGTATGTCCATTCTAGCTTTGCTTAATGAGCCACATCACTTGCTGATAAGTTATATGAAAGACTTCTATTTTTATGGGGTTTTCTTTACTACTTTACGTATTTGCTTCCAGTAAATGTTCAGCGAAAAGTAATGACATTCTATAGGATTCTACAAATACTATAATGTACCACTTGTACTATTTATTTCCAGTTATCAACATACAAAGAAAGACAGTATACATTTGGATGAGGGAATTATAGATATATTAATAATTGCCCCACTGTTTTTAATTTTTTTCCAAGTCTTCTAAACGGATATTTTAATAATGGAAACAAAACAGTTTCACAGAAAAGTATATAAACTCTCCTTCTATGGACATTTTCCAATCTGTAATTTCCTTTTCAGTTAGTCAACTTTTGAAAGCAGCCCTAATGTTTCATGTGCTGTTTGCGCATGGGTACGTTGAATCTCATTAGATTTGACTGAAAGACAGAAGGATAAGTTGGGGTAGAAGAGAGATATCTAGAGGGTGGACATTGGGATGCTTACCAGTCTTACTAAAACCCCACTGAGATCATACAGAACCCTGGCAAAAAGCTTTGTGATAGATAATTGGAGTGTATCTCTTTACCCAATTCCCCAGTGATCACTCAGACCACTCCCTACAGATTTGCTCTTCCCCAAAGGTACTATTTATACTCAGGCAATCTCTGACAAAGACCATGCTAATTTAAAGATAGAAAAGTATTAATTTCAATCACAGAATTTATTCCAAGTCTATTTTAAGGTCAAGAATAGATACTGATAATTGTGACAATAACTCTGCTTTTCACTAGCCTTGCAATGGAACTATTAGTTTTAGTTTACTGCAGTATAGTAGCTTATTTTAAACCCCTTTCCAGAATTTGTATTAATTTTTGCAATTATACAATGTCTCACTTATATATTCAAAAATCTAGTCAAAATTCAAATGTGGGTTTATTATCTAGTCTTTTTTTTTCCAGTGAACAGAGACATCTCCTCCTGAAAAAATTAACAGATACTTAAAGAAATTTGGAGAACATGTCAGAAGTTCTAGGAAAAGACTAGTCTTTTCTGAAGGCTAGCAATGAATCACTTGGAAAGTTTCATAATACCTACAAAAAAAATGATATACACTTCATGTAAATTTTTCTAATAGATTTACAGAAAAATTCTTTCCAATGAAAATGGTAAGGCTGGGCATGGAAACTCATGTCTGTAATCCCAGCACTTTGGGAGGCCAAAGCAGGCAGATCACTTGAGTCCAGAAGTTCAAGACCAGCCTGGGCAATATGGTGAAACCTCATCTCTGCTAAAAAATACAAAAAATTAGCCAGGCATGGTGGCACATACTTGTAGTCCCAGCTACTCAGGAGGCCTTGAGGATCACTTGAGCCTGGACTGTTGAGGCTGGAGTGAGCCAAGGTCATGCCTCTGCACTCCAGCCTGCTGGGTGACAAAGTAAGACCCTGTCTAAGAAAGAAGAAGAAGAAGAAGAGGAAGAGGAAGAGGCTCAAAAAAAGAAGCTCAATGAATAAAATGTTTTGGTGAGACCCTGCTAAGTTAGAAAATTAGAATATAGGAAATTGTTGGGAATGAGATTTTGTGGCTTCCATAGTAAGTCTGGCCAGAGGAGAAAAAGAGACAGAGAGGTTACCTGGAATACATTTCTCCATTCCTTCCCTCTCCCTCCAAATCCTTTTCTAGGTTTTTGCTCTTGTTTTTATTATAGTGGCATATACCTTCATATTTCAAATATCCTCCCAGAGAATTCTGAATCCCAAATAACTGTGAGTAATGCCTGTAATGCTTGCCTTCTAAAGGATTTAACCTAGGCTGCATAGTTTATAGCTGATAAACTGGGAGTCAATCTTTCACTGCAATGATGTATTCGCTGCACTAAGAATCATTTCCATTGTAAATTAATTCTTGAAATGTTGGGTCATAAATGTCATCAGTATCATTACCTAGTCCACTCCCAGAAGCAGCGACTCTGTCAGTTTGCTGCAGGTGTTGGCTTCTAAAAGGAAGGTGCTCCAAACAAAACGCATTAAACCATGACTCCATTCTTAAGGGCAACTCCTTTCAAATGCCTTTTTACTTTATGCTGCTTGGCGGAGAGATTAATGGATGCCATTTCTGATATGCAACTGGCTTCAGGGTTTTTCCTGTGCCCTTTCAGAAAGAGATACTCTTGAGTGCCTTTTAACAAATATATTTCCCAAATGTTCCTTCTTTAGAAGGCTACTCTAAATTTAGTCAGAATTCAACTTCTTCTGCATCTGCTTAGAATCAATGGGCCTAAAATACAACGACTCATCAGTGTGTAGAGAACATACTAGGAATTACGTGAAGGATAAGAATCAACAAAACAGGACTGCCCTTGAGGAACTTAGGGTTCTGTAGGGTGAGAAACAATCTTACCCTGAAGAATCAAGAAAGAAATAATAAGCGAAACCTATTTCAGGTATAAGTTACTTAGGGCACTCCTCACACATTTGGAGATGTTAACTAAAGTTTCCAGTAAGTTTATTCACAGTTTGGTGCTTTCTGGGGAACAAATGTTCTTGAGGAAATCAGAACAACATGAAAATATACATTCTGAACATATATTTTCTTGAAGAGTACAAAATTGGAATGTTGATTCCACAATTTCTATGCGTAACAGAAACGAATTTTTAAAGTAGTTCATCTGTTTTTAGATGTTCCCTTATTTTCAGACTTCCCAGATTAATTTAGCAGAGTATGCATGAGATAGCCCTAAAGCTCAGCATGCATCAATCTGGTGAAAAACTTTAGGTTCAGCAAAAGAAAACTGTTGTTTCTATAACCCATCTTCTGATTTTGTAGTCAGGAAAAATTGGAAACAAGTGTCCTGCTCCTTAAAAAAGTCAGTAGGGATATGTGAAAAGCCATTCAACTGGAAGCAGATGTCTCATAAAATAATTCTAATTGGTGCTCAGTTAGTTTAAGGCAGGGGTGAAAAACTGTTGCCCCTCAACTCCTGATACGTATTTATATTCCTAGAGCCAGAAGGACATTAAGTGCACTACCTTGTGTTGATAACAAGTATTTACTGAGCATCTACCTTGAGATAGTCACTGCGATTATCTCTGGACCTGCATCATTTTACAGGTTATGGAAACCAAGGCTCAGATAAATTAGGGAGTCACCACAAATTTGAAATAAGTAGTAACAAACAGATCATGCCGTTTGGCTACGCTGAAATCATTTTTGATTTCAAATAAAAAATGAAAACTTTAAAAATCCATATGTTAAATTTTAAAACTAAAACTACCTGTATAAGTAATTTAGGGGGTAAGGCAAAGATTTAAATAGATATTGGAAAACCTTAGAACTGAATGTTTAGTATATCAAAATTTGTAAGATACAAACTGCCAGCCAGGTCAGGTGGCTCATGCCTGTAATCCTAACACTTTGGGAGGCTGAGGTGGGCAGATCAACTGAGGTTGGGAGTTCCAGACCAGCCTGACCAACATGGAGAAACCCCATCTCTACTAAGATTACAAAATTAGCCGGGCATGGTGGTGCATGCTTGTAATCTCAGCTGAGTAGCTGAGATTACTCGGGAGGCTGAGGCAGGAGAATCACTTGAACCTGGAAGGCGGAGGTTGCAGTGAGCTGAAATCATGCCATTGCACTCCAGATTGGGCAACTAAGAGTGAAACTCTGTCAAAAAAAAAAAAAAAAAAAGATACAAACTGCCAAATATCATATTAGAAATCAATACTAAAATTTAGTTAACTATTTGACCAAATTAAGAAATTATAAAAATAATAAAATAACAAAAAATTACCAAAAAATTTAAAAATTACAATAGAACAAAAATAATAAAATATAAAATGTAGAATAGATAAGCCTTTATTAATCAAGATAAAATGGAAGTGGTCACAAACATTTTAGGAATGAGAAAGCTGAGAGTTTTGAATGCTATTGTGATTTTAAAAATGAGATTAATATGCAAAAAATCGCATGAAACATAAAATTATATACAATATAGGTAATTTCCTAAAACAATATAACTTTTAAAAACAGATAAAAAAGAACTAGAAAACTGTAATAGTCTTATATCTTTAACAAAATTAAATCTATAGTGACAAATATCCTAACAAAGAAAGTACCACATCCAGATAGTTTTAAGGACAAATTCTACTAAACCTTCAGTATTATATATTCTTTTTTTTTTTTTTTTTTCTTTGAGGCGGAGTCTCGCTCAGTCGCCAAGGCTGGAGTGCAGTGGCGCGACCTCGGCTCACTGCAAGCTCCGCCTCCCGGGTTCAAGCGATTCTTCTACCTCAGCCTCCTGAGTAGCTGGGATTACAGGCACCTGCTACCCTGCCCGGCTACTTTTTGTATTTTTAAGTAGAGATAGGGTTTCGCCATGTTGGCCGGGCTGGTCTTGAATTTCTGATCTCAGATGATCCACCCGCCTCGGCCTCCCAAAGTGCTGGGATTATAGAAGTGAGCCACCGCGCCCGGCTTATATATTCTGTTATTTAACAGCAAAAGGTTGGGCATTCTTAACTTGTCTTATGCAGTTGTGAGATAATAGCAGTACGAGAGGAAAAAAAGATCACAGCAAGCTATTATTATTTATGAACATAGAGGCAAAATCCTAAACAAATATTAGCAAACTAAATTCAAGTTGGATTTATCTCAAATAAGCAATATTTTTTACATTTACAATAATTTATTAATATAATTTAATACATAGAGATTAAAGTAGAAGAAATGAAACGATCATTTCAATAGATGGAGAGGAGCATTTTGCATAGAAATGATTTGAAAATTAGCAAAGCAGGCATTAAAAACATCTTCTTTATCCCGATAAAGGTATCTACAAAAAACTCAAGACAGACATCATATTTAATAGTAGATTTTCAGAAGCATTCTCTTTTATATTACAAAAGGAAGCTTGTCTACCAGCACTGGTTTTATTCATAGCTGTATTTGATGCGCAGCTATAGAAGCAATGTAAGGAAAAGAAATGGTATAAGAATTAGAAAGCAAGAAACAAAATGGCCTTTATTTGCAGAAATACAATTGGCTGTGTAGGAAACTTAGATATTAACCAAATTATTAGAGCTAATAAGAATTTAAACAGCTTGTTAAATGTCAGATCTGTATCTGAAAATTAATTGCATTTCTATACGCATACAATAAAAATGTAATGTTCCCATTTACAAGAGGAACAAAAAGTAAAAAAACACCTAAGAATAAAGCTAATAAAATTATTCCTGACATTTTTGGAGAAAATTATAAAAAGAAATTCAGGAATATCTAAAAAAAAATAAAGCTATACTGTCTCCGCAAATAGAAAAATGTGAGGCTGGGCGCGGTGGCTCATGCTTATAATCCCAGCACTTTGGGAGGCTGAGGCTGGCGGATCACTTGAGATCAGGAGTTCGAGACCAGCCTCACCGACATGGCAAAACCTTGTCTCCAATAAAAATACAAAAATTAGCTGGACATGGTGGCAGGCACCTGTAATCTCAGCTACTCGGGAGGCTGAGGCATGAGAATCACTTGAATCCGGAAGGTGGAGGTTGCAGTGAACCAAGATCATGCCATTACCCTCCAGCCTGAGCAACAGAATAAGACTCTGTTCTTACTGTTTTTTTCTTTTTTCATTTTTTAATCACATTTACTCTATACATTCAATACAACTTCACTAGTGAATATGATGAACCAACTCTAACATTTACAGGAAATAGTAGAATTAGTTCATCATATTCAGAGACAAAAGATGGGGTTCCTTGTTCTACAAGAGTTACTATAAGAGATACAGTAATTAGACAGTTTGACATTGGTTATGTGACAAATAGACAAGTAGGGCAAAAGAAAACAACAGAACGCCTCAAAATAAATAGACCCGCCTCTATGTGGACACTTTATTACAATGATGGCATTTGAAGTTCAATAGTAAAATTGTTAGTCTTCAATAAATTACGCCTGTATATTTTATTATTGGAGGAGAAGGGAAGGGAGGAGAAGGGAAAGGAATGGAAAGGAAGGAAAGGAAGGGAAGGGAGGAAGAAAGGAAAACACAAGAAAAGTTCTACCTCCAAGTAGAATATAAATGTGAGAAACAAAACTTTTAAAAGAAAAAATAGAAGAATATATTTGTGATGTTCAGGTAGTAGCAGATTCTTACATAAAATATAAAGTAGAAAAAAATGATAAATTCTTCCACATTATAAATTTTAAGTTTTGTTCATCAAGAGATGTAATTTTTAGAAGTGAAAATACAAGTGACAAGAAGGAAACAAGAAGAAGATATTTACAATATGTAACCAAAAAAGGTTGTATTTTCTATGTTTATTACATGTATATAATCTTTTCAAATCAAAAATAAGAAAGTAAACAAATTAAAAAATAGGTAAAATATATAACATGGAAAATCACAAAAGAAGAAACTTGAATGGCCAATAAACATGTAGAAAGTTAGTCAATTTTAGCCAGGTGTGGTGGCTCAAGTCCGTAATCCCAGCAGCTGGGGAGGCCGAAGTGGGCAGATTGCTTGCCCCCAAGAGTTTGAGACCAGCCTGGGTAACATAGTGAAACCCTGTCTCTATTTACTAAATTTTATAATAATGAAAGAAAAAAAAAGAGGAAAGTTTCTCAACCCCATTTGAAATTAAGAAATTACAAATCAAAACTACAATTGGTTATTATTTTATGCATACTAGACTGGCAAAAATTAGTCTGTGACTATTATGCAACATATACATGCAGCAAAATTGCATTTGTATCCCATAAATTTATACAAAAAAGCAACTGACAACCTCAGATGTTGGTAAGGATGTGGACTAATGGAAACTCTGCTACACCGCCATTGGGAGTATGAATTGGCACAACCATTTGAGAGAATAATTTGGCCTTAACTAGTAATTTTGATGATGCACATAGCCTATGAGAAACCAGTTTTATTTCTAATTATGCAAACCCTTGGGCAGAGGTCTTTAGACTGAGTTGCCTATATATCTCGAAGTACACAAAAGCATTCCAAGTGTATGAAATGACAGTTTTAAATTAATAAATTTTTAGATCTCCAATTTCCACATAGATGCTTTCCTAAATTTGGTATGCACAAGAACATCCCTGGAGAAGCTTTTCATGTGTTCATTTCCATTTCCCCTCTCACAATAATCTTTCTCTTACTTTGTAAGTCAAAGGCGTCTTCTCACACATCCTGAAATTTACTATATAGTACATCAACCCCAGGTGTAAAAATCTCTAGGGTGCCGAATAATGAAACAACTTAAAATACTGGTAAATACATAAGGAAAGTGAATAACTTTATTAATATATATGTATTTTTATTAGGAAAGTGAATAACTTCTATCTAGCTTTGTCATGTCAGAAGGTTTCTAATAATTTGCTTTTATTTAATTTAACAGAGGACTGAATCAAGGTATTTGCTAATAGTTCATTAAAATGTTTTATCATAAATCACTAAGTGATTTTGACATTTAACTCAGAAACAGTTCAATGAATTGAATGATATTAATCCAAAAATCTTCTTCCATTCATATGTACTTAGGAATGTGAATAAGATTTGTTAGTGCTTATTTTTATGGGAAAAAAGTAGAATTGATCTAGACCTTGTCTTATTCTAGCTGTAAGTAATAGTCATCCTTGGATACATGAATTGTCTAAGGAGGCCTCCCCTTTTCCCCCTGAAAAACCCTGTGTATTTTATTGAGATATTTCCAATATAAATTTTACTCTCTAAATTTAAGAATTATCAAAATGTGCAATACATTAGTTGTTTTGATCAATTATATATTACTATTAACTGTAAAACCATAACTTAATTCTGAATAAATTTTTAACACTTAGTATTTTATAGTCAGAGGAAGTTTTCTTTTTAAAATTTAAATTATATGTGTACTTTTTTTA
This sequence comes from Homo sapiens, assembly GCF_000001405.40. NCBI lineage: Eukaryota > Metazoa > Chordata > Mammalia > Primates > Hominidae > Homo > Homo sapiens. Next base: position 80,737,832 of record NC_000012.12, read on the forward strand.
AGAGACAGGATCTTGCCCTGCTGCCCAGGCTGGAGTACAGTGGTATGATCATGGCTCACTGCAGCCTTGACATTCTGGGCTCAAGTCGTCCTCTTGCCTCGGCCTTCCAAGTAGAAAGGACTACAGGTGTGCACAACTATGAATGGCTGATTTTTAAATTTTTAGTTTGTAGAGATGATGCCTCCCTATGTTGTCCAGGTTGGTCTCAAACTCCTGGGCTCAAGTGATCCTTCCATCTCAGTCTCCCAAAGTGCTGGGATTATAGGCTTGAGCCACTGTGCCCAGCCTATATGTACTTTTGTTGTAGATAGTTATCAGAGTGAGATCAATAAAAGAAGTTGAATCATAAAAATTGATCACATAAGATGATGTGGGTAAAACAAATGGAAATACAGTCTGAGAGATAAAGGTTATGTTCTAAAGTTAATGTATTTTGAGTGGAATCAAAATATAAATATCAGGCCATATGATGTGTACTAAGAGTATTATTTCTTAAAAATGTTATTTCAGTTATATACATGTGTGTTTATGTGTGTGAGTATGGGTGGGTCTGTGTATGCATATTGAATCATAATGTAAAAATATGTTTTCATTCGAGTAGCAGCAAAAATTGCCTTGACCCAGGTGACTCTGATGCAGCAATCCACATTTTGAGAAACAATTACCTGGGGGTGGTAAGGGTGAAGGAGAAAATATCTAAGACTTTGGCTTCCAAAAACTACATTTTAATGTATATTAATTATATATGTATATATGTATAAAATTATTTAAGAACTTGAAATACATAATAGGGAATCCAGACCTTAATGCCTGAGAAGGAATCAGTAGCAAAGTATACAGTTTTAGGAGGCTGTGCGGTAGAGACCATACTCAATAGCCAGAAGAACACTGAACTTTTAAAATAAACTCCAAGAAAAGAAACAAACACATGCAAATTCCACAGTAGCATGCGTTAGCTTGATGGGGAGAGAATGCCTACCTGCTAAAGCAAATATATCTGGCCCGTACGAAAGCAGAGACAGGAGGGTTGGGGCTGAAAGTGGGGAGACTCAGGCTATAAACAACTGATAAAAATCTATCCCTTCACGTCTTACATTACGAACTTGGCACCCCTGGAGGTAGAGTCCAAAGTGGGGATTCATATACAAGTGGTTTATTAAAGTGCTCCCAAACAAATCTAATACGGAGGTGAGCAAATCAGAACAGGGAAGGGGAAGAAGCCAAGCAAGGGTGCAATTTCAGACAAAGCTCCAGTGTCAAGCTGATCACATGGGATCTCTGGAGTGCAAATTACAATTGACTCTTAAACAATGTACTGAATAGGGTACCAATCTTCCCACCCCATGAAGCTGAAAATTTGTATAGCTTTCGACTCCTCCAGAACATAACTACTAAAGCCTACTGTTGACTGGAAGCCATATCGATAACATAAACAGTCGATTAACACATATTTTGGATGTTATATGTATTGTATACTATATTCTTACAATAAAGTAAGCTAGAGAAAAGAGAATGTTTTTAAGAAAACTATAAAGAAGATAGAATATATTTACTATTCATTAAGTGGAAGTGGGATCATCATAAAGGTCTTCATTCTCATCATCTTCATATTAAGTAGGCTGAAGGGGAGGAGAAGGGAGGGGTTGGTCCTGCTGTCTCAGGGGTGGCAGAGGTGGAGACGGTGGAGAAGGTGGAGAAGGTAGAGGAGGTGGAAGGGGAGGCAGGACAGACAGGCACACTCTGTGTGACTTCTATTGAAAAAAATCCGCGTGCTGCTCAAAGGTCAGGTGTATATTTCAGAATGTGTTCTTACTAAGGGCAAAGGAACTGGGTTTTCATGCTTGAGCATCAAGCCAAAGTCATTGGCTAAAGGATCCCTTGGGGAGATGTGACCTCCCAGAAATTTCTTGCTCTCTGCACTTGTAGACAAAGTGTCTCTAGCTAAGGTCAGCTTTCTCTGTGTAGAAACAAGGCACACAGACCCTGTGGATGGGCACACAGGAAAAAAAGGATCAAAGGGGTCTGAGGGGACCTGCAGAGAACACAACAGCATCCACTATCCTTTAAAATAGTTTTCTCTCAAGAGGATGTTTTTGCAATAGAAAAAGCCAGTTAGGGTAAAGTGAGCTTGATAGGAAAATTTCCAGGGGCTCCTAGGACATTTAAAAAATAAAATCAGTCCCTTTCACTCAATAAAATTACTTTTTTAAAAAATATAGAGCTAGAACTGGAGCTGAAGTACTTAGGGTTTTATTATTCTAGTTTGCTTCATTTTCTTACCCAGTATAGGAATAGAATAACTTTGGCATGCCAGTGATATTACATAAGTATAATTTAATTAAATTGTACTTTATTAGCTATTAGGTACTGTTTGGCATAATTCAGAGGGAAGGATATATTTCTTGAATCAAGACTGAGCCCATGCCATGATGATTCTGCCAGTGTTCTGACTCTATCTCTAGCTACGGAAGAGGAAGACATCCAGGAGAAGTCTTAATAATAGAACACATTGGCACATAGAGGGAAACAACACACACCGGGGCATTTTGGAGGGTGGGAGGAGAGAGAGGATCAGGAAAAATAACTAAAGGGTACTAGATTTAATACCTGGGTGAGGAATAATCTGTACAACAAACCCCCATGACACAAGTTTACCTACATAACAAACCTGCACTTGTACTCCTGAGCTTAAAAGTTAAAAAAAATTAGTTATAAAAATGAAATAAATAAATGCAATAAAGAGGAGGATAAAAGTAATAATGTATATTAAATTAAATAATACTTTGATTAAAAAGTCTTAAACTCATTTTCTTTGGAATCAGCAACTATAAGTTTAATGATAAAAGTTGGTCTTTCCTATCGTGTATCAGCTAGAAATGCTTTCAGTTGAAAGTAACAAAACTCAACCTATAATGGTTAAATAAATATGACATAGTGGTTAAGCATAGATTTTGTAGATTCAGATCTTAGCTAGCAAACTTGAGCAAATTACTGATTTTTTCTTTTTAAATATTCTAATCTAACAAAAATGGAGATCATAATAGTATCTACTTTATATTTACTTGTGAGAATTACAATTACTACATGTAATGTATCTGAAATGTGCATGTATGTAAAAGAGTGCCTGCATTGTGGTAATATATAAGTAAATAACTTAAAATTTGTTTTAGTTAAGAATGACATAAAAATAATTTTACTGTCCTGAATTTCTGTTAATCTCTAGAAATAGTTGCCAAAGAAGGCAGAATCTGTTTCTCTCCCAAACAACCCAGGATTTATGTGTAGGAGAGTGAGAAATTAATTCTGTGCTTATTCATTTATAGAATTGGGACACTACACATTTCTTTATGTTCTGCACCTTGTTTAAAACAAAATGTAGACATCTTTCCACATAAGCATATATAAGCCTCTAAGACTTTTAAAAAATAGTGTAGCATTTCATCATATGACTATACCATCATTTATTTTGCTTGTCCCACAGTGACAAACATATAGTTTATTTACAACCAACACTGCAATGAATATTCTTGTATGTGGATCTTTGGATATTTATATGAAAATATTTAGAAGGTAAAATTAAGAGAGAAAGCATTTGACGTGGCCGTACTCTATGTAGACCACAACAGTAAAGATTAAGAGATTCAGGAAGATGAAAAAAATGGAGGAAAGTGTTAAAATTAGACATTTAAATATATCCCACATGATTTAGAACACTCCGTAGTTAAATTTAACTAAATGTGTGTTAAAAACTGGGATTGAATACTTTTAATTTAAATATTTAAAATTAAATTTAAATGCACGGGCAGAAATTCACTGTCAACCAGTTCTGCATGTGTATACAGTGCTTTCCATTAGTTTTTTAGAGCTAAGCTCCTAAATATGAGCAGACAAGCAAGAATCAGCAGATGCACCATGAAAAAGCCAAAATAAACAGAAAATAAAATTTTGGAGGACATAGCAACTATGCAGAGAGAAAAAACTTCAAACATGTACAAAAATATTCTCAGATTCAATCAACAAATATTTGACAACCCCCTATGTGTTAGGCACTAGGGATTCACCATTAAGTAGAAGAGAAAAAAGTTCAGCCCTCATGATGCTTAGAAATTATTGTATCATAAAAGAAGAAAAAAATCCTGTGAATAAAGAGATATTTGGAAAGCAAAAAGGAGCTCATGGAAATTAAAAATATGATAACAATGAAATAATCAAAAGAAGGATAGAACAATAAAGTTTAAAGAAAATAGAAGAGAGAAAATAGCAGAGAAAAGATCAGACATTTTATTGGACTGGGTCAGGCAGTTTAACATAAACATAATAGTAGTTCTAAAAAAGAAAAACAAACAAAAACAGAGGGAAGGAATAATTCAAAAAGTTCCAAATAATTCTTAAAAATTCCCCAGTAATAAAAATACAGAATTTTTCAGATCAAATCAATCTATTGAATGCCCGTGAATATTGACTCAAACCAGATAACATCAATATGCAATTTCAGAAAATTAAAAACAAAGAGAAGATTCTAAAATGTCCCAGAGAGAACATAGATTTTATATACCTAATCAACATCAGAAAGACAACAGACATCTCAAGAATAACGCAAAAAGGCAGAAGACAGCAAAGTAACACTCTCAGATTCTGAGTGAAAATTATATTTCCCATCTAGACTTTCTTTCTATTAACTGTGAAGGTGGAATAAGGACATTTTAGATAGATATGTACAATTTCAAAAAATTATATCTGGGCAATCTGTCTTTTAGAAAGTTACTGGAGGATGTGCTTTGTTAGTAGGAAGGGTTTACAAAGAACAAGTTGTAAGATCCATGAAACAGGAAATCAAACACAGGGAAAGCCTTTCTAAATCAAACACAGGAAAGGGAGACTTCAAGGGGATGGCTACTCAGCTGGATAATCTGACTAGAGCAAAAAAAATTCTGCACAAAGAACATCTTCAGGAAGATAAAACTAAAGAATACCTTCTGCTTTTAGATATATTGAGAAGACATTAACTAAATGTGGGAGAGTTGGGGAAAAATGAATGATGAACAAACACAACATCCACACAACAAACAAAACAAAAATTAATTCTATGGAAAATAAAAAGTGCAGGAAAGGAGGAATAATTCACACTCTACATCATCATTCTGAGTAGGACTTACAGAACTGAAAAACTGGGAGCAATCTGGGGACGGGGCTGACATTATAGGCTAGTTGCTAGATTTTATTTGCTTTTCTTTTTTAACATTTGACTTTGTTTTAGATTAAGGGGGTACATGTGTATGTTTGTTATGTGACTATATTTTGTACTGCTGGGAGTTGGGCTTCTAATGTACGCATTACCCAAATAGTAAGCATTGCACCCATAGGTAATTTTTCATCCCTTGCCATGCCTCCCCACCTTTTGGAGTCCCCAGTGTCTATTATTTCCAACTTTATGTTCATGTGTCCTCATTGTTTAGCTCCTACTTATAAGTGAGAACATGTGACTCTACCCAAAGATTTTGTCTTTGAATTTTAATTCAGGTGTTTGAGATTAGTTCTTCTTCTCTCTGATATATTGGAAAGAGCACTGGATTAGGAGTTATGACTTGCTTTGACAAATAAAATGTGGTATAAGTGATATTGTACGTGTTCCTGAACCTAGTACTCAAGAAACCTTGCAGCTGTCATCTTTCCTCCTTGTACCCCTGAGACTATCATGCTATAAAGAAGCTCAACCAAGTTTTCTTGAGGATAAAAGACTATGTAGTCAGAAGGGCCCAGCCATCGCTGCTGCTCCAGCTGGGCACAAGCTCCAGCTGGCAACCAGTACAAAACAGCCACAGAAAGAAATTCAAGTGAAACCAGCAGAAGAGCTGCCCACCAACCTACAGAATTGTGAAAAACAATAAAACTGTTATAAGCTACCAAAATTTGGTGTGTTGAGCTACTACATTTGGGGGCACAATACTATGCAGCAAAAGATGATTGATACCGTATATAGTTATTTATTTATCTCTCTCAGTAGCATTCCTTCTCTCCCCAGCCCAATTTTATCAATAGTCACTAATATTACTAGCTGCTCCTTTTCTGAAGATGTTTTACGTATTTCCATCAGTAGATCTGGGTTTTTTTCTTTTGGTTTGGTTTCATACACCTTTGTAACAAATATTTATTGCCTATTATGGGTCAAGCTCTTTATACATAAGATCTTGGTCTCTGGCTTCACTTCTTAGCATTACCACATTCCATCCCTAATTGCAATCCTCCAATTGTAACATTAGTCTCACTCCTCCTTGTCTTGAAGACACTATTATCTCTCTGGAACAATATTCCTTCCTTAACTGCCTGACAACTGCTTACCTAGACACATTGCAATTTTGCTATTCCTTACAAAGTTTAAAATTTGCAATGTGGGATCCCAGTCATGAGGTTTGATTATTTCTTATTCAGCACATTCAAAACTCCTTTATTTTCATCTCCCTCTAGAATCTGCTTGATGCTCTGGTTCTGCACTAACTGACAAAGCCTCCATTTTCTCCTGGGCACAAGCATAATGGCTGCTCTTCCTGCTTTTTGTGTATTACTTTCAGGCTTGTGAAACCAGCATGCTAATGAACGATTTCAAATGTTCTTCACATTTGTTCAGCTGCAGAATCACCTTCGGCAAATTCATGAATTGACACTACTGTTAAATTGAAGCTAGAACTCCAGGACCCAGTGAAGACAATCCCTCTGCCATGTCCCATGTCCCATGTCCCAAAGACTTTGTCTTCCTGAAGGACTTAAATGTTCCAGATCTTTCTTGCTACATATTTGTTATATTCTTTGTTTATTTACCTTTGATATGCTCCTACTCCTTTGAGAAAACTTCAGTCCAACTTGAACATTTTACCTGATTCTTAAGTTGCCCCCTTTCCTACTTTGTACAGATAGAGCTAACAGTATTTGCTGGATTTGAGTGTCTTGTTTTTTCTTTTCCTTTCTGGCTCAGACTTTATATTTATTGCATATTCTTTTAGAGTTTATCTTGTCTGCATCCATCATAGACAGAAACATCAGTTTTATGGAACTGCTTAAAGATTCCACTATTCAAATAAAAGTCTTCACCTTTATTTCCCCAAGTTGGATAATCTTCCATCAGACAAACATTCAGATCAGGCAGGGCTCTATTATTGCTCTGCCCAGCTTCCCTTAGTATGTCATATCTTGTCCATGCCTTTCCATGCATTCATAATATCAAAACTTCCTGGAACATGTTTTTTCAAGGCATAGGCAATCTGCACAAGCCTGTCAATGGTAACTTTCACCTTGAAAGTTCACCAAGTAATTTTTGAGTTTCTGCATTTATCTTCCTGGCTTTTCTTTCTCAAATAGGTCCAAATTTTCTATATTAAAACAGATTGATATAGCTGTCCTATTCCTCAAAGGTTTTTCCTGTGTGCTCACTTTGACTGCACCTTTCCTTGAACCACCAACTGCATGGTTCAAAGCCAGTAATTTCCTGAATCCTGCTCTTTGTGAAGCAGTAATTTTGACCTGCTCTTTAAGATCTTGCTTCTCTTCCTCTATTAGAAGTTATTGGACCCTAAATACCCTTTGTGAAAACCCAAATAATTCTTCTGTTTCATATAATCTCTTTAAAAGAAAGGAGACCTGGAAGCACTTCTTTTGCTTTTTAAAAAATATCCACTTATCATGACTTTGAAGATCTAATATCGTTGTCCCTTATATATCTGTCTAGAATGTCTTCTATGATTTTTAAATTATGGATTTTTCTCTTCTTCAAGTTTAATTAATTGCCTTCCTTTATTTATTTTTATTCTTTCCTTGCTCCTTTCTAAATGTATAACTGAAACCTATTTTTTCAAACCATTCCTTGGTTTCTTGTTAACTGTGATTCCAAGAAACATAAAGAGGTCAGGACAGATGTCTTTAATTACTTCCGTGACCTTTCATTTTGTAAAAGTCTTATTGAGTTGTTTCTCTACCTCCAACCAATAAGAAGATACACACTTTATTTAGCAAGGGACCATAAAATATTTTTTCATAATTACCAAAATTGACCATTCTAACATGAGTAAAGTCATAGTTTAGGCTTCTAAAATTTAAGTCAAAACTTGTGTAGTAAACAAAATCATAGCCATTTTGAGACCATGTGGCAATGGTAGTAGGCTGGAGGCAACGGGTACATGTAAGAACATACGGACAAAGCACGTGAGTCAAAGATGTTAGCTATTCCTTTATCAAGAATGCAGCTCAATACTACAAAAAGAAGCATGGAATTTCAGGCAGCTGATCTGGCACCTTCTGTAAACAGTTCCTGGCACTAATAACTTAAAGTTTGAAATACACTAGTGAAGTCCATTTGGAAACACAACAGTCTGTGTAGTTCAAATTCCCAATCTGAAAGCCTGGCTGAAAAACACAGTGTAAGCAGCAAATATTTTTCTCCCTACCCATGTTCAGAAAGAACGAATCAATTTTTCTGTCTCACTTGCAATGCCAAGGCAGAATGCAGCTGACAGTCAAGCTACAGCAGCTTGCATTGCAGAACCCAAGCAGCCGACATCTGCCAAGGCCATTATGGCATTATGGGCCATTTTTGCTGAGATAGAATCAATTGCCTGAACATAAAGCTACCCTAAGCTGTGGTGACATGCCAGTGTCAAAATCCCTCATAGCTTTGCACTCAACGAAACTCCAAATCCTAAAGCTACTCTCTTAAATCATGCCAGTTTAATGTCAACTACACAACCTTAAAAGCATGCTATGGAGTACAATTTTGACTATCACCTAGGTTTAAAAACTGAGCACTTGGGGCCAGGTGTGGTGGCCCATGTAATCCCAGAACTTTGGGAGGCCAAGCAGGACAATTGCTTGAGCTCGAGTTCAAGACTAGCCTGGACAACATAGGAAGATCCCATCTCTACCAAAATAATATAGTAATAATAATAATAATAATAAGTTAGCCAGGAGTGGTGGCATGTGCCTGTAGTCCCAGCTACTTTGGAGGCTGCAGTGGGAGAATTGCTTGAGCCTAGGCAACTGAGGCTACCATGAGCCATGATCGTTCAGCCTGGGCAATGGAGTGGGACCCCATCTCTGAAAAAAAAACCCACTTAATTAATGAGCTGCTACCAAAACGTTAATATATTACAAGTTAATATGTTGCCAGAAGCCTAAGAGTAGACCATAATGTATTCTCTGAAGGCAAGCCAATCCCAAAGTAAAGCTGGTATGTGCTAAGCCACTCATGCTCATTTCTTGCCTCCTTCTTATGGAAGGGGAGGTAAGTCACTCCTTCTTTATAAGAGGCCTGGAATTTTAGTCTGGGACAGTCACACTATACTACTAGTCCTCAACCAGGGACAATTTTACTCTCCAGGAGACATTTGGCAATGTCTAGAGTAATTTTTGGTTGTCAAAATTGGAGAGGTGTTACTGGATCTAGTGGGCAAGAGACAGGAACGCGGCTAAACATCCTGCAATGCACAGGAAAGCAATAGCAGCAAAGAATGATGAGACCCAATATGTCAGTAGTGGCAAGGCTGAGAAACATGGCACCATATTGAAATACTGTATGAGTTGGGAAATAGCGTTTCTCCCTAACAGCTAGATTTACCATCTCACCAAAACTACATGCTAGAGGGTAGAGAGGATACTCCATAAGGATATGAGTGCTAACAGGAAGGGAAAGGTGCTAGAAAACAAAATGATCAACGTCCTCTTCAAAATATATGTATATGTGTGTTGTGCCTGTACTTGGAAGTGTTAAGAGTAACTGTTTACATGGCAGCATTTTAGATATTTTGATTCTAATATATATTTTTGTATTTATATTTTAACTTTTTAACAAGGATTAATATTTCTATAGTGATACATTTAAAAAGTAAATTGCTTTCTTTACTTGAGACTTTCACCCAAGTCAAGGGAAAGAGAATGTATCACAAGAAATGATTCTGAGTCTCAAAGACATTAGGGAGCATGTGTCTCCTGGTTGCCAATATTGTGAAAAGGTATTGTTCAAATTCTGACAGCCCTGTTGAGAATAAAGAAGAATTTCTTACAATTATTGTTATTTTTCAAGAGACAGTAGAATTCTCACTGCTTTGCAGAATATAAAGGAGCATATGACTCTGTAAATTCCTCATCACAAGTTGCCTGGTGCCTGTATTCTCCTCTTTTGTGCAGCATAACAAGGGAAGACAGAGTTGCTTGACTCTTACCATATTATTAACTCTAAGTCACATCTGAAATAGGAGCTCTGCAGGGAGGGTTTAGATAACGACACATCAAAGAAAGAACACAGCCTAAAAATATTTGGTTTAAAATCTCATTCTCGATGTGCCAAGTATTATTTTCTTTGACATACTTTGTTGTCTGCCTTTGCAAAACCATAATTAGAATAACTTCCCACTCATATTCCATGGGGAAGAGAGAGGATTTTGTGACCCAGCTGACAAATTACAGAAATTGAGAAAAATCCAGTTCAAAGAACTCTGGAATAATAAAATTTTAGAGTAAAAAGAAGATGTGATCATCCATATTAACTTCCCTATTTATAGAAACACAGAAACTGAGACCCCCGAAATTGAGTTATAATCTTTGATGAAGATTAAAAAGCATAGATATCCTGACTCCTGGACCAATTCTTTTCCACTCTGTGATATTGTCTCATCTATTGCACTATCCTTTCATCAAATATTTATTGACTATCCATTACAGGCCCTTTGGAAATTCAAAAATAAAGCAGTGAATTCTTATCGGTCTAATAGTTTGAATAAAGGGAAAGACTTGTGTATAGATAATTAGAAGAACAGACATTAAGTAATACATGCATTAACAAATAAAATCAGGCCAGACATGGTGGCTAACACCTGTAATCCCAGCACTTTGGGAGACTGTGGTCGGTGGATCACCTGAGATCAGGAGTTTGAGATTAGCCTGGCCAACATGGTGAAACCCCATCTCTACTAAAAATACAAAAATTAGCAGAGCATGGTGGCGCATGCCTGTAGTCCCAGCTACTTGGGAGGCTGAGGCAGGAGAATCACTTGAACCCAGGAGACTGAGATTTCGGTGAGCACGCCACTGCACTCCAGCCTGGGTGATGGAGCGAGATTCCATCTCAAAAACTAACTAAATAAATATAAAATCGGAGGAATGAAACTCAAATTCCTATAGAAACTAGACAGGTGATATAAACAAGTAAAAGAGGCTGTGTGCAATTTTTAAAATTAGTGAGGTTTTGGGGCAAACAAGGAAATCCAAGGAGTGTGCAACGTTAGCTCTGGCTAATTATCACCAGGAAATAATTAGGTTCTTTTTTTTTTTTTAACAAGATAAACTGAGAATCCCAATGTATATGTAAAAGAGTCATGTTTTTAAACCTTCCTAATTGTGCATATGTATTGTGGGGAAAGGGAGAAGTTATAAAGAGAAGAGAGAAAAGGGATAGAGTATAATGATGAAAGGCTTTGGGGCTGAGATGAGTGTCAAGGTACAATGTCAAATGTTATGCAGGTTATTGCTGACATTGTCTTGGCAATCCCTCTCCCTATTATATTCCATGATGGTTTTTACTTTTGTTTTAGTGTGATTTAACTAATGAGCTATCTATTTTGGATGTCTTTTCATTTTCTCAATAACTGGCCTACTTTCTGACGCTCACAGGCTTCCTGAATACCCTGGGTACTAGCACTTGCATTTGTCTTACAGATTGAGATGTGAAACATCTCTGCAGCTTTTGTGCCATCACTTTGAACCTTAGACGGGCAGTGAATCTCTTTTATGACAGGCTCATATTGAAACTACAGAACAGATGGGAGTTGGCTGGAAATCATAAAGAACAGAGAGAAATCAGCCATGAATTACAATTGCCAAGAAATCCTCCAAAGTTATTTTGTATTAACTAGCATGGAATATACTGGAAGACACAGAATACTGAAAGAATAATGGAGTTCATTGTCTTCTCCAAGGAGCAGTGAAAGCTTTTTGATAGATTCTGAGCACCTGTTTCTTTCTCCTAAGACAGAAGTAGAAGATGATTTCCTTTCAGACATGGAGTGGTTGAGGACAGGGTGGGGAAACGGTTGGTACTTTTACCTCCCACAATGAAAGTTGCTGCACCACTAAAACATGAAGTGTTGTGCAGTGGTGGGACTGCATGGAAAACATATCCTTTAATGTAGTAAAAATACAATATGTGTAGGAATAAATGCTATTTCAGCCATCTATCAATGCAAGAGGACAGAGAAATTATAGTGGTCTTAAATCAAGGTGAGAAAATCAAAGAGTAATTTGTCATGGATGGTTATTCTGTTTATCAACGGAGAAACCATACAACCATGGAGATAAACATGTACTGAGTACTTATTATATACTGAGTGTTGTCCATCTGCTGGGATTTGCCAGGTAAGTAATGTAGTTCCCAGCATATGCCATGCTCTATTTTAGGCTCTCAGCCTTATAAGTGCTATCTCTTCTTTCTAAAATGTGATTACCTTCTACTCATTCTTCAGATCTCAGCTTAAATTATTTCTTCCCTAAGAAGCTTTTTCTGACCCTGCAAGGCTGGATTAAGAGCTCTTCCTATGTACTCTCATAAAAGCCTGTGCACATCTCTATCATTGTCCTGGCCTTCCTGTCTCTTTATCTAGACTGTAACATGAAGGTGGAGTTTTATTCAGTTTTATAGCCTCAATGTTTTGCACAGTGCTTGGCATAGTGCACATACTCAATGAATGTGTGTTGTATGAATGAGTGAATGAATGAATTTATGAATAGAAGGATGAATGAATAAAATATAATCCAGAGTGCAGAGACAATGCACAGAATGGGAGAAAATATTTGCAAACTACCTATGTGATAAGGGATTAATAACTGGAATATATAAGAAGCTCAAACAACCCTATAGGAAAAAAGTCTAATAATCCAAAAATAAAATGGGCAAAAGATTTGAATAGACAGTTTTCAAAAGAAGACATGCAAGTGGAAAACAGGCATATGAAAAGGTGCTCAACATCACTGATCATCAGAGAAATGCAAATCAAAACTACAATGAGATATCGTCTCACCCCAGTTAAAATATCTTATATCCAAAATACAGGCAATAATAAATGCTGGTGAGGATGTAGAGAAAAGGAACCCTTGTACACTGTTGGTGGAAATGTAAATTAGTACAACCACTTTGAAGAACAGTTTGGAGTTTCCTCAAAAAATCTAAAAATTGAGCTACCATTTGATCCAGCAATCCCACTGCTGGGTATATACCCAAAATAAAGGAAATCAGTATGTGGAAGAGATACCGGCACTCCTATGTTTGTTGCAGCACTGTTTATAATAGCTAAGACTTGGAAACAACCTGAGTGTCCATCAACAGATTAATGGATGAAGAAAACATGGTACATATACACAACGGAGTACTATTGAGCCATAAAAAAGAATGACATCCAGTCATTTGCAACAACATGGATGGAAATGGAGGTCATTACGTTAAGTGAAATTATCCAGGCACAGAAAGACAAACATCACATGCTCTCACTTACTTGTGGGATTTAAAAATCAAAACAACTTAACTCACGGACATAGAGAATAGAATGGTTACCAGAGGCTAGGAAGGGTAATGAGAGGCTGAGGGGGAGGTAGGGATGATTAATGGGTACATAAAAAATAGAAAGAATGAATAAGACCTACTACTTGATAGCACAATATGGTGACTTTAGTCAATAATAACTTAATTGTACAGTTAAAAATAACTAAAAGACTACAATTGGATTGTTTTTAACACACAGGATAAATGCCTGAGGGAATGAATACCCCATTCTCCATGATGTGCTTTATTCACATTGCATGCCTATATCAAAATATCCCATGTACCCCATAAATATAGACACCTACCATGTACCCACAAAAGTTTTTTAAAAATCTGTTAGAATCAGAGTTCAACCCCTTGGATGAAGTCAGTTAGTTCCAGAGATAGAACTGTATGTGTTTCAGGCTGTACTATCAAGAGAGTTGTTAGTTTTAGATAGATTAGTTTTGAGAACTAATAAACATTCATTGAAATATTTATATATATAATCCAGAATGGAATATAGAGGGAGTGACTTACTTGCCTAAAGGAATGAGGAAAGACTTCACAGAGAAAATAAAAATATTTGTTGGGATTGTAAAGATTTCTTGAGAGTCCTATCTCCTGCCATATACTTGTCTATGTAGCGGGATTACAGTTCACCAACAAAGTCTCTGAGTTTACAGAGTAGGGTTAGAGAGCTTATGAACTAATACATATAGACATGCATACATACATAAAAGTATGTATACATTTTACATCTTAGGTAATGATTAGTGCTGTGATGAAAATGCAACAGTATTATATGAAAGATTATGAATAAAGGCAAAAATAGGTACAACTTTTCCAGGGTTTAGTTAAACCAAAATTCTTTAAAATTTTATTAACAGATTCTGATCAACTCTCCAGCTTTCTGCTTACTCAAAGCTGTCCTGTGGAAGGCACATTGCTCAGACTGGGCAAAATCTTGAGTCTTTTGCTGTTCCTTCTCCTCCCCGCTTTGAACTTCCTGCCCTTTTCTACTCCACACTCAAGACTCCTTCCTTCTACTCATTTAGGCCTAAAATAAAACTACAAATTTCTTAGCAAACAGCCTGTATTTTTTTGTCTCCCTAGCCAAATGATCAAATAAATATTTCAGGAAATAAAGAAGAAAGTGGGGTGTTTTGTTTGGACTTAGTGTATAAAGAATTGATTGTTGGTGTGGGGGAATTAGCATACACAGAGGCAAAAATGTCTTTCTCCTGGATGATAAACATAACAGTGAGCAAATGCTGTCTACACAGATATTTAATGAGTCATTGGCTAGGCTGAGATGAATGGCAGTCCAAAATTCTGCAAGCCTACATAACCAATAGTCAAGAAATATGAATAACAGTTAACCTAGAATACACACTGCAATTTTAAAATTTCTAGTGGAAGCACTGAAGTGTCAACAGAATTGCCAAATTTTCTCTTTGATTAAATGTGAGCATATTCAATTCAAGCATTTTATAATTCATGCCCGTAGGCATTATGACTATGCTCTATAAAATCCCAAAATTCATTATAAAAACTATGGATGCTTAATGAGTCAAATTCCACTTACATTTATTGCTTAGTAAGCTGTGCTCTTCCAGTTGTAATGTATAGGTTTTAGTTACTCAGACTAACAGCAAATCATATTTGCTGTGTAAAACATCACTGAGCATGAATTATAATATCTATTATTCTAGCTTCTGCATCATTAAGGCAAAAATCCAGTTTCGTGGTAAATTTAACCATTAAATGCAGAACTTCTCAATACAACTCGCTGCTTCTAACTTAGAGTTTGTAAGTGAAAAAGTAAGAACTTTAAGAAATCTGCCCTATCCCACTAGAATCCAATGACAAATCCCTTCAATCCTATTCAATTTATTGATTCACTCAATTACACAATTACTATGTAATTACTACGTATTACTATGTAATAAGGCATTGCACTAATTTCTGGGATGCAATGAAATTTACTCTCTAGTTAGAAAGACTTTAGTCAAATAAGAATTATACAAATAGAAGTAAAATTACAGGTGATGCATTGATTATAAAGTGCCTTACAAGCACATGACAGGTGCCCTGATATAGTTGGAGCATTAGGAATGGCTTTCCTGAGGAAGAAATAAATGATCTGAGATTTAAGGGAATTAATTGGGTGGATGGAAGGTAGCTGGAGACTAGGGGTGGAGAAAAGATTTCCTAGCAGAGAGAATTGCATACAAAGTTCCTGCACTGAACGTGGGTTCAATCAAAAAGACCAGTGTGGATGAAGGAGGATTGTTCTGAGATGAAACTAGGGAGATGGGTTGAGGCCAAACCTTGAAGGATTCAAGTGGTCACTTTAGACATTTTGGTCTTTATATTGCCAGGAAGTCCTTGAAGAATCTGAAGCAGAGGAATGAAATATAGTTATGCGTAAGTCATATTTCAAATAAGTTTTTGTAAAGGATGCCTCATTTTACATTTTAATAAGAATAAATAAACATCTGTTTTCTGTGCTTAAAAATGGTATACAAGTTTTCCTACCAAATTGTTCTTTGGCTTGTAAACATATTTTTCTCAATAGTTGAAGTTGGGAACATTCTTTCTCCATTTTTGAATAAGCAAGAGGCACCTAACTCAGCAAAGATAAACACCTGCTGTACCTGAAAGACGTAATTATATTTTGAAAAGTAAAGGAGGTCTGGAATATATTCATGAGGAGTAATATAACTCATAAAAACATTATATAATTATAAATATAATGGTTTATGTAACTTTGGGCCTGAACAATAAGAATGAAGTTGATGTGACTGAAAACCAGTAGAATGGGTGATTCCAGAGTACCCAGTTTCCCTAATTATTATATAGGCTCACATTGACTCCCTGCATCCTTGAGAGTGTGTAGAGCTGTTGCAAATCGCCATGTGCAGACCAATAGGCAACTCCTACCCTTGATGAAGACCTTGGCAAAGACATCTGCAAGTAAGACCATGAGACACACTGACTAGTAGTGAGCAGTAGCTGAGCTAGTGAGAGAGACTGTTAATCCCTAGATATGCAGCATGTGCCTTCCACCCCCATCTGAGGCTCTTGCTTACTCACAGATGTCCTTTCGTTTGTTGGTTTGGTTCAGTGTGTGTGTGTGTGTGTGTCCCCTCAAAATAGGTACAGAGCCTTCAGCTTGCTGGGGAAATTGAAAAGTTAAAGCTACTTAACTCATTTCATGTTTATTTAAAAAAAAAAAAAAGTGGGCTGGGTGCAGTGGCTCACGCCTATAATCCCAGCACTTTGGGAGGCCTAGGTGGGAGGATCACTTGAAGTCAGGAGTTGGAGACCAGCCTGACCAACATGGTGAAACCCCATCTCTATTAAAAATACAAAAATTGGCTGGGTGTGGAGGTGGGTGCCTGTAATCCCAGCTAATAGGGAGGCTGAGGCAAGAGAACTGCTTGGACCCAGGAGGCAGAGGCTGAGCCAAGATCGTGCCACTGCACTCCAGCCTGGGCGAGAGCATGAGACTGTCTCAAAAACAAAGAAAAAAAAAGTGCAGCTACTGCCAGTGCTCATTTAATTTTACATGAACACACGCTTTGAGGCTGAAGCAAATCTAACTGATTTTCAATGTGAAAATAAAACGTAAAAACCGTTCTTGGAGTTATTTCTAAACAGAACTTGTCTCTAATCCTAATATAACAGAAATGTATATAGTGATCAGTAGTTAATAATTGGAAAAACTTTGACGGTAAGATTAGGACTATAATCCGTGAGTTATCTTTAGGTAAATGTTGCAGCTGCAAGGCCTCCGGCGAGTATTCTTGTGGCAAATGGGAAATGTATTTATGTACAACTTGTGTTTATGTACAATTTCTCTTGGCATTGTGGGAAATGTGTTTATGTACTAATTTGTGTTTATGTACAATTTCTCTTGGTATTGTAGGAATTGTGTTTATGTACTAATTTGTGTTTGTGTACAATTTCTCCTGGTATTGCCAACTCATCAACACCCCAGACCTAGGTCCTTGTTTTGACCTAAGGTGTATTTCCATAAACTAAAACAGTCAAGCTTTTAAAAAATCTCTATTAGACTAGATGGAGAATTGAATTTGGACACTTCTACTGTGTTTCCTCATCCACCTGATCTACAAATGTTAGCATGACTCAGGCATCAATTCTTGGTGCCTTCCCTTATCTTGAATATACTTATTCTCTTAGTGAACTCATTCAATTTCATAGCTTTAAATATTTTCAAATGTTGAATACTTCCAAAGTTATATCTCTGACCTAGATTCCTCCCTCTGAACTCTAGACTCATAAAACCAATGGTCTGGTCAACCACTCTACTTAGAGGTTTAAAAGGCATCTCAAACCACATGGACAAACCTGAATCTTTATTCTCCAAAACTGCTTCTTTTGCGGTCTCCTCCCACCAGTAGATGACAATTTATTATTTCAGTCGCTCAGAACAAAAACTTCTGAATCTTTTAAAATTCTGTTTATTTCATACTGTTGTGATTTATCAAAAAAATTGCTTGTCTCCACATTCTAAATATATATCTCAAATAAATACATCAAAAGTGAAATAACTTCCTACCACCTCCACTGCTATCACATTGGTTTTAGCTACCATTTTCCCTTACAAGACTGTTGCAAGACTCTCTAAAATAGTCTCCTTACTTCTACCTTGCTTATTTTCAACACAGTAATATGAAAGATCCTGATGAAACGCATATATAATCATGTTATTCCTCTACTCAAATACTTCAATGGTTTCTCATCTAATTCAGTCTGAAAGCTAAATTTCTTCAAGTGATATATTAATACAAAGCCCTAGAAGATGCTTTTCCATATTACTTCTCTAATCTCACCTATCCTATTCTTTACCTCACTCTACTGTAACCATGTTGGCCTCCTTGCTGTTTCTTGAGCATATGTGTACACTCTCCCCTTGGGTTTTTAATTTATCCTTTCTGTATTTGAGATGCTTTTCCTCCAAATACTCATGTGGCTCACACCCTCATGTCCTTTGGGTCTTAATTTAAATGTCACCTTCTTAGAACACAAGAGTATTCCCTGACCATTCTCAATCCATACACACTTCTTACATTTTTGTCTGCTTAATTTTTTTCCTGTAACTAGTACCATGTAACATAATTTATATTTTGCTTATTTATCTTATTATCTGTTTCTGCCCCTAAAATGTAAATTCCTAAGAGACATGAATTTGTGTCCATTTTATTTTTCTCTTATTATCTCCATGGCCTATAAAATTGTCTGACAATTAGTTGGTACTCAATAAATACATGTTGAACAAAATAATTCATATTCATGGTAAGATGAATAAAAGTGTAGTGAATACCTAGTGAATAAATAGACATCAGGTAAAATAAGTAGATATTCAAACAGCATCATAGGCCAATATTAAGATTCAATGTTCAGTGAAATAAAGTAAAATGAAGAGTATAATCTTTGCATAGTAACATATATTCTGTTTTAAAATCCATCATACTGAAGCAAAATCACATTTCTTGCAAGTACATCTAATTATATAAATAAGCAGAGTGAAAGGAGAAAAGAATGTTGATGGGCAGTGCAGGGAAAAAATAATGAGATATAAAGTAAGAGGGAAACATTGCATGGACTGATGAAGATAGAGTGCCATGAGCTGAGAAATATGAGTAATCCAACTCTTAACACCCACGGTCCCAAAATAACCACACACTCAACCAAGAATCACTCTTGCTGTAGTGTGGAGACTTATAGGAGAGCAAAAGTCAATCTAAAATGACCAGATATTAATCCATTGCAATCATCCAAGTAATGTTTGGGGGTACAATAGTATGAACCTAGAAATTAATAACAGGAGGAATCATGAAATATTAACAAGTATGTGGAAATTAAACAACATGCTCCTGAACAACTATTGGGTCAAAGAAGTAAGTAAAGGGGAAATTTAAAAATATATTGAGATAAATGAAAATGAAAACACAAAATACCAAAACTTATGAGATGCAGCAACAACCATTTTGAGAGAGAAGTTTAATACCAATAAATGTCTGCATCAAAAACAGAGGAAAAAAATAAAAAGATTTCAAATAAACAACCTAACATTACATGTCAAGGAACTAGACAAATAAGAACAAACTAAGCCTAAAATTAGCAGAAGGAAGAAAATAACAAAGATCAGAACAGAAATAAATGAAATAGAGATTAGAACAATAGAAAAGATAAACAAAACAAAGACTTGATTTTTTGAAAAGCTAAACAAAATGAACGAATTCTTCATTGAATTAAGGAAAAAGAGAGAAGACTCAAATTTGAAAAATCAGAAATGAAAGAAGAGACATTATAACTGATAACACAGAAATACAAAGGATCATAAGAAACTACTATAGGCAATTACATGTAATTAAATTGGACCACCTTGAAGAAATAGTTAAATTCTTAGAAATATGTAACATACCAAGACTGAATCATGAAAAATTTGGAAATCTGAATAGATCAGTAATGAGTAAGGAGACTGAATCAGTAATTTAAAATCCTCCATCAAAGAAAAGCCCACAACTATATGGCTTTGCAGTTGAATTCTACCAAAGATTTAAAGAAGAACTAATACCAATCCTTTTCATACTCTTCCAAAAGTTGAAGAGGAGAGAATACTTTCCAACTCATTTTACAAGGCTAGTATTAAACTAATACCCCAGACAAAGACCTCACAATGAAAGAGAGAAAAATTAAAGACAAATTACTCTGATGAACATAGCTGAAAAATCCTCAACAAAATATTAGCAAACCATATTCAGCAGTACATTAAAAGAGTCATTCACCATGATCAAGTGGGTTTTATTCCTGGGATGGTTGAACAAACCAACAAACCAAGAAAGTTGGTTTAACATACAGAAATCAATAAATACAATGCACCGCATTATGAGAATAAAGGAAAAAGACCACATGATTATCTCAAGTGATGAAGAAGAAGTATGTGACAAGAAAACAAATAACCCTAATTAAAAATGGGCAAAGGACTGGAGTAGACATTTTTCAAAGGAAGACACAGAAATGGCCAACAGACATATTTTTTAAGAGCTCTACATCTCTAGTCATCAAAGTCATTGTGGCTTTATTTTGCAAAATAAAACCACAATGAGATAAAACCTCAGACTCTTAGATTGGCTATTATAAAGAAGATGAAAGATAACAAGTGTTGGTGAGCATGTGGATAAGAGGAAGCCCTTATGCACTACTGGTGGTATTGTAAATTAGTATAGCCACTTTGAAAAATAGTATGGAAGTTCCTCAAAAATCTGAAAAATAGAAATACCATATGGCCAAGCAATCTCACTACTATTCACAATAGCCAAGATATAGAAACAATCTAAATGTCCATCAACAAATGAATGGATTAAAAATGTGATATATACATATATATATACTCACACACACACACACACAATGGAATACTATTCAGCCTTTTAAAAAAAAAACAAAATTTTTTCATTTGTGACAATGTGGATGAACCTAGAGGACATTAAGATAAATGAAATAATCCAAACACAGAGAAAAAAACACCACACGGTCTCACTTACATGAGGAATCTAAAAAAGTTGAACTCACAGAAGTAAAGAGTAGAATAATGGTTACTAGACATGGGAGTTTGGGAGTAAATAGGGATAGAGGAGACACTGATCAACAGGTAAGAGGGTACAATTAAACAGAAGGAATAATTTCTGGCATTCTGTTGGATAGTAAGGTGACTACAGTTATTAATAATATATTGTATGTTTCAAAATAGCTGAAAGAGAGAATGTTAAATGTTCTCACCATAAGAAATGATAAATATTTGTGTTGATGTATATGCTAATTACTGATTTGATCATTCCACAATGTATATGTATTTTGAAATATCACACTGCATCCCATAAATACATACAATTATTATCTGACAGTTGAAAATAAAATAAAATAGAATTTTATGTTGGAAAAAAAAGATAAGGTAGTAGATTGGATTAGGATAACAGTAAAGAGACCAAGAGATTTATTGGAAAGACTGTGTGATTGATTGACTATTGGATGAGAGGAAGAAAAGAAAGATTTCAAAATAATTCCCAAGTTTCTGATTCTAATGTTATGAATAATAACATTTCAGTGAATAACTGAAATAGGGAATGTTAGTGTAGGAATTTCATCATAATTTTTGTTCTGGTTGTATAAGTGTGATCATCTAAATGAAATTCGATCAGATAATAGTATTCAGTATTTCAGTAGGTGCAAGAATTGTGTTTTATGGGATCTACACTATATTTTCTGATTAATTTCAACCTTAGATAATAAAACGAATTGAATTGAGTCTTGTTAGCACTTTAGATTATGGGGAATTACTAGATTAAAAATACTCTTTAAAGCTTTAGGGTTCAGGAGTTTGTACTTTTCAAAGCATTGCTTAAACAAACTGAGGTAGTGGGAAATGAAGAGAATAGAGTCTGGTAACATAAAATAAAACTCATAGCAATTTTTTGTTGTTGACCGAGGTCAGTTTAGTTGAACCGTCTTGCAAGAAATAAAAACACATTTAAAATAAAATTCAAAAAAATGAATATCTCAAAGTATTGTAATTAATCTATTCTATTGTTGTTTTATACATTTTTGTACCTTTATTATAGCATTTATCACATTCTACAGAGGATTGTAATTATTGCTGTTACATCTTTGTGTCTCCTACCCAATTATAACCACTTACTGGGCAAAGACAGTGTCTTTTTTATTTTTTCCCACTCGCAACTCACACACTGCTTATATCTCACTCAGTATATGTTTACTGGTCTTTTAAATTATCAGTTTTAACTTCTTCTGAGGCAATTTTTTAATAGGCTGGATCCAAACCAGTTTTCCTGAGAACTAATACAAATGTGAACTTATATTTGATGAACTAGATTGTTAGACCTTGTAGGGCAAGAAAAAAAAAAACCCTTTTCTTTCCTACACATCTTAGGCTCATTGAATGGAGTCTTGTAAATTAGACCGACGAAAGACAGATTGTCAAGAGAAAAACACACTAATTTATTTACTATAAGTTTCACATGACACAGGAGCCTTCCTAAGGAAATAAAGACCTCAAGAGACTGTTAATCTTGAATGGTTTTATGCTAGGTGTGATGAAGAGTGGAGAGTCTTGGGAAAATTTGATAGTACAAAAAGATATCATAGGAGAAAGGGCTAAGTGTAGTAAAGTGGGGGACATTTAGCAAAGTCTGTTCTTTCAGATTCCTCCTGGTAACTCTCCATCTTCAGAGATCAGGATGCTCCTTTCCTCCAGGTACAGGGAGTGCACCTCTCACATGAGAGTCTCATGACCTGCTTAAGGGGAAGAAGCTCAGAGAGTCCTTCCTGCACCTGCTGTTTCTCAAATTCCTTCTGTTTGAAATCGTCAATATGCCAAGGCAGCATACTCTGGGGTAGTGCTTTCTGAATCCTTTTAACCCTGAAGCATGGGAAAACTACTGACTTACCTCGAAGCGACATTCAAAGAATTTGCCATTTTCTTGTCTACCTATTTATTGTTTCATATTATTCTTATTGTTATTGTTCTGGCCCAGTTATACTCAACGGGTGATATGAGGGTTGTGTTTCACCATCTACTCCTGGTATTTGAAGAGTAACTTCTAGACAAGAAATTGTGATAGAACCGAGGCTTGCATTTTGTCAATCTTATATTAAAGGGGAAAACAAGTAAGAACAGTGCTCAATAAATCATCTTCAATGTTTCTCAGATCCGCTCTACACATTACTCTTTCCTCCTTCCCACCCATTCAATTATTCAGCAAATATTTATTGAGTTTTTTAGGAAGTGGGGGCACACCGATGAATAAAACAGATTAAAATCTCTGCCTTTGTAAAGTTTTTAATTCAGAAGAGGGAAACAATGAAAAATAAGCAGCACAGAAGAGAGAAAGAGAAGGGCTAGTGCAGGGGGCAGATACAGACACAGATATGCATGTTGGAAGCTAATAAATACTGACGAACAAAGGAAAATATTAAATAAAGTAGATAGAGTAGGCCATACTGTGAAAACAAGATCCCAACGAAGTGTTGAAGGATCTGCAGGAATTAGCCCAGCAGTTGTCTCGAAGAAAGTATCCTAAGCAGAGAGAAGGCTAGCTCAAATGTCCTAAGGTAGACATACCCAATGTTCCTGAGAAACAGCTCAGGGGCCAATGTGGTTGGAGGGGAGTGAGCTAAGCGGGGCTAGTAGGACATGTGGCAGAGGAGTAAGAGAGAGATAGATCACAAAAAGCCTTGAAGGCTCTTAAAAGAATCTGTTTTTACTCTAAAGGGTCATTACAGGGTTCTAAGCAGAGGAGTGACACAGTCTGACTTATGCTTTTATTAAAGGAGTTGCTTTAAAGACAGCAACTCCTTTTGGAGACCAACTGCTGTGTTGAGGATAGATTGGGGCAGGGCAGGGGCCAGGTGGGGGCTGGGGGACCTGGAATCGGGAAGACCAGCAGGAAGTTATCATGGTGATTCAGGTGGGAGATGATGGCCAGGACTGAAATGACAGCAATGGAAGCAGTGCAAAGGGCGCAGCTACTGTTTATACCTTGAAGGTTGAGTCAACAGAATTTCCTAACAGACTGGATGTGAGTGTGAGAGAACGCGTGAAGTAGGGGAATCACTCCACTAAGTATTGCTTAAACAAGGGGCAGGGTGGAGCAGCCACAAATTAAGATGCGGGTACTCCCTGAATGTGGGGGCAGGGTGGTCAGGAGTTCAGTTTTGAGTGTACTGGGTTTGACATGTGTATTCATCATCTGAGATTGTACCTTCATACTTCTTAGTTGAGAAGGAGCTTAGAGACCACAGTAAATATGGTATCTGTCTGCCTAATCAATATTCTTTCTTTACAAATTAAGAAGTTCATTTGTAAAAACAATTCAATGAATTGCACAAGGCTACGCAGCATAACAATTGTCATGCACAGTTGTTCTTTTAAAGTACTGTCTGGGCAATAAATCATAGCCAAGTTCAGAATCCTCTGGCCTGTTTAAGTGAAAACCTTCCAGGGCTAATAATTCCAGTCACTAAAGAAGGGGCTTTAAAAAAAAAAAACTCCCTTGTGCCAGTGCACGGTGTCTCACAACTGTAATCCCAGCACTTTGGGAGGCCAAGGTGGGCTGATCACTTGAGGTCAGGAGTTCGAGACCATCCTGGACAACATGGTGAAACCCTGTCTCTACTAAAAATACAAAAAATTGCCAGGTATGGTAGCTCATGCCTGTAATCCCAGCTACTGGGGAGGCTGAGGCAGGAGAATCGCTGGAAGCCAGGAGGTGAAGGTTGCAGTGAGCCAAGATAGTACCACTCTACTCCAGCCTAGGCGACAGAGTGAGACTCTGTTTCAAAAATAATAATTATTATAATTATTTTAAAAAATGAAAAAATTACAAACCTCCCTTGTAAAGAAGACATACAACTAACATTCATTAAGAGATTATATCATTCCGGACACACTCTCTCACTTAAGGGTCACAACAGCCCTATGAGTTAGGTTCCATAACTATTTTCCCCATTTTACAAAAGAGGTAAAGAAATTATAGAGACGTTAAGTGATTTGTTAATTAAGTAGTAAAGCTGAGATTTAAACCCCGCATTCTGAGCCTAAAGTTCTGCACTAGACCTTTACCCTTTCACTGTAGTATTCAAGCTCTATAAAAATGCAGTCAGTGCTTGGAAGGGCAACTTTGAAAGCTGGTCATTATGTCACAATTGTGTTTGTGACAACAGGTGTTAAGAGGAAGAGAGGAGCAAGCATATATATATGGCACTCCAGGAAGATGAAGGTGGGATTATAGAAGTAAGAGTTAAAAACTGGGGAATGGAGGTTACTAACACCCAGATTTCAAAGATGAATTTTCTAACTTAAATTTACTGAAGACTCTATCCTCTGGGGAAGGCGTGTTTAAATAAAACCAAGGAAGGTTTTTTATAACATGAAGTGATTCCTTTAAATGAAATTGAGTATATAACATGCTGGTATTGTTCATTAAGAATAATTTGCTTAAAATTGCCTACAATCAAGAATTTTATGCAACCATTGTATTGATTTTATAATTGACAGACTGGTGTTTACTTTAAAATGTGCCAATGAGTAAACTGAGTCTTTATTGACATTTATACACACTAAATTAAACTGAAAACCAACTTCTTTTTTTCAGCTTGCTTTGCTGTGACTAAAGAGAACTTGTAAGGAAGCCTGTGTCCATAGATTGTCATGGTAGCTCGCAACCTTTACTTTCTTTACGTGTGTCAAGTAATTCCAGGGAGTAGACGGTAAATTGGCACATCTTTCCATTAAGTAGGACTTGTTTGCCTTCAAAGAGGGGAGACATTGCCTCCTCCAAGTGATAGAGGGATGAGAAAACCTTTAAATATAGTCAGATGGAAAATGGTTGAAATGTTTTGTTTTAACATATGCCTTCTGGTATTTTTTATTTTCAAAATAAAAAATGCGTTTTTCATTTCATTTATGGTAATTAACACACTTCATTTGTTTTCCTTTTGTGGTTTTTGACTTTTTCATTTGATTGAAGAGCCTTTCTTTCAAGGCATTTGTCTGCTCCCTGGTGGTCAGATAAAAATTTGCAACTTCAAGTGTTCAAACGGTTTTTTTTTTCCCCAACCTTAAAAAAAAAAAATCCTTCAAATTGGCATTCAGAAGTGTGTTACCTCACATTTTATCAGCAGATGGATCCCGCATTAAGTTATTGTTTCCTTAATCCAACTGAGGTTCCAAATGTTCCTTTTATTATAACGTATACAGGGAAATTTCAATATGCTTACTTTCTAGTGTATGCAGCTGTAGTCTGGGAGGTCTGATGTTAGGGAAAAAGAAGGAGGAAAGCAAGATTAAAAATCATTCCTGGAAATGCAAGAGAAAATGTGCTGGAGTGGTAAGACCAAAGTTTTCTTCTTCCTTTTTTTTTTTTCTGCTCTTCACACACACACAGACACCCCACAAGGAAAAAGATAGGTTTGCCTAGAAAACTACTGCTTCAGTTTCTCCTCTCTACTTTTCCTCTCCTGCAAGTTAAGTAAATCTCCAAGCCCATGAAAAATGTATGGACGCCTGGTCTGGTGTGTATATCCCAGTACTTTGTGAGGCCTACGCAGGAGGATTGCCTGAGTCTAGGAGTTCAAGACAAGCCTGGGCAACATAGTGAGACCCTGTTTCTAAAAAAAAAAAAAAAAAAAAAAATTTAAAAATTAGCCAGGTGTAGTGGCCCGTGCCTGTATACCCAGTTACTGGAGAGGCTGTAATTGTGTGGTGAAGAAAGTGTTAATTAATTTGATTGTGGTAATTATTATACAATGTATGTGTATCTCAAATTATCATGTTGTATACATTAATATAATTTTCATTTGTCAATTATACCTTAATAAAGCTGAGGAGGAAAAATTTTAATGTAATCCTGTCAAGACCATTTTCCACTATGACTGGCTTTCCTTCATACTTTCCCTTAGAATGGCCTTGGGCATTACGACTTTGAAACAAGGGGAAGTTGTGTTGAAGATATTCCATTTTAATTGTAATTTAGAAAAACAGTTTGGAAAATTTCAATAAAACGATAGAGAAATTATAGATTCTTGATGTAGATACATGTGAAGGATATTCTTTTGCCATTTTAAAATGTATTTACTATATAACCAAAAGAATTCAAATTAATGAAATATGAAAAGAAAAACCACAAGAATAAATAATACAATCAATAGAAATTACTCTGATATCAAGAAGTAAATTATAACAACCACAATGAAATCACATCATATCCAAAAGAATAACTCATTAAAAGGAAAAGATAAGTTTGAATGGGAGTAATGAGTAAGTGCTTGGATTGACAATGAAATCAAAAGGAAGAGTTCCATACAGACAAAGTGGAAATAATGTAAATATCTTGCCGATTTAACAAGAAATACTGGCTGAAGAAAATGTAAAAACTCATAATACATCCCAACTACAGTGAGAACATCAATAGCAAAGTGTTTAAAAAATATTATCAATTCCAAGATAATTCATGGAATTCTCTTAAATTGATAATATTGTGCAAAAATTGCCCTCAGAACCTATGACTCATATGAACAGAACTTAATATGCTAGGCATGGTGGCTCACACCTGTAATCCCAGCACTTTGGGATGCCAAGGCAGGCAGGTCCTTTGAGCCCAGGAGTTTGAGACCAGCCTGGACAACATGGTGAAACCCTGTTTGTACAAAAAATACAAAAATTAGCGGGGCATTGTGGTGCATGCCTGTAGTCCCAGCTACTTGGGATGAGGGCCTGAGGTAGGAGCATCGCTTGAGCTTGGGAGATCAAGGCTGCACTGAGCTGTTATCGTGTCACTGCACTCCAGCCTGGACAACAGAGTGGGACTCTGTCTCAAAAACAAACAAACAAAAACTTGACAGAGAGTTTCCCAAATTATCCGCAATCCTAAAAATTTAATTTGACATCCCAAACAATAAGTAACGAAATTATAATAAATTATTCTAAACTACCAAATTAAAAAAATTTTTTTGATCAATCTAGAGGAAAGACTGAATTATCTTTCTATTCTCTCCATGGAAAATATTATAAAATCAATGTCATATCAAGAGGCAATTCAGAGTATACAGCAAAAATACATATGTTAGAAAAAAGTATTATGGTGTTTTTAAGGTTGTTAATAAGTGCAATTGTGCAGTATTTCTGGATTTTTGTATTTGTCAACTTCTGAAAATTTTGAATTTCTTGTGATTTCTTTTCTCATTCTAAATAAATACATTTGCATCTTCGTAAATTTTCTTAAAAACCTTATTTTCTGCCTCTCTCCAGATAAGCTTCGTGCCCCCCAAAACAAAAGTTTATTCCTATACACACCTCCACTGTAACTCTTAGCAATTGTGGGTCCCTTCTCAATACTTACAAAGTGTGGTCACAGACATACACATTCATGCACACACACTGCCAATTGTGATTCAATCTCATCTAAGAATAAAGGCTGTGTAATGGCTTTGCATTTGATTAACTAAAAGGCCACCCTCTTAACATTCCATCTCCAGAATGAATTATGTCTGTATCTCTAATGTAGCAGACCTGCTTACACCTTTTAAACTTGCTACTCTTCAAGTCTTTACCACAACCATGCTGGAAAGGAAAATAAAAAAAACAAAATCTAAACAACCTAATAGCCTCAGTTTCATCTAAGACCCCTCTCCTCAGTTTTCATTCAATTTACAGTGCTTCCTGGGCTGCTCTGAAATGGGATGTTAGTATTTCTCAAGATGCAATTATTTCTTGTTAAAATAATAACAATCATCATCATCATCATCATCATCTAGGTGCTGTTAGTACCAGGGACACTGGACAAGAAAGATAAGCAAGCCACTGCTGTCTGATTCCTACATAGCAGGTTTGTATTTTGTGACAAAGGTAGCATGTATTATTTTCTGTGCCCAGAAATTTCTAATAGGAATATGTATTATAATGACATCTTTCATACTGTGATGTTGAAACCATCTCCACAAAGTTCACAAGAATTGCATGTTGAGTTCTGGACAGAAATATAGTTATAATTAAGCATTAATCAGGCTGCACTCTGGCCCACTTCCTTGTTGTTAAAACTCATGTAGCACTAGATACTGGCCATTTGCATGCTCATTGTTCCATAGATAGAATTTCTGACATTAGGGTCATAGGCTGTTTAAGAATCGATTTGCATGCCCACTGCTCCCATAGGGAGGATGTCTGACATGAGTGTCATAGACTATTTAAGAAATAATTTGCATCCCCGTTGTTCCTACAGACAGGATCTCTGTCATTAGAATCATAAGGCTTTTGTTTAAGGCTTTTGTTAAATTTTGTAAAATTTCTCATTTCTTGTGATTTCTATTCTCATTCTAAATAAATACATTTATATCTTTGCAATTTTTCTTTAAGACCTTACTTCTGCTTCACTCAAGATTGTTTTTCAGACCCCTAATTCCAGCAGCCAGTTTGAAGACCCCCACAGAAGAGTGAGATCAGCAGAATACACCTCATTCATCTCCCTATTCCATGACTTCACTGTGCACTCTGGGACCAATCAACAATCTCCACACTTCAGTTCACTCCAAAACCCTTAAAAATTTTATCCTCAAATTCTTCAGGGAGATGGATTTGAGGCTTCTTCCCATCTCCTTGTTCAGTGACCCTACAATTGAATCTCTTTCTCTGCGCCAGCTCAGCATCTTGGTGTATTGACTTGCTGTATGCATCAGGCAATAAGCCTATTACAGCTACGGTAGTCTATCCAATATGAAACAAGAAATGAAATTCTGTTAATGCCATGTTGAGTATTATCCTGGCTCTAAAAGTATATTTGAAATGAGAATTGTAAATCCAAAAGCTTGTTTAAGTACAATAGGCAAATTTTACTGGAACATATAAATATGATGGGCCTCTATTTATTGGCCTATCCAGTTTCTTCAAAAGGCTGGAAAAAGTAAACCTTTCCCTTACAGTTTTGTATGCTTCTCTAGGTTCTAAATTAGGTATTTATCTAAATAGTATAGAATTCGTGTTTGTAATTCAGGAGGTAAAAAAGAGTATTAAAGGGACTTGATTTAGTTTTAGACCCAGGAAACACTGCAAGCACTTTGATGTGCTGGATGTCCTGCAGTTGGTGGCTTGTGTTGATACTGGCAATGAACCATACTACTGACTAGTTTTTCTTGTACAGGCAATGAGAAAGATTAGCATATTGGCTTAATCAATTTTTAATGAAGGAGATATATACTAATGACCAAATATTTGATACTGCTGTTACAGAAGAGCAAAATTTAAATTTTCAAAAGGACAGAATTATTAGGAGAACTACTTTGGGAACTGGATTTTCTATATAATCGTTTGTTCCCATCTTCTAATTGTCCCCTGGCTTTCTTCTTCAGTCTAGGATATGGATGAATAATTAAACGAAGAAATATTTCAGATTCTTGCCTGTATGGATTTTATACATAGCATTCAAGCACTGCTGATTTACCATGAATCGATTATACTTTACTGTGGGCTCAGTCTTTGATCATTTGCTCTTTTGGCTAACTAGCAAGATTAAGTGATTTGTCCTAAATCATGCTCTAAGAATTAAGACTTCATTAATAATGCACTAAGAATTATATACATGCTACAGAAAGCAATCTTAGAGATCTGTATTTGTCAAGACTCCTGACTGCGTGTGACTTAACATGAATCAGTTTATTGGTCCCCTAATGACTACAATGTGGGAAAGATAGAGTGGAGGGATATAGAGATTCTCTTTATCCACATAAACCGAAGAAATGTAGAATTTAAGACTTTGTGTTTCTAACACTGTAGGAGAGAACAGTTCATTCAGAGCTCTTAATATTTTAGGAACTAGAGATTAATTTAGTAAAAATTACTAGATCATCAATGTCACATTTGTTTGAATTGTAAAAAGTTGCCTCCAGCAGAAGGATTGAAAAAAAAAAACAAAAAACAAAAAAACAACAAACAAAAAAAAAAAACCAAACACTCTCTGGGCAGATGAATTACAAAAGGCATCTCTTTGGGTAAATAAACAATGAAAATCTAAAAAACAAAACACTCTTTTAAACTGATAAACAACCCAAGGCTAACAAACCAGCCTTCCATTTACCCTCTTGGCTGGATGCATTTGTGAAAAGTACAATCTGCAAAATCATACAATTGATTTTGGAGAGTTCATCGGATTTTTCTGAATCTTGAATACAGTATTACGCTGGACTCTTTTTTTGGTGTTGGAGGGCAGTATCTGCCAGGCTCACAATGAAGTCATTAATTTTGTTATTACATCTCTTCCACCACCACTTCCCACCCCTGGCAACTACAGTGTACCACATGACCACAAATTCTTGCTCACGGTGGATTGGACACCGGACCTAAGTTGGGCCAATCAGAACTACTTCCCGGCAACTTGCGATTGTCACTGAAAGAAATTGTAATCCTCCTTAGAGGTGCTGCAGTGTGGGCAGCTTCCATGCACAACATGCAACATTTAAAAACCCAGTATAGGCAAAGAAAGAATGAAGCAGACATAGAGGGAAGTGTGGAGAGAAGCTACATATGGTGGAGATGACCCTCTGCTCTTCTGAAGGCCTTTGGGGTCTGATACAAACCCCTGTGTCCCAATTATAAATTCTCCTTTTCTTCTTTACCTAGGTTAAAGTGTTGGATTCATAATTCTCACTTCAGGAAGACTGAAAACCAGACTTTATTCTGCTAGATCCCAAGATATCAAGGAAGAGGAAAAGGGAAGAGCCCCAGGCACTATTAAACCACAGCTACAATCACTGCCATTTGAAACTTCCCACCAAACAACTTTACTATTCTGATTTAATTTCAACTCCCAGGGAGAGTTAGTATTAAGAGGAAGTACCTATCATCCATGATAATCCACCAGCTCTGGGGGTTTAGAAGGGAAAGGATGGAGGTCTCAGTGCTTGAGGCTAGGCTGACAGCTGAGCAGGGCTCCAGCTCACCTTAATCTCACTCCTGTGGATGCCTGCACTAGGGGCCTGAGCATTCTCCCAGATCTCTGCATAGGAGGCTGCCCTTAGGCATTATTAAGGTGTGAAAGCAGCAAGAAAGAGCAGAATTAAACTGCTTTTCTCTAATGTATCCTTTTACAGCCCAGTGTATTTTGCCCTAGGCTAGCCTTTTCTTCTCCTTTCACCCTCCACATGCCAGTCCGAGACAGCCTTTCTTCTCACAGGAATTATTGTATTATTTCTTAAATTCTTTTTTTCTTCTCCATGGCTTTTCTAGAGGAAACCTAACAGTGTGGGTTTATCAATCATTTTGACAAGACTCTGAATTCCACTGAACAGATTTTTGAATAAAAATTATGAACAAAGAAAGTGTAGTAAATCTGCTAATAGAAAAACTGACTATGCCTTGTGGGAAAATTTTTGTGTGTGTGACATTCCATCGTGTACCTGCCAGAGAAGAAAACAATTGGGCCTGTTACTCAAATTGTTCAATTTTTAAGCAGGTCCATTGTTATGATTGGACTTTATTCCAATATAAGCACTTGCAAAAGGATGACATAAAGTGAGAATATAATAGAATGATTATATGTAATGAGTTTACTGAAGAACTTCTACATCTTGGAGTACAAACAATGTTTTGGATTTTTTTGTTTGTTTGTTTTTTTCCCATCATTTTCGGCAGTGTTTTCTTGCATTTCTCCTTGCAAGCCTTTTAAACAATATCATCTACAATTTTCTGCTTGCTTATGATTATCAAAATTAAACCCAATTCTATTTATTTAAAACTGCAACATTTTTATATTTGATCTAAAGTTCTTCTTACCCCAAGCATACTTAATCAGTCCTGCTCAGTGTTGCCCATAGAATGTTTTTGGTCTATGAATGATTTGCTAGTGGTCAGAGGCAAATTAAGTATTTAGATATATGTATATTAATTTGACTTTTATGTAACATCCAATCCCATATAAGCACCTTCTTAAACTCTGAGGCCCTATCATAAGCACCTTCTTAAACTCTGAGGCCCTATCACATGGACCCAATGGCACTGCTGAGGCCCTCTTCCGTAAATCCTGATAATCACAGGGAATTGGGATGTAGTGGAGATTTGTTCCCATCATCTTCCCAAGCACCACATTTCCTTCAAGCTCTGTTGGTACAGAACCTACAGAAGTCTTCCCTAACTTAGTGTCTTGTCCATGTGCGCCCCCACACCTTGAGGGGCAGATCTCAAAGCTCTCTGAAAAGCCCTCATGACTTTCAGCTACAGAAGCAATGGCACCTTTGAAGAACTCAAGATTACTGCAGCTCAGCTTCATCTACCTGGGGAGTCAGTTTCCAAAGATATTTCCTTATAGTCACCTCTTGTCCTGGTTTATTTTTGTTGCTATAACTGAATACCTGCTACATCTGGTAAGGGGCTTATTGCTGGTGGGGACTCCCTTTAGAGTCTCCTGGCCTTCAATGTAGGGCATCACATGGTGATGAGCATATAAGGGAGAAGCAAAGTGGCTTTGATAATAGACTCAGCTACATGACAAACCATTAGTCCATTGACCCACTAATTCATCAATTCATGAATGGATTAATCCATTTGCAAAAGCAGGGCCCTCGACCCAATCATCTCTTAAAGGCCTTACCTCTTAATGCTGTTACATTAGGGATTAAGTTTCAACATGAGTTTTGGAGGAGACAAATATTCAAACCATAGCACCCCTACATTTTTAAAAATCATATATATACATATTTTTCTTTTTTTCATAGCTTTATGAGGTACATGAGAAATTTTGTTACATGTATCTAATGAATAGTGATCTAATCAGGTTATTCAGGGTGTCCATCACCTGAGTACAATACATTTTTGCTAAGTATGATCATTCTAATGTGCTATCACACATTGAAATTATTCCATCTTACTGTATGTTTGTAAGATTTAACCTACTTCTTTTCATCCTACCCCTGCCCCCCACCCTTCCTAGTCTCTGCTATCTATTTTTCTACTCTCTCCCTCCACGTGTTCAAATAATTTATCTCCCACATATAATTGAGAACATATGATTTTTGTGTTTGTGTGTCTGGCTTATTTTACTTAACATAATGTTCTCCAAGCTCATCCATGTTACCACATTTTTTATGGCTGAATAGTATTCCATTTTGTATATACATCACATTTTCTTTATCCATTTATTTGCTGATGGTTGATTCAATATATTTGCTATTGTGAATAGCGCTGCAATAAACATGTGAGTGGAGGTATCACTTTGATGTATTGATTTATTTTCATTTGGGTAGCCACCCAGTAGTGGAATTGCTGGATCAAATGGTAATTCTAGGCCTGGCACAGTGGCCCATGCCCATAATCCCGGTACTTTTGGAGGCCGAGGAGGGTGGATCATTTGAGTTCAGGAGTTCGAGACCAGCCTGGCCAACATGGTGAAACTCTCTCTCTACTAAAAAAAAAAAAAAAAAAAAAAAATAGCTGGGTGTTGTGGTGCACACCTGTAATCCTGGCTACTCAGGAGGCTGAAGTAGGAGAATCACTTGAACTTGGGAGGTGGAGGTTGCAGTGAGTTGAGATTGTGCCACACACTCCAGCCTGGGCAACAGAGTGAGACTCTGTCTCAAAAAAAAAAAAAAAAAAGAAAAAAGAAAAAAGAAAAAAAGTTATTCTATTTTTAGTTTTTAAAGAAATTTCCATACTGTTTTTTATAGTGGCTCTAGTAGTTTACATTCTCACCAACAGCGTATAAGAGTTCTCTTTTCTATTCATCCTTGCCAACATCTGTTATTTTTGTCTTTTTAATAAAGCCATTCTGACTGGTGTAAGATTATATCTCATTGTGATGCTGATGTACAATTCTCTGATGATTAATCTTATAAATTATTCCTAGCTATTGAAAATGGGGTTGCCATCTTGATTGAGTATTTTTTCATTTACCTGTTGGCTGTATGTATGTCTTCTTTGTAGAAATATCTAGTCATATCCTTTGCCCACTTTCTAATGGGATTGTTTGTTGTTTTCATCTCGAATTGTTTGAGTTCCTTTTATATTCTGGATATTATTCCCTGTCAGATGAACAGTTTGCAGATTTTTCTTCCATTCAACAGGGTGTCTCTTCACTGTGTTGACTATTTCTTTTGCTGTGCAGAATCTTTTTAGTTTGATTAGGTCCCATTTATTTATTTTCTTTTCATTGCCTTGCTTTTGAGGTCTTATAAATTCTTTGCCTGGGCCAGTGTCCATGAGTTCTTCCTAGATTTTCATCTAGTATTTTTATAGTTTCAGATCTTACACATAAGTCTTTAGAACATTTTGAGTTGAATTTTTTTTTTTTTTTTTGACAGAGTCTCATTCTGTCATCCAGGCTGGAGTACAATAGTGCAATCTCAGCTTACTGCAGCCTCTGCCTCCTGGGTTCAAGTGATTCTCCTGCCTCAGCCTCCTGAGTAGCTAGGACTACAGGTGCATGCCACCATGCCTGGCTAATTTTTTGTATTTTCAGTAGAGACGGGGTTTCACCCTGCTGGCCAGGCTGGTCTCGAACTCCTGACCTCATGATCCACCCACCTCGGCCTCCCAAAATGCTGGGATTACAGGTTTTATTTATTTTTGTTTTGTTTTGTTTTGTTTGTTTTTTGACAGGGTCTAATTTTGTCAACCAGACTGGAGTGCAGTTGTGTGATCACAACTCACTGCAACCTCTATCTCCCTGAGCTCAAGCAATACTCCTACCTCAGCCTCCTGAGCAGCTGGAACTGCAGGCACACCCTGCCATATCAAGCTATTTTATTTTATTTTTTTGTACTTTTTGTAGAAATGTGGTTTCTTGAACTGGTCTTGAACTCCTGGGTTTAAACAATCCACCTTTCTCAGCCTCCCAAAGTGCTGGGATTCTACTTTTAATTTTTAAAGAAATTTAAAACTAAAATTTTAAATAGGCTGAGAACAGGTGTGAGCCACCACAACTGGTGAGGACTTTTATCATGAAGAAATGTTAAATTTTATAAAATGTTTTTTCTGCATCTATTGAGATGATCATATGATGCATCACATTTACTTATTTGCATATTTTAAACCATCCTGGTATAAATCCCAACTAATGGTGGTATATTATCTTTTTGATGGGCTGTTGGATTTGGTTTGCTAGTACTTTGTTGAGAATTTTTGCCTTTATATTCATCAGGGATAGTAGCCTGATGTTTTCTTTTTTTTTTTTTTTTGGTTGTGTCCTTGTCTGATTTGAGGATCGGGGTATTGCTGGCCTCATAGAACAAGTTAGGGAGAATTTCTTCCTCTTCAATTTTTTTGTAATAGTTTCAGGAGAATTGATATTAGTTTGTCTTTGTATGTTGGATAGAATTCAGCTGTGAATCCCACTGGTCCCAGGCATTTCTTTTTTGGGAGACTTTTTATTACTGATTGAGTCTCACTACTTGTTTATTGATCTGTTTGGGTTTTCTTTGTCTTTCTGATTCAGTCTTTGTGGGTTGTATGTTTCCAGGAACTTACCCATTTCCCATATGTTTTCTAGTTTTTCAGAATATAGTTATTCATAATACTCTCTGATGACCTTTCATGTATCTGTGGTATCTGTTTTAATGCCTCCTTTTCCATTTCTGATTTGTTTATTTGGGTGTTTTCTTTTCTTTTTTAGTTTGACTAGCAGTTTTTCAGTTTTGTTTATCTTTTCAATGAACTAACTTTTCATTCCACTGATTCTTTGCATTTTTTAAGCTCTATTTCACTTAGGTCTGTTCTGATCTGTGTTACTTCCTTTCTTCTGATAATTTGGGGTTTGGTTAGTTCTTTTCTTTTTTTTTTTTTTTTTTTTTCTTGAGATGGAGTCTCCCACTGTTGCTTAGGCTGGAGTGCAGTGGTGCAATCTCGGCTTACTGCAACCTCTGCCTCCTGGGTTCATATGATTCTCCTTCATCAGACTCCCAAGTAGCTGGGATTAAAGGGGCCTGCCACTACGCCCAGCTAATTTTTTGTATTTTTAGGAGAGACGGGGTTTCAGTATGTTGGCCAGGCTGGGTCTCGAACTCCTGACCTCATGATCTGCCCACCTCGGCCTCCCAAAGTGCTAGGATTACAGGTGTTAGCCACCATGCCTGGCCTGGTTATATCTTCTGTTTCTAACTCCTTGAGGTGCATTGTTAGATTGTTAGTTTGTAATCTTTCTGCTTTTTTGATGTAGGCATTTATTGTTATAAACTTTCCTCCTAGCACCTCTTTTACTGTATCACACAGGTTCTGGTATGTTGTGTTTCCATATTTATTTGTCTCCAGAAATTTTTTGATTTCCATCTTAATTTCTTTATTGACCCAATTGTCATTCAAAAACATGTTGCTTAATTTTCATGTATGTGTACAGTTTCCAGAGTTCCTCTTGGTATTAATTTCTGGTTTTATTCCATTGTAGTCTGAGAGGTTACTTGACATGATTTTAAGTTTTTAAATTTGTTGAGACTGATTTTGTAGCCTAACATATGGTCTATCCTGGAGAATGCTCCATGCGCCAAAGAAAAGAATGTATATTCTTCAGTTGTTGGATAGAATGTTCTCTAAACATCTGTTAGGTCCATTTGGTCTAAAGTTTAGTTTAAATCCAATGTTTCTTTGTTGATTTTCTGTCTAGATGCTAATGCTAATGCTGAGAGTGAAGTACTGAAGTTTCCCCACTCTAATTATATTCCAGTCTATCTCTCTCTTTAGAGCTAGTAATATTTATTATGAATCTGGGTGATCCAGTGTTAACCCTACTAAATTTTTCTGATAGTTTATCTTTAAGCTCCTCTCCTTCACATGGGTTGGGCTGGGCAAGAGTGAAGGTGGACATAGAAAAACCTCTCCCAAAAACATCATTTCTTACACTTTTATTTCTCTGTTGATCTGATATATGGAAGAGGAAGGGTGCTTTGAATTGAATGGGCCCAGTGCTATTATTTTTAGATAGTATAGGGATGATATGGTTTGACTCTGTGTCCCCACTGAAATCTTATCTCAAATTGTAATCCCCATAATCCCTATGTGTCAAGGACAGGTCCAGGTGGAGGTAATTGGATCATGGGGGTAGTTTCTCCCATGCTGTTCTCATGATAGTGAGTGAGTTCTTGTGAGATCTGATGGTTTTATAAGCATCTGGCATTTCCCCTACACATACTCACTCCGCCTTGCTGCCATGTAAAGAAGGTGACTGCTTCTCGTTTGCCTTCTGCCATGATTGTAAGTTTCCTGAGGCCTCCCCAGCAATCCATAACTATGAGTCAATTAAACCTCTTCCCTTTGTCAATTATCCAGTCTCAAGTATTTCTTCCTAGCCGAGTGAGAACAGACTAATATAATGGCTTTCTTTAGAGTATGGGAATATGCAGTTAACTTCTATTTCATCTTCAAATCTTAGCTATAATTCTGGCCCAATAAAAACATATTACTCTCATATGTAAACATGAGATCTTATAACATATAATATCATATCATATTTGCCTCAGTAGATTGCAATTGGATTGAAAGAAGAAAGTCAAAACTATCCTATTATTTGTCACATTCTACATAGGCAGCTGGGAACTTAAGCAGTGACTATGCTGGGTAGCTTAACTTCTAATGAGGAGCAACAGCCCAGGGTGCAGGGAATTCCTAACTTTAGACCCAGCTAGGTTTCCTTTACTATTAGTAAACCCTGCCTAAACGTTCATATGCAGGTAGTCTGTTTCTCTGAAATAAAGGATATCACAATAATTAAAATCTGTTAATATATGTGAAGTTCTTAGAACAGCACTTGACACATAGTAAGTACAAATATAATGAATTCTTATAATTGTATGTTGCTTCAACATCCATTTTGAATGTAAATGGCTTGACTTTCCATATTCAATGAGTTAATAGGTTTGACTTCCTCATACAAGAGGCAGAGCTTAGTCACCCTTGACAGAGTTTTCAGTTCTCCACCTCTTCCCAGTTTTTCAAGGTGTTTCATTCAGATATCTGTCTCATTAACTGCCTCCTGGTGACTACTTCCCTACGAGATAGTTACATTCAACCTACTTGCTCTACCCACTCCCACATGTGGCATGTGCTTTGTAGATAGGCCACAGTGACCACCTTTCAGTCACTGCAGGACTGCATCAAACTGCCCACTTGCTCTTAAACCCACCAGTTGTAACTCCCCACCGGAAATCTACCTAGGAAATGGCCTGAACCCCAATAAAGTCTTTGGACCTCAGGTCTCTTACTCTATCTCTCTTGCTCCCCACTTGACAGTTGAGTGTGTGTCCTGGACTCCCTCCTTCCTGTCGGTCCTGAAAAATGTGCTGCTCTCTTCTCTCTAGGGTATATGTGAGTAATAAAACTGCTTCTATTATTCCATGTGATATAGTTTGGCTGTGTCCCTACCCAAATTTCATCTTGAATTGTAGCTCCCACAATTCCCACATGTTGTGGGAGGGACCCAGTGGGAGGTAATTGAATCTTGGGGGTGGGTCTTTCCTGTGCTGTTCTCGTGATAGTGAATAAGTCTCACGAGATCTGATGGTTTTAAAAAGGGGAGTTTCCCTGCACAAGCTCTCTCTTTGCCTGCTGTCATCCATGTAAGGCGTGACTTGTTCCTCCTTGCCTTCCATCATAATTGTGAGGCCTCCCATCCATGTGGAACTGTGAGTCCATTAAACATCTACCCTGTATAAGTTACCCAGTCTCTGGTATGTCTTTATTAGCAGTGTGAAAACGGATTAATATACCATGTGTTTTGTTGTGCTGCCTCTTCTGCATCTCACACGACCAACATACCCGAACCTAACTTCTTTTCCAGTCAGGGCTCTCCTACAGAGTGGCTATCTTGGTAGGAATAAACTATTCACAGGTCTGGTGAGAGTCACAAGGGCATTTGCCAGTGTAAATAAGTTTCCTGTGAGAAGAACAATTGGACACGGGTCAGACACTTTAGCAAGTTAAGTATTCTGACAAAAGATAAAGGTCAGGATAAAAATGAAATTAGAGAAAAAAAATACAACTCAATAAATGTTAGCTGTTAAGTATAGCTTTGTCTACCCAAAATACTTCTCTAATTATCTTATTTCGGTAAAACACTGTTGTAGATTGCAAAAGCAGCCCAATTTTCTGTTCCTCTGTGTATAAATGCCTTTTACAATGATCAAGAGGTAGAGACTTTTCCCCCAGTTGCTGACTCTGGGCTGGGCTAGTGACTTGTTTTGGCCAATAGAATGTGATAGAAATTACATTTTGCCTGTCTGAGCCTAACTCTCAGAAGGTCTTGTGGACTTTTGCTCTCTCTTGAGATTTTTTCCTCTATTATGAGAACAAGCCCAAACTAGCCTACTGAGGGTAATAGACCATGGGGAAAAAAGCTGAGTCACTTCAATTGGAAGTCAGCCAACCCCAGAAACAGAGCTGCTTAGCTGATGTTCAATTGATTACAGGCACATGGGGAGGCCCAGCCAGTCAAACCCAGAACAGCCCGGCTGAGCTCAGCCTAATTCTGTGACTTTCAGGATGAGTAACAAAATAAATGATTCTTATTTTAAGTCAAAATTTTGGAGAGCAATCTTCCTCTTGTCAATGTCTATCTCAGTGCTATTTCAGACTCCTTTCGTACTGTCAAATCTCACTCAACTTTTAGCATCTATTTCAATTGGCATCTCTTCCAAGAAGATTTTTCTAATTTCCTCAAGTGATGTGTTATCTCCCCTATAATTGAACCCCATTTTGATATTTGTGTCCCTTTTTAGCTTTTTTTTTAACTTGTTTTCTATTAGAGGTGTTAGTGTCCTACTCATCTTGCTTTTCCTACAGCTAGTAAGTGGACATCCAGGAGGTACAAGGATATATCCCAGACCTGGCCAGTCATGCTACCATTTCCCATAATAATCTCCTTAAGAAGTGAGCACCAGACCCAAGTCATTCAGATACTACCTGTAAGATATAGGCACTGAGGGAAAGAGTCTGGTTTTTCTTTTAGATGAAGAGCTATAAGAATGGAATCGAGACTAGGAGAGGAACATCCAAAGGAGAGAAAATGACTGCAGTGGGAGAGAACAAGAGCTACGATCAAAAAGAGGAGAGACAAGCAGCACTGAGGAAGACAGAAGGGTAAGAAGAGGTAAGAATTCTATCAACACTGAGATACTGAGACCTGGATCTGTCCTGTTTTGGAAGTAATTGATTCTCTCTCTCTTTTTTTTTTCTTCTCAAGCTCAAGTGAGTTGTGTTTTGGTTAATTGCAAAAAGAAAAGAATCCTAAGCTTCTTGTGAACTGAGGCAGGTTAATATGAATGATTCTCCAGTGCTATATCACCTATAGATATGTTGACTACATAATGTATTATCTATATTGGGACACTTCTGAGAGCAAAATGGAGTGCTAGTAATAATTATTCTGAAAAACCTAGTGCTAAATGAGACTGTCTCTTTGGGTTTCCCAGAAAAAAATCAGAAAAGCTGGATCTTCAAAGCTGAGGATTAGATGCTGGATTGTTGTGTTACAAAAATCCAGGTCTAGACCTTCTATGGGTCCCTTCTTTGTAGCAGACAGTCAGCCTCTCACCCTTACAACCCTATTATCTACAAAAATACAGCTAATAAACAAAAACTCACAGGAAGCAAAGATTTATGGAACAGGTAGCAATTAAACTCTTTGGAACTACGTTGTGTTTGTGTGGGATAGTTCTTGAATTTGTGTTTGTAATCACTATAACTTAAAGGAAGAAAAAAATTAGGTATTAGTTCTCATGTATGATAATTTTCCTTCAAGATATTATGTTTTCTATCCTTGGTGTCGGGGAGGCAGTAGAAGTAGCAAATTAATATAATGTTTAAGTTAGTTGTTGAATATATATGGTATATAAAAGTTAAAACTCAGATAAAACTTTGTGTTAGCAACACAGATGAACACAATGTGGGCTAAAGCTGAAGAAATGTTTTGATTTCGATGATCACCTTTTATCTTCCTCTATAGGCTACAGCTGAGACAACAGTAATTAATCTCACAATCTCCTGTACCTGATATAATGGCTTAGGGGCAGAGGAGAACTACTGTAGTGTAAGTGGGGCTTGTGTTCTGATGGGCAATGGCAATAGGCAGGACCATTAATACAGACTCAGGCATATGGAAGTAGTATTATTGTGCCCACCTTGCTAATTTAAAACTCACTTTACACTTTAGAATTTCTCCCATGAAATAAGCAACGAAATATGTATCTACAGTAAAGTCATTTGGTGGGGGGATTGGGTATTTAATATTAATATGGTTAATATTTACATTAACCTCTACATTCATCCTGAGGATAAGAATAAGATCAGAACAACCAGGGAATAAGAGATAAGGATGACCACTTTTATCTTTACATTCTTTATCTCCTCTTTGTAGAAATAATAATAATAATAATTAAAGCTCTTTTCTTTCTTAGAAGTGTGTGGTGTTGAGTTCTCAACCCAGATGAACTTTGTGAGTGAGCTATAGAGAACTGAGATAGACCCAAGATAATCCAGCAGCCATTCTATAAAGTTGAGAGGTGAAAGAAAATTTCTTTTAAGTAATATTAAGTACCCACTTGGTAGGTAATTACTATAGGAGAAATTAAAATGACAAAGACACAAATGGGTCCACTACAAGACAAGCTAAGAAAAATGCTAAAGAGGGGTTACAAATAACAAATATCACAGTGGGGTTTGATGATGGAATAGATAACGTCACGTCTGAAAAAAATTAGAAAAACCTCCTTGGAAAAGAAGCTATTTGAAATGGGCCTTTTATGTTGGGGATTTTTTTCTGAGGAATGAAAGAGGCATTTCAGGAATAATCAAAATCTAAGAAGAAAGAAAGTTTGGGACAGTTTCCAGGAATAGGTAGTGGTCAATTTCGACTGCAAGATTAATAAGGCTAGAAAAGCAGTGCCATTTAGTAGGGAAATACACATTCCAAACCATATTACTCCCTAATGTTAGTTAGCATGTTAGCCTATCACTGAACTTTGCTCAGTCCCTCATCCCCTCATCGCACACACACACACACACACACACACCACATTCTCAGCA
Organism: Homo sapiens; assembly: GCF_000001405.40. Taxonomy (NCBI): domain Eukaryota; kingdom Metazoa; phylum Chordata; class Mammalia; order Primates; family Hominidae; genus Homo; species Homo sapiens. Next base: position 80,780,980 of record NC_000012.12, read on the forward strand.
AATACTTTGAAATTTGTTGGTCATAATCTGATGTAGTCATGGTAGATATTTTGTACTGTAGAGCTGTGCTAGTTGTTAAGTTTAGCCTAAAGCTGCCTCCTTACATATTTAAAATTCAGCCTAAAGATTTCTCCATACACAGTGAACTATAACCTAACCTAAATTGACATGTAAACACACTGTAACCTACTCTTATGGCAATCATCAAGTTCCATCTATTAAAACTATGTTCAAATAGGGTAAATGCTGAGCTGTACATGATCTGGCTGTTCCTGTACCTCACTTCCATTTTCTGTAGGTCATTTTCCTTATTCTGCCCCTAAGTCTTCTTCCATCACACAGCTGTGCTGGAGTCTCTCTAAGCCTACTCTTGCTTGGGAGGCTGCTCAATTCCTGAAATATTCTTTGTTCAATTGAACTCTATCAAATTTGATTTGTCTAAGGTTTTTTTCTGTTTACAGATGATGTCAGAAGTGGGATCCAAAGAAAAGCTTCCAGTGACCCCCAGGAGCACTGAGTGACCAAGCAAGGTACCTGCTGGGCCCATTGTATCCATTGTCTTCTTGTTGAAACTGGGGATTATTGGTTAGTTCTCCCTTGAATTCTGAAGCCCCACAGATTTGTGTTTTGAGGCATTCTGAGTTTGAGCAAATTTCTGATCCAAACTGGGTTGGAAGTTGCAGCATAAATTCGGCTGGGCCCAGAATCAGATTGGCTCTGTTAATTAACTGAATTGGATCTAGTTAGAGGTCTTAGGTGTCTGACTGGCTCAGAGAGAAACTAGGATTAAATGGTTATACTACAGGGGATGCAAACTTCAGCTTTCATACATTTACAGAGATTTTTGTCAATTTTTCCTGGGCATTTGGGTATGGAAAAATTATTAAGTTGATCAAGGAGATCTGAGAGTCAAAGCCAAGATTCAGAGTAAAAATGGGATCCTTAATTTCTTAAGAACTGAGTAATCTACCTTCCAGCTATGCCTACATTTACACATGAAAAGTATTAGGCCCCAGAAGCAGCAAATGGTTATAGAAATGGCAAAATCTTACTAAAGATAGTTTAAAATTAGAGTGGAACATTCCAAGTGAACAACATTGCACTTTAAGAAGTGCATTTGAAAGTGAGGGCCCCCTAATTAGTCTCATCCACGGAGGAGTCTTTTTTTATTTATTTTTTAAACAAGAAAAGACTTTTGCTTAAGGCAAATAAAAAGCTCAAGCAACTAATTGAGAAGAAAAATGGAAACTGCTAACATTTTCACTTAGTTACTATGATGGTTAATACTGAGTATCAACTTGATTGGATTGATCCTGGGTATGTCTGTGAGGGTGTTGCCAAAGAAAATTAACATTTGAGTTAGTGAGCTGGGAAAGGCAGACCCATCCTTAATCTGCGTGGGCACCATCTAATCAGCTGCCAGAATGGCTAGAATATAAAGCAGGCAGAAAAAACAAAAAACAAAAAACAAACAAACAAAAAAAAAAAATGTGAAAAGACTAGACTGGCCTAGCCTCCCAGCCTACATCTTTCTCCCATGCTGGACCCTTCTTGTCCTTGAACATTGGACTACAAGTTCTTCAGTTTTGGGGACTCAAACTGGCTTTCCTTGCTCCTCAGCTTGCAGACGGCCTATTGTGTGACCTTGTGATCATGTGAATTAATACTTAGTAAACTCTCATACACAAACACACACACACACACACACACACACACACACACACACACACATATTCTATTAGTTCTGTCCCTCTAGAGAACCCTGATTAAGGCCGTTACTATTCCATCCCAAAGGTGAAAAGAAAGCTATCCTAGATAATGTCTTTAGAAAAAGAAGATACTCAGTAAAGTAGGCTTGCTTCTTTTTCAGATCTATCCATACTGAGTTCAGGTATAGAGAATGCTTTCTTTGTCCTATTCCTTAATGTACTCCACCCCGAACTCAGTAATTTTAGCTAAGAAAGAGCAGCTGAATTAAAAAGATCATCTATCAAACTAAAACACACCTACCTGGCACTTAACCAGCTATCTTGAAAGACGTTTGTAAAAGCAATTTACATCTATAAAGGAAATCTCCATTTGTAAGAGCTCTGTCTATGTACATTAGAAACTCTTAACCATTGTTTTAGGTATGACAATTCTTTCATGAGCGTCCCTGTGAAGAGACCACCAAACAGGCTTTGTGTGAGCAACATGGCTGTTTATTTCACCTGGGTGCAGGCGGGCTGAGTTCGAAAAGAGAGTCAGCAAAGGGAGATAGGGGTGGGGCTGTTTTGTAGGATTTGGGTAGATAAAGGAGAAGGGGGGTTGTTCTCTGGCGGGCAGGAGTTGGGGGGTCACAAGGTGCTCAGTAGGGGAGCTTTTGAGCCAGGATGAGCCAGGAGAAGGAATTTCACAAGATAATGCCATCTGTTAAGGCAGAAACAGGCCATTTTCACTTCTTTTGTGGTGGAATGTCATCAGTTAAGGCAGGAACTGGCCACCTGGATGTGTACGTGCAGGTCACAGGAGATATGATGGCTTAGCTTGGGTTCAGAGGCCTGACATTTCTGTCTTCTTATATTAATAAGAAAAATAAAATGAAATAGTGGTAAAGTGTTGGGACGGCGAAAATTTTTGGGGATGGTATGGAGAGATAATGGGCAATGGGCTGCTTTGAGCGGGATTAGGGGCGGCGTGGGAACCTAGAGTGGAAGAGATTAAGCTGAAGGAAGATTTTGTGGTAAGGGGTGATATTGTGGGACTGTTAGAAGAAACATTTGTCATTTAGAATTATTGGTGATGGCCTGGATACGGTTTTGTATGAATTGAAAAACTAAACGGAATAAGAGAAGGAGAAAAACAGGTATTAAAGGTCTAAGAATTGGGAGGACCCAGGACATCTAATTAGAGAGTGCCTAAGGAGATTCAGCATAGTCCTGCCAGCAAAGATTATTTATTTACTTCAAGAGTTAAGAGTGGCGGTTTGGGGATAGCACCAGGAGATATCAGCTGTGATGGCTTGGAAAAACAGTGTAAACCGGCAGTGTAAACAACAGCAGGGCATGTATGAGTAGTTGAGAATGGTGAATAGGAGTATGACTAGAAAGAAGATAGTAGGGATGACAAGTTTTTTTGGGGCACAGTCTAAGTTGGTCTGGTGTCTGGAATGAGACTGGGGCCTAATAAAAAGGAGTGTCTATACAGGAGCTCAAATGGGCTGTACCTTGTAGCATTCCAAGGACAGGCCTGAATGCTGAGAAGGGAAAGTGGTAAAAGTATTGTCCAGTCTTTTTTAAGTTGGTGGCTGAGCTTGGTGAGGAGTGTTTTTAAAAGACCATTAGTTCGTTCTACCTTTCCTGAAGACTGAGGACCGTAAGGGATATAAGGGTTTCACTGAATACCAAGAGCCTGAAAAAATGCTTGGCTGATTTGACTAATAAAGGCTGGTCTGTTATCAGACTGTATAGAGGTGGGAAGGCCAAACTGAGGAATTACGTCTGACAGAAGGGAAGAAATGACCACGGTGGCCTTCTCAGACCCTGTATGAAAGGACTCTACCTATCCAGTGAAAGTGTCTACCTAGACTAAGAGGTATTTTAGTTATCTGACTCGGGGCATGTGAGTAAAGTCAATTTGCCAGTCCTGGGCAGGGACAAATCTTTGAGCTTGATGTGTAGGAAAGGGAGGGGACCTGAACAATCCCTGAGGGGTAGTAGAATAGCAGATGGATCACTGATAAGTGATCTCCTTGAGGATAGATTTCCATGATGGAAAGGAAATAAGAGGTTCTAAGAGACGGGCTAGTGGCTTGTACTATAGCATAGCCTGCCTTTCCTGGTGTGTGGCGATTAGGCCGGGTGGAACTGCCATAAATAAACCAAGTGTGATCAGGGTGAGAAACAGGGAAGAAGGAAATGTGGGGAAATGGGGTGAACATCAGGTGGATCAGAGAGATACAGTCATGTGGGTCAGGTGTGGTATCAGGAATAATGTGGGAGGCCGGATTGAAGTCCGGGCCAGGAACAATGGTAATTGTGGGACTTAACAAAGAGTGAGTACAGCTGAAGGAGCTGGGGAGCAGAAAGTATATGCGTCAGGTATGAGGAAGAAAATAGATTTTGGAAGTTATGAGAAATGTAGAGAGTAAGTTGAGGATAGTTTGTGATTTTGAGGGCCTCTAAAAGTATTAGGGTGGCAGCAGCCGCTGCACAGAGACATGATGGCTAGGCTAAAACAGTAAGGTCAAGTTGTTTGGACAGAAAGGCTACAGGGTGCGGTCCTGGCTCTTGTGTAAGAATTCTGACTGCACTAACCATGCCTAGGAAGGAAATGAGTTGTTGCTTTGTAAGGGATTGAGGTTTGGGAGATTAATCGGACACGATCAGCAGGGAGAGCACGTGTGTTTTTATGAGAATTATGCTGAGATAGGTAACAGATAAGGAAGAAATTTAGGCTTGACTGAAGTAATGGGGGCTGTCTGTGAAGCTTTGCGGCAGTACAGCCCAGGTAATTTGCTGAGCCCGATGGGTGTCAGGGTCAGTCCAAGTGAAAGCGAAGAGAGGCTGGGATGATGGGTGCAAAGGAATAGTAAAGAAAGCATGCTTGAGATCCAGAATAGAATAATGGATTGTGGAGGGAGGTATTGAGGATAGGAGAGTATATGGGTTTGGCACCATGGGGTGGATAGGCAAAACAAATTGGTTGATAAGGCATAGATCCTGAACTAACTTCTAAGGTTTGTCTGGTTTTAGGACAGGTAAATTGGGGGAATGATAAGGAGAGTTTATAGGCTTTAAAAGGCCATGCTGTAGCAGGCGAGTGATAACAGGCTTTAATCCTTTCAAAGCATGCTGTGGGATGGGATATTGGCATTGAGCGGGGTAAGGGTGATTAGGTTTTAGTGAGATGGTAAGGGGTGCATGATCGGTCGCCAAGGAGGGAGTAGAGGTATCTTATACTTGTGGGTTAAGGTGGGGGAGTACAAGAGGAGGACGCAAAGGAGGCTTTGGATTGGGAAGAAGGGCAGCAATGAGATGTAGCTGTAATCCAGGAATAGTCAGGGAAGCAGATAATTTAGTTAAAGTGTCTCGGCCTAATAAGGGAACTGGGCAGGTGGGGATAACTAAAAGGAGTGCTTAAAAGAGTATTGTCTAAGTTGGCACCAGAGTTGGGGAGTTTTAAGAGGTTTAGAAGCCTGGCTGTCAATACCCACAACAGTTATGGAGGCAAGGGAAACAAGCCCTTGAAAATAAGGTAATGTGGAGTGGGTAATCTCCGTATTGATTAAGAAGGGGCGGACTTACCTTGCACTGTGAGAGTTACCCGAAGCTCGGCATCTGTGATGGTCTAGGGGGCTTCCAAGGCGATCGGGCAGCATCAGTCTTCAGCCGCTAAACCAAGAAGATCTGGGAAGGAGTCAGAGAGCCTTGGGCCAGAGTTCCAGGGGCTCTGGGAGTGGCTGCCAGGTGAGTTGGACAGTCCGATTTCCAGTGGGGTCCCACACAGATGGGACGCGGCTTAGGAGGAATCTGGGCTGCAGGCATTCCTTGGCCTGGTGGCCAGATTTCTGGCACTTGTAGCAAGCTCCTGGGGGAGGAGGTTCTGGAGGAACGCCTGGCTGCTGCAGTTCAGGCATTTGGAAGTTCTTGTGTGCAGGAGATGTGGCTGGGGTTTGTCTCACAGTGGAGGCAAGGAATTGCAACTTTTTTCTATTATTGTACACCTTGAAGGTGAGGTTAATTAAATCCTGTTGTGGGGTTTGAGGGCCGGAATTTAATTTTTGGAGTTTTATTTAATGTCGGGAGCAGATTGAGTAATAAAATGTATTTTGAGAATAAGACGGCCTTTTGACCTTTTAGGGTCTAAGGCTGTAAAGTGTCTCAGGGTTGCTGCCAAACGAGCCATGAACTGGGCTGGATTTTTATATTTGATGAAAAAGAGCCTAAACGCTATCTGATTTGGGATAAAGAAAAAGGAGCATTAACTTTGACTATGCCTTTAGCTCCAGCCACCTTTTTAAGAGTAAATTGCTGGGCAGGTGGGGGAGGGCTAGTCACGGAAAGAAACTGTAAGCCGGACCAGGTGTGAGGAGGGGAGGTGATAAAAAGATTATAGGGTGGAGGAGCAGAGGCTGAGGAAGAATTGGGACCTAGCTCGGCCTGGCGAGGAGCAGACTGGGGAGGAGGGGAGAGGTCAGATGGGTCTGTAGAAAAGGAAGATTAGAAAGACTCAGTGATGCTTTGGGTTGGGACTGAGGGGACAGGTGGGAGGGAAAGAAGGAAGATTTGAGACGAGTTGCACTAGGCACAGAGACTAGGGAGGGACCGATGTGTAAAAGAATGCCTGGACATCAGGCACCTCAGACCGTTTGCCCATTTTACGACAAGAATTATTTAGATCTTGCAGGATGGAACAATTGAAAGTGCTGTTTTCTGGCTATTTGGAACTACTGTCGAGTTTGTATCGGGGTCAAGCAGCATTGCAGAAGAAAATAAGATGCTTAGATTTTAGGTCAGGTGAGAGTTGAAGAGGTTTTAAGTTCTTAAGAACACAGGCTAAGGGAGAAGAAGGAGGAATAGAGGGTGGAAGGTTGCCCATAGTGAAGGAGGCAAGTTTAAAGAAAAGGGAGAGTAGAGACACAGAGGGAAGCGGTTCAGGGGTTCTTACCCTCCAGAAAAGTGGGAAAGGGGTTGGGGCACAGAGATACGAGGTTGGGGTGCAGAAATAAGGGATCAGGGAACAGAGATATAAGAGGTTGGGGAGCGGAAATAAGGGATCAGGGTGCAGAGATATAAGATGTCAGGGCACGGAAATAAGGGATTGGGGCACAGAGATAAGCAGTGTGCAGAAATAAGGGATTGGGGCGCAGAGATATAAGAGGTTGGGGCATGGAAATAAGGGATTGGGGCACAGAGATAAGAGGTTGGGGTACTTGCCCCTCCTTTAGAAAATCGGGACTTGCCACTAAGAGTGAAGGAGAAGGGGTTGGGGGTTTCTTGCCCCCCAGAAAGGAGGAGAAGGGGTAGAGACACGGAGAGAAGGGGCTGAGGTATTTGCCCCTACCCCAGAAAAGCAGGACTTGCTGCTAAGGGTGAAGGACCAAGGCAGGCATCCCTGAGTGGTCTGACACCTCCGAAACCTGGGTGAATAATCAGAGAAGCGTCCCTCCAATGATTAAACACCAAGGGAAGGCTGCCTTCACTAGTCCGTGACCGGCACCAGAGTTTTGGGTCCACGGATAAAACGTATCTCCTTTGTCTCTACCAGAAAATGAAAGGAACTGAAATTAAAAGAAGGGAGAGATTGAAGAGTGGAAAGGAGAAAGTGGCTGAGGGACGGTGAGAGAGGTTGGAGAAGAGAGTAAAAAGAGGCCGCTTACCAGATTTGAAATTGGTGAGATGTTTCTTGGGCTGGTTGGTCTGAGGACCTGAGGTCGTAGGTGGATCTTTCTCATGAAGCAAAGAGCAGGAGGACAGGGGATTGATCTCCCAAGGAAGGTCCCCCAATCCGAGTCACGGCACCAAATTTCATGCGCGTCCGTGTGAAGAGACCACCAAACAGGCTTTGTATGAGCAACATGGCTGTTTATTTCACCTGGGTGCAGGCGGGCTGAGTTCGAAAAGAGAGTCAGCAAAGGGAGATAGGGGTGGGGCCGTTTTTATAGGATTTGGATAGGTAAAGGAAAAGGGGGGTTGTTTTTTTGGCGGGCAGGAGTTGGGGGGTCACAAGGTGCTCAGTAGGGGAGCTTTTGAGCCAGGATGAGCCAGGAGAAGGAATTTCACAAGATAATACCATCCGTTAAGGCAGGAACAGGGCATTTTCACTTCTTTTGTGGTGGAATGTCATCAGTTAAGGCAGGAACCGGCCATCTGGATGTGTACGTGCAGGTCACAGGGGATATGATGGCTTAGCTTGGGCTCAGAGGCCTGACAAAGTCATACCTTTGTTTAAGGTGCTTTTCTCACATCTTGTCTTAACTGAACTTTTACTTACACCAGTTTTTCCTTGGTTTGAGCAAATGATACAATATGTAGGCCTAAACTTTTAGCTCTGTGCTTTTGAAATACAAATCTTGTTTCACGTAAGAATTGTGCCTTTAGAAATACCACTTTGGTGCCTACTTAACAACTGCTTAGAACAATGAAACAGGTAATTGGAAGATTGATAGGCTGAAGGGGGGAAATCCACTTAGAGTCTGACAAATGAGAATCCTTTATAAAAGCTGTAAGATCTGCTTCTATCTGTGTTTGTATGTCCGTATACATTATGTGTATGTGATAATATTTGGTAAAAAAAAAAAAAGAAAAAAAGCTAGTTTTAAAAATTGTTGGTAAAATAGGAATGGCTTCAAAATTATCAGTTAAATATAATTCAGTACTTGCTTGATTTGACTGCAAGCTTGTGTTTTTGGTTGAGCCTCTGGATTTGAGAGTCTGAGTAGGTGGTCATTGTGAGGCATGGGGACATGTTCTCAGTACCTAGACCAGCAGCTATAAGACAGAGACAGGCCCACTATGGACCCTTCTTCTTTGTCTCAGCTTTGCCTCCTGGCTATTCTGGGAGGGTTTCCATCCTCCAAACATTTTCTCCCTGGCTCTGTCTTTTATCCTGACCTCAATACCTGGTATATAAATACAGGACTCAAGCCCTGCTTTTCATAGTCCTCTTGGGTGCCACGTGGCTATCTGGAACCCAGGATGACTAGGAAAGACATTGGGTAGGGTATTTGTGCTATAGTTTGGAGAGACAGGACTAGCTGGATTTCCTAGGCTGACTAAGAATCCCTAAGCCTAGCTGGGAAGGTGACCACATTCACCTTTAAACATGGGGCTTGCAACTTAGTTCACACCCAACCAATCAGAGAGCTCACTAAAATGCTAATTAGGCAAAAACAGGAGGTAAAGAAATAGCCAATCATTTATTGCCTGAGAGCCCAGCGGGAGGGACAAGGATCCGCATATAAACCCAGGCATTGCAGCCAGCATCGGCAACCCTCTTTGGGTCCCCTCCTTGTATGGGAGCTCTGTTTTCACTCTATTTCACTCTATTAAATCTTGCAACTGCACTCTTCTGGTCCATGTTTGTTACGGCTCCAGCTGAGCTTTCGCTCACCATCCACCACTGCTGTTTTGCCGCTGTCACAGACCCGCCACTGACTTCCATCCCTCTGGATCCAGCAGGGTGCCCGCTGTGCTCCTGATCCAGCAAGGTGCCCATTGCCACTCCCGATTGGGTTAAAGGCTTGCCATTGTTCCTGCATGGCTAAGTGCCTGGGTTCATCCTAATCCAGCTGAACACTAGTCACTGGGTTCCACGGTTCTCTTCCATGACCCACAACTTCTAATAGAGCTATAACACTTACTGCATGGCCCAAGATTCCATTCCTTGGAATCCGTGAGGCCAAGAACCCCAGGTCAGAGAACACGAGTCTTGCCACCATCTTGGAAGTGGCCCACCACCATCTTGGGAGCTCTGGGAGCAAGGACCCCTGGTAACAGTTTCAAAATTATTTTCAGTAATTTAAAATTTTAAAGTCAACTTTTGTTAAATTAATAGTCATAAAATGCCTGAGTCATTTTTAAATAAGGTAAAATACTGAAATATTAGTTATCAGGCATGAGTTTAAGTCTATATACCTTGACATATTATTTTTATACAGTATAGAAAAGCTAAATATATTTAGATCTGTTAACAATAATTTAGGAAAATGTCTTTCTAAAAAACTATAAACTTCTTTTTATCTATAAATACTGATATAAAACAGTTCAAAATTTCTTCCTAATATTTTCACTAGAAATTAGGGTTACTGAGAGTTAAAATTGGAGTTAATGTAATTAAAACTACTAGATATGAAAAAAACAATTATTTATACAGAATGTATAAACAAAAGCAAGATACGCTTTTGGTGAGGAAAGTTGTAAAGGCATAAAGGTGTGTGTTGACATAAAAATAATTTTGTCTAGTGTAGAAGTTTCTTAAAAATTTCAAATTGAATACGAAATAGGTAAAACTAAATGAATATAGAGAGTTTGGAAGAGCTAGAAAATGTAAAACAAAAAAGTGTGTATGAAAATATTGTGTGGCTATAAGATGACAGATCTGATAGATTTATAAGGTTTTATTAAAATTAGCTTTAGTGTTGATAATATACTAATCCAAAAGTAAAATTTGGTTTTCTCTTTTGAACAAAAATTTTTTGTAGTGTTAATATGTCAGTAAAATGTTTTTGTTCACCTTTTGAGTAAAAAGCAAAAAATAAGAAACAGTGATGAGAGAGAGACATATTCCATCTCATGCTCTATCTCTCAGGTATTTTGATTGTTTGGGAAACCGGGTCTTCTCTCAAAGAGTAAAGGTTTTTGCTTTTTTTCAAAATCTTTAAATTATTATTTTGGCTACATGGATGATCATTATTTTACAGTGGCCTGTGATTCTATTTTGGTTAAGTGTTTTAAAACACATATTTGACAGGTTTCCTAAAATCAAATTTCATCTTCATAATTAAGTCTTTTTTTTTTTTTGACCTCTAAAGTTAGGATGCTAGAGAAGGTCCCTGCAGCTTCCAAAAGCGAGAGAAATAGAATTATTTGATGTATTAAATTACATGGGAAGCCTTATCAAATACGAAATGATGTTTAACCTTCTTTGAGTTGTATTTCATAAATATGTTATTAATATATGTTCCAAAATTGTATGGGACTCCTAAAATTCTGATATGTCTGGGTATAGACTATCACTCATAATTATGGTTAATATGTTAAATTATTGTAGGCCACAGATATAACCAAATTTCCTTGTGGATTGTGTCCTTATGCCTATCTTAAGTCATTTCCACAGTTAATTGCTTAATTCTGATGCAGTTTCTGAAAACTTCACAAGCAAGCAAAATCCTAGAATATTTGTGTCTTCAAAGAGGTTTGTGAAAGGATGGAAAGGACACTGATAAACATTCTTGAATATAGGTTTCTGGTAACTACATGACCATATAATTTGAACTGGGTAAAAATTCCCTTTATGATTCATTTTATAATAAACCAGTAAACTAAGTAGGTGTTTTCCTCAGTTTTGTGAGCTGTCCCAGCTGAACCCAAAGAAGGGCTTGTGAGAATCTCAGTCTCCAGCCAGTCAAAGGACAGGTGACAACCTACTACTTGCAATTGGCATCTTAAGTAGGCTAAGTGTTGTGAGACTGAGCCCTCAATCTGTGGAATCTACACCATCTTCAAGTAAATAGTTTCAGAATTGAATTGAATTATAGGACATCCATTTGGTACCTGCTTGGAAAATTGATGGGGTGGGGGGGTGGGGAAACCTTTACATTTGGTCACAGAAGTGTTCTATGTTGAGTTTGAGACTAGAAAGCAAAAAAAAAAAAAATTTGTCTTTTCCTTTACAGAATCTAAGCCCTCAATAGAATGACACCACTGTGTGGTCAAGAATGGAGAAACCCAAGAAACTTAGCATCCCAATATTGAGGTGTCTTCAGTATCTAAAAATTCTTTTACATCCATGCTTTAAAAGAACTTAAAGTCATTTGATAATGAAAACAATACTTCCAGTTTGGTGTCTAATACTTTTACTTCCCAGCAGCATAATACCACTTTGGTCAGGTTGAACCACTGCACAATTTTGCAGCTCTTTCAGAAAAATAATGAAAACAATTGGAAAGACATGATGTACATGCAAATGGTGAGAAAATGATACTATTGTCCAATCCTTTCCCGTAAATGTAAAATATCCTTAGTTCATCTCCAAACTGTGTATTTATTATAAGCCCTTACATCAGGGATTTTGTTTCTTTCAGTTTTTGTAGCACCAAATAGACACAGCGGCTAACAAGAAATAAATCTGAAAAGTCACTGAAATATTTATCACATGTCAGAAATTTTCTGGTCTGTACCTTTAACCATGTTCCTGGCTTCACATATTCTTCTTAAGAGTAAGCTATAACATAAGATTGAGTTCCCACCCTGTGTTTGCTACTGATGTGATTTGTTTACCATGAATAATACTTTGTTAATATCTTTTGTATATTACTTTACAATTTCCAAGTATTTTATATACAGTGACTCACTTAGTGACTCATTCATTTTAATGTAATGGTGTCCCCCAAACCACAGATAATGATTAGACACATGAACTCTTGTGTCAGATTGCATGGGTTCAAATCCCAGTTCCACCTGCTAGCTGTGTGACCTTGGACAAGTCACATAATATATCTGTGCTTCAGTTTTTGTATCTATAAAATGGAACCTACTGAATAGAGTTGTTGAAGGGATTTGGTGAGATAGTCCATAAAAGCACTCAGCACAGTGGCTAGAAAATAGAGCTGCATAAATGTTAGTTATGAATAAATTACTTACCTACCTCACTGGGGTATAACCGTGGTTTATAGATAAACTAAGCAGCATTTTTGAGCAGTGGTTTTAGAAAAGCAAGCTCACACAAATCTGTGCAGGGAGTATTTCATGACTTCCATGGGGTGAGGAATTTTATTTTTTCTATCAGGTGTGAAGAGGACCCAATGGACAGTAAACTCTCTAGTTATTGCTAGAGTAAATGTTGGAGAGTTTCTCACAGTAACCTCCAAGAGGGATTGTGTCTGTCTTGTTTGCTGTTGCATTTCCAGAACCTAGCATGCACTAGGTACACAATAAGTATTTGTTAAATGAATAAACACATGGAAACATCTGAGTAAGTATGTGATTAAACTTCAGCTTAGTGTATTCCAGGAATCAAATATGAAAGGATAAATGATCTTTTGAAAATAGGAAGAGATTTAGGGATGGTGTCTCCAATTATTATGAATTTCTTAGAGAATGGTTGTTAATAAATATCAAAGGGGATAATATGCCTGATGATCTTTTTATATAAAAATGAAAATATCTTTTATAAAATTTAAAAATGGGGTTTTATGTTTGAATCATTCCTGCCAGATAATTCAGGAAGCTTGTATAAAGAACTAGAAAGGTTGAGTTCAACTCAGCATAAAAACTCTGTATCCCCAAACATTGTTCCTTATCCACTGTTCAAATGTCCTCAAATCTTTGAAGCCTTTAAAGTAATTAATGAAATTTCAAATTCATACATCTAAAAAGTTTTTATATAGACTCAAAATATGGTTCTAACCATGAAACTTAGAAATCATAGTGACAATCAGTATAATATAAGCTGGTAAAATTTGTGAGATTTTCAGAAGGCAAAATCCATGTTTTTTGTCTATTCACTGATTCAGCCACTTATTCATCCAACAAATACCGAGTGCCTACATTGTGCCAGGCAGTGGTCAAGGCAGTCACAGCCCTTTCTCTATAGTTTTCCAGCTAGAGAGGGATGAGATGGGTTGGACCACCCCATATTTTGGAAGATCTTTTTCTATGTTGGCCTCCCTGAATCTTCAGAGCATTGAGTTCTAAGTTGTCTAAAGCTGGTCTTATGAACAGGCTGTGTCTGTATGATAAAAACAAACTAGTTAAAAGATGAGAAATTTAGGCATTATTCACACATCCACACATATCTATAGATGTTTAAAATAATGTAGACAAAATATTCCACCTCTTGGGGTCCTACGGGCACAGTTGAGTAACATGAAATGAGATAAGATCAGTTTGATGTCACAGTTGAAAACTGCATTTGTAAATCTGTGTAATCCATCTCGAGCCAAGTTCTTTGGAGACAGTCTAAAATCCTTAAAAAGCCTCTGCATGCTAGATTTTGCATTTAGATCTAAGTATTGTCTTAAAAGACTGTGATTGTTCACATAACTGGAGAATTCCCTATTGACTACATGATTGAGGAAACACAAAAGTCTGTTATTCTTTCCAAAGTCAATTGTAACTTAAGCTCATTATCTCCCTGCAGATGTTCTATTTCAAATGACAACAGAATCAAAATGTAAATGCTCCAGTGAAAAGGCTTGGAAACTCTTTTACTGAACTGTGCTCTATGTATTTGCCTTCAAAATCATAGCAGGAAAAAGTTTAGAAAAATCTATCCCACCGGCCACTGACCTAAAAAAGGGAAAAAATTAAATTTCACCAGGATTTCTGGTGATATCGTAGAAGTTTTTTAAATTATAACGTTTAATACCTAATTTGTTTATTACATTGAATTGAGCTTCATGTCAGAGCAATGCAGGTTTTTATTTTAATATAATTTGGGACATGTCAGTGGCTCTAATATGATCGTTAATAATGAAGATAATTAGTATAATACAAGTTGTGGTAATTTCCTTCTTCTGGCTTCAGTGAAACTTAAGAGAACCACAGGTGGCTTAAGTCTTAGTGATGGCTACCTCTGATTAAAACTTTAGGAAAAGACTTACATTTCAACCAACAAGATTTTACTGAAGGAAAATGGTCATTTGTATATGAGACCACTCTGACGTATAATCCATCCTTAGATGTCCTAGGTGTGATGGATTGCTTCTTTACTTTGACAAACAATCTGGTATGCCTTTATCAGCACTTAACATTAACCAAATGAAGCATAAATACAAAGGTTTCTAGAAAACACAAATGTAAACTATCTTACCATTTGATAGTTGTTTCTGTAACACTGTGACAATATTTGTATTGATGTGAAACCATATGATAACTTTAATTTTGACCAAACATTTATGACTAAGTGAAAACATACTCACTCACCTTAAGCTCCAAATTTATACAATGTATTGAAATGTGTTGAAATGACCATTTTCTCATGACAAGGGTTCAGTGATTTCCCTTCATGAGAATCCTGTGGCATTGCCTGAATAGCTTTAATATATCTTTGTTAAATGATAACTAAAATATATGTTTTATTAAATTTTTCTTATAAAAATGTGAACTATCTCTTTCAAACTGAATAATACATCGTCTCCATTCATTCCCTTTTATCATGCTTGTCCTTTTTGTAAATCTATTTTACATAACATACAGGGTCCTAACTGCCCCCACCTCACCACCCCCGTTCTCTCTAGTAAAAAATGATATGTATTCAAGGATGGGAATCTGTTATCACAGGGGTGTATTGTTGAAATTAGCAAATGTCCTAGTTTTCTTGCTGTTTTTCCTCTGGTGAGGGATGCATTGTGAAGAGCAGGGAAAACCTGGTATTGACAATACTATCACCCAACAGGGCATAATAAAATGTGCTGGGTAGTTTTGATTGGTTTTGTTTTATTTTCAAGAAGACAGTCTAAACTGAGCTTCATACATTTCTATTTTGGGGGATTATCTGAAGTGTCAAATTGTATTGTATCTTGGGGAATCAATTTCTGTATTTGAGAAAAGGGAACATTCAAATATTTGCCTGTGGTTTACTGATCTATTTTGAATACTTCAACTAAGCAATTATTCTTTTCTTAGGTTCATTTATGTGCTTAAGGTATTCAAATGCCCAAACAATTATTGCTTCCTATTTATTTCATAAAGTAAAATCAGACTTAGGTGCCTAGATTTACCATAAACCAAAAATTATGACCTGTAAATGTAGTTATAACAGATTATTTTCCAGTGAATGATATTTTCTGAAAAATGATATCTCATTGTCTATTTACCTATGGGAATATATTAAAGTTGGTGATTTTATTTTATTTTTCTAGAGGAAGCAGCATCTGCCATTCACAATATTGATATCACTGGTTTCCACCTGCCCAATTATAAGAGAAATAATACTTGTTTATCTGAGAGTGCCAAAAATATCTGGTTTATATTTGGGGAAATTGACCTAAACTTTGTGTGACACAAATATTTGAATATATATGCACATATAATTTAGTTTTGCTAAGCTTTAAAATATGAAATAGGCTTCTATGACAGCACATCAGTGTGAGTAGAGTTTAGATTTCTTCAGTGTTTATCAATCAAAAAGTATAAAACTCAAAAAATATTGAGAGTGGGTTTATGTATATAACATACGAGAATCTGTTCACAGGGCTAGGTCCTTTGCTAGTATTCTCTTACTAGATTCTTAATACTTGGTAAGAAAAGAACCTAAGTTGTAACAAATGCACTCTGATAATATATATTTTATAGAATAAATATACATTATACTCTGTTGGAATTAATAATAATAGATACAAGCAATAATTAAAAACTACAGTGCTAGAGTTCCTACACTTGCTTCTAACAAACTAAAAGTTGAGCTAAAATTGGTCCATTCTATTAATGCATAATAAAATTCATGGAAACAAAAGAAAAAGCCGATTGCTTCTAGAACCTGAAGAAAATATAAATATAGTATGATACCTTGCGATTTTCAAGAGGAAAACAGGTTGAACTTGCAATTAACTGGAATTCCAATTCAGACAACTCAGCACTATGGATTGTGGAGCAGGTGAGGGTAAGGAGCAATGTGTAGGTTTCACTTTGAACTGATGCAGTTTGAATTATAGCCTAATGAGGGGTTTGCTAATATCTGGAAAAGCTATGGACCCAAGATTCACTCAATCTTGGCCCTGGTGATTTATTTAAAAGTCATAGACTTTATTCTTCTTACACTGTTTCAGTTTGCAGACTAGAAAACCTCTCCCTCTGCACACTGAGAATTCCCACTGCAGTGAATGGAAGGTCAATGTATGTAAAGCCCACGTGAGCAGTGGCGGTTCAAGCCCAGAGAAAGAAGGTGTTGAGTTGCCTTGGTAAAGAATTTATACACCATGTGTTCACAGCTTCTTGACAGGTATAATTATCAGTGTTGTCTTTTACTATGTGCTGGGATTCTGAAGCACGGTTTCAAATTTGTGACTATCGGATGTTTGATCAAGTAGCTTTCCCTCAAGGGCCTGAAAGAGAAAAAGAGTGAAGAGAAATCAGTGATTAGTATTCATTTGTCAACTACAATATGCTAAAAATATCAAAAGAGCATATGCTATGTGAGAACAGCAAGGATTATTTTGGGTGCTATCATTCATGCACCATCTTCTACATATGAAAAAATTCGTTTGATGTTTGCAAAGGAAGTAATTATCAAATGAGGATGGAAAAGCCACAGTTGTTCCCTAAAATGAAATAAAGAACACCAGTTTGGAAACATTTCAAATGTAAAACATTTCCTTCTTCCATTTCCAGATGATTCTATTTTTCCTCATGAAGGCAAAGAATAACCAACATTTATGTTACGACTCTTAGGGCTTTTAGTAGTGCTTTTGTTGAGGTAGAAGCCAGCAAAACCTCTCTCTGCTAGGCTGGGAGCACCAATATTCCTTCTCTGACGTGGACATTAAATCTGTCTCTCTTCATAAGGTCAGCCTGACACCACATGAAACAGAGTAGGCAATTACCTCTATGGTCAGAGTTTGGGGAGCAGTCTTGCCAGATACTACCCCCATACCTGCCACTCTTCCACTATTAGAGGGTCATTTCTTTCAGAGAGAACAGTGATTTTTACATCTTCGTTCTCAAAGCTGCAGATATTTTTATTTCAATGAATGCCAAGCACCATATTGAAAACAGATTTTAACAAAATTGTTCTGTTTACTTTGCGTCAACACTCTCCAGCTGTCATGCTTTAAAGAGATGTGCCCAACCTCCCCTGGGGCCTACTGAGTGGATTGAAAACCGTGCATAAACCCATTGTGTTTCCTCAGGAGTCACCAACGAGATATTATATAACAACACATAAGCATTAACATTTTAACTATTATAATATCATCATTCTGACTACTACTTCTATCACTAATGAAAATTTATTGAGTGCTCACTAAGTGTCACATATTTTGCTAAGAGTTTCACATTTTTTTTTCATATTTAATCTCCACAACAGACCATTTTACTGAATCTTAGATTGAATAACTTCCTAAAGGTCATTTAGCTACAAAGTGACCAGAGATCTAGACTGAGTTCTTTTTTTTTTTTTTGAGTTGAAGTAAATCTTCACTTCCCAGACTCAAGCGATTCTTCTGCCTCAGCCTCCTGAGTAGCTGGGACTACAGGCATGTGCCACCACCTCCAGCTAATTTTTGTATTTTTAGTAGAGATGGGGTTTCCTCATGTGAGCCAGTCTGGTCTCAAACTCCTGACCGCAGGTAATCTGCCTGCCTTGGCCTCCAAAGTGCTGGGATTACAGGTGTGAGCCACCGTGCCTGGCCTAGAGGCTGAGTTCTTAATGAATTAAATGATAATATAACTACATGTCCTGAAGGAATGGGACTCAGAACAGGTGAATTTTAGTAAGTCTTGGATCTCTTCATCTATCCAGGGCAGGAGTCAGCCTGAGAGAGAGCACTGGGCATTCAACATGTGGGCCACTGACATACCTGTTGGGAAGAACCAGCTGCAACAAATGTTAGTATTGCCCTCAGTCATGATTTATAATTTAACTGATTAACAATTTATTTTTAAGAAAAGCTTCTTTTCCATATTAGTGTGTCTTGTTGATCAAATTGCCTACTAACTCTTAAAAGAGCCATTGTGGTAGGCAGAATAGTGCCTCCTCGTCCACTAAATGTTAAGTCCACATCCTAATCTCCATAAACTATAAATATGTTTGATTACATGATAAAGGGCAGTTAAGGTTGTAAATGAAATTAAGGTTGCTAAGAAGCCTATGTTAAAATAGGGAAATAACCCTGGATTATTTAGTTCAATCCAATGTAATTAAAAGTGGAAGAGGGATGAGTCAAAGAAAAAAAATCACAAGAGAAATTTAAGAATATTTTGAACCAAGTAAAAATAAAAAATAAAAATGTTTTGATAAGTTGTGGGAACCAAAAAATCAATCATCTATGCTTCTTCCTTAGGAAACTAGAAAAAGGGCAAATTATATCCAAAGTAAGCAGAAGAAAACAAATAATAAACATTAATGAAGATTAATTTTTCATTAATAAAAATTAATGTGGAAGAAATCAATGAAATTGAAAATAGGAAATTAATAGAGAAAATCAATGAAATCAAAAGCTGATTATTTAAAATGATCAATAAAAACCAAGCACTGTGGTGCATGCCTGTAGTCCCAGCTACTTAGGAGACTGAGATGGAAGAACTATGTGAGCCCAGGAATTTAAGTCCAGCCTAGGCAACATAGCAAGACCCTTCATCTCGAAAAAAATAAAATAAAAAGACGGATAAAATCAATAAACTTCTAGCCAAGCTAACAAAAAGGAAGAGAAGACACAAATTATTACTTCTATTAGAAATGAAAGTGGTCACATCACTACAAATACCATGGACATTAAAAGCATAGTAAAAAAATACTATGAACAACTTTATATCCACCATTTTGATAACCTAGATGAAATGGACAATTCCTTGAAAGACACAGTCTGGGCCGGGTACGGTGGCTCACACCTGTAATCCCAGCATTTTGGGAGGCCGAGGCTGGCGGATCATCTGAGGTCGGGAGTTTGAGACCAGTCTGACCAACATGGAGAAAACTGGTCTCTACTAAAAATACAAAATTAGCTGGGTGTGGTGGCGCATGCCTCTAATCCCAACTACTCGGAAGGCTGAGGCAGGAGAATTGCTTGAACCCGGGAGGTGGAGGTTGCAGTGAGCTGCGATCGTGCCATTGCACTCCAGCCTGGGCAGCAAGAGTGAAACTCCGTCTCAAAAAAAAAAAAAAAAAAAAAAAAAAAAAAGACACAATCTGCTAAAACTCACATGAGAAGAAATAGACAATTTGAATAGGTCTATATTTATAAAAGAAATCGAATCAATACTTAGTAGCCTTCCAAAGCAGGAAGCACCCGACCCTGATAGGTTCACTGGAGAATTCTACCAAAATTTAAGAAATAAGTTATACCAATTGTCTATAATTGCTTTCAGCATATCAGATAGAAGCAGAGCGAATATTTCCTAACTCATTCTATATGGCCAGCATTACATTAATACCAAAGCCAGACGAAGACACTAGAAGAAAAAAAAACCAACTACAGACCAATATCTCTCAAGAACATAAATTTAAAAACCCTCAACAAAAGTTAGCAAATCAAATCCAACAAGATTTAAAAATGTTAATGACCTTAATGTCCATTCAGAAGAGATTGATTATTGTATACCTAGAAATTAAAACTTTACACAGATATTTAAAATGTAGACCTAAGTCTACTAATGTTAACCATATTGTTTAATTTTTAAAAATCAGGTTATAATTTAGCATGTAAAATATGAGTGAAAATAAGCATATATATATATATATAAACATACATATAAACATACATATATAGAAATAACATTTCTGGAGAAAAAACTGTGTACTAAAATGAAGTGAGATTATAGCTGAAAAGTTAATTTATTCTTTATACTTCTCTACTGTCTAAAAATTTTGCAATGAAAAAGTGTCACTTTCATACACAAACATCAAATGTAAATCAATAGAAATAAATTAACAGTTTTGCAAGCACCAAGACAACAACAAAAGTGAAAGAGGGGGACAGAAAACAGCGTTGTGATGAAGGCAGAGGTCAGAGAAATGCAATGTGAGAAGGATTCCACTACCGCTACTCGTTTTGAAGATGGAGGAAGGGCCCAGGAAGCAATGAATTTTCCCCTAGAGCCTCCTAAAGCCCAGTAAAACTGTGTTGGACTTCTATCCTACAGAATTACAAGATATATTTTTAAAATTGTATATTCAATTGGCAAATAATAATTGTATACATTTGTGATGTACAAATTTGTGATGTACAAATAAATTTGTGATGTATAAATATATTGAATTGATGTTTTGATATGTTTAAAATGTGAAATGATTAAACCAGATAAAATAATTAACACATTTTATCACCACACATACTTATTTTTTGTGGTGGAAATATTTAAAAGCTATCCTTTTAACAATTTTGAAATAGATATTATTATTTAACTCATCATTCTGTGCAATAGATCACTAAAGCTTATTCCTCCTGTCTAACTGAAACTTTATACCCTTTGGTCAACTTCTCCCCTTTCTTTCCCCGATCACCCTTCTCCTCTACCTCTGATAATCACTATTCTACTCTCTACTTCTATGAGTCTAACTTTTTTTTTTTTTTTTTGAGACAGTGTCTTCCTCCGTTGCCCAAGCTGGAGTGCAGTGGTGCGATCTCGGCTCACTGCAACCTCCACCTCCTGGGTTCAATCTATTCTTTTGCCTCAGCCTCCTGAGTAGCTGGGATTAGAGGTGCACCACCACACCTGGCTAATTTTTGTATTTTTAGTAGAGACAGGGTTTCACCATATTGGCCAGGCTGGTCTCAAACTCCTGACCTCGTGATCCACCCACTTCGGCCTCCCAAAGTGCTGGAATTACAGGTGTGAGCCACCGCACCTGGCCGAGTCTAACTTTTTAAGATTCCGCTTATAAGTGAGACATGTGGTATTTGTTCTTCTGTGCCTGGCTTATTTCATTTAGCACAATGTCTTCCAGGTTCATCCATGTTGTTGCAAATGAAAGATTTCCCTCCCTTTTAAGGCTGAATAGTATTCTGTTATGTATGTCTATTTAGCTGAAGCTGGACACCTACGTTGCTCCCTTATCTTAGCTATTGTGAACAATGCTGCAATCTACATGTACTGCAGGTATCCTTTTAACATGCTAATTTCAATTCATTTGGATATATCCCCAGAAGTGAGATTGCTGGATCATATGGTGGTTCTAATTTTAGTTTTTGAGGACCCTCCTCCATATTATTTTCCAAAATGGCTGTATTAATTTACATTCCCACCACTGGTGCACAAGGATTCCTCTTACTCCATACGTTTGCAAACACTTGTTATCTTTTTTCTTTTTTAAAATTTAAAATTTTACTTTTTTTTTTTTTTTAGAGATGGGGGTCTCACTATGTTGCCTAGGGTGGACTCAAATTCCTGGACTCAGGCAATCCTCCTGCCTCACCCTCCTCCTCCTGTGTAGCCGGGACTACAGGTGCTTGCTACCACATCTGGCTTTGTCTTTTTTTGATAACAGCCATTCTAACAGGTGTGAGGTGAAACCTCACTGTGGTTTTAATTTGCATTACCCTGATTATTAGTGACAATGAGCATTTTTCATGCATCTGTTAGCTATACCTTAGGCTTCTTTTGAGAAATGTCTATTAAGTCATTTCCCCATTTTTGATTGGGTTATTTGTTTTCTTGCTATTGAGTTGTTTAAGTTCCATACATATTTTGGATATTAGTCCTTTATCAGATGTATGGTTTGCAAATATTTTCTTCTAATCCATGGGTTATTTCTTCAATCTGTTGTTTCCTTTGCTGTGAAGAAGCTGTTTAGTTGGGTAGAATCCTGTATGTCTATTTTTACTTTTGTTGCCTGTGATTTTGGGAAGGTATCCAATAAATCTTTGCCCAAACCAATGTTGTGGAGCGTTTCTTTCATTTTCGTCTAGTAGTTTCACAGTTTCAAGTCTTACAGTTAAGTTTCCAATCATTTTAAGTTGGTTTTGTTATGGGGTGAGATAAGGGTCCAATTTCATTCTTCTGCTTTGGATATCCAGTTTTCCCAACACCATTGATTGAAGAGATTGTCCTTTATCCATTGCATGTTTTTGATACCTTTGTCAAAAATCAATTAACTGTAAATATGTGGATTTATTTCTGGGTTCTCTAGCTTGTTCCATTGGTCTATGTGTCTGTCTTTATGTCAACAGCATGTTGTTTTGATTACCATAGCTTTGTAATAGACCCTGAGGTCAGGTAGTGTGAGGCCTTCAGTCTGGTTCTTTATGCTCAAAGTTGATTTGGCTATTTGATGTCTTTTGTGGTTCCATGCAAATTTTGGGATTTTTTTTTCCTACTTCTGTGAAAAATGACATTGGAATTTTGATAGTAAGAGCATTGAATTCTACAGCATTATAGGAAACAATAAATTTGTGTTATTTTAAGCTACTATATTTGTGGTAATTTTTATGGTAGCCATGGAAAGCTAATGCATCTTTGAGGATGAAGTAATTTGAAGTATGGGGTACTATTTTAAAGGTAATCGATAAGGGTGATTTGGATAACTGCATAAGACTGAATCCCCAGACAGTTCACAAATATGTCTGTGAAGTGGGGTCAGGAAAAGTAAGGGTGGCAATATGAATAAGAGCAAGAGGCTTTAAAGCCCATGTTCCTGTGTTTGAATCGTGGCCCTATTACTTGTTATAATAGCTGTGAAATGTTAGGTACATTTAAAAAACTCCTATATGCTTCAGTTTCCACTTTATTTTTAAATTTTTTTAATTTTTAATTTTTGTGGGTACATGATATATATATTTATGGGGTCCATGAGATGTTTTGATACAGACATGCAATGTGTCATAATCACATCATGGAAAGTGGGGTATGCATCCTCTTAAGTATTTATCCTTTGTGTTACAAACAATCCAGTTGTACTCATTTAGTTATTTTTAAGGGTATAGCTAAATTATTATTGACTATAGTCACCCTGTTGTGCTGTCAAATACTAGGCCTTATGCATTCATTGTGTTTTTGTACCCGTTAACCATCCCCACCTCCCTCCCCACTCCTCCACTATCCTTCCCAGCCTCTGGTAACCATCCTTCTACCCTCTATCTCCATGGGCTCAATTGCTTTGATTTTTAGTTCCCACAAATAAGTGAGAATATGTGATGTTTGTCTTTCTGTGCTTGGCTTATTTCACTGAAAATAATGATCTCCATGTTATTGCAAATTACTGAATTTTTTTTTTTTTTCTGAGACAGAGTCTTGATCTGCCATCAAGGCTGGAGTGCAGTGGCATGAACCTGGCTCACTGCAACCTCCAGCTCCTGTGTTCAAATGATTCTTGTGCCTCAGACTCCAAAGTAGCTGGGATTATAGGCGTGTGTCACCAGCTCTGGCTAATTTTTTTTTTTCTTTTTTTTGTATTTTTACTAGAGATGGGGTTTTGCCATGTTGGCCAGGCTGGTCTCAAACTCCTGGTCTCAAGTGATCCAGCCGCTTTGGCCTCCCAAAATATTGGGATTACAGGTGTGAGCCACCGTGCCTGGCATGAATCTCATTCTCTTTTATTGCTGAATAGTACTCCATTGTGTACAAGTACCACATTTTCTTTATCCATTCATCTGTTGATGGACACTTAGGTTGCTTCTAAATCTTGGCTAATGTGAACAGAGCTGCAGCAAACATGGGAGTGCAGATATCTGCAGTGGGAACCTCCAAACTGTTCTCCATAGTGGTTGTACTAATTAGTTTACTCTTTAAAACAAGATTAAACATAGTACCTAATCTGCATAAGGCTATTGTAAAGATTAAGTAATTTAATATATATGAGGCACTTAAAAGAGTTCTTGGCACACACTAATTGTTTAATAAGTGTTAGTCAGCTTTATGATTATTTCTGTCCGGTGTTCTGCTTGGAAACTCTGGGTTCCTTGCATTCGATTTTATTGGAGTCATCCCCTGGAACTTGGTTTTCTTAGTGACTAGGCGGATAGTTTTCGTAATAATTCCCTGGATTAGATCATCAGGATCATGCATGTGGTAATGCTAGAAGAAGGTAGAGAAGGGTTTTAAAGGTAGGCAAAATAAAGAAAATGGGGGGTCTTTAGAGTGGGAGGAAAAAGAGATTTGGTGAGGCTACTGTCAAATGCCAGCAACTTTGTAAATTTAATAAGATACAGGCTGGTTTTGACTGGAATGAATTCTCCACCCTAGATCTAGCCATGGAGGTCAGGGACACGATTTTGGTCTTGACTTCCTCAGAATGTTGATATCTCCAGAGATATTCCTCTTTCTTCTTATTTTTATTTTTTGAGAATCTGGGTGAAATATTATATACATGGAGTCACAATAAAAAACTGAGGTGCTTCAAGCTGAATAAATATAACACTCTGATATGGTTTGACTGTGTCCCCACCCAAATCTCAACTTGAGTTGTATCTCCCAGAATTCCCGTGTTGTGGAAGGGACCCAGGGGGAGGTAATTGAATCATGGTGGCTGGTCTTTCCTGTGCTGTTCTTGTGATAGTGAATAAGTCTCACGAGATCTGATGGGTTTATCAGGGGTTTCTGCTTGTGTTTATTCCTCATTTTTCTCTTGCTGAGACCATGTAAGACGTGCCTTTCAGTCTGGGCATGGTGGCTCACATCTGTAATCCCAGCTACTTGGGAGGCTGAGGTAGGAGAATCGCTTGAACCCAGGAGGCAGAGGTTGCAGTGAGCTGAGATCGCACCACGGCACTGTAGCCTGGGTGACAGAGAGAGACTCTGTATTAAAAAAACAAAAAACAAACAAAAAATAGTGGCTTTCCCCTCCAGCCATGATTCTGTGGCCATGTGGAACTGTAAGTCCAATTAAGTCTCTTTTTGTTCCCGGTTTTGGGTACATTTTTATCGGCAGCGTGAAAATGAACTAATACAACTCTTTCTCAAAAAAAGTGGGTATAGCACGAATAAAACCCGAATTCATATTCTCTGTTAACATTTCTAGCATATTATTGTGCAGCAATAATTTTTTTACATTTTAGAAAATGTAATGTGTATCCTTCAATATTATCAAATATAGAAGTTAGGGGAAAAGACTATTGATTTTTACTTTAAGAGAGTTTACAATTAAAAGTAAGCATAAGAGAAAATTTCCTGCACAGTACTTGCATTAAATCTTTTTTCCACTTGTATTCACTATTTACCATTGCCAGGTGCTTTATAACTTTTACCATCTCAGATAAAAAAACATATTATTTCTAATTTCAGAGTAGAAATTGCATTTCATTTGATAAACAATAAGATAATATCAGACAAGTATTTTGATTTTACTTGGTTTTTGCTTGACTGGTTAAATTTTATAAAAACCTGAGATGCTTAAAGTCTAATAGTTCAAATTAGCTTCAAACTTTTCTCAGAAGCAACTGTAGTAAGAATTAGCAAGTGTGACAATCCCATTTAGTCCTTAAAAATCAAATTAATTAAAATGTAATTAAGAGCTAATGTAAGTCTCTTTGACTGAAGTCACCATAAAATCCATGAATGACATGACTTGGATGTATTTTATTTGTACCTGAAATGGTCACTACAGTTTTATCTCAATGTGTGTGTATTGCAAGTGCCATCTTGGCAGGCACAAATACAAATTTCATGTTCACTTAAATCGAACTCTACTATATCTCATGCCAGAAATAACATAGTTTGTATAATAAATGCTTTTTACTAAAAATACTAGTCTGTGGTGGTGAAACCATAGGAAATTTAATGAAGATGGAGTTTTTTTTTTTTTTTTTTTTTTTTTTTTGACGGAGTCTCGCTCTGTCACCCAGGCTGGAGTGCAGTGGCGCGATCTTGGCTCACTGCAAGCTCCGCCTCTTGGGTTCACACCATTCTCCTGCCTCAGCCTCCTGAGTAGCTGGGACTACAGGCGCCCGCCACCACGCCCAGCTAATTTTTTTATTTTTAGTAGAGACGGGGTTTCACCGAATTAGCCAGGATGGTCTCGATCTCCTGACCTTGTGATCCACCTGCCTTGGCCTCCCAAAGTGCTGGGATTACAGGCATGAGCCACCGCACCTGGCCCGAAGATGGAGATTTAATTAAGATGGATGGAACTGAGAAATGGAATTGAGTAATATGGCTGAGCAAATAATTCTGGCCAAGTCGTATACTTTTAAAGATGATTGAATGAGCATAATATTGGAAGTCTTTAGTAAGACCTCAGAAATCTGAATAGGAACATATTTCTTTCAAAATACTTGCACAATTTTACTATGGACCAATGTGGCAAATCAATTAGGAGAATTGGTATAAGTCTATATTATCAAGGATGAGAGAAAAATGAGTTAGCAAAAAGAGTGTAAATGTTTAACTAAGGAATAATGCGTTGTCATTACCACAAAAGAGATCTTTAAGAGTTCTAAAAGTACAAATGTAAAGTGGCTTTACATTTGGAATGGATAACAGAGAAGAAGGATGTGGACAAAATGACTCGTCCTTGTCTGTCTATAGACTTCTGTCTCAACTACATCATCCTAGACCAAGTCACCATATTTCCTGCCTGGACTACTACACATTAGCCTCCTAATTGGTCTCTGCTTCCACTCTCAGTCTGCAATAATCTATTCTCACAGCAGCCAGAGCAATCTTTTTAATAAATCCAACCATGTCTCTCCTGTGCTTAAAAACCTTTAGTGGCTTCCGGTGCAATAAAATCTAACTTCCCTCAGTGGCTCACAAAGCTCTCTGTGACCTGGTCCCCAGCTATCCTATTGACCCCATAGCCACCACCACTGTTCTTCTGACTCACTATTCTCTAACTACTCTGGCTTTCTTTCTGTTCCTCAAACATGCCTGTCATAGAGCTACTGCATTGGCTATTTCTTTCTCGTTTTAGTCTCTTTTCCTGGCTTCTTGTGATTCAGTCTCATCTGCAATGTTACCTCCTTTGAGAGATCTTCCCTGATCACACAGTCAAGTTGCTACCAAGCAGTTCTCTATTTAAACCCCCTATTTTTACTCTGCAAAGTACTGGTCCCAATAGGATATTTTTATTTACTTGTTTATTTGTTTATTAACTATCTCCTGCAACCAGAATGTAGGCATGAGGGCAAAAACTTTGCATTATTCATGCCATTTTTGCAGCTCATTAAACAGTGCCTCGCTTGTAACAGTGTCAAATAAATAATGTGCAATAAATGTATTTCTTTTTTCTTTTTTCTTTTTTTTTTTTTTTTGAGATAGAGTCTCGCTCTGTCACCCAGGCTGGAGTGCAGTGACGCGATCTCGGCTTACTGCCAGCTCCACCTCCCAGGTTCACGCCATTCTCCTGCCTCAGCCTCCTGAGTAGCTGGGACTACAGGCGCCCGCCACCACGCCCGGCTAATTTTTTGTATTTTTAGTAGAGACGAGGTTTCACCATGTTAGCCAGGATGGTCTTGATCTCCCGATCTCGTGATCCACCTGCCTCGGCCTCCCAAAGTGCTGGGATTACAGGCGTGAGCCACCACGCTTGGCTCCCAATAAATGTATTTTTTAGGATAGAATGCAATTTTAGATAAAGATACTAAAATATGGTACATATAATAAAAATAGCAGCCTATGAAAGATAGATAGATTGTTGAATTCCCAGGATTGTTGTAGGACAAATCCCTATCTTTTCCCCCCTTTTCTGTGTAGCTTCTTCTTTTCATTTTTTTTTTTTTGTGGTTTTTTTGAGACAGAGTTTCACTCTTGTTGCTCAGGCTTGAGTGCAATGGCTCGATCTCGGCTTACTGCAATCTCCATCTCCTGGGTTCAAGCAATTCTCCTGCCTCAGCCTCCCAAGTAGCTGGGGCTACAGGAGCTAATTTTTGAATTTTAATAGAGATGGGATTTGACGATGTTGGTCAGGCTGGTCTCAAACTCCTGACCTCGTCATCCACCCACCTCGGCTTCCCAAAGTGCTGGGATTACAAGCATGAGACACTGCTCCCAGCCTGTAGCTTCTTCTTTTCACAAGTGTCACAAACAATTAAAAGCCTCATGTTATATCCAATATTTCTGTTTGTGCAAATAGTAATCTGATGTTGAATGACCTAAAACCACTATTACCCACAATCATTTTTCCAAGAATATTTGAAGTTCACTTCAAATACACATTCACAGACATCATAGTGTAAAGGTATCTAACAATATGAACTGTCTTCTCCAAAGGATAGCAAGGAAAATTTATATAACTCCAGAATATCTGATGTTGGCAGATGAAAACCTGATGGAGTAAAAAGGAAAAGAATTCTATGTTTCTGTAAATGCAGTCATGGGAAATCCACTGAAGCTATTTTAGCTTCATATTTTCATCTAAAAAACTATTTATTGATACTTGCCTTGAAGGTTTTTTTCTGAGGATTAGGGATAAAATGTGATAAGGGCATAGGGCATAGTAGGAACTTCTAAGATGGGGTCTCTTAACATTTTTTCTTCAATTCTCTTGATAATATACAGCAAAACCTGATTTAGTGTTCTTTGTTACAAAGTGGAATTTAGAAAAAGGCAGGAGAATCTTAGACACATTTTATTTCTACTTTACAACTTTTTCAAAACTCTTAAAGTTTTATTTTTCATTGACAAGTAATAATTTTATATATTTATGGATTATAATGCGATATTTCAATGCATGTATACATTGTGGAATGATCAAATCAGGCTACCAAAGTTGTTACCACAAATACTTATTGTTTCTTTGTGGTGAGAATATTTACAGTCCATTCTCTCAGCTATTTTGAAATATGCAATGTAGTATTATTAACTATAGTTACCAAGTTGTATAATAGATCATCTTAACTTATTCCCCTTCTACCTAACTGAAACTTGTAACCTTTAGCTAAGACCTTTTCCCTTTTCTCTGTCTACCCTCCTCCCCCAGCCTCCCAGCCTCTGGAAACCACATTCTACTCTCTACTTCTATGAATTAAAGTTTTTCAGATTCCACACATAGGTGAGATCATGTGGTATTTGTCTGCCCATGCTTGGCTTATTTCACTTAGCATGATGTTCTCTAGGCCCATCCACGCTGACAAAAATGACATTTCCTGCTTTTTAAAGGCTAAATATTAAATGGTATACATCTGTGTGTGTGTGTGTGTGTGTGTGTGTGTGTGTGTGTGTGTGTGTAGGTAGATATAGATATCTATCACATACTTACCACATTTAAAAAATGTATTCATCCCTTGATAGCACTTCAGTTGTTTTCATATCTTAGCTGTTGTAATAATGCTGTATTGAACATGGGAGTGTAAACATCTCTTTGACATATTGATTTCAATTCCTTTGAATATCTCCCCAGAAGCAGAATTGCTGGATCATATGGAATTCTATGAACTTTTTTGAGGAACCTCCATATTGTCTGTCAAATTGGCTGTAGCAATTTATATTCCCACCAACGGTGTACAAGGGTTCCCTTTTCTTCACATCCTCACTAGCACTTGTTATCTTTCCTCTTTTTGATAATAGCCAAATTAAAAGGTATGAGGTGATATCTCATTGTGGTTTTAATTTGCATTTCTCTGATGATTAGAGATGTTGAGCATTTTTTCATATAGCTGTTGGCCATTTGTATGTTAGACACACTTTAAAGGAGCATCCGCAGAGAACTTCAGAATCTCTTACAGCATAGACAGTGGCAGGTCTCAGCTTCATTCTTTTCAGTGGGGCACTTTTCCAATAAATTGTATCTCAGTATTCTAAAGGAGATCTTTCCAGGGTCAGCACTATAAGGTTGTGCAGTTAATACACTGTGTAAAGGCAACTGGCCAACAGGGTGAGTGAGGCCTGGAATCCAGCCCACACTCTTCTCCTTAGGATCTGGGTTTGCACAGAGGCTGCATTTTCTTAATTTGTATAAAAGCATCCTAGAGCCTGTACTTGCCCCTTTCAAAGTATATCATTTTCCAAATTATCTTATATTTGTGGAGAATATAGCTGAATGGCACATAAACTATCTTGCTTATATACTTTTAGATCACTGTCTTTTGTTTGATTGATTTTGTTTGGATTATTTAAATCTAATGATTTTGTTTCAGCTAAGAAAATATATTTTAGAACATATCTAAAATATATTTTAAGTATATTCATATATACATATATGTGTGTGTGTATATATATATATATACTCCTTGTATAGAATAAGTCACTTCTCACCTATGACATGTGGTTTTGTTGTGTTTGTTGCTGCTGCTGCTGTTGCTGCTGCTGAATTAGCAATTGCTGCTGCTGCCGACGCCTGGCTGTTCG
Organism: Homo sapiens; assembly: GCF_000001405.40. NCBI lineage: Eukaryota > Metazoa > Chordata > Mammalia > Primates > Hominidae > Homo > Homo sapiens. Next base: position 80,811,558 of record NC_000012.12, read on the forward strand.
TAGCTTTTCAAAGCGAGCCTCCATTTCTTCCAGAACTTTTGGGGTGTATCGCACCACCAGCTTGACGCTGTCTTTAGCAGCCTTGAGTAGTTCCACAGCTTTCTCATGGTGTTCTCCTTCCACACTCTGAAAATACAATGACACTTCTTAAAGGGAGGAGGTTCAATGTTCTTTTCCCTGGAGACAAATCTGAAATTAATATCACATTAAGAACCCAAAATTTAAAATTTTAAGAAAACATGGCAAATGAGTTATCTTACCATCATCGTTATTATTTATTACATTGTGGTTAAACTATAAGCAGGTTAGGCTGCACTAGGTCACAGAATGGACTGTGTGGGGATTCAGGTCATAAGGGTGAAAAGCAATGAAGACCTAAATTATAATGCTAACATTAGGAATGAAATTTCCAAATTTTATCTGGAAGAGTAAATGCACTAGTCAACAAAATTTTGAAAAAAATTAAAACATAGTAACAAAGAGAAAATTTCTGTATCAGATATTAAAATTTATTAAGAATCTACAATGATTAAAGTGGTGTCTTATTGTGTGTATAAAAGAGATAGTAGAACATAGCACAGAGTCCAGAAGGAGAGTCATCACATGGAAAGCTTTATTTATTATTAATGTGGACTTTAGACCAAAGGAGAAAAGGACTATTAACTAAATTAAATAATACAAAATAATGGAGACTCAATCTCATACACTATGCTAAATATAACAGATTAATTAAAATTTAAATGTAACATAAAAACATAAAGTAACTAAAATAAAAGAAAGGTGAACATTAATCATTTTTCAATAGAAAAGGAATTCTTAATTTAAAATGCCACAGGAAAAATAACCACGAAATCAGATGTGCACAGTGTAAGTTTCTATGTCTCAAACACTGTAAAAAAAAAAAAAAAAAAAAAAAAAGGCAAACCAGAAAAACAGTTTCAGTATGTGACTGTCATATACTTAGTGCAAAAGGGTTTTTTTTCTGGTTTATTTGCCCTTTTTTGTTTTTTTGAGACAGAGTTTCACTCTTGTTGGCCAGGCTGGTGTGCAGTGGCCTGATCTGGGCTCACCACCACCTCCGCCTCCTGGGTTCAAGAGATTCTCCTGCCTCAGCCTCTCGAGTAGCTGGGATTAAAGGTGTGCAACACCACGCCCGGCTAATTTTATATTTTTAGTAGAGATGGCGTTTCACTATGTTGGCCAGGCTGGTCTTGAACTCCTGACCTCAAGCGATCCACCTCCCTCAGCCTCTCAAGCTGCTGGGAGTACAGGCATGAGCCACCACACCCAGCCTGCCCTTCATTCTTCTAACAAGTCAATAAAGATCTAAGCAGAATGAGCAGTTGACATGCATGGACAAAAAATAAAAAATATAAATGGACAATAGACCTCAGAAAAGATATTCAAACTCCCTAGTAATCAAAGAAGTATAGACCGACATAAAAATAAATATACAGATATATTTTTTTTTGAGACGGAGTCTTGCTCTGTTGCCCAGGCTAGAGTGCAATGGCGCGATCTTGGCTCACTGCAAGCTCCGCCTCCCGGGTTCATGCCATTCTCCTGCCTCAGCCTCCCGAGTAGCTGGGACTACAGGTGCCTGCCACCACGCCCAGCTAATTTTTTTCTATTTTTAGTAAAGACAGGGTTTCACCATGTTAGCCAGGATGGTCTTGATCTCCTGACCTTGTGATCCGCCCACCTCGGCCTCCCAAAGTGCTGGGATTACAGGCGTAAGCCACCGTGCCTGGTCAATATTTCATTTTTAACTTAAAAATGATAAATATATATTTTAAAATTTGGTGTACAGACAAGGATGTAGGAAAATTGGACTCAGACTGCTAATAACTTAACAAAAACTGGTGAAATTTTTCTGGAGGGCACTATCGTTATGCATTGAATAAGCCCTTATTATAAGTGAATAATTTTATATTAAGAAAAATCTATTCAGGATACAATCAAATAGGCACACATACTTATAAGATAGATACAGAAAACAAAAAACAAATCAATTCTTGGCTTTTGAGTTTCAAAACAGTCTTTTGAACATCATGGCGTAGACAATACTTGGAGAAACTATGCTTCCTCTAAGTAAACACAATGCTGCTTTTTTCCCAATCTTCTGAAGATTCTCCAGGTTAGGATGATGGAGAAGCAAAAAGAAGAAAGTTGTAATTAGACTTTATAGGACCCTACATAAGGAAACCCTGGCTCCTGCCCCTCTGAGCGGATCACCAGGGCAGATGACAGAACCCTTAATTTACAGGATTGAACTGCCAAGGCCTTTTTGCCTTGCTTCTTGGGTAAAGTACAGAGAAAAAAAATCACTGTGCAGTGTGATAGATGGAGACTGAGATAAGGTTAAAGAGTGTCAGACGACCTAGGAGTCACACTGAAGAGGCAGAGAAGGCCACCCTCAATTGTTTGACATTACATTTTCACAATCCAAGCAGAAGGGAAACTCAAAAAGATACTAAATTGAGTTACAGAAAAATAAAGGAAGTGAAATCTTAAGCACCCTTGAATTATACCTTCAGATTCATAATTTCTACTGCAGATTTGGAGACTTAAGGGATCATTTGATCATTGGCTTAGCCACTCAACTAATATGTTTATTAAGCATTTATTTTATGAATTATAGTCTACTACGTTTCTTGAGAAAACATGAAAGGAAGGTAAACTTTGACAGCATCGTGCAATATAAACCCTATTTTCAGTATGTTTGTAATTTCTTTATAACTGGTCCCATGATGATTTGTTAATGCATATAATTTTCCTTTGAAAGGAAAACTTGGTGATTTGGTTGTCTACATACCCTTCTCTAATTTCTTTTTTAATATTAAAACTTACATGTTTATGTTTTAATAATGGTTCACCCAGTTTCTAGGCCAGATCATCAGTCTGTAGACTTCTTCGTGGCTTTTGTTCTATTTGCTTTTATTTAATAGGGTTGGAGATTCTAGGCCAGACCTTTAGAGGCCCATTATCTCTGTTTTGGCACTGTGTCTGCGATTCAGTTGCCACAGGAGGGCTGTGGTACTAATGTGTGTGGGCCATTAGGCTCTCACGGTGGTGGTGAAGAGTTGAGAGAAAAACGGCTGGCTGGTGCACCACACACCAGGCCCTGCAAAACCATCAAGGTTATCCTCTTCCAGTCCCTGCTCTGCCCTCTCCCACACAGTTAACAATGTATCAAAAGCAGACTCCACAGTTTTCAATTCCAGAAATTTTGCCTTCATGCTTTATCTTCAGTTTAGACAAGGACTCAGATTCTCTTTAAGGCTCAACAGAGTCAACAGGTCTGTTGGTTTGGCTCTACTGTCTTTCCCACCAGGACACAGAGCCACTATGAGAGATCTGGGCAGTGTCACAGTTCCTCATTTGTACTACTGAAATGCTTTACTAACATCCTACAAATTATATAATTAAGCAGCTAAGAAGTGAATTTTAGAAAGATATTAAGAAATATAAGCATACTTGAAAAATTTTTATTTCAAACACTCCTCAACTTTGCTTTTTAATTGTTTTCAGAAGCATATCTTGTCTTAAGGATTATTTTTGTGGCCTTTTTTTCCCCACTAGCTTTGCCTACTTTGTAAATACTTTTGAGTACATATGCTTGTCTCCTTAACCTATTATTTATCTCTGGAGTGCTTTTAGTCCATCAGTATAACTTTGTAATAAGAATAAGGCAGTTTTCTCTTCTTCTTTCTTTCCCTTTTAAGGTAAGAACAAGAAATCAAACCATCTTGCCACAGAAGTCTTGTTGCATGAATAAAAAGAAGCCAAAAGATCTACTCAGTTAGGGTATAAATGTTGATGTGCAAGCCCTTCACAGGTATTCCTTGAGCCCTGAAAGTTCAGCATCTATTCTTGCTTTTGACTTAGTCTGTGTCTCACTCTTAATGAAAGTATGCATCATTTCTAGCTAAATATTTAAGACATATTTTGAAATGTGATAGGTTATTTATAAACAGTTAAGCTATTTTTATCAAAGCTGTATATACAAGCACTCCTGATTCAGAGTTGTCTTTTATAAGAACCAGTGTAAGTTTGAGCAATCACTGAAAACTTGTAGCACCAGCTTCCTACATAGGCTGAGAAGGTGGTTCTTATATGACTTTAAGAGCTCTAAAAAGACTTCTTATTTTACAGTGAAACCCCCTCCTCCATTTAAAAGCTGAAATTCTATATTTTTAAGTTTTATCCCCTTGCTTTAAGAGTTTTGTTGTACCTATTGCATTAGCATAAATTAATTTAACAAGGCCTTGCAATGGACGTCTGGTAAAATTGGATTTTATTAAGAAGGTGAGGAGTGATGAGAACAGCCTGAGGGTATATAGTAGGTACCCAGGAAATATTTTGACCAAAGAGAAGTATAGCCTAAAACAGAAAAACCCCTAAAAAGAAATGTTACCTACCCCAAAATTATGCCTAGGCTGGCCATGAGCATACTTGAAATGAATTAAAATGCACTATGAAGACTGTACATTCCCATCCTGAAAATGCTTCTATCTTTAGCTGATAAATCTTTTAACAATAAACATAAAGATTAATATGAGGTCAAGCACAGTGGCTCTTGCCTGTAATCCCAGCCATTTGGGAGGCTGAGGCAGGAAGGAAGATTGCCTGAGCCTAGGAGTTCAAGACCAATCTGAGCAACATGGCAAGACCCCATCTCTACAAAGAATTTTTATTTTTTAAATAGCTGGGGCGAGTGGCATGTGTCTGTGGTCCCAACTACTTGGGATGCTGAACCAAGAGAATGGCTTGAACCCAGGAGGTCGGGGCTGTGGGGAGCCATGTTTGTGTCACTGCACTCTAGCCTAGGCAACAGAGCAAGACTCTGTCTCAAAAAAAAAAAGTGTATATATACACACTCACACACACACACTATTATATACATTAGTTATTATATACAATAGTTATATATATATATGGAGCCTTCAAAAAGTTGTATTACAATAAACACAAGCTAATAAAATACTAAACTGATATAAAAACCATACAAACTGGATCTCCTATAACATTGATGTACAAAGAAATATATTTTCATTTAGGAAGCTGGGAAAAAAATAGCTCAGTAGATAACCAAAGGCATACTTGTTTCATCAGCAACCTCATACAGCAGTAAGCTCTAGGCAGCTTTCAAGTTAGTTAATTTGATTGAAGTTTAGCAAATCAATGGCTGGTAAATGAACCAAGGTTTTCTTTGCTTCGTTTTGTTTTGAGATGAAGTCTTACTCTGTCACCCAGGCAGGAGTGCAATGGCACGATCTTGGCTTACTGCAACCTCCATCTCCCAGGTCCAAGCGACTCTTGTGCCTCAGCCTCCCGAGTAGCTGGGACTATAGGTGCCTGCCACCATGCCCAGCTACTTTTTGTATTTTTAGTAAAGACAGGGTTTGCCACATTGGCCAGGCTGATCTCGAACTCCTGGGCTCAAGTGATGCGCCTGCTTCAGCCTCGCAAAGTGCTGGGTTTACAGGAATGAGCCACCGTGCCCAGACTCAACCAAGTTTTAAACATGGCTGCATTCTGTTCATTCAATAGTTTTACTATTTGTATACACTGTGAGATATTAAAATGGCAGCTTATTTCTGGTATGCTCGTATTTCTGGTATGCTCAACTTCCTGGTTGATTAAGGATCATCCCTTATAAGAGAGAATTTGAATTGCACTACATACATGAATTTGCTCATGACATGTGCTCTCTCTCTCCCGCTTCCATAGAGGGTTAAATTTTGACCCTGGCTAGATCTCAGATGGAAGCAATGCCTGCCCTGGGAAGCAATCATGTGATCTGTGCACTATCAGTCATCAACTGGCTAAGTTTTTAGGCAGGTTTTTCTCTGTGGGAATTACATAGATATCATCTTGATCCAGTTTTCTGATGTGTAAGTTACTTAAACACTTTGTTGGACAACAAGAGTTGGCTAGACCTTGTAGTTATTCAAGGCATATCTACAGCCAGGTTTATGCATAGACTCCTAAAAAACATCAGTCATTCCTTTAGATTAAAGGCCAAATGATGTTATCATCATTTGGAGTAAAGGACATCAAGGGTATTAGGTAATTATACCTTAGTGAATTAGATAGCTCAGAAACACAGAACATTATACCTAAAAAGACCTTTAGAAATAATCTCATTTATGTCCTTATATCTTAATACTTAAGGAAACAGACACCAAGACTGGCTATGACTTACTCCATTTTATAAGTCCGTTAGTTGTAGGTCTGGATTAGAACTCATTTTTCTTGATGACTGCTCTTTCAACAACCGTATGCTAATTTTCTAGCTTAACTAATCCCGAAATGAAATACATGGAGTGTCATTTTTGTGTGATGCAAAAGGATAGGAACTAATGGCAAGAAAAAGATCTGGCAACTCCTAGCTCAAAAGTGTGAGCTGGAGTGAAGGAATAGCATGGGGCTACCTGAAGGACTCACTACTACTAGGATTAGGGGGTTATGATTCTCAACTTTGAAAAGGCCCAGTATAACCAAGCAAAGACCTATTCCTTTCCCAAAAAGATAACAGTGATTATTTTTTTCTTATGATAGTTTTACTTTTGTTCCATGAAGTTCTTTTGTTTGTTTGTTTGTTTGTTTTCTTTTTGAGATGGAGTCTCGCTCTGTCCCCCAGGCTGGAGTGCAGTGGCCGGATCTTGGCTCACTGCAAGCTCCGCCTCCCCATGAAGTTCTTTCACTATCATTTTATTTTAAGAGTGTGTGTGTTCATACATATAAATGTGTGTAAACATGCATGTGTGTATATGTATACTGTAGTTTTTATTGACCATTTATTAAGTAAAAGGCTGTTTTCTGTGCATTTTATCTAATCCTTGCAACATATCTGTTAAAAAGGTAATGAAAAGGTTAAGAAATGTGTCCTAGGTCACCAGCTAGTAAGTCGAACAGATCAACCTGAAATGAGCTTTATCTGTTTCTAGAGTCGAGGCTCTTACCTACCAATCCTTAATCTTAAATAAAATAATAAAGAAAAAGTAAGTATCACATTGGCAGTTTTGCTTACTGATAGAGATGTTTAGGCCAGTCATTCTTAAACCTTGATGTACATAGTAGTCAACTGAAGAACTTTTTAAATATAGAGACCTAGGCTCTTCCCAGCCTTGCCATATTAAGATCTGTAGCAATATGACCTAGGAATATATAAATACAAAACTCTGATCCAGCCAGTCAGTCTCTGACATGTAGATTTGTGTTTGGACACACTACTCTAAACCCAAATAGAACTAACCAAAATAGTAAAAGTCATCTTAAGGGTTTCTCTACAACCTTACTACAGAAAAAAGTGTTGGTTAGATGAGGGAAATCTTATGATTTTGCCTTGATTTAGCTCTATAGTTGGCATTTTTGATCATTAAAGAAAAACAATGTTGATTGGGTATTTAATTAAGAAAGAAATATCTTTTAATAAGCTACAGGATATACAATAATGCCTCCTTATGCACAGTTTCAGTTACCCAGGGTCAATCAAGGTCCAAAAATAGGTGAGTACAGCACAATGGGATATTTTGAGAGAGAGAATGAGACATCACATTCACATAACTTTGATTGCAGTACATTGTTATAATTGTTCTATTATTGTTGTTAATCTCTTACTGTGCCTCATTTATAAATTAAACCATCCTAAATATGTATGCACAGTAAAGGAAAAAATGTAGTATACATTATTCAGAAAAGAATTTTATGATGTTTCATCTTTCCCTTTTTTCAAATGTGTTAATTTTCCTGTTCTAAATGTAGTCTTTTTTGATTAAGAAAAGTGGAAAATGTATTAAAAGTATCACATTTATCTCTTGGAAAAATATGCTAATGATCTCCCATAGTACTTTGTTCTTGCTTTATGCTAATATCTATCACAAGTGCACTATAATTTATCAGTTCACCATCATTCTGTTGCCACCAGACTGTCCAAGAGCAGGATGAGTCTAATTTATTTATGTGTGTGTCCAGCATTTATTATGAACTCAATAAATAGTCAATGAATATAACATCAATATAAAATATAAAGTCTTATAGGCTAAGGAACCAGTATTGCCTGGGTTTGAATCTGAGCTTCTTCCCTCACCAGCTCTGTGAACACAGACAAGCTGCTTAATATTTCAAAGCTTCACTTTCCTTGTCTGTAAATTGGGCATCATAGTGTACTTAGTTTATAGGATTATTATGAGCATTAAATTTAACATACATAAAGCACTTGGAACAGTGCCTAGGATTTACAAAGCGTCCAACAAACATTAGTTCTTTGTTGAACTATTTTCTTGTTAATGGCGTTGCTTAGGGCTTTAGATGTTTACAGACAACAACAGCAACAAAATATGATTTTGCCTTTGGTGTAAGTAGAAGTTTTCTTTATATTATTTGGGAAGTAAAAGTTTACCAAGTAAATTAATAGTGTATGGGGCTTGTTAGAAGAATGTTTAAAACTATCTAGGTGAATCCACTGCTGTTAATCATCCTCAAGTAATTTAGTGGCATCATTTCCATTCATACAATTGATATGCTAATTACAAATGATCATTAGTTATTCATTAAAACTGTTCCTCTCAGTCCCTCAACAATGTCGCGCTCTGTTAGGTAAAGAAGGAACGTGCAGGAGATTTACCTGATAGGAGCATGCATAATGTGAGGGAACTTGAGAGGGGAAAATCATCAAATAACTAAACACCACAAAAGAGCAAGGAGGTTAATGGAAAAAAAAGTGTATATAATTATACATATTCTTATCCTGTGAGAGCAGTTAGAAATAGAAGAATTTTTGGACCATGAAAGTGGAGAATGCAGAGCATTATCAGTAAGCCTGGGGGCAGAAAACTGAAAACGAGCAAAAAAGCTTTAGAAAAAGATCAGTGCCTTCTAGCAATCAGATATTCACAAATCTAACATTTGGTTGACCTCAGCCCACCTTTCAGATCTGGAGACTAAAACTGGAAACAAATGCAGCTACTACATCCTGGTGGTAATGCTTTATAGTAACTGCTTGATCCTTGATGTCTGCACCAAAAGGGGGGAAAAGTCCTGATGGTTGTTGGAATGAAGATTAAATACACACACACACACACACACACACACACCCATCTTCAGGAGTACAAACATGAGCTTTAGAGGTCTGAAAACAGAACAAAGCTGCCTGGGAAAATATTCCTCGAAAATGATACCTTTAAATCAGTCTACTAATTCTTGAGTGGTGGGTTTCACCCAGGAAGCAGGGATAATAGAGAACACTTACCAACTGTGATTCACACTGGTTTATCTCTGAGATGCAGGCTGTGCACCCCCATGCTCTCCCAACCCATGACACTCTGTGACACTACACCCCCAATGAGCAAAGGCTTAGAAATGTACATACTCCTAAGCAGAGTGTTGTGACCGCCAGTTCTCATTGTTTGCCTCCAGGTCTGCATTAGGATAGGGAAAGGGTTATGGAAGTGGTGATCACCACCATCCCCTACATATCCGCCAAGAACTACCTCCCCCATACTCACCCCATTACAGTTCCACTTACAAAATGCAAATACATCTTAGCCACTAAAATTCACTGTGACTTCTTAAACCACCAAAGCCTTAGCAGAGCCAGGGTGCCAGGGCAGAAAGGCCAGGGATTGGGGTCAGGAGGATCTGGATTTGAATCTTAGACAAGTTGCTTATATTAACAGTGTGACCTCTCCCCTCTCAGCTAGGGACTGTTCCAGTTTTAGCACTGAAAGTCCCAGGAAATGCATCAGGCCTGGGCAAACTAAGATAATAAGTCACCCAAGACACAAGATGTTGCACATGTGCACAGTGCATAGTAGTGCCTGGTAAATTTTCCTTTTTTTTTTAATTAAAAATACTTTATTGTTAACAATGCTAATGATCATCTGAGCCTTCAGTAAATCATAATCTTTTTGCGGATGGAGGGTTTTGTCTTTATATGGATGGCTGTTGACTGATCACAGTAGTGGTTGCTAAAGATTGGGGTGGCTGTGGTAATTTCTTAAAATAAGACAACAATGCAAATACATGTGATTGCAGCTGCAGCCAGTCTGGAGTGGACACTGCGAAGACACCAGCTACAGTGGGGGAGGTGCTGCAGGGCTGTGGGCTTTAGGGAGCCAGTGGGAGCCAGCAACAGGCGGAAACCCCACCCCTTCCAAATTGGAGGGGCGAGAGCCCCACCCTCTTGGGCTCAGCTGCAGTTGCCCAGCTGCAGGTGCAGACCCAGGCATCTCTGCATTCTCAGGGACCCATGAAACCCCTCTCCCCTTGCAGGCTCAGAAGTGCCTGCTCCTGTTGCCTGGCCTCTCCCAGCTGCCTGTGCCTGCTCAGATTTCACAGCAAAGTTGATACTAAGTGCAGGCACTGTTGCAACCAGGCCAGACGTGTGTGCACTCAGGGGAGCACTGACAAGCCAACCCCCTGACACCTCAGCCCTCTGTGGACTTTGGGCACTAACGAGCCCAAAGTATTAGTCCGTTTTCACACTGCTAATAAAGAGACACTTGAGACTGGGTAGTTTATAAAGGAAAGAGGTTTAATTGACTCACAGTTCCACATAGCTGGGGAGGCCTCACAATCATGGCAGAAAGCAAGAAGGCGCAAAGCTACATGGCAGCAGGCAAAGAGAATGAGAGCCAAGTGAAATGGGAAACTGCTTATAAAACCATCAGATCTTGTGAGACTTATTCACTACCACAAGAACAATATGGGGGCGCTGTGTGCAGTGGCTCGTGTCTGTAATCCTAGCACTTTGGGAGGCTGAGGTGGGTGGATCACCTGAGGTCAGGAGTTTGCGACCAGACTGGCCAACATGGTGAAACCCCATTTCTACTAAAAATACAAAAATTAGCTGGGTGTGATGGCAGGCGCCTGGAATTCCAGCTACTCAGGAGGCTGAGGCAGGAGAATTGCTTGAACCCAGGGGGTGGAGGTTGCAGTGAGCCAAGATCGCACCACTTCACTCCAGCCTGGGTGAAAGAGTGAAACTCTATCACACAAGCACACAAAATATAAATAAAAATAAAAGGGGTAACTGCCCCAGTGATTTAATTATCTCCCACTGGGACCCTTCCACAACACATGGGCATTATGGGAGCTACAATTCAAGATGAGATTTGGGTGGGGACACAGTCAAACCATATCAGGAAGGAAAGCCGAGGGGGCCTAAGGGTGGCTCGGCACAGGACTGTAGGTGTCTCTCAGCACAAAGAGCCAGGGTGCCATGGGCATCAAGGATGGCAGGTTAATGGTGGCAGGAGGCAGGCAGACTCCTGGGTGGAAAGGGGTGGATTGCTGGTGAAGCCCCACCTTCAAGCCAGGGACAGCCTGAAGCCCAGGGGCTGGGCTGCCTGTTCAACGGACCAGAGTGAGAACTTATGGTGCTTTCTCTTGGTCTGCCTATGGACCAATCAGCATGCACCTACTCCCCTCTGAAGCCCATACAAACCCCAGATTCAGCCAGACTCATGCAGATGATGGGTCGACCAGTCTGCAGAGAGGAGCTACCCACTGTGGGTCTCTTCTGAGCTGTTCTGTTGCTCAATAAAGCACCTCTTCGCTTTGCTCACTCTCCACTTGTCTACCTACCTCATTCTTCCTGGACATAGGACAAGAACTTGGGACCTGCCAAATGGCAGGGCTGAAAGACCTGTAACACAAACAGGGCTCAAACATGCCCCTTGCTCATAACGTTGTGGGTGATGAGAAGGAGAGAGGAGCTACGGCCTTTTGGGGAGCCCAGACCTAAGAGCTCCCCGAGCCAGGGTTGTGACACCCTCTTTGGGGCTTTGCAGTTCCTGGCTACTCCAAGCTTCCAGGCACCACTGCAGTCCCTGGTGCCAGGCATGGAAGCTGTTTGTGGTACACCTGGTCCAGCCACAGCCTTCTAGGGAGCCAGCCCCTGTGCCAGCACCTAGAGCTGCCCACCCTGCCACAGCCAGCATGCCTGGCTCTGTGCAGTGGCTGGACTCCATGCTCACTTGCTCACACACTCCTCACCACTCTGCATCTGACTTGCCCCTGGTAGGCACAGGATCCAGGCGAGTAGCAGAAGCTGAGCACAACTTGCCAGGCTGAATGTGTGGAACAAGCCCAGCAGGCCCAAGCAAAATTTGGGCAAAGGCGTCACTGGACACAGAGGCTTCCAGCCAGAAATGTGACACCCCAAGGATTCTGTGACACATGGAAATTAAATAATCTGCTTCTGAACGATTGTTGGGTCAACAATGAAATCAAGATGGAAATTTACAAATCTTTGAACTGAATAATAATAGTGACACAACCTATCAAAACCTCTGGGATACAGCAAAAGTGGAGCTAAGAAGAAACTTCATAGCATTAAATGCCTACATCAAAAAGTCTGAAAGAGCACAAATAGACAATCTAAGGTCAGACCTCACAAAACTAGAGAAACAAGAACAATCCAAACCCAAACCCAGCAGAAGAAAAGAAATAACTAAGATCAGGGCAGAACTAAATGAAATGAAACAAAAAATACAAAAGATAAATGAAACAAGAAGCTGATTATTTGAAAAGACAAATAAAATTGATAGTCAATTAATGAGATTAACCAAAAAGAGAGAAAATCCAAATAAGCTTAATTAGAAATGAAACAGGGGATATTACAACTGATACCACAGAAATACAAAAGATTATTCAAGGCTACTGTGAACACCTTTATACACATAGACTAGAAAACCTAGAGGAGATGGATAAATTCCTGGAAATGTACAACTTTCCTAGATTAAACCAGGAAAATATAGAATCTCTGAACAGACTAATAACAAGCAGTAAGACAGAAATGGTAATAAAAAACATTGCCAACAAAAAAAAAAGTCCAGGACCAGATGGATTCACAGCTGAATTCTATCAGACATTCAAAGAAGAATTGGTACCAATCTTATTAACACTATTCCACAAGATAAAGAGGAAATCCTCCCTAAATCATTCTATGAAGCCAGTATCACCTTAATACCAAAACCAGGAAAGGACATAACAAAAAATTAAAACTACAGACCAATATCCTTGATGAACATAGATGCAGAAATCCTTAACAAAATACTAGCTAACCAAATCCAACAACATATCAAAAAGATAATCCACCATGATCAGGTGGGTTTCTTATCAGGGATGCAGGGATGGTTTAACATACATAAGTCAATAAATGTGCTACACCACATAAACAGAATTAAAAACGAAAATCACATGATCATCTCAATAGATGCAGAAAAAGCTTTTGACAAAATCCAGCATCCTTTATGATTAAAACCCTCAGCAAAATCGGCATAGAAGGGACATACCTTAAGGTAATAAAAACCATTGACAACAAACCACCAGCCAACATTATACTGAATGGGGAAAAGTAGAAAGCATTTCCTCTGAGAACTGCAACAAGACAAGGATGCCCACTTTCAGCACTTCTATTCAACATAGTACTGGAAGTCCTCGCCAGAGCAATCAAACGAGAAAGAAAGGGCATCCAAATCAGTCAAGAGGAGCTCAAACTGCTGCGATTTGCTGATAATATGATTGTATACCTAGAAACCCTAAATGTTATTTCTTTATAAATTTTTTTTAAAAATCAATAGCCAGGAAGGGAAGGGGTTTTATCAGAGAATGCGTCATTGCCAGCATGAAGAAGGGGAAAGGAAGGAGAGATCTGAGTGATAAGAAAAGTTTGAAACAGTTAGGTTCGAGGGCAGTTAAGTCATTTTTGCCCACTCTGCAATTCTGCCAAGACCCTAAGGGCAGACCTAGTGCCATGGGGCATTATCTCCTTCTGCCACTGCAGAATCCCAGGGATGATACAGCCTGGTTTAAAATGTGAAACTAGCTTAGAAAGAGTACCCATAATCAGATGAAGACTTTAAAATGTTTATGAAGCAGTGTTGTGTACTGGGATACTGATTGAGATCCCTCAGAATAAGTAACAAGGCCCACACTTCAAATCGTTTTCCCTGACTTTTATGACAGGTGGGCTGTTACAGTGATGGAAACAGGGCTGAAGCTAGGGGGTTCTATAAAAGATTTGCAACCTAGAAAAAGGCTTAGCCTATAGGAAGTTTTTGAGAAATCTTATTTCCCTAAGCAAGGAATACATCATCCTATCTCCTCTTCCAAGATGACAGCAAGTATCATGGGCAATGACATCTCCTAGAATTCCGTCAATCAGAATAGATTTTTTTTTTTCTGTAAGTATCTTACTCTAGTGAGCTCACAGAGATCATAGTTTTTCAAGTGGTGTCATAGAGACAACAATAGATTGCTGAAATTATTCAACCAAACCCTTCAAAAGATATACTTTAAATATCTAGCCTGTTTTATAATCCTAGAAGCCCAGGCAATTTAATATAAAACATCAGGGGGAAATACAGCAAATCTGGGCAGAAGTTGTCTGAGCCTGGCACTGTCAAATGTGTTTCCTATAAAGTGTAAAATGGCATGGACATTTATGTTGATGTGTACCATGAATAATAAAACATTAATAATAGCTATAACATTTAATTTAATTGGAGAGATTCAACATTGCAGATGCTTTCTTGCAGGAGAAGTCAAAATTTAAAGGCTATTTCAGGTTTATTGTCCAATATCTCTGTAGCTGTGCATATAAATGTCTTTTCCAATTAAATGTACACCCACAGAATATTCTTTGCTTTTGTCACCATTGATTTATACTAAGATCTTTTGCTTATTTTAAATGCTCTAACTGGCTCTAACCTCCAAAGATTCTTTTCAACCCTCTTCTCTAGTTCCTGCTATCACTAGTCATGTAGCCACCCAAGTTGGACCCTCCTGGGGACATCTTCCCTCAATCTACATCCAATTAACCACCAATACTGGTTGATATTAATGCGTCAATTACCACAATTGCATCTCATCCTCTCCTCCCTCTTATTTCTTATGATTTCTTGCCTGGATTTCCTCTCTTGTCTAAATGCTTCTACCTATTCCAGCCAGAGTTACTTTACTCCTTTTTTTTTAGATGGAGTCTTTCTCTGTGGCTCAGCCTAGAGTGCGGTGGCATGGTCTTGGCTCACTGCAACTTTCCCCTCCTGAGTTCAAGCTATTCTCCTGCCTCCGCCTCCCGAGTAGCTGGGACTATAGGCATGTGCCACCATGCCTGGCTAATTTTTGTATTTTTAGTAGAGATGGGATTTCACCGTGTTGGCCAGGTTGGTCTCGAGCTCCTGACCTCAAGTGATCCTACTGTCTCAGTCTCCCAAAGTGCTGGGATTACAGGCGTGAGCCACCACCCCTGGCTGAGTTGCTTGGTTTTTGCATGCCCTTGCTTAAAATCTATTGATGAGTAGAAAGAACACAACTATGATAGGCACTGTCCTTGAGGGCAGGGACCTTGCTACATTGATGGTTTATCCCTGATACCTAGCACAGTGCACAGTACTCATCCAGTGTTTGTTTAGCTAATCTGAAGAGGGCTGACTTTAAAGCTTAGGTCAAAGATTACTGCTGTAAGAAGGTTATTTCATTTCCCTGAGCCTCTCAGTTCCCATATATGCAAAATGGCATTAATAACATCTCCTTCAGGGCTGGCACAGTGGCTCAGGTCTGTAATCCCAGCACTTTGAGAGGCCAAGGTGAGCAGATCACGAGGTCAGGAGATTGAGACCATCCTGGCTAACACGGTGAAACCCCATCTCTACTAAAAATACAAAAAATTAGCTGGGCGTGGTGGTGGGTGCCTGTAGTCCCAGCTACTCGGGAGGCTGAGGCAGGAGAATGGCGTGAACCCGGGAGGCGGAGCTTGCAGTGAGCTGAGATCCTGCCACTGCACTCCACCCTGGGTGACAGAGTGAGACTCTGTCACAAACAAACAAACAAACAAACAAAACATTTCCTTCACAGAAGTCATTTAGGTTTATATGGACTACCCGTGTAAAGTGCCAAGTACTAAACCTGGCTCACAGAATGTACCCAATAAATGCATTACCCCATACATATTTTTCAATTTTCTAGAAATGAAAATGAAAACATCCTGTATCATGCAAAGCACTTCCCATGTACAGGCAGGTCCAATTATATTTCCTAATATTAATCTTCAACATAGAAGCAACACTATGCTTTTGATTTCAGCATGTGTTTTCATGTTTCTATAATCTCTCAGTTTTATTCCCTCAGTGTAGAATGTCCTTCCTCCACTCTGTTTTAATAACCCCCCACCCATCATTCAAAGCCCATCCCAAACAGTACTTATTCTCTATTATGTCACTTTCTTGCTCAAAATAAATAGCAAACACTTTATGATGGTTTACAAGGACCTTCACTCTTCACTCCCAGCTGGCCTCTATAACCTTATGTCTAATACTCTCCCCATCATTCATATTCAAATCATTCTGGACGTTTTTTTTGTTCTTGCTTATACCTAGTTCATTCCTGCCAGAATTTTGTATGACTAGCTTCTTCACATAAAGTTCTCAGCTACGAGATGCTCAACTCTACTATCAGTTAGGGAGATGCAGATTAAATCTAAAATGAGATCAAAATCATTCACATGCTTAAAAAAAGAATGTATCCCCAAGGATTTGGTGAAATTTATATCTTCATAAAACATAGAAGTATAAATTGATATAGGCTTTTTGAGTCAATTTGGCAATATCTATTAAAATAAAGTATATCCATATCTTCCTATCCTGGCTTGCATATATTAGGATCTACCTGAGAAAAATAGTTACTCATATACATAAAGATTTTCATTCAAGCAGTACTCAAAATAGTGAAACAAAATTAAACAAAAAACCATTTGGTTAACAAACTAAATGTCCATCAACAGGGGAATAGTTAAATGCACCATATATAGAATATTATATAGAAGATTTAAAAAGGTCTATGTACAGATGAGGCAAAATCTCCAAGACATTATTAACCAAGAAAGCAAGTCATAGATAATACGTATATGTAAAAATAGCAGTGCATTTAAGAAAATTACATATAATAATAATAATAGTAGCTTATATTCATTGAGTATTTACTATCAGGTACTGTTTCAAGGGCTTTAAATGTAGCAAAATAGTGACTTCTCATAACAACACTGCAAGTTATGTAATGTTATCATCCCAATTTCATATATGAGGAAACTGAGACACAGAAAGGTTAAGTAAGTTTCCATGGCCACACCGTTAATGGGTAACAAATCATTGTCTGGAGGCTGACCTCTTAATCACAGCCCTGCATTGTCTCATATGTTTGTATTTAAAAATAAATAAATAAGTAAATAAATGTGGGGTGTGTGTGTGTGTGGTGTATGTGTGTGCTTGAATACAAAGAGAAACGTTCAGATGCATGCTCACTACAATGGTGTTTCTACACGTGGAGAGAGAGAGGGGCTGGAACGGATTGAGGAAAACAGTTAAAGGGACTCTTTAAAAAATCTGATTTTAGTCTTTCCACACTGAATTATTTAAAAATTTGCTAAGAATGCATTTACATATTTATTGTATATTTTTAAATACAATAGCCCAGTATCATCCCATAAGGATCATGAGAGGAAAGGTCATTCTAGAACAAACCAAAGAAGGTGGGACAAAGCATAATTTTGTTTAAATAGTACTTTCAGGCAGAGCTTTCAAGTAGTTTGGGCAAAATAAGTCCCCCAAAACAAAAGCAAAAATCCCTACAACTATAATTCTATAATTGCCTGGGTAACTCAGGTGAAATGAAGGGATTTTAGCAAAGTTACCTCAAAATTTACAGATGTAGAAGTATAGTCTGTGGGAGCTTCAAAACCTCAGTCACAATGTAATGCCAATGATATTCTGTTTGAACTATCATGACTGAATGGTTTTTCTCCCGACATCGTTAATTTGCTGAAACCCAAGTTTTCCTTTCCTATATTTCCTCTCAGTTGTTTATTTGTCGGGGCCAGCATATCACTTATACGGCATGGCAGATCATTCATGGTTCAATATATAGGCTATAAATCCATGTTTTCAAGGAATAATGTTCAATGGAAAAATCATAAGGAAGGATTATGAAATACTTCATGTTTAAAATTTTGCTTTTCATCTAATGGCTCCTGAGATTAAAAACAAACAAACAAACTTGCAGTGATCTCAATCTTGATAGATGTGAGATTCCACAGAGAGTAATCAGTTGACCTAGGAATTTTTCTGAAAATGAAATGAGTTGGCTTTGTCTTTCTTCTTTGGTACAATTACTGTTGATCTTATCCCCCTTCCCCAAATAATAATGTGTCATAACAAAGAAACATCAATATTCTCTACATAATAGATCATAATGAGATAGATACTAATGAGATCTGTGTTTCTCTCACTAAATATTAACTTACATCCACATCTGGTGGCCCTGCCTTTAATTCTGGCCACTTCTAAACCACTCTTCACATTGCAATCATAGTAATCATTCCAAAATGCACTCTCGTGCTTAAAATAATTACATGTGCCTGTATTGCAGATACAGGCTGAAGTCTTTCAGCCTAGTGTACCTCACCCTTTGTGATCTGGCCCCTGTGTATATTTTCACCCTCATTTGCTAATCCATGAAGGTCCAAACAGGAGAACATGCAATTTTTTCTTGTCTCTGGGCCCTTCCTTGTGATGTCTCTTTCACCTTCCTCACTGCCTCCGTTCACCTGCTTGCTTAAATCAATGGCTTGCTGCCTTGATTATAAACTAGCAATGATTATAAGCACTAACATTTATTTAGTACTTACTACATGTTCAGGAACTGTGTTATGCCATTTAAACACTAAAATAGAAAAACTAAGTAGCTTCTTATATTATCATCTTTTAGCAATGAGAAAACTAAGGTTCAGATAAGTTAGCAAATTATTCACCAAACTCCACCAATGACATTGAATTTGTGCCCTATAGGGATTTACTGAGAACTAAAGGGCCCAGTGCATTTAGAGTGCTCTGCAGACGCTTGGCTTAGAAGCCCTGGAAGGAAGTATTTTCCATTACTTTTGTTACCAATGTTGTTACTACATTTGGGGGTGCTTGCTTTATTTCTAAACTTAATGTCTGGGGATTTAAAAATTGCCATTTTAACACAATGGCACATATAATTGAGTAGAAGATATATTTTTTAAAAGTTGATTTTTTTTAATTAGAAAAAAACTAAAAATTGAAAATGAAAGTGAATTACTAACACTGAACTCATTTCCTTCTCCCCTCTACTCCAATCCACTCCAGTTTCACTGGTTTTTCGTTGCTTCTCTCGAATGCCAGTGCCCTTCAAACCTTAAAGACTTGGTGTTGACACTTTCCTCTGATGGTCACAGGAGAATGATCTGAATGTTCTTCCCTAGGTGTGGCTCACTCCCTTATCTCCTTTGACCTCCACCTTGAATATCACCCCTTAACTGAGGCTACTCTGACCGGCACCACACTCTCCCTGCCATAGCATCCCCTAGCCTCCTTACGCTGTACTGATTAATTTTCTTAGCACTTGCCATCTCTAACACTATATGGATTTCCTTATTTATTTTGTTTATTGCTTATCTGCCATACTAGAATGTGAACTCCACAAAGGTAAGGACTTTTTTGTCTCTTTTTTTTCATTAAAGAATCCTGACTGCTTCAAATTGTACAATGTAGATGCCTAATAAATGCTTATTGAGTGACTGAGTGAATGACTATTGAAACTGGCCAAGCAATGTTATATAGCCTTGTTTGGCTACACAGGTGCTTTAGATACAAGTTCATGTATATTTTGTCGATTTATTGCCCTATCTAACATCTCTCAAACTAAGGCTTTGGTGGAGTCACTGAGCAGTTAATATATTACTGAAAGCAGATGAATGTGCTTGGATCTAGGCAGAGTAACAAAACAAAGACAGCTAAAGTTAAAAGTCTGACCCAAGGTCTCACATTCCTATAAATAATTGATAATGCATCAGGGGAATTTTAATGAATATATTTGATTTGTTTTATTTACAAAATAGACATACTAAAAGTTGCACATAATTATTAATCCTTTTCTAGAAGAGTAAACAAATTTATTAGAGACCAAGCAGACTGAAAGTGATTGGGCTTCTTTGTGAAACACTGCCAATATATGCAAAATTATATCCAATACAACTGAAGGAAAATATATTTGAAGCAATTACAAATCCTGTCCCATAACATGATGTGTGGTGTGATAACCAACATCATACAACTTTGCATTATCCCTCCTGCCAATTTCATCTAATAAAACACGACTCATGTGAAATGGTGTGTGCCCTAGGTTCCTGTGGTAATTAGCTGTGTCTAAATTGCTATAACATGGGCAATGATATTTAAAGTTGCTCTTACATTGCCTAAGAGTGCATAGCAAAATAATAATTATCATGTAATTTAGATTTTCAAAATGTAAACAGATCATGGCCACAAAAATAAGGGGAATTTCAGGATGAGTGGCTGTGCACTGTCTAGCCTGGTGGCCAGTCTCATTTCAGATCCATTGTAAAACTGAGAGACAGACAGCATTCAGGTACCCTGCAGGTTTTGGTTACAGACTTTACTGAGTGGTCAAATAGATATTGTGCCTTCTAGATTTAGGCAAAAAAGAAGAGTGGTGAGGCTTTGGCATATTTCTGTTCATGACATATTGGCACAATATTTCTACAAATCACTCAAAGCTAAAGCTAAGGCAATTAGGAGTAGTGCATCCATTTCTACTTATGAAAAACTTAACTTGGTGTTTCTAGGATAATTAGATCAAAGTAAGCTCCCTTAGGGTATGATCTACGTTTTCTTTAAACTGTTCCTTTCCCAGTGCCAGACATGGTACCATGGTTAATAAATCTTATTAGCAGTCTGACTGAAGATTTTAAAGTGATATTCTTACAATAACGTTTGCCTGTAGAGACAGATTCAATACCAAATTTAATAATGGCAAGCTGTCAATTGCTTTGCCTTTGTCATCCATGGTAATTGGGATCAACTCTGGTGCTCCTCCACACAGAACATTCAATTGAGATCAAGCCTTGGATGAAATCTCTTTTCCAGAATGCTCCTCATTTATTGAATCAGAAGGAGCCTGGACTTACCATTTGAAGGTGGTAGGAAATGGCCACCTTCAAATGGGAAGTCTAGGCTCCTTATGATGGCTTATGGTAGCTTCCGTGACATGGCTCCAGGCCATCCCTTCAACTCTACTCTTTAGCTACAAACATGTTGATGCTATGATTTGGTAGAAGTCCATTCTATTCATATTTATGGCATAGTGTACAATGTGTGCATTTTTCAGATTTTAATATTGTAGCTACTATATGGTTTGGAACTGTTTTCATGAAAATGAACTAATTTAGTTTAAGATAGTGATTCTCAACCAAGGATGATTTTGCTTGTTAGGGGACAGTTCAAAAGGTCTGGGGACATTTTTTGTTGTGGTGACTGGATGGGGAGGGTGTTACTGGCCAGGATAAACATTCTACAATGCACAGAATGGCCTCCCCCAGAAAGAATTATCCCATTCAAAATATCAGCAATTTCAAGGGTGAGAAATCCTGGTTGACAAATGTAATTGAGTGAAAAGTTTACATAATATAATTTTTAAGTGTTCTACTTCGAAATGCTGTCAGTTTGATAGAGCTCAGTTAATTAAATTTACATCTTGGAAAAGGCAAAACTAAATTAAAACCTATGCCCTTGTTTATGTTCATATGGCTGAGCCATAGACAACACAACCTCCAAGTACTCAGCTGCTCACTCTCACCTGAACCATCTTTTCTGCTGTGTCAACAAGAGGCAAGATCCTTGTCAGAAACCCAAGAGTTCTTGGTAACTCCCTATTCTTCACCTTGCATATCCAGTCAATCACCAGTTCTTGTTTATAGTCCCGTTACATCCAAAGTCATTTTCAAATCTTTTCCTTTCTCTCCAAATTGCCCCTCTTCCAGTTAAGACCTCCACCATGTCCCTCCAGAACTTCTAAGAGTGTCCTGGTTGATCTTCCACCTCCGGCTTTTCCTCCATGCCTTCACACACCCTATGCCCACATGTTGGCAATTGCCAGAATAACCTATAAAAATTCATGTCATTTTGGCAATTTCCTACCACTTTCAAATGTTAAGTCCGGGCTCCTTGTGATGGCTTATGGTGTCTTCCATGATGTGGCTCAAGCCCATCCCTTCAACCCTACTCTTTAGCTACAAACATGTTGTTTCTTATATGTTTCTGTAGATGTTGTCCCTCTGTCTAGAATGCCCTCCATCAACCTATTCATTCTAACATTCCATAGATAACTACTATTAATCCTTTAAAATGCTTCTTATTATATATACCATTTCCTCTACAAAGGCAGAAGGTGTTGTTTGCTTGTTTTTAAATTCTGAATTTTCGCTACACTGTCCACAGTACCAAATGGCAATAACCGGCTAGAATTGTAATAGGGCATTTCTCCTCTAGATTGCCATCTTTCCCTCTTGATTATCTCTGCTCACTTATCTAATCTCCTTCTGGACCCTAAAATAGTCAAATTTAACCACTCCTACTTCCTGGATAGCCTTTTGCAAAACCAAATCTAGTACAATGTCATGTTCCCTTGACTTTCAGAGGTAGAAGCTCAGAGACTGCCCAGAATCCTCAACTCTTCTGATGTCACATTTTACTCGATTTTTAAGTATGTAAGGACTACCACATATATAGTGATTAGTTCAGAATGAAAAATCTATGTTGAAATGGTAGTGCTGGGTGATAAGATAGGTTCAGGCTGATGCTAGATCAAATCTTGTATACTACATATACAGATTTTGACTTCAGGATCTAAAGTCTTATGCTTTGGTTCTTATTCAAATTTATATTCTTAAAGCTTAAGATATGCTATATATTTACACAGTTGGTGATAATAGGCACCTCTGTAAATAGAAAACATGACTTCTCTTGAGAAGTGATTTGGTGTCACTGAAGGGCAAGGTCAATAATTTACAATTCAGAGTAAGGTTGGCTGTGATAAAATTAGCAACTAATGATTTTGTATCTATGAGAGAAGAGAAAGAAACCCAAGTAGGAAAGGCCTATGATCAAATGTGATTCATTTGCAAATTTATTGAAACAGCCCATACCTCCTGGCTGAACTTAGAAAGATGTAGTTCTAATACCACAATTGCTGATACTCATTTCCCATATCTGAGACTCAGCAACCAACATTTGAGTTAAAGTTTGGTTATCTCACATGAACCTGTGAGCAATCACATGTGGCTTGTGACATGTCATCTGATTGCCATATGTATCAGTGTCTTCTGTTTTTGAGAATATAATTAAAAACAGAACAAGATATAAATCCATTATGGAAAATTATATAAACCCTTAGACTTACACTTGGCTTGCATTTCACTAGGTATACTCATGTAGCTGTGGCATATTAACATTCCAACCTTGCTTTAGGCTAGTGCCAACAGTCTGTAGACCAGCATAAATAAGTTAGAAGAATGTTCCTCCCAAGTTAGGATTAAATCGAATCATTGGCTTTTCACTAATGTTTAAAGCAATCACTGGTAATTGGGCTTGGTGAGTTCCACAAAATATAAATGATGCTTTTTTGGACCAGCACAGGATTTCAAGACAAATATTCTATTCATTTGAGATAAACCACACATTTCTCAGCTAGAACAGAAGAAGGACCATTACTTGGTTTACATATTCTGTTTTTGTAAATTAAGGAAAAATGTTGCAATAGGAAACATGGAGAGATGCATCTGGAAGTTTGGTGAAAGGCTGTTTAATAATAATATACAGCAACAATGCTGTGTAATTGTGGAAGCATAAGTCTTATCTTTTAATGCTGTATTTATCATTTCTCTTTTTTATCCTAATTACTATTAGGAAAGGTAGACAGGACAGGTGTTGTTACATCAGTCCTGCAGATATAAAGACACCAAAAATTCCAATGACTTGCCCATAATCAACCCACCAATGACAAGGATCCAATTTCCTCTGAAATTAGAGTATTTAATGGGGGACTTTTATTGTCTCTTGAAGATAAACAAAAAGCAGAGGAGATGACTTAAACTGGGCGGAGAGTCTAACTCTATAGGGAGATAAAATTATAAGAAAGAAAAGACTATTATCTGATTTAAAAGAAAAAATTTATAGTTACTGGGTATTTAAAAGGTATCCAGCGTAATGCCAGACACTCTTACATACTTTCTCTTATTTAATCTTTGGATTAAACCTGTGAGAAAGATATTGCTATTTTTGCTTTACGTATGACAAAATAGAGTCTCAAAGAGTAAATAAACGTATTATGGTTAGAATAACCTTAACTCCTGAGAAACCATAAGAACTTGAATTTGAATGAGTCCCTTTTGAAATGTTGAAAATATCAATTCACAATAAAGTAAAAGTTTGTAATTTTCATTAAATATGATGACAGAAAAAAAGGGAAAATTGCTCTTAAGTTGTTATCATATGCAATATCCTAGTCAAGTGATTTAAGGATATAGAAAGAAAATTTCAATACAAAAAATAATAATAAGCTAACAGAAAAAAAAAGTAGAATACATTTCATTTCATAATGAACAGCCTCAGGATGTATTAGAGACTCTTGGCATATCATCAGATTTCAGAATTGATTTCAGATTCCTAATGCACTTAGAGTAAAATGAAAACTTTTGGGTATCAACCTTAAAACTCCATTGGTTGGCTCCCAATCAGTTCTTCAGCCTCATCTTATCCCACTATGTATACTTTAGTCACTTTGTTCTTTCAGCTGCTCCTACATGGCAAATCATGGACTTCCTTATCTCAAGACCTTCACACAAGCTCTTTCTTATGATAACAGACTCTTCTCCTTAATCTCAGTTTAAATGTCACCCTTCAAAGAGGCCATTTCTAACACTATTAAAACTAGCTCCTGGCATGGTGGCTCAACATCTGTAATCCCAGCACTTTGGAAGGCCAAGGCTGGTGGATTGCTCGAGCTCAGGAGTTTGAGACCAGTTTGGGCAACATAGTGAAAGCCTGTTTCTATCAAAAATACAAAAACTAGCCGGCATGGTGGCATGTGCCTGTGGTCCCAGCCACTCAGGAGGCTGAGGTGGGAGGATTGCTTAGTCTGGGAGGCAGAGTTTGCAGTGAGCCAAGATCACGCCACTGCACTCCAGCCTGGGCCACAGAATGAGACCCTGTCTCAAAAAATAAATAAATAAATATGTATATATATATATTTTAAAAGTAGCTTCTCTTGTTCCATTACATGGCTCCTTGTTTTCTTCTTTCCCCTCTGTAACACTTATCACAGTGTTTAATTATGAGGCCATGTTATATTCTGAAGTATTAATTCGTGTTCTTTGTGAATTTTCCCTCCCATTCTGCTTCCTTCAGCCCACACCTTAGGAGTAAAAAAGGACTGAAAAATATCTGAAGGTCTTTGCTGTGCAGCAGAATGTTTTGGCTGCATGTTTTCACGTACATTTTTTTTTTTTTTCTCATCAAAGACCAGGCAAGATGGGGGGCGGGGAAAGAAGGAAGAGGAGTCTGAATGGCTTTATTGATTGGATAGGCAGAAGCAGAAGGAGAAAAGTCTGAAAGTGAAAAGGGAAGAAAGAACTTGCATTGTCAGAACTAGGAGTAGAGTGGAAAATATTCAGTGTGTGCTGTTTTGAGACTAGAAAACCAACGTGCCCATGCTCTGTGGACAACTGGTTCCATTCCATAGCCCTATACACTTGTAAGCACTCTAGATTTATGATATTTACACATTGTAGAGGACTGGATAATTTCTCAAAGATATTAATATCAGGTCCTATTCCCCAGAACCTGTAAATATTACCTTTTATAGAAAAAAAGGTCTTTTCAGATACAATTAGGTTAAGGATCTTGAAATGAGGCGATTACCCTGCATTATCTCAGTGGGCCCTAAGAACTCACAAGTATCCTTATAGAGGGAGGTGGGAGATTTGGCGCAGAGAAGAAGGTAATAACGTTACCATGGAGATAGAGATTGGAATGAGGTGGCCACAAATCAAAGAATGCTGCAGTCACCAGAAGCTGAAGGGAGCAAGGAACAGATTCCCCAATAGCACCTCTAGAGGGAGCACAGCCCTGTTGATGCCTTGGTTTGGAGCTAGTGAAACTGATTTGGGATTTTTGGCTTCCAGGGCTGTGAGATAATACATTTCTGTTGTTTAAAAACCACCGTGTGTGGTAATTTGTTATAGCAGCCATAGGAAACTAATATACACATAACGGAGTTAAAAAATCCTGTTACTGTGACCAGTGTGAACCTGAACAAAATCACTGGGAGCATTTCCCTTAGGCTGGGATAACTGATGGATATGTTACATTTATATGTATGTATTTATCATCATCATCATCCTCATCATCATCATCATCATCATCATCATCATGTTCTTACTTTCTACCAGATTATAACCCTTTTTTTTTGTTTACCACTCCATATCCAGGACTTAGCTCAGTAGCTGGCACATAATAATTTCTCTACAAATAATTGTTGAATGAAAGAAAAGCATTGCTAAAATAACAGCACAAATAGAAGGAAAACACAAACAATAAATGGTAAAAATAACTATGAGAAAGACTGCACCAGTAACTAAACTGAATAGTCAAATACCCATTACCAGCAATCTAAATAGAGATTTAGGTCAGTCTGATCCCATGTGTGGGAATGCTTCCCTCATTTAGAGACTTGCCGTTTAGCACCGACTGACTGTGAGTGTGTTCTGGCACTGACACACTATCAGCACAATCTCTTGTATGCTCAAAGCTCAAGTTGATCTATGAAGGAATGAGAGACCTGGTGCCCATTCTTGCAGGCTGAAATCACCAGGTGGGAATGTAGTTGTTCTAACCTGTGAACTATAGTTACCTGTGCTATTGAGATAGCACGATATTTCCCTGTTCTGCTTTTTAAATTAAAAGATCTCTTATTGTGAGCCAACTCAGAATGAAGGGGGGTAGAATACTGCCTTCTCAGTGTTGCAAAATATACCAGATCATGCTGCATTGTTTGTGCTCTTCTGAAAGTGACTGGGATAAAACAACATAAATGTACTTCTCTTGGCTTCTTCACAAATGTGAGTGAAGTGTCACATGATGTCATGCCGAGAATAAAAATTTTCAGCACTTAGAACTGAAATTTCAGCTTGCACTCCTATTTAATTATAACCTAAACAGTCCCCCACTCAGCTTCTGAGAAAGGTAAAGCATCTGCTAACGACTTCTAGGAATAGAGAGATTGTGAGAATAGCTTTACTTGAGGTCTCTTAGCTGGAATTAAGCTGGGGATCTGTGTGCCAGGCCTATAGGGGAACTGAAGACTGAGCTTCTGTCTTTCCCCTCTTCATGCAAGCATCTGCTCCCCTCTAAGGGCCAAGTGGCTTTAGAGAGTGCTTGTGGACCAGGGCTGTTCAGTTAGCCGGGAATGCAAAGTGCCTGGTGCAAACTGGAATGATGCAGATATGGAACAATTCAAACACATTCAAACCAAACTCTTCACACATCTGCAGTGGTGAATTAGAGTACTGAGCCATTTGAATCAGAGTAAATTCCTTTTCAAAACCTTACTATCTTTAGAAGTGGTTTTTAACTTTTTAAAGGTCAAAGTCTCTTATGAGTAGTTAAGAAAAACAACTGATCTCTCTCCACCAAAAATTTACTTATGCAAACCCATAAAGGCTAAGAAAACTTGATCTTTTCTACATTGTACATGAAAGTACTAATTTATTAATGGCTAAGATATTTATTTACCTTAAATTATGATTAATAAGGCTAGACTGCCTGAGTTAGAATCTCTAGTTCTGCCATTTAGTAGCTATAGGAGATTGGGCAAGTTGCTTGATCTCTCTCTTCCTCAGTTTCTTCATTTGTAAAATGGGACTGATAATAATAACACCTACCACTGAGGATCATTACGGGTAAATAATGAATTCATTATGTAGAGTGCTTACAGCAGTGTCTGGCATTCAACAAATATATAGAGAGCTTTGACTATATACAGGGACTGTTCTAAGAATTGGGATAAGGCAATGAATACAAATTACTGCCATCATTGGAACATGCATTTTATTGTGAAACTTAAATCTTGCAGTGTAGTTCATAGCAATTAAAAAAACTTTTTATGTTTTCTCTTTGTTCCGACACAGATAAATAAGATCTTAATACAGATTTCCCCTCTGGGATGCTGTAGCTTCACAGAGCTCGAATCTACAGTTCTAATTTTTATTTCATCTTCATCCCACACCTGACAGCCATTCTGCATAAGTAATTTGGGCTGTGAGTACTTACTTTCAACTTGATATAGGTATTTATAAAATGTAAAAAAAGCCGATGGCAGGAAAACAATTTATTCTGTCCCATCCCTAAACTTTTATTCACTCATCTGTTATGCTTAAAAATCAATTAGCAATCTGTATACACTGTATAGACAATTTTATTTAGTTTTAACTGTAAAGCTAGGTAAATTCAGCTGCAATTTCCCACCAATGGTGCTCTAAGACAATGTTTGCATTTCAGAAGCAAATGAGGGCTTCTTTTCAGTATGCCATATTTTTTTTAAGTCCTCATGCTTATATTTTATCTTTCTATCCTTTTCTTTCCTGTTCCTCACCTGCCTCTCTCCCATCAGTACCAGTAAAATATCACCTTTTGGACTTTCTTGCTTTATAAAAATAAATAAATAATTATAGATTTAAGAGAAGTTGAAAAGTAATGTACAGGGACATCACATGCATCCTTTACCCAGCTTTCCCCAATATTAACATCTTACAAAATCATATTAAACCAGCGAATTGGAATTGGTACAATTCAGAGAGCTTACTCAGATTTCAGTGGGATTTGTTTTTAACATAACCAGTTATTACATTTGGTAAGCATCAGTTATGATTGCAGTAAAGGTTGAAATCCACTTTCTCACCTGCGTGCACGTGTGCACGTGTGTCTTTGGATGTGAGTTCATGTGTGCTTTTGTGTGTATCCATTGGGTTGTGTGTGTGACAGAGGGACAGAGAGAGAGAGGGAGGAAACACTCCTGGCCCTACTCTTTCATGAGACTGTGTTTCTGAGGAACAAATGAGAGAACATAATGTAAATACTGTTAAAAAAAACTATAAAGTACTAAATAAATAAAACATATTGTGTTAGATTTCTCATCTTTCCATTCAGAAAAAAATGTCTTATGAATAGGGTACACAGAGCATAGGTAGAGCCTACTCATCTGCCTCAGAGTGTAAGGCAGCATGTGTGTGTTGGTCAGGGGAGGGTTATATGGTACTCTCAGCAGAATCCCATTGGAAGACATAGAATCACATAGTCACAGACTTAGAAGGGACTTTGGGGCCAACCATTCCAACTCTGTACATGGTACTCATATTTTGAAATACTCTGATCAGGTGGTCTCCTAATCTCTGATTAAAACTTCAAATGATGAGCAAATTCTGCCTTATGATTTAGTCTTTCTCCATTTAGAGAGCTTTAAGTGTTTAAAAGCTCTTTATTATAATAAGATGACTACCCCATGACTTTTACACACTGGTCTTGGTTCTGCCATCTGGTGCCCCATACAATGGATGATAGCTGAAGACAGTCATCATTCCCCTAAATATTCTCTTCTCCACTATAAACAATTCAAGTCATTCTTTAACATGTTCCTCATATACAAGGTTGCTCTTCTCTGGGTGAGCTTATTTTTCTTTGCAAGGATGGAATGAGCACAATAGGGTGTGAGCTTAAGCCCAGGAGGCAGAGGTTGCAGTGAGCTGAGATCATACCACTGCACTCCAGCCTGGGCGACAGAGTGAGACCATGAGAAAGAAAGAAAGAAAAAAGAAAAGAAAAGAAAAGAAATGAAAAGAAAGAGGGAGGGAAGGAAGGAAGGAAGGAAGGAAGGAAGGAAGGAAGGAAGGAAGGAAGGAAGGAAGGAAGGAAGGAGGGAAAGAAAGTACGAACAGCACCCTCAAGAGCTGGACCAATCTCTTTCTGTGTTCTATACAAGATATTTATATCAGAGCCCCTACAATCACATTATGTTTTGTCCCCCTCCCTCAACTTGCTTTATATTCCTCTTGAAATCAACATTAAAATTCCCTAAAATTTTTTTCCCCAGGCTTTGATATTTAGTTGTTCCTCCCTGATTCTGCATATATGTAGCTAGTTTTTTTGGGCACAGGAGCAGGACTTCATGAAGATTCTTATTAAAATAGGCCTATTGTACCATTCTATTGAGACTTTTTATATCCTGACTCTATCACTAAATATATTTACGGTTGCCGCTGGCTCCACATTGGCTGCAACCCTTATAAATAGTCCTTGAGTTCTCTCTTAAAATTGCGGAGAAAACACTTGAGCATAAAAGGGTGAAAAGGAGATCATTAGAAAGCTATAAATTCTTACTGTAACATTTTGACCTCCTATTAATGTTAAATTTTAATTCAGCATTCAGTTGTAAGGTTTCACTGAGGATTGATATAAGAAGTAGCCATACACCAAAGGCCTCTGTATTTTCTATGGAATTGTATTAGGTGGTTCAATGTCTCATTTGTAACATTCCCATGGGAAATTTCTCTTGGTGCCTAGGGATAGAAAAAATTTTCTCTCCCAATGATTGCTGAGCTGACATGAGTTTCCATCTGTTTTTGACTTCTTAGAAGCTAGGAGGAAAAAATCAATTGTTCAATTGCTGTATTTTGTCTTTATTTTTATTTATTGATTTCCCCCCCTTTCCATCACACTTTATAACCTAACATTCCATGTTAATAGTTCTGTGTGTGTATATATATATTTCTGTCCTATTTAAAAAGTAAAGAAATTATTCCATGGACATTTAAACATCTGAAAAGACATCTGATGTGTTGTCCTGCTTATCTTTGATTGTTTGTCTAGTTTTATATTTTGCCTGCATTTAGAAAAAGGATATGTCATGGATCTGCCTAAATATATATATAATTTAAAGTTCAGAGAACTTATACTAAAGTAGTTAAGGTTTGCTTTAGCCCTCCAAAGCACTTCCTTTCATAATTTCTCAGTTTAGAATGGCATGTTCTGAAAATCTTCCATATTTAATCTCCTGAAATTGTACCTTATTTAAAGCCAAAAATATAAATCATTCAATCATTTGCTAATCTTTTCTTTTTTGGCCTTTCCATTACAGATTTTTTTTTCATTAAATATTGTTACCTGCCTAGAATTATTTACACTGATAAAACCTCTGGGCTCAGTGTTTGTTAGAAGCCCAGAGTTCTAGAATTGGATTAACTATTATTTGTGTGACTATGAACAAGTCACTGGGTCATGAAGTCTCTTATTTACAGAAAACTGCTTTTTGATGAACACCTGGTCAATATTAGGCATTGTTAAAGAGCACATAACTTACTTTTAAACAGTTTAAAATAGGTAGTTTATAATATATAGTTTGACTATATGAATGTGTAATACTTTAACCTTCAACTTTAGGAGCTTAATAAACCAGTCTAGGGTAGTTAGCCAGCATTAGCATTAGATTGGAAAGATAATACTCTAGAGGTGGCTACTATATGAGTAGCTGTTGCACCTACTTCAATGAAAAAATGATGCTTTACTTATTAGCAAGAATATGTCAGAAATGGATTTTCTTTGGTGAAATTAGTAGCCCATTAACTAGCAAAATAAATGTTATAAATGGAACTTAATTGGTAAGATGAGAGGTTTAAATATATGTGGGATATTACAATCTTGGAGACATTCCTCACCTTTGCATGAAGAGGATATAAAAATCTTAGGGAGGCCCATGGCCTATACCATAGGATTAATGACCAAAGTTTGATCACTAAACTACCCTATTTTCAACTGTCAATCTAATAGGATTTCTGATTGTCTGATGCTGAATATAAGGGTAACAAAGTTGTCTCATCTGCCTCACGTGAACCTTTTTCTAAGGTTATGATTAGAACACCTAAATGGACAGAGACCTGGGGTTGTATCAAATTTATGGAAGGGGTTGTGAGTCGAACACTGCCTTCTTGCTAATTAACGTTTGCTAACATATGCTTATATATGTAGCAGAGTTTGCCATAAGACTTACTTTTAACCTAACTAGCAAAAGCAGTATCACTGGGAGGTTGTTAATCCTCACCAACCTCAACCTTCACCAGTAGCCACATTTACCTGTCAAAGGTTTGTATGACCAAATTAACACAGGATAGCTCTCAACAAACATTTTGCCTCATTTTATTCTTCATCAGAGCCCTTCAAATTAGTTACTATTCCCTTTTTTCAGATAAGGGGATTAAAGTTTAGGGGATACTAATCCATAATCATATGAATATTGAGTGGTAGAACCTTATGTGTTTGATTCCAGATAAGGTAACTGCCGCCTCCCAGGTATATCAAAACATCATTGCAAGGAATGGGTAAGTAATTATGAAATGCGTACAGTGTGTTCCCTGCAAATGTTTATGCTAAACAAGGTCTGTTTAGCTCCCTTATAAGAAAGCTCAAAGTCAACCACGTATTAAATTTATTATATATATATATATTCTTACTTTACACAATTATAATTACTGTTAATATACTTTGAAATTTTTTAAACTTTTCATACTGTTTTTAAATCTATACCTTATTTGATTTATATAATATATTCAGAGAAATTGCAAGTTCATACTCTGGGGCATAAGCCTCTATGTGACGCAATTGTGTGACCTAGCTCTAGAGTCCTCTACCAGAAAGTTAGACTCTGAAATTATCACTTGAAACATGCTTTGAAAAAGTCACAGTTATCTAAAGGTCAATAAAAAGCTTATCTCAAAACATTATTACATAGAAAAAAGTAAGTAGTAATTGGAATGCTGAAGTGATAGAAAATATTCATGGGTTGAGAATTTTGATATACATTAGAGGACAGCAGAGTTGAAGGAATAGTTTTGGGTTCTATGAAACTACTAGTCAGTCTAAAAATAAGAAACAAATGAATAAAATTCAAGATATGAATACAGAAGAATTTCATTCTACAGTTACCAATAAAATATCATGTTCCAATTACATTTGATTTTGGATATTGTGTCCCAAGCATAAATCAATCTGGCCACAAATAACTGAAATCGAGTTTATATATTAAAATCCTTAAGTTCTTAGAAAAAAGATCTTAGGTTAATCGAAAGGTAACATTGATAAGTTTCTGTTTATATTTCTGAAATGTATGCTTTTAGGTAATTTATGTTTAATATAAGTGGATGTTATAGGGAGAAAATGTTTGTTTCATAGGAAACAATTTCTTTAGCAACTCCTTATTACAAGTGGAAGTGGTGGCATCCAGAGAATATGTTATGAGAAAATGTATATTCATACTTTTACTTTAAAATGTTACATATTTTAATTTACTCTAATTTCATTTAAAAACGAAAGCATATATTATGAATAGGTAATTTAATCAAACTCTTTTTTGGAGGAAGGCTAATATGTTTTTATTATACTATAGCTGTAGATCTGGCTTCAAGAATTTTGAGGCCGGGCGCGATGGTTCACGCCTGTAATCCCAGCACTTTGGGAGGCCGAGGCAGGCGGATCACGAGATCAGGAGATTGAGACAATCCTGGCTAACATGGTGAAACCTCATCTCTACTAAAAATACAAAAATTAACCGGGCTTGGTGGCGGGCGCCTGTAGTCCCAGCTACTTGGGAGGCTGAGGCAGCAGAATGGTGTGAACCCGGGAGGCGGAGCTTGCAGTGAGCTGAGATGGCACCACTGCACTCCAGCCTGGGGGACAGTGTGAGATTCCATCTCAAAAAAAAAAAAAAAAAAAAATTTTGAGTGCATTAGCCTTTTTCATATGTGTTATTATTACATAAACATTAAAATTACCCTTCCTCTGTAATTAAAATGAAAAACCCACACACATTACAAAGTAAGGAGCTATATCTTTATTCTTAAAATGTATGTATTTGCTTATAGTAACTTAGGATAAAAAGTATCTTGAAATTACTGTATTCTTGTAAATGTTACTTGGAGTATTATGGGAAGAAAGTCAGCTAGTTGGATTAATTTCCTGGGATGTTTTTTCAACTCACTGATATTTATCATAACTGAACATAATGAAATGAGACATAAAAATTAGATTGCAGCTTTTATAGGTTTAATATCCATCAATGCTTAGAAAGCTGGTTAGACATAAAATGAATATTTATTCTAGGTTTTCAACGTTGACTTCAGTAATAGCAGGGGGCAAAAAAAAAGAATGTGCTTAAGGAGAAAATCTCTGGTTATTTTATAAACATACCACTCCGTTCACTGATAGCAGCTGGTCTCCTCTTTTGAGGCCTCCGTGTCTTTCAGCCACCCCTCCAGGAATTATGCGAGAGATATAAATGGGGGAATTTTGCTCCTTTCCTCCCATCACATTAAAACCAAGGCCTTCATCAGTCTTTGGCAGTTCAACTACTCGAGGGTGGGAGTGGCCTTCACTAGCTGCAAAAGCTGCAACTGTTGCCTGAAAAAAAAAAAAAAAGATGGTCTTTTGGTAATAAAATGAGGGAAATAAAGGCTAATCATATGCTTTGCAGTGGGTAGCTCAGGCAACTTCTCATATTTTTATAGTATTCTCCTGTGAAAGAAAGAACACAAAAAGCAGAGGACTTTCTTCATTTAGATGCCATCTAGGATTTCTTTCTTTGGTAAAGTCCCACTCATCTATTTCCAGCTTCCTAGGGCTTATCTGTTATGACAGAATTTTCCTGTCTTCATAAAAATCCTTTCCAGTTACCTTGGTTAGCTGCAATTCTTCCTATTCCTGGAGTCCAAATAACTTTGTTATATGTACTATCTACTATTATAATTATTTTATACATGTGTTGACTATGAGCACCTTAAGAGCAGAGATGGCGTCTTGCACTCTTTTGTATGACACAGAGTCTAATCTGGTGCTTGCACATAAAAGTTCATAAGTATTTTTTTAATAAATTGAAGAGCACTTGTATGTATACATACTTTTGAATACATATGTAATCTTGCTATTGCCAACCCAAAAGCTTAGCAAATTTAACTTTTTTAAAAAATTAAGGATGCCTTAAAGAGAATGAAAACTAAAATAAAATAATAGATTCAAACAGATTATTGTTAGCTTATACCAATATACCATATTATTATTCCATACTGAGAAATCTTATCTGGAACAGGATTTTTCTTCCTATATTATACATTAATATTTCAATTATTATAACAAAATAGGCAATATGAAGTCAATGATTTTATACCTAGATATACAAAACATCATTTAATATGGACATAATTTGT
Organism: Homo sapiens; assembly: GCF_000001405.40. Classification (NCBI taxonomy): domain Eukaryota; kingdom Metazoa; phylum Chordata; class Mammalia; order Primates; family Hominidae; genus Homo; species Homo sapiens. The sequence goes on from NC_000012.12 coordinate 80,846,743, forward strand.
TTTAAAATTCATGTACTGATTTCATTAAATGAGTTCAAGAAAACAACTTACCATTAGTTCCCACTAACCCCATAGAAATAAAATAACAGCACTTAGGTAGTTTCTATCAAGAAATGATTCTGTGCCTGCTTATTTTTCACTTTTATTAATTCACCTTGATCACAGTTGATTAGATGCCTGCTATAAAGTGACTTACTCAACACTGTGAAAATATTTATTCCCAACGACTGTACCTTCTTTTCCACACACAGCATTATCACATCAATTTAGCATTATGCTACTGTCTGCATTTAGTGAAAGATAGTGAATGACATGAAAACAATGGCTTGTTTTTAGCTACATGCATTTGCTCATGCAAACCTCATTGTCATGCATAGATTTTAATGGCTGACATGGATGCAATGCAGACAGCCCAGAAACAACCAGAAAATACTGTGCTATTGCAACATTATGCTGCTATCCTGCTGTTCTACATGAATAAGAAATGAGAATGGTAAAACACTACACAATTCACTTTCCCCTTAATTAAACCACGTAGGGATCATTTTTCTGTGTGTGTTCCACTTCAGTACAAGCAAAGCATGACATGATGATAATAACACCCTCTTTTTTTCCCTGAGTTTAAACAAAACAAAACAAAACAAAAAAACCTTACAAATCTACAGTGTTCAGTTACAGAGTAAAAACTAAAAAATCAAGAGAGAAACTAAACAAGCGTTGATGTAACACAAAATAATTAAATGGAAAATTCTACTCATTTTCAATGGTTATTTCTTATACATTATTAGAAAAATAAAGTATTTTTAAAAGCAAGTCATGTTTCTATTATAACATTTGTGTGTTTGTAAAAGAAGAGCTGCATCAGTGATTTTAGTTTAAAATTGGTATTTCCTAATGGCCTATTTTCCTGATAATTTCCTGATGTTATCGGTATAACATTTCCATTAGTAGGGTCTCTACAGTCTCTGGATTTGAGTCTTTAAAGGGCAGATGTGGTCACTACCACAAAAGGTGACAGGCGTTTTCTATAAGGTCTATGCCACATCCTTTCAGCAAGTTACCCACTGCTCAGCTGAATACACAGAAGTATCCTAGATCAGTGGGTGTCAGGTGAATTCTTTTCCTGTCTATTTGAAATCAAATCTTTAGACCGGTGCAAATAAATCTTCATGCACTGAATATGATACAGGTTCTTTCAGATCAGAAGAATGTGTCTGAAAATCATATAGTATTTCACACAATGAACCAGTAGATTTGCTTGTGCCAAATGGACATTAAGTGAGTTTAATGAAATCATTCTCCTTTCTTAAGCTACAGAAGCAGCAGAAACGTTCAATTTTCCATTAGGATTTTTACCTGAGAAGTAGTACTGGTTCTAGACTCTGGGCTGCCACTGATGTCTAAATTCTCTTACAGTGTACACACGAGAATACCTGAAACACACACGCGCACAATCAATTACTAGATAACTGGGGTCAAGTATATTTTTAAAGTTACTCAAGCCTTACCTTTGCTGTTGCCCTCGCACGGAATTCGGGACAGCCATTAACAGTTATCGTTTCATGCATATATTGATACACCTAAAATGTTCACATAAAAAGAAGAATGTGTAAGAACATGAAGAATAATAATTCTTTTATTGCAGAAAGAAAATTATATTTTCACTGTAGGAAAAAAATTCTCTATTGCAAAATAACATAGGTCTGATGTTTGGGAATGTACCTGATAGCACTCCTTAAACAGCAGATATTATTACTCATTGTGATTTTAGATACAATTACAGAAATCATTAAAATGTAGTAGAAAAAAATTGTTTCTTATAAACTTCCAGGGATGGGATTATAAAATCTTTGTATCTATGGTAAAATAAATTGCTTAAACTAAAGTACAGAAAAAAAAAAACTTAAAGGATGCCTTGAGGAAGATGTTTGGAAAAAAGTAACAAGGTTAAATGTGTTGGACTATATGTTCATTTTGGATTTAAATAGTATACGTAAAAATTTATTGCATAATGCATAGCAATAAAAGTCCATTTGGTACTAGGCTAGAGTATTTTTGGGGAGTGATCCATTAGCTATTTCAGTAAAAAAGGAAAGGGAAAAACTGCAATCGAAGGTTGAAAGGTTTTTTTCTTCCTTTATATTAATCTTATTTTACATGCTTAACTCAAAAATTAAATAAGTGAATCCAACATTTGATTAATTCACCCATTCAACAACTATTTGTTGAGTGTCTGGGACTAATCTCTTCCCTGCATTTTTGACTGGCTCATAATTTCTCAAATACATTTGGTTGAATCTCCACTAACGCTGACTCATCTTTCCCAGGTGACATGGTTAGAAGGAAATTGACAAAGTAGTCTGTACTAAAAAGGCAACAGTGCAATTCAGAATCTAACTTTTAGCTCTGAATCTCCACTTAACAATTATGAGGTGTTCAATTTCTATGGGAAATCTGAATGGAGACAGGAACAAGTTTCCAGAAGATCATTTATGGAATCTGAGATATGTTACTGCAAATTCTCCAGGTTACCTGAACAGCTGCTAAACGTACTTCCAGATTATTTCCTTGGAAATGCATTATTTTGTTTCATAGAGACAGCCTTTCCAAAAATAAATTATACTATTTGCTCTAATAGCCCATTTCAGAGGAGGATTTTCCCTGCCCTGCTTCTCTTGTAATAAACTCTCTCAAATCTGACCCTTCATTCCACCCTAGCTCATTATCTCTTGCTGCAAGCATTGCATTAGTGACTTAATTGGGTCTCCCTGCCATCAAACCATATACACTTTGGTGATCATCAAGTACCTACCTGACCATGTCCCTGCTGTGCTCTTGGCTGTCTGCTGCCCTTACTGCAAAGGTGATAAGGGCAAATACCTACAGGAGTCAAGCCACAGATAATAATGCAGAACTCAGCCTTCTCTCTAGTTTTATTTTCCTGTTTTCTTTTCTCCACCCCCACCATTCCTCAAACATATTGAACTCTCCAAGTTACCTAGGTCTCTGCACATGCCGTTTACTCTGCTAGGAATGCCCTTCCACCTGGCAGACTCTTATTCATCCAAATTTAATATGATGATAAAAGGTCAAATTCAAATATTGTCTCCTCTATTAAATGTTTTCTGCCTCCCTCAAGCAGAGTGAGTCTCTCCACAGTTCCTGGTCATCTGAATTTGTTTGAAGTTATTTTGGTTAACATTGCCAGGGAAAGTGACTTTGCCTGCATCCAAGGATGTTTATGAAGACAATCATTTAGCAAATAATTGGAATATTGTCATCAATTGAATAAAACAAAAGGTGATTTTGTAAGTGCTGGAGATAAATACCTGTACCTAATAAATATCACAAATTAAGAATAATTAGCCTTAAGACCCCAAATTGATTTTGAATTAGAAAGTGGTATATTCAAGGAGCAATACTGTGTAGTAGATAATTTCACAGACTCTGAAGATGGCTTGGAAGCAAACCGTAGCTGTACCATTTAATTGTATGATGTTTGTCAGTCACTTGATTTCTCTGATCCTCAATTTCCTCATTTTAAAAATGTGCCTTAAAATAGTAAGTAACTTCTAGGTCTGTTATGAGGATTAAATAAGATAAGAACAATTTGCCATGTTTAGTATGTTTCCAAAAGTTAGCTATCATTGTTATGCTGTTGCTGGCATTTGATGTTTCTCATCTTATTTGACCATGGATCTTTTGGGGAAAATCTCCTAAGATGAGCAGTTCGTGAACACTGTTTACATAGAATTGATCAAGGGCTGTAGTTCTCAACTGGGGACAATGTTGCCCTTCAGGAGACATTTGGCAATGTCTGGAGGCATTTTTGGTTGTCATAAATGGGATGCTACTGCATCTAGCATGTGGTGGCCAAGGATGCTGCTAAATTCCTACAATGCACAGTGAAGCCTCACAGAACAAAGAATTATCTGCCAAAATGTCAATAGGGCTGAGATTGAGAAATCCTGATCTAAGGAATTAAGCTATACCTTTTCTTCGTACGTGCAATGATTGGTAAGCTGTAAAAACAGACTTGGATAGCACTGAGTAAAGGCTCTTGTAAAACATTCAATAAATATTTGTTGGAGTAAATTACCATAATTCTGGTATATATTTAATGAGAAATCACCATGGGCCAAATGTAATGCTAACCATTTTATATCCATGAGCTCGGTTAATTCTCCTAACTTCTTATTTGGGCACTCTACACACAAAGACACTGAGTCACAGAGGTGGGAACATACCGATGACCACACAGCTAATTTGTTGCAGATTTGATACAGCAACTCATCTCTATCTCCCTTCAAAATCTTTCCTCTTTCAACCGTATCAGACTTTCTTATATTAAAACAGCATCAGATCATTACTATTTTGGCAGTATCAGTGTGAACAAAAACTTGCAGGTGTTATGAGAATTTCTTTATATTTTGAATAAAGGAATCTAGGTTTTATACAGTGGCTACCATTAAACAAGTGAGGGCTGCAAATATACAATACAACAATTTTGAAACCAATAAATTCATTAGTCCACAGTGAAATATCATTTTAATCTTCCTTATGATTATAATATATGAAGACTTAGTGGAATGAATCCAATATAATTGCTAGTCTTTTTTTTTTTTTTGTCTACAAAACACAATAGATTCTGATTAGCTGGTTTTCAAAAGTGAGCTGAAGAGGACATGATCTGGTTGTAGAGTCAGGTCAAATCCTGGAGATATTAATTCTATTTCCATTAGCTGTGTCACCTTATGAACTTCCTTAGCCTCTCATTTCCTAAGGCGCAAAATATATCCATGCCTATCTTACTTTTCAAGGACAATTTTTAAAGTATTTGTAAAAATCTGAAGCAAGTTTTCATGGAAAGCCAAAGTATTTTACCAGATACCCTGAGAGAGTTCTTAAAGGGAAAACAGAAAATAGTTGTATGTGCTTTAATGAGGGGCTTATACGTGGGGCTTATAGACTCCTGAATTCTTTGGGTCCCAGAATGTATGACAAACTTCAGCTACAGCATTTGTAAGACATTTCATTGGTAAAATGGGTTTAGTTCCTAGTGTAAGCCAAATAATTCATAGAAACTCATAGGGGTTTTATATATCTCAGCATTATTAATTTCCTAACCTTGAATAAATTGCACAGATTCAGTAGCATTTTGCATGTTTAGAACTTATTCCAAGCTACTGAAAATTGAAAAAGATTAACTTAAAAAAGCAATAAAATTATAGTGAGTTGGTTCAGAAAGTTCATTTATTCATTTGTTCAGCTAACATTTAGGAGCAATTCTAGTCAATGTATTAGGCATCTGGGCTAAATTATGAAAATAAAAAATAATGGTTGTTTTTAATTAATGTTTGAAACAAAATTTTCACTATAGAAGGGCTGTTTTCAGTTTTTTAAGTGAAAAATTTCCATTTTATTTTTCTTTATATTTAAATGAAAATAGAATACTTTTTCCGGATGGAAATTTTATCCCTGAGAGAATAACAAGTATAAATGAAGTACAAGCTTCACTTTAATTTATTTACCAAGTTTACATACACAGGTTATGCAATCATTATCACAATATAAACTTTACATTGCATAGTTCGTCTTGATCTTGAAAACCCTAATTGGTACAGAAAGCTAGGTAAGGGATGACAAGCCTTTATTGTGAGTTTCTCATTCTGGATCTCTTTTCTACATGACTTCAAGTAACCTACTATCTGTGTACCTTAGTTGTCTATTATGTAAAAGCCTATATTCAAAGAGGCAATCAAAGAAGATAAAGTATGTGACTTCACAAACCATAACCCATTATTCTTATTATGCTTTTATTCTAATAGCTGCTATTATTTCTATTATTACTATTATATATATATACACAAGATGCAATTGGAAAAGTGCCTTTAGAATTTAGTTGCTTAGCCAGCAGCAAGTTTGAAAAAACTTTGAATTTAAAGCTAGATTTTGGTTGTTCTCTCTTCTACTTTTATAGTAGAGGTTTATTGCCTTTTGTATTTTGATGTTATTTAAAACTTTCTGCTGAGGCAGACACTAGACAGACTCATCTCACACAATCCCCAGTTTCAATCCCCTTCTCCCAGTATTGTCTGACCATATGACCCAGTTCTGTCCAATGACAATTCAATCGGAAGCAGGTGAGAAGCTGCTGGGAAAGCGTTACTCTCGTGGTGCAAGTGCTGTCTTTTCCCTGTCTTCTACTTCTTGTCTTGTGTGTGGATATTATCAGCTGTAGTGGCAACCTTCAACTTCAGAGAGAAGGACCAAGGAAGTGTACAGATGTCAGTTCTGATTACATGGAACTTCTAAGTGCATGCAAAACACCTGCCTATCTCTGAATTTGTTATAACGAAGAAAAGCATTCTTGTTTAAGCCACTACAGCTGGACTTTCTGCTACTTTCAGCCAAAAAAGTTCCTGATTGCTATATTTCTCAAGTAAATGTTATATAGAACTATGCTATCTTTAGGGTCTCTTTTCTTCTGTTCCTTCCAATTCTGAAACTTATAATTTTGTCCATCAGAAATTAGTGCAAATTTGTTAATATGAGGGCCTACAAACCAAAAAGATAGCCTAAAATAATAGTTAAAAAAAAAAGAAACTCTTTGAAAAACACTGTTAAAAAAAATGAAAAGACAAGCCAACTGGCAGAAAATGTTTGCAAAACATATATCTGATAAAGGCTTCATATTCAGAATCTATAAAGAACTGTCAAAAGCCAAAAAGTAAACAACACAGTTAAAAATGGGTTAAGTATTTGAACAGGTACATTATCATGGAAGATATATGGGTAGCAAATATGAAAAGATACTCAACATCATTAGTCACTTGGGAAAATTCAAATTGAAACCATACTTAGATACACCTACACACTTATTAGAATGTGTAGGTTAAAAAAAAAAAACATACTGACGATATCTAGTGTAGGTGAGAATGTTGGAGAACTAGAATTTTTTTTTCTTTTTTTGAGACGGAGTCTCACTCTGTCACCCAGGCTGGAATGCAGTGGCACTATCTCGTCTCACTGTAATCTCTGCCTCCCAGATTCAAGCGATTCTGCTGTCTCAGCCTCCTGAGTAGCTTACAGCCGTCCACCACCATGCCCAGCTAATTTTTTTGTATTTTTAATAGAGACGGGGTTTCACTATATTGTTCAGGCTGGTCTCGAACTCCTGACCTCAAGTGATCCGACGGCCTCGGCTTCCCAAAGTTCTGGGATTACAGGCATGAGCCACTGTGCCCCTGCTGAAGAACTAGAACTCTTGAACATTGCTAGTGGAAATACAAAATGGTACAGCTATTTGAGAAAACAGAGTAACAGTTTCCTGCAAGATTTAATGTAAGATCCACTCATCTTCTTCTAGCTATTTATCCAAGATAAAGAAAAAGTTATATTCATACAAAAACAATATGGAAATACTTATAGCAACTTTATTCATAATTGGCACAAACTGGAAACAACCCAAATAGCCTTCAGGTGTGAATGAATAATTAACTGGTGGTATAGCCATACAATGGACTACTTGGCATTAAAAAGGAACAACTGGCTGGGCACAGTGGCTCACATCTGTAATCTCAGCACCTTGGGAGCCTGAGGCAGGAGGATCACTTGAGCGCAGGTATTCTAGACAAGACTTGGCAGCATAGTGAGACCCCATCTCTACAAAATTTATTTAGAAAGGAACAACTACTCATATATACAGCAGTGTAGATGAATCTGAAATGCATGTTGCTAAGCCAAAAAAAAAAAAAAAAAAAAAAGCCAGACATTATAATGATTTTATGTGACACTTTGAAAAAGACAAAACAATACGGATAGAAAGCAGATCAAAGGCTGCCAGAGGCTAAGGGTGGGGACCAACAGATTAGACCAAGTATGATGAAATTTTTGGGAATGTTGGAACTGTTCTATATATTCATAATCATGTAATGATTACATGATTGTATGTGATTATTACAGCTCTTAGAACAACACACTAAAAAGTAGAACTATTACTGTCTAAATTATACTTCGAAAGACTGACTTTTTAAAAAGCAAAAAATATTTTTTAAGACATAGGAAAGCAGAAAATATTTTAAAGAGATGAAAATATTCAGAAACTTAATCATGATTTCAGAAGCTAAAAGTAAGGGTTTGAAACATAAAGACATATATATCTAAGAATATATTTCATATAATAATAACATGACATTCATCCTCATTCCACAAAGTTTATCAGCATGGAAAACAGTAGATATATTTAATGGATAAGAACATCTCTTTAAAACATAGGATGCTCCAGAGATTTTGTAGTGCCTCGTTATAGATGGGTTGGCTACTAAAATGTCAATAGAATTACAATTAGCATCATATAAACCCCTCTCTATCAATGACTGGAAAAAAAAAAGTAAATGCTTCAACAACAAAGTGACATTAGACCAAGTTATCTCAAGAGGGAAAAAAGTGAAAAGACATATAATAGGTATTATCAGAGCAAATGAAAGGACACATGGGAAAATGATGAGGTCTAAATCTCAGCACATTATAGTGTGCATTAAGCCTTGTTAAGTGTATGGCTTTTCTTAAAAAGCAAGTAAGAATGGTTTTTTAATAAGAAAAATTATAAAAATTAAGATTAATATCTATACCTATCTACACTTTTTAAATGGATTTCTTGATTTTTCTGATTGGGAAACTCAGATAAGAGTTGAATAAAGAAAAATTATTTGATGTGGTATCTGACTTTAAAATATTTTAAAATCTTCATTACATTAAAAATAAAAATTTAGCTCCCCACACTCTTTTACAATTATAGGCCACCTGGGTAGTTGGAAAACATTCATAATATTAAGCCATAATGTATTTATCATAATATAATAATACTGCAGGCTTCTTGAAAGCAGATTTTAGGCCAAGGGAGGTATCTAAAATGAATTTGGGGATCATTTGAGGCTCTAAGTTTAATTGCATTCAGTGGAATGGAGTCCATGCCTGCAAAATTAAGTGCCCTGATGTAAATGTACATACTGTACTTGATATGACTAGAATAAAATAGAAATAGAACTTAAGTCACCAACAATTTGGTCTGCTTGTTTTAGGAAGTTTTGTGAAAATAACTGATTCATCTACTAAGGAAGAGATGTTTTAAAAATATCTATTTATTGTCTTTTATCCTTTCATTTTGAAAACCTGGCAGCCACATATAAATTTTATATATTTTAAGCTATAGCTATCCATATAGCTTTCATATATCTTTTCTATATGCTTTTGTAACTGTGGAAAATATTGTTTAAAACTGTAGTGTTAGAATTCCTATAAACTAAAAAATTTAGGTTATGGAATTCACTGCCTGCGGCCAGCCATTTTTTGCAAAAAAAGAAAAAAGAAAAATTAAATGGCAATGGTACAGACTGTATACAAGTCATGTCTACTACAGTAAGATCATCAAGGCTCAAATCGACCCAGTGAAAATCCAAGAAGGATAGAATTTCCAGAGTACTATCTTTCTACATTTCTCTGCAGCCATCAACTTCGATGAAAACATGTCACCCGTCGGACAAGAAAAAATACTGACAGGTATAAAGAAGCAAAGGACAACATCTTTGTTAGGTCGAAATGAGTTATAAAAGAGGGCTCCACCATTAAAGCAGATATTTGATAGTATTACTGGTAAAATAAATGTGGCAAATTGGTTTTACCAGTTGACAAACTCTAGGAATAGGTCAAGGTCTTGGAGAGGAAGCATTCCTCCTAGGTTCAGTGGTAACTGTGCCATGTGAAATACTCTTTATGTCCTCAAACAAGGACGAAAAACAAATGAACTCTCCAGTTTTTAGTCACAAAGGACATACAAGACCTTCGTGTAGGCTATTAGCTCCATTACTTTCATTGGTATTTTAAACCATGCTGATGCAGTGTAAAGTGCCTTTGGCTACAAAGTGCTTCCTTTCAGCACTGAAGAAGAAACTTCAGTTAACACTCATTAATATATCACTATTGTCTTCAAGAAACAAAATCAGCCTACCTCTAGAGCCTACTACTTCAGTCGTATCCTGACAAGATGTATCTGACAACCAAGTTATTAATAGGATGGCAATACTTATAACTAAAAACAAAACAAAACAAAACAAAAACTCCACTGAATTTGACGATTGAAAACAAATGTGATGCAAACGTGATACTTTGGGATTAAAAACTTCCTGCCCATTGGCACACAATTTAGCCTCTGCACACCTGTTTATTAGTTGCCCCAATATCCTTATGGAAGGAAGATCTGCCCGTGTGGTTGATCAGCATGCAGGAACTGTACAAGGTCATGGCTTTACTAGTGGTATTGATAGTGTCTCTCAAAGGTTGGCTCTGTGAGATACACCTTCTTCTCTTTCTGCATCCATGTCACGAGAACTTAGGTGGGGGTACCTGCTTGGAGCCGATACAGCTAGTCTTCTCATTTTATATTCCACCTTCTAGGCCAAGCCAGATATCTTAGATTCAGAGTGGAGTAAAACAGATAGTTTACTTAGGCATCTGGGCCCAGTCTTCATTTTCCAATCTATATTTTATCAGAAAAAGCTTCACTAGAGAAGATCTTGGTGCTTTCCATGCTGATAGCAAAGTGGTACTTTGTTTCCCATTTGGTTATGGCCCTTGTATCTGGCTTCCTTTGGTAGTAATCCCTGAGAAGGAAGGACAGAATGTGGAAGAGGATTTGAGCACTACTGGGCGCCTGGATAGAATACCATCTTAATAGCACTGAAACCTCATGTCTACTTCTTACAGCCCACAAGCATATTTCTGAGCTCAACTACATGACTCAGACATTTTGCTTCAATGTGATACATGCCATTTATGATTTGCTTTAAAGGACATTAACTAGACTGCAGATATAGAAAAGTCAAATTGAAATTATTCATAATTTATGACCAATCTCATGTCTTAAAGCCAATTTCTGTGAAAATGGTTTTACCAGATTGAAGAAAAATGTAGTCTCAAGTTGCAAGTCATCTCCAATGCTCAGATTAGATGAAGATGAGAAGGATTTTGGACACAGTGATGGCCTTAAATATCTAACCATCTGCCTAGCCAAGTTACAAAGAAACTGGGCCTTTTTCTGAAATGATGTTTATAGATTAAGTTTAATGAGAAGGACACATGAGAAACGTCTCCAGCACTCTACCTCTTAAATGATGAGTAAAGGATGGGGAGACCCTCTAGGATGGTATTCTAGAAACACTTAACAGAGACGATTAAATGTCTCCTTGTGCCTGACAGTAAATGGCACATCCTTTTATTTGATTCTGGCTTTGTGGGAGCTCAGTAGGGAGGCATCAGGACTATAGGTACATAATATAGCACAGTCTTCAAAAGTGTCTACCAATTTTCAAATGTCCAGAAGCTATTTATATCACTTGTTTTAGGTGAATTAAAATGACCATGCCACACACTTAATTTTCCAAAGTAAATAGAATATACTTTGCTCAAATTTATAGTTTCAAAACTAATTATTCTATTACATAAAAGCAGAATAATTAGTTGGGAAACTATAAAACTGAAGAATGACTATAATTTTAAAGCTATGCTATTAATCTTAATTTCCCTACCTATTTTTATAATTGGTTTATATTTCCTAGTGGCTCTTAACATATATAACTTTAATAAAGTAGTTCACATCAAATAACTTGTACAAATCATTTAATAACTTCAAGGAAAAAGTGAGATCACAAATAACAGGGTGTTTCTACTCTACATGGCAGGTGGCCAAGCCACCAAGAAGAAATTTCTTTTTTTTTTTTTTTTTAAGTTGTTCAAAAAAGAATTCCCTTAAGGCAGCTGTTCCCTGTCTTGTCCTTGTTACACAGTCAGAATCCTCTGTGACAGGAAATGCCTGAGCAAAATTTTGGGAAGATGTCATTTTCAATTAGCATAGTACCATTCAAAGTGACTGAATTATCTTTATTTGCTTATTTTGGGTAAAATTCAAACAAGGTTTGGGGCTTCAAATATGCCTTAATTTTCACTGTTTGGATTACGCTGATGTGAAATTTTATGAAGGATTGTGAAGTGCTTAGATATTGGCTCAGCAGACTTGAAATTTACTAGTGTACTTAAAAGTTTGCAAGGGTTGTAAAATAAGGTTTACTTTTTAAAATAGGTCTTTATCAGGTGAATATATTATCCAGGAACAATTAGGGATACATTGTCATTGTCACAGGAGTCATATCAGCTAATCAAATGAATGCTGAGGAAAAAATTTAACTCAGTGAATAAGAGCCAACCTGATTATTCAGTTGATTGAATTAAAATTATTATAGCTAATAATAAGGTTGCCAGATGTAGCAATAAAAATATTGGATGCCCAATTAAATTAGAATTTCAGATAAACAATGAATAAATTTCTAGCTTAAGTGTGTTCCATATAATATTTGACACACCGTTAATACTGCATCATAAATGAATTAAGGTTAAAAACAAGACTTATAGTTTGGGAGGTGAGAGATGTTAACAACAGTGAGTATAATTAGGGAGCAAACAATGTAATTTGATGATTGTAGGCTCAGGTTACAAAAGATAGGAAGAGGTCCAGTTTGATGTCATGGTAAAAGATGTGGGTGGGTTAATAAGTTTGATTTCAGACAATGTTGTTTGAGTCATTTTGTGATCTCTAGGAGGAGATGTTCAGTAGACAGCTGCATATGCAGGTCTAAAGCTCAGAGGGAAAATGTACGCTATAAAATATAATTTGTGAGTTATTTCTTTGTCAGAAGAAGCTTTGTGTATACTTTACCCTCTAGGAGAGATTGAGAATGAGAAAATGAGAGAATTTTGAGGGGCTCCAACATCTATTTATGTCATTTATAAGCCCAGCCTTAATCATATTGAACCTATTGAGCCAAGACATCTTTTTAAAAAAATTAAATAACTCACATATACTCCTTTTTAAATGGATTATATTTAGGGGAAAACAAATACAATAAAACCCCAAATTTTTAACAAATGATTTTAAAGTAAAAGTAATTCCTATACACTATAGAAAATATGTACAATATAGATACATATAAGCAAGAAATTAAAATGATTTATAATTCCATGCCAAAGGACAACCACTATTAACAATCTATCATACTTACTTTTAATGTTTATTAGTTTTTTAAATCAAGCCAATCATTACATACTTTTTATAATCTAATATTTTGTTTTCTTTATTTTTTACACTATTTGGAAATTATGACATGTGAGTACATATTAATGCTTATTCTACTTAAAGCTTCATATTACTCCAATTTGGATGCATCATAATTCATTTAATCAATCCTCTGATGAGGTGCTTTTTTTTCTTACAATCTGTACAGCAAGAAATAACCTTGAATATCTGTGTTTTGTAAGTGTGAGAACATCTCTTTATGATAAATTCATTGAAGTAGATTACTGAGTCAAAAGTATATGCATTTCCAGTGTTGATAGATATTGGTATATTACCCCTTTGGTAGAGTTTTGGCACCCCAGTGTGTGCCAATAATAATTATTGCATCTGTTACCGCACAGACTGCAAGAAGTTTAGAATCATGTTCAATACTGAAATAAAGCTTAGTATTTCAGAAAAATTGACATCAATGAAAGAATGGATGTGAGACAAGTCATTCAAATTGCAACACAAAATGTTGCCAAACTCATAGTCCAGATAGATGCCAACTACTCTGGCCTTTTCCTTTAGCAGAAGGATGACTAAAATAGTGCTTCAAGCAACAGAGTTACCATTCTGTAGCTCCGTTGTCCAGCATCTGTCTGTTCTGATAGAGATCACTTTCCTTTCCTGAAGAGGGAGTCTTTACAGCCCTCAAGAGTTAATTCAGGGTGGTGAATGGACCACTTCAGCCTCTCAGTAATGCTGGCAGGAATCAAAGTCTTCAGAACCCAGAACAACAGGATAAACTACATCATTCTGGAACCCAGAGCAACTGGATAAACTGCACAGGAGTGAATAGAGAGCTGAAGTTTTCAGGCGTTCATGCCTGTTGCAGATACTCTTGATGCCCAGCAGCACTTTCATTTCTGACATGACACTCTTTTCTGCCACCTCCTTTAGTAGATCTTTGATTGTGGAAATGTCATCTGAAAATGCTATCTTTGCATTAAGTTTCTTTTGAATATTCTTCTCTTCATCAACTAACCTTGAGAGAACTGCCTCTTGCTCATGATCCGCAAATATGTTCAGGTGCTCACATTTAGAGAAGGATGTCTGTATCTGGTTTTTCACCCTATTTCTCAGTTGTAAAGGTTTTCTATCTTGAGTGGCTACTAATTTTGCACTGTCTACAACTTTCCTTTCCAGAGACTTAATGTAACTGCTGAGCCTCTTCTGGTGATGAGAGGCAGCTTTCTCTCTGGGCCTCAAGTGGTGACTGACCCTGGTGGTCAGAGGGCTGAGTACACAGGAGACGTCACACCTCTAGGTCTTCCTCACAGAAAAGGGTCAGGATCCGATAGTGCTCCTTGCACAACACTTTGGTGCCTGCCTCTTCATTTTGTTCCCGGTGATGTGGAGTATCTCGGGAGTTTCAGTCGTCCTTCCCTGCAGGGTGTTGCTCCTGCAGTGGCCCTCTTGGCACTGGTGACACCGGACAGGCAAGGGAAGCTGTCCTATAAATCCACCCAGCGCTGCTTGATGGAGGAGTGACAGAAGTTGTGCCCACATTTGATGGTGACGGGGTCACTCATGTAATCCCGACAGATGGGGCAGTTGGCTTCTGCCTGGAGTCCAGGGCTGCTACAACCACCACTGGGCCATGAACGGAGGTCTGGACTAAAGTGAGTTTTCTTCAGGAAGGTTTAGTTGTGCAGATACTCTGCAGTGAGAAGCAGATACACCCTGAGATGCCACTGCCTTTACTGTCCTGACTGTCTCCTTGTCTTAATTAGTCAACACTGATGTCCCAGGGAGCCACTGATCCTTGGTTGCAAAGCGAGGTGCCCAGAGGAGCTCTGCTCATAACCTGCAGACAATCTCACATTTCCTGGGCAACTAGCTGCCCTTGGCAGCCCAGAGGATATAAAACCAATCTAAGCAATTATCTTGGTCAGAAAACAGACATGACTTAAAGATGACTAGTTCCTGGAGCAGGCAGCTCTGTGAGGCAGGTTTTTGAGAGTTGTCTCTGAAGCCAGTCTTGCACCAGATTGTATGTAACCTGATTTTTCACTTAAAATATTGTGAACACTTTCCCCACTAATTAAATATTCTTTTAGATTATTTTAAAGGAGCCATCATCAATGTGATGGTATTAGAATCATTTGAAGACTTTTAAGATAATAGTTGTGTGACCCTCAAAATAGATCTCTAAATAGAGAAATAGATGACTTGGTTATTTTCCAAAGAACTTACCAGATAGTTGAGGTTATAACTGTCTCAACTATCACCAAGTCCTTCAGCTTATACTAACCGAACAGAGAGTGAGTCACAATTTGGTAATCTGTAAAGCCTGCAAAAAGAGTTTCATCATATTTCACAATTTCCAGGAATCCTTTAAAATTATGGATCTTAACCTTTTATGTGATACAACTGTATACCTAGGTCTGACCTCTTTTCTTCAATTGATTATATTGAAAATAAGGACTATCACTGATTCTTTTTATTTGCAGGAATGTTGTATAAAGTCCCTGCAAAGACTAAATTAGCAAATTCTGAACCACTGTTTCTAGAGAAAATACATGGTTAGGTTTCTCTGAATCTCTGGTTACATTTTCACCAACAATCAATTCATAACAGTTTTATGAATGTTTTTTGTTTAAAGACATCTTATTTAATACATATTGTTGATTTGCTAACATTGAACTCAAGGCCAACAGCGCTATAATGCATGTCTGAACGAAGCTTATCTAACACGTATTTTCTCTCTAAGGCACATCATCAACTTCGTGTACTGACAAACAGTAGATAGCACTTCAGCACTATGATGAGGGGCCATTTGAAACAGCAAAATCACCAAGAAAAGGCACAACAATGTGATGAATAAGGCACTAAATAGATGGCAAAAAGCCCACTTCATTACAAGTTGTTGTAACAGGAAGGCAGAGCATTGCCTTGTTCATCCTCAGCTGGGAACTTGAGTGCATACATTAGATGACTCAAGTTTTTCTACAGAAAAAGAAGGTACAGAATTAAAGATTCCAGATTGGGCTTACCTTTACTAACACCATCCTGACTCACTGTTACCAAAATGCCAGACTATACTCTTCACAGAGAGGAGTTTTCCATTACATCTTTTCTCATGTGTTCTGTTACATTCAAGTTATGGTAAATGCACCACGCTTGGCTCTGTATAATTAATTTCACAAGATGGATGTCAAGACTATAAAACAATCACTAGGTTCTGATTTGTAGCCTAAGATGGGCTTTAGCTCTCCTGCATGTGCAGCTTTGATAGAAAGAAAGAGGAAGGAAAGGAAGAAGATATTAAGGATGCTGACTTAAGGCTGATTTCTATTAGAGTTCTATTTCAAGTTCATTATTTCAACGACTGAATAGACTCTCACAAATAATGATTTAGTTCTCTGCTTTCTTGTAGATTAAACTAGATAATTGATATAGAGGCAGTAAATATGCATAATTAAACATACTTTGTTTATAGAGGTAGAGTCTAAATCAAGTTCTAAGGTTTGATCTACAAAAAGACAGTCAATGTGTCGGCTTAAAGAAGGGAGAAAGAGAGCACATAATCACCTTTTCAAAGGTGCACATAAACTTAGCCAAGCCGCAATTAACCATAGATTTTATTTGGCTTGAATTATCCAGATTTCCCAGGCCCTTTGACCTTCTATTCTGATGAGTGTTTAATTATATGTCCTAATGACCATAATGGCACTGTCACCCAAGGAAGAGAGAAAGAAGACTCATAATGACCTCATTGGTAGTAACATGTGAAAACATATCTTGATGTAGTCTATATGATGTGGCATTTTGACATAGTCCTCTTAACATAGAAAAATTACTTTAAAGCATTTTTTTAAGGATCAAGTTATAGACACAACAGACATCTCTGGTCCTCACCCTATCCTATACCCCATCTGGTGGTATGGGTTATGATGCTTAACCATAGGGTAAGGACATTTCTTTTGCATATAAGCTGGAAACTCTTTTTTAACAGCTAACTAATGAATGATGAAAGGCTTGTTTGTTTGTTTTTTTTTAACAACATTAAAATGTTCCTTTGAAGAAAAGGCAGCACCAAATATTTACTCAACCCTCAAAATGTATCTGGAATTTTGTTTTTGCAGAAACCTCACTGAATTGAGTGAAATTTCATGTAATTTTTAAAATAAAAAGATTTGTTAAAACATGACTTATACAGATATTTTTTCATTATTTATATCTATAGAAGTCTCAAAAGACAAAGTTACACTCATAAGTTTAAGGGCGTAATACTTGCAGCAACTGTTATTATTTCTGTGTTGAAATCAGCTGACCCAGACATAAGGCTTAAGATGACATGGCAAATCAACTCCAAGACTCAATACGCAAGGCTTGACCCCACTGCTCTAACCATCTCCACTTCACTTGGGATCTGCATAAGATTTTGTTAAAGTTGTTTCCATATCAAGATGAGAAAAAAAAAGAAATGAATCACTTTATTGCTGAAAAAAAAAACAGCAAAAATGATGTGGAGAAAATAATGGCTGTTTACATTTGCCATTTTAGGATGAAAGCATTTGAATTTTTTGTTTTGAAAAATGATTTTTTTTATTTGCCAGGAAGTAGACATGTGTTTTCATTAGGAACATTGTTGGAAAATCCCTGCAAAGAGGAACATCTGCATCATTATCACTACTGTCAGAAAAATTCCCTGGCATGCAAAGCACTGAATGCGGCTTGTCTCAAGTAGCAGAGATGCTAACTCATTAAAAAGCCCAGACCTGAAAATGAACTAAACTTCATTTAACTTTTGGAAGTGATATGCCAGGTTCAATTATAGTATGGAAAAAGGCATCAAAACGCAACATTTTTTAATGTGAATAATATTTCATAAGACATTTTCTCTCTAAAAGAGAAAGTAGGTCAGTTTTATCAAAGTGAAAGAAGATGTGAATTTGAATACATTATTAACCTGTCTTTGGGGATGGCAAAAATCTGCCTTTGTACTTCCATCACCTTCAAATTAAATCCTATAAAAATCTAAGTTAGTTTGTAAAGGGGGAAAGGGAAGCTCAGAAAGTTTTAATTAGGTTGAAGTGCTTCATTAGTACTTACCCTCAATCTGGTAAATGCTATCAATTCATGTAAATGCAAAGAATCTCTCAGACACTGATTATTCCTCTCACATTGCTCATTCATTTTTATTGGAGATAATTGTCAGCATAGCTCAGCATTAAAGAAAAACAACCTTCTGATTCCATGCCTGTTTCAAAGTTTATGGTGTCTTCTTTATGTTCTTACTGCCTATCTAAATGCATATTTTAAAAAGTCTTTCACTTAAATGATAAGATTGTGTAGTCATATTTCTCCTCTGTTAAGCAAGTTATCTCTGTGTATTACAAAATTAAAGAAATTCTACACTGATATGACCTATGAAATGCAAAGCACATTCATCTGTCATTTTAAAAAAAAGGTTTGTTTTTTAAACTGAGTGGCCTATCCTGCTGTTGGATAAAGAATAAGGATGCCTGCTTATATAATATCTACCACAGTTTTTATCATCTTACTTAAAGATGAAGTAGGAAATCAAGGCCTACATCTAACAACTGAGCAATGGAGAAGAGGGATGAGATTAACAATAGCTGTGAGAAATCAAGGAGGTCTTCCTTGAAACTGGTAGTTTAGCAGCTGTCATATTAGACAACAATGTAGTGTGATCACAAACATGGTCAGGAGTTACAGTGCTGAAATGTCCACTTTGGGGCTGAAAGGTGACACAGATTCTCTGCAAGATGATGGATCCAGTGCATAGTGTTTTATGTGAGAAAGGACAGGCAGCTTCCCTCTGTATCTCAGATGAGGGAAAGGATTTAAGACATTGCTATGTGATCTGGAGAGGTAGATGATGATAAGTTCCCTTCCTCAAAATAAGTGGACATACAGCCTTTCAGAGGATAGAGAATGTTTCTTCTGTAAATTGGGTGAGTCAAAGAATTGTTACCAGGATTCACAATAAGCTGTCAGGTTTGTGGCCTATGTCTCCCATGTGGAGTTTAAATCACTATGGGCCATTTCTTAGTTAGTTTCCTAAATTATAATTCGTGGGTCAGACAAGAGGTAAGGTATTAAAGGGCCTTAATCAAGGATTCAGCAGTGGTGTTTTAAAAAGGGTGTGCATGTGTTGTGTGCAGGTGGGGGGATTTGTAACAAGTGACAAAGATAACTAATCTTCCTCTCTTGAAATTAGATATAATAGAATCTAATATTTGTTTCTGTTATGTAGACATATTCTTCAAAGACTAAATTTAATAAAGATGAAAGGAGTCTCTCACTTTTAATTATTTTACATAAAAGATACTACAGGATATTTAATGGATACAAAGCTTTATCAAAGGAAATAAGCAGTGAGACTACTCTATCAAAAGTAGTAGGTACTTGATTACATTTGAATATGGTTCAAACTGATCTCTAAGTAATTGACTTGGAGTTCCTTTTGAAAACTATGAAAGCATTTTGTTGACTCTATTATACTCTTCTTAATTTTTTTTTCTGTCTTATTATCCAGTGAACCTACTGGCACAAATAATGTTTTCAGTCTGGATTTTCTTTTTTAGTTTTTGTTGTTTCAGTTATGAAAAACTCAGATAGAAATGAAAGATATAATTCAAAATTGCTCAAACCATATGGTTTCCAAATGTTGCTGCATAATGGAATCACCTGGGGATTCTTAAAACATAGTGATGTCTGGCTCCCACCCCAACATTCTGATCAAATTGCAATGGGCTGAGAGCTGGGCATTGAGACTTTCAAAAGCACTCTATGTGATTCCCATGTGCAGCACAGTTTGGGAACCACTGGCTCAAACACTGAGAAAAACTAATAACATGAAAGTTCAAGGTAAAGAAAATCTAAGGAATTAGTTCAGAGACCATTTTTTCATGAAGAACACCAGGTTTTTACACCTCTGGAATTCTTAGAATGCCAGCTGTGTCTTTGGAGGCTTGTTCTCCTCACCATCCTCCAAAGGCTGCCGTAGTTCCAAAAATCACATGCAGACAAGACAACACCCAGTGGAAAAGAGGGCATTACTGGTTCCCATGTCTCTCTTTTTTTTATTTTTATTTTAGAGACAGAATCTTGTTTTGTCACCCAGGCAGTGATGCTGTCATAGCTCACTGCAGCTTCCAAATCCTGGCTCAAGGCATCCTCTTGCCTCGCCCCCCAAGTAGCTGGGGTTACAGGTATGTACCACTGTGCCCAGCTAAGTTTCACATTTTTTGTAGAGACAGGGTCTTGCCATGTTGACCAGTCTTGAGCTCCTGGCCTCAAGCGATCCTGCCACCTCAGCCTCCCAAACTGTTGGGATTATAGATGGGAGCCACCATGCCTAGTCCCATGTCTCTTTTAATAGCCATCATATCTTTGTCAGAAAGTCACCCTTGGACTTCCACTCATGCCCCATTGGCTGGATCAGCTTCACACCCTCACTCCTGACAAGGGAAATTAGACCATGACCCCTGCCTTAGATTAATCCAGCCAGATTGACCCACCTAGCCGAGGATAGAGTCACCCCTTCCCTGAGTCAGACAGGGGCTAAGAGGTGGGGGTATAAACCTGAACAAAATCATTCTACCAGTTAGAGAGAGGTGAAAGAGACTGTTGATAGCAGCTCTGGAGTATCTGCTGTATTCCTTTTTTTTCATGATCTAACAGATAGCTTTCAATCTACTTGGATAAGTTTTCTGTTATGCAAATCTTCTATGAGTTTTCTTTTGACACGCTTTCTGTATGAACATTATGCTCCATAATAATGAGACATCATGAAGATGACAGGGTTCAGAGGAATATCAACCATAAATAACCCCATTCCTAGAGCAGGATGTAACATCTTATAGTAAATTTCAATTGTTTACTTTAAAAAATGTTTTTCCCTCTTAAATTTATTGTGGTAAGAGCCCAATATCACTAAACATCAAGTATTTTCAATTTGTGCCTCGCTAGTAGTACTTCAACCCATCTCCTTAATACACAGAAATGTAATGTATTAAAAAACTGCTACATTTATTATATCCTGTCAATTTAACACAGTAGTATTTCAATTTTCATTTAAGTATAGTTAAGGTTTAGAGTCCACATAAAAATACTTATCCCTGAAATGTTACTACACTGACAGCAAAGCAAAGTGAAAGCTGGAAGCAGCTATTTCAGCTTCCTATAGTGAAATAACAGATGATTAGCAACTTGACTGCACCTTGGTAGCACTTCTTTTACTGATAATGTTTAAGTTGCCTCCCGCAAGAGTGTAATAATCATTATGAGAGGCCATCTGCCTAGTACCAAGGTAATCATTCACAAAGTTCTTCCAGCATGTCACTGTTTGCATGCCCAAGGATAAAGAGACATCTGTCCTTCTGGTAAAAGAGGAAATAAACTGGCCAGGAACGGTGGCTCACCCCTGTAATCCCAGCACTTTGGGAGGCCAAGGCGGGCAGATCACCTGAAGTGGGGAGTTCGAGACCAGCCTGACCAAAATGGAGACACCCCATCTCTACTAAAAATATAAAATTTGCTAGGTGTGATGGCGCATGCCTGTGGTCCCAGCTACTTGGGAGGCTGAGTCGGGAGACTTGTTTGAACCTGGGAGGTGGAGGTTGCAGTGGGCCGAGATTGCGCCATTGCACTCCAGCCTGGGCAACAAGAGCAAAACTCTGTCTCAAAAAATCAATCAAACAAACAAACAACAACAACAACAAAAAACAGGAAAGAAACTGCAGGACTTAAATCTTTTCTTCATAGCCATGTGTTACGTGTCTTTTGATGTAATTCAGGTCAAAGTTTTCAGGAAGTAATTAATTCAGAAACCAGGAATGTTACCTGCCCAGTTGCCCAGCAGAGCCCATTGCTAAGCTTTAATTAACTGAAGATAAACTATGTAGCAGATAAGATCACTAAAGACCAGTACTTGCCTCTGGGCTGGTTTCAGGTGGGGGGGCCCATATCAGATATGACTACTCTCAGGTAGGTAGCAAAACAGGATCACCCTCACAGAAATCCTAGAGCAGAGACTTTTCCAGTGTTAAAAGCTGGACCCACTGCATCTCAACTGCTCTGCACTTGACACTTAAGAAAGATGGATACGAAGGCAATATGTAATCTAAACCATGACATGATTGCCAGCAAGAAGTTGCAAAGTGAAGTAGAAGGTGAAGCTAAGGTGGCCTAAGTTTTGGCTAGGTGGAGAAAGGGCATTGGCATGTAGCACTTTAAACTAAAGTATCTAATAAATAAATAAATAAATATATATATATATATATTTATGTGTGTATATATACATATACATAAAAGGTTGTGTGGTGTAGTTCATGAGACAAATGAACAGAATTCTAGGCAGCTCAAGTGAACGCTTTGTGGGAACTCATGTTGACAGTTTAAGATGCATATGTTTTCTGGTCACACAAACATATAGCATTTCTATCTGACTTGAGAAGATTCTGTAGTGTGGGGAGTTCTGTGGACCCATGAACATGTTCTATCACACTTCTAACCAGCTCAAACTGCCTGGTTGGATTGCTTAGTTGGCTGGGGGCGGATTCATCTTCAGGCAGAAGGCACTGCACTCCATCTGAGCACCACAGGAGAGGCTTGGCAAAGATCTGCAGAAGTGTGGGCAGAAAACCACGGCCATTGGCACCCTCTGACTTCTTTTTATCACACCTCAGGAGACCTCAGAATAGACATATACTTAATTTAAAAACTGTTGGGAATCATTTCATGGAATAACATGTATTTTTGAGGATTCTAAGAAATAGATGTCCAAAAATAGTATAGGTATTGTCAGAGATTTAAATGTCTATATAACTACTAAAAGCATAACTCAACCACATTACGCCAATGGTTTTTTTTTTTTTCTTTTTTTGCAAATAGTCTTCTTTTTAGTTTAAGAGAAGGCAACACTTGAATGCTCTCAACTCTGGCTCAACAACTGGGTAACTGAACATGACTTACCCTAACAGTGTTGCATGGAAACCTATCATACAAAATATAAAATTATAGAGTCAGATACTTCCAAGAAGAATTTCTCATGAATTTTGGAGATCATGGAGAGAAAGCTAGCCAGATGTTTTAAAGGATTGGAAACCATGACATACGAGGAAAGTTAAAAGAAAGATATGGTATATTTAACTTAAGGAGAAAAAACTTGCCAGTTGCAAGGCTCTGGAAACTTCCCTAATTCCTAATAGAGTGGGGCTTCTCCTAGGATCTCAATGCACATGGTATGTCCTCCCTGTGATAAAGGCACAACATAACAAAGAATATGTTAGGGGAAATCTTGTTCCATCATTATCACAATTAGTGCATCCATGCATATTATAAAAAGCTGGTCCTTCCTTAAAACACTGCCATTTGCCAGGGAATTTAATAATAAATATTTAAATCTTGGATGAATACAAAATGAACGACTCCTCTAAAGTGTGGATTAAATAATATTACTTGGTATCCTTGAGAATTTTCAGAGTTATTACTAATGTAAGTATCCTCTCTCTTTCAATAAGAAGAAAGGTGAATTGTGCAAGTCCACATGATTGGAACTGATAGACATACAAATACTGGGCATGTCCTGGGCAAAGCATGGGAGAACAAGAAGTTGTAAGAGGAACAGAAGTGGGGAGCACAGAGGTCTCATCACTTCCGTTCTTCTTATAACAACATGGAGGACTGAATAAATGTTCCAAAGATACACTAAATCATAACTTCCATCACAAATACCTTCTATATGTTTGGTACCCTCATCTACAGATTACTGGGAGACCACAAAGGGGTAGACAAAGTCTCTTCTAACCAGAAATTATGAACAGGAGAAAACTGTTGAGCCAAGACTATCGCCAGACTATGTATAGTGGAGTCAAGAACATCAGAGTGCTCCTCCAGGTGCTAGCTCCAAGTTGAAAGTTAATATTTCTTTGCATAGGGAAAGATATTTTGTTGTACTATGGTAGGCACATTCACATTCACAAATTTTGGGCCACATTTACCTTTGTATGTGAAAACTTCAAATGTAATATGTTCATATTATTTAAACAGCAAAGATGCTAAGGAATTATTTGTATACCTCAGGGAAAGGTCAATGCAAAATTCTGCTGTAAATGTAAAAAGCATTCAAATAGAAATGATCTAAGCCCCAAGGTCATAAAAGTAGTAACTGCTACATTTTTGAAGGAGTCAGTGTTTGTTAGACAAAATTAAGACATCTCAGGCTGAAAATAGTGCGGGAAATATACCCATCAAATTCAGCTTTTTTTCCTCTTGCTGCCACATTAGAGGATAAAGAATGGGATGAGAGGTAGAAAAGAGAATATATCTGTGGTTATTTTGTTTTAAAAGACCAAGTCAAATGTGAGGTAATGGAAAAGAATGGGTAATAGGAAATGTCCCTTGGAGTTAACACACAACATATACTGAGTGTATTTCCTAAATAACTTGTTACATTAAAATGAAATTATGTATATTGAATTGCAGTGTCTGAAATAGTATCTGTAAAAGGTATTTCTCTATTAGGAAAGCAAGTCAACAAGCTTAATTATATTGCAACTGCTTTTAAATCCAATTAAATAGTTTTATATATTCAAATTAGCTATTGCATTGAGGAAACCTACTCATCTTACTTTTTTTTTAGTTGTCATTATGTATATCAATCCCAAACGTACTGAAATATGCTTCAATAAGCATGTTTTTCTAACCATTATAAATATTGCTTTATCAAAAGAAAACCAATACTTTTAAATGTCAGAATATTTGGCATTGAATAAACAAAACAGCCAGATAGAGACTAATTCATAAATATTTTGCTTGTAAACTCGTTTTGAATTAAGCATTTATTGTAAAGCAACTTTCACAACTAAATATAAGTATTGATGGTAAAAATATTTCTAGAATCTTGTAGTAGACAAATGTAAACCTTTTTATCACTAGGAATTCAATGAGGAAAACATTTTTTAACTTCTACAAAATAGAAATATTTTATAAAATATAAGAATATTAGTTGATATTTAAAGTATTTTTCTCACTGTTAGCTCATTATGCCTATTTAGCTAACTAAAGATAGCATTAACTCTTTTGACAATTTTTTAAAGCTGTAGCTTAACAGAGTTAAATTTTCATTACATAGAAATTCAAGTTGAAGAAAATATGTTTGTATAGTTATATCTTCAAATACTGGACACTTCAATTTTTTTTCTTTGCATCTGGCAATAAAAGCATTATAAAGCCATAATTGGAACAATAATCATTTCCATTTATTTTTATGCCATTGTGATTAAATCAACATTTTAAGTCAACTCTTTATTACCCAAGTTTATCATTTCTAAGATGAAAATTTGAATATAAAGCATGATTCAGCAATTCTATTACTTGCAGTCCTTAAGTCATGGAGATCTTGAAAAAGTCCTCCCTCAGCTATAATGATGAGCCAAAATTAATTAAGGCAAATGAATATTCTAAATGAATCTCTTCCTCTTAACTATTGTTTAAATAATTGCTTATGCTTGACAAGATATTTTTCATGAACTATCAACAATGTGATTTGAATCACACTCATAATTACAAACTCCTCAACCATAGTAATTTATAAATTACTGCCCTCTCATGGGACTGTCTTCAAACATTTAAAACATTTATTATTGAGAAGTTCTGTTGAGCTATTATAGTGTATTCATAATTTTCTAAGACCTTACATTTCTTCCAACCTTGTCATCTGGCTATTTTAATTTTTAGTTTTCATTGAAATATACTTGATAAAATTCTTTGTCACATTTGGAGGAAAGACATATTTTATAGCTTGTTTAGAAAAATCTAATTTACTCAGTTAATGTCTAGCATTCTCAATTCTCTCAACATGCGGCAGTAGTTGGCTCTGTCCTGGAGACAAAATAATTACTGTCCCATATATGAAGAGATCAAATTATTTTCAAAGAAATTTTTATAGAATCCAGTTGCAATTCACTTTCTAAAATACGGAGTCAACAATAACTGACAGCTAAGCAGGTGGTCACAGAGGAAAATTAACAGAATATCGTTTTGATCAGTTGCACTGTAAGGTAGAATTCTTTAATTTTGCTTGACTGCCAGTAAACTTCTCCACATTGTCTCCATATGGGCTTATATTCCTCAGAACAGTTAGCCCTGAGTATTCTTTAGAAAGATGTGTGTGGCACTGTTCTCTTTTTATGGCTGCTGTGCCTGTTGAGAGCCCCAGGTTGGTAAGACCTGAAAATTGTGTAGGAAGAGGTGTGAAGCAATCGTTAGGGAAATCAGTGAAAGAAAAATAACCTAATCTATTTGGTGTTCCAGAAAGGCTAATCCCCTCTCTCCTTTCCTGACCTTAAAACAGAGGAACAGGTCAAGCACAGTGGCTCACACCTGTAATCCCAGTACTTTGGGAGGTAGAGCCGGGTGGGTCACTTGAGCCCAGGAGTTCAAGACCAGCCTGGGCAACATATCAAGACCTTGTCTCCATAAACAATTTTTAAAAATTAAGTGGGGCATGGTTGCACAAGCCTGTAGTTCTAACTACTCAGGAGGCTGAGGTAGGAGGACTGCTTGAGCCCAGGAGTTTGAGGCTGAAGTGAGTTATGATGACACCACTGCACTCCAGCCTGGGCAATAGAGCGAGACCCTGTCTCTAAAAAAAAAAAGAAAAAAAAAAAGTAAAAATAAAACATTCTGATTTTAAATGAGAGGGATATCTTTGCATTTAACATGAAAAATGTACACCTGTGCATTGTCAACAAGGTTATGCTTTTGTTGGCTATCTAGACCTCAATGATTTATCTGTCATTAATGCCACTGGTCACTGGCCCATGTTTCCAGTAGCAAGATTGAAAAGAGGAAGACGTATGTTACTGGGGGGTCTCTAATCCCTCACCTGGACTATTCTAAGGTAAATGGTATCTTATATTTTTTTTATTGTTTGGTTGGTTACTTGTTTATCTGATTTTTATGTTTGCTTTTTTTTTTTTTTCACAGTCCCTGAAACACTGGGAAAGATGCCTCTTAAATTACTGCTATTTTGCCCTACAACTGGTAGGGCTGGGTTCTGTAGCTGCATTTCTAGGTGCTAGCAAATAGGGAATAGGCAGCAAAGTACTCTTGGGCTGGACTTTAGGCAGTAGGATACGTCTGAGATGTCCTACTGTTGATCTGGGAAATAGAAAATGTAGTTCAAAAGTTTCCAAGTATCGGGCTTAATAAAGCCTAGGAGTCACTTATTATATGGTGAACAGGTCCCATGTCAACCATGGGAAAAACAAGGTAGTTTGGGATAACAAGATTACATGTCACAGATTTCTTTTCTCTCTATTTAAGAAAATAGGCTTTCTTCCTAACTCTGTGGCTATTGGTTGAAAATGGTTTTTCTGTCTTTAGTGCTAACTTACTAAGAAAAGAACTATGGGCACATTTAAATAGACATGCATATTTGTGGTAGATCCAGAAATACATTTGCTAAAGTTTGGACTTAAAAATACTAAATTATTCCAGAAAGGGCTGAAATTTTCTGAAAATGTCATAACTGTTTTGATGAAATAATGCCAATTATACAATGATTAGTAACTAAATTTTTTACATTGTTTCTTGAAAACTTGAATAACAAATATATGAGAAAATAGAATACCATAAGACAATACATTGTGTTGTGTTAACTGAGGCAAAGAAAGGACAAAAAGGCATATATTTTAAAAATCATTGTTGTTGGTACAAATGGAACATATATGAATAGGTATTGTGGAGATGGGAATCATGGTGCAATTTTCCTATTTTAACTCATTACTGACAAGCATTAAAATAATGTTTCGGCTGGCCGCGGTGGCTCACGCCTGTAATCCCAGCACTTTGGGAGACTGAGGCAGGCGGATCATGAGGTCAGGAGATCGAGATCATCCTGGCTAACACGGTGAAGCCCCGTCTCTACTAAAAAATAGAAAAAATTAGCCGGGCATTGTGGCGGGCGCCTGTAGTCCCAGAGGCTGAGGGAGCTGAGGTACTCGGGAGGCTGAGGCAGGAGAATGGC
Source organism: Homo sapiens (assembly GCF_000001405.40). Lineage (NCBI taxonomy): Eukaryota > Metazoa > Chordata > Mammalia > Primates > Hominidae > Homo > Homo sapiens. The sequence continues at coordinate 80,874,918 of NC_000012.12, forward strand.
ATGAACCCAGGAGGCAGAGCTTGCAGTGAGCCGAGATGGCGCCACTGCACTCCATCCTGGGTGACAGAGCGAGATTCTGTCTCAAAACAAACAAACGAAACAAAAACAAAATACTGTTTCATTATTCCCACATTCCAGAATGTTCTGTTTTAGCTATTACCCATAACAAGTAAAACTAGAACTAGACTGGGACCTGGGATACTTTGGTTCTGGTGCTAACTCAGGCACTAACTAGGTTGAAAGACCACTTAAACTTTCTGTATCTTATTTTCTCATCCATAAAATTACGTTTACAGTAGGTGAAGGTACCAAATGGATCAGTCTCAGATTTACCAACCCCCTGAATTTTTAATAAAAATATTTGCACATGTACATTTTTTCTGGAAAAAAAAGCCCATAATTTTACCTGATTCACAAAGAAGTTTATGATTTCCCAAAGGCAAAGAAAGCATAGCACTAGGTGCTTTCTATGGTTCCTTTTAACCCTGTATACATTACCAACTTTTATACACTTACTACACGAAACTCATGTGTTACATATCTGCACATTCATAAGAACGTACATATTTATGCAAATACATAAAGAACCCTGAAAATTTGGCTCTAATTACAGATCACTTTTCAAGGGTGGAAGCCATTTTAATGTAAGATGTTATTCTGAACTAGAAATGTTAGCATGTTTTGTCTGCGATTTCTATGAGCTCAGAGTCCCATTTGATAATACAAGATTTATGAAAATCAAAGATATGTTTGCCTACTAATAAAAATGAGTCATCTTAAGGAATTCTTCCATGGACCCAACAAATATTTATTAAATGCTTATTATTTGGCTGATATCATGCTAGGTACTAATTTTCTGTTATGATTATAATAGACATTTTCTACTTTCAGTCTAATAAGGTAGATGACTATTACTTAAATCTTTAATTAACTTTAATAAGATAGATAGAGATCCACAAATTATAGATTTGAAACTGTTCTGTTTTGAGAGCAGTAGGCTGTATTCTATTACATTTTTGCCCCCTTTGGATCTCATGTGCAAAGAACAGAATTGGAATCAACATGACCTTTAGTTTATGGCACATACTCATCATTATACATTTATCCGTGAGTTCCTTGGTTTTATTATTTTTATACACACACACACACACACACACACACACAGAGAGAGAGAAAGAGAGAGACAGACAGAGAGACAGAGAGAGAGAGTGACAGAAACAAATTGAAATCTCCCACTGAGACAAAAGCTGGGAACACAAGTAGCTAGGATCAAAACTATGTGCCACCCCTGTTCCCCAAACTCATTCCCTTGGCTCTCACAGATGAGTTAAATAGTAATGAAGGGATGAGAACCTAGAAACAGATTCCTATGTGGAGACTATGATGGATAGTAAGGAGACAGACTAGGAAAACTTCAGTACGCAATAAAGGTAAATATCTTTCAGACACTGGGGTAGGGAAAGATTTCTGAAGTGAGATACCCAAAAAGCATATTTTAAACAAGAGCAATGTGAGCATTTAAAATTGAGAATTTTATTCATGAAAGATACCTTGAAGACAAGTTACAAAGGAAGATAATATATTCACTATATAAACCACCCCAAAAAAACTACTAATAAGACTACATAAGAATATGTAAAAGCCCAAGTTAGTAGAAAAACACATGAAAGGATGTTTCACAGAAAAAGAAACACATATGGCCAAAAGGATATATTCAACAATCGACTGATCAAGTAAACACCAATGATAACTGCAATAAGACCCCATTGCATTGTACATTCCATTGGTGAAAATTTAAATGTCTCATATACAAGTGTTGGAGGTAATATGGATCCACAATTATACATTGTTTGACAGTGTATAAATTGGACTAATCAAGTTTGAAAACTGTTTGACATAGTCTCTTAAAGTTGAATATTCTTGGCCGGGCGCGGTGGCTCATGCCTGTAATCCCAGCACTTTGGGAGGCCGAGGCGGGCGGATTACCTGAGGTCAGGAGTTCGAGACTACCCTGGCCAACATGATGAAACCCCGTCTCTACTAAAAATACAAAAACTAGCTGGGCATGGTGGCACATGCCTGTAATTCCAGCTACTGGGGAGGCTAAGGTAGGAGAATTACTTGAGCCCAGGAGGCAGAGGTTGCAGTGAGTCGAGATCATGCCACTGCACTCCAGCCTAGCCAACAGAGAGAGACTCTGTCTCAAAAAAAAAAAAAAAAAGTTAAATATTCTTATACTTCATGACCCAGAAATTCCACATGTACACAAATACCCCAGAGAAGCCTTGGTCATCTAACCAGAGACACATGTATGTTAATAGTAGTACCAACCAAGATAGTGATAACCTGGAAATAACTCAAATGTCCATCTATAAGAGACAGTGATTTTATAAACTGTGATATCTTCACACAAAGGAATATTACACAGCAGCTAAAGCGAATGAACCACAACAATGCAAAAATTATGGAATCTTAGCAGCATTATAGTAAGTGAAAGAGAACATTCCCCAAATATTTCAACAGTATGGTTATCTCTTTATAACATTTTAAACAAATAAAATTAAAATAAATATATTTTAGGAAAAAATACTGCAATCAGACTATATACAAATAAAGCAAGGAAATAATGAAAAAAGCTGGGATCAGTTTTCAGCCCTAAATCTATATTTCCCTATGAGACAAAAAAAGGAAGAAAGGAAGGAAGAGAGGGAAGAAGAAAGGAAGAGAGTAAGCTAGTAATCGCCTTACATATATTTGAATTATGAATGATACTAAATTCATTTCTTTTTACATGCAAATTACCCCCAGGGAATAACAGCAAACTGGCTTAAAAATGTCTATTTGTAACTTAACATTCATTTTAGATGACTTGTACAAATGAACTTCTTTCTCTCCATTTTTGTTGGCAACATTCAAGCAAGAAAAGGTTAAATGACTTGTGCACTGGGAAGAAAAAAAAAAAAAACAGTTGTCATCCGTGGTGCCAAAAATAGAAGTTCTGATTTCCAGTCCTGTGATCTCAACAGAAGACAGAATGTTCACTCTATCTGACTGATACAAAATACAACTTCTCCAAGGACTCTATTATTTTGAACTACTGTGTAAGTACATGTAATTATAAGCTTCTGGAAATACGCACTGTTTATTTTATCATTTGTAATAGCAAATAGAAAGGCTTGGGCTGAGCATTTACCCAATAATGACACTAACAGCCTTCAGAGTCATTATAGATGATTTTTAAGGGTCTGTTTAGATATCCTTAAGATCACTGACCCATTAGTGCAATTATAGTTTAAGATGGTTCCTGTACTTGCTGCCAGAAAGTGACAAGTTGATGTTACAAACACTCTCTACACATCATTAAAAATGTGTCTTTACTCAGAGAAAGCTGCAGAAATAGAACTATAACTATACTTTAAAATTCTGTTCCCCATGGGTGATGTAGTCATTCTCTTTTTGTAATTCCTCTGATAAAATGATAAATTATATTCTCAGAAAATTGAATAAAACAAGTGTGTCTGGAGTTTGTTCCTGCTGGTGGGTTTGTGGTCTCGCTGACTTCAAGAATGAAGCCATGGACCTTTGCGGTGAGTGTGACAGCTCTTAAAGGTGGCACAGACCCAAAGAGTGAGCAGCAGCAAGATTTATTCTGAAGAGAGAAAGAACAATACTTCCACAGTACGGAAAGAGATCTGAGCGGGTTGCTGCTGTTGGCGGACGTGGCCAGCTTTTATTCCCTTATTTGTCCCCGCCCATGTCCTGCTGATTGGTCCATTTTACAGAGTGCTGATTGGTCCATTTTACAGTGTGCTGATTGGTCCATTTTACAGAGCACGGATTGGTCCATTTTACAAACCTCTAGCCACAGAGAGCTGATTGGTGAGTTTTTACAGAGTGCTGAATGGTGCATTTTACAAACCTCTAGCTAGTCACCCAGCACTGATTGGTGTGTTTTACAATCCTAGCTACAGAGCACTGATTGGTGCATTTTACAATCCTCTTGTAAGACAGAAAAGTTCTCCAAGTCCCCACACGATCCAAAAGTCCAGCTGGCTTCACCTCTCACAAGTACATTTATTCTGTAGTATTATTTTTATCAATTTAAAAATCTTCATAGTACTTGTCTTTCTTACCCCATTCACACAGTCTCACACAGTTACATATTCCAAGTATCCATACATGCTCAGCCTTTCATGTAGATGCAATCTATGTGAAGAAAAACATAGATTGCTTGCTATGTAACTATAGATTCACAGAACCGGAAGGATCACAGGAGACTGACTACCTAGTGGAGCAGTGTTTCTCAACTGATATTATAGACCTTATTAATTAGTCTTTATTTGGGGGTAGGAGGGGGTGGGATAGAGAGGAGATATCATGGACACTAGAAAATCTAATGAAGTTTGTGAAGTTATCCCAAGAAAAATCCACTCATGTGTGTAAATGTTCATATCATTTATTTATTTGTTTGCATTTGTCATTGAGTTATTTCACATTTTACAAATAATTATGTGACTCATTTTTCTTGTGAAAATTGATGACCTCTTTCTAAATAAAACATAAATGCAAATTACTAACCAAATCATATAAAAAAAGAAAACATATATTCTGCTTAAAATAGTTTTCAATGAGAAGGCTGTTTTATTTGGCTTAGTAAGAAGTTAAAATTTAGGCTACTCTGGAACACTTTGCCTATGGGATAGCCCTGCTGTGTCTATGGAGCAGCCCAAAAAAAAAAAAAAAAAAAAAAAAAAAGGAAGAAGTTAAAATTTAGACTGAGCCTTCCTTTATAGGAAAATATCGGTGTTATTTTTAGTATCCAAACAATTTTTCATCTGTTTTAATAGCACTATGTGCTCAAAGTTGCAGCTCACACAGCTTTCAGTATCAAACAGAATTAAATTCCCTATCAGTCGGAGCAGAGCAGACGTTTATCAAGACACCTGAGCTTTCTCCAAGCTACTTCAGGGTGAATTCAGGTTCTATGAAACCCTTTGTCCTCAAGTCAAATGAAATTATTTTTGGAAAGCTTAGTGTCAACAATGCAGCCTTAGTCAGCAAGGGAAGATGTTTGAATGCTTTCAATTTTATGTAGTCTAAGCAGAAATAACCTTTAAAAGAGTTTTGTAGTCTTTACAGATGTTTGTAGATCTTCTCCATGGATAAACTGACATGTCTTTCTCATTTTCAACTCCCTTGCCCTCACTAAAGTCTTTCTTTCAGCACTTTCATGTCAATGGAAAGGTCACAAGATTTTACCTGTAATTTCTTCCTCCAAAATGACAGTTGTTTCCAGAGCCACCCTACTAGACCAGAAAATCTGAAATTGAAAGACTAGCCTCATTTTTTTTTGACCTAACATCTACAAAGAAGTCCATCCATGAATAAACCTCTCTTGTCAAATTGTTTTAAGATTCAGCTCTCTTTTACTTAAAAAATAGATAAAATGAAATTTCTGACCCAAGTTCAGCCAAGTGCATTAACACTTATTCATTGGAAAGCCAAAAAACTTCTGATAGTAAAAATAATACATTTTGCTTCATTCCCAAATAAAAACTTTTGAAACTCTAGATTTCTGGCTATGTCTGTGAAATTATTTTAACAGAGCAGGCAAAGCATCTTTTTAGAATAATTATCAGTGTCTTTCACACGAATGCATGCTGATGGTGAGGGCAATATGTCTCTATGAAAAGTGGAACCTCTGTCTTCACCAGATTAATTACGCTGGATCTTGCATAAAGAAACTCCATATGTACTCCATATGTACTTGCAGTATCAAGATTTTTGTTCCATTAGGAGTTTTGCTTGATAAACTCTGTTGGGAGGAGGCAACGCACACACACACACACACACACACATACACACACACAGACACACACACACACATCGACATTCAGGTGAGAGATAAAAATCAGAGTTTTACTGAAACAATCATAGTTTTCACTCAGTTGCATGCCAAATGGGAATGCCACAGCTGTTATTTTCACTATAACTGGCTTTGAAATATTGGCAAAATACCAGAGTTCAAGAGTAGGTTCTATCAAGTGAACAGAGGTGCTATTAATTTTTTTTATTCTAATCAACCAACCAGCTCAAGCATTTCTAGAGTACTTGAAATGATAAAGCTTTCTCCAGTTATTTATGGTTTCTTTTGATTGGAAACATGTCAAAAGTTTCATGTTAGTGCAAATATAAGTTTTGGTAAATTTCCATCCTTTTAAAATTGAACTTCTTCTCCAGGGGAAAAAAATCTATATTGTGTGATTTATTTTCAGGATGCTCAGAAATAAGCTTTCTTGACTTCATCCTATCATTGGCAGGAAACTTATCACACAAGAAACAGTCTGGCTTTTGTGTCCCATCACATTTAGCAATGCAAATAAAATCAAAGGAAATGTAGGAGCCATCAGCTTTCTTTTCTCTGACATTTGCCAACTTAAGCTAAGTTTAATGTGAACAGAAAGAGATATGCACAAACATAATGTCAGATGCATTTTCATTAATTCTGATGAATGCAATGCCATTCCAGATGTCATTGTGCAAGGATAGTAACTTTGTGTGAAAAAATACATGCTACTCTGTCCATGTTTAAAGGAAAACATTAAAATATTTTAAAACAATAAAAATATTAAAACATTAAATACATTAAAAAAATATTTTACCATGAACAATTTTTTGCACAAAAAGCAAAGAAAACAAAATAAAGCTAAGTTATATATATATATATATGTACACACACATATATATATGTTTGCTCTTACTTAACCTACAACATAAAGTCTGTATATGATCTTTAACTAAAATATCCCTTTTATAACGTGATCTGAAATACAGCATCTAATCTCTGCTGTTGTTATATAGGAAGTTTCCTGTATTACAAATGAGCCCATTTGTAATAGTTGGGTATTTCTAGTTATCCTTGGTTATCTGGTTATCCTTGGTTATTCTTCCATTTTTCATCCAGTGTTCTGGCATGGTTAATTCTCTTGCCATTTATCCCATCAACTATTGGGTGGTAAATCTTATGTTACACATTACTTTTCTCTTTATGTGGCTGAATATCACCAAGTTCTTAACTTCTTGTCATCTAACAAGGTATCCAGATCTCTTTCTATGCTGGTTGCCTTTTTCTACAACCACTACAATGTGTTAACATCTATCTGAAAATTTGGAGCCATCCATTTAAAAATATTGCATTTTTTGAATGATCAAGAACTACATACATAGGTACATATTTTATTGAATATATAGGAGTGAAATTATATAAAGAAATGCAATGCTAATGGTTTCTCTAAATATTCTTTTGGATTTTTACATATACGATCATATCATCTGTGAGTAATAACAGTACTATCATTTTTCTTTCATTCTTTTTTTTTTTTTTTGAGACGGAGTCTCGCTCTGTCGCCCAGGCTGGAGTGCAGTGGCGGGATCTCGGCTCACTGCAAGCTCCGCCTCCCGGGTTCACGCCATTCTCCTGCCTCAGCCTCCCAAGTAGCTGGGACTACAGGCGCCCGCCACTACGCCCGGCTAATTTTTTGTATTTTTAGTAGAGACGGGGTTTCACCGTTTTAGCCGGGATGGTCTCGATCTCCTGACCTCGTGATCCGCCCGCCTCGGCCTCCCAAAGTGCTGGGATTACAGGCGTGAGCCACCGCGCCCGGCCTTTTCTTTCATTCTAATACTTACACCTATTTTATGTTTTTCTTGACTTATTTTAGTAGCTAGGCCATTCAGAATAATAGTCAATGACAATGGTGATTCTTAACTATTATTTCTAATTTTAGCTTTTTATCACTTAATCCATCAAAATTTTTACAATAGCTACAATTTCTTAATCGTCAACTCTTTAAGCTAGGCACTGTATTAGTCAAGGTATGTAATCTGCTATCTCATTTTATTTAATCTTTCTGACAATCCTATGTAGTTATTATTGTCTTATTTTATCTTAAAAAAGAGAATAAGCAAAACCAAGATCACAGAAATTAAGTAACTTGGCACTAGATTACAAAATGATGTGGTCAAGCAAGGATGTGAATCCAGATTTGTCACCATCCATTGCCAATATTCTTTCTGCACTTTTCCATTATATTACAATAAGCTATGATTCAGTATCAGCTTTACTTCCCTCCCTCCCTCCTTCCTTCTTTCCTTCTTTCTTCTCTCTCTTTCTGTTTTTCTCTTCTTTTTCCTTCTTCTGTTTTTCTTCCCTACCTCTCTCCTTCTCATCCTTCACTCGCTCCCATTCTTTCTTCCTCCAATTCCTCTTTCTCCTATTATCCTTATTTTATCTCATATTGTCACTAATGAGCCAAGTATGTATTTTCTTAGGGTAATTCTGAATCTAAGTTGTATCACCCAACCAAGCATTGACTCTCTCATAAAGCTGATTAAGTTTTCCTTCTATGTTTTCATCCACACAGTAGATTAAGACATTAATAGGCATTAATTTGAAAAGCATCAAGAACAAAAACTTGTGTCGTAATGCTACTTCTCATATGGTTGTGAAATTAGGGTGCAATAGCTCAATTTATTTTAATTATTGATGGTGGGATAATGAATATAAATATACCAGTCTTGTGTGTTTTCTTCGATTCAGCTTATGGAAACCACCATGTCTCTTCCTATCTGTTATTCATTCCCTAACCTATCAAAACACCATACTTAGGGATACTGTGGGATCCTACTCTTTAATAATGATAAAATCCATTGATTGTGTAATTATTGGCTACCACACACTGTACTAGGTAGCTGCACATACATGATATTTAATTAGCAGGATCAGTGCAAGACTGGTGGTATTAGTCCATTATTTTAAACTAAAAAATACAATTTTAGAGAAGGGAAAAATAGGTAGCCAAGTTGGGATTCAAACTTTGGTCAATTTGACCACAACACTACTCTATGAACTTAGCTTCTGTCTCTGATCTGACAGAATGTCTCACGGTGACCTTTCCCACATAGCCCTCTTGGGAGGCATTGTGGTGAAAATTCCCATTCCCTTCAAAAAATAATTCTCACTGGGGACCAGGAGCACTTGAACAGTAGACGGATAAACTCCAAATAGTTCTCCTATCTTGATTATATCTTTAAGTTCATAAGACAAAAAAATCTCTTTATAAAGATAATAATGAAAGTAGGAGAAAATGAGAGATAATCAAGAAGCAAATAAAATTTGTGACCTAAGTTTCTCAAAATTTTAAAAATTGTGAACCGTCTAATGGCTATAGGTACTTATATTGGTTACAAATTTCATATAAGTTTTCAAAGATGTATCACAGTTTATACAACATAGTTTTAAAACATTTTGTTTTACAGCAATTAAAGGATTGATACTGCTTATAACCTTTTGCCAAAGTAGATTTGGTTTGATCATTGTGTATCAATGTGTGTCAGGAGAGCCTGGGTAATGCTGATGTACAATAATCTCTAAGTCTTGGAGATTTAGAGTAACAAAGATTTATTTCTTGCTCAGACTACATGTTCATAAAAGGTTATCTAGAGTCTCTATTTTTTATTTTCTCGTTCTTAAACCAGACTGATTGATAATTTATCATATAAAACATTACTAGTCGTCTAGCAAAAGGAAGAGAACATGGCAAATCATTTACTTATTCATAGGCTCCCATGAAGAAGTGGAACATATAGCTTCTTCCACTCACATGTGATTGGCTAAAGCAGTTATCATAACCATAGATAGCTTTAGATAGGACGGAGAAATTCAACTGTAGCATGCACAAAGAAGTAGAGAACTGACCCAGTTTTGAAATCCTATTATCACAAAATGACAGTCATTCCATATAGGGTTGATTTATTTTCTTATTCTATACTTCTACTACTTTAGAAAATACTAACATTCAATTTGGTGATTAGCCAAAGAAGGCAGTTCTTGGTGATTATGACATTGTGTTCTGCGTTTTTGCTTCAAACCTGCAAATAGCAGTTATAAATGTGAGAGTAAGTCCTTACAACAGACCACTGTTAGCAGCACATCATCCTCCAGGTCAATGAGCACATCATCCTGAAAAGCAGGAGCATGAATATTTTACAACTTGGAAGATGATGATAGTACATAGATTTTTAATTTTTTTATTACTTTGGTTGCCACAAGAATTCCTTTGTACTCTGTATTCTTTGTATTGTTTGTATTAGATGTCTCCTTAAAATATGATCACTTATACATTTATTGATTTCTTTCTCTGAGGTGCAAAGAACATGAAGTTTTGGGGCAAAGTCTAATTCTTGACAATTGAGCTATTTGCACTGCAATTCAGTTGTCTTCGGGAATTCTCTTATTAAAAAATCAACATTTCATAATCATCATATTTCAACTCTATTAATAAGTTTAGGCTAATCTAGCTAATTAATACAGCATGAAGCTAAAGCTTGAAGTCACTTGAAATCAGGGAAATGATCTTTACTGAGAATATCGGTACCATAAAATATTTATTTCATCTCTCATTCAAAAACTTGTGTAAATGTGCTCTTATCAGCCAGCACATCTCATTATAGAAAAGTAGTATCATGTGTCAGCCCATTTCTCTGCCATGTTCTTTAAAATCACTTGCACTGATTAGATGCAATTTAAATATTGATCAGGGGTCTTTAGAGATCCTTCAGCAATAAAACATGACTAAGAAAAGTGTTGCTTACCACTATCTGTATTCTGTGAATGAAGATGTGTGAGGATTTGCATTCAAGTGTAAGTTATTTCTTGATAGAGGAATGCCTTTCTTAGTTGTGTATGTAGATGGTCTTCATTCAGTACTGATCTCAGCATATATTTTCATGCTTTCTTACAGGTTATAGAAAAAAATAGTTAAGGGAGCTTCAAATCTCTTTTAAGGCCATCTATTTCTAGTTAAAAAAATAAAATTTTATCAAACTATTCTCTTCATACAGGTGCTGCACATATGCCAGGAGCTGATTCAGTGGTTTCATCCAAATGTAAAGCAAAATATGGAATTATTTCAACATATAATAATAACTACTGTTACACTTATGTAAGGCAATAAAAATATTTTTGGCAAAAGCTTGTCCTGCTTTCTTTTTTGAGCATAATTTATGTTTTACAATCTTGTTGGCAAAAGTGTGACCTATGTCTGTTTTTGTTCTGGTGAGTGCAACTAAGAATGATGCCACTGTCATTTTTGTTCTTTTCTCTGTTTTGCATGACAACATTAATAACTTTCACAAGGAAAAGTATTAACTAGCAAATATTTCTGAAAAACTCAGATAACCACAAAGATTCTGAGCATTATTTGAATAAAAAACTAAAACTTCAAAGTTTTTTTTTTTTGCCAGTATTACAATCAGTACCCAAGACACCAGAAGAGGAAGTATTCTAGGCTCACTATAATGCAACTTCGAGACATTTATTATCATACTTTATAGCTGCAATTTTCTTTACTGGCATTTGGTTTCACCTGCCTGGCAACATGCATTCATATTTTATATTTTAATTGAAGACCTTTTCACTAGAAAGATTCATAATATTATTCAGAATTGTTGTTTATATATTGCTACTATTATTATTTCCCACAGTAAATGTAAATCAACACAATAAGAATAATAAAGAAATTCCAAACTTAGCAAATATAAACCATAACATATGAATGGCATAAAATGTTAGCCAAGATGAAGTAATCTTTTACACTTCCTGTATAACGTGCATTGCCTTTAAGAACAAAATTATTACTAAGGACTTTACTGTGAATATAAAATTAATCTTACTAGTTCAAATTTATAAAAATGTAAGGTAGATAAATTACATCATCTGCTTTCCCTGTGAAAATGTCAAACTGTCTATGGATCAGTTATAGACTTCTATGGACTACCAATGACACACATACCCACTTTACCATAGGAAGAGTTTGTTAGATGTATTTATAATGCCTATACAAAGCCCTCATATTTATTTTCCATTTTAATTTCATTCTCATTTTCCTTAGCAAATTCTAAAATAAAAAAGGCTGGTGTGTTTATTTGAACAGATATCCATAACACATTTACATTTCCAGACCCAACTTCTCCCCCAGCCTTCAGACTTAGATGCCTGTTAGACATCTCTGCTTGGATATCTCAAAAGCATCATCAACTTACTATGTCCGTAACAGAGCTCCTGGATAGTCTTCTGCAAAACTAGTCCACCTTATTATAACATCATTCATTCAATTGTTCAAGCCCAAACCTAAGATTCAATAGAGTCTTCTTTCTTTGACATCCCATATCACCATCTAGTTCATTAATAATTTCTGTTGATTTTGCTCTCAAAAATATATATCTGGAATCAGACAGCTTCCCATTTCACAGTGCTGCCACCTTTGTCCAAGTTGCTATCATCTTATCTGTCACTCAATCTACTCACTACTTTTTCACTAGTCTCTCTTTGTTTCTACTTTTGTACTCACACTTGTAGTCTCATCACAGCATCCAAACACACATTTTCAAAAGAAAATAAAATCAGGTCAGAACTCTCCAGAGGCTTCCTACCATGCTTAGAAGGAAATCCAATGTTCTTACTACATGGCCTGCCAGGCCTATGTGTTCTGCTCTCCAGCTACCTCTATGGAGCCTACCTTGCTTATTCTACTGCACACACATTAGCTTTCGGTTTTTGCACTTGTGATTTCTTCTGCCTGGAACACTATGACCCCTGATATTTCTGTGACTGTTCCATTACTTAATTAGCTTTTATTGCTGATCATATTAAATAATAGAGCTTCAACATGACCCCTCTAATCCTGCTTTATTTCTCTCCAGTCTTGTCACTCTGATATTGTATTGTATATTTATTTATCATAGTTTTCTCCCACTAGACTGTGAGTTCCATGGTGGTAGAGACTTTGAATTCATCATAAGCCACATACTCAATGAGCAGAGGTATATATTTGATGTATCCTATCCTGTGGTTACTTCTGTGGAAAGCAGAATTCTAAGGCATAGAAGAGATGGTAGAATCTCTAAAAAGGAAAAAAAATTGGTCATCAAATTTCGGGGGAATGGCACTCTGTGAAGGAAGAAAACAGAGTATGCGAAATTTGGCCTTGGTCTACAGAGTGAGCACAGGAGTGACAACCATAATCAAGAGGACGCTCATGCAGTTTTGAGATATTTTATACCTTTCCCACTGAGGGGAAGCTAATGCCAAAGAATCCGTATGCTGAGAAATTTCCTTACAGCCTTCAATCAAATTCATAGGTTAAAACTTAGAGACGTTATTATGGTTATGTACTTAGGTTGTGTGCAATATTAACAAAAATTAAATAGTGAACACTTCACCTGATAAATATTTAGCACAAGCACAGCATAAGTCAACACATTCCAGCAAAGGTCAAATTTTACATGTATTGCATAGGCACCAGTTTAAATCTGTAGTGAGAAGTTTTGTATGTCTTTATCTTGGTCTTTCCTGCCTAGCGACTAAACTAGTATTGTTGAGGCAAAAGAATATACATTAGCCACAAGAAGAGTTGTAAAGAGAAAGGTGGAGTAACACAAGCATTCATTGGAGGTGCCTGCTCTACGCTACAATAAACTCTGTAGGTAGCCATTGGTTTCAACTGACTTTGGAGGGAATAACAGGAGGTAATTCATCACTGAGGATTTTGGCAGGGTAAATGGATTTATGGACTTTAGGTTCTAACTAATGAATTATTACCTGGTTCCTGACGGGGAAGGAGTAATGGGTTACCAAGTAAAACAATATAGCTTGTAGATCTCAAGTGGCTTCTTTTGTAACCAATTAAATTCATTAGTTGAATGGTCCATCCCACCACAAGTCAATACAAAATTCAAATAGTCATTTCAACATACTTGTTTCACCTTAGTCTTCTTGAAACCATTAGTCAAGAAAGGATTACAATGTAGATTTGCTAGAAAGGCATACCAGCCTATCTGTATATTTTCCATTGCCTTAGACAGTAATGTTTAGTCAGTAGGAGGTTACTACTTCAGATTTACCTGGGAGAGAATTAGTTAGATGTTCTTTTTAGACAAACTCAGCCCCCATTAATGATAACTATTTCTACCTGAATTTCTAGGTGGCTTCATGTGACCACTAAATAGCATAGACTACATGCAACAGTCACCTGCTAGGCAGTCCCTTCATTGGTACCAGAAGATCAACATTTGGTTTTATATGAATGTATAAATCCTGGCTGGATCTAATTTAGCAGGCTAAATTATATTTTATCATCTGTCCAAGTAGCTAAAAACAGAAAATTAAAATGTAGTTCCAATCTTAACAATTTCAACTGTTTGTGTAGAGAAGACATGTTTTCTATGAAGAAGACATATGGCTGAATTTAGTTATTAAAATTTTAGTGCCATACCTCTCGAATAGCTGTACAAAACTCACTCTGAAGCACTTTTTTGAGGGATTGTAGCTTGTGCACTGGTACTTCTCCAGATTCCTGTAGTTTTTCCAGTAATTCAATTGCTCTTGCAACATCTGAATGAAAAAAAATGAAAATAGAGAAACCTAGAATAAATTGTATCTCATCAGCTGAAAGTACTATTATTCCAGTTGGATGATGACATTGAAAAGCAAGTGGACTTAAATTGCATAATCAGAACTTATATTCATAGCTTTTTGGTCTCATCTTTTGGTAAAAAGTCATTTTAATTTGTTCCACACATCTGTCACTTCATACATTTTCTTTGATGGGATTTCATGTAATTTGTGTCATACAAATGAATTTGAATATTATGTCAGTAAAGAGTTGGACACATGTCTATTATTTATTCTGATACTCCAATAACGAAACTAATTCATCAATTTTGCCTCTGAGGTGCTTCCTTTCAGTTCAACTTTTCCTTTCCCATTTCAGTTTGTCATAGCTACAACGTTACATGTATTACTATGATTAATGGATTGCTGTGTATCTCCGCAGTTTGCCTATAAACTTCTTGAGGGTGGGAACTTCTCTGGTTTGGTTACCATTGTATCCTCAGGGTATGGTATATTGTAGTGATTAAAATTAATGCACTTTTTCCATTTCACTGCCATTGCATTATTTCAGGCCCTCGTCATCTCCCCTCTGTCCAATTGGAATTGTTTCTTCTCCTCCAGCCTCTTCAAATGGTCCACAAAGTTATTTTCCTAAAATAAATTCTGATCATGTGCCCATCTACCAGCCTTTAGAACAGTACTAAGCAAGAGTTTTCAATAACAATTATTTTAAATGCTTCTCTTTCACTTAACAATATCAAAGGTTAATGTATCAAGAAACATGTAGTCTTTTATAGACATAAAATTTAAAATTCCCTGGATTATTTCATATTGCCAAGAGAAAATAATTCAATAAAGAGTCATTTAAAAATACTTATGGGTGATCTCTTCTACCCTTGTCACTACAGTAAATAACTCACTGAAAAGCCACTTAGGCATTTATGTTATAGGACATGAGGTTTTCGATTCCTAAGTGCCTAGCTCCAGAAAGCATCCCACATCCCTGCCATCAGCTTATAAATTTATCCATTCACTCATCCATCCAGTATTTTGAGTTTCTGTTATTAATGCTTGGTGCCAGCTTAACAAGAGTATGATACTCCCTTTCAAAGCTCGCAATCTAATGAGAAAGAAATATAATAGCACAGCCACCTTCAATAAAATTGTTAGCACCTCAGAATCTGGGTGGGGTTAGCATAGGTGTAAGTATCTAACTGAATAAAATAACAAAAAGTGACTTTGATGGGGACTGTCTTTGAAGTAGTCATTTTGACTGCCAATCGTGGGCCAAAGTAGCACAAATCATTAAATCAATGTGACACTGCCAGTTTCCAAAGTCTGTCTTTTAGTACATAAACAGGAAGTCTACATAGTCAACTGGACAAAACCAGACACTTCCGTAATCAATAAGGTACCAAGCTGAGATTTTATGCATTTCTAACTGCAAAAGATACTCTACCTAGGCTGCAGTAAGCCATGATTGCACTACTGGACTCCAGCCTAGGAGACAGAGTGAGACCCTATCTCTAAAACAACAACAGAGACAAAAATTCTACCTAGATGCCCATGGATGCATGGAACTCTCAGAGCTCATTTTTTTTCCCCCTAAAACTCGCTCTTCTTTTCCTTTGTTCCATATTTCTAAAAATTTCTCCCCCCAAACAAGCCATCCTCTCAAGCAAAACTATGGTGTTTTTCACACTCCCCTTGCATACAGATAGTCGGCAAGTGCGGTAGATTCTATCTTGGAATTGCCTTTTGTAAAGAGCCCTATCACTCTCATGGAAGTCTTCATCATTTCTCACTTGCAGTACTGGAACATCTCCTAACTGATCTCCTTTAAATTAGTCTTCTTTTTTCAGTCCATCTGCCACATTGCTTCCATAGTAATTATCCTGAGTGGTAAACCTAATTATTATTCTCCTGCACATCAAACCTTCCCTGGCTTCCCATTCCCTACAGAGTAAAGTTCAGAGCACTTAGGGTTACATATAAGGCCCTTAACGGCCGACTTCTTCTCGCTCATCTCAGAACACCTCCTCCTGTCCATCCTATAGTGGGGCCATCCCAAATTTTTGCTATTTCTAAGACATGCCACAGAATTCCACACCTATGTTTTGGCACATGTCATCACCTGTTCCTGAAATGCAATTCATTCATTTATGCAGTAGTGCTAGCCCTGGGCTGTGCACAGGAGACAGTGGTGAAGGAGATAGCCCCTTTCTCTTGCTTTCACGGAACTCACAGGCTTGAGGGGCAGGGGTCACAGACATGCAATAAAGTGGGTGTGTTCTATAAATGAAGCACTACAGGATTGTCCATGGATGTATAACAAAGACATTTATCATCATCAAAGAAGTCAGGGAGGATCTATTTGTGGAAATAACTGCTAAGCAGAGTCCTAGGTAGGAGGTGTAAGTGGAGAAGGAGGGAAGAATGTTCAAGACAAAGGGAATAAATGCAGATCAAAGGCTTGTTAAGAGAGTGTGGGATATTCAAAGAAATAAAAGGCGTTTATTATAGCTGAAGCTGAAAACAGGGTGAGAGTAGCAAGAGATGAGTGGCAAGAGATGAGGTAGACAGAAATCACATCATGGTGGGTGTTTAAGGCCATATAAGGGCAGACTTGGCTTAAAAACCATCTCCTCAACAATGTCTTCCCTGACTCTCTGAAGCAGCTTCAGTTGCTATCATGTCTGCATTTCCATAGTTCTTTGTTCACTCATCTATTATAATAATTACTACCCTCTGTTTGCACGTACATCTCCCTCCTTTATCTCTGTGAATGTATACAATTCTTCAGATGTCAGAAACAAAATATCTCATTCATTGCATCCACAGAATTCCACATCCCTGTGTCTTGGCACATATCATCCCATGTTCCTAAAATGCAGAATACCTAACAAATATCAAGTGTTCAATGCATATTCGTTGAATGAATGAGGGATTAATTGATGAGACTGGCTCAGGAAGGCAGGTGTTAGAGGTCTATGTCTGTGTGAACCTGTAACTTCTCATGAATCTAGAACTCCAGATTATTATCAGCCTTGGTTAAGCCTTGCTTGGATCTGGACTAGGAGAAAAAGGCAAGCCTAAATCTGCAGGCTGAAGAGAATTAGAGACTACACTGGGTGAAGTCCAGCAAAATTGAAAATGATACTATCCTGAATATTTTTAGTAGTTCTCAACCTGGGCTGTGCATTGAAATTATCTAGGGTGCATTTAGAAGTTATTAATGCCTGAGACCTATGACAAACAAATTAAACCAGAATCTCCAGAACAGTGGTTTTCAACCTTAACTGCACATTAAAATCAACCAGAGAGGCTTTAAAAAAACACAAATGCCTAGGTCGGTCCCACCTGGAGAATTTCTGATGTGATTGGCACAGAGTGGGGGGCTGGGCATGGGGCTTTTTAAAGCCCTTCAGGCGATGCTAAAGTGCAGCCAAGGTTGAGACCACTGCTCTAGTTTGCATGGGTAATTTTAAATCCCCTGTGTGATTCTAATATGCAGCCAGGGTTGAGAACCTCTGCTACATATTATTGGTTCTAAACACGAATGTGTTTAAGAATCACCCAGAAAAGCTTATTGAAATGCAGATGCCTAATCCTTACCCCATTTGAGAGATGTTGATTCAGAAGGTGTGAGGATAAGACCCCGGAATATGCCTTTTAAGCACAAGTTCAAAGTGATTCTTAGTGATTGTTAGTTTACAGACCCCAGAGAGAGAAAAGTGAATGAAATGATTTTTTTAGGTTTCTTTCATTCCAGAATTCCAGAAACCCTTGTACTCTCTATTATTCTTTAATACAGTGTGTAACATGGTGCTGAATGGGATTCTTTGAGGAGTTTCAGAATGATTCATAAAAGCCCACAGATGACAGCAATTAGTGCTAAGGCGGTCGTTAGCAAAGGCTGCTCATTGGAATCACCCGTGAAATTTTTCAACCTGACCTACTACCACAGACCAATTAAACCAAAATCTCTAGGAGTGGAATCTACTAAACAAGTTGTTGTTTTTTTAATTTTTGTTTTTTAGCTTCCATATGATTTCTAAGACCATCAAAAGCTGAGAAAAATATTGTTCAAAAAAGAGCCATCAAGGAAACCAGACACGTCTCCATTAAGACTTATAAAAGCTGAGCCAACCCTTTTCTATTACACCACAGGCCTTTCCCAGTCCTCATAAAAGATCATTGGGAGATAAGAGAAAATTCAAGAATTGTTAAATCATTAATTTGACACAGTACTAGGTCTTTTGCTTCTCTTCCAACAACTAAGTAAGGAAGGCTCTGACAGAAACAATTGTAGCTAGTGGGCATGCCTGAAAGAAGGGAGGCTAGCATCTCTTTCCTCGTGGCATAGGCAATGAACTTGGTGACCCGCTTGCCCTCTCTGTCTGAGCAGAGGGAGACAGCTAAAAAGCAGTGCCCAATGGAGCCTAAACCATCTTGAGGTACCCCTTAAGCCATCTAGTGGGTACCCCTCCAAGGAAGTCTTGCAGTATAATGTCAGGGATACACAGCAGGTGGTAAAAGCCAATGGAAGTCTGAAAACCAGAAGTGGGAGAGATCAAGTTCCTCCAGCCAGGCCTAGCCGTTTTGGAAACAAATAGGTGGGAGTGATAAATGGATATGAGGCTGGAGTTTTAAACAGAATTCTGATTCCCTTAAGTTCTATAAGAATATCAGAAACCTGCAAGGCTAGGTTCCAGAAGGAAGCAAAAGAAGGCTTCGAGTCAGCAACATACTTTTATTCTTAAATCCATTGGAATAAAGTGTGTGTAGTTTATTTATAACAGTTCCCTTAGGTTCTTGTTCAGAACCTCCTGATGCTTGTTTTATGAAACTCTTCTATCACATTTGATTAGTAACAGAGAAGTTTGCGTTTACTGGTATAACTCAGATCAAGAGGAATATTAGATAAGAACTGGGGAGGCTGCCAGGTAAGCACAAGGAAAGCAAGAAGGATTATTTTCCTAGAACCTACTCCTCCTATTGTCTGCCACCTCTGATGAATACCACTCTCCCAATGCATGAGGCAAATACTTGCATATTACACTTGCCCCTTTGCTCTCCCTCACACTCCCTCACACTTTCATCACACTTCTCAGAATGGTGCACAATTTAAAATTTATGCATTGCTTATTTCTAGAATTTTCGATTTAATAATTTTGGATTGCGATTGACTGAGGGTAACTGAAATTTTGGAAAGTGAAACCACAGAAAGCAAAACTACAGATAAGGGGATATTAAAAATTGAGATTAAAAAAAGAGAGGGAGAGGTGGAGCCTTAAAATCTGTTTTTTAGTACTCATCTCAGATGATTCTGATGCAGGAAGTGGTTCACAAATGCACTCTACAGATCACTGAGTTTAATACATGGTCCAGAACAAAATGAGTTAATGGCCATCATTTAGTCAGAGCTTACTTGTCTTACTTAGATCACCATGTAAAATCCTTACTATTATATCAAGAGATTACTATTATTTATACTGCACAGTTAAAGAAAAATAAAAACAACTAAGGCTCAGAAAGATGAGTCATCTGGCCCAAAGCTATACACCTAACAAATGGAGAGGCCAGAATCCAAAACCAGCTGTGTTTGACTCCAGTGCCTGTGCTCTTGTTTATTCCTCTACCCTGCCACAGAAAAGGGATTCAAAATAAAATAATAAAGATATGGCAAATTTAGTTTTTAGATACTGCAACATGGACCATTGTGAGCTTGGGTAAACAGTTATAACACTGCCGAAAGCCTCATATTACATTATAGTATTACCAATGTGTTTATAGTGATAACAGTGGATCATTGAAAGATGATCACATCATCATCAACTGCCTGATAGTAAAGTGCCACATTGTCAAAAGACTTCCTTCAAAATAGCTGGAACATTATAAACAAAACAAAAACAAGAATAAAATATTGGAACTTAAAAATATTAGAATTTAAAAGGGATGAGCTTACAGTGATCTAAAGGAGTTCAATTATTTTTTCATTCTCTAATGATGAGTTTTCATGAACTCGATTGACATTTAGACTGTGGAATTTGACTTATGACGCATCCAAAGCTGGAACATGGATAATGATGCAGCTGGGTCATTTAAAGTTACTGTTCACTAATTCCACAAAATGTGTTGAGCACTCAAGCTAACAATATGAATTATCTATCCCAAAGCCATCCACAACCCTCTAATCGCTTGCCATCTTCTACTACAGAAACTGAAAAGAGAATGCACTTCTTTTTCCAGACTCTACTGCAATTTTGCCAAGTTGTTTTAAGTGTAAAGTCACTTGTTATGGCTTCCAGGAAGGCCTTTGAAATGGACAAACTGCTGGCATAAGCCTTCAACATTTTCATCTTTGCACCCTTCCTCTTTCCCCTTTCTTTTGACAGATATAATGCCTTGAAGTGCCTTGGAGGTAAAACTCCCATTTTGTGATCACGAAGATAACTGCCATGTGCTAAGGATGGTGGAGTAGGAAGAAGGAAAGGACACAGGCCTAATGTCCTCACTGAGCTGTTGTACTAGCCCTGAACTGTCCAAACCCATGATTCTTGTCTGTGAGAAAAAATATATGCTTCACTATTTGGTTATCTATGGCTTTCAACCAAATACAAGCTAGCTGCCAGGAGAGCAGGTGACTTTAAAGGTGCTTTTCTAGGTTTCCGGGATAATATTGATGCTATAGAGACACTGGAATAACCTATAGTGGTCTTTTGATTAAGATCGTCATGGAAGCCAATCTGGGAAAGGTCTGGAAAATGACCTTTGGACTGAGACTGGAAATGTCAGCCATGTAAAGATCCAAAGAAGGAGCATCCAGACAGGAGGACAGAAAGGGCAGAGATGCTAAAGTGAGGGAGTAAGCCTACATGTGGAAGGTCAGACAAAACCAGTGTTGGTGGAACACTGCAATCAAGGCGACAAGCGATAGTAACAGTGATGTCCTGGTAAATAAATAACACTGGCTACTGACTTATTACTAGTTTTTTGAGGTGTCTAAAAATTTTACCAAATAATGTTCAGTTTAAAAATCTAATACAACGACAGTGCATGTGTACCAACAACATAAAATAAATGGTAAATAATGCTTTGTACTTCTATCACTGCGATATGAAAGGAAACTGTCAATTTAGAAGTTACTAATGAGACATGACAATCGATGTGTCCTACTCATCTGACCCTCATCTCTGCTTTAATCTGCCAACAACTTGCTGCGTTCCTCAAATGCAGACTAATTGGCAAACCCAAAGAAGAACTGGTTCAAGTTAAATGTGTTCAAATTTTAAAAATTTACTCAGTATGCTATTGAAAATACCCAACTTTATATTTGTTATCAAAAACTAAATGATCATGGGATTTGGGACAACACTGAAGTGTATCACAAAAAAAGTCTGACAATACTAGAGTCATGAATTTATATAATGACAAAATCCTGGCATTGACTGCTCAAAGTGTTTGTCAGACCTACTGCAATGAACAATATATGATACAAAATGAAAAACTATAGTTCTTAAGAGATTCTCTGGAGGTACTTATTTCATTTGAAATTGATTACCTACCCAATAAGCAAATCTTTAGGTATACAAAGCTTAAGATACAGCCTTCTTTGTTAAACAATTGCTGTTATGTGGTTAAAGTCAGTAATGCATTCCCAGTTTTCCTAGGAACTATATTTAGCATTTTTTTCTTTTTCTTCTTTCCTGTTTTTTTTAAAATCCTTCTTATTTTCTTTCCTAAACAGCTAAAACTGAAGTTTGATTTGCCTACTACTACCCGAGACATCATGAAATCAAGTTTTGCCTTCCTTTCTGTTTCAGCTTTCATTTTTTTCTCCTTATTATTTGATGTCTTTCCTTTATATTTGATGTCTTTCCTTTTTTCTGTATTTTTACCTCACTTTTGTATTTAATCTTGTACATATGTTTTTACATCCTTACAGCCGACTATAGCCTTATTCCTAATCCCAGTGAAATTAGCTTATTTTATTTTTTCTTGTTCCCAAAAATGTAATCTGTTTTTACACATCTGAAGGAAGTTGAACAATCTACTGCCTGCCCTTGTTAGGCTAAATACTAGAACACCTGTCTCCTATCAATTTTGGTGTCCAGCATAGAATCGTGACAATTGCAGACACCTGAAAATTGTTTGTTGGGGCCGGATGCGTAATCCTGTAATCCCAGCACTTTGAGAGGAGAGGTGGGTGGATCACTTGAGCCCAGGAGTTTGAGAACAGCCTGGCCAACATGACAAAACCCCATCTCTACTAAAAATAGAAAAATTAGCCGGCGTGGTGGTGGGCGCTTGTAATCCCAGCTACTCGGGAGACTGAGGAGGAAGAATCACCTGAACCTGGGAGGCGGAGGTTGCAGTTAGCCAAGATCGTGCCACTGCATTCCAGCCTGGGCGACAGAGTAAGACTGTCTCAAAAAAAATAAAAAAAATTGTTTCTTGAATATAATTGATTGCATTAAGTCAAATATTAAATATTGATTTATTATTTGCAAAATCAAAATATTGCCAATATTTTCTCTGATTCTGTAAGTTGTTTGTTTACTGTGTTGATAGTTTCTTTTGCTGTGCTGAAGTTTTTTAAGTTAATTAGGTCCCATTTGTTAGGTTTTGGTTTTGTTGCAATTGCTTTTGATATCTTTATTATGAAGTCTTTGCTGAACCTATGTCTAGAATGTTATTTCCTAGATCATCTTTCAGGGTTTTTAAAATTTTAGGGTTTATATCTAAGTATTTAGTCCATCTTGAGTTGATTTTTGTGTGTGGTGTAAGGAAGGGGTTCAGTTGCAATCTTCTGCATATGGCTAGCCAGTTATAACAGCACCATTTATTGAATACAAAGCCTTCTCCATTGCTTGTTTTTGTCAACTTTGTTGAAGATCAGATGGTTGTTGGTGTGCAACATTATTTCTGGGCTCTCTATTCTGTTCTATTGGTCTCTGTGTCTGTTTTTGTACCACTATCATGCTGTTTTGGTTTCTATAGCCTTATAGTATAGTTTGAAGTTAGGAACTGTGATGCCTCCAGCTCTGTGGCTTTTTTGTTTTTTGTTTTGTTTAGCATTGCCTTGGCTATTTGGGCTCTTTTGTGGTTCCATGTGAAATTTAAAATAGTTTTTTTTTTCTAATTCTGTGAAGAATTGTAGTTTGATAGGAATATAATTGAATCTGTAAATGGCTTTGGGCAGTATGTCCATTTTAATAATATTGATTCTTCCTATCCATGAGCAGAGTATGTTTTTTCCATTTGTTTGTGTCATCTCTGATTTCTTTGAGAAGTGTTTTGTAATTCTGATTGTAAAGATCTTTTTGCCTCCCTAGTTAGCTGTATTCCTAGCTATTTTATTCTTTTTGTGGCAGTTGTGAATGAGATTGCATTCTTGATGTGGCTCTCAGCTTGAATGTTGTTGGTGTATGGAAATGCCACTGATTTTTGCGCATTGTTTTTGTATCCTGAAATTTTGCTGAAGTTGTTTATCAGATCAAAGAGCTTTTGCACACAGTCTATGGGGTTTTCTAGGTATAGAATTATATAGTCTGTAAACAGGGATAGTTTGACTTCCTCTCTTCCTAATTTGGATGCCTTTTCTTTCTTTCTCTTTCCTCATTGCTCGGGCTAATCCAGTACTATGTCGAGTAGGAGTGGTGATAAGGCATCCTTGTCTTTTTCTCATTTTCAAGAGGAATGCTTCCAGCTTTTTCCCATTTAGTATGATGTTGGCTGTGGGTTTTTCATAGATGGCTCTTATTATTTTGAAGTACGTTTCCTCAATGCCCAGTTTGTTGGAGGTTTTTAGCATGATGTGATGTTTAATTTTATCAAAAGCCTTCTCTACATCTATTGACATGATCATATGGGTTTTGTTTTTAGTTCTGTTTATGTGGTGAATCACATTTATTGATTTGTGTACATTTGAACCAACCTTGCATCCCAAGGATAAAGCTTTTTCGATCGTGATGGATTAACTTTTTGATGTGATGCTGGAGTTAGTTTGTTTACATTTTGTTGAGGATTTTTGCATTTATGTGTATCAAGGGTGTTGGCTTGAAGTTTTCTTTTTTGTTGTTGTGTTTCTGCCAGGTTTTGGTATCAGAATGATGCTGGCCTCATATAATGAGTTAGGGAGGAGTCCCTCCTTTTCAATTTTTTTGGAATAGTTTCAGTAGGAATGGTACCAGTTCTTCTTTATGTATCTGGGAAAATTTGGTCATGAATCCATCTGATCTTGGGCTTTTTCTGGTTGGTATGCTGTGTATTACTGATTCAATTTCAGAACTTCCTATTGGTCTGTTCTGGGATTCAGTTTCTTCCTGGCTCAATCTTGGGAGGTTGTATATTTCTAGGAATTTATCCATTTCCTCTAGGTTTTCTTTTTTTCTTTTCTTTTTTTTTTTTTTTTGAGATCGAGTCTCGCTCTGTTGCCCAGGCTGGAGTGCAGTGGCGCGATCTCCACTCACTGCAAGCTCCGCCCCCAGGTTCACGCCATTCTCCTGCCTCAGCCTCCCGAGTAGCTGGGACTACAGGCGCCCGCCACAATGCCAGGCTAATTTTTTGTATTTTTAGTAGAGACGGGGTTTCACCGTGTTAGTCAGGATGGTCTCCATCTCCTGACCTCGTGATCTGCCCGCCTCGGCCTCCCTCCTCTAGGTTTTCTAGTTTGTGTGCATAGAGCTGTTCATAGTACTCTCTGACGGGTTTTTGTATTCCTGTGGAGATGGTGGTAACATCCCCTTTGTCATTTCTAATTGTGTTTATTTGGATCTTCTCTTTTTTTATTTATTGGTCTAGGTAGCACGCTTTCTATCTTATTCTTTCAAAAAACAAGCTCCTGAATTTGTTGATCTTTTGTCTGGTTTTTCATGCCTGAATTTCCTTCAGCTCAGCTCTGATTTTGGTTATTTTTTTGTCTTCTGCTAGCTTTGGGATTGGTTTGCTCTGGTTTCTCTAGTTACTCTAGGTGTGATGTTAGGCTGTTAATTTGAGATCTTTCTAACATTTTGATGTGGGCATTTAGCCCTATAAAATTCCCTCTTAACACTGCTTTAGCTGTGTCATAGAAATTCTGGTATGTTATATCCTTGTTCTCATCAGTTTCAAAGAATTTCTTGATTTCTGCCTTAATTTCATAGTTTATCCAAAAGTCATTCAGGAGCAGGTTAATTTCCATGTAATTGTATGGTTTTGAACAATTTTCTTAGTATTGATTTCTATTTTTATTGTTCTGTGGTCTGAGAATGTGGTTGATATGATGTTGGTTTTTTAATTTGCTGAGGATTCTTTTATGGCAGATTGTGTAGTTGATTTTAGAGTATGTGTTATGTCTGGCAAGATTGTTTGTTGAATAGAATTGATTGTATTAAATCAAAATTTCATATTCTATTTATGTAAGTATTTGTATTCACTAGTTAACAATGATACCATGTCAAACTCTATTTAACAACATTTAGAATTCTTACAAATATGAATTCTAAGAAGATGAGGATTTAAGGAACTGGACTCCATCTTTTTATAATGATTAAATATAATTGTCTAAGTGAAGCAGAAAAGAACCGAAGGGTATGACTTGAAAATAGATTGGAGTTCATTTTATTAGCACTTATGAAAATTTTTAGGGAAGTCATTTTTAAGCTTTCTGGGGAAGATATTTTAAAGTACATTATCCAAACTACAACAGTTTACATGCAGACAAACTTTTTTAGAAAATGAATATGATGGGCACTTAGGCACTACCTAATTAAGTACACTAGAAGTACAGCTGTAGGAATAAAATAAAACCACTATGTAACAGATTAGCAATATGATATAACTCAACAGTGCACTGCTGGCTTCCCATCCTGTCCATCCACACTATTCCTTATTTACATTCCATCTATGACCTCAATTGATTTTAGATGCAGCTAGGTGAAAAAACAGAACACCTTTCACAGAGCTTCAAGTTTAATTTAATTCGAAGTCTATGTATTTTACCTTTTCTTCCCTAATTTCTTATCGGTCTAATGATCTCTCAATAAGTTAAATAATTATTGCTGGCATGTTAAAATGCAAGCCACAAATATATACCAGTTGTAATATTTCCCTAACTTAGTACATAAAAAACAATCTACCTTTTATATTGGTAGTGTTCCATCTGTGCGCATTGTAAAAATTGAGAGATTTTTTCCCTGTAATTATTATCAGTAAATCCCAGTTCCCTTTTATAGTGTTCAGGGAATTGGAAGAGAAAATCTATCAGGAAATTGCTGAAGAGACACCCCATCAATTTGTCTGGGTGTTTTTGGAGAGTTTGTTATAAAGAAACTACAAATTTAACTTTTCCTGTCCTCAAATACATCCTATACTAGCAAATGGATGAATATTTTTATCTAAACTGACACTTTGATATATAATTCTGCTGTAAAGCTCCTTAATAATGTTTCCTCTTTTACCTTATCATTACTATATCATACTGTCATCCGTTTTCTTCATTACTTTGAGAGTTGTATGATGAGGTTAGTGTGGTGCTATCTACATCTTTAAGGGGTAATTAGAGGGCAAAGTAAAGCTTGATGTTTGCAGAAGTTGTTATGGTGAATAGTGCATCTATTTTATTGAGAACATTATCACTACAGGGCAGTATAAAAGATTATTTATAGTTAATTTTTGTATATAGTGAAAGGCAGGGGTCCAGCTTCAATCTTCTGTGTATGACTACCCAGTTATACCCAGGACCATTTATTGAAGAGAGTGTCTTTCCCCCATTGCTTGTTTTTGCCAGCCTTTTTGAAGATCAGACGATTGTAGGTGTGTGGCTTTTTTTCTGAGTTTTCTATTCTGTTCCATTGGTCTATGTGTTTTTTTTTTTTTTTTGTACCAGTACCAAAATGTTTTGTTTAATGTGGCTTTATGGTATAGTTCAAAGTCAGGTAGTGTGATGCCTCCAGCTTTGTTCTTTTTGCTTAGGATTGCTTTGGCTATTTGGGCTCTTTTTTGGTTCCATTTGAAGTTTAGAATAGTTTTTTTCTAATTCTGTGAAGAACGTCATTAGTAGTTTGAGACGAATAGAAATGAATGTGTAAATTGCTTTGGACACTATGGCTATTTTTATATTGATTCTTCCAATCTACAAGTACGGGATGTTTTTCCATTTATTAGTGCCATCTCTGATTTCTTTCAGCAGTGGTTTGTAGTTCTCCTTGTTGAGATCTTTTGCTTCCTTGGTTAGCTGTATTCCTAGGTATTTCATTTTCTTTGTGGCTATGGTAAGTGGGATTGTGTTTTTGATTTCACTCTCAGTCTGGACATTGTTGGTGTATAGAAAGGCTACTGGTTTTTGTACATTGACTTTGTATCCTGAAACTTTACTTAAGTCATTTATGAGTTCTAGGAGACTTTTGGCAGAGTCTTTAGGATTTTCTAGGTATAGAATCATATTGTCACTGAAGATATATAGTTTGACTTCTTCTTTTACTATTTGGATCCCTTTTATTTCTTTCTTTTGCCTGTTGCTCTGGCTGGGACATCCAGTACTATGTTGAGTAGGAGCAGTAAGAGTGGGTGGTGTTATCTTGTTCCAGTTCTCAAGAATGGTTTGACCTCTTGCCCATTCAGCATGATGTTGTTTGTGGGTTTGTCATAAATAGCTTTTATTATTTTGAGGTGTGTTTCTTCAATATCTAGTCAACAAACATTGAAGAAACATACCTCAAAATAATAAAAGCTATCTATGACAAACAGACTAGCCATCAAAGAAATGTACTGCTTTAATATTTAAACATTATCAAAACATTAAAACATTAAAAACCAATTGGAGTACTCTATTTTATAATAATAAAATAAATTAACAACTGAGAGATAAAAAATTAAATGTAAGGGGCACAAGTGCAATTTTATTACATGGATATATTGAATAGTGGTGATGCCTGGGGTTTTAGTGTAGCTATTATTGTCTGATTGATGTATGCTGTACCCATTAAGTAATTTTTCATCACCCACCCTCCTATCCTTTCAAGTCTCCAGTGTCTATTATTCCACACTCTATGTCCATGGGTACACATTATTTTAACTCCCACTTATAAGTGAGAACATGTGGTATTGACTTTGTTTCTTAGTTGTTTCACTTAATGGCCTCCAGTTCCATTCATGTTGCTGCAAAAGACATGATTTCATTATTTTTTATGACTGAATAGTATTGCATGGTGTATATATACCCCATTATCTTTACCCAATTATTCACTGATAGACACTTAGGTTG
Organism: Homo sapiens; assembly: GCF_000001405.40. Lineage (NCBI taxonomy): Eukaryota > Metazoa > Chordata > Mammalia > Primates > Hominidae > Homo > Homo sapiens. The sequence goes on from NC_000012.12 coordinate 80,903,618, forward strand.
ATCTTTGCTATTGTGTGATAAACATACAATTGCAGGTATCTTTTTGTTATAAAGATTTTTTTTTTCCTTTTTGTAGATAACCAGTAGTGGGATTGCTGGATCAAATAGTAGTAGAGTTCTATTTTTGGTTCTTTGAGGAATCTCTATACTGTTTTCCATAGAAGCTGTAGTAAGTTACAGTCCTATCAACAATGTATAAATGTTCTGTTTTCTCTGCAGCCTCATCAACATCTGTTATATTTATTGACTTTTTAATAGTAGCCATTCTGACTGATGTATGATATATCTTGCTGTGGCTTTAATATGTATTTATCTGATGATTAGTGATTTTGAGCATTTTGGGATTTTATAGAGTAAGTATAAATCCTAGTCCTAGACTTTAGATATTTTTCTGTGTTTATAACAATCTTTTAAACTTTTTTCTATGTGGGCAAGACCATCACTAAGCTTTTGTTTTTCTAAAATTAAAATGAAAACTTATGAAAATAACTCAAAATAATATAACTAAATTAATAATTTTAGCTTAAATAAGAGCATATAGTTGTAAAATTTATTTATTTTTAATCAACAAAAAAAATTGCACACACATTATATACAACGTGATGTTATGAAACATGCACATACTATGGAATGGCCAAACTGTGCCAATCCACATATGCATCACCTCACATGCTAGTCATGTTTTTATGGTGAGAACACTTAAAATCTACTCTCCTAGTGATTTTCAAGAACACTATACAATGTTACTAATTAAAGTCACCACGTTTAATGATAAATTTCTTAAACTTATTTTTTCTATCTGAAATTTTGTATCCTTTGACCTAAATCTCCCTAGCCCCCACCTTCTAGTAACTACCATGATAGTCCCTGTTACTATGAGATGAATTTTATTATACACATAAATGAGATCATGCAGTATTTGTTTTCCTGTGTAGCTTGTTTCCCTTAACATCATGTCTTTCAGATCCATCATGTTGTTGCAGGTGACAGGATTTTCTTATTTTTCAAGACTGAATGATACATGAAAATGTGGTATACATACACAATTGAATATAGGTTGAATATCCCTAATCCAAAATTCTTGTGACTAGAGGTGTTTCAGATTTTGGATATTTTTGATTTTGGAATATTTATATATACATAATGAGATGTCTTGGGGGTGGAACCCAATTTTAATCATAAATTTTTTTATGCTTCATATATACCTATACATGTAGCTGAAGGTAATTTTATGCAATATTTTTAATAGTTTTGTGCATGAAACAAAGCTTGTGTACATGAGATCAGGTGTGGAAATTTTTATTCACATTTTTTTTCAAAGATTCAGCAATTAGTTTTTTGAAACATCTTTTGCTCCATGATCATTTACTTATTATTACTTGCTTTTATCTGTATTTTTTCTTTATCGTTTGACTAGCTGAGTGTCTGTGTGTGTGTGTGTCTTTTAATGATCCTACATTTCTTCACAATTCCAATCTAGTGACATCTCATATAGAGATCATTTCTTTCTACCATTTAATTTTGATATCTTCTTTAAAGTAAGTGTTGTTTATAATTTTAAAATTTCCAAGGATTTTTTTTTTTTCTTTTGAGGCAGAGTGTGGCTCTGTCACCCAGGCTGGAGTGCAGTGGCGTGATCTCAGCTCACTGCAACCTCCGCCTCCCACGTTCAAGCAATTCTCCTGTCTCAGCCTCCCAATGGATATGGTTTTAAGAAGATTATACTTCTGCATTTTATATTTTAATTTTGTTATACATTGGTCAGAGAAAATTACCAGTGTTATTTCTCATTTTGGATTTTAATAGCATTTTTGGAGTTACATATGGTAAATCATCCACAGATGTTTAAAAATAATAGATAATACAGACACAAACATATATAATATATATGCTAAAGCTTGTTAAATGATTTAATGAAGTCTCAAATAGCCTTATTTTATTTTATCTCCTTGAGCTGGCAATCTTTGAGAAACTGGTTGAATTGCTAATTTTTCCCACTAACAGTTTTTGCCTCATACACATGTATTTCAAAGCTATGGGGCTAGGTACATAGTTGGCTCTAGGTTTAGGATGCTAATGGCATCTTGGTAACATTTCTCTAAGTTAAATATCACTCTTTCACATTTAATTTTGGCTTGAATTCTATTTTGACTGATATTTTAATATTATATTGCTGTATTTTTGTGTTAACTTTTTCCTAGTATTTCATTTTCTATTTCTTTATTTTCAAACTTTCTTTTTATGATTGTCTCTTTTTCATAGCAGCTTATTATTTTCTTGGTTGTCTCTGGTATTTATTTTCTAAAGCATATAATCAAATCATTCCATTAATTTTATATTCTTGGGGATAATTTATTTTAGATAAGTTCTTTCATAAAGATGGGAAGTCCTCAAAGAGCTAGTATTTTTTTGTTTTTATTTAATATTTGTACTTAAAGATTTAGATTAAATTGTATACCTCCATAATAAAATTGGTATTTTCATTCTCTTGTCAGTAGATACAGTTTCTAATAATAAGAACCTGTTTCTAGGGCTAGGTGTGCAGGTGTCTAAAGAATGGAGTGTTCTGCAAGGAAAAATGAAGAGCTGGTTTGTCACTGGGTGTGACAGTACAGTCACTCCAGGTCTTTGAAAAGTGTCTGAGAATATTGCTATGCCTCTTTTCCTATCTCAGCTCTCACTCTACTATTTGCATGTCATACTTCAGAGAAAAAGCTGGGGCTTTAACTAGCAGCAAGTGCTGCTGTTTCTCAGTGTAGAGAAGTGAGAGAAGATAGAGTGGATTCACCTAGTGATTCCAATTCAGTTATCAAGTGTTTGATCCAGGACTCTCTTTCACCTGTTGTCTTTGAGTTTATGGTTTTTCTTGCTTTCACTGGGGGTTGGGGGGTTTGCCTTGCACTTGCTTTCTCAGGTTCATGCTTTGGGGTTCCTTTTTCTAAGAACCACACTTTGTGTCTGGCTCCTGTCTAATCACTGTGGCATCCTGACATAGTGATTAGAAAGGAGCCAGACGCAAAGAAGGGAACATTAGACACCATGGCCTTCCTGAGGGTGCAGGGTGGGAGGAGGTGAGGATTGAAAAACCACCTATCGGGTACCATGCTGATTACCTGGGTGACAAAGTTATCTGTAAACGAAACCCCAACGACATGCAATGTAGCCATGTAACAAACCTGCATATGCATCCCTTGAACCTAAAATGAAAATCGGAAAAAAACAAAGCAAAACAAAAAAGAACGGAGCTAGGAACTAGAAAGGTGGGGAAGCTAAGTTTTCAGGACAGATAATTAGGAGGGTGTCTCAAAGATCAGACTTCCTGGCTCCAATCTCAATTCAGCATTTGCAAATTGTGTCTTTTCAGACAATTCAACCAACCTAAGTTTTATTTTCAGTGAAACAATGATCATAATAGAACATACCTCAGAGTGCGTGCTCTGTGTGTGTGTGTGTGTGTGTGTGTGTGTGTGTGTGTGTGTGTTGAGGATTAAATAAGAGAATACATGAAAATACTTAGCATTGTGCCTGGCACACAGTGAATGCTTAATACATTTTACTGTGGGTGATAATTACCATATTTTCACTCATCAGTCTGATTTTATTGTGTGCTATCTTTCAGGAATTCTTCAAAATGTCTTGTGTGCAGTAACACCCTTTTTATCTCCAGTGCCTTTTAACATTTATTATTTGCTTTATATCTTTTTGACAGCTATGATGTTTGGAATGGGAGGCAATAAGGACATATGTGCTTAACCTACTATCTTGATTCAAATCTTCCTTTCATTGTCATCCACTTACTTGGAAAATGCATTTTAACATTAAGGAAAGAACAATGGACTTGGAAGTCAACAGTCCTTGTTTCTAGTCCTAAAATTGTAACTGAAATTTTTGAAATTTGTTTAATTTATCTCAGCTTCAGCATCTTTATCTATAAAATGAGTATTTGGACTAGTTTATCTTTTCTGGCTCTAAAGAATAAATGCTCTGCCTAAAAGGATTGTTCATTTATCAAGAGAGCTATTAAATTAATAGAACACAAAAAAAGGCTATGGAAAAAAAGTGATAGAGGGCAATGTGAGTTCTAGAGAGAATGGATTCCATAGAGTGTTACACCAACCTGGCTTTTTAGAGGAGAATGGAAAATGAAGAATGCTTAAAGAGTAGGAAGAAATAAAGAGGATCCCTATTTCAAGGGAAACTAGTAATAAATATAAGAAGGTAAAAGAAAAAGAATTATTTAAAAGTGTTCTAGACATACAGCCAAATTTAAATTCTTCTGTGTGCTTGATATTAATCAATCTGTATAGAATAGACAATTCAAATTGAAGCTACCCCAATGATAATCAAATCAGTACTCATAAATTTATAGATAAGCAAACCAAAACCAAGTAAGATAAAGTTATTGCCTATGACCTAAAAGTTGAGCATTTCTAAGTACTTAGCCTGAGATATCAGTGATGAAGTTAAAACCAGTACAAAGATACTTGAATCCCAGGTCAGATCTTTTCCCCACTGTACTACTCAATATTTAATTAAAATTTTCCAGACTTGCTTTTTCCATTTTGTCTTAAATATAGATTTGTTTAGTTAAGATTTAAGAAATATAGACTTAGATTTAGTCTTAAAAATAGATTGCTATATATACAAACGTGTACCAACCGTAAGAATGATTCCAACATTTTCTAAATCAATACTCACATATCTACTATATCGATGTTAAATGGTTATGAAATTCATATGTATAAGTAATACGAGTTATAATAAAATTTGATCCAGGGGAAAGAGTCATTAAAATGACCTAAATGAATGCCACATTTTAACATATATAATTATATGGGAAGTAAGTCTTATCAGAGTTAAATATCTATACACATATATGAGAATTTATTATCAAGTAAAATGTAATTACTGGAGAGAGATGACTTAAGGTATTGAGACTAATAAGAGAGCTTACTGATGCAAGAAGAGCCATTTCTATACTTTTCTGCACTTGAGACAATAATGATAGAGAATAAAGTTTACCTTTTTAAAGCTCATACACAAAAGGTGATATTTTTAAAAACAGCATTCTAATAGAATGATCTCAGTGTAGTTTCAATTTGCTTTTTTTCTCTAAATACTAATGATGTTGACTATCTTTTCATATGCTTATTTGTCACCTGTATATCTTCTTTAGTGAAGTATCTATACAAATCTTTTATTCGTTTTTTTTTAAAAGTTGGTTATTTTCTTTTATTGTTGAGTTTTAGGAGTTATTTATATATTTTGAATACAAATACTTTATCGACATGTTTTGCAAATATTTTCTCCTAATCTCGTCTTTTAATTTTCTTAATGTTATCTTTTAAAGACTAATACTTTTTAATTTATCATCCTTTTCTATTATGATACGTGCTTTTTATATTTAACCTAGGCAGTTTTGGACTAACTCAACGCCTCAAAGATTTTCTTATACTCTCTATTTTAAAATAATATTGGTTTAGGTCTTACATTTACATTTTTGGCCCATTTTGAGTTAATTTTTGATTATAGTGTAAAGGATTGAGGTTCAATTTTTTGCATTTGGTTACCCAATTTTTACAGTACCATTATTGAAGAAAGCTAGCTTTTCCCCAGTGAGTTCCCCTGGTATAGTTGTTCAGTATCAATTAAGCACATATTTGTGGGCCTGTTTCTGGACTGTATTCTATTTCATTGATCTTACATATCAATACTTATACCAAAAACCACACTATATCTTAATTACTGTATCTTAATAGTAAGTTTTGAACTAAAGCAGTAATGTGAACCTTCTCTGTCTTAGTCCATTGAGGCTGCTATTGAAAATACCATAGGCTGGGTAATTTATAAATCATAAAATTATTTCTCTCAGTTCTGGAGGCTGGGATGTCAAAGATTAAGGTGCTGGGAGATTCAGTGTCTGGCGAGGGTCCACTTTCTCACAGATGGCATCTTTTGCTGTGTCCTCGCGTGGCAGAAGGGGCAATGAAGCTACTTGGGACCTTTTTTATAAGAGCATTAATCCCATTCATGAGGGCCCCACCCTCATAACTTAATCGCATCCCCAAAGGCCCCACCTCCTAATAGTACGGCCTTGGAAGTTATTATTTCAACATACGAATTTTGAGTGAACACAAATATTTTTACCATAACACCTTTCAACTTTGCTCTTGCTTTTCAAATCTGTTATTCTATGTCCTCTGCATTTTTGTAAATTTTACATCTAATGACAATTTTTACCAAAAAAAAAAACCCTAAAAACACCTGTTGGCATTTTAATTGAGATTGTCTTACATCTCTGTATTAGGTTACTGTGAAAGTAGTTGCAGTTTTTGCCATTACTTTTAATAATGATTTGGGAAAAATTGACATCTCTACAATATTCAGTTTTCCAATCCCTTGAACAATGGTATATTATTTCATTTGTTCAAGTCTTTAATTTCTGTCAACAATGTTTTGTACCTTCAGTAAACAATTTTTGCACATATTGTGTTAAATCTGACTCAGTACTTTCCTGTTTTGATGATATTGTAAATATTACCTTTTAAATTTAGTTTCTAATTGTTTATTGCTATTATACAGAAATACAACTGATATTTTTAAGATAACCTTATATTTTCTTCCATTACTAAAGTCACCTATTAATTTTAGTAGCTTTTTTGGCAGATCCCACAGGATTTTCTCCATAGACAATCATATTGTTGGTGAATAAAGATAGTTTACTCCTTCCATTCAAATCTATATTACGTATTTCTTTTGTTTACCTTATTGTACTGACTAGGACACCTCATAAAATGCTAAGTAGAAGTGATGAGGCAAAAAAGTGATCTTTGCCTTGTTCTCAATCTTAAGAGTAAAGAATTCAGCCTTTTACCATTAAGTATGATATCTACTATAGGTTTCTTGCAGAAACCCTTTATTGAGAGAGCTTTCTTTTATTTTTACTTTGCTAGGTGTTTTAAAATCATGAATAGATATGGAATTATTCAAATGCTTTTTCTACACCTATTGAGATGATGATATGATTTTTGTTATGGTAAATTATTTGGATTGATTTAAAATATGTTAAACCATACTTATCTTCTTGGAATAAACTCCACTTGATCAGAATACATTATCTTTTGTATGTGTATCCTTTTTGTGTATCTTCTGCTGGATTTGAGATGTTAAGATTGTGTTAGCCACTCGTACATTCATATCCATGAGAAATATTTATCTTAGATTTATTTTCCTATATTGTGTTTTTCTGGTTTGGGTATTTGTTAGGGTAATTTTGTACAACTAAAATGAGAAAAGTGATCCCTTTCTAGTATTTTCTGGAAAAGTTTGTGTTGAACTGATAGTATTTCTTTGTTATATGCTTGGCAGAATTCACCAATGAAACTGTCAAAGCAGGAATTATTCTCTGTGAAAATATTTTTAACTACAAATTAATTTTTATAAACAGATTATATTTATTCCTTTGTTGAGTTAAAACACCTGTCCAGAAGATGGAGGAAATATTTTGGGGAAAGTTTGCCTTGCTCAGTGCTATTCAGTACATATGTTCACTGACTCTATAATCAAAATTCAATCTTTACATACATGAAAATGTGTCAGAAAAATTTCAAATGTGATTTTAAGGAGGTTCTAGAGGGTGGAAGTTTGTCTATTTTTTTTTTTTTTTTTTTTTTGGTGGGGAGAAGATGAGGTCTCACTATGTTGCCCAGGCTGGACATGAGCTCCTAGGCTAAAGAGATCCTCCCACTTCAGGCTACTGGCAGCTGGGAATACAGGTACATGCCACTGGGTCTGGCTTGGAAATGCAAGCTTGGAGGTTGGGTTGTAGACTCTAAGCATAAGGGATTAATTTTAAAATTTATAAACAAGACATTTAATCATATGGAAAGGGATATAGCACCTTAATATTTGACCAAATAACATAGTATTTCCTTGCCAAATGAAAACAAATATAATCTTAGACCACTAGATTTCCTGAAAATTATTCTTGTACCTTTTCTAGTTGGGGAGTCATTAGGATCTAATTGACTCAAAATAAACAAGCAAATGCAATAAATTTGAAATGGCTTGTTCAACAAGGTTTTGAATTTATAGTAAATAGCTTGGTATTCTTCCATTTGAGAGAAGATTAAATAAGCTTAGCTTTGTTTTATCTTTTGAACAAGATAAGATCCCAGTACTTAATTCACATTTTTTTAATGCAAGACAAATTACTCATACATAAACAAGTTTATTTGGAAGGCACTATTTTTCAAGTGGTATTAACATGAACTATTCCTGTCATAATTTACTGAGTATTTTTATCTTATCTTTAATAATACATACGTTGAATACGTTAACTCAGGTGCAAGTACTTCATCACATTTTATTAATGCTTTAAACATATTTATTTCTCTATTAACAGATAAGAAAAAATTTAATAAGCCTTAGGAATTCCTTCTCTTATATGTGCATCTCAGTGTCAACACTTACTAATGCATATACACAATGCAAATGAAACAGGAAATTAGTATGCTGGTTTATCAAGCACCAATTCAGGGCAGCCTTACTATCTTTATCTGACATTTCCATAATGGAATGCAAATTCAAATGCCAAAGAAGTTTGAAAGCAGTGACTGAGAAAAACACATTGTTTACCTGAAAATCATTAGTTATATAAAAGGCATTATGTTCTTCTCATGTATGGGGGTTGGGGGGGATATATAATACCTAATATAATAATTACATTCAAGAAACATTTGTAACTGAATTAGATATAAAATCAGTGTGGCTATTCTTATCATTAATCATAGATCTCCTTTTAAAAATAGACTCTAGGCCGGGCATGGTGGCTCACACCTGTATTCCCAACAATTTGGGAGGCTGAGGTGGGCGGATCACCTGAGGTAGGAGTTTGAGACCAGCCTGGCCAACATGGTGAAACCTCGTCTCTACAAAAAATACAAAAATTAGCTGGGTGTGATGGCTCACACCTGTAATCCCAGCTACTCAGGAGGCTGAGGCAGGCGAATCCCTTGAATCCCAGAGGCAGAGGTTGCAGTGACCCGAGATCGCGTCACTGCACTCCAGCCTGGGTGACAGACTGAGACTTGTCTCAAAAAAAAAAAAAAAAGAAAAGAAAAGAAAAAGAAAACACTCTATAGAAAATATATGTTATACGTATGTTAAAATGGAAAAGATCTTAAAGGTTACCCACGCCAGTCTCCAGAAAAATGCAAAAAGAAATCCTGTATGTGAGCTCACCTCCATACCTGCATAAGCATTTTAGAAATTCTAAAACATTAATTTCATTCATATTAAAAATAAGAACAAAACACTCATGTTTCTTATTAAAAATGTTCAGAATTTATTGTTTTTATTTGCAATTAAAATGTCAAATGCAAGAATTCACATGGCAGAGAGTGAGTTGAAGAAAACACAGGTGCCTAATTCACAAGCTACAAAAAACAGTATAAAGGTGACCATCTGGGGAAAGCTGGCTGACTTAATTTTCCTATGAGCTTACCGTCTGTTCCTTATTTCTCTTCCAGACTCCATATTCTGACCTTGAAAATGCATCTACATATTTTGCTACATGCATTTCCTTCTAACCATAAATTAACAGGTATTAAATAGATCTAATTATGCAAAGGATATAATACAACAAAGGACATATTATGTTGCCTTTTACGTAATCTCAGTTTAAAAAGGTTTTGTTTCTGGTGATGACGCTTTTCAGCCTTTTAGCCATTCTATAAATTCCTACACTTTCCATGATACGCCTGCAAGTGCAGACAAGCACAGTTCTAAGAAACAAATGCTGCTTATAGGAGGGTGGTTTACAAGGTGTAGAAAAAAGTTAGATGTCTGAGAATGTGGAGACGAGGAAACGGGAGCCTGGGATTGTGATCTTGATGTGTTCGCAATGAATTATGAGGCAATACCAGCCGGAGAAAAGAGAAGGCTAAAACAGCGAGGAATTCCTGGCTTATCAGAAATCACCGACTGCTCAAGTACCCCGAGTATGCCAGGATTTCAGAAGGAAGCATCACACTTTACTGCCATAGCGAATACATATGCTGTGTTTATTAGGTTTTCTTTTTATGTCTCACTCTGAACACTGACAATGATGCTAGTCGAATAAAACATACTTACTTTCAACTATTTGTTGCCACAGCTTTTCTTCAAGTAGTCTTTTGTTCTATTCTGCATTATTTTCTGAAAAAAATCTATAGCTATTACTTCTGTAATGTTGCTAATTCATGCTCTACTTACTTTGAGATTATTCTCTATCATTATATATTATTTGGCGTCTATGCTTCTGAAACTTGCCTCTAACTTAGAACACTTTTCATATATCAGTCCCAATTTATCCTTGGTTGTTTCCCCCACATCTTAAAGCTCATTAAGTGCTGAGCTAAACTCATCAACTTCATGGACCAACATGTTTCCTCTTTGACTTTTTTCCTTTTCCTCATTTTCACCTCATATTAGTCAATAAAGCATGCCATCAAGATCTCTTTCTTCCTTTCATTCCCATTACTCCTCCTCAAGTTAAGATCAGATCATACAGATTACTATAATAATAGAGTCCAATATCCTCAAACTATTCCAAAGAATGATCGGGTTCCGTGAACAGAGTTTCGTCGTCTGCATATTACATACCATTTGGAGACTCACAAAGTATATTGTAGCCTACAGTAAAGAAACACCTTCAATTTTGTTTAACCCAGTGTTTGGGAAACCCATTATTTTCTAATTTATTTTACCATGAAACTTTTGTTCAAGGACCATCCAATAAACTCTCTCAGAGTAATGTTTATAAAGCACGAATCTTCCCCATACATTCAATCCCGCAACCAATTTTCACATTAGTTAATAAATACACCAGTCAGATTAGTTCACTTCCTTACTCAGAATTTTCAAACACTCTCAATCAAACACTCCCATCAAAAGAAGCTTATTAATCTGCAACTCGCATGTTTCACGTTATCTTTCATGACTTTCTTCATATTGATAGCTGCCCAGATGTTAAGCTTAGCATCCATTGTACTAAAACTGCCCACAGTCATATCAAATAAATAGGTACCATCACTTGGCAATGAATTAACTTTTCACACAGAACTGTGAGACTATGGGCAACCTCTATTAATAGTTTCTAATGGTCAGGATTGTGGCTCATGCCTGTAATCTCAGCATATTGGGAGGCTGAGGTAAGAGGATCTCTTGAGCCTAGAAGCTTAAGACCAGCCTAGGCAACATAGTGAGAATCTGACTCTACAAAAAATAAATATTTTTAAAATTAGCTGGGTGTGGTGGTGAGCGCTTGTGGTCCTAGCTAGTCAGGAGGCTAAGGTGGGAGGATCACTTGAGCCTATTGCAACAAAAACAAAAATTGACAAGTGGAATCTAATTAAACTCAAGAGCTTCTACACAGCAAGAGAAACCATCAAGGGAATAAACAGACAACTTACAGAATGGGAGAAAATATTCACAAACTATATATCTGGCAAAGGTCTAATATCCAGAATCTACAAGGAACTTAAATCAACAAGCAAAAAAAAAAAAAACAAAAAAACAAAAAAAATTAACCCCATTAAAAACTGGGTAAAGGACATGAACAGACACTTCTCAAAAGAAGACATACAAGTGACTAATGAACATGAAAAAATGCTCATCATCACTAATCATCAGAAAATGCAAATCAAAACTACAATGAGATACCATCTCACACCAGTGAGAATGGTGTTTGTTAAAAAGTCAAAAAAATAACAGACATTGGCAAGGCAAGGCTACAGAGAAAAGGGAACATTTATACACTGTTGGTGGAAATGTAAAACAGTCCAGCCGTTCTGGAGATAGTTTGGGGGCTTCTCAAAGAACTAAGAGTTGAGTTACCATTCAACATGGAAACCCCATTACTGGGTATATATCCAAGAGAAAATAATTCAACCTACCAAAAAGACACATGAACTCTTATGTTCATCACAGCACTATTCACAATAGCAGACACATGGAATCAACCTAGTTGTCCATCGATGGTGGATTGGATAAAGAATATACAGTACATAGACACTATGGAACACTATGCAGCCATAAAAAAGAACAAAATCATGTGCTTTGCAGCAACTGGATGGATGCAGCTGATTAAGCTATTATCCTAAGCAAACTAATGCAGAAACAGAAAACAAAATACCACACGTTCTCACTTATAAGTGAGAGCTAAACATTGAGTACACATGGACATAAAGATGGGAACAACAGACAATGAAGAATACAAGAGCAGGGAGGGAGAGAGAGGGGCAAGAATTGAGACTGCCTATTGGGTACTATGCTCACTGCCTGGGTGATGGATTCATTCATATTTCAAATCTCAGCAACATGTAATATATCTTTCTAACAAACCTGCACATGTTCTCCCTGATTCTAAAATAAAATTTGAGGGGGAAAAAATCCTGTTTACTAAGGCTTCCAAAGGCAACCAGAATTTGATCACTTGTCATTATCTTTTCTGCTACTAGCCTGATCCCAACCACCACCATCTCTGACCTGAATTTTTTCAATAACTTTCTTACTAATCTGTCTGTCTACTCTTTACATTCTATGATCAATATAGCTGAGTGAGTTTATTCAAACATAAGTTGGATCATGTCACTAATCCACAAAATCCCTCCTGTGGCTTAGTATTTTAGAGTAAAAGCCAAAGTCTTTAAAATAGTAACCCTGAGCCTCATGCACCCCCTGATTTCTCTCTTTCTCTTTCTCTCTCTCTCTGTTTGACTTCATTTCTTACTGTCCTTTGCCTTGTTCCCTCTGCTCCAGCTCTACTGAGCTCATTGCTGTTTGTCCAACACTTTAGAACATTACTGCCTCAAGGCATTTACACTTGCTGTTTCCTCTGACTGGGCCATGCTTCTCCAATTATCCTGCTTGTTTGCCCCTTGTCCCCACTTCACTAGAATAGAAGCTTCCTGAGAGTTGAGACTGTGTCTGTTGTATTCACTGCTGCAGTCCCAAAACCTAGAAGAGAGGTTGAAATATACTGGGCCCTCAATAAGAATTTGTTGAGTGATAAGTGAATGCATTTACAAAAGAGCATACAGGTGCTTTGGAAGTAAAAGCAGAAGGATATAACCTAGGTTGCAGGAATAGGAAAAGATTTCATGAGGATTTAGAAACTGAGTGCCAAGAAGACAAGTAGACATTTGCCAGATAAAGAGAAGAAGAAGGGAAGAGCTTTCCCGCAGAGAGAGCAACACAGCAAGACTCTGAGGTACTTCTTATTTATTCAACAAATATTTGATAAAAACCTACAATGTACCAGGCTGTGTTCTAGCATTTGGGACATCTTAAGTAGAAGAGGAAGGCTATACACAAATAAACATTGGCATATGGTCAGTTAATAAAAATGTTATAAAAACAAATTAAGCTGGGATACAGAATAAAGAATGATGGGAGTAGGGAAAAGACAAGTTAGATATGGTGGATAATACTTCTAGGGAGGTGACATTTGGGTAGAGACTGAATGAAGCTCAGGGTAAGTTATTATCTAAGGAAAAAGCATTTCTGGGCAAGGCAACAAAAAATTCAAGAGGAGAAGGGTATGCTTATAAATGTGAAAAATTAAAAAATACTTACAAAGTGGTGAAAGGGCAAACTGGCAAAGAAACCATGGACCCAATTCCATAAAACCCATCAGGCCAGCCATATTAAGAATATTAGACAATGGGAAGCCACTGAAGATTTGAATGCAAAGGATGACCAGATCAATGTCTCAGGAAATAAAAGCCAAACATAAACTGGCTGTTTTAATACTTAACTCACAATAGCTTCCTTTTAAGTTCAAAAGCCATTTCAGAAATAAGGCTATAGCATCAGTTTAAATGAAAATGGTGCTATTTTTTTCTGTGAGTACATAAAAATGGTATTATAATTTAAAATGTTTGTTTTTTTAAACTTTAAAATAAAATTTGATGCCATTTTATTTGTAAAAGTATCTTTCTTCAATATTCTTATATTTTTAAATAATCTTTTTTCAAATTTACCTATTATTATTTCAGTGTTATGCTCTTAGTTTATAGTTTCTATTCTTTCACAATACATACTTTTAATAATTATAAATATGCTTATTTTATAGTCTCTGACTTTTGTGTCGAGATCTCTCCACTCTTCAAACATAACCTTTTCCCTCCAGATTTCTGTTCCCTTTGCCTGAAACACAGGCCTCATTCACGTGTTGGTTTGTTGTGTACACTGATTCACCTCATATTCTGGCTCCTCCTCATGTGTTTTTAATGTTTAATTGTGAGCACACTTTTGGAAGGGACTGTTTCTTCTATGAGAAACCAGTGTAAATAAATGTTTGAGTGCTATCTTTCGTTTTACCATCTCCAGTATGCCTTGGCCTACAATTCATTTTATGTACATTTCTTTCTTTCATTGTTTTTCTTTTCTTTTTCTTTTTTTTCTGAGACATCATCTCCCTGTGTCATCCAGGCTGAAGTGCAGTGGCACAATCACTGCTCATTGCAGCCTTGATCTCCCAAACTCAAGTGATCCTCCCACCTCAGCCTCCCTAGTAGCTGGGACTACAGGCATGCACCACCAGGCCTGGCTGATATTTTTTTTTATTTATTTTTTAATTTTTTTTGTAGTGATGAGGCTGGTCTCAAACTCCTGAGCTCAAGCGATCCTACCCATGTTGGCCTCCCACAGTACTGGGATTACAGGCATGAGCCACCGTCCCTGGCCTTATGTATATTCCTTGAAAGGTGGATTCCTGAACCAAGTAGGTGGAATATATTTAGATCCCAAACTAGGTAATGCAGTTTGGCTTATGGGCATAATGCAACTCTAATGTCTCACCTCCAGTTCTGTATTGACCTCAGGCATAGGGCTGTCTGGGACCCCTTGCTCCCTTTTCATCTCCCTTCATCTACTCTTACTAAAGTATCAGCTCACACCTCTCCATTCCAGCTTTCAATTTCCCTTTCCCTTTAATTTCAGACACTTGGAGATTCTACTCCCTCATTTTCAATCTAAGCTATAGTTTTTTAATTGTTAAATTTTATCTGGCACATCTTGATATTTGTAATGGAAGAGTTTCTGTGTTGGCTCAGTCTACCATATTAGAGACTCACTTAAAATTCATCTCTAAATTGGATTTTAATTTGAAATATGAGCAAGAACAGAAAAATAGTTTGCATAAGCAAATACAGTCATGGACTACATAACATTTCAGTCAATGAGGAGCTGCATATATGATAATGATCTCATAAGATTATGATACTGTATTTGCACTGTACCTTTTCTATATTCAGATACACAAACACTTATCGTTGTGTCACAACTGCCCACAGTATTCTGTGCAGTCACAGCCTGTACAGGTTTGTAACCTAGGAGCAATAGGCTATACCAAACAGCCTAGGTGTGTAATAGGCTATACTATCTAGGTTTTTATAAGTACACTCTATGACATTCCCACAATAAAATCACCTAATGCTTCTTTTCTCATAGAATGTATTTCCATCGTTAAGGAATGCATGCCGGTAGTTGCTGAGATGTACAAATAAGCACCAAAAATTAACCACGCTACAAAAGTGCTTTCTAAGTCTGTCTTCCCATCTGGGAACACAGTTTCTTACTCTGCTAGGTGAGAATAACTTATAGTTCATATTGTATGAGTTAACGTTGCAAAACAGTAGTAGTAAAAGGGTGTAAAACCCCTCTAAGAGGAGTTGGAAAGTGAACACAGGCTCCCTGACCTGTGGGAGAGCTTGGGAAGAAGAGACAGTGAGTACTATTCCAAATAAGTGAGAAAAATCCAGCTAAAATGTTTAACAAATTCAGGAAGGGCCAACTGTGAGCAGGGATGAGTATATAACCTTTGAGAGTGGCAAGCACTCACTGATTTTTTTCCACAAACTTCCACCGGGTGCTTCCTAGAAAGAACAGATCAGGGTGGAAAACAAGAGGTGTAGACCCATTACAACGGGGAGAAGGATAAAAGCCAAAAACCCTCTATCCCAGGAATGGGGTGGGAAAGAGAGGGCAGGAAACAGTCCTAGTCCTGAAATCCTTTGATAGTATATGTATATTGTTATAGATTTCCTACCACTGGAAAGGGGCAGGGAACTCTCCCACACAAGACTCTCCATAGACAGAAGGCTGAATTTAGTCTGGCAGACCAAAGAAAGGCAGGATCCTGAGAAAGCCCTATGCTTGAGACCCAGACACACAGAGGCTTCCTAAGACTGAGGCTGGACCAGGACAACAGAGAAACACCTTCGTCTCCACCACCAAGCTCATTCACTATCAAGTCACAAGCAATTGCAGTCTACCCCTGGGGGAAGGTAGAGGGCAAAGAGACAGAATCTCTCGGTGACACATGTGCACAGTGGAGCACCTCAAATGGTTAAGTTGAAAGTCAATATAAAATACAACTTCTCTTTTTATTTTTCTTCAATGCTTTATAAGCAGAGGTTGAAAAGTATTAGGCCCATATAGTAAATAGTTCACAGACCAGTCTCCGTCCCAACTATTCAACTCTGCAGCCGTAGCAGGAAAGCAGCCAGTAGACAATTTGTGAGTAAATGAGCGTGGCGGTGCTCCAATAAACTTCACTTATGGATGCTGAAATTTGAATTTAATATGATATCCATGTGTCACAAAATATTCTTCTTTCATGTTTTTCAACTATTTAAATATGTAAAAGCCATTTTTAAGTCTCAAGATATATTTGATATCAGGGCTGTAGTTTGTGACCTCTGGGTTAAGGTAAAATTGGTAGCAATAATTATGGGTTTATAGATACAACAATAGCACCAAAGATGGAAGGGAGCAATGGGAAGTATATTGTTGGTTGTAAGTGATATTATTAAGGAAGACTGTGTTAAATTAAGGATATATACTCTAAACCCTAGGGCCAACATTACAAACAATACAAAAAAGACAGAGCAAAATAGGCAAAGGCTCACATCAACGTTAGATCATTAAAGTATTATTTGAATATAAGCCAATTGATTAGAGCTCCATCACATTTGGAAAATTTACAGTTTACAAAGAGAAAATCTCATCTTTAAACATATTCAGGAGAAACTTTAAAAATATGCATAATTAAATTATATTCTTTAAAGCTCTGAAAATAATGGAGAGTGATCCAAGAGAAGTTTTGAAAACTTGTTAGTACATGAAAGACAGAGATTTCTTAAGGCAGAGAAGAAAAATAAAACTAAGCAAAAAACAGGAATACCTTAATATGTACCATATTAAGTTGTAATATTGGCCAGATAATGCTATCTAGTTCTAATATCCATGTACATCTATCTGGCCTATGGCTAAACTGTTCAGCTACTTAAGACAGAGGATTGCTGAGGCCAAGATCATGTAATGATTGCTACGCTCTCTTAGCTCCAGCTGTGGTATGGCCTGAATGTGTCCCTCCAAAATGCCTATGCTGAAGCCTAATCACCAATGTGATGGTGTTAGAAGGTAAGGACTTTGAGATATGATTAAGTCAAGAGGGCGCTGGAGATTAGGCCTCAGAGAGCTGCCTTGCCCCTTCTACCACGTGAGGACACAGCAAGAAGGTGTCCTCTAAGAACCAGGAAAAACAGGCCCTAAACAGACATGGAATATGCTGGTACCTTGATTTTGGAATTCCCAGACTCCAGAACCATAAGAAATATATATCTGTAGTTTATAAGTGACCTAGTCTATGGTATTTTATTATAGCAGCCCAAATAGACTAAAGCAGACTGCTGTAACAAAATGCCATACACTGAGTGGCTTAAGCAACTGATGTTTATTTCTCATAGTTTTGGAGGCTGGCACTTCCAAGATCAGAGTGCCAGCAGATTCTACCTGACGAGGGTCTTCTTCTGGTTCTGAACAGCAGCCTTCTGGATCTGTCTTCACAAGTCAGAAGTGAGAGGGAGATCAAGTGAGCACAAAGGCGTTGGGGAGGGTGGGAGGGAGCATGCTCTGCTCTCCTCTTCTTAGAAGGCTAATAATCCCATCAGGGAGGCCCCACCCTTCTGACTTCATGGAAACCTAATTACCTCCTAAAAGCCCACCTCAAGTACCATCACATTAGGGGCTAGGGCTTCAACATATGCATTTTGGGGGGACAGAAATATTCAGCCTATAACATACACCCATCTTAACATTTTCCTATTGGTGGTTACCATGTGATGCCAAACTGGCAATATTTGAAAAATGTGTGACATCAGAAGAAATTAATGTCTGCCTGGTCACAGAATATTTCATTCATCCAGAGGCATGTATCTGTCAAACTCAGCTAAGTAGGATAGGTCTGAGAAGCCAGAAGGATGCAAATATTCCCTTTGAGTTCACAAAATAAGTATCTCAGAATTCCTTCAGTAATGTGCATTAAATTCTACTGCCTTATTTGTTTTATCTTCCACTGTTTACAAAAAGCCCATTTGCTAGAAAACATGCGCTGTAATGAAATAGGAAAGGAAATAAATCCTATGCTTAGGTTAAAAATGGTTAAAAATAAAATTTTGGCCTACAGGAGTAAACATCTGTTATCTGTAAGTTTACTTAGGTAGAACATCTTTTCCAGATAGAGTGCTAGAAAAATATAGCATTACTTGGTCCACTTAAAATCCGTATTAAAACCTCAAGGCATGTATTTTAATGATGTTGGATAAGAACAGTCTATGTCTTTTAGGACATTCACAAGTAACATTAAAGGGATGTCAAGATTCTCTCTTCATGACTGAAATTCAGGGCCTGCTACATTCCCAAATGCCTTTCTCTCCTTTCACTAGGAGGCAAAGACTATCAGGAAAGAAGACTTGGGGCACTATTACCACTTTTCACTCACTTTTGTGAGCCTATCAAAATTCCAGGTCCATATAAAGAAGTTTTGTCTGTGTATTACAGGCCACTGAAAGGTAACCTGAATGTCACAGTCATGATCTCTTGGTTCACTAGCACAGCCTGGGAAGAAGGATCAAAATATGCTGGTACTTTCTTATAATTTAATCTGAGATAGTTAATTTTAAGTGTCAATTTGACTGAATTAAAAGATACCCAGATACAGTAATCCCCCCTTATCCTCAGTTTCGATTTCTGTGGTTATGGTTACCTGCAGTCAATCTCTGTCCAAAAATATTAAATGGAAAATTCTAGAAATGAATGATTCATCTATTTTAAATTGTGCTTTGCTCTGAGTAGCACAATGAAACCCCTTGCCTTCCATCTCTGTCCGGGACATGAATCATCCCTTTGTCCTGTATACACTACCTGCCCATTACTGTATAAGAAAAACAGTATACAGAGGGTTCACTACTAACCTTGGCTTCAGGCAGCCCCCGGGGGTCTTGGCACATACCCCCTTGCATAAGTGGGGGGCACTACTGTAGTTGGTAAATCACTATTTCTTGTTATGTCTGTGAGGGTGTTTCTGGAAGAGACTGGAATTTGAGTCAGTGAACTGAGTAAAGAAGATCCACCCTCACCTAATGTGGGCAGGCACCCTAGCCCAGATAAAACAAAAAGGCAGAAGAAAGGCGAACTTGCACTCTTTCTACCGGAGCTGGAAAACCTTTCTTCTTTTGTCCTTGGACGTCAGAACTGCAGTTTCTCTGGTTTCTGGACTCTGGGATTTATACCAGCAACTCATTGGGGTTCTCAGGCTTTCTGTCTCAAACTGAGAGTTACACTGCTGGCTTTCCTGGTTCTGAGGGGCCTGTGGGTCTTCTCAGCCTCCATAATTGTGTGAGCCAATTCCTCTGATAAATCCTCTCTCTTAAATTTATAGCTGTATATCTTGCTCTGTGTCTCTGAAAAACCCTGCCTAATACACTGTCTATGGGTATTTTTGCCTTTTGTACTAAGAAATTAATAACCACTATTAATAAGCACAATCATTTATTTAACATCTGCTATTTTTCAATAATTGTGCTGGACCTTAAAAATATATTACATTTTTAAATTGCTTTACCAACATTGCTATGTAAGTTCCTTTTGTAAGCATTGTACAAAGTTCCTTCCTTTTTTTCTCATACAACATACTCTCCTGGTGTGCCTTCTACCTGTCTGTTCTTTGAAGTCTTTGCAAGCACCTGTGCCTCAATTGTTCCTTGCAAGTTCATGTTCCTCAGAGCTTGCTATAGATTCTATTACTGACCTATGCACTTGCTGTTGATAGTATAGTCTAGTGGTTAAGCTTAAGTTCTCAAGAATCAACCAGACCGAGCTCCATTCCTCTTTGTTTAGCCTCTTTATGCCTCAATTCTCAATTCTTCAAAATACAAATAATGTTTTGTATTTTGTTTGTTGTGAAGATTAATTGAAATGAAAGTTTGTTGTGAAGCTTGTTGCCTTATAAGTTTATTGTGAAGATTAATTAAAATGAAACATGAAAAGTGCTAAGCACTATGTCTGTCATGTAGTAAATATTCAGTGTATGTGAGCTGTTGTTATCCTACTCAAAATATGTTATTCTAAATTATCTGCATAATAACTGTCTTCTTCCCTAGAATATTAGCTCTTTCCCTAGCCCTGCCTTGGTACTGGGCACTCATTAGGCTATCATTTACTTTACACTGAATGGCTAAGCAAAGGAAAGAATAATCAAAGGAATGTGTCACCATGCAAACTGGGTGTCATAATTCCTATATTAAAGATGAAAGAAATACAGTGTGGAGAGGGTAGCAATATTCAAAGCTTTCATAGATGGCAAGTGGCAGAACTGCAATTCAAATCCATATGTATCTAAATCTGAAGCCCATGCAATCTTTCATTTATTGCATTGGGGAAAATGCACCCCTGGGGAGAAGAGGTGGAGAATAAAATAATTGTTGAGCACTTACTATGGACCTGGTCGTGTTCTAAGCACTTGCATGTGTTTTCTCATTAGATATTTACAGCAACCTTATATGGCAGAGACTATAATTATTTTCAGTTTTACAGAGGAAAACTAAAGTACAGAAAGGATAGTAGCAGGTCAAGGTTATATGGCTAGGATGAAGCAGGGATAGACAGGACTGGGACTCAGTCATCTGGATCCAAAGCTCATACCCCTAAAGCCATGTTTGCCTTTCTCAGCATTATGTGATGCATCGCAATTAAATAGAACTAAAAAGAAAGTTAAAAGTCACTCTTGGTTATATTTACCCCAGTCAGTTACTTAGTACACATTTGATATCTGTATATGATTAGCTTATATTAGAAAAATAAAATAAGACAGCTGAACATCTACATAAACTCTAACTCCTGTCCTGAACTATCACTGAATCTCAAAATCCATCTGTAACAACTTTTACAAATTGTTATTCAATTTTGTCTGTCCATTTCCACTAATATGATGTTCATTAATTCCCAGAAGGCACTGCCTGAGTCTAATTTTAAAGAGAATAAATGTAGGAAATTTTTTCTTGAATAAAAAATGTCAGTTTATATCCTTCGCTCATTTACCTAGTTTTACCCTCTAAAACTATGCAATATTTGAAGACAAACCACTAATTTACTCAGCAAATGTTTGAGCACATATCTTTCAAGCACTGTGATAGGCAATGAGTACGGAAAGATATATATTAAAACACATATTTTTAGGGTGACAGCCATATAGAAGAAAATTTCAACCTCATGTGGTAAGTGTTCTAATAGAATTATTTAAAATGTGTTAATTGAAACATCAAGAAGTATGTGATTTGGGGCAAGAGCAGAATGGCAAATTAGGTGAGTATACAGGGCAATTTTTATTTGAACATCCAGGTATCTCCAAGTGCTTCCTGCTTCTGGAGATACCAAAATAAACTGAGCCCTTGCCTCTTCATATAGCCTGAAGGCAGCAAACATTCTCTGTCCTTGTCTCTTGGCAGGAGGGTGGAAGCACATGATATCCAGGACTCAGCAAAGAAATAATTATCATTGTTGGGTAGTTACTATATGTCAGGCCTGTTCTATGTGCTTTACACACATTAACTCATTTAAAACCAACAACTTTATCGGGTCAGTGCTATTATTACTATTTTCCGTTTTACAGATAAGAAAACTGAGACTTATTCAAGTAACTTTGAGGGAAATTGGAGAGCTATTAAGTAGAAAAGCCGTGATTCAAACCCAGGTAGGATGGGCTCTGGAGTGTATGTTTTTAAATACAGAAAGATGTGACTTCCCAAACAATACAATACTCCAGAAATGACTTCTAGTGCAATAGAAACTTGAAGAAAATAGTATTAAAATGTCACTTTACAGTTTGCACAGTATTTTGCTGTCCATTATCTCATTTAATCCTCACAACAATCTTGTAAAATAGGCATTAATACCTGACTACCACCCTCTATCCATCTGTTCCATTCTCCTCTTTATTTTCTTTCTTCTAGTTACTGCTTGCTATTGCTTGCACCCTGCAAGATGATCATCATTGCACTAGCTCTTTCCTCTTCTCAAAGTGTTCTTCCAGATCGTTGCATGGTTGTTTCTGCTGTAATGTCACCTCCTTGGAGAGCCCTTCCAGAATCTCATGGTGTAGCTTTCAGTTGTATTCCACTGTTAACTTTTCTTCTCTGCACTTTGCTCTCTGGAATCATACTATTTGTTTACTTATTTAAATATTTTATCTGTTGACTTAACTAGAACATAAGCACAGTCACTAACAGAGAATCTATCTTGTTTATTTCTGTATCTCCCTCCCTAAATATAGAGTAAACATGACATACAGAAGGCATTCAAAAATATAATTTTAGCTTTTTTTGTTCCTATTTTCATTCCTATTTTTAAAATTCCTTCTTTATTATAAATTACTTTTCCATCAATTTTTAACTTATTATTTGAATATAAGGGATTGATTTTTTTTGGACTCTATTTAGAAATAGGATCATTGATTTGTGCATATGAAAGGTTGTATTACCTTAGCAAATTCACTAATATTATCTAACAGCTTTGTAGTTGACAATCAATCTGGAAATAATTACTTTGACAGTTTCTATTTAATATTTTGTTATTTATTGTTTTATAACATTGGTTAAACCATTTTTGTGCTTTGTTTGATGTGATGTGAACAGAAATGTTCACTCTCTCACCTCTAAATATAATATTTGACAATCCCAGCACTTTGGGAGGCCGAGGCAGGTGGATCATGAGGTCAGGAGATCAAGACTTTGGTGGCTAACACGGTGAAACCCCGTCTCTACTAAAAATACAAGAAATTAGCCGGGCATGGTGGTGGGAGCCTATAGTCCCACCTATTCGGGAGGCTGAGGCAGGAGAATGGGTGAACCCGGGAGGCGGAGCTTACAGTAAGCCGAGATCGCACCACAGCACTCCAGCCTGGGAGACAGTGCGAGACTCCATCTCAAAAAAAAAAAAAAAAAAAAAAAAATTGACATTGGCGGCATTTCATGCCTAGTGTTTGTCAAGTTAAGGAAGTCCTCTACTTAGAGATTACTAAAAGTTGTTTTTTAATCAGATATTAATGTTATCTTTCATCACATGCCTTTATCAATATATACTAAAATGATATGGTTTTTCTCCTTTAATCTGTTAGTGTAAAGAGTTACAGTAAACTATTTTCTTTTCTTTTTCTTTTTTTTTTTTTTTTTTTTTTTTGAGACGGAGTCTCGCTCCGTCGCCCAGGCTGGAGTGCAGTGGCGTGATCTCGGCTCATTGCAAGCTCCGCCTTCCGGCTTCAGGCGATTCACCTGCCTCAGCCTCCCGAGTAGCTGGGACTACAGGCGCCCGCCACCGCGCCCAGCTAATTTTTTGTATTTTTAGCAGAGACGGGGTTTCACCGTGGTCTGGAGCTCCTGACCTCGTGATCTGCCCGCCTTGGCCTCCCAAAGTGCTGGGATTGCAGGCGTGAGCCACCACGCCCGGCCACAGTAAATTATTTTCTAAGGTTGAACTATCCTACTTTTTTGGACACTGATGGTTCTCAACTAGATGGGATAGAACTGCCTTTAAAAAGGGAATGTGGAAATTCATTGGGTATTTTCAGTTAACACAGTGTGATTCAAGCTGGCATTTAGCTCCTGGGAACTAAGGATACCAAACCTCTTATATGACAAATAAACTTAGCGCCCTAACTACCAATGGTGTCTCAGTTGAGAAAAACTGCTAACTGTGAATTTGTTTTTCATCATTTTTTTAAAATTATACTTTAAGTTCTAGGGTACATGTGCACAATGTGCAGGTTTGTTACATAGGTATACATGTGCCACGTTGGTTTGCTGCACCCGTCAACTCGTCATTTACATTAGGTATTTCTCCTCAAGCTATCCCTCCCCATCCCCCCACCTCCCCACAGGCCTGGCTGTGTGATGTTCCCCACCCTGTGTCCATGTGTTCTCATTGTTCAATTCCCATCTATGAGTGAGAATATGCGGTGTTTGGTTTTCTGTCCTTGTGATAGTTTGCTGAGAATGATGGTTTCCAGCTTCATCCATGTCCCTGCAAAGGACATCAACTCATCCTTTTTTATGGCTGCATAGTATTCCATGGTGTATATGTGCCACATTTTCTTAATCCAGTCTATCATTGATGGACATTTGGGTTGGTTCCAAGTCTTTGCTGTTGTGAATAGTGCTGCAATAAACATACATGTGCATGTGTCTTTATAGTAGCATGATTTATAATCCTTTGGATATATACTCAGTAATGGGATCGCTGGGTCAAATAGCATTTCTAGTTCTAGATCCTTGAGGGATCGCCACACTGTCTTCCACAATGGTTGAACCAATTTACACTCCCACCAAGAGTGTAAAAGTGTTCCTATTTCTCCACATCCTCTCCAGCATCTGTTTCCTGACTTTTTAATGATCGCCATTCTAACTGGTGTGAGATGGCATCCCATTGTGGATTTGATTTGCATTTCTCTGATGACCAGTGATGACATTCACGTGTCTGTTGGCTGCATAAATGTCTTCTTTTGAGGAATGTCTGTTCATATCTTTTTCCCATTTTTTGATGGGGTTGTTTGTTTTTTTCTTGTAAATTTGTTTCTTTGTAGATTCTGGATATTAGTCTTTTGTCAGATGGGTAGATTGCAAAAATTTTCTCCCATTCTGTAGGTTGCCTGTTCTCTCTGATGATAGTTTCTTTTGCTGTTCAGGAGCTCTTTAGTTTAAGTAGATCCCATTTGTCTATTTTGGCTTTTGTTGCCATTTGCTTTTGGTGTTTTAGTCATGAAGTCTTTGCCCATGCCTATGCCCTGAATGGTATTGCCTAGGTTTTCTTCTAGGGTTTTTTATGATTTTAGGTCTTACATTTAAGTCTTTAATCCATCTTGAGTTAATTTTTGTATTGTATTGAGTTTAATTTTCATCATGTTTTAAAACTTATTATTAACATGATTAATATACCAATACAGTTATTCTAATATCTTTTAAATAATCCCTGCTAGGGTATGCTGTATTAGTGTTTTTCTACATTATTAATATTAACTAGTTTTATATTTAATTTTCCAGAGAGTTTTTATAATATTTTGATAATTTAATCACACTGCTCATGATGAATTTATTATTATGTTGGTGCAAAAGTAATTGCAGTCTTTGATATTACCTTCAATGGCAAAAACCTCAATTACTTTTGCACCAACCTAATAAATAAAGTCCTCAATCTTTTCCAAATAAAATACTCTTAAACCAGATTATTCCAGTCAGACACCAGTACAATCAATATGCAATCAGCATTCTAATTTGATTCAATCTAATAAATGAAGGCTACATTCATTTCCTCTAAATTTTATCTCTTTTATTGTAACCTGCCATTCAAGCTAGGAATAATTTTAGAATATTGGTAGGGTTGGCCAAATTATTTGTTATTCCTCCTAGCTTAGTCACCTGTAAAGTTTGTTAAAATATATTCTATGGTGCTCATTCAAAATATTGGTAACAGTGCCAAACAAGACCATGAACCAAACTTCCTTGGAGAAGTGTTTCTACTAGAAATCCAACAATGCAATCATCCACTTTATGTATTTCCACATTTTCCACAAGGTGTCTGTGAGAGTTGTGGGGTCATGAATATATAATGAGACTATGACATATGTCTGAACTTCTGCAATGTCTACTCTTAGTGATTTTCCACGTAGCCTCTGGGATCACCACTTTCTTTTCTAAGTGCCAATATCTCATTCTTTTAAATATATATATGTACACACACACACACATTTTATATATATTTTAAAATATATATATGGGCCAAGAGGCAACAAATAGATTGCCCTATAGTTTCCCAAAACACCTTTGTCATCTTTTTGGAAGCCAGGTTATTTGTCCATCAGCAATTACTGCTCTTCTCCAATTTTCCTCAAAAATCACTTTCAGCAGTCCCTCAACTATATTCCCCAATTTTTTCTTCATTATTGTTAAATAGACCCAGCTGTGATTTCATGCTATGTTTCTCCATCTATCTTGTGGGTTTAAATCTTATAGCCATGTTGTGACTCCCATTATTCTATCTTTTTTTAGTTAAAGGTAATCCTTTGATTAATTTAAAAACAAAAGATGTTATATTGAAATATAACTATCTCCACACTGGGCAAGTAAACAAAAGTTGCACAAACAGTTAGACTTGGACTAGCTATATTGTTTCTAAGGAAAATTACCATCAATGGAAATTAGACACCCTAGCTTTATGTCCAAGATAGGTAGATACTTGAATATAACTACAAAATAAGTTTCAATCCCTCATGATTTTTTTCAAGTGGTTTTCAGGCATATTTATTTTTATTGGACAAGTGTTTGAATTCAGTTAGTATATTACTTAGCAAAATTCAATCTTTTTTTTTAAAGATCTCAATTGAATAAACCAGAACTAAGGCATGGATGAAATTAACACAATTTTTAAGGTTAAGTTCACATTTGGTAGTGCAGAGTGAGTTCAAGTTAAATCCATTTTAATTTGTTTATTAGGACATAGTTCTGTCATTCATGTATTTATGGTTAAAAAAATTGAAAAGCGTAGCTTATATATATGTGTGTGGAGGGGGGCAATTCTATAGCAACTCCACCCATTTAAAAAACCTTTTCAGTTGTATTCTGACATTAGCTCGTGCGATTCAATTCATAAGTTAAAACAGCAGGGTAAATGCAGACAACTGAAACAGGGCTATGACTATCAAAACCAACACCTCACATTCTTTCTTGGCCCTTGAGAGCACTACACTTGTAGGAGCCAGCTACATACACAGAGAGGCAAAGTGACATCCTAAGGTAGCCACTACTTTTCATTATTTTAGGTTAGAAGGCTTTTGTTTTGTTTTGTTTTGTTGCATTAAGAATAATCCATGACAGCTAAGTCTTGCTAAGCCAATTTTATTCATTCATTCACTCATTCAATCAACAAATACAAAGAGCGTGCCAACTATGTGCCACACAATGTGCTGGGTTCTACATAAACAAACCCGACATGGTCTCTGACCTGATGGAAAGTATATCCTAACAGGCAAATGTCATGACTTTAAGAAAAGAACTCAAAGAGATACTGGCATTGTGCATATAACACCATCTCTAATACCCAGGACACCTTCCTGTTTGATAGTACTCCCTAGATGTTTTCTTTCCTCTACTTAAGAGCTAGGCCTTAGTTGTGATCCCTGAAAAACAACACTCATAAGCAAGAGCATTAATTTCATAACTGACAGGAGCACACCAAATACATTTCAGGGCTCGGATGAATGACACACCAAACTAGAAAGGATTCACCAAATTTCTTATTTTTGTAACCAAAATGCTTTAGAGATTTGAGTCATTCTCTTTGTAACTTTTAATTATCAAATAAAAAACAGGCTGGGTGCAGTGGCTCTTGCTTGTCATTCCAGCACTTTGGGAGGCTGAGGCACGCGCATCACCTGAGGTCAGGAGTTCCAGACCAGCCTGGCCAACATGGCAAAAACCCGTCTCTATTAAAAAATACAAAAACATCAGCTGGGCCTGGTGGTGTTGCCTGTTGCCTCCTCGGGAGGCTGAGGCCAGAGAATCGCTTAAACCCAAAAGGCTGAGGTTGCAGTGAGCCGAGATCACACCACCACACTCCTGCCTGGGCAACAGGGCAAGACTCTGTCAAAAAGAAAAAAAAAAAAAAAATGGAAAACTCCTGGAGTGTTTTGTAACTATATAGTGTGAAAGGAAACACTCATTGATTTACAAAGAAATAAAAAAGTTCAGTTCAATTTTTTAATATTTGCTGGAGCCCAGAGAAAATATGAGAGAGCAAGCAAGCGCTTACTTGTTTGTACACTAAAACACATGCGGCTGCTGCTATGGGAAGGATTTAGGACAAGAGACATAAAATATAGTCAGCCCTCCTCTTTTCTACCCCTGATCAAAACACCAGGGCATACATCTTGAAAACGACATAAAGACTAACCTAATTTTTATTTTCCTTCTTCCTTAATCTTTCTCCGTGTCAAATTAAAACAAACAAACAAACTAGGAGCAAGAGAAGGGGCAAACCCCTCTGGAGTGTAAGCAAAAGCAATTTTCTGGCAAATACAGATTTTATAAAAACCAGTGAATAAAGCTGATTAGAAAACCTATAGGCTTCCCAGGGCTTGAATCGGAAGACGCATGAAGTAATAAGCTCTGCCTGCCTTGAAAAGTGAAAAGGGAAAAGAGAAAAATTGTAATGTATCACAAATTCTATGACAAGTGTGGCACCCATGGGATAGTTATTTGCATTCAATTTTTGTTCTTATACTTGTTTTCCATAAGGTTGAAATCCACAAAATAAAAGTTCTTGGTTTTATAGCAGATTTTTTAAAGGACAAAAGTTTGATTTGTCTTAAATGAAAAGCACACTAGGATTTGTTTAATCAATATTTTAAATTACGACTTATTTTAGAAGCCAAGAAATAAAGATTTCCATTTTCATTTTTGCAACTTGTCCAAAATGAATTTAACTCACGGAAAAGTTAGATGATAGTAATACCAACCTTGTATCTTATGTAAGCATTTAAATGCAGATTGGAAGCTACTAATCATGTCATAAGGAAAGTATTAGAAATGTTTTAATTATTCATTTTTCTCCAAGAGTTGGTTTTGTATTATTCCTTCATAAGCCATGAGTATTCAAGAGCCATTTGGCTTAAAAATTAAGGGAACAGAGTAAGCAAAAGTAAAATTTGAAGAGTTATTTTGTATTATCTTCTCTGACCTTGAGATGAAAAGTGAAGGAGAATTGGAGCTACCATACTTTAGAAAGTCCCTAAATCCATGCGGTCTTTAATTCCTGAAGCATTTCTATGTTCTTTAATATCCACGTGTTAAGTATTAAGGATTGCATTCTTCTTTGTTCCCTTGAGTTTAGCTGAAGGTCATTCCTGGTTTTAAAGATTAAAATCTGAGCAAACTAACCTCTGATGTAGAGAAGAGTTGCTATGAACATTTTAAGGTCTGGAAGAGAAGAATTCCACACTAATCTCCTTATCAGTATCTTCTCTTTGTTACAAGGGTAAATGACATGTACTACTTTCTATACCACTGTCTAACATAAAATATTGGACTAAAATTGAATATATCTCCTCTTATGACCACTTGGATTCAACATGTAGATTTATGCATAGTGACATGTAAATTACAGTGCTCAGTATATTTCTAAAAATCGAATTATAATATATGATGTTTTAGCCTTGTAATACAAAGAAGCAAAAAGCTGATCTATAGATTTTCTTAATATATAATTAAATTTCTACCCCAGGATGCATAATTAATGCGTTATTATTTCTTGGTAATTTCAGTTTTTGATCATTTTCTTGGTTATAAATGTAAAAACTGAAAGACAGATAAGTTGTGACTGTGGACCTGCTTTTATGTATACTCTTCACTCTCTCCAGAATGCTTTTCCTAAAGATCTTATTAATCTAATACACCAAAACGTAGTTTAAATTTTGCTTTCTCAGTGAGCCTTCCTCGACCAATGCTAACCAAACAGGCCCTTCTCTGTTATTCTCTATTCCAACCACATGTTTATTTTCTTCAGAGCACTTCAAATTTCAACTAATCTGAAATTCTAATTATGAGTTACATCATCTGACCCCCGGCTACCAACTTTACACATCCCATTTTTCATATTCTTCCCTCTCTCACTTTTTCACACTGACCTTCCTGGCTGTTCCCAGTATGCACAGGAGTTCCCCCTCCTGAGGACATTTCCCCAGGTATCTGCAACTTTGCCTCCTCACTTTCTACAGGACTCTTCTCAAATGTCACTGACTCAGGAGGGTGTTCCTTTACTAACACATCTAAAACAGCAGCCCCCATTTATAGCACTCTCCTTTACCCAGTTTTATTTCTTCTCCTTGGCACTTGTAGTTGTTTATGTGTGTGTTCATTGTGTGACTCTCATTAGCATGCAAATGCCATTAGATTTTATTTATTTTGTCCATTAGCACTGGCACAGTGTATAAAACAATGTTTGGCGTAAGTCTGGTGCACAATATTTATTTGTTAAATTAATTAATTAAGCCCTTACTTATCATCCATCTCTCCCATTAGACTCGTAAGGACCACAAAAGCAGAAACTTTTGTTTCTGGTATTCCTCCAGCATCTTGCATATAGAAGGTGATAAATGAATATTGAATGAATTAATATTTGCCTCTGTGTGTATTTTAATCTCCCTCTCCTAGTAGGTTCTAATTACCACAAAAAGTAGAATTATGTCTCTTTATCACACCAGTGTGTACCAATCCCACAATAGGGTCTGGCTTATGATAGGTACTCATTAAGTGAAGGATATCAAGGACTGGGACCAAAGTCAATAAGAACTTACAATGACCATAGCCACCCAGAGACCTTTACAGGGTTGATCTCAGATCTTAATGGCAGATCAAAAAGAGTTTTGGATAGGCACAGGGCCATGAAAATCTGTAATCACCTTGTTCATCCTTTTGGGGCCCAGCCTAGACCTTGAAAAAGCTTACTTCCCAGAGCAGACCCAGGAAGCTAGGTGCAGACTTCTGAGTTTCTTACTTTCAGATATATCTTTCAAATTTGGAAAGCAGTAAATCTTAATTTCGATCCCTAGCTTTGATTTGTTTGCTTAAAACATTTGCCCTGAAGACTATATCCATGTATGATGTCAAAAGGTAGCAAACAAAAATAATTCAATTGTAATATAAAAATCTCCACTAAATAGTAGAGCAACTTGAAAATATCTCTTATCATCACATTTTCATGCTTTTTCATTTGTAAAATGAAGATACCAAAAAAGAACTAGCAGCTCTAAAATTGTGGATTATATATTCAGATTTGCTGGGATGCCCTTGGGAGGCTTTGTCAAGCACCTTCTTCCCTTCCTCTCCTTTGCCCACCTGCCACAATTCCTCTTGGTTAAACATCACAGTTTTAGTGAGCTATTGTTACTGACGGCAATCCATCAAGTGTATAGGGGAAAGCTAGGTTGAGAATCTCTGGCCTATGTTATCACTATCATCCTTTCCATGGTTAAAATACTGTGAATCTATGAAATGCACCTCAGTTCACTAGGAAATCACTATATTTTAACATTGCTTAAGTTACTGCTATCCTGAGTTTACTTACACCAACTTAACATTATTTTTTTATTGTACTGTGAGTCAGGGACTATAGCAGACACTGAGAATTCAAAGATGAATTTAGAAATGGTCTCTTCCCTCACGGAGTTCTATCCAATAGGGATAGACAAATGCAACAGAGTGTGATAAATGCTTTAATGGGGCCAAAGCAGCAAGTCAATTTAGAGCGCATCAAAGGGTACCAAAGCAGCCTGGGAGAGAGGTGATCTGGAAAATCTCCCAGTAGGTGACCAAAAACTGAGTCCTAACTCTAATTAATTGAATTATAGACTGCTAAAGCTGCACAGTGTTAGAATCATCTAATTCAAACTCCTGATGTGGCACAGAGAGAATCTGATGTCCAGAGAGGCTGATGTATGCAGAGTGAGTATCAGAGTTGCAGCTAGGACCCAGATATGTAATACTGGGTTGCCTCTTTAAAAATGCACCTTTTTTGAAGGGAAATTTTTAGAACCTTTTCCTTCATCAGTTTAATAATGAAAGTAATTAATCATATTTGAATAAGATACGGAGAACAATATTTATATATATTGACTTTATGCTCAGTGGTGATGCCAATAACCCATCATCTCTTGGTTATAGATTTTCCATGAGCTGCTGATGAATTTTTTCAGACTCATCCACAGGGTAAACCTGCTTGTCTCCTGAGCTACTGCATGTACGTAATTACACTCAGAAGGACAAGTAGAGTTTGGCTGTGAACAAGAGCAAACTTTAAAAATAAATCTTAGTCCGATTAGCACCTCCTCTCATCAACCGACTGAGGCATCTAAGGGCTAAGGTAAAACCCAACATTGAAATATTTGTATTATTAGTAGTAGTGGTAGTATATAAAATGACCCAGGTATGCAATCTTCTTGGAGTTTTTGCTCCTAACATAGTCACTTGATTTGGGATGTTTAACGACTGTGATTTTGTAATGGGACAATATAAGAGCTCATTACATTAAAACATAAATACTTGGGAAGCTCATAGTTTCTGATAGCTTGCCATCTGTTTGGTTCTTACCGGCAATGGATTTATCCTGCTTAGTGCAGATGATGATATTGTGGGTAAAATCATGGATTATACAATGGATTTCTGAGGTCTTTAACTACTGTTATTAATTTTGCCAGCTTACAAATCAACATTTTCTAATATAAAATCAATTACATTTTATTTTTCAACTCTTACCCTAAGAAAGGTTGCTATGGGCACCACAGAACATCTGTTCTGGCGCCAACAGATTGCGTTAAAGTCACCCACAGTCTCTCCAAATTAAAAACCTCAAACTGAGTTCACTGGCTTTGTTACTGTACTCTCAGCAGGATGTTCTTTTGCCTTGCCCATCGTTCAGTTTAATCCTCTAGAAAGAAAATTTTTAGAGGTACATCGGACTAAATCATTTTCTTCTGAGTACACCATTTCCAAATGGCCGCCCAGGGTCCTAAATCCGGCGGCTGCGGAGAGGGACTAGAGGGTGTCCTCCTCTGCAGAGCCGTAGGACTCGAGCGCCTTCATCACTGGACGCTGGAGCCAGGAAGGAAACCCACACACTCAGGGACAGGTATAACCCCACAGGGGTGCACCAGTGAGGCCCCGATCGCAGCGGAGGACTCCATCCCTGAGCTTGTGAGGGCGTCCTGGGGAGGAAGCGAACACTTTCCCCGTTCAAGTCAGAGAGCAGGACTCACTGGGTGGCAGGTCAGAAGTTGAATTTTAACCCGACCTGCGCTTTGTCCCCGCGCCTTCCGCAGCCTGGGCGCCGCGGTGGCACCGAGCTGGGAGAGGACACGAGAGGCTGGCGCGGGAGAAGCCGAGAGTTGCTATCGACCGGGAGCTGCCGGCGGCGGGAGCAGACGCGACCCTCGCCGCTTTCGATCTCGAAGCCGCGGAGAGCCGATCTCGGCTGCTGGGGCTCGGCTCCCCGCGCTCTGCCTTGCCCTTTCGGCAGAGGGCAGCTCCCTGCCTGCTGCAGCCCCGCCACTGTGCGCCCGGCAGCCCAGGGGTGCGCCCAGCCCGCCCCCCGAGTGGCCGCCGGGACTCCAGCAGTTGGACCGACCCTCGCCCTCCGGCGCCTGGACAAACTTCCTTCCTCCCGGGCCCCTGCGCCAAGCAAGCTGACAGGCGGCTCCCTCGCCGGTCTCCTCTGGGCTCTGGCCGGGCGAGCTTGCTCTCTGCCCCTCTCCAACCCCGAGCCCCTGGCGCCTATAGCCGTCCCCGCGCAGCGGCTCCAACAAAGCCAGAGGACCGGAGACGACCCGGCGAGGGGCTGGGAGTGGCAGCGGGGACCCCAGAGCCAGAAGGAGGCGTCCCCTCGGCGGGGCGAGTACAGTGGGAAGGGGCAGCGGGAACGTAGCGGGGAGAGAAAGGGGAAGAAAGTGTTCTGTTCTCGGCGCGAACGCCTTCCTGGCTCGTCCTCGTTCCCCTTCTCCTCCTGCCTGAGCGCGTCCCATGTCCCGTTGGGAATTGGCAGGCGGGGAAGGGAGGAGGGGAGAGGGGACGCGGTGGCCTGGCGAGCGAGCCGCTCCCTTACCTCTGTCCAGGGTGAGCGGCTGGACCACTGTCAATGTCGCCATGTCTGCCGTGGGAGCCGAAGTGACGCTCGGCTTCAGCATCAGCAACCGCTCGTAGTGAGAAAAAAAGGAGGAGATTGGGGGCGGGGGTGGAGAGGGAAGACGGAAAGGAGGGGGAGGAGGGGGAAGGAAGGAAGGTGGTGGTGGTGGAGAAGAAAGCTTGGGTGGGTTGGTAGCCAGATGGAGACGCAACTGTTCCGCGGCGGCAGATCTTCAGTTGCGGTGCGGAGCTGAGCAGGTATCCGAGAGCGACTGCATCGCCGGGCTCTGGGAGGGAAGGCTCTGCCCTAGAACTTTGCTATTCCACCCCCAGGAGCGCTGGGTGGGTGTAGCTGGCGGGTTGCTTCCTTTCAACTTTCCACTCTAATAAAATGGTCAGAATATACGTGTGTGCATGCGGGTGCGTGTGTGTATAAGGGGAAGAGAGAGGATGGAAAGGGGATATGGGGAAGGGAGTGGGAGATGAGTTTTCTCAGATTAAGAGAAATTGCCAATCCAATAATCCCATCCCCTTTAGAGAGAAAATGCTTCCATTATCAGAAATGTTTGGGATGTAATTACATTTGCAGTTAATTTCTGTTGAAGTTTTTCGGAATGTTGACCTATAACGGCATATAAAGATAACTGACTAAAGGCCAGCGTTCCATCAGTAGATGTTCATTTAGGACCTGAGTATATTGCCTGGAGAAAAAAAAAAAAAAAGGCAAACCTCTTAAAAGTGCTTCAAAATAAAAAACGTGTAGGTAAGTTTCTATCGCTAAGTTTTTCTTTTTCAAGCCACTGTTAATACATTACCAATTCAGTAAATGTAGCTTAGAAACAAGTACAGTGTTCAGATTTTCTCCGAATTTTTTACATACCACATCCTGTAAACATGCCCCACTCCCCCTCACCCACCCAGCAACAAAAACTTTGCTCTTAATGTCCAAACTGATTTTGGTTGTCTATGACTACGTTTGAAAAATATGTACCTAGCACTTTTCATGTTGATTTCTAACCAGTGGTTCAGAGATGCCACTTATCGATTGATTAACATATATGCCAGGAATTGAGATAGAAGAGTTACATTGCCTTGTGCCACGCCTTGA
The DNA here is from genome assembly GCF_000001405.40 of Homo sapiens. NCBI lineage: Eukaryota > Metazoa > Chordata > Mammalia > Primates > Hominidae > Homo > Homo sapiens. The sequence continues at coordinate 80,938,769 of NC_000012.12, forward strand.
TTTAGGAGTTCAATTTAGTCTCCGACTTCCTGTAGCCTGTAATCTAGTGGGAGATGGTGTTATTAAAAACCTGACTTTAGAGTCAGTTGATCAGGATTAAATTACGAGAGCCTTCAAATACTGGCTGTGACCTCTTCGCCCCAATAAAAAGGCTACTTTCACTATCTTGTCATAGTAGGGATTCATTTCCTGACTACGAAATCAAGAAACATAAAGAAACCTTCTATAAGCTGAATAGGGGTGACTGTGGGTGCAGGATTGGAAATGACAAAGCTGCCTCCATCTTGTTTCCTGTGACAGAGCTGAATTGTTTGGGCTAACAATAAACTCTAAAAGGCAGATACTGTTTTATAGCAAAATATTTGCATATAATTGATGCCATTTTCTTCTGATTACAGATAGGATTTCTGAAGGTCTTTTTCATTTTATAGTCTACAATTGAATTTTAAAAAACAACATTTCACCAATGTGGGAAAGCCAAAGATGATTGGCCATATATAGACTTAACAGACCCTAAGAACAAACCTAAAATAGTAGTTCGATATGTTTATTTTTATTTAGTATTTAAGAAAGAATGCTGATCTTGACATTTGAGTCTTAGTCATGTACTCTTCGGAAGTCACACAATCTCTCACTGATCCTGTTTCCTCCTCTGTCATACAATGGAAATAATATCATTCAATGTCACAGAGATCTGTCATATGAGGAAACTAATTCTACCTTGCAATCTCACAGAGTTTTATGAGGGTCTAATGGAGTCATACATGTGACTGTGCTTTGAAAACAGTAAAGAATATACAAATTTATTTATACAAGCATACATCCCCTGGAACCGTGTGGTAAGCTCTGTGCTAGGTGCTAACCATGCAAAGATTAATGAGATGGCCCCCTTTCTGCCCAGTCTTGCTTGGGAGACAGTGAGCAAACCATAAGCTTCTGTGCAGTACTCTAAGCACTATTAAAAGGAAGTGCCCTCGGTGGCCAGAGGTTGCAAAAACAACTTTGGTTTTTTACCGTTATTCACATGCCCTGAATTAAGCAACAGAAAGAAGTTGAGATGAGCGCAATGATACCAGAGTGTGTTACAAGCTTTTGCACAAAGTTATTAAACCTCACTCGGTAACTGAGGATAAAAGAACATACAAATCCCTTGACTTCTAATGTAGTTATTTTACAACATCCTTTATTAGGGAATATGTATTTAAGCAGCTTGATTCATCAGCCCAAAAGTCATAAATTGTACCCATTCCAACACAAATCCCTGATTGTGGTGTCAGTGAAGGTAGAGTTTTCTTTGTCTTTTTGTTTCCTAATGCATCCTCAGGACTAAACATTTCATAGCATATTTCTGGACTTCTGCCTTGAGCTTCCTATTTGAAATTTGCTCTGTCATTCTTTCTCTGTGTTGACTCTGTAGGGTTGTTGTTGTTTTTAAATCAAGATTAAAAGAGAAATTAAAAGGAAGCATAAATCACCATAAATTCATCTGTTATTATTTTTAGTAGTGGAAAGTTCATTCCCTTTAGCTTATGTCTACACAGGTGTAGAAAATTAATAAAAATTCATTATCCATTAGAATTTGTTTTTATGAATAAATACTATCTCTCCAATAATATTTGTGAATTTCGTTTTGAGACATGCAGGGATATACTTGATCTAGTCACATGCCAGTTGCTTTGCTGTGTATTTACCTGAGAATTGTTAAAATATTTGTAATTATGCTTTTATCTTAGCTATTTGGTTACAAAATCACTACACTCTTTCATTAAATGATATGTAGAAATTTAGTTTAATGGTAACTATATTTTCATGGAGTTAACTAATTCAATAAATACTTATTGAGCACTTATATGTGCCAGACTTGGTGCTAAGTTGGTCTCTCTTTCCCTTTCTTTCCAGCCCAGAGAAGTAGGTATTTTTATGCCGTTTTGAAGATAAGTAAACTGAAGCTCACAGAGGTTACACAACTTGCTTAAGAATAGTAGCACCTGGCTTCACAATCTCCTGTGCTTTCCACTAAGAAACATCACACTTTGTTCTTTTTTTTTTTTTTTTTTTTTTTTTGAGATGGAGTCTCACTCTGTCGCACAGGCTGCAGTGCAGTGGCGCGATTTCTGCTCACTGCAACCTTCGCCCGCGGGGTTCAAGCGATTCTCCTGACTCAGCCTCCCAAATAGTTGGGCCTACAGGCGCCCGCCACCATGCCTAGCTAATTTTTGTGTTTTTTATGGAGGCGGGGCTTCACCATTATGGTCAGGCTGGCCTCGAACTCCTGACCTCAAGTGATCCGTCTCCTCAGCCTCCCAAAGTGCTGGGATTACAGGCATGAACCACCACGCTGGGCCTCATCACACTTTATTCTATGTTGTTGAAGATTTAGTGATTTCAGCCTTTTATTTCAGAATTCCAGATAAGTATATATATGGTTATAAAATCTTTTAAGAGATATATAAATATATATCTATTAAGATATATATTTTTAAGAGATATAAATATATATTATAAATATATTTTAATATAATATTAATGTATTTAATACATGTGAAATATATTTAATACATATATATGATATATTATATGTATATATACACACACACATGTCTTTTCTCTCTCTCTTTTATTTTGTGTGTGTGTTGGCTTGAGACATAGAGAGAGGAATGGATGAAGGGAAGTTAGGTCAAAGGACAAAAGAACTATGATACTGGTTCCATTATATATACATATAGGTTAATATTTAAACAACTGCCTATTTGATATATAAAATCTGTTCTTAACAAAATCATTCAAAGCTATGTTAAGGTCGGTTTCACTTAATTGAATTTTTAAAAATTATATGACAAAATCTAGAGAAGGTTTGCATAGAGCATTAGCATACCAAGGAAATGTGTTTAGTTAGATTATAAATGAAGTATAATGAGCACAGTTTCATATGAGAAAATAGCACCTTCAAACTGGAGTTCTTTCAGCCTGGGTGTTAGAAATTGTTTTTGACTGATTCAAGATAACATGTTATCTTTCTTAATTCATACAGCTTTGTCAAAACAGCACTAGATTAAGATGAAGTGCCAACCAATACTTTGAAATTTAAATGTTTATTTTTTAAAACCATCATAGAATATCTTACTATATTTAGTTTATCTTTTTTTTTTGATAACTACTTATTTGTCTGTTCATTCAACAAACACTTAATATACTGACTATATGCCAAGCACTGTACTAGGCATTGGGGTATTGCAGTGAAGAAGAAAAATTTCCTGTTCTCACTTGGCTTGTATTCTCTAAGGAAGAGAAAGTCAATAAACAAACAAGAAAGAGAGCAATTAGTGACTAAGTATTGTGCAAAGAATGAATAAATTGATGACTAAACTAGATCTAGAATAATGTCAGAATTACAAAAGACAGGGATAGGGAGAATGGCCTTATAGGGAGCAGGAGAGAAAAGCCAGGGATGAGGAAGCAGGCACAGTGTGTATTTGGGTAAAATCGGCAGTTCATTTTGGAGTATAATTAAAAAAAAAACAAGCCTAAATAGAGCTATTGAGAGTTAGGTGGTGGAAGGTAATATAATTAATGAACAGAAATACAATGAACCTTTCATTAATTTCTTTGTGCCAACCATACAATAAAATGTATGAATACAATCTATGCTAAGAAAAATATTTGTATCATAGCATCTGCATTAAAAATTACTAACTTCAGAATGAAGAGTTACTAATTCAGAGTTAGATGTTAAAATATTTCGGATGAAATTAAAATATTAAAAGTAAATTCTAAGAGTGGGCGCGGTGGCTCATGCCTGTAACCCCAGCACTTGGGGAGGCCAAGGCGGGTGGATCACCTGAGGTCGGGAGTTCGAGACCAGCCTAACCAACATGGAGAAACCCCGTCTCTACTAAAAATACAAAATTAGCCAGGCATGGTGGTGCATGCCTGTAATCCCAGCTACTCGGGAGGCTGAGGCAGGAGAATGGCTTGAACCCAGGAGGCAGAGGTTGAGGTGATCTGAGATCACGCCATTGCACTCCAGCCTGGGCAAAAAAAAAGCAAAACTATCTCAAAAAAAAAAAAAAAAAGGAAATTCTAATTATTATTATTTTTTATTTTCTCCGAAAGAAATAACACTTCTCTGTTTTCACAGTTAGAAGTTATGACTGATCTTTCAATAATGAAATTTAAATTCAAAGCTTAGTTTTTTGTTTTTCTTTATTCATCCCAAATTCATATTTACATCTCTCGCGAATGTCTAGAAATACAAGAAATATTAAACAAACTAATTTTTAAAAGTAAAGCAGTCTCTTCTCACATTTGCTCAGGAGATGATATTTCTAAACTATTAGAACTCACAAACTTTAACAATTTAAAAAACATGTTTATTACCATTGTCATCTAAACATTTTAAATATATTTAACAGTGAGTAAAAAGTTACGCTTTTGTCCAACAAATTAAGCACCTGCAATATGCTAGGCACTATTCTGTGCCTGGAACTTAGTTTTGATGAAGAGAGACAGATAAAATACAAATTAGCCATTCAATCAGATAATCTTAGATATTGATTATCATGAACATTGATGTGTTGAAGCCTATTCACACTGTATGTGAGACCCAATAATGTGCATTTTGTCTCAACATCACTTTCAGTTATATCACATTGGTATCTTTTGATTGACCATGGTGGCAGTATTTAAACCATTGGGATTGGTAAATACTCTATTCCAATTTTTTTTTCTCCCTCTAGAGAGCCACTTGTTAAACATTTACCAGCATACCACAAAGTATATGATGACAATAAAATAGGATGTTGTGATGAAATATACAGCAGGGAAAGAGGTTACTTTAGAGTGGTCAGGGAAAAAGTCACATTGTACTTAATAGAACATTTTTTAAAATAACAAATCTGCACTGCACTTGATGTGTATGTACTGACTAGGACACAGGACTAGAGATGGAGTTAGAAGTAGGAGACATTCATATTTTTATGGAGTTTACAAAACAATTGGAAAATAAAAGCATAAAATTAATTACAAAATGATATATCAATAATAAACAATACTATAAATTTATATGTGTTAAAGGGATACAGAAATAAAAAAGGTAAGTGTGGATTGTGATGACTTTCTGGAAGCAATTTATGTTGACTTCCAGAAGAAACTTAGAAATATTTACTTTCTTGCATGTAGATAGGAGAATGTTTTACCTTTGAGCAGAGAGAGCTACTCTTTGCAACTTTGAATCAGAGGATTGCTAAGTAGACCAGGAACTTCTTCTTCTTCTTCTTCTTTTTTTTTTTTTTTTTTGCATTCCTGTATGTGTTTTATTTCATTTTTATTTTTATAAAATAAAAGGAATCTAAGGAATTTCATAAAAAACTAAAGAAAGAGGAGGGGCAAAATGAATATAATAGAGTCTCAGTGTGGCTGGGGAATCTTACCATGGTGAAGGGACAACACTGCCACCTGATACTTGGAAAGGACATTAATGATAGCTAGGACTTGTTTGTTTGGGACGCTGGCTTTATTTAAAACATGGTTAAAATGGCTTTCTCTTGAGGAGCACCTCAATATCTGACTTCTATCCCTTTAAATATAGCTTAACTTACTCCTTCCACCAGCAAAATTTATCTCTAATTTTGGTAGTATGGAATTAATGAAAGATATTAGGAAGAAACAGATGAACAGGCCATCTTCAAATTCTTCACATTCTTACACTGAACAGTAATTGGGGCTAGTAACAGAATTTACTCTAAGTGTGCTGGGAAACATACATGTCAGTAATTAGCAAGTTTAAGAGCTAAATGCACAATTAGCATGGACAGCACATTCAGTAGAGAATTCCAAACTCTCTTTAGTTTTATCCTCCAATGCTCTAATTTGGAGCAAAAAATGCTATAATTTTAGTTAGTTTATATTTAAATATCATCTTTCTGGGCCCAGCCTAAAACATAGAGTGCCCTTTTCTCAAAACTAATTAGGAGGATCAAATTATGCTCCTCTAAAACTGAGTTCCTTACTCTCAACTTCTGTGGTTTCCTGGCTTTTCTGGTCCTGGAGGAACTCTTACACTCTTGCCCCTCAGGTGGGCCTTTCTGACCCTGTAATCTCCTTATACCATTCCTGAGTCTATGCCATTACACAAGGCAGATCCACTTCCTGAAATGCAGTATCTCTGAGAAGTTTCCTCTTCTAAAGTTTTCTTAATTTTGCTTATTGCTTTAAGCATTTACTCACATAATAAATCCAGTTGTGACTTTATTGTAGTCTTTTAGGGATTTAACTAGAATGGGAGCAAACGAGGCAATTGAAGATGGTTTTAACTCTATGTTAGTATCTCAAGGCTCCTGTCACCCAGAATATTGCATAGATTAATTGTGGTAAACCAACCTGAATATTTTTATTTAGACCTCAAATCAAAGAAATCCCCAAAAAGTAGAGACAGCAAGCAAATCTCTGCCATCTTTATCAAGGTAAGATAAGCAAACAAACTATTAACTCTTTTATATATCTTATATATTCTTTCCTTTACAAGAGTTTTTGTTTTGGAATTTTAAACATAAGACAATGCACATGTCAAACAATTCAAAAGGTACTGCAGAAACCCACTCAATCACAAGTCATCAATGTTAAGAAGGATTTTTTTTGTATATTTAATACCATATATTGTATGAAATATATATAACATATATTACATGTGCACATATCTTTTTAAAATTCCAAGTAGAATTCTACTGTGCACTATATTTTGCATATTTATTTATTTTATTTTAGTGATATTTTCATATCAATACATATAGATCTATATAATTCTTCTTAACTACTTCATAACATTTCATTAAAATAGCCTGTCATAGGTGTACTCTCCGGTTGTTTCTAGGCTTTTGCTATCTCAAACAGGGCTATGAATGAAAATCAGTCTTGTTTATAGCATCTTTATAAACATGAACTCCACTCAATTATGACCTTGTCATTTTGAATAATCCAGTGCTAATGTGGCCATTTTCAATTTTGTGCTTCCAGATTATAATACCTGCGATGGATTTATTCCTGCTTCATTGCATGCATTCTTTCATATGCCATTTGTTACCACTTATTTATAAAAATGTCATATTTAATTGAATTTATAAAACCTAAAGTGATTAAAAGCAAAAAACTAGTCACCATAGACTGATGACAATTTTTCCATTTGAAATACGTGGTATCATGCACTATCCAGCTGACTATTCAGTAAGTCAAGAGATCATGACAATAATTTTCTACTAAGAAACAAATGGTATATATGTCTGAAGGAAGATAAAAATTAAAAGCCTAAAAGTACCGCTTTTTGCAGTGACTCACGCCTGTAATCCCAGCATTTTGGGAGGCCAAGGCGGGCGGATCACAAGGTAAGGAGATACAGACCATCCTGGCCAACATGGTGAAACCCCGTCTCTACTAAAAATACAAAAATTAGCTGGGCCTGGTGGTGCACACCTGCAATCCCAGCTACTCAGGAGGCTGAGGCAGGAGAATTGCTTGAACAGGGGAGTCGGAGGTTGCAGTGAGCCGAGATCGCGCCACTGCACTCCAGCCTGGTGGTGACAGACCAAGACTCCAACTAGGAAAAAAAAGTATGTATTTATCATGTACCACATGATGTTTTTAAGTATATACATCACAGAATGACATGTCTAGCTAATTAACATATGTATTAACTCATCATATTATTATTATAGTGATGAGAACACTTTACATCCACTCTCTTATGTCAAGAATACATAGATTACTAACTGTAGTCATTATGCTGTACAGTAGAGCCACTTTTAGATATTTGTTTTATTGAACATTTTATTTCCATTAAATGAAATAGTATAGGAACACAATGAAAACACAGAGATGTTTAAGTACTTTCATTTTCAAATAAAATGACATGTTGATTTATTAACTGAATCAAAAAGCTAAGTACAACTTAAAACAATAAATACTATTCTTTCATTAAATTTTATTAGTAGTTAGTAATGCAAAGACTATTTTAAAAGCTAGTGCATATAGTGCTCTCTACTGGCCTTATCTTTATTACAACTACAATCAGTGTCGAGTTTGTAGTTATATGGGAACCATCATGAAAATCTTCTATACTGCAACTACAATCATCGTCAAATTTGTAGTTATGTAGGAAACATCATGATAAACTTCTGTCTCCGAAGACTAATAGTATTTTAATTTTAATTTCTTTTTGTTTTCTCCTTTAGGGGTGTGTGTGTGTATATGTATGTGCATTCAAAAACATTCATTCTTGAACTTCTATACTGAAGTCAGTTGTGAATTCTGCAAATAAGTTGCTGGCATACATCATCACAAATAATCATGTAATAAAGAGAAAATACAAAAAAGATGGATGTAGAACAATAACCGAACTGAAAACATTATGCCTTACATAAGTCAGTAGCAGCTACAATGCTTGCTTTTATTGTCTTTGGAGAAAACAAGTGAAGGCCTCCCAGGAGCAGAATGGGTGGGTGTGTATATTTAGGAAATCATGGTGGACAGTGACCACCATCATAAGCTCCTTTCTTTCTTTCCTCCAACACTCCTTACTTCCTGCACCATCTTCTAAAGACTCCAGAAATCTTACTGGTGCTTTTTTAAAGCTTAGGAAAAAATGTTGGAGTGGTTATGAAAGACATTTGCTTCAGGAGAAATAGAGAGAGAGAGAGAGATTGGTTCATTTATTCTATAATTTCATGTCTAGTTGATACTAAGTGCCACATGCTGTGCTAAGCACTAAACATTGAGCGGTTTTCAAAACCACCAATACCCAACTGGAATTATTGGTATTTGTAGGAATTATTCCTCAATAATATAAATGCAATTGAGGAAAGTACATCGTGCAATGAGAAAGCCTGTAACTGGTACATAAACCGATCTGGGATTCAGAAAGGATATCTCCAGAGCAGTAACACTTACGGTATAATGTGAAGAATGAGTATTAGATGTTAACCAAGCAAAGGTGAGGGTTGTAGAGACCATTCCAAGATCAGGTACCCTATGGGGTACCTTAGGCATGAAAGCACTTGGCCCTTTCAAAAAGCAGAGAGAAAGGTCAATGTGGCTTAAGGAAGCAGAACCAGAGAGTCTGCCAAGCTAAGGTAAAAATAACAGGTCTTGAAAGCCACATGAGGGATTTTGGATTTCATCCCAAGAGAAATGGGAAGTTATGGGAGTAGTCTTAAATAGCAGAGTAAGTGAAATAAAGAGATTTGTATTTTCTTTAATATCTGAATGCAATGTGAAGAGTGATCAGGGTGCAGGGAGCAGGTATAAATTAGAAGTGACCATTAAAGAGGTTATTCAGCAATCCAGGTAAGAAAGTACAGTGGTTTGGACTACAAAGATGGAATTGAAATTCAATGAAGTGGATGGATCCCAGAAATGCTTGAAGGATAACACCCATGGCCTTTGGTAAGATTGTATGCAAGTGGTAAAGGAGACACAATATTAAAAAGTGCCTCCTAGGCTTCTGACATGAATGAATGGATAAATGGCGGTAGGAAATATTGAAGGAAAAATTGGGAAGAAAAGTTAGTTTTCAACTTATGAAGTTTGACATCAAAGTTTGACACTTTTGAGATGTCAAAATGGTTATGTCATAATTGATGAACTATGAGTCTGTAGCTAAGAAAAGTCCTGAACTAGAGGTATAAACTTGGAAACCATTTGAATTATAATTGAAATTACTAGAGAGGAGGAAACCACACAAAGAAAGACTACTGAATGGGGAGTGTCTCACACTAAACCCTGATGAAATCCTACATTTAAAGTTCATATAAAGGAAAAGGATCCAGGAAAGGAGAAACAAGAGGTAGAAGGAAAACTAAGAGAGACTGATAACATACACAGCAAGGGAATACAAAAGAAATGGGCGCTGTGTCACAAGCGCTGCTGAGAGAATAAGAGCCAACCTGAACAAAGACCCTGGATTTAGTGATATAAGAAACAAAGCCATGTACTGAGACCAAACTAGGTCTGAGAAGAGTACAGAGTATTGAAATAAATATTGCATAGAGGTTTTTTTTGTTTTTCTTTTTTTAAGTGTGTGTGTGTGTGTGTGTGTGTGTGTGTGTGTGTGTATATATATATAAAACTTACATATATACACATATATGTGTATATATAAGTGATATACATAAGTTATATACATATAATGTGTATATATATGTTATATATATAGAAGTTATATATATAGAGAGAGTTAATAAAATGTATATATATAGAGAGAGAGAGAGAGAGAGAGAGTTAATAAAAGTGGATCGAGGTCCAGGTTTAATCAGTTTTTGAAGGATCTGCTTCACCTGAGTTGATGGATACTGCCTTGGCCATATAGGTTCTTCCATTCTCAATCCTCTTAAATGCCAAAATATGGACTCTATGAGTAGCTTTGTGAATTACTTCTTTTAATAGTCTTCAAAGTAATGCGTAATACTCTATAGTTCGGCTATTGCTTAGTGGCCTCAATTTCTCCATAGAGCACTGAACTGATTTGGAGCAGATGATCTTTCCCATCATGACTGCCTGACTGAGTAAACGTGGATGGAGGAAACCCTCATGACTCCAGGAAACTTCCTGTTCAGGATTTTCCAATGTGGCCATCATTTTTCTAAAGCAATACACTGCTAATTCTATATTGTTTTATGATTAATGTTTAGTACATGATTCTAGGCCTACTAAAATATTTGAAGCTGATTTTTACTTCTTTATTTCTATTTGATGTTACTTACTATGCACCCATATACATTGATTCTGTCTTTGGTGCACACAGAGAGAAAGCAACTCAAAAAAAAAAAAAAAAAGAAAAGAAAAGAAAGAAAGACAGCCCTGATATTGACAAATATATCATAGAACAAGTTGCATCCATCTGAACATGTTGCTCCAGAATCAAGACAAAATATGAAAACATTTTTGAGCCATAATGGAATTTGATACTCATTACGAGTATCAAATTTAACCAACAGTGGAAAATGAAATGAGACCCAGAGAGATTATATCAACTGCCCCACTATTCCTAGTTGGTGAGGAACAGGGCTGAGACTGAAGTCCAAGTTTCAACCAGTCCAGTGCCCTTTATACTACACTGTGTTATTACACTAGATTGTAAATTCCACAAGTAGAGGGACAATGTTTGTTTGCCACTGCATATTCATTGCTTGGCATTTTACTGATACCCAATAAATATTTGTGAATAAAAGAAGTAGAAGGCCAGCACAGTGGCTCACGCCTGTAATCCCAGCACTTTGGGAGGCCAAAGCAGGTGGATTGTTTGAGCCCAGGAGTTCAAGAACAGTCTGGACAACATGGTGAATCCCCGACTCTACAAAAAAAAAAAAAAATACAAAAATTAGCTCAGCATGGTGGTGCGGCCTGTAGTCCCAGCTCCTTCAGGTGGGGTTTGAGGCAGGAGGATCACTTGAACCCAGGAGGTCAAGACTGAAGTGAGCCATGATCACACCACTGCACTCCAGCCTGGGCAATAGAGCAAGATCCTGTCCCAAAATATAAATAAATACATAAATAAAAGAATGAGTAAGAGAACAATATACTGCCCAGCAAATAATCTCCATTTAAAATACATTTTACAATGGAAAATCAGTTCAACTACAGTTATTAACTGCTCACTTTGTACAAGATGTTTTATCTACTATGTTCTATGGAGATTTACAAGAAAAAAATAAATAAAATGTGGCCCTTGCCCTACAGGAACTTAATATTTATCACAATTCTCTGCAAAACAGGGTAGGACATGGTAAGCACCACCATATATAAGAGATATGAACACAGTATTACATGGAACATGGAAAGCTTCATGAATATGGTGGTATTTATGCTGGATCTTTTAAAACAGAAGAGTTTTTAGGTGGAGGTAGGATTGAAAAACATTTCAGTTGAACTAAACAGAATGTCTAAATGTACACTCAGGAAATGATGGTATGTGTTTTATTATTGAAACAGTCTACTTGTCTGGAACATGGGAGACATGAAGGAAAGTGGAAACCTGTGAAAAGTAGAAAGAAGCTGGTAGAAAAGGGAAAAGAAAGATACCACAGGGGGCTCTGAGAGTTACCTTAAGGAGCTTAAGATTCATTCAGTCTAAAGCTTTTTGAGCAGGAAGGTGACAGGAGGTCCTTCTTGCCAGTGTATTAAAACTTATTATAGAAAAATGATGATGAATTTTAAAAAGGTATAATTACAGAATGTCAAACAAAATTATCCACATGAACTAATGATATTCTATGTTAATATGAAGAGAAGAGATTCATTCTCAGGTCATGGAGACAGGCCTTCACACCACACTACAGCTTGACTCATTGGCTGGATGGCCCTCCATACAATTTTCTTCAATGTTCGCTATGGCAGAAATGAAAAAAACATTACTTTTTTGAAGATTTATAAGTCTGACTGTAGAAAAATCAATGGTATACAAAGGAAAGTATGCAGTGGCCTAAGTGTAAAATTCTGAAGACCCACGTTTTCTTAACATCCCACACCTTTCCTAAAGTGTCCCTTTATATACCCCCAAATAACTGTATAACTGTATTCTTTTGTGAATACCCTTTAATTATAGTAGCTTATCTGATCCCAGGTAGTATAAAAACATGGTAATAATTAAGTCTCAAGATGGCTTAAGTATTAACAGACTTGTAAATAAAGAACAACAATGAAATAATGAAAAAAAGCATGAGAGATTTTGACGGAATAGGATATAAAAAAATATTGATACTACATCAGTGATGAGAGGTTCATTCTGGGAAGCTTTGGGGGAATTATTAAGGATACCTATTTATTTCAAGATGAGTTCTGAAATGATGATGTATTCATTTAGTTGAAATGTTTTGAGAACAATGAACTAGATGAAGAGAGAGAATGGCTATGGAGATTTAAATGGTGGTGCATACACTGCGTCATTTATGTCAGTTCTGTTATAATTACCATTAATCCCAATTTTACAATAAGAGACAAAGCCTAAAGAAAATGTAAATATCATGGAGCCTATAGAAATGACAGAATATTATCACATGGGAAGAAGTTCTTCCCCCTTCCCTCAGGTCTTTATGTGGATTACATTGCCCCATAGATTTTTAGCATCATAATGTTTTAGTACATAATCACTGGCATTTTGATTCAGACTACTGGAAATATAAGACAAAGATGTGTGTAAGACAAATATTAAACATACACATGGGATTTATCTACCATTATCATGTGGGATGTATGCACATGATATAATTCTTGAAACAGAGTATCTACATTTGATGTCAGTGGAACTTTCACATTAATAAATGAGATAAAATATTTAGGGAATAAGAGAGATGGTAAATGAGCAGGTTAACAATTTTGTGTTATGTGCAGCTCATAATTGTAGCTTTGTGAAGAGCTCCCACTGAGTCAATGGGAAGTGTGGGTAGAGGTTAGTGCCAGGTTAATTGTTGTATTCAACATCTATCAGGAGAAAAAGTGGAGATAAAATTGCAGCATTTATGTTTTTTCCTTTCAATTTTCCTTCATCTCAATACTTGTTAGGTTTTCTTCCCTTATTATTTATATCCATGTGTGAATTTTTTTCTTCCCCTCTCTCTTTGGTTTACTGAAGAAATATATGTCATAAAATTGACTTTCAAGGCATTAAAAAAAATAAAGACAATGTCATTCACCTATTCATTTTCAATATAAAGTTGAAAATATAGTTCCATGGAAAATATTACAAGTAATCTGATGGAAAAATAGATTTTGTAAGGAAAGAAGTGTTTTACCAGCTGTCTCTGTGGCATGCTTGGGATTGTAGTACACCAACAATACTAAACCTGCAGGTAATTTTAATTATCATCTGACAAGTCATTTTTCTTTTTTAGTAGTTCTCTAGCCCTTTGGGATTCACTCCTCTCAATGACTATAGATGTTTCTTCCATGTAATGAAAGAACTTGAGACTTCAAATGTGCAGCTTTCCAATTCTCTATGAATCTTCCTCTTTGCAATGTGATTTAGAGCTGAGTTATAGTATAATTATATGTCAAGGGTACTACTATCTAACCTTTCATCAACTCCAGGTTGACGTCTTTAAATTTGAGGCTTGAAATTACTATACTATTTTTTTACTTCTTTCTTAATTCAGAAAATTAACATTTATGTAAATTAAAGAACATCTGCATTTTACTACTAGTCTGATTTTACTTCTCACCTACTTATTCTTTCTTATACTCACCTTCAAATTTTCCATATCTATGTTTGTTTTTACTTTCATCTCTTTTATCAATATTAATATTGCCTTTCTAAATTTTTACTTTCTGAGACATTCCATTACTAAATTTGGAAAGAATTTACACAAATCCTGAGGGAATTGATAGCAAAAAGAAAAATGAAACAACCTTCTGTGAACTGTAAATGTTCATGTTTATTAAATGCAAAAAATCATTCTTTAAAGAGGAATAAACAAAACTACTTTTGCTTTGTGTCTTCACCTTTTGAAGAGAGCTCTGAAAAAAAACCCATCAGATTACATATGTTATTGAATATTTTAGTGAAAGAACCATTCAAATTAAATTAGTAAGCTTTGATGTCATGTATGTGTTTAAAATCACTGTTGAATGCTTACCTCACTTAAGTTTTTTGGGAAAGAAGTCTATTTTGACAAAATAGTTATTTAAAATTGTAACTTATTTTTTATAAGTCTGAGTACATTCTATGGCAAGCATATATAATTATATTTGTTCATAGGCTTATTGGTGATTTTGAGGAATTTTTCTTTTATCTCTATGAAAACAATGAGTCATTCATTCATTTTCCTAGATATACAAAATCCAAATTCATTTTAAAATTTAAAATAAATTAAATTAAGATATCTTCCTGCAACTTGGTAACATCATTATCTCCATCAGATGAGATATTCTCAGGAGGGCATTACCTTATTGCATTGAAGGGATTATAAATGTGTTATTTTCAGAATGAGATAGATTTCTGTTGCACTTCTTTATCCTCTTGGTCTGAAATCCCTACTTAAGAATTCATTTTAACAATAAGAACACATGGACACAGGAAGGGGAACATCACACACCGGGGACTGTTGTGGGGTCGGGGGAGGCGGGAGGGATAGCATTAGGAGATATATCTAATGCTAAATGACGAGTTAATGGGTGCAGCACACTAACATGGCACATGTATACATATGTAACAAACCTGCACGTTGTGCACACGTACCCTAAAACTTAAAGTATAATAATAATAAAATTTAAAAAAAACAAGCAAAAAAAATGAGAACACATGGACACACTGAAGGAAACAACAGAACTGGGGTCTTGAGCATGGAGGGTGGGAGGAGGGAAAGGAGCAGAAAAGGTAACTGTTGGCTATTGGGCTTGATACCTGAGTAATGAAATAATCTGTAAAACAAACCTCTGTGACATGAATTTACCTACATAATAAACCTATATGTGTACCCCTGAACCTAAAATAAAAGTCTAAAAGAAAAAAAAAGAATTCATTTAGTAATATTCTGGTGTTGCTAATGGTTTAGAAGTTTTCCTTTGGACACAATAGCAATTGGTTATCAAACCACTGTCTAATTCTATTTGTATCATTGGAACATTTAGACGTTAAAAATCCATGAATACTTTTTCAGAAGATTTAAAATGTGAGAGTATAAAAATAGAATATAGACAACTGCAATTGATCCCTCAGCTTGACAACAGATGGAAATTTTTAGAGCTAAACACATTATTTCTATTATCTAGCCATAAAAGGAAAATATCATGATGACAACTGCATTTATCAATTTCAAACTAGATTCTCATAATCCTCACCTTGTACCAGAATTTTATCTGAGTTCTAAAATATAAACATCAAGACATACTTCTATTCATCTTACAGTTTTAAATAATTTTAAGGAAACGATTCGGTCCCATTGATTAATACTTGACATGTTTCTATGAGCTAAATGAATGCTGAGAAAGTGAAAGCTCCTTACTCATTTAAAGTGCATAAGCTGCACATGGATAAGGCCATGTTTGGATTTGTTGTTTTGCTTTGTTTTGTCCACAAATCTGACATAGTGGTGAATGAAAAATGAATAAATGGGAAGAAGTTAAGGGAAAGAGGAAAGGGGCAAATGGATAATACAAATATATTTCTAAGTGTTTATCTTATATCTCAAATTTTGTACATTAACTGCAATATAGCAAGCAGACTAGCGTTGCCTAAAAAAGTCTGAGCCCGAATGAATTCCTAAGTTATCTGTAATTAGCATATCCAAGCACCCTGTTAGGGATGGCTGGCTTCTACTTACATTGTCTTTGCTTTACAGGCTGTCTGGAATTTTGGAAGTTACAGCGAGATTACTTCTAAAGGGTTAAACTCTAAAGTTATCTACTAAGGCAAAAATTGCCCTTGAAATCCCTTATATTACCCATAAAACTTGATTTGGAAGATCTATATGTTTACATTGTAATTTGTAAATGCATTAAAATTTGAGGAGTACTGTGCTGCGCTTGAGGCAAAACCAAGTCAAAACTCTGGGTAGTGAGTGAGTGACCCATGTGACCCGTAGTGCTCAGTGACAGTATAGTTTAGAGATTAAGAGTCCCTGCTTTGAAATCTGTGTGCTGACTCTGAATCCCAGATCTATGGCTCAGCAGCTGTGTGACCTTGATCAAATGACTTAATATCTCTTGCTCCATTTCCACATCTGTAAAATTGGATTATAATTGTACCTATGGAGTAGATTGTTGTGATAATCAAATGAGATAATCTGTGTAAATGGTTTGAAATAGGGTCTAGCGTGTAATGAAGTGTATTTGCTATTCCTCCTGACTTTATGGTAACTATAAAATTCCTAATAAAGAACAAATGATGGATGAGAATTATAAAATGTTTTTGTTTGCCTGCAGAATTTACTCCATTCTATTTTCATAAATCAGCCTCTGTAAACTTAATGAATATAAATAAATAGTTTCCTGGGAAGAGGTAAGGAGATAAATGTCACTGACACACAGTAGGTAATGCTTACTGGATATTAATCTAAATCTTGATTGAGCAGATAGATGCGCATGCTATTCTTGGAAAAGATAGAACAATTACCTTGGCTGCCCATGTCCTATCTTTCCAGCCTGTCCCTACCTTTGGATGCCCTACTGAACAGGAATCAATCTTATGCTCTTAGGTATCAAATGCAGATTAAGTGAGAGTTACATTCTAAGCCCAGCTCAAAAGTTAAATATACCTGTAATGTAACTCCTTATCACTAAGATCTACCAGTTTAGTCCTCCTGAATAAATCTTTTTGGCTCATTGGCCAAAAAGCCTTTCCTGTCATACTTCCTGGCCACACCTCAATAGCATATCCAATCCCGGTTAGAATCACCAAAGGAATGGTTCTTCCAGGTGCTCTGCCATGAGGCCCCCAGGTTCACTTCCATACATACACACACACCACACACACACACACACACACACACACACACACACATTCCTTTTGTACCACCAGCTATTTAAACTTTTACCCCTTCATTACCATGATCTGAGTCCTTGCCTCCGATTAAATAAGGGCAAGCTGTATTCTTTCCTACTGAAACAGTGGTGGCAGATGTATTCTCAGCATGTCCAGCTAAATATCTCATTAATTTAACCAATTTTTATTCAGTATTGCAGCATGTCAAAGATTATGTGGTGCACTTAATATACTAATAGGTGAGCAACATACACTGAATTCATGACACCTATTATCTAGTAGGGAAGAATGAACATTATATTCATAAATATTTGCTGCAATATATGAGATTGATACAACTCTGTAGCTAACTATTCTTTGTAGGATGGTCAGAACAAAGTATATCCTACATAAATTTGAAATATTTGTGTGCATTCGAGTATACGTATATTTTAATTTGAGTGACAAGTATAGTCATTTGATAAATAACCATTTTCATCTGTTTTACTTTTCATCTGTGAAAGAGAGAGGGTCAGGAGGAGTTTGATATTTTTCATTGATTTGTCTCATTTTACCAGTGGCTATATTATCTTTTTGAAGTGAATCTTTCCATTTAACTTTAAGCTGGAAAATGAGGGAAACACTGTTTCACAAACGCTGTACCTTTGTACTATATTTAAATAGAGATAATTATTTTTTCATCAACCTCATCTGAATATGAGTCAAGTTGCTAAGACATCAAAGCATGTTGGCCAAAGCTTATCATAATGATTTATAAATATTTGGACATTCTATAATGTCACCACAATGTTGCTTTTTTTCTGATGCTTTTCATTACTATAATGTAAAATAGGATTTGCTAATTACAGAAGTAATGATAGCTACATTGATTGAGGGCCTACTGTATGTGCCAGGTACACAAAGGATATTTATTAACATTATTTTATTTCATCTTTCCTGTACCTTTATGAAGGTATTGTTTTCTATTCGCAGGTAAGGAAATTAGTACAGAGAGAGGCGAAGGAACATGACCACTTTCTCCAATAAGCCAGACTCCAAACCCCACCTTTCTTCTTTTCAAGAAACAACATTAAGGAACCCATCAGGGACCATAGCAACTTGTATTCACTGTTCAAAGGCTAACTCACCTATCACCATCCCAGTCTGTTCCTTGTTTATAGTTCTGATATTAGTATTCAAGGTTGGCAATTGTTTAAACACCAGCAGTTTACCTTATCACCAGGATTTGAACTGATACGACTACTTCTTTGAATAAAACTCTAATATGGACAAAGCAGATAGAGACACCATAATTAAAACAATGAGGCTAGAGATGGATTTATTTGATGTTACAATGTATTTCTTTTAAAAACTAACACACTCAAAATGGTTTCTTTAGGTTTTCTCACAGATATAAATAATTGGCTATAAGAATTACCTAGTGGTTTCAATGCACCACGTATATGGAAAGGAATGTTGCTTCTTTTTCATTGAAATCTCTTTTCTTTGTGTATATGAACTATGCCAATCTTTAGATTCTCTTAAAAAACCTTCAAGCATTCTCAAAGCAGAACCAATATCTTAAAACATATTTACATTTTACATTTGGCTATTTCAATTACTGTGAATGGCTCCCTTTAGTTTTCACTGAATTCATGCTTTGTTATGTTATTCCAATGCCTTTGAAAAAAAAGGCATTAAGAAGTTTGAGAAACAGCAAAAGACCATATGCTTTAATCCTACCTGGCTCTTTTTATCTTAATATTTCTTGCCTTGTTACAAAGTAATTTTTAACATATTTTTATTTTCTAAAATAATAGCTTTAAACCAGTGTAAACCAAGAACATCTATATAATACCTCTAAGATGTCCGCAACCATTTCTTCATACAATCCCTGAGCTCCATATCTCCCCTATTTTATTTTTTATATTCTTTAAGGGAGATTTTACTTTGAAATGCCATTAATAAAACATTCTACCAACATATTAAAACTTGCTAACTTGTACCCAAAATTATCTTTCCTGTAAACCATTCAAATTTATTATTCTATCCTTTAATTTTTTATTATTTATTTATTTACTTATTTACAGACAAGGTCTCACTCTGCCGCCCAGGCTGCAGTGCAGTGGCGCAATCACAGCTCAATGTATCCTTGACCTCTGCGGCTCAAGTGATCCTCCCACCTCAGCTGTGACTACAGGTTCCTGCCACCATGCCTGACTGATTTTCGTATATTTTGTAGAGACAGGGTTTCACCATATTGCCCAGGCTAGTCTCAAACTCCTGGGCTCAAGTGATCCAACTGCCTCAGCCTCCCAAAGTGCTGGAATGACAAGCGTGATTTACTGTGCCTGGCCTAAACATTTTTTAATAACAATTTCATTGAAATATAATTCACAAGCCATAAAATTTATCCATTTAAAGTGTGCAACTGAGTGGCTTTAAGTATATTTACAAAGTTTTACCACTGTGTATCTAATTTTGTAATATTTTCATCATCCTAAAAAGAAATACCATGCCCTTTAGCAGTCACTTCCTGTTCCTACTTCTCCTAACCCCTAGAAACTACTAATTTTCTCTCCAGATTTACCTATTCTATATATTTATATAAATGGAATCATACAATATGAAATATTTTACATCTTCCTTTGTTTATTTACTGTGACATTTTCAAGTTTCATCCATGTTGTAGCATGTACCAGTACTTCCTTCCTGTTTGTGACCAAACAAAATTCCTTTGCCCTTTTATTTTTATTTTTTATTATATTTTATTTATTTATTTATTTTGAGACAGTCTCATTCTGTAACCCAGGCTAGAGTGCAGTGGCACAATCTTGGCTCACTGAAGCCTCCATCTCCCGGTTTCAAGCGATTCTCCTTCCTCAGCCTCCCGAGTAGCTGGGATTACAGATGCCCACCACCACACCGGGCTAATCATTTTGTATTTTTAGTAGAGATGGGGTTTCACCATGTTGGCCAGGCTGGTCTCATCCTGACCTCAAGTGATCTTCCCTCCTTGGCCTCCCAAAGTGCTAGGATTACAGGCGTGAGCCACCACGCCCTGCCTCCTTCGCATTTTTAAAAACTACATTTTAAAATCCATTTTTCAGTTAATGGAGGATATGTGGGTTGTCTCTACTTTTTTTGCTACTGTAAGTAATGCTGCTATGGATATTTGTGTATTTTTTGTTTGTTTGTTTTTTATTTTGAGACAGGGTCTCACTCTGTCACTCAGGCTGGAGTGCAGTGGCACGACCATGGCTCACTGGAGCCTCAATGTCTGGAGCTCAAGTGATGCTCCTACCTCAAACTCCTAAGTAGCTGGGACTATCAGTGCAGGCCACCATGCCTGGAGATACAAAGCTCTCACTCTGTTACCCAGGCTGGTCTTGAACTAATGGATTCAAGGGATACTGCCACCTCGGCCTCCCAAAGTGCTGGGATTACAGGTGTGAGCCACCACACTCGGCCCATGTATGAGTTTTTGTGTGAACATAGGTGTTCCCATCTCTTGGGCAAATACCTAAGAATAGAATTGCTGAATCGCATGGTATAATTTGTTTTCCAACTGTAGCTACACCAGTTTACAACCTCACCAGCAATGTATGAGTGTTCCAGTTTGTTTTCTTTTTATTTTCTTTCTTTTCTTTTCTTTTTTTTTTTGAGACAGAGTTGCTCTGTAACCCTGTAACCCAGGCTGGAGTGCAAAGTCACAATCTTGGCTCACTGCAACCTCCACCTCCTGGGTTCAAGTGATTCTTGTGCCTTAGCCTCCGGGTAGTTGGGATTACTGCCATGTGCCACCATGCCCAGCAACTTTTTTGTGTTTTTAGGAGAGACAGAGTTTCACCATGTTGGCCAGGCTGATCTCAAACTCCTGACCTCTAGTGAACCGCCTGTCTTAGCCTCCCAAAGTGCTAGGATTACAGGTGTGAGCCACCACACCCAGCCCAGTCTTCCAGTTTCTCACCTCCTAGCCAACACTTGTTTTTGTCGTCTATTTTAGTCATAGAAGTAGGTGTGAAGTGGTATCTCACTATGGTTTTAATTTGCATTTCCCTAACAACTAATGAGGTTGAGTATGTTTTTATATGTTTTTTGGCCATTTATATATCTTCTTCAGATAAATTTTCATTCAAATACTTTACCTTTTTAAAATTAGACATTTGTCTTTTATTGTAGAGTTATCTCTACAAGAGATGCAAAAGAATGAATATCCAGTTTTTCTAATACCATTTGTTGAACAATTATTTTTTCCCATTGAACTGTCTTGGCACCCTTGTTGAAAATTAGTTGACCATAGTATAAAGGGTTATTTCTGTAATAACAGCTCTACAATACTGGAATTCCCTTATTAGATATGTTATTAGCAAATATTTTTTCTATTCTGTTTTCCTTTTACTTTCTTGATGATGTTCATTGAAACACAAAAATTTTTAATTTTGATGCAATTCAATTTATTTATCTTTTTCTTTTGTTGTTTATTCTTTTGTTTTCACATCTAAGAAAGCCTAATCCAAGGTCACAGTGATTTACTCCTACATTGTCTTCTAAAATATTTAAAGGTTAAGCTCTTATATTTAGGTCTGTGTCCATACACATATAATATTTGTATATGGTGTGAGGTAGGAGATATGTCTTCATTCTTTACATGAACTCTATGTTTACTATTTTGAAGAACTGCTAAATTTTTGTCCAAAGTTGCTGTATCACTTATAATCTCATCAGAAATTTAAGAAGATTTCAATTTCTGCACGTGCTATTCAATACCTGTTATTGTCATTGTCTATTACAGATGCAAAAGAATGAATATCCAGTTTTTCTAATTCTATTTGTTGAACAATTATTCTTTCCCATTGAACTGTCTTGGCACCCTTGTTGAAAATTAGTTGACCATAAGTATAAAGAGTTATTTCTGGACTTTCACTTCTATTCCATTTATTTATATTTCTATGCTCATGCCAGTATTATACTCTCTTGATTATTGTAGCTTTGTAGTTAATTTTGAAATCAAAAAGTGTGCATTCTCCTACTTTATTCTTTTTCAAGACTTTTATCTATTCTGGTCCCTTGTATTTCAATATGAATGTTAGAATTCTAGGGGACAGCAAATCTCTTCAGTTTTGCTGAAAAATCAACTCTTGAAAGGCAGATTAATAGCAGAAAAGGCATACAAATTTATTTAACATGTATATGTGGGATCCTTCAGAATAAAGAACTAAAGATACAGGGGAAATTGTCCATTTTTATGCTTAGAATCAACAGAGTATGGACAGCTATGTAGAAATGTGATTGGACAAAATGGGTTTGATCTAATTTTCATGGACTGAGTGGGGAAACCCAGCAAGGCCTGTCTCTACATTTGTCTTTGCCTCTCTGAGCATGTATTCCTTTCTTCTGAGTATAGGGAATTCTTCTCTGGAGTGGGGGTCTTATGATCTGTAGTCAAACAAAGTAAGACAGATAATTTCTTTATGTCCAGTTTTTGCACAGAAAGGGAGAGGAAAAATTAGAGTAATATTTTTAAGTTTTATGGTTTGTTTTCAGGAAGAGAGAATTAGTTTCTAAGGCTAGTCTTGGGGAAGAATGGGACTGAGACTCATGAAGGCAGGAGAAGGTCAAGGAAAAATGTTTGCTTCTGAGGTCGGGGCTGAGGCCCTCATTTCATGGTATTATTTTCTGAGCCCCAGTTTCTGCAAATAAAGCAGTTGAGATTTTGATGGGAATTGTATTAAATCTACAGATCAATTTGGGAACTATTGTCATTTGATAACATTAAGTGTTGCGATACCTGAAGGTGAATATCTTTTCATTTGTAGTTACCAAGTGAAGTCATTTGGGCCTGGAATTTCCTTGTGGAAAATATTTTAGTTGCTAATTAAAACTTTTTACTAGTTATAGGTTTATTCAGATTTTTTCTTGAATTAGTATTGATAGTTTTTGTATTTCTAGGATATGTCCTTTTCATGTATGTTACCTAATGTGTTAGCATTCCATTTCTTGTAATATTTCTTGTTAATCTTTTTTATTTCTGTGAGGTGGGTAGTTGTTATTCTTGATTTTAGTATTAAATAATAATTTGAATATTTTCACATTTTTCTTTAGACAATCCAGCTAAAATTTCTATAAATTTTGTTGATTTTTTTCAAATTACCAACTTTTGGGTTTGCTGAACTTTTTTTTTTTTTTTTTTTGACATTGAGTCTTGCTCTGTCCCCAGGCTGGAGTGCAGTGGTATGATCTCGGCTCACTGCAACCTCTGTCTTCCAGGTTCAAGCGATTCTCCTGCCTCAGCATCCCGAGTAGCTGGGACTACAGATGCATATCACCATGCCCAACTAATTTTTGTATTTTTAGTAGAGATGGGGTTTAACCTTGTTGGTCAGGATAGTCTCGATTTCTTGACCTCGTGATCTGCCCTCCTCGGCCTCCCAAAGTGCTGGGATTACAGGCGTGAACACCGCGTCCAGCCGGGTTTGCTGATTTTGATGACTGTTTTTCTATTCTCTGTTTCACTAATTTCTATTCTAATACCTATTATTTCTTTTCTTCTTCTTGCTTTGAGTTTAACTTGCCTTTTTTTTTTTGGTTTCTTAAAATGGAAAGATGGGTTAGTTATCTGAGACCTTTTTTCTTTTTAAATACAGACACTTGTAGATATAAATGTACCTCTAACCACTATGTTAGCTGCATCCTGTAAGTTTTGATATGTTGTGCTTTTGTTCTCATTCATCTCAAAGTAATTTCCTTTGGGATTTCTTCTTTAAGTCACTGGTTACTTAGGAGTGTGCTGTTTATGTTCCTTTTATTTGTGAATTTTACATTTCCTTCCGTTTCCTCCCTTCTGTTATTCCATTTCATTCTAGTTGGAAAGCAAACTTCGTATGGTTTAAATCCTTTTAAATATACTGATAGTTATTTTATGGCATAACAGTTAGTCTATACTAGAGAATGTTCCATTTATACTTGATAAAAGTGTGCATTCTGCTTTTACTAGGTCAGTGTTCTGTTGATGTCTATTAGATCAAGTTTGTTTATAGTGTTTTTTGAGTCTTTTATTTTCTTGTTCTTCTGATTAGTTGTTCTATCCGTTATTGAAAGTTGAGTATTGAAGTTATTGTACTTTTCAACTCCAGAAATTGTATTTTGCCTTTTTAAATAATTTCTGTTTCTTCACTCATATTCTATTTGGTTTCTTTTAGTTCTTTGAACATAATCATAATAGTTGATTTAAAGTCATTGTCTAGTAAGTCCAAATTTTGACTTTCTTAGGGCCAATTTTTAACTGCTTTTTTTTATGTGTTCAGGCCCTGCTTTCCTGTGTGTGTGTGTTTTATGATTTTTCAATTTAAAATACTAGACATGTAAAATAACATAATGTTGTAATTCTGAAATCAAATAACGCCTCACTACCCAGGGTTTGTTACTGTTGCCATTTGTTGTCATTGTTTTTGTCGTTGATGCTGAGCAAAGCAAAGGGCATTGCTTGTTTGATGACTTTCTTGGACTAATTTTGTAAAATCTGTGTTCTTTGTTGTTCCAGCCAGTGAAATTTCTTCTCAGTTAACTTAGTGATCAGTTAATAAATACACAGAGATTTCCTTAGAGGCTTAAACCAATAAGTTTCCGAATCTTTGTCAAGCTGTACTGTTTGTACTGTGGTCTATACCTTCAATGTTCCAGCACACATTTAAAACTCTGCCTTAGTCTCTACCTCCTGCTTGGAAAGGGCATCAACATCAGCCAAATGTGACAGATTAGAATTTTCTCAGGTCATTCCTGTATATGCACAGCCCTTCATATGAATGTGACCTTCTAGATATTTAAGAATATGTTGGGCCTTTTCAAATCCCCCAGTGGGCATTTCATTCCCTTTTTCCCTTCTAAAATTCTTAGTCTGCCTCTTGCTAGCTACAACTGTTATAACTCCCTCAGCCAGCTGCAATGTTAAACAATTGTCATTATTTTCTACAACTTCCCTGGAGACAATACTCACATAGAGGGAGGTTTGAGTTAGGTCAAATAAAGGCAAGCTCTAAGAATGGAGCTTTACTTAGAACCTGCTAGAAAAGTCAAATGGTAACATTTCTCTGGGGATGGCACTTTTAGGAAGCTCCAAACCCTCCATTGGCTGGTAGACTGCTGGTTGACCACTAACATAGTTGTGAGCCTGTTAGATTTCAATGCTGCTATGGAATAAGAAAGAGGGTAGTGGGAGTAGTGCAAGTTAAAATGTCAAAAAGTTCATTGTTCTTACTGAGATTCAGCCATTTTTCTTGCATAAAAGCTGCAATTGTTGCATGTCTTTGGTTAATTTTCAGTTTTTAAACAGTTGATTTTGTCTATTATTGCCAGTTTTCCCATTTTCTCATTGCTTTTATGAGCAGCATTGTTTTATGACCTATTTTCAGAGATTTTTACTCTGCCATTATGGAAGTGCAAATTCTCCGTGAATGTCTCAGTGCTTTATTAATATCTCAAAATGGATAAATTCTACTCCACATCATTTTCCCCACATTTTAATGATCTTCTTATCTCAATGAATAGTCAAAATATTGATGAGACTTTATTAGCCAGAATCTTAGAGGCTAATTTTTGCACCTGTTTCTATTTCTCTCTTTTATTCCCCTATCCCATATTCAATCCATTACCAAGTGCAATGCATATTATTTCCTAAGTAACTCTCAAATCCATCCACATTTTGGCTCCATAGAAAACATGATGGTTTACTTATTTTCTGACTCCAGGATACAATAATAACCCTTTAACTAATCTACTTGCATCTAGGCCAGCCCCATTTAATCATTTATCCACACTGTAGACTACATGACATTTTTTTAAATGCAAAAGATGGTCATTGTCACTTTTGGTTAAAACTCTTAAATACATTTGTATCCTCTTAAGGAAAAAGATAAACTTTCTTACTATGATTTTTAAAGCTCATATATGGCCCAAACTGTCTTTCACCATAAGATATTAGCATATGTTCTTCCCTCTACTTGGAAAATTTTCCCTCTGCCCTTGGTTGAGTAAAGTTTTACTTAGTCTTTATTTATATCTTGTGTGACTCCCCAGGAGATTTTTCTAATTCTCCAACTAAATCACATAGCACCATTCACCTGTTTTTCCTAGCAGTTATTCCAAGAGCAATTTCACATTTATTCATGTGATTATTTAATTAATATTGGTTTCTTCTATAAGACTATAAGCTCTATGAAGGCAGAGACTCTTTCTGATTTTGCTTACAGTTGTATTCCCACAGCTATACCATAATGACTGATGTAAATTTTGTAATCAAGAAATATTTATTAAGTAAATGAATGTTGGTAAGTGATCTATGCTAAGGCTATAATGGGACAAGAAAAATTAATTCCTTCCCTTTTAGCCGAGAAGTTAAACAGAATAACTATCAAGCAGTTAAAGGAATTGGTCTAAGTTTGTTTCTCCTTCACTATTTTACTCTTCATTGATAGAAATATTAGTTGTTTGTTTTTTCAAAGATCCAAACAATGATATCAGGCTAAAGCAAACATGTGGAGAATCTATATGCTCAATTTAGTCAGCATAATCACATTTTAAAAATTATTTTGACAATTAAGTTCCTAATTGCACAATATTTAAGTATTAATATATAGCACTGATAAGCTAACAAATATTTTCTATATAACAGACATTTTCTGATCTAGCATTATGGAATAGATAGATTAAATAATTTAATTATCTTGAATTGTTTGGGAACTATCCGTTTTTAAAAAGTGTTTTCAAGGCAAAGGAAAGGTGATTTTAAATATTTTTCTACTATATTGGGGAAAGCCTTTGATAACACTGATCTGTGGTTAACTATATTCTAAGTTAAGATACAAAAATGTGTCTTTTAGTGGAAATATCATCAGTCATCTAAATTAGGGGTCCCCAACCCCCAGACCACAGACTTGTGCTGATCTCTGGCCTGTTAGGAACCAGGATGCACAGCAGGAGGTAAGTGGTGGGAAGAGGCATTACCACCTGAGCTCCACCCCCTGTCAGATCAGTGGCAGCATTAGATTCTTATAGGAGCACAAAACCCATTGTGAACAGTGCATGTGAGGGACCTAGGTTGCTTGCTCCTGATGAGAATCTAACTAATGCCTGATGATCTGAGTGACCTGAGGTGGAACAGTGTTATCCAGAAATCGTTCCATAGTTGGAATCCAATCCATGGAATAATTGCCTTCCATAAAACTAGTCCTTGGTTCCAAAAAGGTTGGGGACTGCTGATCTAAATGATTGACTTGCTTTCTTCTATTTGTATGTATTTTAAAAAAGATTTCTTGAGGATTGAATTGGGGGTTTATCACTTTGCTTTTACCATCAGAGGCCAAGGGTGCCAATAACACCCTATTTTGACATGACCTGACACAGCCCTATTGTAATATCAGTTTCCCTTTTAGAAAGATTGCCACCATGGCTTCATTTGTCTTAGAACTGTCATTTTATAACTAAGTATGTTGTCATGGATTTAAAATGCTTCAGATGACAGCTTTGGATTTCTTTGCTTAACTTTTTAAAGCATTCAAAGTTTAGCAATGTCAAGGATGAACTGTATGCCAATTTTAGATTTATTCTTGGCATAGAATTGTCCTTGCTGCACATTTGCTACCTGGAGATAGCTATTTCCTAGGAAATACATTTTTAATTTAGAGTATTTTTTCCTTCAAATGTAGAAAAAAATAGTTTTCTTTCTTATGCTGATTTTTTTTCTCTAAATATACAAATCAACTGCTATGCCATTGTATTGCTCACTATAATTTCCCAGACATCATGCTAACTCTCTTACTGCTTTTGGGTAGTTTCTAAAATACAATACTCGAATTAAATATGTTCCCAGTAGATTTTACCCTTTAACTGTGTCCTTCTTTCTTTTTTATACTACTATTATATAGAACCTCTGAATGACTTAATTATATTCAGAGCATGACTGTTATGTCTTGCTATTTTTGTCTTTTCTACTTGAAATAGAGTTTTGTATTTCTCTAGAATTTCTGGGATAGGAGCCCATTAGTTGTAAATGCAAAATCTTCAAAAGTTTTCAAATAAAACACTTAAGCATAGAATATTACTGTAAGAGAATAAGCATATTTGGAACTTGTTTATTTTAATTTTCTTTGTTAGATCCATGGCGAAATAATTTCTACATCCGAATGTGTAAGAAAATTGTCATGAAATGTAATAACTTTTCAGATGTTTTCTGCCAAATATAAAAATAAACTTATACTTTAAAATAGTTTTAGGTTTACAGAAAAATCACAAAAATAGTACAGAGAGTTCACATATACCCCATACCTAGTTTCTCCTATTATTATCATCTTATATTAGTATGATAACTTTGTTACAATAAATATGACAACAATATTGGCACATTATTACTCACTAAAATTCCTAATTTCTTCATATTTCTTTAGTTTTTACTTACAACATTTTTCTGTCCAGGATTCCATCCAGGAAGCCACGTTACATAGTTATGGCTACTTAGCCTCCTCTTGGCTGTGACAGTTCCTCCAACATTCCTAGTTTTTGATGACCTTGACAGTTTAGAGGAGTACTAGTCAAATATTTTGTAGAATGTCTCTCACTTGAGATTTGTCTGATAGTTTTCTCATGATCAGAACTGTATCACATATTTCGTGGAGGAAGGCAAAGTACCAGTCTTATCACACAATATCAAGGGTACGTGCTATCAACTTGACTTATCACTGTTGATGTTAACTGTGATCAACTGGCTGAGGTAGTGTTTGTCAAGTTTCTCCACTGTAAAGTTACTCTTTTTTCCTCTTTTCAATGCTGTACTATTTGGAAGAAAGTGAGCATGCACAGCCCACACTTGAGGAGTGGACAGTAACGTTCCACCTCTTTGAGGGCAATGTCTACATAAATTATTTGGAATTCTTCTGCACTAGAGATTTGTTTGTTACCCCCTTATTTCTTTATTCAGTCAGTCATTTATATCAGCATAGACTCATGGACATTAATTTAAACTTTAAGTTATAATCCAATACCATTTTTATTTGTTTATTTATTAATGTACTTGAATTGCTCTAGCTTTGGCCATTGGGAGCACTTTCATTTGTGTCCTTTATCTTGTTGACATATCTCTGTTTTTTTTTTTGGTTTTTGTTTTTTTAGCACTTCTTTACTTTCTGGCTTTACAAAATGCTCTGCTCCAGGCTCATCTTGTGTATTTTCTTTCCCAGTCATAAAATCAGCTATTTTTCCAAGGAGCCCTGGTTTGTTTTATTGGAGATCACAGTGCTAAGTGTTCTGTCATATTTTTTCAAACTAAATGGAGGGGACTGATCTTTCTTGAGCTTCTACTATAATCTTAAGCAGAGGCCAGCAAATGTTTTTTGTAAAGGGTCAGACCATAAATATCTTAGGCTTTGCAGACATATGGTCACTGTTACAACTACTAAACTGCTTTTGAAGCAAAAAAGAGCTATAGACAATATGTAAACAAATGGGTGTGGCTGTGTTTCATCAAAACTATTTTCAAAAGTAGGCGATAGGCCAAGTTTGGCCCACATTCCGTAGTTTGCTGCACCTGATTTAAGGGTGTATATGTGGCTTGTGAGTATGTAAGTGAAGGACAGAGTGCAAGGGAGAATGAAGGTGAGAGTGAAGGAGGAGGAAAGAGAAAGAGAGAGAGAGAAATACACTTTAGAGGGGAAAAAGTTGGGGATTAATTTTAAGTGGTATGATTATAAAACCAGTGTTATTTTAATTTTATTCTACTATCTTTCAGTCAACAGCTCTTCAAATTATGTTCTAGCAGTTCTCTGTATTTTTTTCCAGCTCCCAGAAAGTAATAGACTATCTCATGTAGACTAATCAGATATTGTAAGTGGTACAACTGTAACAGTGATGCTGGTTCTACATGTCATACCTGTGTATTGATCTTATTTATTTTTGGTCACATATTGTACAGTTACGTACTATAGGTTATCAATAAAAAGAAGTTAGACTGGGCATGGTGGCTCATGCCTGTAATCTCAGCACTTTGGGAGGTCGAGGTGGGTGGATCACGAGGTCAGGAGTTCTAGACCAGCCTGGCCAATATGGTGAAACCCCATCTCTACTAAAAATACAAAAAAAACTAGGTGGGCGTGGTGGTGCATGCCTGTAGTCCCAGTTACTAGGGAGGCTGAGGCAGGAGAATCACTTGAACCCAGGAGGCAGAGGTTGCAGTGAGCCAAGATTGTGCCACTGCACCCCAGCCTGGGCAATAGAGGGAAACTCTGTTCCAAAAAACAAACAAACAAACAAACAAACAAACAAAAAAACTAGATTAATAAAACTAGCTTTCTTGGCTTTTTAAAATAATTTAATATAACTAGCCCAAGGAAGCTGTTTGATGAAGTATGCTGATTGAAAGCGTCATTCAAAGTAAATACATTTTTCAGTTAACATTGTTCACAACCAGCTACAAATCTGCGTAACTGTTTAATGAGAAGTCTTTTGCTTGCCAGCAAAAGCCGGTATACTGAGATGACAAGTTTAACAATAGTCTTCTCCAGTGTCTAAAAGAGGTCAATGAGGAAAAATGGATATGACAATTTAAACACAGAACTAAATCTTTAAAGAAAGAGAAGAATAAGGATCAAAGAAAAATTAAGGGACCTTAATGTGAATCATACTAATCTTTTACGTCATTTAAGTAAATTTCTGAGCCAGATACTTTCCCTTTATATCAGTTCTATCTTTTCTGGATCATTTTTTGAACTATTCTTCAGTTTTAAGTCCTCATATTCACAAATTCTTCTGTGAATTTATAGTTCTGGATACTAAATTCATTGATCAAAGTTTCACTTACCAAGGCAGAACGGCTACTGAAAATAAACTTTGCTTCAGCTGTAAAACAAGGGTACCTGTGTAGTATATATTTTCTCCTTCAAACTGTTATAAGTCATGGGTAATCAATACAGAGCTGGAAAAAAAATAAAGTGTTCAAGGTACATCACACAATGTTTCTAGGCACGTTTGCTTTATGTAGGACATAACAGCTCTCCTGTTATTGATTATACCTTTTTATAATTGTTTAAATCTATTCTCCAAAATAGAACTCCAGCGAACTTTCTTAGACTGGCTTCAAATGAACTAAATCTCTCCTCCCATTAGGCCATTGATCAGTGATGGAGCTAAACCTACAGTGGAGTATTTAGATGAAACACCAGTTCATACAACTATTGACCACTCATTATATAATACTTCTGGGCCAAGGACAAAGTCTGTGGGGAAACGTATTAGAATAGTGGAGTGGAAAAATGGGTATGAAGGTTAAATTGTTAGACTTTTTGGTCCAGTGTAATATTTCAGAGGATAATAATAGCAAGATTACTCTACTTGAGTAGTGATAGCAATAGCTGTATCCATCAGTAAGGAAAACAGGAACCACTCTAGATATTTCAACAGCAGGGGGATTTAATGCAGGGAATTAGTTATAAAGTGGTTGGAAGGGCTGAGTGAACCAAAGAGTACAGGGAGTTATTCATGGGTATGGAGTTGTTATAACTCCTGGGCTGTAGTACACCTTGCCACTTCTTGGCTGGTGGCTCTGCTTGTGCTAGTATTGCAGTTTACTGAGCACCTGGGAGCCACACTGCTGCTGAGGAGCTCATCTGACACTGCTGCTATTTCTGCTGAGGCCATCTCCAAAGGTAGGAAAATGGTATCTCTCTTCCTCTTACTTTCCAGTCTCTGAACTTAACTAGTAAGGGAAATGTAGTTTGCAGGCTGTCACTCTTACAATTCAAAAGTGAACATAGGGCATCAGAAATAGCACCTATGCCAAGAGAAAAATAATCTAAAAGCAGACAATATAACAGACACTATTTGAAGATAGATGATAGATAGATATGCATTTAATTTTCATAACAACCCTGAATGGTAGATATGGCTTTACCCCTCTTTTACTGATGGGGAAACTGAAGAATAAAGAAGCTAGGTAATATGATCAAAATTGACATAGCTATTAAGAAGTGGAATTAGAATTTGAACCCAGGTCATATGATTCTAGAGTTCACACCTGCAATCATTGTGATGCAAGAGAGACAAACCGCAAAATTGGGGCTTAGCTGGGGAGTGTTCTTGGCTTCGCCCGGAGAAGAATTAAAAGGCAAACCTGGCAGTACTAAACAGGAACTTATATTGAAGCACCAGTGTACAGCAGCAGCAGAGCAGGACTGCCCCACAGCCAGGGAACCCAGAGTAGCAGCTGAGAGGCAGTTCTGCACTCATACTTACATCCACCTTAGACTATATGCAAATTAAGGGACAGTTTATGCAGAAATTTCTAGGAAGATGGTGGTAAGTTCCAGGTTTTGGGGTCATTGCCATGGAAAGGGGTAATAACTTTTGGGTGTTGCCATGGCAGTGGTAAACTGACATGGCAGGCTGGTGGGGATATCTTGTGGGGAGGTGCTTCCATCCAGGACCTGTTTTAGCTGCTCCTCAATTTGGTCTGGTGTCCGCGCTTCGCCTCCTACCTCAATTATACTACAATTCAACAAGTATAGGTGCTCCGGGCCCTCATTCATATATCCAAAGGGAAAAGCCAGTCTTTTCCAGGGTCCCCTTCTAAATATTTCTGGTAAGCACCTCCCTAGTTGTTCATATGACCTGATCTTCGTTTGCCACAGCCATTGGCCAAGCTGGACCTATATGACTCCTCTTTTTAATGCACCCAACAATGTTAATAAATAATTTCATATAGATTTCCTTCCCTTGTCCTCCCTTAAGCCACTGACTGCTGTTACCATCATACTGGCCTCAGTGTGAGGACAAACACTGTCTCACCTGTTTCTCTGCATGCCATAAGTGAAAATACCTCACCCAAACATGGAATGGACCCTTGCTTTAATTTCCCACAACACGTCTAAAGACAAGACTCGGCAGTATTCCATTAAAGTCTAGAGGTGATGAAAACACAGAATAAATTACAGTTATCATGATATAAGGCTGCTTTGGAAGAGTACTAGTCCAGGGCCATCCTTGAAGAGTCCCAATCACAGGGTACCTCCTGGTCTGGTTTCTGTCTTGCCTCTATATGGCTGGGGCCGGGTTACTCTTACCACATAGAATGTTTTCAAGTCTGTCTATTATCAGAGCCCTGGCTTGCTATCCAAGTCTCATTTAAGGAAGGAGTCCCTTGCTCACTTCAACTTAAGACTGAATTTCCCAGACTTATTTCCTTTCCCTCGCTAAGAAAAAGTATTTAAAATCTAGGATGTAAAAGGATGACTGCGACTTCTTCTTGAGGCCTAAAAAAGCACTAACAGGGCTGCCCCAGGTTTATCTAATTCTCTAAGATTATACAGTTTCATTTGATTTACTATTTACTATTGATAGAGTACCAGACTCTGTGCAGTAAGATATTAACCTTCAGAAGGCTGTTAAATTGCAAATGATTTTTATCTAGTTGAGTTGCAAATAATTTCTATCTTATAGAAAACATAACCCTAAAGGTTACTTGTTTTGGTCCTGGAGCACATTAAATCATTTTGTATTTAATTTAGCAACATAATTTCAGCATTTTTCCTCTTTCTGTAACTATACATACTTTGGTCTTTTCTATACTACTTTGAACCAATTTATCCTTTGGTTTAATTCCTCCTTAAGGTTTTTAATGTGAGCTCACTTTATGTTTTTTGAGTTACATTTTTATCTTTTAGAAAATTATACTTTGACAGTCTTTTTTTCACATGATTAATGAAAACGGAAATGGTCACTTTCTTCAGAGCAAATATCACCACCAGGTTTACAACTGATATTTGTGGGACCTGGAGAACATTGCAAATGTAGGTTCACATACAATATGACTAAATAGGTACAAGTTAGAAATCCGAATTTCAGACTACTACATGAAATATAGTACACTGTTCTTTTTTAACAAGCATCCCTTTATAATGAACACATTGAAAAATATGTATTAAACTTTAGTAACTCTTTATTATTAAAGGTCAAAAAATGTTTTAAATGACCAAATTTAAATTATTATAACATGTTCCTGGCTGCTTCATTAAAAAGAGTAAAGTATTTGAATGGTTAATAAGCAAAGCATATATACATATATTTATCAGTCATTAAGTATTTATTTTATATATTATTTTTATTGCATTCATGTCAACAAAGTTACTTATATATTGTTATAATCATGGCTTTCACATAATTTGTATTCTTTTGACAGTAAGACAAAATTAGACAACCTTTTCTGAATCATCAAAATGCTTAGGGTTTGTTTTAATAACTTCATTTTGAAAAAGTATCTGAAATTGCTAATAAAGCTATAAAGCAATATTTATATTTGAAACTACCCTACAAAATGATATGTTCAAACATTGTAATAAGGGTAACATTTGAAAAATTAACACTTTACAGAAACTATCACATAAATAGTTCAATTATATACTTTTATATTACTTATATCAAGATTTTTACCCTCATAATGTATCATCTAAAACTATACATGTTTCTTCTTCCTAATTCTTCAATGCTAGAATAGTATAAAGAAAATTTAAAATAGAACTATATGACTCAAATCTTCCTGCATTAGGAGTATACCTTAAATTTATAATAGAAAGCTTTTTTTTTTTTTTTTTTTTTTTTGACAGAGTCTCACTCTGTTGCCCAGGCTGCAGCGCAGTGGCGCCATCTCGGCTCACTGTAAGCTCCGCCTCCCAGGTTCACGCCATTCTCCTGCCTCAGCCTCCCGAGTAGCTGGGACTGCAGGCACCCACCACCACGCCAGGCTAATTTTTTGTATTTTTTTAGTAGAGGCGGGGTTTCACCATGTTAGCCAGGATGGTCTCCATCTCCTGACCTCGTGATCCGCCCGCCTTGGCCTCCCAAAGTGCTGGGATTACAGGAGTGAGCCACTGTGCCCGGCCTAGAAAGCATTTTTTTTTAAATAGAAATTAGTTTCAGTTTATTTGTACGTGAATCTTTTTCTTCATCATCATGCAAATATTTTTCATTTATTTAATTTCTTCCTATTTTATTAGAAAATCAGTTTTGTTGACATTTTCTCATGCATTTTTTAAGTTTAGAAACATTTTCCCTAAATTTTTACATAGTGTACCTTACCCTGTCAAAAATTGAAGTAGCCAACCTTAGATTACTTACCTTTTTAATTGATTGCTGACATTATCAATGGCAAGCAACAATTTATACCAAACAACGACAGATAGTACCAATTCAAGGTTGATTTTATTTCTTTCAAAGACCATAGTTCACTATTTTTTTGTTGTTCTTGGCATTTAAAAGATTGTTTTAATATGTCGAATACCCTATCCAATTATTTATAACAAGCCCAGTGGGGATTTTTGATACGTGATAAACATACTCTGCAATTGAAGTTTATGCAGCAAATATACAATTTTGAGCACCACCTGTATAAAATTACAGGTAGATTAAAAATATTAACAAACCTTGAAACCTCAAATTTTCACCACAACAATATACAATTTTTATACTATTTCAAAGGTACAATCCCATACTTATATATATTGCATGAGATTCTCAGATGTATTATGGAATTTGTCAAGGAAGAATTCTGTGCTTAAGGTAGGTTCTTTATAATTTAATCTTTCTGGGTCAAGGCATGGACTAATGAACTTCATTTAACAAGATCATGGTTTGGTATAATAGTTGGATAAATATATGAAATATAGAAATTCCCCAAATTCCTCCCAAAACAGAACGAGAGCTCTAAGTATCCCCTTTTCTCAGCGCTTCTTGAGTTTAGGGTGGTTTCACTATTCACTCCTTATTTGAGAACCTTCTGTTGTTTTCTTTAATTCCTCTAGCATATATTGTTTTAACAGCACATACTTGATATTTCCATAGTTTGTCTGAGAGTGATAATAATGTGGCATTTGGTATTTTTATTTTATGAAATATGTCAAAAAATGTTTACACTGTTGGCATAGTTGAAGCCACATTTCTTTCTAGGAGGTCAAAATAAGCCCATATATAGTACAAAGAATGATTCTAGCTTTTTGTCTACAATTCTAGAAGTACATATTTGTTTTTTAGAGATGCGTTTAGCACTATTTCATGAGCTTCCCCTTGACAATTTTTTAACTAACTTAATAAAATGAAAAAATCAACCATTTTTGAAACTTCAATTAAATCCTACTACGTACTTTTATAAAATATAACTATTTTGATTTCCAATGTTCAGTGTCCAGCTTAGTACCTCTGAAGATTTGGTATCACACTTTACCCATATTAGGTCTACTCAAGCACTGTCCACTAGAAATATAATGTGAGCCACATAAGTAGTTTTGAACAAATGAAAAAAGTAAAAATAAGGGGTAAAATTTTAATGATATATTGTATTTTAGTCAACATATCTAAAAGCAATGTTATTTCAATATAAAATCAATATAAAACATTATTAAGATCTATGCCATTCTTTTTTTCTCACAGTAAGTCTTCAGAATTCAGTGTTTATTTTGCACCTACAGCACTTTGGGCCAGCCTCACTTCAAGTGTTCAGTGGTCACATTGGCTAGCAGCTACCATATTGTAAAGTATAAATACAGACCAATGTGAATTCAAATTTAAGAGAAATATGAATGGTATCATAAAATGTTTTTCAGCCTTCATTGGTGATTCTCACAAATAGTGCACATTTTGAAAGTACTGCTGAGGCTGCAAACTGGAACAGGGGGCAAGTAAATGGACACTCAGCACTCCAGGGTAATAGCATCTTGTTAGGCAAGGTCTCGTATGCCTAAGAAAAGGGATTCCACAAGTTAGTTAATTTATGTTTTCTCTTTCCATTCACCACTCTTCACCACTCAATTTATCTCCTCAACTGTCTCAACTTCAACAGCAGCATCACTCATAAGCCTCCATACCTACTAACAGCAGTTGTCTTTGTTTTGACAAGAGATGTGAAGGAGCCTTTCTTGGGGCTTGACTAGTGTTTGTAACATGTAGAGCCCTCTTAAGTGCTGCATCCACCAATTACTCCTGGTTAAACTTGAAATAATTCTGATCCTCAGTGTCTAAGGCTCTGCTTTTTATTTTCCGAGTAACTGTCCAAAGAAGAATACATGATCTTTACAAAAACAAATACTTTGCTACTGCAAATCATCCTGCTGAACCAATCCTCTCTCTCTGTCTCTCTCTCCTCTCTCTCTTCTCTCTCTCTCTCTCTCTCTCTCTGTGTGTGTGTGTGTGTGTGTGTGTGTGTGTGTGAGAGAGAGGGAGAGAGAGAGAGATATTTTGGACAAAGAAAAAAACAAGTCTTCAGAAATAGAGCTGTTATAGCTCTGATTAAAATGGACCAATTAATTGTCCCAATTTTCTTCAAGAACGAAACAGGAGTTAGAGAACTTGTTTTATTTATGTGTAACAAAATAGCCTAATAAGATGCTCCCTCTTCCCCAACAAAGCAATCAATTCAAATTCCACCATTTCTCTGAAATTCCTTTCCAAACCTCTGTTTTCTAATTTTATCTGACCTCAGACTATAAGAACAGTGACATTTTTCTTTTTTAAAAAATTATTTTTATTTTAAGTTCTGGGGCACATGTACAGCATGTGCAGGTTTGTTACATAGGTAAACGTGTGCCGTGGTGGTTTGCTGCACCTATCAACCCATCACCTAGGTATTAAGCCCAACATGCATTAGCTGTTTTTCCTAATGCACTCCTTACCCCCACTCCACCCCACAACAGGCCCCAGTGTGTGTTGTTCCCTTCCCTGTCTCCATGTGTGCTCATTGTTCAGCTCTCACTTATAAGTGAGAACATGTGGTGTTTGGTTTTCTGTTCCCGTGTTAGTTTGCTGAGGTTAATGGCTTCCAGCTCCATCCACGCGCCTGAAAAGGACATGATCTTATTCCTTTCTATGGCTGCATAGTATTCCATGGTGTTTATGTACGACATTTTCTTTATCTAGTTTATCATTGTTGGGCATTTGGGTTAATTCCATGTCTTTGCTATTGTGAATAGTGCTACAGTGAACATATGTGTGTATGTATCTTTATAATAGAATGATTTATATGCCTTTGAATCTAAAAGAAACATAAACAAATTTACAAAACAAACAAACAAAAACCCAAACAACCCCTTTAAAAAGTGGGCAAAGTACATGAATAGACACTTCTCAAAAGAAGACATTCTTGCAGGCAACAAACATGAAAAAAAACTCGACATCACTGATCG
Organism: Homo sapiens; assembly: GCF_000001405.40. Lineage (NCBI taxonomy): Eukaryota > Metazoa > Chordata > Mammalia > Primates > Hominidae > Homo > Homo sapiens. The sequence continues at coordinate 80,977,418 of NC_000012.12, forward strand.
TTAGAGAAATGCAAATCAAAACCACAGGGAGATACCATCTCATGCCAGTCAGAATGGCGATTATTAAAAAGTCAAGAAACAAAAGATGCTGGTGCGGTTTTGAAGAAATAGGAACGCTTTTACACTGTTGGTGGGAATGTAAATTAGTTCAAGCATTGTGGGAGACAATGTGGCGATTCTTTAAAGATACAGAACCAGAAATACCATCTGACTCAGCAATCCCATTACTGGGCATATACCCAAAGGACATTTTTCAAAATTGATATCTAAAGTGTGGTTAATGAATATTTTTCCAAGTAATTCATTTATTCACATAAACATATTTTATACTGCATTTGTTCATTTCACCACCATTCTAGTTGCTAGGAGTAAAATCATACAATCCCTATTTTTGGTCTTTTAAAAAGATGCATGTCATTGTCTGGATTATTTATTTGTCCAAGTGAAAATATTTCTGTAGACAAGGTGACTTGGGAGAACAGAAGAAGGATGTATTAGTCAAGCAGGTATAGCATCCATTCCCAGTGCTATTTCTCCAGGGTAATAAGAATTAAATTCAGTTCCCCATATTAATCTGTATTCATTTTCCAACTATTGATGACCTTGAAACCATGAAACCACAATTCAACTGGGGGCTGAACCCAGCTGAAACTCCCTTCTAAGAATATGCTAAAGCCATAGAGAAAAATAAATTCAACCCACTTGCAGCCACATCTTTACAATTCCCACAACTGTCCCTCTTGCATAAAAATGCTGATTCTGATGGGGGGATCAATGCATTATCTGTTATTTCTTATAACGTGCATCATCACTCCTCTCTATTTATGGGCAAAATGGTGGATTGAAAACAGCACAATTAATATTAAAGATAGTAACATAATGACTTTCAGAAATTGATGCTAAGAATACAATTTGTTAACTTCACACAGCCATTGACTTAACTGTCTATAATTGTAATACAGGAAAGGAGGGTGTGGGTGTGTTTCTCGGTTTGGGCTCCACAGCTCAGAAAATACACCAGTGAATCCTGGCCCGTGAGGACTTACTAGAGTGTTCAAAAATAATGAACTCAAAAGGACAGTGAAGAGGACAAAATCAACAGTATTTATTCTGATTTACTTAAATCAGAGGTGTGGTAAATTAATGTTTTTTTAATTGAAAATATTTATGAAATTTTATATGTATTTAAAATAAAAATTGTATTAAATGTTCATTCTATAGTTCCTCAAAAACAATGTTAGCTAAATATATATATATATACACACACATATATACACACACAAACACTCTCTTTAAAGTAGCTCAAAGAATGTTCACGTATATTTTCCCATTTATCTTCATAAGAGTCCCTATGAGATACAGAGGGATTATTATTATCACCTCCTTTGAAACAGGGAATGTGAAAGAACAATAGGTTAAATTAATAGTGGCAACCATAAATTGATTTATAGCTTTGAAACCTCGCAAAATAAAATCATGCTTAGTTTACAATTTATTTTTAGAAATAATGGCTTCCCGGGTGTTTTAAAGGCATTATTTATCAGCTTAGACTTTATCTGATAATTGTAAAATGTAGAGGTTTTTCAATTACCCTAGAGGCTCATATTTTATTTCTTGAGATATAATCCACATAAGAAAATAATGCCTGAATGATGTATGCAAATATTAATAGAATTTTGGTCAATAATTAACCAGTGAAGAAAATTCAACAATTTCTACATAAGCATGAGTACTTGAGGAATTAATTTATGGATAAACGTCAAAAATGCAATTCACGTTTCCTGGTACAGCTTTACTATTCTAAACATACCTCACAAAATCATTCACTTTAAACTGTGTCATATTGAAAGATTTCATGAGGATGTAAAATGGCTAATATACAATTCAGATTACTTTTATAATTTGGTTCAAATGGAAATATGGGGTGGGGGGACGTCCAATATGTTTTCGTTACAAAAAGAGACAACAAAAACACAGGCAATAAATTAGTCTCTAAATCTTGCCTTAATAGACTGTCTACTCTTGTAGGCAACCGTTGGGAATGGTTTAATTTATGTCCTAGCCTAAGGGGGTATGCCAGAGAGACTTTCACATATGTTCCAGTATTTAACTTTTCCCTCTGTCTTCTCCCAGTATTGACATTATCTTTTCTTTGCTAATCTTAACATATAAAAAGGGTTTTTTTTTTTTTTAAAAAAAAAAATAGGAGGCAAGATGATAGAATCTTTTTTTTTTTTGCTTTCTTTCCTCATTCTTCCTTCTCTATTTTTTTAAATAAAGAGGTTTTTTATGTATAATTTGAATACCATGAAAATGTAGGGTTCTTCATCTCCTGAATATAGTTCCTAGAAGAGAACTCTGTAAATGTGCTTCTTTAGCTCCCTTTAGGAACATGTATTTACTTCTCTTGTGAGGGTATGCACACTCCACATACAGTTTATCCTGTACTGATAAACTATATCTACAGCCATGGAGCTACTGCTATATCCCATTACATGTTGCAGAATTACTTGAACATAACTGAAAGTTGTATATCAAGGGCAGAATTTGATGGCACGTTGGAGATCGAAGCGTATCTGGAATGAGGAAATACATGTAACGTATCTGGCACATTGCCTGAGTAGCACATCGAAAGCACTGAATAAATCCTGGTTACCTTTTCCTTCCCTCTTTCATATTACAGGTGTCAGCCAAGTCATTGTCCAGCTTGTAAAGCATTACGGTCTGTATTAACATGTGTGAGAAGCACAGAGGGAGAATTTCTAACTTTCTGGGCACTGAGGCTCAGTAACTGCCCTCGACAACAATGAGAAGCTCAAATCAACTGTATATTAGGCTTGTTGACCATTTAAACTGCACACTGTTAGTTTTTCTGAAGAGCTGTTTCATTTGCTGTCAACACAGAGCAAAGTGTCTTTGGTACTACAAGGCACTTGAGCTTCTTGTCATTGACTCTTTTTTAAATTTAGTTTTGATAAGAATAATTCTCCTTTTCATAAAAGCACTGTGATAAAATGAGGATGTTTAGTGAACACAATGCTGATGACATTTTCAGATCTGAAGTGAATAGGCTTTATATGTCTCCATAACTAGAGCATCACTCAGAGCCAAAAGCAGAAAATCAGATGGTCTTGTGATTCATCACAGTCCTGAACCCATCTTGTTCAGACGCAAACTATTTTGATTGGATTTGGACCAGGCTTGAATATTGGAGATGGAAGGTGGGGGTGCGTGGAAAACTGGAGGGAGCTGATCAGGTTCTCTGTCTGGAATCAACTTGGTTTACTATTTGGTTCTTCACAAATTCACTGACATCTTTGAGAGCAGTTTTCTGTCTTCTGCTACTTTTGTTTTTGTTTTGTGCAGCACCTATTACAGTATGAACTCACCTGAAGGAGCCCACTAATATTTCTAAATCACACTAGTAAGATAAAAAGTCTCCCCTGAACACTCAATCTAAGGGGACCCTCCAAGCACTGCATAGCCCGTCTATCTATCATATTTCACTTGTTGCCTTTATCACTTTCTGACATTTTCAGTTCATTTGGTTTCCTGTTTATTACCTGGTATCCCCATGAGGGCAGAGCCCTCAGCACATAGAAAACTGCCTGAATTATTAAAGATATTAAATAGTATAAGTATTTGTTGAATAAATAAATAAATAAATAAGTGAAGAATGCTAAGGTACTTAAGGATTTCCTTTTTAGGAAAGTAATTACCACTGCCAGGCTGGTGTATTTAACTTAGTTTTGAACTATAAACACACCCCTAGAAAATAATGAAACAGCTCTGCCCCGTCACACCCTTGAGTCTCCTGAAATAATACAAGGAAAAACAGGCTTAGTCTCCTAAAAATCTATGAGTAGTTCCAGCTAATCTTTAGTTCCATGAAACTGAAACCAAAGGAACTCTGGAATGTATCAGATATTAGGAGTTTGGCTGTAATTGAGTCAAATTAGGAATATGATGAACCAAACAAAATGCAATTGATAGCATTATTTTGGGGACATAAAATTATTTATTAGAAGGGTGCTGAACTAGGGATAAAGTCTTTGCGTCATTAGAAGCTACTTTTCATCAGGAGAAGAGTTAAAACAAATAGAAATAAAGGCTATTCTACTGTTGGTTGTCATCCACCATAAACCAACAATCTCGTAGATCAGGGGTCCCCAACCCCAGGCTGCAGACCAGTACCAGTCTACCGCCTGATAGGAACCCAGCTGCCCAGGAGGAGGTGAGCAGTGGGCCAGTGAGCATTATTGCCAGTGCGCATTATTGCCTAAGCTCCGCCTCCTGTGAGATCAGTGCAGGCATTAGATTCTCAGATGCACAAATGCTATTGTGAACTGCCATGTAAAGGATCTAGGTTGTGTGCTCCTTAAGAGAATCTAACTAATGCCTGATGATCTGAGGTGGAACAGTTTTATCCACCCCCCACAACCCTGCCAGTCTGAAACCAGTCCCTGGTGCCAAAAAGGCTGGAGACTCTTCTAGATTGTTACGTATAAATAGGATATGGAGCCTAAAAACTCTTCCTTGTAATTCACATGCATAGTTGTTGGTAAAGAATTTCTGTTACTATACTGAAAGAGAAGCTGACCAATAATGTGTGATCAGACTAAAACTCACTGTAGCAATGACCTGCATAGCCAAAGTAGTCAGCCCGATGTGGAATACATGTCTAGAAAATTATTCTTCTCTGTTTGATCACAAAGTGGTTGATATAATAGGGTCTTTCATTGGACTGAGAGGCCTAATGTCTATTTCAGGTTCAATGTGCCTAAAGAAAAAGTGTATTTGTATTATACAGGAGGTTATTTGCAGTAGTGAACACAAAAATGTTAGTCATTTAAGATAATGATTACTTCTCACTTGTGTTGTATGTCACCAAGGGTTAGCCTCGGAGCTCTGCACATCATGGTTACTCAAGGACCTAAATTGAAAGTAATTTCGTTAATTTATCAATAGGGTTCCTATTTCAACGTCATGCCTCCCATTTGCCTTAGCAGGAAAGGTGAGCATGAGCATTTGTTCTCCCCTCTGAAATGCTTCTTTCAAAACAGACAAAGAGACTGTCATCCCTGCTCCTCACATTTAATAGACCTGTGCAGGTCACACAGGCATTCCTAACTTTAATAGAATATAGTTTCTTCTTGTCCATCCAGTAAAGCTTTAGTTATGTCTGCTACAACAGCTCTGAGTATGAAAAAAGTGTTACAATGGAAGCTGAGTGCAGCAGGGTGTCATAATGCAAAAAGAGAACAAAAGACTTAGCAGAAAATCTAGAGATATTGGTAGCAGAAAAAAAAAATGGGTATGGTGTAGTCAGTAAAAGGGAGCAGTGTCACCTCCAAATCTCCCTTCCTTTTCCTTCATTTAACTTTTGATTTCTCCTCTTTCTCTCCTTTTTTCTCTCATCCAGTATCTCATGCACACCACAAATAAAATTCTAAGGTTCCCCCTGCCCCAAACATCTGAATGGACCCAACCTCTCGGCCAAGGTCATTCCAAAATTAACCTGAAAAACTAGATCAGACCATGATGGGAAGGAGAAGTCCAAGATGCCTCATTATGCCCTTCTTCCTTTTGGAATTCAAGAAAACCCAACCAGTATTAACATCAACATAGACAGTAAGTCTGATTAGAAACATTTACAATCTATTCTCTCTGAAGCCTGGAGGCTTCATCTGCTTGATAAAACCTTTGTCTCCACAACCCCTTATTATAACTTAGACATTCCTTCCTACTGGTAACAACTCTTTCAACCAATTGCCAATCAGAACATTTTTAAATCTACCTATGATGTGGAAGCCCTCACCCTCACCACCCCCCGCTTCAAGTTGTCCTGCCCTTCCAGATTGAACTAATGTAAATCTTACATATATTGATTGATGTATTATGTCTCCCTGAAAACAAGCCCTACCCTAATCACCTTTGGGACATGTCATCAGGACCTCTTGAGGCTGTGTCATGAGTATATCCTTAGCCTTGGCAAAATTAACTTTTTAAATTGATTGAGACCTGTGTCAGATACTTTTGGGTTTACACGCATGTGGGATTAGGATATTGCTAAAAACTTGGAGGTAAAAAGATGGTGTATTCTGAATACCTAATGATGTTACTCAGATCACAGACCTGGCTCCACCATCATCTCAGGTCCTTTCAGGTTTTGGGGTGATAATGACAAGGCACATTCACATGTACTCATTTTCAGGTTAAGAATGTGAGGGCACTTTATCGCTGGCTGTCACTGTGGGTACAGAGTATGGGCTGATCTAATAGAAGGAGCAGGAATTAGAAATTTATCTCAACAGTCTGTAACACCCCGTTGTATCATTTTCTTCCTTTCAGTGAAAAGATGTATATTTATTGACACATCATGGTAGCCAACAGACAGGCAAAGAGCATGCGTGGCTCCACCAAGCTATTCTCAAAAGGAGGCCAGTGCCTTTACCTTTTAAGCACCTGAGCTATTGAAAATATAGTTCTTCTCTGTCATCACTAGAGAGGCTCAGCTGGTTCACTTCACTTCTTCCCAGTCATACTTATTTAAATACAAACCCAAATGTACATCATCATAACAAATTACTTATTTTTTAGTCTAAAAGCTTTTTCAAATTTGGTTTGGTGATCATCTAAACAGGATCTTCGTCTATAAGCCATGCCTAAAATATTCACAGGATTTTCTCTGATTATAAGTACAAGCTGTATCTAAAATAGTTTACTGTAAAAAATGTAGAATGATATAAAATGAAATGCTATAACACAAAATAAATTACAATGTGCTAATTTTATTTTAGTAATAAAATTACAAAAGTAATAACTAATGTTTTGATGAGCATTTCCTGTGTGCCAGGCATTCTGTTGAGTCTTTTATGTAGGCATTCTTATTTAATCATCACGAGAAACCTATGACAGCGTTTCTGTTATTGTCCCCAAAGTGACAAGTGAAGAACCGAGAAATTAAATAACTTTACCAAAAGTTGGAGACAGGACTATACTCTTTGATATTCATCATGATATATAGCTAATACAAATGCACAAGAAGCAATGAGAGTAGAGGCAAAGTTCTGTCTAAGTTTTCTGGAAGAAATCACATCAATAAAACCTTTACAGAGAATGTGATATTTTGAGGCAGGACTTGAGAACCCTTAGTAGTTTGCCTGTCCTATAAGCATTCTAGGCTGAGGGAAAAACATGTTAGAATAATATGAAGTTTAGAGGAAGTAAAGGAAACTAAGACTCAATAGGTTAAAAGATTAAATTGCAAAGTGCCTTTTGAGCCAAGCATAAGAGTTTATGGATTGTACAACGTAGGTGATGGGGAACTATTGAAGAATTATGAGCAAAAGGTAGCTCTGTATTATTTGCTTATGAAAAAAATAACAGCCTGTGGCAATGGAAGATGGATTGGAATAATATGGAAGGGAACTGTGGTGTTCACGCCTGTAATCCCAACACTTTGGGAGGCCAAGGTGGGTGGATAATTTGAGGTCAGGGGTTTGAGACCAGCCTGGCCAACATAGTGAAACCCTGCCTCTACTAAAAATACAAAAATTATCCAGGCACGGTTGTGTGCACCTGTAGTCCCAGCCACTGGGGAGGCTAAGGCAGGAGAATTGCTTGAACCCAGGAGGTGGAGGTTGGAGTGAGCCGAGACTGCACCACTGCACTCCAGCCTGGGCGACAGCACAAGACTCTGTCTCAAAAAAAAAAAATATGGAAGGGAACTCTAGACTCTTTAAATATATTGCACAAATATAGGTCTCAGAATCAATTAGTATAAAAAAATATGAATTACAGAGCCACACAGACCTGGGTTTGAAACCTAGTTGTACTATTAATACATAGTAACTCTGACTGCTATAATATTTTTTAACTTTTTTAAAGTCTTTTTTTATCAGTAAAATAGAAATGACCACAATACTTACCTTATTAGAATTGTTTAATGATTTAGTATAATAATGATTATCAACCCCTTAGCATAGTGCCCTAAATATACTATGCACTAAAAGCAATAAGCTATTATTATTATGAAAATGCTTCCTATAGTATTTGGCATGAAGTTGGTTCTTGGGAATTGGTAGCCTTTTTCTGTACCCATATCATCATCTTTATCAATCTACTTACCTACATACCTCAGTTGTAGTACCAGAATGTATTGCAGATAATGAATTAGACCACTGACAAGAAACATAAAGAACAGAAAATAACCTTCTGTGAACTTTTTCTACAGGATAAATAATAGGAACCAAGACCCTTTCTCTCTATATGTCCTCTTTCAAAGACCCGGTTCTCCCAGAGGAAATCAGAGAAGATCCTACATATTATACATGGGGAGATAGACATCTGATGAAAGCAAGAAGAAAATGTTATGGGCTGTGGTTTTTCAGGAGGTAGAAAGTAGAGCTTATTATGCCACAGGCCCTAAGATGGTGGACTCAGTAAAAAGCAGGAGTGAAAAAATTTCCTCTTTTGTAAATATCTCAGATGAAGCTACAGCAATATCAATGCAAGGGACATGGTAGTATGAGAAAGGAAAATAAATTTTGATAGCTTCCTATAAAAGTTAATGTTTAAAGAATCTCATATGTATAATTTTGATTCTATAATACTTAAAAATATGTGTGTGGCATATCCTTCAACATATATATATATATATATATATATATAAAATTTACACTTTAATTAGAAAAAACAAACTCTCTAAGTAATGCAAGAAGGAAAATAGTTAACACAAGGAGCTAGAATATTGGGAAAACATTGAGTATGTTGAAAGAGCAGAGACTAAGAAAAGCCACCTTAACTCTCAGGTCCACTGCAAGCTTTCTGAGAGTCAGGCAACTGCAGTAAACAAGAATTCACTGTGTGTGTTTGTAGCTGCCTCTAGGCCAAAGGCAGATAATTTTTAGGAGAATTCCCAGAAGCCGTTTCAAAACTTCATATCTGCTGAAGCTCACATATATCCCACTGATGCCCCAAGAGCAATAAGACATTTTTAGCCTCTCTTAAGCTTTCTGTTTCTCACATGAATGCCTCTCATTGGTAAATCTAGGCCACAATCCAGTTGTGAAAACAGAATAAAAGGGAAAAACAGAAGAATTTCTAAATAGTGCTAACTTGCCAAGAGTCAGAGATAGTGATGGAAAATAACTTTTATACTAAACTTGGTACTATATTATTCCACTGAAGATAAGATATTCATTAAAATTTTAGCCCAGAACTTTTTAGTTTGTCAAAAGATTATGGAATTTATTTATAATGATATGTGTACTTTCAGCATATTTCTTTATACATTGTTTTAAACATATGCATACTTCATAGAAGATTAACATGCAAACAAATGTAGATATCAACTAGAATAGTCTTTTCAATGAATGATGCTAGAACAAATGGATCTCCACATGTAGAAGAATGAAGTTAAACCCTACCATACACCATATACAAATATTATTCAAAATGGATCAGAGACATAAATATAATATATAAATGATAAAAATTACCAGAAGGAAACATAAGAATAAATCTTCATGACTTTTGGATTAGGTAATGCTTTTTTAAATAGAACACCAAATGCACAAAGAAGTAGGTGAATCCATCCTCATCAAAATGAAAAACTTGGTTTCAAAAGACAGCATTGATAAAGTAAAAAGACCAAAGAATAGGAGAAAATATTTGCAAATTATAGATATGATAAAGAACTTAATCGAGAATATGTAAAGGAGACTTATAAGTCAACAACAAAAAGATAAAGTCCCAACTAAAACACAAACAAAAGATGTAAATAGCCATATCTGCAAAATAGAAACAAATAAAAATATGTACACATGAAAAAAGATTCAAATTAGTTATCAGGGAAATTGAATCAAAACAACAATGAGATACCAAATCACATACACTGGGATGGGTAAAATAAAAGACACAATTTGAGCATCTGTAATCTGAAATCACTAATTCTCCAAAATCCAATTTTTTCTGAGCACCAACATAATGCAACAAGTGAAAATTTCACGCCTGACCTCATGTGATTGGTCACAGTCAAAATGCAGGTGCACAATACATAGATTATTCAGTATCCTCAAGGGGAGAATGACATTTGCAGCTGCCTTCAGATGTGGTATATTTTTTCCACACCTGCCCAGTTTCCCCCAACAAGCATGTCCACAAAAGGTAAAAAAATGGCATGTGTGCAGGTTGGACAAACCAAATGACAAGTTCCCCATGATGCCCCAAGTGGGGCCAAGACCTACTTGCATTGCTCACAGTGGTTTTTTGTGTATTCTCTCCTCTGTGGTGTAAAGGTGTTGTTGAAAATGTCAAAAAGGCCTGAAGGTACCCCTATAGATAACAGTGATAAGAGAAAGAGAGGGTATTTATGTTTTTCTATAGCACAGAAAGTCAAGCTGGTTGAGAAACTGAACAGCAGTGTAAGTATGAAACATCTTACAGATGAGTATGGTATTGGAATGACGTATGTCATGTAGCTGTATGACCTAAAGAAAGAGAAGGATAAGCTGTTGAAGTTCCATACCGCAAGTGATGGACAGACATTAAAGAAAAATAGAAAAACACTGCATAAAGCTAAAAATAAAGAACTTGATTATATATTGGAAGTATCGATCCATGAGTGTTGTAGTGAACACATGTGTAATGGTACACTGATCACGAAACAAGCAAAAATCTATTGTGATAAACTGAAAGTGGAAGAGAATTATGAATATTCAGGATGATAGTGGAAATTTAAGAAAAAACACAGTTGGCCAGGCCTGGTGGCTCATGCCAATAATCCCAGCACTTTGGGAGGCCAAGGTGGGTGGATCATGAGGTCAAGAGATCGAGACCATCCTGTCATACATGATGAAACCCCATTGCTACTAAAAATACAAAAATTAGCTGGGCATGGTAGCACACACCTGTAGTCCCAGCTACTTGAGAGGCTGAGGCAGGAGAATCGCTTGAACCTGGGAGGCGAAAGTTGCAGTGAGCCGAGATTGTGCCATTGCACTCCAGACTGGTGACAGAGCTAGACATCGTCTAAAAAAAAAAAAAAAAAAAAAGACGCGGCACTACTTTACTACTTTTTAAAAGATTATTGATGGTAAAGCATCTGCTGATCACAAAGCAGCAGAGAAATTCATTGACAGGTTTGCCAAGGTCATCAGTGATAAAAATCTGCCTCAGGAACAAGCCTATAATGCTGAAAAAACATCACTACTTTGGCCTCCTTATACCAGAACGATACTGACTACAGCCGATGAGACAGCACCTACAAGATTTAAGGATTCCAAGGACAGAATAACCGCTCTGCGATGTGCTCATACAGCAGACATATATCAGTGTAAACTTGCTGTGATAGGCAAACTTTTGTCTTAGCTGTTTTCAAAGAGTGAGTATCTTAGCAGTCCATTGTTATGCTAACAAAAAGGCATGGATCACCAGGAATATCTTTTCTCATTGGTTTCACAAACATTTTGTACCAGAGGCTTGTGTTGATTGCAGGGAAGCTGGACTGGATAATGCCTGCAAGATTTTGTTATTTCTTAACAACTGTTCTGCTCATTTTCTAGCTGAAATTCTCATCAAAAATAATGTTTGTGCCAGGTCCTTCCCCTGAAGTGTGACTTCCTAATTCAGCCTTGTGACCAGGGTATGCTTAGATCAATCAAGATTAAATATAAAAACACTTCCTTGAACAGCCTGTTATCAACGGTGAACTGAGATACGGGTGTGGAAGGTTTTCATAAGGTGTTTATCATGAAGGATGCCAGATAAGCTGTTGCCAAGGCTTGGGCCACAGTGACTAAGGACAGAGTTGTGCAGACTTGGCACAATCTCTGGTCTACAACCATGTTCACTGATGATGATGAATATGGTGGTGACTTTGAAAGATTCCACATGTCAAGTGAGAAAAAATGTCTGACCTCCTTACATATGCAAAGAGTATACCTTTAGAGTCCATCGGTAAGCTGGAAGAGGTGCATATTGAAGAGTTTTTAACATTGATAGTGAGGCTCCAGTTGTTCATATTGACCAATGGTGAAATAGCCAAAATGGTTCTGAATCAAGGTAACTGTGATAATAGGGATGATGAAGATGATGTTAACACTGCAAAAAAAGTGCCTATAGACAACATGGTGAAAATGTATGACGGGCTTATTGAACTAGAGCAGTGTGCATTCATGACAGAACAAGAAATAATTTCAGTTTGTAAAATCAAAGATTTCTAAGATAAAAACTGTTAATGAGGCAGATGACTTTGGAGGAGACATTTTTAAAAGCCATCCAGCAGATTGCCTCCTTATGTGCTGGTTGCTCAACTGCTTCTGATGTTCTCACCTAAAAATAAGATGTACAATAATCTTATAATCAAAACACAGCACCGTAGGTGGAGTCTGAAAGTCTGCTGTTGTTTGTTGTTTTGTTCTTTAAGAGCTGATACAGGTATTCTGGCGATGCTGCTGTGCTGCTTAGTTACCCTGAATACATTATTTTTTCACTGTATGAATGGTATGTCATTTTTTTTTTTACTGTGAAGTACTTACGTGTGATTAAGTGTAAGAAAATGATTGCTTATATGTAGCATATAAATTCAGACTCAGAAATGATGGAGATGCCACACAAGCACAGTTTATCCACATGGGTGACTAAGATAGACGCCTTTGCTTTCTGATGTTTCAATGTACACAAACTTAGTTTCGTGCATAAAATTATTTTAAAATATTGTATAAATTATCTTCAGGCTACGTGTATAAGGTGTACACATAAATTAATTTTTGTGATGCGACTTGGGATTCCTCCTGAACATTTCTCACAATGTATATGCAAATATTTCAAAATCTGAAAAAATCCAAAATCTAAAACACTTCTGGTCCCAAACATTGCAGATAAGGAATACTCAATCTGTTCGAAATGTTGGTTAGGATGTGGAGAAATTGGAATCCATAGACATTGCTGACAGGATTATAAAATGGTTAGGTGGGGCACGGTGGCTCATGCCTGTCATCCGGGCACTTAGGGAGGCCGAAGGGGGCGGGTCACCTGAGATCAGGAATTTCACACCAACCGGGCCAACGTGGTGAAACTCAACTCCCTCTCCACTAAAAATACAAAATTAGCCAGGCGTGGTGGTGGGCGCCTGTAATCCCAGCTATTCAGGAGGCTGAGGCAGGAGAATAGCTTGAGCCCGGGAGGTGGAGGTTGCAGTGAGCCGAGATCATGCCACTGCACTCCAGCGTGGGCAACAAGAGCAAAACTCCGTCCAAAAAAAATACATAAATAAATAAATAATAAAAATAATAAAATAAAATGGTTCAACCATTTTGGAAAAGTTTGCCATTTTCCCAAAATGTTAAATACAGACTTACCATATGATGTAGCAATTCCACTCTTAAGTATATACTCAAGACAATTGTAAACATATGTCCATGCAAAAACTTGCATATGAGTATTTATGGCAGTATTATTCATAATAGTCAAGATGTGGAAACAACCCAAACATCAGTTGATGAATTGATAAACAAAGCATCATGTATCTATGCAATATTATTTGTTCATAAAAATAATTTAGTAGTGATACATGTTATAACACAAATGAACCTCGAACATCATTGTAATGAATCAAACTAGACAAAAAGGCCATGTAGTGAGTGATTCTATTTATGGGACATGTCTAGAATAGGCAAAATAATAGAGAAGAAAATAGACAGTACTTTCTAGGGACTGAGGTAAAGGGGAAATGGGTAGTGAATGCTATAGGGTTTCTTTCGGGTGTGACAAAAATATTCTAAAATTAGGTGGTAATGGTTGTTCTAAAATTCGATTTTGGTAAATATGCTAAAAACTACTGGATTGTGCACTGTAAATGGTTTAATTTTATGGTATATGAATTATATCTCATAAAAAGCTATAATTTAAAAAATGACAGAGCAGAAATGTGAAAAAAGAAAACCCTAAGAAGAGAATGCTAGCAATTTAACCTTTTATGTTTAGAAGTATTATAAGCTATGAAATATTAAAGAAACTATAAAGTAATATATAAGATGAATTATTTTAAATGTAAAGGTATAAAAAATGAAAAGGGATTTAGGGTGGTTTATGATTTAAATGATAAATGACCCCATGGCAATGATCATTGTTGCTTTGCACTGTAACCAACATAGTCCCAATACAATGTAAATGCCTACTCCATACTTTTTTCTCTCTTTCTTTCTTTCTTTCTTTCTTTCTTTCTTTCTTTCTTTCTTTCTTTCTTTCTTTCTTTCTTTCTTTTCTTTCTTTCTTCTGCAACCTCGACTACCAGTGATTCTGCCACTCAGCCTCCTGAGTAGCTGGGATCACAGGTGCGCACAATCACGCTCAGCTAATTTTTGTATTATTTGTAGAGACAGGGTTTTGCCATGTTGCCCAGGCTGGTTTCAAACTCCTAGGCTCGACTGATCTGCCTGCCTTGGCCTCCCAAAGTGTTGGGATTACAGGCGTGAGCCACCACACCTGGCCAATACATACTTTTAATTATACTACTCTTTCAGTTTTAGCATTGTTATTTTAAGAATGTGTAATGGCTAGCACTTAGCCTTAGTAAAACTAAAGACCTGGAAATGTATTCTATTTTTTTTTAAAGGTCCCAGCAAGGTCTTCAAAAGGGATTCTAAAATTTAAAATTCCATTACATGTACATTATAATAAAATAAAGGTGAGGCAATAAAGGTAAGGTAATACCATAAAATAAAGATAGTAAAATGCAAAATTCAAGATGCTAAAGGAATTAGTAAATAACGCTAAATTAGAAGAAATTTGGAAGAAAATATATGTTTTGTATTTATTAGGTTTCATCTAAAGCAAAGAAAGTTATTTTTAGAATCAGTGATATCTTTCTTATTTATAACAGTGCATGAAGATAACTAAATTTACTAGGAGAGAATGATATTGAATTATTCAACAGAAATACTTTAGGTTTTTTTCACAACGATGAAATGAAGAAAACATAAAAATAACGAATCGGCATATTTGAGTTTTAAGTATCTAGATAAAGATGAATATTGGCCACATTTAAATTTCAAATAAGATCTATGATTTTCTTGGTTCAGCACTGTAGCAAAATGTTATTTTTCTTATGTACCAGTAATAAATACTTTATGTACAGTGGATATTTTCTCTTTCATACTTGCTAATTTAAAAAGAAAATGAGTGATAATAAAGTAAGTTGTGAATAGATTGCCATAGTATTCTATACAATCATCACTTCTTTTTTTACTTTAGCTATACTTATGCCTCATTTTCATTATATTTCTCTAAAATTCATTTTTACTTCTACGAACTCATCTTATTTCCTCTGTCCTATGATCTCATCTTATTACCTCTTGTCATTTTATGTGTCTTTTAGCATAATTCTCCTATTATATATTTTACTCATCTGCTTTGTTTCATAAATCTGTTTATTAGATATGAAAATATTTTCCTTTATAATCAAATGTTAATTCTTTCCTAAAACACTAGTTCACATACATGAAAAACTATAACCTGTCTTTGAAGTTAAGTCAATTAGAAGAGATTACTAGTAGCAGTTTTCTTTCACTTACTGGGATTATTTTAATTTTCTACCTCTCTACAGGAATCTGAATCATCTCCCCAACCCATAGGATTTTGGGTTCACTACACTGATGATATCTTTTTAGGATCTGGTGGCAAGAATCAACAAATACCCTAGATGCCTTGGTGTGACATACAATGTGCCAGATGGTGGGAAGTATTCCCCATGAAAATTTGGGCGCCTGCCACCATGGTGAAGTTTCTAAGTTGCCAGTGGTCTATGCCACATTAACTCATTCTCTACAAGGTGGAAGTTAAGTTGCTATACCTTACACACCCCTGCCATTGAGAAAAAGACCCTTTAGAGTCTGCAGGCAAAATGCATTCCCACCATTCCTACAGCCTGTACCTGTGATCTCATGGGAAGTTTTCTATAGCCAACTGTATGAGAAAGCTAAAAAAAATTAAGGCTGGTTTACACATTAAAAATAGATTTGCAACAAGTAACAACTACACAACTATAACATAACAACTCCACTCACTGGGGCCCTAGAAGACAGCAGGGGCAGAAACTTGGGCAGTGCACTTCAATGGTAGTGGAGATGACTAGACATATGGACACATACCCATGGATGAATGGATGGTGTCAGTAGATTTCCTGAACAGTCATACAACATGAAAGGAAACTGACTTGAGGAGTAGTGACAAGGAAGTCAGAGGAAGAGGTAAATGGGAAATCAGCAAAAGACCTCTCGGGTCGTTACTTAGTGCAAATATATTTGTATCTCACATATACACTGCCTTGGCACAGGGCATACACTGCAGAGGAGTCTAAATAATCACATTGACAAGGTGACCTGCTCTGTGGATGTTGGAAGTCAGGCTGCCTTAATGCTTTTTGTTTTTAGAGACAGGGTCTTGCTCTGGTGCTCAGGTTGGAGTGCAGTGGCATGATTACATCTCAGTGCAGCCTCAAACTCCTGGGCTCAAGCAATCCTCCTACCTCTGCATCCTGAGTAGCTAGGACTATAGGGGCAAGTGCCACCATGCCTGGCCTTTTGTTTTTTTTAAGTTTTTTGTAGAAACGGGATCTTGTCATGTTGCCCAGGCTGGTCTTGAACTCCTGTCCTCAAGCAGTCCTCCCATCTCAGCCTCCCAAAGTACTGGATTATGGGCATGAGCCACCATGCCTGGTCAATTATCAGTCCTTTTTAACAACCACCCCACTGTTTGCCCAATAAATTCAAGAACGAGTTGTTCAATGCAGCTTAAATGGAAATTAGGCAAGAGTTAAACCATATGAGTGTAACCCTTTTCAAGGCTAACCTGGCCAGGAAAGTTGCTAAGTAATGAGTTTGCCAAGAGCTGAAATGAAAGCTGAGTCGCCAATATGGTACCATTCTCCGGGACATCTGGTGGCAAACTGATTACATTGGATTTTTATGTCATACTAAGGGTACCAATTTGAAATCACTGAAATAGACACCGTGGGTATGGATTTTCCTTCCCAGTCCCATAATATTCTGTCAGAAACATCGTCCTTGGATTCACTGAATGCCTTACTCATTATCTGTATTTGTCTGTTCTCACACTGCTATAAAGAACTACCTGAGATTGGGTAATTTATGAAGAAGAGAGGTTTATTTGACTCACAGTTCTGCAGGTTGTACAGGAAGCATGGCTGGGAGGCCTTAGGAAACTTGTAATTACGGCAGAAGGTAAAGGGGAAGCAAGCATGTTTTACCATGGTGGAGCAGGAGAGAGAGCAAAGGGATAAGTGCTACACACTTTTTTTGAGACAGGGTCTTGCTCTGTCCCTCAGGTTGGAGTGTAGGGTTGCGATCTTAGCTCACTGCAACCTCTGCCTCCTGGGCTGAACCAATGCTCCCACCTCAGCCTCCCCAGAAGCTGGCACTACAGGCAGGCACCACTACACCCAGTTAATTTTTGTAGAGATGGGGTTTTGCCATGTTGCCCTGGCTGGTTTCAAACTCCTGGGCTCAAGCAATCTGCCCGCCTTGGCCTCCCAAAGTGCTGAGATTACAGGCATAAGCCACTGCGCCCACCCATGCTACACACTTTTAAACAACCAGATCTTGTGAAAACTCATTATCATGAAAACTAGAAGGGAGAAATATGCCCCCATGATCTAATCACCTCCCACTACGTCCCTCCCTCAACACTGAAATTATAACATGAGTTTTGGGTGGGGACACAGAGTCAAACCATATCACTGTCATTGGATCCCAAATATTGTTTCTGACCAAGGAACTCATTTGCTGTGAGATTAGTGAGAGGATAAACTAACACTATGAGATTCACTGGTTTTACAAGGTACTCTATCACCTTGAGGTACAGTGAGAACACATAGGTCTGGAACCAGTGGAAGAAATAATAGTGGTTTGTTTTACTCTTAGTATCCTAATTCCTGTTCTAACAACTTTGGACTCTTGTTCCTAATGGAGGAATTATTCTACCATGGCATAAAACTAAATGTCTATGCAACTAGAAGTTGAGATTGCCATCATAATATGTCATATAAAGGAACTAACAGGCAAATCAGGGGTGTACTGAACAGTTTGGGGTAAATGATCCTGATTATTAAGGGAAAAGAAGGTCACTGCTACACAGTCGGTGGAATGTGGAAAACTCTTACTGCTTCCATCTACCATGGGAGAAATTAAGAGACAACTCTAGCAACTGAATGCAGATAGGATCACCAAAATTTAGGGCACTCCACCAAGGAAAAAACCATAGCACCTTAGGTGCCAGCTGAGGACATAGAATAATCACCAGAAAGGGAAGTTCTTAATATTAATTATTGCTTTATATCTAGAGGCAGAAATTACTATAGTACTCAGGCATGCTTTCTTGCTTGATTTGCTGTGAATATATTTGTGTATATTAACCTATGTAATTTTTGATATCAAGTATTTTAGTGGTGGATAACCTGATAGTTTAGCGTTTAGGTTAAAGTTTATCAAAAAGGATTGTTACCAAACTGAAATTTTACTAATTTGGGTAAAATAACTGATAGAATTTGTGATCTTTTCTTTGTATTGAGAGAGTAAATTTCTTTTGAATAAGAAATAATTCCAATATGTTAGGTTTTAGACTGTTGCTATTTTTTTTTTTTGGTGTTTGTATGTTTAAATATAGATAGAAAGATTTATATGGATGCTAAATGGCCAGATGACTGACTGCTGCATATTATTTCTTTGAGAGAAGCCAACATGCACCCTTATTTCTTTTTCTGGTTGTCCTCAAATCACAGTGACTAGAAGCCTAGAAAATACATTACCCAGAATCCTTTGCCAGCAGGTTTCCTGGTTAGAGTTCACCAAGCAGAGGTTACAAAGCCTGAAAGGTAAACGAAAAGTGGAAACCATTATTCTTTATTCAGTGGGGAGATGTCTTGGGCTTCAACAGATGTGATGCTTTGCAGCTCCTCCGGATCCCCTGGAAATTGTTCACCAGGTGCTATGGTGAGCTAAGATCCATGGTGAAGGGCTTCCTGTGATTCCTGAAACTTCCTAATCCTCTCACGGCTGGTGATGAAACTGAGTGTTCTTTATGATCGAGTAATAGCGAGTGTTCTTTATGATTGCTGCTCCTCCAGCCCTTTCTATGCATTTTTAAATCACTAAGTTCACTGTATTAAATTTATGCTTGCTTTAAATATCAGAGAGTTAAAAACAATTTTTTTCTAATAGAACCCTGACTAACACCATGACATTGCTCAAATGAATCCTGAAAATTTTAGATTTGGCAACACAATTTGATTTAGCCTGCACTTTTTCAAAAAATTGACAGGTCGACTCTTTTTTTTTTTTTAATTATACTTTTAGGGTACATGTACACAACGTGCAGGTTTGTTACATACGTATACATGTGCCATGTTGGTGCGCTGCACCCACTAACTTGTCATTTCTATTAGGTATATCTCCTAATGCTATCCCTCCCCTGTCCCCCCACCTCACAACAGGCCCCAGTGTGTGATGTTCCCCTTCCTGTGTCCAAGTGTTCTCGTTGTTCAGTTCCCACCTATGAGTGAGAACATGCGCTGTTTGTTTTTTTGTCCTTGAGATAGTTTGCTGAGAATGATGGTTGACTCTTAACACACTGAGCGAAATCCTTAAACAGGCTTTACAGGATGGGAAATGAGAGAATATGATTGATCATTGAGGAAAATGTAAAATCTATGACACAGTGCATATAGGATGGTGCTTACCTAAGATTATAATGGAATAGAAAAATTCCTATTGCCTACCACATCGTAACCATCCTAAGGTTGTGACACAACCTATTACCTTTCTATATTTAGATATACAAATATGTATCATTGTGTTACAATTGTCTACAGTATTCAGTATAGTCATATACTGTACAGGTTCACAGCCTAGGAGCCATAGGCTATATACCATATGCCCTCAATGTGTAGTAGGCCATATCATATAGGTTTGTGAAACTACTACACTCCATGATGTTTGCACAGGCAATGCCTAATGATGCTTTTCTCAAGATGTATCCCTGTCGTTGTCACGCTGTATTTTGAAATAACATTTCTTGAGTGCTTAGCTTGTGTTAGACTTTGTTCTGAGAACTTTACATGCATTAGTTTATTTGATCCTGACAACAAACCAGTGAGGGAGGCATTAGTATTACTCTTACTTCATGGATATAAAAACAAAGGTTTAGAGGGGAACTTGTCTGAAATAGCATAGCTTGAAAATGGTGGAAACTACATTCATATCCAGGCATTCTCACTCCACAGACCTTACTCTTAAGTACTGTAATGTGCTGCTTTGTAATACAATTTTAAAAGGTCAATTCAAAGATACACAATCAATAAAAGTGATTAAAATGAATAATGCAGATGAACATAGGTCTTATATAAATCAAAATGTTTTCCGAGGCTTACTGTGTGACATGAATATGCTTCTTTTTGTCTCTTATCTTTTTGTGCACTCTTATTTCAACCACTGTTCTGGTTTTGTCTGTCTGCTAAAAAATAGTGATGATGGTTATGTTAATAACTAATATTTATTGAGCAGATATTCGTCAGGCACTGTACTAAACACTTCACATATATATTTCATCCATTCTTCACAATAATTGCACTCTTGGCTACACTTTACAGCCTGGAAAGTTGAGGCTTAGGTGATTAGGTGATTTGTCCATGCAGAAGACAATATAAAATCATAACCCCACCTCCTTGGTGCAGGCCTGTCACTTACTCACCAGGTGACTGCATTTAGGAAGCTGCCAGTCTGAAGAAAATACATTCATGTTCCTTGGAAAAAGCCCTGATCTCAGAAGGCGTTGATGAAATTCAAATTTAAGCTTCTCTCTCCTTTCTTCTCTCTATAAATACCTTTGTGAAAACAAGCTCATGCCCAGGACCTAAATTAAACTAAAGTGTCAAAGGAAACGAGGCCAGTAGCCTACAAGAAAATCTAGTTTCTGCTTTGTGACTAGTGGATTTTTATAGGACTCTATGCTTCTTGAGAAGAACTCTGGTTTATTTCCTGCAGTTTAAAACTTTTAATCTCTTAGTTTAAAAGAAGATAAAACTAACTGGGAAAAGCCGATGCTGCATACATGTAAGGCAGAGTTTTGCAGGTAGCTTGATGTTTGAAGTAACCTGAAGGCATTTATTTGCCTTTTCATCACTATCTTTCCCAAGAGATACGAACACCTAATTGGAGCTGGTGAGGGGAGAAAGCCTGGACCTAAGCCCTTTGAGGTTTCAGGCTCCAGAACTCTAAGAGGAAAAGAGGATTAATAAAGCTTCTTATGTCAGCAGATTGACATACTACACATTACTCTGTGCTTCAATTTGATCTGCATTAAACACATCAGCTGGAGAACAGCCCTGTATCTGTTAGCTACCAGTCTTAGTGTGATCCAGATTCCATCTTTAGTACACTTCTGAAAATCCTGTTGCTTCTTTCAGAGGCAGTTATCTGCCAGGTGCTTTGTTATGCGTTCTCATAACACCCTATTAAACTTTGTGGCACTTACCACATTTGTTATATATTTGTAAAACTATCCATTTTATATTTGTCTTCCTCCTTTGCCTAGAGATTATGTTATATTGTAGATTAGAGAAGTTGACTTTGTTGTAATTGTAAACTAACAATCAAAGGCTGTAAGCTACAAGGTAAAAAAAAAGGACGAGGAGGGAACACTTTTTAAAGAAGGCAAATCAATAAATGAAGCTTAATGTTTTAGAACTTCAGTGGATACAAGTATGAGCAGAAAAATATAAAAATATCCTCAGGTTTAGGGAAGGCTTTGTCAATAATTCTAATTCTACTGACACACGATTATATGGTGTGGGAGCTGTTAAGCCATTGGGTTGAAACAAATTTAATTTGGAGACATTTGCTCCATTTAGATTGTTATGGTGTAAAGAATCAAAAATTTTAAGCTTGGAAGAAATTTAAATAATAGTCAAATATTTTAATTTTACAGGTGAAGAAGGTAGGTGCTCAAAGTCATACAATTATTAGTTTAAAAGCTGAAATTAAAAGTAGACATATTATCAACATCAGTACCCTTTCCAATAAATGGAAGAAATTACTAAGTTTTAAAAATTTACATCAGCCAGTCAATGCCCTCTCTTATAAGCAATAGAAATAGACTGTGGTTTCTTTTAATAGAAATAAAATTTACAGAATCATTTTAGGAACTTGTGAAATAAAATCCCTATCAACTAGGCTTTAATTGACTTAACCAAGTGGCAGACTTGGGTCAAAACTCCACCAACTTTCTAACTGCAGTAAACTCCCATTCTTACTGGTGATTGCAATGGCAGTGTGGGAAATGGGAATTAACATTGGCTCAGTGTACCAATTCCTTTAAAGGTCTGAGCAAATCCCTTTCTCCTATTACATCCTATCATAGGATGTAAAATCTGTCATCAATAATTTTATATTGCTTATATGTTGAAATTATAATGATTTGGGTACATTTCATCCAATAAAATATAAAAGATAATTTTATTTGCTTACTTTTACTTTGTGGCTATTAGAAAATTTAAAATTGCAAGCAAGGCACATATTTGCAGCTCACATTGTTTCTATTAACAGCCTTCGCCAAGGCACAGTAATGTGGGTAACTGGTAAGTCACTCTAGAAGAGCCAATAATTAGACCCAAAATTTGAGGTAACACACGGAATCATGAATCTCTGGGAGGTGTGTTTATATTGATACCTTCAGCCCAATTTTAAATAATATTACTTCCTCCTTTGTTACATACTTTCAGAATTTATTTCCATTAATATTTCCACACATTTGCAGACATAAGAACCAAAGTTCTGAAATTCTTTGAGCCTGTGAGTCTATAATTTTGAAACCATGTTGATAATGGCTTCAGCAGGAAGTATGGAAACAATGAAAGATGTGCCGTCGTTGGATATGAAAGATACTGTCTTAATTTCCCAGATAACACTCATGTAAGGAAGTTGCAGTATTTTAAGTAAATGGGAAGGAGTTTCCTTGTCTGGCAATAGAAGGTTAGTGGGATTGAGGAATGAGGGTATTTCAAGTCTTCCAGAACCTCTCTCATTTACCCGTCTCTTTTGTGTCCTCACTCTTTCTCAGTCAATGCCGTATATCTCATGTAAGAGAATTAGCAAGACCATGATTTCAGTGATATTATAATTTGGCAATCAAATTTTGGTATTTGGCTAGTTCAGTACCAATGCTGTAAGAGAAATATTTTGTTTTTTTTAAGTTTTAATTTTTAGTTTTTAAGTACATTAATAAAAAATACCAGAGTTTCAGACTGGCCCTCACGTTGATGGTTTAGGGAAGTACTGTTAATAGAAACAATATGAGCTGTGAATATGTGCCTTACATGCAATTTTAAATTTTCTAGTAGCCACAAAGTAAAAGTAAACAAATAAAACTATATTTTATATTTTATTTAATGAAATGTACCCAAAATATAATTTCAACATATAAGCAATATAAAATTATTAATGACAGACTTACATGTTATTATACTTAAGCACCAAGTCTTCAATATCACTGGTATATTTAGCCATGTGGGACTAGAGGGTAGGACAGCATGGGTTTCATTCTCTTTCTCTCTAAGCTTTCTGTTATGACTATAAATAGCCACCTGTCTTACAGTCTTGAATTCCTCCTGCATTGTATACCTTAGTTGCTAATTGCTAGATTTCCAACTGTTGATAGTTACAGGAGATTTTTATTTCCCTTCAGTACTTTTTAGGCAAGAATCCTCATTTCTCTATCTACTGCCTACAGTCTATTCCCAAATACCAATTTCTTCACCAGAGTTTCTGTAGTAAGCAGCAAAGCCAACTCTTGAGAAGTTAAGCAGAAATTGTTTTCTGGATGAATAATGATTAGTTCAGAAATTCACAGGAAAGCTAAAGATTCAGTCTGAGAAAATAAGCATGCACCAAAAGGTTAGGCATCAATGAACACAACCAAGGTCGTGCTAAGGATACCATTCTTGGCACCTCTGCAAGACTCTCTCAATATTGCTATGCTAGAGTCGATTGGACCTGCATCTTTGCATCACCACTTCAAAATTCAAAGTTGAAGCTGAAGCACTTCACTGGTCAAGCATCATGATCTGGCAGCCAAGAGAGTCATGGAGATGAGATATCTAGATGCTTCCATTTCTGTACTAAGAGGTAGAATTTTCTCATTACTTAAATCAGGGGAATTCTTCCCAAATAAGATGGCTGGTAGGATATGAGATAGAAAAAGAAGTCACTCCACTATAAAATCACCCAAGAAATAAACATAGTAGAATAATTATTTCCTTGTTTAAGGCAAATAATTTATAGTGTCATTAATGTGCTCAATAAAAACTAGGGGCCTACTGACTTCTTTGAAGAGAGAGTTTATTCTTTTTTGTGATTCAAATTATATTGTCAAATATTTTAAATTTCAAAAAGTAGTATTTCTGGTTTAATAGGTCAAATTTTAAAAGTCATAATCTTTCCTAAAATAACAAGAGTTAACAGTTTGATGTGATTTTTTTCCCATTTGTGTGTGTGCGCGCACACACGTGTGTGCCAGAAGTGATATTTTAGAAGTTTCTCTACCTGAATTGTTTTGAAATGGAAACAAAAATCCATCTATTCTTTTTTTAAAACTGATACTATATTTATCTTAGAAGAGTCTATAGAAATATAATGATACTATACATCTAATGACAGTGACTGAGATTAAAAAATTTTTGTTTTTTTATTGTGGTAAAAACAATTAACATAAAATTTAACATCTTAACAAATTTTTTTATTATTATTATACTTTAAGTTTTAGGGTACATGTGCACAATGTGCAGGTTAGTTACATATGTATACATGTGCCATGCTGGTGTGCTGCACCCATTAACTCGTCATTTAGCATTAGGTATGTCTCCTAAAGCTATCCCTCCCCCCTCCCCACACCCCACAACAGTCCCCAGAGTGTGATGTTCCCCTTCCTGTGTCCATGTGTTCTCATTGTTCAATTCCCACCTATGAGTGAGAATATGTGGTGTTTGGTTTTTTGTTCTTGTGATAGTTTATTGAGAATGATGATTTCCAATTTCATCCATGTCCCTACAAAGGACATGAACTCATCATTTTTTATGGCTGCATAGTATTCCATGGTGTATATGGGTCACATTTTCTTAATCCAGTCTATCATTGTTGGACATTTGGGTTGGTTCCAAGTCTTTGCTATTGTGAATAGTGCTGCAATAAACATACGTGTGCATGTGTCTTTATAGCAGCATGATTCATGGTCCTTTGGGTATATACCCAGTAATGGGATGGCTGGGTCAAATGGTATTTCTAGTTCTAGATCCCTGAGGAATCGCCACACTGTCTTCCACAAGGGTTGAACTAGTTTACAGTCCCACCAACAGTGTAAAAGTGTTCCTATTTCTCCACATCCTCTCCAGCACCTGTTGTTTAGAAAAAGAGGGAATCCTCCCTAACTCATTTTATGAGGCCAGCATCATCCTGATACCAAAGCTGGGCAGAGACACAACCAAAAAAGAGAATTTTAGACCAATATACTTGATGAACATTGATGCAAAAATCCTCAATAAAATACTGGCAAACCGAATCCAGCAGCACATCAAAAAGCTTATCCACTGTGATCAAGTAGGCTTCATCCCTGGGATGCCAGGCTGGTTCAATATATGCAAATCAATAAATGTAATCCAGCATATAAACAGAACCAAAGACAAAAAACACATGATTATCTCAATAGATGCAGAAAAGGCCTTTGACAAAATTCAACAACCTTCATGCTAAAAACTTTCAATAAATTAGGTATTGATGGGACATATCTCAAAATAATAAGAGCTATCTATGACAAACCCATAGCCAATATCGTACTGAATGGGCAAAAACTGGAAGCATTCCCTTTGAAAACTGGCACAAGACAGAGATGCCCTCTCTCACCACTCCTATTCAACATAGTGTTGGAAGTTCTGGTCAGCGCAATCAGGCAGGAGAAGGAAATAAAGGGTATTCAATTAGGAAAAGAGGAAGTCAAATTGTCCCTGTTTGCAGATGACATGATTATATATCTAGAAAAGCCCATCATCTCAGCCCAAAATCTCCTTAAGCTGAAAAGCAACTTCAGCAAAGTCTCAGGATACAAAATCAATGTACAAAAATCACAAGCATTTTTATACACAAATAACAGACAAACAGAGAGCCAAATCATGAGTGAACTCCCATTCACAATTGCTTCAAAGAGAATAAAATACCTAGGAATCCAACTTACAAGGGATGTGAAGGACCTCTTCAAGGAGAACTACAAACCACTGCTCAATGAAATAAAAGAGGATACAAACAAATGGAAGAACATTCCATGCTCATGGGTAGAAGAATCAATATCATGAAAATGGCCATACTGCCCAAGGTAATTTATAGATTCAATGCCATCCCCATCAAGCTACCAATGACTTTCTTCACAGAATTGGAAAAAACTACTTTAAAGTTCACATGGAACCAAAAAAGAGCCTACATCACCAAGTCAATCCTAAGCCAAAAGTACAAAGCTGGAAGCATCATGCTACCTGACTTCAAACTATACTACGAGGCTACAGTAAACAAAACAGCATGGTACTGGTACCAAAGCAGAGATATAGATCAATGGAACAGAACGGAGCCCTCAGAAATAACGCCGCATATCTACAACTATCTGATCTTTGACAAACCTGAGAAAAACAAGCAATGGGGAAAGGATTCCCTATTTAATAAATGGTGCTGGGAAAACTGGCTAGCCATATGTAGAAAGCTGAAACTGGATCCCTTCCTTACACCTTATACAAAAATTAATTCAAGATGGGATTAAAGACTTAAATGTTAGACCTAAAACCATAAAAACCCTAGAAGAAAACCTAGGCATTACCATTCAGGATATAGGCATGGGCAAGGACTTCATGTCTAAAACACCAAAAGCAATGGCAACAAAAGCCAAAATTGACAAATGGGATCTAATTAAACTCAAGAGCTTCTGCACAGCAAAAGAAACTACCATCAGAGTGAACAGGCAACCTACAAAATGGGAGAAAACTTTCGCAACCTACTCATCTGACAAAGGGCTAATATCTAGAATCTACGATGAACTCAAACAAGATTTACAAGAAAAAAACAAACAACCCCATCAAAAAGTGGGCGAAGGACATGAACAGACACTTCTCAAAAGAAGACATTTATGCAGCCAAAAAACACATGAAAAAATGCTCACCATCACTGGCCATCAGAGAAATGCAAATCAAAACCACAATGAGATACCATCTCACACCAGTTAGAATGGCCACCATCTTAACAAAGTTTTAAGTGCACAACATTGTTAGCTAGATGGATGATGTTGTACAGAGATTCTCTAATTTTGATGTTGCCAGTCTTAAAGTCCCCAAGAAAAGGAATCGTTCAGTTCTTAGAACTGCTTAAACTGTAAATTAACATTTGTGTTAATGTCAATGTCACTCTGCTTGGATTTAAAACACATTTTTTATTGCCATTTGTCATGTCATCATTTCAAAGGTTAGAAAAAATGATTTATACTATACTGCAATCTTTCCCATTTCCATTTTCTCTATGTAATGAAATGTGAAAATGGCAAGACAGTTTAAATGAACTCTGTGGGATCAAGGGACTGTGTAGAACCTTGTCACAACCAACCAATAGAGCCTCTTAATCAAGAGGAGTGTATGCAGGACACAACACAGCTGAATTTCAATCCAGGAGCTGGCAGACACAGAGCAACGGAGAACTAAGGAAATTTAAAAATGAGTTGTAATCTAATTTTGATTGACTCTAAATGGAGATTGACACAAGGAAAATCAGGTGCTGACTGTTCCAGGTTGCCATCTATTATTTCTGAGAAAACTCAGAAATTATAATGTATTATTTCTGAGAAAACTCAGAAATAATAGATGGCAACCTGAAACAGTCAGGTTTTAGGCTAATCAAAAACATTTATTAAAGCTAACAGAGTTTTTGATTAGGACAATATTCTAGTCATAATGTAAAGGTAAGCCTAACTTTACAAAAAAATCAGCTATGATTTCATTTGTTCTATTTCCTCCTCCATACATTATAATTAACATTTGTATTAAGTGCCTACTATGAACACATACTGAACACCTAATATGAAGCCATATACCTACATGATTAATTCAACTTCCGTATAATGATTTGAAATGCCAGTTTTGTAAATGTGTCCCAGCTGATTATATTGGAAGCAATTTGATGTAATCAGCCAGCTAAGTGACTTATCTCCACCTGGCATATTGCTACTTTCTTCACGCTGCATCAGTCACTAGTGCCAAAATGAGCTATGACTCCAGCTGCTCTGGCAATGATGCCCATACCTACTCAGTTATAGAGCACTTTGCTTCATTAGACACTGAGGAGCACTTTAAATAGTACAGCAACCAACTATATTTAGGGTCTTTATTTCCCAGAGTATTATACATGCCAAAAGATAAGGGGGGAAATCAATAGAGACAGACTGCCTTATATTTTTCCTGCAGAGTATTCTTGGCAATGAGAAGCAAGTCACCATGAGGATGACTGAATGAGATACCAGAGCTCAGGGTAAACAGAAGCAACCTATTACTAGCACATCCGATTTTGTTTTCTAGCTTCTAGCATATTTCTACTCGTTACAGCACATGTTCACCTCATCATTTCACTGATCGTTTAATATCTGCCCTGTGAACATGAATCCCGAGTACTAAGAACTTCATTCGTATTTTCTGTTTCAAGATTCTGCTAAATAGTATGCTCTACACAACTGCATACATATTATGAGGGAGTCCAGAAACTCATATAAACTTACTTTTGTTGGCAAATCATGTTAAGTGCTCTTGAAGCTTACCTGAAAATGTATATATACCTTCTTCTATAATGTCCACTTCATTTTAGGATTTAAAAAAAGATTATTCAACAAATATTTACTGAGAACCTATTACATTCCAGAAATTCTTCTAGTATCAGTGGTTAGAGCATGAACAAAGTTATATAATATCTCTTATATGAAATTTACATCCAAGTGGGGTGAGGCAGAAAACCAACAAAATATAAAACATGAGATGGTGATAAGTGCTATGGGCCAAAATAAATCATGCTAGTGGGTAGCGTATATTGGAGGTATACTGTTAAACAAGATGGCCAGGGAAGGTCTTGCCAAAAAGGTAACATTTAAACAAAGACCTGAAAGGAGAGAAGGATCAAACTTTTTATATACACAATCAAGTCATTAATATGAAAATAGATGACTGGGTTTATGTGACTGGAGGTGAGCTACATAAAAATGCATTAATGTAGGCATCATGTACATTATTAATTCAATAACCTCTGGGGTAGTTCTTTTGACAGAAATAATTAGCTTACTCTTAGAAGCAGATTCCACATGGTGCCTGTAAACTATTAATCAAGTAATAATGGGAGGTTAGAATAAAAACTGTGAAATATGGTGTGTTCAAACTTTTAACCAAACTATAGTGTTGGAACTTAACCAAGCAGAAAGTAGCAACTTTTAGAAGTAATGATATATGATATATGATAGTTCAAAATATGCATGCAATATATATATATATGTGTGTGTATGTGTGTGTGTATATGTGTGTGTGTGTGTGTGTGTGTGTGTAGAGAGAGAGAGAGAGTGAGAGGAGAGAGAGACAGGGTGTCACTCTGTTGCCCAGGCAGGGGTATAGAGGCATGGTCATAGCTAGCTGTAACCTCAAACATCTGGTCTCAAGCAGTCTTCCCACCTCAGCCTCCCAAGTAGTTGGTACTACAGGTGTGCACGACCACACCTGACTAATTTTTATTATTATTATTATTTTTTACAGATAGGGTCTTGCTTGTTGTCCAGGCTGGATTCGAACTCCTGGCCTCAAGCAATCCTCCTGCCTTGGCCTCCCAAAGTGTTGGGATTACAGGTGTGAGCCACAGCACCAGGCCTGGAGGAGGTACTATGAAACCATGATGAATAAAAAGCTCACATGTAGAAAGCCACAGATTGAAAAAGAGTGGGTCTTCTGTATTGATCATCATTTAAAGCCTATTACCAAAAACATGAAAATTAGGAACTGGATAATACTTTTCATTGAGATATTTTTTAACTTGCATTGATAAATATTAGTATTATTCCTCATTTCCTTTTTAACTGGAAGGCTTTTATTTTATATTTGAAAGCTAAAGGAATATAAGAGTCAAATTTTGATTTGATCATACCATGCAAATTAATTGAATTAAACTTGTAAAATAAGTCACAGAATAGTTCATGAGGCTTATAAATAATTAATGAGTCTGGTTTAAAAAAAGGGAGAGACTAATTTAGTGATTTACTTTTCTAAATATTGAAGATATTAAAATAGATGGCTTGCTGCATTTTTCCTTGGATTCATTTTATTTTTTTCATTATCGTACAAAACGTCTTGTAATCCAGTTATCACTGTTGGTGATTCCCTAGATATAAACTCAATTTAACAATTAAATTTTTAATTACACAATGAATAGACATAGGATGCTTGAACACTGATTAACTTAAAAGTAGATTAGTTCATGAAAAAGTTTAATTTAACATTAACTTTAGTAGAGAGGAGATGCTACAGAAAGTATATTCATATATTTCAGTGAGCAGAGACTTTAGCAGAGAGAAAATATCCTTTCTGCCATAGCAGATTTAAATCACTATAAATATTTTACAATCTCAGTTTCCAAGAAAAAAACCAAAACATAGCAATGGCTTAGTTACTTATCTTCTCATTGCTCTCTCATAAAAAGCATCAAGGAAAATGGGAGTGGGGGATGCAGAGTTCACAAACTGTATCTTAGATACACCAAATGTTGTGTAAACTACCACAGAATAGAAAAATGGAAAATTGTTTTCTATAATCTTCAATGTTAAAATGCTTCTGAGTTCAAATAAAGATTCTCTTTCTCATTGATGCAAATCTGCTTAGGAGTATGTAGAATAAAAGAGCCCATGAAAGTGATTAAAAATCAATAAACTAATAACCTTTCATAATCACATAGAGTTATTCAATATTATTCACAGTAATTCAAGGATATATTGATCTTTTAAAATGTGATTATATCATCAATGCATTATGAAATAATATAACAAATTCAACAAATAACCAAAAGGCATAAAATAAAATTTAATACCTAGAATTGGTGAATGCGGATAAAAATTAGGCAAATGTGATATCACAGAAAGCTCAAGAAAGAAGGATTTCAATATCAGGTCGGTATTGGTATTATGAGTTGGAATATGATGAGAAATTTTTTAAAAAGCCACTTCATTCAGTAAGATGGAAATCACTATGATGTTGATTAATGGACTTTCATGGAATACTGGGAGCAGTGGAAGGAAAGAATGGGCAGTAGGAAGTCAATAAGTACAGACAATCTGGTGGAGTTTGACTATGAGGTCAACAACATAAATAATTAGATTGTGTGGCAAACAATCCAATTTCTTTAGGATCTACTTTTAAATAACAAATTTAAAAGATTGTGCACTAATGATTCTATTATTTATAAAATTTGTTATTTCTTTCTTTAATTCACCAGTAGCTGAGCAGCTACAAGGTAGAAAGCATTGTACCAAAGGATTCCAAGAAGATCTAAATTCCATTCTATCTATGAAGAGTTTGTATTCTAGTTCTGGAAATTAAAATAGTTAAAATAAAGAATAGAAGGTTTAGGGCTGCAATAATTTTTTGTCCTGACAAAAAAACACATAGCGGCAGTATATTTCCCATAATTATTTCTTGCAGGCCATAGTTTAAAGCTGATCCCAGCAAAATGCACACTAATGCTTTTTAAATTGTATTGTGTCTAGAATATAAAGGTAGGGATATTAAATATGTTATACCATGATAATGTGTAATGTCACTAAACAAAAGGCAATTATTTAAGCACTTTAGGCAGTAATAAAATGAAACTGTAAATCTTTCAAGAAAAATTGTTGCTTATTCAGAATTCCTGTTTACATATCACAAGTCTCATTCCTTTGGTAAATATCGACCTAGTTTTAGTAACATTTTTGGAGAGTACAAATAAATCAAAATCTTCAAACTTCAGAAAGAACAGAACTGGATTAGGAAAACAAAAATTGCAAAAGTAAAGTTGGAAAATTAAGTATTGATAGTTCAGATAAATTGGTGCAAAACTGTTAATTACAAATATAAATTTTTAAAAAAATTTTTGAGTACCGACCTTGTGTAAGTTACTATGACGTGAATTGGGAGAAATACATAAAGGAGTAATAACAGTCTGTCCAATCACATTTTATAATCTGAAGTCTCAAGCATTTCTTGTAGTGTGGATCTCTGGGATGAATTATCTCAGTTTTGGCTTATCTGAAAAAATGACTTTATCATTATCATTGAAGAATATTTTTGGCAGACATAGAATTCTGATTTCTTTTAGCACATTAAAGATGTAATTCCATTTTCTTCATTTTTTGTTCTGATGAGAAACAAGTCCACACAATTCATACTGCTGTTCCCTTAAATGTAATATATATATTTTCCCTCTTGCTACTTGAGATACTCTCTTTATCTTTGATTTTCATTAGCAATTTGATTATGATGTCCCTAGATGTACTGTTTTTGTACTTATCTTATGTGGAGTTAGCTAAGTTTCTTGTTTTTCATCAAACTTGTGAAAATTTTGAAAAATTTATCCAATATTTATCTCTGCCCTATTCTTCTCTCTTTGTAGAACTCCATTCACCTGCATGTCAGACCACTTAGTTTATAAGACTATGCTTATTATTTTATAACCTTTTTCTCTTTCTTCAGATTGTAAAATTTCAGTTGATCTATGTTCAAGTTCACTGGCCCGTCTGTTACCTCCAGTCTGCTTTTAAGTTCATTGAAATATATTTATTATAGCATCTTTAAAAACTTTGTCTATTTCCAATATATTGGCCATTTCCAGTGATTTTCTATTGAATTTTAAAATTTATTGACAATGGGTCATATTTGGTTGCTTCTTTGAAGTCTAGCACCTTTTGTTGCATGTTAGACATTGTGAAGCAAAGTTGCAGAAACTGTGCATTTTGTTATCTTCCTATGAAAGTGTTTTTCTATTCTAACAAACAGTTAAATTACTAGTCACTCTCCTTGATTTTGTGGAGGTTTTGTTTAATAGTTTGTTATATTGTTTTAATATCTGAAATGTATTCTTTCAATGACTGATCTTTTGCTAAATCTAGCTGAAATATAGTGGGGACTGGCTATAAGGCAGAAAAAAACCACTCATGAATTGAAGAACTTTAAAAATGTACATTCAAACTGAGAGAGAAGGGAAGAAAGAAAGCCTGCAGCTGTTCCATTGCTCATAGGATTAAACACATTCTCCTGAGACTGAGATACATCACCCTTCGTATTCTCATGCCAGGGAATCTTAAACAGATTTCTCATCCCTGTTATATCCTGCTAATATCCAGGGGCAGAACCTAACTCATTGCAAGACTCAGAGCTTTTGCAATGCTGTTTTCTACACCAGGGATACTCTTGTAGCTAATGTCTTTCAAACACAGTTCATATTATTCCCTCATGAAACTCCATCTAATTCTATCAAATTAAATCTTACACCCTGAGATCTTTCACAATACTTTTTAAAAAATATCTTTATTACAGGTTTTAACTTACCTTATTAGTTCTGGAGTTCTTGGTGAGCATTAATTCATTTATTCAGCAACAACTATTGTGTGTACAATGTATCTGGCATTGGTCTGGGTTCTCAGAATGGAGGAGTGAAAACAATAGAAACAAATTCTGGCTGGGCACTGTGGCTTATGCCTGTAATTCAAGGTGTGATTGTGAGGCCGAGGTGGTGGAGGGGTGAGGTATCATTTGAGACCAGGTGTTCAAGATTAGCCTGATCAACATAGGTAGACCCCATCTCTCCAAAAAAAAAAAAAAAAAAAAAAAATAGCCAGACGTGTTGGCACGCATCTATAGTCCCAGTTCCAGTTACTAGGGAGGCTGAGGTGGAAGTATCGCTTGAGCTGGAGTTAGAGGCTGCAGTGAGCTATGATGGCAACACAGCACTCCTCCCTTGGTAACAGAGCCAGACCGTGTCTCCCCACCGCCAAAAAAAAAAAAAAAAAAAAAAGAAGGAATAATTTCTGTTCTCAGTCTGGTGGATCATGTAGGTAGATCTTTCCTTCAGGAGTACTAGCTAGTAGTTACAGCTTATGAGAATGGACTTTGGAATTAGATTGCATTGCTTGAAGCCCATCTCTACTGTTTTTGAGGTATGTATCCTTAAGCAAGTTACTTAGATTCTCTGTGTTCCATTTTCACCACTTGCTATCTGTGGGTAACATTTGGTAGGTTTTTTATGAGGATAAAATGAGTTAAAATGTGAAAAGCATTTAGAATGGTGCTTGGCATATTAAATCTCAATACATATTTGACATTATGAGTTTTGTCTCTCCCACACCTATATAATTTTTAAAACATAATAGGTAATAACTACCTACTGTTGGATGATTGAATAAATAAATGAATGAATATCTATGCTTCTGGATTAAAAAATACACAGCATATAGCAACATTTTATACTGCTTCTCTCTTTTCTATGTTTTATAACAGAAGCTCTGGCTAGGAGGTGTTATAAGTAGAAAATGGCTGAACTACCTTAATTTTATTTGTTAATGTAATAACCGAATTGACCCCTTCTTTACTGCTATGGTCATATTTGCTCATCTATTCTTTCAACAAAATTGTTTTTGTGCTCTTCCTCATTAAAAACAAAAATGTGACATTCCTTTACATCAGGAATTGACGTGCCAGATGAGAAAGTGATATATATTTAATTATATATAATAAAATCTAGTATACAAGGAGTACATGAGGGAATAGAATGAATCACACATTTAAAAGCATACATAAACTACTTTAGCATATATTAATTTAAATAATATGAAATTACCAACATTTTTGACTATTCAAATGGCAATTTGATACAGGTCAAAATAATAGACAATGAAAAATATATTCCATGTATCAGAATACTATGTCAGTTTAGAAGAGAGAAATCTTTCAACCAGGATGATCAAATAAGACTTTAGAAAAGGAGTCAATTAGAATAGATTTGAAGAAAAAGGTAGAGGCGGGGCAAGTGGTTGAAGGCAGTGATTCTCCAAATGTGGTTCCACAATTTTAAAGGAGCATAGGAAATAATGACCAGAAAACAGATAACCTGAAAAAATAATGGTCAGGTATTTTTGTTAAATAGTTATTTTCAAGGAAGATGGTGGAGAGAGGGTTCTCATGTTTGTATGCTGGATAACAACCTATCACAAAAGACTGCAGAATTCACACCTTGCACAAAGGCTGTTGCCATCTTACACAAGAAACACTTCTGCAAGGACATCTGCCCAGCAACTGCCTGTCCAACCTCTGACTGACATCACCTTTGTTACTGATTTTTGTAGCCAAAGATAATGATTTTAAAACAATTATGTAACCCTCTTCTTTTTTCCTTTAAAAACTTTTGTCTTTCTCTACCTCCCTGAAAACACACATAGTTTACTATGTGTATTCCATTGCAATGCTTTATTCCCCAATAAATATATTTTCTTTTTCAAAACAGTTATTTCATTTCATTTTCTTTATTTTTCCCACAGTATCTAACTCTCTGAAGTTGTAGGGATAAAAAGGAGAAAATAGCAGCTCAAGGCAAAGTATCTCCAACTAATGAAGTAAACATTCCTATAAATTAGGTTTTACAGACCTAATAGTAATTGCAAACATCTTAGTATGTGTTCTATGTGATAATATTTCCCACAGGAAAATTTTACTTAATATAACTTGTAAAAGTCCAAGTGACTAATCTGGTTTTTCAGTATTGTATTGCATAGCACTAAAATATTCTCTATTAAGTCAGCAAAATTAAATTTTATTTTCTTGATTTACTTAGACAATTCATTTAATGAAATGCAACAGCATACATTTTTTCAAAAAACTTTTATACTAACAAGGTTTTATTGATCAATAATGAAACAAGCACTGAAATCTAAAATAAGCAAAATACATAAACGTCTGTTCAATAAAGAAGAAAAAGCAACTGCTAATTAACTTGCTTAAAGCAATTTATTTTTATTTTTTATTTTGTTTATAATTTCAACTTTTATTTTAGATTCAGGGGGTACATGTGCAGGTTTGTGACATGGCTGTAATGCATCATGCTGAGGTTTCTGGTACAAATGATCTTGACACCCAGGTAGTGAGCATAGTACCTGACAGGTAGTTTTTCAGCCCTTAACCCCTCTCCTGCTCTCCCTACTACAGTAGTCCCCAGGATCTGTTTTTCCCATCTTTATGTCTATGTGTACCCAACATTTATATCCCACTTATAAGTGACAATATGTGGCATTTGGTTGTCTGTTCCTATGTTAATTTGCTTAGAGTGATGACCTGCAGCTGTGTTCATGTTGCTGCAAAGGATACAATTTTGTTCTTTATATGGCTGCATAGTATTCCATGGTGTATGTGTACCACATTTTCTTTATCCGAGTGCACGTTTATGGGCACCTAAGTTAATTCCATGTCTTTGCTATTGTGAATAGTGCTGCAATGAACATACAAATGCATGTCTTTTTGGTAGAATGATTTATTAATATTTTCCTTTGGGTATATACCCAGTAATGGGATTACTGTGTTGAATGGTAGTACAACTCTTAGTTCTCTGAGAAATCTCTAACTTCTTTCCATAGTGACTGATCTAATTTACATTCCCACCAACAGTATATAAATGTTTCATTTTCTCCACAACCTTGCCAGCATCTGTTCTTTTTAAAATAATAGCCATTCTGACTGGGGTGAGATGGTATCTCATTGTGATTTTGATTTGCTTTTCTCTGATCTCTGATGATTAGTGATGTTGACCATTTTTAAAATATTTTTGTTGGCTGCTTGTCTGTATTCTTTTGAGAAGTATCTTCAGGTCCTTTGTTCACTTTTTAATGGGATTGTCTTTTGCTTGTTAATTTAAGTTCCTTATAGATTCTGGATATTAGATTTTTGTCGCATGCATAGTTTACAAATATTTTCTTCCATTCTGTAGGTTATCTGTTTACTCTAACTACATACATTTCAAGGAATCAGCTCTTTGTTCAAAATACTTCATTTAACAGGAAAATAACAGAGCTTCAGGATGCTCAATACTTAAAGCACTGCATGAAGTTAAAAACAGTGTGAATTTAAAAGAATAACATGCAGTAAAATTTCATGCTTTAAAATACAAGAAATTTGAACACTAAAGATAGATTGCTGATATTTCTCACTTGAAGGCTTGGGTTTATGATTTTTTGAAATGGAAATTTCAAATGATGTGTATGTTATTTATGATAATGCCACTTAACTAAGGGAGAATTATTATTATATTTTCATATTAATTGGTATGCCTTTAATACTGATAGTTATTTTTGTACTTGAATATAATGTGAAAATAAGCAAAATACCTATTTATTTTTTCAAATAAATTTTATTATGTATATTTGGGATTGACATCATGATGTTATACAATATAAATAGTAAAATAGTTACTAGGGTATACTATATATATTAATATCTTTCATCTCATATAAGTACAAGTGCAGCTAAAATCGACTTATTTAACAAAAATTATTAATACTATACTATTTTATTAACTTTATCCTCATGTACATTTGATCTCTAAACTTGTTCAACCTACATATCTGCTGCTTTGCATTCTTTGACCTGCATTTCCTCATTTCCTTTTCCCCCATACCTGCTCCTAGTAACCACTGTTTCATTCTCTATCTCTGTGTATTTGACATTTTAAAATATCTATCTATCTATGCATCTCACACATAAGTTTAGTCATACAATATTTTTCTTTCTGTGTCTGGTTTATTTCACTTACATAATGTGCTGCAGATCCATCCACGTTTGTAGCAAATGGCAGGATCTCTTTTTTTAGGCTGAATAATATTTCATTTCATATATATATATATAGCATTTTCTTTATTTTTCCCCCATCCATGAACATTTAGATTGTTGGCTATTGTGAATAATGCTGCAGTGAACTGTAAATGCACATACAAAGTGGTAATTTCATCTCTTTTGAATATATATTAAGAAGAGAGATCGCTGGGTCATATGACAGTGTTTCTTTGTTTGTTTTTTGAGACAGAGTCTCTGTCATTCAGGCTGGAGTGTAGTAGCATGATCATGACTCACTACAGCCTCGACCTCCAAGGCTCACACAGTTCTCCCACCTCAGCTTCCTGAGTAGCTGGGACCACAGGCGTATGCCACCATGCCTACATAATTTATTTTTTTTAGTTTTAGTAGAGACAAGGCCTCGCTGTGTTGCCCAGGCTGCTCTTGAACTCCTGAGCCCAAGCTATCCTCCAGTCTAGGCATCTCGAAGTGTTGGGATTGCAGGCATGAGCCAGCACACCCCTGCCGACAGTTTTATTTTTAATCGCTTTAGGAACCTTCATACCGCTTTTCATTATGACTGAACTAATCTACGTTCCCAGAGTTCCCTTTTCTCCACGTGCTTGCCAACCTTTATTATCCCTTGATTTTAATTGCCATTGTTATAGGTGTGAAGTGATATCTTCTAGTGGTTTTAATTTGCATTTCCCTGATTAGTGATGTTGAGCACCTTTTCATATATCTGTTGGTTATTTTTGTAACTTTTTTGGAGAAGTGTCAGTTCAGGTCCTTTGCGCATCTAAAAATTGCGTTGCTTTTCTGCTATTGAGTTGTAAGAGTTGTTCATACATTTTGGCTATTAACCCCTTATCAAATATGTGGCTTGCAAGTATTTTTTCCCATTTCATGCATTACCTTTTTTTCTGTTGCTTGTTTCCCTTCCTGTGCAGAATACTCATTTTTTAAACAAAATGTCATATTACTGCTAACATAATATGCCTTGTCTAAAGTAGTAATTCAAAAATTATCCCAATATGCCAAATAATCTAAACATTGTTCTCTATTCCCTTACAGCTAACAGTTCTAGTCCTAAAAAAAATTATAAATAAAAGTGAATCTACTTGTTATTGGTGATTTTATAACAAACTAATGAGGTAACACTATTTTGATGTTGTGGAATCACCTTTAAACTGAGATTTAAGGGACCTTTTTTCACCACCTGGGCAATGAGGGGTTTAGATTAGATTGTCTTTATCAGATCCCAAGTTTCATGATACTAATGTTAAATTCACAGAGATTCTGAAGCTACTGTAACAACGGCTTAATAGAAAACACAAAGCTTCAGCAACTCACCGTGACACGTGTATACCTGTGTAACAAACCTGCACGTTCTGCACATGTATCCCAGAACTTAAAGTAAAATAAAAAAAATTAAAAAAAGAAAACACAAAGCTTATCTTTGCCAGAAGAAAAGCTAGATGTCTTGTCTATTTCTTCTGTTTCTTTTGTTTCTCATAGTTTACCCGCAGTCTGTACACAAATCTTGTATTTGGAGAAAAAAATCTATTCCCATGACATGAAAGCAAACCCTCTAAGAATTTTAAAGATTCAAACAAAGTTATATGTAAAATATACAATGTATTATCATGACAAAGAAGGTTTTCTTTCAGTAAAGGAACATTGGTTTAATATTAGAACCTTTATCAATATACTTAACCACACAAAGATAATAAAGAATAAAAATAATATGACCATCTCCATAGACGCATAAAAATTATTTGACAATGTTCAACATTCATTAAGGACTAAAAATTTTCTACAAATTAGCAATGAAAGGAAGTCTTTGTTATTGGGTAAGAGATATTTACAAAAAAAAAATCCCCTCATGGTTAACATCATACTTAACGGCATAATATTCAACACATTCCCCTTAGGTTGGAACAAGACAAGGATGCCACCATAACCACTCCAATTCAACATTGTACTATAGGTTCTATATAGTGCAAAAATCATGAAAAAAGCATAAAAATTGATAGTAGGGAGGTAAAACAGAAGACATGATTGTGTATACATAAAAATCTATTAATATTTATAAATAAATTATTGGAAATTAATCTAGCAAGGTGGCTAGATCATATTTAATACACAAAACTAAATTGTATCTCTATGCTAAAAACAGGATAACTCTAAAA
The DNA here is from genome assembly GCF_000001405.40 of Homo sapiens. Taxonomy (NCBI): domain Eukaryota; kingdom Metazoa; phylum Chordata; class Mammalia; order Primates; family Hominidae; genus Homo; species Homo sapiens. Next base: position 81,017,573 of record NC_000012.12, read on the forward strand.
TATTTATAACAGCACAAAAATATCTAACTCCTAACCATAAATCTTCCAATTGATGTGCTAGACTTCTACAATACAAATTACAAAATATGGCTGAGAGAAGTTTAAAATAACAAATGAACACAGAGAACACCATGTTCCTGAATTGGAAGACTCAGTACTTGCAGTAGGCAGAATTGTATTTATTAATTAATTATTTGAGACAGAGTGTTGCTCTGTTACCTAGGCTGGAGTGCCGTGGCGCACTCATGGCTCACTGCAGCCTCAACCTCCTGGGCTTAAGCAATCCTCCCATATCAACCCTCTGAGTTGCTGGGACTACAGACATGCACTACCATCCATGCCCAGTTAATTTTCTTTTCTTTTCTTTCTATTTTCCTTTCTTTTCTTTCTCTTTTCCTTTCTTTTCTTTCTCTTTTCTTTTTCCTTTTCTTCTTTCTTTTTCATTTCCTTTCCCTTTCCTTTCTTTTTCTTTCTTTTTTTTTTTTTTTTGAAACGGGGTTTCACCATTTTGCCAAGGCTGGTGAGCTTCAACAATCCACCTGCTCCTGAGCTCAAGCAATCCACAAGCTTCAGCCTCACACCTGTCACACTGGGATTACAGGTGTGAGCCACTGTGCCCAGCCTAGTAGGCAGAATTTTCAAATGAGCCCTAATGATTTACAACCTTGCATAATCTACTCTTGACTGTAGGCAGGACCTTCAACCTGCTTCTAACTGTTAGAATATGGAAAAGGTGATGGGCTATCACAGACATAATTATGTATTGTTGAGTGACAAAGGTGAAGGGATTTTGCAGATATACTTAACTAATCCCAAATTAGCTGAAGCTGAGTTAAGCAAAAGGGTGATTGAGGCAAACCTGACTCATCAGGTGAGTCCTTTAAAGAGGGTCTTGATGACAGAGAAGAAAGTCAGAGACTCTTCTGATCGTGGAGAAGCAAGTCGCCATGAGTTCTACGTGTTCCAGAAGCAAATACTGACAACAGGACCATGAGCCTCAACTGAGACCCCAGACCCTGCCAACAATTTGATTGAAAGTTTGTGAGCCCTGGACAGAGAATCTAGATAAATAGTGCCCAGATTTCTGACTATGGAAACTGTGAGATAATAAGTGAGTGTGTTGTTTTGGTTTCCTAAATGTGTGGTAATTTGTTCTGTAGCCATAGAAAATTAAAACACTATTTAAAGATTTAAAACCTAACCCAAATTGACCTATGGATTAAACACCATCCAAATCAATTTCCTAGTATTTTAAAATTAAAATTAAAATTCTAAAACTTATAAGGAAATGCACAGGATTTATATGAGTCAAAGACATTTTAAAGAAGAATAAATCTGGATTACTAATACTACCAAATATCAAGACACATCATAAAGCTACAGTAATTGTGAATGTGTGGTACTGATGCAAGAATAGATGTATAGATGAATAAAATAAAATAGACAGTCCAGAGATGGGCCCACACATGTATGTTCATCTGTTTTGCAATAGAACACCACTGAAATTTGTGGTGACAATTATTGTCTTTTCAATCAATGGTGCTAGGTCAACTGGATATTCAAAAGTAACATTAACCTTTACACATAAAAAATAATTTGAGATGTATCATAGATATAAATGTAAATGGCAAGATAATAAAGCTCCCACAATGAAAATAGGAAAATGTTTTCATGTGCCTGATGTGTACAAACATTTTTGAAACAGTTCACAAAAAGCAAACCATAAAAGAAAACATTGACAAACTGTTTTTTTATGATACTAAGATACATGTTCCACCAAGGACATTATTATGAGAGTGAAAAGATAAGCCATTGACTAAAATAAGGTAATTGCCTCACATACATACATCAGATAACTCATTTACAGAATATATATCCTATTCAATAAATAATCAGTCAACACGATTAAGATTAAGAAAATCAACCAATAAGAAAAAGATAGATCTCAATTTTATAAATGGGAAAAAGAAAAAGCATTACAAAAAAAGAGGATGTTCAGGTGTCCAAAAATTAAAACATGAAAACATGCTCAGCATCATTAGTCATCAGGGAAATGCAAATTAAAAGTGTAATGATGTAAGGAAATATCATTGCACAGAATCTAGAATTGTTAAAATTAAAACAAGGACAATGCTAAGTACCATCTTTTTGCAACTTGCCTCTTAAAAAGAACTTGGGTATAAGGTATGATTCAGGTTCTTGATTTGCGATTGAATTTGAGTTGGTAATATTAAGTCCTATTCTTTCCTCTTTTTCTACATGTTAATATATGCACTGGACATTATAGATATTAACTAGTTAGCCTATTGAAAGAAAATTTGTGTTTCCTCAGGTTAACAACAGAAACTATGGTGCTCTTCAGTACAATGAAGAGAAGAATCAAACATGTTAGGAGAAAAAGCTCATGAATATCTTTTGATGAGACAATTCACTTATAATGTGTTACTTTCTATGAAAAGATGTGAAGAAATTTTTATAGATATCATGTCCTGGGAACTGATTATTGCACTTCTGTGTAAGAGTTCTTAGTTTTTTTATTGGTAGTAGTGCTGTTATTTATTTTCATTCTCTTTTCACTTGTTTGCTTGTATAAAGAACATTTAAAAAAAAGGAGTAAGTATAACGGCAGACTACTTCCACAGAGCAATGTCTTATTACTGCAGTAGTCTATAAGGGCTGCTACTTGTGTGTTCTGCCCTCTCAAAGTATAAGAATCTTAACCACAATTTCCATGAAACTCCCTATCCTCATAGGAGTCTAAAATAACATTAGAAAGTGTTCTTTGATTAAAATTATGAGAAATTGAATGAGAACGATTCAACTGGCACTACAGAAAAAAAGTTTGCTACACAGTTAAGTATAATTAAGTAACCAACTATAAATAATTTACTGATTTCCCATGCTCATTATTAAAGCGCTTGCTCAGGTCCTTAGACATAAAGATAGGGAACTGTGTTTGTAGAGTGTCTTTTCTCCCCTTGTCCAACCTCTGCCGATCTCTGTATGTTCCATTTCCCTCCAGTCCCACTAAGCTCTGATACAGTATTGCTTCCTTTTATAAGGGCTTTTATTACTAATAGCAAAAGTGATACGTCTATGATATATTTTATCCTTTTTTTGAACTATAAGATTCTTTCTCTTGGGTATAGCTGGGTGAATCATTCATAGACATTTAACTTCAGCTGGTACATTAGATTCTATTTTTCAGGAACTTGAAACTGTGATTCAGAGACAGGTAGGCAGTCTTTGTATGTAAATCAATCTGAAGCTATAAACTCAGGAACAATGAGGCTCCTGTGTATGGAAATTCATGCTAGTCGAAGAGCTCTAGACATAGAGCATAGTAGGGGTGTGTGTGTGTGTGTGTGTGTGTGTGTGTTAGGGGATGATATAAATATTGATTCTTGTAGTGATTTATTCCAACTATAAAAATAATTTCTTTAAATGTTTATTGCTATAAAATGTAGGCATACTCAGGGGTTCCAATAATGTGTGCTACTACATTTGGGAGTGTAAAAATCATTTTTATAAGTAACATCATCATTTTTAAGATTAAAAGAGTTAATACAGATAAAAGACTTAAAACAGTTTCTGACAAATAATAGACACTCAATAAATATTGTCTAATGTTATCATTATGGAAAGCTGAGTTGATTGAAGTGACACAGAACCTCTTAAAAAAAGAGATAAGGAGAAATGGAAATGACAAGACAAGGAAAAAAGAGACATGATGTGTTCATTAGAATATGTGAACATTTTGTCTTGCCAGTGCATGAGTGTCAGAAGAGTAGAAAATAAAACTGCACAGTGGCTCAGTACCTTAATAGATAGTTGAGTAACTATAAAAAAGGAAGATTTCATCCCTTCAATTTTCTGAAATGTGCTTTTTTTTTAAAAAAAACACCCACTTTCTTTTAATCCCTTTAAGTATAGAGCCAAAAAATGTTGCGTTGGAAAGTGTATCAGGAACACATGCAGCCTGAGAAGTAGAAGTGTTTATTCAGTTCATTTGATAAAGTAGTTTGTGAAATTGCTGGACTGTAGTTTACATTGCCAGATCAACTGTTGCTGAATAGTTAGTTTATAAATTTTTGCATGGGAAAAACGAAGGAGGATAATAGCAAAGAATTGTTTGGACCAAGATATATGATTTGGCTGTCCGTACAAGCCAAACTCAGGACACAAAATGGCAATGCTCTAATTCAGTTACGTAGAACAAATATCCTAGAATTTTTTTTCTAAGTTACAGCATATAATCTTGCCTTCTATATTTTAGATTGGGTACCAATAAAGTCATCAAATAAAATGCAAATAAAGCAAAAATAGTAGAAGAGAAATATTATCTTTTATTTATCTTTTATTGTGTCAGAATCTCTGCTAAGTGCATTACGCATGTTACTTCTTTCAATTCTACAGCCACTCTTATAAGGCAGCCTGCAGAGGATGTTGATTTTGGCATCCCCAGCCATGATTTCTGTCTCTTCCCCCATTGAGAAGTCACTATGTGGTTTAAGACTGAACCCACTCCAGATGCACACTTTGGTCTAAACCAAAATAAGAATACTCCTTTCCATTCTTATTTTCTTTCTGCCATAGAATATTTTTTTTCTTTCTTTCTTTTTTTTTAATTGAGACAGAGTCTTTCTGTTGCCCAAGCTAGAATGCATTGGTGTGGTCATAGCTTACTGCAACCTTGAGCTCCTGGGCTCAAGCCATCCTTTCACCTCAGCCTTCTGAGTAGCTAGGACTACAGGGATGCATCACTACACCAACTAATTTTATTTTTTAATTAATTTATTTTTTTTTGTAGAGACAGAGACTGACTGTGATGCCCAGGCTTATCTCTAACTCGTGGCCTCAAGCAATCCTCTTGCCTCAGGCTCCCAAAGCACTTGGATTACCGGATAAGCTGTAGACATGTTTTTAAAGGTGGATATGTGCCTGTAGGTAGGTAAATCTGGATGAAACTTGGGGCCTTGTATTTGAGGGTTGAGGGAAGAGTATGTCTCTTTTACTCTAAAAGGAATAGTGTGAGATATGAGGCTCACAACTATTGCAGCCGTTTGGCTTCCCCTTGGTGAGCCAGCATTGGCACAAACCTTAAAAAAATGAAGCCAAGGCCAATGATGAAAGTGTTCTTGAAATTTCTGAACTCTACTTACATGAGCCAACACATTTTAGTTATATCTGGTTTGAGTAGAATTTTGTGAAACTTATAACTAAGCATCCTAAATGAGTCATAGGCATATTCTTATCCCTACTACACACATGGAGAAAGCAAGATTCAGAAATGTTATGTCATTGCCTAAGAAAATAAGTCCTAGAACTAGGGTTTGGATACTGTAAGTCTGAACTACAGAGCCATGGTGCTTAACTGATAAAGTAGATGGCCTTCCTTAATGATAATGGGACACATTATAGAATTTTCTATCAGCATATTCAAGGAATTTTAAAGAACTGTTTCTTATTATTTCTTTACCTAGTTGATAACATTTTGATGGTGAGTTTTTAAAATTTAGTTTCTTTGGGTGAAGTGAAAGAAAGGATTGAGATAATTATTTGGATGTATTGAAATGTAAATACTTGGGTTACTCTGTTTAAAAAAGGAATTTTGAAAACATGAATGATCACAATAATTGTTCCATATATCTAACTTGGAATCATTGTTGGGCTCCTGAGTGTTCTCTATATTTGATGCATTGAACATTCTGCTTGAGGAGGTATGGAAACAGTAAGAGTATAGAGGATTAGAAGTTTGGAGGTCTTTGATTGAATTCGGGTAAGTCCCTGAAGGGCTCTGTGATACTGATCAGTCCATGAGCCTCTTAGTATTTTCTTCTATTAAAAAATTACTTAATACTTTCCTCACCTGCTTGTTGAACAGATGAAATGTGATACTAGATTCATGACTGGCAAAAAAATAATAACTCAATAAATGATATCTAAATCAAACCATCAAAAATTTTGTAAATTATTTACATTATAGGGCCTATTATAGTGCCCAATATTTAAAAATTCTTCAAGCACTTGTGTTCTTCAGATAAATGATGTTGGTAATATATTCGTGCCTTCTCAACAACATAGAATAGCACTAAGAGTAAACTGATAGTTTTATTGGCTACATTTGCATATTTTATCACCCTTAATCAAAATTCCATTTTTATTTTATTTTGTTGCATAGTTTATGGGAAAGGATATTGACTTTGTAATCATAGAACTCATAAAGTTTAAATCTTGACTCTGACTCATACTAACCATACACATTTAGCAAGTTGCTACCTTCTCTTGCATGGTTTTCTGCAAATGAAGAATTTTTTTTTTTTTTATTCTGTGGAGTAAAAGAGGGAATGACAATAGATAACTTCAACCACAATAAAAACATAAATAATCTGTAAAATGCCTTACATAAATTAGTAGTTACTTTGATGTTCATTTCTGTTTGTCCCTCCTGCCTATCTTCTCATTGTCACTAGACAACACTTCAGAGTATTCTTTTATGTATGGAGGGATAAGCACCTTTTAACTTATTCTCTTTGAAATCTGAGAAAATTGGGAAATCTAGAGTATGTCCCATCAGAACGTGCTGACAATAGTTCAAAGTGAGGTTTAAAACTGAATCAAACAACATTTCCTCCTATGTTTCAGACAAATTAATTAAATTCTCCTAGATACCATTGGAAAATATCTCTTCAAAAACCTCACCTGGCTTAAGAAATTCAGGTCCTTTTGGAAGTCTTTGTTTAATTTTTCTGCAAAATTTAAAACCAAAATTTTCATAATCACTAGAATGCAAAGATTATAATTGCATGTTATTTTTGCTGCATGTGCATGCTTACACACACACACACAGAAACCATACCCGATATAATGTATCTAAATTATACAGAATCAAAATATTTTATTTATATATATATTAGAATTTTTATCCTAAAAGCATGAATAATTGCCTTAGTTCTCCATTTTTCATGTGCTTCAATCAACCTTAAATTTCATTCTTTAACTTTTATTGCCATTATAATAGACTAGGACTACATAGTATATGTTAAAGAATTTCATTCTTTAACTTTTATTGCCATTATAATAGACTAGGACTACATAGTATATGTTAAATATGTTTTAAAAAGTGCTTTATAATGCATTATCTTCACCAAGGTAAATTGTAGTTCTCTTTTAAACAAAAAAATGATGTGCCGAATGATAATAAGTTAAATGTTTATTTTTATGGTGTCCTATTTCTATTACAAACAACAAAGATCTTGAGAAATAAAAGATCAAGAGAACAAAGCAATAGTCTAAAAGAAAAGCTGAGCAGGTGCAGAGTAATACAGTATTCAGGGCAGGGTAATGGTAACCTTTTCCTTTGGGCATTTGTGGCTTATATATTAAGCATTAGTGCAGTGTCTGTGAGAGATTGACTTATACAAACAACACCAAATTGGAAGTAAAGGCCCACTTAAAGGAAATGTATATTGGGTAGGGACTATCTATCATCTGTGCTCCAGAGATCGGTTCTAACAAGGGACGATATTAGTATGCAGGCATTTGTGTTTCATTTCTTTTCCAGTTTTTGTTCTTGGAATTAGGTATCCCCATGAAACTCATTAAACCTCCTATTTCTGCAGCCGACACTCCACTCAGGCATGAATAATCTAAGGGGTAAATGGAATGTTGATATAAATATGCAAGCGTTTTTGATGAAACATAACATAATAGTAACTAAGAAACTGAAAGAGACTCATAAGCACGAAAAAGAACATTATATTACTTTATTATGTGTAGTTATGGGAAACTCTAATCTGAGTTTTAAATGCTTGTTGAAATACATGTTAGAACTCTCTAAAATTGTTGAGTGCTCATACAGATGTAAGACAGTATTAATATAAATATTTAAGCATGAGGATAAGAAAAATCAAATAAATAATTGTAAATTTATTTTCCTCAATCACCTTTAAAACAGGGTCTTAAATACAAGGTAACCATGGGAGAAGGAGTCAGTATTTAACATATTCTTTGGGGATATTTGGATATCACTCTGAAAGAAATAAGCAGGGATTCACATATTCGTGAAAACAGAGAAAGTGGACAATCCACTCTGAATGAGTAATTGTGTAATATATCTCAAGGAAACGAATTCCAAAAAAAAGATTTTGTAAAATGACAATTGGCACAAGAATTAACACTCGTCACACTGGCAAAAATTAATGATTCATAACACTCGTAAGGAAGTAGAACTCATACTTTGTTGGTGATACTGTCAATTTGAAAAATTCCTTAGGAGAGTAATTTGGCAATAGCTAGTGAATTCGAAAATAAGCACACTCTTCACTTCGGTATCTTCATTCTGGGTGCTGCCATAGAGATTCATGTGCTCATCTGAAATCCAGTGAAAAATTGGTTTCAGTGTGGATGCTGACATAACAAAAATAAATGAAATCTATTCCTTGTGGATTAAAGATTCAAATTTAAAAACCAAAGCTTTACCAAATGTTAAAAAATGCATAGGACATTTATTTTTCTTAATGGGCGGAGAAAAAAGCGCAACGAATACCACGAAACATATATGAAAGCTTGTGGAAATATACCACGTTAAATTACAAGTTTTGTTTCAAAAAGGGAACTATCAACTAAAAGATGAATCTTAAACTTAAAAAAAGAAAATACACAAGCTATTGTTTTCCAATATAAAGATATATAAAACATATGAGCAGACAATTCACTAAAAATGATTTAAAAATATATTAAAAATGCTAAATCTTTAAAATGTTCTTACTATATCAAATGATAAATATGTGAGGTGATGGATATGCTAGTTAGCCTGACTTAACCATTTAACAATGTATACAGGTATCAAAACATCTCATTGTACTCTACTTATATATACAGCTATTTGTCAATTAAAAATGAAATAAAAATTTTCAAAATAAAAAATGCTAAACCTCATTAATAATCAGAGTTAAAAATTTAAATAACATTTCTGTACTATTTCACCTCCAATAAATTGGCAAAATTGAAACAGTCTAATAATTAAAATGTGAGTAAATATATGTAGACTATTAATTCTCCTAAGATATTAATGTGAATGTAAACTAACACAACAATTTTAGATAGCAATTTGGCAACATTTAGCAACTTTAAGATGTGTGCACACTTTAACAAATTGCACTTCTAGGTCCCTCAGTAAAACTCTAGCACATGTGCTCGAAGTTACAGATACAAAATATTCATGAGTACTGAAAAAAAAATCTGATTAGCTTTTTAGTTATCACCTTATTTCTGAGTTTTTCTAAATGTAATTTCATGTTGTATTTTTCATGTATGTATTTCTTAAGTCATTTTTGGTGTCTTTTAGTTCATTTTAAAATAGTAGGTGTAGTTTTGGTATTTATTTATTTGCCTATGTATGTAGATATGTATTATGTGTGTATGTATGTATCTAAAGCATGTCTTTTCTGGGGTCCTTTCATTGCATATTTCGTTCCTTATTCTATTTTTACCTATGGAATTCAGGTTTAATATTTTTGTCTTGTTTATTTTTGTGTGAAATTCATGTTCCTGGACTTTTAAAAGGCGTTTGATTCAAATGGGTTTTCTGACTTCGCAGAGCTGCCTCTTATGTAGTTTCCTGTAGTAGCTGTAGTTCTGGGTTTTCTTTGTCTCTCAGTGCTTTCCAGTGGATACCTATTGGCTGTCTGGGTGCTCTTCTCTTCTCACACCCATCTGTGCCCTCACTGCTTTGCTCTCTTTCCCCCTTTCTTGGCACCCACCATTACAAACACACAGACGCGTGCACAGATCTTGTGGCTACTGCTGATTTATCTCCCAATGCGTTTATGTGTCTTTCAATATACCTTGTCACCTGGTATTTTAATAAAAATTGCCTGTGGATTTGGTTTTGTTAACTAAATGCTTTTTCTGATTTTATGTGAGGATTTGGGAAGATTCAAAAACTAAGCTGTCACTGAAGCCTTTAAAAATACTAACAAAGGAAAAATTCAGCAAAGAGGAAAGTGGGTAAATTGTAATATACAATAAACTACCACAATCTTTAAAATGAACTAATTAAATATACCTAAATCAATATGAAGAAGTTGTTTTAAAATGCTGGTCTTTAAATATCAATCTGACTGGGTACATCATATAAATCTTTCCCATCTCTTTCTTGTCACTTCTAAGAATAATTTAAAAGCAAAAAGGAATTTTAAACAATATATGCATTCATTAGCTGCATAACAAACATAAAACTCAGCAGCTTGAAACTACAGTCATTTATTATTGCTACCACATCTGTAGGTTGGCTGGGCTCATCTGTGCAACTCTGCTTCAGGCTGTGGTGACTGTGACAGCTCTGCTTCTCCATTCATGTCTTTGTGTCACTTGAGGTAGTTATCCTTCATGTGTCTCTTATCCTCCCTGGACCAGCAAGCTAGCCAGGGCATGGTAATGTCAGAGGCTAAAACATGAAAGTGGGAACTTGGAGACTGTTGAGATCTAGGCCTGGATCTGGCAGAGTGTCACTTCTACACATACATCATTGGCAAAACCAAGTCACATAGCCAAACCCCAGGTCAATAATGCCTATGACAAGAGGGTGGAGTTGGGGACAGGTGAATAAGTGGAATCAAAAATCCAATCTACCAAAACCTGCATATTCTATTTTTGGCAAATATATGCTATAAAAATAACTCTCAGATTTAATATTTTATGTAAATCCTCCTAAGCAATTGAGGTCAGACGAGAGCTTCATGGAATAAATCGAATAAGAAACATAGTGGATCCAGTGGCACTAGATCTCAGAGGGGGGAAAAAAATCCTGTAGGTAAGATTTATTCCCAACTCTAACAGTCAGATCCTTTCTTTGCCACCAAAGGTGTCAATAAATGCCCTCAAGTTCTCATTTAATTCTAAAGAGAAGTGGAGGCATAGCCTCAAAATGAATCACAGAAGCAAGCCATAATTGAAGGAAGCAGTCTGTCTCTGTCGCAGCAGCAATGAAGCAATCTTTAGTGTATGAAAACTGGATAGCCTGCAACTCTAAAGAATGCCAAAAATTTTAACAATTGAAGAATACTTACCAGAAAAATGTATAATTACAATGCAGGTGAAAATTGTGGCCTAAAATTTTACCATACATTTAAAAAATAATAAAGAAGTGACCTCTGCGAGGAATATACAAAAAATATTAGTAAAAAATCTACCAATGAATGTAATTATTTATTGTATTCTAAAAAATTGCTAATAGAAGAGATTTTATGTGTTCTCATCACACACACACAATGATAAATATAAGATAATCCATATGTTAATTTGCCTGATTTAGCCATTCTACAATGGATATATATTTCAAAACATGTTATATGTGATGAACATAAAGAATTTGTATGTGTAAACTTAAAAAAATAGTGCCAAAAATAAATAGAGGATTTATAGTGTGAGGTTTTCTAATGTTCTCTTGCTCAAGTAACAATTATATTTCGAAGTTTCAAATTAGATCTTCCTAAACCATATAACATTTGAAAATGTATTATGCTGAGATTATTATAACAATAAAACTATAGCAATGCAATTATATAAATATTTTAAATTATAAATGCCAATGTCTTTTTATAAAAATAAATACTTGTCTAGAATTGTTTTCTATTTTAATACTAAAAGTCAAATAAGTGGTAGAAGAAAACAGTAGAAAAAAATACAACAAGAAACTATGGGAATGCTTTTTCAATAAGTATCCTTTGAAATATCACAGAAAACAAATGAGTCTATTAAAATAATGAAGCTAAGATAAATATTTTATAATACATAAGATGAAATGTACATACTTATCTTCAAGATATACCAATCTAGAAGATATTACTTCAGTTAATAACTTAAAAATCATTTTGAATTGTTATTCAACTCATGTCACAAGCCCCAAAGCAAACACAACGTTTATGTTCATCACATATTTTATAAAGACAAAAAAAAGACAAAAAATATTAGAAATCAAATGAGACAGCAGAGCTCAAAATCAAAGTAGGAATAAAAGAGCAAAATCATTTTAAGAATGTAGAAAAAAATGGGAAAAAAGGGAAATAGAAATCATGAATAATAGAAATGAGAAAAATAAATACTATAGAATAGAAATAGAGACCTACTAGATATAGAGGGCCCAAGATATGATTCATGATGGCAATCTCTGAAAAAGAAAACTAAATTAATGGGTAGAAGAAGATATTTAAAGGTATAATTCAAGAAAACTTTCCTGAAATGAAGATTTGAAATCTACATACTGTAAGGGCAAACTCTGTGCCGGAAAAAACAACTAGGAACAAGCAATAATGAAATATACCAGTGTCCTAGCAAATTCACTGTACTGCAGTGATAAAGAAATCATCTTTGGGCTAATAGGTAAAAGATCAAGTAACGTATATCAATCTAGGCACCCAGAAGTTGTTATTGTTATAAATATCTAAACAATTAGTGTAGCATCAACATTTGTAAAGAAAAAAGAAAAAAAAAGAAATCCATTAAAAGCACACAGGAAAAAGATATTAACTCAAATACACTAGAGGAAAGAGATGTTAATTCAATATTCTAAGTCTTATTTACTCACATGTATTTGTTGCTATGGATTTTCCTCTGAAAATTGTTTTATCTATATGCTATAGGTTCTGATATGTAGTGTTTTTATTATTGTGGCTTTCAGATAATTCAGTACATTTGGTTTATAATTTTTCTTTGTCCAAGAGCTTTAAATGCTTTTTATCTTTAATATTTGATTGGGAGAGGCTTTGGTTTTCTGGTGTTATTATTAATTACTATTTTCATTGCATTGTAATCAGATAATCAGACAACATTGAGTGCAGTATTCCCACTTGGAGATATTCACCGAGTTTTTATTTATGTTACAGTATGTAATCAATTTTATTATCTTCATGGTGCAGGGTTATATATCTATACATACACATAGACATGTGCACATAGATACATACATAAATATACATACATATAATATCTGTTATTAATGTTACTAGGTTTAATAGATCTAAATACATAAGGGAAATTAGTAATTTTTTAGATGACATCTCAAATCAATGAAAAAATATATAGATTATTTAGAAAATGGTGTCAGGACAACTAAAAAATAACAATGTTGGATCCATTCCTCACACACGATATTATGATAAATTCCAAACAAATCAAAGATGAAATATAAAAAAGATAAAAATTTAGAAGAAAATATGTAGAATTTCAAAATAAACTGCAACAGAAAAGATTGATGAGTTTGACTAAAATTGAAATTAAAAAATTCTCCATAACAAAAAGTCATAAGAAAACTCAAAAGGCAAATGATAAAGTGAGAAAAATATTTGTAGCTCACAATATTGACCAAGGGCTTATCATCTTAAGACATAAGGTTTTCTTGAACATTGATATGTCAAAATCTAATAACCCAATAAAAAATTGGGCAAAAGTGATAGAAAATACAAATGGCTCTTAAATATATGGAAAAAACCTCAAGCTTGGTTATGACAGAAGAAATTCAAATGAAAATACATATAGATAGATTTTTTTCACCCTTCAAATGGGCAAAAATATTAAAGTTCAATAATACAACAGAAATATTAACATGTGGAAATTGGTATTCTCACATATTTCTGTTGGGAGTGCAGAGTAATTTAGCAATATCAGTTACAATTCATACGTATATACCTGTTGAACTAGCAGTCTTATTTCCAAGAATTTATCCTGTAAATATAATCATGTAGGAAGCCCTTAATATGGGCCCCAGTGATCCTGCCTCATTGGGGATTTTCACACCTTTGTATAATATTCATTCCCTTGAGTGGGTGTTGGACTTACTGATTTATTTCTAATGAGTAAAATATGGCAAAACCCATGAGATGTTGCTTCCAAGATTAGGTTACCAAGAATATGACTTGGGCTCTATCTATCTATCTATCTATCTATCTATCTATCTATCTATCTTTCTATCTATCTAATTTATCTATAATCTGTTTATCATCCAACTGTCTATCACACTCCCCTCCCTCTGGCAGAATTATTAATAGCTCTGGAAGAAGCAAACTGGCATGTTGTGAGTGGTCCTATGGGGAGATTCATCTGACACAGAAGTAAGAAGTAAGACCACCCAACAGACAGTGAGGAACTAAGACTCTCAGTCCATTAACCTCCAAGGAACTGAATTTTGCCAACAACCACATGAGTGAGCATGAAAGCAAATTTGCCCCCAGTCAAACCTTCAGATGAGAACACGGACATGGTCAACCCCTAATTATAGCCTTGTAAGAGTTATTGAGACAGAAGAATACACCTAAACTAAGACTGAATTCTTGGCTCACAGAATTCATTATACTACAATAGCTAATTCATATGTGTAAAATTATGTATATATTTGTTATATACTGTTGCATTACTTGAAATTGCTAAAACACAGAAACAACCTAAATATCTATCAGAGGAATAGCAGTTGAATATGTTAGGGGACATTCATAAGATGAAATGTGATACTACACTTAGAAAAAATAAGAATGTTCTTTATGCACTGATATGAAAAGATAATCCACATATAATTAAGTTATAAAAGCAATGTACAGAACAGTGTGTATACCACACTACCATTTGTTTATGCATTTAAAACATTTCTGGAAGGAAACACAAGAAACTAGTAACCATGGGTACCTATTTTGGGGGACTGAGGTGGGTGGAAACTGGGTGTCTAAAGTACAGAGGTGGGAGGAGGACTTTTAACTCTGCAACATTTTTCACTTACTGACTATGAAACCATGTAAATAGATTAGCTATTCCACAAATTAGTTAATTGTTTAAATGCTTAAATGGAAAAATAAGTAAAATATATGTAACAGAAATGAACTTACTTTTTAAAAACAAAACATAATGTTGAACAAGAAATAGAATACAATTGGGTATACATATATACCACATAGAACACAATTTGCTTTTTCTTGTTATTGTTATATAATACAATTATATAACAATAATACAATTTGCTTTTTCTTATTGTTATATAAGCAAATATCAATAAATTACATATTATTGATTTCCCTGCTATTAAAATTTATACAAATATGTATAATTATTTTAATATTTATATTTTAATATAAATATCTGTATATATTGAATAAATACATATTCCATATACTAAATATATATTAAAATGTATTTTAATATCAGGCAAATAAATAATATGTAATTTATTGATATTTGCTTATATAGTAATAATTCAGAAGTATAATGGTAATGATGCTCAATTTCAAATTTAGGTTCCTGATTATTTTTGAAAAAAGGAGGTGAATAGGATTGGGAAAGGGGACCCAGGGAACTTCCACTGTATCTTTTATATTTTTATTTCAAATTAGGGCATATAGATTGAAAAAGTTCAGGCCAGGTGAAGTAGCATGCCCAGTGCTTTGGGAAGGCCAAAGCCCAGGTGGGAGGATCCTTTGACCCCAGAAGTCTGCAGTGTGCTATGATCAAGCCACTGCACTCCAGCCTGGGCAGAAAGACCTCATCTCTAAACAAAAAAGAAATAGGAGAAAGCTCAAAGAAGAACAGATATATGGATATACTTAGTGATTTAAGGTAAATAAATTATTTTAGGAAAGTCATTTAAATATATTTTATATTTTAATGATATTAACATTATCTGTGATTCTGTAAAAAATCATATAAAATTTAAAGGTGGTTATAAATGGAATAGTCATTGGACCTATTTAAGAGCCTTCATACAAAGAAACATAAAAGCTCATGTAGCCATCTTCAATATTAGAGACTATGAAAGTAAAAATGCCAGTGTTATTAGGACCCATTCATTTTTAATTACTTTACTAAGGCAGTTTTATTTTATGTTCAAATTAGCAAATGAATCTATAATGTAGCTGAAGATCACTTAGGATAAACAAAGCATTGTAAGCTCACTGTAACAACAAAAACTAACCAAACCAAACAAAAAAGTATAATATTTCAAGCAAAGCAGAACCAATAATAAGTATACACACTAAAATATGAGTAATTCTTATAACACCAACTTAATAAAATCTGGGTATTTTTCTGGAAATCAAGTGTCTTCTTGTTCAACCTATTAACCCAGTATAAGAATAGTCTCTATAAGACCCCTGAAGGATGGTGTTTCAGTTTTTATTTCTACTCAGTCGGTTCTAGTTATGCCCTCTTGGCTATGCAGAGCACATTCAATTCCTCATTGTATAAACCCTTTCAAATATTTGAAAACTGTTTAAAGTATCTTCTACAACTTCCATTTCAAAACTATACATACATAATTCTTAATAATTTTTTTGATAAGTAGTCCTGGTGTTGATAAACTGTCTTTTAAAGTGCTTCAGTTTGTCAAATTCCTTGTAAATTTGGTCCTCAAAATTCACTCTGTGACTACTCTACCGGCAGAATTTAGGAGTCAAAGAGTCAGCTGCTTACAGTTATTAGATACATCAGGCTTGGTGTAGATCATAGTGAATTAGACTGCCTACCATTGTTTAAATACAGTACATTAGTCAGATTAACTGCTGTAACAAACATTCCCCAAATCTCAATGATTTAACAGAATAAACATTTATTTATTTTTATGTTACAATGAAGATTAGCATGGGAACTCTGCTCCATGTAATAAATAGCTCAGGGGTGCTGGGTGCGGTGGCTCACGCCTGTAATCCCGGCACTTTGGGAGGTCGAGGCGGGAGGATCACGAGGTCAGGAAACTGAGACCATACTGGCTAACATGGTGAAACACCGTCTCTACTAAAAATACAAAAAATTAGCCAGGCTTGGGGGCAGGCGCCTGTAGTCCCAGCTACTCGGGAGGCTGAGGCAGGAGAATGGCGTGAACCCGGGAGGCAGAGCTTGCAGTGAGCCGAGATGGCGCCACTGCACTCCAGCCTGGGTGACACAGCGAGACTCCATCTCGTAAATAAATAAATAAATAAATAAATAAATAAATAGTTCAGGGGTCCAGGCTCCTTCCTGTACTGCCCCCATTATCTATTACATCTATTCATCTATAGTTGAAGTCTTCCAATTAAATCCTTTGTATGAGTCTGGCTTACAGGATAAGAAAGTGGATATTGATCATCTTATAGGCAATTTTTTCTGTGGTCATTCCTCAAAGTGACATACATACTTTTAACTATATTTGATTGGCTCGACTCAATCAAACAGCCATACCTAATTTATTGGGAAATGCAATCTAGTTCTGTGCTCAGAAAGGAAAAATAAATAAGATTCAGTGAGTACATAGCATTGCTTTTCTCCAGAGGATGACAGGTAGCCAGCTCAAAACTATTAATAGCACATGGGTGTGTTGGCTCAGTGTTCCCATATCTTTAAATTTTCAAGAGATACTGAAATTTTGTTTTTTTCGTTAATGTGACCTCTCCTAATTTTTAAATGTTGACAACTAAATTACTCTTTTGAAGACCTTGTGTGAGCCAAAGAAAATATATGTCTATGAACTAGATCCAGTCCATAGGTCAACAGTCTGCAAACTTTGGACATACTACAGCATTCTAAGAGTGAGCATTGAGGGTTATCAAAGTTCAAGATCTCTTCTTTTATGGACTGCAGGCACACAATGTTTTAACATTGTGCTACCATGATAGTTGGAACCCATAAGAAGAGTTAGTGCATGGTGCCACAGAAGCCAAGGAATGGGTGAGATTTTTGTATACAGCAGTAGTCAATAGGGTCACATCCAGTAAAGTAGGATGAGAACTCAAAAGTCATTGGATCCCACAAATCAAAAGCTGAGGCCAGCCACAACCCCATAGTCAAGTCATGCTTCCTGTCCTCTTGAAAATTGCAGTGCAGTTGGAGAGAGGCTGCATACAAACAGAAGTGCCTTCAAGATAATACAACCTGCACTTTAGGAGGCCGAGGCAGGTGGATCACCTGAGGTCAGGAGTATGAGACCAGCCTGACCAGTATGGTGAAACCCCATCTCTACTAAAATACAAAAGTTAGCTGGGCGTGGTGATGGGTGCCTATAATCCCAGCTACTTGGGAGGCTGAGACGGGAGGATTGCTTGAACCCGGGAGACGGAGGTTGCAGTGAGCCAAGATCACGCCACTGCATTCCAGCCTGGGTGACAGAGTGAGACTCTGTCTCAAAAAAAAAAAAAAAGATAATACAACCCAGAATTTGCGGTATAGATTGACTGCAACAAAATCCAGAAAGATAAATCAGCATTCTGAAGTGTGATAGTTAAGAAAAGCTTTATGAGGTAGGAGAGACTTGAAGTAGGGCTTGGATAATTTAATAATGGAGAACCTGAATATATTCACATAAAAGTGGACATGTGGTAATAAAAGAATGAACAGGAATTCTAAAAAGCTCAAATTAACCCTCAAGTTCTGCCTTAAGTAGCTTTCTGGATGTCAGAAGCTGTTGATTATTTACCAATCACTGTGGATACTTTATTTTCTGTTTTTAGATTGGCACAGGACTTGCTTGCTTTAGGTTTGACCATATGTCTAAATCCTAGCTAGTGGATATAAGGAGAATAAGGTATGCAACTTCCTTGAAATGCTTTCAAATAGAGCCATTTTAAATCAATCTCTCTCTCTCTCTCTCCCTTCTTGCTGGTTAGAATGAGCATTTAACTGCTGAAGCTTCAGCAGCTATTGGGGCCGTTGAGGTGGACTTTGAAATGATAGCCCCTTATAGCACAGAAGCAAGAATAAGGAGCCTGGAATAGAAACATTTGGACCCCTTGAATGGGAGAAAGAAACAACTTGTCTCTTGTTTATGCCACAGTTATTCTGTTTGTTTATTGTTATTGTTTTCTTTTTCTTTTTGCATTTTTTTCTATTTCTGGACATGTGACTTCACCTCCCTGAACTGGAATATCCTTAAAATGAGGGACATGAATTTATTTAGATAGCCCAAATGATGACTCTGTAGTTTAGCACTCTGC
The DNA here is from genome assembly GCF_000001405.40 of Homo sapiens. Lineage (NCBI taxonomy): Eukaryota > Metazoa > Chordata > Mammalia > Primates > Hominidae > Homo > Homo sapiens. The sequence goes on from NC_000012.12 coordinate 81,036,517, forward strand.
ATGCTTCAGCAGAAAATTGTTTAAGTCTACTTCAGTAATTGTACCATGTCACAGATTTCACCAAATCTTGTGTAAAATGTAAAAATTTAGGTATTTGTTTGGATATTTTCAAATAGATATTTCTCTTGAGAAAATATGTGATGATATACATCATACTTTATATTATAATAGGAATTAGAATAGAAAAAAGATTCCAATTCTACTCATTCATTAATATCACACTAAAAACCAACAATTACATCATTAATGATGGTGTTAAATTTTTTATAAATGATTCTTTAAAATTGGTGATTAACATTAGCATCCGTGAAGTCAACATTTCCCAAAGTCAGTTCATTTGAATACAAATCTTGATAAGAAACTAACAAAATATGCATACTGAAGTAAAATAATTGTTTATAGCACCTTTTTTGGAAGTCAACAAATAATAATTGTATATATTTATGGAGTACAATGTAATGTAATGTTTTGATATATGTATACATTGCGTAATGATTCAATGAAGCTATTATTTATATTTTTATCTGACAGATTTACCAAAACACATTATAATAAGAAAATCTCTGAGACATTTCAAACAAGCATATAAACAAAAACATTTATCTTTGTTTAATCAGTTACTTCTCTGACATATTTGAACATAACAATATTTCTTTTCGAAAGAGGGCTTGGGAAACAGTTCTAGGTGGTATACTTTTCCAGAATTCTTTCTTTATATCCTGCTGCTTCTCTAGTAAAGTAAAGAAAGCCCCAAGGTAACAGATAAGTTAAAGTTAGTTTGGTATTTCACAGTACATTCCACAGGAAAACGATAAACCATAGCTTCAGGTTCTTGGAGGAAAACAAGAATGATCAGCGAGATCCATTTAGACACTGCACATTTAATTTTGCCTTTTGGGCTGTGTTTCTTGGAGGCAACGCTGAGTTTTGATTCAGAAGTACCATTATCGTATTATGAGCATCAGTCAGACATTTGACATAGGCCAGGGGCTTTATGTCTGGGGAGAGAAATTTTAAGAAGAGAATTTTTTTTAGTGGTTGCTTCTAGGCTTTTTTTTTTTTGGCTGTAAACCTTACAATCTTACAATGTTACACAGGCTATCAATTTTTCATTTTATTTTATTTTATTTTATTTTGAGACAGCGTCTCGCTCTGTAGCCCAGGCTGGAGTGCAGTGACGCGAGCTCGGCTCACTGCAAGCTCCGCCTCCCGGGTTCACGCCATTCTCCTGCCTCAGCCTCCCGAGTAGCTGGAACTACAGGCGCCGGCCACTACGCCCGGCTAATTTTTTGTATTTTTAGTAGAGACGGCGTTTCACCGTGTTGGCTAGGATGGCGTCGATCTCCTGACCTTGTGATCTGCCCGCCTCGACCTCCCAAAGTGCTGGTATTACAGGTTTGAGCCACCGCGCCCGGCCTCAAATTTTTTATTAATCACTAAAAAATGGAAGCAAGAGACTAAAGTGAAAAAAAGTACAATAGAATACAAAAAAAAAAAAAAAAAAGCAGTTAGTGATTGGAAACACCTCCTTTGTGGTACAGCATAATTTTTTTGTTGTTTTAAATGTTTTGTCTACCAAGAGACCTTCCACAGGGACTAGGAGATACCATCTGGTGATTTTATACAGTATTACTAGAAAAAAAAGCTCTATTTCTCCCAATTGTAATATGTCTAAAGATCAGTTTTTTTGACATTTCAGTAATTGTGCCCAGGAAAACAGGTTTTTTTCTTTAGTTTCTTTTTAGAATTTAAGAAAATAGTCTAAAAGCTATTTTCATTATTTAAAACACTAAAGCTATTTTCATTATTTAAAACACCCCCACAAATTTGTAGTACCAAAGGAATGGAAAATAAAACTGATACATATCAAGAATCATAAATCCATAAAGTTGTTGAGTCCAACACATTTTGAGAAGTGCCCTCAAAAATTAACATTAATATTTTTCATCTAGAAATCATGATAGCTATCAAAAACTACAAAGGGCCATGTTACAAACATGTGGATTTTGAATATATAGAACCGTTGGTGGGTTTTCATTTATTCAATTGCTTTACAAATGGGTGAATCAAACATCCAGTAAGGTTTTCATTTTAATTTAATTAGGACTTATAATTCTCATTATAGTAAAATGGGTGCTAAGAACACCTAAAAGAATGCCTTTATAGACACATAATGATGACAATGGAGGATTACTGATTCAAAACTGCTCTTCCTGGGGAAGGCCCAGAAATCAGTAAGGGGCAAGTAAAATGTGAAACATTTGCTTAGAAACAATTTGTCAACTTCATGCTTCAAAATATATAAATGATCATGTATAGATGTGTTTGGTAATGATAATCATTGAGTTATGTTGATAGGTAAAATATGGGATATGTTGTGCAGGGGAAAAAAGAACATCTGTAGGAGGTCAGACACGAGGCTACCAATTTTGTTTTTTACCCAAATTGAATTCCACTGGGTTGTTAATAACTTGACTAAGAGGTGACCATTTCTGTTTATTTTTGGAACCTGCATATTTTACGTGATTACAAAATGTGATAATGCATATGCAACTCAGACTGGAAAATACACTCAGCTATAGACCTAAAGGTTGTATTTTTAGTTTGGATTCGAATGTTTATTTGCCCTTCACAATATTTCATGAAGACCTTGAACTTATGAACCCATACCATTCTACATGGCTGGTTTAACATGTGCAATGTTTGATTGCTTTTCTGAATGGCCACTAATATTAATTTGTGTATACAGTTAAGAATATTCTATTTTGAAATCCAGCATAACATTTCATTTCAATCTACTGATTTAGTCCTCTAGAGAGGACAGAGGCTATTAAATTTTCAAAGCCTCTCGGTGCTATTCCTGTATCTAATAGAAATAGCCAATTGAAAATAACTACCGTGGTTTCCCCAGGGATTCTAACTGTACCTCATTACATAATGTTCATTTTCTGAGACATAATGTAATCATAATTAATTTTGGGCTTATTAAATTGCTGTACTAGTCTTTATGGATGATTTTTTTATGAGAATAAATCCTTAAAGTTTCTAAAGAAGCAATGAGGTCCTGCTTGTTGTTACTGTCATACAGCTGCTGTTGTGAAATGCAGTGCTTTCAGTAAGTGAGTTTCCTAGGTGACAAGTTGTTTCTTTAAGTATCAAACATGACATTTTTAATAGCATGTATTTTAAAGTCAGCTATAGACCTGAGGTCTATATTTAAATTAACATTACAATTAATAAAAGTAAAATGAAAATAAAATAAGCATTTTACTTAAGTAAACAGTTACTTACTTGCTTTTATAAACAAAAAATATCAAGCATAATCTTGCTCTTAACAATTTAGAGTCATTTTCATGACCATCGATTTTTGGCTTAGCATTAATATTATTGTTTTTCTATTCCCCCCTTATTGTTATTTAGTTATTGTGTAATATTTTAGTTTGCCAGTGCATTGCTGAGCACATGGGAAGTTTTTAAATTTTATGGAATGAATATATGAATTCCCAAGTGAAGCTTTCAATTATTCTCCTTTTAACTTGACATAGTCAGCAAAATAAGATAAGCATGATTGCCAAAAATGTGTATTTATTATATTGAATGTTGAATCAAAGGACCAGCCAATAAAGAAGATACTCAAATCTTGAAATACTTATTATTTTGTTGGGCCAGAATTTTTTTCACTTCCTGTAAAGTTCTCAGATTTCTTACAGGTGTTCAAGTTGCCAAAGGTTGAAGTCACCACTGAATGAATCAGATTTTATTTCAATGAGAAAATGACATGTGGAAAATAATGCATTGTGCCCTTGGGCAATACCAATATTTTAACAAATACAGGTTGAGTATCGCTTATCTGAAATGCTTGGGACAATAAGTGTTTTGGATTGTGCATTTTTGCAGATTTTGGAATATTTATAGGTACATAATGAGATATATTGGGGATGGGACCCAAGTCTAAATACGAAATTTATTTATGTCATATACACCTTATGCACATAGCCTGAAGGTAATTTTAAACGTTTTAAATAATTTTGTGCATGCAACTAGGTTTGTGTACATCAGATAGCAAAGGTGGTACTATCCCAGCCACCCATGTGAACAGTCTGTGGTTGTTTGGCATCACCATCATTCCTGACCCTGAATTTATATGCTACCCATAAGCAATCATTTTCTTGCACTTATTCACACATAAATACTTAGCAGCAAAAAAAAAAAAAAAAGATAATGACAAACCACCCATACAGTGAAAAAATAATGTGCTCAGTGTAAGTTAGTAACACTGTAGCATTGCCAGAATACCTACATCAGCTGTTAGACAACAGCAACAACAAACAAAGGTAACCTTTTAGTTTCTACCTGCAATGCGATGTTTTGATTAAAAGATTACCGTACATTTGTTTTTTGTTTATAGATGAGAATAAACATCAGAAGTAGTTGTGGGATCAGGAAGTGGGTCCTCTAGGGTTGAGGTGGCATTCTGCTGGATGGCTTTTAAAAATGTTTCCTCCAGATTTATCTGCCTTATTAACAATATTTTTTGTCTTAGAAGTCTCTTTTGATTTTATAACCTGACATTATTTCTGGTTCTCTTATGAATGTGCACTATTCTAGTCCTTCAGTAAGCCCACCACACATATTCACCATGTTGTCTCTAGACACTTCTGCAGTGTTAACAAGGTCATTTTCACCATCGATACTATTATGATCACCTTGATTTGGAAAAATTTCAGTTATTTCATCATTGGTTGATGAATGAGCAGCTGCAGTCTTATTATTGATCTTAAAAACTTTTTTGATATCCACTTCTTCCAGCTCACTGATGACGCTGAAGGTATCTTTTTGGCATATGAAATGAGGTCAGACTTTTTTCTCATTTGACATACAAAATCTTTCAAAGTCACCACCTTGCTCATCATCATCACTGAATATAGTCAGAGGCCAGAGGTTGTGCCAGGCACACACAATTGTGTCTTTAATCTCTGTGTTCCAAGCAGTGGAAACAATATATACAGCATAGTATTCTTCATGCTAAATGCCTTATGAAAATCTTCCTCACCCATGCCTCTGTTAATGGCTGCTAGCACACTATTGAATAAAGTGTTTTTGGTCAGGCCTGGCGGTTCATGCCTGTAATCCCAGCACTTTGGGAGGCCGAGGCAGTCGGATCTCTTGAGGTCAGGAGTTCAAGACCAGCCTGGCCAACATGGCGAAACCCCGTCTGTACTAAAAATATAAAAAAATTAGCCAGGCATAATGGTGGGTGCCTGTAATCCCAGCTACTCAGGAGGCTGAGGCAAGAGAATCATTTAAACCCAGGAGGTGGAGGTTACAGTGAGCAGAGTTAGCGTCACTGCACTCCAGCCTGGGTGACAGAGGGAGACTCTGTCTCAAAAACAACAACAACAACAACAAAGTGTTTTTATATTTACTCTCAGTGACCTAAAGTTTCCCTGGTTATATGACTGAAATAATGACATTAAATTTGGGAGAAAGTACGTGGCACAAACATTATTTTTGATGAGAATTTTGGCTAGAGGATGATCAGAAAGTTGCCAAGGAATAACAAAATTTTGCAGTCATTATCTAGTCCAGCTTCCTGTTAGTGAGTATGAGCTGTTGGTATAAAATATTTGTGAAACTAATGAGAAAACATGTCCCTGGTGATCCATCTCTTTTTGCCAGCATAATAATGGACTGGTAAGAATTCACTCTTTGAAAACAGCAAGAACGCAAGCTTTGGCTGATCACAAGTTTACACTGATGTGTGCCTGCTGCATGAGCATATCCCAGCGCAGTTATTCTGTCCTTGGCATCCTTAATTCCTGTAGAGGCTGTCTCATCAGCTGTAGTCTGTGTCCTTCTGAGACAATAGTGCCAAAGCAGTTATGTTTCATCAGTACTACAGACTTGTTCCTGGTCAGATTTTCATTAGCAGAATGATGAATGAATTTCTCTGGTGCTTTATGATCAGCAGATGATTTATCACCACAACTGTAAAAATAAATGCCACGTATTTTTTAAAATTTCTGCAACCATCCTATTGAATAGTTACCATTCCCTTCAACTTTCAGTTCATCGTGATAGATCTTTGCTTGTTTTATGATCAGCATACCATTAAGTGGCATGTTTTCACTGTGATGTTGATGGATACACTTTTTCAGTATGTGATCAAGATCTTCATTTTTAAATTCATGCAATGTTTTTCTATTTTTCATTGGCTTCTGTTCATCACTTTCAGGATAGAACTTCAACAGTTTATCCTTCTGGTTCTTCAGGTCATATGTGGGGGTCCAACGCCATACTCTTCTGTAAGATGTTTCACACTTAACAGCACCGTCCTGTTTCTCCAACAGCTTGATTTTCTGTCCTATAGATAATCATAAATACCTCTTCTTTTTCTTATCATTACTAGCAGGGTATCTGCAGGCTTTTTTGACATTATCAACAATATCTTTACATCACAGAGCAGCGAATAAGCAACAAACAAACAAACAAAAACCACAATGAGTAGGTCTTAGCCCCATGTGGGGCATGATGGGAAGCCTGTGGTTGCCATGTCTGTCCACACATGTCATTTTATTATCTTTTGTAAGCGTGTTTGGCGTGGAGAAGATTGGGTGTGTTTAAAAAGATACATGGCAGCTGAAGGGGGATAGGAGGAGTTTTCCCTTAGGATTAATAAATAAGTTGTATGTTTGCACTTAAGTTTTGACTATGGTCTATCACATGGTTGGGTCAAGTATAAAATTTTCCACTTGTGTCATGTCTGCACTCTAAATGTTTTGGGTTTTGGAGTATTTTGGATTTCAGATTTTCAGATTAGGCATGCTCAATCTTGTATGTGTTGCCTTGAGTGGTTACTATATTTACTCATTGTTAGATATAGACAAAATGTCACACATAAAAATTAAAATCTCTTCTCTTTCCACATATGAGGCTAGAATCAAGTCTAAATAGTAGTTCCCTGAGAGGATAATATTGCGTATGTTAAATACTGCAAGATTTGTGAGTGTTCTGTCGGAAAGTCTCCAGGTTGCTTTATATATTACCAAACTGTTCTCTATGATTTGGTTATTATTGATATTTCTTGGGCTGAATATATTGATACTCTGAATATATATGTATACACACATATATGTCTAGACATGCTATTGTATTTATACTGTGAGAGACTGGGATGTATCTCTAAAACTCATTGTGTTCATATACTTGGAGTCATTATTTCCAGCCTCGATGATTTAATTAAGCTGGTAATAAATTAGACAATGATAAAAAACAGATAATCATTTTTAGAAAATATCTGGACTCTTTTGCAATGATTTTTTCATTTAGATTGTTGAATACTTTATAAAATATGATTACATTGGGACAATTATTATATTTCCCTTTTTGTGTTTTCTTCTCTTAGTTTTAGAATTTTTTGCCATAAAGTTTTGAAGAATCAATCCTAAAAGATGCTTTAATTTTAATCTACAATTCTGATTGTAATAATTTTATTTCATGATTCTTCCTGAAATTTTGAAATAAAATGACAGATAATTAAGAAATAGGTATATGTTTTTAAGATTTTTAAATGGATTTCAGTGAAATGTGTTTTATGAAGAGCAGCACAGACTTATTTTGTGGTACTGATGTAATCTCCAGTTGACAGGCTGTCTTGGATTTAGATGGCACCTGTCTAAAAGCTGGAAAGCTTTGTGCTCATAGAACCTTAAGTTAGAGTCTGCAGACTCCTGAATCTGAGGATATTTTCTATGGTTTTACAATGGCTTGATATACACATTTTAAAATCTGTGCTTCATTCTGTATGTGTATGCTGAGTAGTAATTTTCTTATTAATAGTTTTAAATTCAACAAATAAAAATTCAAGACTTAGAAAAAAGAGACATCAATTCCCTACATTATAAAGAATGCCTGAGAGGATATGATCCCCTTGAAGCTGATTACAGGGTAGACATACATCTCAGCCATTCCCCATTATTAACCTAGTCTCCATCTCACCCTCAAATCCACTTAAGCAGAACTCCAGGGAATAAAGGGAGTAATTCCAAATTGTGAATTACTAGGCCATGGAAAAGCATTGTGGCTTTCCCCCTCTTTGCTTTAAGAGTGGGGACATCATGCTTACCACATCCAAGAGAGAAGGCCTCAAGAAGTAACATTCCCAGAAAATAGAAGCCAACATTGGTATCTTATTGCTCAGTTTAATGTTTCACATGCAGCGAACATGGAGATTTGTGCCTATCTGTGCAGAGGTAAGAGTATTAGAGAAATTATGAAGATAAATTGGATTCATTAAACATTTCCCCAAATTATAGGCTTAATATTTTTTCTGAACCTTGCCTTTCTTTCTTTCTTTCTCTTTCTTTCTTTCTTCCTTTCTTTCTTTCTTTCTCTTTCTTTCTTTCTTTCTTTCTCTCTCTCTCTTTCTTTCTTTCTTTCTTTCTTTCTTTCTTTCTTTCTTCCTTTCTTTCCTTTCTTTCTTTCCCTTCCTTCCTTCCTTCCTTCCTTCCTTCCTTCCTTCCTTCCTTCCTTCCTTCCTTCCTTTCTTTCTTTCTTCCTATCTTTCTATCTTTCTTTCTGAGATGGGGTCTCTCTCTGTCATTCAGGTTGGAGTGCAATGGCGCGATCTCGGCTCACTACAACCTCCACCTCCCGGGTCAAGTGATTCTCCTGTCTCAGCCTCCCGAGCAGCTGGGGCTACAGATGCACATCGCCACGCCTGACTAATTTTTGTATTTTTAGTAGAGACGGGGTTTTGCCATGTTGGCCAGGCTGGTCTTGAACTCCTGACCTCAGGTGATCCACCCACCTTGGCGTCCCAAAGTATTGAGTTTACAGGTGTGAGCCACAGTGCCCTTCCCTAGTTATTTCAATAAGATAACACAATTTATCTAAACAATTTAAACATTGTATAAACGTTAATAAAAGTAACTTTAAAAGTAAAATTGTATTAGAAATATATAAATATTATTTTTTAGAAATAACTTTTTAATGGGATCAAAATATCCAAAAGAATTAGTTCAGCTATGCAGAGATGCATATTACTTAATGTCAGAATGCAAAAAAGTCAACATTAATTCCATTCTATTTTTCATTTTTATAGTTATACAGGTGAAAAATACTTTCATAAATATGCTGATATTAATCACAGTATTTTAAATATAAGTATCACTTAATTATTTGAGTCCTATGTTATAAGCAAAAAATAACATAGTAATTTATAATAATGATTGTTAATAACATATGAATGGATAGTTCAATTAGATCCTCCTTCAATTTTGTCAAAAGCAAAGAATTGAAAGCCACTGATTCCCAAAAGAATCTATTATGTAGTGGTCAAAGTCATTTATTTTCTCCATATCTAGGAAGTATTCTGAAATGGCTTTACTAGGGTTTATCAAATGACAATTGTCTGTAACTATTACTCTTTCACTAATATCTAGTTTAGCTGAAGAATAGCTAAGACTTATATAATATAGTCTTTAGTCTTCACCATGTGAATTTGAAGAAATATTTCTTGATATGACTTGACAAAATAGATTTTAACTACCTTGTTGCATAATGCATAGAAAATCAGAATTTATAAAAATTTCATCCATGGCCTTTTTCCATGGATAGTTTTTGATCATCTCAAAACATGTTCAAATTGTACTTAAAAAACTTACTTCATTAACCTACACTGCTTCAACTCTTCAAAGCTTTTCTTTTCAGCTAATGTCATGTCCCAAAGGTGAGTGTTGAGAATAGCTGAAGAGAACTGCTTACATTTAGATACACAGAAAAAGCTGTTTTCCATACTCAAAAACTTTAATAATATGCTGTTGGCTTTCCTCTGGTGGAATTCTCTCAAAATTAACACATTCTTTGATAGTTGTAGGAAGATGGAGAAGTGAGGTCTTTAAATATTAATTATCAATTCCAATCTGTTTTAAATCCTTTTCTTTCACCTTTAACAGAAATATCTATCACTTAGGGAAAACACAACTCCTAAGATAGTTTATGTTTCCTTGTTTATCTATTAAAAGTGATTTCTTTTCTTAGGCTAATATTTCATATTAACTTTGTTTTATGTCTGGAGACGTTTTGAGGTGTGTGCCTTTCTTTTGTGAAGCAGGATAAAAGAGATAGGAAGAGGAATGTGGAAGAAGGAAAACTACCTTAATTTCTTCCACAGATTCACTCTCAGATAGATCAGTCTTAGGAAAAAACGTATATGAAATTGAGTATATGGAAATTGATATTCTTAAAGCTATCTTTCTCTTTTATTTTTAAAGTTTGGCGTTATAGGTATTTCCAACCTGAGTCTGAAGACTGACCAAAGGGTATTGCAAAAGCAGGGACTGGAGAAAACTTAAACTCTTTTTGTACCCCACCAATTCAGATTCATCAATAACCAGATGAATAGATGGATGGATAGTTGGATAGAGATGGATGTATGTATAAACATGTTTTTGACAATCGGATAGATTCCTTTATAATCATGCAACTGCCTTGCAGTTTCAGCATGTTTGTGTTTATGGTCTTATTAGTCCAAGATAAGAAACTATGTTTAGTAGTTAATGGCAGTATTTTCCAATCTAGGGTCCATACATCCTTGGTGATCCACAGATAACATCCTCAATTTTCTGCAATTTTTCATGTCTGAGAAATCCTGGCTAATAGACGTGGTCAATAAGAGCTCAGGCCATCAGAGCTAGTCACACATGAGTCAAATTATAGCTCCTCCCCTTACTAGCTGTGGATCTTTGGGAAAGTTACCTTCCCCGTCTGGATCTGCTTTCTGATCTGTAAAATGAGAAATGTAATATAAAATGTTCACTTCCTTTTATGTTGAATTAAGAGAAACATTTCATTCACCCATGAAAATCAGAGAGCCAAATATGCTACTTCAGAATAACAGAAACTCCTTGCTATTCTGATGTTTGGGTTCTGGATATAATTAGTAAAAATAAGGTACAATACTTCAAAACTAATGGTACTAGTTTTGCTAGCCATTGTGATAAAATTTTTTTTGTACACTTAAAGAAGGAGAAATTTGTATTGCTAAAAACTAATCAGCCCAGCAGCTAGCAAGTAATTTTGTTTTGTAATAGAAAGTAGAAAATATATTCATTTCATCAGATAAATTTAGATGAGGATTAATTCTAATTGGAATATGTATTTTATGATATGATTTCATAATATGGCTTTTAACTATCAACACAGCTTTTCATTAAATCAGACTCCTTTGAAGCCCAAATTGTTCTTTTTCTATGATAGGAAATTGTCCAGTAGAAATATATTAGCAGAGAATATGGAGTATGTGGGAGAAGAAATTATTAAAAATGAGCAAAAAAATTTTTATTTTATTCATTATTATTATTATTATACCTTAAGTTTTAGGGTACATGTGCACAACGTGCAGGTTTGTTACATATGTATTCATGTGCCATGTTGGTGTGCTGCACCCATTAACTCGTCATTTAGCATTAGATATATCTCCTAATGCTATCCCTCCCCCCTCCCCCAACCCCACAACAGTCCCCAGTGTGTGATGTTCCCCTTCCTTTGTCCATGTGTCCTCATTGTTCAAATCCCACCTATGAGTGAGAACATGTGGTGTTTGGTTATTTGTCCTTGCAATAGTTTGCTGAGAATAATGGTTTCCAGCTTCATCCATGTCTCTACAAAGGACATAAACTCATCATTTTTTATGGCTGCATAGTATTCCATGGTGTATATGTGTCACATTTTCTTAATCCAGTCTATCATTGTTGGACATTTGGGTTGGTTCCAAGTCTTTGCTATTGTGAATAGTGCCGCAATAAACATACGTGTGCATGTGTCTTTATAGCAGCATGATTTATAATCCTTTGGGTATATACCCAGTAATGGGATGGCTGGGTCAAATGGTATTTCTAGTTCTAGATCCCTGAGGAATCGCCACACCGACTTCCACAATGTTTGAACTAGTTTACAGTCCCACCAACTGTGTAAAAGTGTTCCTATTTCTCCACATCCTCTCCAGCACTTGTTGTTTCTTGACTTTCTAATGATTGCCATTCTAACTGGTGTGAGATGGTATGTCATTGCGGTTTTGATTTGCATTTCTCTGATGGAGAGTGATGATGAGCATTTTGTCATGTGTTTTTTGGCTGCATAAATGTCTTCTTTTGAGAAGTGTCTGTTCATAGCCTTCGCCCACTTTTTGATGGGGTTGTTTGTTTTTCTCGTGTAAATTTGTTTGAGTTCATTGTAGATTCTGGATATTAGCCCTTTGTCAGATGAGTAGGTTGCAAAAATTTTCTCCCATTCTGTAGGTTGCCTGTTCACTCTGATGGTGGTTTCTTTTGCTGTGCAGAAGCTCTTTAGTTTAATTAGATCCCATTTGTCAATTTTGGCTTTTGTTGCCATGGCTTTTGGTGTTTTAGACATGAAGTCCTTGCCCATGCCTATGTCCTGAATGGTATTGCCTAGGTTTTCTTCTAGGGTTTTTATGGTTTTAGGTCTAACATGTAAGTCTTTAATCCATCTTGAATTAATTTTTGTATAAGGTGTAAGGAAGGGATCCAGTTTCAGCTTTCTACATATGGCTAGCCAGTTTTCCCAGCACCATTTATTAAATAGGGAATCCTTACCCATTGCTTGTTTTTGTCAGGTTTGTCAAAGATCAGATAGTTGTAGATATGCGGCATTATTTTTGAGGGCTCTGTTCTGTTCCATTGGTCTATATCTCTGTTTTGGTACCAGTACCATGCTGTTTTGGTTACTGTAGCCTTGTAGTATAGTTTGAAGTCAGGTAGCGTGATGCCTCCAGCTTTGTTCTTTTGGCTTAGGATTGACTTGGCAATGCGGGCTCTTTTTTGGTTCCATATGAACTTTAAAGTAGTTTTTTCCAATTCTGTGAAGAAAGTCATTGGTAGCTTGATGGGGATGGCATTGGATCTATAAATTACCTTGGGCAGTATGGCCATTTTCATGACATTGATTCTTCCTACCCATGAGCATGGAATGTTCTTCCATTTGTTTGTATCCTCTTTTATTTCATTGAGCAGTGGTTTGTAGTTCTCCTTGAGGTCCTTCACATCCCTTGTAAGTTGGATTCCTAGGTATTTTACTCTCTTTGAAGCAATAGTAAATGGGAGTTCACTCATGATTTGGCTGTTTGTCTGTTATTGGTGTATAAGAATGCTTGTGATTTTTGCACATTGATTTTGTATCCTGAGACTGCTGAAGTTGCTTATCAGCTTAAGGAGATTTTGGGCTGAGATGATGGGGTTTTCTAGATATACAATCATGTCATCTGCAAACAGGGACAATTTGACTTCCTCTTTTTCTAATTGAATGCCTTTTATTTCCTTCTCCTGCCTGATTGCCTTGGCCAGAACTTCCAACACTATGTTGAATAGGAGTGGTGAGAGAGGGCATCCCTGTCTTGTGCCAGTTTTAGTGTTTTATGAGGCAATGGAAGAATATTGTAGCTCTATGGAAAGCATTGTACACTTTTAATTTAGACTTACATTTCTTGTAAAAATGCTGAAAACAATTGATAAGTAGATTTCCGAGTAATATCCAGATCAAATTCATCTTTATTTAAATTATATGGTACATAATTAGTGATAATATTCAGCAACATTGAGCATATTGAGTAGTAGCTAAGAGAGGAAAGCATAGACAAGAAGTTTGGAGTTGTTCTCATATCCTCTGTATTACTCAGGTTAAGCTATCCATTGTGACAAATTCTTCCCAAATCTCAATGGCTTCAAACATTAAGATTTATTTCTCACTCACATCACATCTGATATGGGTAGTGATGGACTCTACTCCTCAGGGTGATTCAGGGATCTAGCTCCTTTCATGTAGCTCTATGCTTTTTTTTTTTTTTTTTTTTTTTTTTTTTTTTTTTTTTTTGAGACGGAGTCTCGCTCTGTCGCCCAGGCCGGACTGCGGACTGCAGTGGCGCAATCTCGGCTCACTGCAAGCTCCGCTTCCCGGGTTCACGCCATTCTCCTGCCTCAGCCTCCCGACTACAGGCGCCCGCCACCGCGCCCGGCTAATTTTTTGTATTTTTAGTAGAGACGGGGTTTCACCTTGTTAGCCAGGATGGTCTCGATCTCCTGACCTCATGATCCACCCGCCTCGGCCTCCCAAAGTGCTGGGATTACAGGCGTGAGCCACCGCGCCCGGCCGCTCTATGCTTTTTTAAGGTGCTATAATTTTCCACTGGATTCTCGCAGACAGAGAGCAGACAGGAAGGTAAAGGATCTGGAGGATCTTGTTCAAGGGTTTAGGGGCCAGTCCCAGAGAGCATATTAGACCCACATTAAATTGACCAGATTCGGACTCATTGCTTCACCGTGTGAGGGGCTGGAAATGTAGTCCAGCACCATGCCAAAAATGAAGAAAACATAGATATTGGTGAAAAAACTGGTTAGGGTTTGGTCAGTCTTATATGGAAATTCAGGAGATTTGGTTTAAATTCAGATTTTTCCTGATATGGAGATGATATTATGTTTTACAAATGTTCTGTTACACTCACTCCTGTTTTTATTTATCATAACTGATATTAATTCATTGATTCCTAACTCCACAAGAATCTGAATAATTTTGAATACATGTTGACTTAATTCTACTGTTAAAAAATTGAGTTAATTATAACAAGATCAATTAAGTGCCACCCAGTTAAATTGGAGTGCATTTAAATCCAATTTTCTAAAAAAAGTCCACCAAGTTTAAGTATAGCATTCCATAACACCCAAGTAAACCAGCATCAAAATGTATGTGTTAATATTAAAATAACAATAAACCATTGTAATAAAACTAAAATCTCCTAGGAAATCATCTTGCAAACAAATTATTACACTTGTGGGTAATAAGATATACATCTTATGATGGCAAGATCTAATGATAAGGAAGTTCCACTCAAACCTTGCTAATATTATATCTTAACATCTTCAAAGGTATCTGACACATAAATATTCTTTAGCTTTGTATTCTGTTATTTTACAAGATCTTAAAGCCTGGCCCATTGCTTTGTATTTTCAAAACACTCATATTTAGAACTTTCCATTTCTTGTTCTCTTAAAATTCTAGCAGTAAAGCTTGGGGTTTGTCATCTCTAATTAATTTTAACTGATTCTTCATTAAATATATTAGGGATTTAATTGTTTTGTTTCCACTCCTAATTATATTATTCTTTTAAGAGAAGTTGCTCAAATGCTGCTGGTCAAAAATGCTAATATTTGTTCATCAGAGATCCGTGATATCTGGAGCAGAATTTTTTATTTTCAGCTTCCTCATAGTGAAATAAATCATGACCATATGTCTCAAATAGAAAAGTGCATGCTTTACCTGAGGTTCAAATCCTAGTTAAGCCACAATATTTTTACTCCCATATTTCTAAGCCTTAAACAAATACAGTCATAATATCATGTCCAGAAGGAAGATCAAATTTGTTTCATTTTAAATATCAATACAAATGAGTCTATGAAGTAATCTATTTTCTACAACCCTTTAAAAATATTTTTGTATTTGTGCTTTACTCTTTACCTCAAAATCTTGCCTTTTCTGATTTGGTTCTAATTCAATTTCCTCTACATACCATCAGTTAGTCTTCAGTACAACACTAACTTTTCAGAGGCTCAAATTTCTTACCTATAAAATTGGATTGTTACATCAATTTACCAAGGTTTTCTGAAACTGAAATAATGAGCAATAAGCTCTTTATAAAAATAAATACCAACATACAGTGTCCTGCTCTTGCATCTCCTTTGCTGAGTGCCCTTGAGGTTTTGTTTCTATGTCTTATTCAATAACTCATTCACTCATCCACTTAGTAAATCAATTGGCAAATCAGATGCAGTCACCAACAAACACTTATCAATACCTACTATGTAACAGTATGAGCTAGCCATCATGGATAGGAAGGTAAGAGAGATCACAGAGTTGTAGTTTATTGGAGCAGAGAGTGAAGGGTGATAATTGCTATGGGAGTGGAAGAACATAACACAGGTACCTATTATACTTAAAAAAAGCTTCTAGGCCAGTTGCAGTGGCACTTGCCTGTAATCTCAGCACTTTGAGAGACCAAGGCATAAGGATCACTTGAGTCCAGGAGTTTGAGACCAGCAAGGTAGTGAAATCTCGTATATATGTGTGTGTGTGTGTGTGTGTGTGTGTGTGTATACATATATATGTATGTATATGTATGAATATAGGTGTGGTGCACCTGTGGTCCCAGTGAGCCCAGTGGCTGTGCCTGGGCGACAGTAAGAGGCCTTGTCAAAAAAAGAAAGAAAGAAGTAAAGAAAGAAAGTGGGGGAAGGAAGGAAGGGAGGAAGGAAAGGAAAGGAAAGGAAGAAGGAAAGGAAAGGAAGAAGGAAAGGAAAGGAAGAAGGAAAAGAAAGGAAGAAGGGAAGGAAAGGAAGAAGGGAAGGGAAGGAAGAAGGAAAGGAAAGGAGGAAGGAAAGGCTTCCTGGAAGAAGCAAATAACAAAGATACGAAGGCTGAGTAGGAATTAGCAAAGCAAATAAGAAAAGAATAGTCTAGAAAAATGAAGCAATGTGTGTAAGCAGAGGGGGTAGGAACCAGTCAATAAGGAACCTGAAAGTTCAGGGGGCAACTTGGGAATGTGGTAAGAGATGAGAAGGGGAAGCTAATGAGAGGCTAGATAATGAAGGGCCTAATAAGACAGGGGTTGAGGAATTTGAGGTTTATTTGGGTTGCAATACATAAAAAATTACTTTCCCAGTTTCTTTTCTATCTCTGACACACATAGTCCATTTCTTAGGTCATAATTTAGCATAAAGGCTTACGTGAGTTTTCTCAATATACGATTGTGCTTCTCATGTCACTCCTGTCATTACTATATCGTTTGGACTGCACATTCTGCATATTACCTTTAATTATACGCTGCTGGATACACATTCATCAGTGTAGTATCACAGTATATACTGTTTTCACACTGATCATGGGGGTATCTGCAACTTAATGCTATTACTTGCAGCTTCTGAACCATTCCATCTGTGGGTCTATTTTCTCAGCAACCCACGAAGATCCATTTCTCCCTTCCTTTTCCCAAGGCATGATGATGTTCTCTAAGTAAAATTCAATGAAGGGAGTAGTAACCTCCAGTAAACAATATTCATACACACATGTATATAGGCACATGCATTCATAAACCTTCAATTAGTTTCTGTTACCCTAAAGATAAATTCTGTATTACATTCTATGGCTTATAAATCACTAATAGGACCTTATAAGTCATGACTACTTCACCTGACTGTTATTAACCACTGCATACGGTGAGGTGGGATTGGCAGGGAGAGAACAAAGAGGCAGAAGAGTGTTCCATACAGAGGTCACAGCATATGAAAATAGCTGGAGATGAAGATGAGAAAAGAATACATCCATCTGAATCACTGAAAAAAGATTAAAGTCATTTTCATATGCTGTTTTCTCTGTCTGGAACATGCTTCTGCCTCATTTCCTACCTGAGCCCAGTCTACTCCTGCAGTCTTAGCTTAAAATTAATCAGAAATACCATTTGACCCAGCAATCCCAGTACTGGGTATATACCCAATAGAATATAAATCATTCTATTATAAAGACACATGCACACATATGGCAACCCTATTCACAAGAGCAAAGACATGGAATCAGCCTAAATGTCCATCAATGATAGACTGGATTTCAAAAATGTGGTACATATATGCCATAGAATACTCTGCAGCCCTAAAAAGAACGAGATCATGTTCTTGCAGGGACATGGATGGAGCTGGAGGCCACTATCCTTAGCAAACTAACACAGGAACAGAAAAACAAATACTGAATATTGTCACTTATAAGTGACAGCTAAATGATGAGAACACATGGACACATAGAGGGGAACAACCCACACTGGGGCTTTTTTGGAGAGTGGAGGGTAGGAGGAGGGGGAGGATCAGAAAAAATAACTAATGTGTACTAGGCTTAATACCTGAGTGATGAAATAATCTATACAAGAAACCCCCATGACATACATTAACCTATGTAACGAACCTGCACTTGTACCCCTGAGTTTAAAATAAAAGTTAGAAAAAAAATCATCTCCTCCAAGAAGCCTTCTTTGGCTTACCTTCCTCTCCTACCTTCTTCAAGAATCATGACTGTGCTCCCATACTCCCATAGTACTTTCTTGTAATTGATTGTTTAATTTTCTCTCCGACTAAACTGTAAGTTCCATGACAATAGTCTTGCTCCTGTTCTATTCCCATTAGCTGCAGGATGCCTCGTATATAGCTGGTGCCTAATAAATATATGCTGAATGAATGAATGAAAATAACCACCTATTTAGTACTGACTAAATTACACACTGTACCAAGCACTTTATATGCATTATCTCATTTAGCCCTCCAGTAGCTCCAGGCAGAATCACTGTTATTGTTCCCATTTCACACATGAGGAAACTAAGCCTTGGAATGAAAAACTGGACCAAAAGCATATGGCTAATAAGCAACAGAGCAAGGACTAAAATCAGGGACTCAGCTTGAGCTCTTAAACTGTATATTATAATTATTTATCCCTGGTCTTCGCTGTTACATTTACCCTTTTGTTTCTGATGTTCTGGGATCACAACATGTTAGGCCCACATTAAAGGCTTTTGTAGTGACTGAAGAAATTAATACAATCTTAAAATGTTTTTAAGTTTCCTTTCTTAATTTCCCTCTCCTCCTAGGTAATATTTTCACATGTTCTGAACCTGAAATTCTGTTAATGTGCCTCTACTATATGGTTAAGAGATTTCTTGTTTCACTTTTGTTAATATGAGGGGAGATTACAGATGACCTTAAATTGGAGTTCAAATATTATGCTCTTTTGCTCTTAGTAAATCTTTTTGTTTCCATAATTGCATCTGATGCTAATGTTACTTTTTAAATAAATGTTCTGTCTCCAAAGGGAAATTTGAAGTGAGTTGTGCCCTTTCTTTTGCAAGCTTCCTGATTAATATCTTTCTAATCTTAGATGATTACATATGTTTTTGAGAGGCAGAGAAAGATGATTGCCTACAAAGTCCCTGTTTCCTAGAACAAGGTCTTGTAGAAATTCTTGATCAAATTACCAAAAGTAAACTTGCAGTAATTTAAACGTTTGCATGATTTTCTGTTGTTGGATTCATTAACATGTATATTATAATAAGTCATTTAATGTTACTTTCTAATAATATTTGTGAAGAAAAGAGCAGATTCGGGGGTTATAAAAAACACCAATAAAATATGATTAGCATTCAGTTGTATGCAACATAACCAAATCCCTAGAACAGATTTAATTTTATTGTTACTACAAAAATCTTTAATTTGCTCTACATAATTATTTTGGGTTTTATAGAAATTAAGGAGTTTAGTTACATGTCTTAATTACTAGACAATTAAAATAATTGCTTTTGAACATTACCACAAATGTATCTACAGTACTGAAGATCAAATTTATTTGTCTTCCATGGAATCTTATAATGTACTACTATCTGTAGCACTGCTAAAGTCAATGGGCAATACACATATGACAGATAATAAAGAACTGTGTAGGAGTAAACATTTGTCACTTTTCTATTACAGATTATATAATCCTCAAAAATATAATGTTAATGTTTGAGGAGATTTTGCTGGATATTTTAAAGCTAAAATTTTAATTTAATTACTGATTATGGTCTATGTATCATTCAAAACAGTATTGCTTGCAGACCAAACTAAAGGTTTAAATCAGTTCTTAAAGCATCTAATCTCAGGAAGACAAAGCATAAAAGAGGGATCTGTTTAGCTGAGCATCTGCCACTTCTATCATTGTCTACACAAGGTGGCTTTTTGTTTCTGTTTTTTTTTTTAATACTTTAAGTTCAAGGGTACATGTGCACAACGTGCAGGTTTGATACATAGGTATACATGTGCCATGTTGGTTTGCTGCACCCTTCAACTCATCATTTACATTAGGTATTTCTCCTAATGCTATCCCTCCCCAAGGCCTCCACCCTCTGACAGGCCCTGGTGTGTGATGTTCCCCGCCCTGTGTCCAAGTGATCTCATTGTTCAATTCCCACCTATGCGTGAGAACATGCGGTGTTTGGTTTTCTGTCCTTGTGATAATTTGCTGAGAATGATGGTTTCCAGCTTCATCCATGTCCCTGCAAAGGATATGAACTCATCCTTTTTTATGGCTGCATAGTATTCCATGGTATATATGTGCCACATTTTCTTAATCTAGTCTATCACTGATGGTCATTTGGGTTGGTTCCAAGTCTTTGCTATTGTGAATAGTGCCGCAATGAACATATGTGTGCATGTGTCTTTATGGTAGCATGATATATAATCCTTTGGGTATAAACCCAGTAATGGGATTGCTGGGTCAAATCGTAACTCTAGTTCTAGATCCTTGAGGAACTGCCACTCTGCCTTCCACAATGGTTGAACTAGTTTACACTCCCACCAACAGTGTAAAAGTGTTCCTGTTTCTCCACATCCTCTCCAGCATGTTGTTTTCTGACTTTTTAATGATTGTCATTCTAACTGGCGTGAGATGGTATCTCATTGTGATTTTGATTTGCATTTCTCTGATGACCAGTGATGATGAGCATTTTTTCATGTGTCTGCTGGTTGCAGAGATGTCTTCTTTTGAGAAGTGTCTGTTCATATCCTTTGCCCACTTTTTGATGGGGTTGTTTGTTTTTTTCTTGTAAATTTGTTTGAATTCTTTGTTGATTCTGGATATTAGCCCTTTGTCAGATGGGTAGATTGCAAAAATTTTTTCACATTCTGTAGGTTGCCTGTTCACTCTGATGGTAGTTTCTTTTGCTGTGCAGAGCTCTTTAGTTTAATTAGATCCCATTTGTCTATTTTGGCTTTTGCCATTGCTTTTGGTGTTTTAGTCATGAAGTCCTTGTCCATGCCTGTGTCCTGAATGGTATTGCCTAGGTTTTCTTCTAGAGTTTTTATGGTTTTAGGTCTAATATTTAAGTCTTTAATCTGTCTTCAATTAATTTTTGTATAAGGTGTAAGGAAGAGATCTAGTTTCATCTTTCTACCCATGGCTAGCCAGTTTTCCCAACACCATTTATTAAATAGGGAATCCTTTCCCCATTTCTTGTTTTTGTCAGGTTTGTCAAAGATCAGATGGTTGTAGATGTGTGGTGTTATTTCTGAGGCCTCTGTTCTGTTCCATTGGCCTATCTCTCTGTTTTGATACCAGCACCATGCTGTTTTGATTACTGTAGCCTTGTAGTATAGTTTGAAGTCAGGTAGCGTGATGCTTCCAGCTTTGTTCTTTTTGCTTAGGATTTTCTTGGCAATGCAGTCTCTTTTTTGATTCCATATGAACTTTAAAGTAGTTTTTTCCAATTCTGTGAAGAAAGTCATTGGTAGCTTAATGGGGATGGCATTGGATCTATAAATTACCTTGGGCAGTATGGCCATTTTCACCGTATTGATTCTTCCTATCCATTAGCATGGAATGTTCTTCCATTTATTTGTGTCCTCTTTTATTTTGTTGAGCAGTGGTTTGTAGTTCTCCTTGAAGAGGTCTTTCACATCCCTTGTAAGTTGGATTCCTAGGTATTTTATTCTCTTTGTAGCAATTGTGAGTCAGAGTTCCCTCATGATTTGGCTCTCTGTTTGTCTGTTATTGATGTATAGGAATGCTTGTGATTTTTGCACATTGATTTTGTATCCTGAGATTTTGCTGAAGTTGCTTATCAGCTTAAGGAGATTCGGGGCTGAGACGATGGGGTTTTCTAAATATACAATCATGTCATCTGCAAATAGGGACAATTTGACTTCCTCTTTTCCTAATAGAATACTCTTTATTTATTTATTTATTTTGCCTGATTGCCCTGGCCAGAACTTCCAACACTGTGTTGAATAGGAATGGTGAGAGAGGGCATCCCTGTCTTATGCCAGTTTTCAAAGGGAATGCTTCCAGTTTTTGCCCATTCAGTATGATATTGGCTGTGGGTTTGTATTAAATAGCCCTTATGATTTTGAAATACGTCCCATCAATACCTAGTTTATTGAGAGTTTTTAGCATGAAGGGCTGTTGAATTTTGTTGAAGGCATTTTCTGCATCTATTGAAATAATCATGTGGTTTTTGTTGTTGGTTCTGTTTATGTGATGAATAACATTTATTGATTTGCGTATGTTGAATCAGCCTTGCATCCAAGGGATGAAGCCGACCTGACCATGGTCGATAAGATTTCTGATGTGCTACTGGATTCGGTTTGCCAGTATTTTACTGAGAATTTTCGCATCAATGTTCTTCAGGGATATTGATCTAAAATTCTATTTTTTTTGTTGTGTTTCTTCCAGGCTTTGGTATCAGGATGATGTTGGCCTCATAAAATGAGTTAGGGAGGATTCCCTCTTTTTTCTATCCATTGGAATAGTTTCAGAAGGAATGGCACCAGCTTCTCTTTGTACCTCTGATAGAATTCGGCTGTGAACTGGTCTGTTCTTAGGCTTTTTTTGTTTGGTAGGCTATTAATTATTGCCTCAATTTCAGAGCCTGTTATTGGTCTATTCAGAGATTCAACTTCTTCTGATGGTAGTTTGTATTTCTGTGAGATCATTGGTGATATCCAGTTTATCATTTTTTATTGCATCTATTTGATTCTTCTCTCTTTTCTTGTTAGTCTTGCTAGCAGTCTATCAATTTTGTTGATCTTTTCAAACAAACAACTCCTAGATTCATTGATTTTTGAAGGTTTTTTTGTGTCTCTATCTCTTTCAGTTCTGCTCGGATCTTAGTTATTTCTTCCCTTCTGCTAGCTTTTGCATTCGTTTGCTCTTGCTTCTCTAGTTATTTTAATTGTGATTTTAGGGTGCCGACTTTAGATCTTTCCTGCTTTCTCTTCTGGGCATTTAGTGCTATAAATTTCCCTCTACACAGTGCTTTAAATGTGTCCCAGAGATTCTGGTACATTGTGTCTTTGTTCTCATTGGTTTCAAAGAACATCTTTATTTCTGCCTTCATTTCCTTATATACCCAGTAGTCATTCAGCAGCAAGTTGTTCAGTTTCCATGTAGTTGTGCAGTTTTGAGTGAGTTTTTTTAATCATGAGTTCTAATTTGATTGCACTGTGGTCTGAGAGACAGTTTGTTGTGATTTCTGTTCTTTTATATTTGCTGAGGAGTGCTTTACTTCCAATTTTGTGGTGAATTTTAGAAGAAGTGTGATGTGGTGCTGAGAAGAATGTATATTCTGTTGATTTGGGGTGGAGAGTTCTGTAGATGTCTATTAGGTCCTCTTGGTGCAGAGCTGAATTCAATTCCTGGATATCCTTGTTAACCTTCTGTCTCGTTGATCTGTCTAATGTTGACAGTGGGGTGTTAAAGTCTCTCATTGTTATTGTGTGGGAGTCTAAGTCTCTTTGTATGTCTCTAAGGACTTGCTTTATGAATCTGGGTGCTCCTGTATTAGGTGCATATATATTTAGGATAGTTAGCTCTTCTTGTTGAATTGATCCCTTTACCATTATGTAATGGCCTTATTTATATATTTTGATCTTTGTTGGTTTAAAGTCTTTTTATCAGAGACTAGGATTGCAACCCCTCCTTTTTTTTGCTTTCCATTTGCTTGATAGATCTTCCTCCATCCCTTTATTTTGAGCCTATGTGTGTCTTTGCACATGAGCTGGGTTTCCTGAATACAGCACACTGATGGGTCTTGGTCTTGACTCTATCCAATTTGTCAGTCTGTGTCTTTTAATTGGGGCATTTAGCCCATTTACATTTAAGGTTAATATTGTTATGTGTGAATTTGATCTTGTCATTATGATGTTAGCTGGTTATTTTGCTCATTAGTTGATTCAGTTTCTTCCTAGCATCGATGGTCTTTACAATTTGGCATGTATCTGCAGTGGCTGGTACCAGTTGTTCCTTTCCATGTTTAGTGCTTCCTTCAGGAGCTCTCGTAAGGCAGGCCTGATGTGACAAAATCTCTCAGCATTTGCTTGCCTGTAAAGTATTTTATTTCTCCTTCACTTATGAAGCTTAGTTTGGCTGGGTATGAAATTCTGGGTTGAAAAGTCTTTTCTTTAAGAATGTTGAATATGGGCCCCCACTCTCTTCTGGCTTGTAGAGTTTCTGCCGAGAGATCAGCTGTTAGTCTGATGGGCTTCCCTCTGTGGGTAACCCGACCTTTCTCTCTGGCTGCCCTTAACATTTTTTCCTTCATTTCAACTTTGGTGAATCTGACAATTATGTGTCTTGCAGTTGCTCTTCTTGCAGAGTATCTTTGTGGCATTCTCTATATTTCCTGAATTTGAATGTTGACCTGCCTTGCTAGGTTGGGGAGGTTCTCCTGGATAATATCCTGCAGAGTGTTTTCCAACTTGGTTCCATTCTCCCTGTCACTTTCAGGTACACCAGTCAGACGTAGATTTGGTCTTTTTACATAGTCCCATATTTCTTGGAGGCTTTGTTTATTTCTTTTTATTCTTTTTTCTCTAAACTTCTCTTCTCGCTTCATTTCATTCATTTGATCTTCAATCACTGATACCCTTTCTTCCAGTTGATTGAATCGGCTACTGAAGCTTGTGCATTCGTCATGTAGTTCTCATGCCATGGTTTTCAGCTCCATCAGGTCCTTTAAGGACTTCTCTGCATTGGTTATTCTAATTAGCCATTCGTCTAATCTTCTTTCAAGGTTTTAACTTCTTTGTGATGGGTTTGAACTTCCTCCTTTAGCTCGGAGAAGTTTGATCGTCTAAAGCCTTCCTCTCTCAACTCGTCAAAGTCATTCTCCGTCCAGCTTTGTTGCATTGCTGGTGAGGAGCTGCATTCCTTTAGAGGAGGAGAGGCGCTCTGATTTTTAGAATTTTCAGTTTTTCTGTTCTGTTTTTTCCCCATCTTTGTGGTTTTATCTACCTTTGGTCTTTGATGATGGTGACATACAGATGGGGTTTTGGTGTGGATGGCCTTTCTCTCTGTTAGTTTTCCTTTGAACAGTCAGGACCCTCAGCTGCAGGTCTGTTGGAGTTTGCTGGAGGTCCACTCCAGACCCTGTTTGCCTGGGTATCAGCAGCAGAGGCTGCAGAGCAGCAAATATTGCTGAACCGCACATGTTGCTGCCTGATAGTTCCTCTGGAGGTTTCGTCTCAGTGGGGTACATGGCCATGTGAGGTATCAGTCTGCCCCTATTGGGGGGTGCCTCCCAGGTAGGCTACTCAGCGTTCAGGGACCCACTTGAGGAGGCAGTCTGTCCGTTCTCAGATCTCAAACTCCGTAATGGGAGAACCACTACTCTCTTCAAAGCTGTCAGATAGGGACATTTAAATCTGCAGAGGTTTCTGCTGCCTTTTGTTTGGCTATGCCCTGCCCCCAGAGGTGGAGTCTACAGAGGCAGGCAGGCCTCCTTGAGCTGTGGTGGGCTCCACCCAGTTCCAGCTTCCAGGCCACTTTGTTTACCTACTTAAGCCTCAGCAATGGCAGGTGCCCCTCCCCCAGCCTCACTGCCTCCTTGAAATTCGATCTCAGACTGCTGTGCTAGCAATGAGCGAGGGTCCGTAGGCATGAGACCCTCTGAGCCAGGCACGGGATATAATCTCCTGGTGTGCCGTTTGCTAAGACCATTGGAAAAGCGCAGTATTAGGGTGGGAGTGACCTGATTTTCCAGGTGCCGTCTGTCACCCCTTTCTTTGACTAGGAAAGGGAATCCCCTGACCCCTTGCACTTCCCGGGTGAGACGATGCCTCACCCTGCTTCAGGTCACGCTCAGTGTACTGCACCCACTGTCCTGCACCCACTGTCCAACAAGCCCCAGTGAGATGAACCCGGTACCTCAGTTGGAAATGCAGAAATCACCTGTCCTCTGCGTCACTCATGCTGTGAGCTGTAGACTGGAGCTGTTCCTATTTGGCCATCTTGGAACTGCCTCCCGTTCTGTAGGTTTTAACATGTTTCTTAAATACATCTTTCTTTAAAAATAAAAATAAATATCTTTTAAAAATATTTTAAAATTTTTTTGCAGAATCATATTTTCAGGATTTAACATTTGAAATTATAAAGTTCAGGATTATATATTTCAGGATTTTGATTGGCTCATATCTGTAAGCTACAAAAACTAAAACTTACTATCCTATAAAAGAGTTAATACAGTATTCAAATTGATTAACCTAAGGAATGGATTATTAATTGATTCATCTATGCTATCTGGAAATAATTCAATAGCCCTAGTATGCTTGAAGTTTTTCTCCTGATGTTAGGTTTCAGAATTGTCTGTTTTTGTGATTTTCTACCTATGAAAGATTCAGCCTGCTAGTTATGATCATGCCCTGAATGACTTCCACCAATCCTTTCAGATGTTGAATGGCTTCCTTTATCTTCACCTGCTCCCAGACTCTTCTTATTCTCTGCTTGGATATTTGCCCAAATGATTAATTCAGTGTATGATGTTCATTCATTCAGGTAGTCTCCTTAACAAAGAGCTATTAAATGTCAACTCTATGTCATGTATTGTATTAGTCCGTTCCCATACTACTATAAAGAACTGCCAGAGACCGGGTATTTTATAAAGGAAAGAGGCTTAATTGACTCACAGTTCAGCATGGCTGAGGAGACCTCAGGAAACTTACTAATATCATGACAGAAGGCAAAGAGGAAGCAAGGCACCTTCTTCACAAGGCAGCAGGAAGGAGAAGTGCTGAGTGATGGGGGAAGAGCCCTTTATAAAACCATCAGATCTCGTGAGAACTCACTCACTATCATGAGAATAGTATGGGGAAAAACACCCCCATGATTCAATTACCTCCACCTGGTCTCTCCCTTGATATGTGGGCATTATGGGGATTATGGGGATTACAATTCAAGATGAGATATAGGTGGGAACACAAAGCCGAGCCATATCAGGTATATATGAATACAAAGGTCAAGAGAACAGACAGTTTTTTGCCAGATATCATGATGTTTATCTTCAAATGGTCAGATATAGAAAATAAAGAACTAGCACATTGTAACACAGTAAATAAATATTATTCTAAATAAGGATGTGTGGACTAAGATGAAAATAAAACAAAGTGACAATCAAATCAATGATTTCTGTAACGAGGTGATATTTAAATTAAGATGTGAATTATAGGAAGAAATCAGCCAAGCAGATATCTAGGAGAAGAGCCCTTTAGATAGAGGGATGAAGAGACCAGTAAGGGCAAGGTCTGCGTGGTGGGAACAAGCTTGGCATACATGGGAGTTAGAACTAAACAAGTGATGTTGGAGCATATTGTGGTTGTGACATGCAGTCTGATAGATAGAAGTGGGTTGATTATGACGACTTTATGTACTATGGAAAGAAGTTTAGATTTTATACTAAATTCAGTTAAGAGCGATTGGATGGATTTCAAGAAAAGAAGAGATATTATCTTATTTATACTTGTAAAGTTTTGGGGTTCTAACCCTCCTTATTATAATCTTTACCAAAACCATTTGCTACTAATTCTGACATTTGTGACCAACATCTCAAAAACAGAGATAACTGCACCTTTAATTTCCATTTTAATTTCATGGAACTTCAGTACTGGATCCCCCCTTAATTCAAGTTCAGGAAGCCCTTTCTTCTAGAATCTTTATTTTATTAATAGTTTTACTTGTGGGTTAAACAGGCACTTAATTTCTCAACCATTTGCAGTCTTTGCTCATTTCCTTTTGAATTCTGCTTTTGGGAAGTATCTACCAACAATGACAATACAACTTTAACACCTCAAGCCCCATTTTGAACTTTTTAAGGAGTGGGTTGGGTCCTATACAAACATCTACCAACAATGACAATAAAACTTTAACATCTCAAACCCCATTTTGAACTTTTTAAGGAGTGGGTTGGGTCATATACAAACCAAAATAATTTTAATGTGGTCAAATGATACCAACTGTCCCTCATTTACTGTCACAACATATAATTATTTTACAAACTGGAGAACAGTCAATGGCTATTCTAGGCCCAGGGCATGGAGCCTGCCCAAGAAATATCTTAACCTTAGTAAAATATCAGTTGCTTATTAAAGCTATCCCTCTCTCTCTCTCCTTCTCCCTTCTAAAATATAGCTTCCTTATATCATCAAGATCATGTCTTTCCCATGTAAATTATCTGCAGGAGAGAAACGTTAAACAGAAACAAAGAGGGGTATTCCAAGATGGCTGAATAGGAACAGCTCCAGTCTGCAGCTCCCAGCGTGATTGATGTAGAAGACAGGTGATTTCTGCATTTTCAAATGAGGTACCTGGTTCATCTCAATGGGACTGGTTGGACAGTGGGTGTAGCTCACAGACGGCAAGCCAAAGCAGGGCATGGCGGGGTGTTGCCTCACCTTCTACACACTGCTTTAAATGTGTATACACTTTGGGAGGCTGAAAATATACTGATTTTCAGGGCTTAAAAAAAGCCAAAGTGCAAGGGGTTGGGGGATTTCCCTTTCTTGGCCAAGAGAAGCTGTCACAGACTACCTGGAAAAAACGGGATACTCCCGCCCAAATACAGTGCTTTTCCCAAGGTCTTAGCAACTGGCAGACAAGGTGATTCTCTCCCATGCCTGGCTCGGTGGCTCCCACGCCCATGAAGCCTTGCTCACTGCTAGTGCAGCAGTCTGAGATAGATCTGCGAGACAGCAGCCTGGCTGGGGAAGGGGCATCCGCCATTGCTGAGGCTTGAGTAGGTAAACAAAGCGGCCAGGAAGCTCGAACTGGGTGGATCCTACCACAGCTCAACAAAGCCTGCTGACTCTAGACTCCACCTCTGTCGGCCGGGCGTAGCTGAACAAAAGGCAGCAGACAACTTCTGCAGACTTAAATGTCCCTGTCTGACAGCTCTGAAGAGAGCAGGGCTTCTCCCAGCATGGCGTTAGAGCTCTGAGAATGGATAGACTGCTTCCTCAAGTGGGTCCCTGACCCCCATGTAGCCTAACTGGGAGACACCTCCCAGTAGGGGCTGACAGACACCTCATATAGGTGGCTGCCCCTCTGGGACAAAGCTTCCAGAGGAAGGATCAGGCAGTAATATTTGCTGTTCTGCAGCCTCCGCTGGTGATACCCAGGCAAACAGGGTCTGGAGTGGAACTCCTGCAAACTCCAACAGACCTGCAGCTGAAGATCCTGTTAGAAGGAAAACTAACAAACAGAAAGAAACAACAAGCATCAACATTAACAAAAAGGTCATCTACACCAAAACCCCATTTGTAGGTCACCAACATCAAAGACCAAAGGTAGAAAAAACTGCAAAGATGGAGAGAAACCAGAGAAGAAAAGCTGAAAATTCTAAAAATCAGAGTGCCTCTTCTCCTCCAAAGGATCGCAGCTCCTCGCCAGCAATGGAACAAAGCTGGATGGAGAATGAATTTGACAAGTTGACAGAAGTAGTCTTCAGAAGGTCGATAATAACAAACTTCTCCGAGCTAAAGGAAAATGTTCGAACCCATTGCAAGAAAGCTACAAACCTTGAAAAAAGATTAGATGAATGGCTAACTAGAATAAACAGTGTAGAGAAGACCTTAAATTACCTGATGGAGCTGAAAACCCTGGCACAAAAACTTCACGACACATGCACAAGTTTCAATAGCCGATTTGATCAAGTGGAAGAAAGGGTATTGGTGATTGAAGATCAAATGAATGAAAGGAAGTGAGATGAGAAGTTTAAAGAAAAAAGAGTAAAAAGAAACAACAAAGCCTCCAAGAAATATGGGGCTATGTGAAAAGCAAAAATCTACGTTTGATTGGTGTACCTGAAAGTGATGGGGAGGATGGAACCAAGTCGGAAAACACTCTTCAGGATATTATCCAGGAAAACTTTCCCAACATAGCAAGGCAGGCCAACATTCAAATTCAGGAAATACAGAGAACACCACAAAGATACTCCTCGAGAAGAGCAACCCCAAGACACATAATTGTCAGATTCACCAAGGTTGAAATGAAGGAAAAAGTGTTAAGGGCAACCAGAGAGAAAGGTAATCTGCCCGCCTCGGCCTCCCAAAGTGCTGGGATTACAGGCATGAGCCACCATGCCTGGCCAATATGTGCTAGGTAATCCCAGCAGTTTTGTCACCAACAGGACTGCTCTAAAAGAGCTCCTGAAGGAAGCACTAAACATGGAAGGGAACAACTGGTACCAGCCACTGCAGATACATGCCAAATTGTAAAGACCATTGATGCTAGGAAGGAACTGCATCAACTAATGAGGAAAATAACCAGCTAACATCATAATGACAGGATCAAATTCACACATAACAATATTAACCTTAAATGTAAATGTGCTAAATGCCCCAATTAAAAGACACAGACTGGCAAATTGGATAAAGAATCAAGACCCATCGGTGTGCTGTATTCAGGAAACCCATCTCACATGCAAAGACACACATAGACTCAAAATAAAGGGATGGAGGAAGATCTACCAAGCAAAAGGAAAACAAAAAAAGGCAGGAGTTGCAATCCTAGTCTCTGATAAAACAGACTTTAAACCAATAAAGATCAAAAGAGACAAATAAGGCCATTACATAATGGTAAAGGGATCAATTCAACAAGAAGAGCTAACCATCCTAAAAATATATGCACCCAATACAGGAGCACCCAGATTCATAAAGCAAGTCCTTAGAGACCTACAAATTGACTTAGACTCCCACACAATAACAATGGGAGACTTTAACACCCCACTGTCAACATTAAACAGATCAACAAGACAGAAGGTTAACAAGGATATCCAGGAATTGAATTCAGCTCTGCACCAAGAGGACCTAATAGACATCTACAGAACTCTCCACCCCAAATCAACAGCATATACATTCTTCTCAGCACCACATCGCATCTATTCCAAAATTGACCACATAGTTGGAAGTAAAGCACTCCTCAGCAAATGTAAAAGAACAGAAACTATAACAAACTGTCTCTCAGACAACAGTGCAATCAAACTAGAACTCAGGATTAAGAAACTCACTCAAAACTGCTCAATTACATGGAAACTGAACAACTGGCTCCTGAATTACTACTGGATACATAAAGAAATGAAGGCAGAAATAAAGATGTTCTTTGAAACCAACAAGAACAAAGACACAATGTACCAGAATCTCTGGGACACATTCAAAGCAGTGTGTAGAGGGAAATTTATAGCACTAAATGCCCACAAGAGAAAGCAGGAAAGATCTAAAATTGACACCCTAACATCACAATTAAAAGAACTAGAGAAGCAAGAGCAAATACATTCAAAAGCTAGCAGAAGGCAAGAAATAACTAAGATCAGAGCAGAACTGAAGGAGATAGAGACACAAAATTTCCTTAAAAAAAATCAATGAATCCAGGAGCTGGTTTTTTGAAAACATCAACAAAATTGATAGACCACTAGCAAGACTAATAAAGAAGAAAAGAGAGAAGAATCAAATAGATGCAATAAAAATGATAAAGGGGGATATCACCACTGATCCCACAGAAATACAAACTACCATCAGAGAATACTATAAACACCTCTACGCAAATAAACTAGAAAATCTAGAAGAAATGGATAAATTCCTGGACACATACACCCTCCCAAGACTAAACCAGGAAAAAGTTGAATCTCTGAATAGACCAATAACAGGCTCTGAAATTGAGGCAATAATTAATAGCTTACCAACCAAAAAAAGTCCAGGACAAGAAAAATTCACAGCCGAATTCTACCAGAGGTACAAGGAGGAGCTGGTACCATTTCTTCTCAAACTATTCCAATCAATAGAAAAAGAGGGAATCCTCCCTAACTCATTTTATGAGGCCAGCATCATCCTTATACCAAAGCCTGGCAGAGTCACAACAAAAAAAAGACAATTTTAGACCAATATCCCTGATGAACATCCATGCAAAAATCCTAAATAAAATACTGGCAAACTGAATCCAGCAACACATTAAAAAGCTTATCCACCATGATCAAGTGGGCTTCATCCCTGGGATGCAAGGCTGGTTCAACATATGCAAATCAATAAAAGTAATCCAGCATATAAACAGAACCAATGACAAAAACCACATGATTATCTCAATAGATGCAGAAAAGGCCTTCAACAAAATTCAACAGCTCTTCATGCTAAAAACTCTCAATAAATTAGGTATTGATGGGACGTATCTCAAAATCATAAGAGCTATTTATAACAAACCCACAGCCAATATCATACTGAATGGTCAAAAACTGGAAGCATTCCCTTTGAAAACTGGCACAAGACAGGGATGCCCTCTCTCACCACTCCTATTCAACATAGTGTTGGAAGTTCTAGCCAGGGCAATCAGGCAGGAGAAAGGAATAAAGGGTATTCAATTAGGAAAAGAGGAAGTCAAATTGTCCCTGTTTGCAGACGACATGATTTTATATCTAGAAAACCCCATCATCTCAGCTCAAAATCTCCTTAAGCTGATAAGCAACTTCAGCAAAGTCTCAGGATACAATCTCAATGTGCAAAAATCACAAGCATTCTTATACACCAATAACAGACAAACAGAGAGCCAAATCATGAGTGAACTCCCATTCACAATTGCTTCAAAGAGAGTAAAATACCTAGGAATCCAACTTACAAGGGATGTGAAGGACCTCTTCAAGGAGAACTACAAACCACTGCTCAACAAAATAAAAGAGGACACAAACAAATGGAAGAGCATTCCATGCTCATGGGTAGGAATAATCAATATCGTGAAAATGGCCATACTGCCCAAGGTAATTTATAGATCCAATGCCATCCCCATCAAGCTACCAATGACTTTCTTCACAGAACTGGAAAAAACTACTTTAAAGTTCTTATGGAACCAAAAAAGAGCCTGCATTGCCAAGTCAATCCTATGCCAAAAGAACAAAGCTGGAAGCATCAAGCTACCTGACTTCAATCTATACTACAAGGCTACAGTAACCAAAACAGCATGGTGCTGGTACCAAAACAGAGATACAGACCAATGGAACAGAACAGAGACCTCAGAAATAATACCACACATCTACAACTATCTGATCTTTGACAAACCTGACAAAAACAGGAGATGGGGAAAGGATTCCCTATTTAACAAATGGTGTTGGGAAAACCGGCTAGCCATATGTAGAAAGCTGAAACTAGATCCCTTCCTTACACCTTATACAACAATTAATTCAAGATGTATTAAAGACTTCAATGTTAGACCTAAAACCATAAAAACCTTAGAAGAAAACCTAGGCTATACCATTCAGGACATAGGCATGGGCAAGGTCTTCAGGTCTAAAACACCAAAAGCAGTGGCAACAAAAGCCAAAATTAACAACTGTGCTCTAATTAAACTAAAGAGCTTCTGCACAGCAAAAGAAACTACCATCAGAGTGAACAGGCAACCTACAGAATAGGAGAAAATTTTTGCAATCTACTCATCTGACAAAGGGCTAATATCCAGAATGTACAATGAACTCAAATTTACAAGAAAAAAACAACCCCCTCAAAAAGTGGGCGAAGGATATGAACAGACACTTCTCAAAATAAGACATTTATGCAGCCAACAGACACATGAAAAAATGCTCATCATCACTGGCCATCAGAGAAATGCAAATCAAAACCACAATGAGACACCATCTCACACCAGTTAGAATGGTGATCATTAAAAAGTCAGGAAACAACAGGCGCTGGAGAGGATGTGGAGAAATAGGAACACTTTTACACTGCTGGTGGGAGTGTAAACTAATTCAACCATTGTGGAAGACAGTGTGGCAATTCCTCAAGGATCTAGAACTAGAAATACCATTTGACTCAGCAATCCCATTACTGGGTATATACCCAAAGGATTATAAATCATGCTGCTATAAAGACACATGCACACGTATGTTTATTGTGGCACTATTCACAATACCAAAGACTTACAACCAACCCAAATGTCCATCAATGATAGACTGGATTAAGAAAATGTGGCACATATACACCATGGAATACTATGCAGCCATAAAAAAGTATGAGTTCATGTCCTTTGTAGGGGCATGGATGAAGCTGGAAACCATCATTCTAAGCAAACTATCACAAGGACAGAAAATCAAACACCGCATGTTCTCACTCATAGGTGGGAATTGAACAATGAGAACACTTGGACACAGGGTGGGGAACATCACACATTGGGGCCTGTTGTGGGGTGGGGGTAGGGGGTTGGGATAGCATTAGGTGATATACCTAATGTAAATGACGAGTTAATGGGTGCAGCAGACCAACATGGCATGTGTATACATATGTAACAAACCTGCACGTTTTGCACATGTACCCTAGAACTTAAAGTATCATAAAAATATATATATATATATATAATTAAAATAAAACCTACAGAACACATTATAGGCCACTTTAAGCAATAAAACAGATAACAATAATACATTTTTTGGAAGCATAAACACTAAGATATACTAACAACATTTGCACAGGTATAACAGTTATAAGAAGGTGAACCATATTTTTAAAGAAATAAGTTAAAAAGCAAAGTGTATAAATGCATGCCAATATGGTTGGTAATTGTGTGCACCCAAGTTTCTAACTTTGGTATTTGAAATACTACAGCAGACAACATAAGTCTTTTTGCAAGATCAATCAAAAACTGTTATGAGTCATCACCACATATGCAGTCACCCAAAGAGCTGAGATCTTGAGAAATTTTATCTTTCACAAATACAGTTTTACTAAGTGGACATCATTCCATTTATTGAAAAAGTTTTATTATCTTTATGTACACAACCAATGCTTACACACAAAGTCAAAGATTTTAATGCACTTTGTGGAGTCAAATTAGCAAAAATAAATACAACAAATTTGATCTGAACTCTCTAAAAGTCTTTAAACAATTATTCCTCCTGTATTGGAAATGATAAATGAAAAATACACAACATAGAGAATTGTAAAAATCAATGCTGACCATTTAAAATAGTGGGAAAGAAACTAAAAAATAGGAAGAATATAATACCTAGGAATATATTTAATCAAGGAGATGAAAGATCTCCACAAGGAAAACTAGAAAACACTAATGAAAGAAATTATAGATGACATGAATGGAAAACCATCCCATGCTTATGGATAGGAAGAATCAGTATTGTTAAAATGACTACATTAACCAAAGCAATCTACAAATTCAATGAAAATCCTATCAAAATATTGATGTCATTTTTCACAAAATTAAAAAAATTCCCAAAATTCGTATGGAACCAGAAAGGAGCCCAAATAGCCAAAGCATTCCTAAGCAAAAAGAACAAAGCTGGAGGAATCACATTACCTGACTTCAAATTATACTACAAGGGTGTAGTAAGCAAAACAGCATGATACTGGTATAAAATCAGACACACAGATCAGAAAAATGAATAGAGAACTTAGAAATAAAGCAACATACCTACAGCCAACTGATCTTTGACAAACTTGACAAAACACACACTAGGAAAAGGTCACTCTATTGAATAAATGTTGCTAGGAAAGTTGGAAAGCCATATGTGGAAGAATGAAACTGAATGTCTTTCTGTCACCATATACAAAAATTAACTCAAGATAGACTAAAAACTTAAATGTAAGACCTGGAACTATACCTATAAAAATACGAGAAGAATTTCTAGGAAAAATTTTTCTGGACATTGGCCTAGGCAAAGAATTCACGACCAAGACCTAAAAGTAAATGCAACAAAAACAAAAATAGACAAATGGGACTTAATTAAACTAAAAAGTTTCTTCACATTAAAATAAAGAATCATCAGAGAAAATAGACAACCTGTTGAATAGGAGAAAATATTTTCAAACTATGCATCTGAAAAAAGGACTAATAACCAGAATCTATAAGG
Source organism: Homo sapiens (assembly GCF_000001405.40). NCBI lineage: Eukaryota > Metazoa > Chordata > Mammalia > Primates > Hominidae > Homo > Homo sapiens. The sequence continues at coordinate 81,072,254 of NC_000012.12, forward strand.
AAATCAAACAACTCAACAAAACAAACAAACGAGATATAAATAGCCCCATTAAAGAGTGGGCAAAAGAAATGAACATATGTTGTGTGAAAGAGGAGATACAAATGACCAACAAGCATATGAAAAAAAATGCTCAACATCACTAATCATCAGAGAAATGTGAATTAAAACTACATGAGATGCCATCTTATGCTAGTCAGAAAGACTATTATTAAAAAGGATAAAAAATGACAGATGTTGGCAAGGATGTGGAGAAAAGGGAACACTTATACACTATTGGTGGAAATGTAAATAGTACAGTCTCTCTGGAAAACAGTATGGCGATTTCTTAAAGAACTGCAAATAGAACTACCTTTCGATCCTGCAACCCCACTACTGCCTATAATCCCAAAGGAAAAAAACCACTGTATCAAAAAGATACCTGCATCCGTGTGTTTATCACAACACTATTCACAATAACAAAGATATGGAATCAAGCAGAATATCCATGAGTGGATGACTGGATGAAGAAAGTGTGATATATCCTACCCTAAACACATAAACACACACACACACACACACACACACACACACACACACACACACACGCATATATAAATTGGCAACCTAAATTGTTAGGCAATCAACTACACTTTATGAAAAATATTATAACAAAGGGCATTTCTTTTTCTTTTCATAATCTGTTACCATGATAATGAGATAATTTCTTATATATTTAAAGTTATATTGCCAGTATTTGAGTACCACACAGTGGTATTAGTTAGGAATATGAAACAGACACAGAAACGAGATAATTCTTTTGGAATTATCTCTGCAAAAGAGTTAAAATCACCTTTTAAGGATTTGGGTTATTTGATTAAAATATTAGTAATTTTTATTGAAAATATTTGCCTACGTCGTTGTTCCCTTCATGTTTTTCTCAAATAGAAGTAACTAGATATGGTTTTTTTTGTTAGTTCTTTTTTTTTTTTTTTTTGAGATGGAGTTTTGCTCTTGTTGCCCAGGCTGGAGTGCAATGGTATGATCTTGCCCCACTGCAACCTCCACCTCCCTGAGGCAATTCTCCTGCCTCGACCTCCTGAGTAGCTGGGATTACAGGCATGCACCAACACACTCGGCTAATTTTGTATTTTTAGTGGAGCCGGGGTTTCTTCATGTTGGACAGGCTGGTCTCAAACTCCCGACCTCAGGTGATCTTCCCGTCTCGGCCTCCCAAAGTGCTGGGATTACAGGCATGAGCCACTGCGCCCGGCCAATATGTTTTTTAATTAGAAATAACTTTCAGTTGTTTTGTTTTTTCAGAAATAAAAATAAGATTAGTGGAGGATATTTGGCTGCTAGAATGAACTGGAGTTGTAGAATGCCTTCCCATCTATTGGAATGTTACATGTTTTAAAATGATTCTTTCATCTGCCTTTTTCTTCTTCTTCTTTTTTTTTTTTTAACTGCAGTTACTATTTGGGAATAAAAAGAAAGTTTCAAAATAGGAGTCTACAATTTTATTACTATGTATGATTTCATTTTAGACATTTAAAAGCTATTTTTTAAGCCCTGAAAATCAGTATATTTTCCAGAAACCCTTTGTTAAATCATAATAAACTTGCAGTGTTTCTGCAGGGGCAAACTTCAGCTCAGCCCTGCTGCACAGATGAAGTACTTTATGCAAACCCCTCCACATATACTTGCTAAGTTTTCAAAATATTCAAGAAACCAGAAGCATGGAAGTTACAAGCAAACCTTTTTTTTATTTTTTTGCGACAGAGTCTTGCTCTGTTGCCCAGGCTGGAGTGCAGTGGCATGATCTCGGCTCACTGCAACCTCTGCCTCCCAGGTTCAAGCGATTCTTCTTCTCAGCCTCCCGAGTAGCTGGGACTACAGGTGCTCAGCACCACGCCTGGCTCATTTTTGTATTTTTAGTAGAGACAGGGTTTCACCATACTGGCCAGGCTGGTTTTGAACTCCTGACCTTGTAATCTGCCCGCCTTGGCCTCCTAAAGTGCTGGGATTACAGGTGTGAGCCACTGCGCCCAGCCACAATCAAACATTTTAGTAGCTCTAATACTTGTAGTTAGACATTTGGCTCTTAAAATAGTTAGGTGAAAATATAAATTTTGTGGCCAGCAGAATGCATTATTTTAAAATTGTTACAATTTAACTACTTTCTCTTTCTCTTTCTCTCTCTCTCTCTCTCTCTGGTAAAAACGTTAACCTCTGCTAGTGATGACCAAACCTGGTAAAGATTGTAAAGTGGGAAAAATTGGATTGTAGGATCCTTATATCTTTTCTCTCTTTTAATTATAGTTCCACTCTGTTCTTCCTTTGTATTTCAGCATTTTTTCCTTAGGCATTAGTATTCTTTTTTTTTTTTTTTCTTTTGAGATGGAGTCTTGCTCTGTGGCCCAGGCTGGAGTGCAATGGCCCGATCTCTGCTCACTGCAACCTCCGGCTCCCGGGTTCAAGCGATTCTTCCGCCTCAGCCTCCTGAGTAGCTGGGATTACAGGCCTGCGCCACCACACCTGGCTAATTTTTGTATTTTTAGTAGAGATGGGGTTTCACCATGTTGGCCAGGCTGGTCTCAAACTCTGGACCTCAGGCGATCCGCCTGCCTCAGCAGGCATTAAGTATTCTGACTCCAGTTTTCTCCCCTCCCTTCATTCTTTCTTGAGCAAATTTCCACACCTTTTTATTCTCTCTGATCTTTCTCTGCACTGTCTCCATTATTTTGCTCTTTCCATTTGCTAGAATGCTTCTCTTAAATAATTTTGTCAATAAATCTGCTTATGATGTTTTAAAATGCCATCCTGAATAGCATATTAATTATACCATTATGACATACAATGAAATAAATACTATGCATTAATAAGCTGGAGTTTTAGCATGCTTAACCATTGAAAAGATTGTGATTACCTTGTACCTCAAATTAATTAAAAATATAATTTTATTTTTTGAAATAATACAGAATTTATATACATGCTTAAATTAAAATTGTTTCTTTTGAGAGGTTCTGATTGTTAAATTTTAGGTATGTTAATTTGCAGGGTTGAATTTTTAGATTATTTGGTTGTTCACTGGCTTGGCTGCTGTCCTAAATTAGCTTGGCTTGCTACTGACCCAATGCTAAGCAGTTTACACATATTTGAACCTTGCAACAATCCTGTGAAGTAAGATTATCAGCTTCAGATTACAGATGCAGAAACTGCAGTTCAGAAAATTAACTTTCCAAATTTTCACACCTAATAAGTGGCAGTAGTGTAATAAGATTCAACCTGAGACTTCATGGCTCATGATTTTAATCTTTTCATATGCTTAATGACCAATCAACAGGCTCTTGGTGTCTTAATTTAAAGGCTAATAGTTTATCCTGAGGTACTGACTTGCATTTGACACTATTTACACTCGTCTGTCTGGCTGTTTGTCCAGTACAATCTTCTAGTTCCACTGGCCTTGCTTGCTCTACCTGTACACTGAACACTCTCAAAACCAGACCCACTGCATTTGCTGGATTGTGTCTACACTTATGCTCTCCCTTCAGCCTGAAATGGAGCTTACAGTAACAATCTATTGTATACAATTACTTTCAAAAGAAAAAATGGTATACTGATGGGTCCAGAAAAAGTGGTTTCATCTGGCGATACGGGGGTCTAACTTTGCCTCATGTGATCTTGTAATCAGTTCCTTGTTTTTAAGCTCTGAACTTCATACTTCCTTCTGAACCTTCAGAGGAACCCAGCACCTCCAAAACTTGAGACATACCAGGTTCCTAAGGAGAAAATGGATTCTCCTTAGGAAAATCTATTTTCTCCTCCACAAGCTCCTCCTCCCACTTTTAAATCATATTCCACAGATTCATCTTCTTTCTATTCTTTCATTTGGTTTCTTTTCTTTTCCTGTTCTCTTTATCCTTGTAGGATTTTTACCACGACAACCGCCCTCTTTGATTCTCTTTCAGTGGAGTTTCTTTAAGGAGAAGAATGAATGTGGCTATTCAATTTGTCATATTTTACTGGAATTCTAAGATTTTTTTTTTTTTTTTAAAGTAGAAGATACTCAGCCTGGAATTAAAATGGTGGACTTTGGAGTCAGATTCCCCTCCTTGTTCAAGTTGTGGCACAGAGATAAAATGATCGTATTTGCACAGTATCCTGGAGTGAGTGACAGGATTAGAGTGGGTTTTCCCCTAGCCCTCCACCTTGAGGTGTCAGTAAATTGTATCACGGCATATCTGTAATTCAAAGCATCTGGGCTTTGAAATACTGGGCATCCATAAAGTTTGAATCCTGACTGTTTCACTTGCTAGCTGCGTGGCCTTGGGCAAGTCGATCTATCTCTATACTAGCTCCATTTGTAAACATGGGATTATGATTCCCACTTCTTGGTACTTTCATGAGAATTACAGGAGCTAACATTTGTTTAAAGTGCCCAGTATAATGTGAACACATGCTAGGTGCCAATAATAAATCTGTCGTTCTGGAAGGATGAAGAGGTTAAATGGCTTTGTAACTTTCTCTGGATTTAAATGGTGACTGTGTCTTTGGCCATTCGACATTATTTGATTTGAGACCTTTGGAAGGACTAAAGTAGACTGCAGATGTCAGGGAAAAGTCTAGTGCCTTGCCTCTCAGTGGAAAGGGAGGTGGTTATTTAAAGAAATATTCTCTGTTTTGCATTGCACTTACCTCTGTTCTGTTTAGCCTTTATCTCCACATTATTCTTTTCCTGCAGAATCATTTGTTTACGGATTCTCAAGTTATGATCCTTCCCAAGGTCAGGGGCATGCCACTATTTCTCACCTCAGATTTGGAAATACGTATCTTTACATTTAAAACTGCAAATACTGTCACACCAAGACAGAATGTGTTTGGCATAATATTAAGGCAAAAGATTGCATCTGAATCTCGCTAAAGCATGAATAATAGCGGAGCTTGACGAATGTTAAACCTAGACAGTACTATATACCACCTTTCTTTTTACATTTTCCCAGTTTCCTCTTTTGATTCATCTTTACTTACTTCCTATTTTTGTTTTTTGTTTATTTGTTTGTTTTGTTTTCTCATTAGAAAAGCCACAGAAACTCCAAGCAGGCAAATTAGAAGGGAGGCAATGCAACAAGTCCTATCTGTTCTCTGTCTAGATCACATGCGGAGTCTGGTCAGCAGGTGAATCCGCATCCCAGTGGGGTCACCTTCCCTGTGACCTGTCAATCACCCCAAGAAGCACTTCCCAATTTGTCTGGCACAACCTCCTTCCACTCCTCCTACCCTCTCAGTGGTCAGGAAATCCCGGAGCAGTCCTTGCCCTGGAGCTGCTTGTGTTTTTAGTAACCAGGGACTGAGCTGATTTTGAAAAATCAATCAATCAATAAATAACAATCAAAGAGCCTTGCCTCAACGCACCGAGTTGCTGGTTTCCTGCAGGTCAGAGGCGATGCCACCTCCACCAACGACCTTCCAAAGATTAAACCAGCCGTGTACAAACTGCTGGATTGAAAATTGAGAGATGGGCCGTTGGCCTCCTCCTAGGAGTACTTGTGTGTTGAAATCGGAAGGACGTTCTGGAGTTTGAGCGCGATTTTTCCCGGAAGGCTGCGGGGTTGGAAGTGCATGTTGGGGTTTGGATCTCGTGCAGCAGCGCAACTAACCTGCTGCAACGGCGCTGTGACACCCCTGTCCCGGGGCCCCCACTTTAGCCTGTTGCTTCTCTGGTCGCTCCAGGTCGGTTTTTCCCGGCGACTCTAGTGTGGCTTCCAAACTTCTGGGCTCTGGGCTCACTTCGGAATTTGCCCCCGCCCCCTACTCCCTTCCCTCAGGCCCCAGGAAGTTGCAAGAGTACCATTTGTCGCACACTCGGGGACCGCGGGTGGCCGGAGGAGATGAAACCGTCTTGGCTGCAGTGTCGTAAAGTCACCAGCGCCGGGGGGCTCGGAGGGCCCTTGCCTGGGTCCTCTCCGGCCCGGGGAGCCGGTGCGGCCCTCAGGGCTTTAGTGGTCCCGGGCCCGCGGGGCGGTCTCGGGGGCCGGGGATGCAGGGCACTGTCCTCCGGCAGTGGCAGCGAGTACAAGACCCACTTCGCAGCCTCGGTGACCGACCCCGAGAGGTTCTGGGGCAAAGCTGCCGAGCAGATCAGCTGGTACAAGCCCTGGACCAAAACGCTGGAGAACAAACACTCGCCCTCTACCAGGTGGTGAGTGACTTCTGTGCCAACCCTGATCCCCCATCCCTGGTAACTTTTTGGGCGCCAGGACCTCCCTGGGACCTGGAATCTGGCATTCTATCACGAAAGAAAATTGAAACTGGAGATGTGTTCAGACCCCTCAATTCGTGTTTCATTTCAATTTCATAGTCAGTTCTCTTGCCTTCTGCTCTTGAGAGACCCTGTTACCTATTGTGAACCCAGTGTCCCATAAACGGGAGATTTACCTGACTGGCAAGGTTCTGCTTTGGCAGTGGGAATAGTAAGAAAACTAAAACAAGATCCTGCCTCCAGGGACCGCACAGTCTAGTAAGGGAGATACTAGGTAAACAAAGCAAGCGGTACAAGAAACTAGGGAATTATAACTAAGTATCCTCCTACTATGGGGAGGGAGGGTTAAGAAAAGACTTCAATAAAATCGCACCCCATAAGGGTTTGGAAGGATGGGTATGTCTTCTCGAAGTCGACAAGGCCCTAATTATCAAAGTTCTAGAGGTGAACAACAGCTTGAACTGTGACTGAGACAGTGACTGCCAATGATTGTGTTGGCTGGAGAGGTGGGAGGGGAAGTGGTGAGTCAGGGGCTGGGTCCGGAAGGGATTTATGTACTGTGCTAAGTAGCTTGGATCAGATCCATAGGCCTGTTGTGTATATGAAGCTGCAGTATGGGGTACCCAGAAAGAATACAGATAGATATAGGCCAGGTGATGTTAGAAGTCATGGTAGGAGTAAAGTCTTCCACCTGGAGTTGGAATTATAAGAAGTTATAAGCATGATTTTTTTTGCGTTACAACAAACGCAGACACATTGTAGAATAAATATCAAGCTTGCTAAGATACTGAGGGTGAAGCACAGTCAGTGATACTCTTAGAGTGTGGCTCCTTATGTGTCTGCCCTCTGGGGGTGTGATTGCTCTCATCTGCCAGCCATTAGAGAGGATGTTTCCTGTAAAAGTTTGAAAAACACTGCTCAGCAATGAGATGAGGGGAATGATATGGTCAGGTTTGCAGTGGACGAATGGCTCTGTGGTCAGAGCAAGAAATCTGGAATGGAATTGGCTAGAGCCTGTTCTGTGTCTCCACCATGCCCAGTCCTCTCAAAAGTGTGTGGGGATGACATGGTGTTCCCTTTAGAATCTGAGCACCTTGCCCCTTCCTATCAATTATTTTTTCAATAGTATTTGATCGGTCCTCTTTTCTGTGCCAGACAGTGAACAAGACACTGGGTGTTCAACAATGAGTAAAACCTAGTCCCTGCTTTCTAGAAGTCATAAAGATTAAAAGCATGGACTCTGGGGCCAGACTACCTGGTCTGAGTTTGGCTTCTCACAGTTACTGACTGTGTGTTCACAGTCAAGTGACTTAATCTCTCTGTGTTTCACTTTCCTGAAATGCAAATATGGAAATAATTGGAGGCTTAACTTAGTAAAGGATGAAGACTATGTCTTTATACACTAGACCCTATACATGTTAGAGGAAGAATAGCTCTCTTTGTATTCTCAGACCATAATTATCTTAGGAGCAGGAAACTCTCCTAGTATTCCTCAGATGAAAGCACAGAGATTATTGCATCACTGTTTCTCAAAGTTCTGTGTACAAATATCTGTCATAAAATATGGTACTATAAATGATTTTATGTGGCCATCTCCATTATAAAACTAATGTGCAGAGAATTCAGTTAAGAAGCCACAGGTATATTCTAAATGAAAAACAGTGAGGGCCAGACCTAAGGCAGTGGCAATAAGAATGGAGGAGAAAGGACAGATTGGAGTGATTCGAGAGGACAATTAGGGATCAGCAAAGGCCCAGGAGAGAGCTTTGGAAGTGAGTGTCAATGTCCCAGCAAGTAGAGCTTAAGACCAGGAGATTTCCTTTTCAATAATTTGCTTTTTCTTTGTAATATCTAGTTGCTTGTCTACATTTTTTTAAATGGTGTGTATAAGATGTGTTTAATGAGAAATTTTGTGAAAGGGTCACTATATTTTTATAGATCACAATTTGATAACACCGTATCTGAATTCTTTATCTTTTCAGTCTTGAACTCATGCCCAGAAAATCAAAGTGAAGAAGTGATAAAACTTTGACTCTATTTATTTCAGCAGTGCGATTCAATCTTAAAAGAATTCTGGTTGGGCAAGCAGGGTTGGGAGGGAAGTAGACGTAGGAGACCAATCTTAAATTTCAGTTAGTCAGTAGTTTCAATTTGAATCTATGACTGCATTGGATACCTAAATGAAGATAGTCCTGATTGGTTAGCAAATTTCCACAAAGCCAAACAGAAGGGCAGACTGAATTTACTTTTATTTTGTTTGGCTTTATATCCGCAAGATCTAAGGCAGAGCTGGCATATAAATTTTTAAAGTGAGAGTCAACTAACTGGATACATAGCTTTGATGATTTTTGTTGCTATAAAACAAGACACCTCTTTGGGAGGTGATAAGTGGATTTAGGCACAATTTGGTGTGAAGGAGCTTTACTTACTTTCTTTGAAGCTGGGATCTGGAGAAGGGAGATATTGACAGCCAAGTGCTTAAGCAAAACAAGGCGAGATTGCTATAGCTAATTGTTCTCTCCTCTGTGGAGCTGGCATATGTGTAGTCACAGTCTCTGATGCCCTTCGGCTTCCCAGAGGCAAGAGCGATTCTTCATTATAAGCTTGTCTGTTTGTTGTTCACAAAAGTAAACTCCCCTCAGAACCCACAGGCTTATCAAAAGTCTCAGCATATAAATAGTATTGCATATTAGCTTTCACAATGACATAAGCTGTGCAATATTCTATGCATGCAGTAATATAGACATGGAGAATAAATCTTTAAGGGCGATATATGGAAGGGAACTTCCATTGTAGTGAATGACTCTATTAAATGCATTTCCAGTCCTGTAATTTCTAAGACCTTCAAAAAACAAATCCAAATTACAGGTAGGTGCTTTAGGGGTTTATACGTGATTGCTTCTCCTCACAGTTTGGTGGTTACTCCATATTGTTAACACCTGGCTCTTTGGGTAATAAAGTCTCTATTAGAGAGACTTCAGTGGAGAACTGCAATCATAGTAATTTCTTCAGTCCTGGAACAACAAAGTGGAAGTTTCTGGTTATTTTCTCCGGATAGACATCCTGCTGCCTGTCCTGAAATTGAAATCCAGCTGCCACTCTCTGAAGGATTAGTCAATTCACTTTTCTATTATATATTGTGGTTGACTCTCTGGGCCATCAATTTATCTCTTTCTATGGAAGCATTGCAATCCAATTTTAGTTTACTTTTATTTAAACAACATTCAATGATAGGATTCTCATATACCATTTGTTTAGAAATCAATATGTATTAACAGTGACTATAAACCAAAAAGGAAAAGACTAACTAAATGCAGATTATTAGAAAATAACTTAAGCTTGGCTAACATTTCTGTAGTCAAGATACTGTGGGTTTCTCAACATGCAGGATCTGAATTCCTTACTAGCTGAGATTAAGGTTGTTTAATCCTGCCAAGTCTTAAAATGGCTTTTAAGAATTAAAGGACATCAATCATTCACCCACTGCATGTACAGTACAGAGAAAATGATGAAAGAGATAGTGAAGGAACTCACCACACAGCAGCGTGAAAGACATGCATTAAATTATTACAAAAGAGACTAATTTTAAATTTTAGATGCAGGGGTACATGTGCAGGTTTGTTATATGGACATATTGTGTGATGTTAAGATTTGGGCTTCCATTGAACTCATCACCCAGATAGTAAACACGGTACCTGGTAGGTTTTCGACCCTGGCCTCCTCTCTCCTTCCTTGCCTTTTGGAATCCCCAGTGTCTATTGTTCCCATCTTTATATCTGTATGTCTCCAGTGTTTAGCTCCCACTTATAAGTGAGAACATGCATATCTGGTTTTCAACATGATGAACACTATTTAGAGTTGCAGTAGATGCTAGGTAATCCAGCCTTTATTGGGGGATATGATACTGTCTTCTTTAGAAGGATCATGAGAGGGGTCTAGAGGAAATGATGTTTAAACTGAGATCAAAATGAGTAGGAGTTAGACATGTGAGAAGTGGGGAGGAACATTCCAGGGAAAGAAAATAGCATATGCAAAGGCCATGAGGTAGACATGTTTAGTAAGTTCCAGAAACTTAAAGAAGGTTTACTCGGTTGGGACTTAAGAAATGACAGAAAATTATCTTGAGATGGAAGGAGAGAGCCATATCGTGAATGGTCTTTTGAGTTATGTTAAGGATTTTTAAATTTTTTCCTGGCATATAATACCTGTCAGGTAATACATGACCAAAATGTAAATTTCCTATTCCTTCTTCTTCACTGGGTCAATACAGGCTTGAGTTCAACCGTAGCTTTGCCGCTTACTCTGAGAAAGCTTCAATACCTTTATTTGCAAAATTAGAATCATGACGGTATCTATTTCTAAGGATTAAATTGGGTGAGAGAAGCTTGTAAAGTGCCTAGGACTGTCCCTGACACATACAACTAGATATGATTATCTTTGGAATATGAAAGAAATACTCCCGTGAGCTAATGTGGTCCAATAAGTTTTGAGGGGAAGCGGTAGCATTTAGAGTGAATCTTAAAGTAGGACTTAGGAGGAAAGTCATTTATGTTCAGGGAACAAGATGACAAAAACATAGAGGTAAGAAAAGCCAAGTGTCCTTAGAGGATAGTTATAGTAGACCAGCTGGCTTTTAGTGGCTTGTCTGAGTTGCTGGGACTTACTTTCAGAAAATAGTTTCAGCCTGCTTTTAAAAGGCTTGGAGTAGCAAGCTAAGGCATTTGCATTTACTTCTTAGGTCACAGCAGGGCTGAAAGCCTGCAGGTAGGCTTTGTTTGACCTACAAGTTTTGTTTGTTTAATTTGTTGGCATTTAAATATTGGAATATAAAAATCTAAATTTCCTGTAAAAAATTCAGCTTTTGGTCTTTTTTTTTTTTCTTTTGAGACGGAGTCTCACTCTGTCACCCAGCCTGGAGTGCAATGGCATGATCTCTGCTCACTGCAACCTCCATCTCCCCGCTTCAACCATTTCTCCTGCCTCAGCCTCCCAAGTAACTGGGATTACAGATGTGCACCACCACACCCAACTGATTTTTGTACTTTTTTTTAGTAGATTTGGGGTTTCACCATGTTGGCCAGGCTAGTCTCGAACTCCTGACCTCGTGATCCGCTCACCTCGGCCTCCCAAAGTGCTGGGATTACAGGCATGAGCCACCGTGCCTGGCCCTTGGTCTCCTCTTTAAAGAAGAAAAAATGGGCAGGGCGCAGCAGCTCACGCATGTAATCTCAGCACTTTGGGAGGCTGAGGCAGGCAGATGACGACGTCAGGAGATCCAGACCATCCTGGCCAACATGGTGAAACCCCATATCTACTAAAAATACAAAAATTAGCTGGATGTGGTGGCACACACCGGTAATCCTAGCTACTTGGGAGACTGAGGCAGGAGAATCGCTTGATCTAGGGAGTCAGAGCCAAGATTGTGCCACTGCACTCCAGCCTGGTGACAGAGTGAGACTCTGTCTCAAAAAAACAAACAAGAACAACAACAAAAACCCGGAATGTCTGTCGGCGATGGGTCAGTATTCCTGCACAGCAACACTCGGCTGGAACTGAGCAGCTGCTGATCCTTTAAATGGTGCATGTGCTTGTTTGTTATTCACTGTCCTCACCCCTATTGCATTATACTTTGCCTGTCCCAGCCATTAACTTTTCCATTGTGATCATTTTTGTTTGCAGTGCCTCGTAAGGCAGTAATGATCCATGGAAACATTTTGTTAAGAAGGTGATAGGATGAAAGTATTATCAGAAGCCAAGTTTGACTTCAGATTTCAATATTTCTTGGTAGGTTGGGAAATGAGGGATATTGGGAAACATGGAGTAATGAGAACATAAAATAATGTGACTAATGAACTAGGGTAATAGCAGGAGGTGTAGAAAGAGAGGAACTTCAGGAATAAAAATTAAATTACACATAGTGACTTTTTGGCAGCGGGATGCAGGGAAGTAAAGACATGGTAACTGTAAGAATCTGACTTAAATGTCCAGATGAGGAATTGATGGGGCAATTAAAGTTACGAGGCTGAAAACTGGGAGAGAACTTGATGTAGAATTATAGATTTTAGTATAAATCTTAAAGAGGTGAGAGGTAGAAGCTTATGAAAGTTGAAGTGAAAGAGAGAAAGAAAGGGAAGAGAAGAGGAAAATAGTAAGGACTGAACTTTGGGAAAAAGTGGGAGAAAAAAAAACTATGGAAATGGATGAGACATTCAAAGAAAGAGGAAAAGAAAGAGCAAGATATTCTAGTGTCATGCATTGTAAAGGAGAGAAAAGATAAAAATAGTGGTCAAGGGCTCTAGAGATGCTTTGAGGCTATTGAAAATCAAAAAAATATCTGCTGTGACTCAGAGATTCTTGATGACTTTCTATAATATGATATCAATGGTGAGATAAGGGCCAAAGCCAGAATAGCACATTACAGAGTGAACTGGTATAGGCAAAAACATTCCATGAGGATATTCGACAGTGACAGGAAGATGAAACAGGATAATATATGGCAGTATGGTGGTATCTGGGTCAAGTAAAATAAGTTTCTTCCTCATTCCTTATTTCCTCTCCTCCCTTTAAGAAGAAATCTATGTTTAAATGCAGAAGTGAAGAAATTATGAAATAGGAATGAAGGGAATTTTGCTTGTTTTGAAGCCTACTGCTCAACAGGACTCCTTGTTTTTGCAAGTTGAACTTTGTGTGGTTTCTTATGTTAATTTTTTGCTTTTGCTGCTACAAGTTACTGAAAGAAACAGGTTGCAAAAGTCTCAGAATTGGTATAAAGAGTACTCAGTAGATCTGTTTGTTCTTTTTAAATACTACAGTGATTCTAGTGAGCTAAATATCTCAATATTTGTTTGTGAGTCTGACAGGGAGGATAAGGAAGCAGCTGAAAAGGGAAAAGATAATGAATATTTGTTGAGTCCTTTCTCTGAACTATCAACTATACAGTAGAGTCACATATTTCCATTTATTCCTTCCCCAGATGCTGCAAAGTTAGTATTATCATGCCTTTTCTACATATGAGGGAATTGAATCTTAAGGCCACACAGCTAGTTAGCAGAGGCTAGACCTGGGTTAGTATTAATAGCTCCAGTGGCTAAGCCCAGAATCTTTTCCTCCAAATATCAAGGGAACTGTTCCGAAGGCAGGTTGCCAAATCTTGGCCAACCTGAAAAAGATTTTTGGCTACTAAATTGAAGGAGACCAAAGAGATATGAATTAAATGCAAAAGGTAGTTTCTGAATATTTTCACCATAATTGATATTTTTGAGGACAAGTAAGAAGCCAGAACAGGATTTCAGGATTGGATGGTGGTAATGTGTCAATATTAGTTTCCTGAAGTTGATGGTTATAGTATCGTTCTCTAGAAGAATGTCCTTATTTATAACAATTACATATTAAATTATTCTAGGGTTCTTGGGCATCATGTCAGTAAATGTTTCAAAGGGAAAAAAAAAGTACTTTATCTTGTAATCGCAAATTTTCTGTGAGTTTGAGATTGCTTCAAAGGAAAATAAATACAAATATAATGGGGATTTTATGTATCCAGAAAGCAATTTAATCCCCCTATTGAACTTTGGCTCTTTGGCAAACAAATGCTCAGCTACATTAAACTGTTTGGGAAATTCAGTATTTGTCAGATATTTTTAAAATTACATTTAATTCTGGTTTGAAGGTGAGAGTGTTATATAAAGAGGAAGAATTTTTCTCCTTTTGACAAACTCTAAATTAAATGAATTTATTCATAGCGTTGTACACAGTAAAGGTATATTTAAAATATAAAATCATCATTATTTTATAGATTTAAAAATATTTTAAGAAGGTATCTGCTTGGCATGAAAAATTGCCTGTTAGAAATAAGGCCTCTCAAAATAACCTCATCAAGAAAGACCAGTTTTAAAAGATGGGCCTTATTTTATATTCTGAAGGTCAGCAGCTTGGTACTGTGCCGTATCTAATTTTCTCAGCCTGTCATGCTGCTGAACCTTCAGGACAGAACAGAGTGAACTACAGGAATGCTGCAATTACATAAGCAAGGATGGATTGCCTGGCAAATGGCGCAATCAATGAACAATGGAAATTCAATCGGCTGTGACTGATCAACTACTAGGTGTTGGGGGAAAATCCACACTCTTATCACCGCCTGAAAGGTGGCTTACTTTTCTTTTGTCATGCCACATATAGTATTAGTTGAAAGGACAAAAAAAATCCAGTGGTTGAAGTTGTTTGCTTGTTCTTCTTCTTCTTTTTATTTTTTTTTATTCTACTTTCATAAGCAACAAGCTGCAACTCCATGAGGGAGATCATTGCTTTCCACTGTGGTGTGACATTTGTAAGAAAAATGTGTAGGAGGCTAATGAATCTTTGCAATTATATATATGAATGTAATAACCTCTCTAAATTACAGTTTCAAGTATATGTGAATGTGGAGCTCAAATCCTTTATCTAAACTACGTGGATAGGGAACTTGTTATATTAAAGGTATTAATTATATTTGTTTTTGTCAGTGTTTTAGTTGAATGAGGTAAGGAACAGTGCATAGAAAGGATAGGTATTATTTTTATAATATCTTAGGAAAATTAAAATTTGTGAATTTTGAGTTTGAAGGAGTCCAATTGGAAATACGAGGATAGTAAAAAACAGAAGGTCTTTCAAATACTAAATTAGAGAGGGACAGAGTTTAATTATATGGCTTTAATAATTTAAAACATTAATTGCCTTAAGAGGGAGGAAAGCAATTAAAGTCTGTAGGTCTTTGACTTATGACCTGACTCTGGACAATAGGAATACCTTCTCTTAAGGTGTTTATGGTAGAATAACAACACTTGCCAAGTATAATCTTTCAAGGTGTCATTGCTAAGTGGATGCAGCAGTTAAGTAAAATAAATTTGGTAAGATGAAGAAGAAGGAGCAGGAGAAGAAGAAGAGCAGGAGGAGGAGGAAGGAGGAAAGAGGAAGAGAAGAAGAAGAAAAGAAGGAGGAAGAAAAAGAATGCTTAATTTCTACTGTAGATCTGGCCAGTATAGATATCTGTAGAAAAATTTAGTAAGACTAAAAAAAAAATTAGTCACTCCGTATTATTGTCCATTTGCTAAATAACTTTAATCTAATGAGTGCATGGGAGCTTAGAAAAGTCCACTTTTGCGCTAATCTCACTTTGCATTCTCTCCATACATTTTTTCTTATTTTCATAGAATTCCATTGATTTTCAATTGAGAGGCAAGTATTTTTCTATAATAAACCACAAATACCTAGACTGTGCCTTCCTCTAACTCTCCCTCCCAACTCTCCCTCCTTAAGTACAGATGAAATTTGCCACTCTTATCAATGGGATTTGTTGGATACCCTAATTTTGGTGGTTAGGAGGAAAAAGTATTGAGAATTAGTTAGTGGAGAAAACAAACTGATTTCTGGTTCAAAATCTTGGCTCTACTCTTTGAACAGTATCTTGGTCCAAATAATTATAATACGGAAGAATTATAAAATGCATACTGTGATGGGTATTACTATTTTTTGTGTTGTTTCTTTTCTCGTCTGTTCTCTTCTGCTAATATGTAGGAAGATTGGTCTTCCCCACATATACGTGATTATGCGATTAGCTTTGGCCACTGCAATAAGAGGAGCAAGGCTTTTCACTTAGTTAATTGCCAGAGCTTCAATTCTTAGTTCTTTCTCATCTACCATGGCCATTTGGAAGTACATGTAGAATAGAAGCAGTTTGGATTGCTAAGCAAAAACGTATAGATGACAATGTTTTGGGGAGTCTACCTGAACCCACAATGGAGTGGCGTGAGTGAGAAATAAACATTTATTTTTGCAAGTTACTGAGATTTTGCAATCGTTACCGTATGGCATAATCCAGCCTGTCCTTACTGATTGAGGGGTAAATAATAACTTTATGACTGTTGGGATAATTTAGTCTGCTAAAGTACATAAACATTGTCAGGTATATCATAAAATAGCTAACCTTTTTATTATCTGTTATCATAAAAACAGCTGTTATGAAAACAGCTAACAACTAAGCTTTTTATTGTCTCCATAGTATGCGCTAGATACAATACTAAGTGTTTTAATTTGTTTAATATTTATAACAACTCTGTGAGGCAGGGCCAATTTTTATTCTTGTTTAAAGGGTTTGGAAATACAGTTTCTTAAGAAACTTGCCTAAACTTATAAAACTAGTAAATAGCAGAGCTAAGATTTCAACCCAGGCTGGCTGAATTTAGCATCTGTGCTCCTAAATATATTCTATTGCTTGTTGAAAATAGTCTCAATTAATTTTAGATTTTTAAAAATTTTTTAACTCTTCTCCTCTGAAACCGTTTAAAGTTTTTACTTTTCTTTTTAAATAGTGATATAAGAAGAGTTTTTAAAGTTTGGGTCTACATCTCAAAAACATTCTAGATATGGAATAAAAAATAGCTGTTCTTTGAAAAAATAAACTTTTAATTTTTTATTGTGTATGACAGTCCTAAAGGTGGGAGGAAGGGAGCTTTAAATGAGTTGACAGCTTCTTTAGAAATGTTTCCTGGACAATAGAAAGCAATATTAATCTCTTCCTTAAAACTACTCTGTTGATTTTCTGGCTTAAGGAAAATCTATAATGACCACATTATTCATTGCTTATAGTATGCTTTAATGTTATTTTTATAAGAACATGATAAATAGCCTAATTAATTTGTCTAATTATGAACACTTGGAAATTTACTCCTCCAACCTCTCAATAAAAAAATAGGATTTCTTTATATGTTAAGTTGTTGGTTTTATTTACTTTTAAATACGTTGATGTGTACTATTTCTTTTTATTTTTCTTTCATTCTTTTTTATCTTGATCCTAATTCCCTTCTGCATTTTCAAGCAGAAGATATGCAGGTGGAGAAACCTTGATTAATGGCATATGTTAAGTGCAGAGATATATTTCTTGGAAATTGCATTGCAACTGGCTCCCTTAGTTCTAATAATATCCCATTTTTTAGGAATCCAGTGCAAGGTCAATGAGTTGTGTCTCTCACCTGTGTTATTCCATAGATATTGCCAAACTTTGGAAAACAAATGATCTAAAAATGTTAAATGCTTCCTTTGAGTGTTTATGGGATGAGTCAAAA
This sequence comes from Homo sapiens, assembly GCF_000001405.40. Taxonomy (NCBI): domain Eukaryota; kingdom Metazoa; phylum Chordata; class Mammalia; order Primates; family Hominidae; genus Homo; species Homo sapiens. The sequence goes on from NC_000012.12 coordinate 81,089,588, forward strand.
ATATATGTGCAGAGTCTGTAATAGAATGAGAAGGAAACTAACATGTGATTATTCTCTAGCTTGTTACTGAGTCATTCCTTTCTGTAACCTGATGTATTATCGTCAATAATGATAATGGTGATAGTAATAATAACAAAACAATGACAATGGCAAAGACTATAGTACTGCTGTTTTGGTACTAATTATGAAGAATTTGATTTGTGTTGGGCCCTATGCTAATCACTATATGTATATTATCTCTTTGAATCTTCCCAACAACTCTTATAATGCATTTTTATAATACTGTAAACAAATGCACAGAAAGATAAGTGGCTTGTCCGAAGTTATACAGTGGTGGACTTAGTTTTTTCAACCCAGTTGGGTCACACTGTAGAGCCTAATTTCAGTTATAAGTTGTAATTATGCTCTCTACCTTCTGTTTTACATAGCAGAACCTAGAGAGTGAAAAAGCATGAGAGCAATGTAGCATTCTTAAAAATGTTAATCGGGATTTAACTTCCCTTTGCTTTATTTGTTCTCTGTGTTTCTGTGTGTTTTCCACTCTCCTCTTATCTTAGAGAAATGTAAGTCCTCACTGTTTTCCCAGAGCCAACTTGCACATGTCTTTTTGATTTCGTCGCCTTTCAATGTCTCTAGGGATTTTATCTTAAAACCTTTAGTGGTTCTTTCCTAAAAAGCATTTCAATCTTGTTTTCTTTTAAGCAAATTTGGCAAAAATGCTCAATGCTCATCTACATTTTGTCACTTCACATCTATTATGTGAGCTCATGCTCTATTGATACTTCTACCAATAATTTGACACATCACCACTCAGTAATAGGAGAGTAGGGTTCAGGTCTAAATTACATTTGTGATCTTCGCAGCAGAATGCACAAAGCCTTCTGTATATATCAGTTGAACTGACATTAAAAACTTCACCATATACAGATTTACCTTCTAATCCATCTCCTAAATCTGATTTTTTATATAAATTGCAGGTAGATACTACCTGAATCATCTATCCAATCAGAACCTCAAATAATCCACAAATCCTCTATCAAGGAACCAAAGAGTTTGAAGTTTTGTCATCTAAGCTTTGGGTCTAAGCTTTATTTTGAGGCAGTTGGCTTCCTTTGCCTCTCCTTAGCTCATTCATTGATCCTTAAGCTGTAGTAGAGGATATTTTATAATCCATGGGTTTCCATTTATCAAGACAAATACATATATACTGCAAGTAGGGAAGGTAGGGAAATACTTCACCTATGTGGGGGATTGGTTCCAGAACACCACCCACTCCCTGCAGATACCAAAATCTGCAGATGCTCAAATCCCTTATATAAAATAGTGTAATATTTGCATATAACCTATGCACATGCTCCCATATACTTTAAATAATCTTTAGATTACTTGTAATACCTAAAACAATTAAGTGCTATGTAAATAATTGGTATACTGTATTTTTCAAATTTGTATTTTTTAATTATTATATTGTTATTTAAAATTAATTTTTCTCAAATATTTTTGATTCACGGTTGGTTGAATCTGTGCATGTGTAACCTGTGGATATGGAGGGCTGACTGTTCCTATATGAGAATGAACTGGAAAAGTTGCCTCTTAGGCACATATGAGATTCCAAGGATCTCAGATTAAGAGTTGGGTTGATATTATGTTATCAGATTGTCATCTTTTAGTAAATATGTTAAGAAAATTAAAATCACAGAATGAAAAAGTGATAGCAATCATATAAAAATGTTGAATTAGAATGCATTTATGTTATCATAAATTATGATAAAATTTTAATATATTAGAGTAAAAGCCTATCTTGATCTGTTAAAAGCTTGAATTTTAGAAAAAATATAAAACTGATTTTATTATTATTTAAAAATATTGGGTCTTGACTGCTCAAGATCTCCTACATATGTCTAGCATGAGCATCGTTTTACTTCGCTAGAATATTTCAAGAGCAGTCTGAAAATGTAATTTGTAATTACAGGCTTAGTAGACCTAATTTGATGAAATTTTCTCTTACCTTGGTTTACTTAATTTATAAAAATATTAATTTTCAAGTTTATCATTAGTAAAAAATACTTTAATAAGGAGGGTTTTAAAAAATTAAATATTTCAAAGACAGTATTTGATGGAAATCGTATAATACCACTCTTAGATCAAAATCTCTTAAATTCTAAAAGATGATTTTACTCTAAGTGTGCATACCTGTGTATGTGTATGTTAAAATGTTACAGGATACAAAACATGTTGGTACATAATAACAGCATCACCTTTTACCATAGTAATTTAACTTCTTAAAAGCATCCTGAGTTCTCAAGAATTTAAGGAAAGTTAAGTAACTTGCTAATGCTCACTTGCCATGCAGAGATAGCAGATCTAGGATGAAAAAACAGACTTACTATGCTTGAGAGTGTATCAGTTTCTCATTGTGTCACGTTTCCTCCCCAATTAATCCTATCTTATCCTCATAATACCAGTGTTACAGATTTAAAAACGAGCTGTGCATACATAAATATATACATACACATATATGTTTGTTAGCCTTTTATATTTATAAAAGTGGGTTTTATTTTGTTTTTTAGCCCTGGAGTTTATTCATTTGTTAATGCATTTGTTTCTTCTTTATTTTGTTCATTCATCCAATATTTACTGAATGACCTCTATGGACCAGGCACTATTCCAGGTGCAAGATGAGAGTCCAGATAGAGTTTAACTCTAAAAAACAATGTTACACATCAAGCGAGGAAAAAGGGCATTTTGCTTATAGTAAAATAGCATTCGTTTTCCTGTTCAATAAAAGAAGAGTAATAACAAGTGATATGGATTATCTAGTTATTATTTTCTGAAAATAAGAGTAACAAAATCCATTTTATTCTACAATCAGTTCTACTCTGAATTGCCTTTGATTGTTGAGGTGTGAAAAACTAGAGCACATAGCGTTCCATTTTGGTGAACAGTGGCCATTTTCTAACTAATGAATCCTTTAATAGATTAAAAAAACAACTAATTTTAATTTTATCCCTTTGTGCAGCCTCTCATTTTTTGTTGGAGGTGAAAACAAGCAGGAAGGCAAGGGAAAGACAAATCAGAAAAGAGAGAATAAAGGGAGATAATGGGTTTCTTAGCACCAGCTAGATAATGAGATCTTCGATAATTGAGCAGGCTGCACTGTATTCACGTTTCAAATTATCAAAATGTTAATGGGAAACGTTTCATCTAGGAATGTGGTTGGAGATAGTGGGGTAATTGACAAAAATATAATAAAGATGTACTTCGTAACATTGTTCTCAGATTATTTTGAGTATAAGGCTAGGAAAAAAAGGATAAAAGTTTTATGTTTTGCTTAGCATTAAAGTTATGTCCAATGGTGTCTATTTAGTGTAGTTGGATTTATCTTTGAGGCTATGTCTAGGTTATGTTTGTGTCTGTGTGTTTAAGGTTTTTTTTTGGGTGCAAGGTATAGGTTGGACATTAGATGGAGATGTAGTGTGATTTAATTATCAAGGGAGAGGTTTTATAAATGCAAGGCCTAGGATTGAGACTTATGTTTAAATTACTTTCACTGGCATTTATTTATTCAGAAATAATTCTGAGCCAGACGCAGTGGCTCACGGCTGTAATCCTAGCACTTTGTGAGGCCAAGGTAAGCGGATCAATTGGGGTCAGGAGTTCGAGACCATACTGACCAACATGGTGAGACCCCATCTCTACTGAAAAATACAAAAAAATTAGACAGGCATGGTGGCTCATGCCTGTTGTCTCAGCTACTCAGGAGGCTGAGGCAGGAGAATCGCTTGAACCTGGGAGATGGAGGTTGCAGTGAGCCGAGACTGCACCAATGCACACTCCAGCCTGGATGACAGAGCGACACTCTGTCCCCACCGCCACCAAAAAAAAAAAAAGAATTCTGATTAAAGTGTAGGTTTATGCCTTTTTTCCCACTGTAAAAATAGGTATTACTTTACATTTTAATTAGGTAAATGCAGGAAAGTCAAATATCTTGCTATATTAGGTATAGTTCCCTTCAGTGTTTTTTTTTTGGAAATAATTATAGACTTACAAGAAGTTGCAAAAATAATGCAAAGAGTTCATTTGTATCCATAATCCAGCTTCCCCCAGTAATAACATCTTACATAACTATAGTACATTATTAAAATCAAAATTGTCATTGGCATAATGCAATGAACTAAGCTATAGGTCTTATTCAGATTCACCAGTTTTTGCACTTATTTATTTATATTTTATGTGTAGATGTTATGCCTTTAAAAAATCAAGAATCTATGTCTGTCAATCTGTTTGACTCCCTGGATCTCTATTTCTGTTCTTATAGAGAAATGGAATTGTACTATCCATCCATATTATTTGGTAGCTCATTTTTTTTCACTTGTAAGAAGTGTTTTTTCCATTTTTCTAATTCATTATTTTTAATGTATACAGAATATTTAACATATTGGGTGAATATATAAATATTTCCTAATCCTTTCATATTGGCATTTAGATGGTTTCTCTTTATTTGCTTTTATAAATCGGCAGATAGACTTGCATCTTTGGGCTTGGCATTCCAAGGATATATTTTTTTTTCCTCTCTCTCTCTCTCTGTCTCTCTCTCTGTGTGTGTGTGTGTGTGTGTGTGTGTTTCTCTTTCCTTCCTTCTGGTAAATTCTTAGCAGATTTCAATGTATATTATCCAGCCATTCTCCAAAAAAATAATAAATATTGTAAGTTCCCACCATCTTTTTCCTTATGAAATATTTGAAGAATAAAGATAATAACTTAGAGGACACTCAACACTGAATTCTGTGAAATCTTAGTATTTTGTCACATTAGTTTCAGATCTTTTTATCATAAGCAGTAAAACATTACAGACACAATTGACGCTCCCTGTGTATCTCTCCCAATTACATGGTATTTACAGAAACAATCTTAGAATAATTTGTAAGGCTCGATGGAAAGGAAAAGTTCTTTTTGGACATTCTCAAATGATTGATTGTATTCCCTCTTTTTAATAGGAGCTCATATTCAACATCTCTCCATGGACATGAGCTAAGTGTTGAGCAGAATGAGTTAATGAATATGCTCTCTGCCTTCTGGGAGCCTCGACTGTAGAGGAGCATTTCATCAGAACATTGCAGCATGTTGTTTTGCATGAGTTATAAGCTGAAAGAGAAAGAAATGGATAGTTAAGATAAAGATGTAATATGAAAAAATGAAAAAATGTATAGTCCTAAAGTTCTCAGGTTTAGAAAACATTAATTTCAATCCTTGTCTATTGCTCTCCTGTCTTCCTCCCATTTCTCCTTAACCAGAGCAACATTAACACCAGGTCAGCTAGTTGGGGTCCTCCTCCCCTGCATCGTGCTGCTGCTGCTCTTTCTCTTTCTTCTCCTTCTCCTCATTTCCTTCTTTGTTCATCATTTCATTATTGTTATCATCAGGAATACATGCTTCTGTTTTTTCCAACAAATACTAGCTGTCATTAGGCAGAGTACACCCTCCATTCCACTCCCTCCTGGTTCTCTGGATAACTCTGAGGTTTCTTCAAAGTTACCCACTTGTGGCCCTGGGGGCATTCTGGATTGTAGGTCTGGTTTCTAGGAACCTGCTCTCATTTGGAGTTTGGTTCTTTGCCAGCTCATCATGACATTTCTGAATTGGTTGACTGGGGACCACTGTTCCTAAGAGAGTCCCTAAAGTGTTATGAAAAGGACTGACTGATGAAGCATGCTTTCCTTTAAAAACTCTACTTTTAAGTTTATGTTATTAGCACTGTATTTGAATTTAATATACTTATGCTTTGAAACCTAAATGTTTTTATCTTTTACTTTGAACCTTAATATTAATCTAATTATCATTTTACATTTTCTACCTTTTTAGATTAAACCAAATCCTATGTCCTTTTACTTAACTTATTGGTTTTTCCTGCATTTTCCTCTAGAATACAAATAAACAAGATAAAATGTATCCTTAACGTCTTTGAATTTACTGTCAGGCATGACTCACAACCGGAGAATCTTTAAGATCATTCATTCATGTCTTTTCACTGACAGTGGATTCAGTTCAGATAACAGGCATTGATTTCCTGAAAGCTTTTCTTTCTATTCTTTTTCCTGTGGGCTGCATTTCTCACCACTGGCAATTCACCTAGCTTTAATCCGAGATGATCTGGCAAGGCGGAAGATGTCTATGTTGTCCTTTCATGTCGAGATGGGACAATCTGGCTAGAGATGGTGTGATGGGGCCAGATTCTGAGTATACATACTCATGTAGGAAGGATCGGTGGGACTAAGGAATGCCTCTGTCTTTACATCAGGTTTCTCTGTTAAAATAATTATCTGTGCTATGGAGAGATGTGCTTTCCAAGTACTTTCACAAAAACAATATCCCTAGTGGTAAATTAACATAAGGCTATTATTCTGTTCCAAGTAAGCAATTACCCAATTTGGAGAGTTTCCTGGAACAGTCAGTTGATACTTCCCAAAGGCCAAGTATCTGTAATTCAGATGGGATATCACTGTGTGAATAAAGCAAAATGTTGCCCTCTTAAAAATACTTAAAGCCTGCTCTGTTTCTGTGCAACAGTAGTCTTTTGAGCTAGTCATTGTTTTTGCTGAGCACTGACTATTTACCTTATAAGAGTCTTTTTATTATTTGTCAGAAGAGAAAGTGTCAGGAGAGAATTTGTAAGGAGAATGTGTCAGGAGAGTATATTACATTTCACATTTATTCACACTTACAAGCTTTTATTTTAAAATAATCATTGAGCATTTGTTGTGTGCCATTAATGAACTAGCATGTGGTCCCTGCCTACAGAAAGCAGAGAGTCTGGGAGGACACAAAAGTACACAAAAAAACATGGATACTTAAAAGCGGACATGCACTTGTACCATTTTCTTTTTCTTCTTTTGTTATTATTATACTTTAAGTTCTGGGATACATGCACAGAAAATGCAGGCTTGTTACATAGGTATACATGTGCCATGTGGTTTGCTGCACCGATCAACCGGTCATCTACATTAGGTATTTCTCCTAACGCTATCCCTCCCCTTGCCCCCCACCCCCTGACAGGCCCCAGTGCGTGATGTTCCCCTCCCTGTGCCCATATGTTCTCATTGTTCTACTTCCACTTATGAGTGAGAACATGTGGTGTTTGGTTTTCTGTTCCTGTGTTAGTTGCTGAGAATGATGGTTTCCAGCTTCATCCATGTCCCTGCAAAGGACATGAACTCATCCTTTTTTATGGCTGCATGGTATTCCATGGTGTATATGTGCCACATTTTCTTTATCCAGTCTATCACTGATGGACATTTGGGTTGGTTCCAAGTCTTTTCTATTGTGAAAAGTGCTGCAGTGAACATATGTGTACATGTGTCTTTATGGTAGAAATTTAAAGTTGTTTAATTTAATTAAACTTTAAAAATCAGTTTCTCAGTTGCATTAGCCAAGTGTGGCTATTGAGCACTCATATGATGGCTACTGTGGTGGAGAAACTAAATTTTAAATTTTATTGTATTTTAGTTAATTTAAATTTAAATTTAGTTAGACACATGTGGCTAGTCGTTACCCTACTGAGCAGCAGAGACATAGAACATTTCCATTGTCACAGAAATTACTAGACAGAGCTGCTCTAGAGAAGGGAGTGGGAATGCTTTTCTTTTCAGGACCAGATTGAATATTTTTGGCTTTGCAGGCCAGACCAGTTCCATTGCAATCTCTCAGTTCTGCTGTTGTAGAGCAAGAACAGCCACAGAGAATACACATAAATCAGTTATATGTTCCAATAATGTTTTCTTTGCACAAACACATAGTGGACCAGTTTGACATGTGAGTTGTAGTTTGCTGACCCCGGCCCTAAAACTTTGGTTTCTTTTGTATTCGTTTTCCTTACTCTTTTCCTGTTTGCCTCTAAAATTTTCCTTTACAGTATTCCATATTTCTCAAACACCTCCCTGCTTCCATCTTTGTTATCACAACACACTTCATTGTTTCAAAACACTATAAATGATCACCCTCCACTTGTGTCCTGCTCCTGCCCATTCTACCTGTGACCATAGAGCTATGCCCTCCTAACTCACTTTAGCCAGTCTGCTCATCTGTTAATGTGTGTAATAATAGTAATTGTCTGATGTGGTTATTGAAAGGAGCTAATGAAATGTGTATAAAATTACGATCGTGGAAGGCATGAACATTCTCACATTAACACATTAACACAGAATAGTTGAGACTCAGAGCCCAACTAACACTAATACCAGTGTGTCACTCATTGTGTGTGGACCTCAGGTAGGAAACTTGTCTCTACCTCAGTTTCCTCATATGTAAAATGAGGATTATTGGATGTAGTAGGTCCTTGAATAACGGCATTTTGTTCAACTTTGTTTTGTTGTAATATTGAAGTGGAAAAAAAAAAGAACAATTCTTGGGCAGCGCCACTGTCTGTGTGTGTTGTTTGCATGTTCTACCCATGTATGGGTGGGATTATTCCGGGTACTCTGGTTTCCTTTCACATCCTAAAGATGTGCACATAAGGTGAATTGGCATATCTAAATGGTCCCAGTATGAGAGAGAGAGAGAGAGAGAGAGTGTGTGTGTGTGTGTGTGTGTGTGTGTGAGACTGTGCCCTGCGATAGGATGGTGTCCTGTCTGGGGCTGGTTCCTGCCCTGTCCCCTGAGTTGCTGAGATAGGCTCCAGCCGCCCACAACCCTGAGCTGAATAATTGGGTAAATAATGCTCTTAGTGGTTGTTATTTATCTTTTTTAAATGTATGGATAGCTCATATTTATTTCAGTGTTTACTATTAGAAGTGTTTTGGGTCCTTATTTAGAAATTTGATGATGTTTTTGTGACCAGAAATATGCCCTAGGAACTTAACACTTGTTTATATCAATTAGCCTGTGGTGAAATTAGTTTCCTTGTATGTCATTTTGCTTAAAGTCTCCATTTCCAAAATCCTATTGATGATGTTAAATGAAGACCTACTGTATTTACCTCACAGAGTCCTCATGAAGATTAAGTGAGTTAATTTGTGTTAAATGCTCATAGCATTGTCTTGATACAATTCTTTAAAATTTTTCCCTAAGGTTTATAGATGAAAAAAGAAAGTCTTAAACATGTTAATTTGTCTGCAGTCATTTAAATAACTAGCAAATGACATGGCTAAGATTCGAACTCTAGTCTGTTGGCCTCAAAGCTCAGGCCTTAACATTGTACTACATTCCTTTTCACATCCATCAGCTCCTTACCACATTCCCTAGTTTAGAATTAATCTCTTTCTTATTATGTGCTTTCATCATGCTTAGTTTGTACCTCTGTCAGGAAATTTGCCACATTTTGCATCTTATCATAGTTATTGCAAACCAGTCTTCGTTTTGAGAGTGGAGAACATGTTCCCAGTTATAATGTTTCCCCTTCCTTCACAGTCTCTGGTCCAATCAATAGAAAATTATTATGAAATGTATTAAATAGAAACACTTTTGAATAGAAAAATTATTATAGTTAATATTTGGGATTCTAATCTGTTGTAGTCTTCTTATGAGTTAATGAATTTTTTTATAAAGATTATATATTCACCTTTTTTTAGTATATAGATAATCAAATGTAGCCTTCATCTTTGAATTGTTTCCAATATGTTGGCTTTGGTTGATTCTACTTTAGAAAAAGAGCCTGAAGTTCTTTTGTTTTATTGTTTATTTATTTATAAATTGTGATGAAGACCCATGTATATAGGAGGTCATCAAGGAAATAAATTGTAATGTTATTCTAAGAAGGAAGCTCATAACAGAAAGTAAATATAAACCTGAACTTTTCAGTTATTTAATAATAAATACATGCAAAGTGCAGAAATCAGTGACTGAGAACACAGATAAAGTTGCAACATTATGACAACTAAATATGGTTGTGTTGGAGGAAGCTTTCAACAGTTATTTCATACAAAGTGCGATATGGCACTTTTTGAGAATTTCATATTATAGGCCACACTGTTAAAAATATATTAAGCTTTGTTATTGGAATGGGAGAGGATGGTGGAATTGAGAGAAACATTTTAGATTTTACTAATTTAACTTTCTGTAGCTCAGTAACCAAATTTGCAGATTAAAAGCTGTCCGTTACTCTCTGAAAAATGGCTATCATTCACTCTGAAAGAAGACTTTTTTTTTCAGTATCAGTCTTATTCCCTTTTATAATATTTGAATAGTAAATACATATTTAAATTAAAAATTTTTAGCTCTCAGAAAAGGGAAGGATGGAAATTGGCAGTGATGAAAAAATTGATGGGAAGAGAAGAATCATGTAAACATTTACTACTAGCCACTTCTGGCACCCAGAGATCAAGACCATGGAGGACAGGCTCCCTACCTCTTAAAAACCCTTCAGATATCCACACACGTTCACTGACTTAGCTCAATGTGTGAACCAAATACATGCCCCAGTCTCACTAATTTGATAAACAAGGCCACAGTCAAACATAGAATGGGTGAAGTTAACATTAGGAAAGACAGCGAAGACTCAGGGTAGGCTAAGGTGAAGAAGAGAACAAATCAGATTCAAGCAAGAGTCTCTCAAAGGGCTGAGTCCAGGTTTTTATGCTGGATGTGAGTTAGCAGGCATTAATGAGCAAGGGGCAAGGACAAATGCAAAATTACCAGTTTTTTTTTTTTTTTTTTTTTTTGAGATGGGGTCTTGCCATGTTGCCCAGGCTGGAGTGCAGTGGCTATTCACAGGTGTGATTATAGGAGAAAATAGAAAATTATGTAAAATAAGAAGTCCAAAAGGAATTTTAAAAGCTATCTTCTTTACAGATCGCTTTGGGGAGGCCCTCAGTCCTGTCTCTGAGAGCTTACATGATGAAGGTGCATCTTTGACTTCTTTACAAGGACATCTAACATTTCTGTAGTGACTATTTATTTACAGGAGCTGAGATTCTACCCATTTCATTTGCCCTGGAGTGCATCCCTCTGCCTCTTAAATTATGAAATACAACAATTTCAAAGTTTATTTGAATTTGCCGAAACTGATAGATCTTAAGAATCTTATATCAGTCAGAATAGCCTAGGCTATGCTGCAGAAATAACCCCCAAATCTTCCTAGTACATCATAGCCCAGGTATTTCTCGCTCATCCTACAAATTGATCTTGGGTTATTAGGAAGATTTGCCCCAGGCCATCCATCCTCACTCAGAGATATAGGCTGACAGTACAGTCAACATTTGGGATGTCACAGGCTTTTGTGGCAGGGAGGCAGGGAGGAGGATATGTAGTAAGTACCCACTGGCTTTTGGAGACTACTTTGCCTGCATTCCTTCTCTTGTTAGGCCCTGGGCTACAGAAAGCGACATGGCCATGCCTCATTTCAAGTGGGTATGAAAGTGCAATCTTACAAATGCCTAGAAGGAAGGCAACCAAAATCATGATAGACAGCAGGAATGATGATTGATAGCATATCTCTCTTTGTGATCTGAAGGTTCTGTGTAGCCAGTTATTATTGACTTTTTAGCTGCTTGAGGTTGATTCTGTTGAGAAAATAAAAGGCAGAAGCAAAATTTTTATGGCCCAGATTTTAGTTTCATAAAACTGAGTTTAGATGTTGTTATAAGTGGAAGAAATGCTTCTTTTTACCAGAAGAAAAATTTAAAGTTATATTTTTACTTAAATATTTTTATTTGATTATAATTAAGCTGACTATTAAGGTAATGAGTCAGTTAAACCAAAAGCTAAGCAAGCTAGACCATTAAAATTTATATTTTTTATTTAAAAAAATTTAAATCACCCATTCAGTATGTAAATACGTGCTCAAATAACTCAAATAACACAGAAGTTTTATTACATAAAAATACAGACTATCCCTTTTCTATTACTGCCCTCCAATTTTTCTCTTACCTGGAGTTTACCACTATTATTTTCTTAAGCATTTTTCCATACTGCTTGTGCATTTATATAATACAAAACATAGATACACAGGCAACTTGCTCTGGCTGTGTAAAAAGCTAATTTTGATCATTGTTTCATATTGATATATGTATATATCACATATACATTGCATTCCTTTAACGATGCATAATATGTATTTAAAATATTAATAGATACTGATTTTGAGCCCTCCTAAGTTGCTGAACAAATTTATTTGCTCACCAACATTATACGAGAATGCTGTTTTCTCTTCACTCTCACTATAACTATGTATGATTTTTTTAATATCAAGTCAGAGGGGCAAATGACATCTTATAATTTTAATATTAATTTTCTTGACTGTTAATAAGGTTGAGCATCTTTTTTTTTATACTTACTGGTCATTTTCATTTTGTTTTCATCAGTGGATATCATGCTGAAATTGTTTGCCTATTGGATTTTTAAGTTTTTTCTTATTAATTTGTAGAAACACTTTAAATATTGCAAATATGTCTTTCCCTTGTTAAATATGTTGAAAATATGCTCTCCCCATACCCTGGCTTTATATTCTCTTCTATTTTATGCACACGCACACACACACACACACACACACATATTCTAGCACATACATATATATATACACACACACACTTATATACACACATGCACTCATCTGAGTGTCAAGATATCGGTAGTTGAGTGAAGTACATTTCAGAATCTGAATAAAGATCCTTTTTCACTTGTCAGTTAATGGAGGTTTTGGTTACTAAAATCCTTCTTCCTATGAGTGTTTAAGGAAGAAGAGGCAATGAGAGTAGGATTTCTAGACTTTCCGGAAGTCATATAGAGCCTTGTTCCTGTTCCACAAGTCTTAAATCTTGTACAGGATCCTCTATGGAGAAACTCCTCCTATCTCAGAAAATTACACTCTAGGCCCAGAAAAGTTTGTGTGATGTCTGTGCATGTGCATGGGCGCAGGTGAGGGTGCAGGAAGCATAAGTGGGGGAGGGCATGTGTGGCTTAATAATAGTAACCAAAGAAACCAAAATTAAAACTATGTTTCACTTTTCAAATTGGAGAAGATTGGCCACGTGCAGTGGCTCACGCCTGTAATACCACCATTTTGGGAGGCCGAGGCGGGCAGATCACCAGGTCAAGAGATAAAGACCATACTGGCCAGCATGTTGAAACCCCATTTCTACTAAAACTACCAAAAAAAAAAAATTAGCTGGGTTTGATGGTGCACACCTGTAGTCCCAGCTACTCAGGAAGCTGAGGCAGGAGAACTGCTTGAGCCTGGGAGACGGAGGTTGCAGTGAGCCGAGATCACGCCACTGCACTCCAGCCTGGCAACAGAGCAAGACTGCATCTAAAAAAAAAAAAAGGAGAAGATTGAGAGTCATCTGCATTGAGAGGAGTTAGATGCTCATGTTAGATTCAGGGAGTGCTGATGATAATATAGATTAATTCAGTATTTCCAGAAAACAATTTGATTATTCAATTTTAATGTGCACACATGTGTTAGATTGTGGGAACGTAGCCTGCTAATGTAATTAGAAAGCAGTGTGACCAATATTTGTCTGCAGGAAACATCATCCTAGGATCATTTAAAATAATGACAATGTTGTGAAAGGGAATTAGTAACAACACAGGATTAATTTTATTATTGAATAGCCATTGAATGGAATATTATGCCATCATTACCATAATTTTTGAGAATTCCTCAGGCCCTTGGGAAAAACTCGTAATGTAGTCCTCAACACAGAGGCAAACTATGAAACTACATAACAAGTGTGTTTGTATATAGAAAGAATAGGAAATACTCTAAAGTATATTTTTTAGTATTTTTACAGTGAGCATTAGTTACTTTTATAATCTGGGGAGACAAACCATTTAAAACCTGCCCACGAATTTAGAAGGAACAGTAGAGAGTCAGCACATAGAAGGCATTCAATTGACCTTTACTGGAATGATTTTATTTAAAATGAAATAAGAAACTTGTCATAGTAGAATAATCAAATCTTTGAGCTGGGCAGCTTCTTGCAGGTCACTTGGTCTAGTCAGTCGCAGTAAACCAATCTCTAAGCTTAGCCAATTTATATTGGTAGATTCATTACCTGTAACTGCCTCTGGACCATGCTGATTTGCTATCTCCTGCAGCAGTTCTGTGTAACATTGCCTACAGAACCTACCTCATTTGGATCTTTATATTGCCTCCTCCAAAAGGTACTCTTGTTTAAAAAAAAAATTGTCTAAAGGTACTTTTAAAAAAGAAAATCCTAGGTTGTTAATATTTTCAATATTAAACTACTCTAAAGTTGCCAACAATTGAAAAAAAATTCCAAGTTCAAGTTTTTTGAGTATTGTTTATAGAAGTAGTATTGTATGTTTGAGGGTTTGGTTCTGTAATCAGACTTTCATGAGCAAGTTGCTGTGATGAGTTTCCTTGTATGTAAAATGGGATTAATAATAATACCTGCTTCATAGGGAAAGGTTTTTTAAAATTAAATTTGTTAACATATATGATATGAAGTCTTGGACTACAGTAAAAGATTGATAAATGTTATTTAGAGACTTCTGTTTTCAAGACAAGACAGAGAAAATATACTTCCTGCCAAATACAATAAAAAACCTAGGATGTTGTATATCAAACACACATAAGAAGACTGAAAGGTAGAGCGAAGGTCAACCAGCTAGGAAATTTGGGGATGTGAGGAATGGCATGGCCATGAGTTCCCTGGGTTTTCTTTTTTTCTTTCTTTTTGTAACCCACACTGGGTTCTTAAGAAGCTAGCAACCGAGAAGCACCAATAGGCACAGATTTTAAAAAGCCCCAATAAAAACTTTCTCTCTGTGACTACAGAACCAAGAAAGGGACAGCATGGCAAGACAGAAAACTTTTAGGTGAGTGCTGTCCTAATCCAGCCAAACACTCCAGAAAAATAGTGTGGCCTCAATTTCATCCTTACCAGTAAAGACCTGCTGGAGAGTCTAGATTTCTGCTCTTGCCAAGGTGTAGCAAGGTGCCCCAGACATTGCCTCCTCCCTTGGTGGGGTCAGATTAGTTTATGTGGGGAGCTGAAACTTTCATTCTGGCTAAGGTAAGGAGGTAAGAAGGTCCTCCCACCCAGCCATGTGGGAGGACATGAAGGGTATGGGGGAGCAGTCACAAAGTGCCCTTCTCCTTTCATCTAGGATGAAAGGTTGTAAAAACCTCTTGGGAGCTTGAATTATTACCCTGACCCATCATTCATGAGCCATCCCCCAGCTGATGTGGTATCAAGGGAACCTGGAGATTAATTGGGACTTATACCTGTGCCTGGTAGTAATGAGGTGGCTCCCTGCCCACCAGCACAGTGTCAGAGAAGACCTGCTAAAACAGAAGATTTAAATCAGATTATTATTTTTGTTTATTTTTTAATTTTTATTTTTATAGATTTAGAAGGTACAAGTACAGCTTTGTGACATGTATATATTGCATAGTGGTGAAATCTGGGCTTCAGCATAACCATCACCCAAAGAGCGTATGTTAAATCAGGTTATTCAGTAATCTGCAGACCCGAGATGTAATATAAGACCCGAGATGTCTAGATATGATTTACTCATTACACAAAGATCCAAAAATTATGCGTTATGCAGAATCAGGAACATTTCACTCTGAATAAGAAAAACAATCAATGGGTGCCAGCACTGAGATGACACAGAGTTTGGAACTACCTGACAAGTATTTTAAAGCGGCCATCATAAAAGTGCTTCAAGGAACAATTATGAACACATTCAAAACAATTTTTTTAGAAAGTTTCCATAAATAAGTAGAAATCATCAGCAAATAAATGAAATATATAAAAAATAACCAAATGGAAATTTTAGAACTTAAAAATACAATAATGATAATGAAAACTCAGGAATGGGCTCAACAGCAGAATGCAGATGACAGAGAAAAGAATCAATTGAACTGGAGCAGAGAAAAAAAAGTAAAATCATCTATAAATGAATGAGTGAATATGATGTTGCCAACTATAACACCAGTTTAGACATCTAGACTTGGGTTTCAGGTATGGCTTTCTCCAATTCCTAACCACGTGCCCTGGGTATTCTTCTTATCTCTATTCTCTTGACTTTAAAATGGAGAGTAAAAACTTCCCTAGTTACTCTGTCTGGGTCCTAAATCCTATGCTTCTTGAAAGTTTAGTAACATTCTCATTCATTCATTCATCAAACAAATATTGAGTGACTAATACATGGCAAGTGCTGTATATATTCTCCTTGTAATCTTAGGATCTAAAACAGTGTCATATTCTTCTTGTAGTCTTTAAGATTCTTTTTAAAGAGTCTCTGCATTCAGGTAGATTACAGTGTAATGAAGGAAACATCTGAGTGGAGCAATGTTCTAAGTTAAGCTGTGTGGTAAGTGCTATGGTGGAGAAACATACACAGGTACACAGGGCTTTTGAACTACTTGGGGAGGGTGGTGGTAAAATGAAGGACAGCCACAGAAGTGGAAGCTGACTGAATTCAAGGAACTGCAAAGTTTGTAATCAGTACAGCTGGAGTTGTAAAGTTGGATGAGTGGAAATGAAACAGAGTAGATCAATGGGTTTTGAATGTCATCTAAAGCAGGGGTCCCCAACCCTAGGGCCATGGACTGGTACCAGTCTGTGGCCTGTTAGGAACTGGGCCACACAGCAGGAGGTGAGCAGCAGGTGACTGAGCAAAGCTTCATCTGTATTTATAGCTGCTCCCCACTGCTCACATTACTGCCTGAGCTCCAACTCCTGTCAGATCAGGGGTGGCATTAGATTCTCATAGGAACACAAGCCATATTGTGAACTGCACATGTGAGGAATCTAGGTTGCATTCTCCTTATGAGAATCTAATGCCTGATGATTTGTCGCTGTCTTCCATCACCCCAAGATGGGACTGTCTAGTTACAGGAAAACAAGCTCAGGGCTCCCACTGATTCTACATTATGGTGAGTTGTATAATTATTTCATTATATGTTATAATGTAATAATAATAAAAATAAAGTGCACAATAAATGTAATGCGCTTGAATCATCCTGAAACCATACCCTTCCCCCACCCCAGTTCGGTGAAAACATTGTCTTTCATGAAACCAGTCTCTGATGCCAAAAAGGTTGGGGACTGCTGATCTAGAGGTATATAGTTTTTATCTTGAACTTTAGAGAAATATATTAAATAATTTTGAGCACTATTTGAAATATTTTTGTTGACATATTTACATAATATTTACAATGAACAAAGCCATTATAGCAGCATATGGAGATGGCTTGAGTGAATGGGGTCAGGTCTAAAACAGGGAGATTAATTAGGATGCACTCATTGTAATCAGTGAGAGAACCAAACCATTACAGAGACAATAAAGGCTCTATAAGATGTGACATTACATATAAATGAATATGGAGAGTGAGGGTACAAATCTGACTTTGGAGTTTCTAATTCAGGCCACTGGATGCAACATAGTTCCTTGAAATTTAGAAAACAGGAGGAGGAGCAAGTTTGCAGTTGTGATGGAGCTGTGGGGGTGGGGGTGGAGGTGGAGTGAAATGAGTATAATTTTAGACAGGTTATTTTTTTTAAGTAGAGATGTCCTGCAGACTTTTGGCTATAAGGTATGGAGCTCAGAAAAGAAGGTTAGGGCTGGAGATCAAAGTGGAAGTTGAAACCAGAAGAGTATAGGCATCATCTAGGGAGAAACTGTAGCGTGAGCTAAGGGATGCATATGGAACATGAGATATCACAGCCAATAAAAGATGAAGCAGAGAAAACAAGATGCAACAAACATATTGAAAAAGAGCTGGCAAAGAAGTAGGAGAAGAATAATGCAAATAAATGACAAAGTAAATTCTGTGGAATTGAGGGAAGCCCCTTTTTTGGGTAAAATATCATGAACATAATTGAATATTGATCACAAAGAATGGTAGAATAGAAGTCATAGATAAAGGAAAAGAGAATAATGATATTATCAAGAAATATTCTAGCAAGTAAATAGTTTCCCTGCCAGAAATGTTTTTTTTTTCAGGTACAAATATATACATATATATATATATATATATATATATATATATATATATATATATATATAAATGTTTTTGTGGGAAATTCTATAAAACACCTTTCCTTATTTCCACCACAGAATGACAACTTTACCTTTTTGTTGGTGTGTTAGATATTTATGGCCACAATTATACTATATGTCCAGGAACCACAAAAATCTCCGTAAAATGAACTATTAAGAGTTTATTTCCATATGTCTGCAGGTGGTCAAGGCATCAGCTGATCTAGGTTGGGGGTGGTTGGGAGCATTGCTTCAAGACATAAATCTAGCTGGTGTGGGCTCCCTGCTTCTTTGGGCTCTGTTCCCACCTGCAGGTGTTCATTCTTGGTGCCATGTTGAGGAGGGAGCAGTTATATCTGGGAGGCTGTTCTCCTGGAGAAGGTAGTGGTGCAGGAGAGCTAGCCTCTGCTTGCATCGTGTCTGCTGACATTGCATTAGCCAAAGCAAGTACATGGATGAGCCCCAAATCAAGAGAGAGAGTCTCCACTCATGGAGGAAGGGCCGAGGAAAGAGACAAAATACTTTTGCTAAGAGTAGGATGCTGGGAAGAGGTAATATTTTTGAACAAACATGAGATCAGTCACAGGGGAATTCAGAATCATTATATAAATTAATTCTGTGCTATGCTGTAGGTAATCAAATTTGCTATTATTGAAATACATAGGGTCATTTGACTTTGATTAAATGATTCTTCCTCCTGTTGCTTTCTGTGGCTATTATTATTATTATTAATTATTATTATTATTATTATTATTGTTATTTTGAGACAGAGTCTTGTTCTGTCACCCAGGCTGGAGTGCAGTGGCGTGATCTTGGCTCACTGCAACCTCCACCTCCTGGGTTCAAGCAGTTCTCTGCCTCAGCCTCCCGAGTAGCTGGAATTTCAGGCACCTGTCACCATGCCTGGTTAATTTTTTGTATTTTTAGTAAAGACAGGGTTTCACCATCTTGGCCAGGTTGGTCTTGAACTTCTGACCTCGTGATCCACCCACCTCAGCCTCCCAAAGTGCTGGGATTACAGGCATGAGCCACTGAGCCCGGCCTCTGTGGCTATGATTTTTTAATGCTGCCACTGTATCTGTAGCTGCTTTTAATCCACTGCTTCATTTCACACAGGGCTCTTTGAGTGAATACCTGAAAGTGATACTCAGCTATTTAACAAGAGCTTTTTTATTTACTTCAATATATTTTCCTGTTATTTTGCATTGTTACTATATTTGGTAGTCTGACATTGGAAGAAATGGACCATTACTGTACTTGCATATTTTATTCTAATTCCCATTTTACTAAAAATTTGGCATATGTAAAGCCTTTTCTTTTAGAAAAATGAGTTATATTTCCTTAAAAAATTATTCCATGTATCTACATGGTTTCTGTGTTTTCGAAGGAAAACATTGATCGATTAAGAGATGAAAAGCACTGAATTGCAAAGGCTTTCAAAAATAAATATTTTATATGCATGTCCCTTCTTTATTCAAATTATGAAGCATTTCAAACATGCAGAAAAGAGCTTATCTATTCTTTGTGAAATTGTAGGCATCACATTTAACTGAAATAAAAAATACTTATAGCTCTTTCAGAGCAGAATAGAATTTTTCGGTAAGTTTTTCTATTTGCAGCAGGTACCAAAACTTCAGTCACACATCTGCCATTTGCCCTTTCACAATCCCCAATGCCTCTGCACTGCACTTACATACCATTTATTTCATCTATGTAAAAAGGCTGATTTTGGTGCTCTATACCCTAGTTTTATCCTAAGCAATAAAATCCACAAAGTCGCCAGCTGGAAGTGTGAGGTATGTATTTTTTTAGTGCACATCAAAATAAATACATGCTTATTAAAATAAAAAAGTATACTGTGTACCATCTTAAATATCTAGTTTACAGCTGTCATTACTTGACATAGAATGCACTAGGAAACATTGTTTTAAGGCCAGCTCTATCAAACTAGAAATATAATAACTTCATTAAGTGACAATATATTTTTAAAGCCATCATTCACCTTTACTTTCCAATTATTTTTCAGGTTTGTGGAAGGAATGCTTAACATTTGTTACAATGCCGTTGATCGTCATATTGAAAATGGTAAAGGGGATAAGATTGCTATCATCTATGACAGTCCTGTTACAAACACTAAAGCAACCTTTACCTATAAAGAAGTTCTGGAGCAGGTAATATCATAAACTTTATATATGTATATATGAATTCATATAGAAATTACTTAAATAGCATACATTCTCATTGTAGAGCCTTCAATTCTCTAATGCATTGAAATATGTTGCCATGCTTTTCTTTTGATACACATTGGAAATGAATACAGATGTGTTAACTCATGTAGACAGTTTTTATAGCCTTCAATTTATGTTTCACAGTGCTAAATGATGCTCATTTTACAGGGAGAGGATGGCAAATCCTGAGAATATGTGTCACTCTTCCTCTGGTCTTTACTCTTCATCCACATTACCATCACCTTTGGCTGCTCCCCAGATCTTGTACTATTGAAACAGTCTTCTAACTGCCTTCCCTGTCACTAGGCTCTGCTCATATTAGATGATCACCAGGGTGTTCTTCCTAAGAAACAACATATTTCTCTATGCCACTTAAAAATCTATTTCTTAAAAAATGCTGTTATTCAGAGAGTAAAATCTAGATTGCTGTGGTGTCTAAGACACTTTGAAATCTGGTCATAACATTCCTTCCAAGCTTCATTTTCCAAAATTCTTGACTATGCACACAACCCTTTCTTTTACCCTAGATGTCTTGTTATTGCCTTAGATACTCCTGGGCCTTTGTAGCTCTTTGAACATGTTCATTCCTTTGGCTTATTTGCTCTTTTGAGTTCTTTCCCATCTGTGCAGTTCTTAGGTGGATCATGATATTAAGTGATGAGTTATGAGATTTTTCTCTTTTATTAACATTAGGGTAGAAATAAGGCCTCAGAAGTAATTATAAAAAGTATTTGGGAATTGTGGACTGTGGGAAAGTTATTCAAGCTCTGTGGAACATTTACTAAAAATGATTTAAAGAGAGGTAATGGTGCAAGGCAGGATTTCTCAACTTTGGCACTGTTGATATTTTGGATCAGATAATATTTTGTTGTGGGTGCTGCCATGTACATGGCACGACATTTAGCAGTATCCCTGCCTCCACCTTAAAGATGCTGGTAACACAACCCCACCTCCCTGAGTTGTGACGTCTGCGCACATAGCTAATGTCTGCTGAGTGGTAAGATTGCCACTGGTTGAGAAACTGAAGTTGAGCAGAGTCTGTCATGCTAGGGTTTGGAGGCATTTGCTTTGACATGAAGGCTTTTAAGATTGTATTCTCTCCTTTTGCTTTTTGAACCCATTTAAGGGTTCCATTCCATTTTTAGAAAGTTTCATCAACTCTCCCTGACTCTTTGAAATCATATTCTTTTTCATCAGCAAGTTCTTATTTTGCCTTGTAAGAAATTTCAAGAAAGGCAACTCAGACTAAAGGATCGCCTTTCCAGTCCTGAGTTGTTGCAAATAAGAGAGAAGAGTTAGACCAGTTTGCTAGGCTGGGTATCAGCCTGGTTGTAGCAACAAATTCCAACCTCAGCTGATTTAAACATAAAAAAAGACCTTATGAAAAGGGTAGACTGAAGAGCCAGGCTTAGAAAAATGGTAAACCCTAAGGGAGAAAGAGCAGAAGTGAGGAGTTAAGAAGAACCCACAAATTGTCCAATAACTAGACTCACTGCCTTGAGTCAATCTTCTAGATTGAAAGACAGAGTAGTAACATCTGTCATGCTGAACCCCTATTGACTCCAGTGGGGATGGCACCAGGTTCAAGAGGCCAAAGAAGAGACCCAGAGCCCCATACAAGACATGGGGTTTTACTGGAGCCTTACATCCAGGGGAGAGGCCACTGGTGGCAGGCTGGGCAGGAGAACTGCACGACTTGCAAAAAGCATGCAGTTTCTATAGCATCTTCACTTAGCACCATCCCCCTAACAGTCTCCATCTGGCAACTTCCATTTAACCTAAAGCAAAGGGCCTCGATCCCAGACGGGATAGGGCTGACATACTCCTCAGAAATAAGGAATGGATGTGTGGATTGGCCACTCCTGGATTTGTATTCCCTAGCTCAGAACTCTGAACACATATTTGGGTGTGCCTGTCATACAGGGTCTTTCTCAGGGTATGGTCAAGTCAAGTCATTGCTGTCAAGGCGTCTATCATACAGCACTAGTTGGCCAAACTTAGGTGACTTGCCTAAACAACCAGGCAGTGGGGAAGAAATATCTTGTCCTCCTTTGATTTAATAGTAGGAACTGGGGACCTGTCTCCCTCTAGGATGCAAACAAGGGGAATTTCAGTCTAATAAGAATGGGGTTCAAATGCTGGGCAGCTCAAGACAGAAAAAAGCAAAATAATGCTGCAATATATCGTTTGGTATTTTTTATTGGTCTGTAACTGAAAACTGTATTTTTGGGATTAAGTATACAGAGACAGCTCTCACACTGGGATGAGTTAGAAAGGCACTCTGTTACCAAATGAGCTTGTTATTCTTACGAGGCTGCATTCCATTATAAGAGATAATGTCGATTTCCTGAAAACCTATTATAATCTATGTTTTGTTTTAGGATTGCATTTTCATCTTAGAAGAGGTTTAGTCTATGATTAAAAATCGTGCCTGTGATTTTGGCATGTTGCTGCACTCTCATGAAAATACTGGCAAATTCTTATTGGTATACAAATACGTAAATTTACTTACATATTGTAAAAACATTACCTATAGCCACATATTTAATTTGATACATAATCAAACATCGCAGTCAGGGAAAAAGCTTTAGAGAAACCTAAAATAAGAAGAATTGTTGACATTCTCATTTTCTTTTGTTGGTTTTCAATTAATTAATTACATAAGTGTATATGACAATTATACACATATGTTTTGCTTAGAAGCTTTTCTGCTAACTCATCTTTCAAACCCTTTCTGTGTTTGTGCTGGTTCCCTGGTTTCAGTTTAGCCTGACATCAAAGTAGTTAAAAGGACTGTTTCTCTCACCTGCTGACAGCCTCTGATTCCCCAGGCTTTTCTTCTCTAAAGTACTAAAGGAAGAACTGTTAGGAAAGAGAGAAGCATTGTGTGCTACTTTGATTACTTGCTTCTGATTCCCTGCGGCCTTTATTTTATTAAGTAGAGAAGACAGAGAAAGAAAGATTTAATGGGTAATTCCATTGAGAACAAACGAAAAGAAGTGCCTTTGTACATTACTTGTTTTACTCTCCCATGTTTCATTTCTACCAGAAGTTTCTGGCTAGATAATACTTGATTAAATTTGTCTGTATTTATTATTTAATTAATGAGCCAACAAGACAGGCTACCTTGTCTTAGTAACATGAAAGATCTGAAAATTTTACAGAATGATTCAGAAGTAGAGGTTTTCTAAAACTATCATTTTTTCTATAGATCTGAAAATATTTTAAATAACCCTTTATTAAGGTTTTTGTACAGAGATTTGGGCCTAGTTCAAGATCCATCATTCACTCAATAAATATTTGTTTTGTATGCCAAACCCTGATAGGAATAAGAAATACAAAGTAAATGAACCCATTTCCTATTGTCAAAGAGATAAGAAAACATGTAAACAGGCAATTTCAATATAACCGAATAAGGGTCATGATAGGGGTTAATGTTATATTCTGTAGGAACACAAGTGAAGGCAGCCAACTCAGCCAGAGGTAAATAGAGTCTAGGGAGATTTCTGGAAGAGGTAATGCCTAAAATTATCCCAATTGCCTACCCTCCGCTAGAAATAATTTTTCCTCCAGATATCTTATGGTCCATGTTACCTGAATGTTACGTTCTCAGTGAGATGTTTTCTGACCATACTAAATACAAATGTTCCTTTCCACACCACTTCATAAATTCATTTTTTCACTTTCTTTTTAATTTAGCATTTATTACTCAGTATCATTCCTTACATTTTATTTGTCTCTCTTTTTTAGTGTCATTTTCTCTTCTAGAATCTAAGTTCCACGAAGGCAGTGACTTTGTATTTGTTTGCAGAATGGTGCCTTGCATGTAGTGAATAGTTGTTGAATGATGAATGAGTCAATGAAAGAATAAATGAATGAAATACTTTTTGAAATTTCCAAGTGACTCTAGCTTCTTTTACTGCAGGAATGTCTTAGATTTAAATTGTACCAGTAATGGAACTGGATTATCTTTCCAAGTAAATTCCATTTCTATCTGTGAAGGATTTTAATTTATTTACATTCAGCTTGGTAGTTCAAGATGAATATATCCTCCTTGGATTTCCCACACTTATAACTCAGAAGATCTGCATTCTAGAGGACATGTATGTTTTTATTGTATTCTTGCTCTTGTTAGCTCTTTTCAAGTTAGTCGTTATATTAAGCCTCAGTGAAATAAAAGGTATGTGTAAGAGTGTATTTTATGTGTATGTATATCTTATATATATAGTACTAGTCATTTTAAAGTATCTTTATTTTCACCATCACTAATTTTATGTTGAATTTACTTCTGTGTGTGGCAAGTGTGCTCTGTTTTTTATTTCAACAATTATGAATTTTTATGTATTTATTCACTAAATAAGAACGTGTCCCCTGAAGGGCATTTGAGCAATTTTCATGAATACATGTATACTGGGAAAATTGATAAAACCAATTATGTGTTAAATTTTCCTGATTTAATTCAAACTGCAAATTCCTATTATCTTAACTAAAGGTAATTTTTTGAAACATAACTATGGCAGTAGTTGTAACTATAAAGGTCAAAAAATTTAGAGGAGAAAATTATTCTGAAATCAAGGGCCATGTCCCATGAGAATTCTTCCTTCCAACCCCTGCCCTGTAGGATATTTTCTTCAAAGTATGTATTCCATCTGCTCAGACATATGTCAGAGTAAGATAATCTGACATTTTTTCATCTGTCATATCAGTATTTCCTTAAGCAAACACTTAAGACACAAAAACCAGGACTTGCAGAAATTCAGCCCTGTCAATGGTTGTCTTTGTTCAGGGGAAAGGATGCAGTGGCTTTTATTATCTGTTTCCTTTCCTTAAATTTCCTAAATAAACAATAAAACCTTCATTTATATTATGGTCAGTGCCACTAAAAAGTGTGTCTCTGTAAGTTAAATTACCTTTTCCATGCTTGGTAAATAGGGGAATGATGCTAGTATGAGATAGAAGTTATAGTCGTTCATGCATTTCTTTTCCTGGCATGCAATTTTTGAACTTTTATTGATATATAATATATATTCAGATAGGAGAACAGATCACAAGAATAAATTTTGTTAGATTTTCACAAACAGAATAATTCCATGTAAGCAACAAAGAAACAGAATATTTCCAGGCCCCCAGAAGCCCTTGTTGTGCCTCTATTTAGTCATCCTCAGCCCCTACATGATTGCTATTCAGACATCTAAAGGTTTACCTGCTTTTGAACTTTATACAAATTGAGTAATACAATGTACTCTTTTGTGTCAGGATTTTTTCACTCAACTTTCTGGTGATGAGTTTCATTCATTTCATTGCAAGAGGTTGTAGTTTGGTTATTTGGGTAATGTCTGGTTGGGACTATTACAAACAATGTTGCTATAAATATGTTTGTACACAAATTTTGTTGACAATATTTATGCATTTGTGTTGGGGACGTGCTTAGGAATGAGATGAATTGTTCGTAGGGTATGCCCACGTTGGACATGAGTAGATAGTGCCAAACAATTTTCCAGAGTGGTTGCACTAATTTATATTCCTATCTGCAATTTATGAGAATGCCAGCTGTGAAAACAGTGTCGACAATTCCAGATCTTTCAAATTTTGCCCTTTCTAGTGAATGCATAGTGGTATTGCATTGTGATTTAATTTTTTTTTCCCTGATGACAAATGAAGTTGAACTTCTTATCCTGTGCTTAATGGACATTTGTCTTTTATTTTGTTTTATTTTAAGTTTGCCGAGATGATATCTCGCTCTATCCCAGGCTGGTCTCAAACTCCTGGGCTCAAGCAATCCTCCCGTCTCAGCCTCCCAAAGTGTTAGAATTACAGGTTTGAGCCACCACACCTGACCAAATGCTGATGCTCTTTTCTGAAATACCATTAATATCTTTTGTCCATTAATTTTTCTATTGGATTGTTAGCATGCCATGTTTTGAAGTTTTGGAGAGAGACATTCTCACAATTAAAGAGAAGACCTTACCAATATTTGAAAACCTTAACAAAAATAATAAAGATTCTTTAGTGAGCTGATGGTGAGTTAAATGATTTTAGGAATCAAAGTTGAGAAGACATTTGCCCCTGTTTAAAAAATAATTAATGTTAAGGTCTACACTCTCTCAGTTTCTACTGGCCATTCTTTGAAAGCAAATTTGGAAATGAAAGCTTGCCAGTAGAATATTATGCAACAGGAAGCACCAGTGCCGGTATTTAAGGATCTATAGAAGATGATGCTGTGTTAATGCATTTATTAATGTTAAAATGTTCTAGTCACATTTAAGTGGTCTGACCCAACCATATGTTTCTGTGAGCTATGTTGTATAATGCAAGTATAATGTATATATTGTATAATGCTTGTGTACATATAATGTACACAAGCAGAAAGGCTTGTATTTCATTTTAAATAGATGAGTATATCCTAAATACTGGCTTAAATTTTTATCAAAATTGTAACTGGAACTTTGGTTTAAAGTACTTTACAACTTACTAAAATTTAGGTTAAATTTTGAGAGGACTTAATATAAAGAAGATAAGCACTAGACAAATTTTAATAGAAAGTATAGGGAATTATTAAATGATGAAACAACAGTTTAGTATTTCCTAGTTTCCCCATTTATTCACAATTATAAGTGTCTAAAGATTATTTCATACTCAATCCAAAAGAGCAACAATACAACCAATCCCTTGAATATTCTCAGACAGATCTTTAGAAATTATATTGTCCATGAAATCAAGACCACTGTTGGAAGTATAAACTTACTTCTTTTCACTCCCCTCCATACCAGAAACTATTTTACCACTCTTTGAAGTCCAGAGCACTTTGCTTACACCTTCTCCTAATGTACTGGTTCATTATTGCTTTTTTAATCCAGTTATTAGGGTACCTACATGATCTTCCTACCAGAGAAAAAGCTCCTTGAGATAAGGGTAATATTTTATTCAGTTTTTCACCTACACAGTAGCTAATGTAGGCCTCATAGTACATGGAGTCATATTATGTAGTGAATTAGTTTGTGAATAAACATTTAATAATTCATTTATAAGAAAGTAAAATCTAATCATTATCTAAGATAAATGATTATTTCCAAAAGTATCACTTGCCATCACATTGTGATTTTTGTTTTTATATATTAGGAATTTTTATTTTTAAACAGGGTGAGAATCTTTCTCATTTTAGTTCATTTTCTGACTTTGAAGGTCTGTGTGCTGTCTCATTTAAAGCCCTGATTAAAATATTTAACTTACTTTGCCATTTTAGAAATTGGAAATCTGGTCCATGGCTTTTATTCTTACATTTGCTTAATGCATTTATCATTCACTGATAGGTTCTTACTAGATTTGAATTATCTTCAGGGTGGCTAAACCCTGGTCTTTTAGAAAGTTATCTGAAAATCTGTAGGCCATCTGCTTTGAATTTATTTTCTTGGACTAGAATGATCATGGTGTGAAATTTATTTATTGAAAACATGCTTGTGGAACACATAATATATATTTGACACTACTAGAGACACCATGGGTTTCAGTAGCGCATAAAATAATCTTTAAGAAAATTGCATTCTAGTTGGGAATATGTACTATGAATAAAAAGATAATACAATATAAATTAGGTATAAGTGAAGAACAATAAAAGGCTAGAGAGGGACTTCGCCTGCCATTTGAGATAGGCTTGTCAGGGAAAGTACTTGTCACTTATGAAATGACATTTGAGCATAGACTGAAATAAAGGGTGGGATAGGAACTATGTGAATATTTGAGTGAAAATTGTATTAGGGCTCTGAAACAAGAGTAGATTCAGACCATTGGAAAAGCCATGAGGACTCAGAGCTCATGAGAAGAGAATGGTAGAAAGTGAGGTTAGGTGAGTATCCAGGAGTCAGATCATATAGAACCTTGCAGGCCATGGTCAAGACTGTATCTAATTCCAAAGATGATGGGAAGCTCCATATTGTCAAAGAAATCACTTTGGCATCTCTGAAGATGAAGAGACTGTAGTAGATAACATTGGAAACAAGGAGATGACAAATGAATCGGCACCCCATAACATAAATCCCCTTAGAACAGCAGTATTTACTTACATGTGGGAAATTAAGGGATAGGATAGATACAGTTTGTGCCGTGAGATTCTGGAAGCTATTCTGCGTATGTTTCTGGTCTTGGATCCCTGGCTACATCCAGTGTGTTTGAAAGAAGTCTGATTGAACCAATTATGCAGCAGTTACCTGTAAATGCCCTGCTTCCTCCCCATGTTTTCAGGTCTTTTGTGAGCATTCTAAGAAATTGTTTCTGTATAATTTTCAAGTAGAATTCTGGGAAAAGAAGATTATCTGTTGTAAGTATTTTAGTTCTATTTTTTTCACATACACACATACACTTTAAGGATGATTTTCATAATTAAACATTTACTTAATAACTGATACACTATCCCCCCCTCCACTCAAATTTTTAAATGTTAGGTCAAAGGCTAAGCTGCTAAAATAAGGACGTGCAGTAAAATAGTGGCTTAATTTTTTAAATAATGCATTTGTCTTTTATAATAATCTAAAGATTATGAGGTTTAGCTTGGCATGACCCAAGATTATGAAGTCTTATTATACCTTCATCTTATAGCTCATTGCCTTCATCTGCATCGCTGAAGCTGTGGCAAAGATATGTATGTCCCAACTCTTGGGAAGGTGGAGGAGGATATAGAGGAATGGACATGCTATTTTAATATCCACACAGAGAAATGTCATATATGCTTTCTACACACATCCCATTTGGCCATCAGCTGCTAGGAAGGCTGGAGAAAGTAGTGTAGGTGGAGGCATCTTGATGGGGAGTTAGGAGTTCCTGCCACAAGTACTCTTTCATTTCACAGGCAAAATAAATATCAGATCTTACATGTAAATAATTGTAACCTGTTAATGTCAATAAATTGTAAGTCCAGGGAAATAAATAATACCTGAAATTGAAGTCTCATAGGTGGCATGCTAGAGATTAAGAACAAAGGCTTCAGTGAGGTATTCCTCAGACACATACTGAATGCTTATTGTGTATTATTTATTGATTTAGGCAGTGGGGCCATAAAGATGAACTAAAACATGATTCCTGAATTTCAGGAATTTATAGTTTGCCCAGTGAGAAATACAAAAAAGCTACTGAATGGTAGTGTGATAATGTAACAACAAAGCTTTGTGCATTTGTAGCATGGAGAAAGGACCAACCTGGCCACAGCAGTTCAGAGAAGGCTTCACTATTGGGGGAACCCACCCCCGATATTTCGTAGGTTCTTTCTAATTTCCCTAAGTGTCGGCCGATCTGAGAAATAAAGAGAAAGAGTACAAAGAGAGGAATTTTACAGCCGGGCTGCTGGGGGTGACATCACATAGCGGTAGGACTGTGATGCCCACCTGAGCCACAAAATCAGCAGGTTTTTACTGAGGATTTCAAAAGGGGAGGGGGTGCAAGAACAGGGAGTAGGTCATAAGATCACATGCTTCAAAGGGCAAAAAGGAGAACAAAGATCACATGCTTCTGAGGCTAATAAAGATCACAAGGCAAAGGGCAAAGCAAAGATCACAAGGCAAAGGGCAAAATCAAAAACTCCTGATAAGGGTCTAGGTTCAGCTGTGCATGTATTGTCTTGATAAACATCTTAAATAACAGAAAACAGGGTTTGAGAGCAGAGAACCGGTCTGACCTCAAATTTACCAGGGTGGGGTTTCTTCCCCACCCTAATAAGCCTGAGGGTACTGCAGGAGACCAGGGTGTATTTCAATCCTTATCTCAACCACATAAGACAGACACTCGCAGAGCGGCTGTTTATAGACCTCTCCCCAGGAATGCATTCCTTTCCCAGGGTCTTAATTATTAATATTCCTTGCTAGGAAAAGAATTCAGTGATATCTTCCCTACTTGCACGTCCATTTATAGGCTGTCTATGCTATATGGCTCTATTCTGCCTGACCCCGCAGGCAGTCAGACCTTATGGTTGTCTTCCTTGTTCCCTAAAATCACTGTTATTCTGTTCTTTTTCAAGGTGCACTGATTTCATATTGTTCAAGCACACATGTTTTACAATCAATTTGTACAGTTAACACAATCATCACAGTGATCCTGAGGTGATGTACATCCTCAGCTTATGAAGATAACAATATTAAGAGATTAAAGTAAGACAGGCATAAGAAATCATAAGAGTATTATTAGGGAAGTCATAAACGTCCATGAAATCTTCACAATTTTTGTTCCTCTGCCGTGGCTCCAGCTGGTCCCTCCATTTGGGGTCCTTGACTTCCCACAACACTTCACTGTGGAGGTGATGTAGAAGCTGGGTCAAGTAATAAAAATAGAAGTGTGTGCCCCACACATAGGTGACTCTTCCACAGGTGTCCCCTGAAGGTCTGCAGAAGATTTATCCAAGAGGTGGATTTGACATAGTTAATAATGAAAATGTGCACCCTGAGAACAAAACCAACTGCTTTTGTTGGCTTAAGTTCTAGGACAACAAGACAAATTAAGTAGGAAACAATATAGAAAGATTGTTGGAGAATAAAAGAAGGAGACAGGCAGTCTAAGTTTAGTAGGAAGAGAATAGAAGAAGAAAAAAAATGTCCTTACAAGTGGAAGTGAGGAGAGCTGGTCACAATGAACACTTGTACCTGTTATACAGCAATGTAAAGACAGCTGAATGCATCAACAATTTTCTGTTTCTGACCTTTAAAAATTAACATATGAAACTATAAAATCATTTAATCTAGCACAATTTTCATAACAAGTAGAGGATAAAGCTAACTAACATAAATTGAGGACACTGAGTGGCTAAAGTGGTGCAAATTAATATATTAGAATCACACTTTGAGTATATAAGACAAAGTATTTTTCATATAAGGTTTTCTGAAATAGATAAATACATAGCTATGAAAAATGATGCCACTAAATTATTTTAATTCATTTGGAAGTTTTATGCTCACATTTGTGCACTGGGTAGATATATGTAATACTTAAGTAAATAAATCTGAATAAATCAATATAGGTTGCATTCATTAGAATTATTATCAAGATTAGAGACCTTGGAGATATTGACTGTTCATTTTCTCATGCCAACCTTGACTTAAAAGCATTTCATTTCCATTACAAAGCTGAATAATATTAACTTTATCATGTATAGGTTTTATGGGAAATTTGATATATTTTAGAATATTTGTCATAAATTCTTGGCACATACCATGATCTATGTTTGTTTTGTTTATTAGTTACTAGTGTATGCACTGTATTTGTGAATTTTTCTTCTCTTTAAATGTGTACAGCTCCTTTGGTTGAGCGATGTAGATGTTGTTAAAACTGACCCAGCTATTGCAATGATCTCATGTCTTTGTACCATTCCTGGGATATTTGGCAAGTTCTCTATGAGACCTTCACCTATATTGATTGGCTTTTGAGAT
The DNA here is from genome assembly GCF_000001405.40 of Homo sapiens. Classification (NCBI taxonomy): domain Eukaryota; kingdom Metazoa; phylum Chordata; class Mammalia; order Primates; family Hominidae; genus Homo; species Homo sapiens. The sequence continues at coordinate 81,121,167 of NC_000012.12, forward strand.
GTATTGATCAAAGAAACTGTAAAGGTTAACAGGAACATTGCCCAATCCTGGGAAGTGTGGTTGGTGTAGTCAGGGTAGTTGTCATGTTTTATGTACTGCCGGTGGAAGTGCTGGGGGTGTTTGTTTAATTAGAACTTTGATTAAATAATCACAGCAGAATTGATCTAAACAATGCAGCAGGATTCCTGTTGACTTCTTTTGCATCTTTTATATTTGTCTTTCTTTAAGAGAAAAAAAGCCTCTAAGAAACCAATTTGGCTTTTTTTTTTCATGAAATAGTGAAGCATATAAATGCTTCATAAAGGCAAAACATTTTTACACACTTTTGGTGTTTACTTAAATTATTTTTATTTTAGTGTATTATTAAGCCTAGGCCTTAATGTTCTCTTTTTACAGCTTAGTACATAAATAAAGCCAAATCTGAGTTATAGGCAGGGTAAGAACAAACCCACAAAGCTAATCAAGCTCAATATGACAATATTAATTTACTATAATGAATGATATTGCTCTACTGGAGCTGAATGACTGATTGTAAAGTGTGTTTGATGCTGTGACCCTGGGGCTTTGAGTTCGGTGACATGTTCCCTGTGATGCCTCAATTCTCTTGTCACATATTAGTAATTGAACTTCCATAGAGGCTTTGATTATACAATGTGCCATAACCTTATCTGACCTTTACGTATTCTGCATGAGATTACAAAAATAAACAGTGAAACTGCATGAGTGCTCAGATAATCCAGAGTATGCTATATTATTATTATTATTATTATTATTATTATTATTTTGAGATGGAGTCTTGCTCTGCTGCCCAGACAGGAGTGCAGTGGCGTGATCTTGGCTCACTGCAGCCTCCACCTCCCGGTTCAGGCAATTCTCCTGCCTCAGCCTCCAGAGTAGCTGGGACTACAGGTGCGTGGCACTACACCTAGCTAATTTTTGTATTTTTAGTAGAGATAGGGTTTCACCATGTTGGTCAGGATGGTCTTGATCTCCTGACCTCTTGATCTGCCCTCCTTGGCCTCCCAAACTGCTGGGATTACAGGCAGGCATGAGCCACCGCGCCCAGCCTATTATTTTTTAATTGTATCAAAATGAAAACACAACGTTAAAAAATTCTCACGGAGAACTCATGGGCCCTGAGAATATCTCTACCGACTCTACTTGGAGAAACACTACAATAAAGAATTTATTAGATCAAGAGAAAAGGAATCTGGCCTTCATTAACAGTAGAAATTAATGTTGTTTAAAAAATATTATTCGCTAGCCCTTTAATGAAGTGTATATAGCAGACAACAGTGACAATTTTAAAGTAACAACTTTGTTTCACATTTTGCATGTTTATTATTGTATAAACAAATATGTGAGGCAATTATTACTATCATACTATCATATTATGTTCACTGAAGGAATATAACCTTATCTAGATAACTTACACAAACTTGTGTTGAATTGAATAGTCTTTTTTAATATAGTGTGGTAGATTCTGTACCTTTTCAAACACTCATTTGGGAAAGTGTGTACATTAGCCACAGAATTATGCTAGATTTTTCAGAATGCTTGTATATGTGAATGCATAACTGTAAAAAGTTACCTCTCTAATAGTTGAATTTTCTTTTTCATTTTAGTCCAGGTGGGTTACATATTTTTTATATGTAATAAAGCTTTCTTCAGCACTTGGGATATTTTCTTTACAAATACTCTAGGAAGCGTACAGAAAGTAATCAACTTTGAATTGTGTTATGTTTTAAAAAATCATTTGAAAAATTTTAAATAGGAATTTGTAATCTATTTCTCTATATATCTATCAATGGTACTTTTCTGAGTGGTGTTTGGGTTCCAGTCTGGCCACCCAACTGCTTAACATATAATATAGTTTAAATATAATGCATTTGCAGTAAAAAAAATCAATATTCTTGCAGTACTCATAAGGGAGGGAAATAAATGAATGTGAATTAAAAATTATTGGAAATGTTAGTTTTAGAGAAAAACAGATTCAATTAAATATCTCTTGAGGTGGGATAAATTGAATCCTGTGGTGAATGGTGGAGGGAAAGGGGCAATCATGGATATAATTTTCAAAAAATTAAAGGAAGATTTTGTGAAGGCTAGCTGGAAACAGATACATGAGAAGATCCTACGGTTTTGCTTTTTTGGTAGATAGAAGGTGGAGAAAGGCTAGAGAATATATGTAAATTAGGGCTTATAACTTTTAGAGTGTCTATTTTAAACCTCTCGTATTCTTATACAGTGCAATAAAACTACATTTTTAGATAGCATGCATTTTTAGACACAATACCTATTTAAATACCACAGGTTTTTTTTGAACTTTTATTTTAGGTTTAGGGGGTACATGTGCAGGTTAATTACATGGATAAATTGCGTGTTGTTGAGGTTTGTTGTTCAGATGAGCACAGTACCTGATAGGCTTTCAGTTCTCACCCCCCTCTCACCCTCCCCTCTCTATAGTCCCCAGTGCCCAGTGTCTATCGTTCTCATCTCTATTTCCATATGTACACAATGTTTAGATCCCACCTACATGTGAGAACATGCCATATTTGGTTTTCTGTCTCTGTGTTAATTTGCTTTGGATGACATCCAGCTGCATTCGTGTTGCTGCAAAGGACATGATCTTGTTCTTTTTTGTGGCTGCATAGTATTCCATAGTGTATATGTACCACATTTTCTTTATCCAGTCCACCATTGGTGGGTATCTAGGTTGACTCTATGTCTGTGCTATTGTGAATAGTGCTGCAGTGATGGAACATATGAGTCCATGTATATTTTTGGTAGAAAGATTTATTTTCTACCAAATATTTATTTTCCTTTGAGTATATACCGAGTAATAGGATTGCTGGGTCAAATGGTACTACTGTTTTAAATTGTTTGAGAAATCTCCAAAGTGCTTTCCACAGTGGCTGAACTAATTCACATTCCCACAAACTGTGTGTATGTGTTCCCTTTTCTCCACAGCCTTGCCAGCCCCTGTTGTTTTTTGATTTTTTAATAATAGCCATTCTGACTGGTGTGACATGGTATCTCATTGTGGTTTTGATTTGCATCTCTCTAAAAATTAGTTATGTTGAGCACTTTTTAATATATTTGTTGGCCTCATGAAATACTAGTTTTAAACGATTTTGATGGTGTGTAGTCCCTAGGTAAGGGTCTCTTCTGTGTTCACTTTTCTGTTATCCGGGTTAGGTTTTTTAGTTTAACCACACAACTCGTCTCTTACCAGTATCCTCACTTCTCCTGCATATTGTTGTTCCATTTCACTCTGTGGCAAAACTCCAGACCTGGATCAATCCAATTTCTTATTGTCTTCATTACTGTATCTGATACGTTGAATCCTGTTAAAGAAAAATCACGTAACTACAAATATAGATTTAATATAAATTTATGGTATCCAGTGTCCACTGGGACTTCAATGCTGCATTTTCTTTTTTTCTTTAGCATTTCTCGAGTAAGTTTCTCTTTTACTCTCCAAAGGCCATTTTAAACTTTTGGCTTTCCTGCCTCTGTGCCTCAAGCTTAACAGGGTACATTGATTCAAACCTAGCAATGATTATATAAATTTATTATCACCAGACCAACAGACTTGCCTGTATCCACACCCATTGTTTTCTCTTTCCCTCCTTTTAAAATAGAAGGTAATCTTTCTTTGGTCTCCTGGAGCCATTCTATCAATTCTTTTTAGGGCTCTTGTTCTGTTAATCTATCTTATACCTATCTCACTGCTGGCTCTTTCTCTTAAAAGCATGCATAAATTGTCCGGGCTTGGTGGCTCACGCCTGTAATCCCAGCACTTTGGGAGGCCGAGGCGGGCAGATCACGAGGTCAGGAGATCGAAACCATCCTGGCTAACACGGTGAAACCCTGTCTCTACTAAAAATACAAAAAATTAGCCGGGCGTGGTGGTGGGCGCCTGTAGTCCCAGCTACTCGGGAGGCTGAGGCAGGAGAATGGCGTGAATCCGGGAGGCGGAGCTTGCAGTGAGCCGAGATTGCGCCACCGCACTCCAGCCTGGGCAGAAGAGCGAGACTTCGTCTCAAAAAAAAAAAACAAAACAAAACAAAAAAAATACATAAATGTTTCTACTACTAGCTAGTTTCTTATCTATTTTCATTCACTGATTAACTTCAGAAAAATGCCTTTTAAATTTCCTTACCACACACATAACCAAAACCCTCTAAAATATGCTACTGCCTCATTTAGCTAAGGTAATTAATGCTTTCTTCTTATTAATTCCAATAGGTGTTCAATATTTTACTTCCTCTCTTTATTATGTCTAACATTTTTGTCCATTCTCTGCCAGTCTTCACTTAACTTCTATATACCATTCTGCCCTCATTTTCCTTTCTTTCCTGTGTTCATTCTAATTATCCTTCTTAAATGCTTCTTTTGCCTGTCCCTTCACTACCTGCTTCTAGGTTGCCTTCTTTTTCCATTTTACACATCCCGCCTGGGTGATTATATCTGCGCCAATGGCCTTTTTTGCCACATATGTGATGGTTACTCCCAGTGGCAACGCTGGCTATTCTCAGTTCTGTGTCATCAGCCCACATCTCTCTTCTGATGTTGAGATCATATGCAGGATTGCCGAGTAGGTGTCTATACATGGTTGTTCCACTAGCGTCTCAAATTTAAACGTGTCCAATGTGAATGGCATCACTTTCCAATCAGTTGCTAAAACCCAAACTGTGGCCCCATTCTTAATATTTCTCAAATAAGCTTATTTATTTTTACCCCTATTACGCAATAATCGAGTTTATGCAATAATCATTACATTAATGATTCTAGTTTATGCAATAATCATTACATTTTAAGAATGTGGAAAGCACTTACTTTTAAAGAGGATGAACATTTTTCAATTATTACACATTGTTTTTCGGGTTAGTCTAAACTCGATGGGCATAACAAGACTCTGTATCATGTCTAATATTGTTTCTTCATGCCTTTCCAGTTCATCTCACAACCCACTTCATCCTGAATGTTTTCTCTCTCTATACTAAACTGCCTTCACTTTTTCAGCCAAATGGCACATGCTGTGATGATTAGAGATATTGGCAGCAACTCTCCAGTGAGTAAAAGCAGGAGAAAGTTACAATTACCCAATTATTAATGTCTATAGTGGAGAGATGTTAAAATGGTAAAAAGTGGATGCAATCCTTAATTATTCTTTGTCTGTGTATTTTCTTTCCTTTTTATTGCATGCACCCTAGTCCTGTTGTGTGTTAATAACAGGCATCAATTGCATTTTCCATTCTTTTAGACCTTGGACTTCTCCTTGACGTAGAATTATTTTCTCTGTCCACAATGGCCTGTTACACAGAAATACTGTTTTAAAATTAACAAAATATGCTTTACAAGATGTGATGAATTCTGATGATTTTCTTGTAAATTTTAACATAAGTATCAAGGAAATGGAAGACAATATTCCTTATCAAGACTGAGCACATATACATAGGGAAATACAGGATTTAACTAATTTTCTGTGAAATTACAGTCTGAAAATCACAGTAGTCTTGAAAGCAAAGATTATTGAAATACTGATTATTTTGAGCTTGAACTAAAGGGATTAAATAATTATCTATTTCACTTTGCTTGTGAATACATAGTCTGAAAATGACTAAATATTGATTGAAACCCATGTGTGAAGAAACTGGTAATGAGAAAAATGATAATTCTGAGTAATGGTATTTACTCTTTCATTTGAAGAAAATTATTTGAGAAGAAATGTGCTAGTAAATGTTTTCTAGACCACTATCAGATAACTATTTTGAATGTAAGATAGCGTTTTGTAATTGTTCTTGAAAAATTTAATACAATGCGATTCTTAAATATAAAATAAGTATTCCTCTGTGTTTTAGATAAATAATAATACATTTTACTTGTAAGTGTAAATGTAATGTTTTCATCTTTAAAAGAAAGATTTTTCTTTTTTAGATAACATCTCTAACTTTCCTGGTTTTAAGAGACATATCTCAAAATAAATTGGCTTAGCATAATATCATCTTCAATGAAAATTATTTCAATGCTGTATCTAATAAATTGTAACTGTCTAAAAATGTTACATTTCTAGAAGCTTCTTATGTTATATGAAAATATTTATATTCCTGAAAAATTCTCTTCCAAAAAAGATAGTTTTACTATCATTCCAGATCTTAAGCAGTTTTAGAATAACTGATTATTTTCACAGATATTTACCTGAATGCATAGTTAATGCATGGACTAAAGAATAAGTTGTTCATTGTAGTTAAAATTTTAATCTTTTCAATGGCTGCCTGTATGTGTACAAGTAAAACAAACAAAAATGTGTATGATTAATATGTTTAAAAGTAAGGTGCAAGTATTTTATATAACTCTTTCTATGGAAATTATACATATTCTCAAGAACAATTCATTTATCCATACTTTTAGTAATCTGTTTCCTCAGATATTATAATTGGTTTTTAAATTAGTTTTATTTTTTGTTACGGTTTAGACCAGGGTTTGCAATGTAACATTGTGGCATTTTGAAAATATGCATTCCCTGTCTGCTTTTTCATACAGTTTTCTTTGATGTGGTTTTGAAGTTGCCCATGATCACTGCATTTTTACTACAATTTGGAAACTAGGGAACTATCTTTTTTCGTACAAGCATGATTTTCCTTAGGTGAGCACACTTGCTATTTGTGAAGCAAGTGATAATTTGTTCTGTAGAACATAGCTTTTTGCCAATTTTGACTAATCTTTATATTTGAGCTATGAGCATCTGGTCACAAAGTTATACTACCCCAAAGACTGTTTTTGAAAGATTTTCCAGAATGATAACATAAAATTTTTTATTAATTTAGTTTTCATTATTCATAGCAATATGTTTTCATTTTATAACTGAAATTTAAAGCTTTTACTTCTGTCTGATGCATTATATGTTATATTTATGTTATTTATAAACCAAATATATGTGCATACCATTTTATAATATATAAATTTCAGTTGTTGCATTTTCTTTACAATTATTATTCCTGTATGTGATTTTTTTTTTCCAGACTCCAAATTTCTTTGGTGTAAGGACCAACCATTTCCTTCTTATTTTTGTACCTGTAGACTTAACCTCAGTTTAGGACATACAGCTGATACTACATAAATTGAACCAATGACAGGACATTTATGTGTTAAAATGGCTTTAAATTAGTACCAAAATGATTCATCTAATTTCTAGTGGGAAGAGTCACACATTGTTATATCTAAATAAATACATTTTTTCATTTCCTCTAGGCTTCCTTCGCAGCCCAGTAATTCACACATTGGTAGCATAGTATCCTCATGCTAGCTGGCCTTGCTCCCCTGGGATCTGTATTGCCCTTGATGTCAGACTGAAAATCAATTTTACTGGTCTATCCTTGTGTAAAACCATCAAGTTATTGACAAATTTAAAAACAAATTTAAGAAGGTGCAAAGATGAATGTGAATTGGGTGAACGGCACATGGTTAACTTTTCTTCAGTTGAAAAACTATTTATTATAAACAACCTATATTAAAATATTTTCCCTTTTGCTAATAATAGAAATTGTAACTCTACACTCAGACATTTATGGTAGGATAAGAATATGTCATTCCATAAAAATAATACCTGTTTTCTTCTTTGATAATTTTCCACCTGAAGTTGATAAAAACTAGGTGAACCCTGAAATAGCAGTATCAAATGCCTTCTGTTTTGGAGTTCCAATAATACTTTATTTGAGTGATTATGAACTCATATGTTTTCCCATGCATATTCTCATACATATATATTTAGATTTACAAATTATAATGGAAAATTTTACCAGAGTGACATTTAGCCCTGAAAACTACTGGAAAAGAAAATCGTACTATTGATTCTGTAAACCTTTTGTCTGTAGACCAGCTCTGGTGTGGTTATCAGGTTATCAAAACATTGAGGAGCAGCTGAAACAAGCAAGGCCAAATAGACTCCATCTAGTGGTTACACGGGACTGGTGCAGCCTCATTTAACTAAAAATTGTTTTCAGGGCAGTGGTTGACAACTCAGATGCCTACAGAAGAGGGTGGATGGGAGAAAAATCAATTGTAGGTATGTATCACACTTTCTGTATGGTTAGGGAACTATGGTGTAAGCATATAACATAAAATAAATAAGAGGTAAAAAATATATTTTAAACTCAGAATGAAAAAAAATGCAAGCTGTATGATAAATGCCCCTGGGAATAGTGAGTTCTATGGCAAACCACTAGGCTGATCATCTGGTTCAATTGATTGCTGTTATTCAAGAACACAGGCCTGGTGCTGCTAGACTTCACAATTTTTCTAGAGAAACTGGAGATCTAGATTTGTATGTGAAACCTACTAAATTTAATATGCTGGTTCATTTTCTTAAAATGTGATATGGCCCCAACTTAAATACATCTTGGTCACATTTGGCTGTGACCTGCGATTTTGAGATCTTTGTTTCACACAAGGTCTTGAATTTTTTTTATTATACTTTAAGTTCTAGGGTACATGTGCACAACGTGCAGGTTTGTTACATATGTATGCATGTACCATGTTGGTGTGCTGCACCCATTAACTCATCATTTACATTAGGTATTTCTCTTAATGCTATCCCTCTCCCCTCCCCCCACCCCATGATAGGCCCCCGTGTGTGATATTCCCCGCCCTGTGTCCAAGTGTTCTCATTGTTCAATTCCCACCTATGAGTGAGAACATGTGGTGTTTGGTTTTCTGTCCTTGTGATAGTTTGCTTAGAATGATGGTTTCCAGCTTCATCCATGCCCCTACAAAGGACATGAACTCATCCTTTTTTATGGCTGCATAGTATTCCGTGGTGTATATGTGCCACATTTTCTTAATCCAATCTATCATTGATGGACATTTGGGTTGGTTGTAAGTCTTTGGTATTGTGAATAGTGCCACAATAAACATACATGTGCATGTGTCTTTATGGTAGCATGATTTATAATCCTTTGGGTATATACCCAGTAATGGGATTGCTGAGTCAAATGGTATTTCTAGTTCTAGATCCTTGAGGAATCGCCACACTGTCTTCCACAATGGTTGAATTAGTTTACATTCCCACCAGCAGTGTAAAAATGTTCCTATTTCTCCACATCCTGTCCAGCACCTGTTGTTTCCTGACTTTTTAATGATCGCCATTCTAACTGGTGTGAGATAGTATCTCATTGTGGTTTTGATTTGCATTTCTCTGATGACCAGTGATGATGAGCATTTTTTCATGTGTCAGTTGGCTGCATAAATGTCTTCTTTTGAGAAGTGTCTGTTCATATGCTTCACCCACTTTTTGATGGGGTTGTTTGATTTTTTTCTTGTAAATTTGTTTAAGTTCTTTGTAGATTCTGGATATTAGCTCTTTGCCAGATGGATAGATTGCAAAAATTTTCTCACATTCTGTAGGTTGCATGTTCACTCTGATGGTAGTTTCTTTTGCTATGCAGAAGCTCTTTAGTTTAATTAGATCCCATTTGTCTATTTTGGCTTTTGTTGTCATTGCTTTTGGTGTTTTAGTCATGAAGTCCTTGCCCATGCCTATGTCCTGAATGCTATTACCTAGGTTTTCTTGTAGGGTTTTTATGGTTTTAGGTCTAACATTTAAGTCTTTAATCCATCTTGAATTAATTTTTGTATAACGTGTAAGGAAGGGATGCAGTTTCAGCTTTCTACATATAGCTAGCCAGTTCTTCCAGCTCCATTTATTAAATAGGGAATCCTTTCCCCATTTCTTGTTTTTGTCAAGTTTGTCAAAGATTGGATGGTTGTAGATGTGTGGTGTTATTTCTGAAGGCTCTGTTCTGTTCAATTGGTCTATATCTCTGTTTTGGTACCAGTACCATGCTGTTTTGGTTACTGTAGCCTTGTAGTATAGTTTGAAGTCAGGTAACGTGATGCCTCCAGCTTTGTTCTTTTGGCTTAGGATTGTCTTAGCAATGCAGGCTCTTTTTTGTTCCATATGAACATTAAAGTAGTTTTTTCTGATTCTGTGAAGAGAGTCATTGGTAGCTTTATGGGGATGGCAATAAATCTATAAATTACCTTGGGCAGTATGGCCATTTTCACAATATTAATTCTTCCCATCCATGAGCATGGAGTGTTCTTCCATTTGTTTGTGTCCTCTTTTATTTTGTTGAGCAGTGGTTTGTAGTTCTCCTTGAAGAGGTCCTTCACATCCCTTGTAAGTTGGATTCCTAGGTATTTTATTATCTTTGAAGTAATTGTGAATGGGAATTCGCTCATGATTTGGCTCTCTGTTTGTCTGTTATTGATGTATAGGAATGCCTGTGGTTTTTGCACATTGATTTTGTATCCTAAGACTCTGCTGAAGTTGCTTATCAGCTTAAGGAGATTTGGGGCTGAGATGATGGGGTTTTCTGAATATGCAATCATTCATCTGCAAACAGGGACAATTTGACTTACTCTTTTTCTAATTGAATACCATTTATTTCTTTCTCCTGCCTGATTGCCCTGGCCAGAACTTCCAACACTATGTTGAATAGGAGTGGTGAGAGAGGGCATCCCTGTCTTGTGCCAGTTTTCAAAGAGAATGCTTCCAGTTTTTGGCCATTCGGTATGATATTGGCTGTGGGTTTGTCATAAATAGCTCTTATTATTTTGAGATACATCCCAACAATACCTAGTCTATTGAGAGTTTTTAGCATGAAAGGCTGTTGAATGGTGTCAAAGGCCTTTTTTGCATCTACTGAGATAATCATGTGGTTTTTGTCTTTGGTTCTGTTTATGTGATGGATTACGTTTATTGATTTGCCTATGTTGAACCAGCCTTGCATCGCAGGGATGAAGCCAACTTGATCATGGTGGATTAGCTTTTTGAAGTGCTGCTGGATTCGGTTTGCCAGTATTTTATTGAGGATTTTTGCATCGATGTTCATCAGGGATATTGGTCTAAAATTCTCTTTTTTTGTTGTGTCTCTGCCAGGCTTTGGTATCAGGATGATACTGGCCTCATAAAATGAGTTAGGGAGGATTCCCTCTTTTTCTATTGATTGGAATAGTTTCAGAAGGAATGGTACCAGCTCGTTTTTGTGCCTCTGGTAGAATTTGGCTGTGAATCTGTCTGGTCCTGGACTTTTTTTTGGTTGGTAGGCTATTAATTGTTGCCTCAATTTCAGAGCCTGTTGTTGGTGTTTTCAGGGACTCAAATTCTTCCTGGTTTAGTCTTGGGAGGGTGTATGTGTACAGGAATTTATCCATTTCTTCTAGATTTTCTAGTTTATTTGCATAGAGGTGTTTATAGTATTCTCTGATGGTAGTTTGTATTTCTGTGGGATCGGTGGTGATATCCCCTTTATCATTTTTTATTGCGTCTATTTGATTCTTCTCTCTTTTCTTCTTTATTAGTCTTGCTAGCAGTCTATCTATTTTGTTGATCTTTTCAAAAAACCAGCTCCTAGATTCATTGATTTTTTGAAGGAAATTTTGTGTCTCTATCTCCTTCAGTTCTGCTCTGATCTTAGTTATTTTTTAATCTCATTTCTTTCAGAGGACAGAAAATTGGTGGGCATCTTCCATCAACACTGTAAAGTGAGACTGGATTATAAAGTTACTGAATTATTGGTAGTGTGGGCCTTGGTTGAATGTCATTTTTATTCAACTGGCATAATTCAAGATGCTGAAGTCACAGCTTTGGCTATGACTAGCTATTCTCGTTGGTCTCTCTCAGTGTGGTACCTTAAATGATGTACCTAGTAATGTGATAATGAAGCATGGTCACTTTCTGCAGGGGTTGCACACTGAGATGTTTGGATATAACTTTCCAATTTTTGTCTTGTTTTTTTGAGTTCCATATATAATTCAAGTTCATGATTTTTATTACTTTGGTGTATCTTTCTCATAATCTTCTGCTAGCGTCTTTGAAGTTCTTGAAACATAGCACTCAATTATAGAGTTTGCAATATAAAGTAGAATAAAACACTAAAATCGTGTTTTTTTTTTTCTTTCTGTCTTTCACCAGATCCCTTAACCTTCACCACACCTGTCCCCATCCATACAGAGGAAGTGAATAAATAGAAAAGAGAAAAATGGCCAGGATTCAGAATTCTTTAAACTTGTCCAGAAAGTAGGAGAGACAAAAATGAAAGGAGCCATAAATAGACATGTGACCTAATTTCTTCTCCCAAGCCTCCTCTGTTCATTGTGTTGGACAGTCACATTCAAAGGCAAGCCATGGTCCTTCCAATTGCCCACCATGCCCCTACAGGCCCTTTGGCTCCCTGACCTGATCGACAACTGTCTTTTCACTTGTTTCTTCTCCAGGCCCCTGGTTTCCTTGCTGTTCCTTGATCGCATCACATATGATCTCCTTTACCTCTTACATGTTTGTATTTCACTGATGTTCTCTTTGCCTGAAATAGTACATTCATAGATATCCACTTTTTTTCAACTTCTACATGTCTTACAAAACTGTTGCTTTCTTAGTGAGCTCCCGGTGAGAATTACATCCACCCCTTCCCCTGCACTCTGAATCCTCTTTACTCTGCTCTACTTCCCTCCTGCATATGATTGAAGATTTTTTACCACAATAGATAATTTACTTATTTATTGTGTTTATTGCTTATTGTGAGTATTTTCTCTGCTAAAGTATAAGTACTTGCAGGGTAGAGATTATTGTCTTGTCTTGTTTACTTATCTGATGTATCTGAAAACAGTGTCTGACATATAATAGATACTTAATATATATATTTTAAGTAAAAGAATGTTGAACTACTTATTCATTAAGATCTGGGAGTACTTCCCACAGCCCTCTATAATTGCCCATGGGAAGGATTCTTGCAATAAATTTTATCATGTGTGGCTTATAATCTGTTTTGTCTTTATTGCTAGAAAGTACAAAAACATGTTACGGGGAAGAGACATTTATATGTTGAGGTCTCAAAAACAGAAAAAAAAAAAGAACTGTGTATGTTGTATCCAAATACAGAGGAAAGTCATTTTGTATAATAATTAGTGTAAAAAAAAACTATAAAGGCAGTAGAAAGAGCAAAGAATATGAGGTCGGAAGACCTGTGATCGTGTCCTGTTACAGCATTTGCTAGTTCTCTGACCTTGGTTAGCTGTTTATTAGCTCTGAACCTTATTACCTTATCTTTAGATGTAAATAATAATATAGTAGAATTTGTCTTATTTGCTTTATTAGTGTTTAGTGATATGTTTTCTTTATGAATATATACTTGCTTCCTTTAACAGTTACCCAACATCTATCTAAATTTGTAAATATTTTGTTTTTCTGTTCACCTGACAGATTCACCTTTTGCAATACATAGGCTCTACAGGGACAATTCTGTGTCTTTCTTTTATCAGTGTTACATTCCCAACTCTTACATACTATGTCTGGTGTATAATAGTTGCTCAGTAAAAATGTTGTGACATGAATGGTTAAGCAATCTTAAGTCATAAAGTTTATGTGACATAATAATAGTAGGTTGGTTTATAATCAATGATTATAATACAATTGTTATTACTCTCACCATCTAAAGCATTATCATCATCATCAAATATGTGTTACTTAGGCTCCTTTAATCTACTACCAAGCGGGTGATCAGCTTCTAATATTACTGCCTTAAGTTAGAAGTTTGGTGAAATAATACAAAATACACTTTACTGATTTAATGGTCTTGGCATAGGTCTCCAAGCTGGCTGGTGTCTTGGTCAAGCATGGCATCAAGAAAGGTGACACTGTGGTTATCTACATGCCTATGATCCCACAGGCGATGTATACCATGTTGGCATGTGCAAGGATAGGTGCCATCCACAGTCTCATATTTGGAGGATTTGCTTCCAAAGAACTAAGTAGTCGCATTGATCATGTAAAGGTAAGTGCTTTATTTTGGGAAATCAAGTAGTAGCTATGTATAATTTAGTCATATTTATCTGTGGATGAATCATCTGAGAATGCTCTATACTTGTTAGATCCTCCCTTCAAATAGGATGGTTGATAAATACTTTTCCTAGAAATCATTATATTAAATATCAAAAAGACGCCTACATGCATATGTTTATTGCAGCTTAATTTACAATTTCAAAGACATGGAATCAACCTAAGTGACCATCAACTGAAGAGTGGATAAATAAAATGTGATATATATAATATATTATATATATTATAATATATATTATATATCACATTATATATTATATATTATAATATATTATATATCACATATATAATATATATCACATTATATATAATATATAATACAATAATACTTAAATACATATAATAATATATAAATATATATAATATATAATATTATAATAATATATAAAATAAAATATATACACACACACACACCATGGAATACTTCTCAGCCATAACAAAGAATAAAGTAATACCTTTTGTAGCAAATTGGATGGAACTGGAGATCATTAGCTTAAGTGAAACAACTCAGGAACAGAAAACCAGATACTTCATGTTCTCACTGTTAAGTGGGAGCTAAGCTATGTGTATGCAAAGACATATAGAGTGGTATAATGGACACTGGAAACCCAGAACGGGGATAAAGGATGAAAAACTACCTATTGGATACAATGTACACTATTTGGGTGACAAGTACCCTAAAAGTCCAGACTTCAAGCTATTTAAATAAATACATAAATAAAATGTTTTTTATTTCACATACACCTGTTAATCACACATTTGTTTTAAAGTCAGTCCTATGTGAAAGACATCTTGCTAGGTGCCTTGGGGAATATAAACTATAAGATAAGGTGTCTGCTTTCCAACTTAGCTTGTCATATATTTGGGTGTATAAGACATACAAGAAAAGGACTAATAACTAATTTGTTCATTCAACATATATTTTATTAAGCTCCTGCTATGTTCCTGACACTGTCTTTGCAACTGGGTAATAAGTAATACTTATCAAATGGATGGGACATATAACTAGTTTTACAATCCATATACTTCCAGGAAGTATATATGTTTGAATGGGGTACAAAAATAACAATTTAGTGAGTCTGTTGTGAAATATCATTGAGCTATTTAATCTAAAACAGCACACTGTCTGGCATATAGTACACATTTAAAAAATGTTAACTATTATTAATCTATGAATTTAGTGCAGGAGTTAGAAAAATTTTAATGGTAATTGACCAGATAGTAAATATTTTAGGCAGTATGGATAACATGATCTCTATCGCACCTACTCAGCTTTGCTGCTGTAGCACAAAAGCATCCTTAGACAACATGTACATGATAGGTGTGCATTTTTCAATAATATTTTATAGAAACAGGCTGTGTGCCGGGTTTGGCTCACAACCATAGTTTGCAGACCCCTGATTTAGAGGAAGAGGCATTTTCTTTCAGTCGGGTGGCCAAAGAAGGCTTCCTGAAGGAGATGAGATTTGAGTTAGATCTTGGCTAAGATTCAGCTAGTTGAAGAGAATGACATAGTAGGATCCAAAAAGGCAGAAAAAGAATCTGAGTCAAGCAGTAGAGACAGGAAATGGTAAAATTCATTTGGAAGGACAGTAAGTAGACCAATGTGACTAAAAGGTGAGAGAAGGTGAGCTTGCAAGGGTAGGTTTTGTCTGAACTGGATTCTGTTAATGAGTAAAAGTTTTTGAACAGGCAAGTGTCATGTTTTAAACAATGTTAAGAAGAGGCAGGTCTTGCAGTATGTAAGTGGGAGTGAAGCTGGAAGCTGTAATAAAAACCTTTGATAGGTGGTCTGTTTGTGAAACAGTGGGCAATATGAAGGGGAAAAAGGACTCTGGGAAGATTAAGGAAGGAAGGTGCTTATCAGAGCAAGAGATGGTTGACCTTTAGAGTTTTACAAGCCCAAGATGAGACATTCTTAATGGGAAGAAAGCTAATATATACTGAAGGCCCCCTGAGTACTAGGTATAGAGTGAGGCTTTGCATATCTCACTTTATCTTGTAATAGATTAGTTATTAAAACAAGAAAGCTGATTTGTGGACAAACCATCTGGGTCCTTTTTTATCTTTTTTTTTTTCTTTTTAAACATGTTGAGTTAATGCCTATGAAGAAAATCTAGGGAAAAAATATCAGTCACTGACCTGCAAAAGAAACTGTAAAAAATTTTGATAAGATATAGGGAAATTACAATATGTAAAACAATAAGGATTTAAAAAACTTATGGTGTACCACTTAAGGAATTTTCATCCATCACACACACACACACACACACACACACACACACACACACACACCCCTAATACTCCTTTGTTAAGGGGTTTATGCAATAAATGCTTTTATGGACAAGGCAATTGGGCAGGTCAAATGTAAGGAGAGAAGATGGAGATATATATATCTGAGATAGTTGGGTAAAATTAGTGTGTAGTTGAAATTAGGAATGATTTTGATGTCATGATCTTCAAATAAATAGGCTAAAGAAAAAGTTTTATTTTAACAGAAGAAGATGGAAAGGATGTATTCTAACAAGTCAGTCTAGACTCAATAAGATCTCCCATAAGACTGTTAATAGAAATGTGAAAGGAATTATTTTTTCAGAGGAAGAGTCTAATTTTGACTTTATTAAATTATTCAAGCTTTGATATATTCTATATATGCTCCTAATTTGATATGTAGCTTGCTTTTGTTTATTCAGAATTCTAAGGAATGCTATCTAGAGCTATTTTTGTGAGTATTATAGATATTAAAATGTGAATTATATTCAAATGTCTGACCTTTAAAAATATAATAAAAGGAAACAAGACTTTCTGCTTTTTTTTTCCTTTTTGTTTTAAGGCAGCTTGATATGGTGGAAAGAGGTTCTGCAACCAGACAGAACTGGCCTTCCTTCTGCCTTCGCCACTTGTAACCTGGGGCAAACTATGTAATTGCACTGAGCCTCTGTTCCATGAATATTAAATTATATTCAAAAAGCAGGCAATACTATATATGCATATATTTAGCACAGTATAAACCTTTCCTAGATGAAATGTATTATAACTAGAAATCAGAATTCAGGAATACATGCAATACTTTGGGTCAATTATCTGCCTTCCGAATAATTTATTATGTGTCTCTTTTGCTTTGGATTTCTTGGTGAAGAAACAATGTACTTAAAAATATGAGGACTTATTTTTCTGCAAATTAATGAGTTCCGCAAACGTTTACTGAAAGCTCATGACATGCCAAGCACTGTGCTAGGTATAGGAAACACAAAAATAAATGACATCCAAACTTGGCCTTATAGAGCTTACTGTGCAGTAATAGAGATTTATGAACACTGACTATAGCTGAACATTTGAGGCATGTCCAGAATGTACTGAAAAGAGAGGTTAACATAAGCTGTGGTTCCCACCAGGGATACATTTTGCCTACACCTGTGTTTGTCTTGAAGAATGACTTAACAAGTTGGCAGGTAAAGAGTATAAAGTGTATCTTAAGGACAGGGGCAGGTCTAGGCTTTGTGGGGCTTGAAACTTTAATCATTTGGGAGCCTTTTTAAGAAAATAATATAATGTAATATTTGGTGAACATGAATATATATTTAGAATGAGAAAAAATTATTATAAATTATTGGAGATTTGGGTCTTTTTCTGCTGTAATCTCTTTAGGCATTTAGAAGAGAAATATATAGAAAACCTATGAAATGCTACTACAACCTCAGCAGCAGCCAGCTCTTATTGGGGCCTTTGCAAGTAAGGGGCCTCAAGATTTGCATTGTACTAGTTTATGGCAAATCCACCTGGCTTAATGGATTATTTGAAAGGGATTTATACATTTCATACATATGAGTCAAAAACATCATTGAGCATGCAGTTTTGAACAGGTAAGTGAGATTTGTGTAGAAGTGATCAAGTCTCTAACAATTACAAAGGGTTTACTGGTTTTCAGACCATTCAATAGAAAACAGAAACATTCAGACATTTCTTTACAAATGTTGAATTGCCAGTCTGCAACTAAAATATTGTGATTACCTAATTAACATTGTTAAAGCTTTCTCTCCATTATTATTTTTTAATTGTAGCCCAAGGTGGTTGTTACAGCATCATTTGGCATTGAACCTGGAAGGAGGGTAGAGTACGTACCACTTGTAGAAGAAGCGCTAAAAATAGGACAACACAAACCAGACAAAATTCTCATTTATAATCGTCCAAATATGGTAATCTGAATATTGAATTTGGTTCTTGCTTATGGTAATATGCTAAGAATGAGTTTAGTTTTTACCATTTAAAAGAGACATTTGATTTATAAGCTATTAAGTATACTGCTGAATGTTATTGTTATTTCTAAAAAATATATGAATAAGACTTACTGACTTCATGAAAATCTAGCTTAAAACCAAAAGAGTGAAACACAGAAAGATGTGTGAGATTAATGAATTGGATTCTATGTATATTGCTATTGTTGTGTTTTTTATTAGCTCAGATTATATTAGCAATAATAATAACAAACACGAAGTGACTGCTTACCATATGATTTTTAAGACATTCTACTAATGAATATATATATATAAAATAATAATAATAATAATTATTGTTATTTTTTTTTGAGACAGAGTCTCACTCTGTCGCCCAGGCTGGAGTGCAGTGGCCGATGTCCGCTCATTGCAAGCTCCGCCCCCTGGGTTCATGCCATTCTCCTGCCTCAGCCTCTGGAGTAGCTGGGACTACAGGTGCCTGCCACCACACCCGGCTAATTTTTTGTATTTTTAGTAGAGACGGGGTTTCACCGTGTTAGCCAGGATGGTCTCGATCTCCTGACCTCGTGATCCGCCTGCCTGGGCCCCCCAAAGTGCTGGGATTACAGGTGTGAGCCACCGCGCCCGGCCATATTTTTTAATCTTCCTGGTAACTCTATTAACTAGATGATAATATTATTACTATTTTAATAAAAGAAGACTCCAGTGAACATGGAGATAAAGTAACTTTCTCAGTTTGAAAGTGCCAGTGTCAAGATGCGAATGCATGCGCTCTGACTGCATGCTTAATCCCTCAGCTATACTGACTCTTGGAGTGGTGTGATTAATTTGCATGCAATTGTCTTCTTAAAATTTTGAAGAGTATTTAGGCCAGAAATAAAACTATGCTTAGGAAAACAAAACATGAATATTCTAAGTAGATAAATTATTCTGTGATCTATGAAGGAAGGGAGAACAGTATAAGATATCAATGAATACAATTTACCGTACTTTTCCTGTAACTTTGAACTCATGATCACCTTACTTCTTCACCCAAGCAAATCTCTAGCTATTTATGATAAGACCAACTTGGGTTTCTAGCAGATTAAATTTTTTTTTTTGCAGAAGTGAAATTGCAAGACTGCAAAGAATCATGTGCAATTAATTTATAGAACTCTTGACAAGTTTTCTTTGAAAATACTTAAATGACAAGATATGAGAACAGAGTGTTAAAAATATGTCATTTTGATTACCACCTAGCAATTCCCATTACCACATTAAATTCCTGTGTAAAGTTTTAGTAGTCTGTGGTTCATGAACTGCTGCACTTAATGATTTTAATGTTCTTATGATCTTGAAGAAGAATTTTAAGTTTCTTTCAGAAGACCTCAAGCACTTTTTTTAAAAAAGCTTCTTTGCTGTTTAAATCAGGCAATGCAAAATCAGTAATATAGAAGGCTTTGGGTAAGAACAGTTTAGAGGAATGGCAGGAACACACACACAATGTATGCATATGTGAGTATATGTGTGCTGTTTACATTACATATACTTACAGTATATAAGTGCTGAACATGTAATTTGTTCAGAACTTATGATGTTCTAAGTTCTAGGCCCAATGCTAAGTACTTCCAAATATTTTTTCTTATTTAATTCTAACAAACAAATGAAATACATGCTGTTTCTAGCCTTATTTTGGAGATAAAGAAACTGAGTAATGGAGAGGTCATAGCCCAAAGTCACGGCTACTAAGTGGCAGAACCAGGATTTAAACTCCAGTTTAATGATTTGTAACCAACAAGATATATGCTATTTCTTTCACTATAAACACATTGGATATGTGCAAGTCTCTTCTCTTTTCTTCTTAATAGAGATTAACTGCCTGCTCCCCTCCAATAACTAGCTTACTTTCTCAGCTTCTCTCTTTTTCTGCAGGCCCTTTCCTCTATTGTGATATAGATGAGGGCTGTAGAAATCTCTTGTTCTTTCTATTAGACCTGCTGTTTTGGCAGTAACTAAGCCCAGTGGAATGGCTTTGCTTTGAATTTAGAGAGACACAAATTATGAGGCTCAGTGGTGTGTCTTATTAACCAGGATTGCATTTTTGTAAGAGGAGGTAAAAACTTGGCTGCCACACCTAAGCCTCAGGCAAACAATGATGGAATCAAAGGATATTGCATCAATCACCCCTATGCTCTCCCAATACCGCCTTTTAAGAATTATAAGAATTAGGAAAGACATATCTATAGAAGTAAATGCATATATGTGAAAGTGTTTTTTTTCCTCTGTTTCTCAGATCTCCTTTGCACATACCTCTGTTTCTTAGCCTGAAGAATAACCATTTATTGAAGTCCTAATTTCATTAGAGTCCTATCAAAATTATCAACCTGTAATTATTTTTGTGATCCTCAATTTGATGTTTGTATTTTGCAGTGTGATGATTTTTATAGATCTCTGTGTTGTCAAAAGTTTGATAATTTGCAATTAGTTGCTTTTATCCATTGTATAAATAGAAATGGAAACGTATGATTTGGTCATAGTCAACTATTTTATTTATCTAAATGGCAGAGCCAGTACCTATCAGAGTGGGGCTGGAGAAAGCAGTTTGGCCTGAAACTTCAACTTGATACAGGGTCTTCGATTCAGCTATAAATGTGTTAGCTATAAATGTGTTTATTCATACAGGTATCATATTCATACAGGCATCATATTTGTGATATTATATTGAAGTATTAATTGGTAAATGTACCTATTTAAATATATGAACAGTTTTTACAACCCTGATTAATGTATTAAGCAGCTTAGAAAATGGAAGTGGCTTGTCTTTTCTAAATTTTTCAATCTTTGGGCTTATCTCAGGAATCACTTTAATGAAATGGTTACATACATCTCTAGATAGTAGATCTCATTAACTTTCATTGAGTGTTATATAACTTTGCTTGTGCTTGTGCTAACATGTTCGCCAATTATAAACTTCCTGATGTGTGATCTTGAGCTCAGCTAACATCTAAGAAAAAAACTAGGCTTTTAATGGGCATTAACTCTACTTAAATAGCTGTAATTCCCCATCAGAGTAACTTTTCCATCAGCCACTTCCCTGCTTTTCACCCATCTGGCCATTTCATTGTCACTGTTTTTAAAAAAGACTATTTAATTTCTTTAAAGGAGTATCTGTTTAACTCATGACTCTATTATCACAAAGTTTACTAGAAGGAGGAAAACTTGGATTGTATTTTAGATATATCACAGACTCTGACTAAATTTCAAAACTGGATTTTAGTCTTCAAAAAGGAATAGTAGAATTCTTCCCTACTCCTGAAGAAGAATTAATGTTTTCTTATTTGGAAAGGTAGCTGTGGTATTACTCCTAAAGGCCATTGTATGAAGAGAAATTTTAATAGCTTAGTTGACACATCATTGTAAAGATAATAAATGCAAAATAAAATAAATAGGCTATGAAAAATAAAAATTAGTTTATAAAGTTATTAGTGTACATACATCTATAAAAACATGAAACGTTATTTAAGCCATGAGTGTTGATGGAAACATTACTGCATTATACTGAATTTCTAAAGGATATCTCTAGATTTAAATGAAACATGCTTTTTTGTCAGTTTAGTTGAAGTGAATATAAAACTTTTGGACTTTTTATAAACATTTATGTTAAATCATGAACTTGAACTTTTTAGTCATAAATCTGATGTTCAGTGCCATATAGGCCTAGATTTTCAGTCAGATGCTCAGACTTAAATAGATTTAGCTACTTTTTGTTCTCTTGATTTAATCTCCTTATTACAGTACATATTCTTATATTTTTGCTGTGTAGGAGGCGGTTCCTTTGGCTCCCGGTCGTGACCTTGATTGGGATGAAGAGATGGCAAAAGCCCAGTCACATGACTGTGTTCCTGTTCTTTCAGAACACCCACTGTATATTCTTTACACATCTGGCACAACGGGGTTACCTAAGGTACTCACTCTCTTAGAGATAACTATCTATAGCAGTAGATTTACTTTGCACCAAGAATGTTTGATCACTGACTGGAAATGTTTGCAGACTTTACTTTGAAGTTTAGAGAGTTACTTCATTTGCTTTTATTTTTTTTTCCTGTGCCCAGTCTGGAGTGCAGTGGCGTGATCTCACCTGACACAGTTACTCCATATCTTAAAGAGATTTTGTGTTTAGTGCTAAATATAAAAACATTTATTATTTAACATCAAATATTTTGCTCTCATTTCTTCCAGAATTGTCTCAAATGCTAGAAATATACAATTGCTTTAGTAGATGTTTAATTGAATATCAGTTGGTTTAATAACATTATATAAAAATATATTTTAAATAAAATATTTTTATTCTTTTAGATTGAGGTATAAGTTTCATGCAGTATAGAATTGATTTTTTGATCTAGGGGAATTCAATTATTTATTATGAATGTGATTTTGAGAATTGGCCTAGGCAGTTTGAACAGAGGCAATTTATCCAAAGTATTGAACTATTTGATTTACAGCATGGAAGACACTCAAGGATTTTTAAATCTGTTTACCATGAAATGTGTTTTTACAAAGCAAAGTTGAAAGCATCAATATTCATTGATGCGTCAAATAGCAACAAATACCACTTTTGCCTGGTATCTCCAAATAACACTGTTTCTTCATAGACCCTTATAAAAGATAACAGTATCATTTTCCTTACTCATCTTTATTAGGTGGTTTAATATTCATTGAATTGTAGAATTTTAGTAGGGGACGGGACTTTCATAATCATTCTCTTCCTTGAGGACAGTGGCTTCTTTATTACTGTTAGATTGCTATAGCATCAGTGTTCTGAAAACTTCATTTCTTAATCTTCTTAGAATAGTGGTTCTATTTGATTAGTTAGCTTTTTAAAAGGAAATTTAAGATGTTCCATATAAACCTTGCTTGTGAAAAGGAACACTTTTGGTAGGGTAATATATTCTCTCTGAGGACACAGGTTATGTTTTAGTATATTTTGGTCTACCATTGTGCTGTATGTAGTTGGTGCTCAATAAATTTTTGTTGAATTCATACGTAGATGCATGCACATGAAGATATTTGTTTCATTGTAGAATTGAAGCCTTATGATTTTGTTGCAACTCTAGTGACTTGAAAAATATTTCTGCATATTGAAGATTGGAAGATTTATTTATTGAAGCATGCCATATAATCTGCTCGACATAATTCTCAACCTCCACTTTTTCCAGTTCTGCCTTGCACACTAGCCACCTGGAGTCCAACTGAACATTTGGCTATAAAATAAGAGGGGACTCAGCAAAGTTATGATCTAATATAAAAGTATCAACTGAGAGAAAACTCCTGACCCTGAAAACACAGTATAACTTAATTTTTAAAAAATTTAGTTTCTTAAAAGCCTGAAGAAATCTTATAAAAACATTTGTGCTACCTCAAGACTTTAAGTCACTGAAATTCACTGTGACCTGGAATGGGATCTTATGGGAGGGGCAGAAGAAAAGGTTTTCAGAAATTAAAAGCTGACTTGCCAGTGTAGTAGAAATCAAATAAAAGCAATACACAGAGCATTATATTGAAAAGTGGTTCCAAATAAGGATGGACCCTAGCTATTCCAGGTTTTCTTTTTTTTCTTTTCTTTTTTTTTTTTTTTTTGAGACAGTCTCCCTCTGTTGCCCAGGCTGGAGTGCAGTGGCGCGATCTCGGCTCACTGCAAGCTCCACCTCCCGGGTTCACGCCATTCTCGTGCCTTAGCCCCCCGAGTAGCTGGGACTACAGGCGCCCGCCACCACGCCTGGCTAATTTTTTTTTTTTTTTTTTTTTTGTATTTTTAGTAGAGATGGGGTTTCACTGTGTTAGCCAGGATGGTCCTAATCTCCTGACCTCGTGATCCACCCGCCTCGGCCTCCCAAAGTGCTGGGATTACAGGCATGAGCCACTGCGCCCGGCCCAGGTTTTCTCTGAGAGGTTCTTTTCTGGATTCCTTTCAATGCCTAAATGGAAGATCCTTTGATATTTCTATCATCCTCATTTTCCTCCTAATGTACCATCCTGAGACAATCTATTTCAATAAATTTGAGAGGGCTTGAATTGTGTGGAGATTTCTGCATCACAGTGAATTTGACTCAATATAATGTATTTGTATTGAGTGCTCAACAGATACAACTATGAGTAAAGTACAGTCCTTCTAGTCTAGTGAGATTGAACTAGGTATGAACATAGGTGATGCAAGATAGAAGGTGATCCTTTAGTTGGGAAGATAGGTGACTACACACAATGGAGACAAAGAAATTAGTTTTCAGGCTGTTTAATTAGTTTGGGACTTTACATAGGACAGCATGCTTAACAGGGAGGAATCAGATTTGGTTCAAAGTTAGGAGTCTAAGACTTTGAGAACATATGAGGGTGCTTTTGAATATTCACTGAAATAGAATCAGAAGGATGGTTGGAGGCTAGGGAAACTAAAAGTCTTTGACATACTCATCATGATGTGTCTTCAGGACATTTAACATGAAGATGCCCAGTCAAGAGTTGGTGATGAGAGTCTGAGCCCAAGAGTTACACATATGGGGTTGGAGATAGACCCTTGTAGGTCACTGGGGTACAGGACTGGTGATTAAATTGTGTGCGTGAGTGGGCTTTGCAAAGTTAACACATACAGAATGGCAAAAGAAGGTAGTTATCTCTTTAGGTCCCTCTTCCTTCCAGTGGACTTTAGGGTTGAAATTGCTTTAAATTTTACATTACCAACAGACCTTCATGGCACTTATTTTAACCTATCTTATAGATATTAGTTTTTATGGCACTTATTTTAACCTGTCTTATACATATTAGTTTTTATTTATTTACTTTTATAACAATGAATGTTCTCTGAGGTCTTAGAATATACATTATCCTTTTTGGATCCACTGTAGCACTAACATTAAAATTTGACCCAGGTAGAGCAGAATATTTGTTGAATGATCTCTTACTTCTCTAGTAAGCCAGCTTCTTGGACACCTCCTTATTCATACAATTCTCGTTTCATTTTTCATAGGTATAATCAGGATTAATAGTACCTAAAATCTTAATATGGGATCCACAGAATGTAAGTATAGGAAAAATAAACACACATGCATTAATGGAGCATTTAGATATAAATATGATGTCATCATATGGTTTGTTTCCTCAATCCTTGATCTTCATGAGGAAAAATAATGTTGTGAGCTCATAAAACTCTTCTGCCTAAAAATGCTTGTTTCTCAAATATAAAACACACATAAGGCAGTCTGTTCTTTGGTTAGAATTTGTAGATACATTTAAAGCATATTTGCATATCAGCATTTGCCAACCCTGGAGTTGTCAAGTTGCTGTATGACAGGTTAATCTGTTAGCTGCTGTAAATATTCCAGCAACCACATGTGAGCTTCTTTGCATACATTTCTGTTTTGTTGTGGGCTTCTATTCTGTTTGGTCTGGGTGCCTATATTTGAGATAGTTCAAAGCACTACATGATAAAAGAATCCCTCATCTGGATCAGATGTCCTTTTAGGTATGGGAGATTTAGTGATTATAATATTTATCTTGTTCAGTTTGATATCATAAAGGGATCATGATAATATAAAAAGGAAAAATGTTCAGTGTCAAAAGAGAACAGGGGGAAAGAAATCAAAAGGAAAAGATTGAAAAGAAAGCATGACAAGAAAGTGGTAGATAAGGCCTTTTGTCCTGATGGGCACTTACTTCCTGCCCCAGAAAAAAAAAAGAGTGAAAGTCAAATAAAAAACAGCAGTGAACTTTTTTGTTTGATCTGTGGTACGCTCTTGCAGTTAAAGTGCTGAACTGGTTGCACCCTTGCCCCTTAGCTCACAGTTGTTCAGATCGACAAAAAAATTATACAACTGCCAAAATATCCTCCATGGACATAGCTTCAGAATCATCTGAAAACCTGTATCAAGATATTTCATGTTTGATGAAATATCCCGAATAGAAACTTTTTATGCCTTCTAAGAAGATTCAAGATTCACTAAGTTCTACAAGTGTCAAGGGTTTCTCCTGAACAAAGAGTGTTTGTTGAAATAATTGCATTGTTCACACGGGTTTATACACTAAACTGTTCACTCATTTAGACAGTCAACAAATGTATTAAATGCCTATTCTATCCCAGACACTGTGCTGAAGATACAAAGATGTTGTCCTCACTGTGCTCAAAGTGGTGGAGAAGGCACAGCACTAGGTGGGGATATCAGTCCTCTGATGAGGTTTGCAGGCCCTGAGGGCTGTGAAAGAGGACCTGAAAGACATTTGACACAAATAACAGGATGGGGTGAAACTTCCCAGAAGAGGTGGTATTTTTGCAATGTCTTGAAGTACTCCTGGTGAAGACATTGGAGTTCATCAGGTTTAGAAAAGGGGTGGAGGCTTACTCTAGAAAAAGGGGATGCCATCTGTCAAACCACTGTCAAAACAAGGTTTAGTGCTGACGTGTTAGATCTTTTAAACAATCAGAACCATTCATTTTTTTTCTCTGACGCCTGCCATCATCTGGTGATGGGTTTCTTTTCTTTCCTTCAAATAAAATTTATTTTCCCCCTTTATTGTTTCTTGTCAGGCTGAATTGATACACACACACACACACACACAAACGCACACATGTATATATATATGTATACATACATATACATAAGCATATAAATATGTACACATGCATGGATACATGCATATGTTTACATGTGTGTATGTGAATAGACATTTTACATATGTAAATATATATATATATTTGCCTTGTATGATTCTTTATTACAAAATAAATGATAGAGGGACTTAATGTAGGAAATAGGAAGTTTTGTCATGTACTCTAAGCTTTTCTACTCTCAGTATTTTGGGATTTGCCTGTCAGATATTTAAAGACCATTAAAAAAAAAAACTTATATTTTTACAATGAAGAATCCCAAATTCTTAATCTTACCACACACTTCAGGCTTCCCTCCTCTTCTACAACACCTATTGTTACAATTGCATTTTTCTTTTTCAAGTTGTGGCAGCCAAAACTGCACACAACATTTACACCAACATGTTTTCTGTTTTACTTTAATAGCCCCATTTATGACAATCTGTGAGTTTACTTGTCTTCAAAAGTAGCTCAGTAAGCTGGAAATTATAAAGAACTATCTGTGATAACTTTGTGGTCCTATTTCTGAGTAACTAACATTCACCCTTTACTTTTACTTGCACTGATTGGATTTTTTAAACACCATAAACATTGTATTTGTCCCCCACTCCCAAAAGAGAGCACCTTCATATTGCTTCCATTGCTATGTCTGAGATAGGATTCACTTTCATGTCTTTATTCAGGGCACAGAGTGCTAGTCCCATCTGGATATTTTTCAAGTTCCGCAGACATCTTTAAGAATTATGACTGATCCTACCAAAAGATCGGAACAGCATATTGGCAGGTTACAGGGTTTTTATGAGAATATATGAGATCATCTAGTGACTTTACTTTTAAGGTAGGTAGAGTATAAGTACATAGAGAGGCCAGGCGCAGTGCATCATGCCTGTAATCCCAGCACTTTGGAAGGCCGAGGCGGGCAGATCACGAGGTCTGGAGATCGAGACCATCCTGGCTAGCACGGTGAAACCCTGCCTCTACTAAAAAAAAAAAAAAAAAAAAAAAAATTAGCTGAGCCTGGTGGCATGCCTCTGTAGTCCTGTAGTCCCAGCTACTCGAGAGGCTGAGGCAGGAGAATCGCTTGAACCTGGGAGGCGGAGGTTGTAGTGAGCAAGATCGTGCCACTGCACTCCAGCCTGGGTGACAGAGCAAGACTCCATCTCAAAGGAAAAAAAAGAAAGTGCATATAGAAGGTAATAATAAATAATAGAGATTCGAAAGACTAAAATGAAGAAGGTTTGTGTTTTAGGGGTAAGCACTGGTATTGAGTATTTTTACTTCATATTCAGATATACTGTAAAAGTGCTATTTTTAGTTTACAACTAAATTTGCTTAGTTATAGTATAATGGTTTGTTTTCTGGAGCATAATTTATGTGTTTTCAGAGGCTGAATGGTGTTTCTCTTTTGCATTTTAATTATCATTACCTGGAAAATGTGATTATAAACAGGAAACAAAAATGCTTTATCATCTTATTTTTGTTACAAATTAATATTTATGCTAAAGAAATTCTCTTGAAATGTAACCTTCGTGTTTTTTATACTTTCAAACCTCTTACAAAACGTGAACCTGGAGAATATGAAACCATGCATTTCTTTTTTCTGCACCATATCAAATACTCAGAAATTTGAAACTGTATTATCTGAGCATTTGAGAGGCAAGACCAAATTGCAGATCTAGAGTCTAGATTAATAAATGGTAAAAAGATGCTTGATTAAAATTTTTATACTCATTCTTTAAAAAATAAAAGTAAGTGGGTATCAAAGACTAACGAAAAACAGAAATTACGGCTCTTCTCACTCCTTCAGCTTCATTTTAATTGTTTTAAATGAGAATCTTTGACGGCAACCTCTAATTATTTTGACATTTATGCCTTTTGACTGATAGGAGCACAGGGTAAAATAAAAAGCAATAATTGCTAGAACCAAGGAAATAATATTGTTAATGAAATTTTAAATTTTAGTCTTTACAACTTTTAATGCTTTTTCACGCATGTTCTCATTTTTAAGTCTCTTTTTTTTGGTCAGATGGGTTTAAGTATTCACTAATTTACAGACAAAGTGACATTGGTAAATGTCGTTTGAAGAAGTACTCATCTGAGAGGTAAATAGAAATTTGTCAACTTATCCTTTACATTTATGTTTCAGGTTTTACAATTGAATTACTACTCAGTTATGTCTTCCCTTACCTTTTATTTCTGGTCATCATTTCTAGTCAATGCATCTTACCCTCTGTACCATATGGTCTAAACATTTACCTAGTTTTAATAATGTTTAGAGTTACTGATAAAAATGGGTTCTAAATGCAGGGACATGTAGGATGGAGAGAAAATTTTAAAACATGTTTAATTGAAATTATTACTGATATTAAGTATCACCATCTGTCATAACACATGGACAGCATATTGTCTACAAAAGCTACTTTTTCTAGTCTGTAAAATGAATAGTTTTTATAAAGTGTTTGCAAATTGATTAATATCAGATTCATCAATCTGTTGAGCCATAGGAAAAGATCTTCTCAATAGAACAAACTAGCAAAGTGCATGGACGATAGGATAGGATACAGTGGAAAAATAACTGTTTCGTTTACATGGGAAGGTGCACGTGTAAAGCCTACTGGCAGGGGGCTTAGAATTTCTAATGTTCCCATGGAGATCAACAGGGCCAGCTGCATGCTAACCATGTCATACAATCTAGAAAATAGCTCTCAAATACCAACAACACTGCATCTGATATTTGCTAAGAGACCAGGTGTTGTTACAGGTGAATAAAATAATGTTCCACAGCATGATGCCTATGTTTTATTAGTGGCACCTGAGGAGAGCAGCAATGTTAGTAACTAACGGAAAGTCAATTTCTGTTTCATTTTCCTGATTTGTGTATGTGTGTTAAGGTGCAGAGCTATGCTAAAAAGCATAACTAATAGCACAGTTATTGATTAGATCCATGTTTGCCCTTTCATAAAAAACAATTTTTTTTGCATAAGAGCAGTTATAATTGTTGTACTAAAAGATGCTTCAAAATACATGTGAATGGAATATACCTTCTATCTCTTAGCAGGTGTTCACCTACTCATTCTGAGTATTCACTCAGTTATGTCTTATTGGGCCAATGATGATTAATGTTTTTTAAAACAATAAATGAACTTAATTATTAAATTTTCCATTAGTTCTTATTTATGGTGACATTTATACCCAGTGTTCAAATATTAATCTTTCATTTAGGTTGAATATGGTCCCAGTGTTGGGGAGAGCTATTTGAAACTGATTTGTGAAAACTTTACTACAATGATATAATGATCCCTACTTTTGCCCAAAATGCAATATAAGACAAATTTTTTAACCTTAGATTCAACTCACTGGAATTCAGCCCTAAGAGTTCTAGAGTTCATAACTAAAGAATTGCTCAGCTTTAAAGTGTGCTTGCATGATCCTCAGTGAAGCGTTGTAATGAGATTCCAGTTAGAATATGACTTTGTTTCCTCCAAGCAGCTATTATTATTTAATCATCTTAAGAAATAGAGGTCCTTATGTTAGTCTGCATTTGAGGTGTATAACTACATTTTACCTTTCTTCGCATTAAATTTTGTTCTGGAAATATGTCTGAAAATGTAGTGTTGATAATGTGTGGTGCCATTAGAAAAGTTTGTATTGCATGTAATTTTGTGAAATCATGTTTTCTTTAGAAGACTAATAATGTTATGTGAGAATGGATTCTAAAAATGGCACTAATGAGGACAAATTATTTTGTGTTGACTATTGAAGGACCCAAAGAAATAATGATTCAAAGATAATTTTATAAAAGCCAAAGTAACTTGTAGCTAATATATAAAATACTTTTGACCAGGAACTTTTAAAGTGGATGCTATGAAGATAGAGAGTGTTTTTACACATTGTTTATTGATTTTAATTTCACTTTTTCTCTCCTTAGGGTGTGATTAGGCCCACTGGGGGATACGCTGTCATGCTACACTGGTCAATGTCTTCCATATACGGACTTCAACCCGGAGAGGTAATCGTGGTTTTAAATTTACATTACATGACATTCTCTGAATAAAATATATTCATTTTATTATCTTATTTTTTAGGTGTGGTGGGCAGCTTCTGACTTAGGCTGGGTTGTTGGACATTCCTATATCTGCTATGGACCTCTTCTTCATGGGAACACAACAGTTTTATATGAGGTAATAAAGTAAAGTTAATACCACATATAAATGATATTTATTTTATTAAAACTTTTCATGAAGCAGTCCTGAGTAGGATCAGAAAAATTGGGGTGGGGACAGGGGACATTATTATATCTTCTTCCAGTTAAAAATATAATTTTGAAAGGGAAAAGGATATGTAGGAAATATTAGCCTGTTATTTAAATTTTGTTGAACAGTCAGAATTAAATTCTGAAGAACATACAAAAACAAGCTTTATATCTATCCCTAACATTTCTAGAAATTATTGGCAAACTGATACTGATTTTAGAGTCCTAGAAAATAGTTATCATAAAACAAGCAATGTAGATTCACCTTTTTTATTTTCATAGGATTAATGGATTTCCAAAGTCATGTTGTCTCAATTTTAAATAAATACTTTCCTTGGTTTCTAATAAAGCTCTGTGTATAAGACATAGGAATATAGACTGACCAGATTTATACCTGAATAAATAACTGTTTAAAAATTCGATGAATATATCAGTGTCACCTAGGAATAAGATTTCTTTGCATATAGGAAATTTACTTCATATGCCTATTCCATTTAACTTTATCAATGTCTTGTATAAAGACTTAGAAAACATACCTATCAGATCTGTAGAAGATCAAAGTCTTGGAGGGATAACTAATATGGTAGTTTGCTAAATTATCATTCAAAATGGCCTTGGACTTTTGGGACAAATTTAACAAGATGGAAAAATACATAAATATTTACAGTTCTATATTTAAATTAAAAAATACAGAAATGAAATAGGGAAAACTTGGGTTAGTTGTAGTTTATGTAGCCAAATCTCTGGGTATTATAACATCCATAACTTAAACATAAGCTGTTGGTAGGACTGTTTTTAAAAAATACTTACCATGTGCAATGATGTAATCTTACTTTACTCTTCCACATTTGAAAATTTGTATTCAGTTTAATTGAGATGATAAAAAAAATCACTAAATTACTAGAAAGCATCTGAAAAAAGGGAGTAGCATGGAAATAATGTATACAAGAAAGAGGTGGGCTGGGCATGTTGGCTTATGCCTATAATCCCAGCACTTTGGGAGGCCGAGGCAGGTGGATCACTTGAGGTCAGGAGTTCGAGACCAGCCTGCCAAACATGGTGAAGCCCTGTCTGTACTAAAAATGCAAAAAATAGCCAGACCTGGTGGTGCATGCCTGTAATCCCAGCTACTCAGGAGGCTGAGGCAGGAGAATCACTTGAACCTGGGAGGTAGAGGTTGCAGTGAGCTGAGATCATGCAGCTGCACTCCAGCCTGGGCGACAGAGTGAGACTCCATCTCAAAAAAAAAAAAAAAAGGTGAAGAAATTGGGAATGGCTAGTCTGACAAATAATACACTTAAAGTGCAGATATTATAAGTATATTTTGATGTTTAAAAAGTTGCTACATATAAATTATGTAGTCTTGAATGCGGAGTTACAGAGGGTTATATTTTGGGAATAATCAGAGACAAACTTAAATGCTTGGCAGTAGAACAAATGGACAACTTCTCAAATATAAGGCTCTCTCTCACATAAGTGTTCTGTCAATACCAGACAAGGATTGTGAAGTAAAGGGAATTTTATATGTGGGGTGTGGAGAATAGTATTAAGTGATTTCAAGTTAATTTGCACTCTTAAATTTCTGCAAGTCAATGAATTTGAAAACATGAGAGGCCATTCTCAATCTTTCTGGAATACTCCAGGCCTCATCATCACTTAAAGGCTATTTGTGTTCTTTCATTTTTAGCTGGCTGATTTTCTGTCTCTGAATGCTAAGAAATATTAAGGTAGACTTTGACACAAGTATTAAACCATCATATACTACTCTACACTTTTGTATCATGCTTTTATATCTTGCGGACTTGATATGCATTTGGGAATTCATATACTACTCTGCAGCTTTTGTATAGTGCTTTTATATCTTGCATACTGAATGTGCATTTAGGTATTTGTAATAATTAAAACAAAATAATCTTGAGAAAACATTTTGTACCATTGTCTTTGCAATATAATGTTTTTAATTTAAAAAATTATTTCTCTTGAAGTAAACAAAATAAACCTCTACACTGAATAGTTATTTTGAATTGTGGCATTGCTTACATAAATATGACAAAGCCAAAGATGCTAACATATTTTTGGTTATAAGCATTAAGCTGCTTTAGAATTGAGATACATACATATTTTGCGCTATTTACCATGGGCTTTTATTGTTTCTCAAGTTTATTTGAAACATGATATTAACACTGTGATGGAGGGTTGTTTGTTTCTATGTTGGAATGATTTGCTCAAGAAGAGTGTAGATGCTCTATAAATATTTGTTGTGTGAATAATTGACTGAAGTAAGCTACTATTTAAAACCTTTTCTCTGCCCTCTGGCTTGTTTTCTACAACTTATAAATGTCTTTGACTTTCTCTGGTCACAAAACCAAGTCTTTTAGACCTTTGCCTGCTTCAACTATGCCATCTTTATTTTCTTCTCCACTAAATTCCTTGAAAAAATATCCTGCCCAGATTCCTGAACCTCATATTGTTTCAGTTATTCCTCATCTCACCGTAGTCTGATTTATGTTCACATCATTTCATAGAAGCTGCTGCAGCAGGGGTCACCAGTGACTTCATAAGTGACAAAGTCAAAGGGCCTTGTTTAATCTGATTTTATTTTTTCTCTTACTAGAGTTCAGCCCTGCAGACCATTCCTTTAGGTGATCCTTTCCTCTCTCTTGAGCTCCAGGCTCTTTGGCTAATGTTCATGTTGTTTCTTTTTTCTGGTGTGACTTTCCTCCTGTCTTTCCTTTCTTGGTTAACTCCTACTCTCCTTGTAGACTCTGCTTAGATGTTATAATTTCTTGAAAGTTTTCTCTCACGTTCTTGGGCTGTGTGCAGTGCCCCTTTTTGTGGTCCCGTTGCTTTCGAGCATATGTCTGTCACTGAGCTGGCCACACTATACTGAAATGATACATTTATGTCTAGAAGAGGGTATCATCTCGAAGAGGATAAAAGCCAGTTTCACAGCACAGTGCATAGCACACACTACACAATTAATAAATACTTGTGGAACTAAATTATACTCTACTCCTCGTTTTCTTTCTTCCATCCTGACAGCTTGTTCTTCTTTTCTTCTCTTTGTTTCTTTCACTTTGGTCCTTAACATTAGAGTTTAGCAGGATCATAGTCTTTGCTCTATTTTCTTATTCTGCTTACGTTTCCTGGATAATCTCCAAGCAGTTTATATTTGAGGATCATTAATTAAATCATGGCTTCTAAATCCCCTTTTTATATCTGCCTTTCCTGCTGAGTACTAACCTATTGTTAGACATCTCTGAATAGTCTGTGCACATCTTATGCCCAAGATGACATGAACTGAGTTCTGTATCTCCACCCCACCCTGCAAACCATATTTCCTTCAGTGCACTCTGTGTTTCTGTTAATGTTACCTCCATTCATGCAGTAATGCAAACTGAGAATCTGCAAGTGATTCTTAAGTTCATTTTCCTTGCATCTCACACTCTGCTGGTCATTACAGTTTGTTGAATCTACTTATTCAGTACTTATCAAAAGTGTCCTCTTTTTTCCATGCCTCTTGACATGTATTCAGGGCTGATATTCAGCTCATGCACAAATATGTCATGTTGACTTATGTCCATTCTATGTTTTGGCTTCTGATATGATGTGTGCCTATACATTCCAGTTACATATTTCAGGTTATCATTAGATACACTTCTCTCTTAATATTGATAAAACAACAGACAGAAAGTCAGTGAAGATGTAGAAAAACTTGACATCATCAACCAACAAGATTTAATTGACATTCATAGAAAACTATTCTCGACAGCAGCAGAATACACATTCTTTTTAAATGCCCACAGAATAATTACCAAGATAAACGAAAACCTGGGCCACGAAACAAACTTCAACTAATTTAAAAATATTTGAAGTCATGCAAAGTCTATTTTAAGACCACAGTATTTTCAAACTAAAAATTAAAAAGAGTTAACAGGAAAATCCCCAAACAATTGGAATCTAATCAATATACTTCTAAATAAATAATCCATAGGTCAAATAGGAAATATCCAGGAAAACACACACACACACACACACACCCCACACACACACACACACACACGTCTCTGGGTGTATATATCTCAAACTGATTGAAAAAGAAAGTACATCATATAAAATTTTGGAGGACACAACTAAGGCAGTTCTGAGAGGGAAATTTATAGCACTAAATGGATATACTAGAAAAGAGGAAAACTCTCAAATCAAGAATATAAGCTCCTATCTCAAGATCCTAGGAAAAGAGGAACAAAATATACCTAAAACCAGGAAGGAATAATAAAGGTAAAAGCAGGAATCAATAACATTGAAAACATAAAAACATAGAAAATTAATGAAAAAGAACTATTTCTTTGAAAAGATAAATGAAATGGACAAACCTCTACAAGCCTAGCAAAGAAAAGAGACAGAAGACACAAATTACCAGTACCACATGTGAAACAGTAGATATCACTAAAGACGCTGCAGACATCAAAAGTGTAATAGGGGAATACTATGAGAAATTCAACACACATAAATTTGACAACTTAGATGAAGATGAAATAGACTAATTCCTCAAAAACCATAAACTCACCAAATGAGAAATAAATTACTAGAATAGCCTTATTACTATTAAGAAAATCCAATATGTAATTAAATAGACTCCCAACAAGAAATCTCCAGACACAGATGGTTTTACTGGAAAATTCTACCAATGTTTAAAATAGAAGAGGAGGCAGGTGGCTGGTATTTCTGTATTCCATGTGCCATCTACTAATGTTTAAGGGAGAATCAATACCATTTCTTCACAGTCTCTTTCAGAAAATAGAAGAGGAGGGAACACTCTCCTTATCATTTAATGAAGCTTGTATTGCCCTAATAAAAAGTCAACGACAAAAAAAAATACTACAAACTAATGTCCTTCATAAACATATAGATACAAGAATTCTTGACAAAATATTAGCAAATATTTTGAATTCAACAATTCAGCAATCTATAAAATGAATTATACACTGTGACCAAGTGGAATTTATTCCAGAGGTACAAGGCTGCTTCAATATCTGAAAATTAATCAAGGTAATCTACCATATTAATAGGCTACAGAAAAATTATATAATCATATTAATTGATGTAGAAAAAGTTGTTTAATAAATTCAACATTCATTCATAATGAAGAGCTATCAGAAAACTAGTAATTGAAAGGAACTTCCTCAACCTGACAAAAGATCACCTATGAAAAAACCTGCTGCTAATATCATACCTAATCATAAAAGCCTGATTGTTTCTCCTCTGTTGTTCAGGAACAAGGCAAGTATTTCCACTCTCACCCTCTATTCAACATATCTGTGGAAGTTCTAGCTCATTTAATAAAGAAGTATAGGGAAGCTGGGCGCGGTGGCTCACGCCTGTAATCCCAGCACTTTGGGAGGTCAAGGCGGGCAGATCATGAGGTCAGGAGTTCAAGGTCAGCCTGACCAATATGGTGAAACCCCATCTCTACTAAAAATACAAAAATTAGCCAGGCATGGTGGTGCGCACCTATAGTCCCAGCTACTCGGGAGGCTGAGGCAAGAGAATCGCTTGAACCCAGGAGGTGGAAGTTGCAGTGAGCCAAGATCGCAACACTGCACTCCAGCCTGGGCAACAGAGCAAGACTCCCTCTCAAAAAATAAATAAATAAATAT
Organism: Homo sapiens; assembly: GCF_000001405.40. Classification (NCBI taxonomy): domain Eukaryota; kingdom Metazoa; phylum Chordata; class Mammalia; order Primates; family Hominidae; genus Homo; species Homo sapiens. The sequence continues at coordinate 81,157,828 of NC_000012.12, forward strand.
AAACAGAAATATAGAGGAAGAAAAGGCATACACACCAGAAGGGTAGAAATAAAATTGTCTTTATTTGCAGATGGCATGATTATTTGCATAAATGATTACAGAATACACACACACACACACACACACACACACACACACACACAAATCCCATAACTAATAAGTGAGTTCAACCCAGTCTCAGGATACAAGATTAACATACAAATATTCATTGTGTCTCTATAAATCAGCAATGGCCACATATGGCCATAAAGGGCATCACGAAGGATCCTTGTAGAGATGAACTGGTTTGTATCTTGACTGTATCAATATTCTGATTGTGATAACATATTGTAGTTTTGCAGTTTTTACACCTGGGGAAAACTGGTTAAAGGGTATATCTCTGTATTACTTCTTACAACTGCATGTAAATCTGCTTATTTTCCTGATAATTACCACATTTTCAAACAAATTCATAAAACTACCTCATTAAAACAAACAACAACAAAAATCTCTAATCCCTTATCTCCTGACAGCTACAACATTCTCTCTTTAAGGCCTTGTCTACACTCAACAGCTTCAACAGCAATTGGAGAAGATTGCAGAGTAAGTTCCTGATTAAGAAATGGAATTTACTCTGCAATCTTCTCCAATTGCTGTCACCATCATTCCATAGCTACAGCTTTTCCTAACATCCCCAGTCATCTCTACTTGCCAAAGTCAATGGGCATTTTCAGTCTTCACTGTGCTTGACTCCTCAGCATTTGAAAGTGTTGGCCATTTGCTCGATCCTAATCATTCTCTTTCCTTCCAAGGTACAACGTGCTCCTGTCTAATGTACCACATGCTCCTGTTTCCCTGCAGTTATTCTTATGCTCATTCCTGTCCCAGGAACATTGCCTGAAATATATGCTACTTGTCTGTTAGATTTCAGCTGGTGTCACTTCCTCAGGGAAGCCCTCCTTGACCTCCCTGATTAGGTCAAATCCCTTTATCATGGTCTTTTAGCACATTGCATTTTCCCTTGGTGGTTTGTATAAAACTTGCAGATTCATATTAGTCTTTAGGCTCCTTTGATGTGTTCGTTTGCCCTTCTTTCCTCTAACTGTACTAAGGAAGGAGTCATCTGAGTTTGTGTCCACCGTCAATTCTCAGCTCCTTGCCTTAATGACACATATTCAGTATTTAATACATATTTGTTAAATAAATGCCTGAATGACAATATCAGAAGAAAACTTGATTTATACGTAAAGATTTTTTCTATCAATGAGTAAGAGTAATTTAAATTTTCTTTTTTTTACAACAGGACTGCATGAGCAACTTATATAAGTCAGGTTATATGTTTTATAGACAGAGATTTACTTTTATCAGTGGAATTGGACATATTTAAATACAGAACACCTGTATTTAAGTAGTTTATTTTCTGAGAGGGAAATTTATAGCACTAAATAGATAGATTAGAAAAGAGGAAAACACTCAAATCAAGAATATAAGCTCCTATCTCAAGAACCTAGGAAAAAAGGAACAAAATATGCCCAAAACCAGGAAAGAATAATAAAGTTACCAAATAATAAAGGAATAAGTCAGGATATATGTTTTATAGACAGAGATTTACTTTTATCAATGGAATTGGACATATTTAAATACAAAACACCTGGCCAGCTCAGTCAGTGCAGTATGAGATGTTTAAAGTATGCAATTCTTGAAGGAAAATTGGATTGACCAGTTAAAATATGGAAACCAATTCTGAATAATTTAGTCTTTACTTTTGAGAGGAAAAAATTGAATGGTACTTCTTTAGAAATCTACTTCATTAATAGAGCAGTGATTCCAATAGATCTAACCCTAACCGTGTATGAACAAGAACAGATATTTGGTAGGATGGTTTTGCCAAAGAGAAGGGATAAAACACAAGCAATCTTTTCACATAGGAATGCAATGTACAAACAAATTTAGCTAACAGCCTAGTGTGTATGCGCATTCACATGTGTGTGATGGCAAATGGTGATTATACAGAGATATGCTCCCTTGCCTCTCTCTTCTTTCTAGTATTTCTTCCCTTTACCAGACTGTCATCTGCAGAATCAAAATCCAACACATTTCTCTAAGGCAAATAAATCTTTCCGTGTCCTGCCTTTCTCCTTATCTTTGCTGTCTACCAATGTGCAAAAGTGTGTGTTGTACACATATTTCAATTTCATGATACAGTAAGCCCAGGCTTCCACAATGACAGTGGTGTGGTTAAGCAAGAAATGAGATTACTGTTCCTTGGCTAGAGTATTACGTAGGTCTAAAATGGAATGTTAGTAGTTACTGTTTCTCCTTAAATCCGGCTTTAGAGTAAGCCATAAACTGGTTGGTATAATTGGTCTTGATATAGCAGTTGTCATTTTTATGTAATAACAGTCTTCTTTTCCAGTCAAGGGATATAAGTTTGCTCTCATTTTACATTTGTTTGTATTTCACATATGGTATACATCACAGCAACAAGCCTTTTCAATAAATTCTTCAGTATGTTTACTAGATTAGCAAGGGCAGATGGCTATTTGTTAATAATTCAACAATTAACTTTGAAGGTATATGCCATACTCTGCCTTCTCAGGCAATAAATTGAATTAGAGAAAGGTGAGGATTTAAAATTCTGAATGATGGTACAGGAGTATGGTCGCTGGACTAGAAATACTAACATATGTGTGGTTATCTTGCTCTGCCTTTATGTACCTATATGACTTAAGCAAATTAATTAAACCTCTTTGGTAGTTCATTTTTTAATCATTAAAATGAGAGGGTTGACACACACTGTCTCAATTTTCACTTTTGTGAATCTTCTTCACTTTAATTGGTTTTCTTGAATAAATATATTATTTGGTAACTTATTTTATTTTTTAACTCTGGAATTTATTCCAATTTCTTTTCATAGTTAGGGAATGCTGATTCTTCAAATATATTTACTGAAGAAAACTTTCACTTTAAATTAGTGAATACTTTTAGTGTTTGAGAGGAAGCATACTAGTTAAGGCTGCCATGGTATGATTTCTGACACTTCTGTTTATTAATTGTGTGGCCTCAAGCTGCTTTACTGCTTTCTGCCTTAGTCTTCTGAACTATAATTATCAGTAGTAATAATACCTATGGCATTCAATTGGTTAATCTGTGAATAAATATTTAGAATAATTCCCACGATATAATAGTGTAATCAGTTCTGGATATTATAAGCTATAGTTATTATTCAAAAACACAAATGTATTATTTCCCAGAATAGAATTCTAATATATAAACACTAAACATAAATTCTCCTGTAATCCAGTCACTTAAATGCTTGAATATTACTCACATTTCTTCTTTCAAAGTCTGTTTGTCCTCATAACATTGAAGAATTCAAATCAGAGCACTAGAGGCAGCTCCCTTTGGAGCCCATTAATTCTCCTCTCAGCACCAAGAAAAAAGAAATCAGCATACAGGGATGTGTTGATTCAGCTACTACGAATTTTGAAGAATGAGCAGAAGATATAGGAGAAAACTCGGTGGTCTCTCCCCTTGTAGATCTATCCTTTAAGTGTAGGACTTGTGAGTTAAATAAAAGTGAACTCGAAGGCTTTAATCAGTGAATAACACAGAGAATTCCCTGGCTCACCATTACCAAGCATTTTAATGTTTCACTTCTATTTTTTTGATGGGCATTATCATTGCTAGTTTTTCAACTTTGCATAAAAGTTTGAAAACTTCATAGTATTCAGCTTGATAATCTCTTACTGAATGCTTTTTCTTAAATTCATAGACAGAATGGAGAGTTTAGATAACCCTAATGTCACAGGACCCTTGGGATGTTGCTTTTCCAGCCAGAAGCCTCTGCAGCTGGTGATGCTTTGTCTTGAGTTTTACTTGAGCCTGCTGGGCTCTCTCTGCCCACTTGTCCTGGCAGGCTGTGCTCAGCTTGTCCTACTGGCCTGGATCCCATGCCTGCCAAGGGCAAGCCAGGACCAAAATGGCAAGGGGTGTGTGAGCATGCAAGCGTGGGGTCCAGCCACTGCACACAGTCAGGCACACTGGTTGTTAATGCTGGTTGGGCAGCTCCAGGAGCCACTACGGACCTGTGTCTGGACGAGGGAAACATGGTGGCACATGGAAGCTTGGAGATGCCAGGAACTGCAGAGCCCCAAAAAGTTTGTCACAGCCCTGGCTTGGGGAGCCCCCAGGTCTGGGCTGCTCAAAGGGCCACAGCCCTTCTCTCCTTCTTGTCACCCATAACATGACAAGCAGGGACGGAGGCCGTGTTTCAGCCCTGTTTGTGCTATAGCTCTTTCAGTTCAGCCATTTGGTGAATCCTGAGTTCTTGTCCCATGTCAAGGATGCATGAGTATGCAGACAACTGGAGGGTGAGCAAGGCAAAGAGGTGCTTTAATTGAGCAACAGTACGGTCTCTGAAGACATGAAGTGGGTAGGTCCTGTCCACAGGCAAGAGGAGACCTGGAGAGGGTAGCTCCTATCTGGAGGCAGGTCATCCCAATATCTGTGCAGCTTGCAGCTGAGAGGACACCCAGAGTGGGTAGTTCCTATTGGCAGGCAAGTCATCCCATTGAGTCTGCAGCCCTCTGGAATGGATAACTCCTATCTGCAGGCAAGCTGTCCCTCAACTCTGTGAGTCTGGCTGAGTCTGGGGTTTTTATGGTCTTCAGAAGGGAGAAAGTGCATGCTGATTGGCCTATTAGCAGCCATGGATGGCCTGGAAAAAGCACCATAAGTTCTCACTCTGGGCCTGGGACCCCACCCAGAACTGACAGCCCTGCTCTCAGGTTTCAGGCTGTCCCTGCCTTGAAGGGGAGGCTTCACTGGGGACCCACCCCTTTCCACCCAGAAGCCTGTCTACCTCCTGCTGTCATTAACATGTTGTCCATGGCACCCTGGCTGTCCATGCTGAGGGGCACCTGCAGGCATGTGCTGAACCATCCTCAGCCCCCTTTGATCCCCCTCCTGTGCTCGTTGACACCCAGAGTTCAGAGGGGGCCAAGGAGGTAGGGGGCTGGCATGTTTGCAGTGCCCTGAGTGTGCACACACTCGGCTGTGTTGTGACATCACCTGGACAGGGCCACAACTTTGCTATGAAATCAGAGCAGGCACCAGGAGCAGGGAGAGGCCATGCAGCAGGAGCAGGCACTTCCAAGCCTGTGTGGGGACAGGGGCTTCCTGGGCCTCCGAGAACACAGGGATGGCTGGGTGGCTGCAGCTGCGGCCCAGAGGACTGGGATCCTATCCCACCAGCTTGGAAAGTTGTCTCCACAGTAACCATTCCAGATGGGCCACTGCTGCTGCCACTAACCTTTCTTTATAGAATGATCGGTATAGAAATGAACTCTGTAGTCTTTATATTTGTTTAGGAATCAAATGGGATAGTGTAGTTGAAAGTAGTTCAAACGTTTCAAAAATATTATTTTTTTATAAAGTCCAATCATGTGTTACATAAAAATGTTTTGGTCAGTGATAGATCACATATACATTGTGGTCCCATAAGATTATAATGGAGCTGGAAATTTCCTATCATCATAATGTTGTCACACATTGCATTTCTCACGTTTGTGATGCTGGTATAAACAAACCTACTGTGCTGCCAATGGGGTAAAAGTATAACACATGCAATTATGTGCAGCACATTAATACTTGATAATGATAACAAACGACTGTGGCTGGTTTGTATATTTACTATACTATACCTTTTATCTTTATTTTAGAGCGTACTCCTACATATTAAAAAAGGTTAACTCTAAAACAGTCTCAGACAGATCCTTCAGGTGGTATTCCAGAAGAAGTCATTATTGTCATAGGAGATGACAGCTCTATGCTTGCCCTAGTAGAGCTTCCAGTGAGACAAATTGTGGAGATGGAAGACAGTGATACCGACAATCCTGATCCTGTGTAGGCCTAGGCTAATGTGTATGTTTGTGTCTTAGTTTTTAAACAAAAAAGTTTAAAGTTTTTTAAAAATTGAAATTTTTAAAATGGAAAAAACTTATAGAATGAACATGTAAACAAAGAAAATAATTTTGTTCAGTTGTACAATGTGTTTGTCTTTTAAGCTGTCTTATTACAAGTCAAAAATTTAAAAAACTAAAACATTTATAAAGTAAAATAGTTACAGTAAGCCAAGTTTAATTTATTATTGGAGAAATAAAACTACTTCTTTAGAAATTTAGTGTAGCTTAAGTGTGCAGTGTTTATACAATATGTAGTATTGTACAATAATGTCCTACACCTTCATATTCATTCACCACTCACTCACTGACTCACACAAAGCAACTCCTAGTTCTATAAGCTCCATTTCTAGTAAGTGCCCTATGTAGGTGTAGCATTTTTTATCTTTTATACCATATTTTTACTGTTATTTTTCTATGCTTAAACATGTTTAGGTACACAGTCACTTACCATTGTGATACAGTTGTCTACAGTATTCAGTACAGTAACATGCTGTACAGATATGTAGCCTTGGAGTAAGAGGCAATACCATATAGCCTCAGTGTGTGGTAGGCTTCACCATCTAGGTTTGTATAAATACACTCTGTGAGGTTTTCACAATGCTAAAATCACCTAAAGATACATATGTCAGAAAGTATTCTCATCATCAAGCAACATGTGATTGTACATTTTATACATGTGTAAATAAGAGTAATCATTATCACTTTATATGTGTGGACTAAAACTCTAAGCCATTTCCAAATATGCAAGTCTCATATTTGAAAATATTGAGGGTAGGAACTGCTCGCAAGTTATTTTTTGCATTTAATACTCTTGCTAAATTATCCCCAAAGTATCTTTAATGAACATCTCAATTCTGTATTTCCCTGTATCTGTAATCTCCACTAAGTCATCCTATACTGTATTTTTCACATGTACACCTTCTGAATACTTAACTCCTCCCAGGCTTCATTTTCACAGTGTAATTTTACCTACATGGAGGTAGTTATCTTCTCTTTGCAAGAATTTTGTATTTTTATTTATATTAACCAGTTTAATTTGTTTATTCCTTTTTCAAGGACAGGGATTTGCTTCTTTTAAAGACAGAAATATGCTATTTCCTTTTAAAACAAGTAGCCATGATTCTGCTAACTAGTATATTCAACTGGACACATCATAGTCCTTTTCTTCCCTTCATGTAATGGGAAATAACATTTAAAAAAATCTAGTATATAGCAATCTGCCTTCTGTGTATATAGAATGAGAAAAATGATGACTCAGCTATTACTCTGATTCAGGCTATATAATTTGATCTTCCCAATTGGAAAAGATTATAAAGCTGATGCTAGCATCTTTTAGATTTTTCCCATGACTAGTTGTTAAAAAAATATTTATTTTTGAGTTCCTTTTTCCCTTTATGTATGTCTATGTTTTATGTTGGAGCTAGCAAGCTCAGTTATTGTCATAGCTCCATCAACAATATTTACTAATGTCTATTGTCAGCTCCAAATCATGCTAGAAGGTGATGGGGAAGCAGAATAAATATCAGATATGGCCTTCCACCAAAGGCTCTGACAATATATTCAAGGAATTAAGATTAATATAAAGTACAGAGGCCGGGCGCAGTGGCTCATGCCTGTAATCCCAGCAGTTCGGGAGGCCAAGACAGGCGGATCACGAGGTCAGGAGATCGAGACCATCCTGGCTAACACAGTGAAACCCCGTCTCTACTAAAAATACAAAAAAATTAGCCAGGCGTGGTGGTGGGCACCTGTAGTCCCAGCTACTTGGGAGGCTGAGGCAGGAGAACGGTGTGAACCTGGGAGGTGGAGTTCGCAGTGAACCAAGATTGCACCACTGCACTTGCAGCCTGGCAACAGAGCGAGACTCTGTCTCAAAAAGAAAAAAAAAAAGATTAATATAAAGTACAGAAAGCAAACAAATCAAGACACACCTAACAAACTCTTACACTGTGTAGAAGATGACAATTTATTTGTAAACTACATGGTGTCATCACCTATGATAAATACTCTACATTTAACTCTTGCATGCTGGCTTAAAAATCTGCACTAGGTTTTTAAGGGATGTTTGCAACTAGTAGATAGGAAGAACTTTGTGAATGAGACAATAACAATTAATAATAATTATTATTGATTGAGTGTTGAGTGATCAGAACTCTTCTAAGCACTTTTTATACATTGTTTTAATTATAAGTACAAACTCATGATGTAGATATTTTAAGTACCCCATTTACAGCTGTAGAAACTAAGAACAGAGACAGCAAATAAATTTGCCAGTGACACAATGGGGCTGGAGCTGGGATTTGAAACAAGCTTCTCTGGATTCAAAAGCAGGATTCCCTTGCCATAATCTGGAGAGGGACAATTGGGAAGTCCAATTGGACTTGGATTGTTGTGTAGTCCAAGATACGTGGCCAGGACTAGAATATCAGTGATCAGAATATTGAGAAGGAGGTTAGGGTGTCAGGTGGCTATTGTAAGAGATGAAAAGGGAGCTGAAAATGGCTCTGATGTCTTCAGCTAGGACAACCAATATAATGGCAGTTATCAACTGAAGTACTACAGTAGGAGGAACAACTGGTGGAGAGGGAAGCAATACTTTTTGTTTTGATAATACTGAGTTTGAAGGTTGTACTCAGATGTTTGTATGACATTGTGAAGTAAGATTTGATCAAGTTACCAGGTGAAGATTGAGAACAGAAACTTAGGAAATTCTTGAGGCTGAGGAAGAGAAACTATATAAATTGAGAGTTAGAAATTGGAGTCAACAGGAGAATCCGAAAAGCAAAGTGTACTAAAGAAGGGTGACGAGAAGGTTTTTCAGAGGATGAGGATCAACAGTGCCAAGTGCTACAGAGAAAAGACTGATAAGACAACTGAAGAGCACTTTGGTGATCAGGGTATCATTAGCCCCTTTTATGAGGGCAATTTCACAGGAAAGTTTGTTGTTTCATTTTTGACATGGAGAAATCTGAGCATGTTTGAAGGTTGTTTTGGACAAAGAATTGGATGTTATGGAGGGACCAGGTTTTGTGCAACCTCAGGTTGAATCGTAGTATGCATATGGAATAGCCACACTTCACTTCCTGGGCAGAAGTCTGGCAGTGTGATTAAGCAAGAACCCATTTAATTTCTCTGCTTGCAGCAAAGTCTCATTAATCACACTGAATAAGAAAAACCTTAATTTGTCCCTCCAGTACAGGATGGCAGAGTGACTGCACATCCACATGAAATAACTCAGAGATGAAAACAGTCCTGCTAGAAGCAATGAGCTACGAGCTGTATACTAGGGGTAAATGCTCTCTGTGACTACTGAGAATGTTAAATATGTCAGAGTCCCTAATTTGCTTAGCACTGCATCTGCAGAATTAGCAGTTTCCATTCTCTGCTTCATTTACTTGACATTAATACTTCCAAAGGTAAACTTTTTTTAAAGGGGATTAGATAGACTCTTATCTGCTAGATAGAAACAATGGCTTATTCATTGGGGGTTGGCTTCATTATAAGACCCCAAATTGTCAACTCTCAGAGCTAGGAAAGGACGAGAGAAGAACCAAACCAAAAGGATAGATCTAGACCATTTAGGATACACACCCTGCCCTAGTTTGTTTTATGCTGCTATAACAATACAACAGATGGGGTAATTTATATAGAACAGAAATTTATTTCTGAAATATATAGAACAGAAATATATTCTGTTCTATACAGTTGTGTAGGCTGTGACATTCAAGATCAAGGTGCTGGAAGGTTCTGTCTCTTGTTGCAAGATGGTGCCTTGTTTCTGTGTCCTCCAGAGAGGAGGACCATGTATCTGCACATGGCAGAAGAACAGAAGGACAAAAGAGAACAAACTCACTCCCACAAACCCTTTGTTTTAGCACCATTTGTCCATTCATGAAAGCAGAGCCCTCCTAACCTAAGCATCTTCCAAAAGGCCCCACCTTCCAACACTGTTGCACTGGGGATTCAATTTTCAACACGTGAATTTTGGGAGGCATGTTTCAGACCTTAGTACATATGTATCTTCAAAAATAATAGATTTATAGATATTTGTGTCTTGGAGCTTTAGCCATGGAGAAGTCTCACCTTCTCAGGCCTGGACACAGAGTTGTATCCTTAATTGAAGAAAGGAAATGACTCAAGCCTGAGGAATTGCAACTATGTGGGACCTACCACAAGGAGATAGTGAAGAGGGATTGTCAAAATAGCAAACTGATAGAAAGTATTAATCTGAACCATGTGACATTGCTGATATTTGCTTTGACTTATGAAAATGGTGATTCCATATGATTAAAGTAATGGGGAGTGGGGAAAGAAGACAGGTTGGTTGGAGACCTCAGATTGACCAATAAATTGTTGGTTCTTTGAGAATATTTATAACTCTTTAATAGAAGTGCATTAAAAGGGTAGTCTTGGCAATTTACCTATCTTGTGGAACAGAAAATGAAGGGATGTTATGGTCTCTACATGACCATCTGCAGTCTTGCTTCCTCCAAGCTGTTTCTGAGACCAGTAGAAAATCTTTAAGGAGCATTTTGTGTTTTGAGAGGCTTTCATATACTTCGACAATTTTTGTTTATAGACGCTTATTAGAATCCCATAGAAGCTATTGACTCCTCTTCCATAGGAAAATGAACATATGTACATACCTTAATTTAATTTCAGAATATCCATGAACTCCTCTGAAGTTCGAGTCAGGAACTCCGTATCTATGAAATTAACATATAATCTTCTCAAGTAGTGATACAACCAACGAAAACACTGGATGAGAGTGATACTCTTTAAAGGTCTCTGGGTAATACATAAAGAGCTTCTGGGTCAGAGCTAATCCTTCCATCTTTGGAGAAAGGTCAGTTGTACTCAGGGTGCTATGTCCTATAAATCATGACATTTATGTCCAGTCTAGAGTCTGGTTTATAGGGCAAGGCATAAATAATTAAGGACAGTGAAGCATTTCTCCCCAGTAATTTCCCCTGTATATGGTCATAATCAGATTTCAGTTATCATTATATTCACTTGTTAACACTTGGATTTAGCTCATTTATTTATAACAAATGGAGAAAATTAGAAACAGCTAGTGTTACATTCTAGGCTCATCCATTAGGGCAACCAGGCAGGTTGGTATTGAAAAATAGCCTTGTCTGAGATAATGTCTATCGAAGGACCATGTATCAGTTCTAAATCCTGGCCGCAGATTAGAATTACTTGGCTGCAGATTAGAATAACTAAAACACAACAGTGCTCAGCCCAAATCAAGGCCAATTGAATCAGAATCTCTGGAAGTGTGACCAGACATTGGTTTCATTCAAAATCATCCCAAGAAGTTCTACTGTATATTTAGGGTTAGTAACCACTGGATTTGAGTAATGTTAGATGGTGGTGTGAATAAGATGGAGAAAGGCAAGATGGCAGCCTATCCTTACAGGTGAGGCCTACAGAATGATGGTACATCCCTAGCAAGTAAGAATCAAGGAAGTCAGTCTGATCTGAATCAGATTGTATTTATAAGTAAATTTTCAATTATTAAAGGAGCGTCTGCCATAACACAAAGTCCTTCATCTGAGGATCTTAAGGCATAGGACAATTATCCCATTTGGCTTTAAAGCAACATAATGTTTTGAAAATTGGAACAAAATAATGTGAGTTATAGAGAAAGGGGCATTGAGAAAGAAAAGGCCCATTTTTGAAGAGATTGTACACCCTCTTTTTTCATACTTTAAAACTTACGAAAGGGAAAACATTGGAAACCTCACCATCCCCTGTTCCAGTTTTACAATTTATCTCCCTTGAAGGTTGTCAATCTTATATGTTATGATAGTTAATTCATATATGAGCAATGTCTTTTATTGTTTTTTAATACAAATGGAATTGTACAAATGCTATGCATACTATTCTGCATTTTAATTTTTTTTTCACTAAATAGTATATCCTGGATAACTGCTTATGTTTTAACAAGTTTTAAGTTTAAATGTTGCTGTCCCAAGCACTCATCCCTTGATAAAGACACATGACCTATAGTAGAAATTCAACAAATGCTATTTCTAGTTTTATCACTCTCCTGAAATAAACAAAACAACTCTCTGCATCACCTATCTGCTGAAATAAAATTTGCTACTAGTCGATAAAGGATGCTGCTGTCTTCACCTTAGAACTGCTGTGGAAACATTCCTTGGGTGACATTTCTCAAAAGTAGTGCTCAGAAAGAGACTAAATGTATTTCTAATCCTGCCACAAAAAAAGAGGCAAAACTGCAGTTGACTCAAAAAGTTTTATATCAGTGTCTGGGAAATCACAAGTAGTCTTAACCTCAAGACCTGAAGAAATGGAATCATAGGATTAATCATAGGATTAATAATAAAGCAAATTTTTTTGCCCAAAGATTTAACTCTAGTGTTTAATTATAATTTTATTTTGCTAAGTGGTTGTATTTCACTGCTTTCCTGTGTTGAAAACTTAACCTCAGTAGCAAATATGTGAGAAGACAGTAACTGGTTTTCTGACTGGGGCCTTGTCATCTACAATACATATTAATACAATGAATCATAACTGGTAGAAAAGTATATATGGATGTTAACATTAAGGCATTTTGGTAACTGTTTTGGTTTCTGTGCTTTGTACCATTGTTAGCCACATTATAAATCTTGCTAATATTAGCAATTGATGTTTTATAAATCTCTGAGGTTAAATTTTATAGTTTCTAACAGCTGAAAGCTTAGAATTTTGGCTTCATCATTGTAGACATCCCTTTCTGCCTTTATTATCTAGGAAGCAACTAATAATGTAGACTTAGTTTGGGAGAAAGGAATTAAATAAACAACTGGTAACCACATTGATTTGAGTTTGAGGAGCTTTAAAGTTGGTATTTTTGGCTGCATTATTGCTTTTGGTGTGTATGTTGTTTGTTTAAAATCCCTGCATTCTTAGAATCTTCTTATTTCTAAATTGAATATTGTCTGGGTTATTTCCCCTTAATGAAAACCAAGTTCTAGAATCAACGTCTTTTTCTTTAGGCAGTTCAGTATGCTTAGTGTGTTACTGGCTACCTTTAAAAAGCATTGTGAAGAGATTTTATTGCTTATGTGTGCATGCTTGTCTATGTGTGTGTGCGTGTGCATGAAGGCAGGAGAGAATTTTAAATAAAATAAATAAGCCATTGAGCCACTTTTATTTACTGTTAATAATAAAAGATTCTTACAGGCTTTGCTTCAGCTTTCTGAAGCTACTAGTGGTGGTAGGTACTGAGAACATATAAGTCCTCTGTTTATTACTGCATTCTTTCTGTTTATTGGACACAAATAGCTTGCAGCATATATTATGCAATTTCTAATAATATTATCCCATACACATGAGAATGTATGTTCCATTAAAGCAGGACCTTATCCGGCTTATTCACAAAATCGTTCCCAGAATATTTATTAAATAAATAAATATACCAGTGTTGCTCACTTTATTATTTGTTTGTATGTAAACAACAGTTTCTGATGAAAGATCTTGTTCTATGCTGCATTATATTACCTGAAGTGTTTACATTATTCAGGGCTTAATATATATGTTAATCATCAGACTATTTTTGAAACAGGTAATTTCCTTAATTTCATAATTGTTTTAATTGAATTTGACATTGAATAGAAGGTCTTAAGAAAGAAAAAACTAAAGTATATAAATATTAAGTTAATTTTAAATAGGAAAACATTTTATTCATAACATTGAATTATCTTCTGGGGAATGGACAATAAAACACAAAGCAATTGAACTTTTTCTATGTTCAATTAACTTATGAAAGAACATTGTGGGATTTTATGAATCGCTTCTTTACTATTCTAATAGTAATGCTACATTATCATGATTTTTATAATCCATAAGTATAATATTGACGAAAATTAGTTTGGTACAGAGTCAGACTTGCAATAGAAGTTAAAATCCTATATTATAAAAAGTATGATGTAGTTTTTTTACTAATACAGTCATATATTACTTAACAATGGAGATATGTTCTGAGAAATGTATCCTTAGGAGATTTTATCACTTTGTGTACATCATAGAGTATACTTACACAAACCTAGTGGTATAGCCTACTACATAGCAGGGCTACATGGTATAGTCTATTGCTCCAAGGCTACAAACCTGTACAACATGTTATTGTGTTGAATACTGCAAGCAATTGTAACACAGTGGTATTTGTATAGCTAAATATATCTAAATATAGAAAAAGCGCAGTAAAACTATGGTATCACGCCTGTAATCCCAGCACTTTGAGAGGCCGAAGGCAGGCGGATTGCCTGAGGTCAGAAGTTCAAGACCAGCCTGGCTAACATGGTGAAACCCAGTCTCTACTAAAAAGACAAAAACTAGCTGGGCATGGTGGCAGGTTCTGTAATCTCAGGTACTCGGGAAGCTGAGGCAGGAGAATCCCTTGAATCCGGGAGGCAGAGGTTGCAGTGAGCCAAGATCCTGCCACTGCACTCCAGCCTGAGAGTGAGGCTCTGTCTCAAAAAAAAAAAAAAAAAAGGCCCTGGTGATCCATGCCCTTTTTTTTAGTGTAACAATGGACTGCTAAGACACTCGCTCTTTTAAAAGAGCAGACAAAATTTTGCCTATCACAGCAAGTTTACACTGATGTGTGCCTGCTGTATGAGCACATCCCAGCACAGTTGTTCTGTCCCTGGAATCCTTAATTCTTTAGGGGCTGTCTCATCCGCTGTAGTATTTCGGGCATGCACCTGTGTCTTTCTGGCGTGCACCTGTAGTCCCAGCTACTCGGGAGGCTGAGGCAGGAGAATTGCTTCAACCCAGGAGGTCGAGGTTGTAGTAAGCCAAGATTGCACCACTGCACTCCAGCCTCCACAACAGAGCAAGACACTGCCTCAAAAACCACCAAAACAAAGCAAAAAAATATGGTGTCATAATTATCTAAAACATTGCTATATGGTATAGGACTGTATTTTCAATATTTGATCTGCATTTAATATCATTAAACATAAGAAATTGGAGGCACTGTAAAATACTGTGTCCTCCTTGTAGGTGGTCTTACATGGTATATCATTTTAATTATGATATTAATATCACCCTTTAATGAGTAATTATTTTCTCATGACACTGGCACTGTCGTAGAATTCAATTTCAGTTGGCTATAAAATATCTTTCTTCAGTGGAGGTTAAATTATCCTACATTATTATCTCAGTGCCTTTAGCTTATTGAGAAAATATTGGCAAAATGATTTATTCTTATTTAGCAGGCAAGTAAATGGAAGCATAGACAGGGTAAGTCAGTTGCACAAGGTCAATTAATAAATCATTTTCACTTGGGTGAGATCACGTTTTCTAAGGCACAGTGTCATACTCAAGGAACTGATCAGTGCCTGAGACATATCAAAAAAGTAAAAATAAAATGTTTACCTTGTTTGTTAGAAAGAATAAAGTTGTAGACTCATTTCAGACTGATGTACTAAAGCCTTCAAAATTTGTGAGTGAAATTATGTACATGTGTTGCCAGGCTGTATTTTGCAGCTTTTTGTATTATTTGCATGTGTTGATTTGTATGAAGAGTAATGAAATAATTTGAAATAGTGCTTTAGACTAAACAGTTGTGATAATAAAAATGAATTTTCAGCTGCAGGAAATACTTTCTTGGTATTAAAAGAGCAAAATAGAAAGCAATAGAACATAAAACAGATTGAAATAGTTTTTTTTAAGAAAAGAGGAACATAATTACACTAAATAATATTAAAGAAAACCATTTAAAAATAATAAAAAAATAGTGTCCTATCAATGATCTAATCAATGAGTATTGAATCTAAATTATTGGACAACTATCTTATACCTCATTTATAGTCCATTCCTTTTTCTAAATTAAGAAAAAATTAATAGGTCTAACTGTCATGATATCATCATTTTTTTGTTGTTCCCTATTTGGGGACATTGTTGAGTTTGCTACTAGCAAATCCTTTGCTCTTTTTACCTTAGTTCAGTGTTTCCTACATGTCATTTACAGAGTTTCATGGGAAACAGAGATCGAGAATTTAATCACAGAGGTTTTGGAAATATTAGATACAGTTACCCTTCTCGTAGAAATTAGTAATACATCTTAACCCTTTTAAGGTTTCAAGAAATGATCTAAGATTAAAACACCCTGTTGCCATTTGTTTGCCTCCAACTTCCACAAACGGATTTTGGATATATATATATATATCCAAGACATTTATTAACATTGCAGGCATCTTGCTTTAGAAACACAGGAAGAGGTAGCAGTGATGAGGACTGATTATGGAAGAAGGGGATGTGGCTTGGCCAAGATAGGTTTTATGGGTTAGTTAGAATGTTTGGAGAGTTACTGACTTATTTCAGTAACTTGCCTATTTTCCACTTTTCAGAAACATCAACTAAACCTTTCTTTGTCTTTTGAATTGTATGGCTTGCCAAATTGTGAGATTTTTATGCATGATTTTCCATTGAACATATACAATGTTATTTTGAGTCTGTGGAAAACATGCACTTTGGCACATCTTATTGGATTATTTTTAATTCATAGGAGTTACTTTTCTTGGAGTGAGACATTTAACTGAAAAGGTCATTGCTCAGGAATCACTGCTTTTTCAGATTTTTCTTTTTTCTCAAATGTTTTGAGAAATACTGTTGTCATTTTTAATAGTGATCATGAAAAATACATTAAAGTTCAAAATTCATAACAACCATATATAGTTTTTTTTGGCAAATACAAGAATGTTTTATATTCTTAATTTGAATGTGGTATGTATTTTTAATTCTTTATTTTTCAAAACTTGATGAAGAAAAAATTGTAATTTGAAAGGTTTTAGGATACTAAAATGGAGCAAACAGTCTCTGTTATGCCTGGGTATTTGGTTTGCTTTATTTGTGATAGAACATGGAAATATTTTAAAACTAAGATTTGTTGAAAACCCCTTATTATTAATATTGTTGTGTTAAATGTATAACTATTGAACTGTCAGTGAAATATGACACATTTTATCCAGTGACATTTTAAATGAATCTCATTGTAGGGGAAGCCTGTGGGAACACCAGATGCTGGCGCTTATTTCCGTGTGCTTGCAGAGCATGGAGTAGCTGCCTTGTTTACAGCACCAACTGCAATTAGAGCAATCCGTCAACAGGACCCTGGGGCAGCTTTGGGGAAGCAGTACTCTCTGACAAGGTGACGTTGGGATGCACAGGGCAAATGACATTAGAAAGTGCAATCAAAATGAATAAGTGAACATTATTTTTTTTCTGGTACTGGAATACTCTTATAGGAAGAGCCAAAAGATTCAGAGTGTTATTAAGAACAACTTGTCTAAATATAATTTTGAAATAGTTGGAATTTTAACTCTGCTTAGAGATTTTAAAATATTATATCATGTTAATTTCAGTTCAAATATTATGAAAATATTTCTTTTTAAAATCACTCTTGTTATATTTTCCTTAAAAGGTAAAATGCCAATTCTGACTTAAAATGCACAGATAGATGGATACAGATGTACTAACATCTGCCTTTTGAAAATAGAAGAATGGGTTAAATGAAGGGGCAATATTTGAATGCATGTATACAGATAAAATGTGAAAAATTATAGTCCAAATTAAATATATTAAAAAAGTGAAGAACAAAGAGACTTAGGTAAACACAGAATAATAGTGGGAGACATCAGGACCACACTGACAGTATTCAATAGATGATTGAGGCAGAAAACTAACAAAGATATTTGGGACTCCACACTCAATCAAATGGACCTGACAGACATCCACAGAACACTCCACCCAACAACAACAGAATATTCATTCTTCTTATCTGCGTATGAGAAATACTCTAAAATCTACCATGTGCTCAGCCATAAAGCAATTCTCAACAAATTAAAAAAACATACCAGTGACACTCTCAGACCACAATGAAATAAAAATAGAGATTAATATCAAGAAGCTCTCTGAAAATCATACAATTACATGGAAATTAAACAATCTGCTCCTGGGTGACTTTTGGGTAAACAATGAAATTAAGGTAGAAATCAAGAAATCCTTTGAACTGAATGAAAACAAATGTACAATATACCAGATTCTCTGGGTCATAACTAATGTAGTGATAAGAGGAAACTTTATAGAACTACATGCCCATAAAAAAGTTAGAAAAATCTCAAATTAACAATGTAATGTCACACCCCGAGGAACTAGAAAAACCAGAGCGGACCATTCCCAAAGCTAGCAGACAAAAGAAATCAACCAAATTAGATCTGAACTGAAAAAAATTTAGATGCTAAAAAACCATATGAAAGATCAATAAAACCAAAAGTTGAGTTTTTAAAGAATAAAAATCTTGATAGGCCACTAGCTAGACTATTTAAAAAAGAGAGAAGATCCAAATAAACATAATCAGAAATGACAAAGGGAACATTAGCATTGATTCAACAGAAATGTAAAAAATCCTGAGACAATTACAAATACCTCTATGCACACAAAGTAGAAAACCTAGAAGAAATGGATAAATTTCTGAAAACATACAATCTCTTGAGATTGAACCAAGAGGCTGGGTGCTGTGTCTCATGCCTGTAATCCCAGCACACTGGAAGGCCGAGGCAGGTGGATCACGCAGTCGAGACCATCCTGGCCAACATGATGAAACCCCATCTCTATTAAAAATACAAAAATTAGCCAGGTGTGGTGGTGTGGGCCTGACCTGTAGTCCCACCTACTTGGGAGGCTGAGGCAGGAGAATTGCTTGAACCCAGGAGGTGGAGGTTGCAGTGAGCCAAGATCACGCCACTGCACTTCAGCCTGACAACAGAATGAGACTCCATTACAAAAAATAATAATAGTAATACAAAAATAAAAAAAAAATTGAGCCCAGAAGAAATTGAAACCCTTAATGAACCAATAAGGAGTTCTGAAAATGAATCAGTAATAAAAAAAACCTACCAACCAGAAAAAGCCCTGGACGAGATGAATTCACAGATGAATTCTACCAACATAAAGAAGAGCTGGTACCAAACCTACTGAAACTATTTCAAAAAGTTGAGGGGGAGGGATTCCTTCCTAACTCATTCTATAAGGCAAGCATCATTCTGATACCAAACTCTGGCAGAGATGCAATGAAAAAAGAACTTTAGGCCAGTATTCCTAATGAACATAGATGCAAAAATTCTCAACAAAATACCAGCAAACTGGAACGAGCAGCACATCAAAAAGCTAATCCACCATGATCAAGTAGGCTTTACTCCTGGAATGCAAGGTTGGTTCAACATATGCAAATCACAAAATATGAGTCATCACATAAAAATAACTAAAAACAAAAGCTGTGTGATTATCTCAATAGATGCAGAAAATGACATAAATAAAATTTAGTATCCCTTCATTTTAAAACCCCAAACAAGGCATCAAAAGAACATACCTCAAAATAATAAGGCTCATCTATAACAAATCTACAGCCAACAATATACTGAACAGGGAAAAGCTGGATGGATTCCCTTTGTAAACCACAACAAAACAAGGATGTGCACTGTCACCACTCCTATTCAACATAGTTCTGGAAGTCCTTGACAAAGTAATCAGTCAAGAGAAAAAAATAAAAGGCATCCAGAAGGAAAAGAGGAAGTCAAACTATCTCTCTTTGCAGATAATATGATTCTATACTTAGAAAACCCTATAGTCTCTGCCCAAAAGCTCCTAGATCTGATAAACAACTTCAGTAAAGTTTCAAGATCCAAAATCAAGAGCCTCTGCACAGCAAAAGAAACTACCATCACAGTGAACAGGCAACCCACAAAATGGGAGAAAATTTTCACAACCTACTCATCTGACAAAGGGCTAATATCCAGAATCTACAATGAACTCAAACAAATTTACAAGAAAAAAACCAACAACCCCATCAAAAAGTGGGCGAAGGACATGAACAGACACATCTCCAAAGAAGACATTTATGCAGCCAAAAAACACATGAAAAAATGCTCACCATCACTGGCCATCAGAGAAATGGAAATCAAAACCACAGTGAGATACCATCTCACACCAGTTAGAATGGCAATCATTAAAAAGTCAGGAAACAACAGGTGCTGGAGAGGATGTGGAGAAATAGGAACACTTTTACACTGTTGGTGGGACTGTAAACTAGTTCAACCATTATGAAAGTCAGTGTGGCGATTCCTCAGGGATCTAGAACTTGAAATACCATTTGACCCAGCCATCCCATTACTGGGTATATACCCAAAGGACTATAAATCATGCTGCTATAAAGACACATGCACACATATGTTTACTGCAGCACTATTCACAGTAGCAAAGACTTGGAACCAACCCAAATGTCCAATAATGATAGACTGGATTAAGAAAATGTGGCACATATACACCATGGAATACTATGCAGCCATAAAAAATGATGAGTTCATGTCCTTTGTAGGGACATGGATGAAATTGGAAATCATCATTCTTAGTAAACTATCTCAAGGACAAAAAACCAAACACCGCATGTTCTCACTCATAGGTGGGAATTGAACAATGAGAACACATGGACACAGGAAGGGGAACATCACACTCTGGGGACTGTTGTGGGATGGGGGGAGGGGGCAGGGATAGCATTAGGAGATATACCTAATGCTAAATGACGAGTTAATGGGTCCAGCACACCAGCATGGCACATGTATACATATGTAACTAACCTGCATATTGTGCACATGTACCCTAAAACTTAAAGTATAATAATAATAAAATAAAAAAAAACATTTCTATACACCAATTATATCCAAGCTGAGAGCCAAATAAAAAATGCCATCCCATTCACATTAGCAATGAAAAGAATAAAATACCTAGGAATACACCTACAGGTAGGTGAAAAATCTCTACAATTGGAATTACAGAACACTACTGATAGAAATTAGTGATGACACAAATGAATGGAAAAGCATTCCATGCTCATGATTAGGAAGAATCAATATTGTAAAAATGGTCATACTGTCTAAAGCAATTTACAGATTAAATGATATTCTTATCAAGTTACCAATGACACTTTTCACAGAAGTAGAAAAAAACTATTCTACAATTCATATGGAACCAAAAAGAGCTCAAATAGCCAAAGCAATTTGAAACAAAAAGAACGAAGCCAGAGGCATTATACTACCTGACTTCAAACTATATTACAAGGCTACATTAACTAAAATGGCATAGTACTGCCTCTGAAACAGACACATAGACCAGAGGAACAGGTTAGAGAACCCAGAAATAAAGCTACAGATGTACCACCATCTAATCTTTGACAAACTTAACAATAACAAGCAATTGAGAAAGGACTCCATTCAATAAATGGAGCTAGGATAACTGGCTAGCCATATGCGTAAGGTTAAAACCAGACCCCTTCCTTTCACCACATACAAAAATCAACTCATCATGAATAAAAGACTTAAATATAAAACCTAAAACTATAAAAATCCTAGAAGAATTTATACAAAATAGCATTCTGGACATAGGCCCTGGCAAAGATTTCATGATGAAGACTCCAAAAGTAATTGCCAAAAAAAAAAAAAAAAAAGAAAAAGAAAAAAAAAACACAAAAAAAACCCAGAAACTGACAAGTGCAATTAAACTAAAAAGCTTCAGGACAGCAAAAGAAACTATCAACAGAGTAAACAGACAACGTAGAGTATGGGAGACAATATCTGCCAACTACGCGTCAGAGAAAGATCTAATATCTGGAATATATAAGGAGCTTAAACAATTCAACAAACAAAAACCAAACAACCCCATTAAGAAATGGGCTCACGCTTGTAATCCCAGCACTTTGGGAGGCCGAGGTGGGCAGATCACAAGGTCAGGAGATCGAGACCCCAGTGAAACCCCATCTCTACTGAAAATATAAAAAATTAGCCAGGCGTGGTGGTGGGTGCCTGTAATCCCAGCTACTCGGAGAGGCTGAGGCAGGAGAATGGCGTGAACCCGGGAGGTGGAGCTTGCAGTGAGCTGAGATCGCGCCACTGCACTCCAGCACTCCAGCCTGGGTGACAGAGCGAGACTCCGTCTCAAAAAAAAAAAAAAAAAAAGGGCAAAGGACGTTGCATTAGTCCATTCTCACATTGTATAAAGAAATACCTGAGACTAGGTCATTTATAAAGAGAAGACGTTTAATTGGCTCATGGTTTTGCAGGCTGTAAAGGAAGCATGATGCTGTCATCTGCTCAGCTTCTGAGAAGGCCTCAGGAAACTTGGCAAAGACATGTGATCAAGCTAAATGCCCATCAGTGGTGGACTGGATAAAGAACATTTGGTACATATACACCATAGAATACTACACAGCCATAAAAAGAGTATCATGGCCTTCATGGCAATATGGATAGAGGTGTAGACCATTATCCTAAGCAAATTAATGCAGGAACAGAAAACCAAATACTGCATGTTTACTCTTCTAAGTGTGAGCTAAACATTGAGTATGCATGGACACAAAGAAGGGAACAATAGACACAAGGGGTAGAGTGTGGAGGATCAGGATCAAAATACTACTTCTCAGGTACTATGCTCGTTACCTGGATTACTTGATAATCTGTACACCAAACACCACAACACACAATTTACCCATGTAACAAATCTGCACATGTGACCCCTGAACCTAAGATACAAGTTGGATAAAACAAAGTGAAGAAAAATATTTTATTTTTGTTTTGTAATAATGTGCTTTGAATAGTCTAGGTATTTTTCTGCTGGCTTATGGATATATCTATATCTATCTATCCATCTATGTATCTATCTATGTATCTATCTGTCTGTCTATATTTTTAAATCGAGACAGAGTCTCACTCTGTTGCCCAGGCTGGAGTGCAGTGGCATGATCTTGGCTCATTGCAACATTTGCCTCCCAGGTTCAAGCGATTCTCCTGCCTCAGCCTCCCAAGTAGCTGGAATTACAGGTGCCTGCCACCACGCCTGGCTAATTTTTGTATTATTAGCAGAGACAGGGTTTCACTATGTTGGCCAGGCTGGTCTCAAACTCCTGACCTTTGGTTATCTGCCTGCCTCAGCCTCCCAAAGTGCTGGGATTACAAGAATGAGCCACTGCGCCAGGTCATGGACCTACATTTTTATTTAATCTGATGCATAATCAAAGATAATTATAGCAAGTTGCATCTTCAAGGAGAATGCCAACATCAATCTCATTGAACCTCTTTGAATTAGTTTACTATCCTATAACTAAAAGAAGAGATTTATAGTTTACTGAAGTCAAAAAGTGGGCTTGAATTAAGGCTGCTTATATTGTATAAGTGAAATGCCAGAGTATTTTACTTTTATGTTTCTGTGGCCCAAGGGAATTAAAATAGATATTATGCCCTGAATCCCAGTGTCACTGTGACTGCCTGTGAACCATGTCAGAACCAATATCAACAAAGGCCTCTTCAGCTAAGACTTCCCAGTGTTAGAAAGACAAGAACAGTAGGATCTCTAAAGCCCTTATCATAATAGCCTACACAATCAATATCACTGCCACAAAATCATGCAGCCAGGTCACTAAGGCATCTGCAGTCATCACTAACACTGATCTCACCTGGAGAAGCTGTATGGAGACTACACCACTGCACCCACCTAGTACCAGAACAACTGCACTCTGCCCAACCGATGCCCTCCAGCCTGTCGTCAGGTGAAAGTTTTTCCCTATGAAAGTCATTCTCTGAAGTTTGGAAGAGGAGACTGTACCAGAAGATGCGCAAGCATTAATGTGGGAATACCAGAAACATGAAAATGCAAGGGAACATGATGCCACCAAGGGAACATGAGAATTTCCCAGTATCTGACCCCCAAATTTACAGAAATTTATGAAGTTATTGAAAAGGAATTTAAATTAATGATCTTAAGAAAACCAAGAGAGACAAAATAGTATACAAATAGAAAATTCAATGAAATCAGCAAAGTAATTCATGATCTCAATGACAAATTCAACAAAGAAATATATATCATAAAAAAGAATCAGAAATCTTGAAGCCAAAGATTTCAATCAATTAAGCAAAAAAAAAAAAAAAAAAAAAGCAATAGAGAGCTACAATAGTAGACTAGATAAAGCCAAAAAAGAATCTGTGAACTTCTTGAAAATCAGTCTTTTGAAATGACTCATTCACAGGAAAAAATAAAAAAAGAATGAAAAGGGGTGAAGACAGCCTATGAGATTTATGGGACGTCATTAAGTGAAGAAGTATTGCATTATGTTCTTTAAGAAGGGAAGAGACAGAGAAAGGGACTAACAGCTTATTTAATGAAATAAATTATGAAAAATTCTGAAAACTAAGTCTTGGGAGAGATATGGATATTCAGATCCCTAAAGCGCACAGATCCCAAAATAGATTAATCTAAAGAGGCACATTATAATCGTATTATCAAAAGTCATATACAGAGAGAATTTTAAAAGCAACAGAGAAAAGCATCAAATTACATATAAGGGAATTTCCATAGAACATTAGCAGATTTCTCAGTAGAAGCCTTACAGGCCAGGGGAAAATGGCATGGTGCTGAAAGGAATAAGAATAAAACAAACACAAAACTGCTAGCCAGACATGCTGTCCTTCAGGAAAGAAGGATAAATAAAGTGTTTCAAAAATAAACAAAAGCTGAAGGAATCCATTATCATTAGACCTGCCTTATAAGAAACAATTAAGGAAGTCCTTCAAGGAGAAACAAAGGGATGATTATTACTAACATGAATACATACAAAAGTATAAAACTTTCTTCTAGAGGTAATGGTGGTGCATAAATCATACCTACACCTAGTATGAAGGTAGAAATCAATTAATTCATTAATAATAGCCAATACATTGGTTAGAAGCACACAATGTAAAAAGATGCATATTTTGACATCAAAAACAAATTGTGTATCAGGAGGAGCATAAAAATCTAGAGATTTTGTATGCAACAGAAGTTGAGTTTTTATCAGCTTAAAAAAGTATATCTGTAAGATTGTAACCAAGCTGCTTAGCTTCAAACTGCATTTTAAAAACTGTTTTTCTTTCTTTCCTCTTCTCTCCCCAGTCTCAGGACACAGCATTGAGACAAACTACAAATGCATTTTCTAGAACGTACTGTGAACCTCCATTCTCTTTCCCTTTCCACTTTATCCAACCATGCCTTATGCACATTTATTTACCTAAATGCTTGTCAAATGCACATCATGCTCACTTATCTGGTCATGTATTTTCTTAGAAGCTTCAGGACATGAATACTGACACAGAACAGACACCTCCAGAATTCTCTCCCCATACAGACCACCAAAAATTTTAACTGGCAAAGGGTCCAGCTGCTCACTGCTTGTAGAAAGAAGCCAAAATAACAAGAGTGAGGTGTGATAAAAAGAGAGGAGACTTTATTATCCATGCTGGCAAGGGGAAAAGTGGAAATTATTTTGGAAGAATTCCACCCACTTTTCCCCGTGTTAGCACAGACAATTAAAACTCCTCTCTTTTTATCACACTTTGTTTTGTGATTTTGGTTTCTTTCTACAAGCGGCAAACAGCCGGAGCCTTTGCTGGTTACAAGATGTTTTATGTAAACCTCATGGCAACCACAAAACAAAAATCTACAACAGATACACAAATGATAAAGAGAAAGGAATCAAAGCTTAGCACTACAGAAATTATCAAATAACAAAGGTAGACAACAAGAAAGGAAAAAGGAACACAGAAGCTACAAAATAACTAGAAGATAAATAAAATGGCAGTAGTAAGTTCTTACCTATTAATAATAACTTTGACTGTAAATGGATTTTGTTCCCTAACCAAAATCATGTAGTTGCTGAATGGATTAAACAAGATTCACTGAAGTGACCCACTTAGGCCTTAAGGACACATGAAGGCTGAAAGTAAAAAGATGGAAGGGGAACATCCATGTAAATGCCATCCATAAGAGAGCAGGAGTGGTTATACTTACATCTGATAAAATAGACTTCAAATCAAAAGCTGTCACAAGAGACACAGGTCATTTTTTAATAATAAAAGGGTCATTCATTAAGATAACTCAACCACTGTAAATATTTATACACCCAGTATTGGATGAGCTAAATATATAAAGCAAATATCAATGAACATGAAAAGACAAATAGATAGCAATACAATATGGTACTTCAAAATCCCACTTTCAACAATGAATAGATCAAGCAGACAGAAAATTAATAAGGTGATACTGGACATAAATTGAACTTTTGACAAAATTGCCCTAACAGACATATACAGAACTTCCCTTCCAACAGAAGCAGAGTACTTATTTTCCTCTAGTGTACACAGAACATTCTCCAGGATAGATTGCATGTTAGGCCACAAAAAAAGCCCTAACAAACTTAATAAGATTGAAATAATATTTAGTATAATTTTAGACCACAATGATATGAAACTATAAGTTAATAACTGGAGTAATCTTGTGTAGTTCACAAATATGTGGAAATTAAACAACATGCTCTTGAACAATCAATGGGTCAAAGAAGAAATCAAAAGAACAATTTAAAAACATCTTCAGGCAAATGATAATGGAAACACAGTATACCAAAACTTATGGGATGCAGCAAAAGCAGTTCCAGGAGGAAAGTTTATAGCAGTAAATGCCTACAATTAGAAAGAAGAAAGACCCCAAATAAATATTCTAACATTACCCCTCAAGGAATGCAAAACGAATAAACAACTAACCAAAAATTAGCTGATGGGAATAATAAATATCAGAACAGCAGTAAATCAAATGAAGTACAGAAAAACCATAAAAATAATTAATAAAACTAAAGTTCACTTTTTGAAGAACAACAAAATTTACAAACTCTTAATGAAAAGAAGAGAAAAGACTGAAATAAATAAAATCAAAAATAAAAGTGAAGAAATTCTAACAGGCTTCTCAAAATAAAGAGGATCGTAAGGGAATATTACGAAGAATTATATGCCAACAAATTGGATAAACTAGAGAAAATGGATAAATTCCTAGAAAAATATAAGCTACCAATATTAAGTCAATTAAAGTGATTTGAGAAGTAATCAAAACCCTTCCCACAAAGAAAAGCCCAAAACCAGATGATTTTAGAGCTGAATTTTACCAAACATTCAAAAATAATTTATATCAATATTTCTAAAACTCTTCTGAAAAATAAAGCTAGAAGTGTACTTCCAGACACATTTTATGGGGCCAGCATCATCTTAACACCTAAGTTAGATAAAGATATCACAAGAAAACTATGGTTAATTTCTCTGAGGAACATTCATGCAAAAATTCTTAGTAAAGTATTATCAAAACAAATCCAACAACACATGAAAAGATTATACATTGTGTTCATGTGAGATTTTTCCATGGCATGCAAAACTGATTTAACGTACATAAATCTATCAGTGTGATACATCACATTAACAGGATCATCATAATTAACATAAAAAAAGCATTCAACAAAATCCAACATCCTTTCTTGATAAAAACCTTCAACAGTTTAGGTATAGAAGGAACGTTTATAATAATAAAGACTTTATGAAAAACCTACAGCTAACATTATAATCACTGGAGAGAACTGAAAACTTCCACTAAGATCTGGTAAGGCAAGGATGCCTACTCATGCCACTTCTATTCAACATAATACTGGAGTACTAGCAAGAACAATCAGACAAGAAAAAGAAATTAAATGTATCTAATTGAAAAAGAAGTAAAATTATCTCTATTTGCAGATGATGTTGTCCTATATGCAAAAACCTCCAAAGATACCACAAAAACGTTATTACTAATAAATGAAATCACTAAATTGCAGAATACAAAATCAGCATACAAAAATCAGTGGCATTTTTCTACACAAATAATGATCTAACTGAAAAGAAATAAAGAAAAACCCCACATACAATAACATTGAAAAGATAAAATAAAATACTTTGGAATAATTTTAACCAAGGAGGTGGAAAACTATATTGGTACGGTAAAACTTTACATTAAAACTATAAAATATTGATGAAAGAAATTGAAGAAAACACAAATAAGTGGAAAGATAGCCCATTGCTCATGGATTGGAGGATTTAATATTATTAAAATATCCATACTATCAAGAGCAATACACAGATTCAATGCAATCCCTATCAAAATCCCAATGGCATACTTCACAGAAATAGTAAAATTATCCTAAAATTTGTATGAAAATGTAAAAGACCCCAAGTAGGCATAGCTATTCTGAGAAAGAACAACAAAGTTGGAGGCATCACACTTCCTGATTTAGAAGTATATTACAAAGCTATAGTAATCAAAACAGTAGCTTACTGGCATAAAAACATAAACATAGATCAGTGTGGCACAGGACAGAGACCCCAGAAATAGATCCAAACGTATATGGTCAACTAAGTCTTGACAAGCACACCAGGAAGACACAATAGGGAAAAATAGTCACTTTAATAAATGGTGTTGGTAAAACTGGGTTTCCACATATAAAAGAAGGAAATTGGATCCTTAACCTACATTATACACAAAAATCAACTCAAAATGGATAAAAGACCTAAGTATAAGACCAGAAATAATAAAACTTCTAGAAGAGAACATGGGGGAAATGTTTCTGGCTGTTGGACTTGGCAATGGTTTTCTGTATTTCATATCAAATGCTCAGGCCACAAAAGCAAAAATGAATAAATGGAATTACATGAAACTAACAAGCTCTGCACAGCAAAGGAAACAGCTAACAAAATGAAACAGCTGCCTATGAAGTGGGAAAGATATTCACAACTCATATATCTGATAAAGGGTTAATATCCAAAATTTTATAAAGAACTCATACAGTTCAATCGTGGAAAAACTAATAACCTGATCAAAAAATGGGCAAAATACCTGGAAACACATTTCTCCAAAGAAGGCATAAAAATAGCCAGCATGCATATGGAAAGGTGTTCAACATCATTAATTATCAGGGTAATGCAAATGAAAACCACTATGGGATATCACCTCATATCCATTAGATGGCTATTATCAAAAAGCAAAAGATAACAAATGTTGACAAATGTGTAGAGTAAAGGAAACTCTTGTACTCTGTTCTTGAGAATGTAGATTGTTACAGCCATTTTAGAAAACAGTATGGAGGTTTCTAAAGAAATTAAAAATAGAACTACCATATGATCCAGCAATCCGTCTTCTGGGTATATACTCAAAGGAAATGAAGTCACCACCTCATGAACATATTTGCATTCCCATGTTCATTGTGGCATCATTCACAATAGCAAAGGGATAGAAACAACCTGTGTCTGTTGATAAACAAATGGATAAAGAAACTGTGGTACATATATGCAATGGAATACCATTTCGTTCTAAAAAAGAATGAGATTTTGCCAGTTGCCACAACATAGATGAAGCTGGAGACACTACGTTGTTAAATAGGTCAGACACAGAAAAATATTACATCATCTCATTTATATGTTAAATTTTAAAACAACAACAAAAAAAAATCAAAAATACAGATATACAGAAGAAAACCATGGTTACCAGGATTGGAAGAAAGGGGAAATGAACAGATATTCAGATGAACAGGTCAGAGGATACAAAGCAGCAGGTATGTAGGATGAACAAGTCTAGAGATCTAGTGTACAACATATAACTTTCCAACTTTAGCAACCACCATTATTAAAATTAAACAAGAAAATGTACAAGCAAAAACTTAATTTCTTCATAAAGTTACCAATATTTATTTCTAAAAGCTCTTAGAGATACCTATGTCTTATCTACTGCACAAATATGAGCTCATATTCAGAGCTAATACTCCGGTTAGAATGATAAAATGACAATGCCTGTATGTCTGGCTGTCTTTGAGTTTGTGGTGGAGTTGCATATCAGCATTTCAAATATCCAGCTCTCATTATTACTAAATCATTTTTTTCATATAGCTACCAATTACCACAACAGTTGTCAAATCAGACAAGTAAATAATATAAACCCGTTTTGTGAAAAAATAAAAAAAATTATAGTTTATACAAGTTAAAAAAGCATTACCTCTATCTGTTTCCTATATTTTAAAGCAACAAGGGTTGTTTGAGTATATTTTTATCCCTCTGGTGCTTAGAATAAAAATTTTAGTTTAGGAGGAAGTTTTTTATTAAATTGAGAAAGCAAGTTGAGGCTGATAGCAGAGAAATGGTTGCTATCTTATTTGTGTATGTATGACTCAAGGTTACGCAGGTAAGCCTGAGGCTACATAAATATGAATGTGCCCAAATCTGGAATGATTTTAAATCCTCTAATGATGTAGAAAGCAGGAAAGCAAATTAGAAGGATGACATTATTGCTAAGCAAATTTGAGAATAGGATACCTCTAAAGGGAAGTAAATTATATTCACTGGCTAAAAAAACTTATACTTTTTTATTTAGTATTTTTTTGAATTTAGAGATATTCAGAGTATCTCTTCTGTGATATGCTTGATAAAAGATATTGAAAAGTGTTGTTATTGAACAAACCTTAAAATTTAAAGATGATATATATCTCTGATAGGTTAGTAAATAATGAAACTGATCTAGCCTTAGGAATATGAGAATTTTCATATATTATATCAAAATAATATTTATGGTTTCAAGTTTATGTCATTACTTTAAAAAATATTTCATATGAAGTAGAAGTAATTTAATAGGGAACTATGCATACATTTATATTTTAACTTTTATTGAGGTATATATACAGAAAAGAACATAAATCAGAATTTTAAAAGTTATAATTATTACAAAGTGAACATATCCATTGAACACATCCAGATCAAGAAATAGCACATATCCTGCATCGCAGAAGCCCTCCCTTTTGTCCTTTCCCAACCATTATCTCTTCTTGGCTTCCCAAAAATATGCCTTATCCTGACCTGTATCACTGTATATTAGTTTTGCTTGTTTTTTTGAACTTGATATAAATGGAATCATACAGAATGTATTCTTTGATACCTGGCTTCTTTCATTTACTTAATGCCTTGAGCTTCATCCATAAGTTTGCGCGTCAAAGTGGTTCTTGCATTTTGATTGCTGGTTAGATCACTCTTTATGAGTATTTCAGTTTATTTACCTATTTTGCTGTTGAAATAATTTTTACTTTTATTTTTTAAGTTGGCAGATACAGTCATACATTTACTCCGTACAACATGATGTTCAATTCCAAAGTATAGATACACTGTGGAAGGACTAAACCTAGCTAATTAACACATACATTACCTCACAAAGTTACCATTTTTGTGGTGAGAACACTTTACATTTATTCTCCTAGCATTTTTCAAAAAGAATATATTAACTTTAGTCATCATGTTATTCCCAAATCATCTTGGAGTTATTCCCCCTATTTAACTGAAATATTGTAGCCTTTGGCCAATACCTCCCAACTACCCTCTCCCCCTCCAACCACCCTGGCTGCTGGCAACCACCATTCTATTCTCTATCAGATCAGCAGTTGAATTCTTTTTTGATTGTTTCTAATTTTTTGACTCTTATGCAGTTGCAGCATTAATAATACATGTCTTTTTGGTGTCCATACACATATAGTGCTGTTGAGCATATATAACTAAGGTATAATGGTTACATTACAGAGTATGTCAAACAGTTTTCCAAGGTTATTCACCAATTTACACACTCACTTGCAGTGTGTGATTGTTCTAGAGTTTCCATGTCTTCACCAGAACATGATATTTTCAGTATTTTAAATTCTAGCCATTCTGATTGTCATGTAGTGATATCTCATTATCATTTAATTTTCATGTCAAAGTTGTTAATGAGGTTGAATGAGGTTGATCACCTTTTAATAATTTTTTGGCCATTGGAAGGTCCTCTTTTATAACATGCTTATTCAAGTCTTTTGCAAATTTTATTTTCTCTTTCTTGTTAATTTGTAGGAGTTTTTCATACTTTATTTTGGATCCAAGTCCTTTACTGACTTATATGTATTATAAACAATCTTCTCCAACTTCTGACTTAAATTTTCCTTTTACCATCACAGTGGTGACTTCTGATAAAAAGATGTGCCTTCTTATCAATAGTTTTCTTTTTGATTACTGCTTTTCAAGTCTTATTTAAGACATAGGTGTTTTTCCTGTATTTCATTTTCTAGAAATTTTATTGTTCATTTTACCTTTCATACTTACAACTATAATCTACCTGGAATAGATTTGTATGTATGACATGAAGTAAGGCGCTGAGTTTTATTTTTTTCCTTATGTATATCCATTTGATCAATTTCGATTTATTTAAATGGCCGTCCTTTTCTCACTGCTGTGCAGCAACACTTTTGTCATGACAGTGCCTACAAATACCTCATTTGCTTCTTGATTCTATTCTGTTCCATCAGCCTACTTGTTTGTATTCACATTACTCTTACATTGTCTTTATCATTATAGATTTATAACAGATCTTTATCTACTATTAATATATCAAGCTTATTCTTTTTCAAATTTGTTTTGAATATTCTTGGCTCGTTTTATTTCTGAACAGATTTTAGTATCAGCCTAGCAGTTTCAAACACAAAAACATAGAGATAGAGAGAGAGACTTTACATTGAGTTTACAGATTGATACAGTGAAAAAGTCCATGTTAACAAGTATATCTCTTTGTTTATTTAGGACTTTAATTTCACTCATTAATGATTTTTGGCTTACTGTGTGAAAATCTTGCATATCTTTTTATATTTAAGAAATTTTATTTTTATGCTATGGTCAATGGTATTGTTTACATTTGCATTGTTTGGTCCTGATATAACAACATGTAACTGTTTTTGTATAATGACCTACTTTCTGAAGCTCTTCCCTAGGTCACTTACTAATTGTAGTAGTTTTAATGTATATATGTATGATTGTATTATGTACAGAGTCATGTAGTTTGAGAAAAGTATCAATTTTATTTCTTCTTTTATGCCGTTTATTTCTTTTTCTTACTTTATTCCTAGGATCCTCCAGTAAAGTATTTAATAGAATTGGTGGTAAAGCTCATTTTTGTCTCATCCAGATTATCAGGAAGAAAGCTTTCAATATTCATTATTAAGGAAAATGATTTTAGCGTTTTTTGTTATTAATGTATTATTTGTTTGGAGAAAAGCTATCAAATTAACAAAGTTTCTATTTTTGGTGTTTGGGATTTTATCTATGTTTTTTCTTCATCTTCTGATGACCATGTGACTTTTCCCCCTCTTATTGTATTAGGAGTTAATGTGGTGAATTATAGTGACTGATTTTTTTAAGTGTCAAATAATTCTTACAATCTTGAAATAAATACATCTTGGTTAATATATTATGCTTTTTAAATATAGCTGAATTTAATTTGCTGACATTTTGTTGAAGATTTTTTTTTTGGTAGACCTTGTTTTTAGAGCAATTTTAGATCACAGCAAAATCTTGTGGAAAGTTCAGAGCTTCTATATAACTTATGTTTTCATACATGCACAGCCTCCCCTACTATGAACATCTCACATTATGGCTGTATCTCCTTTAAAATTGATGAACCTATATTGATACTTCATTATCATCCAGAATCCATAATTTAAATATATTTTCATTCTTGGTATTGAACATTCTATGAAGTTTAAGTATTGTGACATGTATCCATCATTATAGCATGGTTTTACCTGCCCTAAAAATCTTCTATGCTCCACCTGTTATCCCCCTCTTCCTTTCTATTTTTGGAGATTCCTTTAAAATCTAGATTTTTAGTCAAGATTGATCTCTAATTTTCCTTTCTTATACTCTTACTGGTTTTGGTTTCAGGGTTTTGCTCGTCTCATAAAATGGGCATGGAAGTCTTTTTCCCCGCTATTATCTAGAAGATTTTATGTACAATTAATTTTATTTAAATGTTTTGAAGTATTTAAAAATCAAATAAAACTCTCTGGGCCAGAAGTGACATTATGGGAAGGTTTTTAAGTTATGAATTCAATTTCCTGTGATGCAGACTGCTTCTTAAATCTGTGGCTTGGTATCTTTCACTTATTTTCAGAACTTTTCCATCTCTTCAAATACTTCTACTTTATTTTCCCTTCTTAAACTTTGATACTTTAATGACACATATGTTAGAACTTTTTACCATATCACCTATATTTCACAGGCTCTGTTTGATGATTTTTCTGCTTTTTTTTCACAGTTGCAGTTAGATGATTTTATTGTAACCTCTAGTTGTATCTAAACTTTCATTGAGTTTATAATTCCTAAACATTTTTCAGTTTAAATATTTTCATTTGATTCTTTATTATAATTTCCAGTTCTCTGCTAATATTCTACGTATATTTCCTGAACATATTCATCCGAGTTATATTTAAGTCTGTAGCAAAAATAACTGATTTTATGTGTGTCTTTCTAATGTCTCTTTTTTCTTTTGAGAGTTTAATCATATGGTCTTGTCTTCCATTATATCACTGTTATAAGAAAATAGCTATTTTGGCCGGGTGCGGTGGCTCGTGCCTGTAATCCCAGCACTTTGGGAGGCTGAGGCGGGTGGATCACGAGGTCAGGAGTTCGAGACCAGCCTGGCCAACATAGTGAAACCCCATCTCTACTAAAAATACAAAAAATTAGCCAGACATGGTGGCGGGTGCCTGTAATCCCAGCTACTTGGGAGGCTGAGGCAGGAGAATGGCTTGAATCTGGGAGGCAAGGTTATAGTAAGCCGAGACCGTGCTCTTGCACTGCAGCCCGGGCGACAGAGCAAGACTCCATCTCAGGAAAAAAGCAAACAAACAAACAAAAAACAGAAAGAAAAAAGAAAATAGCTATATTGAGATACCAGATGTTTTAATATCCCCACAGAGTGGTTCTTATTCTGACAGGCAATTGTCTTAAGGGAAGATCACTTCTATTCATTAGGAATGGAGCTGACTTGAAGCTAGACTCCAATATTTGAGAGGGTTGGTTTCTTTCCAGTTTACCTCCATTATTAGCTATACCTCTTCAGGTGTGCAAACTGAATACCTGGGTGTTTTATGTCACCTTTTTTCCATTGTGAATTTTAATCTTCGATTTTCCTTTCCCAAGAAATTATTATGACTGGATTTACCATTTAGTTTCAACGCCTGTCAGTCAGCCACATAGTTTTTGTTCAGTTTCTCAGCTCTTCAATTACTGTTTCCAATTAGCAAGTGTCCCAAGAAGGAAAACAGTTAAGACAATCAGTCTTATGTCTCTCTACATTTTTCTTTTTGGCCTTTTGATGCCTTAAGTGCTATTGCCTTTGAGTTCTCTGATGTATTCAAAAGGTATTTCATTTTTATATTTTTTCCAGCTTGTTTGGTTGTACTTGAGAAAAAGAGAGAGATAGAGGGTTGTACTTGAAAAAGGGAGAGAGAGAGAGATGAGAAAGAAATGAGAAATTGTTGGGCAAAATGCTATTCAGCCATTCACAGAAGAGTCAAATACATGTGTGATATTAACACTAGCGTCTTTACATTTTAAAAGTGAATTCTAATGGGGAGCAAATAGAAGAAAATTGAATGTAGGGAAAAGGAAGATAACCACAGATATATTGATGGCAAAAAATAATGATAATCTGTCATGTGAACCAGAAGTCGACGAGGCATCACTGAAATAATCTATTTTTATTTAACATCTGTTGGCACAAGTGAAGAGTAATTTTTGCTTGTTTGGTAGTTTATGGACCTTGAAGGAAATATTCACTTTTATTTTTTATTTTTTTGCCCTCACTTTATTCCCTGAAAATTCTTCATCAGATTTGTCTTTAGCTTTTTATTCATTTCTATTTTGGACCAAAATTAATTTGACAGCATTATCATTTTTCCATTTCCCTTTTGCTTAATTTTCAGCTTCATTTTAGTCTTGTGTTCAATTTTATATAAAATTAGGGAAAGGTGCATAGGTCTCATGCCCATTCATTTTCTCTCCTCTCCTTTTTTTCTATTCTGAATATTATTATTTTGTTTAGTTTATAGTATTATAGATTTTAAAGTAGATAAATCTTTCCATGTGTTACCATCATCAGAAATTATCTACACATTTAATAGTCAATAATAATCTATGACAGCATTCTCCAATAAACTAATCTCTACAATATGATAGGCACATGTGATTATTAAACTCTTGAATTAGGTTAGTATTACTGAGAAATTTATATTGTAAGTTTTTTTTTAATTTTAACTAATTTAAATTTTAAATGGCCACATGTGGCTAGTAGCTACTACATTGTACAGTCAGATCTAGAACATACATAATTAACTTAGGTAAATTTACCATCCAGAGGGCCCAAATTACTCTACAAAAATGTCTAATTTTAACTTTTGTAAAATGTATATTTACACAAAATATATTTTTGAATTTTCTACGGTAGGCATTTATTCCTTTGTATTATTAATAAAATAATGTCAAGGTCATTAATGAGGAATTTAGCTGTTGAAAAGGTTACTATTTTTTTTTTATAAACCACTGTACTTCTTGAAACAATAGGAAGATACCTGATGCCTAAGATAACTATAAAATATAGATTTATACTAAGATTTGTTGTTTCAATTATTATCATGTTTAAAAAAGGGCAAATCACTTAGTGTAGTTTTGTTTACTAAAAGGAATTGAGAGTTAAATTATATTTGATTAAATATTTATGATATTATATTGTTTCATTAATTATATCTTATTCCTAAATTTTATTTAGATTTGTATTCTGTTTATGTTCCTTAGTATTATACAATTAGCAGTCTGTAATTGATAAAATAACAATAACTTTTTGATAGTTTGAGGAATTTTAATACAAAAATAAATGGATAGTTTCTAGCATATTTAGGGAAAGAAGTCATCCGTAAAGTCTTTGACATTTTTCTAAACCACTAATGATCTCACAATTTTTCCTTTGCATTCAATAAATAGTAAAGTGATTTTAATGGAAATGGAAGGGATTTTTCTGACTTTCAGAGATGAAACCACTTTTGTCATCCATTGTGTAATATTGTACCTTTCAATTTATTAGTGCCAGCATGACGATTGCTATAATAATGATATTAAAAAGAACAGTAAACAAGTTTAGGAACAAAAGCAATAGGAATATACTGCAAAAACACAGTAATAAATACTAAGTTTTAAAATATATAATAGTGAAATTTGCCATCAGATAAGTGCTCAATGCTAATGCATGGTTTATTATTATAATCACTTACTTAGATTAATTGTAGTTTGTGTGGTAGAGACTGGGGGATAGTCAAAAAAAAAATTACAGCTTGCAAAAATGCTGGTAATATCAAGATATCAGGTGTCCCTTGGTTTGCTAAAAATCTGTATTTTAGTTTTTTAGTTGACAATGTTGTACATCACATTTTTAATAGTGAGTGTTTTTGAAGTTCTCGATCTCTAGTTTCATATATAAGCCAAAGACATGGGCATTTGAACCATCTAGATTTCTTTAAACTAATTTATGGCTTAACAGGCATTGGAAATGTGATATTAAGACCTGTAGAATTATTCGTTTTGGTTGCTCTTTGCCTACACTGCTGGGATCAGCCAAACCTATCATTTTATAAATTTTAATGTGTTATCTAAATGTATGATGTCTTTCATCACAGGAGTTTTCTAAAATATCAGAAAAGTGTTTGAATAACATATGATTAAAAACATGGCACTACTTTTCAGTCCTAGGATTATCAACATTATGGCCTTTATATTTTTTATTTTGTCTTGTTTTTACATAGCATTTAAAGTTATAGGTATATCAACCTCATTTTAAACGTTAAAACTTTACACTAATCTTTGTTATACTTTAACCTACTTTTAATAATTTAATGTTTAAATAATTTTTTCATTCTGCTATAACAGTTCCCTCAGATGAGGTCATTTTTGATCATCAAATTTTAATCTCAAATTACAAATATATACATTTGATTACTTAAATTTTATCTCAAATTGCATATGGATATGTAATTTGTCAAAAAAATTGTGTGGTTTTTTTTTCCTAGTCTCTGTCTCTTATTCATTCTCTTCCTTGCTCTCCCATTTTCTTCCTTACTTTTTATCCCCCTTCCTTGTTCTCAAAGGTTTAAAGATTACCCTAGCAGCATTGCATACTGTTAGAGGGTACTCACAAAAGTTATTCAAAAAATTTCTTAACAATGACTAGTAATAGGTTATGCTCTTATCTGAAATTTAAAATGATGCTTCTGTGTCTATATCAGGACACGCGAATTTTACCTTTGGCATTTATTGTGCTAAAGAACTGCTCCTAGATAATTTTGAATATGCAGTTGAGAAATATACCAGTGGGCAGCTACTCAAATATTATTTTTGACAGTGGATTGTACCATTATGTGAAGTCCTATAACGATGCCTAATTATTAAACCAATCATACTCTAAATTTTGAAAATCTGTTGAGATAACAGTTTACTTATAAAACATTAAGTAATAGATTGTCTTAGCTGCATTCCGTGACACTTGCATACCCACACATGTACATGCATACAGATCCATGTCAGAA
Organism: Homo sapiens; assembly: GCF_000001405.40. Lineage (NCBI taxonomy): Eukaryota > Metazoa > Chordata > Mammalia > Primates > Hominidae > Homo > Homo sapiens. The sequence continues at coordinate 81,196,126 of NC_000012.12, forward strand.
TAAATTATTAGCATAATGATTTGAGCAGGAATTGAGTATGTAATATTAAATTAAAATTTTTCTTCCTCCAGGCCAGTATAAGAATTCTGTTGTTTCTTCAGAAAGTCATGATCTACCTCTACACTCTCCCATATGGTAGCCTCTGGCCTCATGTGGTTATTGAACTCTTGAAATACCCTCACGTGGCTATTGAGCTCTTGAAATGTGGCAAGTCCAATTTGAGATTTGGTATTTAAAAAAGACTGGAAGATGTCTCACCAGTAATTTTTATATTCATTGCATGTTGAAATAATAACATTTTGGATATATGTATTTTAATAAAATATATTATTAGAGCTAATTTGACCTTATTCTTTTTTTTCTCTGAATGTGGCTACTAGAAAATTTTAAACTAGATATATTTTTTGGATTTGCAGCTCACATTATATTTCCATTGGACCATGCCAATTGTATTAGCCCATTTTGCATTGTTGTAAAGGAATACCTGAGGCTGGATAATTTATATAGAAAAGAGATGTATTTCGGCTCATGGGTCTGCAGACTGTACAAGAAGCAAATGCCACATCTGCTTCTTGTGTGCCCTCAGACAGCCTACAATCATGGTGGAAGGCTCAAGGAGAGCAGGCATCTCACATAGCGAGAGAGGAAGCAAGAGGGAGGAGAGGAGGTGCCTGGCTCTTTAAACCAGCTGTCATGCGAATAAGTAGAGTAAGTGAGGACTTATTACCATGGGGAGGACATGAAGCCTTTCCACTAGGCCCCACCTCCAATACTGGGGGGTCACATTTCAACATGAGATTTGGAGGGAACAGGTATCCTAACTATATCACCAATTTAGTTCATCCTCATGGCTCCAACTACATTATTGCAAAAAATAAAATGTAATAAGATAATTTTATTCTGTGAATATCTTTATATTAGCAGATTTTTTTTTAATTTTCTCAGAAAACGAACGTGGATTAGTAACAGCACATTGGATGTTTTATCACAATTTAACTAAAACCTTTTTGACATCCTTATAGATTTAAAGGTATTATCTTCTATAGATGAAAATTACCATGAATAATTCTAGGTGATTGCACTTCACATATAGACATCATTTATCAGTGATTCATTTATACTCAGAAATTAATTATTGTGTATTTTTCAATCGCTGTTTAAAACCTCTATTTTCTGTAGAATAATTAAACTGTTATTTTTTTCTCACTACTGCGGTCAAATGCACCTTCAGGGCCAAGATTATCTATAAAAGTTGGGGAAGATGTTAAAATAAAATTGGTAACGTGAGAACTTGAGAATTTTCTTTGTTTTGTGGCCCATCTTCTGTTGAAGTTCATGCTATCTCTTTGTAATACCCTCTCCCCACTCTTCAGACCTCCTTTAGCCTCTTTAATCAACAAGTCACAGACTTTCTTTGTACTCTCCACTGCTATGATACTTGAGTGATTTTTAATACTATCTTGAAGAGAATCCTTCTATGAAAATACTCCTCTTTCCCTCTGTGTCTTTCACTGTTAGACCTTGTCAGCTACCATAAACACTATCATCCTTCAGAACAGACACGTTTTCAAGGTCTGTAAGTTTGAAATTGCCTTCTGTCTACAATGACACCCTATTTTTCTCACCTTGCCTTCATTTTCATCAAACTTTTTCTTATGTGACTTCTAGTCATTTACCTCACTATTTTTCCTTGTATTTTTCTTTTATTCTGGTTATTACTGCCTTGCCTTCCTATAATTCCTGCCTAGTCTAGAGTTTACAGGCAGCTTTTCCAGCATCGATTTCCCATCCCCTGTATCACACCCCAATATGTGCTACCCCCGCTTAGCCTCCCAGGTCACTGATTGAGTCCATAAAAAACAACTGGCTGTTCTCAAGTCTTTTCACATTTATGTTGTGTACTGAAAATATCCTAGATTAGTAATTCCAGAATTTTGCCCTCCTCAGGGCACTGTTCTTTTTTTCTCAATTTCCACACTCTAAGAAACCAACATGACTCTTCTTTCACTTAGAAGAATAAGTCAAACTGGTGTTAATTTTGCTAACTCCCCACCTCTGTACTTTATCATTCTGAGCATCTAGAAATGTTTAAATACCTAAAAATTTCATGTACTTTGATTGGTCTTGGGATTATAAAGATACATGTTCCTAAAGAGCTCATAGTGCAGTGTGGGAAATAGACAAAAACAAAAGAAGTCTAGAATGAGATACATGTTCATAGCAAAGACAGAAACAGAATGTTATTGGAACATAGGAGTGGAAGTATTTGAATCTCCATGAATCTTTATGAAATGATATGAAAAATTAAGCGAATAGTAAAATATACTACGTTGTTCAGGATCAGTAGACAGGTTTTTGTTTGTCAACTGTTTGTGTTTTACTTTGATGATAAATGAATTAACTCTTTGAACACACACACACACACTTTTTATATATATATAAACAGGTCCTGAGGGCATTTGAAAATGAAAAAAAAAAAACCCATAAACACCCATGCTCTCAACGAACCACTAATGGGGTCAACACAATTGTATTTTCCTATTTCGTTTTTTCCATTCTGCGATACAGTGCTTTCTGCCAAAGATGGTTATTCTCCTTCATCTTTTAGTACTCTTGTATTCCTTTTGATTGAAGAACCTTTTTGACTTCCAAGGCCACAGTGGCATTTACTTCTTTACCAGCTATTTCTCCTACATATGTCCTTGGAATAGGAAAAATATATACTCAAAATTAGAGTAATCTTTATCATAGGATCTCACAAGAAGGAACAAATTCATATTTATAAGAATATTTGCTGCCTTAGCCAACACTTATGTATGTATTTTTTGTGTATATCCTTACTTAGAATATAGCAATCAAATTTGGAGCTAAAATTAGCGGAGACAATGTCAAGGTGAAATATATTTTATCTTTGATCATTAGATGAACATGGCAGATCGATTACAGAGATCAACTCAATTGCTCTTTTATAAACTGAAAAGCACTAGCTGTGAATTCTACTTTGGAAGTACCTCACTCCAATTCTGTGATGTATGTTTGTTTACATTTGGGCCCAAACAAGAAATGACTCTCATCATTATACAGTGTGATGTATTGGTTATATTGCTGTATTCCTCTGACATAATGAGTGTGGTTAACCAATGTTTTTAAAATGTAAATACAATTATTTAGATTTATTTTCCAGGAATAATTTGAATTCACTGTCTCATATTCAGGTTCAAAACATTATTTGTGGCTGGAGAACGATGTGATGTAGAGACCCTGGAATGGTCCAAAAATGTCTTCAGAGTACCTGTCTTAGACCATTGGTGGCAAACTGGTAAGCATTTTCCTAGCATGTACATAAATAGTAAAGAAATGTTCCAAAAAGCTGCAAGGATTGGAGGAAACTTTTGAGCTACGACCAGCAGATCAGACACAAACTCGGGATTCGAGTGGTTCAGGTTTCAGTAAAAATAAGCAATTTTTTTATTGTTGTGTTATTAATAATGTCTTCATAAGTGACATTGATGCCACCATTCTCTTGGTCCCTAGGTATAAAGCACTAAAGACCTCTTTATCTTCTCTTCTTTGTTTCTTATATCTGGTAAGTTACTAAGTCTCAGATTTTCCTTTGAAGTGTCTGTTGGGTTCATTCCACCTTCAGTATTCCCCTTGCCTTTGAGCTCTGGCAGCTGCATTATCCTCTGTCCTGATTTAAAGTTTCCTAATCACTCATCTCTATTCTCTCTGCTTTTTGATACACACTGCACACTGCTCCCAGAGTCCTTTTATGAAGGCTTGTTCCTCTCATAGGACTCTCTGGCCACCTTCTTGTGTTCTATAATATCTAATATATTCTGCCTAGCATTAAAGGCAGAGAAATTTATTTTTCTTCAAAACAATTGTCATTACATATGTAATTTGTTCATTTAATTTATTTTGTTTATTCCCTATAGTCCTCCCTCTAAGTGTTCCCTGGGAAACAAATTTTCATATTAAATGGATCAACTATAAACTTTGGAATAAGCAGACAACCACCACAACAATAACTCTATCTGCTGCTTCTTTTGAGGGATGGCTATATATATGAGAATGGGTACATTGTCTAGAAGCCATTTACCTCCTCACAAAGTACAGAGATTTTAAAAAATTTGACTCACTGAAAGCAGCTATGAGCCATGGGAGCCCTACAACCTTTATATGTACATATTTTATTTTAGTCCCACTTAGTTCAATGAATTAGATCAACCTTTTTATATACATATTTTCAGTATTCTCACCTTCTCTGCATCTGGGGCAGAATATCAAATTTGGGTTAAAAATTAGTGAGATTACTTTGCAAAAAATTAGCTCTGATTGTAAAAATGATTTTCATGTAAAAGATTAACTGAATGACTAAGCCTGAAATGCAGTGTTTGATACTTCAGAAGTTTCTGATTCTGACAAATTATACTTTTTATATTATGTCCTTGAATATTGTTCTTTAAAAATGTGTTTTCTGACTGGGCACGGTGGCTCACGCCTATAATTCCTGCACTTTGGGAAGCAAAAACAGGCAGATCACTTGAGATCACTTGAGGTCAGGAGTTACAGACCAGCCTGGCCAACATGGTGAAACCCCATCTCTACTTAAAATACAAAAAATTAGCCAGGCGTGATGGAGCGTGCCTGTAATCTCAGCTACTCGGGAGGCAGAGAATTGCTTGAACCCAGGAGGAGGAGGTTGCGGTGAGCCAAGATCCTATCATTGCACTCCAGCCTGGGCAACAGAGCAAGACTGTCAAAAAAAAAAAAAAAAAGAAAAAGAAAGAAAGAAAGAAAAAAATGTTTTTTACATCCTTTGTAATATGAAATATAAAATGAATAATCAGAGCAGAGGACACTTTCCTTACATAAGATGAAAATCAGAAAGAAGCTTTCTATTCCTTCCAGTTTTATTTACTAAGGGGAAAATTATTTAAACTCAGATTTGTAACTCTTTAGAAAATACAAAGTATAAGAAGGAATTTTGAGAACAATCAATGCTATGTGTAGAAATACATAGAAACAAGTGAAGAATTATTGCATCTGCAAGAAAAATGTTTACAGTATTTATGTATCCCCTATTAGCCAGGAAAGCTTTAACAGTTATTTTCTTGGTCATGAACTAGAAAATGTTTTGTCACCTTTAAGATAATTTCTCTTATCTGTTCAAAATGGGGGACTACTTTCCACACAAACGTGACCCGACACAAACGCTTGCAGAAAAGTTCTGTTTTTCCCTCTTCAAGGTGACTGTGCCAAAACTCACTGAAGAAAACTAGCACATTCACAAATAAAATTATAAAATTCTTTTACTTTTTCTTATAGACACCTTTGTACATAATAGCCTGTGTGGGTTTATGTAGTTAGTTTATTCAGGCTTACAAAAAAGGTCACTGAAGCCTGTGACAGAAGCATATGAGGTCCCTGGTGGATACTCAGTTCCATGAGAATTTGCAATTTTTCTTTAATGTATTGTTCCAAGGGAATTAATAGCTACATTGTGTCAGTGTGCTGTCACTGTAATCAGGTTGGAGTGACTGTTAATTGCCATGGAAAACATGTGGATTTTACTAATAAAATGAATGATTCTTTCCATTTCCATTGTCCTCATCCCGTTTGCTTTTACAGCCTTTGTTTGGTATTCTGTCCTATTAAACTACACAAATATATTTGAATGGGTAGATAGGTAGCTAGTAGCTAGATCGCTAGATTATTTTGTGCTTTGTAAAATAATTTCATTATAGGTGATGCAGAGGTTGGCTAACAGGACACTAGTTAGGATCTCTATACGTTTGCATAGAAAAAAATCAATTTATCATTTTCAAAGTTGTATGTTGTGGTAAGTAGTTATAAAATGATACTGAAGGGCTGGGTGCGGTGGTTCAAGCCTGTAATCCCAGCACTTTGGGGGGCCGAGGTGGGCGGATCACGAGGTCAGGAGTTCGAGACCAGCCTGACCAACATGGTGAAACCTGTCTCTACTAAAAATACAAACAAATTAGCCGGGTGTGGTAGTGGGTGCATGTAATCCCAACTACTTGGGAGGCTGAGGCAGGAGAATGGCATGAACCTGGGAAGTGGAGCTTGCAGTGAGCTGAGATCGCACCACTGCACTCCAGCCTGGGTGATAGAGCGAGACTCTGTCTCAAAATAAATAAATAAATAAATAAATAAAAATAAAAATAAAATAAAATTTCAACCATTCTTTCCTAAGGTGCTATCAAATTGATGTTTGATTCTGGGTGAAAGGGCAAGTATGTTATGAGTTATTATGAAATATTACAAAAAGATAAACATCTGGTATTACAAGTGCATTAATGAGTTTCCTAGTTTTGTATATCAAATAGATGGTGGTACATTTCCCCAAGAAGTATGCTAGGAAACACATGTTAATGTTTAAGAGAAGGTTAGCTTTAACCAAATAATACTTTGCTTTATTTCAAATTTCAAGTTTTCTACAGGGTCCCTTTTTCTTGTTATTGACTTAGAAGTTGATATTTTTTACATACTTGCACACTTTTATGAGCCTTTCATATAAATTCATATGTGTATGAATAATTCATGAATTTGCTCTCTGATTACACTGATACATGTGTACAAATGAGCTGCTTAGAAACTGTGATGTGTAATTTGAAATTAGTAAGGGATATGTTAAGTAACTAAAACGTATGAATAAAAATTAAGTAGTTCCTGTGACTTGAGTTGTAAGAAGGGACTCCGCAGTCAGTTCATTTATATGACCATGTTTTGTTAATCGGGGTTCTCCAGAGAGACAGAATTTGTAGATATAGATACAGATATATGAGAGGATACTTTTTAGAGAGATTGGCTGACATGATTATGGAGACTGAGAAGTCCTGTAATAGGCCATCTGCAAGTTTGAGACCCTGGAATTCTGGTAGCATGGCTCAGTCCAAGTCCAAAGGCCTCAGAATGAGGGAAGCCAACGAATGATGTCACTCTTAGTTTAAGACCAGAGGCTTGAGAACTCAGGGGGCCACTTATATAAGTTCTGGACTCCAAAGATGGGGGAGCCTGGAGTTGTTGTCCAGGGATAGGAGAAGAAGAGTGTATTCCAACTTCAGCAGTTGGATGCACACATTCACCTTTCCTCTATTCTTGTTCTTTCTGGTTCTGCCTGCTTGGATGGTGCCCACTCGCACTGAGGAAAGATCTTCTCATCTTGTCCATTCAGACTCACATATTAGTCTCTTCTGGAAACATCTTCACAGACACAACCAAACATAATGCTTTACCAGATTGCTAGGTATTTCTTAATTCAGTCAAGTTGACACCTAAAATTAACCATCACACATTATTATTGTTGCTCTAGTGCAACTTGTATTAGTACCAACTGATTTTAGTGACTAACATCCTCTTTATTTCATTAAAAAGACATTCTTTTATATCTGATTCAAATAATATCTAATAATCTAAACTGAGACCTAATCTGTAGAAAATACAAGAACAGATTAGCACCCTCCACCCCTCATAGGAACATTTTAATAAAGAATTGTTGTTGTTCACCACCACTGAAGCATGAATCTCTTGCTTTGGAGTATAATAATGTAAATATTTAATGCTGTCATGAAGGAAATTGGTCTTGTCAAGTTTAGAGAGGAGAGTTGTCTCTATTTGTTTCTAAATCTGTATAAAAGCCAAATTGTCATTCACCCAGATGTATTATCTTCACAGTAACTCATCCATAAAAAGATTAAAAACATCTGGATTATTGACTGAACTTTTCGTTTTATTTTTTACCCAGAGATAGAGAAACAGAGGTTTTACAATCATAATTTAAAAAGGGAAAACAAAAAGATAATGGTTTCATTAAAATATGGTAATCCATGTGCCAAAAAAAAGAAATGAACAGCCAGAACTTCCTTATCCTCAGCTGTACGATCCCCAAATAAAACACTATATTGTTATAGAGGTCAGACAGGAAGCACAATTTTAGAAGGAAAGAACTGTCAGTGCAGTGCATGGTGGCCTTCGTGGGATTTTTTTTTTCTTGTGATTTAAGATCACTGTAAAGGAATTATTGTTTTTATGAGTAAATGAGCTAGTACAAAAAAAAGATTTGTTAAAGTTCAGAGACTTACTGTTAAATCCTAAACACAGTAGATCTACTTTTTTCTATTCTTCCTTCCTCCTCTTCTTCCTTCCTCCTCTTCTTCCTTCCTCCTCTTCTTCCTTCCTCCTCTTCTTCCTTCCTTCCCTCCCTTCCTCCCTCCCCCCTCGTTCTCTTCCTCCCTTCTTTCCTCCTTACCTCTCTTCCACCCTTCTTCCCTCCCTCCCTTCTTTTATTTCTTCTTTCCTTCATTCATTCCTATTTGCTATAAGATATGGTATTGGTTTAGAAATGATTGTAACAAAACATCCTGGAGTCCCAATGTTTAATGTTATTTAATCCTAGATAAAAACGCTTTGTTCTTTCTCTTGCTATCACTCAGTTAATTCATGACAGCTACAAAGATAGAATACTCAAATTCCACAATGGCTTTTATAAGGGGCAACTTAGTGAAGGGTTTAATTCAACAAAATTCAGATTATTTTTACCTGTTGACAGGACACTACCTGTGTACTTACCATCAGAAGATCTAGAGCTTATATTGAAAGTGTTTCAAGTGTCCTTATGTCCAGGTACTGATGACATAGTTGAAATGAAGTAATGACCACCAACTTGAGCAGCACTAGGTGATTTTGTTGTTTGTTTGTTTTCATCACTTTAATGGAGGAATAAAATTCTTAGATAATTCACAGAATTTGTTAAACTCTAAGGAGGAATTTCAATGAGAAAACAGTAGTCATCTAATGAACTGAGACATTGGTGATGATTGAAATGTTTGATCTTACTTTATCTGCCTTGAGCCATCTTTGTGGAGTTCTTCTATCTTGGTGTAATCTGAGTATTTCACTCCATAATTGATTGAACTGCTTCGGTTTTAATTGTAACTGCAGTTCTGAAGTAATTATAGTCTATATACAGCCTAACTCTTCCTCCTTTGGGGAATAATCTGATAATTCTGGATTTTGTTAAAGTGGACCCAAAGGCTCCTCCAAACTTCAGTCATGCCAGCTCCTAAATCTAAACTATTGATTCTAAGGGTACACATACCCTTATACTATGTTATTAAAATGTGTCAGGGCTGCTTGTTATGATTTCTTATTTTTGCATAGCTTGGCAAGTTAGAATTCCTGACAGTAGACAACTGAGGCAAGACTTTTAACTACAAAAGTTGACGAGGTTGATCGAATTTAATCCTTATTCTTAGGGATATCTGGAGAAGATTCACTAGCCCAGAAATTGTTTAAGACAGCAATACATTCTATTTACAAAAATCAAAACCACAAAATAGAATAATTACTAAGAGTTTGATAACAGAGATCTCTGTGGGAAATGTTACAGGCACAACTACAGCCCTGTCTCATTCCTCCTAAGTAAACACATTGTAAAACACTTAACTAGGATTTGAGGATTTGCTAGGTAAGGTATCAAAGTCTAAGTCACTTTTTTTTCCGTGATCATCCTCTTCCATTGTTCCTCCTGAATTCTCAGACATTTTTCTTTCATGTGTCCATGTTGATACACTGAATTGCAGATGGATTTAATCTGTCAGCCTGCAGTTCTCTATATTTAGGCTATAATAAGGAATTTTATATCCCTGGAATCAGCATTGAGAACATTATGCCTCTTGTTATTTTTACACTTTTTAAAACGTTTCACAACTGTGTGTTAGCGTGTGACTTTCTTCGAATTTACTTAGCTTGTGTCCTGTGCAAAATCTTGTATATTTACTGCAAAATACATTCCTAGGCATACCTAGGCATAAGAGGCCCATATAGCTGATGTGACAATGAAGAAAGCACATTCTTGGTGACTTGAGGACTCCATCTTGATTTAAAAACCTGTTTTATGTGGTTTGAGTACCAACAGCCATTAGCAAATATTCCTCTGTCTGCAGATCAGGGAGCAAAATATTTCCATGTGCTATCAAATGCTGCCTTCTGGATTTTGCTTTTTAACTACTTGTTATTCTCTGCTTCTGTATTTTACTCAGTAATTTCTGAGTCTATCAAAATTGCACTATGGTGGGAGGGTTTCTTTAAAGTACATGTCTGTGTTTCAAAGATAATGGATTGAGCTAGTGTGAAATGCAAACTGTAGAACTCAAAGAGTTGGGTTGTACTGAACCGGCAAAACATGACCCCATGAACCAGGTTACCCAGGAGATACCCTAGGCTACTTTCAAATAGTAAAATGCAAATAATCTTTCAGTAATATGAATGACTTAACTACTGTCTGATACATCTTTGTTTTTCACAATTTAATGGTCAGAAATACATTTATTTTTTTTCTTTCATTCATAGAAAAGATATTTTTTGGTAAATTTAACATGAGAAGTTGTGATGGGGGAAAAAGCAGTTATATAGACACAGTGTCATCTCAGCAACGTGTAACTAGAGATGGCGTGACAGCATCCATCTGGTGAGAGAGAAAAGAAGCCCTATGTCATTATTGTTGCCTGGCAACAGCATTTTTTCTCATTTAGAGTAGTCTTCATTAGTTTAAAGTAGGTGATTTTTACTGATAATTTGAAAAGCCAGAGCTTAGAAGTAAGCTACATGAATTTGGTTTGTGGAAAGAATAACCTTTTGTCAAATGTAAGGCATGCTTAATAAGGCTTTCTCTTTCTGAAAGTGAATAACTGTTTACAAACTGCTAATCCACCTGAGAATGAATTCCCAAAGCAAACACCCTCATTGAATCAGACATTTCATCTTTATAGCATTATAATGTAAAAAGAACATCATTTTTTAAAAAATATATTACACAAATTAGTTCAGAGATGTAGAATTGTGTTTTGGAATCACTATTTGTGCTCATTATTATATCAGTGACAATGCTTTGGCAAGGGACTAAACGCTGGGAAATCGATTAATAACATAAAGTTGTTTTGGCCTTTGAAATATCTGTTCTAATTCTCCTCCTACTCTGGGCAAGGATCACGTATAAACCATGTTAGAAAGTTGAAAATATGTCATGTTTTTATAGATCTTCACAAGAGCAAGAGTTATCTATACCTTCCCTTGACAAACTTTACTGTCTGGAAATTTGATTCCCCCTGATACACGTAAACCCCTGCACTGGGCCTACTGCCCCCACAAAACAATTCCCAATTCCTCTTTTGCTGTGAATTTTAATTTGGAAAACAGCAGGTGGCTATTCTCCTTGGAGAAACAATGTGGGTAGCAAGAAGTGATGCAGAATCCAGTAGGACTGCCTTTACATCCCAATTCAGCCACTTACTCTATAGCCAAGGGCAAATCCTTGATCTTAAGTTTCCTCAGGACTAATTGAAAGCTTTAAGTGAAGTGAAATATGTACTAACAACCTAGAAGAATTCCTGGCATATAGTCAGCACTCAAAAAATATTATTTTTATTTTCCTTTCTATAAATAGCCCTTCATTAATGTAAAGGCCATCTTTAGAATCTTGGCCTGTAAATAATTCAGATTCAAAAAAACTTGGACTGTAAAAGCGGAACTTACGTTTGAGAAAATGTAACCGTAGAGATTTTACTTTCCTTGAGTCAACTAGCTAGTTGACATTAGAACCAGAACTCTCATTCTTCTGTGCTGTCCTGGGTCCTCTCCCCATAGCTTTTATCTCATGCCTTCATTAACTCAGTGTTTCTTATCTAGTTAAACACAAGGTTATTTATGGGCTTCTCCATTGAGTCCTCCACAGTTAGAGGCAATGTGCTATAAGGGAGTAGGATAAGACCAGTGTCTCATAGCTCGAATTAATGGTCTTCTTCCTATACAAAGAAGCAACCTATAGGTTGCTTTGAATTAACTATTTTAAACTAAAATCCTACCATCTCCTGAACACAAAGATTACATTGATTTTCTTTCACTAGTGTACATCTCACTGTTTCTGCTTTCTTTCTGCTACCTATTCAAGTTATTTATAGTTCACTGTAAAGATTCAGAGGTGGGGAGAATGGTTTCTTTACAAATTGCCTCTATGCCCATCGTGATGCTGTGATTAATATGATTCAGCAGTACTAGGTTGCTGCATTGATTTATTCGTAAGTCTTCCACTCGCAGCATGGACTACCGACTTCTAAATCCATATTGTTTTAATGTAGTTTCTGGAACCACTGTAAAGGCAGAATGGCAGATTGCCAGATGCAGCGGGAGCTCTGATTTATAGAGCTGGACTTGTGAACTTGCCACCACATCTTCCTCTTAACCCTCATTCACATCTAGTTTCCTTTAACTTTTGAGTCATATCCCAGGGGGTTAACTTGGCCTTTTCCCTCTTGCTTTTGCCCCGTATCCAGACAATCACCAAGACCTTTTGATCTTGAGTATAATTAAAATTTGGTCTTATCTTCCACTGCCAGTCACCTGCACCAGACCATCCACATCTATCTGATTTATTGCTTTGGGTTGGGATCATCAGTTTAGTGCTCCAGTTAGCAACTGAAGAGATTTTTCTATAATGCAATTCTGAGCAAATCGCCTTTACAAAACCCCCCATGTCTCCCATTGTTCCTGGAACAATATTCAAATTTCTTAACATGGGATTTTCATCCCGCTGTTTACTTCTTTCACTTGGTCTCTCATTATCTCCCTAAGTACACTTGCCTCCCGCAAGCTTTGCTCTGCGGAATAACTCACAGTCCTTTGGTGGTCTAACTTCTGAACCTTTATACATGCTGCAATTTCTATTTGGCATGTTATTTATACCCTCAACACTCCCTTTTCCCCAGAAGAAATACCTTTTAGTGAATAGAATATATTCGATAAATACTTATTGAATGACTGTCCTTTGAATATCATTCTTGGAATAAGAAAATGTTGTAAAGGAATCATAATGGTAACATATAGCTTTTATCTTCCTGGAGTCCTCTATTTTTTTCTCTCTGGTTCATTTTGGGATTACATTCTGTGATTTGCTACTTATTTTTTTTAGGCCCCTGATCTTTATCATGGGAGCCTAAAATCATGTTAGAAGTATGCATTAACTAGTCAGCAAACATTTCCCAAGCACAGAATGTCAGGGACTGGACTGTTGGTCCTGCTGATACAAATGACTCTCAGGCACACAGACTGATTTCAGCTGCAGGCTAGGAGAATGTTTTTTGTTAACTACATGCACTTTTTTTTTGAGACTTGCACTAAATCTTTTTAAAAAGGTTATATAACATTTTTAATGGGAAATGTTCCTAGTATTTATTGCTATGTAAAAAAAAAAAAAAAAATTACTCCAGAACCTGGCAGCTTAAAACAACAACCATATCTCATGATTTTGTGGATCATAGGCAGAAATCAGCCAGGGATTCTGGTGCTCCAAGTCTCCAAGTATTGTTGACTAAAACAACCCGGACAGTATTCAGTGATGAATTTGTTACCTGAAAGAGCTCCTGATCCAGACCGCAAGAAGGGGTTCTTGGACCTCACACAAGATTGAATTCAGGGCAAGTCCATAGAGTAAAGTGAAAGCAAGTTTATTAGGAAAGTAAAGGAAAAAAAGAGTGCTACTCCATAGGAAGAGCAGCCCGAACGGCTACTGGTTGGCTATTTTTATGGTTATTTTTAATTATATGCTAGACAAGGGGTGGATGTTTTATGAGTTTTCCAGAAAAGGGGTGAGCACTTCCCAGAAGTGCGGGTCCCTCCCCTTTTTAGACCATATAGGGTAACTTCCTGACATTGCCATGGCATTTGTAAACTCATGGCACTGGTGAGAGTGTCTTTTAGCATGCTAATGCATTATAATTAGCATATAATGAGCAGTGAGGATGACCAGAGGTCAATTTCATGACCATCTTTGTTTTGGTGAGTTTTGGCCAGCTGCTTTACCTCTTGCTGTTTTATCAGCAAGGTCTTTGTGACCTGTATCTTGTGCCAACTTCCTGTCTCATCCTGTGACTAAGAATGCCTAACCACTTTGGAAAGCAGCCCAGTAGGTCTCAGTATTATTTTACTCAGCCCCTATTCAAGATGGAGTTGCTCTGGTTTGAATGCCTCTGACATATTTTCCCCTTCCCTTTTATAAGAGAAACCTAATCCTAAGGGTCGTAGACAGATTAAAATCCATCTTCTGTAACTTCTTCAGGCTGAATGGGGTGATGATATTCCTGCCTATTAGGGTCTCTCGTATTCAGGTTAGAGAGGAGCTTCGTCAGAAAGCATCAGTATGTTGAGGACCACTCATAACTCTTGGATTCCATCAAAAGGTGATATCTGAAAGATTTAAACGTGTTCAATTTAAGAGGACATTGAGAAAGCTTATCCTGCATTCCTACACATAGAGTACAACAGCAATATATTCCACAATAGTATAGCAAAATAAGTAAAAACTATCCCAAGTAAACTAAATAAGAAGGCTATGAACCTGGCAACTGTTGGAACCAAACTGATATGGGGATGCTAGCTGATTCCAATATATACCCAGAATTAGAATACTAATCTGGAATTTTACATTACCCATCTCTTTTGTTTCTTCTGAGCTGCAGTCAGAGATCACTGATTGGTTCACAGGAATAATCAAGGTCAGTCTAAATTACAGGAAAAAACTCAGAAACAAGTGATGAGACTGGAATCTAATAGGTATACCGTAGTTCTTGAAAAATAGTTTTCTCTCTCCAGTCTCCCATTTTTACTAAAGATAAATCATGATAAGACTGATTTGCTTGTAAAAATAAGCTTTAGTCTTATACTTGGCCTAATTATTTGTATAAAGTGCAGCAAGAATAATTATTTTTCACATAGGCTTTTAAAATTTGGCTTTGATGGAATTTTAATTCATTTTTAATTTAATTAATTAATTTTCCATTGTTGTTGTTTCGAGACAGGGTTTCACTTTGTTGCCCAGGCTGGAGTGCAGTGGTGCTATCAGGCTATTGAGTTCACAGACTCAAGTGATCCTCCCACCTCAGCCTGCCCAATAGCTGGGACTACTGGGTGTGCACCACCATACTTGGCTAATTTTTGTATTTTGTATTTTGTGTTTTTGTAAGATGGGGTTTCACCACGTTGCCCAGGCTGGTATCAAACTTGTAGGCTCAAGCAGTGCACCTGCCTTGGCCTCCCAAAATGCTGGGAATGCAGTCAGGAGCCTCTTTTTTTTTAATTTTTAATTTCAATTTTTGTGGATACATGATGTATATATTTATAGGTTGCATGAGATATACAGGCATGCAGTACGTAATAATCACATCATGTCAAAATGGGTAGATTAAGGATTTTTTATAAGAACTGCCAAATTCTCTTTTAGAAATGTATCAATTTTATGCATGCTCACACTTACATAACAAAAGGGATTATCTTTGGTTTATGTGGACCATCTACCCACACAGTCTGTCTGTCATCTGCCACCCAACTGGGCCCTAGTTTTTCTGTCAGTCTTGTGAATTATCATGTGAATTGGTCCCTGATGTTTAGAAAGCCACAGAAATCTATTAACCAGTTATTCTAATACAGCCTCTGTCAGTCTCTGCATTTCCTACTACACATCTCTCTTGCAGCCCAAATAAATTAAACATGGACATAGAACCTGAATGGTGTGTAACTATTTAAATAAATTATATTTACATTGTTATGATTCATTAATTTTTTGTTCAGAAGCCCTCATTAGCTTACAATGTCACTCAGACTAAGGTCTTAGGATGACTTTGAAGTATTCCTGCATGATCTGCCTCCTCACTATTTCTCTGACCTTATTTCCTATCAATACTTTTTGTTAATTCTGTGATTCTATTTCAGTCACATTGGCTGCCTCACTGTTCTCAAACACTCTAGGTATGAACCGACCTCAGGACCTCTGAACTTGAGTTTCCCTTCTCTTATATTCTTTTCCCCTAAATATCTATGTGTCACATGTCTTCTCTTCTTTCAGATGTTTACTTAAATGTCACCTTCTCAGGGAGGTCTTTCTTGTTCAATACAAAATTGAAAACCCTCTCCATGACATTTCATACTCAGTTTATGTTTCCTTTTTCCGTTAGTATTTATCACTCTTTTACACACCACACATTTTACTCTTGTATAATATGTTGTTCATTATCTCCCCAGTTAGAAATTGGGAGGTCTCCATGCGGGTAGAAATTTTGGCTACTTTTGTTTATTGTATCTCCAGTTCTAACAACAGCACCTAGCACATAATAGCTGCTCAAAAACTATTTGCTAGTAAGTGATTTGTACCACCAGTAATGCTATTTGCAAGTATGGGGGACTGGGCTCACTTCCTGCCACAGGGATTTTTCTTCCTCTACTGAGACACAGTCTAGGTGATTTTATTCCTTTCTCATCCTCTGTCTGTTACTTGAGAGCTTCAGAAGTGGTACTTGTCTATTCCATTCTTCTCCTTCTTTGAAAGAACTATGAAAACTAGAACAAGTTATTTAAATTTTCTTGGCTAATCCTCAGAATTTTTCATCAGTAAAAAGAATACTCCCTTTTCTCTCTGTAGTCTTGTAGTAGTGGGAATAAATGCAATTATATAGATTAAAAGCACTCGACTCTTGGTATATAGCATAATTCATATTGGAAAAATATGTATCTAGTTGTCTTCCCTGTTTTTACTTCAGAGTCAGAAATTTTAAAGTAAATTCATTTAGGTAACAGCTTATTATATAATAAAGTAGAGTGAGTCAGTAAAGACATGCAGTAAAGATACCATGAAGTTTGTCCTTTTTTAAAAACAAGGAAATTTCTCTATTAGCTTCTAATGCAGGGTGAGTATAAATGTGCTAAGGTGACATTCTTCATACCCTTCAATTCCCTGTTCATCTTCTTCCTAGCTGTCTCTTATCTAAAGAAACTATGCTGGTGATTTGCTGAACATTTTGTGTTTCTAAGGTGAGGTGCTTTTGTAAAGTTTTGTCTAAATGAAGTATCCCATGCTCTTCTACAAAGAGAATGCTCTAGTTTGTTTATTGTAGCTATTTCCCAATTGCAACATGACATCTAGATTTCTTGTCTCCATAAATAACTGCTAGCCACTTAATTACAGCCCGGGTAGTGTGAAGCAGATGTTTTTAGAACATCCTGGAAATGGGGCTTTGGGAGTTCATAGGATTTCAGTTAAGGATTGCAGCATGCTTAGGGGTTGTCACTAATCAGAAGCCTATTCTGCACGTGGACCAGTTTGAGAGCAAGAGTGTTTATCTTGTCTGTGTGCATAAGTGTGTGAGGAAATATGTATATGTTTATATTGAAGATGCGTCAGTCCTTGGGTCCTAGGATGTTCAGAGGTACAAAGAAGGATAACCAAAGTATCTGTAACAACAACTACGGTCTTTTTCAGCTCACTTTTGTTCTACCTATGATTCCTTAGTATGCTTAGAGTCCTAGGAACTGCCATTTTGTCTGATTGTATTTTCTACAAGTCACTAGCAATAGTTCTCTTTCCTCCTCTCCTCTCCTCTCCTCTCCTCCCCTCCCCTCCCCTCCCCTCCCCTCCCCTCCCCTCCTCCCCTCTCCTCACCTCCTCCCCTCCCCTCACCTCCTCCCCTCCCCTCCCCTTCCCTCCCCACCCACCTCTGCTGCCCTCCTCTCCCCTCCGCTCCCCTCCGCTCCCCTCCGCTCCCCTCCGCTCGGCTCCTCTCCTCTCCGCTCCTCTCTTCTCTCCTCCTTCTCTTCTCTTTTCTCTTCTCTTCTCTTCTCTTCTCTTCTCTTCTCTTCTCTTCTCTTCTCTCCTCTCCTCTCTTCTCTTCCTTTCTTTCTTTCTTTCTTTCCTTTCTTTCTTTCTTTTGTCCTTCCTTCCTTCCTTCCTTCCTTCCTTCCTTTCTCTCTCTCTCTCCCTCTCTCTCTTTCTTTCTTTCTTTCTTTCTTTCTTTCTTTCTTTCTTTCTTTCTTTCATCTGTCTGTCTGTCTTTCTTTCTTTCTGTCTTTTTTTAATGGAGTCTTGCTCTGTCACCCAGGCTGGAGTGCAGTCGTGTGATCTCGGCTCACTGCAACTTCTGCCTGCTGAGTTCAAGCAATTCTCCTGCCTCAGCCTCCCAAGTAGCTGGGATTGCAGGTGGGTACCACCACGCCTGGCTAATTTTTGTCTTTGTAGTAGAGATGGGGCTTCACCATGTTGGCCAGGTTGGTCCCAAACTCATGACCTCTGGTGATCCACCAGCCTCGGCCTCCGAAAGTGCTGGAATTACAGGCATGAGCCACTACGCCCAGCCAGCAATAGTTCTTTTTCTAATCCTTTGAATGAATCAATCAAAATAAAGTCAACAAGACACTTGAATTACTAATGTTCAAAGTATAAACATATATTATCTACTTTAGGCAACCTGAATGAATAATCATTTTCAGCACCCTAAAGTTTAAGACTCAAATTAATTATATAGAAAAATAAGCTTTTAATAGTTGTCTTATAATCATAATGTATAAAAAAGATGAAGAATAAAGGTTATAAATAAATAATTACTATAGAAAGATGCTTGGGAATCTCAGGAGGTTCGTATATCAGCTTACTTAGGCAGTGAAGAAGGACAACGCTTCATTAATCCTTTCTTGCTGTCTTGCAGCTTTATTTAAGACTAGGTTATACTCTCACCTTCTTTTCCTACATCCCCCTTCTCCCAGTGCGATAGGAACAACAGAGTGATAACGTCTTTCATGAGAATCCACACTGTAAGAACTGTAGAGAGTTTGAACTCTAGGTAACTGGTGTGTCCCTATTGACAAACTGAACTTAATAAGAATACTTCTAAAATAGATTTACTCTAGCAGCTTCCTTGCACCAGGTAGTAGAAGTAACAAAAGCATCTTGAAGGTGGTATCTCCTTTCCTAATGTGTCTGAGAAGCTTCTCTTCCTATTATCATCTTATTTGTTCTGTGTACCTTCTTTTAAGCACCTCACTCTACAAGACTGCTTCCTGTCATCACCCTGCTCTGGTCTCTCATATCCATTTCGAAGGATAGCTGAGGTGAGCACCTGGACATTTCTGAAAAAACAGAGGGGGAAATGCTGTTAACACTTCTGACCATGCAGATGTCCTCCCTTGCTTTGATTATGCTGTGGGGAAAATCGGCAGGAGTATTAGATGGCTATGGATTGCCATTTCATAAAATACCTTCCCCCCTGCCCCCCACCTTTTTTTTTGTCATGCTTGGAAAATACTTTAGAACTCTTTGTTAAACATCAGAAATGTCTGCTCTGGTTACTTGCCGATGATCCTCAGCAGTGACCATATGGCTTAGCATCTTGAGCACTAAACTGTGACTTAGGAACTGTGTTTTGATGTTCAAGAGTTCATCCTCTGTTATTGATGCCAGCTGAGCCTCCATCCATAAAATGTGAATAATAAAATGAACTACTCTGGAAGGTAAAGAGCAGTAATAAATTCTTCCCATCATTCTAAAGTGATATCAATATGTGATAAATTATGGTAGAGCCCATGGTAGAAGGAACACATTCTGAGTACTTTAGAAGATGGATGCCTTTAATTTTTTTGGATTACTTTAGATATGATGGGTTTGGCAGTTAATTCCTTGGGTATATGTATGTGTAGGTTATGTGTGTAATACTAAGCAAGTAATTCCCAAACTTTTCACTAACCAAATACTATTTTCCTGCCCTTTCGTACATATATATTTTGTATTCAAAAGATTGTGTTAACTCCAAACTTGCTTTTATGAATGTTAATAAGTGCATCCCTCCATTAAAAATAACCACTTTCAGAACTTGTGGTAATCAGGTAATAGCTAATATTCTGGCTGTTACAACTTGAGACACAGAAAACAAATTTAGCATTTTTGTCAATCATTGCAGGCTAGTTGTGAGAAAGTTCGTGGTTTTGATGAAATAGTCAGCAGAGTATAGTCATCTTCCTCCCTGTGTTTTGGGGCTTCTAACATCCAGGAACAGCAGACTGAACAACTTGAAAAACTATTGCCAAATTTAGCTTTAAATGCAGGTTCTCTAGGCAAGTGTAGCTCTTAGGAAATTAGAGCATGATATTATCCATATATATTATATATTTTTTTAATTTATAAAGACATTTTATTAAAATGTTTTTTTCTGTGTGTAATCTTTTTTTATTTTTATTATTATTATACTTTAAATTTTAGGGTACGTGTGCACAACATGAATTAAACAATGAGAACACATGGACACAGGAGGGGGAACATCACACACCGGGGACTGTTGTGGGGTTGGAGGAGGGGGGAGGGATAGCATTAGGAGATATACCTAATGCTAAATGACGATATTATCCATATATTAAAAGTAATGGCAGAAACCGCAATTACTTTTACATCAATGTAATAATTTCAAAAATCTTTGGGTTACTTATTCCGGAGAATGAGCTAGAAATAACAAAAATGTTTTGACACAACTGTAATTAACAATGATAAACGAAATAACTTTAGGTGAGTCAAGAGAAAGCATCTTTTCTAGTGATCATTTTAGCTTTTAGTGTGTGTTATGGAACCGTCCAAGTCACATAATTTTCCATTCTACACGCCTGCTGATCCACAATTGCAAACGCTAGAGCAGCCTTTCTTTTCTTTAGAAGAAACACTACTATATAAATTTTTCTAATTATGAATTCTTAAGTTTTAATACTGTGGATATGTTATAAGTTACTAGATAGCTTTAAATTTTTAAATAATATATTTGCACTATTCATCTATTCCTAACACAGCTGCATTGTATGACAAACTAGGGTGGGGTAGAGTGTGCATGTACTCAAGAAACATTATGATTCCAAGTTAAAACATGAAGTGATAAATAACATTTCTTTTTCCAGAGACTGGATCTCCAATTACTGCGTCATGTGTTGGATTAGGCAATTCTAAAACACCTCCACCAGGGCAAGCAGGAAAAAGCGTCCCAGGATACAATGGTAAGGAATGACCCTGATAATACGTAAAGTTAATAAATTTGGCATTTTCTTGCATCTAGTGTGTATTATGTTGCATGAAACAAACTAGGGGCTTAATTAGAATCTGGTTGAATGAATGCCTTGTATTAAAAATGAATGCCTTAATTTTTGCTATCAAAAGTATGTTGTGGATTTCCAGGATATGTTCTAAATGACTGTCATAACCACAAAAATAATATCATTAATAAGGTATGTTAGGAATATGGGTGTGAAATTACTATGAAGGAAACACCTGCTGGGAGCCCAGTACTTTATATATGTCTTTTCATTTCATGCTGAAGTATATTTAATTCAGAGCTATCATTACTATTTTAGAGATGAGTTAACCAACTGGTTAACAGAATAAATAATTTTCTTGAGATAACACTGCTGGTTAGATCCTGGGGACAATGCAAACCATTGTCCTCAGAATTTGCTTGCTTTGATTTCAAAAGCTGCAGTTTCTTACTGTATATTACACATGCTGCATTTTAATTTAGGATTGAGGACAAAGTTTTTAAACCTTATTGTTTAATAATAAAAACAGGCCGGAAGTGGTGGCTCATGCCTGTAATCCCAGCATTTTGGGAGGCCAAGGCAGACGGATCACATGAGGTCAGGAGTTTGAGACCAGCCTGGCCAACATGGTGAAACCTCGTCTCTACTAAATATACAAAAATTAGCCGGGTGTGGTGGTGTGCGCCTCTAACCCCAGCTACTTGGGAGGCTGAGGCACGAGAATTGCTTGAACCCAGGAAGCAGAGGTTTCAGTGAGCTGAGATCGTGCCACTCCAGCCTAGGCAACACAGCAAGACTCTGTCTCAAAAAATAAATAAATAAATATAAAAATAAAAATAAAAACAAAGGGGGAGGATCCCAAAAGAAAACATTTCTTTGATGCTGGCTTTATGTGACTAAAAGCTATAATATCCTGTCAATTTTTGTTTTTAAATTTACAGTAGTAACCATTATTATTAAACAATTTATCTTGGATGGCTCTCTCTAGGTGTATAAATTATACAAGTCACATAACTTTTTGAACACTGTTTCCTTATTTCTAAATAAGAGTAACATTTTTATATGCTTTCCAGGGCTTCTGTTTTGTGATGTTATGCAATAAAGCATTAACACAGTGCCTACCAGTAGAAAGGCAGAATATGTCTTAGCTAGTAGTGCTACTAATATTTCAGAAAAGTCAGAGGACTGACTTGATTTAGACTAACACATTCATTTTACAGACAAGGAAAATGAGGCACAGAGGTTTTGTAATTTGCTTAAGGTCACACAATTTGGCTTAGTAGACCTATGAAGAAAACCTAGCTTTGGGAGACAAAATATGATTCCTAACATATGTTTCTTATTTGCATATAAACTACAAAATTCAGAGATTTGACTTTTGCTTCTCTAACATAAAAATATTGGATTTCCCTTCTAGGACAATGGCTAGTTACAAAAACGTGGATCATTTGGTTTAACCTAGCAGATACATTTATAAAAAGATACTTCAGATTTTTTTTTTATTCAAGGCGGAAATAGATATTCTGTGAAGTCAGTGACTTCTCCAGCCCTGGAAAGGTGAACCCAGATTTAGTGAAATCCTCTGTTTAAACAGTCTGTCATCTCTGCTCCTTTTATCAGAAAAAAATGTTTTGTGTTGAGACATTTTTAGGGGTTTCTGATGGTGGAAGACGTTAAACACATTTCTCTGTTAGTATTTCAGTGCCATTTTTATATCTAGTTGTAAGAAATAGTTAAGCTTTCTTCCCTCATGTAACTTCAGTACAGAAGTTTCTCAACTGGCTTGCAGACAGTACAGGTTAAACATTTAAAACCAAGGAATCAGTGACTTTATGACTGATAATTTTTATGTTTTGTGATTGTTTAGAGATTAAAATCATAATGTAATATTAAATAGTATAATAATAAAAAAAAACGCAGGATCCTTTTAGGAAAGAAAAGAAAATCCTTTTTGTCTAAAAAACAATTAATTTAATATAACACATTTATTGAGTACCTTATGCAAACTTGTCACTTTGCATACATTTTTAAAAATACTTCTTGCATAAGCACTATGAGAAAGAGATTTCTCCCATTTCATAGACAGGGAAACTGAACGGGTTACAGAATGTGCCTGGGGCATATAGTGATTTGGCCACTGTACTGAGATTTAGGGAAACAAAGATAAATTAGCCATGGCCTCCGTGAACTCACAATCTAGTTAGATACAGATACTTCTACTAACTGTCAATACAGAATTTTAAAACAAAGTGCTCCAGGAACACAAAGAAGGGAACAATTAATTTTTTTCTGAGAGCAACAACCTTCTTTTCTCATATCTGCTTAAGGTAGAATTACCTGGATGAATGAGGCCACATAAATAATCTATTAAAGCCTAAAAGATGATGACTTATCTTCATATTTAGTTTGCACCAAGGGTTACTGAATGTGGATACAAGCTTTAATCTCCTAAACTCTTTTAGGATTCTATCAGGACAGCACAGAAAGTATTGAGATAATATTTGGGAAGATTAAATTGACCAAATTTAAAGCTCCTAAGTGGATATTACGCTTTAAATCAGAATAAGGGGTTTTTGGTGCTTGTAAGTATTTTATTTTTGTTGCGTATATTTTTTGGTGTGTTTGAAAACTTCATTTCCTTTACTTTTTAAAAAGCTGAACATGTTTTTAATGCTTCTAATAGATTACAAGGGTATATTTAGTGGACATAGACATAGAGATGAAATTACCACGTTTGAAATATGATGTCTTCATTTAAGGGATATTCTGAAGGAAAATTTCTGATGTTATTAGGAATCAGATACATGTGCTCTTTATTTTTTTGTAAGATATTTTAGTTTATATTTGTTCATGGTCTCACAGGAATTAAAAGATTACTCTCTTAAGCTAGAGCTTTTTGGGTTGAATATAAAAATATAGAAAAATGTTTAAGCTTTAAGATTATGAATTTTTATTCAAATATTTATATTTTACTTTGTAGTTATGATTTTGGATGACAACATGCAAAAACTGAAGGCTCGGTGTTTAGGAAATATTGTGGTAAAGTAAGCAAAAATTTCAATACTACTATATTAAAGGGCAAAAACTGGTGTATATACTAAGAAAAAATGGGGTCATTGCAGTGTTACTGCTACTGAGGAAGTTGTAGAAAGAACTTGTGTGTTGCTTAAGAACTGTGTCAGCTGTGTTGTAATTTAAACATAGAAGCCCCATAAAATACGACCAATTTAAATGCAATTTTCAAAAACCACAAATTTTGCATATTTTTAAATAACTTTTTTTTCATTTTACAGGTTATGTATAGATGATAAAGTTAACTTACATACAAAAAAAATATGAATAAGTAAATAAAGTTCCTGTACTCTCACCTCTCAGCAATTACATCATTAACTTCATAATATACATGACTATCTACATTTTTTTGGTATAGATTCAGGGGTACATTACAAGTTCGTTTCATGGGTATATTGCATAATCCTAGGGTTTGGGCTTCTAGTGAACCCATCACCCAAATAGTGAACATAGTACTCAACAGGCAGTTTTTCAACCCTTGCCTCCCTCCCTCACACCTTTTGGACTCCCCAGAGTTTCTAGTTTTCATCATTATGTCCATGTGTACCCATTATTTAGCTCTCAGTTATAAAAGATAACATGCAGTATTTGATTTTCAGTTTCTGATTTGACTTTCCACTTTTTGACAAACATTTTACAATGGCGAATCAATTTATTTTTGTGTATTGCTGTTTTCCCTTAACCTTGTCTCATAAGCACATTTAATTTTTACTCTGTTTCTTAAAATTTTCATCCCCAGTATAGGCTTCTTAGCATTTTTTGAATTTTGATGATTATAAATAATACCATATTAAATATTTTTTCGTCTTGTTTTTCTGCTTTTCTGATAATAGCAATAGTATTGAAGAGATTTCTGGAAGTATAATTACTGGGTCAAACAGTATCATCTTATAAAGTTCCTGACTTAGCAAATATCCCATCTTCTTGTTAACATTTTTTTAAATTATTGTTCATTTGATAGGCAAAACTGCTATCATTTAAAGTGAAAATATTTAAATTTACTTTAATTACATCAAGACGTGTACTTTAAAATTTATATGCTAGTGGAAGCAGAAATGGAAGTTGATTAAGTTAGAAGGTTCACAGTATGTGACATTTTAATAATTGAAAGAGAGATTGCTTTAGTCCCTCTGATTAACATGATATTGACATCTTTACTGATAGAGTTTAAGTAGTAGAATTCACCAGATTGAGCTACTATAAATACAGAGCATCAGGTTTTAAAAATGATTTGCTTTCGTATTTATTTCTATTGGAAGTCAAAAGAACTCATTACTTGGCATTCTGAGATTGGTATAAGATTGCTTCCTGTAAAGAAGATATTTTAAATTCTATGAAAATTACATGGAAAACAGTAGTTAAAAAGAGGATGTTTCTTCAGGTAGAGATATTTTAACTATATAGAAAGCTAATAGAAAGCATACAAGTTATGATGTAATTCTTCTCATGCTTTTATCAGTAAACATGTAAGCACTATATTACTTTGTTAAAAGTTTCCATTTTAAAACAACATATCCATCAAGATGAAAAAATTAAATATTGAACATGCCATTTGTATTCGCAGTTCTCTGAGCCAGAATCTGTGTTAACATAGAGCTGGTTCAAATTTGACCTGTTCAAGGGAAAAGCAGCAGGGGAAGAAGGGAAGGGCTGCTAAAGAAATTAATAATTTGAACACGTTTGTGGGTGGATGTTTGGCTTGCTTAGGGAATAGAATGGTTTTTGAGAGCTTTTCAAAGCACTTTAGCAGCATACATTTTTATGTAACCTCCTAACTTTGTGAGTCATCTATTTCATAAAACAAGATCTCAGAGGTGGCATTTGATGCCAGCACAGTTTTAAACTCCTCATGGGTTTTGTCACTCTAATTATGGGCTGCTTCACCCCACATCCATTCAGAGATAATAAAATATAGCAGTGTCCCACATAAACTGTAATTTTTTTCTTATAGCCATTAGTGTTATTTCAAATACTTAAAAGTAACAACTATTGCCTTAAAGCATTCTATGGTTTAGATTGTCACCAATTCACAATTATTTTTTCCCTCTGTATTCCTAAAAGAATTTTATTGTGCAGATCCAGGGTTCTGAGATTTCATTATAAATTACTTGATGATGTAATATGTTATGACAAACAGTAGAATTTGATTCCTCTCTTAGGTTAACAGTGAAACTAGATATTTGAATATATTATAAATCTTTTTGTATTAGAAAGGTAAGGTAGAAATAATCGGAAAACAAAGGTTACCACCAAGATTTCTCTCTCTCCTGCTCTCTCTTTAACAAAACAGATTTTGAAACCTTTTTTCAGAAACTCCTTTTATCTATAAGAGCAAGAATTTCTTTTTGAAACCCACATTGCCAGCAGCCATTCCACTCTAACTTATCAACTTAAAAAGGATTCACATATTCCAATGGCTGCCTGCAGTATGTGTAGGATGTTTTTATATTTAACATCTATAACATTTCACATTATAGATCTTAAGACTCATTTGTGTAGGTTCATATTTAGAAATAGTAATATGTGGAAACAAACAAACAAGTAAACAAAAACCAAAGAACCTTTTGATCCACCTAGATTTTTCTACATTCTTCTTTATGACAGTCCGCAAATCACTGATTTGTTCTCCTGGGGACCCCTTGACTAGAAGTTGGCCATTTTAGCACTTCCTAAACTACTATAGGTCTTAAGATATAATAAAAAGGAATCCTGCAATTTTAGTGCTTTATTAGATTACTTACATTCATAGAATTTATCTTTCTAGTAGAAGTGAGAACTTCATGTCCACATGAATGTTAGAAAATTCTTTTGATTTGGAAACCTACTCCAGGCAGTTAATTTAGTAAGAAAGTTAAGGGATCTGAATTCCTATGCACACAAAATACTGATGAATTTTAGAAGGTATTCGTGTAATTGCATCCAGAGCTCCAAAGTGCAGAAATAAAACTATGAGTCAGTAATTTCCAGGCAACAGAGAACAGGGCATGAAAGAAAATTTTAACTGCAATTGCCTTTCTTCCTAGCACAGTGCTCACTGTTATTAAAGCCATAGGTCTCTGGCTCTTTCTCTCTGATGGACAAACGTTTTCCTCTGACCAGATCCATTGTTGCTATTGGAAGTGTGGCCTGTTCACCCTGTGCTGTGTCCTGCAAGCCATGGTGGGGTGCAAGGGAGTTGTATGGAATTGTCTGAGTGGCTTTTACTTTAGTGCCTGACAATTTCTCATTCTTCAGATATGGTTAACGATGCCTGTTCACATATTTACAGCTTCACGTAAATGATTCAGTCACTGCGTTGCCATCTTGGGAAAGAGCCAAGGAAGCTTTCTTTTCATCTGGGTATCCTTTGAGTATAACTAAGCATGTCACATAATTATAATCCTGCTCCTTTCTAAATCTCATATACAGTTTTGAGTGTGATATTTTATTAGCCTTATAACAGCACTATGAGTTAGGCAATGGGCAGACATTATCCTCCTCATTGTAGACATAACAAAGTATGCAACATTAGTAGTTGCACAGCTAGAACTCACATTATTGCCCAGTCTTTTGTCTGCCCTGAGGGAAAGAAATTATGGTCAATCTCTTCTGGGGAGATAAAAATAACTTCATATGAAAATCTCGAGAAAATCCTAAGGACCCCATAGGAAATACTGAGAGTGCAAAGTTGGGATTTAACCCAGATCTCTCTAGGGAACAGGCTTCAATTTAT
Source organism: Homo sapiens (assembly GCF_000001405.40). Taxonomy (NCBI): domain Eukaryota; kingdom Metazoa; phylum Chordata; class Mammalia; order Primates; family Hominidae; genus Homo; species Homo sapiens. The sequence continues at coordinate 81,223,817 of NC_000012.12, forward strand.
TTCTATTGCTATGGAAATTCCAGATGGAGAAGTGAAAAATAGACCATCTTTTATCTAGGATAGGAGGCATCTAGGAGTGTAATATTTCGATTGGCCAGGAATGTATTATTTTCCAGGGTGATGGACATCCTTTGTCCTGCCCTAGTTATTTAAGGATTGCTCAGCACTCTAATGCTTCCCTTCCCACATGGCTGTCACTGCTGCCTCAATTATTCACCTTTCCCCTTCAGAATGATCTTTTAGGAAAGGGAATTCTCTAAGAGGACTCTCAATTCATAATTGGATGAGTTGTACCAAAACTCCCTCTTTCACTCTGCTTGGCAGAATTGGGGAAGGTATCACGTGGTGATAGCATTTGCTTTCAAATTTGAAGGATGAGTATAGGTATTAACTAGTTCATTTCTTAGTATTTTTGCATCTTTCCCTTCCTTCTGCCAATCCAATGCACTTTTACATTCTTATAACTACAGAAAAAAATATTCTTTTTCTATAACTTTAGAAAAAGAGCTCCAGTGCACCCACTGTTCCAGAAGGAAGACCTTCACTTAATGTGTAATAATCCTTAGCAATAAGAAGAAAGGTGTTAATTTGGAATACTGCAACCAAAAAAATCTGCTGTAGCTCATATGCACCTAATGTCTATCTGGATCTTATTGCTTCTTTCCCCATGTTTTCTTTCATTGATCACATTTTCTTATCACATGTTTACATATATATATGCATATACATACATACATATATATATACACACACACACATGTGTGTGTGTGTGTGTGTGTGTGTGTATGCACATGCAGTAGTCCCTATTATCCGTAGTTTCACTTCATGCAGTTTCAGTTACCTGTGGTCGACCATAGTCCAAAGTTATTAAATGGAAGATTTCAGAAATAAATAATTCACCTTTTAAATTGCACACCATTCTGAATAGGTGATGAATTCTTGTACTGTCCTGCTTAGTCTTGCCAGGATGTGAATCAGCCCTTTGTCCAGTGCATCCATGTTTTCTACGCTACTGCCCGTTAGTCACTTAGTAGCCGTCTTGGTTATCAGATCGGCTGTCTAGGTGTTACAGTGCTTGTGTGCAACCAACCTTTATTTTACTTAACAATGGCCCTAAAGCACAATAGTACTGATGCTGGCATATTGTTCTAAGTGTTCTATTTTGTTATTAGTTGTTGCTGTTCATCTCTTACTGTGCCTAATTTATAAATTAAACTTTATCATAGCTATGTATGTATAGGAAAAACCTTATTATATGTAGGGTTCAGTACTACCATGGTTTCTCAGGCACCCACTGAGAGTCTTGGAACATATTCCATGTAGATAAAGGGGAACTACTTTGTGTGTGTGTGTGTGTGTTTCTGTATGTGTGTGTCTATTAAAAACACATGATTCCAATTATGAATCCTTTTTTCTTCTCCCCTTTTCTTTAGGAATATTGTATGTCTTCCTTTATGAGTCTTTCTTTAGAGATTTTTCTCAATATCCAAATTACCACATCTGATTTTTTAAGATACCACATCTTGTTAGTGAGGAACAGAAAGCATGCACTTATTTTATCCTATCAATTACCAATTGCAATTTCATATCTTGCTTTTCAGACTGATCCTCAGTTAGACTTGTGAATGATGAAGTAGTTTTCTGAGAGCATCTCAAAAATAACTTGGGACAAACACACATGCTATTTCCAGCAGGTCCACACCTTGGATGGGGATAAAAACTTCTCTTCCAAGCACTACTGGCAAGGCAGAGTTTAACTACCTTCTGTAAAGTTCACCTGATGAACACTTGAATCGTTGCATTTGATGTCATTTCATTAACTTAATGGAGTAGACATCATTCACTATCTTCCCTATCAGTATTCTAAAAATACTAAATTTCTTTTTCTTGTAGTTCACAAAGTGCTAGGATCTCCACGTGTCTGTGATCATAGTTTATATCCTTGTATCGTTAATGTGTAGCACAGTGCATGAGGAATACCAAACACCTAACAAATATTGATCGAAGGAAGAAAATGAATGTTTGTGTTAACGCATAAATAAAAGAGTAAATAAACAAGGCAATTGAATAATTCCTCTGGTGTTTTCTTCTCTACTGTTCAAATCTCCATCCTCTCTCTCCACTGGCTACTTCCACTCAAATCTTTCTCATACTAAATCAACCTGCCTTTGTGCATTAAGCCACTGACATATACATCTCCTTCCAATCGCCACAAATTTTAAAAAGTATAGTCTAACCTTACTGTCTCTACTTACTTCCTGTTTATTTCTTAATCAGTCTAGCTGTTGCTTTCCCCACTCCATTGAAATGACAATCATGAGAAAACTCAAAACATCTTAATTACTAAGTTCCATGATCACTGTTGCATCTGCTTTCAAACAAAATTTACACTTCATTTAACCTTGTTTAATACTAGGTCATTATTAAAACTGTATTCTAGTGGCTTCTTAGATACTACTTTCCCCTGGTTCTCATAATATCTCTGATTTTCTTTTCTTTTTTTTTCCTCAGTGGAGTTTTTTCTTTGATATTTCTGCAACACTGATATTTAGCCGTAGAACTATTTTTCCTGTTTTATACTCTCTCCACGAATCATCTCACCAATTTCTAAGATTTCTGTAATTACCTAGCTACACATAGTGAGCATATCAATATATCCACCCAGGCTCATCTGTCTTCTGATTTCAGACATATATTTATTGACATATTACTTGATAACTCCATTTATGATGCCACAGGTTGCTAAAACTCAGTAACTAAACAAATTATTTGTCACCTCTCTACTTCTACAAATCCCAAAATGCCACCTCTCCTGAAAATACTGCTTTTACTATATTGCGCTCTTTGCGTTGGCATCACTATTGATCTAGAATAGAAACTTTCTGTTTCCATCTAGAATATAAACTTTCTATAGAAACTTTCAAAGAGTCAGCTTTGATTTTTCTCTTTTCTTCAACCCTCACACTTAATTTTCATCCTCTTAAACTGTGGCTTCTTGTTATCCAATTCATCACACCAGCTTTAGCACTCTTTCTAGAACAAAGATCCAATTACATCTTTTGTTTTTAAAACACATTTGGTAACTTGGCTTTAACATGTCCCATTGTACTAGTCAGGGTTCTCCGAAGAAATAGAACCAATAGGATTTACACACACACACACACACACACACACATATATATATACATACACACATATCTATAGAGAGGGAGAAATATTTGTTTTAAGGAATTAGCTCATGCAGTTGTGAAGGCTAGCAAGTATAAAATTTGCAGGACAGGCCAGCAGGCTGAAGACCCAGGAAAAGTTGTAGTTTGAGTCTGAAGGCAGAACTCCCTCTTCCTACTGGGAGGTCAGACTTTCTTTTCTATTAAGTTCTTCAACTGATGGGATGAGGACCATTCACATTATGGAGGATAATCTGATTTACTCTAAATCTACTGACTTAAATGTTAATTTCATCTAAAAAATGCCTTCACAGAAACACCTAGAATGCTTGACCAAATATCTGGGTACCCTGGTCAAGCTAAATTGATGCATAGAATTAACCATCACACCTATTCATAATGTTGAGGACTATTTACACACACACACACACACACACACAAGTGTTGATTAGACTGAGCAGACCATTTATACTTGTGCACTCATTATTCACTTCATTTTGAAGCCCTTATTGCTATACCTTACATATTTTAAGAAATCAATATCTATTTGCTGATTAACTGACTGAATAGAAAGAATGAATGAAACAAAGAAACGCATGAAAGGAAGGAAGGGTTTAGGTACGTTGGTCACACAGCATGAAGTGTCTTTCCTTCTTATTCCTTTTTCAGCTTCATGAACCTATTCTTCAAGATCAAAATCATAGATCAGTTTCTGCATGTCAAATTCTTTGAGCTTACTCCTTTCTCATGTTTTCTTTTGTACAAAATGTCTACCACATATTGCATATATTGAATTCTTTGTTAGATGCCTCTACAGGACGATTTGAATGATACCATCACCTGCTTTTATCCTTTCACTATTCTGGGACCTCATTCTTTTAGTTTTATCTCTTTTATTTCTTCCCCCACTTCTCACTCTTTTTCTTATTCTCTTCGCTGCCATTTCCCAGCACCATGTGTCATATTTAATAGCAATCACCTCTGTAATCCAAAGGGAACCAGCTAGACATATGATGTCCCTCTATAAGGGTGGCTTTAATTCCAGAGAGAAAGTGAAGAGCTGAGATTTTCTATTCTTAATGATTAAGATTAAAGGTACTTTTGATATGATTAGGATGACCTATTTTTACCACTGAAGTACATTTTAGGTTGGGCTTTTCATTGAACAGAGGTTTTAATATTTGGTGATTGTTACCAACCTTCGAATAATTAGATGAAAGCCAAAGACATTCTCCTGGGAAACATACAGACAAGTTCTACGTTAAATTTCAGGGGGTTCAAAAGAGTCCTCAGTGTTCATGCACCCCATGGTGTGTTATTCTTAATCCCCAGGGTCTACAGGTATATATAAACTTACTCAGACCTTTCTTGTAAGAATGAGTGATGGTATGAAAATGTGTATTGTCCTTGTTCTTCAGGAACTTTGTGCAGATATTTAAAGTTTTGTGCAACAGCTCTGGAAGCCTGTGTCCTTAAGGCTTAGTTTTTTCTGGGAGACGACGTATGCTTTCATCCTGTAGGCATCAATTAATTATAAGAATATATTCTCTCTATTACAAATTGCTAGCACCTTATTTTTTCTCAGGAAGCAGGAGGAAATGCAGGTTAGCAGGACATCTTCTTTTAAAAATAGAAGTTGCTAACATAATTGACTTCTGGAAAGAATGAGATTTTCCCTTTCTCTCTAGTAATATTCTTTCTGTAAAATGCAGTCCTCTTGGTCCTATCTATACACTCTGGATTAGGTACATACTAGGCTACCAGGACACTCAGCTGTTGTAAAGAGCACTAAATACTAACTCATTTAGGTTATGATTGCAAACAGTTAGGAGTCTTTGCTGTGAGCAGATAGTGTGTGGATGCTGGTGGACCAAAATGTTTGATTTGGGGTACATAAAATGGGAAAAAAATACCTGTTTAATATATATTTTTTGATATGCATAGCTCTCATCATGGGCAATATTACATGTTCAGATATTTGGATCAGCACTCCTGTATACCAGCAATCAGGTGGAACTAAGAAACAGCTGTTCCCCTTGTACCTGGCATGTAAACTGTAATTTGCTTCAGACTCCACCATTCTCTATTTCCCTCAATCCATCATAAACGTCAGCTGCCATTGATTATCACAGATACCTCTTCTTTTTCTTTAGTATAATAGAGCAATAATTTCCAATACCAATGTATATGTCAAAAATGGCACCATAAAATACAGAAAAACCCTATATATCATTATATATTTCTTGGGAGCAACTGAAAATTGTCTCTTATTTAATATGCAAGCAGAATGAATCTTCATCAGGTTTATTATCATTTATTTTACATACAATTTGCTTCACTCACTAATGTTATCTCTCTTTGTCCATATTGACATGTGATTTGCCACTTTTTTCCTAAGATCCTCTTTGCTTTTTCACCTTCAGCATCCTGAAAGTGCTGCTAAGTTGATTTTTAGTATTTGTTATAGTCATATTCTATTTCAATGCTTAAAAAATCGATGATTTTACACTTTTCTGTCAAATATTAACAATTAAAACAAACTGATGTAGTGATGTTATTTGTATTGTTATTTACAAGTATTTACATAATAAGCTCAGTTAAGAGAACCCAGAGGGATTATTGGCTTCAACCTATTGCCTTCATACAGATTTAGCAAACAGTAATAATCACAACAGCAACAGCAAAAACACAACAGCATTTCTCTGGATTATTTTACAGATTAATTAAAATACCCTTACGTGCATTTTATGTAATTACATGAAGTCCAGAAATACTGATGTAGTATATTTCCTCTGTCTTAAAATAATTTGAAATAAAGAGCATCTAGCAAAGGAGAACTCCGCAGGATCACTACTGGGAGGCTGGACATTATAGAAGTGGGCGATATCTGCTGGGCTGCCCAAAGAGGCATCGGCAGCTGCTTCCACTTGTAACAGCATTTTGTTCCTGACAGAATGTGAGAGTAAAATTCAGTGCCATGAAGTTCTAATGTTGAGGTGGCCATGTGACCACACTGCTTTCTTTTGTACTGTCAGACCCGAAAATCCTGCTTGTGGGGAATGTGTGAGATGTCATCTTATGTGGACACTAGCCATCTGTGCTTCATTTTCAATTTTCTCAGCATGAGAACTACGAATTTACAACTCCATTTAGTATGTTTTTATTGTGTAAATGTGGGAGTGTAGGTTTTGAAAGCCCCTATGTTTTACAGTATTGAAAATTCCAAACTAAAGGATCTAAAAGGTTTCTGTGTTCAGAAATCAATTTGAGTGGTTGTCTTTGTTAGTAGGCACTTCCTACAAGGAACAAATATGAGAATTTCATTTATTTATGTAAACACAGATAGATACATAGTTAGATAAACAAGGAGATAGATAGAGGTTAAGCCCTTGCCATGCATATAACACCTGTTTGACCCTATAAATGAAAGAAGTATAAGGAGGAAATTTGCTGAAAACAAAAGATACATAGTTCTGTATATTTTCTACGCTGAAGCATTTCCATGTGTTTATAGAAGTGAGAAATCGCATAAGTCTGGATGATTATGAGAAGAAAAAAGAGGAGGAAGCAGTGAGAGAGAATTCCCAGCGGAGGGAGGCATATTGATTATGAAATAAGTTTTTACACTGGGTGCTTAATTAGAATATTCTATTACACAGAGAGACAGGCAAAGATGACAATATCTTAGTACTTCAAAAAATAAATTAACTTTTCAATGGTGAAATAATAGTTTTCTAAGAAAGTAATTCAATGACACGTTTTTTGGTTCTTTTTTTGCAGATATTATGTTTTTCACTGAAGCAATGCTTATTGCTAATAGTTATTTGATTTCCACATACTTGTGCCTTTTGTGCACTTTCCAGAGACTAAAGTCATTCTTCAACAATTCTGCTGTACAATGGTCAGCTACATAAACCTCTGTTAGACATGATCTGTCCAGCAGATTTAGGGGTTATATTTCAATGTAGGATTTGAATTGTAATTATCTGTCACAGTAGAAAAATAATAGTTCTAATCAACCTGTCTTTATTACCACTTTCATCATAATTTTAACTTCTCTGTTTTTATATAAGGTTACCATTGCCACCTGGGGCTTTTTCAGGACTCTGGAAGAATCAGGAAGCATTCAAGCATTTATACTTTGAAAAATTTCCTGTAAGAACTTTAATATGCTTTTTTATCTTCTTATGTACTTTTCTATAATTCTTGCCTATTAAATTGAGAAACTTGCTCCTAGAATCGTAGATCAAAAAGAAACTTTTAAAGGTTATCTGGACCAGTTTCCAGCTCCCAGGGATAAGAATGCCCAACTCATAATTATCTAAATACGTCAATTTTATAGTTATTGTCAGTCTCTAGACATAGAAATTTATTGGTTTTTCTTAGCAGCTTTTCCTAGAATTTAATAGTCTTCAGTATCAGGACATTATTTGTTACATAAAAATGTTTTTTGGACTTTCTGTATGTTTCCTCTACTGGATTCCTCTGTATCAACAGACAGAGAGCAGCAAATCAGAATTATATAATGCCATTAGGACCCTTTAACCTCTTACTGGTTATATGAGCAAAATCCATTCAGCTTGCCCAGAAGTTGTATTTTTCCACTTCTTTATTTTTGACACCATTTTTTGAATGTTCTCTGAGCTCTTTATTTTTAAATCTCATTTTAAAAATACAGATACAGGACAGAAACAGTGTACTCAAAGCCCAACACCCAGCGTCCTGGATAACAAAAAGTGCCTTCCTGTTTCACATTCTGTCATTGTGTGAAACTTGTTACTCCATGCCATGGTGATGTGTGTTATGTTTATAACAGCACTTCATTAATAAAGCACATCAGGTTCTGCTCACATTATCTTTCTGTTGTCCCTCTACTACCACCCCCCACCCCCACCGCCTAACCCCAACAGGGACACCTGGTCCTCATTTTTCACTAAGTAAAATTCTGAATGAACAGAATTTCACTAAAAAAGTTTGCTGAAGTACTTAGCATTTTATCTTTATTATTTGTTAGTGAAGGACAGATAACCTAATCAACGAAATGAAAATAATTAAAATAGCTTTCTTTAGAAAGAAATTGCAGCATTGAATGTCCTCAATAGCCAAGATTAAACATCCCCTGATAGAGTGTGGCAGGGAAGATTTGTCAGTATAGTTGACTCCAGTAAGCCCAATCTATCTGCATGATGGGCCACAGTTAAATCATCAGAGTGCAGGTGGTGAGATGATTGATTATAGCCTGACAATGGCAAATGATATGTGCATGTGGTATTAACATGATCACCTTTAACACTAAAAGCTCCCTCAAAGCCCCTGTTTATGTCTACACTATGTGAAGTGACTCTGTACTCTGTCTTTTTACCTGATCTCAAACCTGTTATTTGAGGAATAATAACAGAATAATAACAGCACAGAAGGGTTGAGTAACTTCCCGTGAGTTCAAATAAGTGAGAAGTGATGGAACTGAGATGAACCAAAATAGTCAGGCTTGAGAGTTCATACTCTTAACTACTACTCTAGATTGCCTCTCTAATATTAATAAAAGTATTAATTGCAGTAAAATTATTGAGAGCTCAGGATGTGCCAGAGTCTGTCCTCTTTCATTTATATACACTGTTTCATGCATGCTTCACAGAAGCTTTAGAAGGCAGAACTCATTTTCCCATTTAACAGATGAGAATACTGAGTCTCAGAAAGTCTAAGAAACACAATAGTGGCTTTCCAGGATTTGTACTGAAGTCCATGTTCATAAACATAGGTATCAAAATAACTCAGAAGCATTAGGAAAAATAATATTTATTTTTTCTACTTTTTATTCTTATTATTCTTATTCTACTGTCATTTCTAGACCAGCAAAAATGTTTTACTTTGAGTGACTAAAAATTAAATTTCATACTTACTATTAAATTTCACTGAAGCTTGAGTCCAATCCTAACCCATATTAATAAACTACTGCTGTATTGGGAAATTATTCATTGGGAGCTTTAAAGCTTTTAAAAGTTAATACAATTAAAGAAGAAATGTATCAAAGAATTATTTTGCAATATCAAAGTATATTAGAATTAGTATTGAGCTATTACTTCTCCATTAAAAAAAGAAATTGGATTCATAAACTTTACAACTCTATATTCAAACACTTAAACATTTCTAAAAACACTTCAACTTATTCTTGGCTGTTAGAGGAGCAAAGAGATTCTAGTACAGTTTCCAGATAAAAAGTAGTGTAATTTCCTAGTCTAGTTACGAAAAACGGCAAATGTTCACAGTAAATCCATTTCTATTACATTGTGTGTTTTACCAAGTTTAAAATGATTACATTAGTTAACAGTACATGCTAATCAAATGTTATTTTTTCTTGTTTTCAGGGATATTATGATACCATGGATGCTGGTTACATGGATGAAGAAGGCTATTTGTATGTTATGTCTCGAGTGGATGATGTAATAAATGTTGCAGGTCACAGAATTTCTGCAGGCGCCATTGAAGAGGTATTGATGAATATTGGTATTCTATTCCAAGTAGTGCTTAGGCACAGAGCTGCACTGAAGACAATATTGAGGTTATTTCACTTGGAAAATTACCACACCCTTCATTTGCAGCAGAGGCTAGGTTACTCTTACATCTCTCCCACCTCACTTTCTCTTTTAGATATTCATATTCCCTACACTCCCACATCCCTGGGTGGTAGTGAAGAGTTTTAAACACTTACATATATTTTTTGTTTATGGGAAAGCCTGTGTACATTTGCTTCTTAATACTTGCTACTTGAATGCCTCTAGCTTCTTGATTTACTCGTGTTTAATCATCAGGTTTGCACATGGTCTTTAAGTGGTATGGGATTAAACATTTTATTGTACTCTTAAATCCTGAGAATTTTCTTCCAATGTAAGTCACATAAAGTCTCCAGAAGAGGTTTTTTAAAATGTTTTAAAAACTTATTCCTATGGAGTAAAATCTACATTATTGTTATACAATACTATGAGTATTTATACTAATACAGTTTCTTGTAACCATCACCACAGAAAGGATACAAAACAATTTCAACGCTGTCAAATAATTCCATCATAATGTCACCTGTCTATTCTGACTCTGGTACCCCTTATTTTTTTCTTTGTTCCTATGTTTTAGTCTTCTCTCCAATTTTATATAAATAGATGATACAGTATTGTAACCTTTGAGACTGGGTTATTTCATTTAGGAAAATACATTTTAGATTCTTCCAAGTTGTTGCATTTATTAAGAATTTGCCTTTTTATGTTGCTGTATAGAATTTCATCGTGCAGCTGTACTAACAAGTTTACGTATCCATTCATGCATTAAAGGACATATGGGTTATATCTAGTTTGCAGCAATTATAAATAGGGCTGTTATACACATTCAAATACAGGTGTTTGTGTAAAAAAATATTTTATTTCTCTAGGATAAATACTTAGAGTGGGTTTTCTGGGTTGTATATTAAGTGTATGTTTAAGGTTATGAGAAACCACCAAAGAGTTTTCCCGTGTGACTGTGCTATTTTACATAGCCACCAGCAGTATTTAAGGGTTCATACTTCTTCCCATTCTTTCTAGAACTTGGTCGTGTCATTACTCTTTATTAAACCATTCTACTCGGTGTGTAATAGTATCTCATTGTGCATGTGATTTGCATTTCTGTAATAACTAGTGATATTGAGCATCTTTTCACAAGCTTATTTGCCATCCATATACCTTTTTTGATGAGGTATCTGTTAAAATCTTCAGCCCATTTTTTTAAATTGGACTGTTTCTTTTTTATTGTTCAGTTTTGTAAGTTCTTTATATATTCTATATACAAGTCCTTTATCTGATATGCAGTTTGCAATTTCTTTTTCTAGTTTCTGACTGATCTTTTTATTTTATTAAAAGTGTCCATAACAGAGAAAAAAATACTTTTCATTTTGATGAATTCTAATTTATCATTTTTTTCTTTTACGGATTATGATTTTGGTATTGTATATAAAAATGCTTTCCTAACTCAGCATCACAAAGATTTTCTCTTTTGTTTTCATCTAAGAGTTTTATAGTTTTATGTTTTATATTCAGTTTTATTGTTTTACATTTATATCATTTTAAATTTAAATTTGAGTTAATTTTTTAATATAGTGCAAGGTGTAGGTTGATAAATAATTTTTTAAGTGGATGCCAGTTGTTCCAGCATCATTTGTTGAAAAAGCTGCCCTTTCTCTATTGAATTGCCATTGCAACTTTGTCAAAAATCAGATGATAATATTGGAGTGGGTCTGTTTCTAGAATATCTTTCTATTTCATTGATCTATGTTTTTTTTATGATGATCATGGAAAATATTTAATAGATTTTTTTATGTAGATCAATATAATTGATCTACATTATATTTTTATGAATATACTGCCTTGACACTGTAGCTATGTAGTGTATCTTAGAGTTGAATATTGTGAGTCCTCCACATCTGCTCTTCTTTCTTAGTCTTGTTGTAGCTATACTAGTTCCTTTAGGTATTCCACATACATATTAGCATAAAATTTTCTATAGGTACAATGAACCCATGCATAAATTTTGATTCAGATTGTGTTAAATCCATATATTGATTGGAGAAAAATTGCTATTTCAAACTTACTGAGTTCAATCCATGAGTTTTGTATATTTCTTTCTTTAGGATTTCTTTGGTATGTTTCTTAAATACTTTGTACTTTCTAGCATACAGATTCTGAACAAGTTTTGTTAAGTTTATATTTAAGTATTTAATTTTTTAGCTATTATACATTTTTTAAAAACTTTGGTTTGAAATTTTTCATTGCTAGTGGATAGAAATACTACTGATCTTTTTGCAGACTGATATGTAACCTATGATCTTGTTTAACTTGCTTGCTAGCTCTAGCGGTATTTTTGGTAGACTTGTTGAGACTTTCTGTGTAAACAATTATGTTACATGTGAATAAAAACAGTTTTATTACCTCCTTTCCAATCTGAATGCTTTTTTTGGTCTTTTTCTTGCCTTTTGGAACTGGCTAGAACTTGGGATAGGATGTTGAACAAGACTGGTAAGAGCAGACACCCTTGTCTTGATCCTGATCTTAGGGTAAAGGCAAGAATGGTGCTAACTGTAGGTATTTCTGTAAACACACACTTTATCAAACTGAATAATTGTTTTTGTATTTCTAATTTGCTGAAGTGTTATTTTTAATTATGAATGAATGTTGAATTTTATCAAATGCTTTTTCTGCCTCTATTAATAGGAATATGTGATTTTTCTTTTTAACAATGTTACGTGAATTACATTAAATAATTTTCAGCTTTTGAACCAGTCGTGCATTCCTGGGACAAACTTTAAGTGATTGCAATGAATTACTGTTTTTATACATTGATTCGTATAATTAATAATTATTGTTATTATTATTAATCAATAGTAATTTTCCTTATTCTGAAATCTACTGTTTGTAGTAATCATATAGCCATTCTTTTCTTTGAATCATGTTTGAATCATAGATCTTTTTTCATTTTTTCATTTTTAATCTATCTGTATTATGTTTCATGTGGGTTTCTTGTAGACAGCACCTACTTAGTTCATATGGACAGCATCTATTTGTTTTTATGTTTATCCAATCTGGCAATCTCCATCATTTAGTGTTTTCAGATAATTTACATTTAATTATTGATATAGTTATATATCTGCCTACCAGTTTATTATTATTCTTTTTGATTCTTCTCTTTTTCATTCTCTTATTTCATTCTCCCCCTTCTCTCTTTTAACTTATTTTGGTTCTTTTTTTGTAGCTTTTATTAATTTGTGAGAACGTCTATGATTCCATTCATACCAAGAGTTTTTGCACATTCTTCTTGGGCCATGGTTATTGCTTGGTTTTTAATATTCATCTTTGACAGTTTTTTTTATAAGAGTGTCATTTCCACCTTACCCTAGGTCTTATTATGACCCAATGAAAGCTAATGGCAATTTTTCCTACATGAGTAGCCAGATTCTCCATAAATGAAAGTTTAAAAAATGATTTTTCTCTACTTAAAAGGGAGGGAGGCAGCCGTCCTTCCTGAAGGCTCTTCTTAAAAACATAATGTCTTTAATCAAAACTCTAATTCTTTAATATATAAGTAAAATAGCCCCAGGAGCCAGACCGCCCTGTGCATCTCCAGTTTTACAACATAGAAATGTTTCTAACTCCTGGGAATTAATCTCTTTTTAGCAGGTAAATACCCAAGAAGATAGTGAGCCAATCTCCCCAGCTTCTTGGGAGTTTATACTAGGGATCTAGTCTGGACTATACACATTTGGCCTTGACAGATAAATTAAAGTTTTATTATCCTTTAAGATCTGAGCAATTCATTAGGCAAATCACTATAGGTCTAATTTTTCAGATGTTTCAAGAGTCTCAGGAGGCTAGGGCTTTTATAGGAGCACTGGTAAATTTAGAGGTTTATTTCTCCATAGTTATAATATTTAAGTTAAATTTTCTGATAATTCTGATATTTAGGTAATGTTGGGTTTGGTATCTAGGGATTGTCTTTTTTTCTTAAAAGATGTTTAGATTTTCCTGATAAATGTCTATTTTAAATCTTATCCCGAGTATTTTGAATATTACATCATGAGGTTCTGGATCCTATTTAAATCTTCTGCATTTCTGTTCTTGTGGCTATTTATTTTAGGAAGTGGTCAGCCCAGTTAGGATCAGACTACATAGCTTTACCCACTTTCTGTGGACTGTGGTTTCAATGTTAATTTGATTTTCAAAGCTTTTGTCTATTTGGATATTCTACATATATACGATCAGGTTGTTTGCAAACAAATACAGTTTTATATCTTCTTTCTCAGTCTGTATACCTTTTATATTCCTTTCTTGTCTTATTGCACTACCTAGTTCAGTGTTGTCTTTCTTGCCTTGTTGCACTAGCCAGTATGATGTTGAAAATATAGTTGAGGGTGGACATCCTTGCCTTGTTCCAGATCTTAGTGGGAAAGTTTTGAATTTCTCACCATTGAGTATGATGTAAGCTCTAGGTTTGTTTGTAGATGGTTCATCACGAAATTGTGGAAGTTCCCCTCTATTCGTAGTATACTTAATATTTTTATCATGAATGGGTATTGGATTTTGTCAAATGTTTTACTTTTTCTGCATGTACTGATATGATCATGTAATTTTTCTTCTTCAGCCTATTGATGCGATGGATTACTTTGATTATTGAATTTCGAACCAGCTTTGTATACCTGGGGTAAATTCCACCTGGTCATGGTACATAACTCTTTCCACACATTGGCATCTATGCTCATGATGGCCTCTGTCAATAGTTTTTTTTAATTGTCTTATTTTAGTATTAATACAATGGGAATATTTTCTAACTTATTCTATGGGGCCAGCATTGTTCCAGTTCCATAGATTGAGTTAGAAAATATTCCCATGACTTCTGTCATTGGAACGACAGATTGTAGATAATTGGTCTAATTTATTCCTTAAATGGTAGAATTAACTGATGAATTGGTAGAATTCACCAACGAACCTATCTTCACCTGGTACTTTCAGTTTTGGAAGTTTATTAATTGTTGATCTAATTTTTAATAAATATAGGCCTATTCAGATTGTCAATTTCTTCCTGTGTAACTTTTGTCAGATTGTGTCTTTCAAGAAATTAGTTTATTTTGTCTAGGTAATCAAATTGGTGGGCATAGACTTATTCATAATATTCCTTATTATCTTTTTAATGTCCATGATCTGTAGTAATATGTCCTCTTTCATTTCTGGTTTTAGTAATTTGTCTCTTCCTTTTTTTTTCCTTAGCCTGGCTAGAGGTTTATTGATTTTATTGATATTTTAAAGGAATAGCTTTTGGTTTTATGGTATTTTCTATTGATTTATTTTTGATTTAATTTATTTCTCCTCTAATTTTTATAATTTATTTTATTCTGCTTACTTTGAATTTAATTTGGTCTTCCATTTTCTAGTTTCCTAAGGTGAAAGTTTACATAATTGATTTTAGATCTCTCTTCTTTTCTAATATGTGAATTCAGTGCTATAAATTTTCCTGTGAGCATGCTGTTGCTGCATCCCATAAATATTGATGTTATATTATAATTTTCATTTAGTTAAAATATGTTTAAATTTTTCTTGAAATATCTTCTTTGACTCATGTGTTATTTAGAAGTGTGTTGTTTAATCTCCAATAATTTGTGATTTTACACCTATCTTTCTGTTATTGATTGCTAGTTTAATTCCATTATTACCTCAGAACAGATGTTGTATGATTTATATTCTTTTTAAAATTTTAAGGTGTGTTTTATGGCCCAAAATGTAGTCTGTCTTGGTGACTGTTCCATTTAAGTTTGAAAAAAATGTGTAATCTTCATTCAACAATTTCATTCAGAGACAAGGAAAAAACATAAATCAGATATTTAGTTCAACAAAAATAAAGGAAGAACATCAGAAATGAATAAATGAAGGTGTATTAGTCTGTTCTCACACTGCTAGTAAAGACATACCTGAGACTGGGTAATTTATAAAGGAAAGAGGTTTAATTGACTCATAATCCCATATGGCTGGGGAGGCCTCACAATCATGGCAGAAGGAGAATGAAGAGCAAAGTCATGTCTTACATGGCGGCAGGCAAGAGGGAGTGTGCAGGGGAACTCTCTTTATAAAACCATCAGATCTTGTGATACTTATTCACTATCATGAGAACAACACAGAAAAGATTCACCCCCATGATTCAGTTACCTCCCACCAGGTCCCTCCCATGACACATGGGAATTATGGAAGCCACAATTCAAGATGAGATTTGGATGGGTACACAGCCAAACCGTATCAGAAAGTAAAATAAAACATTTTAATTTTCTTGTTCTCAATTTATCTCAAAAATAACAGTTTGTTCATACTAATAACAGCAACAATATGTGTGCATATATGCACATACATATATATATGCTTATGTATAAGCAAAATAAATGACAGCAGTGATACAAGGGCTAGAAGGGAGGAATTAGGAATTTTTGTTATTATAAGGTACTTGCTTTGTCTATGAAGTGTTATTTGAGTGTGGACTTTTTTTTCTTATTCTTAATTATTAGTTGTTGAATGAAGTGGCCTATTGATGTCAATTTTATTCAGTTGATTGATGGTACTGTTGAACTGAACTATGTCCTTACTGATTGTGTGCCCAGTGGATCTGTAAATTTCCAACACAGGAGTGTTAAAGTCTTGAACTATAATAGTTGATTCATCTGTTTCTCCTCCCAATTCTATCAGTTTTGCCTGACATACTTTGATGCCCTAAGGATCATCATGCCTTCTCGGGTTATTGACCTCTTTATCATTATGTAATGCTCCTCTTTATTCTTGATACATTTTCTTGCTCTGAAGTCTTCTGTGCTTGAAATTAACATAACTACTCCTACTTATAAAAATTAGCATGGTATAACTTTCTCCATCCCTTTACTTTTAATCTATATGTATTGTTATATTTAAAATGGGTTTCTTTCAGAAAACATATAATTGAGTCTTGTTTTTGATCTACTCTCTGACATTCTGCCTTTTAATTGGTATATTTAGATCATTGATATTAAGTGATCATTAATATAACTGAATTAACATTTACCAGATTTGTTACAGTTTTCTATTTGTTGCCCTTACTCTTTGTTTCTATTTCTGTCTTTCTTTCTCTGCATTTTGTGGTTATAATTGAACATTTTATATTATTTCATTTTGCTCTCCTTTCTTAACATATTAAATATACTTCTTTTAACTTGTTGTGGTGGTTGCCCTAATGTTTGCAATATATGTTTACAACTAACCAAATCCAGACTCAAATAATACATATTACTTCATGGGCAGAGCAAATACCTTATGATAGCAAAATATTTCTTTTTTTTTATTATACTTTAAGTTTTAGGGTACATGTGCACCATGTGCAGGTTAGTTACATATGTATACATGTGACATGCTGGTGCACTGCACCCACTAATTCATCATCTAATATTAGGTATATCTCCCAATGCTATCCCTCCCCCCTCCCCCCACCCCACAACAGTCCCCATGTGTGATGTTCCCCTTCCTGCATCCATGTGTTCTCATTGTTCAATTCCCACCTATGAGTGAGAATATGTGGTGTTTGGTTTTTTGTTCTTGCGATAGTTTACTGAGAATGATGATTTCCAATTTCATCCATGTCTGTACAAAGGACATGAACTCATCATTTTTTATGGCTGCATAGTATTCCATGGTATATGTGTGCCACATTTTCTTAATCCAGTCTATCATTATTGGACATTTGGGTTGGTTCCAAGTCTTTGCTATTGTGAATAGTGCTGCAGTAAACATACATGTGCATGTGTCTTTATAGCAGCATGATTTATAGTCCTTTGGGTATATACCCAGTAATGGGATGGCTGGGTCAAATGGTATTTCTAGTTCTAGATCCCTGAGGAATTGCCACACTGACTTCCACAATGGTTGAACTAGTTTACAGTCCCATCAACAGTGTAAAAGTGTTCCTATTTCTCCACATCCTCTCCAGTACCTGTTGTTTCCTGACTTTTTAGTGATCGCCATTCTAACTGGTATGAGATGATATCTCATTGTGGTTTTGATTTGCATTTCTCTGATGGCCAGTGATGGTGAGCACTTTTTCATGTGTTTTTTGGCTGCATAAATGTCTTCTTTTGAGAAGTGTCTGTTCATATGCTTCACCCACTTTTTGATGGGGTTGTTTGTTTTTTTCTTGTAAATTTGTTTGAGTTCATTGTAGATTCTGGATATTAGCCCTTTGTCAGATGAGTAGGTTGCGAAAATTTTCTCCCATTTTGTGGGTTGCCTGTTCACTCTGATGGTAGTTTCTTTTGCTGTGCAGAAGCTCTTTAGTTTAATTAGATCCCATTTGTCAATTCTGGCTTTTGTTGCCATTACTTTTGGTGTTTTAGACATGAAGTTCTTGCCCGTGCCTATGTCCTGAATGGTAATGCCTAGGTTTTCTTCTAGGGTTTTTATGGTTTTAGGTCTAACGTTTAAGTCTTTAATCCATCTTGAATTGATTTTCATATAAGGTGTAAGGAAGGGATCCAGTTTCAGCTTTCTACATATGGCTAGCCAGTTTTCCCAGCACCATTTATTAAATAGGGAATCCTTTCCCCATTGCTTGTTTTTCCTCAGGTTTGTCAAAGATCAGATAGTTGTAGATGCAATAAAAAATGATAAAGGGGATATCACCACTGATCCCACAGAAATACAAACTACCATCAGAGAATACTACAAACACCTCTACGCAAATAAACTAGAAAATCTAGAAGAAATGGATAAATTCCTCGACACATACACTCTCGCAAGACCAAACCAGGAAGAAGTTGAATCTCTGAATAGACCAATAACAGGAGCTGAAATTGTGGCAATAATCAATAGCTTACCAACCAAAAAGAGTCCAGGACCAGATGGATTCACAGCCAAATTCTACCAGAGGTACAAGGAGGAACTGGTACCATTCCTTCTGAAACTATTCCAATCAATAGAAAAAGAGGGAATCCTCCCTAACTCATTTTATGAGGCCAGCATCATCCTGATACCAAAGCTGGGCAGAGACACAACCAAAAAAGAGAATTTTAGACCAATATCATTGATGAACATTGATGCAAAAATCCTCAATAAAATACTGGCAAACTGAATCCAGCAGCACATCAAAAAGTTTATCCACCATGATCAAGTGGGCTTCATCCCTGGGATGCAAGGCTGGTTCAATATACACAAATCAATAAATGTAATCCAGCATATAAACAGAACCAAAGACAAAAACCACATGATTATCTCAATAGATGCAGAAAAGGCCTTCAACAAAATTCAACAACCCTTCATGCTAAAACCTCTCAATAAATTAGATATTGATGGGATGTATCTCAAAATAATAAGAGCTACCTATGACAAACCCACAGCCAATATAATACTGAATGGGCAAAAACTGGAAGCATTCCCTTTGCAAACTGGCACAAGACAGGGATGCCCTGTCTCACCACTCCTATTCAACATAGTGTTGGAAGTTCTGGCTAGGGCAATTAGGCAAGAGAAGGAAATAAAGGGTATTCAATTAGGAAAAGAGGAAGTCAAATTGTCCCTGTTTGCAGATGACATGATTGTATATCTAGAAAACCCCATTGTCTCAGGCCAAAATCTCCTTAAGCTGATAAGCAACTTCAGCAAAGTCTCAGGATACAAAATCAATGTACAAAAATCACAGGCATTCTTATACACCAATAACAGACAAACAGAGAGCCAAATCATGAGTGAACTCCCATTCACAATTGCTTCAAAGAGAATAAAATACCTAAGAATCCAGCTTACAACGGACGTGAAGGACCTCTTCAAGGAGAACTACAAACCACTGCTCAATGAAATAAAAGAGGATACAAAGAAATGCAAGAACATTCCACGCTCATGGGTAGGAAGAATCAATATCGTGAAAATGGCCATACTGCCCAAGGTAATTTGTAGATTCAATGCCATCCCCATCAAGCTACCAATGACTTTCTTCACAGAATTGGAAAAAACTACTTTAAAGTTCATATGGAACCAAAAAAGAGCCTGCATCGTCAAGTCAATCCTAAGCCAGAAGAACAAAGCTGGAGGCATCACGCTACCTGACTTCAAACTATACTACAAGGCTACAGTAACCAAAACAGCATGGTACTGGTACCAAAACAGAGATATAGATGAATGGAACAGAACAGAGCCCTCAGAAATAACGCCACATATCTACAACTATCTGATCTTTGACAAATAGCAAAATATTTCTAATTCCTCCCTTGTAGCTCTTGTATCACTGCTGTCATTCACTTGCTAGCACATTAGCATATACACATGCGCATATACACACATTGTTGCTATTATTATTTTGAACAAACTTATCTGTGAGGTAAATTGAGAACAAGAAAAATAATTTTTTTATTTTACATTTGTTTATTCATTTCTGATGCTCTTCCTTTATTTTTATTTATACAAATTTCTGACGTATATTATTTTCCATGTCTCCAAATAACTTAACATTTCTTGCAAAGCAGGTCTACGGGCAACACATTACCTCAATTTTTTTCTTTTGTCTAAAAAAGTCTTTATTTCTCCTTAATTTTTGAAGGATAATTTTCCACAATATAGCAATCTGGAATTCTGTAATTCTAGAATTAATGGTGCTTTTTTCCCTCTTGACACTTTAAATATTTCGCTCCACTCTCTTCTTGTTTACATGGTTCCTAAGGATAAGTCACATGTGATTCTTATCTTTGCTTCTCTATAGGTAAGGTGTTTCTCCCTCCACTCTGGCTTTCTCTAGAATTTTTTTCTTTATCTTAGATTGTTTGAAATTTGAGTATGATATGCCTACATGTAGGATTTTTTTTTTTACATTTATCTTGCTTGATGTTTTCTGCAATTCCTGGATCTATGATTTTGTGTCAGCATTAATTTGGGGGAAACTCTCAGTCATTATTTCTTCATATATTGCTTCCATTTCTTTCTTTTCCTCTCATTACCGCTATTATGTGTTTGTTACAGCTTTTCTATTTGTTTTGAAGTTCTTGGATATTTTGTTCTGTTTGGAGATTTCTTTTCCATCTTTTTTCTCTTTGATTTTTGGTTTTGGAGGTTTCTATTGATACATCCTCAAGCACCAAGATTCTTCTTTCACCTACATCTAGTTTACAAATAAGTCCATCAGAGACATTCTTTATTTTTGATACAGTGATATTGCTTTGTAGCATTTTAAAAATTCTTTCTTAGAATTTTAATCTCTCTGCTCAGCTTACATTAATCATCTATTATTGCAAGTTGTCTACTTTTTCCATTAATGCCCTTAACATATTAATCGTAGTTTTAAAAAATATCATGTTCAGATAATTCCAATATTCCTGTCATATGAAACTCTGTTTCTAATGCTTCTTCAGTCTATTCAAACTGTGTGTGTGTGTGTGTGTGTGTGTATTTGTGTGGTTTGTTATTTATTTTACCTTTTAGTATGCCTTGTAATTGCCTGTTGAAATACTGACATGATGTACTGTGTAAAAAGAACTTCAGTAAGTAGGCCTTTGCTGGTGTATTGGTAAGATGCAGGGGGAGGAGAAGTATTCTGTACTCCTATGATTAAATCTTAGTTGTTTCATGAACATGTATCCTTGGACTGTGAACTTCATCAGTTCTTTGTAGATTTTTCCCCTCTTAAAATAGGATGAGGGCTGGCGCGGTGGCTCACGCCTGTAATCCCAGCACTATGGGAGGCCGAGATGGGTGGATCACGAGGTCAGGAGATCGAGACCATCCTGGCTAACACAGTGAAACCCCGTCTCTACTAAAAAATACAAAAAATTAGCCAGGCGTGGTGGTGGGCGACTGTAGTCCCAACTACTCGGGAGGCTGAGGCAGGAGAATGGCGTGAACCCGCAAGGCGGAGCTTGCAGTGAGCTGAGATCGCGCCACTGCACTGCAGCCTGGGTGACAGAGTGAGACTCTGTCTCAAAAAAACAAACAAACAAAAAATAGGTTGAATAAAGGGGGCTGGAATTGGATATTTCCTTTCTCCTATGTCAGTTAGGCTCTGAGAAAACTCCAGCAGTTAGGTTCTGTTACAGAATAGTTTCTTTTAAGGGTAGGCCCTGGAAAAAGGAACACAGTGTTTTGTCATACAGCTCGGGTTTTACAACCTTGGCACTTGTTCCTGTAGAGGTTTCTGCTCCAATAAATTGTGTTTTTCTCTATTTACTTGTCTGCCTCTACAGTTTTGGGGGAGTGGTTTTCCCTGTGAACTTCCTCTCTGACAAATCTAAGAAGAATTGTTTCTGTTATTGTTTTTTATTTTTTTTCAGTTTGTTTAACTTTCTACTTGTTAGAATGGAGTGGTGAATTCGAAGCTTCTTACTTGTAGTACCAAAACCAGAGGTCCCTTTTCCCTCTTTGGTTCACAAAACTCTCCTTTGCTGTTCTTATGGGTAATGAGTCAGGGCTTTGTCTCCCCACAGTTACCAGGATTATTCCTGCAACGTCTACAGGAACAGTGCCTCTGGGGAGAGGAAGGGGTCTTGTCTCTTTGCTGGCAGTTGCCTAACACATGCCAGGGTAAGTCAACAGCGACCCACTCTCAGGAGCAGCATGGCTGCTGCTGCAGAGAGCAAGTGGCACTGATCCTTTCTGGGTTCTCTTGGTTTAGGGTAGGAGAGTACCCAGGGCTCCCTCCTGTAGGATGTGTTGTACAGCTAGTGTGGAGAAGGGAAGGGGCACACCTTAATTGCTGACATTTACTTGGTGTAAGGTGTGGAGAGGTAACAAATTTTCTGCAGCTCTGTAGAGAGAGGGGTGGGCCCTGCTTCTTCGTTGTCACTTATCTGAAGTAGGGAGGACAAAACCTGTTTTATGACTCCCCTACTTGTTTTCCTGGGCCTCTGACCAGACACAGCAGGCTCTTAGGGCTTTTTCTGTCTGTACTCATTGTCAGTTACACATGCTGAGCTGCTTTAGTCCTCGGGCCAGATTATACAGAAAGTAAAGCAAACAAATGAACAAAAATAACAAAATCCCCAAACTTCCAAATGACAGTGAACTCATCACCAAGTTGTATTTCAAGTTCTTATGTTCTGACTGAGTCTACCAATATATATTTTAGCCCAGAGTTTTTCATTGTTATTGTGGAAGATATAAGTTACTTCATTTTTTTCTAGAAGCAAACCCCAGAATAGTTTTTAAACTGAATGGAGCAAACAAACTACAATTTGAATGAAAGAAAATGTTTAAAGTAACATGATTAACAATTCACTGTGATCAGAGTATGCAGAGTCAAAGTTTTATTTCCTCTTTCTCTAATTAAAAGAGGATCAGAAAAAATAGCTATTGGGTACTAGGCTTAGTACCTGGGTGATGAAATAATCTGTACAACAGACTCCTGTGACATGAGTTTATTTCTATAGCAAACGTGCTTATGTACCCCCGAATCTAAAAGTTAAAAAAATTAAAAATTAAAAAAGTTTGTACCTATCTTCAGTTCAAACTTAACAGCTTAATACTTCTTGTCATGTTGGGATGTGTTTCTTAAATGTGATTTTTTTTGAGTAAAAGGAAGGAACTTTATATTTTAGAACATTTCACCTTTGTGTGCTATTATAATATTATCTTGTTTTTAAACGACTCTAAATTTTGTGATAACCTGAAATTGAAATTTTTACTTCATGTCTTTTGGTGTGTTGGCAAAAGATGGTTCTGGTTGCATGAACTTTTAATTTCCTCCTTCTAAGAGATTACTTCCAATATTCACCTGCATTTCCGGCAGACTCAGTCAATCAAAATATGAAAATTTTGTATGCATAGTTATTATTATTAGTCAAAAACCTTAGTCTTTTTTTGTTTTTAGAATGAAAAGAGGAGTATCAACCTATTCAAAGATATGTTGTGTTTTAATGCTTCTACTGAAATCCTTCTCACTGTATGTAACAGCAGAATGAGATAGGCAGAAAATAGGCAGTTAAAATGGAAAAAGAGAAAAACATGCTAGAATTATTGGCATCTAACAGAAACTTTGTCACTGGGTCTTGGAGTATTTAGGGTGCATAACAGGAAACCATTCAGACCTTAAATCTTTAAGTTAACTTCTCTCTATATATGAATTAAATGACTAAGTTTTTATTAAGTATTTATATTTGATAAGAAAATTCTATCTCAGTTTAAATCAGATTTGTCTTCTCTGTCTTTGAAATCTCTTAGAGAATTGTGAACTGATACTTTATACTGACTTTTTACTAGCTCCTAGCAATATTGCTTAGCAAATTGATTATTTCCTTCTGAAATGTTTGATGATGTATCCAGCTCTTATTAAAGTGCCCAAACCTTACTATTTAACTACTTGACAAGGGTTGCCAGTGGTGAATACCATATTCCACTTTAACTTTTTGGAATAGGAATTGAGGTCTTAATCCAATGAAAGTTTTATTTGTAGAAAAAAATAGACTGAATATTGTTTTTAAGTACAGTAAAAATATCTACACTTTTCCAGTTTCCCTAAGTAAACATTTTATGAGTAATTATTAGAAAGACAAAAAAGTGTGTAAGTTATTGTTAGAAAGTCATTCATGCTTGCAAGGATGTAGAGAAAAGGGAACTCATACACGGTTAGTAGGAATGTAAATTAGTACAGCCGTTATGGAAAATAGCATGGAGATTTTTCGAAAAACTAAAAGTAGAACTACCATAAGGTCTTGCAATCCCACTACTGGGTATTTATCCAAAGGAAAATAAATTAGTATGTCAAAGGGCTACATTTACCCCCATGTTTGTTGCAGCAGTGCTCAAGTAGCAAAGATATAGAATCAACCTAAGCGATCATCAACAGATGAATGAAGAAATAAAATATGGTAAATGTGCATAATAGAATAATACTTGGCCATAAAGAAATAATAAAATCCTGCCATTTGCAGCTATTTGGATGGAACTGGATTTCATTATGTTAAGTGAAAGGATCCAGGCACAGAAAGACAATATCTATCCTCATTCATATATGGGATCTGGGATAGTTTATCTTACAGAAACAGAGAGTAGAATGATACCAGAGGCTGAGAAGGGTATGTGTGTGTCAAGTGGTGAAAGGACATGAAAAGAGATCGGTTAATGGGTACAAATAAACAGTTAGATAGAAGGAATAAGTTCTAATATTCAGTAGCAAAGTAGAGTGTCTATAGTTAATAACAATGTATAGTTCAAAATAGCTAGAAATTAGGACTTGGAACGTTTTCAACACACAGAAATGATAAATACTCGAAGTGATGGATACCTTAAGTACCCTGAATTGATCATTACACACTCTATGCATGTAACAAAATATCACATGTACCCTATAAATATGTACAAATATTTGTACCAATAAATTTATAAAAAGAATTTCGAGTACAAAAAAACCGTAAAATTTATATTACCTAAATCAAGCAGATATTCTATTAAAATTATTACACCAAAAATATTTCAGGGAACTCTATTTTCTTTTCTGTTCTCATCATAAGAAAATGGAGCTCTAGAATAGCTTTTTATCAATTTAAGAGGACAGTATCCTTGCAGATCCAAGTAAAAATGAGGGCCTTCTTTAACTATTAAGTAATAATCAAGTCTATTTTTAAAGTGTTGATTAGTTTTTGAAAGCCCAGCATTGAGCTAGACATTTAGGAAACTTTGATGGAGGTTAAGGAGTTCTTAGAAAAATTGTGTCTAAAATCTGCTAGTTCTGCACTTGTAAGCTAAAATTTGCAGAAGCTAATATGATTGTTCTTGCTCAGTTCTCTTTGACTGCTGTGGCTTTTCATGTGAAGAAACCTTCAGGCGTTTTCATACAAAGAAATGTACAGGAAACAAATTGGGCTCTCTAATTTCACTCTTTCACTTGTAGCTTAAGTGTAGGTTTCTTAAATAATCCCACTAATATTTGTGGGAACTTGGAAATCTGGTGTTAACATACTGTCTTTAAAGCCTACTCAGGACACGGTTCACATGCCTTTTGCCTTTTTGAGGGTTGTTCTAACCAAAGTGTCACTATTTGTTTTCCAAGGTAGCTATTTTGTTTGCTATTTTAGGAATGATTCTTCAACATTGAATATATTTCCATAAAGTGACTGTGTATCCAGCTAAGATGCCTTGCCATTTCAATTCTACCAAGCATTAAATGACTATTGGATTTAAGTAGTTGCAACATTGCTGAATAGTTCCTGAGTATTCACATGAATATTGATGAGTATCTGGAATCTCTCTGACAAGTTTCCTAGATTACTTCAGTGTCAGAGGAAATTTTTAAAAATCTGTCTTCTTCGAACCATTGCATAGACAATATTGCACTGCAAACTGGCTCCTCCCATCTTATGAGGGTGTTTGATTTGAACTGATTTTTTAAATTAAGATTCTTAAAAATGTAATTGAAAAACCTGTGTAGGTCAGCTCAGTGAAATCTTAAAATATTTTAAATTCATTAAAATCTATGCAAAATTGGCAATACCTAAGAAACAACAGATGACAGGAATTTACTAGTCCTAATCTCATAACATTTATATACTCAATTGTGGTGAGACTATTGCCTTTTAAGTTCCATGACTTTTTTAGGTACTTAAATGCCAGTTAATCACAGATGCTTCGTAGATTTTATTTGGAGGGAATGCATTAATGTGGTTTTTGATATTTTTCCCCCCATAGGACATTTGGTTGGCTTCTGTCCCTTGAATGTTGCCAAGACATATTTCAACGCTTTCCCTTTTAATGATTCAGTTGTTGAAATCATCACTTGGCATGCAAATAATATTTATGGGGCCAACATAAAAAGCTACCACCCTTCCTTTATGGCATTTTAAAAACTGATAGATGAATAATATTTGATTTCACTCAGATATGACACATAATTCTTGAAAATGATTTTGCGTCTCATAATTTTTAAGAATTTATCTGCAGTAGGCAAAAATGGGAAACTGTAATATTATATTATAGGAAATGTTGTATATTTCTTCCGATTTTAAAATACTCCTTGCTTTTATAGAAAAACAATCAACATTTTCCCATCCGCTTCTAAAAGCACTAAGACTAAGGACAAAAACTTAGTAAAATTTAAAATAACAAAGTGAAAGAGTGGCAGACTAGATGTTTTGACATTAAATTTAGTTAAAACTCTAGTCATATTGGTTAGGTGACAAAATATGTGGGTGATTTATTTTTTAACAGTGATTTGAACAGATACCTTGGCATTTTAGGAACTCAGGTACAGAGAGTCATGGCACCAATAAACACTAATAATTTTTGACGATTAAAACTCTGGTTAGCCAAGAAAAAGAGATGTTCTTCACTCATTAAGGGAATACCAAGTCAGAATTCATAGCATCTAACTTTCCAAGTCTATATCCTATCTGGTACAGCAAAGTATTATTTTTCATGACTAATGACTGACTACAGTAAGTACTAAAACATATATCTGGCAGTAAAAGTTGTCTCTCTGATCTCACCACATCTTTTTATTCTTACTATCACGACCTTAACCTACTGTAGTATCCTTTCAGGTGGTTTTCCTATATAAGCTGTGTCACCCACTCTCAACAATTCTTTATTTATTTTCCACGATGAAACTAAAATAAGTCTGTGCTTTTCAGAATCCACTCTGAAGTGAAAGAAGCTAATCTGAAAAGGCTACATACTGAGTGATTCCAATTATAACATTCTGGAAAAGGACCTTGAAGACAATATAAAGATCCATGGTTGCCAAGGGTTAGGGGAAAGGGAAGGGATGAATGAGCAGAGCACAGGGAGTATTTGGGTCAGTAAAACTATTCTGCGTGATACTATAATGGTGGATACCTGTCTTATACATTTGACAAAACTCAGGCATGTACAGAGTAGACCATAATGTAGTAATGTAAACTATGAACTAGGATGATAATTGTATGCCAATTTTGGTTCATCAGTTACAACAAATGTATTGCTCTGGTACAAACTTTTGATAATGGGGGAGGCTATGTATATGTAGTGGTAAGATGTATATGAGAATCCTACTTTCTTAGTTGATATTGCTATGAATCTAAAACTACTTTAAAAAATAAACATAGCTGGGCGTGGTAGCTTATGCCTGTAATCCCAGCACTTTGGGAGGCCGAAGCAGGTAGATTGCTTGAGCCCAGGAGTTTGAGACCAGCCTAGGGAACATGGCGAAACCCCATCTCTACAAAAAAAAAAAAAAAATACAAAAATTTAGCCAGCCATGGTGGTGTGCACCTGTAGAACCAGCTGTTGAAGAGGCTGAGGTTGGAGGATCACCTGAGCCTGGGAGATTGAGGTTGCAGTGATCTATGAACATGCCAGCGCACTCCAGCTTAGGTGGCAGAGTGAGATCTTGTCTCAAACAAATAAACATACAAACAAACATAAAAACCCGATATTAAATCTGCTCTGATCTTGCATCTCCTTCTCAACTACTGAAAATGATTTATCACCTTCCCAGGAATGCTAAAATGAGTTGGAAGTTCCTAGCACAATACCTATCCACCTCTGTAACTCCATCTCCTCCATTCTCACTCTTTTTGTTCTCTGCTTTCCAGCCACATTGGTCTCTTTGAGGTATGAATGGTGCCTATGAAGTCCTTCCCCAGGGTTTTTGCCCCAACCCCTTCTCCTTGCCTAATAAATATCTACTCATCCTTCAGATCTACTCATTGTTATTTCCTAAAGAAAAAGTTTTTGAGGCCCATATCTTTCTGCAAAATTGGTTGCTTTTGCTGTATCTTTCATATAAAAAAAATTCCCCAGAGCCCTTATCACTTTTGTATTTAGACATTTAGAATAGATATTCATAATTATTTATTAATATCTGTCTCCACTACTAGACTGAAAGCATCTTGAAGCAATACGCTATTTTTGATCACCCCTGAACCCAGCGAATGTTTGCAACACAGGAGTCATTTAGCAAATATTCATTGAATGAATGAATAGAAGAAAGAACAAGGACTGCCAGATGTGCTGTTGGTTAAAAGTTTGCTCACTGTTTTCTCTAGCTATTAGAGCTAGAGAGTCACTGAAATAATGATTATTGGGGTCACCAAAATAAATGTTAATCTTTCAGAAAAAAAATTTTGAATATGCATTTTTAAAAGTCCCGTCACCATATATATATATATATTAACCCTAAGCGTCTGTATTTTATGTGGTTACTCAACTCTGTGGGTTTTTTTGATTTCAGATAGATACCAGCTTTGTGAACTTAAAGCAAGCAGTATGAATATAGTTCTTCAACAGTGGGGATTATCTGATGTCAGGGCTTCTCTCCATATCCAGCCTCTTGCAAGTCCTGGAAAATCATCTCTGGGTGGGTGGCCACTAGAGGAATTTCATTGTTCACTAACAGACTCAGAAATAAAGTTATTATTTAGCCATAGGGCAGCCTCGGATTCCTCTGGAAGGTATGCCTATGGCAGCCAGCATTAAGACCAAATCGCCATGAGGCTGCCTGTTTACAGAGGTTTGTTTACATACAGTATCCACTACACATTTTCTCTGACTTCATTAATAAACTGAGACAAAGAAACCATTTCCTTACTTTCCAGGTTAGCTGAGCAATTTATCTTAATTACTGTCAACCTTTAGTGACTACCATGGGGATTCTAAGCATTCACTTCACTAGTAATGATGTAAATTACTTATGAATTTTCAATAGGCAGCCATGGATTTTTGGCTTGTCTTACATGCACTTTTTTCCCCAACTGAAATTATATGTGTTTGTATATCTATATCTGTATCTATATCTATATGTTGAATATACATATATGGTAAATAAATGTATTCTAAATGAATGCCTTTCCTTATTACAGTCAATCCTTTCCCATGGTACCGTGGCAGACTGTGCTGTTGTTGGCAAGGAAGATCCCTTAAAAGGTCATGTCCCCTTAGCACTCTGTGTATTGAGAAAAGGTGAGAGATCTTTTTCTCCCTGATTGCTTGGGACCTGAATAATTAACTAAGGTTAATTCAGTGCTTACCATCTGAACTTTCTCTCTAGATATAAATGCAACAGAGGAGCAAGTTTTGGAAGAAATTGTGAAACACGTTAGACAGAACATTGGCCCTGTGGCTGCTTTTCGAAATGCAGTGTTTGTCAAACAGCTACCCAAAACCAGATCTGGCAAGATCCCCCGATCAGCTTTATCTGCCATTGTCAATGGCAAGCCATACAAGGTAAATTATCAAAGATATTTATTCCTGGGTTCTAAGATATTTTTCTTCATTTCTTTGGCATCAGCAAAGCTCTTAAAAATGGTTCTCAAATGTGAATTGCATCTCTAGAAAACACATAATAGTACTATTTTTTAATGTTAAGGGAGAGATTATATAGCCATTCCTTCTGTAGGAATGAAGGTTTTGGAAAGAAACTCAGATTAGTTAAGAACATATGCTTTGATGATAAGAACCAATGTGTGAAAATATTTTTATTTATTTATTTTAATTTAGAGATAGAGTCTTGCTTTATTACCCAGGCTGTAGTGCAGTGGTACAATCATGGCTCACTACAGCCACAAAGTTCTGATCTAAAGAGATCCTCTCACATCAGTCTCATAAGTAGTTGGGACTACAGGTGCATGCAACTGTGCCTGGCTAATTTTTTTCTTTTGTATTTATAGAGGTAGTGTTCTCACCATGTTGCCCAGGGTGGTCTTGAATTCCTGGGCTCAAGCGATTTGATTGCCTCAACCTCCCAAAGTGCTGGGATTACACGCCTGAGCCACTGCTGCCTGCCAAAATATTTTTTCTCTTAGTAATTGTCAGTTAAATTCAAACAAATTTGTGGAAACTTAATCCTATTGAATTAAAAGGTACATTTTCCTTATTATAGTAATTAATGGCAATTAGTGAATGAGAAAGCAAAATAATTGAGGCTAGCGGCAGTAGATGTTTAAAATGCTCTAACTGATAAATGCTAATTTTGTAATTATTTTAGGAAATCTTAGGCTGATTCAATCATATGTTTTAATTTGTGTGTACATTATGTGTGCAAAGATATACCTATTTTTATCATTAAGATAATAAAAGGCAATGCAACAGTAAGGAGTAGTTATGTGAACAAGTGACAAAAAAGAAACATTCTTTCTACAGAAATATATAGAAGACTCTTAAGAGGAACTCCAACTCTAGAGAAAATACCATCTAGGTCCAATAGTTTTGCTAACTGAACTGTTTATTTTTTTACTCTGGAAAGCTACAGATGAGTATTAATATATTAGGTTCAAAGTTCCCTATTTTTAAACTTTCCATATGAATATTACAAGACAATGGGGAAAACAACATTGCATATAATTGTTTAATTATAGAAAGAGTAGAAGAAATTCAAGGAAGAGTATTCACCTGACCCTAATTTTTTTTCCAGATAACTTCTACAATTGAAGACCCCAGCATTTTTGGCCACGTAGAAGAAATGCTGAAGCAAGCATAATGAGTTTGTCTTATTCCTATTTTGAGTTGATTTAATTTCTTAATTGAAATTAAATTATTTGAGTTGTTTCTCAGAAATAAATATTTCAGTAGAAATTACTTGCAAAATGAAATGTGAATTGTAAAACTTGGCCTAAACAAATCTAATGAAAACATGTGAAAGACCTGTGCCTTTTTTTTGGTTTGACCCTGTTAGCATTGTTATTAGTTATCTATAACATGGCTTATTGAATGTCATCTACTGCTTTAGGAAAAACGTATCTAGTGTATTATTTTTAAAATTGTACCTCCCAAGAAGAACACTTTAATTGAAAGCAACACTAATATAGAGCCACTTCCTGAAACCAAGAATCTGTAGTTTTGATCCAAAATCTAAAACTTAAAGTCAGAAAATAATTAAAATTTTTCTTGTAGAAATTTTAGATATTTTCTAGTATTCTTTAGATGCTCACATTGTTTTAAATAAAATAGATGAAATGGGAAGTTTAGGTAATCATCTAGACAGATGAAATTATTATCTAGGTAGGAGGGCTTTTCTATACATTTTCTGAGGGAAAGCAGAACACCGGGGTTATAGCTATACCTTCAGGTCTTTTGTTACTTAGGCAAGGAAAACCACATGTCTGACCTGGTTCAGCATGTAATCCGAGCACTTTGGGAGGCTGAGGCAGGCGGATCACTTGAGGTCAGCAGTTTGAGACGAGCCTGGCCAACATGGTGAAACCCTGTAGCTACTGAAAATACAAAAATAAGCCAGGCGTGGTGGCGGGAGGCTGAGGCAAGGAGAATCACTTGAATACAAGAGGCAGAGGTTGCAGTGAGCCAAGTTCCCCCACTGTACTCCAGCCTGGGTGACAGAGTAAGACTCCATCTCAAAACAACAAAAACAACAAAAAAACCACATGCCTGGCGGAGAACAAAGAGATCATTTAGTCCAATCTCTTCATGGAGATGAGGGCTCCTGGGAGCCCCTCTTCATGTCTCAGGTTCTTAGTTGACTATGTTTATCCAAATGATTCCAGATTCCTGTGGAAACAAGGAATCGATGTACAAATGGGGTAGGGTGGCAAGGAAAACTCTTAAGAGAGAAACATCAAGGTTTTCACATTAGGTTAAAGACAAGAAGGTTTCTAGGCAGGTAGTGTAATGTCTAGGTGATTTTGAAGTGAACTTAAGCCACTAGGTTTGAGGGACAAAGGACAGTAGAAAATGGTGAAGACTGCAGATCACCTGCTATACCTCAAGGAGCAGCGGACCCAGCAGAATATGGCCCAAAAAGGAGGCAGGTCTCCTGTTGCAAGAGCCTCTGTTTTTTTAAAGAGAAAACAAAGAATCCTGGTTTTTATGTGAAATCTCTAATTTTAAAATAATAACTCATTAAAAATATTGTAATGTCCAAAAGTATCTTTCCATTTAACTTCTAAAAATCTCTTAAATGTTTTTTTTAAATAATTGTAAAGTGAGTTTTTGTTAAGCTTATAGGAATGGGCCAGTTAACTAAGGTAGACAGATGTAGGAAATTAAATATTTGATTTACTTAGGGATCTATATGACATCAGTTATCAAAGAATACATTTTAACCCAAAAGTATACCATGCTCATTGTATCTTTGATCGTTCTTCAAGTATTTCTCAATCTTTTAATCTATCAGGAACA
Organism: Homo sapiens; assembly: GCF_000001405.40. Lineage (NCBI taxonomy): Eukaryota > Metazoa > Chordata > Mammalia > Primates > Hominidae > Homo > Homo sapiens. The sequence continues at coordinate 81,256,578 of NC_000012.12, forward strand.
TTACTATCAAGAGCAGATTGTTGTAACATAATACTCAGGATACATGAAATGTATGTGAGAGATAAATAGATAATAGAAAGTTTATTGTTATAAAAATGACCTACAACTTATATAAAAAAATTCTGAAAATGTTGACTTTTTTTGGACTGAAGACTGCAAAATAAATGGCTTCTCAAAGTAAATTCCTATTTACTTAAATTGCCTTCTTGATTGTTACACCTGGAAAAATATATTCATCTACTTTTTCCTTTTAATTATGTTAGTAGACTGAATTAAACCAGCTACATAGACACTCTCTCATTTGAAGCTGTTGGGATCCTTGAGTTGCCTCTTTCATTGGTACGTTTTATCCATTGTCACAACTGTGGTCTTCATTAATAACTCATTTTAATGTCTTAGGAGTAGAATGTGTTTCCTTATTTTTTTTCAAATAAGAGTCAGTTAATTTGAAATGGCAAATTATTTACCTGAATGTGTATCATTGTTCATTTGCAAGGTTTAAGCTCAGGCAGATCCAATAATTAGGTAAAGGTTGCATCTTTGGTCCTCTTGCACATTTTTTCTGGTAATCAAATCTGAAGCGACATCTCAGCAAGCAGACTTGGGTTATTTTCCACTAGGATGGGAATGGAAAACAGTGCTGGAGACTGGGGAAGTGGCTATTTCCTGTGTCTCACTGGGGAATTGCAAGATCAAAGAATGTTGTTACTTTTATGTGATGAAAAAATAGGGCAAGAAAGATATACCTGAATCATCAGACTGCTTAAAATTTGGGAGGAAAAAATTCTATTTTACTACTAACCATAAATCACTTTTGCTAGATAGTACTTTAAAGATTCTGAATTAAATGTATCTTTAAAAACAACAATATAATATTACTAAAAAATGCAGACATACTTAAACTTGCTAGAATAAATTCTGTGAGGTCTTCGTTTGGTATTTTCATAGGATTTCTTACTGTTAAGTTATTGGAAAATGAAAATATAAAGTGCTTTCAGAAGTTATAGTATTTTCCAATTCATTGAATTACTTTGCTTGTGAAAATATATTAAACATATTTAAATGAGACCTATCCTACATTTAAAAACCAGTTTTGTTTATATAAAATTGTATTTGAAAGGTCCTGAACATTAAAAATGTGAAAATTTATAATGTTGATGATCAAAAGTAACGTGTTGAGACTCTGAGCTTAATCCATTAAATGGATTTTAGAATCTAGTAGAAGTTATCTTTCTTATAAATTAAAACATATTTTATGCTTCTTTTTTGAGGGAAATACCTGGATCTTTTGCATCACTATATGTTAGTGTCTATTATAGATGATTAATCTTTCTAACTTGATCTTTAAAAGAAAGAAATTGATTTTAGTGATTGAGTGTTATATAATAGTAGATACAAATCTAGTTATGGCATTATAATGTCGTAGTTCCTATATTCTATTTCATTTCTATGAATCAAGATGCCCATGTTTAGATGAGCTTAGAAAGCTACTTCTCATTGTTCCTACTCAGGCCACATTTTTAGAAAAAAATTTTAAGATCACTCCCATAAGCAAGTTTAGATCTCCCTCTTGTGGCAGACTCAATTTTGAAGCTAAATATTTGGGTCACCCAAAGAACACATTTCCTGATAGTTTAAGTAAATTGTCGAGCCTTATGTGACTAGAAAACAAAGCTTAAACAGAGAACTGGAATTATTATTTTTTTTATTGACAATGGAAAGGGTTTCTGTTATCATTACCTTTTGACTGAATCTGTTAAATAAAAATAGACATCAAAACAAATGTAATGTACGTGCAAACATAGCAAATTAAAATACAGAAAAGAAATTACTAATGACAGGTCTTGCGCTTAATAAGATCAAGCAGCAGAAAATCAGCAGTTAGATAAATGGTATTATTAAATAGGCTTTACTTTGAATCTCCCATATAAACAAAGAATAAACAACAGTAACACCACCAAATAAAGCCACAGGGAAGAGATTACTCTTCTATACTTTTATACACTATATATGTTAATCATTCTGTCTTTCATTTATTTCCTCTGATAAAACTGACTTCAGGGAAGTCGCAACAAGGCCATCTCGGCTAAAAGCTTATAACATTAGACATGAGTCTGGCTAATGCCCTGTTACATTGACAAAAGGGAAAGGTATCTTGGGTTTCGTTTTCTCTAGTGGAAATGAGCCTCAGACTCTGCGGTGGTTGACATTCACTGTCCAGTACTGGCTGGCATTTCAAGATATTTGAATGAACATGTGGTTCTTAGTAAAGAAGTTTTTTTATCTTTTTTTTTTTCTTGGTCCACAGGTAACAAGAGAAGATTATGGTTTTTTAATATAAATTTTTAAATAATTGCTTTTGACCCTTGTAAACAGCTTGGCTTTGTTTTGTATTGAAAAGGAGATCAAGCCATCACAGTGCTATTTCTAAAGATATAGGACATCCCTGATTGCCTTTAAAGCTCTATTTTTGGCTCCGGTTCCAGGTTAAATCATTCTTTTTTACATGATCAGAGGCAGGTTGTTCAGCTTTAAGTATTGACAGACTTGAAGGAGAAACACGTTGAAGCATGAAACATGCTTCAAGGAAACATATTGATTTGACTATTAACAATCCAAAAACTGTAAAAATGGTGGAATGGTAAAATACAAACAGTACTTGGAATTGTCAAATGTTTGCACTCGAGACTCCATGAACCATATATTTTATTTTTTAAAAAATCATATTTATATCCATTTACATAAGACTTACACATTTAAAAAGAAATGCACGGTAATACATAAATGCCTAGTATATTACAATAAAACATGAAAAACAACTGGCTTCATTTCATAAAAGCATCTGTTGTACAGAGTTTATGATGTAGATGATGTTTATTATTCAAATGACTTAAGCATTTTATTACAATTTGTAGTAAACTAATCAAATGTAATATCTGACTCCCCCCAAAAATCACATTTTTCAGCTTTTAATAAGTCATGACGTCATTATTTCCTTAGAATTCAGTTTTCACAAAGGTTTTCACTGCTCGTCTTCTTAGATGGTAGTGCACTTTAGGTAGAGTAGACTGAAAAGACGCCATCTAAAATATACAATGGATAGCATTAGTTCACTGAAAAGTCCCAGACTGGGAAATCTCATTCTACTCCTCTGTGGTGTACCTCCACGCAGCCTGCTTACTCCTGTCCTAGAAGATCATGAGAAGGAAATCATCTAGGATGTAGCCAACAGCCGTATGTAATTAACATTTGCTTTTCTCCAATTTGGTGCAGGGGAGCTTAACAAATAATAGAATTTGCTCAACTTTGTGGAAAGTATGGCAGTAATGTAAACAAAGGTAGTTATGCAAAATGTTAGCATGCCTTCTGAAAAATTTACAACTTGCTAATTAATAAATTGGGTTGAATTGACCTATTTCATAATGTAGATTTATATTCTAGTTCATATATTTTAGAGTTCTTAAAAAATACCTTTATTTGTTACAAAAACATAACGATAATAAGTCACCTATTGTAAACGTTTGTGTCAGTAGTATGGCATTGCTGATTGTTTTCAGCCATAATGTACTTAGAAAAAGCTCACAATTGCTATTACTGACACAAAAGAAACAGCAAGTAGTATGCTCTGGATTATTTTAATATCAAAAGTGTTGTTGTTTCACCCAAACAAAAAATGGTTGTCCTAGATTGAATTATTGTAAATGAATACTGTTATCCCAATTAATGGTAAAAACTAGGAAATATGAACTAGAATGTCATGCACAAAAAACAGATTGCAAATAGAGTAACTCTACCCATCACTTAAGAGCTAAGAAGCAAGCACTATTGAACATATTAAATAGTCATTTGTAAATTAGTGAAGTGTTCATTTCCTGAAGAAATTATAATGCTATGTGTAGAATCTAATATAAACAGTATTTTGGGAGACCTCTTATTTAGCCAAATTATTATATACTTTAAATCATGTCTAATTAGGTGCCAAATTATATACCATAATTAAAATTTTAATGTAAGGGTTGTACATTCTGAAATTAAATCTCTTATCGGGATGCTTTTCATTTTATCAGCTTCAAATAGTGATCCAAATAAGGCAGCATATCTGCTCCCATCCTAAGCCCAAAAGACCAACAATAAATTGTGTGGCACTTTTAGTTCAAGGCAATGAAAACAGCACAAGGTGAGTTGTTCCTCTGTCTATAACTGTTTTCTCTTAACCCTGTGCACACATTTTGTTCTAAATATCGCTCTTAAAAAGTATTTTTCTAAAATATTGATTCATCGAAAGTGGTTAAATATTTTGGTAAAGCATAGTTTTAGGTTGAAAAAAAATTATGAACATTTGACATTTATAAATCTAAGAAACCACAGTTTTACTATTAAGACTGTTTTTCAATAAAACCTCATTTTTATATGGATTTTAAAGTAGCTTTCATTAATTGGTATTTCCTTAAAATCAAATGCTTGGTATTTATGGTTACATAGGAAGGTTTTGTGCTGGTCCTATTCTCCATTCTTAAAGTAATTTTATTTTGTTCCTATATGTCTTAAATACTTAAAATTTATATTTGTTTTTAGCAAGTGTAAATCAGATTGATAAGAAACAATGTAATAAAGGTTTGAATTTTTCACAGTTTCTACTATTTATTTATTGATTTATTTTAAGACGGAGTCATGCTCTGTCACCCAAGCTTGAGTGCAGTGGCACCATCGCTCACTGCAACTTCTGCCTCCCAGGTTCAAGTGACTCTCTTGCCTCAGCCTCCCAAGTAGATGGGATTATGGGAGTGCAACACCATGCCTGGCTACTTTTTGTGTTTTTAGTAGAGATGAGGTTTCACCATGTTGGCCAGGCTGGTCTCTAACTCCTGACCTGAAGTGATCCACCTGCCTCGGCAAGTTTCTATTTTTTAATATGAAACCATCTCTAAATCATTTTCCTGTCTGTTGCTATTTGACTCGGTGAACTTGCTTAAATCCCTATCCGCTACCTTGGCTTCCTTATATAAAATATACACTTAAAAAGATAGGATTTTTTAAAGTGCTGAATTATTATCAATAAAATGCTAAGTTACTCAACAGGAAATGGTACTAAAAAGTAGAAAACAGTGTAGTGGCAACCCATTGATGTGTAATAATACAGTGATAGGCCTCCAACAGGCAGACCTTAAACCACAGGAGACAGATGGTGATAGGAAATGCTAGACTAAGTGTTACAATATGAAGATTTCTTTTTCCCCTGAAGCAATTCAAAAGGGTTATCTCATTTCTGTACTGCTAGGGCATACCAAAGAGTATAGTGTATATTTATTAGTCTATGTAGGTTCCATTTTTTTGTCTTTTTTTTTTTGTCAGCCAAAGGGAAACTACTCACAGCAGGTCAGTGCTGCCTCCTTTGAGTGGCTGGTCAACATGAGTATGTGCGAACAGTGGAGTTGTCTAACCTCTGCAGTCTTGATGAAGCAACTGCAAATGGAGAAAAGGGCTTTAGAGGGACTTGGATGATTGAGTACAAGATTTCAGATGAGAAAGATTTATTTTCCCTGCATACAGGGATTCCGAACATATTAGTAGACCTTCTTTCTCTCAGATATAAGCCACTCACATTCCTCTTCTCTAGATCAAGTTCCTAATGAAAATTTATCCCAATGTAAATGACCTGAGCTTTTGAGTTGTTATGTATTCTTCCTTAGATAAAATCGGTAACAAGAGCAGCTCCCGAGGGTGCTTCTGATTTTGATATGGAGATTGCTCTTAGAGAACTCATTATAGTGGATTTTTTTTCCTTTCCAAGTATTGAAGAACTTCTACACTAATTGTAATGATGTTAAATTCCTCATGAATTTCGCTGACATGTTCCACCGTATTAACAAGTTGTAAGAAATGTAGATCAAGATCACAGTTTATGTTGGAACTAAATTTGAGTTATAATAACTGTGACCTTGACAAGAAATAATGATGCTAGGTGATTATCTTAACAAATAGCATGGGACTATTTTTCTTTAATGCCTCCCAAACAGAAATAATTTTGTGACTACTATTTCAAAGTTGTCTCTCCTCTGGAATGACTTTTCTTTTGTAAATTAGATAGCTTAAGTCTAATGTCCACAGAAGGAAATAGTAATTGGGAAATTACTGTGTTTTGTGTTTCTTTAATTCTCTTCTCATGTTCATGGCTTGTTTATTTAAGGGCTTCTGCTTTGGCTAGAGGGAAAAATATTTGATGAGTGAATTTCTAAGATGACATATAAAACTCGCAGTATTTAAACATGTAGGGAGACAGTGGAGTTAATTTCCATTTACTATGGATCTTTAGTCCAAGTCCAACCTCTAACTTAAACAAATTGTTAATTTTGGGAATAGAAGACTAAAGAAACACAAATCCTGCCGATGTTTATTGTTCCTCCTAGAGGTGGACATTAACCAAATTGTTCTTTTTGGGATGTTATAAATTATTTTGAAAATGTGAATAAAGTGCCATGAGTTCATGCAATAGCAGTGTAAAAAGGAGTCTGGTTTGTGATGAGAGCAAAGTAAATTTCAAGCAGAGCAAACCAACTCAAGAAAATAATTCCAAAAAGCAAGGTCAGAGAATTATACTAGCTTTGGCTAAACAAGCTTTTTGCTTGATAAGCAGCAATGCAAAACTACTGTACCATCTGTTGTCATTTTTCTTGACTGCCCAGAGGTTGTGGTTAACCTAAATCCAGCTGGTAATGTTTCTGAGGACCCAGGCATCATGCTGATTCCATGTACTTCACGAGGAGGAAACTGCCTTCTCCAGGTTGATCCACGTCTGAAGTTCTTGTCATCACTCTGCCAGTACAGTTATAAGGTGATGTTATGAAAACAAGTAAACTAGTCCATGTGCTTAAAGCTCTGTGCTTAGAAACATGTAACATAGATTATTTACATTTAGTCTGTCAAGTATACGTATGGAATCACGCTTTATCAAGATAGTTAGTTCTATGATTCCAAAACAAGACTATAGGAGATTTGATATATAAATTTTTAAATAAAACTTTTCATACAATTTCAAATTTAAGGTCTGACATCTATACAGTAAATATCCTTGAAAGCCTAAAATAAGCAACCAATGTTTTCCAAAATAAATATTGTATATACATTGTTCCACTTTATGCCGACGGGTTTTATGGAAAGAGATGATATACTTAATTGAATCAGTTGTTGAGTAGACTACATTTAACTCACACACTTGAATGAAATGACTTCTATGTACACAAATACAATGTAGGTATTTATTTTGGGGAAATCTATATTTGAGATGGCATGGCTAATATGAGACACTGTAGCCTATTATAATATCTGTACAAGAAACTCTAAATATGTGATTTGTGAAGTTTTAGGTGACACAGAATTAACTTGCAATTTGTTGAAAAATCTGTGTAGCCTGGACACCATCCTTTCAATAAGTACATGTGGTCTTTGGGTACCACCGAAAGCATAATATTACCCTGGTTACATTTTAATAATGTGTATTTTAATATACACAGAGGCAGAGAGTCACATCCCATTTAATTGGCCCAGTAGACTTTTTCTCTAGTTCATTACTATCAGGAAGCAACATCATACCCCACATAGGCTAGTGTCTCTACTTGGACAGATCCTAGGGTGAATCCACATTTTAGAATGTAGCATAGCAATTACATTTTAATTCTGGTTGCTGATTTTGTTATGCCTTAATAAAATAATCTCTTCCTTCTCTTTGTGTACATAAAGTACTTTTACAGACATAATTATTTTCCTCCAAATTGGCAAGTAGCAATATATAATTCAGCAGTCAATGAATATTCTGTGTCTAATTCCAAGGAAAATATGAATCATTCCACATAGGTCTTGTCTTCTCATCTCACTGTTTCTTATCTAGGGAAGGACTATCTATGCCATAGATAGGTATAGCCAAGTATATGTTGTGTATCCTAATATCTCATTTGATTTCATTCTGGCATTTGGAATAATAAGTCTATATTCACTCAACATAGTAATTTGTGCTATGTTATAGTGAATAATTCTATAAGGTAGGCTTTGTAGACTGCTATATTAATTAAGGGACATTTAAAGTCAATCAGGGAAAAATAAAATCATTTTTATATAATAACATATATCCACTGTTTCAATCCTTATCATCATTAAAATCTACATTTTGTTTCAGTGTGGTAGCCATTTTGCACATTAAGAGATGTCCGCTACTCTTCCCAACTGCTGTGTTTTTCATTGCCCTAGATCTCCAAATGTGTGTAAATGTAGAAAAGAAACAGAATTTCACAGTTGCAGCCTCTACGACTTCTTGATTCTTGGAGAAGTTTTTGCATTAAGCATAAATAGTCTTCAGTTTTATAAAACACTATGTTACACTGTAGAGCTACACAACTCCTTACAGTGTCGTAGCTAGGGGCTTAAAAATAAGCCAGTTTTGGCTGGGCGTGGTGGCTCACGCCTGTAATCCCAGCATTTTGGGAGGCTGAGGTGGGCGGATCACCTGAGGTCAGGAGTTCCAGACCAGCCTGACCAACATGGAGAAACCCTGTCTCTACTAAAAAATACAAAATTAGATGGGTGTGGTGGCACATGCCTGTAATCCCAGCTACTTGGGAGGCTCAGGTGGGAGAATCGCTGGAACCCAGGAGACGGAGGTTGTGGTGAGCCGAGATCACACCATTGCACTCCAGCCTGGGCAACAAGAGCGAAACTCTGTCAAAAAAAAAAAAAAAAAAAAAAAAAATTGCCAGTTTTTAGAGTTAAGCGTTTGAATTATGATTCCTGACTTCTGTTCTTTCAACATATTGTTACTGCAGAAAGTTGATAGAACTATAAACAACAACATCATGGGGAAAACTTTTCATGAGATAGGGTTAATTCTTTTAATTGGGGTCAAAGTCTGTATAAGCTTGTTGACACCTCTCAGATTATTTCAGTGGAATCTGAATGTGATCAGCAAAACCGCAGAAATAAGTCCACTACTGTTCTAAGTAAGTTGGCTATTTTTGCTCACACTAAAAAATAAAATAAAATTGAACAAAAGAGACTAGAGGGTTTAAATGACAAAATTCTATTTTGTGCTTTTAAAAATAAGAAAAAGCAGCAGCATAGTTTAAAGACAACGAGTCGCATCTCGTTTAATTGGCTCAATAGACTTTTCTTCTAGTTCATTACTATTAAGAAGCTACCCCACACCTGGACAGCTCCTAAGAGAATGTAGCAATATGACAACTCTTCAATAATTTTTTATTAGAAATTTTTGCAACTTATAAGTAAGAATAATTGTATTTTAAGATGTATGAGTTTATAAGACTACCTTTTTGAATCAATAATTTCTAGTAAGGATTTAAAAGACTGTCATGCAACTTATAAGACGAGGCTTTTAAAAATATTAATCATTATGCTGATTGAATAAGAGCATGAATTTATCAGAAGTTAGCTGAGTTCAAGACTGTAGAACTTATCTCTCTATAATCCCCACCATAAAGGACAGAGTGGATTTTATAATACCAAGATTATCTGTCCTGCCTATTTGAATATAGAATGATTGGTCCATATTTGAATTTGCTGAGGTCTTCACAAAATAATTTTAATCAGCTTGTCTTTGTAGTAAGGAACACCTGTACTTTGCAACACAGAATTATGCATCTCTTTATTTTCTATTTCATGCTCAGGTTTCCTTCCCACTTCTTCCAGAAAGACCCTGTAGAAAAACTCAGAAAGACTATTAAAATGTCTACAGTCCACAGCATTTGCTGATATCCCTTGTATTCATTCATCTCGGGAGGCTACTTACATGTTTATTATTTTCCAAATAACTTAATATGCACATATTATATAGCGATTCTTATATTCAATATAGCTTTCAAATTCTATGACTGTTAAAATGTTATTAATCTGTTTTGAAGGAAAACTCAGTATCAATATATAAAATAATAAAAAGCTTTCCATTTATTGAAGCAAGTTTTATCCTCATTTTAATTTTCTAAAATTTCCTGGCAAGATATACTGATATTTAAGAAATACACGCACTCTTTATTAAAAAGCTGAATTTATCAACATTAGTGTTTTAACTTTTTTCTAATTTTTTAAAATAATGTTGCCCAACGTTTTGCAGTCACGACTCATAAAAATGTTTTGTAAATTACTGTTTAGTATCTCTACCTGCTGAAATGATAATATTTATGAATTAATATAGCTCTTTCCAAAATTAAGTAATAAGATTGAATATTTAACAACAAACCTGGAGAAAATTATTGATTCTAACCATAGAACAGTCATTTGATTAATTTCCAAGCACTATTCCTTAAAAACAAAGATGTTCTATCATTTTTCTTTTACTCTCTCAGATCTCTTTTGAATAACAGGTGGACTTACTTCATCCAGTCGCCTTTCAGTTCCCAGGGCCAAGAGGTTATTGTATTCTCTTTCAAGAATCTGCCTTGCCTGTTGACGTCAAATTACAGTTACCATCACCGAAATCACATTTTATTTTAAAAATCAAGTAGCTTATATTTATCTGATAATGTATTATAAACCATACTTTATTTATGGGTTTTGAAGTTTTTAGCCCTCCATGTCTGTTATTAGCCATTGTAAATTTTAACTACAAAAAAAACAGGGCTTTTTTTTTTTTTTCTGTGAACAGTAGAGAGACAGTCTTGCATAAACATCTGAGGTCAAGAGGCTTTGGCCTCACTTCGTTACTATATTTCAATTGAGTATTTTGTTTAATCTCTGAAATATGTAAAAACAAAATAAAAAGTGAAACGAGACTGCCAAATTTTTATTGAATCTATGTAGGTAGTTCTCAAACCTGGCCAATGATTATCATTTGAGGAAAGTTTTGATAATAAAGATTCCTATGCCCTATCTCTTGACAACTGATGTCTTAGGACTATGATGTGGGTTGGAGGTTTTATTTTTTATTCATAAGGAACTATACTGATTCAAATTATTATCCAGTTTTGGGAATCACTGACATATCCAATGCTAAGAGTCTGTATAATTCATACATGTAAATAGAAATGACTGCCTCTCAGAGAGGCAGAGACTGATGGCCATCTGTCAGGGATTTCATTTAGTGGAATCTGGCATTCAGGTGGGAGACTGGGCCACATAACTTCGAAATCCCTTTCTTGTTTAATTGTATGATTTTTTTTTTTTTTTTTTTGGCTAGAAATCCACTAGCCTGAAATTAAAACCCCAGTGACATATTTCAAACATTGAGTTAACTTTCATTAACAATCATGAATACACAGCCAATTTTTTTCTAAAAGTTTAGTTTATCATTATATAAACCAGAACACATTGAGACTACAGCAGAAAGTGACTTGCCTGGGTGTTCTGTGTTGGAATCTGTAATAATAAAGCTAAGCTGCTGTAGTCAAAGTTTTCATCCAGGGCTATAAGTGAGCCATGCACACCGCTCTCAAGTATATTATTTGCATATTCTCGAAGTCCAATTGCTTGTATCCAGCGAATAACTCGGTCATTGCTCCACACCAACACGTCTAGGAAAAGAGATGCATCATTTTAGGATGCATTATTTTTCTTTCTTTTTTTTTTTTTTTTTTTTTTTTGAGACGGAGACTCGCTCTGTCGCCCAGGCTGGAGTGCAGTGGCGGGATCTCGGCTCACTGCAAGCTCCGCCTCCCGGGTTCACGCCATTCTCCTGCCTCAGCCTCCCAAGTAGCTGGGACTACAGGCGCCCGCCACTACGCCCGGCTAATTTTTTGTATTTTTAGTAGAGACGGGGTTTCACCGTTTTAGCCGGGATGGTCTCGATCTCCTGACCTCGTGATCCGCCCGCCTCGGCCTCCCAAAGTGCTGGGATTACAGGCGTGAGCCACCGCGCCCGGCGCATTATTTTTCATAGTAGAACCACTGGCTGAAATGAGCCATGGGTATCTGGCCAGGTCACATTTATGCTGATTCATCCACACTCTAATCCATCTGGCTCCCTTCATTTGTGTGTAGTTACTGTTTTAATAATTAATCTTTTCGAGTCTCTATTTAAAAAAGTTGTTATTTTTCAGAGTGTTTGTTATAGCTAAAATGACAGCACTTCAGTCGCGTAGAACACGATGTCTGTGTTTCTTGTTTTCATACTAGAGAACTAGGTGTCTGTCTGAAGTTCAATATTTTTACCATCAGAGGGAGACATTTCTTATTTGTGTCTTGATACACACCTCTTCAGTAAACAGCAGACGAGATTGTAATACTGTCTTTCATCAGAAGTGTTTGTTAACCACTACCTAAACATTGGCATATAGACTAGAAGATTTTTTTTCACCTGAAGTAATATATAAGAACAGAACGGTAAAATAATATAAGGCATCAACAGATGGATACTTACCTTAGTATTATATTTCAATGCATTTTTCCCAATCACATGCTAATGCAAAATTCAAGCACTCAGTCAAATGTCAAAAATTGTTTCCACTCTATTGAAAGTAGTATTCTATTGAGGAAAAAATTTCTTTGATTTTTATTTTCTAAAAATAAAACTTTCAGAGAAAAATGCCGTTTCTTTTTTTTTAGATAAAAACATCAAATTATGTTTTATCATTTATTTTCTTCAATATCTTCCCATTAAAAGTTGACAGAATGCTATATAAAATGAGTAAAATAGTCCGAAGGACTAAAATTGTCCATAGAAAAGAAAGAATTTTAAGAAACTTAAGGGGATATGAGAAAAAAATTAAAACATTTTTACTACCCATAGAAAGGGAAAGGAAACTATAATTACTATTAAAGTAAAAGTAAGTTTTCCTGTCCATTTTTTTTCTTTCTAATGAAGTGCCTAGCTCTTTCAGACAAAGTATAAAAATCTTTCAGGAAATATTCTTCAACTTTAACTGTTTTAAATACCTGTTTCAATAAGCCTTTGAAAAGCATGTTCTAAATAATTATTTTGATGAGTCTTTGAAAATCCTTATTTATCTTATTTTATCCATTTATAACCAACTTAGATGTTCTTGTGTATAACTTTGAAGCAATACAGTGATAGCACAGACCCACAGAGGTCCCCTCATGCAACTTCTCAGGCACCATTCTCACCTAACAGTAACCAATATTCTGACTTCTTTCATTACAGAATCGCCTTGCCCGATTTATTTTTTTTAGCTTTTCATACATAAAATCACCCAATATGTACTTTTTTGTCTGCCTTTCATTCAATATGGAATTTATCTACGCTTTAGCAAATAGCAGTGGCGTGTTCATGATCATTGCTATCTAGCATCCCATTGCATGATTATGCTGCAATGTGTCCATTCTACTGTAGATGGACATGTGAGTAGATTCCACTTTGGGTTATTAAGAATAGTGTTCCTTTGAGGGGGAAAGGGTGGGGGATGGCAAGGGATAAAAAACAACACATCGGGTACAGGGTACACTGCTTGGTTGATGAGTGGACCAAAATGTCAGAAAAATCACCACTAAAGAACTTGTTCATGTAACCTAACACCACCTGTTCCCCAAAAACCTATTGAAATAAAAAAACAATAAATAGTGCTGCTTTGAATATTGTTATACATGGATTTTGTTTTGTATATTTACATGTTGCAGTAGAATAAATAACAAGGAATAGAATTGTTATGTGTTTACTTGTTAGCAGATATTGCTAAGCAAATTCCACTCTCACAATTTAACCTTGCATTATTAATGTCTGAACATCTTCATCTTTACCAATGCTTTGTATTTCTCATTTTTGTTCTTGTTTTGTCTTGCTTTTTTTAGTCATTATGGTAGGTGTGGTATTATGGGTTGAATTGTGTTCCCCAAAATTCTTGTAGAAGCCCTAACTTCCAGTACCTAAGAATGTAACCTTACTTGGATATCAGGTCTTTATAGAAATGATCAATTAAAATGAGTCAATAGAGTGGGCCCAAATTCAATGAGACTGTTATCATTCTTGAATGGCAAAATTTGGAAATAGACATGCACACATGGAGAGCATTATGTGACTATGAAGGCAGGGATCGTGGCGATGTTCCTACCCGCCAAAGAACATCAAAAATTGCCAGCAAATCACCAGAAGTCAGGGGGCGAAGCGAATAGCAGATTCTTTTCAGTAGCAACTGACTCTGCTAACACCTTGGTCTGGAACTTCTAGTGTGTAAAAGTGTGAGACAACACATTTCTGTTGTTTAAGACACACAATCTGTGGTACTTTGATACAGCAGCCCTGACAAACTAATACATGGGGTGTCTCATTGTAGTTTTAATCAGTAACACCCATTATGAACTGAAAACGTCTGCTACTTTTAAGGTTTGTCAGTTTTTACTTTCCATATTTTAAATCTACATATTAGATGTATACTAATTTGCTATATCTTTCCTTCTATTATTTGAAAATAGCCAACTTATTTCTAGTATGTTTCCTGCCTTAAAGTTTATATTCTGATATTAGAAGAATCACAGTAGCTTTGGTTAATATTTGCATGTATACCTCATTTACTAATAAGTTTTCTATGTTCTTATATTGAAAGTGTGTCCATTGTATACAGCATATCATTGTTTTTTAATCTGTCCTTAAATTGAAGTAGTTAGTTCTTGCCCATTTAATATTATTACTTTGATATTTGTGCTGAATTCTACCATCTATTTGTCCTATCTGTTCTTTGTTCTTTTTCTCTCTTTCTTGCCATTTATTGTTTTCTTATTTTATTCTACCACTCCATTAGCTTTCTTTTTTCTTTTATTTTTTGAGACTCAGTCTCACTCTTGTTGCCCAGGCTGGAGTGCAATGGCATGATCTCTGCTTACTGCAACCTCTGCCTCCAAGGTTCAAGCGATTCTCCTGCCTCACCCTCCCAAGTAGCTGGGACTACAGGCATGCGCCACCACACCTGGCTAATTTTGTATTTTTGCTAGAGATGGGGTTTTACCATGTTAGTCAGGCTGGTCTCATCTCCTGACCTCAGGTGATCCACCTGCCTTGGTCTGCCAAAGTGCTGAGATTATAGGCATGAGCCACCATGCCCGGCCCTCTATTAGCTTTTTATATTTACACTTTATATTATTATTTTAGTAGTGACACTTAAAGCTTATAATATGTGTTCTTATTAGAGTCTACTATAAATTATTCCTTTTATTATTTTCTAGATAATGCAAAGACTTTCAAATAATTTAATTTCACTTATTCCCTTCCTTTTGCATTATAGTTATGTATTTTAATTCTATGTAAAATTTAAGTCCTGCAGATATTATTTTTACTATTATTATGACATTTACCCATACATTTTTCAGTTCTCCTCCATCATGTGTGCATTTTTTTATTATCTTTATGATCATTTCCATCTGCCTGAATCACTTATTCTAATATTTCTTTTCTATTTGTTTTTTTTCTGGTGAAATAGTCTCTCAGATTTTGTTTGTCTGAAAGTTTATTAATTCTCTCTTTACTATTGATGGACATACTTCAAAGTAAGTTAGTTTGATTCAGCATTTTAAGGTAATAATTCCATTTTCCTCTAGCATTATTTAGTTGAGCAATATCAGTTATATTATGTTGCGCCATTGAAATTATTGTGGAGTTTACTCTGGCAGATTCTAAGATTTTGGGGTGTGGGAAATCATGGTTTTCAGTAGCTCTATTGTAATGTGTTTAGACGTGTTTTTATTTCCGCTTTTATTTTTAATCTCACTTGGGGTCCATCGAGAACCTTGAGTCTGTGGTTTATCATTTCAATTATTTTCTTTTTATGTCTCCACCAGTATCTTTTCAAATATTGCTTCTTTCTTATTGTCTCTTACCTCACCATGTCCAATATGTCTCTAGTGATGTTTTATATCATTCGTCCTTTTTGTTTCTTGTCATATGTGGGCTAGATGTTTTCAAGTGATCTTTTATTTCACTAAACTCTCTTCTACTGTTAAACCACCTATTGTGTTCTCAATTTAAGTCTTTATACTTTTCACTTCTTCAAATTTCCATTTGATTATTTGTTAAACATATTGATTCCAACTATATTAAATTCTCCATTTTCTCACTTATATTCCTTACATATTTTTTAATAAACACTGTCAGGGTCAACTATGGATATGTTTCTTTTTTCTGATTTTATCATCGTGGTTTTCCTCATTTTGGCCATTATCTGACATGTCTGAATTTTTCTTTTATTGGCTCTCACATAATATGATTGAAAAATTGCAGAGGCTCTGAATGTCAACTTCTTCTTAAAAGGACTTTTATGTTTTTCTGAAGTTATAATAAGGGCAGATCAACTTAATTCCAATTAAAGATTGAGATAAATCAATGCTAGATTTCAATTTTAACATTTCAAAATAAAGCTTAGGAATCTCCTTCACTATAGTAACCATTTTACTACCTATATGTGTTCTGTAATATGTTCTAAACCTCAAATATACATAATAAAATTTATTTTTAACATTAATAGACATAATAAATAGCCTGATCTGTTTAAGTTTACCCTAGTCCTACGGTGTGTTTTATCAGAGACCTCAAATTAAAGCATATTTGGTGGTTATGACCTTTGATTTTTTTTACTGTATTATCATGAGATTACAACAGTTCTCTTTCTAGATTTATTACCCTTTGGCTTCAGCTTTCTGTTCAATTTTTAGATTATAATTCCATCCTTCTTGGAAGTCCACAAATGTCTCTAGAGGAGTATTGTATAAATGGTCAGTCTTACTTATTTTATTATTACTATGTTTTACACATTCTTTGCTCCTGAAGGCCCGGCAGTTTTGGCACCTCTAAATTCCAATCCCCACCACCACCCCACTCCGTTCCCTGCTTCTCTGTTAGATAGAGGAAAAACAGAAGAGAATGACAGTTTTACTATTTCCTTACATTTTTCTTTTTTCCAAGATCATAACCTCTCAAGTCTTGTCCCTCTTAATTGGTTTCTACTGTTTTCAAATAGCTCTTTATTACCATTTATTGATTTATCTATCCTTTCTATTTCTTCTTAGTGGAAGATTGGTCTGACTTAATATGCTCCAATCTATCAGAAGTAGAAGTTCTTCAAATTAGTTGGTGTCCTTTCTGTCTGTGCCAATCCACAGTACTAGCAAAACATTTGTATATGAATCTGGAAGCTGAACATGTATCAGCCTCACATCTCTCTACTTAACTCCTTTTGTGGATAGAATGATCTCATTTCAAAAGAAAGGTCCTAGATCTTTCTTTGGATTTAGATAATAAGGAATATGAGAGGAATGCCCACATCCCACAGTCTTATTATTATTAGCTGCTCCATTCAAAGCAGAATGAATTTCTGCCCGAAGAAGGACATTTATTGTCCTCCCCTCAGAGTTTTGCCTCTTTCTCCCCGCCCCCCCCCAAACCGGTCTGCAGCAAAGCAAAGGATTTCCTTAATATTCTTTACTATATAAGGAAATTTTATATTATACATGTTAATTGTCTCTCTGAGTCAGTTCTGAAGTGTAGCTTTTCCTCCGAGTTTTCCTTAGCCTATTCCATTGAGGTTTTCAGACCTCAGAAAATGGGATGTGAGTTGGTTAGCATCACATTTTGGCTATATAATCAGCTGCTGCTGATAGTTACTGATTCATTCTAACAACTGGTTACCCTACACTTGAATCCCAAAAGCTAGGCAAGTGCTTGTGGGTGGCAGCAACAGTTCTCCACTTAATTTTATTAAACACACCGTTTTTTAAAAATGAACGTGACAATGCTCTCAATAATAAAAAATAAATCCAGTTTTCTTTGCACTAGTTGGATTTGTAAATAGGGAGTATTTGGTTTTTTTCTAGACTTAGGTTTATATTTTGATAGTCTAAGACATATTATGTGGTCGTGATATTTCTGCAAATATGTGCCCATCAAAAATTCCATCGTCACACCTGTAGTTAAGAGTGATCAAATATTTAAACTGATCTGTTTATGAGGTAAAGACAAATAAAGCATTAATTCAAACGTTTCCTCCTCAGAACAAAATACTTCTTTTTTTTTTCATTTTTAAAGTTAGATCTCTTTCCATAAATCTGTTTCCAAGCAATGTATGCACTGACTTTAAAACTGTGTAGAAATCTTCTTGACCTAAACAATAAATGGCTAGAAATCAGTGTTGACTGCTTCTTAGCAACAAATTAAATGTTAGTAGGTTCTTGATATTCACATGGTCTCTTCACTTCAGAAAACTATTCATTAAGGTCAGGGTTAATTCACACTTCAGATAATAAGAGACCCCTAGTCACTGTTGAGAATTATTCCTGTAAATGTCACCAGATCAGTCATAGGAAACAAGCTATTTATGATCTCATTCACAGCTATTTATCAGATAGAGTTGTGTGTGATCATAATGAATCATGGCAGTTTTTTTTTCCTCAGAGCTACACTCTAATCAGCAATTGCCAGATACTAATATAACATTTGGTATAGGGCCAACTGGGTAATTCCTCTCCTTTAGATCTATCTATATGTGAAACATTTCACGTGGTGAGCTGAGGCATAATAAAATCTAATTGGATAAAAATACTTCAGAAAGGAAACTACAAAGTGGTATCCCATGGGTAAAATCTACCTGTGTGCTAAGACATTCATTGTGTGGTCACATGCAAACTTCCTTCTGGGGTCCATCTTTGGTCCATTAATTCCCAAATTTCAATTCAACTGAACAGCAATGCACTGAAAACAACCTGCAGTTTCCTGGGGCCCCCAAATAAAGTGAAGTCAAACAACTCAATTTTGATAATGGAAAAGCACTTTCGTGCTTCGAAGTAATGCATCAAATGAAGTGTTACAAGAAATCCATTGTGAGTCTGTCTACTCTCCGATGAGACGTACGTAGAAAACTATTTTTAACCAATCACTTTCACATGCATTCAAGCCCGTTCCATTAGAACTAATGTACTTTCCAAGACCTGACAAAGATAAAAGTAATTTCTGACATTGTTTATCAAAAATGTAAATTATAGAAACCTAAAAAAAATCTTAAGAATAAAACAGCACTAAACGTTAATATTGGAGAATGTAATATATACTACTTTCTTATCTAAATTAAGCCTTAAAAGAAGTGAAGATGAAAACAGAGATTCATGCCTACCCTTGAACCATTAATGTAATGTAGAAACACCCATTACATTTGATGTAATGCTTGCACATATCAACTCTTGGATAATAGGAAATGTAAATACAACTAATAAGTATTTTAATATCCAAAATTTTCCTTAAAAGCTTTGGTTATATTTTCCTTAATATTTTCTTCTTTTTTTTTTTTTTTCTTGAGACGGAGTCTTGCTCTGTCACCCAGGCTGGAGTGCAGTGCAGTGGGGCAATCTCGGCTCACTGCAAGCTCTGCCTCCAGGGTTCACGCCATTCTCCTGCCTCAGCCTCCCGAGTAGCTGGGACTACAGGCGCCTGCCACCACGCCCGGCTAATTTTTTGTATTTTTAGTAGAAACAGGGTTTCACCATGTTAGCCAGGATGGTCTTGATCTCCTGACCTCGTGATCCGCCCGCCTCGGCCTCCCAAAGTGCTGCGATTACAGGCGTGAGCCACAGCACCTGGCCTTTTTCTTCTTTAAACAACAAAAGTGGATTGATTATTTTTAGCAAAAAAAAGCCCACGTATTATCTTAAGTGAAACAATTCAGAAACAAAGTCAAATACCTCATGCTTTCACTTACAAGTGGGCAATAAATAATGTGTCCAGGTGAACACAGAGTATGCAGTGATAGTCATTGGAGTCTCAGAAGGGTGGGAGGCTGGGAGGGTGGCGAAAGATGAGAAATTACTTAATGGGTACAATGTACATCATTCAGGGGATGGGTACACTAAAACCCAGACTTCACCACCACAAATATATCCATGTAAGAAAACCGCACTTGAACCCTTTAAATTTAAAACAAAAAAATACCTTTACCTATATCTTTTTCCAATCATGTATTTTTTTCCTTCAACAACAACAATAATAAAAATAGAACGGTCTCTAAGAATAGAATCTAACATATTCCTCTTTGAAATTATTCTTTCTCGGGTATATTAAGGTACTTCTCTTTTGAAATTATTCTTTCTTGGGCATATTAAGGTACTTCTCTTTTGAAATTATCCTTTGTCGGGTATATTAAGGTACTTCTCAACATTTAGATGATTTATTTTTAAATATAGTATTTTTTCTAACAAACCTGCAATATGGAGTGTCTTTTCTTGTTATTCAAATAAAACATTTTTCTGCACATAACAGCTGCAGCAATTTACACTGTTCCTGATAATATTACCAGCTAAAATTATTAATGAACTAGTTTGGTTTATAGGGGAAAATCCTTATATCATTCCTGCATAAAATCACCATATAATTTCTTTAACTATACAGTGTTACAAAAATAAAATTGCTGGGGCACTGGAATAAAATTAAAATGATATAAACCAAAGATGAACTGCCATAAAAATGATATACCATGTTTCTCTGAATCATACTGAGAATGTTCCATTAAAAGTCTGACAAAAATATCTACATGGAGACATCTTTAGTATAAGCAGAATGTATAATTAATAGGTTCACATAAATAAGTCTCAATTCAAAAACTCAAGATTACTCCCCAAATGGGATATTCACCCTATAATATGGAGATACCTGTTTCTGTATTTTAATTAGAAAAGAATGGAAAAAAAACAGTAACAATTCTAGCCAAATACTTATGCTACTTACTGACCATTGTAACACATATAACATTTTAGGTTAGTAAAAGTGAAAGCTAAAAACCCCAGAATAAAGGCATTTCATATGAAAGAAAGATATATTACCTTTTATTTCATGTTGGCTTGCTTCCCGTCTTCTTTCTAGTTCTTTTCTGTCATAATTCAACCTCTTTAAGCACATAATTCCATATTGTAAACTTGTTCTTTTTTTTTTATTAAAAAAAAAAAAACACAGTGAGTCTACCTTAGCAGGTGGAGAAAGTTTTGTGATTAGCCATAGTCAACACTATGCACTGCTTCTTAGGGCAACAAGTTAATAAATTACATTTGCAGCCAAATCCTTCAGTATTGGAGGGAAATACATTTATAATTATTCTAAGCACAAAATGTTTCGAAGTAATAGAAAAAAAGTTTTCAAAATAAGAAAAAACAGTTTTAAAATCATCATGGATTATATTGTTCATCTATGTGTCTTTGTCTTTCATTTAGCTATTCCTACATTAGGTGCAGGCAAATTAATATTTTATTCACTTGAAAAGAATTTAAAGTCCCCATTATGGAGACAGTAAGGAATTTATAAGAAATGGATACTCTCTTCTTAAGCTGATGAGAAAAATAACACAAAACATAAGTAAGTGAGGTAATAGAAGACCAAATACTAAAATGAGTAGCTCATAACTCTAAATGATACAGAAGTATGTAAGAAGAACCAGTCAGCAGATATTGAAACTGAATGAAAAGGATATGTGGAATGAGCAGAAAATTGATTGATCCTTAAAGTATCAAGTAGCAGAGACAGGTTGACTCAGGAAAATGGAGCATCATGAACAAAAGATTGCAGATGGAAATTTAAAGGTGTGGTTAGCGAGACACACATTCCAGGGCTGAAAACCCATGCTAGGAAGTAAGGAGGAATACAATTATACATGGAGAAAAGGGCATATTAAGGAAAGCCTTAAATTGTGTTTAAGTATGAAATACATATAATTGATACAGAATTATTGGACAATTTTCGGAGGAGGAAGAGGTGACAATAAAGTTTTCTGTTTGGCCAGGCATGGTGGCTCACGCCTGTAATCACAGCACTTTGGGAGGCTGAGGTGGGTGGATCACGTGGTCAGGAGTTCGAGACCAGCTTGGTCAATATGGTGAAACCCCGTCTCTACTAAAAGTACAAAAATTAGCTGGCTGTGGTGGCACATGCCTGTAGTCCCAGCTACTCGGGAGGCTGAGGCAGAAGAATCGCTTGAGCCCGGGAGGCGGAGGTTGAAGTAGCCCAGATCGTGCCACCGCACTCCACCCTGGGCAACAGAGTGAGACTCCATCTCCAAAAAAAAAAAAAAAGTTTTCTGTTTAAGGAAAAGTAATCTCATAGCAAAATAGGAGATGGAGAAATAAGTAATCAGAGAAGATAGAGAAATCAATTCAGGGTTCAGTTCTGCCAAAATAGGGACAACAGCCATGAGCTTGAAAGGAAAATCGATAAACCAGGCATGTTCTGAGAGAGAAAATGAGAAGGTTTAGTGACATTATGTATAAAGATGCAGAAGATGTGATAGGAAAAAATAATCTGTAGACTTCAAGAGTAAAGATCATTGATTATCAGTGATACTTTACATGTTTAGGAATATAAGCAAATTTAGACATACACATTGGCCAGATTACACTTACTTGCTAGATGCATTTCTAAGCCCCGCATTTTAATAAAAACAATGTTGAGTCAAATATTTCAGAATCAGAGAAAAATGGAAAGAAAATTGCATTAGGCAGGTGTTGTGGGTTGAATTGTGTTCCCTAAAATTTACGTGTGGAAGCGCTAATTCTCAGTACTTCAGAATGTGATTGCATTTGGAGATAGTGCCCTTAAAGAGGTAATTGAGTTAAATGAGGCCATTAAGGTGGGCCCTAATCCAAACTGACTGGTGACCTTATTAAAAAGAGATTTGGACACTTGGTGACAACAGGTATATATATTCACAGAGAAAGGATTATTTGAGGACACCAAGAGGTGACCATCAGCAAGCCCAGGAGAGAGGCCTCAGAAGAAACCAGACCTGCTGATTCCTTGATCTTGAACTTCTAGCCTCCGGAACTGTGAGAAAATGAATTCTGTTGTTTATGACACCCATCTGTGGTCTTTTGCTGTGGCATCCCTAGCAAACTAATTCAGTGATATACTAGATAATACTGATATAATCACTATCACAGATATTGGGCAGCTTGAGATTAAACCAATGCTTCTTGGTCAGTTTCTGCCAAGTTTTGATATAGAATACAAAATTATACTATACAGAGGACATATAATATTATGAAAATGTCTGTCAGATGGAAAACTGTGCCGAAAAGACCATAGGATGCAATATACAGTCAGGTACTACTTGCTTTAAGTTGGAGATTAGCATAACTTAAAAATGAAGCTTGGGCATTTCCCAGAACAAACAAAAACCAAGTCATTTGAGTATTTTTTTTAATTTGATCATTATAGAAAACATTTTACTAAAGTAATAAAACAGTATTAAAAGTCAATCTAGTGAAGAACGGAAAAACCGGACCCCAAAAATCTAATGCAAACGTGAAATATGAAGCCCTAAACTTCCCGTGACAGGGAGCTCACTCACTACCTCACAATGTATACACTACAAGGCAGCTGAGAGTGGTACAAAGTTGTTTCTTCTATTAACTAGAAGTCACTCACCTAGGATCTACATCTGTGTTAACTAAAAAATGAGGTGCTCAACAGAGAAAAAATAATTCTTCTATCACATAATAATGATCTTAAAACCTAAGAAAACTTACTTATTTAAAGTCTTCCTTCATCCAATTTAAATGTATTTAATTACTTCAACTTTACCACTGGACTTCTACCACCTTATAACAATTTGATACCCACAAATAAATGCAATTTCTTTTTGTTATGTCACTGTATGGTAGCACTTTTGTTGTCTCAGCCAATAAACACAGTCTAAACATGCCTTGTCAAGCCATTAACCAAAATGGAGAGTTTCGTGCTAAGGATAAATTCCTTATCTTTTTCACACAACTTTCTGTTAAATTATGGATTCTCCATCCAGCACTTTAATGGGTTTTTTAAAAAACACTGTTATATTTATCTTTACCACATTTAATTCAACAGTGTCAACAACTGCATTAAAATTCAAAATATCACCATAAGTTGGAAGCAAAAGCCCCAATTATCCTCTATTTATCCTAATTTTATGTCATCAACATATCTAATTTTTATACCATCTTCACTCCAGCCACTGATTAAATGTTGGACAGGAGAGAAGCAAATACAGTCTCCCAAGCCAAAATCATCTATGGTTATATTTATTAACTTATCACCACAATCAACTTTATGTGAAAAAAACAACCAAAATCCAGCTGACATTGCTTCACCTAACATAAACATAGCATTTATGATATGGTATTATAACAGACCCCTTTTTATCTGCTGGATGGTAAACAACTTGAAAAAAAGACATTGCCTTTTGTTCAACTGCATCCTCACAGTTATCTAACACAGTATTGTTTTTGTTCTGAAATTAATATACAAATAAGCAAACTCATAAAAAGACATAGAAAAATAAAAAAACACAAATATGTCTTAGAAGAACAATTTCTTCTCAAAATTTTCCCTAGAATGTTCCTAAATTATAAAATTTATAACCACATATTTGTGTAGAGTTGAAACTATGAATTTGTTTATTCTTCCTAATTTTCTAATATAAACACATATAACTATAAAATTACCAACATGGAATTTTCAAAGAATCTCACAAAAAAATAGATGTATGCTCTATGAGGAGAATTTTGTACACATATATTTCCATAAACTTTGGGCACATAATATGCACATAGCTCTAAATTAGAAAGTCCCTGCAATTTGCTGGATGAAAACATTTTTCCAAGTAGATGTATACAAACGATGTTTCAAATGACATATATTTTCTGTCTTCTAGACGTCCATTTTTGTTTTACTAAAGTATAGGTAATATATTGTTTCATTTTAATTATTCTTTGGGGAAAAAAAAGAAAAAACACCTACCGATGGAAACTATCCACCATTTTTAAATGGACACGGAGATCTTTTTTTGTTAGGTGATCTAACATTCTTGCATCTACCAAGCATTCCATAAAGTAACTTCTGTACTGAGGTAACCCCAAGCTGGGAAGCCATT
Source organism: Homo sapiens (assembly GCF_000001405.40). NCBI lineage: Eukaryota > Metazoa > Chordata > Mammalia > Primates > Hominidae > Homo > Homo sapiens. Next base: position 81,281,390 of record NC_000012.12, read on the forward strand.
CATTTCCAATCCACTCATGATTCATATCTCCATAAGCCAGGGTCTGTAGAAAAACCGGACACTAGAATTGTTTTATAGCAGTCAAGTTTCTTAACCAATCAGATAAGATGGTAATTGGATAATATTACCTATTATTATAACTGATATTTAATTACTATGATATGTGGAAACAAAGCAAAAATAATATTCAGATAGCATTTGATTCGATTTGGTATAAAATGGAACTCTGCATACATTTATTAAAGCATCTGCCTATTGAAAATGATTGGCTATTTACTTTGTATTCTCAAAAGGAATTACATTTTGTCCAAGTATGTATTTTATTAATAAAGAAATTATTATACAAACTCTGAGCTTTAAGATTCTGTCTTTAAATTGATAGGTTTGTTTTATTTGTATCTGTCATTTCCCTCTTGTCAATGCACTTATTGCCATTTCCCACTTATCAATGCCACTACTACCATTGCTATATTGTAATGGCAAATGTTGATGTGAAATGGGAACCTCAGTAAACAGAGAAAGGAATAAATGTTTTGGAGAGACAGAATTTTGAAGCTTTTTATGGACATTGTTGTTACTTAGCAAAGCAGGTCGTCAGCTTTCCAAAAAATCATTGGAAAGAATCAGTCTTTTCTAGAAATTAATCAAGATAGACTCTAAAAGAAGCAGGACAGGATCAAAAACTAAGACAGATAACCTAATTCTTTAATATAACAAACAAACTATTCTTACCAATACTGTTCAAAACAGCTAAAATGAAAACCCAAATCAACCATTACCACTAAACCAATATTTTAAAAGAACTATTACTCTCTATTATTTTTACAGAATTCCCATTTAGTTCCTTATCATGCCCTAATTTCTCAATTCTAATATGCATTTCTAGGGAAAATCTAACTGTTCCTCTTCTTTTGTGTGTTCTCAAGAACAATGAAATTTTTATCAAAATCAAAATCAAATACAATCCTACTGTGTGTTTAAATACAGGTCCTAATGTAACTACCAAATTTTTTCTTATATTGAAAGGTTTCAATCAGATTGAATATAACACAAATTTTCTCTTTTGGTCATCCAAAATGTGGAAATGTAGAAAAAATGCACAGCTTCCTTGCAAAAGTATATGTCTGTTCCAAGTATAGACACCTGTCTCATACAAACATCTCAATAAATGCTAGTGACTCTGTGGTCTGCAACGCCAACACTTGCTCCTCCAACCTCTCTTCATACACTTTGCATTATATCTGAAGGCATGTGCAACTCCAAATAAGTCTTTTCTTTCTTTTTGTTCCCCCTTTAGATCCAACTTGAATGCTTCCTGATTAAATATATACAGGAGTGATTTCAGAGGAATTTAAGTTTTGGATCATTCTTTTGAGAAAGAAAGAAAAGTACCCTTTTAAAAGAGGTAAGGTATGAAACGTCAATCATCTTATTTTAAAAATATGGTAACTTAAAAAGACATATAAAGTATTAAACATAATCTACATTTACCTATACACATCAGCCTAATATTGAGCTAAGTGAAGGTTTACAATATTATGACTTATGACAGTTTCTTGATTTATATTCTCATTGCCTACTAAATGATATTAAGGGTCTTAAAGCATATGAATCTCCTACCTGGGCCCAGCTTCCTTCCTCAGATTCTTTCTGTGTTAGCAGCAGGAAATGATTAATAAAGCAGGTAAATATAAATTAATTTCAAATCAATACAGTAAAATTTTTCTAGCAGAAGCAAAATTGTTATACAAAATATTTTGTATAACAGGTAGAATAAACACACAGATTCATAGACCCACAGTGATCAATTTTGCAGTTCAAAGGCAATTAGGCAGCAACTACATCATTTTCAATTAATTCTAATTTAAATGTTAAATTCATAATTTTGTGAACATTTGATTTGGTCATTACAAACCTTTTTTTAATTCTTAAATGAGTGTAATTTTTAAAATGTAATGTGCTATAATAAAAACTTCTGATGACAAATATATATATGTATATATGATAGAGAAATCTTATACAAAGTAAATTAGTGAAGTGAAAAAACTGTATCCCTCCAACAAAGCTTTGTGATAATCAAATCGATTTCAACAACAGCCAACAAAACAAAACAAGACAAAAACCAAGTACAACAAAACTAAACTAAAAATGAAATTAGTACATGACATTGGTGTTTTTATCCTTAACAAACTTGTAGATAATCAATTTTCAAATAAGGATAACACTGAAAAGACATTAAATTAAAAAGAAGTTGATAAAGATAAAATATATGATATGCCCAACTTTGTTACTTTACATGAAAAAATGATTTTTATAGCATTTTATTTTTAAAAGTGACAAAGAGTCCCCAAGAAATTCTTTAAAATTGTGCTTTTCAGTACCAAATTAACATAACACTTTTTTGGTTTTTTGGGGGTTTTTTTGGTCAAGCTTGTATCTAAGATGGTAAAGCACAAGAAACCACATGATCATATTAAAAATGAATATTCAATCTAATCTTTTCTATTACCAATTTAATTTGGTTTAGAAACATGTTACCTGTGAATATGTCCAATACTAAATATTTGTTACAAAAACTTCCAATGTTGCAACATGAATACTATTTATTACTTTCTTCCTTATTGTTTGTGTACTATAAGCTCTTATGATATTAGCCACAATCTAACACTATTTCATTAAAAAATTTCAAGAGAGTGCAGTAAAAGAAAACTGTAAAAAATGTTAGTTATCATTGCATGTAACTATAAAAACACACCCTATTACTCTGGTCTATTGTAAACAGATTAGTTTCCTCATCCAAAGAGCAGCAAAGTCACTTTCCTTCAGGTTCAACAAAGCCATTAAGACTAACCGTTTTTGCTGGAGCTGCAAGATTTTCCATTTCTTCATGAGTCACCCAAACGTTGCCTGAAGGCTAGTGAGGAGGCCCAGAGGGAAGCAGAGGAATCCATGGGAGGCAAGCAGTGGTAAAGAAGAAAGGCAGCACCTCTGTGAGTTAACAGCAACACAGCAATACCACAGTGCCCTTGCCCCTACCGTGTGCATGAAAGAGACAGCATGGCTGGTTTGCTCAGAGCTCCCTGTTTCTTCTACTCAAAAAGATTAACTAGAAAGAGGCATTCTGTGAAGCTCTTGGGGATGTAGATTTAAAATGACATTTCTGCAATTATTAATCAGAAAAAGAGCATCATCAAAATTTGCATTTCAATGGTATGTGGCTATCAGATCAATTTTTGTAATAACGGTGAACTGATTAAATTTGAACTGTAGAATAATGTAATTTTAATTTTTTACTCAGAAAACAATGGCACATGCACTTTGTTGTGTTATTATCAAAATTTCCTTCACATAATTTTGATTCTCGATATCCTTTGAAGGAAAAAAAATGGTTGTCAATATAAAGCGGGAAGCATTATCGTAACTTATCTGGAAACCAGCATCAGCTTTTCCCAAAAGATTCCTTTTACTGTGTGTGATTCAGTAAATAGTAAGTGTCCCTGAATTCTTGCAGCTGAGAAAGAAGTGAAATGCTATTTTTAATTTAATAAAATGTATTTTTTAGCCACACTAATAACTGTCAAATTATAAAATCCATATATTTCCTAATTCTCCACCAGTATCTGATACCATTATAGAGAAGAACATAGTGTAAAATAATTTTTTTTCTCTAGCAGGCAATATTCTATTATAAAGTCCCATTTGCTTTCTAAATAAAACACCCCTTGGTATTAGTTCTATACACTTAATAACGTACAGTTTCGAAACCAAAGTCCACTTAGTAACATACAGATCAGGCATATCATTGAAGGTATTGGCCCCTGGAAACCACTTGCCATCAAATTCCATCATTTCTTTATGAACATTGCAAGGTTTTCCAAGCACATCAATGAAATTTACATCCTATATATTATCTGCTACTTGTTTTGGGGAGGGTCCAATCTTTAAAGAATTGGTGTAGCAAAGTTGTTACCCAAACATTACAAGTCATCACCATAATTCACTTTGGGTTTTTCTGCCATTCACCTAGTACCATAACTTTTCCTGTATTAAAAACAAATGTAACTACATATAAATTGATGAGTATAATTTGATGTAAGTGAAATCTTATATATGTATATACATACATATATACAGTCATGCACTACATACCGACATTGTAGTCAAGAATGGGGTGCATGCACAACAAATGGTCTCATATGATTATAATGGAGCTGAAAAGTTCCTGTCACCTAGTGATATCAGAGCCATTATACCATCGTAGTGCAATGCATTATTCACATGTTTGTGGTAATGCTAGTGTAAACAAACCTATTGCACTGCCAGTCGTCTAAAAGTATAGCACGTGCAACTATGTGCAGCCCATAACCCTTGATAATCATCATTAATGACTGGGTTATTGGTTTATGTATTTACCACACCATGATTTTTAAATCATTATTTTACAGTGTACTCCCTCTACTTTTGTTTTTTAAAGAGTTAACTGTAAAATAGCCCCAAGTAGGTTCCTTGGGAGGCATCTCAAAAGAAGGCATTGATATCCTAGGAGATGACAGCTCCATGTGTGTTACTGCCCCAATGACTTTTCAGTGGAACAGAATATGGAGATGAAAGACAGTGATACTGATGGTCCCGATCCTGTGTAGGCCTATAGTGATTTTTGTGTTTGTGTCTTAGTTTGTAACGAAAAAGCTTAAAGAGGGGAAAAAATAATGAAATAGCAGAAAGCTTATAGGACAAGGATATAAAGAAAGATATTAATTTTGTTCAGCTGTACAATGTATTTGTGTTTTAAGCTAAGTATTATTTTAAAAAGAGTCAAAAGTTAACAAAAAAAAAGATTTATAAATTACAAATGTTACCATAAGCTAAGGCTAATTTATTACTGAGGAAATAAAAAGGTTTTTTTATGAATTGTGTGTAGTATAAAGTATAGTGTTTATAAAGTCTACAGTAGTATATAGTAATGTCCTAGGCCTTCGTATTCACTAAGTGCCCTATTCACGTGTACCATTTTTTATCTTTTATACTATATTTTTACTGTACCTTTTCTATGTTTAGACATATTTGGATACACAAATACTTACCACAGTGTTACATTTGCCTACAGTATTCAGCTTAGTATCATGCTGTGCAGGTTTGTACCCTGGAGCAATAAGTTATACCACATAGCCTAGGTGTGCAGTAGTCTATACCATTTAGGTTTATGTAAGTATGCTCTATGGTACTCTCAAAACGAAGAAATTGTTTCATGACTCATTTCTCAGAACATATATCTGCATTAAGTGATATTTGATTGTATATATACTTAAGTAACAAATGGAAATGGGTGGTAAAGATTCATAATTATAAGCAAATTCGAGGCACATAAAAATTCCACAGGCTAGACATCAAATATATGTATAGAATTTATTTTCTTCTACTGTTTTGGAATTTAGAGTACAGATGATGTTTTTTCTATAAGATAAATCTGTGTACACCTATTAAATAAATTTAGAATATAAAAGTCATTTATGTCCTTAAAAGTCCCTTCCTTGTATTCCCTGCTTCTAACAATGATGCTCATTATAAACAGAAAGTTGCATATGAGTATATAAATCATTACATTACTTGGAATAAATTGTTTTTATTGACTTTAGGAGGAGAGTGCTGTGCTGAAAAGTACTTTACATGCATCTGTCACATTCCCTTTACACTGAGTTATCGTGGTGCTTTCTTGAGTGGGTATACTGTTGGTTCAAAGTGAGTTTCAGCAATGATTACCTGAGAAGAAATTCATTTAAGCCAATCTTAAATGGCTTAAGCTTGCAGAACAGTGTAAAATCAATTTTACACTGATTTGTGTAGCTTCTGCTTTGAATCGTAATCCAAATAATGAAGATCTCATTACTTCTTTAAGAAACTACCTGTATTAATTATCTCATACTAGAATAGATACATGCATAGTATCTTTCACAGATTATCTTTAAGTCTGTGTCTGCCAGTCTGTCACCATATTCTGGGATGTGGAACATGCTGGAAGCTATGGTTTTATCTGTTTCATTCCTCACAAAATAAGCATATACCCAGGACAATTTTCTGAAGTATGACTGGCAAACTTTCAGAAGTTGTATGTTAGTTGTTTCTGTTTGATATGCAGTTTTACTTGTGAAGACCACTGCCAGCCCTATAGTCTTGTAAAAAGCCGACAGAAATAGTTTCTACACAACCTAGTCAAGTAGACATTAACTGAAGTTTTAACAAGTTTATTTTATAGGCAAGCTCATATGTAGTAAGTCAATTATTCAATCAGATTGCTCTCTCTCCACCACCACTTTAGGGGATGGAACTTGCATCTAAGTACATTGTGACGGAGTAATTTACAGCATGAGAGTTTCAGAGCAAAGCATCCCTACAAGATAGCTAGATTGGGAAACTGAGCAATCAAAGGGCATAAAGATATGAGTACCTTGGGATTGAGGATACAGTACAAAAAGTAGGTTGGAAAAGCATAAGAAACAAATATTGTATAACTTGGTTGTGGTTCTCTGAGATCCCCTTAAAATTATCTACTCACTGCCCTTGGTAGTCTGTGCTGCAATCTCCCCCAAAAATGTGCGAGCTAGAAAATGCAAACCAATAGTCATTTTTTTGTGGCTAATATCATCTGAGTCTAACATGAAATTTATAAAATTTCAATTATATTATCAAATTAGAATCAAGGGGCTTGAGTTATACAGTAGCACTTACTAATGACTACTCTAGGACATTTCCTAAGCCTGTCTAAATTTCAGGTTCTGCACTTCTTAAGTGGGACTAAAAGTGCATGCTCCAGAATAGAAAGAAACACTAAAAAGTTTACATTATGATACAACATGTTCTTATACAGGGCTGGGACTAGGATGAGGCACATGAGGTCCTGGGAGGCTATAATTTAAGGAAACATTCACTTTCAGGGTTGATATCTGACAATGAGAGCCTCTTTAAATTTTATGCTTGAGATTATCTTGCTTGTCTCCCCTTAGTACCCATGGAATAGAACTTTGAGAAAGTATCAAGGGAGAAGGAGAAGGAAATTTCTAAAAAATGATCAGAATTAAAGAACTTACCTAATGAAATCATTCTGGAAAGAGTTAAGACAGAAAAATAAATATTACAATGAACTTAAGAAATAACTTGTGAAAATTAATCAGGTGAAAATAATGAGTAGTCTTGCTGTCAGAGATACAGTATAAGTAAAGCAGCCAGACCTCAGAATAATCCTAAATCTTACCTAGTTAAAGTAACTTTTGTTACTACCTAGGTCATTTAAAGTGTTTTTTACTTTGTAATGGAATTACAAAGTAGTAACTTGAAATTACTTTTCACATTCAAATGGCCTGGATCCACATTTCTCCCTTATCTGAATTTTTGTCTCTCATTATAAGATAAATCCTTCTCATTATAATAAGAATGATATTTACACCTCACTCTCTTTTCAATAAAGGTTAAGGTTTATAAAGGCAATTATACCACACCCTCTTTTCAATAAAGGTTGGGGCTTATGAGGTAAGTAATAATGAAAAGAGGAATCAAACAGACTAAAAGAATGCTATAAAAAGAAGGAAAACTGATAGAGTGCAGGAAGCAGAAGCAGGAGAATGTGCTTGTTAGGAGAAAACCCACATAGGAGTATGACCTTAGGTGAGTCAGTTTACTTCTTTACATTAGTTTTGCCCATTTGTGAAACAGCTATAATAAAAGTACCTTTCTCATAGCTGTAGTTGTGAGAGTCAAATGGGCTATTACATGTAAAGCGCTTAGAACAGTCCCTGACAGTGAGCATTCTGCTGATGTTGGCTACTACTGTAATTATATTAGATATTCTGTTAGGTAGTCTCCATTCAAGCAAATCTTTAATTCAAGAAATACTCTGTAGGTCTCTGTATTACACTGAGCTGACTAATGCCTATCTTACACCTTACATTTATGTTTAATCTTGTTGAATTATATGGTTATCAAAAATCACTTTGTTTAAAACTTATTTATTTCCACTGCACTTGCTTTTAAAATGTTTAATTCATCAACTTAAATAAATGTTACATAAAGCAAAATATAAAACAAATTTGGCTCCTATATAAACACTAAGTTGAATTAGTTGGAAAAACCAGAGATAGGCAAATCTTGAATGAAACACACTATCAATAAAATACAATTTTGTCAAAGTCTGGGGAAGGCATTGTAAATGTCCAGAAGGATTCCTCATTCAAATGGCTTTTTGAGTTATCTTGAAGTCGTCACTTTAAAAAGAAACACCAACTAGAGAAATTAAACATGTTTCCAGATAAGATTATCTAAAAGGATAATGTGGAACTCCAGACATTGGAAACATACACAAAAATAGTTTTAGGTGCTCCATCTAAATTTGCAATTCTTTAACATTTCTGTAATTTTTACCTGAGATAAAGTATTCAAAGAATGCACTTATTTTTGTTACATCCTTCTTCAACCAAATTTCAATTAACTGGTATCTCCATCTCTATCCTACTAGGTAAGAGACTTTCTGTAGTAATAGTAGCTTGGAGAAAAGAAACAGAAAGCTGGAAATTTAGGGCTGGCTCAAGGTAATCATATATGTGACATTTAAATTTTCCTTTTTGATGGTCCAGCCCATTATATCTAGGCAGGAAAGGAGGCTGAATCAAATAAAGTAGTAGAATAAATAAATAAATAAAAGTTAAAAATAAAAAAGCCCCGAAGCCCAAGTACCTTGTCTTTTTCTCCTCAGAACTTCAGTTAATAAACACGAAATACCTGGCTGAGGAACCCAAGCCCAAACCTCAGTGTGCAAAATAACTTGTATAATCTAAACAAACTGTAGTGTTCTTGAAGACATGATAGAATAACTTTGTTAAAAAAAAAAAATCTGCCTTTGTGTTTTGTAAGTGTGAATTCTAATACATAATGTTAGGTTATGACTTTATGTAGTGGATTCATTAATAGTGATTTATGTGGAATTTTCATTTGCAATGCAAATTGTATTGGAAATATATTAGAAATGAGTAAATGCTACCATGTAGAGTGAGTAGAAGGAAGAGGAAACATTTAGTAGATACTTTTAAAGCCTAGAGACACAACTTAACTTGTCTCATAGAATTTGCATCAGTATCTGGCAAGAGGTACATATATTCCGTGAATACAGAGCTATTACACATTAGTAAAAAGATATATATTCCTATAATAATAAAGATAAGTTGGGAAGGTTATGAATAGAAAATTAATATAAATACCAGATTAATAAGAATATAAAAATTTGCACATTTAGTAGTGATTTTTAAAATGTAAATTAAGCAAGGAGATAACCAATGTTGACAAAGGGAGAAAAAATAGCAACACAACACAATTTAACAATTAAAGTTTAAAAGTATTAAGAATATGCATTCCGTATACACAAATATAGCAATGGAAATAACCACAGTTTATGCAACAACATAATTACAAGCACATATTTTACACACAACAACAAATTGTGTTACACAAAACAAAGAAAATGTCCAATACTAGGAATTTGATTAAATAACTTATCACATTTCTACAAAGGACATATTCAATAACTAAAAGTGATGTTGCAGTTGCATATTTAATAAAATGAAGAAAATGCTTACACTACATTACTAAATTTACAAAAAAGTACAAATTAATATATTATGTGAAATAATCCATTTATATAAAAAGATAATGAAAAAAGAATGACAAGATCTTCATCAAATGTTTTCAATAGTGAAAAAATTAACATTGATTATCTCTAAAATCAGTATTTTTTAATGTTTTTAAATTATTTTGTTGTCATCTTTGTATTTTTCTGTATTTTACAAATGTTATACAGGATCATGTATTAGTTCAATAAACATATAAAACTTAAATGCTATAAACAATATATTTTTTATGTTTCAAATGTTCATTTTTGTCTGAAGCCTTATCCAGCTTGTAGTGATTTCTCCTTTCTTGAAGCTCCATCACACTTCACTTCTATTGCACATTTTGGAGTTAATCTATATAATCCTGTACTAAATCTACCAGTCAACATGCTTATTTTCCTTAGTAGAGTTTCCCTTTCTGATCTCAAGGCCACACGTTTCTTATACTTCAGCAGAGTATATGAAATATGTGGGTAGAGTGATCTATACAATGATTATTTTAAGGTGAATATTTACATAATATCTAAAATTTGCCAGGCACTATTGCTAAGGCTTGGGGTTGATGGAAACCTGATGCTATCTTTATTTCGTCTAGTGTGAGATAAATGAAGAAAAGAAGAACTGTAAAATGTTGTTTATAAGTACATGGAGTGGTAACTCAGGAAGGAAACCAAACCCAGGCTTTGGGGGCTCAGCAAAAGCTTTTCAGAGGAAATATGTAAAGGAATCGATAAATGAATAATGAATTGGAGAAAATATGATGACTTTGAAGTAGGATGAAAGTTTTGGGCAAAGGGAAGACCAACTACAAAAGCTCATAACTGACCAAAAGGAAAGATGTTTGAAAAACTGAAAGTAGTTCCTGACCTGGGAAATAAAGCCTTCGAGGTGAACTGAGGCTAGATCATAAAGCTTTCTTTACTTCTCCCCATTCTTTAAACAATTGAATGTTAATTAATATGGTATAATTTAAATTCCTTCAGGTTGGTTAAATAGTTTTAGAAAAATGGTTTTAAAATTCCCTATTGTTCATTAAGAAATGAATTACACTGGTAAATAAAAATAATAAAATGTATCATATTTTTCATCTGGAAGTTGGGACTTCAAATTTATTTTTGCAAGATTCATAATGTTTAATAATTTTGTTTGCATTTGCTCTTGGGAGGAAAATGTGGATATAAACTATTTATGATGCTTCTCTCTCAGCTGGAAATTACTCAGCAAACTCTTCATCAGACTTAAATTAAATTTACAATAACTATTTTAATGGTCTTCTCAGTTTCTTATTTTAAATATACAGGTGGCTCTTGAACAACACAGGTTTGAACTGCATCATTCCACTTATACACAGACTTTCTTCTGCCACTGCCACTCCTGAGACAACATGACCAATCTCTCCCCTTCCTCCTCCTCAGCGTACTTTCAACATAAAGACGACGAGGATAAAGGCATTTATGATGAACTACTTCCACATAATGAATAGTAAATATAATTTCTCTTCCCTATGATTTTCTTAATAATATTTTCTTTTCTCTAGCTTACTTTATTGTACGAATGGAGCATATATGTGTACATATAAAACACATAATACATGCTTATCAACTATTTGTGTTATCAGTAAGGCTTCCAGTCAACAGTAGGCTCTTAGTAGTTAAGTCTTGGGAGAGCCAAAAATTCTAGCTGATTTTTTGACTGTGTGTGGGGGGTCAGCACCCTTAACTCCTATCTTATTCAAGGGGCTATTGTATTCTAAATTGTCTTTTAGCTTGAGTCATAATCCAGGTATAGTGAAAAACATTTGTGTCTATTTAAAAATAATATAGGTAAGAATTTTAAAAATTATATATTTTTCCTACATGTCATTTAGGAAGAACTTAAAATGGAGTTATGTAAGAATTATATAAGCCTTTTAAATTTGACCTTTTATTTCTGGCATTAGAATCTAGTATACTGGGAAGGAAAATGTGTAAATAGAAATGAAACAAACTATTCACAACTGTTTAAGATCATGTATAAAAAAGTTATACTTGTTACTTTTCTGCCTGAAAACTGCAATAAAGTAATAAGACTTTTTAATATTTTACCTATTGCTAAAATTTATCTCATTCTCCCATATTTTATTATGCTATATAAGATATGAGATTTGGGAAATCTAGTAATTATCAGAAATAATATACTTTATAAACAAAATATATAATTTAGGAATGGAATAAACAAATAATTAAATACTATTTGGGAGTTTTTGGGAATTTGTCGTCATGCATGCCTTTTTTGTCACATTTTGTTCTTTTCTAGGATTAGGATAGGTAAAAAATTATGAGATGACTAGGAATTTATAACTGAAAAACAAACAGACTTTGAAAGAAAAAGATATTCCAGATATTCCATTTGGTATCTGTAAAACGTCAAACTCACATAATTTCATAATTACAGAAACTTCTTAAGAAATAGTGAGTTACAAAAGAACACATACAAGTGTCCAACAAACATATAAAAAAGCTCAATATCACTAATCATCAGATATATGCAATTAAAACCAAGTGAGATACCATCCCACCTCAGTCAGAATGGCTATTACTAAAAAGTTAAGAAAAAAAAAAGATGTCGGCAAGGGCACAGAGAAAAGGGAACACTTATACACTGTTGGTGGGAATGTAAATTAATACAACCTCTATGGAAGACAGTATGGAGATTTCTCAAAGAACTAAAAATAGAATGAGCATTCAACTAAGTAATCTCGCTACTTAGTACCTACCCAAAGGAAAAGCAATTGTTATATCAAAATAATTCCTGCACTCATGTCTTTATCACAACATTAATCATAATAGCAAAATCATGGAATGAATCTAAGTGTCCATCAGTGGATGATTGGATAAATAAAATGTATATACACACCATGGAATACTATGCAGTCATAAAAAAGAATAAACTAATGTCTTTTGTAGCAACATAAATGGAACTGGAGACCATTATCCCAAGTGAAATAACTTGGAAACAAAAAAAAATCAAATACAACATGTCCTCACTTGTAAGTGAGAGCTAAACAATGGGTACATGTGGACAGGTAGAAGGAAATAACAGACATTGGAGACTCCAAAAGGGAAGAGGTTGGTAGGGATGAGGTTTGAAAAATTACCCATTGGGTACAACGTTCACTATTTGGGTGATGGGCACACTGGAAGCCCCAAAATCTCCATTACATAATATACCCATGTAACGAACTTTCACATGTACCCCCTGAATCTATAAAAATAAAAAATATTAAAACTAAAAAATGTAGTCACTTAAGCCTTGCATCTTTAGTAATCACTAATGCTTATATCTTATCTTCTGAGAAATTACCTGAGGGAAAGAGAAAGGAAGGAAGGAAGAAGGGAAGGAAGGAAGGAAGGTAGGTAGGAAGGAAGGAAGGAAGGAAGGAAGGAAGGAAGGAAGGAAGGAAGGAAAGAAGGAAGGAAGGGAGGGAGGAAGGGAGGGAGGAACAAAGGAACGAAGGAAGGAAGGAATTGAAAAAAGAGTAAGCTCAGGGTCTTGTCGCTTGGGAGAAAAATCTAAACTTCAGATGCTAGCTCAAAAGTCTGCTATGCTAGCTTTCACGTCTGATATGAATCATAGTTCCTCATTTGAAAACCTATTAAAAGTAGCAGCAAGGTTAATAAAGAGCAAGCTTAATCTCTTGAGAATAATTCAAGCTGACATTGAAATGTGTGCTGTCACAATTTTGCTCTGTAGACTTAGACACACGGCTATTTGCCTAGCACTGAGGAAGGGGAGGAGCAGAAACTGACTCACAGTTCGAGATGTTGGAGGAGCTGAAGGACTTGTTAGGGAAACCATCTCCTGGATTGCTAATCGAAGTTTTAAGCGATGCAGTGGATTGCTGATTCCAATTTCTCTCTGGATCTCAGTGTCAGATAAAGCAGACATGATGGCACCACTCTTCACGTTGGCTCGGCAGGCTGCCACGTACCACGCAGGCATTCCCAACCAAAGCTGTTAGATAGGAAAAAATACACTAACAAATTATAATAATAGTTATCATTTTAGTGTCTCATATGCTAGGAATTATTTTATGTATCTTACATACATGACCTCACCCCACGAGATAAAATGTTATCATTATTTTCCCTAGAGGACATAGATGCACAAAGAAATTAAATGATGTATTTAAAAACACCAGGGAGGCAGGGATAGAAACAAGATTTGAAATTGAGACATGCTAGCTCCAGAGACTCTATTTTAACTAATTCATATTACTAGTGGTAAAAGTAATGGCTGCATGGCACCAAGTTCCCCTTTGTATGTAGGGACCAGAACGGCTACAAGCCACATTTGATAAGGGACTCAATTAATGTTTGCTTAATGAGTGGCTTCAATTTATAATGCTTCTTTGGAATTCTGAGTGAAGAGAAATTCTGTCACAGAACGAGACAGCTGTGCCACATCCAGCCATGTGATTTCGATCAAAGCATGCAGTGTAGCTAAGCCACATTTCCACCTACCTTCCTACACCATGTGAAAGATGTGTGAACTTAATTAGATGCTATATATGAAAATGCCTTTTAGAGAGTGAAATGATGTGCTAAGAAAGAAGTTAAAACTCAAATCATTGAAAAACTAAAGAAAGCAACAAAATTAATAATGCATCAGAAATTAGAGATTTTAAGACTGGGCACAGTGGCTCATGCCTGTAATCTCAGCACTTTGGGAGGCCGAGGTGGAAGGATCACATGAGGTCAGGAGTTCGAGACCAGCCTGGCCAACTTGGTGAAACATCATAATACTAAAAATACAAAAATTAGCTGAGCATGATGGCGAGTGCCTATAACTCCAGCTACTCGGGAGGCTGAGGCAGGAGAATCACTTGAAACTGAGCAGCAGAGGTTGCAGTGAGCTGAGATCAGGCCTTTAGACTCCAGGCTGGGGACAGAATGAGACTCTGCCTCAAAACGAAACAAAAGAAAACAACAACAAAAAATGAGGCCAGGCGCGGTGGCTCACGCCTGTAATCCTAGCACTTTGGGAGGCTGAGATGACTGGATTGCCTGAGCTTAGGAGTTCAAGACCAGCCTGGGCAACATGGTGAAACTCTGTCTCTACTAAAACTAAAACAAACAAACAAAAAAATCAGCCAGGCGTGGTGGCAGATGCCTGTAATTCCAGCTACGGGGGAGGCTGAGGCACGAGAATTGCTTAAACCCGGGAGGCAGAGGTTGCAGTGAGCTGAGACTGTGCCACTGCAATCCAGCCTAGGCAACAAAGTGAAACTCTGTCTCAAAAAAGAAAAGAAATTAGATATTTTGATTTTTCAACTTTGCTGTGAGACTCTTGAAAGACAATTAAACCAGCAGTGCTATTTACACAGCACAGGTCTCGTGCACATCTCAAGCACTGGGTGAATGCCAATCACGGGCATTATATTTCAGCACCTGAATAACATCACTTAAAACAGGAATATTCTCCCATTTTCCCTCCATCATTAGTTATGAGTAAGAAGTAGAAAACACAACAAAAAATTAGCAGCTTACATATTTGTTTTTGAATGTCCAAAAGATTGACTGATTTTTTTTTCTATTTGTTGAAATAAACAGATTGAACAAAGGAGAGAATTGTGAGAGTGAGAAAAAGTGAGACAAAGAAGAAAAACTATAAATCAGCAAAATACAGTGCCAAGAGCTCTGGACCACAAATCAGAAGACCTGAGCCCTAATTCCTTTCCAGTCATTGGTGAGTCATGTAACCCATCTAAACCTCAGCCATATTTTCCTCATTTGTAAAATGAAGGAATCAAGCTTGATTATTTCTCTCTACCTCCTGATATCCGTTCCCTTCTATAATCTCCTTCTTTTGGGGGTAGGATTGGCCCAGTGATTTATTTCTAATAAATAGCTGATGATAAAAGTGATGGGATGTCACTTTCCAGTTTAGGCAATAAAATGACTGTGGTTTCATTCCTGCTAGTCCCCTCCCGCTGTCTCTTTCCCTCTGAGCTCTCACTCTGGAGTAAGTCAGATCTCAGGAGCCCTGTGGAGAGTCCCATATGACAAGGAACTAATGTTTCTGGCCAACAGCCAGCAGGAAACTGAATCATGACCCTGACCATATGAATGAGCATGGAAGTGGATTCTCCCCAAGTCTAGCCTTGAGATGACTGCTGCCCTGGCTGATACCTTGATTGCAGCCCTGTGAGAGACTCTGAGCAGAGGCCATCACAAAGCTATTCCCAGACTCCTGACCCATAGAAGTCATGAGATCATAAATGCCAAATTTGGGGGTAATTTGTAAACAGCAATAGCTAACCAGTATAAACATCCTTTTAGTTGAAAAATTCTACAATATTAAAAGACTATTTGTCTCTTTTGAAAAAAAAAATGCCAACAACGAAACTCTTTGAGTCAGTGTGGACTGGGTTGTGATAGAGATAAGAGAAAAGAAGGGGAAGATCTAAGTACAATGTGTGACTGTACAGATTATGCTTTCTTCCAGCAGGTTAGGCACAAATAATTGACCTTGACAGGTACATTATATATGACAGAAGATAGTACTTGACTATTTAGTTTATAAACTCAAACTGTTCAAAATAACTAAACATCTAAATATGTCTTCTTTGGACCCTAATGATTTTTTTACCTTTGTCTTCTAAGATATTTGGATTTCCACACTAGTTAACATCACCCAAATGCCTGCCAATACATTGTTACCAATGTCATCCATAATTAGACCTTAAAGAGTCTTTGATGCGGATAAATGGCATGTGAAGCATGGAATTCTCGCCTACACAAAATTCTTAACAGGCTGTGCACTCAAGGAGGAACGAAAGGAGATGAAGTTAAAGTTTCATTCATTGGATCACTCAGCTCATTCATCTTGTTTATTCCATTTTATAATTTAAGTTGCATTAGGAATCATAGGCAATTTCTGTGTACTCAGAATAGGTTTAATTAGCACAAACTTCACTGTCTGTCATCTCCTATCACCTTAATGTCAGTAAATCTGTTTCTTTTTTCTTTTTATCTGAAGGATTTGTTCGTCGCTTGCCAAAATAGCAGCGAACTCTCTGTCAAACTGCAACTCATTTTATCGGAGCAAAAACTGAACAAAGAACTGCTATCATTTCTGAGGTGTGATTTCTTAAGCATTTTGTCTTGTGATTGATTTTTTAAATATAGTAATTTTAAAGACACGGTTGAAAGAAGCAGCTGATCGCTAATATCTGATGGCTAATATGCTAAATTTCCCTGTCTGATGTGAAAGAATAAAGTAAAAGCAAAATACAGGCATTTTTCATTCAGTGCAAGAAAAAATACAAAGCGTGTTTCTAGATCTATCTAAGTCTATTTTTAAAACTAAAATGGGCTTTAATGTTTCTTTATTATTTATTTACTTAGCTCTGGCTATAATAAAATGAAGACGGATAATTTTATAATCCAAGACCATTTAAAACAACATGTATAATTACCTCTGGCAGGCAAGGAAAGCCTGGATTCTTCTTTGCCCTGACACAGGCATATCCTAGCAGCTACTAGCAGCTCACATAGAGAACTGAATAGAAGGGGCAGTGAACAGTACTGTTAAGTGACATGAAACAGCCCTTCGTAGTCAAATATGTAGTTCCGTCAATGTCAAGGTCAGTTTCTGCTGCCTCCTACACTGTTCAGATATTCCCTTATTTTTCCAGAACACTATGTTGTACAGGAAATGCTGAAAATAGTTCTTCTTTTATTGTAGCATTCAGTTTGGACACAGAAGGGAATAAGGTGTAAGTCTTCTGTTTAATCCCAAGTGTCTAAACCTAGCTGGTCCATAGGCTTTAGAGAACTAGGTTCAGGAACTAAATTACAGGCAAAGGAATGTCTCTCTGTACATCTAGGTGATCTTACTACCTTGGATTACAGAAGTGTTGAATATGGAGAGGGTCTTCTCTGTAACCTGCTAATGAGGAAGGGCCCTGGCCTAATGGATGGGAATGGATGTTCTCTTGCAACAATAAAATTTTGTTTCTTCTCTTGCTCTAGAAATGAAAAGGGTGTGATTTAGAGACACTTCCTTTTATCCCACTGCATGATTTCTTCTACTACGATCACAAAAAAGTGTCAGCATAAAATCATAAATTTATTCCCTAGTAAGCAAATAGTCCCTTATGAGCAATTCCAGACTAAGGGGATGCTGTGATTTCAGAAACTTGCCGTTACCTGTCTCAAAAAAATTATCAACTTAGTAGTGATTGATTCAAGGGCCTCCTAGTTTCATTCTCTTACCTCTAGCCATGCGACCACAGTTGGCCCATCCCACTGGGCAAAAGGTAATCCCTTTCTCCGAGCTTCTTCAAGAAGTTCATGCCTGAAGTATATAGCAAAGATTATTAGGCAGGTATATGGAAAAATATGGCTGTGATTATTTTTAATGATAATATTTTAAAATAACCAATCATCCTTTACAAGATTTTTTATGATACAATATAGAATAACAGAATTCCTTATTCCTTTGAGTAACACACACACATCATCCATTGATTTTATTACGAATGAAGCATTGACATAGAAAAGTAATTTTCCCCAACATTTATTCATGAAAATTAGAACATTAAGTGCTAATGGAATTAGAAGTGGAATTATATTACCAGCAAATATCTTATCCCTTTAATGAGAAAATGGCCCAAATGTTCATATTCAAGTATGCATTATGGGATCTAAATGTGGCTTCCACCATCTGCCCTGCCCTCTTTGCCTTACTATCTCCATGGCAAAGAAAATGCTTATATAGAGAGGCAGAAGATAAATTTGGTCCTTTTAGTCACATTCTAGTGATGTGGTTGATTTTAGTATGCCCTGTGGGTCCAGGGATCTATCTTAGGAGTTAGTTATTTGTCTAGACTATAAAACTACATCTCACTTGGAGAAAACTCCAAGGTAAATTGATTTCTAACACTCGAAAGCAATGTAAGGTATCAAATTCAATGGTACACTTGCTTTTATCTATAATCACTACTGTTTTAATGAAATTAAAATATCTTAATAACAACAAATGGTTGTTTTGATAACAAAAGATGCAAAAGAACTCTGAAAAATGCATCTATAATTTCACTGACCCTCTTACTGATTTTTAGAATTGACATCCACTTACAAAGCCAATTTGAGATCACTCATTGTTAAGATAGTAGCTATGTGCTTTCACTGAAATTCAAATTGATATATACTTGGCCAGGAATATATTGGAAAATACATTCTCTTTACTTTAGTATGCCTTGATCTTACACATAGATGATAAAAACATGGTATAATAATTGCTTTATTTTGAATGCGTATGTTTTATGCTTAGGAATATTTCATGAAAATCATTTATGAACTCCCAAATGGATAATTTGATTATTTTCTACTATTAATCAATTAGTTACTGTGGTAGACTATATTAATACATTAAGATATATAATGAATAAAATGCCTTTCAACACAGAGTTTTCTGTGTTTGTAATAGATGCAACCAAAAATTCATTAAAAAAGGTGCAAAATACAAATTTAAGTTATAGTGGCTGAAGAGACATAAATCAACTGCTGTTTCATTTGAGGGGATAGAAGTGTTAAGTTCTGCATGTAAGCTATTCAGCACCTGGGAAAGGGAACAGCGATACTCGTGCTCTGAATCTAAAAAAGTAGAGGCACTTCTTCACCTGGCTTGCTCTATCATCCTCCATTCCCTCAGGTCTCCCAGTGACATTCCTTTAGTGAAAACCAGTTTCAAATAGCTTAGCCTCACTGTGACAGATATATATATATAGAAATGGATTGAAGGATCAAAAACAAATAACCTATTAGGTACTTATTGAACACCTGTTGTGGACTGAGACTTGTGTTTGGTGTGGAAAATAGATATGGGTCTAATTTCCCAGGATATCCTGTTAGATGGACAAAACAAACACATGAAACTGTCTGAAAATACAATACAATACAATATAATACAATACATTACACAAACAGCTGCTAACGTGAAAACTTGGTGATGTACCTTGTGAAGTATGTCATTTTAGAAAAGGGGTTAATAGCCATTGAAGGTGTTGTGAAGGCATTGTGGCAATGGAGCTGGCTTCGAAGGGCAGGTAGGAAAGAGGTGGGGATGGCATTCCAAGCAGGAGAAGCACTAATGGGGAGGTATGGAACTTAACATGAAATACGTGGAAGAAAATTTAGGGTAGGCCTTCACAGAGTTAATGCATGTTGTAAGAGTTTTAATGTTACATCCAATAGGGAAAGCGACACTTCTAGTTATGTCATAGGTTTGTGACATTAAAAGGGAAGAAATAAAT
This sequence comes from Homo sapiens, assembly GCF_000001405.40. NCBI lineage: Eukaryota > Metazoa > Chordata > Mammalia > Primates > Hominidae > Homo > Homo sapiens. Next base: position 81,301,343 of record NC_000012.12, read on the forward strand.
TTACATTTACAATTAGTTTTTGCTTCACATAGTAAAAAAGCAAGTAAATATGCACTAATAACCTAAGGAGCACGTAACATTTTCAGAAGTGTATTCTATGAGTTGTACAAAAGCTATTTTTAAATATTAGAACGCTTTCATTTTGAAACTTCTGACTAGTTCCCTAATAAAAATCCCACTAGAAAGGCCAGAGTGATCCTTTTGAGTCTGATCATGTAACTTTTCTGTTCATAACTCTCCAATCACTTCCTGTCTCACTGGAAATAAAAGCCAAAACAGCTGCTACAATCTATCGTACCCGCGCCATCTCTCTGACTAAACTCCCATCTCAGTCAGCAACACTGGCCTCCTTGCTGTTCTTTGGAAACAACCCAGACCTCTTTTCTGTCTCAGGATCTTGGCAGCTCACCTGGAATGCTCTTCCCCTCTATCTCTACATGGCTAACTCTCTCAGCTACTTTAAATCTTTACTCAAATGTCACCTGTTCTCTGAATGTCTCCTCCCTTACTCCCTGAAAACTCCAATAAGGAATTTCTTATCCCCATTGTTTGCTTTATTTTTCTCCAAGGTATTGCCCTTCTAACATAGTATATTATTTACTCCTCATTCTGTCATCTGCCAATAAAATGTAAGCTCAGGGAGGATCTGTGTTTTCATATGCTCTGTTCAGAGATGAATTTGAAGTCTAGAACAAGATCAGGCACAGAAGAGGTGCTAAATAAATACGTGTAAATGTTAAACAAAATGCCAATCAGTGTTTATATTTAGGTGCTTCTTGTTTCAGTAAATTGTGTCCTATAATGTTTTGTTTTTGTAGTCCAAATAGCTTTTTCTATTTTACCTTATAACCATGTACAACATTTTGTATTTTAAAGAACAAATTTTTTTCTTGCATCTTACCTCCTCTTGAGCTTTTATTTCCCACTTTCTCACAATAGTACTGATTCTAGCTGATCCCAAGAGTCTGATCTATTTGGGATTCCTGGTGAGAATTTGGTTAAGAGGCAACCCAATGTGCTCAAATAGTTCTGTTCTATGAACAGAAGTATTGATAACACAATTGTTTGGGAAATTATTGAGCAATCTGGCCACTGAAAAAGTTTTATTTTCTTGGTTTTTGTTTTGTTTAAATCACAAACTCTAATAACAGGATGACTTTAGTAATAGCAGTCTAAGAAAATGAGATAAGGGAGCTCAAATCCTTTGGTTTCCAACAGTTAGGGCAAAATCTCTAGCATCTGTCTTAGGGCTGACATACTTGAGACTGTGGAAAAACGGATCAGATGGGAGGGATGGCTAGGTTTTACACCAGGACTGTGTGCTACATGATGGTAACTCCAGATGTGCTTTTCCTTTTGAGAGAAGTAACAATTATTTAAAAAAGAACAGCATTGAAATTTACAAAGCAATATTGCCTTGCATTATTATTTTTAATTATAAAATAATCGGCACCATACAAAATTTATAAAAGGCATATATCTAGGCATGTTGGTTTGAGAGACAAGCAATGCTAGAAAAATAAAGCAATGTGGGCAATGCTATAATACTTGGAAATAACTGAATTTAATACATGATGATATGCTAATAGATTATTAAGGGTAGCACTAATTACATAAGGGCATGCTTATTCTCATCAAGTTTTGGAGTTACTGTCAGAAAAATAGTGATCTGAACTGTATAAGAAATCCTAAATGACAAACTGATTTGGCACAAAGAAGTCTTTTGGATATACTGCTGTTCTCCGTTCAACCTGTCAATGTATGTAAAGGGATTTAGTCTGGAATGGATTTTCTTTGTAGCCAGAATTCAACTTTTTTTAAAGGTCAAGTGACAGTTCATCCAGAAAAAGAATGTGATCACTTACCCCAGTACAAATTTAACTATGAAAATTACTCTCTTTCCCTGTTGGCCTGAAGAATAATTTTAGTGTGTTTTTAAAAATAATTTCAGTCAATCAAATATTTGACCATCTTTTCCCAAAGGATCACCCGTACATCACTAAATTTCGGGGCATACATTTCAGGTTTAAGATTCAGAATAGATTTTAGAGGGCATCAGCTGTACTTCCTTTTAGAGGAAGTGTCAGGCATGGAGGTGTTATCACTTGGGTCAAAACACAAACAAGAAAAGTACTAATTGCAAGAAACAGTTATTTTGAGACAGTACAACTTCTGAATCATTGTGCATTTTCAAGAAACACTCTTCAATAAAGAATGCTGTTAGTATCTTCCATAGGCCTCAGGTTCTCCTATTATTGATATCAATAAGTTACTGTGACTAGAAAGTGATATTTTAGGAGGCCCAACATGTGGTGAGCACTCAGGTCTGTGAATAATTTGCAAGTCCGTATCTAAATGTGCAGAGGGAAGTCTGCACTTGCTATGCCTGAACTGAAGACAGGAGCAAACAAAGGGTGTGCAGTCAAGAAATGACGAGACTCAAAAATTTCTAGATAAAAGACCAATAGGTTCTAGAAAATGTATATAAATTAGAAGCATTGGCCAAGCTACAGATTTCCAACTTTTAATGCAGACTAATTAACCAGGCGGGTGCAACTCTGGTTGAATGACTAAATCCAGATGGAAATGCCTGGATTTTCATTCTTAGGTTTTAAGTTTCTCCTTAGCGATTGTTGTTGTGGTCTAATTGGTATACGAGTAGAGTCTCTGGCTCCCATCTCTTGCATTTGCATGCCATCACATGCCTCCCTGCCTTATCTCCCCACATACTTTGTCTTGATTTTCATGATTCAACAAAAATGCTTCCTTTCTATATCCATCCTTCTCTTGCCCTGGAGGCATTATCTACCACTTTCATACATAGGCCCCATAGTACTAAGCAATTTTCTCTATAGTATCTTTTATGTTTCATTGAATTTGTTGGTTCACAAGTTGTGACCCCTGACTCCATGGGCTTGACAGCAGAGACTTTGTACGCTCTGTGTCTGAGTTGATTAGGGGGTCAGTCATCTGATTTGTATAGACCTACTATATGCCAAGTTTTGCAGCAAGCAAAGAATAAAGCCAACTGAATCTCTGACCTCAAAGACCATACATTCCAGTGAGGAAGGAAGATTTGTATAAACACATATACACATACATAAACAAAATAAGTTGAGCCATTGATATGTGTTCTACAGGAGGTAAAATAGACTAAGGCAGTAAAGTAGGCAATGCTTATAGTGTTCTGGGAACATAGATGTCTATAACGAGGCAACATTTGAGTAGAAACATGTACGTTGAAAAGTGGCAGGGAGTAGGGGTATGGTGGGAATGTTTTAAGCAGAAACATAGTATAAAATTCCTATTAAAGGAGTGGAATTAAATGTTTGAGCAACTGATAAAAGCCAAGAAGGGCCAGTGTGACTGGAGTGAATTGAAGGACACGGGAGTTGGTGGTGGAGGAAGATGAAATTGGAGACGTAGACAAGAGAAAAGCAAGAACATGTTGGGCTTTGGGAGCTGAAGAGGAGTTTATTCTAAACATAGTAAGAAGCCATCAGAGGGTTTAAGCACAAGAACATAAAATAATTTGTACATTATAAAGGCATTTCTGGCTGTTGAGGATAGCACGGACTTGAGTCAGGCCAGAGTTGTGATCTAAGGATACAAGTTAGAAGGTTGTTTCAATTTTCAAGCAGAAGATAATGGTTGCTTTGTCCTGAGCTGTGGCAGCAGAAATGGTGAGAGGTTATTGGAATAGGGATTCAGGCACACAGCATACATTCAATAAATCATAACTGAATGAATGAATGCATGGCAAATTAACTTCTTACCAGCTATGTGTTTTTTGGCTATGTACTTAATCTCTTTGAGACTTAATTTTCCCATATTTGAAGATGATTATAAATTGATCTCAATTTATAAGAACTAAATAAGATAATACTTACAAAAGCACCTAGCAGCCAATATGTATTCAATAGATAACTAATTTCCGTTCTCCAATTTTTTCTTATTTTCCCAAAGCAATTCATTGTGTGTGCTACCATCAGATTAACCTCCTTAAAGTAAACATTTATTAGCTTACTATATAACTCAGTAAACATATTTATTAGCTTACTATATAACTCCAATTTCTATAATGGCTTTTAATTTACTATTGGAAGAATGGCCTTTAAGGTCATTCTTGATCTGCCCCTAAATTGCATTTCCAGATTTACCTACTGTATCTATTCTCTCTAGCTACAATGGATACTCACCATTCTTTGCACTTTACCTCTTCTGTTCTACTGACTTTCTCTCCATTTGGAATGGCCTTTCCTCAATTCATACCATTCAAATTTTCTCTATCCCTTGAGTGATGCCACTCATATCATGTGCAAGACTCTGGTAGGCCGTTCACCGTATGTACACAGCCTTATTTCCGCTACACTATAATCTCCTGCAGGCATGAGCCATGTCTCAACTATTTAAAATTACTTATTAGACAATCCTTTCCATAAATAGCTATCCTATTGGCAACTATATTGGAATGGTAAAACTTGAATTTGTTAGTGTTTATATTTGCAATTCTGAAAAATGAAATTCATTAGTTACTCAAAAAAGTCACAGACCATAGGGAACAGTATGTCTCCTCCTCATTCTTCCTACTGTGGATGGTTTATCTCTGTCAGTGAAAAGAGACTTTATTCACAGACCTCTCACTTTAGCATGCTATTCTGGGATGCCAATTTGTGGTATGACTGTCCAAATACCATACAGCACTGTCCCCTCTGTCACTCATGATGGCCATTTCATTCACCTTCTATTTGATGCCTGTCATTTTCCCCTTCATACTTTCTAATGTATCTTCCTTTACTTTCTATTGTCACTGCTACCACAGTTTTTTTCTCAGCCTTTAATTGGTCCTTCTCTCCAGGCTTCTTACACTGACATTAAAGAAAAAAAAAATCTGCCTGGAAGATAAACTTTATGGCAGAGTGGGTGAGAAAGTGGCTCCCAAAATCAAATTGCTTGAGCTTGATTCCTTTGCCTGTCCTTTTGGGCTGCACATCCATAACAAGTCACTGTATTTTGCTGTGATTCAGTTTCCTCATGTGGAACATGAAGCTGATAACCCATCTAATAGGGTTTTTACAAAGGTTTTGTAAGAAAATATGTGTAATATGATTACAAAAGTAACTCACACAAAAGGCAATGGTCAATAAATGTGAGCTTCTTTCTTACTGTTTTTTGTTTGTTTGTTTGTTTGTTTCGTTGTTTTTTTTTTTTTTTTTTTGGCAGAGTTTTACTCTGTCTTCCAGGCTGCAGTGCAGGGGCCTGATCTCGGCTCACTGCAACCTCTGCCTTCCAGGTTCAAGTGATTGTCCTGCTTCAGCCTCCTGAGTAGCTGTGATTATAGGCACGTGCCACCATGCCTGGCTAAATTTTTGTATTTTTAGTAGAGATGGGGTTTCACCATGTTAGCCAGGGTGGTCTCGAACTCCTGGCCTCAAGTGATCTGCTCACGTCAGCTTCCCAAAGTGCTGGCATTACTGACATGAGCCACTGTGCCTGGCCAGGTTTTACTTTAAATAATCATAGCACTGTCCTCTAAAGCCCCTTCAGTCTTTCCTCAAATGTCTAAAAGATTATTTTTAATCTTCATTACAAAGAGATTCCTGGTTTAATCTTGATTTAATTATCTAATTACCTTTCCTTCTAACCAGAATTGAAAAGTACTTTCACAGTTTGTGCATTACCAATTCCACCTTTGCAAATACCACTTCCCAGAGCTGGTAAGTTGATCGCTACTTTTTCAACTATCAACAACCTTGTGTTTACTTAACTCCTGGCTTCCCTTTTATATGAAATATTTTGTGATCAGCCCAATCTACAATTATCCTCTTCTCCTTTAAAATCTGGAAGCCTGTAGTGTCAATCTCACTCATAGAGATCACTGGTTACCACCATGTGCCCGCAGCCTCATCTCCAACCCAAGACAGTAAAATCCTGGAAATAAGAGTTTGTTCTTCAACCGTATCATGCATCTTTCTCTGGATGTTCTAGTCAAGAACATCTTTTGAATGACTGCTAAATTGTAATCCAAAAAACTCACAATGTTGACAATCACCTAGGATCCTTGATTATAGGGCATTTTTAAAGTATTCTATATTTTTATAACTTCCAACTGTTCATTGCATCTCAAAAAGAAATAAGAATTCTGCATCACAGTTACCCAGGTTGGCTGCAGAAAAGATTACAATGTTATATCTAACATTCAGAAAGACATTTTCTAGACTAACTGAATACTGCCAAAGCTTTTGTTTAAGCCCTCATCAATTGATGATGATGGTGATGGGCTCCTAGAATCTCTCTATCTCTCATTTGGTAACTTGTCCCTTCCAACCTCCACTGAGACCTTCCTAAACACAAATCTTTTTGTAAGACTCACCTGTTTAAAAGCCTCCCTGACTGTCCTCAAAATAAAGGCCAAATATCTTACACAAAGACGCTTCACAATCTGGCTGTCTCCCTGGCTTTTTCTGCTCAACTAACACAAATATTTGCTATTACCCAAATACCTCATTCGATTTTACCCCTCCATGTCTTGCTATATGCCCTTTTCTTCTGCCAAGAGCATCCTTCTTCACATCACCATCATAACAACTTTAACTTATCCTTCAGACAGAACTCATGCTTTATTTTTTTCTATTAAGATTCTAAGTCCTCTCCCAGGCAGAATTAACTCTCTCTTCTATGCAAATACCATAACTTGTATCTATTATACTTGTACTTATTATACTTTCACTTAAAATTTAAAATGTAATCTAAATATAATTAAATAAATTGCATTACAATTTAATACAGTAAGTGCTATAATTGAGATACATCTAATGCGCTCTCCTGTTCATCTGAACCAGTTCATATTCTTATAAGATGAAATATAGTGGTTTGAAAGAGCAAAGGTTCTGGATGCAGACAAATTAGGCTTTGGATCACACAAAACAGTAACTAATGTGCATTTATCACTTACTACCTATGAAGCACTATCCTAAGTGTTTTTATGTGTATTAATTCATTTAATTTTCATAATAATCCAATAAGATACATATTGACACACATTTGCAGATGAGAACACCGAAGAACAGAGGCCAGTTGGAGTCATGGAACCGTCGAGGTGCAGAATCAGAATTTGAACCCCAATAACCTGTCCACAGAGTCAGCTCTCTTAACCTCCATGCCATCTCTTAGCCAATTAACATTTCTGAAATTTTTCATAACTGAAAAATGAGGATAATAGCACCTTCCTTATTGTAAGTGTAAAATAAAATAATGGTCCCCTACTTTTCTTTCTTTTCCTATGGTTCATTTGTTTTTAGAAGTGGCATACATTTATTTGACTTCCTGGTTAATACATAAGGTCTTTACCTTCTTATTGTCACACATTTCAATCCTCAGCATTATAAAAGAACAAACGAACTGTGGCTTTTCTTTTCTTGTTATTCCCTAGTAATATCAGGTTGTACATCTTGGCCAGAGAAAAGTTAGCCTAGTTTAAATGAATGAGATAGAAAAGTTGAATTTGTTGCCATTCATTTCATTTCAATTGATTTTGTAATAACCATACAAAATAATTCTCTGGGTGAAAAATTTACCTTCAGAGCTACTGATTTACTATGGCACATAAGAAGTACTTACTGATAAAACCAGAAGAAATACATATGTGGCTTGATAAGAATGAAGAATAAAATATAAGTCAAATAATGTGACAATGCAATATACTTAATTTTGCATCACAGAAAATAAATCTTCCTTACATAATAGTAGCAGGAAATGTACACAGACTTCACACTATTATTAATTGTAAAATGTATATTGTTTCACTAAAATTCAGCTTTCAAGAGGGTAAATAGGATGTAACCTCCTCAAATTTCAACCAAAGAATGGACTTATTATTCAGGAATCCATACTTGATTAAGTCTGTAAAAACTAAAACTACATATTTGAGAAGCTAGTTGAAATTCTGGTCAGCAAATGCAAAGTATGGTGCCAACTCAATTATTTTTTTTAACATCTGCAAGCTGAACATGTATATCTTAGTTAACATAATTATTCTAAACAGAAATATGTTACAAATTCCAATCAGTTGCTTCAGAAGATTGATTACCTAACTATACATATTTAGCTTCATAAAATTAAGAGTTTCAAATTCAACATTAAATTTGACTTGATTTGAAAGCAAAGCATACTGTGATTTTGTGTATGTGCAAGTGCAAGCGTGTGTGCCTGTGTATCCTATTATTGCATATTTTCACATTTGGTGAAAATGTATGAAAATCCATGACATATTTAAGTAGTGTTTTATTCAGATTCCAGTAAAACATGCTAGGCTGTTTAGATTTCAAATAATTTCATTACATTGGAACTAAAATTCATTCATATTTAAACCGTTTATCTTCAAGCTTCTCTGAAATATAGGGCATAGTCTCAGGAAAGAAATGTATTTGGGAATTGAGTTGCGAGTTATGTAATCTCCTTCCTTACTGTATTTTGAATTTAAATATTTTCAAAGCCATTAAAAAGGTATAAATACCCCCCTGACACACACACACATACACACAAATATGATTGAATCATACAATTATTTATGCTGTTATTGAAAATGAGAGGGGCTTATATTCCTCCCCATTAAACAATTTCACTTTTGCAAGACACCATAGTCTGTACTTTCCAGTCACTTCCTAATAGTAATTGGGGACCTACTGGAGAATATTGTAATTTTTCAGGTTATATGAATACCACTTAGATTAGATTGCTCTAGTGTTTCATCTAATTTTAAGCCCTCTTTTACCCAGTTTGGAAGTGTATAGTTTGTATGCTTCTGAAGGTACAGACAAGTAGATAATAATATTAGTAAGTACAAAGAATATGTCAGTCACTCAGGGCCATGTAGCAAGTAAGTGGGGAAGATGGAATTTAAACTCTATCTTCTGATTCCTAATTCAGTGTTGTTTGCTCCTCACATCTTCCTATGTCATCTTCACTATGTTGTACTATCTTCCCTGATATTATATTATCCAAAGCTTTCTTTTAGTAATTGTACTAGGGAAATGGTGTTAAGGTCCTAAAATGTTTAAGTTCGAGGAGCATGTGTAAGACAATAAGAAACCGAATTGTAGAATGAAGTCCATTATATCAGTTTCTTACAGTCCATTAATAAGAATGCATCATTCATTCATTGTTTTTCAATATTTAATTCAATAAGGACTCAGGGGAATTAAGTTTTATTTCTTGAAATTATTTTCCTCTGAAAAATTAAAAATCATTAGAAAACAGAAGACAATTTATATGATGACATGAAAACTGTGTTTTAAAACTCAATGTCTATAATATTTGTTATTTTCAAAAAGAGCTTACAATATTCATTTGGCCAACATGGTTGACGAGTACTCTAAACAAAACCTGCCTTGCATTTTTAAGAACACCTTACTAGAGCTTTTCTTAATTCCTCAATATTGTAAAACATCCTAACTGAAGCAAATAATACATCACCAAGTCATTTTGGCAATGGCAACTGTAACTTAAAATTATATTAAAAATAATATAAACCTTACTAGTTAATAAAGTAATATTACAAAGTACAAGAATTTGTACTGGCATACAAAATATTTATATAGCCAACTAGTAATATGTTTAATAGTTTCCTGGATAATTGTATCTCATTGCAGTCATTTTATTGATAAAAAATAACACTGCTTTAAATTTAAAAGCAATACCTTCTTCTCAGTCCAAAGTGTTTTAATGAGCTCACCATGTTACAAATGCAGTAGTCTACACCAATGTAAATATTATGCATATTTTATTTTACTTTTTTACTTTGAAGTCAAATTTCTGTTAGGAATAGATAAATACTCTAATTTTAGCTCAAAGAAAAGGATTTAAAATTTGAAGCCATTATCTGAGTAATTCAGGTTTTTAAAGCTTTAGAAATCAACCAGTAGTACAGGAAACAATGGGAACAACACACATTCAACCAAAACCAAGGATTATTCTTGGCTCTCTATATGTAAAAGCTCTCCAGGGAAGAACAGCATTTAACCCTTTTCAGATATGTGCCGTTCTATTCATTGATGAATAAGTTTGTCTCTTGAACATAACACAGGTGGAACATTAAGAAAGGTAGAGGCGGCCCGGCGTGGTGGCTCACGCCTGTAGTCCCAGCACTTTGGGAGGCCGAGGCGGGTGGATCATGAGGTCAGGAGATCGAGACCATCCTGACTAACACGGTGAAACCCCGTCTCTACCAAAAATACAAAAAATTAGCCAGGCGTGGTGGTGGGTGCCTGTAGTCCCAGCTACTCGGGAGGCTGAGGCAGGAGAATGGCATGAACCTGGGAGGCGGAGCTTGCAGTGAGCCGAGATCGCGCCACTGCACTCCAGCCTGGGCAACATAGCAAGACTCTGTCTCAAAAAAAAAAAAAAAAAAAAGAAAGAAAGAAAGAAAGAAAGGTGGAGGCAATTCAGACAGGCAGCACAATCAATAGTACCTGAGTGGTCTCAAAGTATGACTTGAGCCTGGCTGCTTGCCACATTGACCCTTTAGGGAATTACTTGAAAACTAGAGGGAAGGAGTCTAGAATGTCTTTTGACATGTGTATAATAAAACTGAAGAAATACAAGTGCCCAAAAGCTTACATAATTAATTAAAATGTGAACATTTCTCTGAACCAATGATTCCTTTTACTGTGTGGAAATAAATATGCTTCATGATTTTCATTTCAGGTCAGAGGCAGTGCAGCTTGTGTTACAACTCAAAAGAGTAATACTCTGAAAAAAGAAAAAAAAAGATGGCGCTGAAAATAAACATGTTCAGCAGCCATTGTGATTCAACTTACCCAGATGTGCTTTTCATGAGATGGAGAAGGACGGATGGAAAAGAAAAGCACACAAATGTTAATGGATACAGTTCAATCCAAAGAAAACCATGGAATAAAACAAGAGCATTATTTAAGATGTGAGAAAGCTCAGGTATGAGAAAGACATGGTGCCATTTTGTATTTCATCATGACACACATACTCACTGCGTCGAAAAGCATAGTCAGGCTGAGGGTAGTTCTAATAGTTGACCAATAAGTCTATGTCTTGAGTATGAGCCACTCTGAAACATGCATGACCACATTTTCCCAGCCTCGAGTACATCCCAGGAGGAAATCAAGAAATCTTGGTAAAGGACATTCTTTACCTCAGGCCACTTCCATGCTATTTTACCAGTAGAAACAATAACTTATTAATTGGCACTTAGATTTTTATATAGCTTTATAAGCCTACTGCTAAGGCCCAAGAAAAAAGAACAGCAGACATTAGAATGGGCAGCAACTTGAAGTGAAGAATGTCCTTCCTAGTTTGAGGATCTGAAAATCTAGATTCTATTTCTCATACACAGTTTGGTCAAAATTATTAGCAGATTCTGATCTTCAATTTCCTCAACACAATCCCTGGCAATAGAAATGTGTAAAGTCCATTCCAGATCCATAATGTTATTATTCCAACCAATGCTGTAATAATAATTACTATTTTGGTAAACATATATGGCTAGTAATCAGAACATAAGAAAGTGTAAAAATGTTCTATTCCTCTTCTTCGGTGGCCATATTACTTCCTTCTCTATTTGACTGGCAAAATAAACATCAAGTTTGTGTCTATTGTGGCTCTTTCAGTGGTAGAAATATTTAATTATTTGAATAGGTGTTTATAAATGTTGTTTTTGGGGAAACATCCATAAATTATATTGGTTCACCAATATTACCAGAAATCATCACTAAAACGACATTGATACACATATAGCTTTTGAAGAACCCACTTGCTCCCTGGATGTAGTAGAGGCATTGAGAAAATATGGAAGTTAAATAATTCAACAAAAATTCATGAGAGTATTGTTTTAAAAATATATTACAAGCATAATAGCCTAATTATTAAAAAATAAAATTGTTACTACAACTCATAAAACATGTTCAATATAACAAAATAGAAAGCAGAAATTCCTATGTCAGAAATTAGGCAAGTTAGAGCATCTTCTTTTTTATCGCACAATTATTATAAAGAAAAGATTGATGTGCAATGGAACACCCTGCACATGCCTCCTCTCAAGGCATTCATTCAGAGAAACCGTGTACTTTTTATTAAATCGGCACTTTGAAAAAAATGCATATTTTTGGCCTTAACTCCACAGCATCTGTGGGAAACTCCTTAGATTTTCACATAAACAAAAGCAGAAATGTTCATAAACACTGGCACTACACTGTCCCAAGAAATTTATCATATTTTTCACATCATACACCCCACAGAAATGAAATTAAGACCAAAAGGAGATAGTTTTTAGATTTTAAAATGATTTTCTTGTCAACATACCTGTGAACTCTACGATGAGCTCTGAAAAAATAGGCAATTTCTGAGCTTTCCAGGAAAATTGCCAAAAGCATTTGGGACTAGTTATCACCATGGACAACATAATCTTTCTGAGCCTACTAGCTATCTAGGAATCACTTCCCTATAAAACAAGTTGATTAAATTTGCACGTAGTGAAACCTAATATTTATTAGATGTTCCTTGATCATTTTTTAAAATAGAAAACTTACACAGTATAAATACCTTAAAATATAAAATATAAGATAAAATATGAAAATAAACAGAAAACACAAATTTAAAAGATACTGCTCAAAAAGCATTGCACAAATTTCTAATATTTTTGTTATCAATTCGTATAAATTATCTGATTTCTCATAGTTTTTATGAGCTTTCTTCTCTTCCATAGTAAATAAAGTTAAGAACTATTTCAAGCAGCTATATCACTTTAGAATGTTAAGAATTTCACCTCATGACTTTCAAACAAATGTGTTCTGCAAAAGACAAAAATCTATAGTTATAAATGACCCATATTTTGTGCTAATATATTATAAACTTCATATAGGAGGTAATATATATTTGCAGAGAAGTTTTTTCTGATTAATTTTTCTTATTGTAAATATTGATACATTCTTTTCTACACATATTTATTTATAGTAGCATATAGCCTCATTATTTTTCTCTCCATGTCAGAAGTGTCAAGGCTATGTTAATAGTAAGAAAGATTCTGTCAAGAATAAATATTCTTCAGTGAAAGACCATTGTGAGTAATTGGCAAGTAAGTTTTAATTAACATAAAAAAATAGGTTATGTTACCATCTAATGAATGAGATCAGATCCAATTATTGACATTATGTTTTCCTTGCCAACATCAGCATATATTCAGTCAGGAGAAGAAGAAATGACCAGCAAACATATGTCTTATATTTCAAAATGAGAGCCTTCAACTTTTCAGTTTCCTCACCTTGATCTTCCAGATCTCCTACAATTGAATGAACCTTCTTCTGTTATAAACTAGTCAATTCTGGATTGAAAACTTCAAATAAGAAACAATTCATTAAATGAGTTTTATATTTGGAATATAATTGACTCTTGCTTTGTAAAGTTCAAGTTGGTGATTCAGACATATTTTTAAATTAGTTATTAACATCAAATTGAGTAGTTAATGGCTGGTAACTGAAATGGAAAAGTAAAATAAATAAATATTTTTTTTAATAGGTGAAAGTTGAGAATGTTTAAATGCTGATGGGGGAAAAAAAAAGACAGGAGCAGAAGTTGAAAGCAAGGGAGAATTCCGCACAAAATGACTAAGAAAATGGAAAGGGATGATCTGAGTAAAAGAATAGCCTAGTTTTCTACAATAAGACAGATGGGGCAAGTGTTAGTGTATATTTGGCATCAAGCAATTCAGGGCACTTGGATGGTTTCTCTCTCTGTCTCTCTGTCTCTCTAAGCTAGAATGTAAACTCATCAGCAGAAGATTCAAGTTTGAGGAGAGTGGAGGTTTCTAACAAGAGTTGCAGAGAGTAGAACAACACTAATGAAAGAAAACTCTTGGGATTACTAGGTAATGCTGAATTTCACAATGAAACTATTTCTAATTTCTCTGCTGTAATTTTCTCCAACAGCACAGATGTGCCAAAATGTACACATGGAGAAAGAAAATTCATCATTGGGTGTGGTTGTTATATGTAGATGTGACCAAATGAAAGTGGAGTGAAGAAATTTAACAAATTTTGAGGGTGTTGAAATTATGGACGTGATCTAAGCTAAACCAGGAGAGAGGGGAAAACAGAAAGGTGATAATGCACTGGAAAAGGATAGAGGTTAAATAAAGATGATAGAAGAAAAAGTTCATAAAGCAAGATCAAAGGTGGGAAGACTGTGATTAGCAAGAAATGAGATGCTTGAATTGGTAAGTTTGAAAGAAGCATGATTTGTGGTGATGACAAGATTCAGAATAGGACCATGAAGAGTGTCTGACTTGGGGTAATGAACAACAATGGAAGCAATAAAGTTGTAAAATCAAAAGGTTAGTTTTTGAATGGGTGATCTATGTGGATATCAGAGCATACGAGGGTGACATCAAGAACTGCTTAAAATTCCTACTTAAAGACAGATGATGGGGCCTTTAAAGATAAATATTTAAGCATGTTTCTAGTGATTCTTACAAATGAAAGAAATGGTTCAGAAGTTTAAATGTGGTTCCTCATCACATTAAATATAACTTTTCTTTAAGTTAATATTGACTTCAAATAACTAAAATATTTGAGACTACTTAAAGGAGTTTAAGAAATCTTTATTGCTCTAAGAATTTTGTTAATCATCTGCCTAGCAAACCTAATACAGTTAAGCCTCAAATTAAAATTTCAATTATGGAGAATCTGAACCAAAGATATTTAATTTTATGTTTGTGTGTGTGTCTACGAAAATATACTTAATACACACACACACACATATATATGTATGAAGTCTTTTTGTATTGAATTTTTTGTCTGTAAAACCCCGGCAAGAGAGAGACTATACGTAATTACTGCCCTTCTTAGAAGTGTGGAGACAGATACATTTACTTCATGAATGGCTCATTTGAAATAACTATGGGAAGAAACTAAATCTCCAAAGATCTTATAAAAAATACTATACAAAGCTTATATGAGATTTTATATTAACAGGAACAGATGTGGAAAATTCTAGATTAAGATGTCAGCATTATATTTAAATATACTTTAATTTGATTTTTTTATTTAAAAAGCCATAATTATTCTTGCTATTAGACACTCTCTTGTAAGTTTTACTGGAATGAATAATTTAGATTGATTCAAGCACACATTTAAATTCCTTACATGGTTTATTTATTAGGGAACATTCACATTATTATATCTTATATCAAACATTGGAACATTATGTGTGGCTAATTATATCAGAAAAAGTCAATTTTATAAAACAGCTACATCTCGTGTTTTGAAATCCTCCCCATCCCCACTCTTTAAAAGCATGACTGGTTTGAATACATTTGTTGCTCATTTTTAAGGATAGGGTAGGGGCAGATAAGAAACTAATTATTCTCTAGAGGAAAAAAATATGCTACCCTTTCCAGAGTATAAAGAGACTGGGGAATTCTTCATTCACTCCCTATATAGACCATTAACATTAAAAGTTATATAGGATATTCTAAGTGCAGTTGAGATTGGACTACATATTCTTTAAATCACAGCCCTATTCTTAGATACTAAATAATTCCAAGGAAAACTGGGCTCTGGAGATCTACATTTTTGTATAACACAGTGCCTGGAAAGCTATATTTCTTGATGCATAAAAGAAAATAGCAGTTTTTACATTAAAGGCTTTGTGAAAAATATTAGAGATAACACATGTAAAATGCATAGAACAGTGCATTGCCTAGCACATTACAACTAATCAATGTGATTATTATGTACATATTACATATAAAATAGATAATGTCATTAGCATGCAAAGGATGAGGAAAAAAATGAAGCAGAATATATGCACACAAGGAGGTAAGAGTAATCAGGAACAAAACAAATAGATATTAGGTATATCAAGACCATGAAGTGCAAGATGGGAAGCAGAGAGATAAAGCTGGTGAGATACACAGGGAGCAGATAATGTAGGGATTTATGGACTACATAAAGCCATTTGAAATTAATCCTAGGGTTGTTAGGGAGTGATTGAGGGGTTTTAGGCAGCTAAAAAATAAGATTTAGATAGGTCTGTTTAGCTTAAGCGTGACTAACGGATTATAGGAAGGCAAGACTAGAAGCAGAAAGACTATTGTAGTATGATGGCTTGAGCTGGAAAGAAGAAAATCAACAGATTTGAGAGATTTTTTTTAAAAAATGCAATTGACTACATTTGGTAATAGTACATGGACGTGTGTAGAGGAAGAATTAGGACAAGGAAGAGCAGAAGCAAAGAAGAAACCCAGGTTTCAGGTTTGGTCACCTGGGTAGAAATCACTGCCCTAACTCCTATTACATTTTCTCAGGTTTTCTTCTTTATCCTAGAGTTCTTTCCTTATCCAGCTTCTGTTTATACATTCAATTATTTGAGAAATGTATTTTAAATACTTACAATATGCCAGCATCTATATGTTAAAAATTCAAAGATTCTCCTCTGTTCAGTTCTCTTCTGAATTTTACAGAGGATCACAGAATCTCAGGGCAGGGACAATTTAAAAAGCAGGTAGTTCAAACTCTCAGCCAAAAGTTGAATCCTCGATGCAATAATCCTACTATGTACATATGCCTGTCAGGTCAATATTAGACATAATTATGGTGAACAATTCCCTTTCAAAGTGGTCAATTCTTTCTTCCTACCTCTGTGATTGCTAATAATTCTCCTACAGTCAGCTCAATTTATCTGTACTAACCCCTGACTTCTGGCCTAAGGTCTTATCACAAGGCCATAAAGAACACGTTTGGTTGTTCATTCTGTTGGCAGCATCTATATCTTTGTTCTGTATATACCACATATTCCTATTTCTACCAGTCTTTGAGGACATGGCTTTGTGTCATCTCACTAGTATGGTCATGTTCCTCTGAACATATGCTGGTTTTAATCCACTTTAAGTAACTTTCCCAGAAATGAACACAATACCCAGCTACAATCTGGTAAATGCATCGAATTTTGACCCTGTTACTGCTATTACGGATATTGAAAAACATTAAATTATTTGTCAGGCATTGCTCATTTGCCTACCTTGTAGAAAGTTTTTTCTTAGGAGCTACAGGTAAATTATATATGTTCCCCTATATAGAGGAAATCAGTAAGTATAGTCCTAAAGCTGGCTGCAGTATTATAAAAATTCCTCTATAAAATTTCATCTTGTCAGATTTGGATGCCTCTGTAAAAATCATCCTTAAGTATATTCTTTATCTAAAAACTGAGCTATGCCTTCTAGCTTCACACTTTGACAAATCTGATGTTCTTATTTAAATCATGTGTGAAAGTGCTGGGTTATGCCACCTTCTGTTTCACTTAGTCATCATCAATTCATTTGTGAAGCCCCTTTGGTTATTTGTCTTTAGCTGGGAGAATGTCTTGTAAATAAGAACATTAGGGTGCCTTTGAGTTTTCGGCACTTTTCTCATTCTCCACAAAGATTTAAAAAGTGATCATGAACCCTGAAATACTTAAATGCAATAATTAGTTTTCATGTCCATCTCTCTACAAGCTCTTTGAAGAACAGAACTACCTAATTCAAATATCAGTAATTTAAAACATTTCTTGGGACATACTGAGCAAAAGAATGAAA
Organism: Homo sapiens; assembly: GCF_000001405.40. NCBI lineage: Eukaryota > Metazoa > Chordata > Mammalia > Primates > Hominidae > Homo > Homo sapiens. The sequence goes on from NC_000012.12 coordinate 81,318,942, forward strand.
AATTATCATTTTCATGTTCTATTAATATTAATCCAGGATTTACATCAATTAAGATAAATAAGAATTTATTTAGAAAATGACATTATCTTCTATTATATGTAACTATCTTGATTTTAATTTTTCATATACTAATTTTTATTTTACTCTTTCCAGATCAAAAATGTTTCTCCTGGCAGAAATTATGGAGCCAGCACAGGGCTTCTGTTCTACTCACTTTGTTAATATATTAACATTGAACTGCTGGCTCAAAACAGCAACTCTATTCCTTTTGTGCTGTTTTCCTTCCTCTAAATAGATCAAATATATCTAAATATATCTAAAAGAGAACACTTTGGTTTTCCTTAGCTTTCTTTTTACTAACAAATTTCAGTGCATTCTGACCCTTATCCTTGGGATATTATTATTATTTACGTTCAGGGAATTCTTATAATTGTCTTTGGTTGAAGGTAGGTAGGGCTATACATGATCACATGGCAAAGCAACAGCAGCTCTATTTTAGTGAAAACAGAGAAGACAGGCTTCTGGAGTTCCAAGTAGGAAACTGGGACATATTTTTCCAGAGAAATTTTGAAAGCATTGGTTTTAGGTTCTAAAATGTTGTATATTATTATATTCATTGAATTAGTTGCCGAGGAATTTTCCTGCAGTAATTGTGTCTGTACTAAATAAACCCTCGACTAAAATAAACAAACTGATCCAAGCACAAATATCTGTTCCAAACTAGGCCATAAAAGGATTTCATCTAAGGACTTCATTTTTGGAATGGGATGAAGGAGAATATATGTGTTTGTGACAAGACTGGGAAAATCTCTCATGATCTCTTATTGTCAAAGTTTTGGGAATATCTTGGCTCTATTGTTTCTGTAATCTGTGAGATATCCTGGCTCTGTTGTTTCTGTAATCTGTGAGATAATCTAATATCATGCAAGTGAATCCTTCTTTTTGCTTTATCTACCCAGAGACAGTTCCTACTGCATGCCTACAAAACAAATTTTTGTGGGGGAAGCACAGACTTTTACTTTCTGTGTATATAGAATACTCAGATGGGAAAATGTACTCAGAGCTTCTAACACATCTTATAAATTAAGTTCTGGAATACAGTTCATTTAAAAGTTTAATTTGGCATATAGGCACTTAACGAATATGTATTAAATGAAAGAATATTGTGGAGTTTCTGTGATACCTTCACATATAAATATTTTCCATATCATTTATTTTGCTTACAGATATGTACACTCTGAACCTGCCAAATGCCAAAGATTAAAAGTGCAGTCTCAAAACACATTAAAGATTACACACTGAAGGAGACCCTCAGGATTGTGATGGGAATAAATTAAGTAAATCTATAGAGCTTAACTTTTATGTCTGTGATATTCTAACATAAAGATTTATTGGTAGTAATTAAGTGTGACTGCTTTGCTCCAAGGATAAACTGCTTCTCGAGAGAGGATGCTGCTGATAGCTGAGTCGGGGTGTTAATTTCATTTTAATGATATTGAAAAATTTGTTCACATATGAAATCTATTTTCCTTTAGCAGTGTTAACCATTCAGAATACATAGAAAAGTCTAACATATAATAATATATTATCTTTATTGTAACTAAAGATTGAAAATGATAAATTAGTATATTAACATTCGTATGATATCTTTCAACTTAAGTTACAAAATAGAGAAGATTTCAGCATGGATATATGCTTTACTAAAAAAATTATATAATGTTACGAGGCAAGAGAAAACATTAGCAGATAAAGAATTAAGCTAAATATTTCATCATTTATATTGCTGGAGATAAATAACAATTCAATGGATATTCTATCAATTTTAATATGTTCACTGCCTATTCAGGATGGTCTTGAGAATTAGAGAGGTGAATTACTGTTGAAACAGACATCCTCATCTTTAATCCCAGAAGTTTCTATAAGACTAAGGTTCTTGGAATGAAAATTGAGTGTAGAAATGTGAGTCCTCTAGAGTAACAGTTGTCAGATAGTCCAGCATAACAAGTCTTCAGTTTGAAAGAATAAGGTAGAAAAATGAAACAAAACATTTGAATAGACACCTACTTACGGCATTTCTGAACACCAAAGATAAAGCAAAAATAAATAAATAAAACAGAGAGAGAGAGAGAGAGGAAAAAGAAATCCTACATGTTATATACAAAAGAATGGCAATCAATTGATCATTAGCCATAACTAGAAGCAAGAAGAGCCATAACTTCAAAGGTCTGAGGACAAATTATTTTTAACCAATAGTTATATGTTTCAGGCAATTATCAACTGATGTTAGGTGTGACACATATTTTCAGGTCTCTAATGACTTAAGGAATTTGCCACTTGCCCTATCATCACATTTCTAGAGATGCTGACATGTGAAACTGACAACTAAATATATTCCAGGGGAGAAAAGTAAGAAATTTAATGAGATATATAATAAAAATATAATTAACACTGATGATTCAAAACTTGCTTAAGCAAGAATGTTGATGACATTAAATTTTATTAATTCCCTTGTAAGCTCATAGTTCTTGATTCTAAAGTAACAAATTTATCAAATTATAATACCATAAATGTTATTTTTAATATTATGGGGGGCTTATACCTGTGCAACTTGAAAGTCTGTGACTAACCAAATCTTTCTGTGTCAGGTAGATTTAACTATTTGGAGCTTCCAGTTATGCTTTTTTTTTCCCCACTATTTACCTAAGCCATGCTCTACCAGCTTTACTGGAAATATGGCTGACAGTTTGATTTCTAATTGACTATTTTGTTAGTCAACAAATAAATTCTGAACTTAGGCAAAGAAGAGAGTTTCTATTTATTGTGCCCTAAAATACTCAAATATAGTCTCTAAGTACAATTTGGTGAGTTGAACCTTATTCAGAAACACAGGAATTTTGGGGGGCAGGCCCATGTAGGTTTTAAATCTGAAGGGACCATCTATCATTCCATACAGTGTAATTGTAGCTCACTGTAACCCCGAATTCATAGGCTCAAGCAATCCTCCTGTCTCAGCCTTAGGAGTAGCTAGGCTACATGCACATGCCATCATGTCTGTCTAATGTATTTTTATTTTTTGTAAAAACAGGGTCTCACTCTGCTGCCCAGGCTGGGTCTCAAATGCCTAGGCTTGAGCAGTTCTCCCACCTCAGCCTCCCCAAGTGCTCGGATTACAGGCATGAGTCACCATTACTGGCCTGTGTGGTTGGCTTTAATCGGCTATCCTGAACTTCGAAGCTTTTAGGTTAAAACATAGGCTGGAAAGCTAAGAATGGGAAATACGTTCTTAAATATGAGGGCGAAAGGTATAAAAGAAAAAGAGTGAAATTTTCAGGTCTGGTTGTTCTAAACGTAATAGTAAAAGAGAAGATATTTTTGTTAAATAAGAAGAGGTGCCTGGAGTTCAAAGAAATCCAACAGAGAGTGATGGATAAGATCTCAGAGAGTCATGGCATCCCCAGATGAAGTCCGCATTGAATAAACTATGAAGAATTATAATATTAATACTGAAACTAAATATTGAGAATAAGTGACTCACCCCTTAAATGTCAGGAGCCTACAGAGAAACTGCTCAAATTTTAAAAGGGAAAACCAATAAAATTACTGTGAAGCATTCAAAGAATTACAAGCTGAGTTTTAGTTTGACACAATTATTATAGGTTAACTATACTCTACATAAACCTGCTGGAGAAATTTATGGAATTGATGCTTTAAAGAAAAGTACAGCAAAGATGAGGCATAGTAAAGGCAAACTAGGCAGAGCAACAATAGATTGACTTTAGGCCGAGGTTACGTGTTACTCTGATGAAACAACAACAGCAACTGTTTAATAATTATCAGGAAGGTAAAGATGGACAAGACAAGATTTTCATGACTAGTGGGTGGTTTAGCAGATTCAATATTGTTGATTTCCTATTTCTCATAATAAGACAATAGAGAGAAATATAAGCAAAACTAATGCCTGGATCAGAAAACAAAGAAAAAGTAGGATTAAAGTAGGAAAACAAATCTTGTAAGTTGTTGTAACCTATGTGTGTTAAATTTACTGGATGGTAAGTGTGCCTCAAATTAAACCTTTGTTTAGGACTGCCAAGTTACAAATTTCTGAACTTTGCAAAAATTTGGAATGTCTTAAATGCTGCTCTCTGAAAGTAACTCCCCCATATGGCTTTTTAAAAAATGTACCATAATTAACTCCTCTAGAGATTTCTCCCAATTAAATTTAAAGTTACAGACTGTCAATTCTAAATAGCTGCTATCCTAGCAAATTTGAAAATAAGATATTGTCTAGTTCTGGCTATCCTCACAAAGACTAATGAATCTCTGCTATGAATTATGGGATAGTGAGCATAGCTCTGTTAAGTACTAAGTCTTGGAAACACCATTTTGCCAGTCCAATGGATAGAATTTAGAAACAACTGATAGGATAGCACAGGTTGCAACTGTGTACGTACGATCTGTAGTGCTCAACATTATGAAAAATGTTGCTTCATTTATTGTTTTTATTTATTTTTAAATAAAATTTACTTAAAATTATTTTTCATCCTGATAGAAGACTAGCAAACATGAAATCGGAACCCAGAAAAGAGTGTAACTCATTAAAGTGCACTGAAAGAGGATACGGTTTCTTTAAAAAGAAAGAAAATTGGAATTGTTTAAATGAAATTTTAAACACTTGGAAAAATCCAAGAATAGGCTGTCAACATTTAATAATATTAATAATTAACAATGTAAAATTCAATAGAAATAAAATTTGAAACCATGTAATTTAAAAGTAAATTGTCTATCTCTAATAAAACTCATTATATGAAGACAACTTACTCTCTGGTAATCCAGAAATCAAGCCACAGTGGCATGCAAATTCCGAATAGGTGTTAACAATTATTCATATAAGTCCTTTGAACACTGATTGCATGTTTATGCTCACAGGGCTATTGCTATGGGATAATCAATAATAAGGGAAATACTTTTGTGCTTTCATTAATTAACTCTGACTTGCCTTGTTAAATCCATTTGAACCTAAATACCATTAATCCATGGGAAATAATCGTACTAAGAAATGTTAGCCATTTTTGCCTTATAGAATGTTCTTAATATTCTTCTTAATATTAAAAGCAAGTATTCTACATAACACATCTTACAGTTACATTTTGCCAATACATGTTGCAAAATAAAACCCAAAGTCAAGCATGGTAACATATTTAAGGGAAGAATTAGTATTTTTTTCTGACTGTGAGGGTACTTAGTAGTTGAGAAACGAGTCTATAAAATTATTATCAAATCAACCCAATAGTGTATAAGGTTAATGATAGCTAAACTTTAAATATGTTATTTTAAATCACTGTATAATTGAAATGTTTAACTTTAGTAGCTATTTAAAAAGATATTTCAGTTGGCTCCATCAACAACTAATGAAGTATGCAATGCACTGCCTCAATATCAGACTTATATGCAATTGTGAAAGCTGTTCAGATTGCCATTCTTTGTCAAATATTTGTCTGGGAGAAATGAGAATTAACTTTCAAGGGAAATAAACTGAGTCCATTAGTCAGGCTGGGTTTTGATCATTTATATATTTTTAGACTGGAAATCAACTGCGAACATTTAAAAATCTTAACAAAGGAAAGTATTTTTTAGAAGAATGTTTTTCTCAATAAATAGTCACGAAATAGAGTATATCATTAATTGGTAGGACTAAACAAAACGAAGACATTTGAAAAAGATTATGATAATATTTAAATATATTTTTGAGTGATCAGTAACTAAAGAATAAATATATATTATTGATTATGGCTGAGCATTTGATTGTATGGTAGAAATAATTATGTTCTCAAAGTCATTTTTTTCTGGACAATATTCCTACTGAATTGGGATATATGTACATAATTTTTAGTAACTAGCAAACTAATAAACAATTAGGTTAGTGAGTTGTTCTGCAACTTGTAAGTATATACTTCCCTATTATTAGTAAACATTTACAAAGCAAGTGAGAAAGCAAAATATGAAGTCAATTGATTAGCCTGTATATTATAATCCTAAGAGCCTATCTGTTACCAAATGATGATGAGAGCAGTGAATATTCTTTCATAGGAAAGAAGGAAAATGTGAAAACCAAAAACACAATGTAAGGAATATTTGAGAAGAAGGAAAAGAAATAATCAACCAATAGATTCTGGAATAAAGAGAAATTGATTTACATTTAAAGAACATGTCCTAAAGGTGCCATTTTGTCAATGAAAATGTTACTATGTATTTTTAAAATGTTATTTTGGGAACTACTTGCTTTCCAACAGCTGCTGCAACTCAAAATTGGCCAATTTTGCAAGTCATTTAAATGTCCTATATTATATATGAATGAAAAGATACACTATCAATTTCCTGACAGATGCAAAACAATCTGCTCTGAGTCTAAAATAAGTTTATATTCAATCAGTCAGAGAAATGTTTCTCCTTTACTCCATTTCAAAGAGTAGATACTTATAATTGCCATGAGAGAAAACAAAGCTAGATGGTATAATCTCATTTTATCAAACCAATCAGGTTTTAATTTTGAACATCAATAGCATTGCATTACTTGTAAGGATTTTGAAACAAATCTATGGATGGTTACGTTGAAGAAACTGCTTATTTCAACTACAGGCCAAATATTTTTATACTCTTTTAAACAGTAGCTCATTATAACCAGGAAACATAAGCCCTGAGTGTTTTAGGTAGTATCTGGAAAATATTGGCTTCAATATAGTTCTTTTGTTTCCAACCACTCTCTTTTTAATTCCCTATAAATAATAATAAGGAATTGATAAAAGTTAGAAAAAGAGGGAAAAATCCCCAAACCTACTTTTTCTTTAGTCTTCGATCCTTCTCAGCTTGAGTTCCGAGTTTGCCTAACCCCAGGGACTCCTGAGCTGCAGCTTCAGTCTCCATAAAGCCTCCTGTGAAGAGAAGTAACTAAGTATTCAGATTATGTTGCATAGGTTGTGTCAATTCTGAAGTCAGGTTGTTAAAGGTTTAGTTGAGCAACTGTTTAGTATCACATTTAAAAATTTTCCTTATATTACTAACCCAAGATGCATAAAATGGCATGGGTACATACATAAACATACACTGAGAAAATGAAAACAAAACAAAGCAGTACCTATGGGGATATAATTTGTTGCACCCAGTGGCAACATAATAAATGTGGCCTGTTCACTGACAAGACACTTAAATATACTGTCCCCAAGTCTTAAAGTCTGTTTTTATACTTTTCTTATGGAAAATAAGAGCAAATATCTATGCAGCGTGTGAGATTTGTTTATTTTTTCAACACGTTAAGTATTTGCAATATTTCACATATAATGGGATAAATGATAGCCAATTGGGTAGGAACTCAAGTATATGTTTTCTATTACAAGTTGAGAGAATGGAGAAACATTTGCTGACTTCTAAGAGCTCTTCATAGACTGCTCCTGGAAATTTGTTCTGCTCTACTGGCTGACTCCTATGTCCTTCACTATAAATCTTACTTCCAGAACTCGATGTGTTCTGGGCAGGTTCTTGTGTTGTTTTTTAAACTTCATAATATTTTTTGAAAAAATTCTAAATTTCTTCAAAAGAGCTTGATAAAAATAGTTATCACCAAGTAGGTCATAAGTTCTCATTTAGTGTCAATATATAATATGTATACCTTATATAACTTTGTAATAAAAGGAAGAAGAAAGAAAAGTATGATGTACATTAAACACATATCACAGGATTTCTAAACTTACAAAATTAATTCATAAATTATCTGTTGTAATTGAAAAATAAGGACTTACTCCTATGTTCTGAAGTCGAGCTAAATGAAAATGCTCACTATTTTTAAATGAGTTAAGGTATATACTTTTTTTAATAAAAGAAAATTAAACTCCAGTTAAGGTCAAGATTAGGTAGAAAGATTTAAGCTAATATAAACTCTCACAAAGACTATGCAAGAAATTTCATCACTATATCAGTAAATAACTATTGAAGACAACTTTTGCTCTTCTCTCATTGTAGTGGACACTTCCTTACTTAACATTTGCAGGACTCGACCAAGATATGGTTTCTCTTTAGCAAAGTAAAATATCTTACCAAGGTGCCAAAAGCAAATTTTGATGTTACTGTTTTTAATACTTTATTTTACCAAATAATTTATAATACTGGATAATATTAACTTGGGAACATTGATATAAATAAATTAATCTCATTCCTGATAACCTTTTTACTGAACTATATAATTTTTTAAAAGTCTCCTTTAATTAAAAACACATTTATTGCTGTATAGATCTAATTCAGAGATGTGGAGTTTGAGGGCCAAAATTTGTTTTAGTTATTATTCACATGTTTAATGAATACGGGTACTTAAATCTTTTTTTATTATGAAAGATTTTTCTTCTTGGTATGGATTAGGAAAGCCTTCTACTGGTGACTAAAGTACTCTTGGGAAAGAAACATTTTCAAATGGGAAATTTTCCATTATGTACAGTGAGTGCATATTTTCATTTTATTTCTCTCATCTGTATATTTGCCTTACTGTATATCAATAAATTATTATTCATAGTCTTCAAATAATAATAAAAATGTTTTCTTGAAATGTAAATGAAAATGAATGAGTCACTTAAAAGTTATAAAATTCTTGAATGGTCCATATAGGGACATAGAGATTGATGAGGCAGACATATTCAATAAACAAGGAAAGATTTTCAACCACCAGGTGGCTAGATGAATCAGGCTTTTATTCTTCTGAGCAATATAAGAACATTTAAATTATGATTTAAATTTATTCATATACCCAAAATTTTAATAGAAAAAAATCACATTTTTAAATAATAAAACTTGAAATAAAAGCAAAGAAAAATCTAGGAATATTTTGTGAGTTAAATCTAGACATTTTATTTTCTCATAACTATAAAATAAAAAGCATGAAGAACTTAGAAATACTCGGAGTATTGCAAAATCTAGTATCTTTTTTCAAAGCATTTGATAGATAACTGGAACTACATCCTACTCAAAAATGCCAAGTACAAATGGGACGTAAGGCCATTGTAAGTAAAGCTATTTTTAAGCAACACATTCAGGCCAGTGCGCTTAACCAGGAGAAAAGTCCCAGCAAGTGCATATTTTCAGCCCAATTAAAACACTTCTGAGGGAGGACATTTTTTCACAGAATTGACCTAGCTGCTTCACTCATCTAATGTTTATCTTTCCACATACTTGATAAACTAGCTGGTAAGGGTGACCTTAGCCAAACCAGCTTACTAATTATTTTACTCTATGGATGATTATCTAAATCCAGTGAGAGTCTGTCTCATTCTTGTCTAGGCATCAGTGGGCTCATATGGCTATGTGAACTTCAGAAATATCTATTTATCTATACCAATATTTTATTCACTCCCTACATGTGACTATTAAGCTCTTGAAATGTGCCTAATTCAGATGATGTATTGTAAGTGTAAAATACACACCAGGTTTTGAAAACGTGGTAGAAAAATACATGTAATTCATAAATTTTAAGTGATCATGTGTTAAAATGAGATTATTGTTTCTATATCAGGTTAAATAAAATATAGGATTAAAATTAATCCCACCTATCTCTTTTAACTTTTCTTAATGTAGCTACCAGAAAATTTAAAATTACATATGTGGTTCACATTTGTGGCTTATATTGTATCAATGTTGGCCAGCACTATATACCAGAGTTTCTACCTGGATACAGTACATCCACAGAGGGAATGTAAATGTTTGTGTATGTTGAGGGAGGGTGCATTTTTTTGGGTATTATAATGATTGGCACATATTGGACAGGGGACAAGGATTCTAAACATCCTTCATTAAATAGAGAAACTGCAGCTTGTTTCTTTTTTCTTTTTTTCTTTCTTTCTTTTTTTTTTTTTTTTAAACAGGGTCTCAGTCTCTCTCAGACTGGAGTGCAGTGGTGCCATCAGAGCTCACTGCAGCCTCAAACTCCTGAACTCAACCCATCCTCCTCCCAAGTAGCTGGGACTATAGATGTGTGCCACTATGCCCGGCTAGTTTTTCTATTTTTTGTAGAGATGAGGTCTTGCTATGTTGCTTAGGCAGGTCTTCAACTGCTGGCCTCAAGGGATCCTTTGACTTTGGCCTCCCAAAGCACTGGGATTACAGATGTGAGCCACCATGCCTGGCCTAGCTTGTCATTCTCAAAATGATGAGTGCCTCAGAGGAGAAACACTGGCCTGTGGAAACTAGGGGTTACTCATTCTTCAGGAGGTCTATTAGGAAACTATGTGGAAAGAACACAATGAACTCCACCCCTTTCATGGCCTGAAGTGCTTGGGCTTGAAGGTTTGAGTCCCATGATTCAGCAGACTACTTACATAATAAATTGTTTATCACCTTGTCAGGGTCCGCCTAGTGGTTGGGCATGAGCAAGGCAGCCTTCTTGCCCTCAAAGTTTTCTTGGCTATCACTCAGGCATCTTTACTTTTGTGAGGCCTTCGAGGACTTGGAATTATTGAGGGCAAGACCACTCCTAAGGTGTGACAGGCACAGTCAAGGATTTTTTTTTGCCAGCCCCTCTTCCTGTGTAAACAGTTTTGAACCACCAAAAAATCAGTGGGACAACGATCTACTGATTCAATCTCATACAATACCATTCTTGCCAGTGGGAGCGAGGGATCCAATTGCCAGACCACCCTCTTGAAAACAGGGTCAGACCACTGTCTCAGGATGACTCCATAGATGCGACTCACTAGGCTCCCTGGGGCATCTGGTCGAGTGCATGCGTGGCGTAGAGTGTCAAAGAAAACCCTGAAGGGGAGAAACAGGGACCCAGGCTCCTGCTGTTTGGCTGGATCGGGCAACATGTCCAGATGGCACTACTTCCCTTCTGGTCCCAGTGTCTGAACGGTAACTGAGAACATTTCGATGCTTCCAGTGATTAGACCCCGGGTCCGGGTCTCAGCTGGGGGTGCCTTGCCCAGATGGCACTGCCAGCCCTGAACTTTCCCAGACATCAGAGGGAGTCTTAAAATTTTTCAAGGAAGTTGCTACAAAATGTAGGGCTTGCGAAGGCTCAGGGCTCAGGGCACAGGAAGGAAACTCACATGCCTAGATCTGTGGATGGAACTAGTTGGAGGTATCTATTCATTTGGATTGTGAAGGTGTGGAAGTTGTTAGAATCAAAATGGAGTCACTATTGTTAAGAAAATCCTGGCAAGTAGAGCCAGGGAAGGCCATGAACAGAGGATTCTCATGCTCCTACGCACGATAGCAACAACAACAACAACAAAAGACCCTACGAAAGCCACAACCTTGCACGAAGGCCATTGCAATCCCATGCCAAAAAATATTTTTATAGGTATATCTGTCTGGCAATTGCCTGTCCAACCTCTGACTGGTGGCACGCTTGTTATTAATTTGAGTAGCCAAAGATAATTATTTCAAAAAATTATGTAATGTTCTTAATTTTTTGCCTTTAAAAATCTTTGTCTTCCTTTCCTTCCCTGAGTATACACATAGTTTATAGTTTACTATGACATACATATTCTTATCACAATGCTCTATTCCTAAATAAACATCTTTTCTTTTAGAGAGCATCTCTATTTGGTATTTAGGTCAACAAAGACAAATATCTCCCCATTTCCCAGTCCTTAAATTTCATTCAAAATCACTTATTTCATATTGGCCCTTGAGATACAAGTCTGTAGAAATTGCTTGACAAACCCATATTGCAAGGCCTCTGTCCTTCCATTTGTCCAGCAGAGGTCTCTGTCATTGTGTGAAAAAGAGATCTCTAACTACTACAATCTGCTGATGATTGGTGGCTTCATCTTTCTTTCAGTAGAACTGTCTTCATCATTAATAAATAGCACATGGTTTGTATTAAAACACATTTGAATTTATAAATTGTTACTTAATTGTTCAACATCTGTTAGTCTGTTAGCTATCCGGAGACTGTATCTATACACAGTGCCTGGCTCATAAAGGGTATGTAACAAATACAGTCATAATTGGAGCTAAATACTACTTTATTTAAAGAAAGACCCTTTCACTATGCAGAGCATGAGTCATTTCTAATGGACACTTTGTGGAATTTACATTGTAACTATTGGTTCCTTAGCACCAAGGAACAATCTAAGTTTTGGCGTAAAGGCCGACACAGACACCCAAATTTTAGAGGTAGAAAAATACAGTCATGCGCCACATAAAGACCTTTCTGTTAATGATGGGCTGCATTTATGACAGTGTTCCCATAAAACTATAATAGCATATTTTCACTATACCTTTTATGTTTAGGTACACAAATACTTAACCATTGTGTTACGATTGCCTACAGTGTTCAGTACAGTCACATATTGTGGATTTTTTATAGCAACAGGCTATACCTATAGTCTAGGTGTGTAGGTGGCTATTCCATACAGCCTGGGTAGGTAGTAGGTTATATTATTTAGGTTTGTGCAACAAAATCCCCTAAGGGATGCAATTTTTAGAATGTATCCTTATCATTAAACAATGCACGACTGTACTTGTGAAATGATGCTGGTGTACTGCTGAAGCTGTGTTTTTGTCACTGTGAAATTATTTTTTTATTAAGCCTATTATAGTAGGTCAATGAGTTCAGACAATTATAATACAAACTGGCAGATAACCATAAAAGAATTGCCATTTAGAGGCAAAAAAAGCTCTTTAAATGTGTATATTGCTTTTCATACGCATTTAAAGGAAACTTGCTAAAGTGGCCCTAACCTAATAATATATGCATTTTTATACATGCAATTGGGAATTCTGCTTATTCATAGTTAACGTGCTTTTCTGTTTTCATTATTTTTTTCATAGCTTTGTTGTTTTGGCTCTATTTGATCACTCCCTTGTCTTGAATATCTCTTTGTCTTAGATTTGTTTCATCTTTTGCTATGCCTGTCAGTAGCCTCTTCTTTATCCTAACCATTCACTATTGACATCAGCTAAGTTGGTCAGATGTGTTCTTGTTTCTTCATTGTAATTATTAGTAGAGCTCTGTGAAGACTCAAAAGAGTTGGTGTTTCTCAGGTGGCAAACAAATCAGTATGTTAAGATGGTATGGAGCAGTTAATTTCCCTAGAAATAGTAAATGTTTAAATATTTCTGTCTCTTCTCCATACACTATCATCATTTTTCTAAGCTGACAAACTGCCTCTGGAAAACAGAGCTCGTTTGCTCTAATCCTTAACTCTCACTTCTGCTTGGATGCTTGACCCTGGAACTCAGATCATCTTATTTCTGTGGTTGGCTCTGCTTCAAGATGCTGCCTCCCAATCTCTGCAGTTCCAATCTGTCTGTGGCTGGGTAACTTGATCTTTGGTGCTAATCACTTCCTTTGCTTCATAAGCTGGCATCACACTTCTGACCCAGCCAGTACCCACTTCCTATTTAACCACAGAAAACGCCATTTCCATGACATTCTCTCTGGAGCTTGCTGTTTAACATAGTTTCAATACCCTTTTCTCAAAGATAGGTCCCGTTTGAAACTCTACCTTTACACCTTTTCAAATACGTAGGAAGATTGCACTTAGATGATCCTAGTAGAATCAAACATATACAGGGAGAGAAAGATTAACCCAGAACTCTCTCCAAACATTATGTCTGTATCTTGTATTAGAAAAATTATAATGTTTCTGTGTGATTTTTTATTGTTGCCTTGAGTTATTATTTATTCATTTATATGGGATATCCTCAAGATGTTATATACTTCTTGAATAATCGTATTTTTAATTTCTTTATGTGCCCACACTTGTTCCACAGGGATAGGAACTCAATGAAGTATTTTTTGATTGAAATAATCCCAAGAGTTTCCTTTCCGGATCATCAGACCAGGAAGTAGGAGCCAGGATTCACTATCAACTCTCTTACTAAGTAGCTGCTCTGTCTTCTGAAATCATCTCAGTTTCGATATGTATAGAATGTGGACAACTACATGATCCTCACATATCTTCTAGAATCTTTAGGCATACAGCTCTAGAAGTCTGTAATCTTAAAAGCAGAAATTTATTTTCATAGTAAATATTTTATGGTGTTTTAGTTGTATAAAGAAGAGTTGCCAGAGAAAAGACTTAAATGTTAGAGATTCATAGATTCAGTATTCCTAGGGTTGAAGTAGATCTTAAAGATCATCCAGTCCAATCAGCTTTCCAATGCTTGGATCCCCTCCACAACAGCTCTTCCTAGTATTTGCCTAGCTTTTGCTCGGCAATTTCCAAGTGACAAATAACTCACTACCTCATAAGCCAGCCCATTTTGTATAGAATTCTGACACCCCACTGTTCTTTCTTACATCGAGATGAAGAATAATTTTGTACAACTTTAATACTTTGGTTCTAGTTTCGTATCCTTACTTACAATGAAAAGGACAATAGCTCTTATACAGAACAACTCTTCAAATGTTGTGATCAGCTACTTGGTAGTTCAGCAAAGGGAATAAACACACCATTCACTTATGTTCTCCGAACGTGATTCCAATCCTCTACAGGTGCCTAATTTTCTCCTCCAACCTTCCTCCAGGTTGATGATGTGCCTTTAAAAGTACAGTAACCAGGATGGATTCCATTGCTTGGCTGTTCTTTTATCATAGCAGAGTAGAGTAGAAAAAACTTTCATATCAACTCTTATGTCTGTTAATGTGGCCTAAACTTATTAATCAATATTGACTTTAGAGTCACATGAATTTTTTATTTTTTTTCTTTAAAAACTTGCTTCCAAGAACTATACTTTTAGAGTAGGAGAATTTAGATCCCACTTACATCCATTCTTTCTATTTTTGGTGGGGGGGATAGCATTTAGGGGTAATACTAATCTTTTCACTTAGGATTCCTCCCCTTATTAGTAATCCATCAATCAGATACCTGAGCTGTGGAAACATTCATATCCAAGTGATTTTGGATGTGCTGATCAAGAACAGAGTGAGTCCTAATCATGCCACGAGAAACTTTGATCCCAGGTGACGTTACTCCACTCATCAGTGGGCAAGGATTATTTAACCAGTTATAAATCCCACCTAACTGTTCCAGCACTCAGGCCCCATTTTGACATCTTGTCCCCAGGGATGTCATGAGTGATGGCTTGCTCACCACCTTTCATTATCTGTTACTAAGTAAAGTTGCCAAACAAACAAAGGACATTAGTCTGACATGGCTATTTTTAACATAGGTTAATTTACTTTGTTTCAAAATAGATTAATGCCTTCAGATAAAATTAAAAGTCAAGCTAGTCAGGACTGCAATTATTTATGCATGATCACAGATCTTAGGGTTCATAGCCACTGTTCCTAGTTCTGACAGGACAGACAATGTAGCAGATAAAACTTTTCTGGGCCAAAAATATAGTGAAGTTTTAGTTTTAAGTATAAAGTTTGTATTTGTTTACGTACTATCTTTGCTAAAGTGAAAACTCCTCGATGCCGATAGCCATGTCTTAGTCATTTTCCTAAAGTCCATAATTGGTACTCTGCATTTAAGAGTGGTTCAATATATGTCTATTCACTGAAAGTAGGAATAAATAAATTATTTTGGATTATCTATGTCTTCTCTCCCTCCACCAAAAAAAAAAAAAAATAAATCTCCTCAACTCTGGGTCATAAATGCCCTCTTGGTAATGCCTATATTCTGGTTGAACTCTTTCTCTTCAAGTAAACAGATAGAAACAAAAATGAGTTTTTGAATGGTTCCACTTATTTGCATATTCTATTCACATCAGATAAATCTTCATTTCATTCATTTTCTCTAAATTTATACATTACTAAACAAAAGTAACAATATAGATTCTATAATTCTCACTTTGGTCTTGGTGATTTTTCCAATTGTCTGTCTGTTTTGATGGATGGCATTCCTGCCACTGCTTTTACATGTCGATGCCACTTGCTTCTATCTATTATTTGTCATATTCTCACTTTCCAATTTTTGTAACAAATCATTTCATGTCTGTTTTAGGCAGAAAACTCCCATTTCAGATACATTGCTTCTTCCTTAATCCACATCATCATAAATATAATTGTGTGTTACCATCCTCTGGAATTGCTTTGACAGTACACAGCCTTTGGTGTCCTAACTACCTTTCCATGTTAGTTAAGACTGCACCTATTTCTAGCGTTTCAGTAGCAGTGTGTTTGGAATTGATGCTGTGGTAGGTCGTAAAGTGATTGACAGATGAGGAAAGAAAAAAGTAGTGAACAACTCAGTCTTGTACATTAAATGCAGGGTAAAGATAAGTCAATATTTGGAGATAATGGCAAGATCAAGTGATAGCTTTTAAAAGTGTGAATTAGACATGAGCATATTTGAGCAATAATGAAAATATCAGAGATGCATTGCATATGGATGCATAAATTGAGGGGTGGGGAGAGATCATGGTCATTGTGCTGTCAAGTCTTAACAGGATGCTATTACATCCTGAATCTATGTTCCAGGAAGTCAGCAGAAGTACATATCGGTCCTGTTGTCATGGGGATACAAACCAAACCTGTTTATTTAATTTTTCATCCTGGGATTTGTGACATTGAAAGACAATAAATGGCCAGGCACAGTGGCTCATGCTTGTAATCCCAGCACTTTGGGATGCCAAGGCGGGCAGATCACCTGAGGTCAGGAGTTAAGAGACCAGCCTGGCCAACATGGTGAAACCCCATCTCTACTGTAAATACAAAAATTAGCCAGGCATGGTGGTGGGTGCCTGTAATCCCAGCTACTAGGGAGGTTGAGGCAGGAGAATCATTTGAACTGGGAGGCGGAGGTTGCAGTGAGCCGAGATTGTGCCACTGCACTCCAGCCTGGGTGACAGAGTGAAATTCTGTCTAAAAACAACAACAACAACAACAACAACAACAACAACAAAAAGACAATGAACAAAAATACAAAGAAATAGAAATGACTCTAAAACCAGATCCCCGAGTAAGCTAGAAGGAATGCTTCCTCTGTTAGGTGGGTTTCCCTAAATTCAATTGTGGCCTTCAGGTAAACTTGGCTTAAATTATGCTTTATTTTTCCTGAATAGTACTTACAAATGGAATTTGAATTCTTTACATGGAAGAACAAACCCTCACTGATTCATTTGAGTCTACATCACTCCTATTTATTTTCTGCCCATACACTGATACACATTTCAGTTGGGAAATCTTGCTCCTACATTATAGGTAATAATAATCTAAATAAGAACTGTAAACCCTAGTAAGAACAGAATAATTTTTTCAAAAGATATATAAAAACTTGAAATCTCCTATTAGTACCACAGCTTTTTCTATCCTACTTTTGTAATTTGAGTGAACTAACCATTTGAAAAGGATGTCATAAGAAAATTTTAAAATAAAATAATTTTGGTTGGTTTCTGTTAGGTTTATTCAATTGCTTTTCAATACAGTGCTTCCTTTGAGTTTTGGGGTTTCCATACTGATATTGTCTATGCTAGTAATACATTAGTAAGAACAGACATATTGTTGCACATATTGAGTTTGATTCTTCATGGGTAGGAGTTATCCATACAATCACATCGACTGATCCTTCCTATCTGAAGTTTATGTTATTACCCTAGCATTTCGAAGTATTATATAAAGCAAACAAGATATCCTTTCCAAATATTTCCCTTTGTGAATTACTACAAACATCTCCTTTGCTGTTCATCATTTCTGATAGAACCAAGGAAACATTTTCATAGTTTCATTTATACAGCTTTCCCTTTCCACACCATATTTCTTTATAGACATGTAGTATAGCTGCTTTCAACTTAAGTCATGTGTCTCTGCTCTTTTGAGTTAAACCTTTTAAGAGTTATAAATCTTAGCACATGGTTCAGAATTTCAAATTTGGTACTTTGACATCACTATCTCTTTCCCGTAGTTCTTTCCCTGGCATACTATTCTATTTTCTAGTTCTATTTTTACTGGTAGAAGAAAGAACACTGGCAATGCTCCTGGGTTTTAGAATTTTCCAGATCAAGACATTAAAATCATAATCACTCGAGATTTTTCCCTAGGTTCCTCAGATGCATGAATAAGCAGTACTAGGTTGTAGTCCCTGGGTTGGAAAAATGTGCATGGTCTTTCCATGACAACTTGGATACCCCTTCTAGGACCAAAGCAGACCTAAAACTGGTAGCCCTTAACTAAAGTATCAGTGGGGCCCATGTATCATTTCCTTTGGTGCAAATATGGTTTTCTGGAACCTGTTTAGACCTATGTTTTATTTTTATTTCTTCAAGTCTCATTTTCAGTAAAGACTTTGTTCTTTTTCCTGGAAGCTTTGATTCACCATTTATGTAGCTTCTACCTAGTTTCATAGGTATAGCATTTTGCTCCTGTCTTCCTCATCCATATTGCAGTCCTTAACAAGCTGCTGATTCTGGCTTTGTTTACACTCTACCTCTGCTGTTCTATGAAATAAAGCAATATTACTCAGAGCTCAGAAACTTTCCCAGGTATAAACTGTGACCTGAATTAACTTTTGCTAGTTTCTGACTTTGGTGGGGTTGATGAGAATATAATAGTAATTGAGTTAATTCTTATCTGCTCTGACCTAAAACACACAGTCAGTGAAAATGAGTAATAAAGGCTAAGTTTCTCAAAGGTTCTATACTTTTCTAGACTTTAACTTATATCTTGCATACCTTGATTTTGACAGAATATTGTTGGCAAAATTTCTAATGATTTAGGAATTTCTCATCAAAGTTAAATATGAAATAAAAATATAAAATTTTAAGTGATAAGGGCAATTAAATATATTTTAAAAGTAAAGTGTCAATTATGGCAACTAAGATGAATATATATGTTGAAATATAAATAAATATGACTATGATGTTAGCAAAATTAATACTCAAAAATAACCACTCACACTATAGTGACTGACACTGTAATATATTGGATATGACAGATCATTTGGTCAACCACTAGTTGTCAAATAAGATAAAACAAATTTTAAAATAATGTCTGGCATGTATATTTTAAACACAAAATAATCTGTGTCTCTCTTTTTTCCTCATGCAATAATATTATGTATAGCCTAAAGAGTTCCTCTACTGAGAAAGAGGAATACAAAAAGATTTAATTCCTTTGCTGGAGAACATATAATCACACACTGGCCACACATCAGTTTCCTGTAGCTTCCGATGCTTTCTGTGGGTTTCACACTATGGAAGCCAGGAAAGGCATTTTTGGATACTGTAGTCATAAATCTGCAAACATGAATATCGCAATCAGAAATTCTTTTGATGGTAGGGCAGAAAACTAAGTCCTGGAGTTGGGTATTCCTTGCAAATAATTATTACTCTATTTGAGAAACCAAAGGATGTACTAAGAAATTTGGATCATTCCATTCAGCACTTACCACTGTAGGTAGGAGTTTAATTCTTTCCCAATAATATAACTCTAAAAATTAATATATAGAAAGACAACCCCCCATAAGTGAAGGATATATATAATCATTTCAGAAATATCACAGATTCTTCTGACAATTATGTAAGTATGTATCATGTATGTATATATCTGCTTATTTCTAAATACATATTTAAGTAGTACCATTTCAAATGTACTGATCTACATTTTTATTCTATTAGTCACTGACAATAACTAATTATAACACAATATCTATTGCCCTATTCTTTTCCCCACATCCATTCCTCAACTATACACCATAGAGTTTATTAGGGGGAAGCTATGATAGTTTTAAGCAAAAAAAAATCATGTTCTTTACATTTTATGTAACATATTATAAAGCTTTATTCTAACTTTTTAAAAATTCTTTTTAATTTTTTGTAGGCTTATCAATTCTTTCAACAAAAAAACCTTTAAATCTACATAGCTAAGCTTTTATACACATTCATGCTTTAAGTGGCAGTATACTCAATGGTTTTAAGCTGATTTTGAAACATTGGCACCACGATGAATATCACAGTTATGCGATTTATGAAGACATTATTTACTCATTAATAAAATAAGGTTTATACCACTAGCATTTACTTTGTAGGCAACTGTGCCTGTCACAAGAGTTAGCATTAAATAAATTCTAGCTATTGTTATAAAGAGAGAAATAAAATGACTGAAAAGTTCACAATACCCTTTCACTAAGTTGTATTAAGCATTATTCAGCTAAATTGAACATTTAAAGCTAATCAAAATATAAATTTTGTCAGGTAGAAAAGAGAAGAAATGAAAAGAAGAGCAATGAAATGAAATGAAAGATAGATGGATACTGTGACATGACTAAAATGAGTGGCAGTGGAAAGTCTTAACACATGCATACTTACGGAGCTGCCCAAGTCGAGCTTTTTCTTTTTTACCAAACAAACGTCCTATTGAAGACTTGATTCCTTTCTTCTTGGGGGCTTTGTGAAGAGAGTCTTGGCTGCTGTTGGCACTACCAAGCCCGAGGCTTTCTGGCTCAAGAGAGACAGATAAACTACTGCAAAACACAAAAGAGGAAAATACATGCAACATCCACAAGGTACACAAAAGTCATTTCCTTTATAAAATGCACCAAAGGAGGAACAAGCAGACTTGTAATGTTGTTTTTTCCCCTATTTTCCCATGTTTCCTTTTAAGATATTAAATGCAGTTTTTTTTTTCAGCCTTTGGGCCCTGAAACTCCAAATTTCCATAAGATAAATTCATTTTTGCTCCGAATGTCTTTTTTTCTTTACTTTTTTGGTATAATCTCAAACTAATCAGTGAATATAGGCTGAGTTATTAACTGCATGATAAATGGCCTTCTATTATGGAGCACTTGATCCATTGTCTATTTATTTCTCAGAGTCTGTTTTTCTAATCTTAAACATAATGACCTACAGCAAGGAACTGAAATATAACTATTGTGAAATTGAAGCTGCTCTTCTAATCTACAGTTTTACTTGATTTTCCTCTAGCCATCGTTCCCTTTCTCAGTTTTGGAGCCAAATTCAGTTAATTTAAAATCATCTGGGTGCAATTTGGAAGCAACAAACCATGTATCCTCGTGATCAATGTATGTGTTTTCCTAATTAGAGTACTCAAATATTATTTTAAATACATGTTAAACTGAAATGCTTTTCAAGCAGTTGGTTAAGTTTCAATTTATGGTCAATATATTTGACACCGTATTAATAGGATGGGATCAATAGACATTGTTATTAGTTTCTATAGTTGTTAATTTTATAACACCATGATAAATTACTTACTTTTACTTACTCATGTGAATTAATTTGAACTCACATTCCCTAACCTTCAAGCAATAGCTTTTTATATGTTGAAATATACTCTTTTTTGGAGAGTGAAAGAAGTAATATTTTGAAGCTGAAGTAACTGATTTTTCCACATTAACAACAAAAAATAGTTGGAAAAAAGAAATGACTGCCAACACAGAAAGCCCTACTTTTAAAAGCATTTATTGTAAAACATAATATCTAGAAGATAGATATTTTTATTGAAGCATTCATCCTTAAGTCATTATATTTGGTTATATTAATTATGTGTCTACAGATGCTGCAATTGATGAGACAATAAGAGAAGATATATTTCAGATATAAACTACATGCTTAGGTATATTCATATCATCAGTGATTATAGAGATCTGTTTGCAGTGCTTTATGCATATGGATAAGACAGTATAAAGAATTGTGATGACAAATGACATATTTCTCCATCTAGACTTATCTTTTTATTTAATATTTTAGCCAAGGATTTTTTTATTTTCTAATAACTTTCTGACTGAGGAGTTATTACTGCTGGCAGCAGCAGTACCCACAGGATGCACATACCTGTCTGCTAAAAGGCACAATCATATACTTTTCAGACTTTAATTACGCTTATACTGCAATCCAAATTTATGATCTTGTCCTACAGTCTCCTTAGTTTTTTGTTAATATTTCTAGTAAGTCCTTCCTCTAGCCTGATCTCATTGTAATAGAAAATATCCACTAAAAAATAGAAGAGTTATTCTTATCTATATTGACCAATAATAAGACCACAAAGATACAGTTAACTTTAAAAATACAAATTTGATATCAAAATTGAAATTTGGTTATTTCACAAGTGATACTGGGAAAGGGAAGCTGGAGAATTCTGGCTCAAATAATGTAAATTGTTAAGCAGTCTATTCGACAACAACGAAGGAAGAGGAATATTTTTGGAAGGAGGGCATTCAGTGTGCAGTGTGCCTGCAGAGTCTTACCTTCGAGCATCATTGTGGTAGGAAGAAGGGAGAGTGTGAGTCATTCTGAGGGCTCTAGGGGTAGGAGGAGGAGAAGTTTCACATTTAATTGTTGCTTTGTCCTCTCGACCATCTTCTTCCACAACTGCAATCTAGAAGCAAAAACAATACATTCAAATAAACCCTTTCTAAATTTCAGTTGAAATTGACACAAATGGAGAATCATGAGAACAAGGCTGTCGAGTAATTTTAATACAAAATAAAACAACAAAACTTGGGGCATTTAAGTCTTACATACATAAATTCCCATTAAAGAGTTTGATTTTCACAAATATTTAAATTGGACACATTAAAATTAAAAAAAAATCATAGACCCACTACACAAAAATGTTTGATTAATAAACACCATAGATCAAGCTTTTCCAACCCACAGCCTGCTGGAAACATATAGCCCAAGACGGCTTTGAATGCAGCCCAACACGAATTCGTAAACTGTCTTAAAACGATTTATGCACGGACCTTTTTTTTAAAGTTCATTAGCTATCATTAGTGTTAGAGTAGTTTATGTGTGGCCCAAGACAATTCTTCTTCTAATGTAGCCCAGGGAAGCCAAAAGATTAGACACTGCTGCCATAAATCAACTAGTTGCTGACTATTGATCTATAGTGTTTATTGACATTGATCTATGATATTTTATAACATCAGAATATAAACTCTTTACAAAAAGGTATTAAACACACATTTGAACAATTCACTAACATATAGCATTATACATACTCAGGCTATCATAATAAAGACATCTTTTAAGTAGGGATTTTTGAAATGAGAAGTTGATAAAATATAACTTTATCAGATAAAGTGTTTTAAATCAGTCAGCCTAATGAAATTTATTACAGGGTATTTAAAATATGAGTTGTGGTTTGTAAGAAAAAAATCTCTTTTTAAAGAGAATAATAAAAGGTAAGATAGTAATGTTTTCAAATTGTTCCATTTTACTACCATGATGGGAAAACTGGCAAAGACATACAGAAAACCAAAAGAAGATGAGATGGGAGGGATTTCCTTAAAGAACACTTTAGTACAGAATCCAGAATGACTCAGGATACTATCCATTTTGTCAGAGATGAAGATATAGAGCTGTAACTTAAAATTTTTTCCAATGTCAAGTTAATTGTAGAGACATAGTTTTTACAACAATGCTGCATATTTTTCATGGCATCGTTGTGTATCACAATATGGAGAGATCAGGATTGTAGAAAACACAGCTAAAGACTTATGGCTTTAGAGTTCTGATGAAAAAAGTTCTTAGTATGGCTAAACAAAAATTTTTAAAGTTCTAGGGAAATATTTTGTTTGTTTTTATGTAAAGCTGTTATTTATAAATGTGTTTATCTATAATAAAGACCTTGTAACTTTGAGGAACTTCATGAAATTGTCAGGACTTTTGTCACCCAATCTTAGGTTCCTTTTAACAGCTTAGGTAGGTAGGCATTTTTATATAATTCCTTTGCTCTATTCAACTAGCATATTGCCATCAGGAGAATCTTTTTTCAATAACTGCTTTCGGATTGATTCTGATGCTGTGGAAAACCTTTTTAAACCCACAACCCAGCTAAACTCTTAAGCGTGTTTCTGAACTATTCCTAATACATGTTAGTGTTTTCACAGTTCTGTGATCCCACCATGACTCTTCTCTGATTGTTTCTGCTAAGCATGGCCATTTTTGCTGTCAGAATTTTGCTTCTGAAACATCTTATAAAATACCCTCTTTGTCCTCCCTGCCAGCCAAACTATACTTATTCCCAATAACAGCTTCTAAAAACAGCATGGCACATGTATACATATGTAACTAACCGGCACATTGTGCACATGTACCCTAAAACTTAAAGTATAATAATAATAATAATAATAATAATAATAATAAATCATGTACAAAACTTTCCTCTGAATATCACTTAGAGTTTTGGAATTAGAGAGGGATTTGAATTCTGATTTTTCTTAAATGTTGAATAAATAGGCTGATTACTTACCTGCTCTAATATTACATTTCCTCATCAATAAAATGGAAGTGATACAACACTTTTCTTAATGTAGTCTTTTGAAGTGTAAATACCATCATTTATTTAACTCGTTCCCCGATACACAAGATTTTTTTGGTTGTGGTCCCTCTTTCCATGACTTTTCTCACAAATTATGTTGTTACTTCCTGAATTATTTGAGACTACATTTTCGTATAGAACCTTCCATCCTACCTTTCTATTTCTTACAGCCATTAAACTTATATAGTCTTTTTAAGGTGATGGAGGTCAAAGAAAATAAGGACATTATACTTGGTAAATTTGGTAAATAAGAATGAACTGGTAGTGTTAAGGAGAAGAGGCTATAGGTAGATAGATAATAGCCCAGGAAAATAAAATGGTAATTCCATCTATTCAAGCCATGTAAGAATAATATAGATTCCTTTATTTTTTTTAAAAAAAGGACATAAAAGTTATCTGGTTCCAGGAGTGTTCCAATGTTTGGGTGTAAGCTGACTACCACATCTCGAAGATGCTGAGGAATAGATTTTTGCACTGAATAGAAGTTTGAATCTTTGAAATCTTTTTCATCTGATGTCCCATGAGTGAAAGCTCTACTCAATTATCTAATAAGATGTCATTTTGTGAATCAGAACTTCAGTTCATTTTGTTTTCCATATTCCATATTTATTCTCTTGATTTCATTCCAAACAGAAAAGCGGTGTTTCGAACATATTTTTTTATTTTGCATAGTCTTGATGCTCTGGCATCTGGAGAGGATGCTCCTCTAACCCTAGGGATAGTTAATTCCTGGAAATAGCACATCACTCACCTATAAGTACACCTTTCACATGCAAACCAAACAACTCACAGCCCATACTCTAAATCATCTTCTCCATCTGGCTCTTACTCTCCAAGAGGCAATATTCCTCTGCCCTAATCACCTGTGGGCCAGGCTGAGACAACTAGAGAGAGTCCCTACATCCTGAGGCCAGACAAAATTAATCAGGCTATCCATCCTAACCTGCTTATCCTGCCTTGTCTTGCCTTTCCCTAAGATACCTCAGAAAACCTTCTGCCCTGCTCCTTCTGCCTCCTGACTGACGCTGGTGCTGTCCTGAGGCACAGAGTACTCTCTCCTCTTGGGAACTGTGAGTAACAAGCTATCTTTTTTTGACAGCTTTCTCCCAATCTGTTGTCCTCACCCTATCAAAATAATAATAATAAAATATTTGAAAACAACGAGCATTATTTATTATATATTAAATATTAAAACATTTGTACTATATTATATTAATAAATATAAATACTTATATTAAAATATAAAATTACACCATCCTTGGTTTAAATATTCAATGGAAAACAGGATATTATGGTTCTTATAATCTAATTATTGCTCCAGAAATCATAAACAATTTTATCTTTGAAGTATTTTCTATTATAATCAAATTTAAACAATTCAATACACTTTAAATACTCTCAACTTTTTAATGTTTTATCAACATTCGACTAGAGGGAATATTATTTTAAAGCTTTCATAGAATAAAACAGTATTCAATTCGTAATGATGTAAAAGTTATTTACTGTACCTTTCTCCGATGTTTCCTCAGATCACTTGGCTGTGATTGGCAGTAATAAAAACATAAAACACAATTAATTAAGAATTAACAATCATTTGACCAAGTTACAATTTTAAATAGTGTCTACAACTTGACTATCATTTTTTTCTTCATTTTGTTATTTTCTAAATAAACATATTTTAATTACTATAAAAGCACTCCGCCTGGTAGTTAAATTTAGAGAGGGAACTTCTCAGGTAACATAAGTCAGATGATTGTTTCCATAATGGGGCCATGTGTACAGGCACTGGATACGAGGCATGGACCCTGGGAAAGAGAAACTGTGGAATGAGTGAGTGAGTCTAGCTAGAAGAGTGAGCTAGCTAGAAATAAACGAGACTGCATCTTTTCAAGAAAATATTATTGGGAGTGAAGATCCAATGCATATACAAGGAGTTTATAAATTCTTGTTTTTGCCCCATCTATGCAGAGCTTTGGGCCTCCTTTGGGCAGATGTGCTGTTCCTGTGGGATCTCAAAATTTTTGGCATCCTAAAATCTTTCTCTTTCCCACAAATGCCAAAAGCATTTTCTTCAGGTTAAAAAAAATTACCCATATTTTATTAAAAATATACAATTGATGACAGAATTATATTAGGTGTTAAGGACTTCCTGGATTTCATTTCTTGCTTCTCTGACTTAGATATTAAACACTTTAAATATTTCTTTACTCTTCTAAAAATGCCTTTTTTTTCAGTACTCTAATTATAATGTAATAATATTCATATTCCACTGATTTATTTATTACTAATTGTTCAAGAGAATTCATGAAAGCACTGGCATCTTTCTCTCTCTCTCTGTCTCTCACACACACACACAATCACATCTAAAGGATTATAAATATTTTATTGCTATGAAAGTAATAGCACTATCAAGAGTTATGATGCTTATGTTTATAAAAAGACTTAAAAGTGTAAAACTGTGTTGTAAAAATGTCAGAAATAAAAGCAATACAAAAATAATCAAAGTATTCCTGCCTTGAATGCTGACTAAATTTTATTCTGTGGTCCAGGATTCTTACTATAGGTTTGGTACTAAGTTGCTCATTAATACTATGTAGCATATCTTATATAGGCAGAAACTAAGCAAGAGACAATAACACTTTTAACTAACAAAATCAGATGAATGGTTCCTAAATTTCTAAAATAAGCAGATCACAATGTAGTTCCGTATGTTTGGTTAGTATATCTCAGCACATTGGCTAAAAGTTTGTACTGTATCCAAGTGGAATCAGTTCTGATTAGCTGGGCATTTTTTCTGGTTGGCCATTGTCTATTCTATTTAAAAAACATTTTTAGTAGGAAGTTTTGGAAATGAGCAGAAAATAGTGGACTCAGCAGCTTAAAGAGGTAACTGTCTTCTTTTTAAAAAAAATTCACAATTTTTCTTTTACATAAGTTTTATGGCTTGGAAGCCTCAAAATTGTAAGTATGCCAATGCATATTCACTACAAAAACATAATTTTACCTCCATAAACAGTTCAGAATGTTTTAATCTTCATCATTGGTGTCATTTCAACATACTATATTTCTAGGTAATGACTGAAACAGAAAGACATGGTAGTACATGCTTTTAAATTAGGCAAATTTGTGGAAAAATCCAGCTCCATTTATTAGCTGTGTTGAATATGGGCACTCCATTTATACTCTCAAAACCTCCACTCTCTGTTGAGATAATGCCCTACTACCTCCAGTTTTGCCACGAGAATTAAATGACTAACATCATGGTATTCAGCAGTCATCACAATCATATTTTCCAGAGGTTTTATTATATATAAATATATATAATGAAATATATTTTATAATGAAATACATATATTACATATTAATATATTTTTATAATAAAATTTTTTAGAATGGGGAAATTTGACTTTTTCTCAGTTGCATTCAGGAGACTTCCTAATTTAGGCTTCCATCTTCTAATCCCAAATATAAAGATAAATGAAATAAGGAATTAATGTATACATGTGAAAATGTGAATATAAAATCTAAAACAAAATTAGGAATTAGTAGCTGTTGTTTTTTATGGCTCTTAACACAAATAATGCAAGAAATTTATGTTATATATTGAAAAGTTATAAAACTCTATCTTGGTGTATTGAAGCAATTATAATACTAAGTTTTGTTACTTATTATGTTAAAAACACACACACACAGAGTCCAAAGTGATTTCCTCCGTATGCCATCAATAAAAATGTACTTAATGGTTTAAGTCATTCAATTTTTAAAAAAAAATTATTTTATTTTATTTTTTTCAAGAAGGAATCTCACTCTGTTGCCCAGGCTGGAGTGCAGTGTTGCCATGATAGCTCACTGCAGTCTCAAATTCCTAGGCTCAAGGAATCCTGCTGCCTCAGTATCCTAAGTAGCAGTGACTACAGGTACAGACCACCACCACACCCAGCTAATTTTTTTCTTTTTCTCTTTTTCTTTTCTTTTTTTTTGAGATGCGGTCTTGCTATGTTTCTTAGGCTAGTCTTGAAATCCTTGCCTCTAGGTAATCCTCCTGCCTCAGCCTCCAAAAGCGCTAGGATTATAGCTGTGAGCCACTATGCCCAGAAATTCATTGACATTTATAATGTGCTATTTAGATCTCTGCTCTACCATTGACTTACTATTTGACCCTTAGAAAGTTACAGCACCTGTGTGGGTTACCATTTCTTCATCTCATAATGGGATTCATAAATGTACTGATCACATAGGGATGTTGTGAATAAGAAAATAAATAAACAATAAAATACACAGAAAGTACTTAGACTAGAACAAACACCCAGTTAAGTTTTAGCTAAAGCATCATTAATCTTAACAGGAGGCAAAGGTTCTCTGGACACATCACCATACCAGTGTCATGACTCCCATCCGATCCATTTCCCTGGCAGGGCTTCGAGGGGTGAGCTTTGGAGTTGAGTGTCCACTGGGGGGAGATGAACTGGCCAGCGATGAAGCTGTAACAGAGGCAGTAATGGAGGTACCTGGGTGGACCCTTGCCAAATTCAGGCCTTCGAGGCTCACACTAGCCACTCTATTTTCAATTTCTTCAGCACGCAACTCTGTAGATTCTTTTTCTTCCTGAATTAGCCTGAAAGATACAGTTTAATTATGATCCATATATAATTTAATATGGATCCATTATATGCTGCTGTAAGGATCATTGGAATTCACATAATAAATCAGTAGAAACTATTCTTGAACATTTTACATCAAATCTAATTTTTTCATCTTTTTTTTTTCTCTAAATAGTGTAACTTGCAGTAAATTCCAGGGACTTCCTGGCTGCAGTTTAGAAAATTGTTTTCAAATGATACATTTTTTCCTGACAACTTCCAGTTTTACCTTCTTTGTATACTACCACCTGCTAAAACTATTTAAAAATCTTGAACCTAATTAATTTCTACCATTAATCCTAATCTTACATTTGACCTCAGGAACCACTAAAAGAGACTTTAGAAACTCAGCCTTGAGATGGCAAAGGACTAGCAATAGCTTAGAAAAAGTGAAAGATTATAATTACATGTAAATATCCCTCTTAAGATTCAAAGTCATTGAATCTTACCTCCTACCTAATGAAAAAGTTTAAATGATAGTATCCTCAGTAAATGGTCATTCATAATTAGCCAAATAAAACCCTGAGTCTTTTCTTAATATTAATACTTAGCCAAGCCTCCTTTAAATAAGTACCAGAAAAGGTAATAATGTGAAAATATAGTTATATAGATAGATGATGAATACATAAATAATGAAAAAGTAACTTGCAAATAAAACTAGGCCAGGAGTGGTGGCTCACGCCTGTAATCCCAGCACTTTGGGAGGCCGAGATGGGTGGATCATGAGGTCAGGAGTTCGAGACCAGCCTGGCCAATATGGTGAAACCCCGTCTCTACTAAAAATACAAAAATCAGCCAGGCATGGTGGTGCATGCCTGTAATCCCAGCTACTCGGGAGGCTGAAGCAGGAGAATCGCTTGAACCCGGGAGGCAGAGTTTGCAGTGAGCCGAGATAGCGCCACTGCACTCCAGCCTGGGTGGCAGAGTGAGAAAAAAAATTATATAAATTATTTATTACAAAGGCACAAATAGGAAAGAGCTTTAGCTAGGTTGTGTAAAAATCCTATTTGAATCCTGAATTAAATCTATACACATTTTGTATGTTGTTATAATGAAACTGTGTACCAGTATAGTTTGATAAGGGGGTCGTAAAATTCTCCTGAGCTATTTTGTTCTTGATTACAAATGGTTTATTGGGATCCCCTCTTATATAGAACCTGTACCTTCAAGTTTATGATCACTTCAAAGTTTTCTTTTTACATATTTAGAATGGAGAATGTAATTTATTTGCTAAATTTATTCGCTAAATTTATTCAATAGGAAATACTTCTCTGGTGTACGTTTACTATGGGAAGTTGAGCTACATTTACTCACCTGTTTTTATATGTTCACCAGCTCTTTGATTATTAACTCACTGCTGGTGTCTTCACTAACTATTCTGCAAATCTTTCAGTTTTTAAGTAGTATGTGTTTGCTGGCCAGGCAGAAAGTACTTTGGTAGTCTACTTACATGTCATTGGAATAAGTGATCTTTGTGATTTTAATAGGCTGTTTAAAAATCTTACAAAGTATGGACTTAAAATCTAATCAAATATGTTTCACAAAGGTTCATTTTGGTTAAAACATTATGAGGCACATTTACACTTAATTATAATCTTTCACTTAGAAAAAGAACATGAATTCTGTTACTCTCAAAGTTTATTTTCATGAATGCATTTTTTAACTTCACCCCAAGGTCAGAACTCCAAAGAAAGGTTTAATCAAGTAACATAGTACATAGTAACATAGCTTAACACACATTTGAAAGAAAAAACTATCTTCACCCTCAAAAAATAAAAATGTAAAAAAAAGAAGACATTTTGTACTTTTAAAATACTTAGTAGAAAAATGACTCCTAGAAATTTTTTTCTGGTGAGATGTAACATGGTTATGCTGTACACAGAAATTTTGGTTATTAACTTTAGGTATTCTATAAATTGTACAAGACAGCCAAACCTAGAGGAACAAGTTGGGTAAGAGAGTATATTGAAGTTTAATTTAACAGACAATAGTAGCTAACTATAAAAGCACAGATGAATGAACATTGCTGTGGCAAATGAGTTTGAAGTAATTTGAATCAGCGAGCTGTGAAGACAGAAAACATGCATTTTTTAATGGCTAGATTAGTTTATGAAAGAAGAAAAATCTTAATCACAGAAAAATTCTGGTTGTTATTAGCAGTTCACCTGGTTTGAATCAAGATGACTATTTCTTTTAAATGTGATATAATCTCATTTCATGTATTTTTAAAATCTTACAAATAAACAACTATATTAACCTACTGGCCAAGATTGTTACTAGAAATTACTACCCTAATGTTACAAAGCTAAGAGTCACTGAAGAGAAATAGCTTGTTATGGAGGGTGTGTTGATCTCTTTGGTGCAAATAAATATCACAAGAATATAGACTTGATTTCAAACTTAATTTGGTAAATTCGACCATTAGCTGAACAGCCTCAGAAAGTGTTATTCCGTTATTCCGTTAATACTTGTTTTACATTATTTTTCTATTTAGAGTAATCAAATATTTATGAAGCACTCTCTAAATATCAAGCGAAGTGCTAAGACCTGCAAATAAAGGTGAGCAAAGCCAGATACATTTCTTGCTCCTGTATAAAAGTTACAATCTAGTGAAGGTAAAGAACTGAAGGACAGTACTACGTTCCTTGAAGAAGTGATGGAGGAGCTGTCCATGGTGAGTAAGGGTAACATGAGTGAAATGTTAGGGTAGAAGGGTGTGGAATGACAGGAATGTTCCAGAAGAAAGGGATGACACAACAAAAGAAAGAGCATGGAACATCAAGGAACTAGAAAGTAGGCAAGGTAAATGGTTAGAGAATGGTGAGACAGGTGAGGTATTGTAGACCATATTAAAAAGTGTGGTTGGTATCCTAAGAACAATTGAATGGTTAGAAAAAGGGGGATTACATAAACACATTTGTGTGTTTAAAAGTCTTCTCTGGCTGTAGTTAGGTTGGTATATGGAGAACTAGCATACTACAAAGAAACCAGATAGTAATGGTTATTGTCATAAGGTAAAAAACTATTCTAAAGTGCAGTAGGGTGATGATAGGTAATTTGAATAATAGTAGAAGGAAGCCAACTGATTTAGCTAGACCCAGAAAGAAAAAAGAAAGGCATTGTTCAAAAGACTTAAAACCTGTTCACCCATTGAAAAAACAAGTTAAGAATGGTTTGTTGATATTCAGAAGAACACAAATCTACCTGACACAATTGGGTTCATCACTGGGGTTAGTCAAGGAAATGACAGAAAAAGCTGATGTCATTGGAATTCAAGAAACCATATATTAAATTAAAATAAAAGTATCAGAGTGCCAACATTTCTCAATATTTGAAATGTTAATTTGTCCAATTTCAATTGTAATGAAAACCATCTATTATTAGGGTACTATATAGCAACAGTACATTTTTTTCATAACTAGTATGAAATAGTTCATATCACCATATGTTTTATTGCCTTTGAAATGAAAATATAATAAAGATATTTGTTAGGCTATAATATTAAATTATGTCTCACAGATATAGTAAGCCTTTTATATTTAAAGAATGCAAATGAATTTGGTCCCCATTTACTTAGAAAATGTTCGCACATATGTCCCCAAAATGCTAGGGGATTTTTAATGATCAGCCTGATTTGTTATAAACTTCAGCATTAATATGTGAAAAATGTATTTTCACTGATGTAAGAATATTAATCATAAAAAACTCTATAAGAATTGTGTCTCAGTTTAAGATATGGTAGCAGCCCAACTTCAAACGCAAGTTTTAGGCACCAGTGAACACAATTAAACAGCCACAAGCACTAAGATTAACAATCTGAGGCTGGGTGTGGTAGCTCACACTTGTAATTTCAGTATTTTGGGAGGCCAAGGCAGGAGGATCATTAGAGCCCAGGAGTTCAAGACCACCCTGGGCAAGGGAGACTATGTCTCTACAAAAAATTAAAAAAAAAAAAAAAAAAAAGACAGGCATGGTGGCACATGCCTATAGTCCCAGCTACTTGGAAGGCTGAGGTGGGAGAATTGCTTGAGACTGGGAGGTTGTGGGCTGCAGTGAGCCAGATCTGAGTTATGGCACACTAGCCTGGGTAGCAGTGTGAGACCCTATTTAAATAAAAAAAAATCTGAATTTTCATGCAATATGTTAATACAGAAATGTAATTTTTATTATTAAGAATAGTAGTAATATGTTTGGTTTATCCCATTTAAAGGCATTAACTTTTATTTTTTCTCAAGTGTTCCAGGCAGAGAAGAGGACTCTATCCTGCTTTCTGCATTTGCTTTGCTATGAACTGAATTTTATCTCCCACCTTCAATTCATAGGCCGAAGCTGTAAAGGCCAAAGTGACTGTATTTGAAAATAGGATCTGGAGGAGGTAATTGAGGTTACATGAGGTCTTCCATAAATCTTTCTTTAGTAAAGGCTCTCAGATCCCTTAAAAGTATTTAAAAATTGGAGTGAAATTAATTTGCTCTTCTGACAAGTTCAAGATCAAGGTTCCAGCAGGATTCTGTTTTTGGTAAAGGCTCTCTGTTCCTGGCTCCAGGAAAAGGGAAAGGTGGGTGGGCAGTGGGGGGCAGACAGAGAGAGAGAGAGAGAGAGAGGCTTAATTCTATAGAATTAATATATTAATGTTCTATCTCTCTCTCTCCCCCCACTGTCTTTCTGCCTCCCACTGCCTGCCTCACTTTCCCTTTCCCTGGAGCCAGGAAGAGAGCCTTTACCAAAAACTGAACCCTGCTGATACCTTCATCTTGGACCTTCCAGCCTCTAAAACTGTTAATGTTAATAAACTTCCAAGAAACACGCTGTCCCTGATATAAATGGCATAAAATTGACAAAAAGAATGGTAAATTAATTTCACTCCAATGTTGAAATATTTTAAGGAATCTGAATGCACATTAATTTGCATACTATTTGGTACCTTTATTGCAGTATGTAATGTATCTGAAGAATGTACGTGATTACCACACACACTTTCCCTTTAAGTAGTAAATTTTAATTTAAAAAGTGCTTTAAAATTCACTGGAGAAAGTTTTGCCTTTAACTTATTCTTCTGTACTGTCACTGATGTCATTAATCTTATATGTTTCATGTATGTTCCTTACAAAGGCTGTCCTAATATTATAAAGGAGATATACAATATCCTGGGAATCTTCTGAAAATACACATTCTGATTCAGTGTGTACGGGGTGAGGTCTGAGATTCTGCAGATCTATTAAGCTCCCAGTTAATGCTAATGCTTCTGATCTAGTAATTACATTTTTAGTACAGTATCAAGGTCTTCTAATTTCTTGAAATCATCAGTACTAATTGAAGTTACCTGATTTCTTTGTTGATGGCATCCAATTGTTCCTGAAGCATCATGGCTAGCGTCTGGGCATCGGAATGACCACTTGGAGAGAGAAGATCCATTGAGCTAAAAATTGTTTCTCTGTCATCATCATCAATATCAGACATTTCAGTGTCACTTTCAAAAGGGTGGCTGCTTAGTACTCCAATCTGTTGAGTTCTATTCCACTCGTGATCCCCAAGAGATTTCACCTGAATGGTGAATGAAAAAATGCAGAATATTTATCATATTGCTCATTTTCAAAGCATTAATCTCAAAGACAGCAACAACAACAGGCATGCTTTTACAACTGACCTTGCAAAAACTGAACCAATTATTAACATTTTAATTTATTTGCTTCCATAAAATAGTTCCTTGACATCTTAAGTAATGTGAGGGATTGTCAGTATAAATATCAAGATTTTAGTAGAAATAAAGATGATAAACTTCTATATGTTTTATAGTTCAATCATATTCCAAGGTAACAATTACTTTAAAGCATGTATTTGTAATACTTTTCCTTATTTCCAAATATAACAATCTATTTATTTGTACTCAAGCACTCACGACTTAAACTAATTAGTCTTCCTATATTTTCTTATTATAAGCTCAGACCACAAATATTATCACATAAGAAATTACACAGGAATTCTCTTCCCAACATTTATTTACATCGATTCTAACAAAATATTATTTAAAATATTGCAAAATGATGTACAGGTATACTCCACAGAGATTTCAGGGTTAGTTCCAGCCCACCCTGATAAAGTGAATATGACATTAGAGTCACACAAATTTATTGGTTTCCCAATGAATATGAAAGTTATGCCCATTCTCTACTGAAGTCTATTAAGTGTATAATTGCACTGTGTCTAAAAAATGAACATACCTTCATTAAAAATACTTTATAGCTAAAAAATGCTAATGATCATCTGAGCCTTCAGTGAGTTTTAATCTTTTTGCTGGTGGAAGGTCTTGCCTTGATGCTGATGGCTGCTGACTGATAAGGGTAATGGTTACTGAAGGTTGGGTGGCTGTGACAATTTTTAAACATAAGACAACAATGAAATTTGCCACATTGATTGACTCTTTCTTTCATGAAAGATTTCTCTGTAGCATGGAATGCAGTTTGATAGCATTTAACCCAGAGTAGAACTTCTTTCAAAATCGGAATCAATCCTCTCACACCCTGAAACTGTCTTATCAACTGTGTAATCTAATATTTTATATCCTTTGTTGTCATTTTAACAATGTTCACCAAGAGTAGTTACCATCTTCACTGGGAGTAGATTCCATCTCAAGAAACCACTTTCTGTTCATTCATAAAAAGTAAATCCTCATCTGTTCAAGTTTTATCATGAGATTGCAGCAATTTGGTTTCGTTTTCAGGCTCTACTTCTAATTCTAGTTCTCTTGTTATTTTCACCACATTTGCAGTTATTTCCTCCACAGAAGTATTGAGCCCTTCAAAGTCATCCATGAGGGTTAAAATCAATGTCTTCTTAACTCTTATTAAGGTTGATTTTTTTTTTTTGAGAGGGAGTCTTGCTCTGTTGCCCAGGCTGGAGGGCAGCGGCTTGATCTCGGCTCACTGCAACCTCTGCCACCCGAGCTCAAGCTATTCTCATGCCTCAGCCTTCAGAGTAGCTAGGAATGCAGAGGTGCACAACCACACCCAGCTAATTTTTGTACTTTTAGTAGAGATGAGATTTCACCATGTTGGCCAGGCTGGTCTCGAGCTCCTGACTTCAGGTGATCACCTGCCTCAGCCTCTCAAAGTGCTGGGATTACAGGTGTGAGCCATTGAACCTGATCAAGGTTGATGTTTTGACCTTCTCCCATGAGTCATAAATGTTCTTAATGGCGCCTAGAATGATGAATCGTTTCCAGAATGTTTTCAATTGGCTTTGCCCCAATCCATCAGAGGAGTCACTACCTATGGCAGTTATAGCCCTGTGAAATGTATTTCTTAAGTTATAATACTTGAAAGCCAAAATTACTGCTTTATCCACGGGCTACAGAATGAATGTTGTGTTAGCAGGCACGAAAAAAACAATCTCTTTGAGCATCTCTGTCAGAGCTCTTGGGTGGCCAGGTGCATTGTTAATAAGTAGTAATATTTTGAAAGGAGTATTTTTTTCTGAGCAGTAAGTCTCAAATCTGTGTTTAAAATATTCAGTAAACCATGCTGTAAACAAATGTGCTGTCATCTAGGCTTTGTTGTTGCATTCATAGAGCACAGGTAGAGTAGATTTAGCAGAATTCTTGAAGACCCTAGGATTTTCAGCATAGTGAATGAGCATTGGCTTCAGCTTACAGTCACTAGCTGCATTCATTCACCCCTGTCCTCTGAGTCTTTGAAGCCAGTCATTTACTTTTCTTCTCTATATATGAAAGTCCTAGCTGGCATCTTCTTCCAATGGAAGGTGGTTTCATCTACATTGAAAACCCATCGTTTAGTGTAGTCATCCTCATGAATTATCGTAGCTAGATCTTCTGAATAACTTTTAACAGCTTCTCCATCAGCCCTTGTTGCTTCACCTTGCACTTTTATGTTGTGAAGATGGCTTCCTTCCTTAAACTTTATGAACTGAACAACCCTCTGCTAGCTTCAAAGTTTTCTTCTGCAGCTTCCTCACCTCTCTCAGTCTTCATATAAATGAGGAGAGTTATGGTCTTGCTCTGGGTTATGCTTTGGTTTAAGGGAATGTTGTCCATGCTTTGATTGTTTATCACTAAATGATCAAATTTACGTAGACCACTAAAACGTTCTCCATAGCAGCAGTAAGGCTGTTTTGTTTTCTTACTTGCGTGTTGTTTCTTATTTTCCTTCAGGAACTTTTCCTTTGTAGTCACAACTTGGCTGTTTGATGCCAGAGGCCTAGCTTTTGGCTTAACTCAGCTTTTGACATGTCTTTCTCACTAACTTTAATTGTTGCTAGCTTTTGACTTAGTGAGAGATGTGCAACTCTTACTTTCACTTGAACACTTAAGGCTATTGTAGGGTTATTAATTGATCTACTTTCAATATTGTTGTGTCTTGGGGAATACAAAGGCCCAAAGAAAGGGAAAGCAGTGGGAAATGGCTGTTGGAGCAGAAGCACACACAACATATAGATTAACTTCACTATCTTATATTGGCATGGTTCATGGTGTACCCAAATGATTACAATAGTGACATCAAAGATCACTGTTCACAGATCACCATAACAGATATAATAATAATAATAAAAGTTTGAAATATTTCGAGAACTGGTAGGTGCAGTGGTTCACGCTTATAATCCCAGCACTTTGGGAGGCTGAGGTGGGCAGATCACTTGAGCACAGGAGTTTGAGATCAACCTGGGCAAGATGGTGAAATCCCATCACTACAAAAAATACAAAAATTAGCTGGGCATAGTGGTGCCCGCTTGTGGTCCCAGCTACTTGGGAGGCTGAGATGGGAGGATTGCTTGAGCTCAGGAATTCAAGGCTGCAATGAGCCATGATCGTGCCACTGCACTCCAGCCTGGGTGACAGAATAATACCCTGTCTCAAAAAAATAAAAAAAAAGAAATATTGTGAAAATTGCCAAAATATGAGACAGATATAGGAAATGAGCACATGCATTGAAAAACTAGCATCCATAGACTTGCTTGAGGCAAGGTTATCAGGAACCTTCAATTTGTAAAAAACTGACAAACAAACAAACATAATGCTTGTGAAATACAATAAAGCAAAGCACAGTAAAACAAGGTATACCTGTAATTTTTAAGCCCAAGGCATGCTAATTTACATGGTTATGTTTTTTAAATGGATACAAGAAATCTTCCATTTGAAGTAAGCAATTGACCAGTGTTTTTCAAGCTGTTATCTGAATGTATGAGGAGGCTGAGCATAAAAGACAGATCCTAGATCTCTTTTATTCTGCTTCTTAAAAAATTGGTTTTTATTTTTGTGATCATATAAAATGATTTCTATGGAAGACCACATGATACTTCCCTGAGCATTGAGTTAAGAATTGAGAACCAGAATTAGTATTTGTGTTACAATTTGTTTTGGTATCAAGTAGCACTAATTAATTTGTCACATAATAATGAGAAAAGAATTGAGATTAACTTAATTTAGTCTTCATTTGCTCATTTATTTATTCATGTATTCAACAGATATTGAATGCCTACTATGATGGATTAATTAATACATGGCATACTGGTGCCAGTTCAAACCCAAAAGTCATCAAGGGCCTGTGTACAAATATGGACAAATGGATTATATAGTATTTGGGGTGAATAAAAGTGGTTGAAAGAATAAACTATGCTTAGGCACCAAAGGACTATTTTACTTCTCTGTAAAATACAACTACATTATTCAACAAACAGCTTGCAAATTTTAAATTAAGTTACTGACTGAATGGAAGGCTAGCACTGCCCCTTATCATTAATAGTTCTTTATGAACACAAGGAATAGTCTATGTACATTTTCTTCAAAGTGTTTTTAAAATACCAATTTTAATTAAGTTAATTTGAATGAACAACATGAATGCCATTGCTCAAGTGCCCAAGAAAATCAAAAGACTACATGTTTGGCAATGTAGCATAATAGTTAATATTACACTACTAATAGTACTGGAAACTACACAAACATAGGCCCAAGTTTTGACTCCATTACTTTGCTACCTGTGCAATGTTGAACATTTAGCTTTTCTGAGCCTCAGTGTTTTTATGTCTGAACTTAGTATACAAGTAGTACCCACTTCATAATGTTATATGAATAAATACATGGGAA
Source organism: Homo sapiens (assembly GCF_000001405.40). Lineage (NCBI taxonomy): Eukaryota > Metazoa > Chordata > Mammalia > Primates > Hominidae > Homo > Homo sapiens. The sequence goes on from NC_000012.12 coordinate 81,357,892, forward strand.
ATGCTTATTCAACTTTGGGCCCATAGTAGGGGCTTTATGTTACTTATAGTTTTTTTAAAAATGTCATACTCTGTGTTTCAAATTAATAAAAATGCTAGCATTTTCTAATTATCTCAGTGTTAAAATTCTATCAAAAATGAAACTATGTATTTAAATAAAACTAGAGAAGAGTTGAAGTTAAAAGATTAACCTTTGGCTCATCTCTTCGCACACCCATGCGGCCTCTCCTTGGTCTTCTTATTACTTTAGTTGTTCTGTAATCAGACTGGCTGTCCACTAGGGATCCCACTGAGTACCGCAACTCAGCTGAGGTGTCTAGATGAGTTCTGGAAAAAAGGAAAAATATAAAATAATCCAATCTCAAAAATTAAACTTACCAGGAAATTACTATCTGCTGTTTTACTGGCAATAAAGCAGAAATCCTCAAGGAAATAAACCTCAAGAAAGATAACCGATAAATTGTCATGACTCTCTGAGGCCTCTTTAGAGACTTATGTCAGAAGCTGCAGTCTTAGGTCCATTCCTGAAAGTCAAGTGCACTTTCTTCTTTTAGAATATACAGTGCTTATAACCTTTCTGTTTATTATCATTTTCAAATGCAGTAGTAAAATGAATCATAATAAGACTGATAATCAAAATCCATTAGGTTAAATTCTGGCAATTTAGTTTGAGCTCTTTTGTGTATATCACAGTATGTGCTATTGATTACTGTATTTGTTTTAAATATTTCTTATACATCTAGCTAAAAATGTCTGAAATTTGAGGGTCCCAGAACTTTTCCAATCTTAAAATTTTTGGAGAAATTTATTCACATTGTCTATTTTTCACATTCTATTTTTCAATTTAGAGAATCAACAAAATGCTTAAATTTAGATGGACCCAAGGCTTATGGTCTTATTTTTATAAAAGAAAATAGGATATACTACCAAAAGGATTTTTTAAGTTTTTAATAAGACATTGTTTCAAAAGGATGAAGAAAAATCTTTTCATAAGCACATTTGATTCTTAAATCTGCTTAAAGATGAAAGAGTCGGAAAATTTTAGTTGGAAAGTATCATTACACTAGTTTTCAATAAACATGGTAATAAAGTACCCTATAATCAAAGTGCAGAAAAGGCTTCTCCAGGCATATTACTTATATGTAGATTTATAGCAAATTCATTTTATTGTTACAATAATGATGATAATAACAGTGACATAATGCTGTCCTATAAAATGAAATAACAGATCTATCATCAGTAGGAAATATACTTAAAGCTGTTAGTTCTATTGAATTTGAGGCTCCTGCTGATTGACTATACTCTCTTTTTCAGTTATTCTTGTGAACAAAGACAAGCACTTCCAAATATCTGGTAACATTAAAAAGGGGAGGTGAGGTTTGGGTGTTTGCAACAGCAGAAGACACTAACTTAAGAAAGTTCTTGTTTTGCCAAATGGGGCATTAGAACAAATGAACTAAAACATTTTCCATCAAATAGGTGACAGCTATTGTTTTTGTAGCAATGTATTTGAGACTTAATCAAGTAAACAGGTTTTATCATGGATAAGTTACATTTAAAAAAAAAAACAACTAGGCCATATTCATAAAGGACACAACTCTGTCTTTATCTCTTGGGCAGAGGCTCTAAGTTTCATGAAGAACAAAGATCAGATTTTAGTCACCTTCCTATGTCCAGGAAGGCGTTCCTAGCATATAATAAGCACTTCATAAATATCTGGCAAGATGATAAATAAAAGAAATGATTATAAGACAGGCTTAAACTGTCTTGTTGTGATCAGTCTGGGTTCCTTTTTCCTGTGGCTGCTTACCTTAATGTCCCTTTAGGCATCAGGGTGAAGTTTCTAACATTATAACTCATCATCCTAGGAGCATTGTTTTCTTGTTGATTTATTTCACAGCTCCAGATAATTTATTTTAAAAAAAAGCAAAACACAGATCTAATCATATCAATTTCCTGCTTAAAATTATTCAATGTCCTTAAAGGCCCTCTATAACTTGGGCCTTTGCCACTTTCCAGTTTCATTTTAAGGTACTCTCTGCCTAGCTTTTCATACAGCTGTACTGACCTTCTTTCAATTCCAGTAACTCACACTTTCTTTTCATTTCTTTGAACATGCTTTTGTTTTTGTTTGTTTGTTTGTGTTCTCCTGAAAACAGTCTCAACACATGTGGTTAACAGTTTTAAGGTCTCAGTTTAAAAGTGCTATTGCCATCTACCCTTCTAGCTCCTAGTATTCTTTTTTATTGTACCAGTCCTCAAACTCATCTCTCTCCTCTTTTTTCCAGTTCTCTGAGCTAGTTCTCTAACAGGAGAAAACAGAGGCAATATTATCATACTAGTTCAATTTTTAAATCATTCTAGGTGTTCAGTATTTTGAAAGGCTTTTGGAAGGTCTAAGTAAGTCACAAAATAGGCATCAGTTCCTTTAAGCAATGAACCCTGTAGCTTCTCCTCCTGAATCTCCTGTGACTCTTGCATGTAATCTCATTAAAGAACTTGCATAAATAAGCCAGGTAAGAATTTTTTTAGAGAAAACCTATTACCCATCGCTCTGCTTCCTGGAGTGTTCTCTGTTGTCCTTTCCAATTACCCAGAGTCTATCTTTTTTCAGAGTTGAGCCAAATCAAGCCCTTTGTAGTCACTCTGGAACTCATTTTACTTTCTTCTTAGATGAGATATTAAGAGAGAAGAGTGGTCACTGATATTCACTCACCTTAGCTTATCTCTCCTCACCTCTCCACCTATTAGATCAAAACTTAGTAGACTGAGTTCTCATGCACCTCCTATTTCCATTATTGTTTTTACGAAATTACTTGTCCTCAGAAGCATGAATGTTCTATAAATAATTGTTGTTTAATAAATATTCAGTTATCCTGTAACTTATTATAATAAGTTCTGTTTAGCTAGCTTACCTTAATTATTTCTATAATACTTTATACTTGTGATATGATTTACTATACATATAATCCCTACTGCTTGTCTTATTTTATCTGCAAACCAAGCCTGTGATATAATCAGAAAAATATCATTTATGCATATTTAGGTACAAATATGTATTTATTTAGAATGTTATTAAGGAAAACAGGTTTCCAAAATGAAGCAGCTTGTAATTATCTGTGAGTCCTAGGAATGTGGATTGTCTTATTCTTGGTCTAGGGTTCCTTCCACTACAATCTGTTGATCAAAGAATAATTGTTCTATATAGGCCAAATCATCCTTCATTGTAGATAAATGTCACATTGTTAGGCTGCCCATAATGACTCAGTGCAGTGATAGACTTTTAGACAACACTTTGAAACTCTGTATTTTGAGACATAAGGTCAAAAAAACAAGGAAATGGCCATTTATTCTTAATCAAATATATTTAATCTATTGATTTGATAATGCTTATTCTATGCATTGACTCCCCTGATATTTTACCAGTTCTTCTCCTTCTCCTTCTCCACCATCCTCATTATAATCATCATAACCATGTGAACACATAACATTGAAATAATAATTTCAGTTCACATGTAAAAATCAGAATCTTAAAAATGTGAAAAATAAGAACGATTTTCTCAATTAATGACTTACATATGTAAAAGTTCTTTGAGTGTTTTTATGCCTGCCGAACTTTTTCTCATATTCAATTGAGTATGGAAGTACTTAAAATATCAAATATTGTTTTTCCTTACATTTATATTGAAAAGAATTTAAGACACTTCAGGATTTTTTCAATTTGAATTTTTATTTGAGAATCTGAAAAATGCTTTACCAGATATTCATTTATTCATTCTATAATATATCTTGAGAGCATACTATATGCAAGATAGTTTTTTAGGTGTTGAGATTATGGTAGTTATCAAAACAAATACAAACCCATCCTCTGGTGGAGTTAACTTTCTAAAGATGAACATAACACCAAGAAAGATGAACTTCTACTAAAAGCCTATGGTAGTGGAAAGTTTCAAACGGCTGCTATTATTCTGTGTTGCCTAGTAAATAAGTGACTAAATGAGTGTGTCCTTCTAGGGTTTCTAACAACTTTAAATAAAACATCTCAAACACAAAAGGAAATTATGTGTGAATTATTAACATATAGATCTATCTATGTATCTATCTATGTATCTATGTATCTATCTATCTATCTATCTATCTATCTATCTATCTATCTATCTATGATCTATCAAGTAAGCTGCCATCCATTGCTTCTTTTTCTTAAGATGAGATAGTGAATCAAAGTAGATGAGTATGGCTAAATTTATTTGAAGTTTTTGTTTTCTTTTCTTTTATCTGATTCATTTCTCTTTTCCTCTTTTTTTTTTTTGCAATTACTTTACCGAAATAGGTAGATGCTAAGTGACCATAATCAATAATATTTGTTTAGTCACATAAGCATTGAACATATTTCTGCATGTTTCTACACTGAACACATATAGAAAATTTTATGTCGAATTCAATTTCTGTATTGAACACATATAAAGAGAAGGGCTGACGCCTCTTCTTGAATGAGATGCAATCTCCCTGTACACAGTTCAATTTCTTCAATTAAGAATCTTTTAATATATTTATATATATAATGAAATGCAGAATACAAAAGTTAACATTTTAATTTTTTATTGATTATCTACAGAAATAATCTCTAAGTTAAAAAGTTATTTTTGAATGTAAAAACTGCAAATCAGTGAAGAGTCAAAACATGATAATGACTAGTGAGCAATAGGAAGTACTGATTTATTTTAGTTGAGGACATATGAAACCATAAGGGAATTCATGTTGATTTTCAGTGAATTATAGATAAGCTTTTAGTTTAATGTTACCTTGGTATTGTGGGTTCAATTAAAGAGCCAGTTCTCATTTTCAATTGGTCAAGTTCAGATCTCAGCTTTTCAATTTCTTCTGCTAATCTTTCCTAAAAAATCAAAACAGTGTTACTCAGATGCCAGTAATATCAGCAAGCAATTATGATAAATGAGTCTTAATGATTTTTTTTAAAAAGGAAAAACTGAGGATATATTTTTATTAAAGGTTATTACACATAATAATAAAGCACGCCAAAATTTTCCCCTTGTAATAAAAAATGTGGATAGCAGAAATTAATAAAAATTTATCTACAATCTCTGGCATTCACTAATCCTGAATATTTGAAAATTCGTGGGAATATTAAAATTATGACTAGCTATGTAGATGTCACTTAAAAATGCAGAGTAGAAATCATATGCAGTTTTGAAAATAAAGAAAATGTCTTATTTATGCAGTAAATGAAGAACTTTCATTATTCTATGAGGGTTAAAGGACATATGGGTGAAGGAAAAAGATGATTGGATTGAAAGAAAAAGGAAAGTAAACCCTCTGGCTTTTACTCTGCATGAGATAGGCAACAATTGGAGGATTTTTTTAAAAAATATTAATTAATTAATTAATTTATTTATTTATTTAAAGACAGGGCCTCACTCTGTCACTGAGGCTGGAGTGCACCTTAAAAAGTAAAGTTAATAACCAATTAGCTTGATATTGTCACCATTATTTGTACTTAATTATAATTTTCTCAAATTGGCATTTTCTGGTCTATAAATTTATGAAGATAGGGGTTGTCTTAGAGCTTTAATTAACTGCTCATGTAAGCATTCAATTTGGTTTTAATGATTATAACTGTTATATTGTTTTACAGGTCTAAATGTATCATTCTAGATTTTTCTATTACTGTTTTTCCCCTTCCCAGTGGCCAGTGCTTGATATTTTACTTTACTCAAACTTTTCTCACCACATTTTTTTTTGTTAATGTGGCCTTTGCAATGTTTCTCTTTTCTGTTCTTTTTATTCTCACTACGTCACTACCATCCTACTCTAAGCCCTTTTTATCTTTTTCCTGAATGATTTTTACCAGCTTCAGTCTCTTTCCTACACATTTCTCTGCTAGACATATAATTTCAAAACACATGTACAATAAACTAATGTGTTGCTTTAAAATGTTCAATAGTTTCTTATTGATTTGTAAATATCTTTGTTCATTATTTTCACAAAAGTGCGCTGAGTACCTCTTGTGTGTCAGGCACCTGAGATACAGTAGTGAGCTGACAAATGTCTTGCCCTCATGCAATTTAGAATTTAGTAGAAAAGATGAATAATAAACAAGTAGTAATATAGAAATATAGCATGTTGTTAGAAAGGAGAAAACAGGGGAGTCATGGAAGGGTTTTTCAATAAAGTGATACTTGGACAATGACCTAAATAAAGGAGAAATTAAAAAATGAGACTCTTAGGAAAAGGCATGGCAGATAAAAGCAACAACACGTGCATACGCCTCTTAGTGGAAATGGAGTAGAGGGTAAGGAGTCCAGTGTGGCTGGATTGCAGAGGTTAAATTGACAAATAGAGGATACTTTTTAAAAGTATGATTGCAGAACTCAGGAATGGTAGTCCTAAAAGAGGTTGTAAACCACTTCAAACTCTGGCTTTTACTCTGCATGAGATAGGCAACAATTGAAGGATTTTAAAAAATTATTTTATTTATGTATTTATTTATTTAAAGACAGGGTCTCACTTTGCCACTGAAACTGGAGTGCAGTTCTGTGATCACAGTTCATTGCAGTCTTGAACTCCAGGGCTCAAGTAATCCTCTTGCCTCTGCCTTCCAAGTAGTTAGGAGGACTACAGGTGTGCACCACTGCACCTGGCTAATTTGTTTTTAATTTTTATTTTTGTAAAGATGGGGTCTTGCTATGTTTCCTGGATTTTCTAGCAGAGAAGTGGCATGATCATTCTAATGGCTGTGAAATAGATTGTCAAGTTGAATTGGGAGTCAGAAAAGAGAGGAAATTTTGAGGCAAGAGAGTAATGGTTTGGACAAGAATGGTGTTAGGGTAAGAGTGGCTATATTTTGGCTATATCGTGAGAGTAGAAATAAGAGGATTTGATATTGGACTAGATGTGGGATATGAAACAAACATAGGGGTCAAGACTAAGTCCAAGTTTTTTAGCCTGAGTAACTGAAAGAAAGAAAGAAATTGTAATTATGATTGACTGAGAAGACTGCTGGTGTGTTAGGTTAGATGGTGGTGGTGTTTGATGTGTGGGAGTGGGGTGAGAATAGACTGGCATGTTACATTTGAGGTACCTAGGTGTCCAAATGGAGATATTGAGTTGGCAATAGAATATATAAACTCTCTCAGGGAAGAGGACCCAGTAGGTAATCTAAATTTGGATGTGCTCAATTTATAGATGGTGTTTAAATCCAGGAGATCAGATGAAGTCACTAGGGGTGAATCAGAGAGAAGAAAGGAAAGCTACCTAGAAACTTCAAATTGTAGAGATAAAGATGGAAAGGGAAACACTGAGAAAAGAGTTTGAGCCTACAGAGGGTTTTGCTGATAATGGACTGTGAGTACAGTTAGTTTAGTGGAAATTTGAGGAATTATAGAAGATGTGGTCAGATTAGTGAATGTGCCCATCTAAATGGGATGATAGTTCAGACATGAGATATGATCTGGGATTTACTCTCTCTGGAGACTGACATAAGCAAGGATGCAAAGCATGGCATGATTAGTACTCTTGGTTGCTTAGGCAGATTGTTGGAGTTACAAGGCTTTGGTAGGTGGTGGGGGAGTGGGTTCTGGGGATATTGCCAGGAGCACACAGAGCTTTGGATAACATAACATGCATAACAGCATCACGTCCAAAATTCACAATCTGCTCAAAAACTACTTCTTTAAATACATACCAGTCACAGTAAACTTCTGATGATTCATCAAATCAATCATCTTGATTTTCTTTGTGCCGTTGCAGAGGATTCATCCTCTACTTAGAATGCTCTACCTTTATGAAGATCATATATGTCTTTAAGAGGCTACTAAAAATGTAATCTCTGTGTTGTTTTTGTGAACTACCTCAGAAAGAATCAGATACTATATTCTAGGCCCCACATTACATTGTTCTAAAGACCTATCTTTCAGGAGATTGTGGACACCTTGACTGTAGAATTAGTTATTTTTAATTGCTTCATAATATGCAGCATCCAGTAGGGTTAAATGTATAATTGTTCTCTTTCCTCTATTCTTCATCTTTTCCAATACCTTCTATATCCCATACTATCCCTCCCTCCCTCCCTCCCTCCCTTCCTTCCTTCCTTCCTTCCTTCCTTCCTTCCTTCCTTCCTTCCTTCCCTCCCTCCCTCTTCCCTTTCCTTCCCTTCCCTTCCCTCCCTTCTTTCTTCCCCCTCTCCCTTCTTTCCTTCATTCTCTTTTTCCCTTCCTTCTCTCTCTCCATTTCTTCTATCTTTTCTCAACATACAGTTATAGATCACTTCTTAAGTTAGCAATCCTTTCTTCTTTAAAAAAATAAGATAAAATTGCTAACAATAACTTTAAAGGCTAATGAAGAAGGAAAATACTATTAGCAATTACCATTAAAATTTCACAATCTGCCCTTAGTTTCCTCTTCTACCACATACCCTACAACAGGAATAATTGATTCCAGCCAAATAGTTGTGCCTATTATTTAAAATGTCACACTCATTACCCATCCCCTCACCCCACCAAGCACCTGTGATCATGCCACATGCACTATGTTTGAAAGCCTGGGGTCAGAGTCCTACTTTCCCTTAAATCTTCAGTCAAGTCCCTCCTTCCTGAAGTCTTCTTCACAGCAGCAATATATCATGGTCTTTCCTACCTGTAGCTCTTACTGCCTACTTCACTAATTTGGCATTTGGCATCTGCTACCCTGCATCCTCATTGGTTTGTAAGGGCTGTGTTCTCTCTCCTCAGTTAGATTTTTTTAGCTCCTTTGGAACTAGGATTATGTTTGGACATATATAACTTAGCATAATTCTATTTATAATAGTATTTAATGTATTTCTGCTGAAAGAATATCTAAAACTGACATAAATTAGCGCATATATTTTAATTCTATTTATATAAGGCATAAAGCAAGGCAAAACCATTTTTTAATGTTATAAGTCAAGATAGTGATTATCCTTTAATGGAAGAGTATGAGTATAGACTAATTTGGGGGGAGTTTCTGAAGTGCTAATTTTTGGTGAATTTGGGTTACAAAGATTCATGAAGCTCTTCCTCTCTATGTACGCTTTTCTGCACATATTCTAAAAAGTTAAAATTGTTTTACAAAGATAGCATACTAAAATTATTTTTTCAAATTTATTTTACAACAAAACATTCATCAGTGGAATAGAAAATAAAAATAGAAAATGGGCCCAAAACATAAGTTTCCATTATACCTTATCATGTAAAGATTCTTCAAGATTCTTTCTGAAAGTTTCTGATTCTTGAATTAAAACATTCTAAAGAAAAGAAAATAGCAGAAATAATTAATAAATTAAACATAAAATACTTAAAAATATATTGATTAATATCTTATCACTCAAGAATCCTCTTAGATTCCTTCCTTAGTTCAGGTATTTCTTGGTTTCCATGGAAACCATGCTTTGATGAAATTTTCAAATGTGAGACCTTCACATTTAAAAAATACATAATTTAAATGGGAAATGCTATTTTGTAACACTTGAATGAACAAATGAAATAAATATTGCATTTTAAGCTACTTCTGTTTGCCTTTTCTCAGACCACATTTTAAATCAGAAACTATTGGTTATTCTTCAAGTAAGAAAAAGTGAGCAACAAGCTAAATCTTAGAGGTGTTATAAAAAATTCAGAAGAACTCACTTCTATTGTCTGAAGAAAGAAGAAATCATGAAATCATATTTTTTAAAATTTCACTTTCTGGACATCTACTGCAATGTGGAATTAACAATTTATAATGATACTTAAATTATTAGAGAAATAACAAACTCTAGCTATTCAGAAACCTAATATTACATGTCACAAAGTCAGTGGAAATAAGTTGGCATCATAGATACTTAAAATAAACCTTGCCAGAAAATTATTTTTGTTGTTAAAAATTATTTATTTTTCTACAAAACACACAAGTACTATAAGACATTATTTAAAATAATGTATTCTTTTTCAAAGTTATAGAATAAAATTAAACTAAGAGTGTAGTAATTGCATAGGGGCCATGTATTTGAAGTTGTATGAGAGGAAGTCATGTCTTATTACTTTCTAATGGGTAAATTAATCAAACTAACTTTTTGTCAAAACATTTTCCCTATTTTGGTTTATTTTATGTACTAATGGAAAATGTCTAGCTAAAATAGTGATTGGCATTCAATCTAGATTTCTAAAATGATGTGATCATCCGGGTTTTATACCCTACCTTAATTTATGCTCTGGAATTGGTAACCAGCTCTCATAACTCTTGCTGGTCTGGTAGCTGCCAACTATCAATGAGACATATATAACTGTAAATCACATTGCAGACTGTACAGAAGCACTATTTCTGAAATAATGCAGCTGAAAATACTGGGTTCCTAAACCCTCTACTGGGATTGATACTAGTTCTTTTGATGATATAAACTCACTTACATTTTGACTTTTAGACTGGTGTGTAGGTATCAGTCACTTGACACGTGAATATTTCAAATCACCTTCCCCCCAAAAAAGTATTGACTTGTGTCTCATCACTTTTCTATTTTGCATACCAGGCAAAGGATATATAAAATATTTTCATCATAAAAGCACAGCATATTTTAATACATTTGCCTCATATGAACATGTGAATATAAAAGATTTATATATCATGCAAATTTTTTATTCATCCCAAATTTGATCTTACACTTTTTTAAATAAAAAATATGCATTCCTTTCTAAGAATATACCAGGCATTTTTAAAAACTAAGTAAATGGATCATCTGACCATTACAATGATTGCAGCTGTATATAAAACAAACATGAGCATTGCAAAATATTCATGTGATTTTACCCTTCTATCGTTTTACCTTTTCTTCTAGAGCAGCCATTCTTTCCTTTAAGTGTAGTTGTAGGCGTTCATTGGATTCAGTCAGAAGTCTATCAACCGTATCCGATAATCTCTTGTTATGCTCCTCATTCATTTTCTCTCTTTGCCTAGCCTTACATTTTAAAAAATGACATAAAAATCCATTCAAAAACTGTTTGAGATTATTTTTATAGTGTTGCTAGTTTTAAATTGAATTTAATTTTACATCTGTTTTGATTAAAGTGGTGGAAACATTTTATTCAAGTCAACAGGTCATATTTGTAAGTTTTAAATATAACCCATACTCAGTTAAAGGCTTTCTTCTTATATACAGAATACGAATTCATAAACCAATGATTGGGGGGTAATAGTTCTTAATATACATACTCTTTGAAGTTCTTGATTCTTCTCTTCAAGTTGACCCTCTAAATGTCTCATACGTTCTTCAATATTTCCATGTCTCTCTTCAGCCTGTTAAGAAATATGAAGAATACACCTGAAATGTAAGATTTGGTTAACACTTTTCCTCTAAATAAATTGAAATAAAATGTAAAGCAAGCTACTACCAACTGCAAACATAGTTTTTAAAAAATAAACTTTCTTCAAACAGGCAGCTGAACAGCATTGCTTGAAATGTGTCAGCTACAAAGGCCTGTTACATCCAAGCATCAGCAAAACATTGGAGTTATTTATGAGCAATGAAATCAGCCAAATGTAACATGCAGACTGTGCATGGTTTGAACACAAACCTGCCATTGTCCAATCTTAAGCTCCTGAAGCACTGAACTGCACAGATGGTTGATTATCAATAAATAAAAGTAACATAATTTTTATAAATGAAAAGAAAAACTTAGATGGATTCTATTTAGCAATAGAAAGTAAAGTCCAGTAGGACTACCTTCCTACGTATGGAGATCATTTCTTGTAGTTTAGCTTCCATAACATATTGATAATCATCAGATGAGGTAGAAGAGGTTGGATCAGACTAACGAGTCAAGGAAAAGGAGAGGGACAAAATTGAAAAATCAGAACTAAAGACACTGACACCAAACAGAACATAGCACAGAATGCTTAAAAGAAAAGTGTGACAGCAAATTTAATACTTTAATAGACAGAATTTTATGTGGAAAGAACTACATTGATATTTGGTGAACACGATGCAGTTGATGGTTTTAAATAAAAAACAATAATATACTAAAATAAAAAGCTATCAACCTAAGATATGAAAGGTTAGTGATGGCTGGCAATGAAAGACTACTACAGAATGAATAAAGCAACTCTGAAAGAGTTATATAATAATTGGAATTATGGGAAACCAAACACCAGAATATGTCTCTGATAGATTGTTAAAAGTTTGTATTAGGGTTTGTTTGTCTATATTACTTAAAAATAATGGAAACAGTAGTTTCACAATGTTGAGGAAAATGCTAGACAATGACTCAGGTGTAATTAATTTGGAACAAAATTTATTCTAAACCTTGCTCTGTAGAAAAAAAGATAAAAAAACTAAGCCTGGGGGTTATTGTGAGTAGTCCCCAATTCAAGCAAGATTGAGTTTCCTCAGCAACAGGAAAACTTATGAAATGACTTCTGGTCTCTGAATGCACACTATGGTCATTGGTCTAGAATCTAATGGCCTACTCTCAGATACTTGGTCTCAAATATTGGTCTAACGGTCCACTCTCAGATATTGGTCTAGAATTTAATGGCTTACTCTCAGATAGGTTTAATTAGAAATTTTAAATGAAAATGATTGAAAGTCCTCAAATTATCAATTGACAACAATGCTGTGAGAACAAGAAATCTTGTTTGTGACTCTCCTAAATGACATTAGGGGCCAATCCCAAACTGTTCCTGCATTGATTTGTTGCTGTGGAAACAAAATAGTGCCTAAAGTGAATAGGCAGCACAGTTTCCTTGTAAGCTCATGTTTGCCCAGTGCCAAGGTTAGATACATGTCTTGGAGGTGACCGTCAGGTTACCACAGGTGCAGAGTGTTCAACACATGTGACATTGCTGATAGCAAAATTGTTAGTATGTTATGCAAGGATTACATATGAAGTTATATCAACATTTTAATCATTGCAAGTTAAGTAATTATTACATTTAAAGGACTCTATGTCAGGACTACAAATTTAACTCCACAGCATATTCTGTCACATTTTATAAGCTCATTCTAAAACAGTGAAACTCACTTTATGCCAATATAGAACTATATATAAATATGTCATGCAGTAACTGAAAAGAAATAGTAACCTATTCATTTGATTCAGATGCATATATACTATTTTATGCAATAAATTCAAATTTAATCTATGAAAGCAAACATTTAACATTTCAATTCTGGTGTGCTTATGCAAACTACAATTCAACATTTACATTTTGTAAGGCTTTCCTTCTGATATTCTTATTTTATAAATGTGGAAGATAATAAAGACATGATAACCAATTCCTTTCCTCCAAGTCGTCCTCAAATTTCCAATTTAGAAGCTATACAGAGTTACCATGGTCCCCAAATGCCATAATTTTTTAAATAATATTATTTAAAAATATATTTTATTAAAAATAAAAATTTAAATAATATTATTTAAATTTTAGAGTAAGTGGATCAAAATGTTGTTGAAATTATATAATCTAAATTCATAAAGATATCTGTGATCCTTCAAAATTACATTTTAACATGCAGTTAGTAGTGTTTAAATTAATTAGGTGACTGACTCAAGACACTTGAGACATGAATATTTCAGCTGCCAAAACTGTGTCTTCAAAAATACAAGTTTTTAGAGGTCTTTAAAACTTCTAGTTGTTTCTGTTTACTTATTAAAAACACATCAAACTTAAAAAGAAAAAACACACAAAACACCAAAATTGTGAAAATTCCCTTCAGAGAAAAAAAAAGAATTTGGTCCTGTTTAAATTCCTATTATTGCTGATACATTTTATTGGTACTAGAAATAAATAAAATACCTCATTCAAGATGAATTATGTCCTTGCTAAAGGAATATGCATTTTAATTAAAAAGTAGATATTATAAATCATAAGACTGGGAGCCCAAAGTAATCTTTATTGGTTAATTGCGTATAAACTCGCCAAAGCAAAACTTTTAGTTGTATCCATAACCATTAATCAATCATTCTGACTTTCTAAAAGACATAAATAAGCTTTGCCTATACACACACACACACAAACACACACACACACACAAACACACACACACACACAAACACATTAGAAGGAGAAAAATAGTTTATCAACCAAAGAATGCATTCAGACATCCCATCTAAATAATATATACTGGGACCAATTTTCAACCAACACTACTGATTTGCATTCTATGTGAAAACTATAGTTTTAGCAATTGTTGTAAATACAAAGATCACACAGAAACAGTCTGCTATTTTTTATACTCCTTGGTGAAAAACTGTTTATCTTAGTTTCACTCCTTAATATGATATAGGAAAATTTAAAATATACTAAAGTTTTAGGATGAACTACAGGCAGAAATGGTTTTGAGAACATGAATAACCTCAGAAAGGGAGAAGAAATTAAATTTAAAGAGAAAGACCTAGAAAAAAGAAGAAAAAAAGGTGACAGTAAAGTAGAAAAACGTATATTGGTGAAATAAAATGTCTGAGGGGTTATTAAGAATATCATTCAAAATATAGGAGGAGGAACCCATGTTTAAGCTAAGAAGAAATATTTTTACTTTAGTGAGTAGTCAAAAGGTTAATGAACAGAAAAAGACTATGATGATCCATAATAAGGAAATATCAGAAACAAATTGAAACAGAAAAAAAAAAAAAAAACAGATATAAAAATAGACCCTAAAGGTCTTGAGAACAGAGTACAAGAAAAAGTACAAGGCTGTTGAAACCACAAAACTTGGGAAAAGGAATGAAAGAGTGATCCTCAAATGTTTAAAAAAAAAAAATGACAGGCAAAAGGAATGTGTTCAGGATAAAATCTCAGTACTTAAGGAGCTTTCATAATGAATAAAATATGGTCATAATATAAAAAGTATATATTTAAAATATGTTGTTGACAAAGCACCAGTCAGAAGAGAAAGTGATAAAAAGGAGAGTGAATCAGAGCATTTGAAGACTTTTTGGAAGAATTCCAATTTTCTGAAAAATGAAATCAAAGAGGTTCAGGGACAGTAAAGGGAGGAGAAAGCTGAGGGGAGCTATTTTTTGTGCCCAAGGTAATATTGTGCCCAAGATATATATATATCAACTTAACAGACTAGACAAGATAAGAGGAAAAAATATAAGGCACCTAATTCCAGTTATTTTTATATATTCTAAATCAATAATTCTTGGGAGTATTTAATATAGTGTTTTTTATGTCAAATATTATATTTTAAATTGTTTTTATTCTCAGTCTATCAAAGGTTAATGTGGGGCAGTGATTTTCTGAATTGTAAATTGTGTTACTTGGGGGAAATTGCAGATTTTCTTGTGTTTTAGTCAAGATAATATTGATAATTATTTTAAGCTACAATTTTACAAAAGTTATTTTTCTTATTCAGTAACTCATCTAACCCCCCAAAACAGTGCAATTGAAAAAGATAACTCTTTTTGAAAGTCCTTTATGTTCTTTAGATGAAAGGCCTAATTATGCATATCTTAGTCTAGGTTATAGTCATTTAAGATCTGTGTTTGCAAGAAAAAATGAAATAATATGAACATGTTTAAATATTTTTTCAAATTAAATGATAAATTAATCTTTATCTTAGAAATCACATATTCCTGAAATTGCCAGAGTGGTTTACTGGCATGGTTTGTGACTACAGAACGATCCAAATTATAATCCCATCTTAATCAGTTTTATCCAACTAGTTACTCCAACACTCTGTAAACAAGCAACTATTTAAATGCTCTCTAATCCTGCTCTACGCAGTCAAAGGTTTGTCTTTCATTACCTGGTTAATTGTCCTATTTTAACCAACAGGAAGATCAGTCCACTGTTCATTTTTAATTATTTGCTTTTTTAGAAAATCAGATGTGTGTGTCTACTTCATTGCTGCATCAATTATTTTGGGTAAATCCTAATCCCGTAATTTTAAACTTGAAGTCCAGATACCTATCATACTCACTTATTGTAGTGGCCTTGAAAACTTAGCAAATATTAATGATTGTATAAAAATATAAATTGTGTGATTATTTTTGAATTCATATTAAATGTCAAACATGCTTTTAGTGACAAAATGTAGTTTTATATAACTTGTGACATATACATACACTTTGAAATGATGCCATTTCCGTTTGATTGTCAGAGGTCAGAATAGTTCTTTTTAACATTATAATGCTTGTAAAATTCTAAAATATTCAGATAGTTGCAGAATCTACTGGCCATATTATACAGAAAATTTTGAACACTCTTCAGCGTATTATTGATTTTAATTTTCAGATGAAATTACAACTATAAAACTGCTTTCTGATTTTTAATTGTTTTAGACCTCAGACTTTTATAAGTCTAACTTCCCACTTCTAACAAGTTTTATACTGTAGTTGGAGAGGAATCAAGAAGTTATGATATTCTCTATACTTCTAATAGCAATTGATGTGAAGCCTGTTAAATTGTTATGTCTCATATAACATTATCTTTTTTGTTTATCTCCAGGATTATTATACAAATATTACCATGGAAAATTAACTATAACAATGACATGAAATTTTACTTGTTTTGTTAATGTTTAAATAGGCAGGGGGATCATCACATTTGTATAACAATTATTCCTGCTGGCATAAATATGTATGACAAGAAAAAAATTGACTTAATAACAGCTCAATATAATAGAGATTAAACTTAATTTTCATAAAGCCTATAGAAAATCTTTACACATTCCATTTTGATTACAAGTCCTTTCTACAAATATATCTAGGTTGACCAGTTGTTCTAGTGCAGTACCTTGGTTAGGGCTGCAATTCTCTGAGCCAGTTCAGCCTCTACTTCAGGCAAGGTTTCAGCCTTTCTCATGGTCTGCTGCAACTTTTGTTCAGCTAGCTCAAGACGTTCTTGTAACTGTCTGTTTTTCTCTTCCATCTGAAATGGGAATGGGAGCAGAGACACTTAAAGAGTCAGAGTTTGGATAGCAAACACCAGTCGCCAGGGGCTTTGCACTTCAGCCATGATTCTAGATTTAAATCAGCCACTACCACACCTAAATGTGCAAAGTGTTGATTGTTGTCTTGTTATCATATATTGCTTATCTGTTTCCTTCATACATTTCAGCACATTAAAACAATGAAGAAGCTCTTACCACTGGCAGCAAAAAGGAAAGAAATTACTCATGAGTATACATTTTAACAAAGGGAATATAGCTCAGTACTAAGACATCAGATATACCACCGTAGCAAAATATTGAAAATCATGGTATTTAGACTGGAGTTGGAGAGGTAATGTAGCATGATGATCCAGGCTCTAGAGATAAGGTTGACAAACATTTTCTGTAACAGGTCAGATAGTAAAAATGTTAGGCCTCCTGTATCATATGGCCTCAATCCCAAATACTCAACTGCGTTGTAGCACAAAAACAGTCATAGACAATGATTAAATGATTGGGCATGGCTGTGTTCCAATAAGACTTTATTAACAAGAGCAGGCAACCAACCAGCTTTGGCCCACGGCTATAGTTTGCCTGTTTCTGCTCTAGAGCCCAATAAACTTAGTATTCCATTATTGGCTCTGGTGTTTAGCAGATGTATGATCTTGGGAAAGTCTGACTGTCTCTGAACTGTAGTGTCTTTACTACAATAACGCCACCTACTTCATAGGTGGTGGTTAGAATTAAGTGAGGTAATACATGAAAACTGTTTAGCACAGATTCTGGCTCATGCCTATATGAAAAGTAAATCAGAGTCATTATTTGTATTACTATTAAGATAAATAATTTATCTTTCTGGAAAGTAAATTTCACACTGAAAATCGTATTTGTTTTGCTAGAGAATTTCAAATTTTAGAGAATGATTACTCAAACATCTGTCAAGAAGTACCCTATTTTATTTACTCCGTTTTGTGAGAATGATGAGAACGCACAGACCAGAAGAAAACCAAGACAGAGATACTGAACCTGCCGCAGGATAGCTTCTTTATTTGCTAACTCATTTTCTAGTTTATCATTCATGTCATGTATGGAGGTAGATTCTCTCTGAGCACTGAGGTAACGCTTTTCAAGGGTTGTAATTCTTTCTTCCATATCTTCCTTTTGTGCCATGGCCTACAATTAAAATAATTTAGAAAAAGCAAATCAGATTCTCAGATTGTTTAATTATTGTCTTGTTAGTTAAATAAAAAAGAAACATAAAAACTATTGCATTCTTGAAGTAAATACTCATTCCTTTCTTTTCATTGAACGAATGTGAGATTGCAGGTGCATGTTCCCAACTTAGCTATCAGAATTATTTTTGTATCTTCGGTTAACCAAAAGCTTTCTGCTGTCTAAGAATGCAATGGAGTAGCTTTTGAAACTCTCTACTGTAGAATTGGCATTCTTGTAAGACAAGTGGCAGATAAATTAGTTCATTATGCAGTAAAATTAAGTACAATAATGAGTAGAGTTGCAAATCATAAAATTGTTAAAATGGTGGCTACAGTTCTAAATTGTAAAGCAGTCTTCAAATAGATAACAAATACCATCCGTATTCTTACCTTTACATTAAGAAAGAGGAACTCTGTGGTTAAAAGGCCAGGCCAAAAAAAAAAATAGTACATTTGGATCTTATTTATAAGTTTACCAGCTGACTTAGAAACTTAGCCATTTACCTAGTTATATATGTTTCAATTACATAAGATTTTAAAGAAGTCCATGAACACATAAATATAGGAAAAAATCAAGTTCAAGTGGAGAAAATCATGGCATTGATAATATTTTAAACAGTAATTTTTAAATAATAGAATTTATAGATAGTAATATGGAGATAATTTTACCTCACAGCTTACATGGAAATTTATTGGTAGTTAGATAACCTACTTTATTGACAAGATGTTGGGTGAAAATCAAGTGCAGAAGTGAGGCTCATTGGCCTGGAATTGTTTCCTGAGAATGTGGGAAGCTTCTTTGTATAAGGATCCTGGAATTGAGGAAATGGCTATAGTTTCCATATCTTATTATCCAGAATCATTTCATCACTTATTCTTAATCAGTGCCTTTGTCACTCTCCTACAGGGTCCAGAGCCAGTCCTGTCACATATAATAATCAGATAAACAGACAGCCTTTCTTCCAATTTTCTTTCTTTTTTTTTTCAGATGATAACTCTAATGAAAAGATAGGTTGAATAAAAAGTAAAATAAGAAATAAAATAGGTAATGTCCTAATCTAATATAATAGCAAGACATAAATTTTGTTTAAATAAAGAGAGAAAATACCAGAAGTAGTGGATAAAAGGGTTGAAATTAAGAATTTCAGGGAAATGGGATGAAAACTTGAAGTGAGATGCTGTGTGTGTTTATACATGTACCATATTTATACGTGCCATTATTTGACTTTGAGAATTTTTGTATATATAAAAAATTAAAATTAATTAAAAAGTAATAGATCAGCCAGAGGCGATGGCTCACACCTGTAATCCCAGCATTTTGGGAGGCCAAGGTGGGCAGATCTCTTGAGGTCAGGAGTTCGAGACCAGCCTGCCTGGCTAACATGGTGAAATCCCGTCTCTACTAAAAATACAAAAAACTTAGCTGGGCATCATGGCTCATGCCTGTAATCCCAGCTACTCAGAGAGGCCGAGGCCTGAGAATCGCTTGAACCTGGGAGGTGGAGGTTGCAGTGAGCCGAGATCGCACCACTGCACTCCAGCCTGGGCCACAGGGCAAGACTCCATTTCAAGAAAAAAAAAAAAAGAAAAAGGAATAGATCCACCATGAAACTCATCATGTTGTCCCTAGTCTCCTGCCCACCCACAAGTTAGCTCTCTCTCTTGTATTTTTTGTCTTTTATTCTCCTTACTTTTCCTCCACGCTGCTGCCTGAGAGATATTTCTAAATGATCATATTGCTTCTTGGTTTCAATACTTTTATTTCTTCCCCTCCATCTTCAGGGTAAAATCTGAGCTACAAAGCCTGGAATAAAAGTGGTTTTGTGACCTGATACTTCCTTACTTCAGTGTACTGGGGCTAATAACATCCCCCCAAAATTCGTGTCCACTCTGAACCTGTGAATGTGACCTTATGTGCAAATAAGATTTTGTTGACATAATCAAGTTAAGATGAGGTCACACAGGATTAGGATAGGCCCTAAATCCAATGACTGGTGTTTTTACAAGGAGGGGATTTGGGGACACAGAGATATACCGGGAAGAAGGAGGAAGTCAGTCAGAGAATTGCGTTATACGGAGTTGTACTGCTACCAGCCAAGAATGCCAATGACTCCCAGTAACCATTAGAAGCTAGAAGGGGGGAAGAAGAAATCTCACTAGAGCCTTCAGAGAGAATATGGCCCTGCTGAAACATTGATTTCAGACTTAAAGCCTCCAAAACAGTGAGTGACTAAATTATGGTTGTTTTAAGCCACCCAGTTGGTGGCAATTTGTTATGGCAGGTTTACAAAACTAATGCACTCTGACATCATGTCTACCTGGAATGTGTGCTGTCTTCTTTGTCTAGCTCAATCCTACTGACCACCAAGACCCAGTCAAAAGCTACTTGATTAATTATGTTGACATTAAAGTGCAAACATAAAAAATTAAATTTAATCTATGAATTCAGCAAAAAATAGCCAGACTAATTTTTAAGAAATATTATATACATACTCCTAGATTTTAGATATCCTAAATAATGCCTACTATTTAAAAAGCTATTTATTTTCACTTTTGACTTTTTCTACTTTACATATTTTTTATCTCAATGATGGTAGAGTTTTTATCTTAGAGGATCTTTTCAGAGTGCTTAATATTGTATTCTGTCAGTTTCATTTGCAAACAGAACTCTGGGAAAATTTTGTGGTCTGAAGAGAAAAGTCTAAAGCTAACCTGTGTAAATAAACTTCTTACTAAATTTTAACAGCAATAAAGTCAATAAAAGATATACACACATTTCTCAAGAACGTGAGCACTGAAGTAGTACATACTTGCTCCAAATGCTAGTTTGGGACACTTATTAACTCTGTTATAAGGGATCAGTATTGGTCACCTTTTCCGTGCTTCACCTTCTTCATATATTGTGTGGGTTGAGATTCTA
Source organism: Homo sapiens (assembly GCF_000001405.40). Taxonomy (NCBI): domain Eukaryota; kingdom Metazoa; phylum Chordata; class Mammalia; order Primates; family Hominidae; genus Homo; species Homo sapiens. The sequence goes on from NC_000012.12 coordinate 81,378,904, forward strand.
ATATGTAGCACATAGCATTGTTGTTAAGAATCAGGAAGTGCTTTGTATGGTGTCTCATGCAGAAAACACCCTCGATAAATAATAGCTGTTATTTATTATTAATTACTATTATGTACACAATTAGATGATCTCACTCTATGACGTAGATTACATGCAGGAATTTTTGCATTTTGTAATTTTGGTACTGCATTTTTTGATTCAGTGATTCATGTGGGAGATTCAATTTTTAACTGCAGGCTGTGTTGCCAAAAATAAACTGGATTTACAAGTCAGAGAAATAGCTTTTCCCTCTGTCATTTGAAAAATTCTGAAAGAGGAAGCTTTTTCTAGTCCCTAAAACTTGCTACCTACAAAAAAAATGAGAAAAAATAAAGATTCAATGATCTCTTGACCTGAAGTTCATGTATAAATTGGATTTTGTTCATATTTAATAAATATAACTCTCTGGTAATTTAGATCTATTAAAGTGAAAAATATAACTACATGTTTCAGATAACAGAAAAGGCAACACTGAGATGTATTTAATTCATTTAATCACATAGTGAAATTCTGAAGAACTGTTAATAGGAAGTTGGAAATACAGGATGGTTTTATTCACAAAACAAAATGTAATTAAAATACTCCACTGAAAATTTTAGCTACTGGCACAGCTATGTATTTGATATATCATTATCCATACACAATTAATAATCCTTTTGATTAAAAACTGGAGAGATAATCCACTTGTATGAGATTGTCTATTTTTCTAATTTGAGTGCTGTGTCTAGCTTTAATCCAACTCACGTATTCTTCCTAGATCAAAATCAATTTAAGGAGTTTTGTTTGAAGACAAAATGTAAAATGAAATTAAATTTTGGATAATTTCTTTTTTGACAAAGAAAAATTACAAAAGTATATTCTGAAGCCATCAGTGGAACATATTTATAAATTAGATTGGTGCAAAAGTAATTGCAGTTTTTGCTATTCAAAGTAATAGTTAATTTTAGATACCTTAGAATGTCCTCACATGCAAAGCAAATTATATTTCTGTTTTTTATTATATGGTTGTTTTTTCTTATTTCCTAATTTTTACTCAATTATTACAACATACATTTATTACCTGTACAATTTATAAATCATACTATGCTAGCAATGCTATAGGAGTATCAAGAAAAACGAGCTTATTTTTTTCTACTAAGAAACTTGCAATCCGTGGCTTATGCCTATAATTGCAGCCCACTGGGAGGATGAGGTGGGAGGATCCCTTGAACCAGGAATTTGAGACCAGCCTAAGCAACATAGTGGGACCCTTTCTCTACAAAAAACACAAAAATTTTCCAGACATCGTGACATGTGCCCTGTAGTCTTAGCTACTCCAAAGGCTGAGGTGAGAGGATTGCTTGAGCCTAGGAGTTCGAGGTTGCAGTGAGCTGAAAACACTACTGCACTTCAGCCTGGACAACAGAGCAAGACTCTTTCTCTAAAATAAATAAATAATATTTTAAAAGAATAATTAAGAAAAGGAAAAGAAACTTGCAATCCAGTTGACTCTATGTGACCATAACCCGGAAAAATATTATTCAGGAAAATAAAAGCTTTAAGTGCTAAGTAATTTGTTTTTTAAGTACGTGATTTTCACATCTTCCTGCTTATTGAAAAAAAAAGATCCAAATATTGATTATTTAGAGGACAGTTATGTTGTAGCTTCATTTTATGATAGTTGCTATCACTGAATTATTTATTGTGCTGTGTTGATTTTGGAAGCAGTTCATAGTGGAAGAAGCACAGGTTTTGAAGCCATGCTGATCTTATTTCTCTTCCGTGCTGCCGAGGAGGGAACTGCATAGATCTTTGGCAAGTTACTTTACCTCACTGAACCTTGTGGGTCTCATCTGAGAAAAATGGAGATAATAATTAGCATTGCCCCTTTTGCCAGTTGTGAGGAATTTGAGACTTTCCATGTAATACACCCGTAATAGTTTTCACATGTGACTCGTCCTTAAAAAATCTTTCATAAACCATGGGCCTGGGTCTTGAGACCTGAATATTTCAGAATTCGTTTATTTAGCTTTCACAGTGCTGTGTGTGTGTGTGTGTGTGTGTGTGTGTGTGTGTGTGTGTATACAAAAAAAAAAAAGTGATGCATGCAGTAACGCAGGCTGAGTGTAGGCCATTTCACAGGTTTCATCAACGCCATCAGTTCCTACAGTCTTGCACCTGGCACTTTACACTTTTCCATTGCCAGCCTGGCTCTGAAAACATTTGTGTTTGCAACCTCCCTTCAAAGGTGGATGATGAGAGATATTCCTTTCTCAGGAAACTCTTCTAAAATATATACATAGAAACGATGGGGCTGATAAGAGTAGTTGTATTTTAAAATAATTCCACATGAAAGGAGAACGTTTTGCCCATTAGAATGGATTCTTAATAAAAGAACACCTGGCATCATAGGAGTGACATTTTCCATCTGACTGGGTGTTTTGTTACCTACATTCAGAGGCTATTAGTATCAAGGAGTTATTTTTAAATAGGCAGTTAGAAAATGGGGATTGAATGTTGGGCCTTACCTGTAAGTGATGCTGGATTAGATAAGCATTAATAGAGCAATGAGTACTAAGATGAAAGGAAATCATCTAAATCTCCAGGGCCAAGAGAATGAAGATGGAGAGAATGAACAACAGACCAAGAAGTGAGCCCGGTGATTTGATAGCCAGAAATCCTAGTAATTCCTTAACAGTGATACAGAAGAGGGGTTAAACTGCCTTTACTTTATGAATTCTCTGAGTTTGAATTGTGGGGAGTAGTGAAGAGAAGAGATGCATCCATGAACTATTATATTAATTCATAAAAAGTTGTATCATTATCTGTGCTGCAGTGGAGCAGTCTACCACTTCATGGTTCATCTATCTCTTTTTTTTGTTTTGTTTTGTTTTGTTTTGCTTTCAGGCATTGTCGTAGTACATATTCTGATATCATTCACACCTTCTGATATTTACTTATAAATATCTATTCTTTCAGCAAAGATTTTTTGAGTGCCTATTATACAATCAATAGCTGCGCAGGTTCTCTGAAGACAGCAGTGAACAAAACAAGAAAAAAACCCTAGCTCTTATAGATGTTTACGAATAGTTGGGGTGGGAGGCATATGATAACCAAGTATATCAGTAAAATATACATTGTGTCAGGTGATAGAAAGTCCTGTGGGATAAGCAAACAAAAGAAGAGGGAGAGTGTATATGTGTAAATAACAAGGTCAGGGGACATTTCACTGAGAAAACAACATTGAACAAAAGGCAGAGAGAAAAGAAAATGTAACAAAACAGGTCTGGCTTGCTTAAGAGGTCACTCCAGTTGAGCAGAGCATGTTAGGATGAGACAGTAGATGATCTCCAAGAGGTCAGGAAGGTGGTAGTAGAGAGATTGTACATGGCTTGTAGACCACTGTGAGGGTTTTGATAATAGTGTAAGTAGAATAGGTAGTCACTGAAAAGTTTTAAGCAGAAAAGTGACATGAACTGACTTATAGGCAGGCTGCTCAAGCTGCTGTGTTGAGCACAGACTGAGGTGAGCTGAACGCATGAGCAGGAAGACCAGGAAACAGATGACCATTGAAATAATCCAGTGAGAGAAAGTGATTGTGTAGAAAAAGCAAAAGCCATGAAGATTCTGAGAAGAGGTCCCATTATGAATACTTTGAAATTGTAAATAACAGGATTTACTGCTGAATCAAAGCAAGTGTGTGAGGGGAGAGATCTTAAGGACAGCTTCAAGATTGTTGGCCTGAGCAACAATAATAATGGATAAGGAAGACTGCAGGAGGGTCTGGTTTGCTGAGAAAATATCAAGAAAAGAGTCTGAAGTGCTAATTTTGAGATATCCCTTAGTGACTGAGAGAGAAACATCTGGAAATCAGGAAAGAAGGACAAGTTGGAGATATTAATTGGGAATCCTAAGATGATGGTGGCTTTTGGAGCCATGAGACTGCAGAAATTCACCAGGGAAATAAAGGTAGGTAGAGAAGGGAAGACACTCCAAGGTCGGGGAGGAGAAATAGAAGCAGTAAAGGAGCCTTCGAAGAGGTAAGCAAGTAAATACGGATGAAAACCAGAAGAGGATAATGTGCTATGAGCCCAGTGAAGAAGTCCTCTGGAAAATGGATCAAGTGCTTCAGAAGACTGAGAATTGAACCTTGGATTCAGTAACATGGAGGTCAGTAATGACTTTTATGAGAAGAGTTTTGGTGGAACAGTCAGGGAAAAAGTAAGATACAATTGGCTTACGAGAGAATGGGAAGAAAAGAATTGGACACATAGAATAGGGCCAACTTGATGAACAACTAGCTAGTTATATACAAAAGATACTTTTAAAAGATAAAAATACATTTAAAAGAATATGTAAAAATGGAAAAGGCAAAAAGTCAGAAAACGCAATTTCCACAAATATAATTTTCTTTTCAGTTGTGACTGAAAAGGTGAAAAAGTGAAAAGATTCTAAACTTTCACCTTAGCAGGTAAAATGATTTGACAGTGTTACAAATTAAACATCTCCTAGTATTTTTTTTTAGTAACTTAAAGTACTCTCTTCACTTGATATTAGCCAAGAGACTGAGAAATGACTAAAGTACTCATTTTTTTAAGTAGAAAAAGGGATGTTATGTCTAACAGGAATTTAATATATAGACAAAGAAAGGTCATGTTATACATATGCGTGTATATGTATATTAACAGAGATACATTCCCCTTCATGACACAAAACCAAAATAAGCAATGGAACAATTTAAGGCATTTTTGTAGTATTCCTATATGCTAAGAGTATAGCAATTCATGATTCATACACATATCTAGAGTTATTTAAAATTAAAAGCTTACATTTAAAAAATTTTATTAACAGCTTCAGAATGTCTTTGTTATATCTGACCCTTGATAGCACAAATTTCTTTCCATATATCATGGGCATTTAAAATGCTCATGAAGTAAACTATGTTTGCGCTATTGAACAAGTTTCATAACTAATATAATGCATGCCAAAGTATGGTCTTTTGAGAAGTAAAAAGTGTATGGTCATTACGGGAAATTATGGAAACAGTATCTCAGAAGCAGCATTCAGAAATCAAAGACTGAAAGTGGCATGAATCACTTACCTCCCTAATGTCCCTTTGATACTTGGTGTTCATTTCTTCTGTTTTAATGAGATCCTTTCTTGCTGTCTCTGCTTCCTGTTCCACCTCTCCCACTCGGGAAGAAAGGGCTGCTAAACGTTCTTTCATCTGGGCCATTTCATAGTTTTGCTTTTCAAGCAATTCTTGTAGTTCAACTATTTGACTAGTTTCATCGGTTGAGTCTATAGAACCATTGGACAAACGCTGCAGAAATAGAAAAAGAAATGGCACTTAAGAATTTTCATCTTTAATTTAAAATTTAAAATAAACTTAAAGAAATTAAACTGACACTGCTTTCACAGTGAGAAATAAGAAATTCTGAAAAGAACTAGTTTTGCCGAAAAACTAAGTTTCTAAGGAAACTGTTAATTGACATTAAAATATGAAGGTAGATCAGTAATTTTCAAACAGTTTAATAGATGTATTTGAAATATGCTATGCTATGCTCTCTCTATATATAAAACATAGCATAAAACATTGATGTATCCTAAACATTTAAGTGTTAGCTACTATTTTATAAATTAGATATATAATTTATTATTAATTTACAATGCTATGATATAACACCATACATTATTTTTAATTAATGGGTAAGGACCTATAAGGTGTACAATTTTAAAATTTTTCTTCAAGATCCCTTGTAAATTTTTAAGTTTTATTTTCAATGATGCCCAGAAGAATAACTTACCAAATATTTTTTATCAAAGATTATTCCTGCTGTGAATCTGACCTAGCTGGAACAAACATATAGTATAGAAAAGTTTTTATTTCTATATTGCTATTAACATAAAATCATGTGTGCACACAACTCACAGGAAGGAGGTTGAAAGGGGTTAAATATTTTGAGAGCTGATTTTTCTTCTTTCCGAAAGGACTGCTTAGAAACCAGGGTTTTCTAAAAATATGTCTTCAGAAGTATGCCCTACAGCTAAAGTCCGAAATATATAAACAACTCAAACAACTCAATAGAAAGAAAATAAATCCCCAGATAAGAAACAGGGAAGAGACCTGAATAAACATTTCTCAAAAGAAGACATACAGATGACCAGCAGATACATGAAAAAATGCTCAATACCAACAACGCATCAGGAAAATGCAAATTAAAACCACGATGAGATATCACTTCATACCTGTTAGAATGGCTATTAGCAAAAAGCCAATAAGTGTTGGTAAAAGAATAAGAATGTGGTAAAATGGAACCCTTGTATGCTACTAGTAAAAATGTAAATTAGTATAGCCACTACAGAAAAAGGTATGAGAGTTCCTCAAAAAATCAAAATTATCATATGATCCAGAAATCTCACTTCTGGGTATATAACCAAAGGAATTGAAATCACTGTGTGGAAGAGATATCTGCACTCCTATGTTCAATGCAAAATTATTTACAATAGCCAAGAAACGGAATCAACCTAACTAAGTGTCTATCAACGGATGAATGGATAAAAGCGAGTGTGGCATACATACACAATGAAATCCTATTCAGTTTCTAAGAAGAAGGAAATTCTGTCATTTGTGACAACATGGATGAGCCTGGAGGACATTATTCTAAGTGAAATAAGCCAGGCACAGAAAGACAAATACTTCTTCACCTCGCTTATCTGTAGAATCTAAAAAGTCAAACTCATAGAAGTTGATAGAAGAATGGTGGTTGCCAGAGGCTGGAAAAAAAGGATAGCTGTGATGAGTTAATGGGAGATGTTAGTCAAAGAGTAAAATAATTCAATTATACAGTAAGAATAATGGTCTATTACACAGCATGATAGCTACAGTTAATAATAAATAATACATTGCTAGAAGAGTAGATTTTAAGTGCTCTCACCACAAAAATGATAAGTGAGTGAGTGATGGATATATTAACTTGATTGAATCATTCCACATTGTATACATATAGCAAAACATTACATTGTAACTCACGAATATGTACATTTATTATTTGTCAATTAAAAAGTAAAAGGCCTGGTGTTGTGGCTCACTCTTTTAATCCCAGTGCTTTGGGAGGCTGAGGCAGGAGACTGCTTGAGGCGATGAATTTGAGACCAGCCTGGGTGACATAGCAAGGCCTCATTTCTAGAAAAAAATTAAAAAAAAAAAATAGGGTGTGGTGGCATGCACCTGTAGTGCTAGCTGCTCAAGAGGCTGAGGCAAAAGGATGGCTTGAGCCTAGGAGTTTGAGGCTGTAGTGAGCCATGATCATGCCACAGCAATCCAGCATGGGCAACAGAGCCTTACAACCTTTAAATAAATAAATAAATAAATAAATAAATAAATAAATAAATAAATAAGAAAAGAAAAGAAAGTATGGGCTGTATGTGGTGGCTGGCTCTTGTAATCCCAGTATTTTGGGAAGCTGGGGTGGGAGGATCACTTGAGGCCAGGAGTTTGAGACCTGCCTGGGCAACATGGGGAGACTCCAACTCTAAAAAATAGGAAAATTAGCCAGGTGTTGTGGCACGCACCCATAGTCCCAGCAACTAGAGAGGCAGAGGTGGGCGGGTTGCTTAAGCCCAGAAGGTCCAGGTTGTAGTGAGCCATGATTGCATTAGCGCACTCCAGCCTGGGTGAAAGAGTGAGGCTCTGACCAATAGTAATAATGATAATAATAATAATAATGATAAATAAAAGTATGCTCCTCAGCCTAGCTACTTTGGAGAAGTTTTGTAGTGAGGACGGTGCAGCAATTTGGGAGAAATAACTAAGAGAAAAAGAACATAAGTAGAAACAAAAAGTATGGAGAGAAAATACAGAAAGTACAGTCATTTCCGCTCATGTTTTCAGCACTTGTTTAAAAACATGAATTTGTTTCAACATGATAGATATATTATAAAACAATTTCAATGTAATGCAAATTTTTTTAATATGCAATTTTGTTCCTGAGAAGCACTGGCTAAATACAGAAAACCACACCTGGCTGAAACAAGCCACATAGGAACACATAAAATGCACACATGCCCATTCCTCAAATATCTAAAACTGACCTCAATGCCCCTTGTATGTCATAAATTTGCCCATCGACACCTGTGTTACAACTTTCTGATTTCAGATACCTTTCCTTCTACCACTTCACAAGAAATGAAAGCCTTTAAGTCTTCTAACACTTCTACAAGCAAACTTCAGCTCTTTCTCGGGGAAAAAAAAATACTTATCACTGTATTTGTGCTATCTCCAACTATTTAACAGGTGTAAAATTGTGCTACCATTTTTATTAGCTTTTTTACTTTTATTTTAATGTGACACTGATAAAGTTTTTAGTGTTGTGCCATAAACTTCATTACCCCCTTAAGCCCTGTGATTTTTATTGCACAATATTGCATAGTTCATGATATTTAGGAATGCAAATGACACATAGAGTAGAATGGACTATAGAAGAATGAGAAGAACAGAAAGCATCATGAAAGCAGTGAGAAAGATAAAACACAGAGAAAGGAAATGCAGGCAAATGGCAAGAAGTACTGTAAGTCCAATAACCTAAACAATGTGAGAGTGTGGAGAAATAGCTGAGAGAATCAAAATTAAAAGAGCAGAGAAAGATAGAGACAATTGCCTTTTTAAAGTTGACTAGAGGAATTTCTCAATGTGAGAAGGTAGAAGTTCTAATAAATCTTATGGTGGTCTAGTTACTTGTAGACTTTATACAGGATTTGAAGATATTTAAAATTATGGCAAAACCCCTCTAAAATCAGTTATCATACCTCAGTTATCTCAAATTTGGAAATAACTGACTGGCAATTGGTTCCACCCATCTTCCCTAATCCAGATCTTGGGTGCTGCCTAATGATTATAAACTGGCCTTTCTGAGTTCAGTGTACAGATAGTTGTGTACTGTAGAAGTTCACAATTCCCTCCCTCTAAGAGCAATTCCCAGAGAAATGTTCAGCTCTGATCCTTCAACCAGCAACATTTCCAGCAGAAAGGGGAATACAGACTCTAAAGGGAAATGTGATTAATGAACTGCAGTATGCACTCCAACATTCCCACATATTCGTAGCAGCACTTACCCCTTTTATTAAATAGAATTTGGCACCCAAAATACAGGAGTTCTATGTTCAGATATGGAATGATATCTTCAAAGAATTAGGTCTGTAGATTCAACTTGTATCTTAAGAGACAATTTAGTAACCAACAGGGATTCCTTGGAAATAACGTTTACATACTATAAATAAAAGTACAATGCAATCATGCTAAATAATTAAATTCAAACACACTTCTTAAAAATAGAAGAAACTATTGTACTCTTGGGGTAAACAAATATAACTTGATATGCTTGTACAATGAAAACAAACATATTACTGATCTCTCCAATACAATGAATGAATCACAAAAACATTAAGCTGAGAAATAGAAAGTAGATACAAAAGAGTACATAATGTGTGATTCAATTTATTTGAAATTCTAGAAAAGATCATCCTAATCTATCATGGCAGGAAAACAGATTGGTTGTTGCCTGGGCTGGGAGTTGGAATGGGGGAGGTGGGGTTGACTTCAAGGGGGCATGAGAGCACTTCTAAGGTTTATGGGGATGTTCTTTATCTTGATTTGGGTGTTTACGGAGGCACATATATTTATCAAAATTGACAGAATTGTGCACTTAAATTGTATGTTACTTGTACATTAATACATTTGCTTAAAAGCCTATAAAAACCTTGAAAAACAAATTTTTATTTTGAAAAATGTTTCATAGAATTGAAAAATCATATTTAAGATTCTAGAGCTCTGAAGAATTTTGGAGAAACTGAGACTCAGGTAATCACATAGAGGTGATCTGAATTAAAATGCAGAACTTTTATTCCCAGTTCAGTTAATTTACGCTTTACCACATTGCCTCTAATCAGAACATATAAATCAACAGGATAAAATTATATATGACGCATGGTATAGGCATGTACCAAGCAGGTACCAAGCATCCACACACCATTATATATATATATATCACTCACACACCCCAAGCCCCAGACAACCACTAACTACTTTCTGTCACACAGATTCGCTGTTCTGGACTTTTCACAGAAGTGGAGCCGCTGAACATGTGTTCTTTCGTGACTAGTTTTATGCACTGAGCATGATGTTTTTGAATTTTATTCAATATTTTATATATATATATATATATACACACACACATATATGTATTCAGTGGAGTTTATATATATACACATATATTATATATATATAATATTGATAAATATTTATTTGGTGCAAATGAACGATATTTATTTTCTAATTTGAAAAATGTTTGTTCCAATTCTGTGCACCTGCGCTCCATTAAAATCTTGTTAATGCACTTAACAAGAAAATTGCATACTTTTAAATGGGCTCAAGGTAAGAGAAATTTAACTAACTATAGATAGTAATCAGGCAATTAAAATAAAACGCTTTTAAAATGTTAACTTTTTAAATTCCATTAAGCAGTAAATGTTCACTGCATAGTCTTTATGCTACTGTGTTGGGATTACCCATGAGGAGATTTTAAAACTCTCAATTTTTATTCCATAGTGTTTATGAAACTTGCATTTGCAGAAAATATATAATCTTTTATTTGTTCTCATTACCTTAAATAGATTGTATCGTGAGCTTACTGTGTGTCTTAATAATATCAGAATAAAAAGTCATATTAAAACTGTGATTTATATCTTAGAAAAAGATCTTGTTTTTGTTCCAAACCATTGTTAACTTGACTTACCTTTAAAATAAATTGTGGCACTTTAATTTAAATGACAAATGGCTGTATTAAAAGTCAGTACTTATTTTAAGCAGCTCTACTGGGATATAATTTACACGCCATAAAACGCACCCTTTAAACATAAAAAGTTCAGTGGAGTTTAGTATACTTACAGAGTTGCGCAACTATCAACATTAGTTAATCTCACATTTTTTCACCCTTAGTGGAAATCTTATAATTATTAGCAATCACTGACACACCCCCAGCCCCAGACAACCACTAACTACTTTCTGTCATACAGATTCGCAGTTCTGGACTTTTCACAGAAGTGGAGTTGCTGAACATGTGTTCTTTCGTGACTAGTTTTATGCACTGAGCATGATGTTTTTGAATTTCGTTCAAGTACCGTAGCATGTTATCCACACCTCATTTCTACATTGATGAATAGTATTCCATCATGGGGATATATTACATGTTATTTATATATTCATCAGTTGAGGGACATTAACGTTGTGTCCACCTTTTGGCTACTATAAATAACTGCCGTGAACTTTTGTGTATAAGTCTTTATACGGACAAATGTTTTCAGTTCTCTTGGATCGATTCCTAGAGTAGAATTGATGGACCATATGACAATTCTATCTTTAACATGTTGAGGAAATGTTTTCCAAAGTGGTTGCACCATTGTACATTCCTACCAGCAATGTATGAGAGTTCTAATTTTCCACATCTTCACCAAAACTTATTATTGTCTATCTTTTTATTTCAGCTATTCTAGTGGGTGCAAAGTGATATTTCCTTATGGTTTGGATTTGCATTTCCTAATAACTGATGAAGTTGGACATCTTTTCATGTACTTATTGTTCATTTGTATATCTTATTTGGAGAAATGTCTATTTAAATTATTTGCCTTCATATTAATTGATTTACATGTATTTTTATTGTTGATTTACATGAATTTTTTACATATATTTTGATTCAAGTATTTTATGAAACATATGGCTTGAAAATAGCTTTTCTCTATTCTGTAGACCATCTTTTCACTTTCTTTCATGATAGTATTCTTTGAATTTCAAATGTTTTTAATTTTAAGAAGTTCCAGTTTATCATTTTTTTTTCTTTGTGGCTTGGGCTCACGGTGTCATTTCTAAAAAATCAATCCCCAACAGAAGGTCATAAAGATTTTCAATTTTTTAAAGCAGTACAAGTATATATTTGAAATTATTAATGATCAAATACAATGGTGTCTCATATGTTAAATTTTAAAATATATATTTATATTTACTCATTCATCAATATTTATTAATCACCTACTTTGGTGTCAAGTGGAAGATAATAAGTTTTAGAATGTTTTAAAAGGTGATAATACTTTTCTGACATCAAGGCAATTCTATCAAGCAAAGAAGTAATACACAAATAGGCAAGGATATGCATTGCAATAAAGTATTATCATAAAGTTTTATTTTGCTTCATATTTATGTGTGGGAGCAGAAAGCAGAGAATATCTTTGTGATATCCTTTGAGTTGGGTCTTCAAAGATGAGTTATTATATTTCAAGTAAAGGAAAGGAGGGGAGTACTTATTCTAGGAGCAGAAAATAACATGAGCAAAGGGAGGGGGATATCCCTGAAGAATAATTGTAAGTCGTCCTGTATGCAGAGCAGAAAACATGTGCTATAAGGAAATGGTAAAATATGAGACTTGACAGGGAAGGCCAGCATAGATTACGATGGCCTTTGTTTTTCCATACTGAATAGAATAAACTTTGGGTACCAGATAGAATGACAAGGAGCCATCAAAGTTGTTTGAACAGGGAAGTAACATGTAAAACTGTGCAAGTAAACTGTTACTCTGTCATCACAAACCCGGTAATTCAGATAAAGCCATTCCTATCTGTAATGGATAATTTTTGCTTGTTTGTTCAATATCCTCACAGCTAGGGTTGCCAGATGAAATATAGGATGTACAGTTAGATTTGAATTTTCAATAAACAATGAAAAACTTGAGTGTAATGATGTCACATGCAGTATTTGGGTCAAGCTTATACTAGGGGAATTGATAATGAAAAGAAAGCATTGAGCTAAACCCTGCAATACAAGCATAAATCATGCAGTTTTCTGGCAGAGGAAACAGAAAGATCAAAGACAAAGTGACACAAGTGGGTTTAGGATTTTCAAGGAGACCATTGTAGCTAGAATGGACTGGACTAAATAAAGCAAGAGGGTGGGAGTGGATATAGATGGAAATATGATGTGTGTTCTTGAGATCATTTTAAGACTGGCTTTTGCTCAAGGTGATATGAAAACTATAGGAAGGTGTTGAGCAGAGGAGTGACATGATTTCACTTACATTTTCGATGGATTCCTCAGTCCTCTTATAAAAGACAGGACAAAAAAAGGAATTTAAGAAAATGAATTAAGAGGTGAAAAATTACGTTGGCTTAGACCAGGGTAATAGGACTAAAGGTTATAAAAGGGGTCATATTCTTTGAATGGATTGAATATGATATGGGACAAAAAGCATAGACTCAAGGATGACTGCAAGATTTGTAGTCTTCGATTAGAAAGATGGAGTTGCTATTTTTTGAGAAGAGAAAATCTGTAGGAGAAGCAGATTTGTGGTTAGGATGGGGCAAAATCCTGGACTGGGTTTTGAAAACAATGTTTGAAATGACTAATTAGATGTCAAAATAAAGGTGTCAGGCAAGCTATTGTATAAGCCCACAGTAAAGAATAGTGAATATATGGATGTTTTCTGCAAGCAGCTATAACATTGGATGAGATCACCTGTGGAGTGAAGTAGGGGGTCGTCAAAGATGACTAATAACGTCTTTGTAGAACTCTCTTCAATTGTTACTTTATCAGAAAGGCCTTTCACCCCTGCCATATTATATATTTACAAAATATGTTTGTTGTCTTTCTCACCTACCAAAATATATATTCCTAAAATTTTTATCTCTATTAAAAGTTTAAATCTTAACTTATATATTATTGTACATTCAACTGCAATACAATTTTCACACTTGGCTGTCAAACAGACTTTCCAAACTCAATATGTTTAAAATCTGTGTTCAGAACGTGCTTCTCCCCCAAATATGTTTTGCTTTAATTCATCCCCAACTCAATTAGTGAGAACTTCACTTTTTCACTTTCTCCAAAAACGGTGGAGTCATCCTTGAGTTCTCTCTTTTTCTCCCATCTTTTATACAATCTATGAGAAAAACTTGTTGGCTTTCTTTTCACAAAATATGTGAATGTGACCCACTGTCATGACCTCCACCATTGTCACCCTTGTCTGGGTCATCTACTCTCCTTTGAATTACTGTAACAATCTTGTAACTGGTTCTTTTTTTCTAACCTTGTTTCTTATTTTCATTCTTATAGCAGTCAGACTGATTCATGGTGATCCTGTTACATTGCAGTTAAGTGAATATTCCCATGATAAATGTTAATAATTATCAGAAATATAAAAAATAGCTAGGTCCCACATTACAGCATGAAATAAACATGTTAATGATTGATAGAGAAAAACATTCATCTGTGAAATTCTTACTCTGTATAGTTTGAAGAGATGAGAAGTGTGTATATTGAGTTTATTTTGTGTATATTGAGTTTATTTTTTTCTTTAGAGAAAGTCATCAAATTGAAAGCTTTCAAATGTTTTGTTGCTATTGTTGTTCATCTATAAAATAAAGAATCAACACTAGAGTGGATCTTTCTTCCTGGATGAATTACCAAGTAGTCCTTTTAGATGTGTAAATATAAGTCAAGTAGGCTCCCACATCCCAAGGAAGAATATTTAATAGAACCCTGACAAAAAGTGTCTCCTCTACTGTGTCTTGATATTAAGAGAGTGGAGGAGGAAGATATTTGACATAAACCAGGAAACTTCAGGAAGGAGAGGAAAAAACAGATTGCTCCCCTTTCAATTGTGAAGTTCAATGTTTTTCTTAATTCTCTGGTAGACTGACAATTGACTAGATCACAAGGAGTACCAAGAGTCCACAAAGAGAACTTACCATGAGGGAAGTAAGAGTATGAATTTGAACTATGGTCCAACACCCAGTGGTGGTTCTGGCATGGAATCTGAAAGACCTTCCTGGCTCAGTCATCTTGATGAATTTGGGAACATGAGTATGAACCTAAACTTCAACTGGTAAAACTTGGAGAATGGAAAATTCTTCCTGAAGAATCACTTTGGTAGAGGTTGTCACTACTGCTGGTGGAACTAGTTTGGAAAAACTAGGCCATTTATTGGCATAAGATGGTTTAATTTGGCCTGTATGACAGTGGGTTATTGCAGTGGTGCATGGATGGTGTTGGATTTTGAGGGAACACTTGTTTCAAAAGTGATACTTTGAGGGCTAAAAATATGCAATAGCAGTTTTTTAAAAATTTACTCACTTGTTACTTTATCACATTTTCCAGTTATCTTTTCATGAATTGTAAACAAACAAAAAACAAAAACAAACAATCAAACAAAAAAATTCCTTTTTGGTCTGATCAAGTTTTGAAAGTTTTTAGATAACTTAGGCAGAACAACATTGGCCCCAAGAGGCTGGTACCAGACTTACTGTTACTTGGATTACTTGGGCTCTTATATATTTTAGATAGTCAAAAAAGAGCTCAACTTGCCTGTATCCAGGTCACAAAAATTATGTATGTAAAGGATTAATGGTAGGCATAGAAATAATGAACACTAATCAAGTACAACAGAGTTTAATTTATTTTCTATTTTTAAAAATTTCACTTCTGTCAGAGAATCATGCATACAAAAAAAAAATCAAGTTGTTTATCCCTAGGAAAAGAAAAACAGTTCCAAAAGAATATGTGCCATCATTCTCAGCAAACTAACACAGGAACAAAAAACCAAACACCGCATGTTCTCAGTTATAAGTGGAAGTTGAACAACGAGAACACATGGACACAGGGAGGGGAACATCACACACTGGGGCCTGTCAGGGTGTTGGGGGCAAGGGGAGGGAGAGCATTAGGACAAATACCTAATGCATGTGGGGCTTAAAACCTAGAGACAGGTTGATAGGTGCAGCAAACCACCATGGCACATGTATATCTATGTAACAAACCTGCATATTCTGCATGTGTCCCAGAAGTTAAAAAAAAAAAAAAACTGTCCATGAAATCCACTACTTTTGAAAGATGAGTATATTGTATTCTGAAAATACTTCTTAGCAAACTTGTAAATGAAATTCCAAACCTGATAAAAGCTATCTACCAGTTACTATGATAAGCATCACATTAATGAATAGCATTATTATTAAAGTCTATACTTTTACAAGCTTTATATGTCTTGGACAATAACAATAAATGAAAACTGAAAAGGAAGAGAAGAGAAAAGTAAATCCTCCCAATCTGTGTAATTACTTAGAAAATACCAAGAGTATAGCAAACTCTTAGAACTAATAGTTTTGCAAGTTTGCTGTAATCCATATCAATATTGGAAAATCAATAGCATCTTTATATGCCAGTATTAATTTATTAGGAAAAACATATAAAGGAGATAACAATCACAGTAACTATAAATGCCTAGAAATAAATCTAATCATATATAAGATCTCTATGGGAAAAATTAAACAATTTTATTGAAGAACATAAAATAATACACAAATGAATGGAGACATAAGCCATATGTACACATGGTAAAACAGTATACAATAGAGGCAATAACTTCCCGAAGTTAATTTATTAATTTAAGCAATTGCAGTAAAAATCTTGTTGGGGCACAGAAAACGATTCCCCCAAATATGACTTTGGCTTGTTGAGCGCTTTGAAAATTGAAAGGCCTCAGAAATAATCCTTAGAACCAAGATCTGTCTCTGACCTTCCTCTCCTCCCTTTCTCTCTCTCTCTCTCTGGAATTTCCTTATCTGACTGAAAACACTTCTTTCCACAAGGAATGTAATTGTCTCAAGATTCCCCTCTTCAGGAATCCTGTCAGATTAACCACTAGAGAAGAGCAGAAATTGGGAGTCGTCATGCCAAGACAGATTTATAATCTGTTCTTCAGAGGACAGCTCCCAGAGATTACCCAGGGGACTTAATCTGCAATAATAAAGCAATATTTATTCCTGCACAGTCTTTCCCCTTACTTTCCTTTAATTTGTCAGTCCCACCCAGCTTCCAAAAAGAATCATTTGCAAAATGTCTGCCTCCTGAATCCATACATATCTCCTATGTCGAGAATATTTAAGCATCAGCCCTCTGGCCCCTCTTCCAGTCTAATACATTGTAAATGGCAGTTATATCCATATGCGTGTTAAAATAAGTTTTGTGTGCCTTTTTTCACATTAATCTGCCTTCCCTCAATTCATTTTCAGCAAACCTTTAGAGGGTGGAAGAAAATTTTCTCCTTGGCCCCTACAATCTCAACAGAGTTGAAAAATGGAATTTGAAAAGTTGATATTATAATTAAGCTCTAAGAATCAAGATTTATAAAGTTAATCATTAAAACAGTGTGATATTTATTTCTTATTCTTGAACACGTATTTATTAAGTGTTCATCATGTTCTAGGAACTATTCTAGGTACCTGAGCTTCATCAGGAATAAAACAAGGATCCTAACTTTTATGGAGGTTATTATCTAACTGGGCTGGCAGACAATACATTACAGACATTATAAATAAGTAAAGCATATAAACACATGCTGTGCTATAATACATTACTATGTTAGAATATGTTATGACATTTGAACAAAGACTGGATGGAAGTGGGGAAGTTAGCCATGTATCTGGAGGAAAGGCAATTCAGACAAAGGAAAGAGGAAATCAAAAGTCAACAGGAGGCCAGTGTGGCTGGGGTGGATTTGGATGTGAAGTCAGAAGATAAAGACAGTGAGATTTATGTAGAGCCTTGTGTAAGTGGAAAGAAGTTGCAGAGTTTTGAGCAGACGATTGATGTGTTCAGATATATGGTTTAAAACATCACTCTTGTATCAAAATATCACATGCACCATATAAATATGCATAATTAGAATATATCCATAGACATTTTTTTAAAAATGAAAATGAACAGATTACTCTGATTCATGCTGTTTTAAAAATAGACTGGAGATGGCCCATGGGAGAAGCAGAGAGACCTCATAAAAAGTGATTGATTACAATAATTCAGCTGAGAGATGACAGTGGTTCAAAACAGAGTGATCAATGGAAGTGGTAGGATTCTGGATATATTTTGAAGGTAGAGTAAATCAAATTTCTTTATAGTTGGATGGGAGGTGTGAGACATAGGGAGGATGTGAGAGTAATTCCAAATTCTTTAGCTTGAGCAACTGGAAAGGCAAAGTTTTCATCATGTAAACTGGAGATGATGGATCAAATTTTTTAAGGGGGGATATCAAATACGTAAGCTTTTGATATTTTAAATGTGCAAAGTCTTTTAGATATACAAGTGGAGATGTTCGATTGTGGCTGGATATATGCATTTGGTTGTAGGGTCTGAACTAGAGGTAAAGATTCATAAATTATTAGTATATGAATAGGATGAGATTGATTGGAATCATGGAGAGAGTGTAGGTAGAGAACATGTGGAGGGCTGAGCCCTGGGGTGAAGAAAGAAAGAGAAGAAGAGAAGAAACTGGGAGTTGTCATGCCAAGACAGACTTATCATCTGTTCTTCAGAGAGCAGATGCTCCAACATTCAGAAGTCAGAGGGAGGAAAATAGATGGAGATGTAGCCACTGGTAAGTAAGAGGAAAACAATGTAGTTTCCTGTAATGCAAGTGAAGAAGTATATGAAGGAAGAAAACTATTAACTATGTCATATACTGCTGAGACATCAACTATAGCAAGGCCTGAGAATTGGCCTTATATTTAGCACTATAAATTTAGTGATGACTGTAGCAGGAGTGGCTTCTGTGCTATGGTGGGGCAAAACCTTATTGAAATAGGTTTATAAGGGATTTTAAAATGTGGGGCCAAAAGATAATTTTTTTTAAGTTAGGGAAACTTTGTATATTATAAGAATACAGTCGACCAGGGGTGCCCACGTTCCAAGCCATGGACATGTACTGGTCTGTGGCCTGTTTGGGACCAGACTTCTCAGTAGGAGGTAAAGGTGTGAGCAAAGCTTGATCTGTATTTACAACCACTCCCTATCACTTGCATTACCGTCTGAGCTCTACTTTCTGTAAGATCAGCGGCAGCATTAGATTCACAAAGTAGTGTGAACCCTATTGTGAACTGTCCATTCGAGGGATCTAGGTTGTGCACTCCTTATGAGAATCTAATGCCTGACTATCTGTCACTGTCAGACAGGACCATCTAGTTGCAGGAAAACAAGCTCAGAGCTCCCACTGATTCTACATTATGGTGAGTTGTATAATTATTTCATTATATATTTCAATGTAATAATTTAAATAAAGTGCAAAATAAATGTAATGTGCTTGAATCATCCTGAAACCATCCCCAACCACACCCCCAGTTGGTGGAAAAATTGTCTTCCACAAAACTGGTTCCTGTTGCCAAAAACTTTGGGGACCATTGGAGTAGACAAAGAAAAGAAAATGATGGCAAAGGAAAGAGCAGTAAAATTTGCTGGGGAAATATACTTGATTAAATGTTTGCTGAAGACATTACACATGGTGTAACAAAGTTTTCTTTGACTAGGCTTTTTTGAAATTTTTGTAAGCCTCATGCTCAGTCTAATAAACTCTTCCATCCTCTTAGAAACATGGACAGGTTTAAGACTTTGCTTAAAGTAAATAATCTTATATTTTGAAATCTATAAAATCAGGTAGTTTTTATGCTGCCTTTTCCCTCCATAGTTCACATTTATTCTTTACTTACTTGTTACCTGTTTATCTCCAATCCCCCTGTTCATGAGCTACATTACTTTGAGCCATTGATCCTTGCTCTGCAAACCTCACAGGGTTGTTGTTACAGAGATCAAATAAAACAACTCACATAAAGGACTTTATGCTGGTTACTTATCTCATTCTTAAAGACCCGTAGCCGCTTTGTTAATGAGGTTTCCAGACAAGTTTGAAAAACAATTTGGCTAACTTTAAAGGTTAAGCACCAGCATTCCTTAATTCCATATTAAGGCATGTCCTGTTGAATTCTCATTCTGGGATACTCTTATTTCCCTGTGGGTAAAGAGCGTCTCTGGAAACACTACATACTGTGTTTCTTTCTTGACGCTCGACAATACTAAGAGTTAAAATATAAATACTGTAGTACTTACACCAGTTAAAAATTGTACACAACAATATTTCCTAATCTGCTTCTCCTGGGAATTTCATTTGTTGGGTGAGTGGGTCCTATCAAACACCCACTAAATTTCTGGGGAGCTTGTGTTTCATGAGAAATGATGAAATAGATAAATTCTACCAAAGTGAAAAAATACAATTAGATCAACTGAGGAACTTCTGAATGAAAAACTTAAAAATTCTCCTAGCCTTGCTTAACAGATCGCACAAAACAAAACAGAGGAAAAAGAACTTATTCTTGTGTACATCACCAAAAGACAACAGATTCCTTGGCACAAAATGAACCCTCCAATTATGTTAATAAGATAAAGGTAACTGAACAAATTTCCAGTCAGTCAGTCTTTTAAAGTCTTTGGAAATATCCTTCTTCACAAAAAAAAAAAAAAAAAAAAAAAAAAAATTCTGAGTACCTCAAATCCTGGCTAATACAAATGATACTTCTTACTGAAGACAGCAGAGTGGATTTCACTTCATCTTTCCATCTAACAAGGTCTTAGTTAACACACAATAACCCAGTCACTGCACCCAGAGCGATTTGTTTTGAACCTAATGAGTTTCCACACAGCATTAGAAGACTTTTATTTTTGCCATTGCATATAGAAGATTCCAGACCTTTCGTTATGTGCTTCCTCGCCAACTCAGCTTCTAGAAAATTGATACAACTTCATGTATATATGGATAAGCCATGGAAGATCCTAACCTTACTCTTTTGGTCCCTTTTCTAGCCAATCATTGAACCTCTGGGCCAGTCCAGCCCATGTATATCTTTAGACCTGCTCTTTCCAAGTTGGCAAATTCATAAACTCCATTCAGTTTGGTGTTTCACTGCTTGACAATTCAATTGAAGAATAAAGGAGAAACATTCAAGTCGTTATGTTTTGTAAGGAATTAGAATACAATATATGGAATCAATACACAGAAGAAAATATTCTGTGAGTGCAATCCATTTGTAAATAAGCCCAATTATATTTTTGAGAGAGGGAATCAATAATGCATAAAATGAGCTACAGTTGACAAGACTGAATCTTTGAAAGAATGGTTGTTGGCCGTAGTTAACATGTATTGATGAACACAAAAAAATGAACAAAATATAGTCAATATATTGAAGACATGCCTGTGGATGATGACTTTTAGTCAGAACTTAGTGAGAATGATTAAAAGAATGGCATTTGTGATAAATGATGTTTATTAGTATTTTAAAATAGGATGAGATATTGATAAGCCAAACTTTTAACTGGACAGCTGACAGGTTTGCATGAGAGTGTGCAAATCTTCACACTATGATATCTCAATATTTCACAATAGCATGATGGAATGAAATACTTTGTCTCCACTGAGGATCACATTGCTTGTAGAGCTATGTTGGCTTGTTCTAAGTACCTATTTTTGTCATTGGTTGTTCATTCTAAAACAGCATTGTATTGCTAAAAGTCCACAAAACCCTTAATTTTGATAAAGGCACATCCCGTATTCCATTTTTATCACTTTGGCTCAATATTCTTCATGAACAGTAGTTCTATAATAAAAATACTAGACAATTATTTATTAAATTTACCGATCTGAGGATTATTCTTGCCACTGATTCTTCATTTTGCTTTATGTACTTTTTTGTCCATAATTCTTCTATCTGACAAGAACTAAAGAACTGAAAACATGCAAACAAAAATCTATTTCTGATTTTACATTTATTCAGCTTTCACATTTCCATATTACTGTTGCTTAAATTGTTATGTTGCATTTTTAGAGAACAGTCACGAATAAATGTCAGATTCAAAGAGGAGAGAAGAATAAGAGCAACAACTTAAAAAAGGAAGCTTTAACTTAGTTCACTTAGTAATTAAGCTCAAAGTGGGAATGATAAGCAAACAGGCCTGGGAGGCGAGAAGAGGCCAGCCAGCTTGGGAAGAACCTCATGTGACATGCCGAGGATGTGCCTCATTTGTTGTATGGTCATTGAAGGATCAGTCAACTCCACTCTTCGATCTATGAAGAACTAGTGTCTCAGTCACTAATACATGACACGTATAAAAATTCACTGCATATAGTTAAGTGTGACTACTGTTTTGTGAAAGTTTTTCATATTGTTGACTCCTGGTACTTTTTCAGGCATCAGTTCAAATCCCACCATCTTAAAAAGATCCCTTCTTTAATGTCTTCACCACTCACCTTGTACGGGTCCCTTGATCATATCTATGCCCTTTTACACTGTGTATATTTGTTTATTGCCTGTACCCTCAACTGTCTTATCATCATTATATTCCTACCACCTAGAATAGGGCCCATTTCTTAGCACCTTTAATAAGGTTGCCACTAAATATTTATTTGATTGAAAACACAGGATTAATAAATAGAATAAGCATTTATTGCTTCTATACAATATGCCTAAGATGATGTAATTCATTGAATATAGTGTTTCTATTCTTATAACTCTGTAAGTTGGCAAGACTATTTTATCTGAAACTCAGAGTCAGCGGTGTTAAGGGTAAGGTTCATACAGCTGGTAGCTGGCAGAGACAGGAACTTCAAACAAATCGCTATTCCACATTGCCTCTCTGACACCCCTCAATGAGGATTAATTAACCTTGTTTTTAAACTCTAATATTATTTTTGATACCACAATATTTATCATGTTTTATGATATTAATTTGGGCATGTTTATTTCTCACTGTAGATTCTTATCAAATTTATTACAGACTATATCTTCTGAATCTCTAACATATCTAATATTCTACTGATTCACATCAGTTAGCAAATACTTGCAGCTGAAAAAATAATTAGAAGTACAGATTATACAAGTAATGAGCATTATTATAAACTTTACAAGAGTAGCATGTTTACTTTTTAAAATTCACCAATTAACTTCCATCTAGAAAGAAATAGGAAAAAGTTATTAGAGCCTGGTTCTGAAAAGGTGGAATTTAGTGTTATGAAAATTTGTATTATCCTTGAATATTTATATTCTTCTCAATCAGTTAAATTTAAGACCACACAGAAATATTTAAATTCGTTTCAGTTAAGTGTATTTTTTCTTTTTATTTTTTCTTTTAAAAAGGCTGATAATAATTACCAGAGTTTTCCATGAATAATAAGGCCTATTTCAGATTGTGCTTTTGTGAGGCTATTTTTGTCAACTATTTTGTCAACAGAGTTCTCAATCCACCGACACAAAACATCTTCTTTGGGCTAATCACCCACCCTGACTGTGTAACTTAAGCAAATTAACTGCCCTAAACAAAGGGTAATCCTTCCAACTAGGATTTAGAAGTCACTTTCTTAGTTCTATCAGTATCTAATAATAGTTTTACATTTTTGTCCTGATCAACCACTTTTCAATTTACACACTAACACTACAGTCATCGTTGATAATCTGCCAAAATAATAATTTCTTTTCTTTTGTTTGAATATACCTTTTTAAAAGTTCTCAATAAAAAAAAAATAAGTATTAGGCTTTAAATTACAATCCTTTGACAACTTGTTTTATGGCATTAATATACCTTGAATAATCATGTCATGGAGGATGATTTTGATAAGAAAAATGCTCTATAATATTATATGTGTGTAACTTGGGAGTATTTATATAAGGACAATGAAAATAATAATCAGGATACTGTTTTATGTTTTATCAAGAAATGTCAGGTAAAAAAATGTGGTATAGCTGAGCACGGTGGCTCACACCTGTAATTCCAGCACTTTGGGAGGCCGAGGTGGGCAGATTGCTTGAGCTCAGGAGTTCAAGACCAGCCTGGTCAACATGATGAAACTCTGTCTCTACAAAAATTACCAAAATTAGCCAGGCAGGGTGGCTCACGCCAGTAATGTTAGCTACTTGGAACATTGAGATGGGAGGATTGCTTGAGCCCAGGAGAAGGAGGTTGCAGTGAGCCAAGTTCATGCCACTGCACTACAGCCTGGACTGTCTCAAAAATATGTAAATAAAAATAAATTTAAAAATGTGGCATAAATAAAACTTCTTATTACAACACTTTATTGGAACATCCTGAGAAATCAATCACAGGATTAATATAAATTGAAACATGTTTACATATTTTTAAATTTAGACTAAATATATATGATACATTATACACATTTTAGGTTTACACCAAAGGATATGGGCATGATATTATGCATGATAATAATATATAATTATTCTAAAGCATTTAGAAATCACTGTTTTAGAAATTCAAGGAAGCTGAAAAAAGCAAATGAATACCAGTAATCATAATGTTTAAAAACCTTTAGTTACACCAACACAAGAAGTGAATGACTTAGCATTGGCACACAATTTCTTTTCTCCACTGGCTGAAATGCCTTCACTAAGAACTGGAAGTCAAAAAAAGTTAAAGACAATTGCTTTGGGTCACCAATGTCTCAAAATCCTCCATATGTGCACTTATATCTGTGAAGACCAATAGAGACAAATATCAATTATGCATAAATCCTCATCCTAATTCTGTAACCAGTTCCCGAAAAATAATCTGTCATAAACTGTCTTACATTCTCTAATGTCTGCATATTCAAATATTTAGTGGTTATATTGTTAGAGTAGGTAGTTAGGCAACCAATAGGTGATGGTCAGGTGGTTGTTAAACTCTCTCTGTAAAACAATTATTGGTTGCTGCCAGTGCCAGGGAAGACAGACTGTAATAAATAGAAAACATTGAATCTGGTGATCAGCAGTTTCCAGATAAGATCTCAGGAGTTGGGCAAGTGGACTCAAGCATGTGCACTGAGAAGCAAAATGGCAGCATTTAACTGGTATAGGAATAGAACATTCCTCTAGGAACACTCAACTGGTAAGGGAAAAATGCCTCCAGTAAGCATGTATAGGACTTCAGTAAACATGCTGTGCATGCGGCCCCTCCCAAGTGCTGACAGGCCACCGTGCATGCAGACAGCCCACCCCAAAGGAAGAATCAGGGCAGAAGTACCACAACTCCAGAAGCATGCCAGTGTATAAAACCCCAATTCAGAGGTCAAATTGCACACTTGAATCTCTCAAGTTGCCCATTTGGCCCTTTTCCAGCTGTACTTTATCTCCTCTTGTTCCTGCTCTAAAACTTTCCTGCCCTGAAACTTGCCTTGGTCTCTCCCTTTGCCTCATGCCCCACAGTCAATTTCTTTCTTCTGAGAAAACAAGAATTGAGGTTGCTGCAGACCTGTATGGATTTGCTGCTGCTAACAGTACCTTGATGAAAAAATATTTGAAAAAAATATATATGTATGAGCATTCCCTGCCCTCCTCCTCCATAAGAAGAACACTTCAAGTATGAAATAACCTGTTAGGGGATAAAAAAAATCTGAAGTTGTTCATGTCTGAGAAAGGTATATTTCTTCATTTCTGGAGTAGATTAGCATAAATACAGCATTATTATAGAAAACAATAATTTGTAGCCTTTTATGAAAAAGACTAGATGACCATAAAATCCATTTTTTATAACCAGCCAATTGTGATTCTATAATTCTCTGAGGAGAGGTATACTACTAATGACATAATTAAAATGAAAGAGCAATATCAAATTACATGTTGGTTTCCTAAACTGAGTGCTGAGTGAAAATGCCTTATTAAAGAGCTTGGTGGTGTATCTACTGAAGCAGTATCAGTTTATTTAGTTGAAGGAAAGATAAATAATGTTATTCTAATCTCAGATAAAGCTAATGAAATACGTCAAATTGTAGTTTATGTTTTATATTTAGCTTAAGATTTCTATAAAATACATGGATAAAGGCTAAATTCGTGGTCTTATGTGAAGATCTGTTCATTTGTCAGCCACCAGAATTGAAGCTTCTTTCCGGAAATTCATCTGATTTACTTACTTTATTTTGCTTTTCTACTTGAAGGAAGAAACATAAGAAGTCCCTCTATTTTTTCTAACCACATAAGTGAGGAAATGCTAAACTTAATTTATAGTAAGAATTCTAGTGCTATTTATTGTATTGTCCAGTCACTTGCTTCTTAATCGCTAGGTTTTAGAAACTCTTGACATTTTCAATTACAGCAATTTAGCTAGCTGATTCATGTGGTCTTCATTTAGGAGCTTAAGAATCCAAAGATATAACTTGTTACAGGCAAATGATTCTCCTGAGTTTCCAACACAGGATGTGTGAATGCCTCCATGTAATTTTCATCTGATTCTAGACCTACCAATAACTTACCTTCTTCCTCTTCTGTTGGAAAGAGGTGGTCCAGCACAGACACCTTTTGTCTTTTGCTAGTGGAGCAACAGAGCGCTAGTTTCCTTTGTGTGGGACTAAACTTCACCCAAAAGGAGAATCATTCCATTATAAAAAATGTAAAAGTCCCATGACTTCACATTTCATTTTATGTTATCTCTCATTAACAAGAGTACTGCTGAGGCCTCAAACAATGCAAGAAAAATACTAATCAAATAAAAGATTACCAACAATTTTCGCAGTCATAAACAACAAATAAGTTACCAATTGTATATTATATCACTTACAATTCAAAAGTGTTGTTTTGCACTTAAAATAGTCCTGCCTATATATGTACATATATATACATATGCCATATATACACACAATGTGTATATATGTACTTTAAATTATATTCTTTATACATATTATAAATTCAATTCTATATAATTTAAATACTTTTAAGAAAATCAATTAAGAGCAGGTAAAAAATTTGAATATGTGTATATGCATACACACAACATATACACATATGTATTATATTTAAGAGAATCAAAATAAGAACAAATATTAGAAAGGAAATAACCATAAACCTTGAACCTTTGACCAAAGAATCAACAAATACTAAAAAAATGTTCATTATGTGGTTTTTATATTTCCTGTCAAATGATATAAGAAGTAAACATTTCCATGTAAGAGCATGTGGGGTGTGTCATACCTTCTCATGGACTTTCTGTCCAGGTTCCATCCCTTCAAGATGTTCTGACTCTGTGGATCCCTCGCTTGATGCCATTTTTCTTTGTATATGAACATTTTGTTCACGCAAGGCAACAATCTGCAAAATAAAAGCACTATGCCTTTAAAGTCTAAATAGGGAATAAAATATAAAAAGAAAATGAATTTACTTCAATGTGGTTAAGAACTAATGAACACTAACAAATAACCAGAAAGTGAACATTACATTTTACTGAATTATTATTCAAAATATGTGTTTCAATGTAGGTCACCATTTTGAACAATATTTACAAAAATTCATAATATCTCTACTAAGAAGAGGTTAAAGCACTGTAAAATTTACCTAAGAAAATATTTTCTTGTTGGAAATGTATCTAAAATCAATGATATATTTGTATTCACGTGATGTTAATTCAGAAATTATTTTTTAAATTAATTTGTAGGATGTAATAAAAATGTTTTTTTGGTCTGTATTTTTAAAGTATACAAGAAACATAAAAGATTGAAGGTTAAAGACTAATTATGAGCACAGCAATTTCGCCTACACTGATAGCCCATCTGCAATTTAATATAAGCAGACACACAGCTGAACTTAAAAAAAAATTTGTAATGCTGTCATGAGCATGTATTAAATTTGTTTTATTATTATAATTTTAATGTCCATTATTTTACCAAATTTAGTTAATTTGCAAACACAAATTAAGAAAGCAGTTATTCTTGCAAACTTTCAGCTCAATTTTAATGACATAATTATTTCAATTAAAAAACAAATTCTCGGGTACTTATAGCATAAGTGATCCTAGTAATAGAGTGAAAAATAGTATTTCAGTCTTTTTAAAATGATGTTTTAAAATACATTTGCTAAATATATATATATATATCACTTTGAAAATATTTTACATTATATTAATGCTGTAACTTATTTATTCCATGGCATATTTTATTGTATTATCAACTCAGATAGTAGTCAATATTAGTTCTGGGAGAAATAAAGGTACATAGTATTTAGTGCACAATAAGATCTGAATAATATTAAACTTACATGTGGAAATTACAAGACCAACATGTCACAAGACGAATAATCATTAACTGAAAAAAACATGATATCAAGGGGTTGGGTGTTTGCCCTGCTACTTGACACTATTTCAATGCCATATTACCACCATGTGTCCATGACATCAGTTGATCTAGCTATATGATCTCTGGTATTTGAGCATTTGGTATATCCTTCTCTAGGTATATGTTCTTTTCTCTCGTATAACTGTAAACACCAAATAATTGGCTCCCTCACGCTTACTCTTGTTCATCTACAATCTATTATCCACAAAGCAGCCAGGTACATCTTTCAAACTTAAATTAGATTGTGTAACCCTTCAGCTTTCTAACAAAACTAATGTTTGGCCCAGCGCGGCAGCTCACGCCTGTAATCTCGGCACTTTGGGAGGCCAAGGTGGCCAGATCACTTGAGGTCAGGAGTTCATGACCACCCTGGCCAACTGGTGAAACCTGTCTCTACTAAAAATATAAAAATTAGCCGGGCGTGATGGTGGGCGCCTGTAATCCCAGCTACTCAGGAGGCTGAGCCAGGAGAATCCCTTGAACCTGGGAGGCGGAGATTGCAGTGAGCTGAGATTGCGCGACTGCACTCCAGCCTGGGCGACAGAGGGAGACTCTGTCTTAAAATAAAATAAAATAAAATAAAATAAAATAAAATAAAATAAAATACTTTAAAATTTTGTTAAAAAAACCTAAAGTTTTCCCAGCTTATTTAGCCAAAATTTAAACTTCTTAACAAGGTCTATACTGTCCTACTTGAGCCCTTTGCTTCAGCGACACTGGCCTCCTTTCCATCCCTCAAACATATCTGTCTCTTTCTTACACAGAACTGAGGAATTTGATGATCTTCCTGTCTAAAACATTCTTCCTCAGCTATCACAGGGGACACAATCCCAGCTTTAAAAACAGTTGAGATACAACTCCTCAGAGTGAATGTGTGTTGTCATCAAACACTTTGTACAATATATCCCTATTTATTTTTGTGCATGTAGCACTCAATAAAGTTTATTATTCCATTTCTCCACTTCCTCATTTGCTTATTTATTTAGCTAGCACAAGTCCTAATAATATCTCCTGAGAAAATAATTTTCAAAAGAATGCTTCATTGAAAACAGCATTTTCATATGAAGTAGCACATCAAATTATTATGTGCAGGGTATTCACTAAAAATGTGTTGAATTAAATAATACATGGATATGGGAAAACAAAGAATCTAAACCTGATTAATTCAAAAAATAACAAAAGATAAAGATTTGGAGTGTAAAAAAAACTTCAGAAACATTCTTTTCACATTAGTCAACATGGAAATAGATTACATCAAAGGAATGACAAGAAGAATAAAATAGCTCCTAGATATATCATTTTTATATTACACTCTTAACTTATTGCTTTTTGCATAAATATTACAATTGATACATGAGATTTTATGAATTATAAATTTTAAAATATTCAAGTATCATTTGTTGACATTCCACTAAGAAAACATCTATGACTAACAGAAATGCTAATACAAAGTACCAGGCCATTTAAAAATTATATGCTTTGTTCTATTATTAATCTACTCAGAAGTGAAGGGAGACATTTAAAAAATATTTAAAGAACAAATTTAACTCTCAGCTTACAGATTAGCTTACATTTGTTTAATAAACAGATGACTTTCAAATATGTCCTGGTGCCTGAAATAAAGCAGGCCATCTATAAAAGTTTATTGAATGAATCAGTGAAAAGATGAATTAATGTCCCTATTAAAAAATAATCAAAAAATCAAATTCATTCAGAAAAAAGTACAAATATAATTGAGCCACTATGATTTTTAAAATTCTAAACTTCAAGTTTGCTACAGTGTATACATGACAATTAGTTCCAAAAATGACATAATTTTCAACCACTAACATGCAAACTTTGTTTTGTAAAAATGAATCAAGGCTAAAAATGTTGGCTCTTGATACAGAAGAACAAATGTGACATATTCTATATTCTCTACCACTGTAATATGCTATTTTCTCCAATAACAAATTATCCTGGGTAGTTATGAAACCAAAGTTTCAGCACCTGATTTAATTGTGGGTGTTAATAAGTGGATTATTTTTGACACTGGGGAAAGGGGGAAAGTTTGTAGTTCTCTTTTAAAAATTCCCCTTTGGGTGTTAAGCATTTTCTTCAATCTGTTTTAAAGAGTGAAGAGGTCACCAATAAATAACTGGAGCCTAAGGTAGCACAGACTTCTTTAGGAAATTCTCTTAGCTGGTTTGAGAAGTGAACACAAGAGATGGCTAGGGAACCAGCTTGGGACAATAAATAGAATGAAAAGAAGCTAATGGCCTCAAAATATTCCCTAGGCTCTCACTGAGAGGGAATGTTGTCAGAAGGAGGGCCCAAGCAAATTGCCTACAAGAAAACTAACGTAGGTCTGGATGCCTCACCACTAAACAACATGGCCTACTTGCTATGGTTTAAATGTTCCCTCCAAAACTTATGTTGAAATGTAATTGCCTTTGTAATGGTATTAAGAGGTGGGACCTTTAACAGGTTTTTACGGCATGAGGGCTTTGCTCTCATAAATGGATTAAGGCTGTTATCTCTGGAGTGGGTTATTTATCATTGGAGTGGGTTCTGGATAAAAGGATGGAGTTTGCCCCTCATCCTCTCTCTGTATCATCTCACATGCTTTTATGCCCTTCCATCCCTCTACTATGGGATAAGGCATCATAAAAACTCATGCCAGATGCCAGTGTCATGCCTTGGACTTCCCAGCCTCCAGAACTTTCAGAAATAAATTTATTTTCTTTAAAAATCATCCAGTCTGTGATATTCTGTTATAGCAACACAAAACAGACTAAGACACTACTCCAAATATGATTACATGTTGAGTAGGAGGAACCACTTATGTACAAGTCCTGTTGTTTACCCAGTTCTTATATAACTGTACTGAAAAACTCACTATGTACAAGTACTGTGCTAAACTATTTTTATCTGCTAAGGGGGTATGATTCATATTTAACAAATGATCAGATTAAGATAAAGAAAGATTAATGGGGACAACTGCTATGGTTTGAATATATGCCCTCCTCCAACCCCCAACATTTGTATGTTGAAACCTAGGGCTCAATGTGATAGTTTTGAGAGGTAAGGTCTTTAGGAGACGATAAATGGAATTAGTACCAATATAAAAGGCCTCAAGGGTACTAGCTAATTAAGCCTTTTGCCAGCCACCTTCTGCCATGTGAGGACGCATTGTTCAGGGTGCCATAATGGAAGTAGAAGGCAGTCCTTCCAAATCTGCTGATGCCTTGATGTTGGACTTTCCTGTCTCCACAACTGTGATACATATACTTCTATTGTTTATAAATTATGCAGTCTCAGACATTTTGTCACAGCAGCACAAATGGACTAAGAAGTAAGAGTCAAATAAAACTTAACTCCGTATCCTTATACTTCCTAATTTGTAACATTGGCTCAAATGGCTCCCCTTTTAAATTTGGGGTCTACTAAATCAGAAGTTAATAGCGGGCTGGGATAGGAAGCATAATCATTTTATTTCCAAGGGCTGATACCCTTGCTGGAATCCTTTGTATGTCATTAAGATTGGACGTCTCCCTGGACAGATTCATATGGAGGCAAAGTTTTGCATATATTTTCAGTGAGTTAGCAACCCACTGAAGGCTCATGGAACTCTGTTCAAGATAAATATTTCACAACTGTTTTTAATGTTCAATCATCATTTATCAAGTGTCTGTTGACATTTGCTTTCAGGTATCCCTTCACATTTCTTTGATAATAACATCTTATATTTTCACTGGAGACTTTTCCTTTCTTATTCTAATCCCACAGAGACTGTCAATGAAGGAACCAAGAGCCCATGGCAAATGGGTGGGCACATGACCCAAGCCAGGGAAATCAGAATATTATTACTTTACATGTTTCTGGCTGAGCTATGGGAAACGATTCTCTCTATCTACTAAGGAAGGTAAGCTGGTAGAATATGAAAGGGGTACTCTTTGCCATTAATTCCTATTCATGCAGAAAACACATGGAAGAGATGAGGCCCTAACAAATTGCTTCTGGTCCTGATTCTAGGCATCCTTAAATCATTCCTACCCTTGGCATTTTAGTAATATGATCCAAGCCCCAAATTTCCCCTTTTGTGCCCCAACTCATTTGAAATGGTTTTCTGTCACTTGCAACTAAAAGTGACTTGCAAATGCAGCAGGAAACATGGAAGACAATACAGAGTATGCAATACCTAAGTGAGGATTTTGGAGAATGGCTAAGAATTTACCAGACAGACATGGTAGAAGACTTTTTTAGGTGTGTAGAAGATCACAGGCATTTTGTGTTTCTACAACTTTGTGTTCCTCGCACTGTAAGTTGTTTAATATTCCTGTGGCAAAAAGTACCTGGAAAAAGTTGGAGGAATGATGGGACTAGCAAAGCTAAAGTGCTTCAACTAAATCTCAGGCATCTGTGTGCTTTTTCTCTCTGGCTTATTGCTTTGTCTTGATCCTTATTTGTGTTTTCTGGTTGCTCATAAGCTTATAACAGCCTGATCCATTCCTTCTAGGCACTCTCAAACACGTTATATTTTCAAGCCAATCTTCTAGGTTTCATTCATATCCTTGCCTCTGTCAGGTTGATTTTGGCTCTGACAAGCTCTGACCCTACACAATAGACAACTGGTAGTCTTGGCGGCTGGGCCTCCAGTCTGCAAAATTCTTTAGCCTTCATTTTTCTTTTCTACCAGCTTGAACACTACTATGTCTTGCAACAGACTCTCTTCTAGCTCCTTGCCTGTGAACAACTGTTTTTCTTTGATATCCTGGAGAGATTCATTTATCTCAAAAATATTCATTCAGCACTGATGACATACCAGGCGTTAGGGAAACACAATGGGAGGAAAAGGCAGAAATCCTTCCTAATGGAAATTGTACTCTCATTGGGGAAAATAAGTTATAAACAAACATAAGTAGAGCATATTTTTAAATGGTGTTAACAGAAAAGAGAAAATCAAACCAAGTGAGGAATGCTGTGAGGTATAATTTGATTACAAATTAGGTGATTTCTGAGTATGGGCTTGAGGACAAGAGGGAACAGCAATGTGGATATCTGGGAGAATAACTTTCTAGAAAATGTAAATAACTATTGAAAACAAATATTGAGATTTATAACAATATTTCAGGGAGTTCTTTCAATGATGTAAAATGTCCTCCCTAAAAGAGAGGTAAAACATCAGTGCAAGTTGATGCCTTGGAGACTTAAGGAAACATATTATCATGAAAAAAATGATTTGGGCAAAAATAACAAAGACCATTAAATATCTTTTTATGCTAAAATTTTAGGATTTCTTGAGGGTTTAATAAATATTAATACATTTATTCAACAAATATTCATTTGATCACTGTTCTAAGTATCACAAAATACTGGGAAAAATGCAGACAGTTTCCTTCTCTTGTGTAGATTACATTCTAGTTAAGGAGGCAAAAAAAAAAAAAAAAAAAGGAAGCAGTAGGACTACAATAACAAAATAGCAATTATTTATTTAGCTCTTATAATGTGCCAGAAACTGTGCTAAGTACATTATATAAATTTGCTTCTTTTCATAAACTTTGCATCTACATTATCTTTTCTTTCCAGGTTTGAGATTTCTTGGTAAAAGACCCTGAGACTATTATATTTAATGGCAACAACCACAATTGCTTTTGCACCAACCTAATAATAATCAGGTACAAGTAGTTTGAAAGGTGATTCCTGGAAGTGAAACATTCCTTAAATATGCTTGAAAGGCTGAGGATGAATCCTGGCCCATGTAGTTGTTGCTGGTTGTACGATCTTGTACAAGCTATTTAACCTCAAGTTCAGGTTCTTGTTATATCAAATGGAGGGCAAATAATATCTACTTTATATTGTATTTGTTTGTAAAATACTTAGTCAAATTTGATGTACATTAAACACTTGCTATGTAATGACAATGACAATAATGAATTGACTTCCACTTGCCTCTTCAATTTTATCTTTCTATTCATATTGCGTGCTCTAGCTTACTGAAAGGCTTCGATCACACATATAAAAAGTGCCGTCTTGGCTGTGAGTTTTTATATTCACCTGGGTAACCTTTGTTCCTCTTTAACTGCCTCTTAGTCACTTAGCTTTTAAGTCTTTCAGATGAATTCGGGGACAATATCTTCCCAAGGAGTTACAGAATGCCTTAGTAATCTCCAGTAACTCATGTCATGCAAGTGATTATCACAACTGGATGTTAGTTTTCTCACCAACCATTTTGACACAGTGCCTTGAGACTAGAAACTGTTTCTGATTCATTACTTATTCTCAGTTCTTAGGACACTGACTGACAAACAGGAGGCACTCTAGAAATATTTGTAGAATGTCAAAAAAAATGATGACAGGCTACATGAATGAAAAAAAAGCATATGAGGAGTTGGAAAAATTGGACAGAAATGTTCACAGGATGTATACATGGAGAAGAAAATTAGTTATCCATATAGAGGAATATAAGAACTTGAAGGTCTTTCAAATGTTCATATTATAGGCTTCAAGGTTAAAAAGGATTCTGGGTAGAGCTCACTGGGGAAATAAAGAAATAAAAGAATGGGAAATACTGCAATGGCTTTGTAGGAAAGTCACTGCTCTAGCGTGAGGAGGCAGATAAAGTAGAAGGCATAAGCAACTGTAAAGGAGGCTAGCAGCAGGATCATGGAAGGACAGTTTAATGAAAGTCATCAAGAGTTGTTTTGTAAACTCAAAGTAATAGGCAATTTCATTGCATCTTAAAATATAACATTAAAATGTATTCTCAAGTATACTGCAGCTTAGGTAATATGATTCACATGCATTGAAGCACATTGTGTATTTGCTTTAGATTTAGAATGAATCGTTGTTTGTGGACAGAAAAATGGAATTCTAAGAGTGTCTAAGAAACTAATTTCTGCCAATAGAATTTTCCAATAAAAAAGGAAAAGCAATGTAAATTGATTTAGTATTCACTTCATTTTCCTTTGTCTTTCTGAAATATTAATATACATGAAGAAATGGGAGTTGAGAAATTAAATTTCTAATTAAGAACTTCTAGCTGTAATAATAGCTATGTCTTGAACATTTATTACATGCCCCATATGAAATAAAACAATTTACATACATTACCTCATTTAATCTTTCCAGTAACCTTGTAAATTTGGTATTTTTATTTTCATTTTACAAATGAGGCAACTAACACAGAGGAAATATGTAATATACTTGAAGTCATACAGAAAAAGACACAACAGAGATATTTCTGATTCAGGTCTGATTCCTTCAAAACATTTTAAAAATATTATGCTGTAATGCCTTTTGGTAATCAGTGAAATGATTCATTGCATACACAATTTAAATATTTATCAAGGTCAGGACTACAAGTTTGTGGTCTGATTGCAGGGGGCTTTTCCTGACCTGCGTTGGCAAACAATTTAGAAGATGTCTTCAAAAACATTTAAAAGGTGTCTTCATATATTCCCCAAAATAAAAAAAGTCATGGTTTTTACCTTACTGATTATTTTCATTTATAACTCGTATACAGCATAAGCACTTAAACTTACCCTGAAAAAAAATTAACTACTTTTTAAAATAAACTACATCTACATAAAATCTTTCATGCTATTTCTACAGGGATTTTCATTCTCATGTTTTTAAATTAATATTTGTCTCTACTTATTTAACAACTTCCAGATAGTGCCCACATCTAATTAACAAAGATTCTTTTCATCTATTTTTATCCCAAATTCAATTAACAATTCCCAGGGTGACACTTATTGAAGTCTCACTACACCAACACATAATTTGCTTCTACACAGATACTTATTCTACTTCTAGCTGAATTCCATGCTTAGATTATAATGAAGTTGAAACACACACACAAACAACAAGAAAAAACTAGTAAAACAGTAGGGATTTACAATTTAAACTTAAGCAACTTTCAGTCACAATAGTTTGCATTTGTATCGCTATTTATTAATTGGGAAACCATAAAGGTTGAAACACTTATTTAAATAGAATTAAGAAACCCAAGCCAGTAACTATTTCCTTTTCTAGCTCTGCATTTGGAAATAAGATTTATAAGCATCACTGAAGCACGTTAAAACCAATGGAGAGCAACTTCATGTAGTCTGTGCAGTTTGATCAGCTTACATGTAACATTCAATTTAAATGGCTTTCATTAACCATGGGCAGATTTTGAAAGCTTGTGACACCAAACTGTTCCAGTGAATAATCAAATTGCTTTGAGGTAAGAATGAGAGGTTTGCATTGTGAGAATTTATCTTGGTTCAGGTAAAAAAAAAAAAAAAAAAAAAAAAAAAAAAAAAATATATATATATATATATATATATATATATATATATATATATATATATGTTTGTAAGAATTTTTACTACATAAAATACTTCCACTCAGTCAACTAATATTTATTGGATGAATAAGAATATTCTACATTTATTTATTTTAAACTTCCCACCCCAAATTTGGCTGACTAGTACTCCCAATTCCTATACAGATAAATTACCTAAGTGCTAAAATTTAAATGCACATTACCAGTAAGTTTCTGGTGACCTTTTAATTGAAAATACATCATATAAAAAGTACATAAATTTGGCTATTTCCAAATTTTACATCTAAACTAGTCTTTCTTGTATCTAAATACACATGGAATTCAAACTCAGTTAGTTTATAATGATTAAAAAATCCTCTTTAAATTAATATTTAAAGGGTTTTTTAAAAAAGAAATCTTCCTAAAACAGTAACTGGAATGCAAAACTGTTATTTTTAGTTTTAAGTTTAAAACAGAATGATTCCAATAGCAAAAAAAAAAAAATCAAATATATTCTCAGGTAGAAAGTTTTGCTTTTTTGCAGGAGATGTTTACACTATCCATTTAACTTAGAATTATAATATTCAACAATAGTAATTTTGACAATAGCTATACTTTGTCATTGTTATTAACATGTAATTCTAATGAAAATTACAACTTTGTACTAACATCTCTCTTCTTTTTGTCTAATCAGTATTTCAGTCAATACATTTTCTGATGCTTGATAATGCATCATTTATTTTAACCATCTATGTAGTTCCCTAATAATTAAAATGACAATAAAATAAAATACTAGCATCTTCATTAGAGGCATGTAAAAGGCTACAGAATATACAAAACAATTTATATTGGTCAGAAGAATTAGTGGACATTGTTAAGGCAAGACTGTTATTTTACTAGGTTAGCAACTAAGAGTGGCATAATATGGAAGAATAGTAAGAAAAATAGCCAAGGAAGCTGTTAATACAGGAAAGTGAAAGAATTAATCCAGAGAATGAAAGCAAACACCAATTTCTAAACAGTTTTTCAAAAGTGTTAGTGGTAGGAAAACACATTCTTAACCACTTGTATGTATCACTGCATGAAAGCAAGACTCAATTTAGAATATATATAAGCAGATAAATAAGGAAGGGTAGAGAGTATTCATTAAGGTAAACAGTACTGAGAAGTGCCCTACCAAAGATAAAGAAACTGCAATAATTCAGTGTTGAGTGCTGACAGTATTGGCAGTAATTGCGTTAAAAGTTTTGAATTTCATAAAGAAAATATGGTAAAATCTCCATCACCAAGGAAGATGCTATTGCTAATAACTTCTCACCTCCTTGAACAAGACAGAAAAATCCTATTCAAAAAGGGAAATAGGTGTCTCACAGTGAAAACAGCAAACAGAACTTACTGAAGGTATTGATTATTATAAAGTACTTCTTTGTACAGAATGGAGGCTATCTTGATTCATACTGGTTCCTCACAATCACTCCCACAGGGCTCTTTGCCCTCTAAAGTCAGAGGTATCAAAATCTGCTAACTTGGTTTAGTTTCAGCTAAGGGCATAAATGACAACTGACTGCAGTAATTAATTATCTCCCCAACTACAATAAAAAGGAAAAGCAAAATTAAAGATACTGAGTTAGGCTGAGAAGAGAGTGAATGCAAACTAAATAATCCAATGTGTGTGTACGTGATCATTTTATAAAGCAGGAAACATGCTCTGTGAATGAGAGCATTTGTTTTCAAAAGTCTCAATAAATATTTATTTTTAAATAAAATGAAATGTTAATATATGACTAAAAGTTTATATTTCATTTACTTTATGTATGCTAAGAAGTATAAAAATACTTTGAGCAAACACTGTTAATAGTATTAAATTTAAAAAGATAAATCTGCCCTATTCTAATCATGTCTTTGTCTTCTGTTTATTCAAGTGTATTCCATTTGCTTTCGGGAATATTTGGATGTTTTAGAACTAACATTCTGCTTTAATAATCCAAACACACTATAATTCCATCAATTTGAGTCTCTTAAAATGTTACACTGAAATGAATCTCTCTGAAGATGGACTTATTGATTTCTATATTCTTCCTCTAGCATCATGAAATTTGACCTCTTCAGCCGTGCATGGTTAACACTGTAAGTATACATGTGTTTTTTTGTTTTTTCTCCAATCATGGCAAATGTGTCGAAATTATAGGCTGTGTCCTAGATCTATTATTTTAGTTCTATTATGGCAAAGAAGAGAGTTTTAGGGAAAAGCGTTTCAAAGTGTTTGAAAAGTGCTTGAAAAAAATATAGAAAGCAGAAACAATATTCATTAATCAATCTTGCATATAACAAAGCAAGCTAGGGCAATAAAAAGGATTTATTCATTTAGTTCCTTTCTTAGAAATAACAAAAGCATACTAAACCCATTGTTCTGGCCAATTCCTTTTAAAGTAATCCATTTACTTCAGTTCTAATGGTAATTATCATGTTACATTTATCTGTACCCATTTCCATTTTATTTTTATGTGATTTTTAAATGTGCACATATCAAAATAATGTCAGTATGAGAAGGAAGCAGAACTTAAGTGGTCTTTACACCCTTACTATTATGAATAAAGAAAATGAGATTTACAGAGAATAGTGATAATTCTATTTGTCTCCAACAAATTGCCATCTAGTCAGTCTCACTGTAGACAGGACACTCTGCCTCCCTAAATCTCAGTTCAATTACCTTTAAAGGAGATGGATAGTATCATATCTAAAAAGACCACAATGACATTACCAAAATCAATAATAAGCATAATATTTACTGAAAGACTCTTTATGCCAACCACAGTTTTACGTTGTTTGAATGTATTAATTAATTTAAAACTCACAACATCATTATAAGTTATTATTATGGTTCAGCCAATTAAGGTAAAAAGAAAAAGGAAATTGCCTATGGTTACAAAGCTAGTGAATAGCAGAATGACTTAGGGAGAAAGTAAGTTTCACTTGGTGGGCGTTATAGCTCCTCTTTGGAGTAGGTTTGTCTCTTTCCTTAGCCTTCTATTTCCAGAGTAGAATATATTTACTGGAACCAAGTAAATACTCTATTTAGAATAAAGGTTTTTTTATTTACCACTTTTCCTTACTTGCCAACGCTAATTTCTAACTACTCAAAGCTATCCACTTTCCATAAAATATTTCATACTTTTATTGCTCCTTATTTCTGTTTTTGTCAGACCTGCAAGCTAAAAATTGTTTTGACATTTTTGAATAGTTGAAAAACATTAAAAGAGAATAATATTGTGTAAATTATAAGAAATTCACTTTCAGTGTCCATGAATAAATTTTAATTGGAAAATGGCCAAACTCATTTGTTTACACATTGTCTATGATTGTTTTCACTCCACAATGGTAGAGAAGTTGTGACAGAGACCATCTGGCTCATAAAGCCAAAAATATTTACTAGTTGGACTTTTACCGAAGTTTGCTGATACCTGGTCTAGTGGTTCTTGTCTATCTCTTTAAGGAAAAAAAAACTGTTCAAATGGATACAGTTAAAGTCAGAACTATAACTAAAATTCCTGAGTTTTAGGTTTATACGTTGTTTCTAATTTCCTTCACATAAGTACAAAGAAAAAATTACCCCTGAAAATGAAATTATTTGATAGTGATAATGTGTTTTTTCACATGCTATTTTGTCTACTCATGTCTAAATAGCAGAGATTCAGATAATATAATGATGTTGGTTAATATTAAAATGGAAACAGTTGAGAGAACACAGAAAAAAAACAGTTTAAAATTGAATGTCAATTGCATTTTCAATATTCTCCTTCTATAGAGGTGAAATTTATTTCACCGAATTTATCAGTATATAAAAATAGTTTTAACTTATATATTTCTAATATAAGACCCTTAAGGAAAGCAGTTTATTCTTTGGTTACTGATATGCCCTTGACATCCAAAACATTGCTTGGTATCCACCAAGTAGACAGTATAAAGTACTGATTAAGATTATGATTTGTGCGGTAGAATTCTGGTTCTACCACTTACTAACACTGAAATTAAACCAGTTGCTCAACTACGCTCTGCCTCAATTTTCCTATCTATAAAGTAATGATGTTTGCAACATCAGTCTGAAATGTTATTCATGAAAAAAAGAAAATCAGTTAAAATATATAAAGTACTTACAAGAGAACCTCACATGTTGTAGGGAATCCATAAGTGTTATTATTGTTGTTTTTATAAATATTTATTGAATGAATGTTCTTACAATAAACATAAAGTCTCATGATATTGCCCTTGTATACACGTTTTGATTTAATCATGTTACATGGTATTCATTTTTTTCTGTTTTTTTATTGTAATAAAAATTTTAACTTTTCTAAGATGGAATCCCAGTTTTTCTTTTGCTATACCTTGTATTGTTTGAAAGATGTCAGTGTATTATTTCAATACAAATAATATTTCATTCCCTAGTTATAATTTCACTTTTTATATTTAACTCATTTTTCACCTTATTTATGTTGGATATTCAAGTTTGAGAAGGAATAAAGAGTATATACATGACTTCTGGATATAAATTAGCTTTAAAAATGAAGTGGTTTGGCCATGTGCATTTGCATCCATATCCAAATCCATAGCCATGCCATATGAACCTGCATTCCAGACCTAGTACCACCATTGTTCGATGTATGTTCACAGTTCAGACACAGGCACCAAGAAGAATCCCCTCTACCACAACTTCTCCTGTGGGTGAAAAGGAAAGCAGGAGGACTTCAAAAGCTTTCATGACTGGGGACCCTGCAAGTCATTGCTGCCTTTGCAGACACTCTCAGCCTTGTCTACTAAAAACGCTGTAGTCTTCACCAGTGCTGACCTCAGCTGATGGAACTACCTGGAGTCTAACTGCTGCCCACTCCTGGAGCTGGAACAGCCACTGTGTCCTTCAGAGAAGAAGCTACCATACCCACCCAGTTGGTGGCTTCATACCTTCCCATAGGTGAGGTCTTTCCTTACTGAAGCCAGTACATAAAGTTTAAAGAGGTGACAACTCCTTCAAATGTGCAGACATCAATGCATGTCTATGAGAATATGAAAAATCAAGAAAATGCCACAAAAGGAACACAATAATTTTCTAGTAACTGACCACAAAGAAATGGAGAATAATAAGTTGCCTGACAGGGAATTCAAAATAATTATTTTAAAGAAGCTCAGCAAGCTACAAGCAAACACAGATACACAACTTGAAAATAATCAGCAGAACAATACATGAAAAAAATAAAAGTTCAATAAAGAGGTAAAAATCATAAAAAAGAGTCTAACAGAAGTTCTGGAGCTGAAGAATAAAATGAAAACTACAATAGAGTGCTTCAATAGCAGACTTGATCAAACAGAAGAAAGAATCTAAAAATTCAAGGACAGGTCTTTTGATCTTAACCAGTCATAGGAGAGAAAAATGAAAAAAAGGGAAGAAAGCCTATCATATCTATGGAACACCATCAAGTGGGCCAGTTTATGCATTATGGGAGTCCCAAAAAGAGAAAAAGAAAGAAAGAAATTGATAGAAAGCATATTTAGAGAAATAACAGCTGAAAAATCCCCAAATCTCAGGAGAGAAATGGCATGCAAATTCATGAAGCTCAAAAGTTCCCAAATAAGATCAACCCCAAAACACTGCACCGAGACAAATTATAATCAAATTATCAAAAGTCAAGGACAAAGAGATTAGAAAGCCAAAAGAAAAAAGCAACTCATTATGTGAAAGAGAATCCCTGTAAGACTATTAGTAGATTTCTCAGCAGAAACATTGCAGGCCAAGAGACAGTGGGATGATATATTCAAAGTACTGAAAGAAAATAACTGTCTACCAAGAACAATATATCCAACAAAATTATTCTTTAAAAGTGAAGAAGGGATAAAGTCTTTCCAATACAAATGAAAATTGAAGGAGTTTTTCAACTATAGACCTGCCTTAAAAGAAATGCACAAGGAAGTTCTTCAAATTTTAACAAAAACATGCTGAGTAGCAACATGAAAGCATGTAAGAGTATAAATCTCACTGGTTAAGGTAAACATACAGAGAAATGGAGGTTAAAGTAACATTATAATTGTATTGTATAAATTACTTTTAATCCTACTATAAAGGTTAGAGATACAAAATTGTTAATGGATACACAATATAAAAAGAAACTCTAACTACAAGAACACAAATCGGGCAGAGTAAAAAGGGGAGTAAAAGTGTGGAGGTTTTGTATTCAATTGAAGTTAAGTTGCTATTAACTTAAAAAAGACTGTTGTAACTACAAGATATTTTATGAAAGCTTTGAGCTAACCACAAATAAAATTCCCACAATATACATAAAATATACAAGAAGAAAAAAAATCAAAGCAAATAACTACAAAAAACCATCTAATTAAAAAGAAGACAGTAAGAGAGCAGAGAGAGAAAAATCAATGGCAAAATGTATAGAAAGCAATTAACAAAAAGAAATTAGTAATTCCTCACCTGTCAATAATTACTTTAAATATACATGAATTAAAATCACCAATCAAAAGGCATAGCATGGCTGAATGGATTTAAAGGAAAAAAATAATATAACAAGATCCAGTGGTTTATTTTTCATAAGACACTCATTTTACATATAAAGACACACACAGTTTGAAAATGAGGAGCTGAAGAAAGTTATGTTATGCAAATGGTAACCAAAAGAAAGCTAGGGGTAGTTATGCTTATATCATGAAAAGTTATGCCATGCAAACGGTAATCAAAAGAAAGCTGGGAATGGCTATGCTTATATCAGACAAAATAGACTTTAAGTCTAGAACTGTCTCTAGAGGCAAGAAGGTGATTATATAAACAGGTATATATATATACATATATATATACGTGTGTGTGTGTATATATATGTGTATATATATGTGTGTATATATATGTGTATATATATGTGTGTATATATATGTGTATATATATGTGTGTATATATATATATATATATGTCATTTTCATGAGATCTCAGATGAAAACGAGAAACAAGGTATTGGAAACTAAAGTAAATGCCATCCTGTTACACCTCTGCAAAGACTAGTAGAATTGTGTCTATATTATTGGACTTTATGGAATGAAGAACTTAAGAGTGAGGAACTATGATATCTGGTGAAAGAAATATCTAAGCAGCAAAGCATTCACCCTGCTGCATGACTACTTTTAACTGTTTACAGTGAAGTGTGACAGAAAAGGATTGTCTTAAGGGCAGAATTTATAATTAAAAGGAAAGCAGAGTGAAAAACCTTGGAAAATTCACAGCATGGGAAGGTAAAATGTGAAAAAATGTGGCCAAGCAACCATTTGCTAAAGAAATTACTACAGATGGAAGGGAGTCAAGGGCTACTCTTTAAGATAAACAAGTCACTTCTTACATGGACGGCAGCAGGCAAAGAGAGAGCTCATACAGGAGCTCTTATAATAACCCTCAGATCTCATGAGACTTATTCACTATCACAAGAACAGCACAGGAAAGACCTACCCCCATGATAAAATTACCTCCCATTGGGTCCCTCCCACAACACGTGGGAATTCAAGATGAGATTTGGGTGGGGACACAGCCAAATCATATCACCACTCATTAGGCTCTACCTCCCAAAACTGTTGCACTGGGATTAAGTTTCAAACCTATGAACTTTTGGGAGATGTATTCAAGCCATAGCTTTCTGCCCCTGGTTCCCAAAATTAATAAATTTAATAAAATCAGACATGAAAGAGGAGACATTACAACGAATGCCTAAAAAATATAAAGGATCATAAGAGACTACTATGAACAATTATAACCCAGCAAACTGCAGAGCCAAGAAGGAATGGGTAAATTCCAATAAACATACAATCTGCCAATACTGAATCAAAAAGAAATAGATAAT
Organism: Homo sapiens; assembly: GCF_000001405.40. Taxonomy (NCBI): domain Eukaryota; kingdom Metazoa; phylum Chordata; class Mammalia; order Primates; family Hominidae; genus Homo; species Homo sapiens. The sequence continues at coordinate 81,423,090 of NC_000012.12, forward strand.
CCGAACAGAAAAATAACAAATAAGGGGATTGAATCAGTAATAAACCAACCCAAATATGTCCATGAACCAATGCCTTCACAGATGAATTCTACCAAACACTGAAAGAGGAATTGATACCAACTCATCTTAAGCTCTTCCAAAAAATAGAAGAAGCAGTAACACTTAAAAGGTCAGGATCCCCTAATTCCAAAATCAGAGATACTACAAGAGAATAAAATTACAGGCCAATATTTCTGATGAACAAACATGCAAAAATCCTCAATATAATACTAGCAAACCCAATGCAACAGAACATTAAATAGATCACATATCATGACCAAGAGAGATTTATCTCTGGAATGCAAGGATAGTTTAACATACACAAATCAATCAATATGATACAACACATCAGCAAAATTTTTTAGAAACAGAATTATCTCAACAGATACAGAAAAGGCAAATGAAAAAGTTCAACATCTATTTATGAAAAATATTCTCAACAAAATTGGTATAGAAGAAAATTACCTCAGCACAATAAAGATCATGCGGGAAAAGTACATAGCTAACATCTTAATCCGTGGAGAAAAACTGAAAGCTTTCCTTCTAAGATCCAGCACAAGAAAAGGATGCCCACTTTTACTACTTCTTTTTGACATAGTACTGAAGTCCTAGCCATAGCAATTAGACAGGGAAAGAAAATAAAAAGCAAACAATTGGAAAGGAAGAAGTAAATAATCTGTATGCAAATGACATGACCACAGACATAAAAAACTGTAAAGGCTCACTGTTATAACTAATATCTATTTTAACTAATAAACAAAACAGTAAAGTTGCAGAATACAAAATCAACATTCAAAAATTAGTTGCATTTCCACACACAAACAACAATATAAAAAGGAAATTAAGAAAACAACCCCCTTAATAATAGCAATGAAAAGAATCAAATACTTAGCAATAAACTTAATCAAAGTGGTAAAAAACTTTAAAATGTATTTTAATATCTGTGCATTCTAGGGAAACCCCATACTCAACAATCTTTTAATTTTCATAACATTATTAAATGTTTTACATTAATATTTAATAAGGAAATTTCAGAATTATTTTATTTAAATCTCAAAACCATTATATTAGAATTTTGATTGAATTACACCTATAAAATAACTTGGGAAAAATAGATATCTTTACAATATCTAGCTCCAGACACAAAAATGAAACTGTTGTTTCCATGTATTTAGGACATTTTGTATTTCCTAAAACAATGGGATTTGCTACTTTAGCTAAAAATTTCTAAACATAATTCAGTGTTTACATATAAAATACATCTATATATCTATCTTTATAGTTATTTGAACGAAATATGCTTTTCACTAATGCTTTCTATTTATTGCTGGTGTGGGAATACTACTGATATTTACATATACATTTTTATATTACTTTATTAAGTTCATTAATAAATTCCAAACATTCTTTATGTTTTGTGTGTTCTAGAGTCTGCTTTTTGTACATTAATATTCATTCTCACATTCTTTAGCAATAGAACTTTTGTATATGGCCATGAAAATAGAGATTGCATGTCCTGGTCTCTTTTACAGCTTAGAGTGATGTGAGACCAAGTTTTCTTCAATGGCATGTAAGTAAGAGTCATGTGTGCTACTTCCTGATCTCGCCCTTAAAAGTTTTCTTTATATGTTTATTAGCTCCCTATAATACCTGCTGGCTGGAAGTAGTGCCATCTGTGACAGGCACTTTAACCCATACAGCGTATTTTTATGTCCCTCAGCCCACTTGTTCTGGATACAACAGACATATCAGTGCAGGTGCAAATCCATCTAATTCCATGGATAGATACAAATGTATGCTTCTTGGAATAAGTGTTGATTAACCAAAACCTGGAGAAAAGATTTTAAAAGGAGAGATTAGAAGAAATGAATACATCCAAGAAAAGGGAAATGGCTCAGGCATTTACTAACTATGTAATTCAGGTGAATTACTTTAAGCATTAGAACCATATTTTCTGCATCTTTAAAGTGGTGATAGTACTCCCTGTTTTAAAGGTGATTAGATAATCGCAAGATCTCAATACATTTTCACTGTTAATAACAGCAATAACCTCGTAATGTGGGGATCCATCAACTTGAAGGTAGGGAAAGGTAAGTAAGTGGTTGGAGCTTTCTGAGAACGATAAAACAGCACTTACATAAATATACTTGACTCAGCCTTATGCCTCAAAAACACCAGTTGCCTTTCCCAAACTTGCTAGTGACAGTATTTTATTTTTTTATTTATTCTTTTTTGAGATGAAGCCTCACTCTGTCACCCAGGATGGAATGCAGTGGCGCAATCTTGGCTCACTGCAACCTCCACCTCCCAGGTTCAAGCGATTCTCCTGCCTCAGCCTCCCGAGTATCGGGGACTACAGGCCTGTGCCACCATGCCCGGCTAAATTTTTGTATTTTTATGTATTTATTTACTTATTTTTAGTAGAGAGGGGGTTTCACCATGTTAGCCAGGATGGTCTCAAAGGTCTCGAAATCCTGACCTCATGGTCACCCAACTTGGGCTCCCAAAGTGCTGGGATTACGGGCGTGAGCCACTGCACCCAGCCCCTACAGTATTATTTAATTGTTTTGTAATTTTCTTTTAAAAGACTCTCTCTCTCTCTGCACTGGCTTTACAAAACTTCCACGACACATTTTCTGATTGTACTGTAAGTTATTTTCTTCCTTATCTCCCAATGACACTGTTTTCTACATGAAAAATACCATTTTGGCTTTATCAACATGTTATTAATTCATAATATGAGAGATCTATCAGCACTATTTGTAAAAATATTCAATTAAAAAAATTAAGATGATTTATAGTTGTGTGGTAAAGAATTTGACCTTACCCAAAGGAGGTCAGGCTTTTGCCCTCAGCCTTAAGGAGATAATCTTGTCATACCCAATAAAAGTGTTATTTTAAAGTGAGGCTGACTACACCTGATAATCCAGCTTGAGGGACAGTTATGCCAGTTTGACCAACTAGATGATTTAGGGAGCTTTCTCTCCCAACTTCAAAGCTGTGATGAATCAAACAGGTAATTAATCGATCATGCTTATGTAATGAAGCCTTGATTGAAACTTCAAAGATTGATTGACGTTCCTTGGTTGGTAATACTCTGTCATGTGTCAATTCTAGAAGGGTAATACGTCCTGAGGATAACAGAAGCTCTGTGTTTGGAATCATCCTGGACTCTGCACTTTGTTTCTCCTGCTTTGGCTGATTTTGATCTGTAACCTTTACCTATAATAAACCATAACTATAATATAATAGATTTCAGTGAGTGCTGTGAGGCTTTCTAGTGATTTATTGAACCTAAGGGTGGATGTGAGAATTTCCTGAACTTGCAGTTGGTATCAGAAGTGAGGGAGGTCCTATGGAGGACTGTGCCCTCAGATGTTGCAGTTTGGCTAAACTCAGGTAATAGTATATGGTAAATACCAACTGATCAAGTTATATTTGTTTTTTGCTAGGAAGTTTTTTAAAAGTAAAATCATTAGCAGTCAATTATCAATTAAAAAATTAAGTCAATTAATGTATATCTTTTTCATCCATCTTATTTATTTATTTATTTATTTATTTAGTGTTCCAAGAGTTCAGTTATTTGGAACTTCCACAGTTTTCAAGACTTGAGAGCTATTGCACTTTCTTGTTAAAAATGACATGGGAACAAATAGGTACTGCAGAAATCCTTTCATCTTGTTTAATATGACCTGAGGTGTCACATTTTCTATATTTAAAACATAGTGGCCACTGCAATGTTCTCATGCTATTTATTACTATTATACTGAAGTCTATACTGTGATATAATAATCAAATGTATCTTAAAAACTGTAAATATCTGGATGCTTTAATTAATCTTTTATGTATAGTTAAATGTTAAATTTTATCAAAGTATTTGGCATTTTTAAAGGTAGTTTAATTTGATTAATTGATTGAATACATGCTTTATTGATTTACACATTTTATGTCTCTTTCAGTGTAATGGAGTTATAAATTTTGAGATAATTCATGTATATATACTAGATATGAAGATATCATGATGGATTCAAATTACTGAAAGATGAGGAAACTATACCAGTTTTATACAGGAGGAAATATTGTTGGGAGAAAGGCCAGGTGACATAGTAACTACACCGAAATTGAAAGTCAGACATCTTGGATTTGGATTCCTGTCGACTAGTGATAACACTCAGAACAATTCACTTAGGTTCTATATGACTCAATTTCTTAACTTTCAAAATGCTAGTAATAATTATCCTTTTCTCATACATTAATTATGATAACTAAAAAATGTGTGTGGGTTCGGGGTATTGTTACAGTCCTTACTGTAGTACCAAGCACACAGTAACCTCCTCTAAAATTGCAGATGCTATTATTTTTATCAAACATGTGAATAAGTGAAATGCAATATCATTTATAAAATGCATATAGTGCTACAGAATTATTCTATGAACAAATAAGGTATTTGTTTATTCACAAGAAGAAGATTTCAAAATACAAAAAAAAGGAGATGTAGTCGTGGGTATAACATAAAGTACAGAGTACTACTATCATTTCATTTTTTATCACATTCAAAGTATCAACAGAAAAGTATTTTCATTTGCTCAACTAATAACTAATGTTTACTTTTGAGTCCAATAATAGCAATACAACTTCAGTATGCCAAGTTTACAAAGTGCTTCCCTGTATATTGTCTCATCCAAATATTACGACTTCTTTGAAAGATACGTCCAAAATTTACTAATACATTCTATTTCATGGATGAAAAAGAATGAGGCACTGAGAAGTTGAATTAATTGCCAGGTGCTATGGAATTAGTAAATGATAGCTCTATAATTCAATCTTGAATCTTCTGACTTAAAGTTAATATTCTTTAACTTTTTATCTTGCCTCTCACCAAAGTTCAATATTTCATCTAAATTTCTAAGCAATAAGTAATCTTTCTCAAAATGTTAGCTTAAAAACAATAAGAATAAATATGGGTAAAATAAAATAGGTCAATTTATGATGCTTATGATCAAAGTATTAATATCAAACACGATCTTACTATTAATAGAGAAAAAAAGCATTCAAAATCTCCACATGCAACAATAGAACTATGTCTGCTACCACAAATAAAAAAAAACCTTATGCTCTCATCAAAGAAAATATTCTAATCAAAATAGGAGAGAGTCTGGAAAGATTTGCAAACAAACTTCAAATGTCTTATACACAGTAGGTGACACTTTTAACTTCTATTTTAGATAATTGCTTCACACAAGACTTGGAACTAGTAAAATTAGTGGAAGTAGCAAACAGCAATTTTGTTACCTATCTTCTTTGTTGGATTTTAACAGGTATTGTTATAAAACACCTTGATTTTTTTTGTCTGGGAAAGATTCTTTGTATTATAACAGTACAATCATCAACAGCAAAAGATACATTTTCTATTCATGATAATAACTTGGACAATTTACAGTTTATTCATTTATCTTTATAATACAATATCATCATAAAGGATAATCAAGAGGTACAATAAGAAATCATAGGTCTTTGTAAATAACTACTGGTTTAACAATACTGAAACTTTTAGTTTACCAATCTAAAATTAAAAAAAAATCCATTGTTCAACCATTATTCAACTTTTCTAGGAAATTAAAATCTATACAATCTTCTAACCAAAAATGATACATTTCCAACAGGAATAATACGTTCCCAATAAGTGGGTCTTTTGGAATCTCACAACTGTTGGCAGGCAAGCTAAAAGCATAGCATCAGACAGTTTTGCATTATCTTTAAGGAATATAAGTTCAGAGCTCCAAGGGTGTCACTGTCCTATGCAAACACTGTTGTCATTAAACGCATACTGTCATCTGGTAAGTTTAGTCATGGCGACTTGTTTCAATTGTTAATAAAACAAACAAACAAAAAATCTCTTTTATCTGACTTTCTGTTCGAATGTTAACTGAAAATTGGTCATGGAATTTACTAATATGATTCCTAATGTTTAAAATAAGCTAATCAGTGGAATTAGAATATGTAGCATGCATAAACATGTGGAAAATTAGAAAGTCATTATGAGAGTAATCATTTTTATAAAGCAGTGATAGACATACAAAATTAAATCTGCTTTCATCTCCCAGAACTGAGGAAGAGATAGAATTTAAAAATACAAAAGTGAGTAATTTGCAAAGGCCCCTCAAAAGAAATGATTCTTATTTTTAGGATTCTGAAATAATTTAACTTAAGAGATTTTGCAGTGGTCTCTTTTTCTACATCTGGAGCTTTCTACTCACAGATATGGCAGTTTTAATTTGAAGAGAAAACTGACTTAGTCACTTGATTAATTTTTCAAATAAACGATCCTATAACTTCAGATGAGTATTTCTATTACTTCCCTCTAGGCAAATTCCTTAATAGAGTATTGTTCAGCAAATCTCCTACTTTCTCCATGTTTTTCTGCATAATTATCAGCTATTTAAGTTTCTTTTAAACTATTCAAATATAGCTGAACTACTCATGGATTTCAGAAGTTCCCTAATTTTTACCCGTGTCAAATTTTAGGGAAAAGTTATAACACTGATTTTATTCTAAGTGGCCAAAGCAATCAAAGACAACTTTAGCTCAATATTTGTATCTCTTCCTTTTGAATTATGATGAATAAAATAACTTTATAGATTTAAATAAGGAAATACCATTGGAGAATCCATGTTGTTTCAGTTGATAAGAGCTGTGAAATACTGGCTTTTATTTAATTTGCTGGGGTAACTTAATGAGAACCTCATCTGGGTCCACCATCCCATACTAAAATTTATTCGCTTAGTCTTATTGGTTCCTTGCTATGTTCTATGTTGTCTCGTTTACAGTCTCCTTAGTTCCTAAAAAGTAACTCTGTTCTCACTTTCCTTAGCAGATAACCCATCTCCTTGAGAAGAACCCCTGATGAAAAAGAAATCCTCTCCAAATCAATATCTTCATTCATCACTACACTACATGTTCTATTTTCCTTCCTCCATTTCTCAGAGGAAGGAGTTCTATTACTTGCCATTGATCTTAAAATTATAGTTATCCTCCACTGTGCTGCCATCCATAATTTCATGTCCTTCATTTGTGGCTTTGTTTTCAATGGCTATAAGCATTTTCAATTTTGTCCCATTATAACAAGGCTGTCACTCAATACTGTCTGGAATCATTCAGCATATACCCTCTCCTTCCCTTCGTTGCTGAATTTCTCAAAAGAGTATTACCTTCTTTCATTTATCTGAACTCATACATACTTTTAATCGCAGCTATTCTACTTTCATTAGAGTTTACTGCAACTATCTCTGTAAACATTTCCAGTGACCTCTTAAGTATAAGTGAAATCATTTCATATCAGACATAATCCTCCATGCCTTCAAGAAACATTGAACACCTCCAATCTTTATGCTTAAAACTCTCTCTCTCTCTCTCTCTCTCTCTCTCTCTCTCAATATCTTGCTATCTCACTACTTCTATCTCTAATTTGGTTCAGTGACTCTTGACTTGCTTGAGTCTCATATCTCTCCTTCCTTCATTCCAGCCTTTTGCTTTTAGAATAGCTTCCACCTTTGCCTGTATCTATTCACCTTTTCCAGTTTTCCATTTAATTCCATGCATTTAACAGAATACTAGTTGTTAACCTAACTCAAAGGATTTGGGGGATGATTACATGGAATAATGTGTATGATGCAATGGCTATGATCCATGGGCCTGTAATGCCCCCAAAATGTGTGTTGCTGCCTCTATCTCCTTTCAACATCCTGATGCAATATTTTTCTAAATGTGAATATTACTTAATACGCCCATGCAAGTTCTTTAATTTTTCCTTAGGAAAATAGACTTCAGAGATAAAGCTGATTGTAGATGAGGTACAATAATTGTTAATTTCCTTGGAAAATTCTAATTGAAAATTGGTAAATTCAGTGGTTGGAATAAGTATGCACAGAGTAAAGGCAATAAAAAATATAGTTCAGCCTGCAACTACACTTGCCAGTTCTTTTTATGTATAATGTAATCATGTGGAAAGGCTTTTAAAATAAGCACGCCTGTGTATTCACTGCAAATTAGTCTGTCAATTGAATTTTTACAGGTGCTTCTGAATAATCCATTTCGTCTGGCTTAATTACATAATTTTAAAAGTGTACAGGTTTCTGATAAAAGAGAACACATTGTTAGGATGTAATCTATTTATTACCCCTTGTACTTCCCTTTATTGTGCTTTTTTTTGGCTTTCCAATTTTAAGCAATAACAATAATACTCTGCAAAAAAATAAAGACTTTATTGTATTTTCTGTGTCTAAATTGTCTGGGCTCACTTTTTTAGGACAATGGCCTGGAACATGTAATCAACATTAACAATCCAATCTGCCTAAGTGGGGCCATTCAAAAAGGCCTAAAATTACAACACATTTTCATTATGTATATATTTATTTACAATATTTTGTTTGATTTTTAAAATTTATATTTGCCATTACTAAAAGAACATAAGAAATGCCACACTAAATAATACCTGTGGTCTACTCAATGCTGTATTTTCTGACACTGTCCCCTTGATTCTTTTAAGATCATGAAGATTCTTTTAAATCTATCCTTAAACACAGTACCTTGACCATCTAATACATTTCTTACCTTTAACTTTTTGAGATACCACTAGTCTATAAAACCGAAAATCCAATCACATCTCTTCTCTTCCTAAAAATTCTGTTGGCTCACTGCTGTCTGCAGGACAAAGCCCAACTCTAGCCACCCCTCACTCAGATCTGCCTCTCTCTGTCACCTCCTCCCCAATCCTACCTCTACCTGCTTCTATTTTCTTTCTCCAAGTCCATCTGGTGAGCTCTTTATAGTCACTTTTGTAGCACCATCTGTTTTTCCTATTCATACCCCTACAATGAATTCCTCCCTTTGGTAATATTACTAAACCTTGTACCTACTTTTATATTCACATTAGTCATACTGTATTATAATTATGTTTACTGTGATAAAACAAGATAAATAATTAGTTTTTTAATCATTTTTAAGTGTGCCCTTTAAGTACTACTCAATGGCATAAAGTACATTCACATTGTTAATCAGCCATTACCATCATCTGTCTTCCGAACTTCATTCATCTTCCCAAACTGAAATTCTGTACACATTAAATACTAACTCTTCATTATAATTGCTTTTTAACAAATAGATAGGGTCTCGCTTTGTTGCTGAGGCTGGTCTCACACTCCTGAGTTCAAGCGACCCTCCTGCCTCAGTGTAACGAGTAGGTAGGATTTCACATATATGCCACCACACCCAGCTTACAATTAGTTTTTAACATTAACAGGTCTATCTCACATACTGGCCTTCGGAGCAGAACTAACTTTTTTTTTTTTTTTTTTTCAATACAGAGTCTTGCTCTGTCACCCAGGTTGGAGTGCAGTGGCGTGATCTTGGCCCAATGCAACCTCTGCCTCCCGGGTTCAAGCGATTCTCCTGCCTCAGCCTCCTGAGTAGCTGGGATTACAGGCACGCACCACCATGCCCAGATGATTTTTGTATAGAGACTGGGTTTCACCATGTAGGTCAGGCTGGTCTTGAACTCCTGACCTCATGATCCACCCACCTCGGCCTCCCAAAGTGCTGGGATTACAGGCGTGAGCCACTACGCCCGGCTAGAACTAACTATTTACAAATATGAGTTTGTTAACATATTTATACCCAGTACTTAATGAAATGCCTGGCAACTGGAAGATGCCCAATAAGTATTTGTTAAAGTACCATGATTAGAATCACATATTATATTATTATGTTAACCAAACGCATCAAATTATGCCAACTTTCTAGCTCTTTGCCACGTCAGCCTTACACTTTACAAAAAACAAACATTAACAAAAAAAACCACACAAAAACATACCTTTAATGGTTTTCACTTTAACAAAAATTAAAAAAAAAACAGAAAAAAACCCATAATATTACCTTTAGTGCTTTCTCATTTCAGAAAGCATAAAATCTACAAATTTTTAGCTCTTCAGAATCTGGATCCCATCAACCTCTTTACCCTCCTCTTCTGTATCTTTTCACACCCTGACTTTTATCAATGCAACATTCCTTATTCTTGAAACAGCAGTTTCAGATTTTCTTAATCATTCTGTCTCCTCAGCCTGAAATACTTCCCACAGTTTTGAAGTTAAATCATAGCCTTCCTTCAAGGATATACTCAAATGCTGTCTTTTTAGGTTGAAGTCTTCTCCGATCCTTTGGCACAGAATACGCTTATTCTCTGTTCCCTTCTGTATTTTGCTTGTGCCTGTATTTTGTATTTAGTTAGTTTTGCACTAAATTACATGTTAGTTATACGTGTATACGTCTGTCTCTTTCACTAGAGGGCAAGTTATATGAAAATTTACTTAATACCTCATTTATTTTCTTTCTTTCCATTTCTTCCTTTCAGAGACTCTCAAAATTTTCTGCACATGGTAGAGATTAATTAATTAAATTGAAAGACGAAACAACTTGTTCATTTGATACATATGATCAACATATTGCTGTTTATTGAGCATACTGAATGTTGTTCAAATGGTTCATTAAGAGAATAGTCAAAGAACAACATGAAAACACTAGTCAGAATGAAGTGTAGATAATGCAATTTGACAAACATATATTGATCAAGAGGTTCATATCACTGTTACTGAGTGAAATAAATATAAAGGAGAGAGATGAAGTCTATTTCTCAGTAAACTAACTACATAGGCTTACACAAGTATAAAATTAACCCTAATACTTGTTGAACAGTCGTAATACAGGCTGAAGTAATGAGCTTTAGCCATTAATTAATTAGCCTGTTGGCAAAGAATTATAAAATAGTTCATTAAAGAGGTGACATCTGAGCTTGAGCTTAAATGAGGAAATATGTTTTCAATGAGTGATTTGGGGTTATGGAGGTATTCCAGGAAAGACTTTAGCATAAATAAGATTTAGAGTTAGGAAAAATGTTGCCTTCTTTAAAAAAAAATACACTCTATGACTTAAGGCCTTAGAATGACTCAGGCAGAGCAGTAGGGGTGGTGGAGTTAAAGTAGAATCTGTAGGTTAGGAACACTGAAGAAATTTTCGATGGTATGTTACAAGTCTATGTAACATATATCACTATATTGTTAACATATATTAATATAGCATAATAGATCATTATGTTATCAGTGTATTAATATGGCATATATCATATATAAGTACATATTATAGATGAGAACATATTACAAAAATAATCATTATAATTGGGGCTTCACTTAGCAAGTTTAACCTTGCAGAATTACACAGCAAAAGAGATAAGCAATAAGAACAGATAAAAGCCTACTGTAATATGTCAGGTGAGAATGCATGAAGACCTGAAATATTGTAATTTTAATACATATGGAAAAAGATGAGAGTAAACAGATATGGGGAACATTATAGACACAATTATATACATAAATTGAAACAACCTGAAAGCAGAGAGTTAAGACAAATTCAAAGATAAATACATTTTCAAGTAGGAGGGAATAGCAGTACATTAGGAGAAATAACTTCTCTGGTCTCATCTGTAAAATAATAGTATGTACCTTCCAGCATTAGTGTACTGACATATATGTATTTAGCAATAAATATTAACTATGATTACTATTAAGTGCTCCATAAAATGATCTAGTATTGATGTCATTATGGACAATAAAATCTGACTCTAAAACAACTTTATTATTTTATTTGTTTATAAGAATAATGAAAAGTTATTAAAATTTCAAACACTACAGAAACATATGGTATATATACTTGCAAACAATGGAGAAAACAAATAATAACAGTTTGGCACTTATATCTAAAACTTTTTCTATTCCTGTCATAATGAATTATTATTATTATTTATATTTGAAAAATATTGAGATTATTCTATGCAACTTCATTCTTTTTACATAGCAGAATGTTTTGGGGCTTTTTCCAGAAAAGAACATATAGTAGTTTTGTATTCTTTTTAATGAGGCAACTCACTTTATTACATTAATGTGCCATATAGAATCTAAGAGGACATCAGGAAAACTAGGTGGCATTTCTGACCCACCAGAGCATAAGGCACTTTTGTGTAAATTAGAAAATGTACTCCTTGTAGGTGGCTATGTCCTCTGGTGCATGTCTGGATTAGCAAACCCTGAGCTATATTTCAGCTCCCACTGACCTCCCTGCTGGAAATTTGTAGGAGAGAATAATCTATACAATAATTAACAAAGCCCTGTGGCAATGCCAAAGGGATGTTTGAAATTTTCTGTAGAGCTCAGAAGAGTATATAAACTTTGAGCTATAGATTTTAGTTTCTTTTCTACAGAAGTCATGGTTGAATTCCTGGATGTCTGGGGAGAATAGATGAGCGATCAATGAAAGAGATTATATAAAGAAAAGATATTAGGAGGTGATAACTCCAAACCCATCCGTGAGAATAAGACAAGTGGTGGTGGTGGGAGGAGGAGAGAGAGAAAGAGAGAGAGAGAGAGAAAGAGACTCTATATATAATAATGATAGATAGATGAGAGAATAAAGCATATTAAAATCATATAATGATGATAGAATAAACTGTATGGTCTTTTCAGATTCTACATATGCATATATGCGTATGTATGAATATATCAAGATATCATTCACAATCTAAATCTCTTCTCTTAATTATCCGTTCTGAATTTGGGAATTGAATTAATTCAGAAAAAAATGTTTGGATAAGATTTTATATCTAAACTGTCACTGTAACAAGGAGAAACTCAAGAACCAAGCAGATTATCATAATATAGCACCCTTACTCTTCAAGATGGCAATATGAACTCAGAAAACAAATAGATTTGAATGTTAAGGGACACTTGTAAATACATTTTAAATTTAATTTAAAATCTGAAACGTTGCTGGGTGAGGTGGCTCATGCCTGAAATCTCAGTGCTTTGGGAGGCCGAGTTGGGCAGACTGTTTGACCCCTGGAGTTAAAGACCAGCCTGGGCAACATGGCAAAACTCCATCTCTATAAAGAATACAAAAAAAATTGGCTGGGCATGGTGGCATGCAACTGTAGTCCCAGCTACTCGTAAGGCTGAGGCTTGAGGATCACCTGAGGCTAAGAGGTGGAGGGTGCAGTAAGCCTTGATCGTGCCACTGCACTCCAGCCTGGGCAACAGAGTGAGACCCTGTCTAAAAAAAAAAAAAAAAAAAAAAAAAAAAAAAAAAAAAAAAAAAAAAAAAAGTTAAATCTGATGCATCAGATAAACGTTTCTCCAGCTCCTTGCTCATTTAGTCATACGCAGGACTTTTGCTCTGGTTCCTGATTATTCGGCTCTTAATAATTTTTTAAACTTTTTCATGAAAATTTGCTCTTTTTTTAAAAACTATCTTCTTCAGTTATTGCCTCCAACATTCAAAAGTCACCTAGTTCTTATCCTAAAGCTGCTAATAGTATGAATTTTTCTAAATGTATTTTATCAGGTTTCTAAATATATCTTCTTATCATCAATACATGATGCTTTACTTACAGTGATTTCTTATACCAATTGCTCTTACTATAGAGAATCAACAACTCAAACTGCAAGTGTCTTCTGATTTTTTCGTAATTTCATTTTGAAATATCAATTTTATTAAGAAGTTAAAGTTGACTCTTTTCTAATTACTCTCTTAAAAGAATCACTATTGATAAGTGATTTATTATTAGAAAACTAAAGTAAATTTTCTTTATCACTGGGCTTGTGAATTTCTAAATAGGGATTCGAGTTAAGCCACATGGACAATAGTTAAAATCAACAACAAAACCAAAATGGAAGTTAATAATGAGCACGATAATTACTAACAGACGTGATTTTTACTTATGCAAGTGACTCTTATTTGTACAAATGATTTTAAGCAAAACAAATGGCATTCAGAAAAGTCTGCAGTAGATACACAGGAGTGCTAAAAAGTAAAAATTTATTTTATCTATGTAAAATCAATCAAATGTACCACACTGCCTATAGGAGATTATAATAATACTCGAGGGATAAAACTCTATTCCAGAAAACAGTCGTAAATCTTTCCTCCACTTTTGTTCTCAAGGGCTGCTGTTCAATTTTATGTATAATTGAAGTAACTACTTAGTTGCTATTCCTGGAGCAAATTTTCAGAGCCTCACTTTGAGACAGAGTCTGGCTGTGTTGCCTAGGCTGGAGTGCAGTGGCGCGATCTCGGCTCACTGCAAGCTCTGCCTCCAGGGTTCACGCCATTCTCCTGCCTCAGCCTCCCAAGTAGCTGGGACTACAGGCACCCGCCACCAAGCCCAGCTAATTTTTTGTATTTTTAATAGAGACAGGGTTTCACCGTGTTAGCCAGGATGGTCTCGCTTGATCTGCAGACCTCATGATCCACCCGCCTCGGCCTCCCAAAGTGCTGGGATTACAGGTGTGAACCACCACACCTGGCCTATGGGACACTTTTATTTCAGCTTACTTTAGCCAAGTGGTCTCATCACACCTTTGTTTATGACAAACAGAAATTCTATCACGTTCATATTAAGCCATGCTTTTATAATAGTAGCCACCAAACTTTTTGTTTGTTTGCCCTTATCAATAAAATATTTTGAGAAATGCATCCAAAATGAATGTAATTTTATCACATATAAAAATCACAATTAACATTAATAAAATATAATATGAATACACATTTTACGTTTTTTTCTGATAGTTCCAGGAACAAGTACACCCCATCCTGAAGATAATTTATCAACCCCATCTCTTTCAAAGACTGTGTACTCCTTCTCATTACCTATTATTCCAGAGGTTCTTTTCTTCTATGATGACTGAGAGGTACCAATCTCTTATTTCTTTTTTTTTTTTTTCCCCCAAACCATCCTGTTTACTAAGCTGAATCTGGTCATCAAAAAGTTTTCTTTCCTTTTTAAAGATGGCTATTTCATCATTTATGGTTTTAACACTACTAGCCTTTAATTCACATAGAGTTTACTCTCCTACTAGCTGAAAGTCCATTATTTCTAAAGGTTAAATTGTTATGGCTGGGACAAAGAAAAGCATATATACACTCATTTAATTAATCTAGCTTATTTTGAAGAACAAAAGAGTGGCTGGGCGCGGTGGCTCACGCGTGTAATCCCAGCACTTTGGGAGGCCGAGGCAGGCGAATCACTAGGTTAGGAGTTCAAGACCAGCCTGACCAACATGGTGAAACCCCGTCTCTACTAAAAATACAAAAATTAGCCAGGGGTGGTGGCACATGCCCGTAATCCCAGCTACTTGGGATGCCGAGGCAGTAGAATTGCTTGAACCCAGCAGGCAGAGAGAGGTTGGAGTGAGCCAAGATTGCACCACTGCACTCCAGCCTGGGTGATAGAGCAAGACTCCGTCTCAAAACAAAAAACAAAACAAAACAAAACAAAACAAAAAACAAAGGAGTTTGTACTGAGAAGATTTATTGAGTGGTTTGAAAATGTGTATTTGTCTGTATGCATAATGTATATGTAAACATTATCTTGTTATAAATCCCTTTATAAGACTTATCTTTACTGATATTAGCCTCATATATTTTTATAAATCTATTTATATTTACTTATTTTTTATTGATCCATAATAGATGTACATACTTTGGGGGTACTTGTGATAATTTGATACATTCATATAATGTGTAAAGATCAAAGCAGGTTATTTGGAGTATCCACCACATTAACTATTTATCTTTACTTTTTACTAGGAACATTTAAATTCTGTCTTCTAGCTATTTTGAAATGTATATTAGATTAATGTTAACTATAATCAACCTACTGATCTAGATCTATGGAACACTAGGTCCTATTTCTTCCATCTAACTGAAAATTTGTACCCATTAATCAACCCTCTTCATTATTCCCTCCCCTCTACCCTTGGTTATTTAAGAGTAAGAAGATTTTGCTAATTTATATTAGTATGTCCAATACTAGTAATACCAATATTACATTACTGGAATAAACTTGTAGGAAAAATGCAGCCTTATAAATGTCAGAGAAAAAGAGAGATGGGACTATTTTAATGGCTGACACAGGTTAAACTTCTCTCTCTCTCTCTCTCCCTCTCTCTCTCTCTCTCTCTATATATATATATAATTTTATTTTATCTATGTAATATCAATAAAATGTACCACACTGTCTATAGGAGACTATAATAATACTTCAGGGATAAATATATATATATATAGTTTTATATCTTAGGTATTATATACATACATATTTAGAGAGAGATAAATATAGATAGATACATGTATATATAAACAAATTTATGTACTCTCTATATATACCTAATTATCCAAGATAATTTGTGCGTTAAAACCCAAGAGAAGTAAAATCTTCCGAAGATAAAATAACTCTTTAAATCTTAAAAAGATGATTGAAAAAACTTTTTTGGGGGTTGTGAATAGTAGCAGAAGTGGATTCAGTGACGTCACTAAATATGAGTACAGTGCTTTTAGAAGATAAGAATAGGCAGGACCTGAGGGCAAGTATATCTCTCCAAGGAGTTCACTTTTATTTGTAGCATTTTCTAAGTTTAACAGTTATTTGATATGTGTTCCAATTTTGAGCTGTGTTTTCCTTCTTGAAACGACTGACGTTCTGCCTGTAGTCTTTCTAAATCTTCATCTCCCTAGCTCACATGTCACTAGCTTTTGATAATTTTCCTTTGGTCTAGTAGTGACACATATAAATAACCAAAAATCAGAAAACAAGACTCCGGCAACTAATTTCAACAAGCCTTGTTCAATGGCATAGACAGAATGTAATTTATTTTTTGTGACAGTTATAATAAAAGTGACGTGAAACACAAGGGATGTAATGTCAGCGATATTGCACCTCAAAAGAGGAGAAAGTGTGGCAGGTTACCTCCTGATTAGCAGCAGCTAGTTCTTCTTCCAGTGCAGAGACTCTTTCTAAAGAAACCCTCAGTCGCTCCCTTACCTAGAAGAAAAATCAAAATATGTGCAGTAATGTACATCCCATACATATTAAACTGTGCTGAATCCATAATTAACATCATCAGAGACAGTCAATTTGGCAAATTATTAAAGTATTTATATCCCTGCGTGCTCAGAATACTAAATCTGGCAGAAATACAATGAATGCATTGTCACCTCGTATTGTCACTGTATCAAGGGATTTCCTTGTAAGCAAATGCTTTTGGTAGTTCCCTGATAGAGCTTCAGGTGGGGTTGGAGATTGACTTGTCTTGCTCTGAATTCTGATTCATAGTAAGTGGAGACAAAGTTTAAAAGTATATTATGAATTCATCTAAAAAATAGTCACTGTTTAAGCATGACAAATAGGAAAAAAAAATACCCCACCTTTTTCTCTACTTCTGTAAAATAACAAGTGAATTTTCATTTGGTACTTAGTATCTAATTTCAAAAATTATTTGCCTGAAGGAAAGGCCTTTTAGAACCTGAAAAATGTTCTTCGCTTCTCTGTTTTTTATTAATTAGAGGTCTACTTTGTTTTTGAGGAATTGTAAACTACTTAAGTATCTTGGAATTTCCAACTAGCTTCCAGATACCAAAGGTTAAACCATTGTATTTTATAGAACAAAAATCTCTGTATATTTTAGTTTGAAAGTCATAATTTATGCTTGTTTCTTACATAACTGAAACTCGAAGAAGTATTTCTTTGATTCTTGCTTTCTTAGAACTTTGTTTTAGTTGTTTTATGTTTAGATCTATATATATGTCCTGATATATATATATATATATATAAAACAATTCAGAGAAAGAAATATTGCTGAATTAAAATGAATGACTATAGCAGTTTAATTTTCCTTAAAAAATCAAAAAACTTTATAGCTTTAACTTAAGATGCAATTCATGGTGGGTTTTCGATTATTTATAAATTAACTTAGATTTTTCTTGGGAATGCTATAGTATTTGTGCAGTTAAGATGTGTTTTAACATATAATTATATTCCTATGAGCTTTCATTTTATTAACTGACAGCATATTTTAATAAATGGTATTTTTCTCCTCTAATAAGATTTAACTGGGAATATAGATTAAATTTATAAAATATGTAAAAACCCAGATACATAAAAATTAAATTGGAATTATAATATTATTTTTCCAGTTAGCAAACAAACAAAAAGTCAGTAATGTCCTATTAACCTAGAATCCTATTAGGAATTTTTAAGAATCTAAGTCACATTTTAGTATTGTATTACAATACCATGTATATTCAGATGAATGGATGCATTTAATTCCTGAAATAGACCTTGAATCAGCAATAAAAATATCCAAGTAGGGGTTTTAATATTAATTATATTTTGTTATGCTTAAATTCTCTAAAAACAATAATACACACATAAATGGAGACTTGATTTCTAAAAGAGTTGCACAGGATCTTTCATCATATTGAGCTAGAGATTAACTGCCAAGTATCATTCCTGTTAGACAAATATCCAATTGTTAACAAAATACATAGGATTAATGCTGATTAATAACCAAACACTAGTTACATAGCAGGAAATCTTCGATGATTTGATTTGGAGAATACTTTTTTATGAATTTTGAATACATGAAAAAGAAGCAAATATCCCGAAGCCATGAAAATGAGCAGGACAGCTGATGTGTGGAATGCATATATCAAAAAACGTTTCAACAGACGTGTGATGTTTAACAGGGATTCCCATATTCTAAAATACCAACTGTAAAATACGGGTGTCCTGAAGAAGGCCTAGTAAACCTAGTTGATGAGAACAGCAATATGAAGCAATCTAAATATGTTAATAATCTCTCCATACACAACGCTGATCATATCACACTTAAGCTGCTGTAGAGAGAGGAAGTTACCATATTTTAAAATATCAACACATTAAAATCTTTCTAAAAGTCATTCGCATAATATAAGAAATGGTTGAATCTAGGCTACATGGTAGGTTAATATATCTTTCTTTCTTTTTTTAAACTTAAACTCTTAGAACTGTTCCAAACTGTTTTCTATTTACTACAAGTTAAGCATTTATATTTTCATTATAGTGAGTTTTTAAGGAGTAAAAGTTATCGAATTTATCCAACAATATGAAAATGAAATAATCATCTTTCATATATTTAGAATAGTGGTTTACAAATTGAGATTATGTTGTCCACGAAGTAATAAATCTAAAACTGTTTTACAAGAAAATAAAAAATTCTGAATATATTTTGAGTTATGTTATAAATTGAAAAATTGATGCTGTGAATATCAATAATGCAAACTGAAATTAATATAAGGCAGGGTTGCATTTGGGGAATTATCACTCCTACAACAGAAAATATTCTTGTGGAAATCTCCTCAGACCAGAAGCTCTAATTCATTCCTTGACACTAAGATATTTGATAATAAAAATATATAGGGAAGGCATATATATTTAATTTGTTTTGGTTTACATTTCCCATACATGTCTGATATGTTATTTTTAAATAGTCAATGATTTCTGAGTAATTGAAAAACACAAGTATATTTCTCATGTTCTCCAACCCTTGGAATTGGTAAATATATTGTAGAGTAATTTCAAAATTACTGATGGTCTTAGCTAATTATGAATATTCTATGCTACAACTTGGTGGCTGTATAAATAATTGGACATTAATGATGAAAATTATGAATCACTGCAACTCTCTACAGCTATGCTCAATCCTTGTAGAGTTTATTTAGCTCTGCATATGTACTAATCCCTCTATGATAAAGTTGTTTGTTTCCTGTCCCCAAGGCATGGTTAATTGCATCTTTTTCTGACTTCATATATATATATATATATATATATATATATATATATATATATATATATATAGTATTACTTGTTTATATATCTATATCCACATCCCTCCTCATCCCTATGAGAAACTGTGAGTTACTCTTAGGGAAATTGTCTATGAAGGCACTTAGACACATATGAGTCCCTCGACAACTAAATGAAATGCTATTGTAAACAAGCATCTGGATCAACAGTAAAACCAACATGTTTACTTGGTTTGAAAGTTTTATCAAATGCTGATGCTTACTCCTGCTAATAATAATATTCATAAACGTTCACTAAGGACTTGCCATATGCTAAGCACTGGCTGAAAGCTTTGCATATCAGATCATATCTAATCCTCATGATGACTCTGAGGTCAGTACTAGGATTATCTTAATTCAAGATAAGAGGTAATTGATGCTTTGAGAATGAATGATCAAGTCACTTATCCAGATCTGTCTGACTCCAGAGCCCCAATTCATTTCTTCTTTAGGCCACTGAGCATTACTTGTTGATAATCAGTCCAGTTGTCCCTGAACTCACCAATGTTCAGAATACCTATGGTGAGTTAATACATATTATTATAGCTCCTAGGGTCATACGATGGAACAACTCATATAGTTATGCTAAACCCACTGAACTTCTATAAAGTAAATTATTTCTAGATTACGTTGTACAACAACCATTTTTTTCTTAAATGTACTCACACGACCAGGTTATTTGTCTTAAATGCTGTTTATTACCTCTATTCTGATAAAGAATCATTCTTTTGTAAAAGCATCCCTCAAGTGATATGGGAATGCTTATGGGACCATCTCAAATCATACATTCTCTAGTACCTTCATTTAAGTCACAAAACTCTTGAATTTTCTCTGGATAGGTCCTTCTCTTCTTACAGCTCTGGGTTATTTTCTGTGTGGGTCCTGCTGCTTAGAGTATCTTTCTCTGCTTAAAAAACCCTTAATCATTCTTTAATACCTAGATCAAATGCCAACCTTTCTTTTTTTTTTTTTTTTTTTTTTTTTTTTTGAGACGGAGTCTCGCTGTCACCCAGGCTGGAGTGCAGTGGCGCGATCTGGGCTCACTGCAAGCTCCACCTCCCGGGTTCACGCCATTCTCCTGCCTCAGCCTCCCCAGTAGCTGGGACTACAGGCGCCCGCCACCACGCCCAGCTAATTTTTTGTATTTTTAGTAGAGGTGGGGTTTCACCGTGTTAGCCAGGATGGTCTCGATCTCCTGACCTCGTGATCCGCCCGCCTCGGCCTCCCAAAGTGCTGGGATTACAGGCGTGAGCCACCGCGCCCGGCCATGCCAACCTTTCTTGAAGACATCCTTGTCTTTGTCATTACTCACACAGTCACAGCTTTTTCTGTGGCTACATATTGTGATGGAAATACATCTGTTTTGAGTTGTTTTTCATTGATATGTGAATTCCTAGCACTAACTCTGAACTTCTCAGTCATAATGAGCATATCTTATTTATCTCTGTGTGTCAAACATGTGCTATGGAGCCTGACACATACTAAAAATTCTATACATATAAACTCTTGCAAATTCTTAGCACTTTTATAAAAAGAGAGGAAATATAATATGAAACTAAATATTGAATATTAAATAATTATTTGATGTCATATTTAGCAAGAATTTTTATATAATATTCATTTCTGTTTTATTCAAAATAATTCTTATACTAATTGCCTCTCGTTGCTAAAATAAAAATGAGATACAATTTCTTCTTAATACTCTAGAAGACAGAATTATAGTTATCCTTACATACACACTCCACATAATCCCCTGTTCTCAGAACATCTGAAAGACCAATGATAAAAATATAAATGTATATAAATATTAAATAGAACAAAAATATTTGCATGCTTAAAAACTAGATATAACTGGGAAATAATCCCTAGTTTGGATTTTAATGCTCAGAACTTGTCGGATACTTTACAATGAAGTGTCCCAATTTCCACTCTAACTCCTAAAGATTTACTAATTTTTAAAAGTTCAGTCTTTGAAATTTCACGAAATTGAAATACGTCATAAGCCTTCCTAATCTCCTAAGGATATTATCATCATATTGGTTTATATATGTCAGTAGAACTTATTCGAGTAACAGCTAAGAGAAGCTTACAGCTACTTTTAAAAATATCTAAACACAGGTTTTTCTACTAATACTTTGTGATGTTACATGCAGAGAATATTCAAATGAATATTTAAAACTATGATATTAGAGACATTAGAAAATAAGATGCTTCTAAAATAAATGTCTAAAAGTTAAAGTACATCAATTTGCATATCAAAATATACATAATTTTCAGTTAGTGGTCTCTTATTTTGGAATCTATAAAGAAAGACCAAGGTGGGGGGGGGGGAGGGGGGAGAGAGAGAGAGAGAGAGAGAGGCTCAATAATAATATTAAATGATATAACATTTTGAATGTCATCTGAAGTAGGGTTATAATGTACCATAATAGAAGTCTAATTCTGATAAGCCATAGATTCAGTGGTTTAGAAAAAGAAGATGTTTATGAATATTACCAACATCCACACAGTAATCCATTTTCACTTTTAAAAAATGATTTTTCATATAACTCAAAAGTGTTCCTCAACTGACTGACTTTAGGAGTCAGGTGAGTCAATGGATGAAGACAAAGAGCTTGATGCTGATGACAGAAGTGTAGTTAAGCTTGAACTCTTTTTCCATACTATACCTTTTCATCCAAGGCCTTGTGGTGCTCAAACAAAGATTTCAGTGCCTTGAGAACTTCAACTTCACTGGATACTCCTGAGGGAGACTGGGCTTGCCGTTTTACCACCGTCATTCTTAGTGATCTTTCATGTCGTGACACAAGGCACTCCAAATGCTCCAGTAATAGCTATTGGGTTTAACAGAAAATGCAATTATCTTATGAATACAAGTCATAAATACTTACAAATGACTTCCCCCTTAAATTATTGCAGGCTTACATAGTATCTAATGTTAGCTGCAGGTTACACTGCAAGCAGCAACAAAGAAGCACAGACCTGTTTAAAACAGGGTTTATAAAATACATTAAAGATAAATTGTATTTGATCATTTAACAAGTTACTGAATTTAAAAATGTAATGCAAATGTAATGCAGTCCTTTAGCAAATGTAATAATTTCAGTACGAATTCAGCAGAAATAGAACACTTGGAAAAATATGTATGATAATGATGAAAGAACATTGCTTGATGCATCATGATCTTTTTAGAGGATCATAGTGACAGTCAAAATTTATTTCATTTACATATGGCCATTAAAATAATTTGAATTGAATAAAATGAGCATAATCATTAAAATGTTACTTTAACTTAATCACATGGTTTTATTCACAATTAGTCTTTAGATTAATTATAGAAAAATATATGCAACCAATTAGAACATAGTAACTGAGATTCTCAATTGTCAGTTCAGAAAAGGAAGTTAAGGATACAGTTTTAAATTGCCTGTGTTAGAATCTATGATTTCCCAGAGTAGCCTCTGGGGCCATGACAGAGGTGGAGGGAAAGTCCCTGAAGACTTTCCAGGCTGTTTCAGGCTTTACACTCTTAGCTTTTGCCAGAGGAGTTCTGCTTTGAAATGTTTTGTGAATTGGGGTTTCATATTTGCTTTCATTTCAAAAGGAAGTTCTACTGCTAAAAAACAAAGATACATGAGAAGAAAATCAGAAATTGCTTGATTATTTTCAGTTATTATAATTTTACTAGTGAAGAACCACACACAGTTGGTGAGCATTATAGGAAAGGTCTTCGGAAGCATAGTGAAAAGCATAGGCTAACAAGTGGTGTCTACTTATGCAAAATAAAGAAGAAAATAAAGCAGAAATTACCCAAACAAAAGATTTAAAAACAGATATAAGACACTGAAGGTGGAAAGAATAAAGAAAACAACTTTATTTTTTTCTTTTCAAGATATTTTCTAAAAGTTTAACTGTAATGAAAAATTTTGGTTTTCACTATACCACTGTTAGATTCATTGTCAAGTATTAGTATCATATTTTTTGGTTGATTTCTCTACATTTGCTGTCACTAATTATGACTCAAAATGTTAGAAAACTTTGCCATTATTGGGCACAAAGAACACCAGTATCTGAGACACTAAACATGCATAAATCAGTAGATAAGAGTCACATTTAAGGATCAAACTAATCGCCGGGCACAGTGGCTCACTCCTGTAATCCCAGCACTTTGGGAGGCCAAGGCAGGCAGATCACGAGGTCAGGAGATCGAGACCATCCTGGCTAACACAGTGAAACCCCGTCTCTACTAAAATAATAATAATAATAATAGTAGTTTTTCAGTATGAAAATAACCTGAAATTTTCAAGGAGCCCTTTAAAATTTATCAATCTCTGATTATATTATGGTATTCTATTCTCTCAAATTCTTTAGATACATGTATTCATTGCATAAATCCAAGCTGTTTTACATAGGTTGTGGAGATTTGCATGAACTTAATAATGTCTGTTTTTCCAGTGGCATCTGATGTCAATCTTTCGCTGGCAAACTATGTTCCAGACTTCTGACCTACTTTTAGCTCCTCAGTATGTCAAGCCTTTGCTTATGCTGTACCCTCTGCCCAAAGCACTCCTTCTTTGGTTCCTCATTTAACCAGCTCTTTCTCATTCTTTAAGTCTCAGCTTAAACATCATCTCTCAACAAGGCATTTGCTCACTACTGTCTAAAGTAAGTTTCTCCTTTTCCCCACCTCCGCAAGTCTCTATTTCAATCCCTTACTAATTTTCTTCAGAATATTTTATGATATGCAATTTAAACAAATTTTTCTACCAAATTTCATTCTATTTTCCCATTGCAATAAAAGCTCCATGAGAGTTGGCACAGTGTCCGCCTTAATCCTCTTGATCCTCTCTGGATTTGGGTGTTAGCTCAATTCCCAACATCTATAGGTATGCAATTAATATTTGTTGAGTGAACTGAAATGTTAAATGAGTTAAATTTACATACCTCATATAGTTTTATATATCTCATACAGATTTGGCCTATATGAAAGCTAAGCCTGTGGCCATGGTTAATTGGCATTATTTCCTAAAAGCTTAGGCTAATTAACATTATTATGTACATCTATCCTTCAATCTGATGACAAAAATAATGAAACCTTTACAACACAATGAAAACTGTTTTTTTTTCTAATTGTAAATTAGAGTCATCTTGCATAATATAGTCGTTCAATAAACATATCAGCATCCAATTTTGCACAATACAGTGTAAGATTTAGAAATATAAAATATCCACCCTCTAGGAAAAGAAACACAATAATGATGCTATAAAGGATATCTGTTATTAGAGACTACCTAAATCTTTTGATCACACTCTTCACATTTGGCAAGTGGAACTTTTTAACTGCTTCTCCCTACCCTCATGTCCTCATTGTCTCTTTACCCAGCTTAAAGTTAACAATTCAGTATTTGTAAGCACTCTCTTTCATGCTCCCTCAGTTTCTAGAATCTGATCACTTGCCACTACATCCACTGCTTACATTTGTGTCCAAGACCTATAATCTCCCCCTGGATTATAATGGCTCCTTAACTGGTCCTCCTCCTTTCAGCCTTTCATCTTCAGGCTATTCTCAAAACACTATTTCAGTTAAAATGTGAGTTAGGTCATTTATACCTCTGCTCAAATTTTTAATGTCTTCTTATTGAGCTCAAGTGAAAGTCAAAGTCCTTATACATCCCAAAGGGATCTAAATTTTCTGAACTTATCTCCTATTTTTCTTCTTGCTCATTCTGGTATAGCTTCATTGGCTGCCTTGCAGTTTTTTGTTTGTTTAGTTTTGTTAGTTTTGCTTTTAACAGGCTAAACATCCATGTCCCCACAACAGGGGTTTTGTACTTCTTCTTTTCTCTAACTAAAACATTCTCTTTCAGAAATCTGTATGACTATCTCACTTCACCTTCGCTTTCATATTTTAACTCAAATGCCACTTTTCAATGAGGCTTTCCCTGGTTACCTACAACATTGGATATCTCCTTCCTAGCATATTAAAATGTTGCTTTGTGTCATTAAGTTTTTGGATAGTTTGTCATATCATGATAGGTAATCAGAAAACCTTCTCCCAAAGGATCTGTAACTATTTATTAGAGTCATAGTACTATGGACAATAAAATATCAAAGTTTCTTGAATATTACCTCTGAGCTAGGAGTAATTTTCTGATCCTCACTCTGTAAGAGTCTTCAGTAACCTGGTGGACAAACTGATTCACCTTGTAGATATCAGCCTATTTCCCTTGCCACCATGTCGTATTTCTCAATGTGCATAAAGAAGTGACCATGGTTTCAGGGTTATAAACCTGACAAAATGGGCTTCCCACGATTAAGACTGATGGAGACACCACCATGGCTGAACGGCCCAGTGGCAAGCTGCAGCAATCTAACTTGAGCCCTGTCATGATAAAGTACAGCTGGAGACCAGCTATTCACCATGAAGCAAGCATATTATATCAAATACTTTTTATTAAAGAGGAGGCAGTTTTTCCTCACTATAATAAACCCCCTTTTTGGATATAGATTTGCTTTCTCTAATGACCATACTTCTACCAGAAACACCATCTTACCGAGTTTTTGCTTACAGTCATGTTATGATATACAACATTACTTCAGACAAAAAAAAAAAAACAAAAAAAAATCTGATTTTACAGTGAAAAGAGTAATGCAATTGATGGGTGCTCCCAGGGACCCCGGATTTTATCACACCATTACATCATTTAGAAGTAGCTGAACTTATAGAATGGTTAAATAAGCCAAGACTTTTTTTTATTTTTTATTATTATACTGTAAGTTCTAGGGTACATGTGCACAACGTGCAGGTTTATTACATATGTATACATGTGCCATGTTGGTGTGCTGCACCCATTAACTCGTCATTTACATTAGGTATATCTCCTAATGCTATCCCTCCCCCCTCCCCCCGACCCCATGACAGGCCCTGGTGTGTGATGTTCCCCTTCCTGTGTCCAAATGTTCTCATTGTTCAATTCCCACCTATGAGTGAAAACATGCGGTGTTTGGTTTTTTGTCCTTGCAATAGTTTGCTGAGAATGATGGTTTCCAGCTTCATCCATGTCCCTACAAAGGACATGGACTCATCCTTTTTTATGGCTGCATAGTATTCCATGGTTTATATGTGCCACATTTTCTCAATCCAGTCTATCATTGATGGACATTTGGGTTAGTTCCAAGTCTTTGGTATTGTGAATAGTGCTGCAATAAACATAAGTGTGCATGTGTCTTTATAGCATCATGATTTATAATCCTTTGGGTATATACCCAGTAATGGGATGGCTGGGTCAAATGGTATTTCTAGTTCTAGATCCTTGAGGAATTGCCACACTGTCTTCCACAACGGTTGAACTAGTTTACAGTCCCACCAACAGTGCAAAAGTGTTCCTATTTCTCCACATCCTCTCCAGCACCTGTTGTTTCCTCACTTTGTAATGATTGCCATTCTAACTGGTGTGAGATGGTATCTCATTGTGGTTTTGATTTGCATTCCTCTGATGGCCAGTGATGGTGAGCATTTTTTCATGTGTCTGTTGGCTGCACAAATGTCCTTTTGAGAAGTGTCTGTTCGTATCCTTCGCCCACTTTTTGATAGGGTTGTTTGTTTTTTTTCTTGTAAATTTGTTTGAGTTCTTTGTAGATTCTGGATATTAGCCCTTTGTCAGATGAGTAGGTTGCAAAAATTTTCTCCCATTCTGTAGCTTGCCTGTTCACTCTGATGGTATTTTCTTTTGCTGTGCAGAAGCTCTTTAGTTTAATTAGATCCCATTTGTCAATTTTGGCTTTTGTTGCCATTGCTTTTGGTGTTTTAGACATGAAGTCCTATCATCCCTATGTCCTGAATGGTATTGCCTAGGTTTTCTTCTAGGGTTTTTATGGTTTTAGGTCTAACATTTAAGTCTTTAATCCATCTTGAATTAATTTTTGTATAAGGTGTAAGGAAGGGATCCAGTTTCAGCTTTCTACATGTGGCTAGCCAGTTGACCCAGCACAATTCAAGCTTGGACATAATACATTGCTAAGTAGGAATTCTATCATCCTGGAATTAGTATATCCTCAGAACTACTGATAGAAATAAGATAGAGTTTCTTTCTTGGAATAGCTATGGATCCATGTATGTAAGTCCAGAAACCAAGGTTTATAATTGGAATTCATAACTGCCAACTAGGACCTGTGACTAGTGGAGAAAAGAGGATCATTCCTTTTTTGTTGACACACATACACACGCTCACATACAGACACACACACTATATATACACACACGCATGCATGTTTGTGTGTGAATATATATATATAATGTACATTAATACATTATTCTCTTTTCTGTTTTCTGTACCCTGTTACCATCTTTTACCCATTAATTATCCCCATTTTCTACCCCTCCCCCTGACTGTTTGATAGTTCCTCACAATCCAAATCCCATCTTCCCAGTAACATTTCTTGGGAATGTTTACCACTAGGTGGCAGACCTGTGACTTAAGATCAGTCAACCAGACCTGACCACCCTGGGAGTTAGCCTGACGGGGCAGAGAGGAACCATGCTGGGAAGGGGTAGTGGCAGAGGCTGCGTGTTTCTGGGACTGGGCTTGTGAGAAAAATTTACAAAGCTAAGAAATGTGGTCCTAGAGACTGTCTGAAAGCTCAGTTTAGAGATTTCTTATATGCTTTAATTAATGTCTTTATTTAAACAGCCAAGCTATATACTCTGTTTTGTGCAATTAGGAACTCTCATCTACATGATAATAAAAACCAAATATGTTTTTATTAATATAAACAGACTCCTTAAGGGATGAACGATTTCACTTATCCCCAATACCAAGGAAAATATTCTACATAATAAGTACTTAATACTTGTTGAATTGGGTTAATGATAAACATCAATTATTCAGATTGAAGAATATGGACAAAAATGTTCTCATCTGGCATATATATATGGCCTAATTTAAGGTTAAAAATAAAAGTAAATAAATTAAGAGTACAAAAAGTGATACTTAGCTAAGATACCATTAACAATCTACTAATTACACACCTTCACTGGGAGCTACAACTTTAGCCTAATATTTAATAATTCTCACAGAAAGTACAAATGGAACTCTCTTTGGTATACTCAAAGGATTGTAGAGACTATGTGAATGGCCATGAATCCTATGTTTGAATTTTCTTTAAATGACCACAGGTTCTATGTGTATACACACATATGTATCATATATTCACACACAGACACACACACACACACCCACACAAACCCACACATCATGCGTCATTGGGAATTTTTTGGACTAAGTTTTGCCTTGAAAAGCAAGATGGCCCAGGTAATCTAAATCTTTTATTTTACTATGATTCTGTAAGGATTTCTAAAACTATATAACTTCCTATTAGATCTTAATTCAACAAAACCTTGTGAATAGTTATTTCCAATTATAAATGGCACTGAAACAGAAACACATTCTTCCCTGTAGACTAATGTGGCTGCTGTAATATGGTCATATAGCATGACATTAACATCTGAAAACGAAAACCTTTAAATTGGTTGCCTTCTTACTCAACCCACTCCATATCTTTTACCCTCAAATATCGTTTAAAATCCCATGTTTCTTATGCTCATGTTTGATTATGAAATTGAAATAGCTGTTGGGAGGGCGTATGTCCTATCCTATTTACTCTTGTACTGATCATATCCTATCATAGAACTTTCATAAATAACTATATACGCACATGCATGTACACATATGTAGAATCTTTATCTGTTTTCAGCTGAGAAGGTCTTCCTTTTCTGAATTGGACCGTATTTTCTACCCATTGATGAAATACATTTGGATGACATTATTAACTCGTACAGGCAGAGATTTGTCAATAAGAAAAAATTTTTCTTTAGTAGTGATGGGTGTCTAATTGTATCTCAATATCTGTTAAGATAATTCCTTTGGCTCAAAACAAAAGTGAGGGCATGGTAAGAAATGTGTCAAATGCAATTATGTCTTCTTTTTAAGTTTATGATCCATGAGATTAAGTTACAGCTTTATTATTTATAACTAGGTATTAATACTGTTTCTTGAAATCATAACAATATGAATACTGTTTCTCAAAACCATAACGTTTTTCTTTTTTTTTAATTTTTTTTTATTATACTTTAAGTTTTAGGGTACATGTGCACATTGTGCAGGTTAGTTACATATGTATACATGTGCCATGCTGGTGCGCTGCACCCACTAACTCGTCATCTAGCATTAGGTATATCTCCCAGTGCTATCCCTCCCCCCTCCCCCCACCCCACCACAGTCCCCAGAGTGTGATATTCCCCTTCCTGTGTCCATGTGATCTCATTGTTCAATTCCCACCTATGAGTGAGAATTCAAAGTCACACAATAGTTACATTCTAAAACATTATGAACAATTTAAAACATCCTTTGAGATCTTCAGCTATAAAAATAGTTGAAACAACTCCGACAATAAAAATGTTCTTCACGCTGACATTCACAGGCAATAACTATACAAAAATTCCCAGTTTTTCTTTACCTCTTCATTAGTTCAGATAACTTTGTCAAAACATGTCTTATTGATCATTTTGAGTTGAAATAACATCAGGAATAAATTATTTTCTATAAATATAACCTTCTGTAAATATATACTTGCCAAAGTATGGTCAGAGGAGTTTTAGGAATAACAAATTTTGTTTCAATATTTTTTCTACATTTTTATCAGTATAAAAATATTGAACAAAAACTTCTTTGTATGTTTCTATAAATATCCACTATAATTTTTTGAAATTTCTATTTTTGTATAATTGTTTATAATATTATAATGATTTTATTAGGATATTCTTAATTTAATAACTTGAGGCAGTTGGATTTAAGAACAACTGCAGTGATGACTGATTTTCTTTCATTCACTCAAATTTTTGCAATGTCAACGAGGTGTTTCTGTGGAGAAAACATAATACATGGCCAGGACATACATTTCAGCTTTGACCTCAGAATAAAAACATAGCAGATTGACTTTCCACATGACTAACACAAAATAAAGTAGGATTGAATTACAAAAATTTAAATAGGCCAGGAGCAGTGGCTCATGCCTGTAATCCCAGCACTTTGGGAGGTGAAGACGGGCCGACTGCTTGAGCCCAGGAGTTCGAGACAAGTCCAGGCAACATGGCAAAACCCCATCTCTACAAAAAATAACAGAAATTAGCTGGGTATGGTGGCATGTGGCTATAGTCCCAGCTACTTGGGAGGCTGAGGTGGGAAGATCACCTGAGTCCAGGGAACTCTAGGCTGCAGTGAACCATGATTGTGCCACTGCACTCCAGCCTGAGCAAGAGTGAGACCTCGTCTCAAAAGAATTAAAAAAAGAAAAAAATAAATTTGAACAAACTGTATTCTTCTTTGAACATAATACCTTTGCATCACATGTGAATTGTGGGTGACATAGGAATATGATTTCTTAAATACATAGTCTGTGGGTAAACTGAGAAGGAAGTAGTGGACTCTCTGGGTGTTTCATTTATAAGCCATTTATAGGCCTGGGACAAGTTACTTACTACCTTAGTTTTCTCTTGAATTAAATGGGAATAATGAGATTGCTGTGAGAATAAAGTGAGTTAAACATGTAAAACATTCATAAAAACATTTAGATTTTAATGTTAGCTATTATATTATCATTATTACTCTCTATCTTCATTCAATTCCCACTGGAACTTCTATTTTCTATTTTGGAAGATGGTATAATTCATCCAAATATCATTATACAGAAGGACTTTTTCTGATCTATTGTTTTTGATAACATTCAAAATTAATACAAATGACCCCATCCACACATGGTTTCATGGACTGGCTTTTTATGTTATTTAGCTCAGTTCATGAACATATCCTAACTACTCGATGTAAAGTGAGCCACAAGTTGATCAGAACTTTGGAAATTGGAATGCTCAATTACACTTTATATTTTATTTTCTTTTATATATTTATTTATGTATTTATTTTTTGAGATGGAGTCTCCCTCTGTCGCCCAGACTGGAGTGCAGTGACACGATCTCTGCTCACTGCAATCTCACCCTCCTGGATTCAAGCGATTATCCTATTTCAGCATCACGAGCAGCTGAGGTTACAGGCATGTGCCACCATGCCCAGCTATCACTTGCGCTTTAAATTTGCTCACAATCTGACACCAATTAAAGTTTCTTTACATGTGAGAAGGAAACACTAGCTTGTTGCTTTGTCTCTATGACCAGCACACAGATATTTATAGCAAGAAGAAAAGCACAACATCTAGAAAGAGAAACAACTATAAAATCTATAAAAATGGTTTTATTTAGCAACATTTGATAAGGCATCTGGTGTGAAGAGAGACATATTTGATTTTCAGCTCTGGATATACTACTTCTGGGGGATGGAGGAGGGTGAGAGGTGGTTATGTAACTTAAGGAGTTATTATATAATTAATACTGTGTACAAGGGGGTTTTCATAAATCTGTTTTCCTTGATGCAGTCGACAACAAAAATCCTCCACATCACTGCTTTAAAGAAGGTAGAAATG
The DNA here is from genome assembly GCF_000001405.40 of Homo sapiens. Classification (NCBI taxonomy): domain Eukaryota; kingdom Metazoa; phylum Chordata; class Mammalia; order Primates; family Hominidae; genus Homo; species Homo sapiens. Next base: position 81,455,418 of record NC_000012.12, read on the forward strand.
TATTTTCCAGCCTTATTCATATTTTCAAAGTAACTATTATGCATGGTTGAAATCAATGGCTTCAATATCTGTTATTGTTATTTTAAAGGAACTTTGTATTTTTCTAATTTTGACTCCCAAATAGGTACTTCACATGTGGCTCACCTTCCTCCCTTTATTATCCAAGACTCCTTTGCAAACACAATAGCCTCGGGTATTTCTGGTTCTCATGGGGTTCAATATGATGAAAATTGTACGGATTCTGTCACCAAATCTCTTAGCTCTCTAAAATTCATCACAATTAGATACTGTGGTGGTCTGACTGTTAAGCAATGTCCTCTCTAGCTGTAGTAAGTCTTTGAGTAATAATGCTGATGGCCTCATGGTTAGTGCACAGGCTCTGGATTTAGACTGCCTTACCTTTCAAATTCATTCTTTGCTATTTACTAACTGTGTGACTTCTGGCAAGTTATCTGACCTTTTCTGAGCTCACTTACCTGGTCTGTAAAATTGAGATAATTATAACATCTCCAGAGGGGTGTAGAAAGGAGTAAGGGGCTGAAGAAAAAAGGCTAGATGAACCTACACAGCTAATAAAAGAGTGTCTGGTGCATTTTAAATGTGAGCATTAGTTATAAACCTAACCAAAGCTTTGTATTTCCCTGCATTCTCAGCTTTCTGCTCCTACTTTTACACTTGAGTGTGCTGTGTTAAATCAAGGAATGTAGTCTAAAGTACTAAAATATAACATAGTGGAATAGGGCAGAATAAATGTCATGGTATAAATAAATTTTAAATTTGCACGAAAACACAGTGTTAAGTTAAAAAAGTCAAGGGTAGGAAATATATAGAGAGGAAGACAGCAAAAGAAAAAAATTGTCTGATACCTGATAATATGATCTAAACTGCCCTTGTTATGCCCTGTTTGAGGCAATCCATTTGACAGGTTCATCAGAGTATCATTGAAAACCAATTCAATGTATGCATGTATGTGAATTCTCTTTACCATGAAATAAGACCTTGATAAATAAGGACATAAATTCAGTTTGATCATGTAACCATTATGCAAGCAACCCTATCTCTCATTAAAGGCACAAGCTCCCAGTTAGTAGAACTGTATTTTATATTACTCTCTAAGACTCATAAAGTGAATAGGCCATTAGCTATACCTATTTTTTTCAGGATTGATCTATTATAGCTATAACATTTAAACTATTTTTCACCAACTTCAGTTGTATTTAAATTGAACTTACATCCACATAGAAGTGGTTTTTTTCTACTTCCTTTTAGTAAACTGTACTCCTCTATGGGTAATGTGGTAATTTACATGTTTATAAAATTTAGTGATTTTTTTTCTCAAAGAAAATATAGCATGTTTATCAAATTCTGAACTTTAATGTTACATGGCATGTCATATGCTTGATGAAAATACATGGGTTTCCAAAAGTAGAATCTAGCAAATTCCATGAGTTTCATGAAATCAGAATATCATGGCTGGACATTCCCTTGGAAATTTATTAAAACATAAAGGCACTCCTCTTTTAATGGGCAGATTTTTTTTTCAGTTTTTTTTTCTTGACACTATTTTTTGTTTCCTTTTTATTTTATTTATTATTATTATTTTTTTGAGACAGAGTCTCACTCTGTTGCCCAGGCTGGACTGTGGTGGTGCAATCTCGGTTCACTGCAGCCTCTGCCTCCCAGGCCCTCCCAAGTAGCTGGGACTGCAGGTGCGTGCCACCAAGCCTGGCTGACTTTTGTATTTATAGTAGAAATGGGGTTTCACCATGTTGGCCAGGGTGATCTTGAACTCCTGAACTTAGGTGATCCGCCTGCCTTGGCCTCCCAAAGTGCTGGGATTACAGGCATGAGGCATCGCGTCCGGCCTTTTTTTTTTTTTCCTTTTTAAAAAAATCTTCTGCTGGGAGGAGGTGAGAACCAAACCCAGGCCACTCTTTTGTAGCAGCCCTTAATTTAAACTCTTCCTCTTTTCCAAAACTCTCCTCTTTTGCCCATTTCCAACCTCTGAGGGATTACCCTACCCCCAAAACAACCTTTTGAAAGTTTGAAACCCATTATTGAAATCCAGATCTTCTTTTTAAAGCCAAATAAAGTAAAGGCCAGAAGGAATGTGAACATTTTGTAAAGCAACATAGTGATTTAGTAGCTGTGACTATAATTTAGGTTTCCTGTCTTTTTGTTTTGAGTTTTATAGTATATCCTCCTTTACTTTAAGTAACTGAGTTACTATCTGCTTAAAGTAATTATAAAGTTTTAAAATGCATATATTTTCTTCTTATATGTGTGTTACATGTAATGCATTGAACTACAAATAGAATTAATTCCAAAAAGGCTGCTTTACACTTACTCTTGTGTTGTTTCTTTCAGCTTTAAGTTCAGAGATTTCTTCTTCCTTTTCTAGAAGTTGTTCCCTGCAGGCATTTAATTCTTTTGTCAGTGCAGCAAATTCCTGGAAAAGTAATAAAAATATTTGAAGAAATATTCAAGATCTAAAAGCAGAAAAAAATTCAAAATATAAATTTCAAAATGAAAAGAATGGGGAAAAATGACCCCACTGACTGGTCAACATATGTTGCTGTTATGAAGTATCTTAAATACATTATTCAAAACATGCTAATCCATAATATGTGTCATATGCATTTTATTACAGTACACTGCTTAGATGGGTGTATAAAGTATATTTCAAAATATATCAGATACATCACACTGAGCCTAACGTTAATATGATAACTTATTCCTAGAGTAAATTTAAGTTTGGCTAATTTTATGAACAGCTCCCAAAATCTTACACTTTAATTCCTATACAGCAATGTTTATACAGAGTACAGTGGATCTTCAGAACAACCGCAAAAAACCCTGCTAAACATGCTATTTTGAAATTAACAAATTTATTTGTTAACAAGATGAAGCAGAGGAATCTACCTTTTTTTTTTTTTACAAAATAACAAAATAACAAATATGCCTAAGATTTGATAGCATTATCTAAGATTTTCTTATTAATTTGCGTATTGCTCAGTCTTTCTAAAAGGTAAGCTCCATGTGGACAGGGGCTTTGACTTGTTCACGGTTACACCACCAGTGTCTAAGACATAGTGGGAGCTCAAATGGTATTTATTTTTAGTTGATAGAAATAGGTCATATTGTTACAAAAAAATTGGGGATTCTGGAGTAATTCTGTCTTCATGTGGTTAATGACACTGTGAAGGAATCTTCATTGGCCTCCTTCCCCTAAATGGGATCAGAGATCATATGATATGGTATTTTTACCAATAGGTAGAGAGTTTGTTAACACACAGAAAAGGTTATTTAATAAGAAGACCAAAAAATGCAACTATTCTGCTATTCTACCTTATAAACAAATATTTATTTTTTTAAATATAGTAAATAGATCCATATTATCACCAAACCCTTTAGAGTGATTTTCAGTAGTAACACTGATGCTTATCAAATATTTAAGTATTTGGGAAAACTTAGGTCCATGCTGAGAAGTCACTCAGAAGATTAAAAAACATAAAATGAAGGAGACAGGTTTGGTTAACCTAACCTCCAGGGAGGCAAATTTAATAAAAAGTAAATGAATATGATGATTATGCAAAGCTGGGGAAGGTTTGGAGTTTATATTTTTGTTTGCTTCAAATCATTTATTTTGCTTAGTTTCTCTAAAGGGCTTCAGCCCAAGTGAGTACTTCAAAGATCTCAGAGTAGGCTTCAGGGCTTAGATTCTAGATGACAGAGTTTGTTGTTGCTTTTTGGCTGACATAGGGATAAATGTTTTCTTCCCTGATTGCCGCCTGCTTAAATGTTGCTAATACTCTGAGCATATTATTTAGGTGGTAAATGGAAATAAAGCAAATAGAAAACAATAAACCTTTCTCTAGAAAATAAAATTTTCTTCATATACAGCATAGTTTTGATAGAGAAAAGAAGTGATACCTAAAGATTCTTTATTGCACATTATTAACATGTAGGCATTCAGAAAAAATCTTATACTTATGTATATTATAAACATTGACTAAGATAAAACATAACATCTGTATATTTATCATACTAATTATAAAAAATTTATTCATCTATTAGAATTTTAACATTAGATATCTCTAGGCAGTGAAATTATGAATGAATTTTGGTTTTTGGCTTCCACCCAAGTATTTCTATCATCAAACTTTTTACAATGGAGAAATATGTTTTCGTGCTTTGAAAATAAGAGAAAATATAAACCTGTAAGTGCACTGAAACAATCAAGTTTTTAAAGCAGAGGGGAGAAATTAGTGAAGATGTTATAGGCCACAGAAAGCTCGGCCTTTTTTATTATCATGGCACTGATTCTGAGTAGGCTAGTGACTCCATGTATTAAGATTAGTCTTACATTTACTAACTTCCTAGCAACTTTCAGGCACTACTTTCACATTTATTATACCACCTTGCTCTCTAAATACCTAGTGAGGAGGTCTCACTCCCATCTTATGGCTGAGGATACTGAATAATGGTAAGCTGTATGTCTAAGTTCACAAAACTCACAAGCCATAGGGAGTGAGTTAGCTCTGAGCATCATTCTCCACTGCAAGTTTAGTGCTTTTCTACTATTTCACTTTGAACCTAGTTGTTTGTTGGGTTTATATTATTCAGATCTGGAGTACATTTAGAGGTACCCTTTTTCCTTATCTGAAACATTAAATAATATTACTACTGATATGGTTTGGCTCTCTGTCCCCACCCAAATCTCACATTGAATTGTAACAATCCCCACGTGTCAAGGGCAGGAACAGGTGGAGATAATTGAATCATGGGAGCAGTTTCCCTTCATATTGCTTTCCTGATTGTGAGTAAGTTTGAGATCTGATGATTTTATAAAGGGAAACCGCTTTCATTTGGTCCTCATTCTCTCTTGCTGCCATCATGTAAGAAGTGCCTTTTACCTTCCACCATGATTGTGTGGCCTCCCCAGTAACGTGGAGCTGTGAGTCCATTAAACCTCTTTTTCTTTATAAATTACCCAGTCTCGGGTATGTCTTTATCAGCAACGTGAAAAAGAACTAACACAACTACAATTATCTTGCATGATCCCCCTTAATTAGTCCAAGAGTGTGGGGAACTAGAAGGTCCAAAGTATAGTATACCTTCCACACAGAGCAACAAGTGTTAGACAAGTTTGTTCTATGTATCTGAGACTGTGTAGAGGCAGATATCTCACATGGAGTTAACCACCAAACATTTTAACACTTTTCCTCTGACAGTTCTCTTTCCTATACCTATTCTCCTTACTGTGAACATGAACTGAGGCTTACATCATCTTACAAAGATACCACTAACAGCAAATAGGGTTAACATTGATTGCAAACTTACAGTATGTTAGGTCCTCTGCCAAGCAATTTATATTAATTACCTCATCTATCCTAATAACACACCTTAAGAAACTACTAAAATCTCACTGAGGCCTAGAGAAGTTAAGTACATTGTGCAAAGTTACACACCTAGTCCATGATGGAGCTGGGCTTTGAACCCAGACAATCTAACTCATACTGGGTGATTACGATAAGTTGTTTGTTTCCCCTGACCACATTTTCCCTTCTGATTTGTGTTTCAATTTTTGGAAAAATTATATTTCCCAAGGTCATCAAACTTTCAGTGCTTTTTACCTTCAAATATATCAAATTTAAACCAACTTTAACTTTCAAAATTCAAACCACCCAAAACATAACCCTTTCATAACTAATTAGCTTTATTACTTACAGAACAATAGCAACTATTAATACCACTTTGAGCAGTTGGCACTTTGTTTTGCCATGCCCCAAGCTAACCATTTTACATGAATAACTCCATCGACTCCCTATTTTTCAGATGAGGACACTGAAGCTTAGCAGTGATGAATAACTTGTTCAAGGTCACCGCTCAATATGACCCACTTTGATTCTAAAACGTTTAGATTTCTGCAACACTGCCTCCTTCTGGCTAAAAATGGAGTCTCTTTATCAAATGTCTCAAGCATTCTGGGATTATCATCCGTCTAACTATCCAGCCATTCATACAACATTTGTTGACCACTTACCACATATCAGACCCTGTGCTAGATGCTGAAGATATGAAGATAACATAGAACAGTTGTTGCAGTTGACCTCATAGAAATGTCAGAATTCACATTTGAGGCCCATCAGGGATCTCCATCATTAACCAGCACTCAAAACCCATCACCAAAGTGCCACACAGAGTAATACCAGTGTATGCCCTTTAGAAGTCATATGTCCCTCAAAAGCCTCCTTCTTAGATGGTCTATCTTCTGCAACTACTGTGAAACATTTCTCTTTCCTGTTTCCATTTCTACCTTTTCATTTTTTTCAACTTTTTTTCTTGTTTCTTTCACAAACTACCTACTGTGCCTCAAATACTCTTCATCATCCCTCTGCCTAACTAATTCATTTTTAAAAGCACTAGTTAGCCTTCTTAATGCTTTAAAATACCTAGTTGTATTGTTTTTATAACTGAATTATGTGTTCGTCTCCTCCACCTAAACAGTACAATCCTTTAAGGCAAGGTTGTTAGAGTATTTTTATATCCTTAGGTCTTAGCATAGTTCCTGGAAAATTAAGTAAACAGTAAATCCTTGTTGTGATAATAAATAAATGGCTTACTTTCCTCAAACTTTGGACTTTGATACCAAAATAAATTTAGAAGATATTATTGGAGGTTTTTTTTAAATTTTTCTAAGTGAGATCACTATAATTTGCTTAACATATAACAGATATAATATTCTTTTTTACTTTGTAGCTGTTGTTTTGTCTATATTGAAATATGCTATATTCTACACGGCAATGACATTATTGTCTGCCATGCTTTTCTAACATATATATATATATATATATATGTTAGAAAACATATATATATATATATGTTTTCTAAAAGACCCATACATATATATGTCATTTTGCTCTTTGTAGTTGTGACTGATCTAATTCTCTTATCTCACTGATTCAAACACACTTCTACAGATTCCTTTTAATTCAGACATGGTGAAGTATGAATAAAGTTTCCTTCTAAGATTTCTCACTGCTTTAACCTTCTGATAATACTCTGTATTATATATTGTATTCTGTTTCTTACCTTTTTCACTCATATATATGTATGTATGTATGTATATGTGTGTGTGTATATATATGTGTATATATATATATACATATATATATATATATATATATAATATAGCGATTACCTGGAAACTGCCAAATTCAACAAATTATTCAGAAAATCTTCTCTGATCCTGGTAGTTTCTTCAAAGAGATCTGCAGTATACCTCCCACCTAGGAATAGGCTAGCTCTAGTGCTGAAGCTCACTATTATGAAAGCATAATTTTGTGATATAAATATTTGTGTTGAATGCAAAGATACTAGAATGAATGAGAGCATATGCACCTGAGAGAAAATGAATGTGGCAGGAGAAATAATGAAAATATTTTCTATTCCGTAGTGCTTTGGGCCTATTGCTCTGAATAATTCATGCATTTAAATTTATCATTTGTTCATTGGATCTATCACATTGGTCTTATTCATGCTTAAAGTGAAAGTATGTGTTTAACTAATATGGTATTTCTCTAGTCTAGCATTTCTCAAATTATGATTTTAGAACAGTATTTCCACAAGATTCCCAGAAAGGAATTCACTGGGAACAACCTAGACTTCCATATATATAAAAATGTATGATTTAAATATAGTAAATGTGCATGATGGAATATTATGCAAAGGGAAGAATAAACAGGTTAGATCTTTGTACAGCAACATGGAAAGATTTCAAAAATATAATTTTGAGTGAAAAAGGTAAGAAACAGAATACAATGTATAACACAGAGTATTATCAGAAGCTTAAAGTAGTGAGAAATCAATGTTAGAAGGAAACTTTATTCATACTTCATCAAGTCTGAATTAAAAGGAATCTGTAGAAAGAGCTAAGTGTGTTAAAATCAGTGAGATAAGAGAATTAGGTCAGTCGCCAACTACTAAGCATACTCAACAACTTTTCAGACTATTTTGTTCACCAACCTATGCATGGCAAATACTTTCTTTTTCCAAAGAGCAAAGTGACTTTCCCCACTCTATATTTTGTCCTTTGGAATTTTAAAGAACAGTCAAGATCTAGACCACACAGTGCCACAACAGTACCCTCAGCACGAAGGGAGGGGTGCCCTTCTCTTTCTTAGTGTGTCCTCAGGCACATCACAAACACATTTATATGAGCACTCACTATGTAGTGGACCCTGTTTTTAGTGCTGGGAAGATGACAAGCAAAGAAGCAAGTTAAAGTCCCTGCTCTTGATATGTTTACATGCATTCAGGGAATTAATCATTCAAACTACTTTTCTCTGAAATTAATCTTTTCTAGCCATTTCTATCCCTCTCAATAGTAATTCAGCTCATGGTGTAAAGCAATAGTTTCTTTATTTAAAAAAAGAGGAAAATAAAATAACTTTCTTTTCTGTTAATATCTTAAAATTTTGAAAGTATCATTTCTTATACACCAACATAGGACATCTAACTTCTGTGCACTCCTGAATTTGTTACAAGTCTCTTAAATTACATAAAATCTAAAGCTCTTCTATTTCAGCTAATATTCCCAGTTGTTACCTTTTTACTTATTTTCTTCCCCGCTCCCATCATTTTTTTCTTTTAAAAACAGGGTCTCACCTGTCTTTAAAAAAGGACAGGGGTCTTGCTATGTTGTCCAGCTTATCTCAAACTCCTGGCCTCAAGCAATTCTCCCACCTCCACATCAGCTTTCCAAAACACTGGGATTACAGGTGTAAGCCACTGAGCCTTGCTGTTTACTTAACTATCATTTCTTAAGTACTAAGTATATGCTGGGTACATTGTTATGAACTTTACCTCTATTATGTCGTTTAATCATTATAGCAGTGTTATTATTCACAGAACACAGATGAGAAAAGTAGAAGAGATTGTTTCCATCAAAACCCATTCTATTGTATGGCAATGCTGGTGCCAACATCCCTGAAACCTGTCATATCCCAGAGCAAAGATAAGCTGTCTTGTATCTTATCAGTGGTTTCACTCTTTTGTGCTGACTTCTAAGCTAAGGATGAGCTTGAGTAATTCAAGTGTCTGTGCTGCAAATATCTCAAATGACAGGCCTTAGGTCAATATGTTGTTCTTAGTGAGTTTAATGAAAAGAGGCTTCTCTTGTTTTGATCTCTGCATATGTTATTTCCAAAGTGAAAAATACAGGGGCAAAGCATAGATTCACTCAGTTCTTGTGCCTATTTACATTCCTAGACAGGAAATTAAAGAGTGTATAACCTCTTCTGGTCAACTTTCCTCTTGTTTTTAACGTATGCCTTTTCCACCTGGTATATCACCATAGCCTATCGGGCTACCCATTCTCAGACAGACACAGAGCATTCTATTTTTATACAGGTTCATCTTTAAACTCATTTTCTGATATTTAGTAATAAACATAATAGAGCTGGAAAAAAAAAAAAAACTTCTAACTTCCCTGACTCATTTCAGATGGTATGCTTACTTGAGGAGGTTTAATTGAGAAAAAAAATGACATATTTTCTCATTTACTAAATGCTTGAAAGGCTTTGATTTAATAGGTAAGTCCCCACCTCAGGAAAGCTGGTTAGGAGAAGCTGCATGGTAAGAGGAAAATTCAGCCTTTCAATTTCAAGTCAATGACACCAGACAGTCTCCAGAGAAATCTCTGACAATGCATTCATCTTGATTACAATTTTAATACTCTTTACCTTTCAATTAAACCTGCATTTTCTAATCTTGTGGGCCACTTAATTAATGAACTGACAATGGCCTTATTTCTGCAGCCATCTATCTGAGTAAGTCCTGCCTTGAAGAATCGTGAGTGCAAACCAGTTTGAGAGAGAAGAGGAAAAATAAATGGTGAGTTGGAATTCAGCTTCACTAAACACTGCCAACACCCTCACCGACCACAAAAAAGCATCTTTTAAGTTTATTCTTCAACCATTTGTGCAAATCAAAAATAGCGCTCAGGAAAGCATATGGCATGGAAGCATGCTGATTTGACCATCTAGCATTTCAATTAGACAAAATTAACTGCTTCAAAATGCTTTTTTTATAATGACTTCCTTAGTCTAGGCCCCTCATTTACTGTAGTTTGGTGTTTCCTCCTTTGAACTTTAATAATTCTTCTAGCAATTCTATTTGTAATACTCAGTGGAAAGCTTTGGATTTTAAATCTATTTTTATTTGCATATAATTTCACATAAATTTACATGTAAAAAAATATGTATGTTTTTCCCCAAACCACAGGACATACTTTCTAGAACCGATTAATAACAGAAGTATTACATTTGAGAGATATAAACAAAGCAACAAAAAGATAATATATTTCTCAAATTTTATATCTACACTTAGTATATTTGCTGGTAAAAATTCAGAGGAGTCTTTAGAAATTCAGTTTGGAAATCATTTAGTTTGGGAAGAAAGGCATATAGAAATTAATACGTAATCATTATATCACTATGTATATGCAATATTTTTATTTTATTATGTAATCAAATGCAGTGTTAATGACCTCTGTTTTTATAATTGCCTTCTGGTCTCACATGAGCCCAGGGAATGCTGTCATCCAAAATTACTGTGCAAAACAGTAATGTCTCACGGTCAGCCCTGGGCTAGACAGCTTGAAGGTAGAATCGCCTGCATAACTAATGTAATGTGACAGGCACAACTGGACTCAGAATTTTCACAAAAATCATTGGGTAAGATGGCTCAAGTTAAAAGAAAACTGGGTTTAAATTCCATGTGCATTATATTTTGTGCCCCCTTGAATTTTTATGTATCTATATTCTAATTAGAAAGCTTTTTGGTCTTTTTCCTAAAACTGCATAATAGAAGACTATGTTAACATATCATGGTGACTTGGGGGATGCAAGCCTATTTAAAATCCAACATGCTACAAAAGTCATTCCCTTGGTAGATGTGTACTTGGATACTTAGTAACTTTTGTTTTCAAAATCTTCTAATCAAGGTACTTAGAATCTTTCAAAAAGTGGATGTTTGTGGAAATCAAAATTGTCAAGCAGTCTCAGGCTGTCTGTCCATCAAGCCATGAATCATTCACTATGCTCCTACTGAAACGTACCTATCTTATATCTTATTCCCACTCTGCTTTGCTTTGTGGACACCAATTTCTCAATGTATATAGAGAGCTGCCCCAGGTATTAGGCTTTCTTTGACAATAGCTTGCTAGAGATGAGTCAGCTTGTTTTTAAACCCTGGAGAGCCGGTACTACAGATTGTTTTTAAATCCTGGAGAGGTCACTACAGATTGGTTGGGAACGTATTTGGAGGCAAGGTAGGGTTTTCTCAGTATCCCCACAATGGCTGTTCTGCTGCACTGCATTGCTTCTGTGGGCCCTAGTCACATTTGTCTTCTTGGGCCCATTCATCTATTAAAAAATATATATAATTTTTAATATATATAATATATTATATTAAATATAATATATAATAAATAATATTAAATGTAATAAATAATATACATAAATATATATATATTAAAAACCATGCAGTTTTTTTCTTTAATGGTAACTGAAACGTAACTCGAGATTCACCTACCCAAGGCTCATTTTACTCATTGCCCTTTTTCTTTGGAAGGCACTAATACTGAAACTAATTTTATATCAGGGACAAGAGGATTATCTTCAAGCATAATAATAAAAAAGAGAGAGTTCTACTATATCATTAGCAAACTAGCATGGCAGAAGTGATTGACATTAGTGTGATACAGTAAAAATACTCAGCACATTTTTGGAGAGAATATATCTTACTGTACCCCTCTGTTCCTGTGTTCCTGCAGTAATTCTTGCTGATCAAAAATTTACATTACGACTACCTAAGACACATCAAGTGACATTCTATAATGTTAATGTATATAAGGGTAGAGCCTATGAGGAAATTCTCTAGATATCATAAAACAGTTCTTAAAAGCTTTCTTAAACATGTCTCTGGCCAGGCGTGGTGGCTCACGCTTGTAATCCCAGCACTGTGGGAGGCCAAGGCGAGCGGATTACCTGAGCTCAGGAGTTCGAGAACAGCCTGGGCAACACAGTGAAACCCTGTCTCCAATAAAATACAAAAAAATTAAAAATATCCCTCAGTATCTATGGAATTAGAACATGTTACATTATTTGAACATTTGATGACACCATGTCATGTCAGTGTGTCCTTTATCTTCTATTATCGTCTCCTCATCTCTCTGATTGCATCTATTATCACTAACCCAGGGCTCACACACCTCTCAAGATGTTTTCTGGTGTCTGAAATGCAATGATAGTATAAAACATATTTGAGAACTTTTTAATGAACCCTTGCATTGCTTGTTCTGAGATGCTGTTTTGAGAGGAGCCCAGCTGCCTACAAGTCTGACCAGAATCCAGGGTTAAAGCCTGAAGTCTTTCACAGATTCCCTGACCCAGGTGGGAAGGATGCTCCCTATTGAATGAAGCTCCCACCTCACCCTTTGGGCTCCTGCTCTAAGTTTGAGTGGCTGCCTTGTTCCCATATCCTGTCCCTCTGCATAATATTACTAGAATGAGAAGGAGACAAACCCAACGGCTTAGAACCAAGACTGAAGTTACTCACTCCAAGTTTCCTTTTCCTTTGACTTGCTCCATCTCCCCTTCATTTTTCTCCAATAGAAAAAAATAAAACAAAACCTTGTTCTGGTCTTATTGTATGAAAGAAGAGAGAGGGAGGTCATCAGGAAGCAATTCTAACAGAGGAACCAACCTACTTCTTCAGCCAATTAATGCTCTTGTCCTTAATTCTGACTCATCTTTATGGAGGAGAGGGAAAGAATCTTCAATCTCTATAAATGCCCAAAAGATATATTTGCTTATTTGATGCTTCATGCATTTGTACATTTATTAAAACTCGACATTCTAAGTACATTAGTACAATCACCAGGCCCAGTAAGCATTGTAGTTAAAGCATGTCAGGGCTGAGTCATTGCCAACCAAAAACTCTTTTGGCAGGAAAAGCCAATTTTCAACAGCTCTGACAGTGTAAAGCAGGAGGCATGTTTGACAAGATGCTGCATATTAATTTAAAAGACTTTAGCATCTGGTTAGGTAACACCTGCTGTGGCAAACACTCCCAGACACACAAAATAGCATTCGAGCTGAATATTTAAATCTCCCAACATAGCTCAACAAAGCTCTAACTCTAAACAAAACAAAACAAAACAAAATCACATCTCTAGCAATCAGTTATAATTATATAACCAAAAATATTTGGGCTACAACATTGTTTGCTGTTCACTGAGCTGAAATGCTGTAGTGGGTGCTATAAAAGTTGTAAAATCTATTGAAACATATTTTCCTGCCTTGAAGAATTTAACTGTGTACAACATTTAAAATTGCACACTGTAGCTCAGAAAATAGCACTTTGTGTTATAATATGTTATATCAATATACAGCTAAGAAGTTTATCACTGGGGGGTGGGGGGTGAAAGCATTAAATAACAGAGTAAAAGAAGCAAACCATGAGAGAGAAATCTGGAAAGACTCTTCTAGCCACTCTCTCTGTGAAAGTACATCCCAGCCTAAGAATTGTAGTTGTCTGGCAATAGAGGCGTATGAGAGTTCTGGAATTGTTAGGACACACTAACATGACACGGTGTCATCAAATGTTCAAATAATGTAACATGCTCTAATTCCATAGATACTGAGGGATATTTTTTAATTACTCAATTTTTTATGTCATTTACTGTAGAGAAGGAGCTTGCCCTTGTCAGCCTAGTTTGGATACTGGCTCACTTGACAATGCATTTCTCTCTGCAAATTTTAAAAACTGACACTTTGATTATTTCTCTATTTACTCGACAAAATTTTATTGGATGCCTAATATGTAGGAGAGCCTGTGAAATTTTTCAGACAATACAATGTGTACAATGGTGAAAAAGACATCGTAAATAGAAGTAAGTGAACAATAATTACAATGAAATGTGATAAACGCTGTGATGGGGTTATATCCAGGGTGCCCCGCATGCACCCCTGTAGGAGGGTATGTGCGTGAAGGGGGCATCTAAGATGAAATGTGAAAAATGAGTAAGAGCCAGGCAAAATGTATGTTGAATGAAAATTCTTCCAGATAAAGGGAGCATCATGAGCAACTTTCTAAGATCCAAAAGAGCCTAAGCATACTAAACCTATAAAATTCTTACAGAAATACATAGAGGTAAATCTTTGCAATCTTGGATTAGGTAATGGTTTCTTAAATGTGACGCCAAAAGCTCATACAACACAAGTTAAAATAGTCCAGACTCCATATGCTATGACTGAATTGTGTCACCAAATGCATATGTTGAAGCCCTAATCCCCAACATGGTGGTATGTGGAGATGGGAACGTTGGGAAATCATTAGGTTTAGATGAAGTCATGAGTGTAGTGCTCTCCAGCTGGGATTATTTCCCATTTTAGAAGAGGAAGGGACACCAGAGCTCTCTCTCTGCTATGTGAGGGCACAGCGAGAAGGCAGCCATCTGCAAGCCAGAACGAGGTCTCAGCAGAACCCATCCATGCTGAAACTCTGATCTCAGGTTTCCAGCCTCCAGAACTGCGAGGAAATATATCTTTGTTGATTAAGCCATCCAGTCTATGGTATTTTGTTATGGAAGCCAGAGTTAATTAATATACCATAAAGTTAAGATGTTTACACTTCGAGTAGTATCATTAAGAAAGTGAAAGACAATCCACAGAATGAGACAAAATATGAGCAAACTATATATCTGATAAAGGGCTGGTTGTCAAAATATATAAATAACTATTACAATTCTATAATAAGAAGACAAATAACCAAATTTATACATGAACAGATAATCTGAATACACAGCTCTCTAAAGATAAGTAGCCAAAAAGCACATGGAAAGCTGTTCCACATCATTAATCGTCAGAGAAATGAAAGTCAAAAGCACAGTGAAATACAATTTCACATAACCTAGAATGGCTATAATCAAAAACACAAATAAGCATTGGCAAAGATGCAGAGGAGCCTCATACACTGCTGGTGGGAGTGTAATATGGTGCAGCCACTTTGCAAAACAGTTTGTCAGTTTCTCAAGCGGTAAAACATAGAGTTATCGTATGGTCTAGCAATTTCTCTACTAGGTATATACCCAAGAAAATTGAAAACATATGTCCACACAGAATCTTGTACATGAATGTTCATAGCAGTGTTATTCATTATATCTAAAAGGTGGAAACAATCCAAATGTTCAACAGTGGAGGAATGAATTTTTAAAATGCATATACTTTTTTGTTGTTTTATTTCATATCGTTTTATTTTCTGTGATAAGAACATTTAACATGATATCTGACCTCTTAACAGATTTCTAAGTACACAATACCTAAATTGTAAACCAAAGGCACTATGTTGATCAGTACATGTCTGGAACAAACTCATCTTGCACAATTGTAATTTTATACCCATTGAACAACAGCTACCCACATACCCCTTCCCCCATCTGCTGGTAACCAATGTTCTGTTGTCTACTTCTATTTCTGTAACTATTTTAGATGCCACATATGTGAGGAATCATGCAGTAGTTGTCCTTCTGTAACTGACTTATTTCCCTCAGCACAATGTCTTCCAGGTCCTTTCATGTTGTCACAAATGGTAGGATTTCATTCTTCATTTTTTTGTCTTTCCTTTATTTATTTATTTATTTATTTATTTATTTATTTATTTATTTATTTGAGACAGAGTCGTGCTCTGTCTTCCAGGCTGGAATGCAGTGGTATGATCACAACTCACAACTTACTGCATCCTCTACCTCCTGAGCTCAAGGGGAATCCTTCCACTTCAGCCTCCAAGGTGGCTGGGACCATAGATACACTCCACTACTCAAAGGTAGTTTTATTTTTATTTATTTATTTATTTATTTTGGTAAAAAAGAGATCTCCCTATATTTCCCAGGCTGGTCTCGAACTCCTGGGCTCAAGGGATCCTGCTGCTTCAGCCTCCCAAAGTGCTGAGATTTCAGCCATGAGCCACAGTGCCTGGCTTGGGTTTCCTTTTTTTTTTTTTCAAGGGTGAATAATTTTCTATTGTTTGAATATATCACACTTTCTTTATCCATTCATCTATTGATGGACATTTAGGTTGTTTTAATTTCTTGGTTATTCTGAAAAATGTTACAAAGGACCTAGGGGTGCAGATGTTTCTTCAAGATTCTGATTTTAATATCTTTGGTTATATACCCAGAAGTGGGATTGCTGGATCATATGCTCATCTTATTTTTAATTTTTTTGTGAAACCTCCATACTATTTTCCATAGTGGCTGTACCCTATTACATTTCCACCAACAGTGAATATGGGTTTCAATTTCTCCACAACCTTGCCAGCATTTGTTTTCTTTTGCTTTTCATTTTTGAAAATAGCCATTCTAACAGGTACTAGGTGACATAAGGAAATTTTTGAGGTGATGAACATGTTTATTACCTGAATTCCATTGTGGTGATTGTAACATGAGTATATACATATGTCCAACCTCACAAAATTGTATACATTAATTATATGAAGAGTTTTTTTAAACAAATACACACAAGGAAATATTATTCAACAATAAAAAGAAATGTAGTATACATGCTATAATATGGATGCTCCTTGAAAAATATGCTAAGTTAAAGAAGCCAGTCACAAAGGACCATATTGTTGTATGATCCTCTTAATATTTAATGTCCAGAATAGGCAAATATACAGAAACAGAAAATGAATTAGTGGTTACCTAGGGCTAGGGGAGTTGGAGAGATTGGAGGAGGTGAGAGCTAAGGAGCTCTGGATTTCCTTCTGGGGTAACAAAAATATTCCAAAATTAATTGTGATGAGGATGCACAATTTTGCGAATATACTAAATGCCAATGAATTGCATTTTTAATGGCTGAATAAAATGGTATGTGTTGTTGCAATAAAGCTGTTTAAATAACAGTAGTTCAGTTTGGATGGAATGGAGGGTAAGCTATGTTAGTTATTTTGGTCTTTGGTAAAAGGCAATAATGGGCACCATGGAAGGAATTTAGGCAGGTGAATGACATTATTAACTTTATCTTCCTTATTATTAGTTTAGCAACCACTCAAGGAAATTTAAAACACTAAATTTCTGGACTTGCCAGACTAAGGGCCAGACTCTGGACCTCACCAAATTCATCAAGGTAATGTAACCCTGAAATATTCTTTTTAGTAACCAGTATGCTTGTGGACACTTAATTCTTTTAACATCAATAGCATTTATTGATTGTTGCCATTGGACCCATCCTTATGACCATCTTAACATCTCCTTCCCCAGCAAAAAAACAAAACAAAACAGAACAAAAAAAACTAAAAACAAATAATGCTTCACATTAAAAATATGCCATTTTCTCTCCTGTTCCTAGGGGACTTCCCTTGCTATGAGTATCTTGCTGGTCAGTAGAAGCAGAAAGAATCTCAGATGACTCTGCTTTCTTGGGAAGCACTTTGTAAAATACAATTTTCAAAAAGAAAAAATATATAAAATTACTCACATATTATCTTAATCTTTGCAATTATTCATAAGCAGTTTGCAAAGACTCATAGTAGGAATAACTCTTGAATTCTCTCTATCCTGTAGCTATTTACTCATTTATGGAACAAGCCTTGTAAGTATTGAATTGCTACAGAAACATATATGTACATAAAACTGCATGTAGGGCCGGGTGCGGTGACTCACGCCTGTAATCCCAGCACTCTGGGGGGCTGAGGTGCGTGGATCACCTGCTGTCAAGAGTTCCAGACCAGCCTGGCCAACATGGTGAAACCTTGTCTCTACCAAAAATACAAAAATTAGCTGGGCATGATGTGGGGGCGCCTGTAATCTCAGCTACTAGGGAGGCTGAGGCACAAGAATGGCTTGAACCCGGGAGGCGGAGGTTGCAGTGAGCCGAGATTGAGCCATTGCACTCTAGTCTGGGCAACAGAGTGAGACTCCACCTCAAACAAACAAACAAAAAAATTCCATATTGGTAGCAAAATATATAACTGGGTATATAACAAATTGAATTTTTGCTATTTTATACCATCTTCCTACAGCTTCATCAGATAAACCACATGTGTGATAACACTCTGTACTCCTTCGCCTGAGACATGAAATTATCATGACATTTTTCCTGAAGCAGCCGCATAATATTCCTTGATGCTGGACTTTAGGCAGCAACTACTTAATAACCCAAACTGGCACCCAAGATGAATTTTATTGGCCATGCTGTTCTGGAATTGTAAATTTTTTACATCTCCTTCAAAATATAAAGTATAGATCATAGTCCAAGTTAGAAAAATATCCTACCAAAAATTGTCCAACTGCAGAACCATGACTTTGCTTATTATTTACTTATATCAATAAATTACATTAGAATGATTGACTGTTGTCCATGTTATGCACAGAAATCAACATAAGATAATCACCTTATTTGACTGCAGGGCCATAGCATTCCTTACTCATTTTTATTTATGTAATAAATAATGTTACCTGGGAAAATGGAAAAACGGCTATGTGTCAAAGTGTGTATTCAGATGTTCTTTCTTCTCACATTTTTCTTTAACAATATATTTCAAGAGAAAGACTATATTTCAAGTAAGAACTCCAATCTTTTTTTAATAGGAAAAAATGTTTAACACCAAGGTAGGAAAATATTCTCAACATTTCCTTCGTGTAGAATTGTATTCTTTATTTTTAAATTTTAATTAACTAATTTGTTTTGAGATACAGTCTCACCACTTCGTCAAGCAGGCTGGAGAGCAGTGGTGCTCTCTCGGCTCACTGCAACCTCCACCTCCCGGTTTCAAGCAATTCTTGTGCCTCAGCCTCCCCAGTAGCTGGAATTACAGGCATCTACCGCCAAGCACAGCTAATTTTTGTATTTTTAGTAGAGACGGGGTCTTGCCATGTTTTTTGGGCTGCTCTCAAACTCCTGGCCTCAAGTGATCCACTGGCCTCAGCCTCCCAAACTGCTGGGATTACAGGCATGCACCACCACACCCAGCTAATTTTTGTATTTTTAGTAGAGATGAGGTTTCACCATGCTGGCTCCACTGGTCTTGAACCCCTGACCTCAAGTGATCCGCCTGTGCCAGCCTCCCAAAGTGCTGAGATTACAGGCATGAGCTATTGAGCCTGGCCCTCTTGTGGAGTTTAAAATTTTTCTTTTAAACAATCCCAAATTTGTAAATACATACTAGCACCAGTATCATTTTGTTATAACTTAACTGCTGTGAAATATAATTATTACTTTTTGACTGTATTCTTTAAAAATCCTGTAATACACTTCATAAGCAAAAATTGTTATTATTTCTAAATGTTTTTCCATGAATTAAAGAAGGTTTAGCCTTCTTCTAATGAACTATAAGTTTGCTAATTTTGCCCTATTGTTTTGTATAGATCACTCTTAGAATCATTTAGGTGATAAAGTCACTAGCAGATACAAAAGAGGGACTCTGACTGACTGAAAAATCTAGATAGATGTTGAAAATGTGAATTATTTATAATAGAATAATACACAACACAAAAATAAAATGGTATTTTAAGATTAATGAGATTTCTAGGTGAATTATTTCCAATTTTAATTATTCATACTACTCTTTCTTTGATTTTTGTTAGTAATCTTGGATAGTCAATCTTCAGATCCCACTAAGACAGAACACTAGAAGCTTTAATTCTATTCTGTCATACAAACCTCTGTATCTAGATGATAAACTCTGTGAGAACCAGAACTAAAACTTTCTGGCCTTCGTTATTTTGCCAGCTCCTTACATAGGGCCTGAAATAGAGACTGTGTATTTGTTAAAGGACCATGGTAAAAGGATCACATTTAGTAACTAAAGTTTGATGCAGATTAGTAAGCATTTTTATTTAAGTAAAAATAAGAACAAAAAATTTGTTCCTGATAAACCTATTGGTGAATGAATCTTAAAACATGGCATATATGTTTCATTATTTTAAAACTGTTATTCTGTAAACATTTTAAACTTATTTTATATAATGTGTTTTATAATTTTAAAATTCGAGAATACAATTTGCTATTTATTATTTCTCCTGATTCTAGCACAAGGAAACATAGTTCTTCCCGTGATTTTAAATATTGACTTGCAAGCTCATATTTGGTTATTTTAATCCGTTGAGATTTCTTCTGTAATGTCCACCTGAAGGCACTTCAGAGAGAATATATATTTTCCTTCTGCTAGGCACTATGAATCAAGGACTACTTTAAGTTGAAAGGGTTAAAAATGTGAACGCTGATCTTTTTGTTATTGTTGTTGTTTTGAGACGAGTCTCCTTCTGTCGCCCAGGCTGGAGTGTAGTGGCGCGATCTCGGCTCACTGCAAGCTCCGCCTCCTGAGTTCATGCCATTCTCCTTCTCAGCCTCCAGAGTAGCTGGGACTACAGGTGCCCGCCACCAAGGCCGGCTAATTCTTTGTATTTTTAGTAGAGACGGGGTTTCACCTTGTTAGCCAGGATGGTCTCAATCACCTGACCTTGTGACGATCATTTTTAAGGACAGCAATGTGGTAACTTTTTATTGTCCCTCCACCTTAGCTCAAGCTTATATTAATGGTCAAACTGATGTCTTTTTGTTGATGATAAGTTTCTTCTAGGCTAGTCTATGTCTTTCAGAGTGAAGCTCCTCAGAGGCTCTGGACTTATGCTGAAGTTTTAGTTTGACCTCCTTTCATTCCTCAAGTTTCTAGTTCCTGGAATCAGCAAATATCTACAGGGTGCTCCAGCTTTCAGAATACACTCTGCTGGTTTTTAATGATTTGGTTTTTCATGAAAGTGATGTTGAGAGTTTAAAAGCATTTGTGTTGCATTTAGTCTAGGTTTTTGTAGTGAGAAGTCTTTCAGACTTTCCTATTTGCCACACAGTCTAAAGCAGAAGTTGAATATGATGAAATATTTATAGATGTTAAGCTCCAATACTGAATATTAAAAGCAATTCAAGCCATTGCAGAATCATCCCTGAAAATTTGTATTTATTTTCTCTCTGCCAGTTACCTAGTTTGTGAGACACATGATTAAATGTGACATAAAAATTAAGTTCATAAAGAAAAATACAATAAATCTATATTTATATCACATAAATATGAACTGTAAAATAATTCAGTCAACTAAAACAGATTCACATTTCAATAGTGAAAGTGCTCTCTGTTAAGAAGTTTGGTCTGCATTGTGGAAGACAGTGTGGCAATTCCTCAAAGACCTAGAACCAGAAATACCATTTGACCCAGCAATCCAATTACTGGGTATATACCCAAAGGAATATAAACCATTCTATTTTAAAGATACATGCACACAAGTGTTCATTGCAGCAGTATTCACAACAGCAAAGACATGGAACCAACTCAATGCCTATCAATGATAGACTGGATAAAGAAAATGTGGTGCATAAACACCATGGAATAGTATGCATCCATAAAAAGGAACGAGATCATGTCCTTTGCAGGGACATGGATGAAGCTGGAAGCCATTATCCACAGCAAGCTAACCCAGGAACAGAAAACCAAACACTACATGTTCTCACTGATATGTGGGAGCTGAACAATGAGAACACATGGACACAGGGAGGGGAACACACACTGGAGCCTGTCTGGGTGGTAGCGGGGGAAGGGAGAGCATCAGGAAAAATAGCTAATGTATGCTGTGCTTAATACTTAGGTGATGGGTTGATGGGGGCAGCTAACCACCACAGCACACATTTACCTATGTAACAAACGTGCACATACTGTACATGTACCCTGGAACTTAAAATAAAATTTAAAAAAAGAAAAAAAAGGAAATTTAGTCTGAAGAAGAAAGACAAAACCTCAGGATTGAGAGAAAAGGAGGAGAGAGAGCTACTTTCAATTATTTGAAAAGGCTTTCACCTGGAAAGCCTTTGACAAAGTTCCTTTGACAGAGAATGATTATGAAGAAGTCAGGAAAACATATTTTTACAAAATGATATATTCCACCATTTGTTCATTGAATATTTTGAAAGTGATGGCCATGTGTGAAAATCTGTGCTGGTCTTGTGCCGGTCTTCAAAGGGAATGCTTCCAGCTTTTGCCCATTCTGTATGATATTGGCTGTGGGTTTGTCATAAATCGCTTGTATTATTTTGAGATCCATTCCATCAGTACTTAGTTTATTGAGAGTTTTTAGTATGAAGGAATGTTGAATTTTATCGAAGGCCTTTTCTGCTTCTATTGAGATAATCATGTAGTTTTTGTCATTGGTTCTGTTTATGTGATGAATTACATTTATTGATTTGCATATGTTGAACCAGCCTTGCATCCTAGGGGTGAAGCCGACTTGATCGTGGTGGATAAGCTTTTTGATATGCTGCTAGATTCAGTTTGCCAGTATTTTATTGAGGATTTTCGCATTGATGTTCATCAGGAATATTGGCCTGAAATTTTTTTTTTTTTTAATTGTTGGATCTCTGCCAGGTTTTGGTATCAGGATGATGCTGGCCTCATAAAATGAGTTAGGGAGGAGTCCCTCTTTTTCTATTGTTTGGAATAGTTTCAGAAGGGATGGTACCAGCTCCTCTTTGTACCTCTGGTGGAATTCGGCTGTGAATCCATCTTGTCCTGGGCTTTTTTTGGTTGGTAGGCTATTAATTACTGCCTCAATTTCAGATCTTGTTATATGTCTATTCAGGGATTCGACTTCTTCTTAGGTTAGTCTTCGGAGGGTGTATATGTCCAGGAATTTACCCATTTCTTCTAGATTTTCTAGTTTATTTGCATAGAGATGTTTATAGTATTCTCTGACGGTAGTTTGTATTTCTGTGGGATCAGTACTGATATCTCCTTTATCATTTTTTTTATTGTGTCTATTTGATTCTTCTCTCTTTTCTTCTTTATTAGTCTGGCTAGCAGTCTATCTATTTTGTTAATCTTTTCAAAAAACCACATTCTGGATTCATTGATTTTTTTGAAGGATTTTACGTCTCTATCCCTTCAGATCTGCTCTGATCTTAGTTATTTCTTGTCTTCTGCTAGGTTTTGAATTTGTTTGATCCTGCTTCTCTGGTTCTTTTAATTGTGATTTTAGGTTGTTCATTTTAGATTTTAGATCTTTCCTGCTTTCTCCTGTGGACATTTAATGCTATAAATTTCCCTCTAAACACTGCTTTAGCTGTGTCCCAGATATTCTGCTACATTGTGTCTTTGTTCTTATTGGTTTCAAAGAACTTATTTATTTCTGCCTTAATTTCATTATTTACCTAGTAGTCATTCAGGAGCAGGTTATCCAGTTTCCATGTAGTTGTGTGGTTTTAAGTCAGTTTCTTAATCCTGAGTTCTAATTTAATTGCACTGTGGTCTGAGAGACGGTTTGTTATGATTTCCTTTCTTTTGCATTATCTGAGGAGTGTTTTACTTCCAATTATGTGGTCAATTTTAGAATAAGTGCGATGTGGTGCTGAGAAGAATGTATATTCTGTTGATTCGGAGTGGAGAGTTCTGTGGATGTCTATTGAGTCCACTTGGTCCAGAGCTGAATTCGAGTCCTGAATATCCTTATTAATTTTCTGTCTCATTGAGCTATTTAATATTGACAGTGGGGTGTTAAGGTCTCCCACTATTACTGTGTGGGAGTCTAAGTCTCTTTCTAGGTCTCTAAGAACTTGCTGTATAAATCTGGGTGCTCCTGTATTGGGTCCATATATATTTAGGATAGTTAGCTCTACTTGTTGCATTGATCCCTTTACCAGTATGTAATGGCCTTCTTTGTCTTTTTTGATCTTTGTTGGTTTAAAGTCTGTTTTATCAGAGACCAGGATTGCAACCCCTGCTTTTTTGTTTGTTTGTTTGTTTCCACTTGCTTGGTAAATATTCCTCCGTCCCTTTATTTTCAGCCTATGTGTGTATTTGCATGTGAGATGGTTCTCCTGAATACAGCACACCGATAGGTCTTGACTCTTTATCCAATTTGCCAGTCTGTATCTTTTAACTGGGGCATTTAGCCTTTACATTTAAGGTTAATATTTTCACGTGTGAATTTAATCTTGTCATTATGATGCTAGCTGGTTATTTTGCCCATTAGTTGATGCAGTTTCTTCATAGAGTCGATGGTCTTTACAATTTGGTATGTTTTTGCAGTGGCTGATACTGGTTTTTCCTTTCCATATTTAGTGCTTCCTTCAGGAGCGCTTGTAAGGCAGGCCTGGTGGTGACAAAATCTCTCAGCATTTGCTTGTCTGTAAAGGATTTTATTTTTCCTTTGCTTATGAAGCTTAGTTTGACTGAATATGAAATCTGGGTTGAAAATTCTTTTCTTTAAGAATGTTGAATATTGGCCTCCACTCTTCTGCAGAGAGATCCGTGGTTAGTCTGATGGACTTCCCTTTGTGGGTAACCCGACATTTTTCTCTGGCTGCCCTTAACATTTTTTCTTTCATTTCAACCTTGGTGAATCTGATGATTATGTGTCTTGGGGTTGCTCTTCTCGAGGAGTCTCTTTGTGTTGTTCTCTGCATTTCCTGAATTTGAATGTTTGGCCTGTCTTGCTAGGTTGGGGAAGTTCTCCTGGATAGTATCCTGACGAGTATTTTCCAACTTAGTTCCATTCTCCCCATCACTTTCAGGTACACCAATCAAACGTAGGTTTGGTCTTTTCACATAGTCCCATATTTCTTGGAGGCTTTGTTTGTTGCTTTTCTTTCTTTTTTTCTCTAATCTTGTCTTCACACTTTATTTCATTAAGTTAATCTTCAATCTCTGATGTCCTTTCTTCCACTTGATCGATTTCACTATTGATACTTGTGTATGCTTCATGAAGTACTCGTGTTGTGTTTTTTAGCTCCATCAGGTCATTTATGTTCTTCTCTAAACTGGTCGTTTTAGTTAGCAATTCCTCTAACCTTTTTTCAAGGTTCTTAGCTTCCTTGTATGGGGTTGGAACATGATGCTTTATCTCAGAGGAGTTTGTTATTACCCACCTTCTGAAGCCTACTTCTGTCAATTCATCAAACTCATTATCTGTCCAGTTTTATTCCCTTGCTGGTAAGGAGCTGTGATCCTTTGGAGGAGAAGAGACATATTGGTTTTGGGAATATTCAGTCTTTTTGCACTTTTTTCCTCATCTTCGTGGATTTATCTACCTTTGGTCTTTGATGTTGGTGACCTTCGGATGGGGTTTCTGTGTGGATGTCCTTTTTGTTGATGTTGATGCTCTTCCTTTGTATTTGTTAGTTTTCCTTCTAACAGTCAGGCCCCTCTGCTGCAGGTCT
This sequence comes from Homo sapiens, assembly GCF_000001405.40. NCBI lineage: Eukaryota > Metazoa > Chordata > Mammalia > Primates > Hominidae > Homo > Homo sapiens. Next base: position 81,480,683 of record NC_000012.12, read on the forward strand.
GCTTGAGTTTGCTAGAAGTCCACTCCAGACCCTGTTTGCCTGGGTATCACCAGAGGAGGCTGCAGACAGCAAAGATTGCTGCCTGTTCCTTCATCTGGAAGCTTCCTCCCAGAGGGGCACCTACCAGATGCCAGCCAGAGCTCAGCTGTATGAGGTGTGTCCTCTCTTACCACTCCTATTCAACATAGTATTGGAAGTTCTGGCCACAGCAATCAGGAAAGAGAAAGAAATAAAAGGTATTCAAATAGGAAGAGAGGAAGTCAAATTGTCTCTGTTTGCAGATGACATAATTGTATATTTGGAAAACCCCACAGTCTCAGCAAAAAAATCTCCCGAAGCTGATAAGCAGCTTCAACAAAGTCTCAGGATACAAAACCAATGTGTAAAAATCACAAGCATTCCTATACACCAATAATAGAGAAACAGAGAGCCAAATCATGAGTGAACTACCATTCACAATTGCTACAAAGTGAATAAAATACATAGGAATACAACTCACAAGGGATGTGTAGGACCTCTTCAACTAGAACTACAAACAACTGCTCAAGGAAATAAGAGAGGACACAAACAAATGGAGAAACATTCCAAGCTCATGGATAGGAAGAACGAATATCGTGAAAATGGCCATACTGCCCAAGGTAATTTATAGATTCAATGCTATTCCCATCAAACTACCATTGACTTTCTTCACAGAATTAGAAAAAACTACTTTAAATTTCATATGGAACCAATAAAGAGCCCGCATAGCCAAGACAATACTAAACAAAAAGAACAAAGCTGGACACATCATGCTACCTGACTGCAAACGATGCTACAAGGCTACAGTAACCAAAACATCATGGTACTGGTACCAAAAAAAATACATAGACCAATGGAACAGAACAGAAGCCTCAGAATATGCCACACATCTACCACTATCTGATCTTTGACAAACCTGACAAAAACAAGCAATGGGGAAAGGAAATCCATACTTCATCAATGGTGCTGGGAAAACTGGCTAGCCATATGCAGAAAACTGAAACTGGACCACTTCCTTACAACTCATACAAAAATTAACTCAAGGTGGTTTAAAGACTTGAATGTAAGACCTAAAACCATAAAAACCCTAGAAGAATAACTAGGTAATACCATTCAGGACATAGGCATGGGCAAAGACTTCATGACTGAAACACCAAAAGCAAGGGCAACAAAAGCCAAAATTGATAAATGGGAGCTAATTAAACTAAAGAGCTTCTGCACAGCAAAAGAAACTATCATCAGAGTGAAAAGGAAACCTACAGAATGGGAGAAAATTTTTGCAATCTATCCATCTGACAAAGGGCTAATATCCAGAATCTACAAAGAACTTAAACAAATTAACAAGAAAGAAACAACCCCATCAAAAAGTGGGCAAAGGACATGAACAGACACTTCTCAAAAGAAGACATTTATGCGGCCAACAAACATGAAAAAAAAAGCTCATCATCACTGTTCATTAAAGAAATGCACATTAAAACCACAATGAGATACCATCTCATGCCAGTTAGAATGGCAATTATTAAAAAGTCAGGAAACAACAGATGCTGGAGAGGATGTGGAGAAATAGGAACGCTTTTACACTGTTGTTGGGATTGTAAGTTAGTTCAACCATTGTGGAAGACAGTGTGGCAATTCCTCAAGGATCTAGAACCAGAAATATCATTTGATCCAGCAATCCCATTACTGGGTATATACCCAAAGGATTATAATTCATTCTACTATAAAGACACATGCACACATATGTTTACTGCAGCACTGTTCACAATAGCAAAGGCTTGGAACCCACCCATATGTCCATCAGTGATAGACGGATAAAGAAAATGTGGCACATATACACCATGGAATACTATGCAGCCATAAAAACGGATGAGTTCATGTCCTTTGCAGGGACATGGATGAAGCTGGAAACCATCATTCTCAGCTAACCAACACAGGAACAGAAAACCAAACACTGCATGTTCTCACTCATAACGGGGAGCTGAACAATGAGAACACATGGACACAGGGAGGGGAACATCACACACTGGATCCTGTCAGCCAGTGGGGGATAGGGGAGGGATAGCATTACGAGAAATACCTAATAGCTGTAGCTGATGGGTTGATGGGTGTAGCAAACCACCATGGCACATGTGTACTTATGTAACAAACCTGCAGGTTCTGCACATGTATCCCAGAACTTATATATATATATATACTGTGCTGGGATCACAAAGAATAAACTGTGTTCCAGTGCTAAAATTCTGCTTACAGTTTAAGAAGACACAATTTCAGGATATACTATGATACATATTATTTGTGATAAAAATTGAATTGTGTTTTATAAATGTGAGATAGAATAATTCTGCCACAACAGCTGTGCATATTAAAAAGTTATGTAGAACCCTACATTAAGCAATTCATCATTGCTGGCAGAACTGCAAAATGGCACAGTCACTTTGAAAAATAGCGTAGAATTTATTTGAAATGTTAGAGTTACCATATAACCTAGCAATTCCACTTCTAGTTATACATACAAGGTAAATGAAAACACATGTCTATAAAAAAGCTTTTATATGCGTGTTCATAGTAGCATTATTCATAATAGCCAATAAATGAAAACAACCCAAATATCTATTAACTAATGAATGGATAAATAAAATTTGTACAGCCATGCAGTGGAATATTAATTGGCAATATGAAGAAATAAAGTATTTATAAGCTATAACAAAGATTAATCTTGAAAGCAAAAGACCCCATATTGTAAAATTTCAGTTACAGTATATGAAATGTCCAGAACAGCAAATCCATAGAGGAAGAAAGTAGCCTGGTAGTTGCCAGGGCCTTGGAGGTGGGGCAAGTGGGGAATAATTGCTAATAGATACAGAGAAGAGGGTGATGCACATGATCTAAAGTTAGATGGTGGTGAAGGTTGCTCAACTCTGTGAATAAGCTAAAAAAAACACTGAACTATACACTTTAAAAGGTGAATTTTATGCTATTTTTTTTTCTTAATACAGTTGTTATGAAAAACTGTAAGGAAAAAACTATCTAAGGTATTTAAAAATCAAAATGGAAAATAACTTTCATAGAAGGTTCTATTTCTGAAGTTTAATATTTTCAATTCTATAAGATATATATTTCAATTTTAATGAAATTTCTGCTGTACACTTGGGAACTTATAACATTATAAATGTAATCATTTCAAAGTATTTTATAGAATCACCCTTCTCCCCCCTCCCTTTTTTTTGGGTTTGGTGACCGATAAAAGTAAATTATTTCTTGCCCTTGTGCAGAAGTTTGAAGTATCCCTCGGGGTAGGAATCACTTTTAAAATGTCCTACTGTTTCACTGATGGTGCTGTATTCTTAAAGGACACTGACAAAAAAATAATGTGGCATTACCTGGGCGAAGGTCATTTCCTTATTAATAATTCTACAATATCCTGGTACTTTCAGAGTTTCATTTTTCTGCCCTATGAAAGACCAAATAAAAAGCCTAAAATGCTGACAGAATAGAAGTCAAAAACTCTTGAGGTGGCTGTAATGGACAAATAAAAAAAAATAGTCCACACTATTTTGAGTCTGGCACTATGCTAGACACTTTGGAAGAAGGGGTGGTTTTAACCACAGTGATGCTGATTACCTAGTGGGGAAAACAAAGCACGTAAATAGTTATATACAATGAGACAGAGGCTAGTGATGAAGATGTGTGCAAAGTGTTCTAGGAACACTCTGGAGGAGGTGGGATTAATGGTGACTGTGGGAGGCAGAAATACCCTCAAAGATATTAATATTTTCATGTTGTACAATAATATTCAAAATTTTTCCAGGCTTCATTTGCCATAATGAATTTATACAATTAAAATTCACATTCTGTAATTTAAGTATACTCCCATGAATTCACATAATAGCACTATTCATTAGAGTACTACGGAAATGAATTACCATTAATATTGAGAATATACATGCTAGGCCAGACCCTTATTCTAGCAAGAGAAGCATTTGACCAAACTTGATCTCAGCTTTTAAATCTCTACTTTGGCATAATTTAAAACTTCATATGTTAAATATCTTTCATTAAAATAAAAATAGCATTGCTAATTTTAAATTCCCATATTTCTATTAAGGCTATAAGTTGTGATGATTTTCATATAACTAATTTTGGAGATGAAATTTAACTACATGTATCAAAATGTTTTAAAATGTTTTCTTTCTTTGAATCAGTAATTCAAAGAAAGTGATTCAGTAAGTGATATGATAAAATTAACAATATAATATATAGCTACAATATAATTATTTCAAGGATATTTAGAGACATAAGAAAATGCTTATTTTATATAGTAGGTGAAAATTATAGGCTAAAAACTACTTTAAAATTAATGATTCAAATTATTTTTAAGGCCAAAAGGAAATCACTAGCTTGAGCTATATTTCAAAAAGCCAGCCTAGTAAATGAGTATAGGGATTATGAAGTTTTTGCTTGTCTTCAAATTTCTAATTCAAAGTGATACTTCCATAAATGTGAACCCAATGCATTATCTAGTCAATATATGCACTTTTAAGAAGACATCTCATTTTATTTTAGTTGTTCTCTTATTTATATCGTTTTTGTACAGGTTATGTTTTTCTTTTCATCATCATTTAGTCTTTTTTTAACTCCTTAATACACTTTATATAATTATTCTTACATATTACATACTCAATAAATATATATTTTTTAAAAATCCTTAACCTATAAGTTAGTTGCACCTGTGTCACTTCCAATATATTTTTCCTCTAGTGCTAAGAAATAAAAGAGTACTTTCCCCAAATAACTCACTCAGATATACAACTCTCACCTCAAATCTGTCACCCCTTTTGTGAATGAAAAATATTTATTTTAAAACTCTGTGCTCTATTAACTTCAGCCTAGATCTAAATGTTGTGTGCTAGAACACAAATGAATCACAAGTTCACATGAAAATTTGTTTTAATAAAGGTATTTCAAATTTTGTGCAAGAAATGTATAACACAAGTCACAAAATAGTAAACAAATCACTTAAAATATAAGTTTCTATGAGACGATAAAATGTAAATTTTTGCCATTATTGATTGCAAAATATGAAAGTCTGAAACTGCAAATAATTTGACACCCTTTATTTAAGGAACATTGAATGTTAAATGTATAATAATATAAGCGACATAATTTTTGGAACTAAATGACTTGGCAAGTTCCATTAAAACAGACTAAGTACCCCATCTGCAATTAAATTTATTAAATTATAACACAGATAATTCCAGCATATATGAGGTCATTCTGAAAGAACATTCCTATTTTGACTTTACTTTTCATTTAGCTCATTGTACACAATCTCTGATATATTATCATACATTTTTAGCGTTATAAATTAATTTTTAAATGAAATGTAACACATAGGATTAATAGTAAATATAATTTCACTATATTTCAAGCACTGTTCTAGGCACTTAATATGTATCAGCTTATTGACTATAAACAATAACCATATGGTGTTGCTACCATGATGATCCCATTTTACATGTAGGGAAATAGTGGCACAAAGAGTTTAAGTGATTTTCTCAGTGCCTTACATGCCTTACTGTCTTATGTGGCAGAATTAGTACTCGAACCCAGCTAGCTGGTAACAAAAGTTCAGTTTAATCACTAAGACTGTACTTCTACTTTCATTTTATTATTATAACATGAACATTGCAACATAAACTAATATGCCATGCAGAAAACTTTCAGGATATTAACACATATAAAACATTTAAAAACATAGTATTTCTAGAAATTATATTATTGATAGAATTTTCAGGTACAAATTGCCTTAGGAAAAAATTCTATTTATGATAAACATATGCCAATTTTTTTAACTGCAGATTTTTAGTGATAGATCTATTCAATAAATTTGCACAAAGATTTTCAAATTTAGATGCTGGATATTTAAATCAGCTTGTCATTACATCCTAAAACTAATAAGTATGCCATGCTTTATCCATGTAACTCATATCATCAACAGTAGGACATCAGCCACACAACTTCAGTTTAGAAAAGTAGTACTCATATCCACTCTTGGCTGACAGTAATCATTAAAATAATAATAGATGATAACATTTTTTAGTCCACCTCAAGAAATAATTTTTATATAACTGTCAACTCCAATTTTTTGATGAGGAAATAAAAATGAAACTAAAAGAAAAATATAAGATCTTAATTGAACCTGAAAACATATGCCAATCAACTCCATCCCCTTCTTATAGTCAAATAATAAACCATATAAAGCCTTGGTACCAGATTTCTTTTAAAAATACATTAATCCCTTTGTTTACTCAATGCATATTTACATTTTGCAAAACACGGTGTGATTTCTGTCCTTAGAAAGTTTCCCTTAGGAAAGAAAAACACGTGATCATGCATAGCACAGTGTGTTAAGCTTTGGAGCATCTGGAACCTCAATTTGCCTTGACTGGACTGGCCTAGAATATCCACTGGAGTGAGTTGGTTATCTGTCTATTTACATGAGGGAGAAAGGTGACCCCTGGAAAGACGAAGTAGCAAGGAGGTTAAAGTCTCCAGCTCTCGAAGCAACTGCTTGTTATTTGAATTCCAGCTCCATCTTTTTTAGCTGTGTGTTCTTGGGAAATTTAGTTTACCTTTTTTGTGTTTTATCTTATTAATCTGTAAAACACGGATAACAGAAACAAGCAAAGTCTTACTGGGTTGTTGTGAGACTTAACTAAGTTATTCAGGTTAAATGCTTAGACAAGTATGAGCACTTGGTAAGTGTTAACAATGAATTACTATTATTATTATTATTATTAATTACTGGAACAAACTCAAAGCTTGTATTTTTAAGGGTGGGAGGGCCTTGTCACTGGCGATTCTAGGAGTAAGCTGTATGTCTCCAAGTCCTGCCAATCTATAGGTACCGATATTGCCACATAGCAGTGGCAATAATCAGCTTCCATGGCTGATATCTCACACCCATGCTTTCAGAATTCTATCAGGCCCACTCTTAGGATTCTTTCACAGTCAATTCCAGTTATTTCTTTAAGGCAAGAAACAAACAGTGTAGGCATAATATCATGAAAATGACAGATGTTTAATGGCCATTGTGATATCTGAAAAAGCTGACAAAACTATATGGAAAGAATAATTAATATAAATGACCATAGAAGGCAAAAGAAATATATCATATTTAAAGGTAATCTGAAATGTGTGTGAGGACAATGAGGCCCATAATCTGATTTTATGTTTAACATCTGCATTTCCATTTAATTTTGTATTCATTATCACTTTTAAAGTATTGATTTAAAAAGCCATGTAATATAGTTAGTTAGTGGATACATTAGTTGTGGCCGATAATTCCTTTATTTAAACCAGAGAAAGTAGTTTTCCTATGTAACATTACTATACATAACAGTTAGGGAGGTTTGATGGTCTATATTTCATTGTCTGTTCCTGTTATTTTATTATTCCAGTTTCTTGTTATATTTGCCTTTGGAGAATAGAATCAGACAAACATGAAACCTTTGTCATATACAGAATAGGACCATAATAAAGCCAGAATGAACTCCGATTTTTATTGACAAGTGAGTAAAGTGTACTACGTTCTCATCTGTTTCCTCTCTCTACCACCACAATTCTTTTCACCTGACATTTTGCCATTTTTGGGAGGTTTTCAAGGATCATATCCTATGCCTCCCTGCTCTGTCATAACAGGGGATTTCACTGAAGTTACCCCCAACACACACACAAACACACCCACAGAGAGACAAAGGACAATACAAAGCTATCTCCCTCTCTTTCTGTCACCATATCCATTATCATGGCACCTGATACTATCTGAGTGAATTCTGTCACTCACTCAAAAGCCCACGGGCCTTACAGCCTACTCTTAAGACACTGATTTTACTAATTTTGCATTGTTTCTTCTGTTTAAGGTGCTCTTCCTTGCCCTGTCTATTTGGAAAACTCTTCTTCATTCTTTAGGGCTTTGATGTCACATCCCCTATTCTAGGAAGCCTATGATCTTCAGACAAAATTTGGAAACCTCTCCTCAGGTTTCCCATTGATGAGAATATATATTTATGGGGCTATAATTTTTTGTACAGTTGTCTAGTTCCCACACGAGAACACATGACTCTGAAGGGATGGATGGTCCTTTCATTTTAACCTTCTCACAACAATGTTTCTGAAAAGGGCAGGGTCTTAATGTGTTAGAATGAATAAGCTACCTAATGGAATATATGTATACAATTAGGCACAGCGCAATGATTCTATGACTGCAGGTTAGCCACATAAACAAGTATCTGTCCTATTTCGACAAATTAGGCCAGATCACCAATGCCCAACTTTTCTTGGACCAGATATACCATTTACCATATTCTCAATATGTGCTGACTTGGTAACATTGAGAGATACAAAAATAATAAACTACAGTAATTGGAATTATTAATGACTCAGGTATTTCATTAATTTTAGGCAAAGTATCCTTAAAGCATTGGAAAGAGTTTAAAATTTAGTTCCCTAGTTGCTCAGTATTCTAATATCTATTTCTGTATCTATATATACATCTAATAATATATATGGGTGTATATATATTATTAATAGGTAAAATATTCATAATAGATCATTATTTTTTAAGTATTTCACAAAATGCTTTGGAAGGAACCGTAAAACTCAAGATGCATTCCCTATGATCAAGGACATTACTTTTAGCTTTCTTTATTTGAATGTTTGCATTTGCACATGTTTCAATGCACCTGTTGAAAGCAACCAAAATAACACAGAGAAAAATCATTAGACAGTTTTGATTATGAACTGGGAGAAAAAGAATGTAGTTTAAAAAATTAACCTTTTCCCTACTTTTCTCTTAGTTACCATACTCCACTGCCACACAGTACAGAAAAGAAAAAATAAATCTATCTTTGAGAAATGTTTCATTTTCACTTGAAATGATGCAATTAGTCACTGCTCCATATATTTGTGTTTGAAACGTTTCTATCAAGTATAATCTTAGCCAGAGCACCCTATAGTGTACAAGCTATACATGAATAGTGAAAGTATTGTATTTGTTATTTGAAATGTGTCGATGCAGCACACTTAATTCAAAACATTTATGAGTGGAGGTTGACAAGTCTGTCCTTCTAACTCTTATGGCATAACTTACTATTTATATGCTACCTGTATTTCAAGATCCATTCTGTGTTCTAACACTATAGAGAAGGCCAATTGAATATTCCCTCAGATAGAAATGAAAGTTCTCTCTCTGTCCATCTATCTATTTTTCTATCTCTTTTTCTTATTATTACAATCTTTCTTTTGTATGTATCCACTTAACCCATTGTAACATTTTCCCCATTATAAGACCTAGCATTCCTCCTCTTATTAAGAATAAACACCTTAGCAGTATTGGCTACATGGCTGATGTTGAATTAAGCGAATTAAGTTGTTGGAAACACACAATTCAAATTTACTATGTTTGTGAATCCAAAGATAGGTTTACTCGTGGAGTTTTAGGAGTTATAAGGTCAGCCTTTGGAAAATTCTGAATTCGTTTTTTAATTATTTCCTGCGAATATTGCTTTGTAGGATATTTCTAGAAACGCAACCCACTGAAAATAGCCAATCTAAACATTACAATCTCAGCATAAACATTTGCCTCAGTGGAAGTCCTTAATTACCAAATGGAGAGAAATGCATGCAGGCTGTCAGCATCATGTTTCTCCTTGGTAGTGTCTCTCACCATTTTGCCACCACGAATGTTTCTAAATGGCCAACATACTACTTCTTCTCATTTGAATGTTTATGTTTGAGAAAATGCAAAAATAAGAGCACTAAGTGCAAACAGAGGTTTGCTGAAGTTTGTGTATTTAGCTCCTATGGCGTTCTGGATGCCAGATTCACATTCATTAGACATAAATTGATGTTAAGCAGCCTTGACTGCAGGAGGAAAAGCAACAACAAAAATCTCTTCATACCTCTAAGACTTTCAGTCAGATTCTTTTCTTACAGAACCCCATTCTGCCATTCCAGCACACTGTTTTCTGTTCAGTCTTATCAGTCTTTTCCTGCTTTATTCTTGTTTTTTGACTGCTGTTTATGCCACTTAGGCATTTGCTTATACTGGTCCCCATAGATTTTCCTCCTGTTTAACATCACAATGGACTCAACTTTCTTTGAAGCATACCTCGTCTATGGAAGCAAATGACATCCTAATTTGTTAACTCTAAGGCATTACAGAACTTTATTCCTTCAAGGCCTCTAACTTTACTTTTGGCCTTATCTTCTGCCATGTCCCATCTGAACACAATGCTGCTTTCACCTGTTCCTTTATACTCTCCAGGAGGACTGTGCAATTGTTTTCCTTCTGCCTGAAATACTCTGTTCTATGTCATCTTCTGAGATAAGGCTTCCCTTTTCACCCACTCTACAGTAGGTTTCTGCAACTCATTTTTACCAATTATGATCTCTCTCTCCTCTCATGTTTTAAGACAGTTACCTTTTAATGTTTCTGGAATTACTTTTTTTGTTTTTTTGCTTTGTCTCCACTGTATTGAAATAATTGCCAATCCAGGTTTCTTACTTTCAAACCTTCTTATATTTAATTCATTTTACAGGTAGGTTATTACTTATCACAAATCCTTGTTTGGACATTTTATTTCCTCATCTCCATTTATTTCCTCATTCTCCCCAAAAAAAGTCACCCCACCATTTGATAAATCCCTCATGTTTAGAGGATAAAATGAATTGTCTTTATTTATTGCTAGAGAGTGAATGTGAACCCTCAAAATTCATTTGTTGAAGCCCTAAGCCCGATTTGATGGGAATTTGAGGTGGGGCCTTTGGGAGGTAATTACTGTTAGATAAATCCATGAGGGTGGAGCCCTCATGATGAAAAGAGGAGACATGAGATATTGCGCTCTCTCTCTGTGCCACGTGAGGATACAATAGGAAGCAGACTCTCACCAGACACTGGATCCACCAGTGCCTTGATCTTGAACTTCTCAACCTCCAGAATTGTGAGAAATAAATAGCTGTTTAAGCCACTCGGTCCATGGTATTTTTGTCCTAGTATCCTAAATTGTCGAAGACAGCACTTTATCAAGGTCATCATGTACTAGTCTTTACCTATAGCCCTAAACCAAAATGTCTAATACTTCTCTAAAAGGAACACTCTGCTTCAGGGAAGAAAGAATGTTTACAACATTTCTGCTGTTCAATTTAGCCTCACATCATTTCTCTTGCCTGGAACATTATCTTATTCACCCTTCAATGTTTCTAAATCCTATATACTTAATTTAAGGCCTAGTTCAAGTTGTAGTACTTCATTGAATACTTCTCCAATTGATAATCTTTCAATTTTTATTCATAATTACAAGATCGAGGCAGAAAGAGTTTTGTGTGCCTGACTTTGTAGACTTAGTAAAAATAGCTTCACCATTTTTTTTTAGGAAATAAAAGCATAATGTAAGTACTACACGGCTTATGTTTGATATAATAACATCTGCACAAAAAAACCCACAAAAAGTCTCAATTACTCTTTTTTTTTCAAAAGTTTATCACATTCCTTCATGCATTTACTAATTCAAACACATTTATAGGTTTCCTTGAAGAGGTCCAGGCATTCTGCCAGAAAATGGGATTATAGTAGCAGACTAAATTTAGTCAAAACAGATCAAACTCCTTGCCCCTAGGGAGCTTACATCCTTGCAGGGATGATAGTGGGGTTGGAGAGGAAGACATTAAAGAAGACAGACAAATACAGAGTGTGTTACATGGTGGTAGGTGCTATAGAGTAAAATAAAACGGGGAGGGGTGGAGCTGCAATCTAGATAGAGATGGCAGAAAACACTTAGGAGGAGTGTGGCATTTGAGCAAAGGCCTAAAGACAGCAAGGGAGTAAGACATGTGAGTAGATAAGGGGTAGTTGGAATATTTCAGAGATGACAGAGTACTTGAAGCAGAAGGAGCCATGAAGAGGAGACCACATCTCAGAGGTAACTTAGGACTCAAGTATGCAGGACTCTATGGGCTATTATGAGAACTTGGCTTTTGGGAAGCAAATGGAAGATTTAGAGCAAAAATTGACATGGTCAGATTTCTGTATAAATGTAATCCTTTCAGCTGCTATTTGAGGAACAGACTTAGGTGAGGCAAAAGAGGAAGTAGGAAAATCAATGAGAGGACTATTGAAAGAATCTGGAAAAAGATAAAGGTGACTTGAACCTAAGTGTTAGCTATGGAAGTGATTGAAGTAGATAGATTATGCATATGTTTTCAAGATAATGTCAGCAGGTTGAACAATTATATGTGGGTGAGAGATAAAGAGGAAAGTCAGAGATGATGGAAGATGACTCAGAGTTTTTGCCAAAGCAGCTGGAACATAAGAAGAGAGATTGGAAAAATTATGAGAAAAGGTTTGGAATGGGAAAGGGAATTAGGAATCAGTTTTTGATGCGTTAAATTGAGATGTCAATTAGACAACTAAGTTAAGATACACATTTTTGGTGTCTGGAGTTTGGGAGAAGGGTCCAAGTTGGAGACGCTAATATAGAAGTCATCATTTATAAAAAGGTACTTAAATCTCTAATTCAGCCCAAATTGCTAAAGGTATGAGATAGACTTAATACACAGAGAAGAGGTTCAAGGACTGAGTCTTGGTACACTTCTCAGTGTTCAGATGCTGGGAAGACAAGAAGAGAGCTAATGAAAGATACTGAGAGAGTGGCTATTACAGGGATGGGAAACACCAGAGAAGTGTGTTACTGGGAGCCTGGAACATGTTACAAGGAGGAAGTTACTAACTCTGAGAAATAGCCCTGAGGACTTAAAATCTGTCACCAGATTTGGCAACACAGAAATCACTGATGTTGTTAATATTGTCAGGTTCACTGAAGAGATAGGGGGCAACAGCCTGGGAAGATACAGAAGAGAAAAATTGGAGATAATGGGCATTCAAAACTTTTTGAATCACTTTGCTGTAAAGGAACTGATAGAAATCAGGATGGAAGGTAACTAGTAGCACAGATGGAATTGAGTGTGTGTTTGTGTGTGTGTGTGTGTGTGTGTCTATATATATATATATATATATATATATATATATACACATTGGAAAAAATAACAGCATTTTGAACATAGAAACATAGATGAAGGCAGGTGGGGAGATATGATGTTCAGAGATGCTGTTTTCTCAGAGAAAGAAGCAGAGTCAATAAGAAAATAAACATGAAAAAGTTATTATTAGAAATTTCAGAAAAAGCAAAGTTGAAAAAGTGTCATTTAGGTTAGACCTAAAACCATAAAAACCCTAGAAGAAAACCTAGGCATTACCATTCAGGACAGGCATGGGCAAGGACTTCATGTCTAAAACACCAAAAGCAATGGCAACAAAAGACAAAATTGACAAATGGGATCTAATTAAACTAAAGAGTTTCTGCACAGCAAAAGAAACTACCATCAGAGTGAACAGGCAACCTACAAAATGGGAAAAAATTTTCGCAACCTACTCATCTGACAAAGGGCTAATATCCAGAATCTACAATGAACTCAAACAAATTTACAAGAAAAAAACAAACAACCCCATCAAAAAGTGGGCAAAGGACATGAACAGACACTTCTCAAAAGAAGACATTTATGCAGTCAAAAAACACATGAAAAAATGCTCACCATCACTGGCCATCAGAGAAATGCAAATCAAAACCACAATGAGATATCATCTCACACCAGTTAGAATGGCAATCATTAAAAAGTCAGGAAACAACAGGTGCTGGTGAGGAAGTGGAGAAATAGGAACACTTTTACACTGTTGGTGGGACTGTAAACTAGTTCAACCATTGTGGAAGTCAGTGTGGCGATTCCTCAGGGATCTAGAACTAGAAATACCATTTGACCCAGCCATCCCATTACTGGGTATATACCCAAAGGACTATAAATCATGCTGCTATAAAGACACATGCACATTTATGTTTATTGCAGCATTATTCACAATAGCAAAGACTTGGAACCAACCCAAATGTCCAACAACAATATACTGGATTAAGAAAATGTGGCACATATACACCATGGAATACTATGCAGCCATAAAAAAGGATGAGTCCATGTCCTTTGTAGGGACATGGATGAAATTGGAAATCATCATTCTCAGTAAACTATCACAAGGACAAAAAACCAAACACCGCATGTTCTCACTCATAGGTGGGAATTGAACAATGAGAACACATAGACACAGGAAGGGGAACATCACACCCTGGGGACTGTTGTGGGGTGGGGGGAGGGGGGAGGGATAGCATTAGGAGATATACCTAATGCTAAATGATGAGTTATGGGTGCAGCACACCAGCATGGCACATGTATACATATGTAACTAACCTGCACATTGTGCACATGTACCCTAAAACTTAAAGTATAATAATAATAAAATTTTAAAAAAAAGAAAAAGTGTCGTTTAGGACATCAGTCTTCAAACATGTTTGCTCAATCATCCCCTAACAGAAATTTAGCAACTGTGCCTCCTCACACATCTATAAATTAACATCTAAAATTTGTTATTCTATGTTTACCTGAATGCCAAGTATGGAATTTCTGATATAATGTAAATTTTGGCATATATCAAATTGAATCATAACATTTTTGCTATTCTACCCTCACCATTTTACATGAATAAAAAAAACATAAATTCTTCTTTAAAATAGAAAATTTATATTTTTTTATTTTGCCTAAATTGTAGTTCCTTTTTTTATAACACAGAAAATATTTTTAAACTTAAAGCCACTTACTGATCACCTAACATAATTCTCTGCAATAAATACACTTAAATACTTTGATTTTAAAATGTGTAGGGCTAGGTATGGTGGCTCATGCCTGTAATGCCAGCACTTTGGGAGACTCAGGCAGAAGGATTGCTTGAGCCCAGGAATTCAAGATCAGCCTGGGCAACATAGTGAAACCCCATCTCTACACAAAATACAAATACAAATAAAAATTAACTAGGCATGATGGTGAGCATCTGTAGTCCCAGCTACTCAGGAACCTGAGGCAGGAGAATCACTTGGGCCCCAGGGTTTGAGCCTACAGTGGGCTATAATTGTGCCACTGCACTTTAGCCTGGGCAACACAGTAAGATCCTGTTTCCAAAACAAAACAAAACAAAAGTATAATATTATAAGGCTCCAATTTTAAAATGTTCTTTTGTGTTTGAATTCTCATAAATTATTATTAATTGAAAATGTTAAAAACACATATTATAAAGTTTAATGTTTAAATATGAAAGACAGGAAGTAAATTTTATTGGCAATATATAGTATAATGACAAAGATAAGAAGTGATATTATGACTTAATTGAGAACTACTTCACAGATGACAATGCAGTGTTTTGTTGTATTGTTTGGAGACCCAGGAGTTTTTATAACTTAGAGCAATGCACAATAAAAGAATTTGGGATGAATGAAAGTGATGCATCTCCTCCCTCCTCCGCTTCTCTCTTTTATTTGAAGGAGATAAGCATTTTAAAATGGATATGAGAAAGGTGAATCAACTGGATTCTTCAATAGGCAAATCATTTTTAGGAAAGGAGCTCTTAGAAGTTTTAAATTATCCACAAGCAATGTGTGATCCGTGATTTAATTTTGGAGTGAATTAACAAAAAACTATAAAGAAGAAGAATATTTTTGGAGACAATTGCAGAAAATTGCCAATATATTAGATAATGCTATTATATCATGTGAAATTTCTTGGGTGTAATAATGGTATTGGGGTTATAATAGGAGAAAGTCCTCATGAGACTTTCTGAAGTCACTGAAGAGAGACACTGAAGACTTTAGGAGTGATAGATCATATTTTCTGCTTTGTAGTATCAAATATGTCAGCAAAATGTGTTGAGGAAAGAAATAGATGAGGTAAATGTGGCAAAACAATCATAAATCCACGTGAATGAAAGGAATCAATAACAATACTTTCTGCATACTCTGTCAGCTTTAATATACAAGATCAGAGAGTCCAATGTTTCTAGGCTCTAACCCTCTGGGATAGAATGGGAAAATTCAACATGTAGAAATAAAACTGAAGGAATATGCTGAGTAAATGTATAGCATGGGAGGTCAATGTTGTTACATTTATATGAGTAAAACCAGAAGAATGGTTTAATATGCTAAAAATGGGAGCCAACTTTGAGGCATAAAAATAAATCTGAGAAGTTGGATATCCTATGCCACAGACCACAGTCTACTCTTCTTGAGTATGACATGCCCCAGAGCAAATAAAGCAGACACGAGAGGCTCTAAAATGGCTTTAGCCCTACTGAAGCTCCATCTACCTGGAGGAAGGGTTTACAATTTTTTTAAGTCAACAATCAGTAATAAAAAGTTGTCATAATTAAAATTCCCAAATAATAAAGGTCAACATATATGTCCTAACTCATGCTTGGTTCTTCATGCATATGAGCTGCTTGCCAGCAGTGCCACCTCCCTAGAGACAACCAAATGTTTAACTCACCAATGACAAGTGTGACTTCAGAAATAATCCTCTTACTGATTTTTATTTGTGATAAATTAAAATGATAATAGAAGCAATTGCACCAAGCCCACATTTTCAGATCATTTTATGATTATTTGTGGCTCACGAGATGCTTCTAAATTTCTAACTGAGACCAGTGTCTTCCTTTTTTATCTTTCCAAGATTATTTGTAAATTACTCCTTTCTATTAATTGTCTCTTCATTAGGGCAAAGTTTTCTTATACACTTTTGGTATATGAGTTAACATAGGAACACATAATAGAGACAGAAGTAGAAAAAGGGTCTCCTGCCTTCCCCATGTTAGTCTTTAAGTGACATCCCTATTTCATTGATGTCTTTTTTTTTTTTTTTTTTTTTTTTTTGGGGCAGAGTTTTGCTCTTATTGCCCAGGCTGGAGTGCAATGGTGCGATCTCGGCTCACTGCCACTGCAGCCTCCCAGGTTCAAGCGATTCTCCTGTCTCAGCCTCCTGAGTAGCTGGCATTACAGGCACACGCCACCACGTCCAGCTAATTTTGTATTTTTAGTAGAGACAGGGTTTCTCCATGTTGATCAGGCTGGTCTCGAACTCCTGACCTCAGGTGATCTGCCTGCCTCTGCCTCCCAAAATGCTGGGATTACAGGCATGAGCCACCACACCTGACCCTCATAGTTGTCTTTTTTGATGTTCTGAAATATAACCTAAGTTCTAGTTCTAAAGAGTTTCCTTCACCTTCCATGAGCACTGCTCAGTTTCCTTTTCCATAATTTTTCCTTTCCCAGGCCTTTCAATTAAATTGGTTTGGAAAAGACACAGACAAGGAGGAGGGCACAGTATCCCAAATGCTGATAACAAACCAAAAACCTTAAGGGCTGCTGTTCTGCAAATTTACAGAGTTGGCATGGTGCAAGAAAGCAAGCTGTAGTCTGTCACAGATTTTTTTCTCAAATTTAGTTTGAAATAATTTTAGATGTATAAAAGAGTTACAAAGATACTACAAAGAGTTCTCATATACTCTTTACTCAGCTTCACCTACTGTTTGCATCACACATAATCATGGTACATCTATCAAATAAATTAAAATTAATGAAAAACTACAGACTGTCTTCAGATTTTTCAATTTCTACTAATATTACTCTGTTCCAGGATCCAATTCAGGATACAGATGAAATGTTGTATTTCATCAGGTCTCCTTAGTCTCATCTAATTTGTGACAATTTCTCAGTCTTTCCTTGTCTTTCATGATCTTCACAGGTTTGAAGAGTACTGGTCACATAATCTGTAAAATGTCCCTCAGTTTGGATTTTTCTGGTATTTTTTCATGATTACTCATGATTACACTGTGAATTTTTGGAAGAGCAGCACAGAGAGGATGTGTCCTTCTTATTGTATCCTTTCAGGGAATACAGCCATGGGGATTTTATTTAACTTATTAATTTATTTATTCATTATTTATTTATTTATTTATTGAGACGGAGTCTCACTCTGTCACCCAGGCTTGAGTGCAGTGGCGTGATCTCGGCTCACTGCAACCTCCACCTCCCAGGTTCAAGTGATTCTCTTGCCTCAGCCTCCCAAGTAGCTGGGATTACAGGCACACACCACCATGCTTGGATAATTTTTGTATATTTTGTAGAGACGGGGTTTCACTATGTTGGCCAGGCTAGTCTCGAACTACTGACCTTGTGATCCCCCTGCCTTGGCCTCCCAAATTGCTGGGATTAGAGACGTGAGCCACCGTGCCCGGCATCATGGGGATTGTAAAATGCATGTTTCCCATTGAGAAAGTGAGGTAAAGAAAAGAACTGTGCATCAAGCAATAGAAAAAAAATCAATATTCTGTTTTTACTGGCACTTTTGGCCTGCTGGCCATAAGCCAATACTATAAACTAGCAGGTAGGGTGCTGCAAGAATGTCAATACTTCTGCCACATTAATCTTTGCAGGCTTGCCGCCCCTGCAGTTAACTCATGGAGCATCCTTTGCCAGGACATACATCTGCCTCTGTACCATGCCCCTGTAATGTGTCTTCAAAGGGTGCACCATTCCACATCTGTTCTCTATCTTTTATGACCAACCACTACAAAAACTAGAGAGAATCCCCAACTGTTTGTTTTCTTTCGTTCCAGTTAAGAAAATTGATGATAATCTCAAAAAAGGGGCTATTAACTCTTATTATCTCTTTCATTTTATCTTCTTCCTCTCTTTTACCCTACATCTGAGCAGGGGGCCATGGTTAGAAGCAATGCCTTCAGGAAGTACGCACTCTTTCCCAAATTAATTCTCATCATGGAGGTATAGGATCAGCTAATAATAATTATATTTTTGAGGAACAGAGAAAGAGGACAAAGGGGAGAGGAGTCACCACTTATAATCCCTACCAGGATAGCTTTGTACTGTGCTAAACACTTTTTGTCAGATCCCATTTAAATCTGAGATGCCTATAAGGTAAGTATCATTTTCTCTATTTGACTGATGAGAAGAGTGGACTTCAGTAGAATTTAAAAAATTCTTCAAGGTTAGCTGGTTAGTAAATGAGTAGAGACCACAGGTCATAGTATTTTCTCTCTCCCTCACCTGGAAGAATAAATCATTCATACCACCTCAGTATGGGTTAAAGCCAGACATCTTGTCAGTGCTTCCTAAAAAAAAAAGAAAGAAAGAAAAGAAAGAAATTGTTTTTCATATGAGATTCTGTGTCTGGGTCCCTGATGATTTCCTATGCCTAAGTATCTACTTGATAATCTCTCCAAAACGCCACTCTTCCAACACTCTGTGTTGCTATTTTCAGTCCTCTCCAGGAACTCTTAAACTAAAGGACATGACCCCCATGCACTGACAACTACTTCAGCCACCTCAACTCTGACCAGTCCCTCAAAGCAGGAAGCCATCTGTTGTTATTTTCACCACTAACAAATATTCACGGCCTCATGTTTTCCCGGCACATAGTGAACACGCACTTATCTTCCCCCTTTGAAACTAGGTGTGGCCATATTCAAATCAAAATCCTGCCCTTTGGTAGTTATAAGACACACAAAAAAACTGAGGCAGGTATTAGAGTTAGAATTCTAGTCTCTCTGGCCCAAACTCTGACCTCATAACCACTGCAAGATACCCTCCCTATCCTATAGAGCCTAGTACTACACTACCCCCTCCCAACTTTAGCCTCCACATATAGTAAAGTGCTTGGAACACAAAAAACACTTCATAAATTGTGCTGAATGAAATCATTTCCATGAGTGTTTATGGATTTTGAGTTCATTTGTACCTTTTACCTAAAATTCTAGCCACTTTAATTTGGAGAGTTTCCAGAGCAAAGGGCACAGATCCCAGGCATAACAACGCTTTGCGTATACAGCAACCAATATCTTGTCAACCCAAGAAAGTTCCTCCATTGATACCTAGTAGAAATAGCCCAGTTTTTAAAGTCCTCAAAACTGTAACAAATTACTTGTTTTTAAAATTTAACTTAAATTAATACAATCAGATTTTTGTGTTATTTGGGTATTAGAGTATGTTAAAGCACATATATCCCAGAGACATAGAGTTTCCGTTTCAAAAAGTCATGCATTCATGTGTGCTAATGACAATCCTATCCTGACCCGCTATGTGACTTGTATCTCTAAACCATAGGCTTTCCTGAATTTTATCTGTTAATTTAACCCTGATTTCTCAGCAGCAGCTTCTCTTTGTAAATAGACTTGCCTCTTCTGTGTCTGACCTCTGCTCCTCATAATCAGATTAACTCAGATAAAGCTGCTTCAGGGAAGAGGTCAAAACCGTTGCCAAAAATAGTAGTTGCCCTACTTCAGTCTATTTTCAACAGAGTAGCCAGGAGATCCTGTTCACACCAAAGTCCAATCAGCCCTACTGTTAGCACTCTGCTCACAAGCCTCCAGTGGCTTCCGACCTCACTCACAGTAAAAGCCAAGTCATCCTTTAGCCTATGATGTCCTACATGATTTGAATTCCCTTCCATTGATTTTTGTCACTGATTTTTAAAAATCCAAATTCATTCTCATACAGCTGAATTGTCCTCTTTGCTTTAAGTATGCCAGGATTATTTCTACCTCAGGGCCTTTGCACTTGATATTCCCTTCACCTTTTCCAAGATAGTTATTCCCTCACCTCAGTCAAGCCTTTATTTAGATGCCCCCTTCTCATCAAGGCATTCTCTGATCTCCTTATTTAAATGTATGACACCCCTTCTTTGCTTTACATTTAATCAGAACATGTATCACTATCTAGCATATAATACATTTGCTTGACCTCTTTTGTTTACTGTCTATGCCTCCTGAATACTGTGTAAGCTCCATGATACAGGCACTTTTCTCTATTTCGAGCACTGTTGTATTACAGAGCCTTAAAAGTACCTGGCACTTACTAGATTACCAAAACACATTTATCACACGACTGAAAAAGTAAATGAATAGACACATCATTATTGATTTTTGCAAATGTTTGAGGCATGTATTATTATTACCCAATAATGCTAGCCAGCTAATACAGCTAATTTTATGTGGTCATATTTACTAAAACTTTACACTTTTGTTAGAGGTTTATCATTAGTATTTTTATTTTCAAATGAAGTTTTAAAAAGAATATGCTAAAGGCAGTATTCTTTTCAAGGTGAAAGTTGGCTCTTAGGCATATGTAATGCTCCTAACACTGCTATTGTCAATTTGTTGCTAAGAAAGATCAAAGGAGAAATTGAAAGCCAAGGATGCATAGAGCTAGGAGATATTAATGTGGCTTTGAAGAGGAATATATCCGAGCCCTGGCGGTGGGAGAGTTTCATAAAATAGGGCATTTTCTCTCAGAAAAAGGGACGTGCAGTTTTCGGAACACTTCTCTGTTTTCCAGTGGAACACCATATTTTCACAGAAACCATGCCCTGACCTGATTTATAATTTTGAGAAAATAGTTCAAATGCCCTTTTCTCATTATGAGAAGATCATACTGCTGCCACCACAAGCATTTCACCACTGATAATTTTAATACTGACTCTCAGAGAACCAAGTAAGTAGTTGAACTTAATTCCCCAGAAATTATTTTGCAAGAAAATTTACCAGCAGTTGCTGCCTACATAAAAACGATATGGAACTGCAAACTTGCCATTTAAGAATCAGCCTTTTCCCTAAAACAAAGGAAAATTGGTTATAGATTAAGAAACATTTGTGCAATGTAGAATCAGTTTTCAGTTCTGGCTGCATGTTTACCTGGGAACTTTTGAAAATATTAGTATGTGGTATTTCATGTCTATACTTCTCCCACTTCCAAAGATATTCTAATTTAGTGAGTCTTGGTAGGTCCTAGTAATCACTATTTTTGACAAGTTCATCCAAACGATTTAATGTGCAACTAACTTTAAGGGAAACATGTAGTGGGAGAAAATGTATACAGGCATATCTGCCTAATACTCTTCATTGATGATTCATTCGTTCATCCTAAATTACATCAAGTACCCACTATGTGCTAGGAACTGTGCTAGGGGAAAAAGGTGATGGGGTTTAGACTGTAGTCTAGAAAAAATAACATTGAGCAGAAGAGCAGAAAGTACTACTCAAATGTTAATACCACTGCTACATTAATCTCAACAACACACTATTGATAATTTCTTTCCTTTTATCCTCACTCAAGTTAATCTAATTTATTTGTAATCATTTATCTAAATAATATCTAAGATCTAGTATAACTAGTCATCTATAATCTAATGCAACTTGTACCACTCCACTGCTTCCCTGTTTGGAATGCCTCCTCTAGGACAAAACACACCCTCCATCAAAAGCCGTATGTCTATGGAAATTTTAAGAGAGACAGAGGAAGAGAAAGAGAATTCAACTTCACTTCAAAACCAGACAAAAACTCTCCACTTCAAAACCTTGCATATGGATTCTTTTCTCTAGACTAAACATTCCCACTTCCCATAAATAACACTTCTTTCTCTCTGATGAGTCCTTTCTGCCTCTCCCTCCCACTGCCACTGCCCTGGTCTGGAGTTCCTCCGATGAGGACTGTGGTAACAACCTTCTAACTGATTTTTTTAAATTTTTTTATTTTTATTTTTATTTTTCCTTTTAGAAGCTTCACCCTCCAAATAGTCCTTCACTATTCCAAGAATATCTCTGATATCCAGATCTGCTCATCCACGCTGTCCAAAAAAACAAAACAAAAAACAAACAAACAAAAACTCTGTCAAATTTCCACCATCCACATGATAAAGACCAAATGGTTTTCCCACTGACCACATCATAAGACCAAGTGGTTTAGCATGACACACACAGTCTTCTAGAACTTGACTCTGGTCAAATTCTCCAGTGCAGCTCTAGCTAGCCAAGTCTAGATATACAGGATTACTCATCCTTTTGTTATTTTGCTAAAAAAAAAAAAAAAGTTTCATTCCATGAGGAAATAAAAGAAAAAAAAAACTTTTTAGTCATTTATGTAAATTTTTATAAACTTATAGATAAACTGTGAATTAAAATCTAGTTTTGTACAGTAATTAATTATCTCTGGTCCCTAATAAGTTGAGCACATTGCTTATTTTTCTCTAGTTATAAATTTTATATTTAAAAATTGACCTAAAAGCCTAAATAGCCATGTAAATGCATATGTATAAACAAGGCAAAGCTATTTTAAGCAGAATCTACAATGTATGAAAAACTGGGGCAAACTAAGTAATGCTTAGTCTTAAGACTCATTAAAAACAAAATTCTTTTTGTTACTGTAGCATTTAAAAAAATACAATTTTTAATTGTATTTGAGCAAATACAATTAAGTACAATTAAATAAATTTAATTTGAGCAAAACAATATATTTAAAATAAGATGATTAAAGTTAGACAGTGATATATTGGAGACATTATTATTTGTTTTGAGATACTTTTATGTGCAGCTAATGAGAAATAATTAAATTATAAAGTAATTATAAATAAATTAGGTATTTCCCATATATTTAAAAGTCTTAATCAATGCAAAATTCTCTTCCTCATAAATTCTTGAAGCTCAGAGATAATGGAACTATGGAAAGAACAGGCAATCTATAGAATGGGATAAAATTTTTGCAATCTATCCATCTGACAAACGGCTAATATCTAGAATCTACAAGGAACTTAAACAAATTTACGAGAAAAATCAAACAACCCCATCAAAAAGTGGGCGAAAGATATGAACAGACACTTCTCAAAAGAAGATATTTATATGGCCAACAAGCATATGAAAAAAAAGCTTATCACTGGTCATTAGAGAAATGCAAATCAAAACCACAATGAGACACCATCTCACACCAGTTAGAATGGCGATCATTAAAAAGTCAGGAAACAACAGATGCTGGAGAGGACATGGAGAAATAGGAATGCTTTTACACTGTTGGTGGGAGTGTAAACTAGTTCAACCATTGTGGAAGACAGTGTGGTCATTCCTCAAGGATCTAGAAATAAAAATACCATTTGACCCAGCAATCTCATTACTGGGTATATACTCAAAGAATTATAAATCATTCTACTATAAGGACACATGTACAGCTATGTTTATTGCAACACTATTCTCAATAGCAAAGAATTGGAACCAACCCAAATGCCCATCAGTGATAGACTGGATAAAGAAAATGTGGCACATATATACCATGGAATACTATGCAGCCATAAAAAAGGATGAGTTCATATCCTTTGCAGGGACATGGATGAAGCCGGAAACCATCATTCTCAGCAAACTAACACAGGAACAGAAAACCAAACACCACATGTTCTCACTCATAAGTGGGAGTTGAACAATGAGAACACATGGACACAAGGAGGGGAACATCACACACCGGGCCCTGTCAGGGGGTGGGGTGCTAGGGGAGGGATAGCATTAGGAGAAATACCTAATGTAGATAACGGGTTGATGCATGTAGCAGTGGTACATTCCCACTTCCAAATATATTCTGATTTAGTGAGTCTTTGTACGTCCCAGTAATCAGTATTTTTGACAAGTTCCTCCGAATGATTTAATGTGCAACTAGGTTTAAGAGAAACATGCAGCAAACCACCATGGCACATGTATACCTATGTAACAAACCTGCACATTCTGCACATGTATCCCAGAACTTAAAGTATAATTAAAAAAAAAAAAAAGAAAGAAAAGGGAAGAAAGGGCCAAACTACTCAAAAGAATGCTGAAAATAAGAGGTTCAGTTGAATATGTTGAAAGTAATGGTAGAGGGGCTGTTAATGCTTCATCTTGGCAAAGACATAGAAAATCTTGGTGATTAATCAAAAGGTCAGAATCCGTTACTCTATTTCCTTTCCAAGTGTTTTCCCCAGGATGGTTTTTGTTTGGTGTTTTATTGAGCTCTTGCTTCCTCTGCAAGTGAGCCTAATCTATATGCAGCTCTGGAGCAATGTCTAGCAATTGATTGTTATTTTCTGGACTCTGGCTGCAGGCTTGTCCATGAAAGTTGGAAGGTCTACCACAAAATTGCAAGTGGAGGCTCAGTGCTGACCCCTTCTTTTTCCTCCACCTCTGTTCCACACAATGAGTTCCCTCTTGTACATGTGTATGCCCTGAGCCACATGTACCAGCTTCTCAACTACAAGCAGTCTCCTTTTGGCTCTATGGTCCTAAGGATACATATGTCAGAGATGAGGTTTGCAGACAAAGGAGGAGGCCCATTCAGTCCTTAGAAATAGGCTCAGAGCATTGGATTAGGGATTTTCAGGGTTCCTGGTACATGCAGATGGTGTAGAAGAGGTAATGGGATACTGAATTGGATCTAGATTCTTGGCCTCAGGAACATCTGTTCTAGTGGTAAGGAATGAGACCAAAAGAAGACCAGAGCAGGGCTGAAGCACAGAGCATCCGACAGGGTTGCCTCGATTTTCTCACGTCCCTGATGTACAGTAAGCATTTAGTACCAATAAGTCATTTAGCAGCTGCTGTATCATGAAAATGTTTCCATGCTGGTGGAAGGAACCAGAATGAGGATGTCAGAAGTTATCTGCAAAGTTACATTAGGCTTATACAATATTTTTTGTACTCATATTTCTACAAAGACCTCAGTTATAACTTTTATTATTTGCTTATGCCTATCATTCCATTAGAATACTTCTTTTCTTTCTTGTCTGCCTGAAAATTTTGCAAGTTTTCTTTAAAAGCCCAGGTCAAACTTATACTCTGTATGAAACTTTCCCCAATCTTCCATCAGCAGAATTAACTTATGTTTAGATAGCACTTTATACATAACTCTAACTTAACACTGCCACACAGCATTACATTTAGGTATATGTATTTTCTCTATTAGAATATAAATTCACTGAACACATGATATTTGCTCATTCTTTCTTTACCCCAAACCAAATACAGTATTTGGTATATACAAAGGATACAACTAACTTTTGATGAATTGAATTAAACACATATGTTAAGTTTCCTATTCCTACACTGTTTTGTTTATCTTTTTCTTGAAACTAACTTTTGTCAAGATCTTTTGTGGAAAATGTGACAGAATATTCTAGGTATTATGTAACCAGGATGGTCTAAAGTAGGCAAATTATCTTTATTGATTCAGCCAATCATTTGGAAACCTTTATTTCTGCAAAGGGCCAGATAGTAAATAATTTAGGCTTTTCTGACTATACAGTCTCTTTCCTGCCACTCAACTCTGATGTTATAGCACAAAAGCAACACAGATAATATGTATACAGCAGGCATGGCTGTGTTCCAGTAAAACTTTATTTACAAAAACAGGTAGCAGGCCAGATGTGGCCCTGATCTATACCAGCACTTCTTAAACATGGTTACACAAGAGAATAAGTCCTAATGCTTTAAAGCATCCAATTACACACTAACTTCCCTCATACACATACAGAATGGTGATAGTTATGTACTATCTTAAGAGAATTGAGAAAATAGTTATTCAAATAGTATTTTTTTTTCTATGGTTCAGATGAGCAATGCTGGCTGACAGAAATGCTTATCTAGACACTAGACTTCCATTCATAGATAAGCCTAAGACTATATGATATTTTTAACACAAGCTATCATTGGTTCATATTGATTTTCTTTCCAGACAAATCCGCTTAGGTCTTTTATACTTCAGTTGTTTTATTATATCTAAATGGAAACTGCATATTTATCATTATTAATTCTTTTCTTGTTGGTTTTATAAAGAAAATCTCCCATTTCTTCCATAATAAAGCAGTATTTTTTTCAATCTATATCTTATGAGCTTGAAATTGTATATATACAACTAAAATCCAGAACATAATTATTATTAAAATGTCTGAGAAATTGTTTTTAATTGAGTTTTATATGTACCTCCTAAGTGACTTTTTGTATCCAATACTCCATCCAAGCTCTGTAGATGTTATCAAGGCCCAAAACTTGAACTCTCAATTAGCTCCTCTCTTTTATTTTTTATTCAGTTTGTTAGAAAAGTTTGTTGGATTTATTTTTCCAAACACATCCAGCATATAACCACTAGCAACCATGCTGGTCTGAGTCATCTTTATCTTTCCTCTCAATTACTGTAGTAACCTAACTGATCTTTGCTTCTGTCCCTGTCTCCTTTAGTCTACGCTAGGCATACTGCTAGAGGAGTCCTTTTAAAACATAAAACATATTTGTCTCTCCTTTGTTCAAAACCCAAAGAGTAATCAGTTTTAGATGGAGAAAAATTTATGAGAAACGGGAGAGACCTGTCCAATGTCACATAGACTGGTAGGTCTGGGCACTAGAGCACAAACATCTATCATTGAATCTGAAACCCTATCACATAACCAAAAGTTTCTAAATGTAAATTCATGTGCTATTTGTTTTCTTAGTATTAGACATTTAAAAAAAATAATACCAAAGAGTATCTACTCCTACTTCTGACATAAATAAGTGCTAAGTTCCTTAGATCTCAATTCTAGTAGTCACATTGTATTAAACTTCAGGGTGGGGCATTAACTTTATTATAGGTACGCAATATATAAATATATGTATGCTTCTTCATCTCTGAAATAAAGTTTATAGTATAAATACTATATTCCTCGTGTATTATCTGCAAGGATCAAATGAGATAACATTTATGGTAAGAGCTTTGTGGGGCCGGGCACGGTGGGTCACGCCTGTAATCCCAGCACTTTGGGAGGCCGAGGTGGGTGGATCACCTGAGGTCGGGAGGTCGAGACCAGCCTGACCAACATAGAGAAACCCCGTTTCTACCAAAAATACAAAATTAGCCTGGTATGGTGGCACATGCTTGTAATCCCAGCTATTCGGGAGGCTGAGGCAGGAGAATCACTTGAACCCAGGAGGCGGAAGTTGTGGTGAGCCAAGATCATGCCATTGCACTCCAGCCTGGACAACAAGAGCAAAATTCCACCTCAAAAAAAAAAAAAAAAAAAAAAAAGCTTTGTAAAACTTAAAGAATTATAAATAGCAAGAGTTTACTTTCTTTTTTTTTCTCTCTTTTTAAAATTTATTTATTATTATTATACTTTAAGTTTTAGGGTACATGTGCACAATGTGCAGGTTAGTTACATATGTATACATGTGCCTTGCTGGTGCGCTGCATCCACTAACTCATCATCTAGCATTAGGTATATCTCCCGATGCTATCCCTCCCCCCTCCCCCCACCCCACAACAGTCCCCAGAGTGTGATGTTCCCCTTCCTGTGTCCATGTGTTCTCATTGTTCAATTCCCACCTATGAGTGAGAATATGCGGTGTTTGGTTTTTTGTTCTTGCGATAGTTTACACATGCACACGTATGTTTATTGTGGCATTATTCACAATAGCAAAGACTTGGAACCAACCCAAATGTCCAACAACGATAGACTGGATTAAGAAAATGTGGCACATATACACCATGGACTACTATGCAGCCATAAAAAATGATGAGTTCATGTCCTTTGTAGGGACATGGATGAAACTGGAAATCATCATTCTCAGTAAACTATCGCAAGAGTTTACTTTCACAGGTATTTAAAGAATAGAAATAACGTTACTTCATTGGGATCCAAACCAAAGCAGAACCTTTTGTCCAATTATTATCAGTGAGATGTTTGTTTAGATGTGTAGATGGTGAAACTCTAGATTATGCCCCTTCTCAGTGGCTCACAGACTTCCAAATATTACACAGAAATTAGAAAATGGTAAGAGAAAGAAGGTTTTCCATTTTAGCCATCATCTTGATGACAAAAGACCTTCAAATTTTATTATTGAAAGATTCCTATTTCATCCTCCTCTAACTTTTGGACTAAAAGTTGAGACCAGGGTGAAATACCAGGTATAGAGCCCAAGTGAACAAGCTTTTATTTGCAGGCATTTATATAGGGTCTTTTCTCTGTCCCAAGGAGATTAGGGGCCTTGGTGCCCTTGAAATCTCTGTCTTCTTCACCCATATTTTCTTGCTTCAGGAAAATACTTCGAGGTCTTGCTTCTGAACCTGCTCACTCCACCTAACCTTTTTTTTTTTTTTGCTCTTGATTCCTGACTTCCTCTGTGGACTCAAACTATATAAAGTCTGTCCCCATCTCAAAGTTGTGGATCACCTCTACTCACTTCTACAACCATATATGCTTTCTGTGGACCTAGAACAGGTTGGAATTCTGGGAATCTAGCTTGAACAAGAAAGGAACTTGGACGTCATCTTTAAAGAAAATGTTCTCCTTTTTCCCTGAATACAAAGGACTCAGCATCATTTTGGTGAGAACTCAACCTTGCCTTTCTTCATCAGAAGTAAAAAGTGAATGTTTTTGAAAGTTCAGAACCATTCTATGCTATCTGTTAGATGTTAAAGGCAACTGGAATTTAGAAGAGGAGAAAAGAACACACACCAAAGATAAAAGCAACCTCACCACTCCAACTGCTTAATTTCCTATGCTTCACGTTTTGGTTTCTTCAGTTGGCAGGTTCCAAAAGTTATCTTTACACATATTCAAAATGTCAATTGTATTTCAGAATCCAAAAAATTAATATTTTCCAAACAGCTATTATATATATTTATTATATATCAATATTTTCCAAGCAGCTATTATATATATTTCCTTAATAACATATATACAAATAAACAGATGAGGCAGGCAGATGCATACAAATGTGTGTGTTTCTGTATGTGTGTGTGAGCTCCAATCACACTTCCCACAGGAACCATACATTTCTCATGAGCTCCTGTAATTTGAACTTTACCAAACTTGTCTTCATACTAACTTTTCCAATTAATCACATAGAAACTCAAACTCGTTTTACATTTGAATCTGGTAATTGTGTAATCTTTATCAGCAGAGCAAAAAGCTGAAATAAATTTTAAAACAGGTATATACAATATCATATCTAGAATGTATTAATTACTTAGGTATGAGACACTATTCAAAGCTCTTTACAGATTTTATTTCTTTAATTCTAAAGACAACATCATGAGATAGGTTCTATGATTGTACCAATTTTAGCAACAACAAAGGAGATATGGAAAGTCACAAATGTGTGTGGCAGGCATAGCAGGAATTTAAACAGATGATAACCCTGAGTTAAGAATAACCCGTGGAATTTCTGATTTGTGGGTGGAAGAAGAATTCTCACTCTTAACTGTTTTTTAAAAAATTAATATAGTGATGTACTAGTTTTGTATAGTCATCATAAAAGAAAAAAATCTTCAAAGAAATTGCTATTACAAACAAAATATTCATGACTAACAAGCATAAAAATAAGGCCATGTCTGAAATCATGTTCACCCACATGAAACATTAAACTCAGAATCAGCCAGGGAGGCTGATGTGCAACTAATTAGAAAACATTCTAATTAGTTTTCTTTATAGTTTTCCTTGTTTTTCATCTTTATCCTTTCCTTAATCTTCAAATGGCAGCTGGGTAGATGTGGTGAAGTTACATACACAACAATAATTTACCAGGAAAAGGAAAGCCATGTTCAATAAGATTTTCATTGCAAGATACATAACAAAAAAATCTGTTAATTTTCAAGCAAAGCAATGAAAGCTGAACACTCCCTAGCATACAGAGATGATTCTGAAAAATATTGGGTCAATTTTGTGACCATTTTTGACCCATATCTGGGCATTTTCCAATAGTGTCAAGAGACATCATTTACATTTGAAAATGCGTATACAAAGGAAAAAAGAAACCTCTCACCACTGCCAACAGACACTTTGTGATGGGTGTGTCAATTAGCACAAACTTTTGGAAAATTATTAAGAAAATAATACATCTTCAAGGAAAACATTATAAGAAAATAATTAGAAATGAACATCAAGATTTATAAACAATAATATCCATAGGTAAAATTGATTAAAATGTAATTTATAATCATGCAAATTTGGATAACATAGGAAAATATTTCAAATAATAGTACATTTTTAAAAAGGACTGTACAGGATTATATCTACCAGTAGATTTCAAATACACAAAAATATATTCAAAGTTGCATCAAGCTATTTCCTCTATACTGTAGGTTCTGTGAGGGGAAAAACGAAAAACAACCCTGATGTTTACTTTCATACCTTTGGCATCTACATCAGTATATGGAACATAATCAATGCTCGGTACAAAAAAGAAAGTTAAATGATGAATGAATACATGTATTTCCCTTCATATATATTCAATATATGCCTGGTAAGCAGTCCTTTAAGAACCCAACATTTCCAAGTCCTGAGCTGATTGTCTAACTGAATAGACCAAACATTTCTACAGGAAGCAGACAGTGTCTATTCAAAGAAAGAGTCCTTTCTTCTACTCTTAGTTTTGCTAAATTGGGCAGTAGAATGTTTCTGTTTGTTAATTTGAAAAAAAAAAAGATAATAGTCTAACAACTTTTTAGGTTTCTTGTGCAGTTTATGTGACACAAGGCATGAAAAACATTTAGCATATAAACACATAGCACTAAATAAATCAGAGGTGCAGTTACTCCAGTAAACGGAATCTCTCAAGGCCTATAGAGATGTATTGTGTGATTTTCTTTTTCTGCCTGCTTTTAAGTTTTTTTCTGTAGTGTCCGTCAATGTCAGCATGTTAGCTAACAATGTGTTTAATACTTAGCAGATGCTGTCTTATCATCCCTTACTTAAAGTCCCTTAACGGCTCCCTAATGCCTTCATTACAAAATCTAAACACCTCATGCTGACACAAAACATACCTGATGTCCTGGTCGGCCTCTGGCTCTCCCTTCCCATCTCCCACTGCTATCTCTTATGTACCTGCAGCCAAAACAAATTACTTACATTCTCTGAGCATTCTACCTTCTAAACTTTGTGATGCTGGACCCAGCCTAAAATGGAATTTTTCTTTAATCTAAATTCTAATCTTCCTTTAAAGTTAACTCATTAGTTTTTATTGCACTTAAAAATAATTTTAGCTTTTCTCAAAAATGTTTAATTTCTAAACTTTTTATTGCTTATTTTTATTTCAAAATATTTGGGGTTCAGGTGGTTTTTGGTTACATGGATGAGTTCTCTGGTGGTGATTTCTGAGATTTTGGTGCACCTGTCATTCGAGCAATATACTGTATACTCAATATGTAGTCTTTTTTCCCTCACTCCCCTCCCATTCTTCCCCACAAGTCCCAAAAGTTCATTACCTCATTCTTATGCTTTTACAGCCTCATAGCTTAGCTTCCACTTATAAATAAATGAGAACAAAATATTGTATTTGGTTTTCCATTCCTGATTTACTTCACTTAGAATAATCACCTTCAGCTTCATCCAAATTGTAGCAAAAGACATTATTTTGTTCCTTTTTATGCCTGAGTAGTATTCCATGGTGTTAAGTAAAAAGCTTCTGAACAGAAAAATAAATAATCAGCAGAGTAAACAGACAACCCACTGGGTAGGAGAAAATATTTACAAACTACGCATCTGACAAAGGAATAATATCCAGAATTGACACAGAACTCAACCAAATCAGCAAGGAAAATAATAATAATCCCATCAAAAAGTGGGCAAAGGACATGAATAGACAATTTTCAATAGAAGATATACAAATGGCCAACAAACATGGAAAAATGCTCAACATCACTAATTATCAGGGAAACGCAAAGTTAAACCACAATGAGATACCAACTTATTCTTGCAGGGATGTACATAATTTAAAAAGTCAAAAAACAATATATGTTGGCATGGATGTGGTGAAAAGGGAACACTTTTACACTGCTGGTGGGAATGTAAACTAGTACAACCACTATGGAAAACAGTATGGAAATTCCACAGAAAACTAAAAGTAGAACTACCATTTGATCCAGCAACCCCACTACTGGGTATCTACCCAAAGGAAAATAAGTCATTATACGAAAAAGAAACATGCACCTGCAAGTTTACAGCAGCAAAATTCACAATTGCAAAGATATGGAACCAACCTAAGTTCCCATCAACCCAGTGGTTAACTTTTTATTTTGAAAGGATTTTAGATTTATAGAAGAGCTATAAAGATAGTACACAGAGTTCACATGTACCTTTCATCCTCTTTCCTCTAATGTTGACATCTTATGGTATGTTCACCATACTAAGAAATTAATATTTGTGTAACAGTTTACTTTTATTTTTAAAAATGATTTTATGTAGTTTTAAAAATCTATGCCACTTGAAATTGGTCAACAATATATAATAAAGATAGAACAATCAGGCATACATAGGTGGGTAACCTTTCTCTGAAGATCATTGTCATAAGAATGTTTTCTCTATATTTTCCATTAGCAAATTATGAAGTGAATCCAGATTTGTCATCTATGACATTTAAATGGCAATAAATTAGCAGCCTGATTTATAAATGATTTTCCTCTCAGTGCCAGAATTAAACTGCATTGCTCTACAAAAATGAACAAGCAAAGAAACCACAAAGTCATATTCAAGTATTTGTTTTTTATCTTTTTGTTTACCCATATGATTATTTCTTGAATTAATACTACATGAGCAGATTGATTTGGAATTGTTACAACAGACAAAAAATCTTTTATCTCTGCCTCACTAGAACTTCCAGAATTTAATTAAAATTTATTCATTGATTCTGCCCTCTTCTATCCCAGTCAAGTTCCCCCCCTGAACAAATACAGTATATAGGGTCAGTGCAATGAGCAGAATTGCTCAGAAAATGTCCTCTCTCCTATTAACCTTACCCACATGTGAACATCTACTGATGTTAGCATTTAAAACACCTTATCTTTCTTTTATTCTAAAAGAAAATTAATTTAAGTAATAAGTAAAATTCAGAATTAAGGTCTTCACTGTTACATTCTATCATAGTGCAATTCACATATTAAGTTGCTAAATAATGACAACACCTGTAACTTTTCTTCTGTAATCATCTGAGCAAATGAATTAACTGTAAGTTAAGTTACTTTATTTTGACACTTCTAAGAGTGCTTTTTTTAAAATTAGGATTTTCATACATGTAACTTTAGGACATTTTTGGAGGTATGCACTGTCTTATACTGTATCCACATGCAAGTAAACTCACTTACTAAGGCTGAAATTAGAAATAAAACAGTTTAAGGAAATTTGGTATGCTTAAATCATGCAATTCTGATACAACTAAATGATACTTTTTTTGACACATATGACCATTCAAAATAATTACTTTTATACAATGATAAAGTTGATGTCTGTTTTAAAAATTAAATATACTAAATTATCCTGCATGGGCTACCTTTATTCCTTGTTTAAATCCACTGTGCTTTCCTTGATACAAGATTGGTAGAAATAAATTAACTCATTTATTATTCTATGACATTTTATCATTTAAGCTGTCACTTATGCTTTTATTATAGAGAAGAATCTCTGGTGGATTCTTAGAGACTTTCTTCTTATCCACTTTTTTGCATTCCTTAAGTGTTGTTTTCTGCTATTATATTCAATCTTTAAGATCATATACAGCTAAAATAAATTTAATGAGAGAGAAAGTATGTGTTTCTATTACTGGCATTGCCGTGAATTTTATATCACTGGTTTGCTTTGGTATTTTTACACTGAAAAATGAAGATACATAAAATCATCATAATAAAAAACAAACTGCCAATTAAAATTATACTTTATTTATAATGAACAGTATTTGAGAGGTGCTGAAGTAACTAATGCTAATTCAAGTAATGGGGGGTACAAGGTTACCCCTTTCTTTCCTACCAGCTACATGTACCAAAGAGTAAATCAAAAGAAACCTTTCCTGTAGGATAGAAAGCGTGCTGTGTTTCTGAAATCTTGAAGATTACCCAACATAGATGTAAACACACTCTGGTAAATGCAAATAACATACAAATCTAAAAGCATATTATTTATATTGATAAATATGCTGTGTTTACACAAATTAATAAAAATGTAAATAGCAAAAATTCTAAAGATTTTGCTACAATTATTTTAGCTTTATCATCAATTTCTCTTTCTGACTTGGGTTTGGATTTAGCTGCTCTTCAACTACTCTGATGGCCAGTCTAGGCTACTGAAGACTATCACTTGCTTTATTCATCAGCTTAGATGCTTATACTACACCTTCTCAGTGAGTGTCATCTGGATGTTTTAAAGTCAACTCAAATTCAATGTCTTCAAAACTTACCTCCCCCACATTTTCTCTTTTTGAATATTGTTTGATAAACACTGGATTATTTAACAATTCTATTTTTCAAATCAGAAATCTGGGAGTCATTCTACATTCATTTTTCTCATGAGTACATCCAGTATATCACCAAAGCCTAAAACTTCTACCCCAAATAGATTTCTAGAGTCTCACTCTTTTCTCTCTTTTCTCACATTTGATCATCTCTTACCAAAACTCTTTCTTGAATTTCCACTATACCAGCACATCATATACTTGGAAAGACCTTAAACTCCCAGCATGCCAAATTTTTTTTTTTGTATCTCATGGTTTAAATGGTTTTAAAGATATTATATTTTTTCCACATGGATTGTGGGAATTAAGGAAAAGATGTTCTCCAAATTTATAATTCTTATATAGCTTTTCTATTTGGGGAAGAGTAGAAGAGTGGAAAAGCATATTGGATTTGTTTCAGATAGATTAGTTTTATCATTTCTAAGTTCAAATAATGTCTTTATGCTTGTTTAAAGTTGGCCAAGTTATTGTAACTACCAGGAGATAGATTCTACTTATTTGTAAGAGGAGGATAATTCTTCCTGAAAGAGTTCTTGTTGAGATTAAATCAGATGTAATATATAATGTTCCTGTCTTCATTTATCAACTCTTCTATCCACTTAGCTTTCAGTTACCAGACATTTCCAATTATAATTTGATATATAAAATAAAATTTCACTTTGTTGTTATGGGTTGAGTTGTGTCCTCTGCCAAATATGTCGAAGTCCTAACCCTAGTACTTTAAAGTTTGAACCTATTTGGAAATAGGGTCTTTGCAGACGTTAAAAATAAGTGATTTGGTTGGGTCCTAACCCAATATGACTGTGTCCTTATAAGCAGGAGAAATTTGGACAGAGACAAACACATACACAGGAAGACAATATGAAGACACAGGGAGAGGTCATCTACAACACAAGGAATCTGAGGCAATCAAAAGTTCAAAGAATGGACCAGATTCTTGCAAAGAGCCTTCAGAAGGAACTAACCCTGCAAACACCTTGATTTTAGACTTTTAGCATCCAGACTGTGAGATAACAAATTTCTGTTGTGTAAGCCACAGTGGTACATTCTTATGGCAGCCTCAGCCAACTAATAAAATTGTTTTATTATGTTTTATATAAATGTGCCCATTCTTATGTTAACTTTTTTGGAAGGTTAACTAAGGAAAGATCTGAACCAGAAACACAGATAACTTGTCATATCACTTAGTGAAGTACCCCAGGAAACTAGGCAATTCATGAAAGATGTTGATAATCTTAGACATGAAACCAAGAGGAAAATATGTTTAATGAATTGCTCTCGCATTCTGCAGAACCAAAGAGAAGGCTTCATGATTAAAAGACAAGTAAAATAAAATATGCAGCATTTTTCCTTAACCCCACATTGTAGCTTTTTTTTTTTTTTTTTTGGCTGTTTTGCATTGTTCAGAGCTCTAGTAGAAGACAACAGAATCCACTCAAACTAGTGGGAAATTTGTCACACATGTTAAATGTCTTACCGAATCACTGGTAGGGATGATTAAATAGACTTTAAGCCAAACATTTAGTAACTAATCCTAAAGCTACCCGGCAGAACAAGGATCCAGGAGAATTACTGTCTCTTCCAAAGTTAGGAAGTCACCAGCTTCAGTTCTCCACCACTACTGCAACGATGAGGAAGGATATGTAGCTGTAGCAGCTCCAGAAACCCAGCATGTCTTCTACAGCCTGCACCAGTGAAAATCATTCCACACACTTCTCAAGATCCTCAAAGTTGCTGACGAGGTGCCGAGACCTCGGCTAATGCTGCCAAGAAACACTCCACATGCCTTTGACTGTGCTTGTTGGCAGATAGAACAGGAGCGACTGAAATACGGCTATCTGAGAAAGGTTAAGATTGACTGAACCTCCATCACATTGAGAACACTAGTTGCAAGAGAATCTTGAAGATGTAGATTGTAGCTTTCCATATTCTGCAATTCTTCAAGGACCATTAAAAGGAGATTGGTATGGTGTTGAGCACCAAGCCACTATACTCACCAAATAACACAGAAACGTTGGTTAGTTATGAAACTCTCTTAGTTACCTGATGCAGCCTCGACTTTAGGAATTCTTACTATTCATTACCACATACAAGCTATTAGCCTTTCTCTTTCCTGAAAACATACAGTTTTGAGGCTGCTACTCTCAGGTGACACTGCCTGCTACCTTTCCTTGTAATAATTTACAAATGCCCCAGATTGGCCTGTCGTGGGGTGGGGGGAGGGATACCATTAGGAGATACACCTAATGTAAATGATGAGTTAATGGGTGCAGCACACCAACATGGCACATGTATACATATGCAACAAACTTGCACGTTGTGCACATGTACCCTAGAACTTAAAGTATAATAAAACAAACAAACAAAAAACAAAACATACACACAAAAAATGCCCCAGATTTACTTCCTTAAAGATTTTAACACCTGGATCATGGCCAATTTCACTATTCCAGTCAAAATTCTTGATGATCCAATACCAACATGGAAGGATATTGACCATCTCTTTTACAATGACTTGATCCTGAATCATATCTCAGCCATCTACTTTCAAGGTCATATCTATGTCCTGCTAATAACAACAAGTACACCCCAATTCCATAATCTCAACCTTAAACATCTCATTCTCTATCTACTAGTTTTCTCTATTTCCAATGCTTTTACTCCCTCAAATAGCCAAGATTCAGTAATTCTTCAAAGCTAGGAGTACCAAATCCACTGCAGATCACTCCTCCACGCTTTCTCATGTTCTCACCTCCCTAGCTATTCATCTTAGATAGTACAACCCATCATGGTAAGCACTTTCTTACTGACACCTTCACCTTTCTAAGCATTTAGCTATTCATCTTAGATAGTACAACCCATCATGGTAAGCACTTTCTTACTGACACCTTCACCTTTCTAAGCATTTCTTTCTCTTCCACAGAACTCCCTACAAACTTTCCCTGCCTTATCATTTTTTATAATATCTATCTATCTATTAATAGTTGCCTCTTTTCCTACTTGGCCATAATTTCCACAAGGGCAAAGACTCTTCTGTTTATTGCTATTGTCTCAGATGGTGAAACTGTGGCTAGTATGTAATAAGAGCTCAATAAATATTTACTGAGTAAATTAATGACATAATATTTTAGGTTAACTAGAATATTGTCCGTCAGGTTAAAGCTGCTCAAATATTTTACTGAATAAATGAGTCATATAGAATAAACCCTAAGATAAAACAAACCTTTAAAGCCTATTTGATCTACTCATTGAAGGTAGAATGAAAAATCAATTGTGTAAAGCCAATGATATACAAAATAAACAAATGTATTCTATTCTTTTTGTCATATAACATACTTTGAAACTTTTCTTCCCTTTTTAAAAACTTTTCCTCCTAAATCTCCTACCTTTTAAATGGAAATTACCTCAATTAAAGCAACAATATGATTTTCAAAGATTAAAAATATATGAGATAACTAATTGAATAAACTCTTACATTGGTCCATTAAAATAACTATAGGTTATATTAATATTGTGCTGGAACTGATTATCTTCAAATTGATTCTATTCTCCTCAATCTGTCTTTAAGGAAGGATATTAAAAGACTTGAAAATACTTAAAGACTAATTTTAATGCTGTCTTTCAGCAGTCACAATGTAGTTCCCAAATTATTAATTACATCAGGTAAATCAACCATGACAAGCTATTAATAGGAAATGGAGAAGAAAATTACATTAGTAAAAACTATTTAAACTGATTATCTAATTATAGAGAGACCCACATTACATAAGCATGCAATAGGACAGCCTATAGGGGTACAGTTAGTCGCAGGTCTGTATCTTTGACTGTTTACAGTGATGTCGCTTCCGCTACTATAATGAACCATTAAGTGACCTACAATATATCAAATGGCATGGAATCGTGTACTTAAAGAAATGTCTCAAGACCTTGTTTAACTAACATGCTCCTAAAACCTTCACAGCATTTAGCTATAGAAGCAAACAACACAAATTGCTATTCAGAACTTATAATAACGAAGAAAGATTAATTTTAAAATGGACTTTTCAGTTTATATACAGTCCCCCGTTATCCATGGAGGAATACATTCCAAGATCCCCAGTAAATGTCTGAAAACAGGTAGTACCAAATTTTATATATGTCTTTCCCTGTATATATGTACATGTAATAAAGTTTAATTTGTAAATTAGACACAGTAGGAGATTAACAAAAATAAAATAGGACAATTATAACAACATACTCTAATAAAAGTTATGTGGATGTGGTCTCTCTCTCAAAAATTATCTTACTGCACTGTTTTCACACTTCTCCTTGTGATGATGTGAGATGATATAATGTCTATGTGATAAGATGGAATGAGGTAAAAGATGTAGGCATTTAACACTGGGTTACTTGGCCCTTCTGACAATATGTCAGAAGAAGGATCATCTGCTTTAGGTGATTCTGGATCACTGATCTATCATGATGTTGATGGCTGGATGTCAGGAGTAGATGATGTTGATGCCTAACGCGCAGGTAGTGCAGACAGCATGGATATGCTGGATATGGGGAGGATTCATGTCTCAGGCAGAACGAAGCAGGTTGGCATGAGATTTCATCACACTACTCTGAATGGTGGGTAGCAACTTAAAACTTATAAACTGTTTATTTCTGGAATTTTCCATTTAATATTTTTGAGCCGTACAACTGACCTTAGGTAACCGAAACCACAATACTGAACTGAAAGTGAAACTATGAATATGTGGGGACTACTGTACTTGTAACTCACAAAGTATGCAATAAACACTTGTTCTTTCCTTCCTTCACTTTGATTCTTTCTTCTTTTCTTCTTCGTTTCTTCTTTTGACATATATTACTTGTCACCTACTACATGTCAGGTGCTTTGACATGTCTGGCAGAATAGTACATAACAAGACAGACAAGGTGACTGAGATCTGAAGGATAGGAAGTAGTCAGTTAAGACAACAGCTGAGAGGAAGAGGGTCAGGAGGTGGTGACCACCCTTCCTGAGAGCATCCCCACACACTTCTGTTGGTAAGAAATGCATGGTATATTCTAGGAGCCAGGGTGCTGAACACAGAATCAGTGACAGTGCATGTGTCAAGAGGAGAGAGAGAGTAAGTAGGCAGGATTTATACCATGCAGTGCCTGGTAGCCCAGGAAGAGGGTTTGTTCCTATTAGAACTGCAATGGGAAATCATTATAGCAGATTTTTTTAGGGGGGGTGAGGAAGGGAGGTGTCATATGATATAAACATTGTAAAACATAATAGCAGAAATGTCTATTTATATGTTGCTCTATTTTGTATATAGTGCTAGGGAATCATATAATTCCAAAAATTATGCCATGTTTTTACAAAAGTGAGGTCCTAAATATTCACAAAAGAATGACTAGACTATAACTCAATGATTAGAGTCAATGGAATACAATGCATTCTTGACTGTTTCTAGAAATTTCAGGAATCACGAGAAAAAAAAAAAAAGTGCGGTGTAAAGATCGCTACCAAAAGATCAAGGTGAGTTTTGAGCCTTCTGCATGCCCTCTTTAACAGCCCCTCACAAATGCAGTTTAAAATAGTAACTGTCGTGAGTGATAACTTGACGTATTTATCATCTAATTGAGCTGGTGATGGTTTATTCTGATATTTACTAAACACTTATTCTTTGGAAACGATTCATCTGCAATGTATCATCCACAGTGGTAAGTACAGTGTACATATGCAGTAAGTGCAATATACTAACATTTTCTTATTTGAGAACAATTTTGAAAAGTAATGTCATCCAAAGGAACAGTGTTTGAAGTATTCATAGCCTTTTGTTAAAATCGTTGCCCAGCACTTTGGGACGCCGAGGCGGGCAGATCACGAGGTCAGGAGATCGAGACCATCCTGGCTAACAAGGATCTCTAATAAAATACAAAAAAAAAAAAAAAAAAAATAGCCAGGCATGGTGGCGGGCGCCTGTAGTCCCAGCTACTCCGGAGGCTGAGGCAGGAGAATGGCGTGAACACGGGAGGCGGAGCTTGCAGTGAGCTGAGATCGCGCCGCTGCACTCCAGCCTGGGCGACAGAGCAACTCCATCTCACAAAAAAAAAAAAAAAAATTATTGCACATTTTTTGTAAAAATCTATGATCTTGTATTATGAAACTAAATTGCATCCAGGACTGCTCAATTTTGTTTATAAAGTTTACATTGTAGATTGTTACATAAAGGATTAATTTTTGCAATTGTTCTTTTTCCAACCAAACATGATCATAAAATGCATTTACCTATTGGAATAAAGATGAATCAAATAAAATATTTGAAATAAGTCATTGTACATATACTTGTTCCATAATAGCTTTTTGAAAGTATTAAATCTATAGATGTGAAAGAAGCAAAAATATAAAAAATCTGAAACTGGACAACAAACATTCATTATGCAAGATATTTAAAGCTAGCTATTGAATTGCTTCAAAATAATTTGTTGTAGGCTACTGTTTTCTTCTTGATTCCACTGCCTACACCTTAACAGGGAATAAATAAATACTCTCCTATGTGTACAAACACCTTCTTTTTAGAAATATTAACCATCTACTGTGGATTTTATAGATACACTACAATATAAGGAAAGTTGGATGCAACTACATATGTCTTGCATGATCAGAAAAATATGATATATTAAAAGAATATTCTTTCTGAAGATTCACTCTCTGAAAAAAAAAGTTCTAAAAGGGCTTATACAGAGCGATTTAAATACAAAAATTTGAATCAATCAGCACTACATCTCTGTAAGTATACAATAGGAAAATTTCTGAATGAGAAATTACACATGCTTTCTGTCATCAGGCTCCTGCTAGCTCAGTGCTATAATTCATCCTACACTGCTGCAAATATATCTTTATAAAAATTACAGCACTACTACTAATATTTTGTGCTTCATTTCACCAAATTTTAACCTAATCACTTCCCTGCCGTCCAAATTTTTCCTCAGAAGCCCTTTTCCATGACAAATAACTCTTATCTACCTTGATTCTTCACAGAACGGTTTTTCTCCAGCTTGCTTTGACTGCAAAAACTTTATTTAGAGTGCATCACTGTCCTATGATCCTCACTCACAGAGACAATATTGTGTATTGGTTAAGGTAGTGGTAGCTTCTGTAACAAATAAATCCTGAAATCTCAATAGAGGTTTTTCTAATTAGTGGACTGGGGGAATTTTCTCCCCACATTCACTCAAGGACCCAGGCTGATGGAGGTTCTGCCATCTTTAACATGCTGCTTCTAGTTTGCTCAAAGGATCAACACTCATCTATCAGAGGATTACATGAGATTGTTTTTTTGGCCAGGCCAGAAACCTATGTATGCTAATCTTGCCACTATTTCATTGGCGATAAATCTGTCATGTGGCTGCTCCTGACAGAAAGGGAGGATGGGATATACATTATAGCCAAGTGCCCAGCAAGAAAGAAGAAGAGTTTTGCTAAATAGCTAAATAGTCTCTCACAGTCCCACAGACTTCACATATACTAGGCACAGGAGTTTGTTAGCATTTTTCTAGTTAGTAAATAGTTCCTTATTCCTAGGACACTTGTACAAACTACATCTTCCTTAGAATTGACCACCCCCTATATTCTTATCCCTGTGAGATGTTTTAATCTTCACATGGTTGACCCATTCCAAAACGTATCTTCCTAATTAAAAACACAAAAGTATTTCAACATAAATGTTCTTTACTGTCTACCTCTTCTGCTAGTCATATTCAAGGACATGCATGCACCTCACTTAGCACATTTTTGTCATTAGAACACTTGAATTATTATTAATTATTGAATACTCCATCCTTTTTTTCATCTACATGCCTCTGGGAAATATTATTTCATTAAATAATAGAACCCTCTAATAAAATCTTCACTAAACTACCCTTCTCATTCCTGGGGGTGGTATCTGTACACTGTGCTGCCAAAAAAACCTAGAGCTTACCTCTACAATGTGAGGAACGCTTAGAACACGAAAATTTTCTACTAACTTAACAAGACCTAAGACTAAACTTTTCCACCCATACTTCTTGCTAAACTCAAATTAACCCACCAATAGCTGCTAAACCTTGGTCACAGTCTTGCTTTTTTTACATCTACTACCATGGTTAATGAAACATCAGTTTGCCCATACCTTCCAAAAATATAAACAATGAAAAATTCTTAGAACAAAACTGAACCTTTAGAACTTTGGACCATCTAATTACCTAGATGCCTTTCCCTCCTTTATCTGTCTTACAAAAGTTCTCTTATTTTCCACTACCATACTTACATGTTACACATTGTATGATGCCTCTGCTGCCCCCAGCAAAGCTGTGGGAGTGACTACCTCCATCTTGTTTTCAAAGGAAGTCATGAAGAACATCAGTGCCCAGGAAGAGAACTGCCATGAGGGTGGGGTCACTTCAGACAGTCCCCACTGAGTCAATGCCCAGTGGAGCCATAGGGTTGGTTCTACCCTCAAGACCTTAGACTGGTAGAGCAACCAGAGTTCTATTCCAGCACAGAAGAGCTCTGGTGTGGGCCGCACCCAGCAAAACCAAGCAGGGATGCCTGGAGCCCTGGAGCCCATTTGCCCAGTAAAGCTGAGAAGATGGAGCCTCTACCCCACTGTGTCCACAAGGAGACCTCTGCCCCAGTGGGCCTCAAGGGCAGACAACTGAGTCAAAGAAGATTCTTCCACAACATTTATGTTTTGGACTTGTTCAGGACCTATCATTTATTTCTTCTTTCCTATTTCTTTATTTTCCAGTGGGAATGTCTTTCCTTGCCTGTCCCACCATTATATTTTGGAAGCACATAATTTGTTTTATTTCACTGGTTCACAACTGGACAAAAATTTGCCTCAGAATGAATTGTATCTTGAGTCTCATCCATATCTGATTTAGATAATATTTAGATGAGATGTGAACTTTAGACTTCTAAGTTGATATTAGAACAAGTTAATACTTTTGGGGTAATTGAAATGAATGCATTTTACATTTGAGAAGGACATGCCTTTTTGGGGGATGGGGCAGAATGAAATGGTCTAAATATATCCCCTTAAAATTCATATGTTCAAACCCTAACCTCCAAGGTGATGGCATTAAGAAATGAAGCCTTTGTGAGGTGATGAGCTGATGAGGGCAAATCCTTCATGAATGAGATTAGTGTCCTTATTAA
The DNA here is from genome assembly GCF_000001405.40 of Homo sapiens. Classification (NCBI taxonomy): domain Eukaryota; kingdom Metazoa; phylum Chordata; class Mammalia; order Primates; family Hominidae; genus Homo; species Homo sapiens. The sequence goes on from NC_000012.12 coordinate 81,524,914, forward strand.
AGAGTCTGAAACTCCTCACCAATTAAAGCTGCCATATGAAGTTACAGTGAAAAGACAACTATCTATGAAACAGAAACTGAGTCCTTACTAGACACTGAATTTGAGGGTGCCTTGATCTTGGATTTTCAAGCATCCAAACTGTGAGAAATAAATTTCTGCTGTCTATAAGTTACCCAGTTCATGGTATTTTGTTATAACAACTCAAAAGGATTAAGACACATTCCTTAATAATTCTCTACCCCTTTAGATAGAGTCAATTTGGCTCCTGTGATGGATAGATCCTATGGACAAGGTCAAGACACTGGTATTTTTTCCTCTGGTGTTCACTTTCTATACATTCCCTCTTATGTTACAGAACTTGTGATTTGCCCCTCACCAAGGTGAAGAGGTGAAAAGATTTTTGCACATGTAATGAAGGTCCCAAATCACTTGCCTTTGGGTTAATCAAAAGGAATATTATTCTAGATGAGGTTGACTAAACCAGGTAAAAGCTCTTTTGAAAAAAGATATGAAGCACCCTGCAGGTAAGGGAAATATTCCTGCTGAACTTGAAGGAAAGTGTAGGTAACCCCTAAGAGCTGAGGGTCTCAGTACTACAATCACAGGGCCTAAATTCTAGCAGCCACCCTGTGAGCTTGGAAGAGGGCTCTGAGCTCCAGTTGAGGACTCAAATCTGGCCTCTGAAACTTTGAGCAGAAGACTCACCTAGATTGTGTCTAGATCCCTGAACCAAGGAAACTGTGATAATGTGTGCTGTCTTAAGTTGCTAAATGTGTGGTGATTTATTTCCAAGCACTGGAAATTAATGCAGAACCCTTATATATGTTCTCCTTATATTGTTTACTAACTCCATTACAACACTGGACATGAAAAACTGTTGCTCATCAGTGACTTTCTTCCCAGTGAGATTCCAAATTCCACAAAGGCAAGAACCATATCTCATTTATAAAATTCAGTAATCAGAACATATTTTATTTTTGGCTAGAATAATATAGATACACAACAAAATTCTTAGAAATTTTCCCACTATTCTAGTCTAAGTAATCTAGTCATTGGTTAAAAAAAAATATAAAATTAGAAAATCAAAAACTCCTTATTAAAAATCCAGGTCTCAGGTCTCAATAGCAGACATTGATGAATCCTTTTTTCCTTTCCAAGTACTTAGATATTAGACTAGGTATTTAGCCTTTTACATGCACCCCTGTAGTTTAAGGAAAGCCAATTAATCTCCTACCTTCAGATAACTCTTTTAGCTTGAGACAGCATTTTTTATTCCCCTAATCTCAAATGTCAGCATAGGGATGTGATTTCAGTGAACCTCTTACTTGGAATGCCAGAAACAGAGTGGTCTTTTTCCTGATAGTTGAGAATAAGGGTGCATGTGGCCCTGATTGCTAATGCAGGCCAATTTGTGGCTGTGAGCTTTTGCCTGTTTGGGGATGGAAATAATATCATGAACTGAAGAGCAGGGAAACACAATCAATTGTGTTTAATGACATGATTGAAGACCTGTACCACCATTGCTGAATCCTGCCTTATTTCTGGATTTGAGTCACCAGTAAATCTCTTTACTGTTTAAAGCCAGTATTAGCTGGGATTCTGTTGCTTTAACATATAGTCCTAAATGAGGCCATTTCTAAAACTATATTATCAAAGAATCACTAGGATTGGTATAAAGCAAACATTTGGTCATTCAACTAATTATTTACAGGATGTCAAATAGCTGAATGGACAACTTTGTTAATACATCCTCATATTTTATGATTGTGGAAATAGAACACTATGACTTTTTAGATTAATGTTGATTTGTAAAGATAGAAGCAACAAATTTTTAAAATATTTAACATTTTTGCTTAGTATTTATCTCTAGCTCCTCAATACCCAGTGGTTCTGAGTAGGTTTAGTTTGCATATCATTGATATCTATTTTAATTGGTAGATACAGTCACTCATATATTAGAATTCTCATAACAGATTTGTACCTATGCTTCTAGCTGAAGGTATGACCTAAAAGTTAAAATACAGAATTATTCTCTGGGAGAATTTAAATTAGCCTTTGATCAGAACAAATAGGGTCACATAATACCAATACCAAGATGGTGGGAACTTCACATAATTGTAAAGTGGTGATGGCAAGGAGGATTAATTTTGCAAAATCCATGCCAATGATACAATAAAAATATTCGTGTCTTAATTTAGTCATTTTCTTTGCCTTCAAGAATTCAGCTAATCAATATTTTATTTTAATAGGTGTCAGCACTGTAAAAGTAAGACACAGAAACAGACCAAGAAACCAGCATTGGGCATCTGATGCATCATTACTTTTCTTTCTTTCCTGAACCATTCCCACCATGCCACAATTTCAATCATCCTAAGAAAACATATTATTAATACTCTCATCTTCCATTTTCTAACACTAGGTATTTACTCCTACTATATACACCCCGGGGAGCTCCATTTTATGCTTCTGTTTAGAGTAAAATTCTTTGAAGAAGTTGTCTCTTCATTGTATTGACTTCCACTTTTCTTAGTCTCTTTCAAAGCCTTCTGACTAATCTTAGCAAGGTCCACATGAACACATCCTCCCCTCCCCCTACTCAAATATATGCATAGTTCCTTCTTTACTTCCTTTTTTGAGTTTTATGTCCAAATGGAACCTTCTCAGGCAAGCCTTTCCTCATACCTTCGGTGTTCCCTGCTTTATTTTTTTCTTTAGTGCTTAATGCTTATTTAATTACAATTTATTATATATTTCTGATGGACTGAATTCTTATGTTCCACCCAAATTCGTATGTTGGAACTCTATCACCTAATGTGATGGTATTAGGAGGTGGAGTCTTTGGAAGGTAATTAGAATTAGATGATGTCATGAGGGTTTAGTGACCTTACAGGAGTCCTAAGAGAGCCTGCTTCCTGCTTCCATCATATAAGGACACAAGGCACCACCTATGAATGAAAATCTGCTGGGCTTTCACCAGACACCAAATCTGCTGACACTTTGATCTTGGACTTCCTAGCTTCCAGAATTGTGAGAAATAAACTTCTGTTGTTTATAAGCTACTCGGTTTATGGTATTTTGTTGTAGCAGCCTGAACGAACTAAGACAACATTTATAATCACCACCAATCACTCCTACTAGAATGTAAGTTCCATGAAAGAGGGTTTTTTATTTATTCTATTAACCTCATTATTTCAGTTCCTAGAATAGTACCTACCCCTTAGCAGATATTCAGTATTTTTTTGAATGAATGAGAGAGTGCCATTGATCAAGTGAGCAAAAATTAGGGCAGTCACCAACAATAGACAGAGGATCTGAGGGTACATCTTGAAGCAGACAGATCAATTAAGAGAAATCAAGAACTCAGATAGTGATATGGGTAACAAGAATTCAGAAGCGCAACAAAATGATTAGGTAAAATGCACAGAATTCCATGTTCCAGAATAGAATTAGGTAAAGTGTCAGCTTTCTACTGAAGAAAATATCCGTACGCACTTTATATAGTCTAGAGACTGAATTTATTTCAAACCTGGCTGATTTATAAGTGGAATCAGGCAAATATAACTAACTTCTAGGTATGAGGGGAAATAAAACAAGTTCCTGACAACAGAATTGGCTTTCTATTCAAATTATTGAGTACATGTGTTCATCCCTAAGCAGCAATGCTTTATAATTGTCTATGACCACAAAATATAATTTAAGTTCACGAATTTATAAATATATTTACTAATAAATACACAGAAAAATAACACCAATATTAGAAACAATCTACAAATGTGTTGTGAAAAGCATTTCCATAGCAACATCAGAATAATTATCGCTATAATCAGCAGTAGAGAAAATGTGCTAAAGCCAAGCTTTATTTTTCTCAGAATCATGGGACTGCAGTGCTCACCCACACAACCGAATCAGCAGCATGAAAAACAACAGAAAATTATATTTTATGTATAAAAGAGTAATTGAGCACTCTACAATTATATAGAAATCAATGAGTACAAAAAATAGATTAACAGCTATGAAAAGAGACAATTATGACATTTTTAGTGTCAGTAAAATGTATCATATTCTAATATGAGATTATTTTTCTAAAATTAATGCACTGTAGCTGGAGACCCAATTTTAGAAGAAGAAATGAAAACTCATATCAAACATCTTAATTTGTAACTCATTAATGCAACTAGCATGACTTCATCTGGAATCAAGAAAGGCACAGTCTCTCAGAGTCAATGTGTCAGAGAAAAGATAAAACTGACAACCCTCAAGAGAATTATTCTTATTTTAATGGACTACATTAAACAAAGAAAATACTACAAAATATGTACTTTTCTGTGTTACATAAAGATATAAGCCATGAAGTATAAAAACAAAGTCATCATAGATTTCTATAGTCAATCAAAAAGACACCTGAGTCTATTTGCTAATATTTTATTTACTTTTTCAGCATCAAGTGATAAAGTAATGTCTTAATTTTCTTGAATTTATATTTTTCTGCTATTTTCAATCTTCTATGAGAGAAGAAAAACCCAATCCAATAGTCCACCAGGAAGAAATAACCTCCCAAGGAGAATATAAGCTGTATATTTATTCCAAGTAAATAGAGAGAGAGAGACACACACACACACACAAAGAGTGGCGGGGGGGCAGTGGAAAGAGAGAGAGAGAGAGAGAGAGAGATTCATATACCAGGATTGCTCCAGGCACTAAAAATACAAAGGCAAGCAAGGCCATTTTTTGTTCAATGTCAGCTGAATGCCTTTAAAAATTGTAATTTTTCAATGGGGGTTGGCTAACTCCAGCTCCTCCGGTTAAATACAGCTGACTACTTGTTGCATGGTCCAGGTGCTAAATATGTTTTTTACACTTTTAAATTGTCCAGTTGGAGGAGAACAACACACACAGGGGCTACTGGAGGGTAGAGGGTGAGAGGTGAGAGAGGATAAAGAAAAATAACTAATGGGTACTAGGCTTAATACCTTGGTGGTGGAACAATCTGTACAAAAAAAACCATGGCACAAGTTTACCTGTGTAACAAACCTGCACATGTACCCCTGAACTTAAAATAAAAGTTTTTTAAAAAAATGATGTAGACCAACACATACAATGCTATAAACTAAAATAAGAAGAAAAAGAACTTTCAAAGATTATATGACATGAAAATTATATCAAATTCAACTTTCAGCATCCATAAAGATGTTTTATTGGAACACAGCCATGACCACCCATTCCTTCATGCATTGTCTGTCACTGCCTTTGAGCCACAAGAGCAGAGGTGGGTAGCTGACACAGACTCTATGACCTCCCAAAGCTCAAAATATCAACTGTCTGGCTCTTTACAGAAAATTTTGCTAACTACTATTGGGTTAAGCAAAGCTTTGACAGATATTCAGAATACAAATGAACACAATTTTAGTATCCTGAAAATTTGGAGCTTCAAGATAGGAAGAAATTTAAAAAGAAGGCAGAATTCTGTCAGAAGGTGAATAGAACTTAAATACTCTCTCCTAAGAGCCAAAGAAATGCAAGATCCAATCTAATGATGTAATAGCCTAGGTCAGGAATGTAAGCTTTGTGAACAGACCTGGAGTTTGTGAACTGCAAGATGCAGTAGAGCAACTTTTAAAAAAATTGTTCAAGTTTATTATTTTAAAAGAGGGCGAAGTGTGGCAACTGGAATGAACAGAAAAACCACTCGGAATGTCCACAGCTATTCAACTCCTGCTCAGCCACAATCTCTAGTTGAAAAGTCAGCACATCAGCTGAAGAGGGTACAGTCTCCTTAGTAGTACACAGTAAATAGTAAGCCTGGATAAGCCCAGAGAAAATTGAGGAGGATAAAAAAGAGAAAAAAAAAAACACATTATATAATATATGTGTTTAAAAAGAAATCTCTACATATTTGGAATATTATGTATTTGCAATGTTTTAGACATTCTGTCCTTATTAGAGATAGAAGTCAGGCTCGTGATTGAAATTTAAAATGATTTAGAATTGTGACTTTAGGCAGAAATCTTACTATGTTTGTATGCAGTATTTACATAATTAAGAAAACTCAGATTTCAATATATTAAGTTATCTGATTTCCCTTTTAATTATCTAAGTTGTTTGACAGACAACATCATAATAAATTTTTTAATGTACTCTTAAACTTTTATAAATTCAAGATGCAGGAAGTTTCAATTCTTTGGTCTGAGTTACAAAAATAATTTCAATGCAATAACTTGAATTACTTTGCAACCAGTTTACTTATTCCCAGCGAATAGAAGCCATGCCAGTAAATCAAATTGGCATAAATAGTACAAAATTTATTCATCCAAAAATACCAATTAAGTAGTTAGTTGTAATTTGTCTAGAATTCAATGTGGCACTACATATTCGAGATGAATGATAATATCCCTGCCCTTCAGAAAACTAAAGAATGGTGGAAGAGACAGATAATTAAATCACTAGGGTAGAAGTATGATAATAGTATAAATGGAGTGTACCATGAAATCACACATGCAGAAAAAAGGAAACAAAACCCAACATCAAGAGATCACAGAGGACTTTCTGGGTGAATTAAAGCTTACGTGGAATGCTGAATAAAAATGAAGAATCCCCTAGGCTATAAATAGATCACATTTAGTCAACTTACAAAGGACAAAACAAAACAATCATGAGGAAGAGAATGATGATAATTAATAACGAATAAGTGATAAGGATGATTGAGATATTGGCATATGAGGATATAGCAAGATACGAGATAGAACGGAAGACAGGGTCTACTGTACCAGGAACATTGTAGAATATTTAAAGGATAGATTTTCTTCTAAAGGTAATGAGGAGGTTTTAAAGATTATTTTATTTCTTTAAACAAGAGAGCAACACAGGTAAGGTACCCTTGACTGGAGAAGGACTGGAGGCAAAGAGATGAACTCAAAGGCTTTAATAATAATGGTACTGGTAAGAAATAATGAGGACAGTAGAATCTGAAAATGAGAAATTCAAAGAGCAAGGTTTATTAAATCACTTGTGGAAATAATTTTGAATTAATTTGATATTAATTAGAAAATAAGTATAATGGACACATTTCTTGATAAATGAGCTGCTCAATTCCTAAAAGGTCAGCATGATCTCAATGCAATCCATGGCTGCAACCCCAAACCACAACCTCTGGCCACAGTTACTTGAATCAAAAATTGTCTTTGGAAATAAAAGCAGCCGTGACATTTGTTATACAGAAAACTTTTCACTTTGGTGGCCTGGCTTTAACAGATGAGCAAATCCAGTCAAATTAGAGATTTAAAGATTCCCACTAGCAAGCTGTAGACTTTGCAGCTGGAAGATTATATACCCTTGGGTTGTGGGGTGGACATTTTCAGATTTGTGCAAGCTGATGACTAAGTCTATTTGTAGAAATAGGAGGATAGGGCAGAGCAGAGAGAAAAAAAGAAAGTGAGATGAAAATCATATAGTCCCTGAGAGACTATCAGAGCAGCTCAGCTCCCAAAATCTTGCCAGTTGCCATGAGGTCAAGTAGTCCTTTCACTACCATCCTTGGATTTTGTGAGGCCCTTCAAAGCTTTACAATTTACTGTCTGTTCTTGATCTAGTTTACATGGGTTCCATTGCTCGCAAACAAAAGGCTCTGGGTAGAAAATGCAAAGAACCACTAATGATATAGATAAAATACTATACAGTTAGAAATCTTTTACTCTACCTACAAAAGAAATTTTTTAGCTTCTCCTTGAATATTTTCAGTGACCACATGCATAACTGTTTCTGATTACAATCTATCCCATTTGCAGAATTTAGATATTTGCAGCCAATTCTTTTTATTATGATTAAATTTATCCTGATTCCCATTTTATTTTTAAAGCAAGAGCTATGACTCTTATTTGTTTCTTTGTTTTCCTCATGCCATAACCTCCTTCTCTTAAGCAGAGTGCCTAAAAATGTTTTTAAAATTATTATTTGCATTTCCCCTCTCAACATATTAACTGAAGCAGTTTTTCACTGATAGAATAAAATCCCCTTTATCTCAACCAAGAAGGCATCTTCATTTAACAAATATCATTTAATTTTTTTTTGTTAGTAATGTGTTTCTTATGTATTTGGTTTTTGGCCAAAATGCAGCTGACAGTGCAACTTTGTATCATAATGTTGGTGAGGGGCACTTAACTTTCTGAGTAAAGTTTTAGAGCTCAGTTTCATATCCAGTGTTACCAATATCTTGGTAGAAGAAAGGGATTTAATAAAATGAAATGTTTAACCATGATGGAAAGGGCATTGGATAAAATGTTCAAAATGCATTTAGGTATTGAAGTATATAATGGTTACAAATGACATCACAACGTTTTAATATAAAAGGATGACATCACAATATTTTAGTATAAAAGGATATTCTATAAAGGTACTCACATTCTCCAAAGCTTACTTACGATTGTATAATTTATCAAATTTATGCATATATTTTTAAATAGTTTGTATATTCAATGCCTTTCTTATCCTATTCTTTAGGCCTAGGTTATTTAAAAAAGTACAACCTAGAAGATCTCAAATTTATGCCAAATTAAGTGCTGGTAGATTACACTGAGTTACAGACTTTCTGCAGTGATTTTCCACAACTTGAAATTTTCCACCTTTGAAAATTCGTGAATTTTGGGGGGCAGAAACTGAATTTGGATGCAAAAATTGCTCTGAATAAGAAATAGTTTTATAGTTATGAATATGTGAACAATGAATTAGAACTTATCAATGTTATACCAAAACTCCTCTTTGATTGTAACGGTTTCTAAATTCACAAATCTATCTATCTATCTATCTATCTATCTATCTATCTATCTATCTATATATCTATCTATCTACATATATATATACACATTTGTGTATATACAAATGTGTGTATATATATGATAATTTGTGAATTATCAGGATATATATATATTTCCTGAAGTCACTGTATCATCCTAGTAAATTTGCACAATAATATCATATTTGTCTTTAAATTATCACTCCCTTGCTAGTTTTTTTACCAAAATAAAAAAACGAATGGGTAAAGAATATGTGACATATATACACAATAGAATACAATTTGGCCATAAAAACATGAAATCCTGTCATTTACAGCAACATGGATGGATATGTAGGTCATTAGGTTAAGTGAAATAAGCAAGGCACAGAAAGACAAATATTGCATGTTCTCACTCATATGTGTGAGCTAAAATTTTCCTTTCATGGAGGTTGAGAGTAGAATGGTAGTTACCAGAGGCTGGGAAGGGTGTGTGTGTAAAAAGAGGGAGATAAAGAGAGGTTGATTAATGGGTACAAACATAGAGGTAGATAGAAGGAATAAGTTCTAAAAGTCCATAGCAGAGTGGGGTGACTATTACTATAGTAAACAAAAATTTATCATATATTTCAAAATGTTAACAACTAGAAGAGAGGACTTAAAACGTTCCCACCACATAAAATTGAGAAATTTTCAGGGTGATGGATATCCTAAATGCCCTGATTTTATTATTACATGTTCTATGCATGTAACAAAATATCACAGGTACTCCATAAAGATGTACAAATATTATGTATCAGGAAAAAATATTTTGAAACTCTATTAATGCATTTTCCCTCTTGGAAATTATACTGGTTTCTTTTTACTTTTCATTCTTTTAAAAAAGACTATAAGGGACCCTAAGCACTAATAATTTACTGTTAAACTTTGAGTTTCAAATTTAACTCAAAAATTCATAGCAAGGCACTCTTTCAAGAGGGAGAAAAAGAACTTTTCTAGAAACAACCCAAGCACACTTGATATACATCAAGAACCAAAGCTGAGAAGACAGTTCATGAAGTCAGAAGTGAGAGCAGATAAAGTAATTGCCACACAAGAACTCTTTCAGAAGTAGAGGAGGGAAGCAAGAAGATGAGAAAAAAGAGAGTAGTGCTGATATGCAAATGGCTTGCTCCCCAGTCAGTGTTGAAATTCTAGGGAGGGAGAAGATGGAGTAGTTTGAAAGATTCAGGTTGATTGGAGAAATGGATAATTAGGGGGAGGTTTCCTGCTTCCCCCAGTACAGTCCCGGCAAGTTCTAACGTCTTCAGAGAAGTTCCCATTTTAGCAGGTGTTATGGCCACCATGCAACAAGAAGATTTCAAATATGTGAACAATAAATTTGAACTTATTGTTATAGCAAAGATCTTCTTGGATTATAATGGTATATACATATATATGTCTCCATATAGGCAAAATTGCCTATATTGGGTGAAATGTTGCCTAGTTGAGTAGACATGAGAGCAGCCTCAGATGGTCTGGTACACTACAGCTTGGAGTATGAAATGTGTAGTTGAAATTTTAAGGGCAATGGACAGCAGAGCATGCACAAGAAGTTCTGAGAATGCTGGTGGATTTCAAGAGGACTGGATTCAGGAAAAGAGGGTTCCGGAGTTTGGGAACTCTTGATTATTGGCAAAGGCCAGATCTATAGTCACCAGCACTGGATTTCAGAACAACACTTGAAAGACAAGATGGTACCCACCATATCTCAGTGGACACTAGGTCATGATGCTCAATATCCTGAAAGGCAGAATCTCACTGTAGCAGGTGCCATGAGATCAGGTTGAGACACCTAAAATGAAGAACATCTAACTCAATAACACAAAAATACATACATTTCTCTGTCCTTCTAGATACTACCTTGGCAAGGGAGGAAGGAAAAAAGTTCCTAAAACAGAACCACCCCACAGCAAACACACACATACACACACACACACAAAACTAGTGAGAGTGTTTCAAACTAAAAGAGACTGAGATCTCTTTTATGACACGTGTTACTTTATATGAGGAAATGAAAGTTCAGGAGCAAGAAGATATTCATCATAGAAAACAGGAAAATTTACAGGAATGTATTTTCTTTTATTTTTAGAAATTGCATGAAAATTTCACTTGTTATAACTATAACTTGGCAAACTCCTTCATTCATGCTGCCTTTGTGGTAACTGTATATATCTACCTTTTCTAAATAAAACCAGAATATAACACAAGGTAACATCTAGGAAGAAAGCATTAGCAAACCGTGCTATTAGCCACTTCATTAAATCAGGCAGGTCATAAAAAACAAGCAAAGCCACATTTTCAAATTTGTTCCTCAGATTCATTTTCACACATCATCAAATCTAAGTCTTCAGTGAATATATGAGTGTTATAAATATAGTCAGCATCTCAGCCTGCAAAGAATACACTATGAGAATTAATTACCAAAGCACTTAAAATTCATCAAAATCACAACAAAGCTGACAACTATTATTTACTTCCATATCAGATCAGTTGAAGATTAATGTGAAACAAGATAAATGTATCATCTGTTCTGAACTACCTACACAGTAATCATCTCTGGCTCAGTATAATTTCCAAATTTCACTCTAACATACTCATAAATACTTAATATTACATATAGCCTGTATTTTATCTGAAACTTTTATGGTGCTTTACCATAAAAATAATCGCTTTCAATTATATTTTCCAAGCCATTCAAATGCCACACTAAGAAATATCAACAACCTTATTTTAGATACCAACGAAAGACAAGTATTGTTTCCCCAAATATCTTTATTACAGAAAATTAAAAAAAGAAAACTTTTCCTTAAAGTTCCAAAATTTTAAATTTTATATTGAAAAAAATCAATTTATTCAATTTCCCAAAGGGAAACCAAAAAAAGTGAACAGCAAATTGACTATTGAAGATTAACCAATTAGTAATAAATATATTTATTGAGTTTATTGCAGATTATTCAATTAATATATACATGCTATATATATATAGCATGTAATATACATATATACACAAATATATATACATAAACATATATATATATATATATATATAGTTTTGAAGAAAAATATAAAATAACTTCTCCATTAGAAAATTATCTCTGAGATGTGGTAAGGAGAAGAGGAAATGAAGAATTTTTTTTTTTTAGGTTAACATGACATAGCTAGAAAAACACGCTATATTTCAAATATAGCAGTTAAGACTGATGGGAAAGTAAACATTTTTTAAAATTCATGATAAGTTCCCCACCGGTTATTGACAGGTTTATGGTTTTACGTTAGTAAATATTGATTTATTAAGTATATACTCTTTATAGAATACAATACAGCCCTAAAGTCTGAGTGGAAAGCAGAAGGAGAATTACAAAAGAAATGAAAAATAAGCATCTTCCAATGAAGCACTTAATTATGTATGTATGTTGTAGGCAAAATGAAAAATTTAATATGGAACACTTGTAGAGAAACCAGGCAACAGAAGATAATTCTTTGATGTGTTTAAAGTTTAAAAAAATTCTGCTGGGACAATTATGTAGTATATGAATTTCAGTATTTAGACATTTGACTTTTCCCATTATCTCACAAATCCTCCCCACTGGCAATGGAGACACCATCTCCTTATTTCAACACTTATAAGTAAAAAAGAGACATAAATAAAAGAGGAGAAAGAGTTAAGGGAGGAAGTGAACAAAAAGAAAGTATGGCCCTAATTATAATCAAAGGCATCCAAAAAATACAGAACTGAAAAATCAATTATTCCTTACTGTGTGCCTTTGCCATGCAATGCCAAATAAAAGAACTGAGTGTACTTGGATTCCCTCTTGCCCTTCACACCAATGTTTTGTGGACCACTTACTCATCTAACCTAATACCTGAGATGCCTCCCTTATAACTCTTGGTAAACTTAGATGTTCTCTACAGACCACGTATTCTAATGTCAACATGCCTCAATTAGAGTGCATATCAAGACGTATTTTAAGAATCCCTTCTTCCTATTAGACTGTTAATGAGTTCTTCGTTTTACCAATTTTTCCAGGGCCTGACACCATGCCTGGCCTGCCCCATGTCTGACCTCTGCAAATGTTCAATCTGAACAAAAGATGAGCTCTAAGGGAGAAGAGAACTGGCTGGCTAAAAGGAATCTCAAGATGTAACATTTTCTTACTGAATATTCCCTAGATCAGTGCCTTCCCCGCAATCTTTTGGGGTTAAATATTTGATTTTGTTCAGGACACTAACAGTGGATCAATCTCTCAAACGTAGACTCACATTATCCATGTTTGCAATCTGATAATAAGCAAAAGTCCCAAGAAATGAATAGCAAACCTCACAGTATAGTAGGTGAGAGCACAATTCTTGGATTGAATTGAATCAAATGTTACCCCCACTAGGCTGTAATGTTAGAAAGTTATTATATCCCAATGAACTTGTTTCCTCCCTTGCAAAATAAGCATAAAAATAGTCACCTCAATAGTTGGTTGTGAAGATTAAAAATGATAAGGTATGGTGAATACATAGCATAATTACTGCATATTGATAATAAAGAACAAATGTTGATATTATCATGACAATATTAAAGAAAAGAAGTTGTAGATCTTGATGATCAATCCATTCCTCCATTACATGCATGTTCATGGGTGTCAGACAGTATTCTTAATACATGGATATATTATTATATAAAACATAATGGAGTTTAGGTTCTAGTGCAGATAGAAATAAACAATAAAAATACACAATAAATATGTTTTATGTAACAGAGAGAAGATATATGCTTTGGAAAATATAATAGAGGATGTTCGGGAAGATTGGAAATGCTGAGGATGAGGGAAGGGGTATTGCCATTTTAAGTTGGGAAGTCCCAGTAGGTATCATAGAGAAGATGCTATTTCAACAAAGACTTGAAAGAAGTGAACATGTGGATATCAGGAGTAAAAGTATTTTATTATAGAAAACAGCAAATACAAGGGCCCTCAGGTGTAATGTACTGTCTGTTTTGTGGAACAGGATGGGGGCTGGTGCAGACAACATGGAGTGAACTAGGGAAAACATAGTATGAGGTGAAGTCAGAGCATGAGTCGTGTCCATGGGTCATTCTAAGAATGTTGGCTTCCATCTGGAGTAAGACAGGTAGTCTGGAGGGTTCTGAGGGCAATAATAACAAAAACTGAGTTTTAGCATCACTTTGGCTGCTGTGTTGAGAACAGACCATAGAGCGACCAGGGTAGAAGTATGGTTTAGGATATGTAGTTAGAGGACTATTGTAATAATCCAGATGAAAGATGATGCTCAGACCAGGGTGGCAGCAATAGAGGTGGCGAAATGTGGTCAGATTTCTGTATGGGTTGTATTGTGTGAAAGAGAGAACTCAAGGATGATTTCAAGATTTTATACTAATCCACTGGAATTGAATTGTTATCAGTTAAGATGGGGAAGACTCTGCGGGGAGCAGTTGAGAGATGAAGTCCAAGAGTTCTGCTTTAAGATACGTCAACTGAGATGCCTATTAGAAATAGAAATGGAGAGGTTGGGTAGACATTTGCATATATGTGTCTGAAGGTCAGGGGAGAAATCTGGGCAGGAAATATACATTTGAGAGCCTTGGCCTACAAAATGATATTTAAAGTCACGAGGTTGGGTGACATTTGATGAGATCACCAAATAACCAAGGTCTGCATTTGCAGTATTCCAGTCTTAGGATGTCTGGAGAGGAAAAGAAGCTAGCAATGAAATTTGAGAAGAAACAAGCGATGTAGGAGTAAAACTTGATGTGGTTTTCCCACAATTAGCATCAATAGCATCATAACAGACCTTGCTAGAAATGCAAACCTCTTACCCCACCCATGCCATAACGAATCAGTGGGGCCCAGCAATTTGTGTTTTAGTAACTTCCAGGTGATTCTTATGCATGCTAAAGTTTAAGAACCACTGCTGTAGAGGGGCAGTAGAATTTGGGGTAAAAATTATGAATTTTAATTAATCTCCTTAAATGTTAATACAGTGTCACTGAACCTCTTTGAGGAATAACTCAACTAGATACAGAACGAAGCAGTCCCTCATTGAGCTCAAACTCAAGCACTCCACCTTTAGATGCTACCACACTTAGATTAATGTTTTCACACACTCTATATTTCTTATTTTCTCATTTTCCATTGCTGTTAGGTGTGATTGCTTAGAATAAGTTTTATTCCCTCAATTTGATTTCACTAAGTTCAATTTCTTTCCATTAAATCTGATTAAAGAAACTCAAATTTAACTAAGGTTTTAAACATCCAGGCATTATTAGCATTCCAGAAGAGGGGTTTGTTTATCTGCAAGAATTCCCACAATGTGGAAAAACAGAGAGAGAGAGGAGACAGAGAGAGAGAGAAAGAGAAAGAGAGAGACCAATAGATATTTGTGTTTATAGCCAATTTCAGGCAGATTCTGTACTTCTCACCAACTCCTGTTCTCTTGCCCTATCAAAGCAAACAAACCAAAATAAAATGACAGTTAACAAGGTAATAAAAACACCAAACCAGGGAATAAAGAAGTAAACCTTTTAAAGTCTTCTTTAATATTTAAATAGAAATATTTATCATAAGACTTAGCAATTAAGAATGGAAAGAGCTATGTTTTATATCAATTCAACAACTGATTTGGGGAAAGTGATTTAACCTCTCAGAGTTTCTGCATGTTTAACGATACAAATGTGTACAGAAAGTAAATATTCCCTGTAAACTTACCACAAAGGCTGGGCTTGGTCTCTTATATGGGAAAATGCTTTGTCAGCTGAAGAACTAAGCAGAGATTAAATTGATGTTAAAATAAATTTTTAAAATGTATCTTTCATTAAGGGAAGAAACTTTAGGACAGGGAGAATTTATCAATTTTAAATTTTAAATAAATGTAGCTCTTTAGGAGTTTAAAAAATATTTCAAGGGAAGATTGCATATATATAGTCTTGATATACATTGTTGGCATTGTTTTATTGATACAAATGGAGTATTCAAAACAAAAATTCATATACTTAAATAATTAAGTATCTATACTCAAATATTATTGCAGTTTAGAATTCTAAGCTATTTTGGCCTATTTAAATGAAAATAACATAGAGAAGAGTAGAAAATAAAATGACATACCCTATATCTATCATTAAGATTTAAGAAGTATTTTCCTACTGCTATATTATATTTAGATCTCTCTTTAGGAAGACAAATATGTCACAAAAACAATTAAAGTTGGTGCCTCCGCATTCCATTTCTCTTTATCTCTTTCCCCAGGGGTGCCTGCTATCCTGAAACTGGAATCTATTATTCCCATGCAAATTCTTGCACATTATATACATAGGTAGATACTCATAAACAACATATATTATCATTATGTATTTAAACATTTGCATAAACAACTTACTTTTTAAACATAACATTAAGTTTTAAAATTTATCAGTGTTGATACATGTTGTTAAATAGTCTTCTATTATAAGAATAAAACTATTTAGGCTGCTACACAGAATCAGTTAGGCTGTTTCCACATTTTTCCCCATATTATAAACAGTTCATTGGCAGGCATTTTCTTTTTTTAATGAGTGCTATTCAAATGAATTCAGCTGTGGGAAATTGTTTGTGGCTCATTCACATCTGACAATTCTGTTCATGGGCTCCTCCTCAACAGCTGTCCCTACTAATGCAAGATAATTTTATGTAAAATTAATGTTTCCATAAGAAGGCCTCATGAGAGGAGTTGTCTTCTGTGGTAGGAAGTCAAGAACCAAAGGAAAACTATAAACTCAAAGAAGAAATATGCAACAAAGTAAATCAGTTTTGGTGATTTCCCAGGTGATTTTACAGGTTCTATGCCAATTTGGAAAATGCGTTCTCTTCTTTTGTTGAAAAATAAAAAAATACTTGTGAAAAAATTGTTACTGCTCAACAAATAGTTCTCTTTCATTATATTAATTAGACAAATTATGTCTTTAAAGCAATAAAAAAAACCCTGCTAATAGTTCCTTGAATATTTGGCATTTTTGTGATCAGACTGCTGGACTAAAAAGACTTTTATTTCTTGAGTTGTCTTCCTCAGGAGTTGACTTGTTCCAGGCTACAAGTGAACAATTCTGAAACCACTATACATGTATGATGGAATTGGGTAATTAAGTAAATGGTGACTGATGCTGGGAGCCAGGCTTCTCATATTGGAGTTGGAAGTTACAGACAAGCAAGCTTTGAAGACTAGAATGATTGGTATATTACTGGATTAGGGTTAGAAACATCAGGATGAACTCATGTTCAGTTTAATATAGATGTAGATGGATACCGCAGTGAGCTGATTGGTGACTTCCAAAAAAAAAAAAATGTATCTGTTCTAATCCCTGGAACTTACGAACATTACCTTATATGGCAAAATATGTGATTTAACTAAGAATTTTGAGAAGAGTTTATTCTGGTGTACTTGGGTGGGCCTTACATGCACTCACATGTATCCTTTAAGACAGGGCAAGAGAGAGCTTTGGGACAGATGAGCAGGCAATGAGACCATGCAAGCTGAGACTGGGGTGAGTGCAGATACCATGGAATGCCTAAAGCCACAGGAGGCTGAAAGAGGCAAGGACTATATTCTCCTCTAGGAGCCTTGGGAAAGGAGCATGGCTCTGCCAGCACCTCACTTTAGGACTTCTGGCTTCCAGTCTGTGACAGAATAAATTTATATCGTTTTAAGCCACTGATTTTGTGGTAATTTGTTACCACAGGGCAGACACAGGAAACAAATAAAATAGATACGTAGAAGTTTTTATAAATATGTGCATATACAAGGGTTAGAATGCACATATGTTTACTTTGCTCCATCTGCTGAGTGATCCTAGAAGTAATGGGACCCCAGTAACAAAGATAATGCTGACTAATATAACCTTAAAGTTTCCCTCAGCTGGACTAAATTTTAACAGACTTTTTCCTGACTCTAGGCTCCTGACCTCTTTTCTAAAGCTTTTACCTTAGAAAATTTGTGAATATAAATATTTCTATGTTCCTTTGAGATATAAATCTTTTAAACAGCCTCTAGCCAGCTTTATAGCCAGGAATGTCTTTTTCAGGAATCTGGAAGCCATTCTTTTGCAATGTAATCATAAAATAGTTTCCTCATCTCCCAGGCTCTGGGAGAATGAGCCCCCAACTTCCTAGGGCATGATGGTTCAAGCTATAAAACTACCTTCAGTCATGAAGATCAGAGAAAGTTTACTTTTCCATTGGATAAGGAAAATTAGAAAACAAAAGTGGCCTAGGATTCCCCTATCCCAGCTCTTAAAATTTCTTCCGCCATTTGTTTTAAGGAGAATTAAGCTCAGATTAACTTGTGGCCTCTCTCCATGTCTGCAGTTGCCTTGAATGAATCTTCCTTTTACTGCTTTTACTGTTTAAATTTGCCAGGCACAGTTTTGGCTTTGACAATACCTAGAGCCTAGCTGTTGGTTTCTAACACCATTCTCCAATAAAAGAAGTTAAAGATCCACGGAGAAATAGCTGATTCTAGGACTGGGTTGGGAAATATACAAGACAAGCCTGGAACATTTTGTAGTGCCAGAAGTGCTAAAAACAACAGCAACATAGCAATAAATAAACCACACACCAACACACACATAAACACACACAAAAAATGATGGGGTCTGTCAAAAGGACAGCAGTGAATAGAGCTCCTAATGACCAAAGTGTGCAAATTTTGAGCAACAAAAAAGGCAGAAATAAAGTAGTATTGTATTACAACTTAAAGGATAAAACAAATATCCATGAATCCATAATCACATAAATAAATGATGATATAAGTAAATAAATGTGAAGAATATAGAAATCTTACAAAGGTTTGCAGAATTCAAAATAATTTATATGGATACTCTTCCTTAAGTAGGTGGAGCATAACTCCCTACTCTTTAAAGGTGGACTGTCAATAGTGACTTTCTTTCAAAGACAAATGGAAGTGGAATGAGTTCACAGAGTATGGACGTGGGCAGGAAAAAAATAACTTTATAGTGAAGAAACCCGACAAACAATTCCTCAGCCAGGTGATCAAGATTAAAATCAACAGTGATATGTAATATTGACAGTATGTACTCTTCATATGATGTGATGTTAATGGCACTTTACCTCTGTGGTCTTCTTCCCCAAACCCATAACTCTAATCTGATCATAAGAAAAATATCAGACAAATACAAGTTCAGGGATATTCTTCCCAACACGTGACTAGTATACTTCAAAACTGTCAAGGTCATCAAAAACAAGCAAAGTCTGAGAAACAGCCAAGATAAATATTATGTGGTATCCTGGAAGAGATCTTTGAACACAAAAAGGACCTTAGGAAAGAGCCAAAGAGATACGAATAAAGCTTAGACTTTAGTTAATAAAAATATATCAACATTGCTTCATTAGTTCTGACCAATGTACCATACCAATGTAAGATGTTAATAACAGGGGAGACTTGGTGAGGGTATATGCTTTCTGTGCTATCTTCACAATTTTTCTGTAACCCTAAAAGTATTCTTATAAAAGCTTATTAAAAAATAGATCTTTATTTTTGAGTTGATTTTCTCAGCAGATAAAGAAATAAGGTCCAGGTTTCCTACAAGAATGTTCATTATCTTCCCCAGAACTGATGGTTATAATCCCCAAGATGAGAATGTGCTCAGGCAGCATGGTCTTAATGGAGTGATAGTGTACCTCATGCCCAGTCTCCAGAGCAGTTTTTATGCAAATGACTATTGCCATTAGGATGAAGAGGAGCTGTTCTAGCTAATGGGGCAGCCCAACATACTTCCGGCATAGCTTTTGAATGTCTCTTTGAACATTCACTTTGTTTATAATTATCTGACTGTACCTAATTTGATTCTACATGAAAATTTATATAATTATGTAATTATTCCATTTTAATGTAAGACTGAAACAGACTGTTACCACTATTCTTGAGATTCCACAGAGAACTGCATGCTTTTGCTATTAAAAGACCACTGTTGAAGTATTTGAATATTATCTCTTAGGAACTGATGAAATATAGAGGTTTCAAGCATTTCCATCAGCACACAATTATTCACAACAACCTTCTAGATGCTTATTTTCTATCTTTTCCTATACAAGCTGCTTCCAAATCACCGTCATTACTACTGAAGAATTCAAAGTCCTGAGCTCAAAAGCAATCAGAACCCATAAGGTAGCATAATTAATAGTACAAAATTTCAGTTAAATGCTTAAATCATAGCAAACTACAAATAATATAACACCAAATAGAATATTATTGTCTCAATGAGGTAATGACTCATCAACTAAAACCACCTAAGATAGAACTTTTTGGTATCTGCTTTCTATTGGTACAACACTTTCATTCTTAATGTTTCTTATGGCTTCACAGGTTTTAGAAATAAAACAATACATTTTCAGCCTTCCACAGTAATCAACACTTTCAAAAACTGAGATACACATATGCATGCTACACTAACTTACAATATACAAGTATTTGGTTATATATTAACTCTCAAAGAACACAACTGTTTACTATTCCCTTTCCACAATTGTTAACAGGATGCACTTTCTTTAAATATAAAGTGAAGAA
Organism: Homo sapiens; assembly: GCF_000001405.40. Taxonomy (NCBI): domain Eukaryota; kingdom Metazoa; phylum Chordata; class Mammalia; order Primates; family Hominidae; genus Homo; species Homo sapiens. Next base: position 81,545,279 of record NC_000012.12, read on the forward strand.
AAATCAGAAATTTTGCAACCAATATTTTCCTTCAGTTTTCTACTTTATCATCTTCTGATACCACCATACCCTGAGGCAGTTGTTGTTCTCGGGTCAGAGTTTGACCTGGGCCTCCTCTAAGCAGTAGGATGATTATTCCATGTGCTAGAGTACAATGGAGGATAAGATGGGGGGCGGGTGCCACATGTCTAAAAAGAGTGCTGCTGATATACTGCTGCCAAACAAATACCCAATATTCCTCCAGTTCCCACACCAGTCCAGAATCCTGGTCCAGAATTTTCATATGCTTGTCCTGCAAAAGGACAGTCAAAAATAGAAGTTGCACCATGGCTAGAATTCTGCAGTCCTGTGAATGCAGAATAAAGACTGGCATCAGGGGTCCTGCTCAGTTGGTGAATTTCTGACAACGGTGGGAAATGCACAATACTCAGAATATGGTGGCATAGAATATTGACCATTGCTTAGGAACAGTCTATAAACTACAAGGTAGAAGCACCACAGTGGTAATCAATCCACTGATGCCACAGGAATCTGCAGAGTACCACTAATAAAAATTATCTGAGAGGCCAGGCGCCATGGCTCATGCCTGTAATCCCAGAACTTTGGGAGGCCGAGGCAGGCGGATCACCTTAGGTCAGAAGTTCGAGACCAGCATGGCCAACATGGTGAAACCTGTCTCTACCAAAAATACAAAAATTAGCCAGAGGTGGTGGCATGTGCCTGTAATCCCAGCTACTCGGGAGGTCGAGGCAGGAGAATCACTTGAACCTGGGAGGCAGAGGTTGCAGTGATTCAAGATCACGCCACTGCACTCCAGCCTGGGCAACAGAGTGAGACTGTGTCTCAAAAAAAAAAAAAAAAAAAAAAAATTCATCCGAGAAAGAGGTAAAGCTGTGGTGTTTTCCAGATTCTGAATTTCTTCAGGCCAAGTTCCAAGACCATACAACCTAAGTTATATTCCAAGCCACAGGAACCTCTTTGTACACACAGGTGTTCAGGGGATTCATAGCATTTACAGCTTACCACTGTTTTTTTCTAAATTTGTGTGCAATATCTAAATCACTCTCACATTCCCATGGGGTCTTTCCAGCCCAGTGTAGAGCTTGCAATTACTAGAGGCAAATGCAGGCTGTGGTAGTGCATGCTTCTGTGCAGTTACGCCAGGAGCTCCAGTAAAAGGAAAGTCACTTCTACACTGTTTTAACATACATGAATTTCCCCGCCGTAGAATTACCATGTACATCTAGGATAAATTTATTTTATTTAAAAACATTTCGGAAAGTCCCACTACCAATCGCCCAATTTGTCAATATAATATACCCCATCTATCACACCCACAGAGATCTTAGGTATAAGTAAAAGCATCTAATGAATTCACTATGCTTGGTCATGCCTGAACATTTACATATTAAAATATGTGCTATTTATTATGCATTGACTTTCTCTTACCTCTTTTTTTTTTTAACATTTCAGAGAAACTGGGCTTTTTAAAAATATTTCTTCTTTAGATAGATCATGTTTTTTATGTGTTTAGATTTAGGAAGTAAAAGAGCATTGGCTTAGAAAGCAATGGATTTATGGTAAGTCGCAGCAGTTGGGCCCAGAAAGTGTGAGGACCACTGGTCCAGAGAACTTCTGATTCTCTACCTGTCTTCTTCTCTAATAGGGAAAGAGTTAGCAGGACGTCACTTCTCAGTTCCTAATCATGCCCTAAGCCTGGCAGTGAGAAGCGTGGCAGATGCTAGGGGTGGGCGTACTGGAAGGGAAAAGAAAATAATATTTTCCAGTGCCTAGATTTTGGTGTTGGCAGGAAAATTATTTGCCCGTGACAAACTGCATTTATCTTTTATGGAAACTGTGCTCAATTTATGAACTACACTCACTTTAAATTAACTAGAAACCAAAGTTATATTGTGTAAATTTCAGTTGAATTCCAATTTTACTAACCAAAACTCCTGTTGGTTAATTATACATTTTACATAATATTGAATTCAGATAACAAAAGTCGAGCCTCAATCTCTCAATCTAAAACAAAATTCAGCACACTTCACTGTAGGGTAACAACTGTTAACTTATTGACTAACTTTTTTTTCTTTCCTTTTTTTTTTCTTTTTGAGACAGAGTTTTGCTCTTGTTGCCCAGGCTGGAGTGCAATGGCATGATCTCCACTCACCGCAACCTCTGCCTCCCTGGTTCAAGCGATTCTCCTGCCTCAGGTTCCTGAGTAGCTGGGATTACAGGCATGCGCCACTACACCTGCCTAATTTTGTATTTTTCGTGGAGACGGGGTTTCTCCATGTTGGCCAGGCTGGTCTCGAACTTACTGACTAAGTTTTAAATGAATCAGTGCTACATTTAATTTGAAGAAGTAACAAAGAGTTAGAGAAAAAACAAAGATAACTGGGGAATTGGGTGCAAGTCCACCATAATCTGTTGACACTCTATAAAAATTCCATGTGAGTAATATTTTAACCAGAAAAATAGGAATAATGACTGTTCTCTAGAGCAACCATAACCAGTACCTAGAAAATATGTAATAAACAAGGAAATGGACTAGAACACTAATGTGGTTTTCTGGCAAAGAACTATCCTTACTTAAAAATAATGAGAAGAATATTCAAATACTTACTTTCCTTTAAATAATGAAAACTTTAATTCATGACTCCCATAGCTGTTGTTAGGATTTATGAGTGAAGTCACTAAACTAACATTCATTGAGCACATGCTAGGTACTATAGCAAGTGCTTTGTATATTGCATTTCAATCAGCTTTCCAAATAATGGTATGAGGTTATTGCTACTATATATCGTAATTTCCAAGCCAAAACTTAGAAAAGATCAGTAATTTTTCCAAAGTCTATATAATCAAGAAACACCAGAGTAGGAGATAGATCCCAAGATTCGTTGACTCCAAAGGCTATTTTTCTAAACTCTAAGCTCTATTTACTGCCTATATAGTAAGAGGGGATTAGCAGCAACATTGGAATTTACACAGGGAAATACACGGGGAATGTTCGATCATCTAAGGCCTTCCAATAATTTTTCTTTTTTCCAAAAGAAAGCAAGAGCAAGTTTATTTTCTGTTTTAATTAATATTTCAAAAAAAGCCATCAAGAAGTCTGCTTGTTTGAATTTCTAAGTTTTCACATCAAGATTCTGATTTTTAGGTTTGTCCAAAGCTGGAGAATAATAAAGTTTGATATATTCAAAACAATGTTTTCCTTTATATGTTTTTCTAGAGATGGGAGTCTCAATATGTTACCTAGACTGCACTTAAACTCCTGTGCTCAAGCAATCCTCTCACCTAAGTCTCTCAAGTAGGTGGAACTATAGACATGCACCATCCCACCTGGCTTAAATTGGGATATATTAATGTTAGTCAATGGTTCATCCATAAATGAATTTTCAAAAGCCTCATTTATAATATTTAAAGCTTGTATGTAAAAATGCACGTAGCCTTCAGAATTTGACATATTTCCCAAATTCAATGTAGTGCCAGATGATAAAAAAATCCAAAAGAATGCAACACAATAAGTATGTTGAATAAATGTTAAGCAAATTTTATTTTGCATTTAAAAACATATTCTTTTTGCCCATTTGGAATAGACATCATGATTTTAAACAAAGAAACTGCAGGTACTTACTATGGAACTATACAACTAAATATGCAAAGACAATATTTGTGTTATTTCAAAGCTTTCATTGGTAAGCTTTTTATTAGCAAAAATATAAGGAAGCTTAGTTTCCTGCAAGAGAAATAAATAGTAAAAATTAATGTCTCTGAGCCATAGCTTGCCTCCACACAAGTAGTGAATCATTTCTCCCATCTGTCCCAACCTGAATATATCCCTTAGAGATATCTGCCTTTCTGGGAAGAGCGTTGGCATGTATATTTATTATTACTTTCATTTATATACAGTTCTAGCTTTGCTGCTATCTTCCTAGAGCCTTCAGTTCTTCTGTGATGTTGAGTAAGAGTTATATGTTTTACTGGAAAGATATCAGTCACTATTATTCATAATTAGAAATAAAATCTTTGAATTGATTAGAAGATAATTAATGTATATTCTAAGAAAAAAATCTACTTTTAAGATACATAATGATACACATTAGAGACACCACAAGAATGGATAGAACTTTTGGTTTCTCTAAAAATATGACCTAGATGTCAACTAGAGTCTTCCTCATTTTGATAGTTAAATAATACTAACTGCTGTCCCCATATCATGGCCTATGGGAAGTCTAATGCATTCCTCTTTGATGCTTTTAAGTATACAGGAGTTTTCATTCTTGCAACAACCTGGTCGCTCCAATGTTCTTATCTCACTAAATCCTTGAATATGTCCCATTCCATTAGACACTCTCAAAACATCACTCACATAAGGCTTTTGTGTGCTTATGAGGTAAGAAACAATAATCATAGATCAAATAGTAATATGCATAAACAATAGCAATCAGAATATAAGGCATTCTTATTTTAAGATTTTCTTTTTTAGCCATGTTTTCTACTCACTGGCAGGTCATTTTGCTGTCTGGCTGGTCATTTTCCTGCTGGGGTCTCTATTCTCTCTCCACATCCATATATCCCAATTAACATATTATATGAAGCTATTTTTTTAATCTCTATTTCCCCTCGCTTGACTAAACCATCCCCAAATAATTTTTATCTTAGCAAAAACAAAAACAAAAAACTAAGATTTTTAAGGTATATTCCAAGGCAAAGATAGCTTTCTTTCTGAAAGGACCCTTTAAATATCCTATTACAAAAACAGTTTAGTCTAAATATTGTCTTTAATCTCAAATAAATTGACGAATTACTTAGCAGGAGGCACTAGAGACTTAGAGTAAATGACAAAAATCTCTGCCCTTTCGAAACTCTGTCTACCTGGGAAAATGTACAAATGAAGAAGGTTACAGACAATGCACTAAGTGTTATAATAGAGTTGTATGGGTTTAAGGAGCAGGGAAAATCTGGGGATTAGAGGTCTAGGGGCTCACAGATTCACATAGAAGGAAACATCTGAGCTAAGACTTTCAGAATGAATAAGAATTTGCTAGGCACTTGGGAAATTAAGGCATTCCAGATCCAGGGAAAACATTTGTCAAGGCATAACGATAATTTATTTGAAAAAATAGTAATTGGATATCTTTGACAGGGTATGTATAGAAGCGATGTGATCCAATTAGACAGAAGGTAGGGGATTTAAGTGATATATTTTGAAGGTCTAAGTAAGACAGGCTGTGGAAGTAAACAGTAGAGGATCTGAAACAGATTTCCTGTTGGGAGTTTGGTTTCAAGGAACTCAGGTTTCTGGCTGAGGCATCTCTGCAGAACAGCATTAAAATATCCAATGGTGATTTTTAGTTTGACATTTGATTTATGCTGATATTGATGTGCATAGGGGATGTTGAGGTTAGTTCTTTAGTAGAACTAATCAAAATAAACTCAAGGTGCCATTAAAACAGCAAAGGCAAATATGTCAATAAAGATACAAGGGGAAATCATTTAAGGGGGAAGACCAGTGGACTAACGACTGAACTCTGGGGGGAAAATCTATATTTAATGGCTAAAAAGAGGAAGAATCTGAGATGGGAAGAGGTCTCAGAAGGAAATTGGAAGAACCAGGTGATAGCGCTTTCTTAGAATCCTAATGAAAGAATTCAAGAAGGAGGGAGTTATCAATGGTGATAAATGGTGCATTATGATGCATTGAGATCAAATAAGAGAGTAAAAAATAGTTATTGAATTTGGCAAGTAGAAGAACAGAAAAGATAGAGAAAGCAACTTTATTGGCATGACTAGGATAAACACATTACAGTGAGTGGAAAATGATCAGGCTAGAAATGTACGCTCAGAATTTGGTGTTGCTGCCAACACATCAAGGTCAGACAGCAGGACTTACTTAGCATGTAGCAGATGTTCAATAAAGTTTATGGTATAAATGAATGAAAAGATGAATGGCAAATGAAATTCTGGGGTGAGCCATATCCAAAATGAAACATGGACTATATGTTTTACTATCAGGTGCTGCATTATTAAATTTAGTTAATTTCATTATTTTACCATACTATCATTTTGAAAGGAAGCTATTCTGTCATTAGAAAGTACAGTCCACCTTCCATGTCCAAACAGATAAAAAATATTCAGGAAAAAACAATTAAAAATAACAATAAAACAATTTAAAATACAAATAAAAACAAAGTGACTATTTACAAAGCACTCACATTGCATGATTTACATAGTATTCGCATTGTATTAGATATTATAAGCAATCTAGAGATGATCTAAAGTATAGTGAAGGATAAGCATCCATGGATTTTGGTTTCTGAGGGGTGAAATAAACCCCCCATGGATAGCAAAGGACAACAGTAATCTATTCTTGAAATCTTATGTTTTTATAGTTACTTATTTGTGTACTATCATATTTACTTCTGAGTGTGTGAAACTGTTATTTTAGAAGTGATTTTTGTATTGTATATATAAAGTCTTTTCAAATAAGCATATTTATGTATCCTTTTACGACCTCCTTAATTACAATCTCTGTTTTATTCACTCATTCTCAAAAAGAACAAGGAAACAAGGTGATACTGTGGAATCTTATTTTTTATTAGATAACTACAACTGGATTAATTACTTTAATTTCTCTCTTATTCAAGATGCTTTTAAATTAAATGCCTATACTGAGGCCTAGATGAATATTCTGAACACAAAAATTCTAAGAAATTATTTCAGTATAACCAATTTAAAGAACTTAATTATTTAACTTACACAATTTTAATAGATAAAATTAATAATTAATTTAAAAACAATGTTTATATAATTTCAATAATATTTATCACTATTATAGTAACCAAAATAATACTATATAATAACCAAAATTATTGAACTTTAGAAATAAATGGCAAAACTACTTTATAAGGTTAATCAGAACCTCAGAAATTATGGATTGAAGAATCAACACTATTAAATATGTAAGCATAGAACTCTATGCAGGAGGAGAAAGTAAGAAAACCTTCTGGTTAAGTAAATTATTTCATATTACATTGTGTCCCCTTCTAAGTGTAAACTGCACTGTGTAATATACACATTTTTTTTTTCTTGAACAGACTTAGTCATAACAGTTAATTACAGAGACAGGTATTTACTTTGTAAATATAGATGCAACTAAATTGAAAGTATTATTCTGGAACCAATGTATAGGTTTCTGACTTGCCAAACATGTTACAATTGAAATGTCAAGAAACAGTACCTTCTAGTATCTAAGTTATCAATCATGATGACTATATCAATAAAAACTTATTATATGTTTGAACAATATAATGAAAAATATGAATCTTTTGTTATTTAATGTTTGGTGGTTTAAATATCAAAAATTCATGTGTGTAGCTTTCCAAAATGATAATAATTCAAATAAACAACTCAGTTCAATTAATACTCTAAATTCAATTTTTGACTAAATTTTACATAAGTGAAAAAGTAGTTTCCTATTTAGAAGATATGATCCCATTCACGCTAAACAGTAAAGTAGCTTTAGTCATTTTTGATGATGTAGGTTACCCAGAGAAACTATATTACAGATCTATGCCACCTACACTCAGTCCATCGACAACGAAACAAGTAGTTGTAATGTAGCCTATTAAAAATCAAATGAGTAATTCACATTTTTTCCATATAATAAATAGTAACTGAGTCCTCTGCCATTCACTTTGCTCATCACTGAGGACACAGAAATCAAAGACCGATTTTTTTTTCCCCCTAATGAAAGAGCCACAGTTCATGTACAGAGTGTGGTATGACAGGAACACATGGATACATGAAATTCCAGAGAAGAAGCATTAATCTCACGGGCTGAGAGGCCAGAGAAGGTATCTTAGGCGAGCTGTAATCTGAGCTAAGGTTTGAAGAATGAATAGGATTTAGCCAGATAAATAAGGGAAATAAATTGAAGCATTCTAAGCAAAGGAAATAAAAATAGGAAAAAAAACCAAGAAGCATTAGAATGTAACTAACTCAGGAATACATTAATAATTAAAACTGTGCCTGTAATATTAATGGTGGTAAATTGTATTTTTCAAAGATGGATACCAGAAAATATCCTATCTTTGCATACTCTTTTGAACGTTAGCTTGTCCTACTCCCATCAAGATGAAGACTGGACTTCATTTCTTTGAATCTTAGCAGGCCCTGTGAGCACTTTAACCCATAGCATGTGGCAGAAGTTGGTAGCATAAAAGACACAAGCATAGCACTTCAATTACCTAACAACTTCTACCTTCTGCTTCTTGTAGCCCTAATCCTGGACCTCATGTAAGAAGTTCAGGAACCACAAGACTCTGCGGAAGAGAGGAGCCATAGAGGAGCACTGAGCTGCTAGACATGTGAGTGAAGAAACCATCCTTGCTTGACACCAGCCCATCAAAGACTTTGCATGATGCTAGTCCCATCTGCTTTCCAATTGGAACTGCATTGAGAGACTTTGGGTGAGAATTATCCAATCAACTCCCTGGTCAGAAAAAATAGTGATAAGGTGGTGTTTTAAGCCTCCATGTTTTGGAGTTTTTGTCAATAACAGTAAATAACTGAGATATAAAGTGTCTGTTTTGATGGTGATGATGGAGTAGGTGGTAAGAGCTGGATAAGTGACTTGGAACCAGATTAAGAATGGTTTTCATGGCATTTAAGATTTTGGTTTTAGTTTTAAGGGCAATGCTATGGCAAAAAGAAATTAATTGATTTAATACAACTTTTTTTTGCTAGAAATGGGGATTTGATCCAATTTATACTAAATATCACAATATAAATTAAAAGAGGTGAGCACTAGAATGAGGAGACTCAGTTGAAGGGTGCTTCAGTAATTGAAGTAAAAATGATAAGTCTGAACTAAAATGGCAACAGTAGGAAGAAGGGGATACAAGTGATGTCAAGATTTACCTAGGAGATAAAATTTGTAGGACTTGATCAGTTGTATAGGAGAGATATAATTTTAGGTACTTAATTAGTAAAAAGTGATGGCAACTCAAATTTTCCTAAGCCAAAGTGGGATATGTTTTCAGGATAATGGTGCTTCTCTTGGAACTCAAAGACTGGGATGTGTCTGGGTCTCAGGGACAACTGGAACTGGGAACCGAAATGTCACTTTCCACTTTTTAACTCTGCTCCTACCTAAATCTTTATTTTCTTTCTCTGTACCATGGCTTCTTCCAATTTTCTTATTATAATGGAGGAACACATGGCCTCCAAATTGACCAAGATTTACATCTAATAGTTTTAAGATCCAACAAAATCTACTATCTCTTTCTCAGATCCAGGAACAAAATGTTCAAGAAATCTTCTGATCAGATATTTGAAAAGAATTGATTTTAATTTGCTCATGTCCTCAAAGCAACAAGGGGAGTTTGAGGTGTAGTGAATAGTTTCTTAGAAGAACAACGATTGTATTCCAATTAAGGGAACATAATTCTTGATCTTAGATCAGGTGGACATTTATAGTTCTGGGATTTGAAATATAAATGTTTTCTGAACTAAAAACGTATACAGTTATTTCAGCACAAGAACTGAAGGCTGTTCAGAAATGTATACCAAAGTTTTTCTTGTTCAGTACCATGTGAGATCATTTCAAACTCTCAGTAACAGAGATGAGTCAACCTTCTAATAAGTATTGGTCTTCTCTTTCTCTAAAGATAGACATTTTTGGGGGAATAGGATCTCAGAGTACAGTTTGTGATCAAATCTCAAAAAAGTTTATTGCATTTACAACAGCATTTTTCAAAGAGAACACCTCTAAATACGACACACAGTTTTGTGGTCACACGAATCCTCAAAGTGCTATATTTTATGTCTGCCTTCAAGGTATTCACTATATAGATGAGAAGATTAAAAGCTCTAAGAAATCTGTAAACACACACATGCTTCTAAAACTAGTATTTTCTAATGTATTTGACAACCTTTTTAATAGTCTTTCTAATATCCCATATTATATGTTGTAGGAAATTCATATAAAGTAATATTGATTTAGATATCTAAGTCCATGATTTCAAAATGGAAAGTTTTTGTCCCAATTTAAGACATATGGTATGTAATATAGCATAAGATATAATAATGTGTATAAAACGTCTTCACTGATACTCTTAGTCAAATGACATTTTATTGATATAACTTTAATTAATGAATGATGTTGGCACATTAATCCTTTTCTGTTTCCCAGTAGATATTATGCTTTATTATTCTGCAATTCTTGAAATTGATAATTTATAAATCTTAACAGGCACAATTTTCAAACAGTGACAGACTTTCATGAGGAGAAAAGAAATATTTAGTCATAGGTTTGTTTAAATTAATATTTTCACCATTTGGGATGACAAAGCACAAAAAATTACAATTTCTTTTTATAGAGGATAAGAATAAAATTAGAGCACAAATCTGTAAGTCAGTAAATTAATAGAGTTGAGATTTTTAAAACATCTAGTATTTTAATGCAATGAAGAGAAGAAAACATACAGAATCCCACAACTCATGTCTGCAGATCAATAAAAAGGTACAGACTTGATACATATTACTGCTATGCTTCTTCTGGGTACTTAAATATGGCTCTAACAAAATATAATAGGCCACTGTCAAATTCAGTGTTTTCTGAACCTTGTCGCCCATCAGGATAATTCAGAGTTTTTAAAAATAGAGACCCTTGGGGTTTCATCCTCTAAATTAAGTGTTAGTTGGGATGGAACTAAGAAATGTTTATGTTTAAAAGCATCTCTGGTGATTCTGACATCACTGGTCTGTAACTAGCCATGATATGTGGGAAACACTGGACTGGGTGTTCCTGGATCATTTGGCTACTATTTCCAAATACTGTAAATACTGTGTGTTATATTATATATTCCAACTTTTCAATTATCTTTACTTATTCATCAAAATGAAATGTTATTAATTAGACCAATACTTTGAAGTGATGGTAGCCTAATAATATTCCTTGATAAATGCACGGTGGTCATTTTACCAAAATTAATCAGATGAATACATAAAAGTTTATGGCTGTCAATTGAATAATACTTCTTATCATGAATAATGCAAATGGGTTTATTGGGGTCCTAACATTTTAAACTACATACATGTCAAACTTAATTAACTCTGCTTTCATAACCACCTACAGAATGTCTTACCCTTTTTTCATGCACATTAGAAGATGCAAAACTCTGAACTGTTTTCCACAAACTAACATAACATATATTGATAGGACTTAATAGGCTATCTTACAAGTGAAGGCTAATTGCTAAAGGTGAGATTAGGTAAGTTGAAAAGTGGTGCTGGACATCAAACAAGTGGGAAAATTTGTGCAAGTTTTTAATCAATATTTTGATAGGTTATTATAGTTCAATATATCTACCCCCTACATTAACTTCCGTGGTTGTGGAGTATTAAAAAAAAAATCAAGCAAAACTTTATCAGTGATAATCAACCAATTTAAGAGAGAAATTCCACATATGGCCTAAAACCTGGGGGCTACCCATTGTTGGGATCCTTATTACTGAAATTCACCATCAATCTAATAGAAGCTAAAATATAAGATGTACATGAGGACTGCACATCTTTCACTTTTTGCACTTATTTGCATTTTTAATCAGCAAGAATGTTGAAAATTAATTTTTATTTCAATAAAAATTCAATATTAGTTTCAATAAAAGTCAAGCTGTTAATTTCTTAACTGCTGAAAATATTTTTTAAAATATTTGTAGAAGTGATCTAAGTTATCTTGATGACTGGCATTTTTTTTTCCCTCAATGAGACCATCAGCAGTAAAAGGAGGAATTAAACAGGAAGTATTTATCAGGTCTCATTCTTATATGCTTTTACTGAAGTGTATTTCTCTCCCTGATCAATAGCTATGCATTAGAGAGGACAGATATAGATCTTATATCTACACACACACACACACACACACGTATACATATACATAAAAATACAGATATTATACGTATGTATAGGTATAATAATATAAAGAGTAATTTCTAAATAAATATTTGTCTAGAAATTTGACTGAACTCTGTGGGTGGAGGGACAAGATCTTTTATTCATCATGATATTCCCAAATCCCAGTTTCTGATAGAGTAAAGACTCCCCAAATCCCCATATCTTAAATGGATATTTATATCCTTTCTATAGAGGCATCCAATTTCAAACTTACTTTGGTTAAAATCCCTGCATATTTTCTTTCCCATTGACCAAAGTGGAGAAGTATCTTTAAAACTGGTCAACCCTAGCAAGCTATTTAATAGCTACAGTGAATGCTTTCTTACTCAAAGATCTCATCATTAAAGCTATCAATTGTTCCAGGAATCAGCATTATTTCAGCAGTTTTCACCAGCTATCTTTAAAACTAGTCTTTGTATAGGTGAATAGGTATAGAAATTTCCTTTCTCTATAATTTAAGCTAATTCATAAAAATACACTAAGCTAGGTCATTACTCAGAGTTAAATACTTTCAGATTATAACTGAGCCTTCTCAAATTAAATGGCATTTAGCTCACTAAATGTGTAATTTACTTAAAAGTATTAATAGTCTTGAGAGAATTAGTGCTTATGCTAAAATATAATTACAAACTCTCTGGCCATAAATTATTTTTCTAATACCATCTGAGACTCAGAAAATGTGTGTAAAGGCATGCCATGGCCTAATCTGGGTAGCACAATTATAGGGGATTATCTCTGGAATTGGTGGTCCTGTCTCAAATCTACCATTATAATAGGGAAAGTAATGTTTAAACAGTTTTTGCATTATTCTTGTTATTCTTAAGATACTCCATTTATACTCAAATCACCCTAAAAAGATAAGAATCTATCAAGTTTATGAAATAAAACTTTCTGAATTCCCAGGTTGTGGCTCATTTCTCAAAGGGGATGTAGATGACTCATTCTGCCTAGTGTATAAATAATATCATTGCATAATGCCCAATTCTTCTAGCAACTAAGTTGAAATATATAGAGAATCATATTCATGCTTTTCCACATTTTCTTTGTACTTCTCAAGTTGTGGAGCTTGGACGTAAGCCAGTACTTAGAATGAATGGAAGATTGATCAGTAGTTACTGTGATCTACATTTCTTTATCCTAGGGCAACTATATTTTCATACACATTACAATTTGATACAAGCTTGCTGACAATAATTAGAAAATTCAGGCAATCAAAATACAAATAAATCAATAATAGTTACACTACCTGGAGAGAACATTCCCGTGCTTTCACATGGAATATAGGATGGCCCTCGCACATTGGTGGTAGTGGAGACAGCCCATCCCAGTGTGATCACAGAGCTGTAGAACAATGCACATCAAAGAAGCCAGGACAGCAGAAGGAGTTAACAGTCTCTCAAAGGATTTGTTTAGGAGGACTTCCAAGATATCTACAGGGACTTGAAAAATACTTGAAGAGGTGGCTATGTATTTCTGATCCTGTAATGGCAGGTGTGGGCAGAGCTGGTGAAAAAGGGATTACTACTTTCTAATTTCCACTCTGGCTGGAGTGGCCTGGGGAAGCACACACTATAATATATGTTACGAATATGTGTGTTTTTCCATTCTATATCACACAATGGCATTAGTGTCATTTCTAGAAGAGTGTATTGTGTATTCAAAAGGCCAAAATATAGTCCCTTCTAAACTAGAACAAGTATAATACTTATTCTGATAAGTTCTTGAATTACAATATATGGCTACTTGGCTAGCTTAATCTATTTTCTTAAATTCATTTCAGAGTTAATAGCCCTGAAAATTAAGAAATCTTTGAACCATTTGAAAAAGACATACTTTGTGCAATAGCTGAAACAATTTTAAAACACACAGAGAAAATACTACCCTTCATTTATTTAAAGGAGTTAAGAATTGCTTCAAGGTACTCTAACTGATAGAAAATGTGGGTAATATCAGCTAATCATATTTCAACAATAAGAGGGTTAAAGGACCTTGATGCTCATTATTAAAAAGGAATGTGGGTGTGGTAGAAACAGCGTGTGCATTTGCACGTGTGGATGCATGTGCATGCACGTGCATGTGTGTGTGTGCACATATAATAGTTAGCAAGGATATTATAGGACAATAAAACATGACACAATATTGTCATTCCAGAGTTGTTGTGTGTTATGGGTCCTTCAAAGGACTCAAATTTTATTTTGTTGTATTCTATTGGGAGAAAAATAATTTTTATTCCAAAGCTAAGTTAATGTTTTCATGTTGCATAATCAAAATGATGACTTTGATCTAATGAGATTTTATAAGCACATTAAAAATTATACCCTTATAATTATAAACGTACCATTAGAAGACTCTTTTTCTTAGAAACTCCGTTATAAACTTAAGAATGGGTTCAATTGCTATTGTGTCAAGGATTTCTCAAAAACATCAAAAGGAAAACTTTTTTATATTTAGGTGAGATCTTGTAAACCTCTTTGAAATTATAAATGCAAGATACTTATTAAGTGATTTTACATTTCATTTATTTTTCTTACCCAATGCTTTTTACATGATGCTTAGTTGTTTTTTTTTTTGTTGTTGTTTTTTTGCAATCTTCTGTCTCATTTCCCCCAACCCAAATAATTTGACACACATCGTTTCAAATAAATTAACATCCTATCTCAGTGGACTCCTTTGGCCAAAATAGAAAGTTCAAATCCTAATTTGTGGGCTGACACATGTGGCCTCCTCTATCCAAGATATAACACGTTATTACACTTTGCACTAACAGACACTGAAGAGCTATGAGCCTTCTTTCTTATTCTTGTCTTTTAAACTGAGGTTTGAATTGACGTATACCTGTGATCCTGAATAATACAGGTACTGTAGACTGGAATGTAAAAGAGACAAAAGTAAGGTCCAAATGGTACAGATACTAGAGGTAGTGTGGTAAAGGTGTTTAAAATATTATCAAAAGTACGGGCATGTCTTTAAAAAAACAGAATTGTGGTGGGGGGTATGTGTGTGTGTGTCTGTGTGTATGTGTGTGTGTGAGAGAGAGAGAGAGCTAGAGAGAGAGACAGAGAGAACAGGCAAAGGAGAGAAAGAACAAATCCTAATTTAGCTTTAGATGTAGAACTATATGTGAAAGGTGGAAGGTAATCATATGTCATTAGTTTTACATTCTTACATGACCTCACCATCTGATTGTTTTTATAGAAATACTAGCAGAGTCATATGTGTTTTAAAAAAGAACTAGGAGAATTCATTAGGATGACTTACTTCTTTCATAAATAAAAACTGGATTGACTTATTTAATAAATGTCCTGTAAGAGCCTATGTGTCAGGCAGAAAACCAGACTCTCTCTCAGAGAATACTTCTTCAGATCTTAAAATTTTGGTCTAAATATTTTAACTGAGCTTAAATGTGTTCAAAAATTTGCCTTTACTGCCTTTCAACATCATGTAACCCTAGATTTATAAACACAGAAAAGCATGGAATAGAAGAAAAAGGTCGTATTTGGAATCGCAGAGATGTAAGTCTATTTCTCAGCTCTAGTACAGGTGCCTCTGATTCTATTAAGATGGGAATAAGTTATTAATGAACATACAAGCTTAAATTTATAAAATTTAGAGAAATAAATCTATCTGAAAACAGCTGATAATTTTTAATCTATTGAAACTTCTGATCAGGGAAGAATAGATATCAACAAATCACCTTTTATGCAAAAGACTTTCTGCCCACGTTTTAAATCAATGAGCTTTGTTCCTAAATGAAAAACTAATTGTGTATGTATGTGTGTGTGTATTTATATATAATCTTAGCTATTTTATGCAATGATTTACATAACTCACTAAGTTTAAAAGTGTAATGGCATTCCAAATTTTTTCCTATGATTCATTTAAGATAACAGCATCTATTTCTATTGTAGTTTACATGAGAAGAAAGAAAGACCCAGGCTGTGTATATGATATGAGATGGCAAAGAGCAAACTTCATGAACAGAATATGCTGTCTCCTATGTTCCACCTTTCCCTTATGATATTGCAGCAAATTTAATCTCACTAGTTTCAGACATAACATTTCAATTAGCATAGCTAATAATTTAGAAAAACAATTTTGGAGGCTTTTTAATATGATAGGCAACTATGATAGTATAAGTAAGAATTAGACACAGTTCATGCTTCAAAAACTTACAATCTCTCATGTGAAGCAAATAGAAATACAGTAATGAATTAATGAGGTAAGTGTAGAGATTGTGATGTGCCAGGGTAATACAGGAGGGAGTCCCCCCCCAAAAAAAACGTTAAGCAAATCTGTTGGTATGTTAGAAAAACTCCTGTCCAAAGGGCTCATATAGCTATCTTCCTATTACTTCCCCTCTCTCTGATAAATAAATTTTATATTCTCTGGAGTGCTGTCTGGGGTAATTTTACAAATCACTTTTTTTAAATTATAGCATAGGGTTCAGATGGAATTAGTAACAGACGCAAGCTGCCAACTTCGGTTTCTTATGTGAAAGCCACTTGTTCTCAAAGGGTCTCCACTTTCTAGGCTTGCTTGGTTTTTGTTTTCTGAGTCTGGTTCAAACTTTACCATATGTTCTTAAAAAAATTAACTGCTTAAGAGTTGATTTATCTTGTCTGCATTGAATAGCTTATTATCTTTAACCATGCATCTACCTGGAGTATTCTTTTGATGAAGTTTTACCAAACAAAATTCTAACTAGACTTTCTTTTAACCTTAACAAATACTTCATGTTCACATTTATGTTTTGCTAATGTCAGAAAACAGGTATCATCAAAGATAAAAATCATTTAATAAGTTAATATTGACAGTACTTCTTTTATTCTAAAGTTTTGTTGTCTCTTAAAAAGATAGGCCTTTATGTTTTTCAGATCTAGTTTTATAGGTCTGTAACAGATTGTCTGTTGCTAAGCATTCCAGAAAAAGAAATGTAACTTAGAGGGTACAAAAAGAAAATTATAAAATCCAGTGAAAGAAACATAAAAATTGAATACATCTAAAAGTAGTAAGTTATAAGAAGAATAAATTATGCTACTTTAAGCCAAGGGTTAATTGTCTTGATGTTCTTTGAATATAAAATTATAATTATAGCCAAAAATAATTAGGCCAGTACATAAAATGAAAATAATTCTGAAAATGGTACCCTATTATATTTACTGCCAAGTGTTTATTTTTATTCTACAGATAGTCACAGAGAAAACACTATTAGGGGAAAACATTGAAAACTTATATAGTTAGAACTGAAGATGATAGGTAAATAAGTTTCACTGAGGAATATTTCAAGAACATGTAGGCATTTTGTAAGAGAGTATGTTGAGGCCGGGCGCGGTGGCTCACGCCTGTAATCCCAGCACTTTGGGAGGCCGAGGCGGGCGGATCACGAGGTCAGGAGATCGAGACCATCCCGGCTAAAACGGTGAAACCCCGTCTCTACTAAAAATACAAAAAATTAGCCGGGCGTAGTGGCGGGCGCCTGTAGTCCCAGCTACTTGGGAGGCTGAGGCAGGAGAATGGCGTGAACCCGGGAGGCGGAGCTTGCAGTGAGCCGAGATCCCGCCACTGCACTCCAGCCTGGGCGACAGAGCGAGACTCTGTCTCAAAAAAAAAAAAAAAAAAAAAAAAAAAAAGAGAGAGTATGTTGAATGTACAATAACTACTTACAGTGAATATTTCCAATAGGATAATATAACATTCATTCTTTCAGGATATTAGGCAAGGAAAGATATTCTTGCAAGTCATTGCCAATGTCAATAGACAACGAACATTGTCTAAACAGAGATGTCATGGCCCTCATTTTTTGTCTTTCTTTTTGAGGAGTGAATGTCTCCATCTTGTCCTCTTTTCTATATATATGTTCTTCTTGTTTTTAAATTATCTTTCCTAAGAAACTTCACTACATATTCCTGCCCAAGTATATCAGTTTGTCTATGTCATTGCTTCTGTCTTTTATCTCCTCTGGTTTGTGACTCCACTACTTAGTCTGGGTCCCCCTTTCTTCTGGCATCTCCACTAGATCCTGAGCCTGAACTTCAAACATTATACACTATTGACAGCACTTAAGGATTTACTAACACGTGCTTTTCATACATGTACAACCTCTGTTCTACTGTCTTAGATTTCTCTTTTCCACAATTACCCTTCTTAAAGAGGTAGTCCAACTTCACTGTTTCCACTTGCTTTTCAAGTGGAAAAGCTTGTGGAACTTGCTTGTGGAAAAACGTGTTTACTCCATACTCATTGCAATCTGGTTTCCTTTTTAGTGAATTAAATCCAAAATCCTCTTCTTAGTTCACATCTAATCTTTTAAATATATGACATAATATGTGACATAATATGACTCAAGAACAACCCCTCTACTCAGCATGGAGGTCTGTTGAGAAAACAGACTACAGCTCACCAGAAGAAATCAACACACGCTGTTAAAATCAGCTAATTGAACTGCTTTACTCTAAATATAAATGACTTAAATCTTAGCATCTATGATGATACACTAGTCAGTCGTTATTCATTAATTTGTGTATTTAAAAGATATAAAGCCATTATCATGCAGCAGGCATCATTACAGATGCTAAGTTATAAAGCTGAGAATCATATGGTCCCAGCATTTGTGAGGGGAAAAAGTACACAAATAATTGTAATAAAATGTGTTATGCTATAATAGAGATATTTGCCATTGCAGTATGGTATCATAGAAGATGAGTCACTTACAAAAAACCTTTAATACATATCATTGTGTCCAAGTATATAAAAACAATAAAAAAGTATTCAACATAAATCTTTTTATTTAAAAGGGAATAAAAAATTGGCTTCTAAAGATTTTTGTGTGAATGACATCAAACATCACACACTCATTTTGCAAAATAGACATAAGTATGAAAAACAATTATTTTGAATGTATTATTAATTCTGATAAACATTGTACATAGAAATCATTCATCTTCATTGAACATTCATGACATTGATCATTCAAATAGCACTTCAAAAGCAGAGCATTTGAAATGAGAAAATTTACAGAACTATAGATTTTTCAAGCTGAAGGAAAGAAACTTAGAGACTATTTGGTCCACACTCATCATTTTACAAAGAAGGAATTGATGCTCTGGGAGACACTTGCACACAAATTCTCTGAAGCATAACTGAAATAGAAGCGAGCCTGCTCTACTGCTAGTGACCTTTCTACCAAAATGCAAACTGACCAAAATAGGTTGTCTGTACAGTGAACTGCTATTAAGGATGGAGTTCTTTTGTTGGTTTTGAGGTTTCCGGAGTTGGCTGCTTAATATGATTAGGCCCAAAAATGCTAAGGACTCTACTTCCAATAGTATGTAGAACACTGATAGTCCTTGGTGTGAACTGTTTAGAGAGTTATGCAAAATAAATGCATTTAACATTCCTGATTCACTGCTTGTGAGAGGCAAGCAGTTTACTGACCCTATACCTAATACCTTTGACCATATGCGGAGAACCAAGGAACATAATGAAGCTGGTTGGTTGTTTCTAAGTTCAGTGGACAAAGTGATGAAAGAAAATGATGTACTCAGGGATGCTAACTCCCGGCTTCAAAAGCAGATACTGAGCCTCAAATCTGCTAAGACTGCCCTGAGTGAGAGTCTTATCCTCTCTGTAGAGAAAGAGTTGAAATTGTGGAAAAACAGACACAAGCTCTTATCATACAAGTGGCTGACCTGCAAGGAAAGGTGCATGCACAACCTCACCAGCTGTCTACTGTTAAAGTGAGGGCATTGATTGGAAAAGAATAGGACCCTGCAACTCGGAATGGGGATGTGTGGGAGGACCCTGATAAAGCTGGAGATACTGAGTTTATAAACTCTGATGAACCTTTTTTGCCAGAAGAAACAGCTTACCCATCCCCAGTAGTGGTAACATCCCCTCCCCGATCCATGCTGCCATCAGCCTCTCCACCTTTGTCTGAGGAGATAAACCCTGTGCTGCCTGAGGCAACAGTGATGACCTCCCCTGAGGCAGTTGCCAGGCAAGATAATGTTGATTCTCCTCAGGAGCCACCCCCAACACTCCTGTTTGCTTCTAGACCTATAACTAGACTGGCCTAGCCTCCCAGCCTACATCTTTCTCCCGTGCTGGATGCTTCCTGCCCTCGAATATCAGACTCCAAGTTCTTCAGTTTTGGGACTCGGACTGGCTCTCCTTGTTCCTCAGCCTGCAGATGGCCTATTGTGGGACCTTGTGATCATGTGAGTTAATAATAAACTCCTGTCTATCTATCTACCTATCTATCTGTCTATCATCTACCTAATTCGTTCTGTCCCTCTACAGAACACTAACTAATACAACTGCATACACTCCTTTCTGAAAGTATTTACAATAGCCTGAGAAAAATATTTTAATGAGGACTGTGTGTGTTTTGCCACCACTTCATTTTCTCCAATTATAAAATTATAGACCAACTCCTAAACACAGTGTTAAACTCCCAGGAATCCTCAAATAGATATTACTTAACATAACTGAGATTGTGTTGCCCTAAGAAATTAATAAGGAAATCAAATGCCTAGAAACAGCTTTCATATCTTATAAAAATTACAAGCTCTGCCCCCCAAAAATGTCATGGGTAATGCCACAAATATTTTCTTTATCTGTCATCTGATCACTTCATTTTAGGACAAATCTATAACTATTTACTTTCCTTTGTAATAATTACTTGCCAGAGGCAGACCAGAATTTGATGTATTCAAACCTGTCACATATGTATATTTACAGGGAAAGCACATCTTCTCTGTGGGAGAGAATTAGGTTTTAAAGTTAGTTCATAAGGCAAAAGTCAATGTATTCAAAACCACCCTGGATGGTCCCTCAGGGAAGCACCAGTCTGAAGATCAAATACTGAGTCCCACTATGCTCACTCCAGGCATTTTTCTTCAGAGTTAGAATATATCACTCCTCCTAGGCAAGAGGACCCAGTAAATGACCTGCCCTGCCATAAGGGCTTTGTCTTATGAAAAGTACATGTACGTTTTGGCCGGGCACGGTGGCTCATGCCTGTAATCCCAGCACTTTGGGAGGCTGAGGCAGGTAGAGCATGAGGTCAAGAGATCGAGACCATCCTGGCCAACATGGTAAAACCCCATCTGTACTAAGAAAATACAAAAATCAGCTAGGCTTGGTGGTGGGTGCCTGTAGTCCCAGATACTCGGGAGGTTGAGGCAGAAGAATCACTTGAAGCCGGGAGGCGGAGGTTGCAGTGGGCCAAGATTGTGCCACTACACTCCAGCCTAGCAGCCTGGTGACACAGTGAGACTCCAACTCAAAAAAAAAAAAAAAAAAAAAAGAAAAGAAAAGAAAAAAAGAAAAGTACATGTACTTTTTAATGTATGAAAAGTGTCTTTATCAACTAGGATTACATTCAGCATTAGAGAGTGCTCACTTCAAGAGAAGGACACATTTTTCAAGTTTCCGTATTCACATTCTCTTAGGGGGATATACACTCATTGCAATGGATTCCTGTAAGATTTCAGTGGTTATTTGTGTCCCATATTTTTGTTGTTGTAGAACATGTGTGACTGTATTTATACAAGATACATGTGCAACTGATGCCATTCCACTTACTACATACACTTTCTCATATATCTATGTTTATACACTGACATAGATGTATATCAGTACTCAACTGTACATACGTGTGTACTGTAAGAAATGTTTTATGGTATAAGTTTGTTTCAGGAAACAACTGCATGTTGTAAGAATAAAATTATAATAGTAATGCAGTTTATAAAATATGTAATTGTTGTATAATAATTTGTCTGATCTTTTTCCCTCCCTGGGAGAAACTTTCTTTTTCTTGAGACTGAGTGGCGCTCTGTCGCCCAGGCTAGAGTGCAGTGGCGCAATCTCGGCTCACTGCAAGCTCTGCCTCCCGGGATTCACGCCATTTTCCTGCCTCGGCCTCCCGAGTAGCTGGGACCACAGGCACCCACCACCATGCCTGGCTAATTTCTTTTGTATTTTTAGTAGAGATGGGGTTTCACCGTGTTAGCCAGGATGGTCTCGATCTCCTGACCTCGTGATCCACCTGCCTCGGCTTCCCAAAGTGCTGGGATTACAGGCGTGATCCACTGCGCCCGGCCAGGAGAGACTTTCTAGACCCTTATAATTGATAGGAGTGTTTTTATTATTAATACCTGATTTTGTGCTAATAAAATGACTTATGCTGGGCCTTTAGATAGTTTTAGAATAAGAGATGGTCATGTCAAAAATATGAAGCATGTGATTAGTGGATTTGGGGCTTTGATCCATGTAATATTTGACTAAACTCCTGACTCCAGTGAGAGGAGGGGTCTACAGATTGAGTCCAATCACTTGGCCAATGATTCACCTAATCATACCTGCATGATAAAACTCCAGTGAAAACTTTGGACACCTGAAGTGAACTTCCTGGTTGATGATATGCACTGATGTGCTGGGAGTGTGATACATCCTGATAACAAAGAAGCTTCAAATTTGGGACCCTCCCATTCCAGGGCTTATGTGTCTCTTCATTTGGCTGGTCCTGATTTGTGTCCTTTCTACTGAAACTGTAATTGAAAATATAGCACTTTCCTGAATTCTATGAGTTGTTCTAGTGAATTATTGAACCTCGGTGGAAAATGTAAACCTTCACATTTATAGACACTTGATCAGAAATGTAGGTGGCCTGGCAACCTCAGAGCTTTCAACTGGTGTTTGAAGTGAGCATAGTCTTGTGGATGCCTGTGTCCTTAACCTGTAAAGTCTGCACTAATTCCAGGTAGTGATAGAATTGCATTGCAGTAATCATGTTCCTAATCTGACTAACACTAGGTTTAAATGAACAGATTAAGTTGTTTGTTTAATATGCAATTCATGTAAACTTCCTCAAGAAGCTGTACCCACTAGGGGGTGGATAAAACATTAATTTAATCCAATCTGATAATTTAAACAGTTTCTTGAGATAAAGGACTTCCATATCTCCTGCTCTGGCTACTCTCTGAGATGACAGTGCAGGGTACAGGTCATATATAAACTCATGAAAAAGGACAAGAGTCAGAGGCCTAGAATGTGCTATCTTTTGCCTCTTCTGTCACCAAGGCACTGTCCCTTGTTTGTCTGATGGTGGGTCTCCTTTCTTGTATTCAAACATTTGTCTGGGGTTAATATAACTTGGGATCTCTGTTGAAGCCTGGTCGCCATTGCCAGTTAGACTTTCCTTAGCTAAGCCCCTAGCTCTATAGAGCTTCCTGAATGGGTGGCCGGCCCTCCACCTTTACTGCTGGGTTAAGTTGCTTTTTCCCATGGCTGGCCCAATTGCAGGCCTTCAGGCACTCAAATCTGCAGCTTTCAGCGTGTCCTCTCAGGGAGATTTGATCTGAGAACTCATAAGTCTTTCCATCCTACAGGGGATACAAGGGAGTGTCTTGTCTCATATACAGAACAAGAATGCATGATGAGAAACCATCCCTCCACCTTGATATGCCTTTCTTTTTATCAAATACGTCTTACATCAGCTTCATGCCTGGCCTTCCTTTTCTTCCATTCCCCATCTTGATGGAGAGGAATAGACTCTCTACCCTATTCTCTACAGCGTTACTCAGTGTCAGAGGTCAAAAACTACATGGTATAATGGGGAAATTAAAACAATTCAGATTAATTTCTTCAAAATGGTATCTTTTGTTAAATAAAGATAAATATTCATATTTATATATTTAAAGAATTAAAACATGTATGTGGCCAAAATAGAAAATCACTGTTTTGATAAAAATATATTAGATATTGTTCTACTTTTCTTCATAATGGTATTCAAATAGGACAGCTAAAGACAAAACAGTATTTAAACTATTTAATTTAGTTATCAACATGCATTCATTTTGAATCATGATTTTTAAATAATATTGCTGAAAATTTAAAGTAGTGTGGTTGGTGAGAATCATAGCTTCTTTCTATGTGTTCATATTTCATTGAATAATAGAGTTGCTTTTTTTATCTTTAACAAATAAAAACATGATCAATACCTAGCATTAGATTTCTTACAATTTGAAGAAACTTTATACCATATTGGTTCTGCTGTACAAATGAGAGATAAAATTGCTATTTTAAGATGAGAATTGTACGTAACTTTTATCTTCCCTAACAAAAAGTAATGTGCATTTACTCCACAACGATTTGAAAGTGTGAATAAAAAGTGAAATAATCTAAACTCCGACTACTCCAACAAAAAAGCCTTTAGCTTCCAATACGTAAAATCACTGAATCCTATGGTTCAGAGAAACAAAACTAGTTGCTAATATCTTTCCAGGTATACTTGCAGATTTTTCAAAATGCATTCATTGAAAAACATTTATAACAATAATATTACACTGTAGAGGAATATTGTGTCCTATATTTTAAATTTAACACCAAATAATAAACAAAATTAGAATATTAAACAAGTTTGGAACATTGTCATTGTGGAATTAGGAAAGAACTATATAATAATACCAATAGCTTCTACTTACTGGCACTTAATCAATACAAGGATACTGCAAAGAGCTTTATTTATATATGCTAAAATTTTATTTAATACACAAAATATAGGAAGTAAGTGCTATTATTGTTCCTTTTACTGATTTTTTTATAGATAGGTTAGAAATGATTATGTCAACCATCCAAGGTTACAAAGCTGGTAATAGGCAGTGAGGGCATTTGAACTCTAAACTATCCACAATTTAAACCCCAAGTTTGATAACTGAGAGAATGAGCCATACCTATAAGCTCTTTCTCCCTGTTTCCAAATCTAGACACAGGCTAGCCAGTTATCCTGAATTATTTCAAAACCCAGCAAAGCAAGTGTTCACTCTTTTCCCTTCCCCTTATTTTCCAACCTATGCTCATTACTACTTCCTATTTCTCAAATATATGATGGCTAACCATATGGTTAACATCATATATATTATCTTGGGAATCAAAGATGATGTATTGAAAGATAAGTTTTCACTAAACCCAGTGATAATAGAACAAGAGATGCTGTTTTTTGACTTGACAATTACATTTAATATTGATTTGTATGTTTTCCTCAAATGTTGATAATATTTTTTTCAAAATTCATTGGCCCCATTTATTCCTTTGAAAAATCCACACTAAAGTTTTTTTCTCCTCCCCCTTCACTTATTGCCAGACTAAATTTAGAGAAAGACAAGTGCTGTGTTGCCAAATCGTGAAATGTGTTTGGGCGAGGTGATGAGAGTTGGTTTGTGAGCAGTAAGGGCTGCTGCTATTTTTGCCAAGAGAAGTATAATATACATGACTCTTTAAAAATTATCTATTGTGTGTCTTTTAAGCAATCTTGGTTTTAAAATCTATTGTGGGTCTTTTATGCAATCTTGGTTTTAAAAATTGAAGCATTCTTTAACATTCATCAGTTGTGAAAATTTTTCTTAAAAAGGGGGAATTTATCTCATTCCTTTAAAAAATAATTTTATAATTACATAAAAATATAATATTTTATAATATATAAAATATATCAATTAATATAATTTATAGGTAAAAATTTATGTATTAATTTCAAAATAGTAACTGTAATGTGGATTATAAAAACAGTTTCACCATGTCTACCAGGAGATATCATCCCATCATAGAAAGCCGGTTCGAAACTAACTGAAGATATGATCTCTTACTGGTTTATATTCTTCTAAAGTTTTGACTGGCTAGATTCATTGAAATCTAGATTCACAAGGTATTTTCATTTATATGGTCATATTTAATTGCATCCCCTAGTAAAAAAAATCATCTAGAATATTTATTCTATTCATTATGGTGTAACAACTTGCATTTGATTTTTTTCATACTGAGAATTTTTTTCCCTACTCTACTGTGCTATGATTACATGAAATAGCTATGATACCAGCATTTATAGAATCTAATTAGAGTATGCCTATGTGGAGAATGATTCCAGGATTGAAAATTTCTTGCGTAAAATGCTTTAAAATATTCTTCCAAATCAACTCTGATTTTGAATTTAATTGTGGTGGCCCATTACTGCTTTTAACATTTCTGGACTACATTCTTGGCATTAAACTTGTCTTGGGAGTGGAAGGAAGAAGGAAAAAATATCCCAGTAACTAGTAAACAAAAACAGGCAGAATATTAGAAGGAAAATATTCATATTCATCCTACCACCTCTCCCTGCTGCCATTTGACCTAGCTACCAGCAACGTAACCGAGCAGCTTATTTGAAGAGTCTATTATACTGGTTCAAGGACTGGGAAGCAGACTCCTTGGGTTGAAATCCCAGCTCTTCACTTACAAGTTGTGCCATCTTAAGCAAGTTACTCATCTGGAAGTAGTTTAACAAGCAAATAACCTAGCATGCTGGATTATAATAAAGGTCAACTGGTTAATATGCATGGGTAAACCACTTAGGACAGAACACACAGGGTACACAAAATATATGTGTTTCTAAAGTAAAATAATCTCATTCCTTGTGATTTATAACCTTGAAATAATTATATCCATTTAATAATCTACTCATTCACATATTCAGAAAACATTTACAGAGTACTATAACTGTTTTTCACTTTTTTTCTGGGCCTAGAATAATTTTGTCCAATGTGACAAGCAACAATTTTTGTCGACACATTGTAGGTATTAAGAATTGAATAAAAGAGAAATCCAGTGTATTCCATCTACTTCTTTCATATACTGAAGTGGCATTCCAAATGAAATGTTGTCTAATTCCGTATCTGAGCCAAAGTGGTAAACCCAATGCTGGATCATGTAGTCTTAATATGCAAGAGCACTGAAGAGAGAACCTGTTTTAGGGTATCCCCCAGGACATAACAGATATGCAGATCTGTCTGATCACCTTGTCACTCTGCTACAGCCATGCTGGTCTCCTTGCTTTGTTAGGACATGTCAAACAATCTTCCACCTCAGGAGATTCATATTTGCTGCTCCTTGTCTAGAGCACTCCACTTCTCCTAATCTCCCTACTTCTATCCCTGCTCTGACACACAATCTGCTTGACCCATGTCCTCATCTCCTTCAGGTCTCAACTCAAAAGTCAAGTTCTCAGTAAGCCTTCCTTGGACCACCCTTTAAAAAATAGCAACTTCTCCCATATACTCAGCATTTTTGTCCTGCTTTGTTTTCCTCTTTATCACTATCATCTTGTAATATAATAAATATGTGTTTCCTTAAGTATTGTTTTCATTTTACATGTAAAGACATATTTATTTTCTTTATGTATCCTTTCCCATACAGTGTAAGCTCAATTAGAACAGTCACTCTATTTGTATACTCAATGCCAAAAACAGTGCCTACCACATATCACATGTCCAAATGTTTAATAAACTTTAGAATAAATGTAGTTACTTTATCTATTTGCCTGTGTCTTGGGCTATTTGCTTTCTTTTGTGCAAACTAAATAGAACCTGCAGCAACCTGGAGTTATGCCCAATGAGCACTACAAATTAGTGGTAGTTCTCTAGTAGCAATGGGACATCCTGGTGCTCAGATCTGTTTTTTAAACACCTTTTCCCATTAAAAGGAACTGAGATCCTTTGAAGAACTGGCTGATTTCAGGTCTAAAGAAGGCGAGCCTGAGATAGTTGTGTGTTTGTGTGTGTGTGTGTTCAGAAAATACGCATACAAAGACTAATGGAAGTATGTCAAAGGACATATGGATCAACTTGAAGGAGCTTTCACTGGCAAAATTTGGGATGACTTGTGTACTAAAAAGAAGTGAGTGTAATTTATTTTAATGCAACAAAGAAAGAAAAACACACAAGTGTATTAATATTGAGAGAGAGAGAGAGAGAGACTGAGACTCATTTGCAACACTGGAACTAATACAGCTTCATTGGTTTCAGAGAAGACAATAATAAGTTAATTAAATGACATGTCCAAAATGTCAAATATGACTTCAGATTTTCAGAGCGTGTTGCAGATTAATTGGCAGAAACAGCATGTGTGTACTTTCTATAAGCTCTCAACATGAAGGGTGGAGGCCACAGACTTAACAGAAGAGGGAGCACCACACAAAACAGTAGCATATCTTATTCTGTATTTTTTTAAATTAATGATACCCTACAGAGTGGGTACATAGCTGTCATTCACATTCTCTGCAGCGGTGAGAAAATAGTCAATTTCTTGCTAACAACAACACAAAAGTGGTTTATACTTAGAGCTTAGATCGCCATTCTGGAATGCTAACCATCTATGTTGAAAAAAATGTTTATAGACATCCATTCTTCTGCTTCTCAAACCACATTTGGTATTAGCAGGAGTACATTCTCAAAGAAGGAACTGCAGAATCAGTAACTAGGTTCCATAGGCAGTCTCTATTTCTAGGTTATTTCCGGTAAATGTGAATCTCCACACTCAGATTTCAGTGCTTTCATCTTGTGATTCTGATATTTGGTTTAACCACCACAATCATGAAGCACGCCTCTATCTCCCCAACTATGAATGTATACTCCCCCAAAGAGAACAGCATGTCTTTAATCACTGATGCCAGGGGCTTCAAAATTGTTAATTAAAATGCTCCTGTAGAACAGCAGTTAATCCTAGTCCTCAATGATATTAAATTATCTTTAAAATATTTATTGTGGTTAAAGAAGCTTTTATCGACTCCAAGGTCCTACTGTGGTCAGTAGTTCTTTGTAACCTAAAAACAGCCTAATATCATAATTGAAAGAAAAAAGAAACAATTTGTAAACTGCTCTATGCTGGAAACACTCAAAGTTGGATTTGAATCATTGACTTTCACCCTGTTATTAGAGTTTTACTTAATATGTCCAGATCTGAGATCATAATTTTGGCTTACAACTAGACAGATGGTACTCAATTACACATTTAATGCTACATTTTCTAATGTAACAATACAAAAATAGTTATCAGGGGCTGCATATCCATTTTCTGTAGACACCCAGGAGAAATAACTTTCACATTTCCTCTTTTATCATCTACTTCTGTGCAGCCAGAAGGTTGCATGCCACTCCTTACCATCTGTCAATGTATTGCTTGCTAATATATTTTTCTTTAATCAGAGAATTGATGGGACATTCTGGATAAGATTCTATTTAATAGCAAAAGATGATCATTTTTTAAAGAATTAGATTATACTTGAGTACTAAAATTACATGAAACATTATTGACATTCTCCTTAATATTTCAGATGGCTCATCAGTTTTGATATTCCTTGTATTTTTTTTAAAGAAAGAGCTTACAAAAATCCCATAAAATAGAAAATGATCAGAATCAGAAGAGGTGATCCTTATTTCTATGCCACTATGTTCACCATCCCTGGTGTAAAAGATTGCATCCTTCTATTAAGACCAATTGAATGCAATAAAAAATTGCAAAACCTACTAAGTACCTTTTTAGTCATATCTCCAGAATACCCCATGACTTTTCAGTTCCCATGAATAACACAGGTGTAAATAAAATTTTGCCTGTAGTTACCATGGTGTTTTTATAAATGTTTTATTATTATTGGGAAAAAAAAAACACCACTCTTCTGATAGGGCTTGCATGCAATTAGTCACGTGTATTTATAGAAACAAAGTCCTAATTTAACTGATACTTTTATGGTTCACCTTACTCTTACAGATGCAAAGTTTAATTGTTTGCTGCTGTATGCCTTTGTGTTACCAAGGGTTAGATAACATGTAACCAAAAAGACTTTGATTTTTCTCCTCTTTTCATGGAATTGTATTAAAACTAATTTGAATGCTAAATAAATTGATGTCTCTCTTGGTTCTGAAAACTGGCAGAATATTTTCTGTGAAGCAAAAGAACACACACTCACACCTCTGCAATTTATGTAGAGGATGGTTATATAATCATTTCACACAGATGAACTCTAAAATTTAAAATGAAATATTTGTGAGACCACTGACTTTTAAATCACCTAAGAATGTTACATTTCTATCTTGTTGTTGATTTGTAAATGCACGTTTAATCATTACTTTTCAATATCCCCTTATCCACAATGGAAATAGTTTCTGAAAGTGAAGATATATGTATTTAAGATATCTGGAAACTATAGATGGTGAATGTAATCGTTCCACCAAATGATTCTCACCACTCCTCTCATCAGTTAGGTTTTATGACAAAGCAGATAGTTACAAATTCATTACTACTGCTGAACAGCCAACCAATGCAAGCATAGTGCTGTATAATAATTTTTATTCAAAGTGTTTCATGAGAAATTTAAAGTCTCAATTAAGCTTATGAGTCTTAGATTATAAATATTGGCAATGTGATCACACCATATTTAACAGGTATTTATGAAACATTTATTTTGTCATCAGCACTATGATAGACATCGGTGATATAAAGGTGAACAGAAAGATATATGGGCTCTGCTCTCTGGAAAGTTCCATTCAAAAAGAGAAAAAACAATATATATAAATGTATAATTATATACTGAGATAACCTGTATGAAAGAAAAAATATGGGGTTATAAACCTATAAAACAGAGGAACATGATCATATCTATTTGGTCAGGAAAGGCTGTTATATTAGCTATGATGAGATTCAGTTGCATATGTAAGTATCACGAAATAAGAGTGACAGAAATGAGAAAGAAGTTTACTACTCTTTTATAAAAAAGACTACTGAATATAGGTGTTCCAAGGTCATGCACAGAAGCTGCAAGTTGACAAAGGTCCATACTCCTTCTCTTTTGTTTCTGCCATTTTAAGCATGTGCTTCCACTTTATAAACAAAGATGGCTGGTTGAGCCCCAGCAATCAGGTTTGCATTCCAGTTAGCAAGTAGAAGGAAAGCTTTATGCAACCTGTTCCCTTACATTAGCAGGTGAACACTTAGTCATACAGCCAACCATAGCCATCCCATTTCACGTGACCACACCAGCTTCCCTTCAGTTTTAAGTTCCCTTACAATTGAAGGGAAGCTGGTGTGGTCATGTGAAATGTGCCTGATTAAGAATGGGGTGTCCTTCAATAAAGCAGAAGAAAAGAATGGATATTTGGAGGCAGGTAGCAGTACCTATCATAGATGTCTTGAGAAAATGACTTTGGATCTGAGATTTGAAGGATAAAGAGATGTTAGCCAGATGGAGTGAGGAAGGGAAGACTGAAAAGCAGTCCAGACACATGGCTGCACCAGCCTCACTTGCAACTGAACTTGAACTTCCTGTATCCAGCAGTCTTTATGTGGGAAACAAAACTTCTTTCAGTCAATGCCATTTTGTGATTTTTAACATATGTGATTGAACTTAATCCTACCAAATAAAACAACCGTTGCTGACCCTTTAGATAAGGCCTACTTATTCTATTTTTACTGTTTTTCTGGGTCTCATGCATGACTAATGGTTTTTGTTTTGTTTTGTTTATTAATAATAGCAGGTTTACTCTTACCATGAGTTTATGATAGCATCTAATATCACAAACCCAAAAGTAAATAAATCTCTATCAAGGCTATATAAATGTCTTTAGAATGCATACAAATTTTATAAGTAGCTTCTTGAAGTATTTCTTATTGCTGAACTATACCAAAGATTTTGAAAACTTTTAGATAATCACGTCATATTTTAGGAAATTGGAAAGCATTTTAAAACAAGTTATTCAACTAGTATGATTTCATCTGAAAATATTCCCTGTATTTTTTTTGGAGGGAGGGATTGGTAATTTATTCAAAATAATTTCAAATGCTGTTAATCCATTCATTTGTTTTTGACACATCCAGACTCAGCATGAATTTTTTTATAATACAGCTGAAGATACTAGAATTTCACATACATATAATATTTCAAGTATAAATTAATTGAGCTGTAGAGATAAGAAAATAAATGTTTATCTAATTTTGTTACTCAGGATAATAAAGTGCTTTACTAAACAGGCTATTTTCCTTTGTAGATTTACTTAATAGGAATTCAAATTCTTTCAACAGAAAATGTTTCCAAAACAGACAAACATTAGAATATCTTGTCTTTCATAAAATAATTATCCCAAATAATGAGCTTAGTAAAATTAACATTCCTCTGCTTAGAGGAAAACCAGACATTATAGTAAAATATTTCACTTTTAAGAAGAGCTTTTAAAAAGTTTATTCTTTTATTGTTTTCCTCCACATTTTCTCTTTGGATTGGTTCCCTCCTGTATGAAAGGTTCCTATCCTGTGCACAGTATTAGCAAGTAGATATAACCGTCAAACATATTTTTCCTACTAAGAAGAAGCCATTGGCAAATGCCAGAGAGCATTCATTAAACCACCATAATAGGAAATATAACCATATGAGTGAGTTGTTCAAAACAATTCAAAGAAGAGGAGGTTGGACACCTGTTGACAAACAACATAGAAGTATATAATGTAAACTTTTTAGAAAAGATTTTCAGCAAGAAAGTTTCATTAAATTGATTGAATGTGAAAGATATTGATGCCTTAAAATTAGAGTATTTATGACAATAAAGTATTTAGGTAAAGTGAGGTGCAAAGATAAATTGGGTGGAGAGGAAGAGCAGGTTGGTTTAGCTAGAAAGGCCGTGTTAGCAGTAATGAAATATAGATGAACATAATTGGTTACTGTGAACTTGTTTAGTGACAACAAAGCTGACTTTCAACTTTGGCAGTTGTATCAGTTAACTATTGTTTTATAAGAAATTATCCCAAAATTTAGTGGCTTATGGCAGTGATTATATTTAGCCTGTTTTTCTGGTTCAGGATTTGGGGATGGCTTAGTTGAGTGGTCCAACCTTGGGATCTCTCATGAGGTTTCAGCCAGTGGTCAGCTTGAGAAGTGTCATCTGGAATCTTTCTATTACGAGAAGATCCACTTCTTTCATTCTGTGAATGAAAAAAGTGTTTCATTCACAGGACCAGCAATTTAGTGCTGGCTATGGGCTGGAGGCCTTAGTGACTTTCTATGTGGGCATCTCTACAGGGCTGTGTAAGTGTCTTTAAGCATGGTAGCTGGTTTGTGAGCAATCAAGAGAGGTAGGTAGAAGCTGAAATGCCTTCATGATCTCATTTCAGAAGGCACACACTGTCACTTGCACCATATAATATTCACACAAGGTGACCTCTAATTTAATGAAGAAGGGGTCTACACAAAGGCAGACATATCAGGAAGTGAGGGTGTTTGGGGGTTGTCCTTGAGGTTATCAACCAAATTAGGTATTATTATTATCATCATCATCACCATCACCATAATGATGAACATTAGAATATCTTGTCTTTCATAAAAAATTATCCCAACTAACCAGCTTACTAAAATTAACACCCCTCTGCTTAGAAAGAAACTGTAAGTTATAGTAAAATATCTCACTTTTAAAAAGAACTTTTAATGAGTTTATTTTATTTTTATTTAAAAAGTTTCATGACGAGGATGATGATCAACATTTTTATTATAGAAAGGCTAATACTTAGTAGCTTACATCATTTCTAATCTTTATAAAATTTCTTTATATCATTTCCAATCTTTATAACAATTCTGTGAGATAGGTTTTATTATTTTCATTTTATAGTGAGAGCGTAGTTAAATAACTTGCCCAAAGTCACATGGTTAGTAAATGGTAGCATATCTGTCCATCTGATTCAAATCTCACATTCTTTTAGCCATATCATGATGCCTCTCAGGAAATATTGTCTGCTCTGGGCTGATTTTGCTAGATATCATAAATGCCTGTATAGTGATTGATACACCTCTTAAATGAAGCACAAAGTACAGGAGAAGGAGACACTAATCAACATCAATAATTCAGGTACTTTAAAGTATTGTTTCCCATAATAGTTAAAATACATTTAAAAATAATGCTCATTTTACAATATTAGAATAAGATTGCCAATTTTCTTCTAAGTGAAGCTAAATTGAAAAAAATCATGAGACAAGTTATTAGTGAATATTTAGCTGGTCATAAGCAAGTGCTTTCTTTACGACTTTTCTAATATTACATTTTTTGTATCAATTTGTAATTTCGAACTTTTATAAAAGCAAAAGTGACACTCATAATAGGCCTTATTATTGAGATGTAGCTAAAGGTAAAAAGATAATGACCAAATCCACTAGGAGGGATTGTGTACTCGAGGAATAGCAACCACATAATACCCCTCTAGTAATGAACATTAATTGTTTTAATCAAGCTCTAATTTGAAATCAGAATTTTAAAAAACTAATCACATTTATTGTAGTGGATAATTTAAAGCTTTTGTTTCATTTTAAACAGATTCTCAGTGACAGATAAATCATTATTTAGGAAGAGACGAATATCATTCCTGACATGGCAATATATTAAGTCTAAGTCTGGAAATTCCTGGACAAACATATGCCCTAAAGGAGGTATAAGCTAAAGGTCATTATTACAGAGGGCTGTTCCACAATTTAATTAGCTTATTTTCATGTGAAAAAAGTAGTTTGGTATCCTCACAATGCATACATCAATTGGAGTTACAAATTGGCTTACGAAGGAAATAATTAAATGACTTCATCACACAAATCAAAGCACATCTTTCTAAAATATAATTATTTATAACTGAAGGAAGGCTCTGTGAATATTTAACCTTCCATTCACCATTCTTCACATAGACGGTACCGTTTGTAGTGCTAAAAATACTCCATCTCTTATACACTATTTTCCAATTTGTGATATTTTTGCATAGGCATCACCTCAGATTCAGATTAAAAATGCTAATTCATTTTCTCCTACATATTTTCTGCATCATCTCTGGAGGTAGTCTTGGTAGTCTGCATTTTGGATAATTATGCATTCTGAAGTTCGAGAATCACTGTAACAATTCCAAGGATCTTTTACTCTGATCCAAGAGAGAGAAGAGATAAAATAAAATGCAGCCAATAAAATCTGAAACTCACAGGCAATTTCTAGAGAGAATTTGAATTGACAGTAACAATTAATTATATTATTAAGGAACAAAGTATTTCATTTAAATATTTGATACTTTGTAATGATATTAATAAAATAGTACTGTAAGTACACCTGTTTTGCATTCGTGCATGTCAAGCCTCATGATGGGTTCTTTACATATGCAGTATCTCAGTTCACCTTGATGACAATCCCTTGAGGTTGGTATTCCTATCTGCCCCATTTTACAGATGTAAAAAGTGAAGTTAGAAAGATTAAATCCCTTGTCCAGAAGGTGGTAAAGAATGATTAACACTCAGCTCTGTATGACTTCAAATGCTATAAGGATTCCATACTAATAACTTTAGGGAAAACGGTTTGCTATTAAAAGAAAATTGAAGCTGATTTGAATAGCACGGTATGGTTGAACATCAAACAGATTGAAATGGAATATCTATATTTTATATGGTATTTATATAAAGTACAGGTAGCCTGATATTAAATACACATTAAATATAAATAAATATATTTTAAATTTTAAAATATTTTAAAACTTTTATGTTAAAATGCTTACAATAATAAATTATTTCCCTCACTTATAACTTCTCTCTACCAAATAAACAAAAACATCAACAACTACACACATGCATAAATGATAATTATATCCTGTTAGATACTTCATATTCTATAGAAACGATGTCAACTTTAATGAATATATCGCCAACATAAAGCTTGGTACAACATGTGCTTTGTGCCCTTTGAGATAATTACATATATCCTTTATATATTTAGACATTTATTGAACACCCACAATTTGTTCACCTAAAAAAGTGTATTTTTTTCCTTAAGGAACTCACAGAATCATGGGAAAACAGATATGCATAATTAAATCAGATATGTGGTAATTATTATAATTGAGGTAAGCGCAACATTATATGCAATCTCAACAAGAGTAATGGTGAACCTAAATTGAGGGACTGTGACACATTCATATATTGCACCGGACTCTGAAGAAACAGTGAGATTTTAGCACACAGAAGTAGAAAATGGGGAAAGGATGGCACAGAAAGAAAGTGTTAGAAGAAGTGAGGACTGTACAGATGTCATAGACACTTTTTTTTTTTTTTTTGGTCTTAAAGGAAATCTAAAATCTCCTTGAGCACAATCTGTGGTGTACCTTGTTATAGCAGGTGGGACAGTGTTGGGACAGGGGTTGAGCAAGCCAGGCACAAGACCAGCAGATCACAGCATATACATGATTAAACGAGGTCCAGATTGGGCCAGCCACATTTTCTCTGCCTTGAGTAGAGGGCTGTGAGTACAGTTAAACTATCTAGTGATGGATGACATTGTAAAGAGACTGCCCTTCAGTGCATTCTAGTACAGAGATCTCCAAAGCTGCTTTGATTCCTCCAGGACTTTACGCGCAGGTCCTCTTCTCTGTGAGGCCTCTCCTCCCCATATCATTTAAACTGCACACTCTAACACTCCCTTCCCACTTCCTATGTTCCCTATTTCTCCTTAGCTTTTATCACTGCCCAGCATGCTATACATCATCCTATTTATTTTGCTATTATCTATTTTATCCTATTAGAATATAAGCTCCATGTTTCACTTCCTTGCCGTAATTTATCCAGTAACTAGAATAGAACTTTGTACATAATAGTCACGTGAGTCAAACAAAACAAAACAAAACGAACAAACAAACAAACAAACAAAAACAACCCTGATATTTTTGGTTTTCTTTCAGTGTTTCTGTATCATTCTGATACATTTTTATTTTGTTTAATGTGCCCATAAGTTTCTGCTGCTTTCAACTGCAAGCCTCAACTGAATGGTGTTTTAAAATGTATAAAATGCCTTCCAATATATTTTCTCTTCAACCTTGAGAAACATATTTACTATTTTTATTACTTTAAAAATAAACTGAACCTCGGGGAAATTCAATATTTGCATATTAACGTTTCAAGTTTAGATATAAGGCCCAAATTCATATTTCCTGCTCCTTGCATTTTGTAGTCCGCCTCATCTAGAAAATCCCCAATATCGAGATTTGACTAAGATTCCATTTTTAATGATTATTTTACTCCAATACTTATTGATTCATATTTATATCCAATTGAAACATCTTGTTTACATTCACTTTTATGTATTCCCACAGGTTTCTCACCAGACATGGTGAACAATAATAATGTATTCAAATCAAAGAGTCTTGCTTTTGAATAGATGGAATTGAGTTTCTCTTCCATGTTCTTTTCCTCAGACTACATAATGCCTGTGATTTTCTTCATCCTTTCTTCTTAAGATCTATTTTTCACTTAGTAAATTATATTGGCAGCATTTCATATTAAATATTTCTCTATATTTTTTGAAAATGTAATATACTAACTGGCTATATTAATAA
This sequence comes from Homo sapiens, assembly GCF_000001405.40. Lineage (NCBI taxonomy): Eukaryota > Metazoa > Chordata > Mammalia > Primates > Hominidae > Homo > Homo sapiens. The sequence goes on from NC_000012.12 coordinate 81,582,440, forward strand.
AATTAGATTAACGCAATATTAAAAATAAGGCTAATTTTCTAGGCCTGTGAGTGTATTTGACCCTTCTCTACAAAAGCACAAATTCTCCTACCTTTCGTTTAGCTTATAAAAAACACTATGACTGTCCCTCTCATCATTATCTACAATGGTTGATGTGCTCACACGTCCTTCAATGCATGTTTCATACTGCTACTTATTCTTTCTTATTAGATATATGTAAAAGTTAAATTTGGGGATTACTTAATAGTGCAAAATATATTAACTTTATTTCAGTTACAATATTTTACAAGGTAAAAAAAAATCTTCAAATTTGTATTACCAAATAACATCTATTCACTTCACATATATTTTTGGAGTGTCACATATGATGAAATGTCCTGGGAATCATCATTGAATAAAATACATTTTCTTGGAATTTATGTCTGTAACATGGTACTATAATAACATTAAGCAAAGTACAATTTTCCGGGGAGTTTTTCTATTTTTTTGAGAAGTGAAATATATTTTCAATAAAAATATCACTTCCTATGTTCATTACCTAAAGAATAACCCATATTCAGTCAGTTCAACATTACTCATTGAAACCTTGAATTCCTTGCCTCCTTAATATTTCGTGGCATCTGCCAATACGTATTTCCATTTCAATTCTGTTTAGAAAGATAATCACAGAAATCTACTTAAAAGACAGCTACACATCTATGCTTCCAATTGCACCTTGACTCTCATTGCTGCTAACATCTATTATCCCCCAAAAAGACATTATTTCCAATATTTCCCACTCTCCTGAAGCATGCAACGTCATTCCTGTGCCATTTACTTTTGGTACAGTGATTAGGATAAAGCCATTTGATGTAAATTGTTTCAAAATGCTTTCTATCAAGTTTTATTACGTCTCTTTACCCATCTTCTCTTTTCCTTTTTTTTTTCTAAGAAAATGAAGCATTAGTCACTACAAGGTTTATGTGCTAGCTCTTAACCTCACCCTTTTCAATTTCTTCAGCATTCTCTGCCTTCTATCAATAAATACAGTAAAGATCAGAGAAAATACATATTTTCCTTCTTGTCATGCAAATAACCTAGAAGAATATTTAAAAATAAATATAGGATGTTTAAGATTTATTAAAACAAATTGGCCATTGCTTTTTCCAGTAAAACATGCTAAAACAGAAACTAGCCTGTTCTCAGAACAAGGCTCTTAGCTGATGGAGTATTCTTCATAATTACCATCACCAATGGGTTGTACTGAATGAGTGTGTCTATGTGTGCATAACACAACATGGAGACAGGGAATGGCATCCCTAAAGATCTGGAGGCCTAGGGTCCACAGTATGTTTTAGAACTTCAAGAAGGTAAAGAAAACAAAAATTCTAGGGAATGTCTGCCATGGAGAAGCTCTGCCTAGAATGGTCCCTCAGTTCATGGCCCATTGGCCAGCCATAAACCATGGCTGGTATGTATGTATTAATAAAATACTTCTTTACTTATGTTTTTGTAATATAATTATTTCAAAATTCCTCAAGACTTTTTAAAGAATAAAATTCTTCCTCAAATTCTTTCTCAATTGACACATTTAGAATTAACTGATTCTTTTAGCACAATATAACTGCATCTTACAATCGTCTATTAAAATATTTGTTTTAACCTCTTATGCTTTACAAAAACTGCTCCCTGAAAATATACTTCACATCTAAAGCAAGTTCTTGATAAGTGTTTCCTGAATGAAAGAACAGTGTATGCAAATATTTGAAATATATTGTTGTTAAAACATGTGATTCCTTATATATTAAATATTTAACATTAAACAAAATTGTGTTAAAACAAATAATGTAGTCAGACAGTGATAAATTATAATGCTCGAAATACAGTTAATGTATAATATTTTATTTATGATGCCATATATCATTTAGGATTTCAAAGATGGCTTCATTTTCAGCATCTGTGTAACATCAACCAACTACACCTATGGCTTCTTATAGTCCTATTATAACCTCAGAGCTGGATCATCTTAAAAAGAGCAGAATAATAATGTGCCAAAGAAGACAGAAGTACAGGATAAAGTATGCTACAGTTATACATCATCTAATGACTGGCTTGTGTTCTGAGAAGTGCGTAATTAGGTGATTTTGTCATGTAAACATCATGACACAATACATAAATCTAGATGGCGAGCCTACTACGCATCTAGCCTATATGGCATAGCTTACTGCTCCTAGGCCACAAACCTGTACAGCATGCTACTGTAGTGATTACTGTAGGCATTGTAATATGGTAGTAATTGTATATCTAAATATATATAAGGCCTATCTAAAACATATGGTAAATATATAGCATAAAAGAATAAAAAGCATTATATATAATATATATATTTATTATATACAATAAATTTATTATATTTACATATTTTATAATTATAAATATAATATAATTATATTATATAATTATATATTAATTATATTTATATATAATATATTATATATTAATTATATTTATATATAATATATTATATATTAATTATATTTATATATAATATATTATATATTAATTATATTTATATATAATATATTAATTATATTTATATATAATATATTAATTATATTTATATATAATATATTATATAATTATATAATATATAAATATAATATATATAATATATAAAAGAATAAAAAGCATAAATATATAGCATAAAATAATAAAAAAGAATAAATATAGGGCACTTACCATAAATGGAGCTTGCAGGACTGCAAATTGCTCTGGGTGAATTGGTGAGTGAGTGGTTGGTGAATGTGAAGGCCTAGGACATTACTGTACACTACTGCAGGCATAGTAAACGATGTACACTTGGGCTACACTAAATTTACAAAACATATTTTTCTTCCTTCAATGATAAATTAGCCTTAGCTTACTGTAACTGTTTTACTTTATAAACTTTAGGTTATTTTTTTCACTTTTTGACTCTTCTGTAATAACACTTAGCTTAAAACATAAACACATTGTATAGCTGGACAAAAATATTTTCTTTCTTTATATCCGTATTCTATAAGCTTCTTTTCTATTTGATTTTTGTTTTTACTTTTTAAACTTTTAAATTAAAAATAAGACACAGACATGCACATTAGCCCAGGCCCACAGAGGCTCATGATCATCACCACCATTGTCGTCCACCTCCACATTTTGTCTTACAAGAAGGTCTTCAGGAACAATAACACCCACAGAGCTGTCACCACCTATGATAATAGTGCCTTCTTCTGGAATTCTTCCTGAAGTACCTGCCTGAGACTATTTCACAGTTAAGTTTTTTTTAATAAGTAGAAGTACACTCCAAAATATCAATTAAAATATTGTATAGTAAATGTATAATCCAGTAACATAGAAGTTTATTATCATTATCAAGTTATTATGTACTGTACATAATTGTATGTGCTATACTTTTATATGACTTGCAGCATAGTAGGTTTGTTTACACTAGCATCACCACCAGCATGATGCATTGTGCTATGACGTTATGATGTGTATGATGTTATGATGACTATGATATTATGATGGCTATGATGTCACTTTGTGATAGAAATTTTTCAGTTGCATTGTAATCTTATAGGACCACCATTATATATGCACTTTGTCATTGACCACAATGTCATTAAGTGGTTGTATGACTGTATATACAAACATTACACTGTAGTTCAGAACTGTTGCTTTTGCATTAATTTTATTTTGTAGAAAACAACCAATAAATACAATGTTTTCTATGAATCATGTGTCTTTTCTTCACCAAAATAATTACAATCAAGAATATTTACGATACAATAATTAGGTTATGTCCATTGCTTCCTAGTGTCATTGTCCAGTTTTCTATTTAAAGTTGCTGAGGTTTGCTTTTTGATATAACTTAAAATATCAGTTTGTGATATTCTTTTAACATGCCAGTAATAGCATTGACTCTTTTTGACTCCCAGTGATACAAATTTCTTTAAATCTTTACATGTTGTATGCAGCACTTAGCATACAAAGTCAGCTATTCTCTTTTAATTTGTAGATACAGTAAATTATATTTTAAAATTAGCTAAATTCAGAAATTGGTAATTTTAATATACATATTTATGACTATAAAACTAAGATGGTAATAAAAGTCATAACAAAGATTCAATATGGTAAACTTCAAAATGAATTATATAACACAATTTAAAAATACACAAGAAATGCATTTATAAAGAAATACAAGAACACTTTCAAAAGGATACTTAGCATTCTGAAAATTTATATTATATAAGCACAAAATAATGTATATATTATAAGGATCTTGACAAGTCAATATATTTTACTGAGCTTCCCTAATTGATATATAAAATACTTAAAGTAGTGCCTGTGCTCACTTAACATTACATTTCTCTAAATTTAAGATAAGCCAATAAAAAGATTATTTGTAATCTTGAAATAAATTATGCTATTATTTAAAAAGTACCTTCATCATTAAAACAACAGTTAATCTTGAGTTCCATCTTTACTGGAAGTAAATACTTTTACAAGATTCCATATATATTCCATTGAGCTTTTAGAATAACCTTATGACCTAAATATTTTTTTTATTTTCCAATGGTTTAGGAAAGTAAAAATAGAGAAATAATTTCACTTGCTTATAGTCACACTCTAGCAAACTGTAGAACCTGTTTTTGAATAATGTATTTAATTCCAATGGTCATTGATATGGTTTGCATCTGCTTCCCCATCCAAATATCATCTTGAATTGTAATCCTCACATGTAGAGGGAAGGACCTGTAATTCCCATGTGTCGAGGGAGGGGAGTGATTGGATCATGGCGGCAGTTCCTCCTATCCTGGTCTTGTGATAGTGAGTTCTCATGAGATCTGATGGTTTTATAAATGCTTGACAGTTCTTCCTTCACACTTTCTCTCTCTTGCCTGCCACTTGTAAGACGTGCCTTCTTCCCCTTCCACCATGATTATAAGTTTCCTGAGGCCTCTCTACCCATGTGAAACTGTGAGTTAATTAAACATCTTTTATTTATAAATTACCCAGTCTTGGGTAGTATTCTTTATACCAGTGTGAAAATGGACTAATACATTAATGTTCTTAACTATTATGAATTTTTTAGAATAATTCTTGTTATTTGTAAAGTATTTTGAAAATATAAAAGGAAAAAGCAATAAAAATGGTAGCAAAGTTAAATATGAACTAGAATTAAAAGTAAATTTGGAAGTAGAATTATGTAATTGAAATTACCCAATTTATAATAATATTGTCTGTATGTACATTTAAAGTCAAAGCACTTCTGTTTATCTGTCTACTCTAGAGAACAGAATAATATGCTATTGTGACTTTTTGATAGTTTTCCTTGGGGTAACTCTAAGATCCTTGAGTGCAGAGGCCTAGTGTTTTTCTCAACATTGTTGAAGTCTGACATAATGGTGCCTCACAACAAGGTGTGTCAAAGTTAGCAAACTAATTTTAGTCTAAAATTTAAATATGAATTCATTTATTCATTCAAAAAGCATAGAAACTTTCTATATGACAGGCATTATGCTAGGTGTCAATAAAAATGTGACCAGTTAAGTGAAATAAATTATATGCTCTCTAGGAATTCCCAATCTAGTGGTGCAGAGAGACAAGCAAAAAACTAAGGGTAGTATAATAATGCAATACACATATCTTTATTATGGTAAGGAAGTATAAGAACAGGAGAATTTATCTTGAATTAGGTTTCAGGGATAATAGTCCAGGATGGGGTTGAATGGGAATATAAGCTTCCAGAAAGTATTTATAAAATAAAGCTAATACACACATTTAGGAGTCAGGAGTATCTAACTTTAAGTAACTTCAGGGGTAATATTCAAGGAGGGGTGATAAGGAAAACAACTTCCAAAATGTACTTACAAAGTAAACCAAGCACACACACTCAAAATAATGATAATTCTGTGTAAGTGAATGTGTCCAGCCCCACCCTACTCCCAATCTCCTCATTCTCTGCTAAAGCCATTTCATCTACTTCCATGGCTTCCTCTACCCAGTAACCAGATGTCTCCCACATTAACATCTACTACTCAGGCAGACCTCTTTCCTGAGAGCCAAACCTGTGTTTCCAGCTGTCTAATCAATCTGTTCAAAACTGAACTTAATATATTGTTTTCCAAACGGCTCCTTCTCCATATTCATCTCTCCTTCACTAGAAATATTAAAGATAAACCTGACCTTTCCTCTTTTGCCTCTTATAATATTCAGCAACTTTATAAATTCTTTTGAATTATATTTATTATACCTATTAAATATGTTTTACTTTCTCTTTTATTAGCTCACATCCTTGCCAACTCTAGTGTGATCTATGGACCATACCATACCACTGAAACCACTGTTTCAGTAGCTGCTTTATTGGGCTCTTTCTAACCACCTGGACTGTACTCAGTGTATTAAATACTTTATATCAAGAACTTGCCAAGTCATTTACATACTTCCAATTTCTTTCCCCTCCAGATGATACCTGAAACATAGAGTTATTTTAGCTAGGTACAAGTGAAATACACTTGTATGCCTAAACCTGAGAATCATAAAAGCATTTATGTGATTTTAAGGAGGTTGCACTAAATCAGAATACCAGCAATGACTATATGACACTAAGTAAAACATTCTTCTTCTTAATTTGTAATAAAATTCATCACCTATTTACTAATCATGGTTTTGTATTAGGCAATCTGCTTGATGTCTGTGAATTAACAATGAGAATAAGGATGCAGCACCTGCCCTCATATAATATACAGCCTAGCTAACTTGTATTAGGTAGAGACTTCTGCAAATGGAAGAGTTATAACTTCCTATCTGGAGCCCCAAAGGCTACTCATTGATTTCTATGGTTGCTATCACTGATATACAGAACATTCTTAAAAAAACAAAGGTGTGTATTTATGACAGATGTTTTCCTTGAGTTGCCCTTTATATCTTTCAGTGCAATTTCAGGATATAAGTTTATTGGAAATTTGATTATAATAAATATGTATTTGCAACTAGGAAAATACTATCAGTAACGACTACATGAGGGGGTGTAGTTAAATAAAAGCCTTAAATTTAAAAATCCAGTGAGGCAATGTTTTCAAGTTATGGAGACAAATTTCTGTAAATGTCTGCCCTAATAGGTAAACAGTATTGGAAATTACATAGTTTAGAATACTTTTGTTGCTGCATGTAATAATTAACAGTTTAGGCAGCAGAATATAATGGAAAGAGCATGGATTTTTGTGTTTTATAGCTCTGGATTCAGAAAAACTATATTACTCCCTCTTTGCGTTATTAAATGCTGATTTGGGTACCTTTATGGACCTTCATTTTTTCATCTCTAAGTGGGAAATCATGACAACTCATCTGCATTTTTTTTAAAAGCTACTGAATTGTTCCCTCTGTTCTCGTCCAAATCCCAACCAAGGAAATATCCAGTATTCTAACAGCAAATCCAAGCTTTTTTTCACTCCTCACTGAAAATTCTTAAACCCAAATCCAAGGTCTTAGGGATTACAGTTAAAGCTATCTTTGTATTTTGGAGGTTGCATACTTTATTTTTAGCCATTTCCTGTCTCTAGGTTATGTTCCAGTTATTTTAAACATCTCTTGTATTATCTCTGCCATTCATAAGCATGAATGCATATAATTGGGTGACAGAGCAAAATACTGATTCTCTCTCTTGGCTGGGAAACTCTGCCTATATTACTGGGTAATCTTGCAGCTAAGAGGTATTTTGTATCATCTGTATATTGTTACTTTGTCTTCATTAATTTTATTTGAACACATAACACATGCCAAGCATTCTGAGAGGTATTTCCAGATGGATTTAAAATTTATCTACCATAAGAAGTTATATGGTCCTCCAAATAATAGAAAAATAATGGCAGACTCTTAGGTAGCAACAAAATGACAGAATGTAGAAAATCTTGTTCTTTGATGAAAAGCCAGAATTACCTCAACCTCATTTGATTACAGAGATATGATGCTATCCATATACTAATTACCATTAGTATCTTTTTTCTTTTTCTTTTTTATTTTCTTTCCAATTTTATTTATCTATTTATTTATTTTTGAAACAGGGTGATAGGGTTTGGCTGTGTCCCCACCCAAATCTCACCTTGAATTTTAACTCTCTCAATTTCCATGTGTTGTGGGAGGAACCCGGTGGGAGGTGATTGAATTATGGGGGTGGGTCTTTCCTGTGCTGTTCTCATGATAGTGAATGAGTCTCACGAGATCTGATGGTTTTAAAAATGGGAGTTTCCCTGCCCAAGCTCTCTCTCTTTGCCTGCCACCATCTATTTAAGATGTCATTTGCTCTTCCTTGCCTCCGCCATGACTGTAAGGCCTCCTCAGCCATGTGGAGCTGTTAAGTCCTTTAAACATCTTTTTCTTCCCAGTCTTGGGTATGTCTTTATCAGCAGTGTGAAAACGGACTAATACAGTAAATTGGTACCAGGAGTGGGGTATTGCTGAAAAGATAATTGAAAATGTGGAGGCAACTTTGGAACTGGATAACTGGCAGAGGTTGGAACAGTTTGGAGGGCTCAGAAGAAGACAGGAAAATGTGGGACAATTTGGAACTTCCTAGAGACTTATTGAATGACTTTGACCAAAATGCTGATAATGATATGGACAATAAAATCCAGGCTGAGGTGGTCTCAGATGGAGATGAGGATCTCTTTGGGAACTGGAGCAAAGGTGACCCTTGTTATGTTTTAGCAAAGAGACTGGTGGCATTTTGCCCTTGCCCTAAAGATTTGTGGAACTTTGAACTTGAGAGAGATGATTTAGGATATCTGGCAGAAGAAATTTCAAAGCAGCAAAACATTCAAGAGGTGACTTGGGTGTTGTTAAAGGCACTTAGTTTTAAAAGGGAAACAGAGCACAAAAGTTTTGAAAATGTGCAGCCTGACAATGCTATAGAAAAGAAAAACCCATTTTCTGAGGAGAAATTCAAGCCGGCTGCAGGAATTTGCATAAGTAACAAGAAGCTGAATGTTAATCCCCAAGACAATAGTGAAAATGTCTCCAGGGCATGTCAGAGACCTTTGTGGCAGCCCCTCTCATCGCAGGCCCAGAGGTAGAGGAGGAAAAAGTGTTTTCATGGGCCGGGCCCAGGGTCCTTCTGCTATGTACAGTCTAGGGACTTGGTGCCCTACGTCCCAGCTACACCAGCTGTGATTAAAAGGGGCCAAAGTTCAGCTCAGGTTGTTGCTTCAGAGGGTGGAAGCCTGAAGCCTTGGCAGCTTCCACATGCTGTTGAGCCTGTGGGTGCACAGAAGTCAAGAATTGAGGTTTGGGACCTTCTGCCTAGATTTCACAGGATGTATGGAAATGCCTGGATGCCCAGGCAGAAGTTTTCTGCAGGGGTGGGGTCCTCATGGAGAACCTCTGCTATGGCAGTGCAGAAAAAAATGTGGGGTCAATCTCTACTGGGGAACCACCATTGCTTGCCTCCAGACCCCAGAATGGTAGATCCACTGACACCTTGCACTGTACACCTGGAAAAGCCACAGGCACTCAACACTGGCCCATGAAAGCAGCCAGGAAGGAGGCTGTACCTGTAAAGCCATAGGGGTGGAATTGCCCATGACCATGGGAACCCACCTCTTGTATCAGCATGAATGGATGTGAGACATGAAGTCAAAGGAGATCATTTTGGAGCTTTAAGATTTGACTGCCCTGCTGGATTTCAGACTTGCATGGGGCCTGTAGTCCTTTTGTTTTGGCCAATTTCTCCTGTTTGGAATGGCTGTATTAACCCAATGCCTGTGCCCCCATGGTATTTAGGAAGTATGCAACTTGCTGTTGATTTTACAGGCTCATAGGCAGAAGAAACTTGCCTTGTCTCAGGTAAGACTTTGGACTGTGGACTTTTGAGTTAATGCTGAAATGAGTTAAGATTTTGGGGGACTGTTGGGAAGGCATGATTGGTTTTAAAATGTGAGAACAAGACATTTGGGATGGGTCTGGGATGGAAAAATATGGTTTGATTCTGTCCCCATCCAAATCTCATCTTTAATTGTAACTCCCACACTTCCTACATGTTGTGGAAGGAACCCAGTGGGGTGTGGTTGAATTATGGTGGTGGGTCTTTCCTTTATTATTCTCATGATAGTGAATGAGTCTCATGAGATCTGACGGTTTTAAAAAGAAGAGCACAAGCTCTCTCTTTGCCTACTGCCATCCACTTAAGACATGACTTGCTCCTCTTTGCCTTCCACCGTGATTGTGAGGCCTCCTCAGTCACAGGGAACTGTAAGTCTACTAAACCTCTTTTTCTTCCCAGTCTTGGGTATATCTTTATCAGCAGCATGAAAACGAACTAATACACAGGGTATCACTCTGTCACCCAGGTTGGAATTCACTGGTGCGATCTTGGCTCACTGCAACCTCTGCATCCCAGGCTCAAGTGATCCTCCGACCTCAGTCTCCCAAGTAGCTTTGACCACAGGTGTGTACCACCATGCCCAGCTAATTTTTTTGTATTTTTGATAGAGACGGGGTTTCTCTGTGTTGCCTAAGCTGGTCTTGAACTCCTGAGCTCAGGAGTTCCACTTGCCTTGGCCTTGCAAAGTGCTGAGAACACAGGCATGAGCCACCATGCCCAGCTAAGTATCTTTTTGAATAAAATTTCTTCATGCAATTGAGATTTTCAGTTTACATATCAGTCTCCTATTTCAGGTGCTAATCCTATCTGCCAAGTATGAGACTATATACAATAAAAATTTAAAGTTCTCTTGGTAAAATAAGAAAAACCCCAATTAATAAAAATGGTAAAGAGGTATTAAAAATCCTCAAAAAGGCTTTGGCTAGCTACCATAGAAATATTAAAAAACAATAAAATTAAAAAATTTCCTTGGTCACTCATGTATCTGTTACATATTTTTAATAATCTTACTTTGTGTGGTACACAAGCAAATTTACATTTATACATCTTTAGATACTATCCCTATTAATAAATAGTTACGTCTCACTAACTGCCTATATAGTTAAAAGAAAAATAATTAGTTGCTTACTGTGTTAAATTTTAATAGGTAAATCATTTATTTTTGAAATATATTTTCCACCTTACACACATAATATTGGTCTCCATGTATGAGGAACACAGCTTAATAAAATGGTCTTGGGGATTATAACGAAGCATAAAATTTGTTTTGGTAGCAGTATGAACAAATAAAGAGGATTTTTTACAAAAGGCATTTAATACAGTGTGCAGGAATGGGTGAAGGCTTCACAGAGGAGGTAGCATGTGAGATAAGTCTTTAAGAAAAATTTTCCAGTGGGCACTTTGAGTGAAGAGGCAAAGACAATCACACAGAAGAGCATGCAAACAACTTTTTTAGGAAAGAAAGTAGAGTGTGTCCCATATCAGGAAGGTCTTTTTTATGCCAAGCTGGGAAGATAATTTCTGTCATTTAAGGCAGTGATCCCAACTGGTGGTACCTGTCCATGGCCTGTTAGGAACTAGGCTGCAGAACAGAAGGTGAGCAGTGGGCAAGTGAGCAAAGCTTCATCTGTATTTACAGCTGCTCCCCATTACTCACATTACCGCCTGAGCTCTGCCTCCTGTCAGATCAGTGGTGGCATTAGATGCTCATAGGAGTGTGAACCCTATCGTGAACTGTGCTTGTGAGGGATCTATGTTGCACCTGCCTTACAGAAATCTCATGCCTGATGATCTAAGATGGAACATCTTAGATCCCTTCCCTGAAACCATCCCTTCCCGTCCCCCTCTCAAGTTCATGGAAAAATTGTCTTCCAGAAAACCAGTGTCTGGTGCCAGAATGGTTGGAGAAGAGAAGTATTTTAAGCACGGAAGCAGGAGGTTACTATGTTTCCAAACCTATAGTAAAGTTTCTTTCTCTTGTTTTCAGTAGGTATGAAGAGTTAGCCACTTCTATACATAGTTCTGACAGATAATGTTATTAATGCTAGGATTCAATGGCTAAACAAATAAATAAATATATCTTAAACAGAAATAATTCTTCTATGGGCCCAGGAGATAAAATGCCTTCTATCAGAAATTATTCCTTTGGTTTGAAGAAATGGGTTGCGAACTTCGTTTTGTTTTGTATGTGATAGTAACACACTGTTGTTATTTATGAAAGTTTCCACAGAGAACTCATAAATAAAAAATGTAAATGTAGAATAGAGAAACTTGGTGAGCCTCAAAAGAATGTTTCGTAGCCTGGTGGGGTGGCTCACTCCTGTAATCCCAGCACTTTGGGAGGCCAGTGTTGGAGGATTGCTTGAGCCCAGGAGTTCAAGACCCTGGAAAATATAGTGAGACTTCCATCTATACAGAACATTAAAAAAGTAACTGGGTGTGGTGGTGTGTGCCTATAGTCCCAGCTACTTGTGGGGCTAAGGTGGGAGGATCGCTTGAGCCTGGGAGGCTGAGGCTGCAGTGAGCTTTTATTGGGCCACTGCACTCCAGCCTGGGCAACAGAGCGAGATGCTGTCTAAAAATAAAAATAAAATAAAATAAAAATATTTTCCCTGCTGTTGCTAGCAACTACTGACAAACTCCCATGAAAGTTTAGGACTGTGCAGATATGGTTTGAAAACAGCTGAGTGAAGGTATTTAATTTCGAGGAAATGAGGGGAGCCATGGTGGTGGCCAGGATATCTGGGAGGAGGAACACATTAAGTCATGATTAACCACTCAGTAGGGTTAGTAGAGCAAATAGATGGTGTTATTTACAAAGATAAAGCTATGAAAGAACAAATGTAGAATCATGTTGAGACATCATTTTTATGGACATAAAGGTAACAAAATTCACTGTGTTTATATATATATATATATACTTTAAACAAACATATATATATATGTTTGTTTTAAAGTAGGTTTTCCATTTGTATATATTTGAGTCCTACAAATTGACACTTCTAATGCATAAGAATACTGCAAATATTATTTTCCTCTAGTAGCTCTTAATTTTAACTTTTGTCAATTAAAGGGCATTTTAGAAACTACATTCTAGAACTTGACTTTTGATGAGAAGTCATTCATTAGACATACAGTGCAAATTGAGTGCTGGCATCATCCAGGGTCCAGGCACCTCTGAGTAGAAAACTGCAGGCACAAGTATATTCACAGTAATATAAAACTGATGATTCACACATAAGGGAATTAGCTTAAATTGAGTGTTACATATTCTATTAAAAAAGGCATATGTGTTTGCACAGAAGTATGAATGTGTTTGTCTAAATTAAAGATGCAATGAAGAGCAAGGTCTTGTACTAAGAATATCCTTCAACTTCTTATTTGTTGCCTTTTCACCTTTGAACTGCTTAGGTCAAATACATTCTAAATCTTACTCTTAAAATGTGATAGCATACCATGTCAGAAAAAAATGACAGGATAGTTTGGATGTTTAACGAGAATATGGAGCTAAAACACAGTATTATTCATGCTAAGCTCTCTTAAATATATTTGCATATGTTAACTCCTGTGCTAGAATTATTTTAAGGAAGTAAGCATTAAAATCCCAACTCCTTGATGCAGAATCATTTTAGAAGTACATTTGCACCATTTCATAATGACAACCATTTTTGAAAATTTAATCATTTTCTCAAGATACAGTTTTTGACAAATGGTCTGTTACTTTACAGCATCTCATTTGTTTTTATAGCATTTCAACCAAAGAAAATATGCTGCCTCAATATGGGTTAATGTATATAGGTAAGAAAATCATTTAATTCTTTATAATCAATATATAATTCTAATAATCATTCAGTATAATTGTAATAATCATTTAATTCTTTCTTTTGGAAAAAAAAAAGCCAAGAGTTGACTATTATATACCTTAATCTTTGTGCTTTAAAAATCTTCTTTCTCTCTTTCTTCCACCAAAGGCAAAAACAAATGACAATAGCAACAAAAAGATAAACATCAAAACTTAAACACATATTGTCTGTTATAGACCTCAGGATCAAATATTTTAGGAAATTAAAAATGTAGAAGAACAGAGTTTATGTTTGGTAAAATTTATATCTTATCTTAATTCCTACGGTTTTTACAAGAATATGTTATTATCGACAAAAAGGGGGTAGTTAAAAATCGTTGCAGTGTGTTTTCAAAGAAAGTCACCTGCCAAGAAAGGTGTCAGTAAGATCTTTACTGAAAGAATTGTAAAAAGCCTCTGTCATGACCGAGCATATGGAATGAACTGACCCTTAAACTTTAAGAGACTGAAGTAGAATACCTAATGTCAAATGCTACCCAAAGAGCCAGCTGCAGGATATTGTAAGAGGTGTTCATATCTCAGTGTACAGAGGAGAAAAAAAAGTAATAATTCTGTACAGCAGCCCCAGGGCACTTGCATTTTGAATCACTGCCACAATAAGCAGATCACCAGTAGGAAGAGAATATATTTTGTAAAACCACAGACTTGCACTATCAGTAGACATCAGTGTAAAACAGAAGAGGCAACAGAATTAAAAATAGAAGTATAGAAAGGGGAGAGAGAAAGAGTAATTATATCTACTGCCTACAGTTTGCAAAGGCAAGAGACTTATAATTCAGATGTGCATTTATTTAGAGATCCCTTCAAAAAATTCTGACCACCTTTATTATATTAATTCTCTAGGCCGTTATACTTATTTTTTCCAAGTATGGTATAATTATACAGCCAGAATAATTAAATGTCAGGCTGTCTATATTTCCATAATGTATAATATACAGGGAAAAGAATATCAAGTTCCTTTTTCATGTAACGATGATATGACTGAATTACAAAGTAAACCTTAGGAATGAAAGGCACAATTTGAAGATAAAAAGAAGATAGAATCTGATCTAGTTTAGACTTAGCCATTTTCTAGACTGATGGCTGATTTATTCACAGGCAATTGAAATACATTTAGTAGGTAACAGCTTTCTAACTCATATTTATATTATAAATCATTTTGACTTTTCGATAACACAGAAAATCTTCCATCTTAATGAGTTTCTACTCTATTTCAAATTGGAAAGCATACTAAACTTGGTTCTTAAACCTCCTGTATTGTTTATTGTCTTTATGTTATACACATAAGAAAATTAAATAATGGGAATTATGTTAAACTGTGTATATGAAATGCAAAATATTTTTCTAAGCCAAGAGGACTTAGTTTGCAAAGTTCATAAAATGTGTTTTAATCTTACTCTTTCTGCGACGCACAAGGAAAGTAACTCTACAATGTTTACCATATTATAACCATAAATAACAATATCAGGAGACACAACACATCTCATAAACCTTCAAGGATGACACTGTAGCAGATTTAAAAATTCCTGTGGAAAATTGTGTTCACTATTTTTTTTTTTAATTCACAGAGACTCCTAATGCCATCCTATACCCACAGTTTAAAGTAGATTAAACTGACATGCACATTATTCATTCCATACATTTTCTTCAATACTTCCAACCTTTTTAAGTCTTTCTTCCTTTATATAGCACTTTGTTAAAAGTTTGACAATACATTAACTTACTAAGTAGTGAAGCCATTTAAAGCACACTTACTTGAAAAGTGTAAAACCGGGTCCCATTAGGAGGATGCACTTTAGGGGAGCCAGAAACGGTGTTCATATCCGAGAAAATCATTTCTGATCACTGAGACAATATAATCCACAAGGAGCTACAGATGCAGAGCAGAGAGCTTAGCGTACAGATAAATCCGTGCATGCATTGAGGGAGACTAGAGGGTAAAATGAAATCTGCCCCATCCTTCTTACATACACAGTGATAGCATTTTGAATTGTTCTTCTACATTTGAAATCTTAGCTGAAAGATCATCAGCCACCGACCTTTTGTGAAGCTAGTTCTCTAGAACATACAATGTTTTTTAAAAAATTAAAAACACAGAAGGAAAAAAGCAAGAACCAACGATAAATGGAGCTTGTGCAGAATCTGGCAGTGCTGTGGACCTGCCCATCTGTTCTCAGTGATAATCACCTCCCTCCACCACAGTCTAGCAGAGTGATTATGCTAAATATCCTGGTTAACCAATAACATACAGTTTCATTTCAGGGAAGCATGCACAGTGTATTCAGAGGACCTCTTCTGACTAACCTGAAGCATGTTTCATATACTGTTTAAAGCTCTACTTAGTAACAAATTGCTGTTTTATCACTCTTATTTCTGTATCTTTCTAAATCTTTTAGTCACTCCCAGACTTTTCAACAAGATGTGATTTTTTTTTTACAAAGCCTTTTTTTTTTTAAAGGGAGTTCTTTTATAATTTATAGATCAAAGTATATTACAGCTGTTACAGCTGGCCCGGATATTGAGAGGCAATTGCATACAATTCAGTAAGACTGTATATACTAGGAGTACTATCAAATAAAATGTACCAAATATTTTCCACTTTTCTGAACTGCTATAGAATGTCATGAATACGAATGAAATTATTATTATCTCATTTCCCCATCTTAGCTAAAAAATCATTATGTTTGACAATCAGTGCTTCAAAAAGTACCACATATTTGTTTTAAATAATCACAACCTTATTTCATATACATATATACACACAAGAATTAATAAAAATATTTAATACACATGAAGATTTTCAACTCAAAAATCCAAAAATATTGAATGCAAACATGTAGGTTTTGTTGCAAAATATGTTCTTTTTGTATATCTTTAACAAATTCTTCAATTTGTACAAAAGATCATATTCAGATGACTTGACAACTTTTAGAGGTAAAAATAAATGTTCCATTTACACATCGTTCAAATGTGGAGACTTCAGTAGGATAGGAAACAGAATAAGCCAAAAGTGGTGTCTTTGTGAATGTATCTAAGATGACATAGTCATACATAATAAAAACCACCTACTTTAAACCTGAAGGCTGTAAAGGATGATGATTTACACATACAACCTAAATTATTATTCATTAGTATTTCTGATTCTCCAATTATGCATGAAGTTTATAACATCAATGGAAAGGATGCAGAAAAGTGATCCTCAATTCTTTAGATGGGACTCCTACATTCTGATAAATTAAGTGTGTAGGTAATTATTTAACTAGCAAACTGCTAAATAAACCAGAAAATTATTTTAATAAAATCTTAATTTGGGAATAATTTCTGATTTATAGAAAATCTGCAAAGAAAGTACAGAGAATTCCTGTATGTCCTTCATTCAGTTTTTCTAACTGTTATCTTACATTAACTATGGGACACTTGTCAAAACTAAGAAACTGATGTTAGTGTATTATTATTAACTAAACTCAATACTTTACTTGGATTTTACTAGTATTGACATTAATGTGCTCTTTGTATTTTAGGTTCAAATTCAGGATACCATATTTACTTAGTTGTCATGTCTCTCCAGTTTCTTTTGGTGTGTGACAGCTTTTCTTTGTTTCTCATGACCTTGATGGTCTGGAGAGGAACTGGCCAAATGTACCATAGAATATCCCCTAATCCCATGAAATCATACATGTTTGCCTGTTTTCATCCTGATTACACTGGGCTATGAATGGATAAGCATACCACAAAGGTGAAGTGTCCTCAATCACATCATATTAGTGGTACATGACATCCAGATAACATTATTAATGATGTCAACCTTTGTCATTTGACAAACAAAGTTTTTGCCTGGTTTCTCTACTATAAAGTTACTATTTTCCCTTTCCCATACTCTATTATTTGGAAAGTAGTACACCCTCAACAGGGTTGGTAAGAAATGGCGGAAATTAAGCTTGGCCCCTTGGAAGACAGAGTACCTACATATATTAAATAGATTTCTTCTGTAATGGCTGGCCTCTTTTCCTTCAATTATTTACTTTTTCAGTTATTTACTTACAACAGTATAGACTCATGTATACTTACTTTACACTCTGGTTTGAAATTTAATATTACATAATTTAATATGTTTTTCATATTGTCCCAGCTTTAATCATTGGTAGCTCCTTTATTTCAGGTTGTCTCCTGTGTCCCTTGACATGCTCCCATCCTTTTGTTTTTAGAGCACTCAATGATTATTTTTTTAAAATGGTTTTCTCTTGCATAAATCGCTTATGATTTGCTGAAACTATTTATTTCCTTAACTATAACTCTAATTATTATTGTGAGTAAACTTGAAAATTTATGTTTTATTTTCCAGTAATTTTTAAGCAGCTATATTATTCAATTTTTTCAAATTAATATTTTTCCCTTCTGATATCTTAGTCCACATGGGATTTATTCAAATGATAATCAAATTTTTTAAATGACTAAATAGATTTACTAGCTGTGGAAATAAGTTATATATGTGAAATATTCTAGATACGTGTTAGGATCTTACTTCCTCTTATGGTTAGCGAGGCCATGTAACTCATGTTCCCCACAGAGTTGTGAGTAGAAATAATCCCTCAAACAGAAACCTCAAGGTTTAAGAGCGAAGTTTTAAGAAAAAAGAATGTTTGTCAAATAGATTTTTACCATGCAAATATAAACTCCATGTACTTTTATGTTTGCCTGTAAACTGGGTCTAACACAATTGAGATCAGAAAATTCACCAGATCCCTTGTTATTGTAGAGGAACTCATAAATCAAATGTTTTTGGTAAAATATCACATATTCTTAATATAATCTCATGTATTTGCTGCATTTGCATCAGCCAGAAAACTATTTTATTTTAGCTGGGAATTATGAATCTTTCCAGCCAATAAGAATACACTTTCTTTTTCATATTTCTTTGGTGGGGGAGGAGATGAAAATAGTATAGATTAATGTTAAAAGAGGCAGGAGGGAGAAATAGTACTACTAATATATAATTATTTTAAGTACAATGCTTTATTCTAAATGTTACTGAAATTGCCAAAGTATACAATTTTTCCAGAACATTTTTTCCTATGATTATTTTGATAATAATGTTATCTCGTAATTCTGAATGTCTATTTGGAAACAACTCAATTTTCTCTTCTGCCTGGTAGCAATAGGAAAGGTGTTGTCCAGGTCTAAAAATTGCCAAGATTTAGAATTATTCATTGTCCATTGTGGTTGAGGCCAAAGCTTATATATCAAGGTACGGTCCCATCATTCTCATTCTGAAAAGCCATGAGAGTTGGAGTTGCTGGAGGATGGAAAAGTTTCTGTCTCACTAAAAAACACATCCCTTTAACTCATGTTAACTGCCTAAAGGAAATAATAAGTATTAAATTTAGTCAGGGACATTTGACACTTTTTTTTTTTCTGTAGGGAAGCCCCATTCAGTCAGGCCCAAGAAGTCCTAATGGGCAGGAACTGAACAGTCTTGGAGCAGGCTCAGAGTTGTGCTAAGTTCCATGCCCAACATTTCATCTAGTACTGTACTTTCCAAACCTGGTTTGTTTGTACCCTTAGGTACATACAGTTTGAAAAACTATGAAGCCTCTCTTTGTCAAAATTTAAATATTTTAAGAGATTTAAATTACAGTACCTCATAGGTATTGACAGATGATACTCATTTAAATGAATCAAATGGAATAAAGATGATCTAGCAATTTAATGCCCATCTTCTATTAAAAACCTCAAGAGCTCTTAAAAATTGAAATTTTATACCATCCCTTTTATTCCTTCAACTTTTTTCCTTTTCTCCTGCACATAATTTTATTTTACTATATTGTACTATCTTTCTATATTGTGTGCCTTAAAGTATTTTATCAGTAATATTATATTTTGTTGCTGCAAAAATATATAATATACACTTAAAATATTTTTCTTTTTAAATTTTAAATGACTATATGGTTGTAAGTGTTAAAACTTGTCTCTTGAAATGAGCAGCATTCACAAATATTATTACCACACAATGTACCAGAACAGAATAAATATATTAAAATGCTGATAAACAGAGAAAATACAATATTATGTCTGGATAACACAAAAAATGTATGTTTGTATAATACAACTGCAGTTTTATCTTTTTTAAACTAGCTTATGTTTCAATTCAAACATCCTATTAGAATTAGACAGAGTCCTAATTTTCAGTTTTGTAGATTTATTGTTGAGAAACTCTGTTCCCAGAAGTAAGTAGATGGAAAAGAAAAAAGGTTGTGTTGTTGTTATGGTTTTTATCAGCAATATTACTCAAATTTTCTGATTTCTTCTGCATATATACTAGAATAAAGATATATTTTATAATAATCATTAAATACCTTGATTAAATCAACCTCCGATTTTGTTGAAAGCTAACAACCAGAAAACATCTGGCTTTCAAAAAGGATTTCTTATGTAGCTATTAAAGTCATTCACTTTCCTAACACCTAAATCTATAATTTGAGTGGTTTCTTATTTTGGTCCTTGAAGTTTTGAGACCCTGGAGTAATGCGACACAGTTAAGATTCATGAGAAACATACACTCTGAAAGAGAAGATTGATTTAAATGCAGACAGAACTCCTTAATTGCGGCACTGTTCTCAGAATAATAAATTTTAGAAAAGGGTACATATAGAAGAAGAAAATGAATCCCTTGCAAATATCCATGTCCTTGTATTTCTTGGACAGTCTTCATACCTTAATTTTAAATAACTATCAAACATCTATCCCTGCAATCAAATACGTTTCCGGTGGTTGATAAATGTTGACTCAATGAATGTGCTGCTTACACAATATGGCTAAGTAATTGCTTTAAACATCATTTCTAATCAATATAATCAAAAATTAAAAATCAGCCTGGTCATAGTCTTATTAGAAATTCAAAACTTCAGCATATGCTCAGAATGTAGAGGAAAAAATTCAGTGACCACGCTGAGTTCATTGTTCCTTAATAAGCCTCAATCTCCTCACTTATGAAATGGGGAGAATATTGCCTCACTCAAAGTCTTCTGTAACATTTAAATAAAATTAAGATAGTAAGACCCTAATTTGTCTCCATTCTCTGCAATGTCTTGCATTAATTGCAATGTCTCATTAATTGCATATAGTAGATAATTTATAGTGTAACTGGCACATATTTGAGGGGAAAAGAAGAACGATCAATCATTATTTCAGACAATAGACACGAAGACTGTTCTTGGTAAACCAGAACTTGGTCTTGTGTTTACCATGGCCTTTGTACTCATGGTAAACACAAAAGTATGTTTACATTTGAGGAGCTTTTATTATATTGGAGGAAAAAAAAACAGATACACTTTTTGAAAAATTACTTTAAGAGCATTATATATATCAAATCCATTCTAAAGAATATAAACAAATGTGGACATTAATTTAGGCTTATTAATTAGGGTGACTTCATGGGCTACATTACCTGAAAATCTAGAAAGGAAGAAAGAACTAACATTCAGTACTTGTGTGTCAGACATGGACACATGGCATTTAATTTGAGCCATACACTGTCATTTGGCCTGGGTAATATATTGATTTTACATATGAGAACATTGATATTTAAGAAAGTAGAATACCTTTTTCAAGGACAGAATCACTATTCTGACTAAAAAAAAAAAAAAAAAAAAAGCCCTGTCCATTACACCTGTCCCTTACTGTTTTCCTTTCTCTTCCACATTTATTCGTTTATTTATTTATTCAACTATGCATTAATCAAAGACTAATTACCAAATGCCTTAAATTTGCCTGGTATTGTTTCCAGGCTTTGGGGACAGGATTATCAGATACAATATCAGTGCTTTAGGAACTTTAAATTTTGTGGGAGAGATACCAGCTAAGGAGAGGTAGTTAAGTAGCAAAACAACTGCAATGTAGTTTGACAAATGCTAACCATTGACTTGATGTAATGTATACTGAGTTCATCTGGAAATCACTGATTTCCAGTGGGTGATTTCCAGTGGGTGACCATGGCAAAAGCAGGAGGTTAAAGGATTTCCAAAAAGAGAATCAATGTTTGAAACAAAATGAAATGGCATGGAAATGGTTGGGAAAATATGGCTGAAAGCATTTCAGGACATAAGAGGTAACTGTGCTAGGTGTGTATTTGTATTTACAAACAGTTTTTTCAAGTAAAATTAGTAAAGACACTTAATCTGGTCATCATCCTTTTCCTATAAAATCAAATAAAATTAGAACATTCCTGTTTGGAAAAAAAAAAGATATGAAATGTTGAGTCACATTTTCACACTTTTGGTTAGTATATTTTAACATCTTTCTTTAGTTTGCCAAATAGCTTTCCAAGATTATTTTTGGTTGTGAAGAAACTTCATTCTTAGTTTGATTGCTTTCAATTTATCATAAAACTATTTCAATCGAAAATTATATATATATATTACAATATCACACCTCAAATAAAATTTAATGTGCTTATGTTATCAATCATTGGTTTTCAGGCAATGGCTACCACTTTACGTGAAGGGTAAATAACATACCCATTTTAATCGCTACAGACAGACCACTACCAAAAATTTCTTAAGATGTATCTTTTCCAAGAGAGGTAAATTATGAAGTTGAGCTTCAGGAAATTTAATATTAGCTATCACAACCACCTCAATTTTTACAGAAAGGAATTGAAAATGAAACAGTAAAAGTATGACTAAACTATACTTAACTTAAAACGGAGTAAATTAAAAATCCTGAAGCCAGACATTTGCTCTTAATAGAATTAAGAGAAGACCCCAAGAAATTATCTAATACACCCTTGTGCCCTTAGGAACAATTACTCCTATGCCATCTGAAATGCATGTTATCAGCTTGGTGTTAATCAATGTTCCAAAAATACTTAGAGCCTATGCTTTTATATCAGGAAATTCAACTCACATATTTTTATAATCCTGGAAAATAATTTTGTTTTAAGAAATAGTTGTGAGATATATTCTGTTTTAAGACCAGCAATTTGACATAGCCTTTCTTTCATTCATTTGTGGGTAAAGCTCAAAATTTTGCTAAAATGATAAGAATTTGGGGATTTAAATACACTGAAAAGGCTGCTTATTTTATGTTAATTTTTGATAAATGGTCAGGGGAAAATGGTCATACTGAAAGAACAATGGGGTGAAGAAGGAAGAGAAGAACATAGTGGTGAAAGAGAGAGACAGATGAAAGTAGGTAAATGGGAAAGATGAAGGTGAGAGAGAAAAGGGAGAGGAGAGAGGAGGCGAGGGGAGGAAACAGATATTACACTTTGCATGGTAGCATTACACGATAACAAAGCATTTTCCAAGCAAACATTCAGTTAAAATTCATGCCATATGGAATGAAATTTGCAGCCCAGATGGACAATACATCCTAGTAAATTTATATGGATAACATATGAACGCTAGTTAAGTATGTAATATCACTAGCCTGTCTGTCTATCCATCCATCCATCCAGCTATCTATCTATCTATCTATCTATCTATCTATCTATCTATCTAATCTGTCTATAATTTCTCTATCTCTATTTAATCTATCTTCATATTTATCCACTTCTAACAGTATCCATACCCTTAGCTTTATATCATGAGTTCTACAATATGTAGCAAAAATGACCCTTTACAGATAGCCAAAATCCTGAGTTTACTCTATGATTTATTTTCTCAACTTTTATTCAGATTCAGGGGGTACATGTGCAGATTTGTTACATAAGTGTATTGCACCCAGGTAGTGAGCATAATAGCCAATAAGTAGTTTTTCAACCCACGCTACACTCCATCCCTTCCCACCATAGTAGTCTACAGTGTCAATTGCTCCTATGTTGACGTCCCTCTGTACTCAATGCTTAGCTTCCACTTGTAAGTGAGAAAATGCAGTATTTGGTTTTCTGTTTGTGTGCTAATTCACTTAAGATTATGGCCTCCAGCTCCATCTATGTTTCTGCAAAGGACAAGATTAATTATTTTTATATGGCTGCATAGTATTCTACAGTGTATATGGAGCACATTTTCGCTATCCAGTCCACCATTGATGGGCACCCAGGTTGATTCCATGTCTTTGCCATTGTGAATAGAATGACACTGAACATATGAGTCCATGTAACTTTTTGGTATAATGATTGATTTTCCTTTGAGTATATACCCAGTAATGGGATGGCTAGGTTGAATTGTAGCTCTGTTTTAAGTTATTTGAAATATCTCCAAACTGCTTTTTACAGTGGCTGAACTCATTTACATTCCCACCAATAGTGTATAAGTGTTCTCTTTATCCACAGCATCACCAGCATCTATTGTTTCCTGGCTTTGTAGTAATAGCGATTTTGCCTGGTGTGAGATAGTATCTCATTGTGGTTTTCATTTGCAATTCTCTGATGCTTAGTGATGTTCAGTATTTTTTATGTTTGCTGGCCACTTGAATGTCTTCCTTTGAAAAGTATCTGTTCATTTCCTTTGCCCATTTTTAATGAGGTTATTTGTTTTTTGCTTGTTGATTTAAGTTCCTTAAAGATTCTGTATATTAGACCTCTGTCAGACACATAGTTCACAAATATTTCCTCCCATTCTGTAGGTCATCTGTTTACTTTGTTGATAGTTTATTTCACTGTGCAGAAGCTCTTTAGTTTAATTAGGTACCATTTGTCCATTTTTGCTTTTGTTGTAGTTGCTTTTGGGGACTTGGCAAAAAAATATTTGCCAATGCCGATGTTGAGAATGGTATTTCTTCAGTTTTATTTTAGGATTTCTATAGTTTGATGTCTTACATTTAAACCTTTAATCCATCTCTAGTTAATTTTTATATAAGGTGGGAGGTAGGGGCCCAGTTTCAATCTTCTACATGTGGCTAGCCCGTTATCCCAGCACCATTAATTGAATAGGGAGTCACCTCCTCATGGCTTGCTATTGTCAGCCTCATCGAAGATCTGATGGTTGTAGGTGGTATCTTTATTTCTGAGTTTTCTATTCTGTTCTATTGGTTTATGTGTCCCTGTACCAATACCATGCTGTTTTGGTTACTGGAGGCTTATAGTTTGAAGTAGAGCAGTGTGATGCCTCCAACTTTGTTCTTTTGCTTAGGATTGCTTTGGCTATTTGGGCTCTTTTTTGGTTCCATATGAATTTTAGAATAGTTTTCTCTAATTCTGTGAAGAATGACATTGTTAGTTTGATAGAAGTAGTTGAATCTGTAAATTGCTTCAGGTGTATGGACATTTTAATGATATTGGTCCTACAATCCATGAGAATGGAATGTTTTTTCCATTTATTTGTGTCATCTCTGATTTATTTCAGCAGTTTTGCAGTTCCTCTTGTACAGAACTTTCAACTCTGTGGTTAGCTGAATTCCTACATATTTCATTTTCTTTGTGGCTACTGTAAATGGAATTGTGTTCTGAATTGACTTTTAGCCTAAACATTATTGATGTATAGAATTGCTACTGATTTTTTAACATTGATTTTGTATCCTGAAACTGTGTTAAAGTCACTTATCATTTCTAGTAGCCTTTTGGCAGAGTCTTTAGAGTTTTCTAAGTACAGAACCATATCATCAGTGAAGAGAGATATTTTGACTTTTTTTCATATTTGGATGCCTTTTATTTCTTTCTCTTATTTGAATGCTCTGGCTAAGACTTCTCGTATTATGTCAAATAGGCGTGGTGAGAATGGACATCTTTGTCTGGTTCCATTTCTCAAGGGGGACGGTTCTAGTTTTTGCTCATTCAGTATGATGTTGGTTGTGTGTTTGTTAAAGATGGCTCTTCTTATTTTGAGGTATATTCCTTTGATGCCTAGTCTGTTGGGGGTTTTTATCATGAAGAGATGTTGAATTTTATCACAAGTTTTTTCTGTGTCTATTGAGATGATCACATTGTTTTTGCTTTTAATTCTGCTTATGTGATGAATCACATTTACTCATTTACATATTTTGAACCAACCTTGCATCCCAGGAATCAAGCCCACTTGATTGTGGTGAATTAGTTTTTTGATGTGCTGTTGAATTCTGTTTTATAGTATTCTGTTGAGGATTTTTGCAACTATGATCATAAGGGATACTGGCCTGTAGTTTTATTTCTTTGTTGTGTCTCTGTCAGATTTTGGTATTAGGCTGATTCTGGCTTCATAGAATGAGTTAGGGAGGAGTCCCTCCACTTCAATTTTTTGGAATAGTTTCAGTAGGATTGGTACCAGTTCTTCTTTATAGATCTGGTAAAATTCAGCTGTGAATCCATCTGGTCCAGGGCTTTTTTGATTGGTAGGTTTCTTATTACTGATTGAACTTCAGAACTTGTTATGGGTCTTTTCAGGGTTTCAATCTCTGCCTGATTCAATCTTGGGAAATTGTATGTTTCCAAGCATTTATCTATTTCTTCTAGATTTTAAAATTTGTGTGCATAGAGTTGCTTGTAATACTCTCCGAGAATCCTTTGTGTTTCTGTGGGATCAGTTGTAATGTCATCTTTATCATTTCTGACTGTACTTATTTGGATCTTCTATTTTTTTTCTTTGCTAATATAGCTAGTAGTATGTCAACCTTGCTTATTTTTTCAAAAAACAAGTCTTGGTTTCATCAATTTTTAAAATATATTTTTGCATGTCAATTTTATTGTTCTCTAATTTTAGTTATTTCTTTATGTCTGCTAGTTTTGGGGTTGGTTTCTTCTTTTTATTTTTCCTAGGTCCTTTCAGTGCAAAGTTAGAGTGCTAATTTGAACTCTTTCTAACTTTTTAATGAAGGTATTTAGGGCTATAGACTTCCCTCTTAACATTGCTTCAGTTGTATCCTAGAGATTTGGATAAGTTTTATACCTATTTTCATTAATTTCAAAGAATTTTTTTTATTTTAATGTTCACCCAGGGATTATTCAGGAGTAAATTGTTTAATTTTCATGTATTTGTATACTATAGATTTTTTTTGCTATCAATTTCTATTTTTATTGCACTGTGATCCAAGAATGTAGTTGGTATGATTTTAATTTTTTTAATTTATTGAGATTTCTGTTATGAGTAAGCATGTCATCAATCTTAAAATATGTTCTGTGTGCAGATGAGAATAATGTATATTCTGTGGTTGTTGGGTGGAGTGTTCTATAGATGTCTACTAGGACCAATTGGTCAAATGTTGAGTTTAAGTCCACAGTTTCTTTGTTGTTTTGCTGCTTTGACAATCTAAGGCTGTCAGTGGGGCGTTGAAGTCTCCCATCATTACTGTGTGATTGTCTAAGTCTTCTCATAGGCCAAGAAGAACTTGTTTTATTAAACTGGGTGCTCCAATGTTGGGTATGTATACATTTAGAATGGTTAAGTCTCCTTGTTCAACTGTACTCATTAATATTATGCAATGCCCTTCATTGTCCTTCTTAATTTTTATTGGTGAAAAGTCTGTTTCATCTGATATAGAAATAGGGACGCTTTCTCTTTTTTGTTTTCCATTTGCATGGTAGATCTTTCCTTATTCTTTTACTTTGAACCTGTGGGTGTTGTTACATGTGAAATGGGTCCCTGGAAGAAAGCAGAAGGTTGAATCTTGTATTTTACACAGTTTGCCACTCTGTGTCCTTTCAGTGGAACATTTACCCCATTTACATTCAAGGTTAATATTGATATGTGTGATTTTTGATCCTGTCATTATGTTGCTAGCTGGTTGCTATGTAGATTTGATTTTACAGTTGCTTTATAGTACCTGAGGGCTATGCACTTAAATGTGTTTTTGTGGTAGCAGGTTTTGTTCTTTTGATTCTAAGTTTAGCACTCCTTTATGGATCCCTTGTAAAACTAGTCTAGTTGAAAACAAATCCCTCAATATTTGCTTGTCTGAGAAGGATTTTATTTCTCCTTCAATTATGAAGCTTAGTTTGGTGGGATTTAAAATTCTTGGTTGATTTTTTAAGGACACTGATAACAGTCTCCCTATCTCTTCCGGCAAGTAGGATTTCTGCTAAGAGGTCTTTTGCTAGTCTGATAAAGTTACTTTTGTACCTGACTTGACCTTTATCTCTAGCTGCCTTTAAGATTTTTTTGTTAAAAAAATCTACATGCCTTGGGGACGATCAACTTATCTAGCTGGGGTTATCTGTATCTCTTAGATTTTCATGTCAACCTCTCTAGTGAGATTAGGAGAATTTTCATGGACTACATTTGCAAATATATTTTCCAAATTGTTTATTTTCTTTCTTTCTCTGTCAGGATGCCAATGAATCATAGATTTATTCTCTTTACATAATCCCATATTTCATAGAGGTTTTGTTCATTTTTCCCAATTCCTTTTTGACTTAGTTGCTTCAAAAACTGGTCTTTAAGCTCTGAGATTCTTTCCTCAGCTTGGTCTGTTCTGCTGTTAATACTTCAAATTATACTATGAAATTCTTGTAGTGAGTTTTCCAGCTTTAGAAGTTCAGTTTGGTTCTTTCTTAAAATGGCTATTTCATATTTCAAATCTTGGATCATTTTACTAGATTCCCTGGATTTTTTGGATGGGTTTACTTTATCCTGAATCTTGATGAGATTCTTGCCGTCCAGATTCTGAATTCTATGTTTGTCATTTCAGTCATTTCAGACTGGCTAAGAACCATTGCTGAGGAGCTAGTGGACTTGTTAGAAGGGGATACTGTCTTTTTGAATTGTCAAGAGTTCCGGAACTGATTCTTTCTCATCAGAGAGTTTTGATGTTCCTTTAACTGTAGTATAAGTTGAGTATAGTCAGTTGCTTTGTTTCTGGATGCTTTCAGAGCACCAGGGCTTTGTGCAGGATTTTTGTTGTGGGTGAATTCTTGGGCTTGTTTTCACAGGTGTATATATTAATAGGATAATTGTTGATGCTGTAGTTTGGACTGTGATCCTGTAGATGGCACTTAAGAGTAATGGCTGGCAGCTAGGCTGATACCTAGTCCCTGACTCTTCTACTTCCTAGCATTCGCGGGGAGGAATAAAGATGGCTCGCTCACCATGTCTGCTCTCGGGCCTTGTGGGGAGCCCTCTACAGTCACCAGCGCTGTGCCTCGGTTTCTTTTGGTAGGGGTTCCAGGCCACGAGCCTCTCTTGGGCAAAGGTTGTGACAGGGAGATATGCCGCACCGTTTATGAACCAGCTCTTCAGAGGGAGGCATACTCCACTCCTACCTGGGGCCCGGGACCCAGCAACTGGCCCCTCTCAGTGTTCTGAGCTGGGGTTTCCTCTCCTGCAAGGGGGGTTCCTCCCCTGCCTGAGTGCTGGCCGCAGCACTGAGCTCTTCACTGCAGCCCTGGGGAACCAGGACATCCGTGGTTCATGGTTGGGTTCTAGCTGTGCCAGGGTGTCTGTTGTGTTCCTGTGCTGTCTGGAAAGTACTCATATACAGCAACACATTCAGCAGGGCCGTGGAGGCTGTGGGGTGCACCCACTCCTGCAGGGCAGCTAGGCACAGGCCCTGCGGGGGTCAGGGGACAGCATGTGGAAGGGTTTGCAGAACAGATGTGCCCCGGTCACATCTGTTGCAAAGAAAGTTCAGCTCTCTTCTGGCTCAGAAGTCAGCTGGGGCCAATGCCTCTGGGGGAGTGGGGAGGCGGGCCCAAGTGATGGGCGTTTATGGCTGCTTTTCACTAGAGCTGCCAGCACACAAAAACTCCTGGGCTCCATGCCGTCTCAAGGCCTGTCTCTGCCTATTCCCTGGAGAGATCTCCTGACATCTCACATGTCCATAGGGGATGCAGGGTCCCCTGTCACTAAGTTCCCAGAGGTCCATGGGGAGACTGAACCAAATCTCATTTCCCTCACTCACCCCTCTCCCACGAGCCATTAGTGGCTGGGAACTGGCCCTAGTGATCAGGTACCCTAAGTAGGGCTGCCAGCTTCCTTTCTATTCAGCCTCAGTTTCAGAGTCACATCTCCATCCACTATCAGCTTTTTCTCTCCCAATATCTGCTCAAATTATGGTGGCTGACTTAATAATTTGGTCTCTCTTGGTGGGAGCAGTGCTTTCTGGCTGCATCTAGTCAGCCATCTTGTCCTCCTGAGTTTACTCATACATCCTACTTCTGGGCCTTCTACTTCCTGGGCTTTTACTTCCAGACAATCCACAGCTGGCTATGCATAGGATCGTAGTGCTCATTCTTTCACTCACTCACTTGTAGTGCTCATTCTTTCACTCACTCACTTGTTCAACAAATCATTATTGAGGAGCTATG
This sequence comes from Homo sapiens, assembly GCF_000001405.40. Taxonomy (NCBI): domain Eukaryota; kingdom Metazoa; phylum Chordata; class Mammalia; order Primates; family Hominidae; genus Homo; species Homo sapiens. The sequence goes on from NC_000012.12 coordinate 81,612,347, forward strand.
ATGTGCCAGATAACAGCTACAGTTAGAGCAGAAATGATTCTGCAGGTGAACTGGGAGACAAACTCTGCATTTTTTGGCACCCAAATGAGAAACTCCATTCAGCAAGTGTTGTCAATTTTAGCAGTTAGATATTGGATTAGAGGATCCCAAGAAAAAGAAAAAAAAACTTCGAATACCTCAGTCTTTCTTCCAAGATCAAGAAATTTATTTTAGCTAACTCACCATTCATTGAGGATGTCACACAAATGAAGACATTTTTTAGACTCCACTGGGGTAACAGGATATACAGGCAAGTGAACAAAAAGGCATGTCAAAATTGAAATTTAAAACTTCTGTTTATAATAAGACAAAATTAGTAAATCTGGTTAAACTCACATTTTGATGATGTTTTATTTTTACATAATTTCATAAAATATGTATATGAATGTACATAGATGTGTCATATATATGTGTGTATGTATATGTGTGAACATTATCTACATAAATACACGTGCACAAACATACACACACACAAATTTAAAATGGTGTTTTCTTTCCGTATTTTATTTCTTCTTATTTGTTAACTGTTTTTCTCTGTGCTTAAACCAAATTTTTCACAAATTTTTACATGTATTATCATGGTGATAGCCCATAATGACCTTTATGCTTAAATTATAATGTTAAATCATATAAAATACAGGATTAAGAGTTTTGTTTTTGTTGGTCCTTTGACAGACATGTTAGTTGATTAGAAGAACTCTAATATTATAACAGAATCATTTTATTATATGCTGTTAGGTTTATTTCATGTTTTGAAATATATGTCATCAACTAGTTTTATAGAAATTACATTAAAGCTCTAGAGCGGAATGTTATTTCTTCACCTATCACTCTGGATACCAGATGCCTACATAGTTCCAGAGTTTAAAATAATACCTGGAGGATTTTTAAAACCATGACTTTTATAAACACAAAAAGAGTTACCTGAGCAATTTGGGGCCCACTCTATGACATGAGAACCACATACAGATTATTAGATGTTGAACTTCAACTTGCACACGCCCTCCATGCTCATCTATGTATTATGTAGTGCACTTTTGTTGTTAAATTTCAACCACTTTTTGTTAGCAACTGTTAAAATTCTTAGACATTCCTGACTCAATAAAATATTTCTTCTCTGGATAAATTTAAATTATCCACTTTATTTACTGTTCAGCGTCCATGTAGGTTCTATGATACACTGTGCAGTAATCATTAAATCAAGATACAAAGAATTCTCAGTCTCTCATACATAATTTGGATTTTTTAAATCTACAAGCATAATTCCTAGCCACAGTTTAAGAGATAATAAGTTTCCTTAGTGTGCAAAAGTTATGGAATCTATGGAACTTCTAGTGTATCACTGCTAAGGACTAGAATAATGCATAGCATGGAGTTGGTATTCAATAACTATTTAGGAAATGTTAAAGACATCTTCCTCTGGCTGTTTTGCTTCTCTGTGAGTGTGAGTTGCATTTTAATATTAATTATCTCATTAGACTTGCTGAATAGTCTTGAGAATTAGAAAATACTTATTCTAAGATTATTACAGTTAGTATGTGGTACATCTAACACTTAAACTTTGGGCTGAATGCACTACTTGGTACTTAACAGGCTAGATTTTGGTGACTGAATGAACAAGCAAAACCATGACCAAATCAAGATATTCTAACCACCAAACTATATTATTTCTATGAATTCGTACTGTCTAGTAGGTTAGATTGTTTTAAAAAAAGATTTTTATGGATTGTTTTTAAATATAGGGACATGCCCCTTTGCATTCCTACATACATCCACTTGCCTAAATGCACACACAGTATGCTAATCCCCCTGCACATATTCACAGAGTATTGGGGGAAATATGACATTAATGAAAAGAAATATGTGGTCTAAAAAACAGAAAGCAGATGTTTTCGTGCTCTTCAATGTATGCTTTAGCATACATTTTATTTATAACATCTCAGAAGAAACAGATGTAAATGATAAGATGAGAAGAAAAGAAGAATCAGGATAATAACCAATTACATGCAAGGACTTTAGGATAATATTTACATGGGTAGCATGGAATCATAGAACAAAATTTTAAAACCCAGTAATTTATATGAATGGACATTACATTCAAAATCCCATGTTTAAGATGAGAAAGATTATTGGTTTTACAGGAACAAGACAATATTAGGCAAAACTGTGGAGTAGACTAACACAATGTTTAGGCCACCTTATTTCTTACTCATCAAGATCTCTACTGCCACTCTTACCTTGCTAGCAAATACAGTATTTTCTCCTAAATTTTACTTTTTCCAAGAATTTTATTTAAAGACAAAGCCAATCACTCTCTTGTTTTATTTCTACTAAGAGCAATAACAATGACCCCATAGTTACCATTTATTGAATACTGTATGCCAAATATGAGGTTGCCCTTTATAAAATATTCTAGTAAATCTTCTAGAATAGTAATAATAATGATAATAATGATAAACCTTCTATTTATTCCTCAATTATGCATAAGGAGTCTTAGATAAATTACGCAACTTGTCTAATATCACGTAACTAATAAGTTGGAAAGTCACATCCTTTGAAATTAGATCTACCTGATTACAAAGCCACAGTATAAATTAAAATTACATCTTGGTACTGCTTTGTGTGACACGGATTTTAAATCTGTGCAGAATATGAAAAAATAATTGATTTCATACATAAAACAATTTTTAGGTGACTGGCTATCTGATTAAGTCTTTAATTTTATGTAATTGTTCAGATTTTTCTGAGGGAGCAAATGGATTGGGAAAGATAGAAAGGTATTAAAGACAGCTGCAAGGGCTTTGGTCTGAGCAGCTGCTCCCGTTTTTGGCCTATGCAATGCAAGGATAAAATAACTGAGATGGGGAAGGCTGCAGGAGTAGTAGGTTTAGGAAAAATTCAAGTGCTCACTCTTGCACATGTTGAGTTTGAGGTTTCTATTAGTCATCTAAATAGAGATGTCACATAGCCAGGTGGATATACAAATCTGGACACCACATTAGCATATAGACTGAAATTTAAAAGACCGAAATGAGGTCATCAAGAAAGTGAATGCAAATAGAGAAATGGTCCAAGCTGGAGGCCCTAGTGGATTCCAACAATTAGAGCCCTGGGAGACCAGCAAAGAAAAATCTGTAGGAGCAATTGCTAACATTGGAGGAAGACCAAAAGAGCAGTGTGAACTAAATTGCTCACGTTAATCCAGTAATTAACCTGAATATTTCTCAGAGGTCAACTAAGATGAGGACTGAGAACTGACCATCAGATTCAACAATGTAATCTGGCTTTATTGGAGGGTTAAGAAAAAAAGCCTGATTGAACTAAATTTAAAAATAAATGGGAGGAGAGAAATTGGAATCCATATTCTTATGCAACACTTTTTTAGCACATTGTTTCAAAGGGAAGCAAAGAAATGGGCAGCCCCTGGCAAAGAAAGGAGGAATAGGAATAAGAGCATGTTGTGCTGAGGGAGAGGCTCCAGGAGAGGATGAAAAACTGATGATGTAGGATGAAAAGTGGATAATCACTAGAGCCATGTCCTTGAGTAGATGAGAAGAGAAAGAATCTACAAGAGAAGAGACTGGATTTGGTGAAGAATGGTACTATCTTTAATAACAGATGGAAAGGCAGAGCATGTGGGTTTACATGCTGGTAATTGTGGTGATGGGAGTCTGTGCACATTTTTGGAAAATCAAGAAGCCAGGATATCAGCTGAGAGTATTGTTGGGGGAGAGAATTTTGGATGTTTAAGAAGTGAAGGATTCAATTCAAGGCTTCAGCATCCTTCTCTGTCTATATCAGTATATTGTAGAAATAACATGATTTTCTATCTGTATCATGATGTGAGCAAGATTGAAAAATTGATCTAGTAGAACGTTATCCACAAAATCTGCTAACTAATATTTCCTTTTGAGAGGTCATTTTACCTTTTTCTCCGTCAAATTCTATGATTTTATGCTGATGGTCTCTTCTAATTCCAGGCCATGTGACCAGTTTTATATTATTAGGCAAGTCTAACAAGTATATTATTAATTAAAATGACTAGGTAAGAAATAAAGGGGTTAAACATCACTTAGAGAGAGAATGATCCCAGCAAAACTTCATTTTTACATATTGACACTGAATTATTAAGAACGTCATGGATCACAACCACTTAACTGGAAATGTAAACACCTAAAATACTATGATCAAATCACAATTTTGCAGCTTGCTGATTAGGAGGCCATGTAGATACAGAATTAAATTTATTACATCATGGTAAATTATGGGCATACATTAATTTCTTTAATTTGTCTTTCTCTACTTGACATTCACCACACATTTACTTAAAGGAAAGAACCATAAATATTAATATTTCATAATAAATTCAGAAATTCTTATTACAAATGCTTTCCTTTAATATCAAAAGGGCACACATTCAGTAACATGATTACAGTGCTTTAGACAGCATTATACACACTGGCAGTCACAGTCATGCAAAATTAATATTAATTTGATTGAACTGATTAGGTGCAAAGAGTCAGATATTTCTCTGAATGCTGATTGCATTATTATTCACTCAACAACCCAGTATAACAGTTTAAAGCATGGGCTCTAGTGTCAAAGAGATTCAAATTCAAATTGCCACTCTTCTGCTTTCTAGATGAACAAAACTTTGAGTTAGCTTCTCTGAGCCTCAGTTTTGTTCTCTAAAAAGTGGGAATTAAAGTAGGTTTTTAACTTACTAGGGCATTTGCAAAAATTAAAGGAAATAATGTATGTAAAGCACTTTATGTCATTGCCACCCTAGTCACTCAAAAGAAAAGAAAAAACTTCATCTTTCTAAATTTATTTTTGCCCAGTAGATTGTGTTGAATTTGTCCCTTTCTTAATTGTTTTTCTCTTGTCCAAAATTATCTTTTCACATTTATCCAAGATCCAGCTCCAGTGTCGCCTCTGTCATGTCATCCCTTCAGTCTAGAGGAATGGTTCTTTTTATTTTCCCACCACTAGTCTGTAGATCTTTTGTATCCCTTTTAAGGTCTGCAGTAGGCAAGTTATTCACATGTTATTGTGCCTGCCCCTTCAACTTGGAGCTCCTAGAGAATTTGAATTGTGTTTCTCCTGTTTCCACTTGTTTTCCACACAGTAGCCTATGATACCTGTAAACATGTAGATCAGGCCACTCCATTTGCCTAATCCCAATCCTCCAATAGTTTCCTGTCACATTTCTGAGAAAATCCAAAGTCTTATCCACAGCCTATAAGCTGTACAATATATGGCCCTGGTCCTCTCTCTGTCCTCACTTTATTTCACACTATCTCCTTACACACTATCCTCAGGCAACATGGGTGTCGTTGCAGTTCACAAAGCATAATGTCATTGATACATAAAAGACCTATTAAGTACCAGCTATAAGTTGCACACTATTCTAGGCATTTAGGATACATTAGTGAACAAAATAGACAAATATTCTTCTGTGTAGAGTTTCCACTGTAGTGGGGAGAAGTGCAGAAAAACATGTAAAAAGTAAATGAAACTGTATGTGACAGTGGGGAAAGGAAAATGAGAAGAAGTAGAGGTGGTGTGGAGGGACAAGAACTAGAGCAAAGGATAAAGGGATTCGTGAGTTGTGATTTTAAATCCTCCATTAAGTATGTTTTCTCAGGGCATTTGCAGTTGCTGATTTTTTTTGCCTTGCTTTCTCTCCAGTCCACCCAATGGTTCCCTCCACCAGTTAAGTGTCTGTGCAAACAGAAACATCTGTCAACACTTCTGAGAGGCCCAGTCTAAACAGTGTAAAAAGGCATGCCTCCACTCCCACATTACAGCTCTCTACTTTCTTAATCAGCTTTATTTTCTTCATTGCATTTTTACTATGTGTAAATCTGTGTGTGTGTGTGTGTGTGTGTGTGTGTATTCGATGAGGAAATATATTTTTTTCTGTTTTATTAACTGTTTCATTCCTAGTATGTAGGAACAGTTTGGCATAGAGTTGTCAATAAATATTTATTAAATAAATTAATGTAGGTAATAGTTAGCTTTAGCTAATGATTATTAAATTTAAAAGGTAGAGAAAACTGAAATTTACTCATTAATGTATTATTTCTGAATAATTAAAAGAACTTTCATTTTAAAACCTGCTTTTGATACCCATGGCACTTTTTTTTTTTTTTTTTTTTGAGATGGAGTGTCGCTCTGTCGCCCAGGCTGGAGTGCAGTGGCGCGACCTCGGCTCACTGCAAGCTCCGCCTCCCAGGTTCACGCCATTCTCCTGCCTCAGCCTCCCAAGTGGCTGGGACTACAGGCACCAGCCACCACGCCCAGCTAATTTTTTTTTGTATTTTTTAGTAGAGAAAGGGTTTCACCATGTTAGCCACGATGGTCTCCATCTCCTGACCTCGTGATCCACCCGCCTCGGCCTCCCAAAGTGCTGGGATTACAGGCGTGAGCCACCGCGCCCGGCCCATGGCACTTCTATTCATTCATTAATTCAACAATTATTTGTTGAGTGATATTATTCATTCATTAATTCAACAATTATTAGTCGAGTACCTATAATAGTCTAGGCTTTATATTAAGCATTGGAATACAATTCAAAGGACAAACAGTTATTTTTTAAAGTCATTCTTAATTATTAAAATGCTCTATCTACATTATTATAAAAATAAAACACAAAAATTGCTTGTGAAGATCACCACACTGTCTTTGGGTTAAATCATCATTCAGTAACGGCCTTAGAAACTTGATTTTTTTTGTCCTATATGTTACTTACTACATTCTTCTCTTTGGACTACAAGCGAAGTAAAACATCCGTCTCTGGTAATGGGTTGGGAACATGTGAATTGGCAAATGTGCCTTTTATTCTTAGGAGCTCTGGTCCTGAGTCCAATGACACTCAAGTGATTAGTGAAATAGATCTATAAAGTGTGGTTAATCATACACGTTAGATATGTAACTTTTCAATTCAAGTTGTCATACAACCCAGCAAAAGCAGTCCACTTAAATGCCATAAGATGTAAGTATCGTTTTTTCTTCTCTAAATTTCTACCTGGACATGACCTGATTTCAAAAATGTGCCCATTCAAGAGTGAGTAGGACTAGTTTATATCTTCACTTGGTATCAATTTACTGCAAGATAGTAAAAAAATCTGTTACTTCCTACTTGGGAATATAAATAAATAATTTTTCTGGAACAATAAATTTAAGTAAGATCTTCATTATTTTTGCAAACAAAATGCTAAATACATTTTTCTGGAACAATAAATTTAAGTAAGATCTTCATTATTTTTGCAAACAAAATGCTAAATACATTTTTCTGGAAATTTTAGAGTTTCTCCCAGTTAGATAAAATGCAAACACATTGGAAAATGTAAGCTTTAGCTACTCAGCTGTTAAGGTTTAATATTCCTGATACTCAGCTGCAAAGGTTTAATATTCACGATACTAAATATTCACAATATTTCCTTGTGGTCACAAACAAAATAAATCTGACCATTTAAGAAGAAAGGCAGGCCAGGCGCGGTGGCTCACGCCTGTAATCCCAGCACTTTGGGAGGCCGAGGCGGGCGGATCACGAGGTCAGGAGGTCGAGACCATCCTGGCTAAGGCAGTGAAACCCCGTCTCTACTGAAAATACAAAAAAATTATCCGGGCGTGATGGCGGGTGCCTGTAGTCCCAGCTACTTGGGAGGCTGAGGCAGGAGAACGGCGTGAACCTGGGAGGCGGAGCTTGCAGTGAGCCGAGATCGCGCCACTGCACTCCAGCCTGGGCCACAGAGTGACACTCCTTCTCAAAAAAAAAAAAAAAAAAAAAAAGAAGAAAGGCAATTCTAGTAGAGATAAGTTGACTGGATAAATAAAAAATAATTTAAAAAATTAAGACTGGCTTATTGAAAAACAATAAAAACAGATGTATCAAAAGTAAAATATGCTACAGCTAAATCATAATTTACAGTTTTAAGGAAAAAAGTTTATTCCAGGAAAACTCCAAACAATAATGATTCACATCGTTCAAAATTTTCCTCTGGATCCAGAAGGGATGTTATAATGGATGTTTTAATGCATCTTTTTTTTTGTATTTTGGTAATTAAACTATAACTAAAACCCAGAACCATAAAGATATAAACAAATGTCCAAAGCTTAAGGTGAGAGACAGCCAGAAAGGCATATTCTGGGGCCAGAGAATGCCTAACGAACCGTATGAACTTAGATATCTACTACTGATTTTAAACTGATGATGTAATATCTTGTGCTGTCCTAAAATTAGCAGTGAAAATCTGCCTTAGTGACACATTGGGGAAGAAATGCAATGGGATGCATTTGTGCAAACATTAAAGAGGCTCAGCAGAGGACAGAATCTGGTAGGAGTGGGGCTGAGATTATCTAAGGTAATCAGAATTGAGCTTGAAGTATGAATCTGAAGTAAAAGGTTTCAGGCAAATGTAAACATTCCTCTGACATCTTCTAAAATATTAAGGTCACTGAGATACCCATGTAAAATCAATACACTGTTTAGACATTAAAGGGAAAAATAAAATGATGTTCCAAAAGTCATGGATTCATTTACCAAATATTTTACTGAGTTTCTAAAGCTATATGAATTGGTGTGGAATGAAATGTGAGCAAAACGGGAAAAAAATTGTCTTCATAAAGTTTATCTTGCAATAGAATAAATAACCAATTTATATATCATGGTAGAAGAAATCAGGGAGAAAATCAGAGAGAAGGAGTAGGGGAGTTGAAAAAATATCTTATAGGTAATTAGGGAACCCCTCAATGAGAATTTAACATTTGAACAGATATGAGGTGAGAAAGGGAGTCATAGAGGGCTCAAAGAGCATAACAGGCAGAGAATAAGATGCAAATCCAAAGGTGCTAGGTAGGCAGTATAGCTAGGGTGTGACTGAAGAAGAAAGAGGGGTTTATCCAAACTGAGTAAGTGAGCAAGGGAGTAGTAGGTGGTGAAAGCAGAGATATAACAAGAATCCACATTGTGTTGGTTCTTGCATGGCATTAATTGGACATTGATTTTTATTCTAAGTAAGATCAGCAAGCAGGCTGAATGAAACTTTGGAAGGATCTGAGCAGTGGGATGCCATAACTGAATAAATGACCAAGATTTTGAAAGGATCATTTTAGCTTTTGGATTGAGAACAGTGGATGCAGAGGGTTAGTTAGAGGGGAAGAAGCTAGTTGGCCATGTAGATGAAAGCTAATTGTGGTTTATACAGGGTGGCAGTGGTGAAGGTAATGTGAGGCATATCTGGACTCCAAAAATATTTTGAAGGTAGATTTGGATATGAGGGAAATAGGAGTCAAAGATAACTCCAATAATTTTCCTAAAGAAATGAAAGAATCAGGTTGTCATCAGCTGAGATGGAGAAAACTACAGAAGTATCAGGTTTGGAGGGAAGATCCAGAACTCAATTGTCAACATGTTGAGTTTGAGATATCCTTTAGACATATACATGGAGATGTCAAGTGGGTAGCTGTACATATTACCTAGGATTTCAGTGGAGAGTACTGGCTATAGATATAAATTTGGGAATCCTCAGTATATAGACTTAAGGGAGTAAGTATAGGGAAAGAAAAGAAGAGGTCCAATAGCTGAGCCCTGTAACATCCCAATATGAAAGACCAGAAAAATAAGGAAGTAGCAAAAAATCATATTAAAAGGAGGGGCCAGTAAGCATTAGACAAGGACTTGGTGTTTCACCAGTGAAGCAGCCCTCTTTTAGGCTCCTGACTGAAGCACATTCCTCCACTATCTGGATAATTTGGACAGCAATCCAGATGGAATGAGAAAGAAGGTGATGTTTCCCAGGCCAACCCAATTGGGTATATCAACTTGGGTGACCAATGAAGTGACAAATTACCACATAATAATGTTCATATTCTGACTTTAAGCATAATAATAAACAACATGTGCTTGCAATTTGATACAGGGCTCAATAGCAATACCCCAAATCATTTGGAGTGCTGGATGTCAGTAATAAGGAAAATGATATAGCTTCCTAGAGTAAAATTTTGACATAAGCCTGTGCCCAGTAACTTTCAGGTTTTTTTCCTCAGCATAAGAATGAATTTTCAATTAAATTTATATGTAGAAGCTCAAGATATAAGGCATATAACAGTGGAATGTGTTTGTTTGAGGCAGAGGTAAAGGAAAAAATCAGAAAACAGCCTGCTCAGAGTTCCCACTGGAGCTATCCTTGAAGCATCTGGACATATCCCTAGAGCCTGGGTAAAGCTTATGAACATAGCTTTAAAACTACCAAAATCCTAAAAAGAAAAGAGTTCAGAGATGAAAATAACTGATATTGGAAGTACTCAGAGAAGGTTTACATAGTATTCAGGGAAAACCTGAACCCAACAGAATAGAATGTGCCCTGGCTTTCATTTTTATGTTCCTCCTTCTGCCCCTACCCCTCAGATTAAATATTGGTTGAAATACCTCTAAAACTACACATATCATCATATTGGTGATAACCAGAGTCCTTTAGCAACAATTTGAAGTAGATTTTGTTTAAAGAAAGGTAGGAAAGTTATAGTCCAGAAGAAAATTAAACTGATGTGAGTAAGAATATACACATACAGCAAGGTTTACCCATTATAGGAAAACATTAACTGTATGATAAGGGGGAAAATGTGTTTACATGTTTTTGGTTTTGCTTTTCAGAAAGAGAAACAAGATAGTGACTATTCTCTTCCATAACTATCTTGGGGAAAGAAGAAGTTGAAACAAAAAGCAGGCATAATAATGAATCTACAATGATATCTGATATGTATCTATTTTAATCAAATGGAAGATTAGCCTTCCAGATAGCATTAAATAGAAGTGTGACTAGGAAAATAATCTTGTACGGTCCCTCAAGAGGAATATGCCAGTTTATTTAGAGATGTGAGCCTTTCAAGAGGCATCCAAAATAGTGAAAAGAGAGATGCTAAAAATGTATAAAATCAATTAAAAAGAGAGAATACAAATAAGTGTCATGAGAAATACAAACTGGTATTAATAGTGCTCATTAAAATGATGAATATCTTAGGCAATTTTCATGACCTAAAATGATGTATCATTGGCCTCATCCATCTACTACCTAGAATTGGGACACATTTGTATAAGACTGAAAGATGTATCACTAGTTTACAAATATAAGCAGTTAAGTGATCTCCCCAAAATGTTGGGGTAACTTACATTTAGAGTGTAGGACTGTCACCGCTTCCTTTTTTCAAAGCACATTTGTAATATATTCATGATTGTATCCTTATAGTTGTGTGGGTAAAGTTCCTTAAACCAGACACTTGAAAGATGAACAAATTATTACGTGTTAGCTAAGGATATTATGTTTTTGAGTTTTGAGTTTATTTTGAATAGTAAAGTATTAGCACTCAATTTTCCACCTAAGATATAGTGAAAGTAAGAGCATGATACTGGGGTCAAAAAGGGCAAATTTTACTTAGTATTCTTTTATCTCCTATAAACAAGGCAGCTACATTTTGGGTACTACTTAAATAGCTGCAAAAAAACAAACACCCTACAACAAAAAATAATTTTCATTATTTTTTGATCAGAAAATTATGCCAACAATCCTTTATAGTAAATTACCTGTTATATTATTTTGTACTAAACGTTTTTTGCAATTAATCTGTCTTTCCCTTGCCAGAAGAAAAGATCCCATGTGAAATGGTGAATAGGAAAGCACAGGTGCAATGCAAGGAAGAGGTGTTTTGAAAAGTGGGTCTTTACATCTATAAGCACTTAATGTCAAAAGATGCTCTTCTTAGAGTAGTTGGCATCTATGTATATATATGTATAAAACCTTGTATATATAATCCAGATGCTTGCTTTATGTTACTTATATGTCAACTTGTAAATTGAGAAAATATAGAGTAGATTCATACAGTTAATCTCTATATACTCCATTCCTTAATTATTAACTTCTTAGGTTCAGGACCAGTCCAATCCTATAATCTGTATGTTACTCTAGCATTAACCAGTCCCAGGTCACTATAAAATATATATACTGATTTTATATTTCACTATAAAATATATATACTTATTATATACATATATTATATGTATAATTATAGTGACCTGGGCATATATATATATATCATACATTAATGATACTATATATTATTATATGTATAATACATATTACATATGTATAACACATATATAACAAAATATATATTTTATAGTGACCTGGACAAATATATATATATCATATATTAATGATAATATATAATTATATATATAATATATATTATATATGTATAACATATATATAACAAAATAATGGTTTTGAAGCAACTTGGATGGAGCTGGAAGCCATTATTCTAAGTGAAGTAACACAAGAGTGGAAAACCAAAAACTGTAGGTTCTCCCTTATAAGTGGGAGATAAGCTTTGAGTATGCAAAGCCATACAGTGATATAATGGACTTCAGAGACTCAGAAGGGGGAGGGTGGAGGGTGACCAGGGATAAAAAACTACACATTAGGTACAGTGTACACTACTCGGGGAACAGGCACACTAAAATCCCAGAATTCACCACTATGTAATTCATCCATGTAACAAAAATCCACTTGCACCCCAAAAACTATTGAAATAACAAAACAAAAATAAATCAATACATACATTGCTAAAAATGTATGGCAGTATGGGAAATGTCACTACGATCCCTAAATAAACTGATTTTATTATATAAAGACTATATTATACACACACAATATGTTTGTATGAATAGATATAAATTATACATATGTGTGTATACATATATACACACATATATATATCTGTATGACTACATAAGTATGCTGTATATAAAGAACAGCATGGATGTCAGAAATGTATCTTTTCAGCTCATGAGAATCATGAGGTTCCTAGTTGCTAAAACTATGTACTTACACACTTTAAATGGGGTCATGATCAGGGCCTAAACATATTAATCTCTGTAAGTCAAATATGTCGAGGTTGTCTATAATGTGTTTGATTTGCATGGACATGTCCTAAGCACTTGGAAAGAGTTGTGAAGGAGGAATTTTCACAAGACAAAAATCAAACCACATATAATAAATAGTATGATATATATGTGATGACCTGACTAGGAATTTGATGGCATGAGTTGAATCCTGGCTCTGATACATTGTGTAGTTGAATCCTGGCTCTGATACATTGTGTAGTATCTATTATGTGTCACTAGGTAAGATACTTAACTTTTGAAATCATGATTTCTAAGGCTGTTAATGAATTTTAATGACACAAACCTGAAAGAAAAGATTCTTGCAACCATTATATTTGGACATCTAATTTAAGGATAATTAGTATTGTAGGTATTAAAATAAAATATTGATTGATTTCATTTATATATTACCTCTGCTACCCTCCAACATTTTTCTAAACATTATTATAATTTCCTGATTTATTTGCCCTTCCTTCTACTTTTACTTCCTGTAGCTATTTTATATATTATTAAATATATTATAAATATAGTATATTATAGTATATTATTTATACATAAGATATAGTATATAGCCTTTGGTGTTTGTCAAAGAGAGAGAAATGATGCCTAAGTCACAGAAAGAGAAAGGGATAATTCTCAATAACAAAAATTGTCACATTTCCTTAAAAAACCTCAACCACAGGGCTCTACTAAGTTGACAGAAATGTCCAGTTTCAAAAGCAAAATATATAAAGCTCATATTTGTTATTCCTTTTCTAAATTTGATTCATAGGTCTTCAAGTTATCAATTCATGCTGTTATTTACAAGATTGTAGATTAACTTTACGTATATTTCCTAATTAAAGGAACATCAAACTACGTAGAGGATTCATACTAGGTTAAAAAAAAGGGGGTGGGATGGGGGCTCTAAAGCTATCTAAAATAATAACTTTCTGTAAGTTGGAAAATAAACTATTTTCAAGCTTTTTATGTTGTTCATCAAAGGAATATTTTCTTCTAAAGTGGCCTATTCCAACTTATAAAACCCCAAATTTTAAGGCTACATTATATGATCTGAGGCATCATCCAAATATAATTGCATGATATATTTGATCCAATATTATTAAAACCTTATTAAATTTAACAAATGGCATAATCTTGAAAATTAAGGCATGTAACCAAATAAACACAATGTTGGGATATGAATAGAATTTATCTCTTGTGCTGTTTGAGTCACCCTGCAGTATGTCTGGTAGGATGGGCAAAGTACTGCAAACAATGACAAAATTAATAAAACTGGAATTGTGTGCTGCACATTATGTTCTTGGCAGGAAATAAGGTGATGCTATTATAAAGGACACCTGCTTCCAGAAATTCAATTAGAGGACTCTACTGCATTATTTTCCTAGGAACAAAAGTTAAAGTACATTTTGGACGATGTGTATTATTTTGGGGATTGTTGGGGTGAGATGTTAGGGTGAGCAAGGATTTTTGAGGTACTCAGTATGCCAAATCATTCTTTATTCTCTAGACACTTTTTCATCTTGATGTAAAATTTAATCATTTTATACTACACTACCTTGAATCATAGAGAAATACACAAATTAGTAATTGATCTATTTTACCTATCAAAACTATTTTAATCCATAAAGGATACTTTTTTGCCTCAGGTCTCATTTGATGTGCTTGAAAGCAGGTAATGGTATTATCAATGATTATGCAAGGTCTCAAAATCCATGACTATCTTTAAAAAGCAAGAGTCATTTTGATAGTTGAAAGAAGAATGATGGTTATCAGAGGCTGACAAGGGTAATGGGATGGGGAGGGACAAAAAGGGGCTGATAAATGGATACAAATTAAAATGAGCATCTATTTATAATAGATAATAGGAATAAAATCCAAAGTTTGGTAGTACAATAGGGTAACTGTGGTTAACAATAAGTTATTGAATATTTCAACATAACTAGAGGAGTGGGCCTAAAATGTTTGTAACACAAATAAATGATAAATGTTTGAGGTTATGGATTTCCCAGTTAGCCTGATTTTATCATTATACATTTTATACTTATAACAAAATATCTCATGTACCCCATAAATATGTGCAACTATTATGTACCCATTAAATTAAAATTGTTTTAAAAAACAAAGAATGTCACTCTCCTAGGAAAGTACTGACAGTCTGTTGCAACTGTTTTTCCAAGACATCATTACTAGAAAGATGTCATCTGATTCCCGTGTCACACATGGGATATATCTATTACATAACTCTCAATACCACAATCTAAAGGGCAATGTAGACATTAATTTGTCTCAGTTGATTTTCCAGTTTGAAAAAAATTGAAATGGAACTCTTTTATACATTCTGACAATAATGCTAAGTTCATGATCCAAGTTACCTAAGACGCACATATTAAACGTTGCAGAGGTTTTTCCTTGGAATTTCAATTACTTTCATAGGTTGCCCTCTTGTGGCCATCTGTAAAGCTACTAACAACAAAATGAAAACATTGTATGTCTTTTTTTCCATCTAGTAAATGCTTCGAGGGTTTGTTAACACATGGTATCTTAAAATTGACTTAATAATATGTCAGGACAAAATTGAAATGAAAAATCTTAAATATGAATTATAGACAAAATCTTGATTGCTGAAAATTCAGTATTGGCTACAATAAAATTATTCAATAAATACAATACCTAAGTATATGAGAGTTTGCTATGATTATTTATTAATTTTTAAACCATGGGCATTCATTGATTCATGAAGTTGATATAAGGCTTTCATTTCCTAAAATAAAGTTCCAATGTTATACTTCATATAATTTCAGGAGAAAGGATATTTTAAGATATCATAAGATGATTTAAAAAATTCTTTTTTTGAACTGACATATTTAATCAACCGAGCACCTCTATCATCAAAGATGGATTAAGTAACAACATGAATACAATCAGGCATTTAAGGTATTAAGCATCAATTGATCCCAAGCTACCTATTTAAGCTTTCCTTATTTGTAAAAGAAGTTTGAGCCACATGATCTCGACTAAATCCACAATCCACTTTCTTTTACCTTTTTTTTTTTTTTTTTTTTTGATATGGCTCACTCTGTCACCCAGGCTGGAGTGCAGTGGCGTGATCTTGGCTCACTACAACCTCCAACTCCCAGGTTTAAGGGATTCTCCTGTCTCAGCCTCCTAAGTAGCTGGGACTACTGGCATGCACCACCATGTCTGGCTGATTGCTTTGTATTTTTAACGGAGACGGGGTTTCACCATGTTGGCCAGCCTGGTTTCGAACTCCTGACCTCAAGTGTTCCATTTGTCTTGGCCTCCCAAAGTGCTGGGATTACAGGTGTGAGACACCACGTCCAGTCATAACATCTACTTTCTATGTGTCCTACTTCTAGTTAGCAAGAACTGATTAGCAATCAATAGCTCCTTTCTCTTTTTTCTTTTTTCACTTCCTCCAACTGATTTCTAGAATGCAAGTCAAAATATCTATTGAGTCCTCTTTGTTTGAAGCTGCTGTTTCCTGGTCACATTTGCAGGTTTCAGAAGCCATTCTTTTTAGAGCAAAGGGATCCAATTGCACATAAGGCCTATAGCCTCCTGTTGTTTTCAGTGCTCAAATACTCAGGAGTGGCCCAGAGCCAATACAATGGAGGAAAAGGACCACAGGCAGAGAGATGCTGAGCACACTGCCCTGGGTAATCTAAATTAGTTGACCTTTCTACCTCTTCCAGAAGGGATATGTGCCAAAAGATAAGGTAAAACCAGCTCAGTATGCACCATCACAATGAGAAATGAACATAAATGAGATCATACGAGCTTTGAAAATGTTTATGTAACAAGGATTCAGGTTATTTATATATAATATGAATTTTTTAATTGTATAATATAATCAATTACTATAAAAAATTTAGATTCCATTGAATGAGCTTCAATATTATATTCTAACTAGGTAGAAATTTAAAATGTAGGAATCATTTAAAATACATTTTTGGTACGAAAAGCCTTTAAGATTAAAAATAACTGATTAATGACCACTACATTTTTTCAGTAAATCAATAATTAGTCTTTTTAACAGTTAGAAACTCTCTTTTAATTTTTTGGGGTTGGGGGAGGGCTGGATCTTTCATCTTCAAACATCACCTCTCTCATCCATTCATTACCATCTATACTCAATGCCCTCTCTTCCACAGATTCAGGTTTGTGATTAATCAGTAAGGAACTTATGGAAGGAGTGCTTAATAGGTCACAGAGCTACCCAAAACCTGAGAAACCTGGCTTGGAAAATAGAAACAAGGATGAAACGCTTAGGAGTAACCTGGATCACACTAAACATTAACCTTTCATTCCAGCACCCATCAAGTGAGGACACTTGTCACAGAACACTAAATGTCACTGATTTTCCAACTTCCACTGCACCCTACATGGTCCCACTAGGCCCTAGGTCACTGTTGCCTTTAAGAAATGAACACTGCTGTTGTTGGTGAGCCACTACACAGGATTTCTGTGATGGGCAGAATTACGGCTTCTCAAAGAGGTCCACATCCTAATCCCTGAAGCCTGTATGTGTTACTTTATATGGCCAAAAAAGTTTACAGATGTGATTAAGTTAATGATCTTGAGATTGAAAGATTATCTGGGATTATTCAGTGGTCCCAATGCAATCACAAAGTTTCTTATAAGAGAGAGGCAGGAGTTCAAGGGTGAGAGAGTGATTTGAAGATGCTTATCCTGCTGGTTTGTGGCTGAAGGGACCATAAACCAAGGAATGCAGGGAGACTCTTGCAGTTGGAAAAGGCAAACAAGTAGATTCTTCCTTAGAGTCTCCAGTGGAACACAGCCTGGCTAACGCTATGATTTTAGCCCAGTAAGACCAATTTCAAGTTTCTGACCTCCAGATAAATAAGATAATAAAGTTATGTAGTTTTAAACTATAAAATTATAGTAATTTGTTGTAGGTGCAAGAGGAAACATGTACAATTGCCCAATGCAGATGCTTCTTTGATCATCAGCTTTCAACTCCAGTCCTTATTGGGTGCATCAGACTTGCCAGGCCCAAAAGATGCAGCTACTCCCTAACTACAAGAAAGGCTGGAAAAAGCCAGTATTTTTGTAGCTTCTATAGAACATACAGGTTACACTTCCCCTAAGAAGTATATGATGAAGAATTCCCTGAGGATACGGAAGGTATTGAGAAGCCCCTCAAAAGGACAAATATCTCCTATTATCACACTTTCTTATTATCATTATTCTTTGGACTCTGATATAATCAGCTTTTGGAAGCCTAATAGTCTTGTCCTGATGACTCTGATAAACTATTTCCATTCCTTCCCAGATTAATACCTTCAACAGCTCAAAGCAAGACCAAAAAACTTCAGAAACTAAGACTTTTGATTTAGCTCTCAGAGATAAAGGCTAATTTCTACGGTAGCTCAACCTAGATCTATTTCAAACATAATATAAAAAGAAAAATAAATTTTTTCTATATAATTGCGTAATGCTTTCTTTAAAAAGAATTGTGCTTCCAGGCCCTGTAACATTTTTATGTAAAGATGTCTATGGAAAGGCTATATATATATATATATATTTTTTTTTTTTTTCCAGACAGAGTCTAGCTCTGTTGGCCAGGCTGGAGGGCAGTGGCACAATCTCAGCTCACTACAACCTCTGCCTCCCAGTCTCACCATCCTCCTCCCACAGCCTCCCAAGTAGCTGGGACTACAGGCGCTCGCTACCATGCCAGGCTCATTTTTGTATTTTTTTGTAGAGATAGAGTTTTGCCATGTTGCCCAGGCTGATCTCAAACTCCTGGGCTCAAGCGAGCCACCTGCCTCAGTTTCCCAAAGTGCTGGAATTACACGCATGAGCCATAGTGCTTGGCTGGAAAGTCTATCAAATTTTTTAACCTGATTCTTATTATTAGATATTGATTTTAATGCTACTAGCAATGTTATCCTAACAGAACATTTCCAGTTATTACAGTGAATATAAAATTTGGATTATGGAATTGAATTTGTTGGTGTTGTCTGATGAAAAAAAATACTGCTCAAGAGTCAGGATCTAAATTCTGGAACATTGAATGAATGAATGGCCTTGTGAAAATTAATTTTTTTGAGCCCAGTTCTTCTTAATCCTCTGTCTTACCTAACCCCAAGATCCGATGATATACTAAAAGGAAGGGAAAACAATTTAAAAGGTTGTATAAAATTATAAATTCTTATATAGAAATACAGAGAAAAAAGGAAAGTTCAAAGTATACGTTTTTCATTCTATTAAAACATTTCTTCTGTTGATACATGGGGATCTAACTCAAGAATTCTAGAACCTTGAAATTGGAAGATACCATTTCAACTAAGTTGCAACATAATTTCCACAGTGTCTACTATTCAGTGTTCATGCTTCTGTAAGCGAGTTCATCATTTGCAAATATATCCAAGAGCAAGACTGGCTCTGACCTATTGGACTTACAGTCGCCAAACACCTCGCCTCAAGTATAAAGTGATAGTAATCATCATATTTTCCTCATGGGTTAGTAATGTGTGATGTAGTGGCATGACATAATGCCTTTAGTGACTTGGCATGGCATCTGGCACACAATAACTATTTAGTACATCTTAGCTATTAATATCAATAATAAGGACAAATTAAATATGTATTAAGTGTATAGCATTTGTATCAGTTCTTGGGGAAATATACTATGTTCACTTATTCCATATATTTTACTTTTATAAACCATTAACATATACAAAGGGCAGGTATTTTTAAATATACTTCTTATCAAAATACAACTTTAGAAAATATTCATTAACAGAAAATGCAGAAGTGAGAACTTGGTTTGTGTTTTATAATTTTAAGTATTTTGTAGACCATGAAATACTCTCAATATAAAAGGAAGGTAAAGAAATCAACAGTGTCATAAACTACAGTTGTATTTTTTTTATTATAGTAATCACAGACATCACCCCAAATCATTCTGTAAATATTTGGCAATGCTAGTTTTGTTACTCCATCAGATGAAATTATTCAATTTCCCTTAAAAATCATCCTTACATAATTTGAAAAACATATAATGAATACCACTATATATATATGTAAATATATATATGTTGTAGATATTGAGAGACACAAAATATCATCTCTTATCTAGAAATTTTCAAGTGTACATTGCATTAAAATTCTTAAAATGCAAAAGTAGTTTGCAAAGAGATCAAGTCCATATATACATGTAATAGTTTGAATGAAGGAAAAACTCTATATTGAGCTGAAATTCTTTGCTCCTTCATTCTTGCCCTCTTTGCCTTTCCAATTCTCTTGCTGTATCATTACCTTTCTTTAACTCCTGGTAGGAATTACACAATATGTTTAATTTCTCACCTCTGTCAGGAATAAGAAAGGAAATATGCAAGCTACAAATGCAGTAGCTGTTTTAGTGTCTGAGCCAAAAAAGCAAATCAGGATGTGTATAAGGGGTCCCGTTTTAACTGGCAAAAGCAATCTGTGTCCTGAGGGGATTTACAAGGCCATGGATACTCTGAGCTGCTGTACTCTTCTGTTCCCAGCCCTGTGGACCCTGGCATTCTGATAGGGCTCTAGTGTAGTTCTCCATATACTGATTTTCAGTGGCATTGGAGCCCATACTGCAATCTCAGCTTAGTTTCTGCCTGACTAGGAAAAGTAATGATTACTGTCGTTGAATCACTCTGCGTTATATCCACTTGGATTATCACATTGAATATTCATGCCCACCCTTTTGATGTAGTAAAAACTTGATCATAATCACGTCTAGTAAATGATGAATGTGGCATTTGTGCTCAGGCTTCTGTCTGACTTCAAAATCTGTGAGTGTGGCTATTTTTATTACAATGTCCTTCCACCTTAATGGAGCTATAGGAAAAGGAAATATTTTACAATCTCATACACTTTGAATACATCTGGGATTTCTCTTTCTTATCCAAAAGATACAAGAGTAGCCTGCAGAGAGGCTTAGGGATGACTAGACAGAAAGAGTATTGAAATATTTAATGAACCACATGCTGGAGTCATGTGCTAGGTACAGGGTTGGGTACTGGAGATTTGGTGATAAATTTTTCATTGTCCCCACCATTTAGTTGCTGGCAATGTTCTTGAGAGGCAGACATGCAGACAATGTGATACAACATATTCTGAAGTTCACCTGGGGACCCAGGCAAGACAACTGCACTATAATCATGGCTAGGTTAGGCAGGACAGCAAAAAAAAAATACCCAAAGAGGCAACTTCTAAATTGGTCCTTTAAAGTTAAAGAGGAGCTTGCCAGGCAGAGAAAGGAAAGTTAGATATAGGAATAGAACATTTCAGGCAGGAGAAATTTTATGAGCAAAGGAAACAAACTAAGGATCGCATTTATATAGTGAAAATTGGATAATTAAGTAGATAATGAGATTAAATGGAGAATATTAGACAAGATAGGAGAGTATAAAATTAGCCATAATTCCTTATTAGGATGGTATTTAAGGTAATTTTGTTTTTGTTTTGTGTTTGGAGCAGGGGGGAGAGGAAGGTGGGTAATAGAGAGGTTGCTTATGTTTATATTAGGAGCTCAAGAAAATATGTGCCAAAACTGAGAAGACCAGGTACTTAAAACTCTGTCAGACAATGCTTTGGCAATGCTTGGAGGTGAACAGCTATTCAAAAGCACTCTCTTGTGTTAAACTGGTGTTAACTTTGTAATGGCTTAAAATATAAGTTAAAATGTTACATTAATTTTTTCCAGTAATGCATTTTTTGTTTGCCTCACCCAATATAGATCCAAATAAGAGAACTTCTTGCATTTCCAGAAATGTCTGTAACATTGCAATAGCAGGTTTTGTTCTCATGGGCTGCTCTGTATAATTGGTTAGTTTGAAGGTTGGCATCTTTTTGTAGCTTGCAATATGAATTTTGGAGCTAAGGGTTTAAAAATGTGGATAAGGCAAGACGTCCCCTCCATTCTTTCTCGAAATGTTCCTGCTTCAAGTGACTAATCCTATTTTTGTAATGAAACGAGAATGATTTCTGTAAGTTTATTTTGTGGAATGAAAAAAAATGTTTGAGCTGTTTCATTTTGTATTCTTTAAAGCACAGAGCACGTTTCTGGCCTTTGGTTGAACTGATGAAGCATCCCAATCCAGCTGTAACTTTGCTATACTGCAGAGTTGGAAAATCTGTCAATATCTTCCTGCAAGTGAGCTGTTTTCATGTCTTAAACATGAATTTTGTGTGGTTAAAATCAGTTCATCACACCAGAGGCTTCTGTATTGACCTCTTGTGAAAAGTGGAATAATTTTTCTTGAAGGAACAATGCTGCATATTATAATACAAGTTTCAGAGGCATTATTTGAATTATCATAATTAGTTTTGAGAACCACATGAGGCACTGTGATCATTTTTGCTTCAACCATTAAACATAATTCTGAAAATTCCAGAGGTAAAGAGAAGTCTATATTATTTACCCACATTTTCACCCTTGCTTGTTTTTTTCTTCTTTTCTGGTGTTCCAAATTTCCTTCTTTTGTTATTTCCCAATAGTATGGGTAATGTGTCCTTTAAAATTTTCCCTAAATATTGTCTTTATCAAAGAACACTACATAATAGCTCTAACTTCCAACATATCTTCATTGTCATTAATAGGTACTAGGAGACATTATTTTAAAACATCTTGCTTGCTTCTCAGTATGTGATACAAAATTAGGATTTTATTGCTGCATGATTGGCTCAGATTTTCTGATGTGAGACAATGGGAGCAACGATGAAAGTGTTTGCATTTTATTCTAATAAATTTCAAATGGAAAATCTATTGAAATGTCCCCTTTCCTTCTAGAATCTCTACTGCTTATCTGTCAAATATAAATCAAGGTGGGCATACTTTAGAGTAAGAATCTCCTGAACCTTGGTGACTTTCTTTATAACTCTCTTTGCATTTTAGGCAGTATAATTATTAAATTTGTTGCTTTGACTTCAAAAATAAATAAGAGCTGTCACTCATCAATACACACATTATTCTATTAAAGGAATATATACACACACTCACTGTTTCACTTACTATAATTGTATAAAAATATGTGACAGAAAATAATAATTTTATTAGGTTTATGGATTCTTTGGGTCAAGAATTTTGAAAGATCACAGTAGTGATGGCTTACCCTTGTGCAAGAATGTCTGTAGCCTCAACCAGGAAATCATGAAATGACCTCACACCTGGGGTCTACAGCCTCAACCAGGAAGACATGAAATGACCTCAGACCTGGCAGCTGAAATCACCTGGAGGTGTCTTTATTCAGATGTGTGGTGGCTGGTGCTGGCTTTCATTGGGGACTCCAGCCCTGCTGTTAGCTGGAACAGCACCACACCTGACATGTCCATGCGGCCTCTTTGTATGTATTAGTTTGAGCTCCCTCACAGAAAAAAAAGCCAAGTGGAAGCTAGATTGCCTATAACCTAGCCTTGGAAGTCTCCTAACATAATTTCTGCCGAAGTCACAAACTCTCTCAGATCAAGTTGGAAGGAGTATCAAAGTCACACTTTAAGAAGAACATGTGGAATAAGAGATACTACTGTGGCCATTTTGGGAAAATGCAATCTCTCTCTCTCACACACACACACACACACACACACGTGAAATGTTTGAATTTTAGAAACAAAGATATCTTGTATTAGTATTTATTTATGCAAAACATTTTACCATTAATCTCTACACCTACTTAGATTTCTATGTTTTTTAATCTTTTTTTCTGTTTCTGCCAAAAGTAACACTCACTGTTAAATGTGAAAGAATATGGAAATATGTTACAAAATAATCTTTTTCTCAGTCTTCAATAATAGCTTTTGATCCTATCTCATACCTCTGTTCTATCCCTCTAGACATTAATCTCTATTGGCGCCAGTTAATAGTCCTCAAACGTAAATCTGATTGTATCAATCATAACTCTCTGATTTTTTTTTTTTTTTTTTTTGAGACGGAGTCTCGCTCTGTCGCCCAGGCTGGAGTGCAGTGGCGGGATCTCGGCTCACTGCAAGCTCCGCCTCCCGGGTTCACGCCATTCTCCTGCCTCAGCCTCCCGAGTAGCTGGGACTACAGGCGCCCGCTACCACGCCCGGCTAATTTTTTGTATTTTTAGTAGAGACGGGGTTTCACTGTGTTAGCCAGGATGGTCTCGATCTCCTGACCTCGTGATCCGCCCGCCTCGGCCTCCCAAAGTGCTGGGATTACAGGCGTGAGCCACCGCGCCCGGCCAACTCTCTGATATTAAAAAAAAAAAAAGTAAAGGAAAAGAGACAGCTCACAAGATTATTTTCCAAATCCTTAGAATGAAATTTTGGTTTGTTTTGTTTTTTGTTTTGAGACAGAGTCTTGTTCTGTAGCTCAGGCTGGAGTACAGTGGCGCAAGCTCAGCTCGCTGCAACCTCTGCCTCCCAGGTTCAAGTGATTCTTGTGCCTCAGCCTCCTGAGTAGCTGGGATTACAGGCATGTACCACCACGCCCAAGTAAATTTTGTACTTTTAGTAGAGATAGGGTTTCACTATGTGGGCCAGGCTGGTCTCAAACTCCTGACCTCAAGTGATCCTCCTGCCTTGGCCTCCCAAAGTGCTGGGTAGAATGAAATTTATTAAGACACTTCAAAATTGTCAAACTACCTTTGTTCCATTTTTCTTAAAATGGAATTTTCTCCCTCTAACCATTCATTGTTGTATAACTTACTTCCTAAGAACACATCTTATAATTTAATTACTCTATATCTTTTTTTTTTCTTTTTGTGAGACGGAGTTTCACTCTTGTTGCCCAGGCTGGAGTGCAATGGTGTGATCTCGGCTCACTGCAACCTCTGTCTCCTGGGTTCAAGCGATTCTCCTGCCTCAGCCTCCCAAGTAGCTGGGATTACAGGCATGCGCTACCACGCCAGGCTAATTTTTTTTTTTTTTTTTTTTTTTTTTTTTTTTTTTTTTTTTTTTTTTAGTAGAGATGGGGTTTCTCTATGTTGGTCAGGCTGGTCCCGAACTCCCAACCTCAGGTGTTCCGCCCGCCTCGGCCTCCCAAACTGCTGAGATTACAGGCATGAGCCACCGTGCCCAGCCAACAATTTCCTTTTTTCTAGATTGGTCTTCCTTTTCCTAAACTGTATTTCCCTTTATCTACCTGTCAAATATTTGGATTCTTCCATACCTAACTCAAGGTATGGCCATCTCTACCCCTACCTCCCCTCACATGGAATCATTTCATACAAATAATCTTTCAGAACTTACAGCATTGTAGCATTTGCTTACCTGCCTGATTCCTCTGTTACACTATGAGCCTTCTAAGGGTAGGAATCAAGCACTAGATAATAACATTTGTTCATCCATTTATACTGAGTATTTATATGCCATGAAAGATGATTAGCCATGGCAACTGATGGCAATTGGTTCCAGTCACCTCAAAGCTTGTAGGCTAATGTGGAAAAGAGACAACAGTAGACATATTTTTTCTTTGTCCTGCACA
This sequence comes from Homo sapiens, assembly GCF_000001405.40. Lineage (NCBI taxonomy): Eukaryota > Metazoa > Chordata > Mammalia > Primates > Hominidae > Homo > Homo sapiens. Next base: position 81,637,807 of record NC_000012.12, read on the forward strand.
TGTATCATGTGCCATATACCATGGTCTACTCTTCCACAAAAAAGCACAGTTTCAAATTATCTGGTTTTATTGAAAACAAAGAAAAAGGACATACATATCTTTAAAAGGTATAGGTATAGATTTTAAACGAGATATAATAATAAAATACTTACTCCCTTTCCACGAGCTATACGCTATCTTTTGCTCAGTCACAGAAGAAGAAAACTTGTATTCTTTTTCCCCATTACCCGACTATTTTTCCTAGTTATTGCTTCAAATGTCCTCTGCTTTGAAATTTATACATCACTATTTATTCCTCATTATTCTTCCTTCTTCTTGTCATCTCATCCTTTTCCCATTCCTCCCTAGTCACTTATGTCATTTAATATTGACTTTAACTCTTGAATAACTTCCTTATTTCAGCATCAATTCTTATCACCACCCTGTATGACTTGAAAATCTACTCAAGATCATCTGACTGCATGGCAGAACTATTTACTAAAATATAGAATGTAGGAGAAAAATAAGGGTAGTAATGAATTTGTACTTCAAGGTCTTATGTGCCATCCAAGTAAAGTGGATCTAGAGCTCAGAAAAAAACCTAAGGAATAAATAATATAAATATTTATAGATAAAGAGATAAGTTTATCTTCCTAGGAATTGATAATTATTATAGCTACAAAGAGAGCCATAAGTTAGATGATTTTTATGAAGAGAGAAAAGTAAAGAGTTGAGGATGAATCTTAAAGCAATGTTTCTTTGATCAATATAAGATGAATGCAAGATGATCGCTTTATAAATTTGGGATATGTACATAAGGATTTCTTAGGGTTCTGTACCTAGTATGGTAAAATAGAGACTGTAATTTCAGATTTTCTTGTTTTGTCATAAATTTTCTTTTTTTTTTTTTTTTTTTTTTTGAGACGGAGTCTCGCTCTGTCGCCCAGGCTGGAGTGCAGTGGCGGGATCTCGGCTCACTGCAAGCTCCGCCTCCCGGGTTCACGCCATTCTCCTGCCTCAGCCTCCCGAGTAGCTGGGACTACAGGCGCCCGCCACTACGCCCGGCTAATTTTTTGTATTTTTAGTAGAGACGGGGTTTCACCGTTTTAGCCGGGATGGTCTCGATCTCCTGACCTCGTGATCCGCCCGCCTCGGCCTCCCAAAGTGCTGGGATTACAGGCGTGAGCCACCGCGCCCGGCCTGTTTTGTCATAAATTTTCTTTCCCACTTTAATATACTTCAGAAATGTCTTTCCATATTTCTTCTCTAGTGTCCTGTCACTTTTCTTTTCCTTCCTTTGAAGGAAGTACTTGTTATTAAGGGAATTGTCCAAAGTCTTTAGTTTGTCAAATATGAAAGCCAGTAATCTTGTTCATCACTCAGTATCTCTCTCATGAAGAAACAAAATAAAACTGGAAAAGCAATAACAACTACCAGATGAGTAGTGTAGGAGTATGCTTAACTAGCATCAATTTCCCCCTGCTTTTTTTTCTTTTAAAACATGTTGCTCTAGATCAAATTTCCAAATACCATCTGCAAGAAAAACAACATTTAGCACATCTCTGACAAAAGAAAATAGAAACTACAATAGAACATTCACTCCCAAGCCTAGAAATATCCCCAACATATCAAAATACTACCCACAGCCTAGAAAAATAAAACACAACCACCCACATTTCTTCCCACCTCCAGCATGACTCAAACACACACATTCTTTTTAACCACAATTACAATTACAAAGAACATCTACTCGGTAAAAAAAATATATATATATATAGTATTCCTAAAGTCAGCAATAAAATATAATGTATTATGCAGTTACAACAGGTGAAATGTTTTTAGATTTAAATAAAGAAAGCTGAGATATATGTGTTTTTCATAAAAGTTATAAATGTTTTCTTAATTGATAAACAATATCATCTTTCACATAATATATGCTAAATCAATGTCTTTTGAATAGGACTGAAAATAACGATATAATATTTCACTGTAGAATTTGCATTGATATCGCAATACTAAATTATATACGTGAGGACAAGGTTGTTGATAATCTAGACAACCTCTGCCCTATGGTGAGCCATACAGGAAAGAATCTCCATTTAAGAAGCAAAACACATCACCCTAATAAAATGAATATAAGTTTGCTTTTGAAGGCAGCAGAAGATGCCAAAATTTCTTATATAAATTGAAATTATTATTTATACCTGCTAGTGCTACGTGTATACTCACTTATGAGGAAGGAGTGTTAGTTTTTGAAATATTTGAAGTTTCGGAAAACTTAGCTGTATTTAATGACCCTCAAATATGAGTATGATTATACATAAACATGTGTGTATATGTATCTAAATTTAATGTCTGTGTAACATTTGAAGGACTATCATAAAATTTTGGAGTGATTTATATTATGAATCCTGCATCTTATTGTTATTCAGTGAAAATACTCCCTGAAGAGTTCTTTACCTATACGATACATTGCAATGTGATAATCAAACACAGAAAGCAGGAGATACAAAAGAAGTCTGTAGAGGAATAAGATTCTAACAGTTGGTGATGATAGGAGTGACTAGAAACAGGATGAGCCAAAACTCAGAACGACAAACAACAACAAAATATCGTCTTATCCTACGTATCTAATCACACTTGCCAAATAATCATAATTTAATTTTCAAAATTCCTCAATATTTAGTTTTGGCTGCTTGCTCTTTTCCTTGCACAGACTTTTGCTCCATATTTTCTTTATTCACAACTTTTCAACTATCTTCTTGATATGGGGATCTTTATCTATGACTTCTATCTAAAACTCCAGTTTAAATTTTCTAGTGCCCCATCATCCATTTCCATTGACAGTACAATTAAACTTTGTCGAAAACAGAATTAATTTCAAGCGAGTTTTTCCTTCTGAGATGTGCTTTTGTTATAACCAGGATACTATTCACAATACTACCAAGAAAATATAAATCCTAAAAATAATAAACTCATGCCATTTTGAGCCCCTAGAACATTAAGTACATAGTTATTTATTTTGCTTGCATTATTTCATAATGCTCCTAATCACCCAATGAGCTAGCAACCATCATTTACAGTTTTTTTTTGCAAATGAAGAAACACATGAGACCTTAAAAAAAATTAAGTTGTTTGCATAAGCCTAGTTTTTAGGGAAGGGAATTGGTGATAAAATGAAATCGATTCTTTATTGATACATAATTGCACATATTTATAGGATACATGTGGTATTTTTATACATGTACATAATGTGTAATGCTCAAATCAGGGCAATTAAGGATATCCATAACCTCAAACGCTTTTCATTTCTTTGTGTTGGGAACATTTCAAATCTTCTCTTCCAGCTATTTTGAAATATATAACAGGTGTTAAATATAGTCTGGAATGGGTTTTAATCAAGGTCAACTTCACCGCAAGTATTTAACCACATAAATTTTATTATTTCTCATTAACTAAGTCACCTAGTTAAAATAATTTAACTAGGCTTTTCTCCCTTTGTCACTTATTTCATAGATTCCAAATCTCATTGATTATTATCTCACCATATGTAGCATTTCCACTTCCATGGCCACAATTCAGATTACAGCAAATTACAAAAGTGACCACAGTTCTTTACTGATCTGCCCATTGCCAAGGTACGCACACCTTGAATCTAACCTGTCCGGTGATTGACTGTGGCCCAAAGAATGCCCCAGAAGTGAGGCTGTATGAGTTCTGAATCTGTGTCTCAATAGATTTTCATGCCACTGCTCTCAGTCTGGAGCCACGGGCCACTGCTGCCTATTGAAGACACCTGGTCCAGCCTGTTGGGGGATGAAGGACCCCACAATATGATGAGTCGTCTCAGCTGAACCATTTTAGAACAGCCAGGTTCCTTGATCTGACAACTGACCACAGTCATATAAACAAGCCCAGCCAAGTTCACCTGAGCCTTGCCCACATCAGCAGAACTGCCCTGTAGAGCCAACCTCAAATTCCCACCCCATAGAATCATAGGTGAAATGAATATTTACTATTTTAAAACACTAAGTGTCTAAGGAGAACTAAGTGTCAGGGTGTCTTATTATGCATCAAAGTGTAGCTTATCCATTCAGGAAAACTCTGCTCTAGTCAAACTGAACTTCTTACTATTCTCCCACTTTTGTACTTGCATACTATATTTTAACACTTTCATATTCTTGCATTCATGTGTTACTGATTAAATTCATTGAATATTTTATCCTATCATATGACACAATTCTAGTTATCCAAGGCTTGCAGTATCAAATAATGGAGATGATTTCAATGATTTATATCATTGTTATATATATGTAGATATATACATGTATAGATAGGTGATAGATAAATGTATTGATATTTCAACTATATGATTTCAATTATATATATTTTATCTCAAAGACTCTGTTATAATAAGACTTATACACATATATACACACAAAAGCTTACATATCTGAAAGTTAAAGAGGTAAAACAAAAAAGTAGGAAAAATAGCAGATTAGCTCCAGTTATAGAACAACTTCTATGCAGAGTTATGTAAGATTTTATGCAGTTATTTTATCTCTCTGGCCTTAGCTTTTACATCTGTCAGAAAACTTATCACCCTCCTATGTTCCTATTTGTAACAAAAGAATTTTCTTGGAATGTTAATAATAATGTTAATAAAAACTGAAAATATATGCAGTTCCTTCCATGTTGCAACTATTGTACTAAAGAATGCTGTGTAATGTCCTTAGTACAGTGTTACAATAAGGGACAATGGATATAAAACAAGCATTGCCCCTTATTATAAAAGTATAATAATATATGTAATATATATATACACACACATAATAGATACTATATATCTATTATATACATACATGTATGTATCTATTATATACATACATGTATGTATCTATTATATACATACATGTATATGTATGTATGTATTATATACATACATGTATATGTATGTATGTATTATATACATACATGTATATGTATGTATGTATTATATACATACATGTATATGTATGTATGTATTACATACATGTATATGTATGTATGTATTACATACATATATAACATGTATTACATATGTGTTGTAAGAATGAAATGAACATATTTATGTTATATACACACAAATGTAAAAAATGTGTATATATAACATATGTAATAATATATGTAATATACACACATATATAAATTATATATCTCTTATGTGTATATAATATATATTTTATATAGTGTATATATCTATGACATTTATTATTACATGTTATATATACACGTATATATTTTACATATATGTTATATGTGTATATATATTTCATAAATATATTCATTTTATTCTTAAAACATATATATCCAAATTACTTAAAATATCATTATAAAAATAAAATATACTATCATTCAACACTCAATTCAGTTGGTTAAAAGTCAAAGGGATTATGATTTGAAACTCATTCAGAATAACTGTCACATATCTCTCTGAAGGATAGGTTTTCAATAGACATCAAGAAACTGAAAAATAAACACCAAAGACCCCTCAACCACTAAAATACTTTTGCAGACACCTTCCCTATAATTTCTATTAATTATCCTGCATAATGATTTCTAGTAATTACACAAAGTCCAATAAGTCTACAGCTTCTAGTTCTTTAGACTCTGGAATACTTTCATTAGATGCAACAAATTATGAATGAAAATAAGTCGAAGTAGAATGTTTACTTGAATTACATTTGGTAATAAGAATAGAGAGATAAATATTGTTATAACCAATCAATCCTGGTGGGCAGGATTATTTGAGTTATGGATCTTGGGAAAAAATAACGATATACAGGTTGGATGATGTGACAGTGAGATGGTTTCTTATCAGACTGAGTAACTGAATTTGGAGTCACCTGAAGGTAGGTTATCAAAATCAGGTGGGGAAAATCTGGCTCAACAAAATCCCATGTTTAAAACAATATATAATTTCATTATAAAATATTTTATTATTCTGCGATTTTGTCGTAGAAGAGTGATATGACTTGAGGTCTTCAAGTAGTAAGGTAATTTGGCATTCTAAAGCATAGAGTGATTTTAAAAGAGATAAAATCAATGTTCCTTTTCTGTTTGGGGAAGGGCTGTTTTCCAGTTCTGAGCTTCCCATTAAAAGAGGAATAGCAACAAACTTTTCCCCAATTTTCGAAAGCAAACTGAGATGAATTGATGTCAAATGGGAAACATTTAAAAGAACCAGCACCTTGACCAACAAAAATGTCAAGTTTTTTTGAATTAAATTCCATAAAATGTTATGTGCATTAAACATATGCTGTTAAAAATACAGATAATACACCACAGAAAGATTCTATAAAAATAATCATTTTTAAGGATACAGTAGTGTGTTGTATTATACCTTTTACATTATGATAAAATTTACTTTTGCTAGATAATCTATACCTCAGTATGGGTAAATGATGCATTACTATATTCTATTGTCTGAAAATCCATCAAGACTCACTCAGGCAAATAGAAATGATGTTTACATGAATATAGCTATCACATCGCTGGTTATATGTAAGTTGGTGAACACACTAAATATATCCCCTTAAGTTTGGATTCCTTATTTTTAAAATAAAGCTTTTCTAGATTAGGTCATATTCATAGTTCCTGATAGCTCTGTTATTTTAAGCTAAATCTTAGTTCTAAGATAATTAATACTTATAAAAAAGTAATCATTAGCAAGTACAATATTGCAGACTTGTATTGAGTCATAACATGAAAAACTGACAAAATTTTCAAATTCTATTTTCTACCTTTTTAGTTTTTTCTTCAGAAGTAGTATGGTGCTTTCTTTCTATACTAATTTAAAATAAATAAACTGTCAGTAATTTAAAACATTATTATTCTGTTAATATTTGTTTTCCATTTTCTGTAACATGGTTAAGCATGTGTTCCCACAAGGTGGTGCTCTTTATTTAAAAATTACAACAGGAAGCAGTTTTGTTCTATGTAAGCATAGTGCTCAATGATGATACAGATTGAGCATGATTTTAAGTCGCTAAATGAGCAGTGAAAATGCATTTATTACTGAAAACTTATTTTCATTTGATTTTTATTTTTTAAATGCTAAAAGTATAAAACATTTTGGTAGCAATTTCAGTTATTAAGAATTTAGAGGTTTTAAAAGTTCAGAAAATGCATAGTAGCCATAAACAAAAACACAAAGGGAGGAATAGTAAAAATAAAATTTTGGCTGGAACAGAAATTCTTCTCTGGAAATAAAGAAAAGCTAGAATATAACATAGAAATACTATATTTAAACCTTCTAATATTAAACTAAGTACAGAGGAGTCATATACTAAGCACACTTTTTTAACCTGAATTTAGGTATTCAGAAGGAAAAGGAAATAAAGAAAGAGAGATAAAGGGAAAGAGAGAAGGAAGGAAGGAAGGAAGGAGAAGAAAGAGAAAGAAGGAACTTTTAAAAAGAAATTGAATAGTGGTATTAATTTTACTCATCATATTTTTCAAATATTATATTTCCTGACTGTCTGGTCCCTCAGTTCCTTCAAGACTCATACAGTTTTACATCTCACCCTGCTGAGGCCCAACTTAATGTTCAATATTTTACATGATTTGCTTACACCACCCCTCAGCATAAACCAAATTATTTTTCTGGTAACCACCTAAAGGAAGAATAATATGCACCAATACTGAAAAAAAATAGATAAGAGTTTTATTTCTACTTCGGATGTAAAAAGTGTGAAGGGAATATTGATCCCAGGCTAAAAATGAGAAAGAGGTAGGTAATTCTGAAAAGTATTATTTTTTTCTTAAACATTCAGAAAGCTGAGTACTTAAGACGTCCCTCTGAGATGAACAAAATTCCAAAGGTTGACAAGTTCCTTTGAGGAAAGACAGGACACACAAACTGTTTAATTATCAGCAGAACATGGAGCCAAGTGAAAGCAGCCATAAAAGTGGGTAGTAGGGAGGCAAGTAACATTTTAAAAATTCTTAAGACCTAGCGTGGGCTATCATGAGAAGTCAGAATTCCTGAGGGCACCATTCCAAGGGAAGTCTGCACCTGCTTGGACACCAGCTCTTTTACAAGAGGGGTTCAGCTACTCCTGGAGACAGGTAGGAAAAGAGAACAAGACAATCTGCTGCTAGAGGAAGGGCAAGATCCTGTCTAGCATCCAACATTTAGTCCTGCTTTGATAACCAAAGCCATCTGCCCATGGGAGAGAGACAGGAAACCCTTCCATAAGACGCAGGCAAAGATTGGCTGCACTGGCAAAGAGACAGGAGACACTCTTACCCCTTCCTCCTAGGCCAAGGTCAGCTGCCATGAAGAAAGGTATAGAAGTCTTACTCCTCCAACCAGCCCTTTACAGTAGGAAAAGCCATCTGCTACTGAGGGAGGAGTAAGACACCAACTTAATTCCAGAATTCTACAATGATATAGTATATTGCTACAGGGGAAAGGCAGGAAATCAGCCTGTAGAAACACCCAATCATTCAAGGCAGAGGTCAGCTGTCTTGAAGGAGGGCTAGAAAACTTGATTGCACCCTAGACCCTCTAGAGAACAGGAAGGGAAATGAAGAAAGACCCAGTGCTGAGGTTTGGTGCAGAGAGCCAGCATAAGACTGGGGCTGGAGGAGAACTATGAAGTTCCAATCTCCCCTTTCCTTTGCTCCTACCATGAGACTGGCAGTAAGTAGGAAGCCACAATAGTCTATTGCTAGGGAAGGCACAGGAATGCAAAGAGAAAGCCCTCACTCCTCTTTCAACACAGTCATGCAAAGTCTTCTGAAAGTTAAAAATGGAAGAGGAACATTTTGACAAACCCTCTGACATTGCAATACTCATACAAATTATAACATAGGCGCAGTCCATAAAAGGAAGAATTTTAAGCCTGTGTTTCACTGAATGTGTCCATAGTGACACTAAAGCCCAAATCAAGCTCAACTACTTTCTGCTAACTCAAACTCCAAGTTACTGGCCTGTGAGATAAAGGGGAGTGGACATTCAGGAATACAAATATTTACCTCAGTGTCTTCTGTGTTTTTTAACCAATGCAATGTTTGGTATGGAAGGAAGGAGGGAAGGAATGAAAGAAGGAAGGGAAGGAGATGAAGGTGGGGGGAGGGAAGCAGGGAGAAAAGGAGGAAGGAAAAAAAGTTCTAGTGTAAAGCAACAAAATAGTCCATAGAACCAGAAACATAGAAATTCAGGATGATGACACTTTCAGGCAGAGATATGAAATTAAAAATTATGGATAATTTGAAGGAACTGGTTAAAAAAAAAGGGGGGGGGAGCGTGTATAAACAAATGGGGAATTTCAACACAAATTTGGAAACTATAAATAAAAGAATCAAATACAAATACCAGAAATTAAAAATTAATTATCAGAGATTTAAACATTCCCTTAATTGGGCTTAGTAGCAGACCAGACATAGTAGAGGAAAGATCAGTGAACTTGAAAATGGGTTAATAGGAGTTATCCACACTGAAGCATATTGAGAAACAAAATGGAAAAACAGAAAACAGAACATCTAAAAGCTGTAAGACAGTATCAAATGGTCTTATATGCAAATATATTTTCCAAAAATAATGAAAAAAGAACAAATCATACATTCAAAAAGTTCAGAGAATTCTAAGAATGATAAGAGGAAAAGCGTAACCAGAAAAATCGTAGTAAAATTATTAAAAACCAAATATGGCTGGGTGCGGTGGCTCACGCCTGTAATCCCAGCACTTTGGGAGGTCGAGGTGAGCAGATCACGAGGTCAGGAGATCGAGACCATCCTGGCTAACATGGTGAAACCCTGTCTCTACTAAAAGTACAAAAAATTAGCCGGGCGTGGTGGCGGGTGCTTGTAGTCCCAGCTACTCAGGAGGCTGAGGCAGGAGAATGGCGTGAACCGGGGTGGTGGAGCTTGCAGTGAGCCAAGATCGTGCCACTACACTCCAGCCTGGTCAACAGAGCAAGACTCTGTCTCAAATATATATATATATATAATATACATATAATATAATATATATTATATATACTATAAAATATATAGTATATATAATATATAATATAATATATAACATATATAATATAATATATATTATATATATATAAAATCTTGAAGACATCATCAAGAGAAAAAGAGGAACTATGATTAAAAATTAAAGGAGGCTTCTTGTCAGAAGCATTGAAAGCTAGAAGACAAGGGAGCAACACTTAACCAAAAGGAAAAAAAAAACTCAATCTAGAACTCTATAAATATAGAATATAATTTTATCCAGAATTACAGAAAAAGTATAATATCTCATGACCCATTATGTTTTAGTAAAGGAGTAAGGTTAGTTCAACAACTGAAATCAATGTATACAATTCACTGGAAAAGAAAAATCACATTATTTTCTCAATCAATAAAAAGCAAGAAAGACAAATTAATAAAATTAAAATCAATTCATACATACAAAAAAACTTTTAGAAAACTAGGAATAGAAAAGAACTTGCTCAGTTTAAAAGGGGAAAATTATTAAAATGAAATGAAACACAACAAAGTATAAAATTTCACAGCTGACATTCATCTATGTAAAAAAAGCTATTAGAACTAATAGTGTATACAGTAAGATTGCATGATACAAAGTTAATATAAAAAATCAATAGTAAGTTGATACACTATCAACAAAAAATGGAAATTAAAATATTAAAACAATTTTGAGAAAATTTTAAAAGACCTAAATAAATGAGAGGATATTCCATATTCATGGATCAGGAGATTAAATATGGGTAAGATATCAATTCTCCTTAAATTGATTTATATATCCTATGTAATCTCGGTGACTCTCATGCAGGGTTTTTTCTTTTTTTGTTTATGTAGAAATTGACAAGCTGATTCTAAAATTTACTCAGAACGTGAAGGCCTTTATTAAGTAAAACAATAAGGAAAAATAAGAACAAAATTGTAGCTCTTTCAAGGATTAGTATAAAATTGCAGTAATAATGACTCTATTATTGGCAAAAAGATAGACTTACAGATCAATGGAAAAGAAGAGAGTCCAAAACAGACCAAAACATATATGGTCACTTGATTTTGGCAAAATACTATGGTAATTTAAGGAAGAAATCATAGTTTTTTTTTAAAGAAATATAACTAGAACAATTGGCTAGCCATATGAGAAAAAATATTTACATGCCATACACAAAAATTAATCATTCACAGATCATAAGTCTAAATGTGAGAGCTAAATTCATAGATTCTAAAAGAAAAAGCAGGACAAAATCTTTGTCACCTTTATTTAGAGAAAAATTTCTATATAGGCCTCAAAAACAAGGAAAAAAATAAATTGGACTTAATCAAAATTAAAATTGCTCTTTGAAAGGCACTGTTAGAATAAATAAAAAGGCATGCAACAGATTCAGATAAAATATTTATAAAACACATATCTGATAATGGCTTTGTCCACTCACTACATAAAAGAACTCTGAAACCTCCATAACAAGAAGATTAAAAAGTAACTTTAATGGGCATATAGACAGCCAATAAATGCATGACCACATGTTCAATGTCATTACTTAACAAGAAATGGAAAGTGCAAACTGAATAAGATATGACATATCCACTAAAATGACTAAAATTAGGAGTGACAATACCAAGTGCTGCTGAGGTTGTGGATCAATTTAGAATTCTCATACATTATTGTTGATGATGCCAAATGACATTTCATTTTGGCAAATGTATGCCATTTTCTTACAAAGTTAAATATGCACTCATTGGAAAACATAGAAATTCTACTTGTAGGTATCTGCTCAAGAGGTTTTAATATATATTTGAATATTTAGAGCAGATTTGTTCATAATATCTGAAAATTAGAAATGGCCTTAATATCTATCAAATGGCAACTGGATAAACAAACTGCGGTATATGTATATAACAGAAAACTATTCAACAATAAAGAGGAACTATTTTACACTACTGATACCGCAAAACCATAGAAGAATCTTAAAAGCATTGTGCTAAGTGAAATAAGTCATATTGTGTGATTCCTTTGATATAAAATTCCAGAATTGTCAAAACTATCATGACAAAAAGTAGATCAATGGTTGATATGGTATTAGTGTCAGTATAGTCTGACTCAAAAGGGGCCCAGGGAAATTTTTAGGGCCATGGGAATGTTCCATATATTGATTGTCATGGTGATTAAAGAACTACATACATTTTTCAAAACTAATCAAATTATGTTTTTGTTTTTGTTTTTTTTTTTTCCTGAGACGGAGTCTTGCTCTGTTGCCCAGGCTGGAGTGCAGTGGTGCGATCTTGGCTCACTGCAAGCTCCGCCTTCCAGATTCACGCCATTCTCCTGCCTCAGCCTCCCCAGTAGCTGGGACTACAGGCGCCCGCCACTGCACCCAGCTAATTTTTTGTATTTTTAGTAGAGACGGGGCTTCACCGGGTTAGCCAGGATGGTCTCGATCTCCTGACCTCGTGATCTGCCCACCTCGGCCTCCCAAAGTGCTGGGATTACAGGCGTGAGCCACCGAGCCCAGCAAAATTGTGTATTTTTAAAAATGTGGATTGTACTCTTTCTCTATTGTACCTGAGTAAAAAAATTAAATATACCGGATAACTTGTACTATTAGTCTTTAACATGCCTTCTTTCTAAAGGATTTTCAAAAATAATTTGAGTATTTTTCATTTTTTTCTTAAGGCTTTCAAATAAAATCCCTAATGCATAAGAGCAAATCTACCATGTATAGACTTATATCCTATAGGAAATAAGAGAAAGAGAATGTTCTGGAGCAAGGGAATGAAATTAAATGTATAATTTAGGGAGGTAAAACTAGATTAGTTTAGGGAGGTAAAACTAGATTGCTGAGGTTGCAGGGTAGGCACGGGTTGAAGTTTAGAAACCTATGCAATATTTCTCAAATAATCAATTTTTTCCTCTTTAATTCCAAGTGGAAGATTAAGAATCAAAAGAAATATTTGGCCTGAAGCCAGAGATTTTAGATTTAGCTACCTGCAGTGGAAGCTATGATTGTTCTTGACCACCGTAAAAATGTAGGTAGGAACGAAGAGAAACATATGGCCAAAGACTGAATTTCAAGACAAGCTCACTGAATACAGTGGGAGAAAGGAGTCTCCAGGCAGAAATAGAACAGTTTTAAATTCTACGGAGAGGGCAAGAGAAGTGAAGAATGAAATTAGGTCACTGGATTCAATTATTACAGATACAGATATAATTTTCAAGCATTCTGTTTTAGATGGAGGTTAAAAATCTTTTCACATAAAATGGAGGGAATCATAGTTGAGAGACTGTAGTAGGAGATATAATGTACTAATTTGAGGAATCTGGCTATATAGTAAAGCTGTAGACCCCAACTGGGAGGATATTATAGTTTCATAAAAGGATCTTCAGCATAGGGGACATTCCAAAGCAGAGAAAAGTGAGTTAATGGAAAGGAAGAGACTGCTGGAGGGAAAAGGAATATCTGAAGGTTTAAGTTCCCCCAAGGAGCTGGGAGATAAATGAGAGCAGTAACATGGGTAAAAACCAAGAGAGATGGAAAAACTGTTCTAATCTATTAAGATGTAAAACAGAGATTTATTCTTCCTGCAGGCAGAAACATTAACAAAACTTTTTTTTTCAAAAAAATTTGAGTAAATAGTTGAAAGTCAATGTATCTGTATTGTATTACACTTACATGACCAAAACTTAAACATGCTATTTTCTTTTTGTCTTTTCTTTTCTTACTACTCTCTCTTTCCCTCTACTTGACTCTTTCCCTCAAGGTCAGCTTCTGATGTAATGATTCAAAATTGTGTTACTTCAGTGGTGTTATGACTGAATGCTACAAGAGTCTTAAAGTCTTCATTATAGTTACCAAAAGATTATCACAAATCCTCACATAACAGTGAAATGCAAGTTTATTCTTACAGATGAGAAAACTGATGCTCTGTGAGAATAAGTGGCTTGTCTAAAATCAAAGAGCTCATAAGTGATAAAATTGGAATTAAACTCTTGGGTCATTTCTTAGGACTTCATTCCTATCTCACATAACCACAATATTCAAGAAATATTATCTGTTTTGTTCTTTCCTTTGGTATTATTGGCTTTTGAAGATAGCATCCCCTTGTGATTAATTACAAAGAGGAGTTTCCACAGTTGACAGTTTTGACCAGCCAAAAGAAAACTAGTGATCTTAATTCCATTTCTGCCAATAACAAGATGCGACCGTAGGCAGGTTATTTGCTCTTTCTGAACGTTGATTTCTTTATTTGTAAAGTAAGGTATACAGTTATACAGTCTGTAAGATCTTTTCTAGTTCTACATTTCTATGAGTCTAAAAGTAGGATGACTGTGAAAGACCAGTTCTACCTTGGAGATGAGCCAAATTTGAAATTGGCTATTTGTTTATAGCCTTCTTCACTCTTCACTTGGATTTTACATATAAATGCTATTTTTAAAAAGTCATACTAGATAAACTGGCTGCAAAATTTAAAACAGAATACCATTGAGGTTTTCGGCTCATGAAGCTATAAAAAGCAGTGTGAACTATAATTGTGGCCTTACAAAGTTATCATTGGCGATTTGCTTCAGAATTTCATTTCCATCTCATCTTACATAGTAAAAAAAACAACACAAAGACTAAAGACCCAGAAATCTCAGAGAGCTACTCAGAATGTATTGCTGAGGAAAATTTTCCCTAAGATATTAATTAGGTAGAAAGTCCTGAATGCAGTCATTTGACTAATTAATCCTCATTTACATAAAAATAAATCAGTTATATCAATTACTGTGGGGCAATAGAATGTGGTTCCCCACCTCCCCGTCTTTCCTTCTGTAATATAAGATTCATACATTTTCTTCCTGACAGCTAGTTATTTAGTGTCCTTTACTGCACATTTTTCCTCTAATTTGCTTCATTGTTGGTTTGGTCTTAGATTTCTTTCCTCCCATCTTTCTACTTGCTCTTTGTAGATGGTCTCACTATTCCCATATCATTATATATTATTTACATACTGTTATCCCTGAAATTTACATCTCAATCCATATGAAGAATTCACCTACGCCAAACTAAAGAACATTGCCCTTTTCTTCCCACTCCCAACCCCACCCAAATCTTTCTTATGTTCTCTGTTTTGGTAAATGTCATGAGCATCTATCCAGTAGTTCCCCAGACTTAGGAGCCATCTTTAATTTTCCTCAATATACGAATCCAACCCATCAGCAAGTCCCCAATTCTAACTTCATAATATATCTCAACCCAATTCACTTCCCTACTGCTATGACCCTAAACCAAACTCCCACCACTTACCTGAACTCCTGTATTAGCCTAGCCCTTTACCAGATTCTTTTTGGTTCAGTCCTTGTTCTATTTCACTTAATTTTAAGAGCAACCAGCATAATATTTTTAAAACATAAATCTTGTCATGTAATTCCATAGTACTTCCACTTCCATCATTTTCCATAGTACTTGGAATAAAATCCAGACTCCTACAGGACCTAGCATGATTAGCTGTTGCCTCTCACTCCAATACCATTTTATGCCACTTTGCCTTTAGCTCACTACATTTCTGTCACAGTTAGATCCTTTGTTCCTTGTCTTAGTATCTTAGTGGTGCTGTAGCAAATTACCACAAATGGATCCCAGACATCCAAAACCAAGTTGTCAGTAGATTTGTTTCCTTCTAAAAGCTCCAAAAGAGGATCTCTTCCATGCCTCCCTCCCAGATTCTGGTGGTTGTTAGCAATCCTTGGCATTCCATAGATTGTAGAGGTATCACTCCAATCTCTGTCTCCATTTCAGATGGCATTCTCCTGCACCAGTCATTAGATTTAGGGCCCAACCTAAATCCAGGTTGATTTCAAGATCTTTAACTAATGGCATCTATAAAAATCATATTACCAAATAAGGTCACATTCTGAGGTTCTAGGTGGATATAAATTTTGAGGGGACAATATTTAACCCACTGCATTTCTTCTGCTATTTCATCTCCCTGATCTTCAGATGGTCCATCTTCTGAAAATCACTTCCTCAGAGAAGTCTTCCTTGATTTCCTTCCTTTCTTCATCATAGCTCCCTGCTGTTTCCTTCACAATGCCAGCCAAACAAGTATCATTTCAGTGGCATAGTTTGTATATAATATATGTATATGTGAATACATACTAAATATAGATATGAGTAAACATATAAATATAGTAATATGTGCGTATAAGTGTATATACTTTGTGTTATCAGCTAAGAATATGGGAACATTTCTTAATTTAACTGTCATGGCATATACTCAAAAAAAGCCAGTAAACAACTGGAGTATTCAAGGAATGGAAAAAAATTAAAAAAAAATCATCTGTAGAATGAAAAGTACTAGCGAAGAAGAAAAAAATTTAAAAAATCTGTGGATTTAAAAAATAATAATAAAATGAGAAAATAATGTAAATGTAAAGAAAAGATACAGAGTGATAACACCTTGTATTATATAAGATGTTGAAAAAAACATCTATTTTATACTGATTTTTTTTCTTAGGCTGAGAGATAGTAAGTCCCAATATTAACAAATGTAAAATAAACAAAACATAATTGTAAGTAAAAACTGCGAGACACTTGATCACTATTTTAAAAGCCTACTAACATAAAATCCTAACTAATTACTATCAACGATGTATGGATCTTGGTGATTTGTTTATAGAATTAAATTTCTGCACAGAAGAACAAAACAAAAAGAATTGCTTCATAAGTCTTCCTCCTAGCATGTTTTTCTGGCTATATAATGAGTATATAGACCTAGCATTTATGGAATAAACCCAACTATCTCCTGAGGTCATATTCTGTGTATTGCTTCATTTAATTAACTAATTATAAAATAAACATGAGCTCCAAAGGAGACCGTAAGCTCCAGATCAGAAAGCAGCCACACCAGCACCTTAATTGCAGTCCATTAAACACTAAGCAGAGGATTCATCTAAGATGTTCCCAGACTTCTGACTCCCAGAAACTGAGATTGTTATTTTAAGTCATTAAGGTTGCGTCAATTTGTTACGCAGCAATAGAAAATGAATACACCTAATAAAACAACTTGGGAAGCGCTTCTTCTTTTTAACTGTCTGTTAGAGCTTTTAATAGGTGGTATAATTCCTTCCTTAAATGATTGTAGAATTCACTGGTGAAGCCATTTGGTCCTGAAGTTTTCTTTGTGAGAGGAGATTTTTAATTGAAGATTTTTTCTTTTATGTGAAGTATCACCTGAATTTTTTATTTCTTGAATTAACTTGGTTGAAGTGTGTTTTTCTAGGAATTTGTCCATTTCATCCACAATTTTAGATTCATCAGTATAAATTCTGTTGAAAATATCGTCTTATCTTTGATTGTCTGTAGGACCTATAGTGATATACTCTTACTGAGTTCTGCTATTGTTTATCTGCACCTTCTCACTTGTTTATTTGATGAACCCGCCAGAGAGTTGTCAATGTTAATTTTCCCCCAAAAATCAACTTTTGCCTTTATCCTCTATATTAAATATTCCAATATATTTTATTAATTTCTGCTACTAACACCATTATTTTTTTCTATATATTTTAGGTTTTATTTACTTGTTTTTCCCTAGGTTCTTAGATTAAATGTTTATATAATTGATTTTTAGCCTTTATTTTTCTAATACATATTTTTAAAAATATATTATAAATTTCTCTCTAAGTTGGGTTTTAACTGCCTTCCACATGTGTCAATATGTAGTATCTCAAAATGAATCAAAAAAATTCTTATTTGTACTTGAATTATTTTTTGGCCAATGGGTTAATTAGAAGTGTCTATCTTGTTTTCCAAAAATTTTAGCACTTTTTAGTTATTATTTTTAAAATTTTCATGTTTAGTGTTAACTACTAGCTGAACTCTGCTGTTAAAAGAAAATGTATTCTATATGATTTCAATTCTTTGACAATTAATGTGTTTATCTGTATATGGCCTTCATTTGGTCAATTTGGGGAAATAAAGTAAGCGCTCTATATATGTCACCAAGGCCAAGCTTATTTATCACATTGCTCAGATTATTATCTTTACAGACTTTATATTCTAGTCCAATCAGATCTGCGGAGAAGTAAAATAAAATGTTCTACCATGATTGAGGCTTTTCTATTCTCCTTTTGATTCTGTTAATTTTTGTATGTATATTTTAAATATATGTTATTAGATGTATAAACATTAAAAATTTTTCTACCTACCTGGTACACCAACTTCAATATTGAAAGCTCTCTTTTTAAATCTATTATTTTTTGAAAGACCATGGTTATTGACATTAATGTAGTTATGTAGGCTTTTTAGTTAGTATTTTATGGTATACCTTTTCTATCACTTTAGTTTCAACCTTTATTTAATTATCATATTTGTTCTCTCTTATCTGTTATTGTCTGTAGGATCTAGCTGCTCTTCTCGAGGAGTATCTTTGTGGCGTATTTTAGAATTTTTTTGTAAATACATGGTTTCAAAAACATTCTTGAATTTTATCTTGAATTGACCATTTTTCTACTTATATTTAATGCAATTTCTTACATGCTTTTGTTTAAAAGTTAGAATGATGATGTTGGTTGTAATCAGTTTTTATTTAAATTCTTGACCTGTTAGAGAATGGTGATTTAAATTAGGTGAAATCTAGTGTTTCTGAATAGGTGTATGCGGAAGATTTCTCCAGACTTCGCCATGCACAATATGTCCATGTAACAAAGCTGCATTTGTACCCCCTAAATCTATAACTCAAGAAAATAAATAAAAATAATTTTGCAGAAGGAGTTGTCAATAGAAGAAAAATAGTCATTCATGTAGATTAGCCATTGTAATCTGTGATAAAGGAAAGAAAAATTTTTAAAAATAGGATTTTCTATAAAAGTTCTCACCATGCTTCAATCAAAATATAAATTATGTCTATGAGTAAAATATAAGAATATCCAGAGAATTTATTATATAAATGATTTAGTTACTTTCAGAGAACTTTGGTGAACTCTTTTGGTAAAATATTAAATATTAAATATATATAATTTTAACTCCTCTTCCTATAATACTTATAAATCTTCTAAATGTACTTTAATAGATTAAAATACCTCTTTGAAAAATAATTTAATAGCCGATCATAAAATCTTTAGGGCATATTCCTATTATGTGGTATTCTGGAATCAACATAGATTTTAATTGTAAGTAATAATTCTGCAGAATCTCAACTTTAATTTATTATGAATATACAATCAGATCCATTTTTAAAGTGCCTGTAGTGGTTATAATTAATGTTAAGTGAAAAAAATGCATAAATTTCACGTTTTGCTGATTAATGTTTCCCTGACTGTAAGCACTTGAAAAGACTGTCTAGTTACAGAAGAAAAGCTAGAACAAGTTATTTTCCTTCCAGATGAGTGCTCCTTAACACAGAGACATAGCTCCCCTGGGAAGGTTAATGCTGCCGCCAATCTTCTGGAGACCCAGAGAGGGGAAAGGGAAGAATCCCAAGCCAAAGAGGTTTGCAATTTCCTACAAAGCCAAAGTTTAATGAATACTAATGACAGAACAGGGATGGATCCTTGGAAAACTAGCTCATTTCTTATCTTGCCAAAAGAGATAGAATGCAGTACCAACTTACTGGGGTCCATGGAGAAGCAACAGAAGCTACCTTGGACCTGTACACGTCCTGTTGCCTCGGGCTATCCTGGAGATTGGCCTTCAGACTCACCTTCTTAGAGAGCCATCTTCATTCTTTCTGGAATGACTAAGCAAGTATCAACCCTAATCTAACTGAGATTGAACAGGCTATTAGGCTACACAGTCACAGGGAGGATGTTTAGGGTTCCCTAGAAAAAGTAAATAATTTTGAAAAAGATTTCTAAGAATCAATTTCAATTTTATTTTCTAAATAAATTTGGCAATTAAATGCAAACTGATGTACCTTAAACAGTTGCAGTAGCTAGCTTTTGTAATTGCTAAAGTCTGTAGAATTGAAATACCTTTGGACCAAGAAAAGAAAGATCCTTGATTTATTCCCATACATAATGAAGATCTTAATGTAATGCAAATTAGTTATTTAAGACCTGGTTCAACATCTACCTCTCAAAACAAGTCTTCCAAAAAAATAAAAATAACCCCCCCAACCCAAATTACCATGATTATTTCCATATAATGCAAAATTAATCATTTATTTATGTACTCATTTTTACACTTGTTAATCATGTGTTAAAAAGAAATGATTGCTGGCTGGGTGTGGTGGCTTACACCTGTAATCCCAGGGAGTGGGAGGCCGAGGCGTGTGGGTAACCTGAGGTCAGGAGTTTGAGACCAGCCTGACCAACAAGGAGAAATCCCATCTCTACTAAAAATACAAAATTAGCTGGGCATTGTGTCATATGCCTGTAGTCACAGCTACTTGGGAGGCTGAGGCAGGAGAATCACTTGAACCCAGGAGGCAGAGGTTGTGGTGAGCCCAGATCGTGCCATTGCACTCCAGCCTGGGCAACAAGAGCAAAACTCCATCTCAAAAAAAAAAAAAAAAGAAAAGAAAAGAAAAAAAAAAATGATTGCTAACCAATTAGAGTGCAAAAATTTAAAGTAAAGGGTCAATATTTTTTATTTTTTATAAAGTGCTAAGAATAGTACTAAGTGTACAACAGACATTACTAATATGCTTTCTCTATAAGCCTTTATCTTTACTTCATATTTTTCACATTTTAATGAGTAATTATATGTATAAAGCTGTATTCATCCATCTGTTTTTTCCAGAAAAACATCTATCTTTGATAAAAAGTAAAAATCGTTTAACTTTATTGTGTTAGATGAGAACAGTCTAATTAGAAACCAGTCTCTTGTTAAGAATTTAAAAGATCAAGAAACCTGTTCTATTTGCTGTAGAAGAATATACGTATATATGTGTGTGTATATGTGCATACATATACATATATGATATATAAAAATATGTTACATATGTTTTATATATGTTTAAGGGTTGTATATAAATGCCTTCCAACTTACATGCAAAGAAACAAATGTATGTCTAATAAACATAAATAGAAAAGGAAGGGAGAAAAAAAGAACAAAATACAAACATTTGCAATTTCTATGGTTAAAATGATATTTCCATTTTTGACAAAACTATGGAATTCTAGGGAGCAAAAACACTTGAAGTAAAATAATTTATATTGCACTTTAAATAATTTAACCAGGAAGTTGAATATATATTAATATTTATTTTGCATATTTTGCCCTATTTCATTAACACTGATTTTCCTTCACAAGCCTTTCTTTAAATACCTTTTTCCTTTAGATTAGTTATAAATTAACAGTACAACGGAGGGCGGTTCCAAGATGGCCAAATAGGAACAGCTCCAGTCTACAGCTCCCAGCATGAGCAATGCAGAAGACGGATGATTTCTGCATTTCCAACTGAGGTACTGGGTTCATCTCACTGGGGATTGTCAGACAGTGGGTGCAGGACAGTGGTACAGTGCACCAAGTGTGAGCCGAAGCAGGGCGAGGCATCACCTCACCCGGGAAGCGCAAGGGGTCAAGGAATTCCCTTTCCTAGCCAAGGAAAGGGGTGACAGACAGCACCTGGAAAATCAGGTCACTCCCACCCTAATACTGCACTTTCTTAGCAAACGGCACACCCAGAGATTATATCCTTCACCTGGCTCGAAGGGTTCTACGCCCATGGAGCCTTGCTCATTGCTAGCACAGCAGTCTGAGATCAAACTGCAAAGTGGCAATGAGGCTGGGAGAGGGGCGCCCGCCATTGCTGAGGCTTGAAGAGGTAAACAAAGCAGCGGGGAAGCTAGAACTGGGTGGAGCCCACTGCAGCTCAAGGAGGCCCTGCCTGCCTCTGTAGACTCCACCTCTGGGGGCAAGGAATAGCCAAACAAAAGGCAGCAGAAACCTCTGCAGACTTTAATGTCCCTGTCTGACAGCTTGGAAGACAGTACTGGTTCTCCCAGCATGCAGCTTGAGATCTGAGAACGGACAGACTGCCTCCTCAAGTGAGTCCCTGACCCCTGAGTAGCCTAACTGGGAGGCACCCCCTAGTACGGGCAGACTGACACCTCACACGGCCGGGTACCCCTCTGAGACAAAACTTCCAGAGGAATGATCAGGCAGCAATATTTGCTGTTCACCAATATTCGATATTCTGCAGCCTCCACGCTCCAGGCAAACAGGGTTGGAGGGAACTCTGGCAAATTCCAACAGACCTGCAGCTGAGGGTCCTGACTGTTAGAAGGAAAACTAACAAACAGAAAGGACACCCACACCAAAACCCCATCTGTACATCACCATCATCAAAGACCAAAGGTATATAAAACCACAAAGATGGGGAAAAAAGCAGAGCAGAAAAACTGAAAATTCTAAAAATCAGAGCTCCTTTCCTCCTCCAAAGGAACGCAGCTCCTCACCAGCAACGGAACAAAGATGGATGGAGAATGACTTTGACGAGTTGAGAGAAGAAGGCTTCAGATGATCAAACTTCCCGAGGTAAAGGAGGAAGTTCGAACCCATGGCAAAAAAGTTAAAAACCTTGAAAAAAGATTAGATGAATGGCTAACTAGAATAACCAATGCAGAGAAATCCTTAAAGGACCTGATGGACCTGAAAACCTTGGCACGAGAACTACGTGACAAATGCACAAGCTTCAGTAGCTGATTCGATCAACTGGAAGAAAGGGTATCAGCGATGGAAGATGAAATGAATGAAATGAAGTGAGAAGAGAAGTTCAGAGAAAAAAGAATAAAAAGAAAATAACAAAGCCTCCAAGAAATATGGGACTATGTGAAAAGACCAAATCTACGTCCCATTGGTGTACCTGAAAGTGATGGGGAGAAAGGAACCAAGTTGGAAAACACTCTGCAGGATATTATCCAGGAGAACTTCCCCAATCTAGCAAGGCAGGCCAACATTCAAATTCAGGAAATACAGAGAACGCCACAAAGATACTCCTCGAGAAGAGCAACTCCAAGACACATAATCGTCAGATTCACCAAAGTTGAAATGAAAGAAAAAATGTTAAGTGCAGCCAGAGAGAAAGGTCGGGTTACCCACAAAGGGAATCCCATCAGACTAACAGTGGATCTCTCGGCAGAAACTCTACAAGCCAGATGAGAGTGGGGGCCAATATTCAACATTCTTAAAGAAAAGAATTTTCAACCCAGAATTTCATATCCAGCCAAACTAAGCTTCATAAGTGAAGGAGAAATAAAATACTTTACAGACAAGCAAATGCTGAGAGATTTTGTCACCACCAGGCCTGCACTAAAAGAGCTCCTGAAGGAAGCACTAAACATGGAAAGGAACAACCAGTAACAGCCACTGCAAAAACATGCCAAATTGTAAAGACCATCGAGGCTAGGAAGAAACTGCATCAACTAACGAGCAAAATAACCAGCTAACATCATAATGACAGGATCAAATTCACACGTTAACAATATTGACCTTAAATGTAAATGAGCTAAATGCTCCAATTAAAAGACACAGACTGGCAAACTGGATAAAGAGTCAAGACCCATCTGTGTACTGTATTCAGGAAACCCATCTCACGTGCAGAGACACACATAGGCTCAAAATAAAGGGATGGAGGAAGATCTACCAAGCAAATGGAAAACAGAAAAAGGCAGGGTTTGCAATCCTAGTCTCTGGTAAAACAGACTTTAAACCAACAAAGATCAAAAGAGACAAAGAAGGCCATTACATAATGGTAAAGGGATCAATTCAACAAGAAGAGCTAACTATCCTAGATATATATGCGCCCAATACAGGAACACCCAGATTCATAAAGCAAGTCCTTAGAGACCTACAAAGAGACTTAGACTCCCACACAATAATTATGGGAGACTTTAACACCCCACTGTCAACATTAGACAGATCAATGAGACAGAAAGTTAACAAGGATATCCAGGAATTGAACTCAGCTCTGCACCAAGCAGACCTAATAGACATCTACAGAACTCTCCACCCCAAATAAACAGTTTATACATTCTTCTCAGCACCACACCGCACTTGTTCCAAAATTGACCACATAGTTGGAAGTAAAGCTCTCCTCAGCAAATCTAAAAGAACAGAAATTATAACAAACTGTCTCTCAGACCACAGTGCAATCAAACTAGAATTCAGGATTAAGAAACTCATTCAAAACCACTCAACTACATGGAAACTGAACAACCTGCTCCTGAATGACTACTGGGTATATAACGAAATGAAGGCACAAATAAAGATGTTCTTCGAAACCAACGAGAACAAAGACACAACATACCAGAATCTCTGGGACACATTTAAAGCAATGTGTAGAGGGAAATTTATAGCACTAAATGCCCACAAGAGAAAGCAGGAAAGATCTAAAATTGACACCCTAACATCACAATTAAAAGAACTAGAGAAGCAAGAGCAAACACATTCAAAAGCTAGCAGAAGGCAAGAAATAACTAAGATAAGAGCAGAACTGAAGGAGATAGAGACATAAAAAAACCCTTCAAAAAATCAATGAATCCAGGAGCTGGTTTTTGGAAGAGATCAACAAAGTCGATAGACCACTAGCAAGACTAATAAAGAAGAAAAGAGAGAAGAATCAAATAGACGCAATAAACAATGATAAAGGGGATATTACCACCAATCCCACGGAAATACAAACTACCATCAGAGAATACTATAAACACCTCTATGCAAACAAACTAGAAAATCTAGAAGAAATGGATAAATTCCTCGACACATACACCCTCCCAAGACTAAACCAGGAAGAAGTTGAATCTCTGAATAGACCAATAACAGGCTCTGAAATTGAGGCTATAATTAATAGCTTACCAACCAAAAAAAGTCCAGGACCAGATGGATTCACAGCCGAATTCTACCAGAGGTACAAGGAGGAGCTGGTACCATTCCATCTGAAACTATTCCAATCAATTGAAAAAGAAGTAATCCTCCCTAACTCATTTTATGAGGCCAGCATCATCCTGATACCAAAGCCTGGCAGAGACACAACAAAAAAAAGAGAATTTTCAACCAATATCCCTGATGAATCTCAATGCAAAAATCCTCAGTAAAATACTGGCCAACTGAATCCAGCAACATATCAAAAAGCTTATCCACCATGATCAAGTGGGCTTCATCCCTGGGATGCAAGGCTGGTTCAACATATGCAAATCAATAAATGTAATCCAGCATATAAACAGAACCAACAACAAAAACCACATGATTATCTCAATAGATGCAGAAAAGGCCTTTGACAAAATTCAACAGCCCTTCATGCTAAAAACTCTCAATAAATTAGGTATTGATGGGACATATCTCAAAATAATAAGAGCTATTTATGACAAACCCACAGCCAATATCATACTGGAAGGCATTCCCTTTGAAAACTGGCACAAGACAGGGAGTCCCTCTCTCGCCACTCCTATTCAACACAGTGTGGGAAGTTCTGGCCAGGGCAATCAGGCAGGAGGAGGAAATAAAGGGTATTCAATTAGGAAAAGAGGAAGTCAAATTGTCCCTGTTTGCAGATGACATGATTGTATATCTAGAAAACCCCATCGTCTCAGCCCAAAACCTCCTTAAGCTGATAAGCAACTTCAGCAAAGTCTCAGGATACAAAATCAATCTGCAAAAATCACAAACATTCTTATACACCAATAACAGACAAACAGAGAGCCAAATCATGAGTGAACTCCCATTCACAATTGCTTCAAAGATAATAAAATACCTAGGAATCCAACTTACAATGGATGGAAGGACCTCTTCAAGGAGAACTACAAACCACTGCTCAACGAAATAAAAGAGGATACAAACAAATGGAAGAACATTCCATGCTCATGGATAGGAAGAATCAATATCATGAAAATGGCCATACTGCCCAAGGGAATTTATAGATTCAATGCCATTCCCATCAAGCTACCAATGACTTTCTTCACAGAATTGGAAAAAACCACTTTAAAGTTCATATGGAACCAAAAAAGAGCCCACATTGCCAAGTCAATCCTAAGCCAAAAGAACAAAGCTGGAGGCATCACACTACCTGACTTCAAACTATACTACAAGGCTACAGTAACCAAAACAGCATGGTACTGGTACCAAAACAGAGATATAGACCAATGGAACAGAATAGAGCCCTCAGAAATAATGCCACACATCTACAACCATCTGATGTTTGACAAACCTGACAAAAACAAGAAATGGGGAAAGGATTCCCTATTTAATAAATGGTGCTGGGAAAGCTGACTAACCATACTTAGAAAGCTGAAACTGGATCCCTTCCTTACACCTTATACAAAAATAAATTCAACATGGATTAAAGACTTAAATGTTAGACCTAAAACCATAAAAACCCTAGAAGAAAACCTAGGCAATACCATTCAGGACACAGGCATGGGCAAGGACTTCATGTCTAAAACACCAAAAGCAATGGCAAAAGAAGCCAAAATTGGCAAATGGGATCTAATTAAACTAAAGAGCTTCTGCACAGCAAAAGAAACTACCATCAGAGTGAACAGGCAACCTACAGAATGGGAGAAAATTTTTGCAATCTACTCATCTGACAAAGGGCTAATATCCAGAATCTACAAAGAACTCAAACAAATTTACAAGAAAAAAACAAAAAACCCCATCAAAAAGTGGGCAAAGGATATGAACAGACACTTCTCAAAAGAAGACATTTATGCAGCCAAAAGACACATGAAAAAATGCTCATCACTGGCCATCAGAGAAATGCAAATCAAAACCACAATAAGATACCATCTCACACCAGTTAGAATGGTGATCATTAAAAAGTCAGGAAACAACAGGTGCTGGAGAGGATGTGGAGAAATAGGAACACTTTTACACTGTTGGTGGGACTGTAAACTAGTTCAACCATTGTGGAAGTCACTGTGGCGATTCCTCAGGGATCTAGAACTAGAAATACTGTTTGACCCAGCCATCCCATTACTGGGTACATACCCAAAGGATTATAAATCATGCTGCTATAAAGACACATGCACATGCATGTTTATTGCAGCACTATTCACAATAGCAAAGACTTGGAACCAACCCGAATGTCCAACAATGATAGACTGGATTAAGAAAATGTGGCACATATACACCATGGAATACTATGCAGCCATAAAAAAGGATGAGTTAATGTCCTTTGTAGGGACATGGATGAAGCTGGAAACCATCATTCTCAGCAAACTATCACAAGGACAAAAAACCAAACACCACATGTTCTCACTCATAGGTGGGAATTGAACAATGAGAACACATGGACACAGGAAGGGGAACATCACACACCGGGGCCTGTTGTCGGGTGGGGGCAGGGGGGAGGGATAGCATTAGGAGATATACCTAATGTAAATGATGAGTTAATGGGTACAGCACACCAACATGGCACATGTATACATATGTAACAAACCTGCACGTTGTGCACATGTACCCTAAAACTTCAAGTGTAATAAAAATAAACGTGAAAAAAATTTACGGTACATCAAAAGGAAGACTCTTTTTCTAACCCAGAGTTGTTTCATTACTCAGAGCTTCTCAAATAATTTGACAGATACAGCAAAAAATTATTTCTAAAATGTTTTCTATCACATTAATCATCAGAATGATTAAACAATATGTTAAGATATTTCCAAAATGCTTCCCACATTTGTAACACGTAACACTCAGTGTTAGCATAAACTTAACTTTTAGGTCTTTCAGGTGTTAGTCTGAAAGTTCCTATTTCTTTGCTCACTTCTATATTTAACATAATTTAAATTTTTGATTATGGAAAACTACATTTGCATGTGCCCTCTAAGTAGTTTGATTGTGTTGAAATATAGATGCTTAAGTAGTTCTATATCATAGCAGTTACAGTGGTAAACATTTAGAGAGGACTTGCGTTTGCCAGGCAGGTTTGGAGCACTCTACATTGCTGGCTCATTAAATAGAACCATCTTGTAAAAGATCCTGTTTTCATCATAATCACATGGTTTAAGAAATAGAGGCAGACCAAAAGCAATGGCAACAAAAGCCAAAATTGACAAATGGGATCTAATTAAACTAAAGAGCTTCTGCACAGCAAAAGAAACTACCATCAGAGTGAACAGGCAACCTACAGAATGGGAGAAAATTTTTGCAATCTACTCATCTGACAAAGGGCTAATATCCAGAATCTACAAAGAACTCAAACAAATTTACAAGAAAAAAACAACCCCATCAACAAGTGGGCGAAGGATATGAACAGACACTTCTCAAAAGAAGACATTTATGCAGCCAAAAAACACATGAAAAAATGCTCATCATCACTGGCCATCAGAGAAATGCAAATCAAAACCACAATGAGATACCATCTCACACCAGTTAGAATGGTGATCATTAAAAAGTCAGGAAACAACAGGTGCTGGAGAGGATGTGGAGAAATAGGAACACTTCTACACTGTTGGTGGGACTGTAAACTAGTTCAACCATTGTGGAATTCAGTGTGGCGATTCCTCAAGGATCTAGAACTAGAAATACTGTTTGACCCAGCCATCCCATTATTGGGTATATACCCAAAGGATTATAAATCATGCTGCTATAAAGACACATGCACATGCATGTTTATTGCAGCACTATTCACAATAGCAAAGACTTGGAACCAACCCAAATATCCAACAATGATAGACTGGATTAAGAAAATGTGGCACATATACACCATGGAATATTATGCAGCCATAAAAAATGATGAGTTCATGTCCTTTGTAGGGACACGGATGAAGCTGGAAACCATCATTCTCAGCAAACTATCACAAGGACAAAAAACCAAACACCACATGTTCTCACTCATAGGTGGGAATTGAATAATGAGAACACATGGACACAGGAAGGGGAACATCACACACCGGGGCCTGTTGTGGGGTGGAGAGAGTGGGGAGGGATAGCATTTGGAGATATACCTAATGTTAATTGACGAGTTACTGGGTGCAGCACACCAGCATGGCACATGTATACATATGTAACTAACCTGCACGTTGTGCACACGTACCCTAAAACTTAAAGTATAATAAAAAATAAAAAAAAGAAAAAGAAATAGAGGCACAAAGAAGAAAGTAAATTTGCTCAAGGTTACAAACAGCTATCAAGAGGTTGAGTCAAAAATCAAATTGAGGCTGACTTTCCAGAGTCCACACTCTACACCACTACATCTTATGCTATTTTGCAAGGATTACAAGAAATTGAAATCAAAGGTTTATATAAAATATGGTTTGCACACAATATTGTATACTTTCTATAATTTTATTAACTTTTAATAAATTGTAGTCTGAACTGACTCTATGTGTACACTTGACACTAATTATTTTGGAAACTTTCCTAGCAGTTACCCTTTATCATCTTTGGGGCATATACAAAATGTTAACCATTCTACATCACCAAGCTTCTCCAGCATGTTTATCCTAGTGTTCTGTGCTTTTTCTCTTTTACCTACTTTCCACTATATCTTCCCCTCAGACTTTTCACTGTGCCTTTGAAACCTCTATTTTACATAAAACAATCTTTCCTATTTTATCACTTTGTTGAAGGAGCCCATCATCACTTTACCTCAACGAAAATAGATTTAAATGGCTTCATAGGTTGCACCAATAGGATGCTTTTCCAAATTCCTCAGCTCACTTAACTTCAGAAAGCAGTGTTAGCACCTTTCTTGAAAACCATTAGAATTTCCAACCCATTACTCCTCCATTCTAAAGTAGAACCATCTCTACTTTGGTGCTCACACCATCTGACTATTCCTCCTGTTACTCCTCCCCATCATTAATAACTAAAAATGGCATGGTCTTTTTAACATGTAAATGAAGTTAGTTAATGAAATGACTTCAATTCAAACAAGCAACTACAATCAAGTAACAGATCCCAAATAAATAATACCTTCATCTTTCATCAATCTTGTTATTAAACAGGCTTTGTCATATATTCCCTCTACATGTCTGGACTTCAGCTTGAGCAGATTCATAACTTTCCAGTCACTTAGAGTTACAGGAATAAATCTCATTGTGGATATCCAGACCATTTTCAAGTTCAGAATATCCAGTACAGCCCACCACCAAAATTTAAGTTACTTATTTAACAGAGAACTTTTCTGATCACCCCACCTTGAACTACTAGAAAAGAGGAAGATGATCCACTTTTTCACCTGCATTCTATCTGCTTCATAGGTCTTTCTTCTAGGTTGGGGCAGGGATATGAAAGTGGGTTACAGGAAAAAAAGCAAAGTTTTATAAGACTGGTGACTTCTATGTTCCAGGTGCCAAAATACTGGACTTCTAAATTGGGACTCATTAGAGGATTCTTTGGAGGTCCTCCCATGGGGACATCCCATGCTACACAGATCATTGACATAGGCAATTGCTATTTGCTTTCTGACTAACCATTTGCCTCCTGCCACCACCTCACATTTCAGTTTATATTCTTGGCAAAACAGCTGACATCCTATTAATTCTTAATACTGGATCCCATTGCCCTAGCAGGCAGTCATCATATAAAGGGTTCTATTATCCTTCTACTTCATCAGTCTGGCCCATGGGAAGCTCATGTACCTTTGACACACCAAATTCTTGTTGTAAAGACCACTCTTACTGCTATTCTTTCTCACTGGCCTAATTTAGGTTAGCTTAACCAGACTTCTACCTCCCAAATTTACTGGAGAAGAAACAAACATCTGATTCAGTGGTCTTGCATGTCCGCAAACTCCAAGGAATGCACATTAATTTATTTCTTCTCTTACCTTACATCTAACCCATGGAAGTACTTGATATATTGCTGAAAAAATATCAAAATACGAAAATACCACTGCTTCTTTCTATGAGTCATTGCTTTGGGTCCACCCTCATTTGGCTAAGGAGAAGCACACACTTCCCTCCACAGAGTAAAAACCCTGCAGTACTCCCTACCAGCTGACAGCTCTCTGCTAATGAGTCATCTGGTCTTCTCTAAGAGAGAATAATAGTGGTGATTCATAGTGGCAGGACTGATGCTGCCATTATTACAAGTCTGTGGTGAATATGTCTAACACTTCTCCAAAGAATGTGGGGATACTTATCATCAATGGCACTATGTTTTGGGGTTTTAAAGATAACTATGATTCAACAATGGAAACCTCATTTCACATTTTTTAACTCCTGCATTTTTTGAAGTTTTCAATTACTGGTTCACACTATTACAATCTGAGACCTGTTATCATCATCATTCTTGTTTAATTTATGTTTATTAAATACTTATTGAAGGCATACTATGTGCCAGCGTTGGTGGTCCAGCATTAAACCAGACAGAAATTTCTGCTCTCATAAGGTTTCTATTCCAATGATGTTAAACAATGTAACTAAGACATACGGCATTCTAAATTTGTCCCTTTGATTTTCTCTACTGTTATTTCTTCCAGTGGTCAACATTTAAAGGTTTCCCTGGGTCCTATTTCTTTCCCTACCATAAAATTCTATTAATACTGATTTTGTAAGTTTTTTTTCATTTGCTATTGTCATTTTTACTACCACTACTATAGTCTGAAGTTCACCTTTGTAATTTTATTCCAGAATTATTATAATACCCTCAATCTCCTTTTTCCATGCAGTATGCTGCTAGAGTTATCATTGTGAGCACACAAATATGTCCATGTAAATCGTGTGCTCATTAACATCTGTTCTAATTCATTCATTCAACCAATAGTTATTGAGGAACTCATATGCCAAGTATTATAAATCTTTATTCTATAATAGTGAAAGAAAGAGACAAGGCTTGTAACTATGTAAAGTTTATATTCTAGTAGAAAAATATAAACAATCATCCTATAGGATCAGAAAAAATAATATTGAGTGTTCACGGAAAACTCTGTTAAAGTGACAATAAAACAAAGACCTAAAGAAAGTGAGGCAGTAAGCCATGAGGATATCTGAGGGGACAGCATGGCACAAAGAAGGAAAAATGACAAGCGTATTGTCCCTTACCAGTAATAAACTTGTCTGGGTAAAGGGGACAGCAATGGCTAGTGCAGCCTAAGTGGATAAGCTATGGAGAAAAAGGTAGAAGGTGAGTTCCTAGAATCATCGTAAGGGAAGGAAGTAATGAAGAGTCTCAGAAACCACTCCATGAGCTTTGGGAATTTTATTGTGATGGGAAGCTAACATAGCTTTAAGGCTAAATGTAACATATTGCAATTTACATTTCATAAAACCTGTCCTTGGTTCATAGAGACTGGACAGATGAGAAAGAATGGTGGCTTTAAACACAGTGGTAGTTTTGGAGGATTCTAAATAAATTGTGAAGACAAAGCCGAATTATGACTTTAAGTGTTTGGCTTTTGAGAAGGGTAGCATGAAGTAGCCCTTAACTGAGAGGGGAAAATAGCAGGAGGTTTGTAAGAGTGATAGAGGGAATCAGAAGTTCAATTTTTAACTTGTTATGTTTTAAATTCCTATCAGATATACAAGTGGACATGTCAAATGTTTAGTCATATACACAAATCTGAAGTTCAAGGGAGTGATCTAACCTGGAAATATAAATTTTTCAGTTATTATTATTTAAGTAGAACTTATGCTGTGAAATAGATTGGGCCATCAAGGGCCTGAATGTAGATAGAAAACATTGCAGGGCCCACAAAAATGATTCATCCAACACTGTGGCCTCCCGGTTCCTTAATATCATCAATTCCAATTAGCCTCAGTCCCTCTTTATTTCATCACCCATGTCTATGACCACAATCTGGAATTTACTAGTACCTGGAAATATTTTGGTTCTGAAATGCTTAAACCAAGCACACAGGTAATGACAAAACACACTCAAATCTTATCTCCTTAAAATAATTGTGCCTCAATCCCATCTCCTCTATTGGCTATTGCTTCCTCTGACTTCCTGCATAACCAAGCTCTTAAAATAGTTCTCTACAGTCACTGAATACAGTTGTTAGTCTTCCATTTAATCTCTCAGGCCCCTGGAAACTTGATTTTACCTAAATTACTCTACTACAATTACTCTCACCAAGATAATTTCTTCTTGTTAAATACAATGAACATAGTTTGTGAACTCTCAACATCATGAAACTGCTAATAACCCTCTTGCCATCCTCTCTTTAACTTGGCATTAATGATTCTCACATTTCTGGTATCCCATCCTTGGACCCATCTCTGTTTTGTCTTTTTTGAGGCACATTCTTCCTCTGACCTTTACTTAAGTGCTTTTCTTTCTCAGGCTTTATTCTGAACTCTCTCATCTTATAACTCTATATACATGTTTTTTGGGAGGATGATGTCATCAACTCCAATAGCTTTAATTAAGTCTTCTACATGTCCAAATAAATAGCTTTAAATGAGACCTCACCTTTAAATTTCCAAATCATTCATATATTCCCAACTCAGCTCAACTTAACATGTCTAAAACTGAATCCCTCATTTCCCCCTTGAAAATGCTCTATCTCGTTGGTTTCTTGTCACGATGAATGGTACCTTCATCCACTCAATTGCCAAACCAGAAAGTTCCAATATCAGCCTTGACTTCTCAATAGGCCTCAGTCTGCTTCCAAACAACCACCTATTCTTGTATGTTCACCATGTTCTCAGTATCTCATGAGTCAATCCATTCTTCTCCATTCTTGTTGTCACCTTACAGGCTTTTATTAACCATCTAATTTTTTTAAAAAATAATGTCAAGTTTCTCCTGTGATATTGCCCTCAGTTATTGTTATAATCTAGGGAGACAGACAAAAAAAAAGTCACCATGATCATTTTCATCACTATCCTTTGGAAGAAAGACTGCAAGTCTTTTCATAGGTCTCTTTGCTTTAGTCTTTTCTCTAATTCGCTCTCCAACTGGTAACAAGAAAATGTTTCTAAAGGGAAGATCTCGTTGACTCTTCTGTTTAAAGACTTCAATGCTTCCCTTTGGTCTTTAGTATAAAGTACAAATTCCTTCCATGTAATTTATCATATTCTTGCCCAGGCTTAACTTTCTAGCCTTCTATCTCACCTTTATCTGCCATGCCCAGGTTATTTTATACTTTACTACATGACGTTATTTTCTCATTTTTTACTTATGCAGATGCTGTTTCCTCTGCTGAATATACCATGGTCCCCCCATCACTTGGCGAACTTCAATTCATTCTACAATTGGCAAGAAATAAATTATTATTTTCTATTTGCCTTGCTTGTTTCTCCAGCCCCTTTCTATTCCCATCAATTGCATTATGTGATACTCTTACTTGCTTTCATCTCATCTTGTGCTTACATGATATTATAATTGGTTTTTGCCAAACTGTTCATTCAAGTATATTGTAAGATTCTGAAATGAGTAACTGTGTATTGATTATCAGTGTCTCCAAAACCTAACCAAATGCTATAGTACAGCCTAGCACATAGTGTACACTCAAATATATATTGAATTTGAAATAAACAAATAGGAAAATGAAAGGAAATAATATAACAATATAAGGTTGAAATACAACAATATAAGGTTGAAATAATTTAAATTAGGACACGATTCAGATTAATATTATTTTATTATCTTATCTGTTGAAGTAAATGAGTAGAACATTGTCACTTTTGAATAATCAAATTAAAATCAGTTTTGTAGATTTTTAAACTCTAAGACCATTTACAATTTAAAATATATATAATTTGGTCTAAACAGCACACTCAGAAAATTGAAATTGTTTTAAATTCTGTGGTGTGTTTATCTAAATTGCTAAGGACCATCAGGAAGACAATTAAAATGAGAACAGAAAGTACAATTCTGTTTCCTCAGTGGGGAAAAAAAACCTAATAGAGCTTAAGAATGTTCAGGACAGTGTGCATATCAAGCCCAAGGATATGAATTAGATGGGTAATCACTTATTCATCACACTCTAGAAATAAAGAGAACCATTAGCATTTAGGAAAAAAACTAAACTTAGAACATTTAAAAGTATTAAGTTCTATAGGGAGCAAAATGTATAGATCTTATTATTCCAAAGAAATAAATAGAAAGAAAACAAGGAAGAAACTGAATACCTTCAGTGGTATTCTTGCTATAATTACTATATGAGGCAATGAAGTAGATTTAATTTAAATCCTGATAATAACATTTTGTAACATACAATGAAACATCTTCACATTTGACCAATGTATGTTACAACGAAACATGCTCTGGAATGTCTCATGTAGTCTCTTTATTAGATTTTTGTCAATATCAGCCCTTAAAAAACATCAGAAATAATAAGAAAGTAAATAGCTACATAACAATCAAAATATTTTCCTAAACCAAATTGCAAAGAGAAACACCTTTCATTGTGTATATACAGACTCTGCTTGAGTCTGTTATCACTAAACTTAACTCGTATGGCCAAGCTGATCCACTAAATCCTACCTGTTGACTTACACCTAGTCCACAGTCTACAGACAATTCTGGCACCAGGGCAGGGGTTGTCTTAAAAATTACACCTCTCTCCTACTGGCTCATGGGTTCAACACAAGAAGGGATCCTTCACACTGCTGGTTACACACTGACCTGCACAACTACAGCTCTCCAGATAGCAGGTTCATGCTTTACAGATACATAACAGAGTTCATGCATTGCACCCCAGTACTTCAGTATTCAAAGTCCTCTTGGCCATAGGTACCAGACATGGATATACTTTACCCTGGCCTTGCCAGGGGTTGGCTGACAATGTGGGGCACTTTGATTCTTTACAGTTCCCAAGTTTTTTACATTTTAATATTGCTCATATTTAAAACATAAAACACTATGACAAAGTGGTATATTTACAAAGCACTATTTAATTTAATAACGAATTTTGCACTTTCAATTTTGATTATCTAGTTTCTTTTCCTTTGTACTTCTATGTAAATATAAATTCTATGCTCTTATGCTGGAGGTTAATCTGTGATCAAATTTTTATGAATGGAAACATATGCCAAATATAGAATATCTTTTGATATAATTTTCAAAGACAGCTTTAAGTTAATATTTAACAGATACTATTTTTTTCTCCAATGATAAAAGCATTTATTTTCTAAAATAATTATGTGATTTGGAAAAATCTGCAAGTTGTGTTTGCTGCTACAATTAATTTACAGTTTCTGAATTAAAATCCTTTTCAGAAACAGGCCATTTGTAAAATTTTGAATCACCCTTGAAAATCATGAATGAGTGATTTTCTTTTTCTTTATTAACATTAAAACTGAGAATTTTCAATAAAATCTATTGAATTTTCAATAAAATCTATTTAACACTTATTGTTAAAAATATTAATACAAAATTCTCCTAGAGTTCTCAAATTTATTCTTACCAGATATGCAAATTTACTTATAATGACATTTGCAAATTTGACACAACCTTCTATATATGCCTTACCATTTGAAATAACAAACTTCACTCTTTTTTCTAATGCTTCAGAAATAACATTTATGTGTACCCACAGCAAAATTTGCAATTTTAAACATACCATTAACATTTCAATATACCTCTGAGATTTCTATTACACTGGCAAAGAAATTACTTGACAGCTATGCATCCTTATGAGAGATCATTCACTCAATACTTGATGTATTCTGTTCAATAAATGAAAAAATATAAGACTTTGAATTTCTTACCAATGAAAACATCATCATAGAATGGTTTCTAGAAAAAGCATAGCTTTTGAAGTAGACAATAGTATTTTGATGATCTATTAAAATGACATTTTTTAGAGAAAGGAAAAAATACACTTTGGGAGGCCAAGGCAGGCAGATCACTTGAAGTCAGGAGTTCAAGACCAGCCTGACCAACACGGTGAAACCCTGTATCTACTAGAAATACAAAAATTAGTTGGGCATGCTGGCGCATGCCTGTGATCTCAGCTACTCGCTAGGCTGAAGCAGGAGAACCCTTTGAACCCAAAAGGCAGAGGCTGCAGTGAGATCAGGCTACTGCACTCCCATCTGGGTGACAGACAGAACAAGACTCCGTCTCAAAAAAATTTTTTTTTAATTTTAAAAAGGAGAAAATTATTTTAAAAACTTGAAATTGATTTAGATTATGTATAATTTAATCTGACTTTCAGTTTTCTAACTTGGAGGCAAAAACAATAGCTTCATTCATTGCTTTATTCTTAAATAATGGAAGTAACCCTAGATACTATTGGGCTAAATACCTAGATACCTTAGATACTTAGGGCTAAAGAAAATGACTGTTACATAGCTCCCGGCAGTATGTTCTAGATAGCTCCTTAACAATGGGAGACACTAAATTAATGTGTACTACTGAACCCCTAGATTAGCTAAGCCCTTATGCACTCTGAAATGTTCATAATGTTTTCCACTCTACAAAATGTTATAAAATAAGCACAATCATTGAAACTTCAGAAAACGTAAGTATAAAATAACCATCATGGTATAGCACAGCCAAGAAAGAACTATCCTCTTCACAATATTATAAGTTGTTTTAAAAGAAAAAAATCTATCTATCTAAGTATACATATATAGATTGATATACTATACACACATACACACACACACACACACACACATATATATATAGAGAGAGAGAGATAAAGTTGTATAACTCATGCCTATTCACTTTTATTTATTGGGAATGACATTGATGTCGTTTGCCTTCAGGATACCATTTTTCCTTTCTGTGACCTTTATTTTCTCCCTGCAAAAGGATTTTTTCAACAACTAGGCCACATACCCATTCAATCTTTCATGTTTAGAAACATGCTTTCTTAGAGGGTATGACAAACTAACTTATTTTAACATGTAAATAATGGATAAGATCTTTATCAGTACTTAGCAGAAGACAGATATTTTATTTTGCTTTGAACAAGAGACAAATCCTTTGAAACCAACTAATCTCTAACTGTAGAATTCTTCCAGGAATCAGTGAACAGTTGAGGGAAGTATTTTGAAGGTAGTAGATCTACTTTTCTGATGTAAGTTGAATTCTATGGGCAAGCACTGTGCAAGGCAGAAGGGTAAAATTACATCACATAAGCACTCACCTGAAATACTTAGGTAAAAGACTGGCCATTAATCCTGTCAATATACTTTCTGGGTTGACTTACATTTCATCTTGCCTTACATTGTAATGTAATAGGTCTAGGGGATAAATACAAGCAGCTGTCTGCAGCCAATACATTTTTCCACATAAATACTTATGATAAAAATAAAAAGAAGGAAAAGAACTATAATACATTTTTTAGCCATACTTTAGGAGCAACTTGATGAAAATTAGATAACACCGTGAGACATATCTGAGTGAGAAAGAGCTAGAACAGAAAGTTATCTCTCTAACAACTCACTGGTGTTTTAATGGAGTTAAAGTACTTCACCTACATGCCTATGTGAAGAACAGCTAAAAAGTGATAACACTGAGTTCTGTATGTTCCACATTAAATTTCATTTTGCTAAACAAAAAGCAAGTAATGACAAAAATGTATGCATTGACTATTTGTTGATATAAGTTGAATCTGTCTTATTACTTTAGATATACTTTGAATTTATTTTGGATCTCAAGCATGAAGTCATAGGGATGTCATCTCTATCAGTGTTTTCTGAAATCTGACATCACAGAAAGGACTAAGATGTTCCAATAATAGAACATCAAGCTTTTGTTGCTGCTTGTAAATTATAATTCATAGAAACTTTAGAACACTTTATAAACTTTAATTTCCTGGAAGCTTCCTGAATTAAGTAGAAAAGAACAATGTCCAGAGTCAATACTATTTATCACATGGACATAATTTTTCTCAGTAACTAGAAAATATATTGCAACCCAAATACTATACTCATATTTAGAAAAACAAACTCTCCAGTTAGTAGAACATAAATTACTGAGATATTCTAATAAAGATTTTATTCCTATTTTTAAAGCCAATAAATTGAGATAAATTTTTATGAGTTGTTAAAACTTTTTAATAAAAACACCAGCCCACACCTCAAAGCAATTTCATACTTCTGTTATTAGTTTCTATAATAGCTGTATTTATAAAAAGTACCTGCATATGACAAATAATATACAAGCAATCAACTGATAATCTGGTGTGTACACAATTCAATTCATCAATAGTTAAATTTAATGAAGAATCTAACTTACCGGTGGATCAGCCCCCTTAGAACCAGCCAGCCCTCCTGTTAGGGATTCGATATCCTGAAAAGGGGAGAGGTGTTGATTGTAAAGTGCTACTCAACAGCATGAAGAATCCCCCAGTCCCACAGTGTAATAATTTATTTAGCTGCAAAGTTAGGGCATGTCAGCTATTTTATTATTTTTTTGCAATCTTGGACACTGTAGTACTATACAAATAGTCTACATCTAAACATCTAGATATTCTCTCCAACTCTGGAAGTCTATAAAAAGAAAAACATGTAAACAGATTTTTTTAAATATGCAGAAGTTTCATCTTTGAAGAGCTGAAGTGAGAGCAGAAAAAAGAAAATTTAAGAAAACTTCAGTTTAACGTACTATTTTGAAAAATATTAAACCCATGGAAAATGTTTAACCTAAAAATATTTAATTTTTTTTTATTTTTTATGAATACATAATAGTTGTACATATTTATGACATATGATATTTTGATGTAAGTATTTGATGTGTAATAATCAAATTTAAGTCCATCACCTCAAACATTTATCATTTCATTGTTTTGGAAACGTTCCAAATATGCTCTTCTGGCTATCATGAAATATACAGTAAATTATTGTTAACAACAGTCGCCCTATTGTGCTACTGAACATTATATCTTATTCATTTTATCTAACTGTAGATAAAAATATTAACCAAATCTTCTTTTTTCACCACCTCCCAACTAGCCTTCCCAGTCTGTGGTAACCACCATTCTATTCACTACCTCCATGAGATCATTTTTTTTTATAGCTCTTACATATGAGTAAGAACAGGTGACATTTATCTTTTTGTGCCTGGCTGATTTTACCTAATATTCTCCAGGATCATCCATGCTGTTGCAAATTTTAAAAATTATAACTATGGTCTACTCTATTTCTACACATAGAGTATAAAAATATAAAGAGATCGATTTTTAACCTTTAATAGGTAACCACAGAAGGTCATGCTTGAGTAATGACTATAGTTGTTAAATTTATAAATGGGGAAATAGGAAATGGTGTGATAAGCTGTAGAGGCTGTGACCTGTTTATAGGGACAACTACAACTCAGCCCTATCAGTTCTAAGGCTTTGGTTCCAGGGTTACTAATGATTATATGACTTATTCAAAAGAAGTTGCAATTCTAGGTTTTAAAGTAAAATCACCCAGGTTTTTAGTGTTTGCAACTGATTTAAGTTGTAAACCGTCCCTCATCCCTCCCAAATGAAAAAAACACAACTCTCTGCTAAAAGGCTGCTGGAAAGGAGTTTTGGGTTAAATCGAATGGTTACACTTCTTGGCTAAAAATGTTCTTTCTTATGACTCTGATCACCTCTTATCTGTTTGCATCTAGTTGGAAAGACAGGGATGAAGAGGGGGGAATATAGTTGCATTAAGAAAGCAAAAAAGAAGGATAATTAAGTCCCAATTGAAGTAATGGAAATTTAAATGCCTATGATGAGGAAAAAGGCCAATATTTTGATATAATTAAGAGGACTTATGCTACTAATTCACTTAGGACTTAATCAGATGATTTTCCCCTTATATTGAAAAAGGGAGGACTCTTAATAATACATTATGGGGCTGGGATGAGCATGTGATGGAAACGTTCAAGGAAGGGGACAGGGAAGGATGGTGTTATAACTGTTTCTATCTGAAATGCTAACTGTGAAAAGGAACATAATGGGTAATGAATTTATTCATGCATAGTCTATTAAAGGTCACAAATGACAAGGAGTACTTACCAAGAAAATTATTAAATGGTCTCCTTTCTAATGGAAATGTATATATATTTTTTCTCTACCCAGAATCCTTTTGAGAAACTACTCCTTCCCCTCTCCCATTCTAGCTACAAAAGAGGCTAACAAAAATTGCTTCAAATATTGTAGGGACCTGCCAGAGAATTAAGGCAATATAGAATCTGAAAAACATAATGGTAGAGTTTAAGTCCTTGATTGTATCATTTGAGGAATGTTTGAAATGAGATGTTCTCTCTGCCTGCAATTCAGCTTAAAATAGATTTCTGGCTCTGAAAAGTAAAAATATCCTAATTATATCGGCATTTTTTGGGTCTGTTTGTAAAAGGCCCACCCTCTCCATCCTGTTCAAATGCTTTATTCCAACATCATGCCCAACATAAAAAAAATCAACTCATCTAAATTATCTGATCTTACATGTTCTTTAGCATTCTTATTGTCACTTAAGTAAATTTTGTCTTTGTATAATTAAAACAAAGCATCAAACACATGTATAAATTGACAAGGAATATTAATATCCTTATCAAATCCAAAGATAAAACATAACTTAAAATTGTCTTAAAATCTCATGGAATGAACAACATTAGGTAGTAAAATGACTAAAATATTAGATTTACAGAAAATAAAACACACAGCTTGCACTGTTTGATAATATTCTGCTATGACCATACTGAAAAGTTTCTGTTCATGTAAAATGTTATTTCCAATTATACTTAAAATGAAAAAAAGATACCAAGTGCATTTGGAGTTAATACATGTCTTTCTTTGTAGAAAGGCATATAAGTTATATTAATGATATAAATTTTAATGAAGCTATCAGAGGGATAATAGAGAAACTGATGTGGATAACAAGTATTTTAGCAATTTAGTCAATGCATTTTCTCATATTTTGTAAAGTTTGATCATTAAGATTTCTTATCTAAGTAAGTTGTGCCAAGTTTCAGATTTTTAAAATTTTAAGCTCTTTGTGATTATCATGTCTTGAGAAAAAATGAGAAAGAAGAATGTAGAAGATGAATGAAAAGGGCAATAAATTTTGTAGTTTTTAACACATTGAATTCAAAATCAATTACGAATTCATGGCTCTAAATAGTATACAGATGTATATTCTTATCTCTAAATGGGTAAGTTGTAAATTGAATGTAAATCATTCAATTGTAAAAAAATGTTTGA
This sequence comes from Homo sapiens, assembly GCF_000001405.40. Taxonomy (NCBI): domain Eukaryota; kingdom Metazoa; phylum Chordata; class Mammalia; order Primates; family Hominidae; genus Homo; species Homo sapiens. The sequence goes on from NC_000012.12 coordinate 81,679,729, forward strand.
GTTCATGTTCTATTTTGAGTGTAAGTTGAAAAGGAGTGTCCTACTTGGAGAGAGGTCCAAGTTAAACACGGCTTATCAGTTCATGCAAAAGGAATTTTCTCAGGTGTGCATAATGAACATAAGTGTGCATGGATACATTTATGTTGTAAAATAATAGATAAAACAAATACTTGAGGAACTCTGGACATATGATTACTACATAGCTTTCAAATGATAACTAAAAGTGAGTCAATATTTTTGATGGTTGTTGAATATTTTATCTGCAAAGTATAAGTAAAATCTTTGGCAAATGTGTCTATTTTCTTATTTCAATATATTTTATATAGATAACAACAAAAGGGGACATCAAATAGTATAAACATTGACTTCCTAGAAAGTTTTTTGACTTACTATTGTAAAAATATTATTTGTTTAATTAAAACACTCAAAACATCATTTTATTTTTAACTAGGCTACAGAATTTATTTAACCATATTGCATACCATATTGAGGTCATCATTTGTATCTAATAGATAATAAAATAGCTACTACTCAGTGAACAGTTGCTATGTGCCAGGTACTTTTATAAGTGCTTTGTAGACATTAATGCCATAATAAACTTATGTTAGTTAATTATTTTCTCACTTAAAAGGTTAGATAGTTTACATGACTCATACAGTATCATAGAGCTATTAAGAAATGGGTTATAAAACATATACATAGGACTCCAAACCTGTATTTTTTTAATTACCAGTCCTAGTGAACAGTTTCACCCTGGTACCCTGGTGACACTGCACATATCTATGTTGGCGATGCAGGTAAGGCTAAACCACAGGCTGGTAAATCTTGATGGAATATCCCGTGACTCTCCCAGAACATGACAAAGGAGGCAGTCTTATGAGGAGCTTTTACATAGCTATTTCTTATTTGCCTCCCTCACACTAGTGAGGCATGGGACTTCCCACACCTCACACCTCCCTACACCAGGTCCATCTTCAGGATATCAAACTACTTAGGTGCAGTATGGAATTGGCTCCTACCTAACAATACAGCCCACTTCTCTTGTTGCCTATCATTTGACCCATCCAGTTCAGTGTTGTCCAGTGGAAATTGGGACCAGGGTCAGAATTAGAGCAGGTAAGTGAGGTGCCTATAGTGCAAAATTTAAGTAGGTGCTGGTTCTTAGGGTCATACAACTGCTGACCTGCACTTGTATAATCTTGATAGTGAGCACCTTATTAAATTTTGTGCCCTAAGCACCTCACTTGTCTCATCTGAATCCTGGCCTTTCTAGGGACCTGAGGAGCTGAAACAATGGTAGCCTTCTTTATGCTGACTGTGTAAGTAACAAACATAAAACCATTTGGATTCATCGTCTCCTTATCACTCGAATCTGTAGAAGTGTAGCAAGCACCTACGCCATGTGGTTGCTCAGGGACTGCATGCTGCTTCACACTGGTATCCTCAATCATATGAATTTTTATCATCAATGCTGAATGAAATAAACTAGTATGTATTAATTATATAAGAAACTTCATTTCTTAAACATCATTTCAGATAATGAAAGCTTCATTTTCCTCTCCAAGGTGTGAAAAACCTAAGTGGGGTTATTAGCCAGTCCTTAACACAGCTGTGCAGATTCAGTTTTTCAACACTGGAAAGTTCTGTTCCTGGCATGAAAACCCAGTAAACCAAGGATGGCCAGTGAATCAGAAGTCTTAAAGCTTGGGAAGGTTGAGCTCCAGGAAGAGTGAGGTGATCAGTGTCAGAGCTCTAAGTAGAGTGAGACTTAGGGCATTCTCAGACTTGAGGAGTCTACATTGCACTGCATTTGTAATAGTGGTTGTTCGCCTGCACCTTTGCTCCCTGGCCTCCTGCTTCAAGAATTGGCATATTTTTCCCTTGACAAACACTTTGAATGATGGAGCTATAGGGATTAATAATGTGGCTCTCAGTGTAAGCCATCAAGTTCAGATACTGTAAGTCTTGCTTCCTTTGTGTGCAAGTGAAAAAAAAAAAGGATATTAGGATTTCAGGTCTTTCTCAGAGCTGTTGCTGGATTCTTATTTTTATCCCTGAAGAGCAGGATCAGCCAATTATGTTAAAGAAAAATATGATAAAATAATTTGGCTATCGAATACAGTAAGAATGAACAAATAAAATTCTAAAGAGTTAGTTGACTCTCGCATCGCATATCCCACAAGACCCAAGAGATCTTCAAACCTGAGAGTTATATTTAAAGTTAATATCAGGTTTTAAGCTTTCACTTGTTCAAAAAGTCACTTAATGTAATATGAAAATACTTAAAACATTATAATAATTGTCAATTATGGGCATTTTAAAATTTCAGATTTATGCATTGTTATGGGTTAAATTATGTTCCCTGAAAATTCAGATGTTGAAATCTTAACCCTCAGTACCTAAGAATGTAACTGTGTTTGAATGTAAGGTCTTTAATGAGGTGATTAAGAAGATTGATCCAATATGACTGGTTGTCCTTATAAGAAGCGGAAGAGATAGCAGGGATGTGTGCACACTGAGCAAAGGCCATATGAGAACACAAGAAGAAGGCAGCAATTTCTAAGCCATGGAGAGCACCCTCAGAAGAAATAAAATCTGCAAACACCTTCATCTTGGAATTCTAGCCCCAGAACTGTGAGAAAATACATTTATATTGTTTAAGTCACTCAGTCTGTGGTATTTTGTTACAGGAGCCCTAGAAAACTAATGCATGCATATTTGTAATTTGGGACTAGTTTTTAGATTCTTTGGGAAAAGTTAACATATTTCAATATAGAGTACATAAGAGTTCATTAAGCAGTCTATAAAAAAAGTCAGTATCAGTGGAATCAATGTGAAATAGTAAAATGACCATTTCTGTCAAATGGTTATATTTAAAATTATTTCAAGTCTTTAAAATATTTAATGAAGTATTATGTATATGTTAAAACTTGACAAAATTTATTGTATTCAAAATATTGAAATTAAGCATTTCTCTCATCTCCTTTATAGAAAAATTTCTCAAAATTCCCCTCTCCCACTACTTTCTGTTGACATGCCCTATTGTGCCCACCACATCACTGCAACTCCTCTTATCAAGGTTGCCAATGACATCCTATCGTTCAAATTTAATTTTTCATGTTCTGTCATCATATTTCTTGATCGCTAAGCTTCAGTCGACACAGCTGACTACTCCATCTTTATTGAAATACTTTTCCCTTTTGGCTTTCATTTATTTTCACCCGCTACATGATTTTATTTAGTACTGTGGCTCTAAATATAATGCATGTTGATAAATTTTGAATTTCTATCTTCAGCTTCAACTTATCCTCTGAGATCCATACTGCTACTTCAATCTCCACTTAGATGTATTATAGCCATGTAAAATGCAATAATGCAAAATTAAACTCTTGATTCCATCACAACTCTTCCCTTAAATTAGGTTCCCATCCCAGTGATTGCCATCTTATTAAATGACATCACCATTCACCCAGTTGCTCAGGTCCAAATCCATCAGCAAACCCCACTAAGTCTATTGTAAAAATACTACTTGAATTTGACTACATCTCATTACCTTCATTCCTGTCATCCTAATCCCTTGTACTATATCAATAATATCTATCACATAAACTGAAAAAAATAATATATATATATATATAGCTTTCTAACTGTTGTCCATGAATTTGTTATCTCCCTCTCCCCTATATATTCTCCACATAGTAGCCCAACTATCCATTTAAATTTTAAGTTAGATCACATTGCTGTCTTGACCAAAACCCTAAATGGTTTCCCAGCAATCTTAAAACAAAACACAAACTTATTGCTATGCTCTGCCATGCCCTGTATGATTTGGCTCTTGGCTATCTCTCTGACTATATCTTTTGCCGTTCTCCCTCTGTCCTGCCTTCTCAGACACAATGGCGTCCTTATTATTCCAAAAAATATTCAAAATTTGGCTTGTATCTCAAGGCCTTTGCCCATGCTTTTCCTGCTTCTTAGGGTGCTTATTTCTAGATGTCCTCATCCATTTTGTGTTGCTATAAAGGATGACCTGAGGCTCGGTAATAAAAATTAAATAAAGAAAAAAAAGGTTTATTTGGTGCAGAATTCTGAGGCCAGAAAGTTCAAGATTGGACTTCTGCATCTGAGCAGGGCCTTAGGCTGCCCCCACCTATGGCAGAAGGCCAAGGGGAGCCAGCTGTGTGAAAGAGTGAGGAGGTGCCAGGCTCTTTGTAACAACCAGCTCTCATGGGAACTAATAAAGAGAGAACCCACTCACCCCCAAGGGAGGGCATTAATCTATTCATGAGGGATCTGTCCCATGACCCAAACACCTCATAGTAGGTACCATTTCCAACATTAGGTGTCAAATTTCAACATGAGGTTTGAAGGGGACAAACATTAAAACCATAGCAGTAGATATCCTCCTATTTAACTCACCCACTTCATTCAGGTCTTAGCATACCAAAATTCTGAATCACCTTCCAAAACTAATTATCTAAATCAGTCAAGGTTCCACCTGAACAAACTGACAAACTCGGAGACTATACAGAAGAACATTTAATAAAGGTATGATTTATAGAGGTATGGATAGTTTACAGGGTCCAGAGAAATGGTGGTACATGGGGACTAGCAACAGCTAGACATTGCAACCACCCTTAAACCTAAAGAAGGTGCAAGAACAATGTAGTCAAGAGTCCAGCAAGAGGTGAATACCTATCATCAGCCTATAGAACAGCTTGCCACACAGTGGAGACTCAATAACTACTTATTGAATAATACAATTATTGAATGAATGATGTGATACTATTTTTACATATATAAAAAGCTGAATCTCAGAGTACATATGGTGAAGTGTGTCTTATTTTTGTATAACTGTATCACTTTGAAAGCATGGCTGAAAGCAATAATGTTTGCACAATAAATCTTTATAAAATGCCTGAGTGAATAAACTAATAAATGACTTGCCCCAAATCACACAGCTGGTGAATGCTTGAAAGAAGCTTTGAAATCCCAAGTGTTATAACTCCAAGCCCAGCATATTTTCTGTTCCATCATATATCACTAATGAGACATCCTCCTGAAAGAAAAACTCCTCAACTCTGTATTTTCTCATCTCTTGAGGTACTAAGTTTCTATATATTACATGGTTTCTAGTGCATCAGAAGGAAAAATGCAAAATTATTTAATAGTCAATAAACAATACATTAAATTCATCCTCTGGTTAAATACTGCCAATGCTTCCAATTAAAGGTCTGACACCTTAATCATTGTACAATCAATAAATCAATGCTTGAAAATTTGACCTAACATGTATGTCTGGCATTAATAAATGGTTCAAATATGTTAAACTAAAAATCAATAATGTTTATTTTTATGTAACATCTCATAGTGTGTTGGTTCACAGCACTGGGAATAAGTAATAGAAGATAAAATTTATTTTAAACAAATCATTCACTTTTTCACACAAGGCTTAATGGAAACAACCTTTCATCACCGAATACCAGCTCCTTAAGGCAAGCATCCAAATAATGAAGCTGAGTTTGTTAATGAGGCATCTTCCTCCTCAACCAGACTTAAGCAGTTAGTGTTTCCTTGACAACATTATAGGGTAAATTTCCTGGGAGGCATAGAATAAGCAGGAAACATACAGACCAATTTTATAAATTTTTCCTATGTAAGCCAAAAGGTGTCCTTTTTAATTATTCTTTAAAACAAAAAAAGGGGAAATATCTCTTTCTTTACTTTGAGTATAGGCCAGCCTGAATCTGAATTTTCCTTAAGCCACACAATTAATTCCTTCAAAAAAGAGCAGTTGAGCAAATTTTGTGGCTGAGGCACTGTACTCTTCATGGGAGGACACAATGAGGAGTAAATCAAGGTCACAGGTTTCATAGTATTCAGAGTCATGACATGCTCTCTGACTTTAAGGATTTTTCAGTCCAAAAGCACATAAATCTGCAGAACAACATGAGGAAGAATTTTGAGAAATGTGGTGTTAAAATTATAACAGACAGGGGTTGTGGTGTTAAATTTTATAGTGTGACAATTAGTTTGGGTATTTCATATTGCCAGATTGTACTTTATTTTTGAATGCATATTGGGTAAGTGTCTCCAGGAACTGGTTGAGTAACATAATAATTAACATTTATTAAGCATTTACTGAAACACACACCATGCTAAGAGCTCTACTGCCGCATTAGGTAACATCGTAACTCTCTTAGCCATTATTATTTCCACCATTTCAAGATGATGAAACTGGGTCTTTCAGAGTTTAAATGACTTAACAAAGGTCACACAGCCAATAAGTATTCAAACCAAAGAGGCTGATTCCAGAGGCAATGATTTTTAACAATGATGCTCTCTTGAATGAATTGAGGTATGAGAAAAGAGTAGGGAGAACTTCTTGGCATGCATATGGTGACTTGGAAAAAAACATAAATACTTATTCACTATCTGAAGAAGAAATGCAACAAATTGCAGGCAGAATAATTCTGAGGTGGCTGATATCCTCTGATGGGAGGATGATTATCCTTGATTGACCTGTAAATGTAAGAGCTGAGAACATCAGATTTAGCCAAAAAGTAAAATTCCCAAAATCTTGGCTATATATTTCTAATTTCAAAGTCTTCTACCTGAATTCAAACCTAACTAGGAAATATAATGTGTATCAAAGGCACAAGTGTTTCAATAGTGCATAAGAATAGGGCTTTCTGAAGAAAGTGCCAGAGATTCAGGTTCTACATTTTCCACTTCATAAATTTTGTGTGTCGCTTTTTCTTGTCCATTCCTTTCCATATGGCTGAGGCGATAAAGGGAATGTTTTGCTAATTCCTGACTCAGTCTCAATCAATTTCTGTTTTCCAACTTTTCCACACTGATGCATCCTTGCTATCTCAAACTCACTATATCCAAATAAGACATCATCTTCTTTATCAGCCATTGCCATGGCCAACCGCCAATTTCCTATTCCTGTTGATGTTTTCAATAAGCAGTTAGTTATCCAGTCTAGGTTTATGGATGTTAATAGAGTTTTCCCTTACTCTGGTATGCATATTCCAATCCAGTCTAGTTTTCCTTGTAAATATCTGCTTAGTTGATTGCCTTCTTTCATTTACCATTGCATTTACCAGCTTAGTTCAAAACCTCATTTTATTTTCCCCTGACCCCTGGCTTTTTCCAAAACAGTGTCTTTGTTGAGTTCCTTTTTCCACTCTCACTTTCATATCATCTTTTCTTCCAACCAGTTCCCAAAGTGTGGCCTGAGGACCACCACCAGCAGCAGCAGCAACATCACCTAGGAACTCATAAGACATGCAATTTCTTGGGCCCTACCTGAATTCGGCTGCATCTGAAACTGTTTAACACACCCTCCAAGTGAGTCTGATGCAGGCTAAGGTTGGAGAACCACTACCCCAGAGTGATGTATTTTAAATGCAAATATAGACAGGTTACTTCTGTACTCAAAATACTTAAGTAAGGTCCCCATTCCCAGGAAGGAAAGATAATCAAACCTCTGTACATGTGGTTTTCCATTGTCATCATACATTTCTGAACTACTTTTTTCACTTCACCTTTTACCACTTTCCAAAAAAGAAACCCTGCACTCTTATCATAATGAATCCTGCACTTCCTTATTGTGACAAGTGTTTTCTTTTATGTTTCTGCACCACGGATTCTTATGTCTAGAAAGCCACCCCTACCTTGTGGGTGAATGTAATTCATCCTTTGAAACTCAGTCTAGGCACCATCTCCTCTGGGGAGGCTTTCCTGAGTCCCTCAGACCGAAGGGAGGGTTCTACTCTAGCACAACAGAGGTACTGTCCCAAGAAACTTTGCCTGAGGGGTAGTCAACAGCTCTCCAATTTTACTTCAAGCCTGCAAAATGTAAGACACATGCAAAAATAGACAGCTTAGTGATCCAGAGAACAGGTTCAAGCCTGGCTTTACTACCTACTATCTGTGTGACCTTAGGCTAATTGCTTTATGTTCTTTACAGAAAATAAATCAATCTATGTCCTAGTACACAAATTAGAAAGGTTTGGAATATTTATTATAATAATTAATATTAATTTTAATAATTCATGGAAAGCTACCTATTGATAACTTACAGTAAACAATATTAATTATTATTATTCATGTAATAATACATAGGTACAGTCTAGTTACACATGTGTAAAATAAAGATAGGCTATGGATACAGATTACATAAAGATATATGTTAAAACAGATAAGCATTAGAATACATGTAAATAAGACCCAAATATAGACTAATCTTAGGTATAAATCTCCATTAGATTTCTAGAGATTATTTTGCCTGAAAGGGAAGGAAACCTAAGATTCATTTTATTTCCCCACATAGTCTTACAACTTTTATGCATTTCTATGGCTTTGGTTATTAAACATTTTTCACCAGTCATATTAAAGCATATTATTTTCATTCTTCCTAATAAAAAAATGAGTAATCTTTTTGCTGTACATTAAAAACTATGTATTGGGTAACATGTATACCATAAACCCATACAAATTTATTCCTCTTTAAATGTGTTATTTGATATCACAGGTTTATATACCATGATGTGGGAAGCTTTAAGTAGGTTAGAAATGTGCTATAGCCACTGAGAAGAAGAATTCAACATTTAAATGAGAATATCAATATTATAATCCTAGATACACATAATTTATGGGAGACTCACTTTTGTTTGATGGATCGGAGGCTCAATTACTGTAATTCTAATTTATAATTAAGTCTTCAATTACATGATGCTTAGATCTTCTCCTATCTGACACAAAATGCAAACAAATAACTAGAAAAATATAATACCACATAATTTAATTTTAAAAATCAGGTTTTATTTTCAACTCAGTAAATAGTAGCCTAAAATACTGGCTTAAAAAAAAAAAACTTGGAGATTAGCCTATCGGAAGTGATTTTTGTAAGAGGGAAGAATAAAATACTGTCTTTTCCAACTGTTAATAACTGCAGTTCCTCTGACTGTGGTACCTTAAGGCAATTTATCAGTCTGATTCATAAATAACCACAAGGCAGAATTTTTTGTGAACTGAAAGCAAAAACAGGGCAAGTGGTTTATTAAATATATATATATATATATATATCTGCTTTTAAAATAGATACTTCTAATAATAGATATTTCTAATACATATTTATTTAACCGTATCTCTCCCTTACTGGAATTTAGGTATTAAGCCAATTAATATAAACAGTTTCAAGGTAATCATAATAAGCTGGCAAGAAAACAGATGATCTATATTCAAATTCAAGTTCACACTTCTAGAAAAAATTGGCATAGGATTTTCAGCTGAATATTAAGTATTTTATGGTCATATATTAATTTTGGAAGTAATAGCCTTGGAGGAATTAGATAGAGCTAGGGGGAGAGATGAGATCTTAAATTTAAAAAAAAACAGCAATTAGCAACACTATCCAAAATCAGATATGCAAAATTTGTGAAAGGAAGTCTAATTTGGAACCTAAGAAACATGCAGAAAAATTCCCTTTGCATTGCTGTTTTCTTTGGGAAAGAAATTCACCAAGTTCTAAATCATAATAAGTTAATTTCAAATTTATTTTTTATTTTTTAGTTCAGTTTTTGAAATAAGTGATGATCATAATGTTAACAAGAAATAGCAAAAGAACATATGATTTATCTATTTTTCTTCTGGGCAGCTCCATTTCAATTGATGCTACCAGGATTCTATTATGAATAAATGTTTATAATACCAAATAATACTATTGAATGGAAATGTAACTGACTGATATCAGAGCATAAAATGCATTGATGTTATGTTATTCAAGTAATTGAGACTATAGCATAATGTAGGAGTTGTAGAGCACAGCATAGAGCTGGAGATTTAGAGTCGATCATAGAACATTCTATAGTCATTAAATGTTCTACAGACAGTCTTGTTCTCCTTTTCATCCACTCAAGCTCCCCCTCCCCAAAATACAACTAAAATAAAGCTTTAAAGTTTATAATATTCTTTCATTTACTGGGATCAATTTAGAATATTTTATATCCTTATCTCTCCTTTCCTTAATATTTCTAGGACATATTTTTCATTACTTATACTTCCTCCCAAATGTAACTGACAGCATTCAAATGAGCCACACCACCAGGTAAGAATTTCAAAGTGCATACAATGCTAAGTTCCTTGGGGTTAGTGCAGTGGCAAAGTCTGGATATTTCTTTTGTTTGAGAGCAATCAAAACAGACGATACAGACAGTCCTTACTTGGCACAGTACAGTGTTAACTGTCTTTACCTTGCATGGCTCCATGAAATCAGTTACTATAAAGCAGGGACATGGCTCCCCTGGTTCTGGTATGTACTGGTTTCAGTAAACACAGTACAGTACCACTCAAAGCAAGAATATAGTGGCATTTTAATGGCAGATAAATCTTCATCCCTTTGCCTCCAGCATACCTTAAACTGGATTGTGAATCTTGAATGCATAGTGCAGTGGCTATGTAACACAATATTAAAATTGGAATCTTTCTCAATTTTAGCTTTGGTCCAAAGGCCAAAAATAATGTGGTGATGACCAGTATTTCCATATCCTTAAGCAAGGAGCTACATCAAGCCATGTGAAAATATTGTAAAACAGATTCTGCCAGAATTGATAAACATTGTCTCTTAATGAGAGCATTATTGGCAAATTAGGCAGGAAATTTCTTCATGGAAAGTATACTGAATTTGAATTTCAGGATTTTTCGCATCTTTACACTTAGGCACCAAAGTCTATTCCTGTCTCACTCCTCACCCTCCCACTCCTCCTCCCCCAACACACAGAGGTGACTATTCCTGAGGACCAGATTTGAGCTGCAGAGTGGGCAGTGCATCTTAAAGTGCTTGACCTAAGAGGACTGCTAGAAAAGTAAAGCAACGTGGCCCATGGGTAAACTACTAAATTCCATTCCATGTGAAGAGTATATTAATTTCCTATTGCTTCTGTAATGAATTTCCACAAATTAGTGACTTAAAATAACACAAATTTATTATTTCACAGATTTGAAGGTTAGAATCTAAAAATCAAGGTGTTGGCAGGGGCTATGTTCCTTCTGCAGACTTCAGAGGAGAATCCATTTCCTTGCCTTATCCAGCTTTTAAAGGCTGCATGCATTTTTTGGCTTATGGCCTCTTCCTCCATCTTCAAAGAGCATTATTTCAATCTCTAGTTCTATGTTCACATCTCTTTTTCTAACACTAACCCTTTTGCCTCCTTCTTATAAGGACTCTTACATTGGATGCACCTAGCTAATTCAGAATTCTCTCTCCATCTCAAGATTCTTAACCGACCTAATGTTCTCACACCCACAATGTCCCAAAGGTAACATAGCCACATGTCCTGGGATATAAGATGCAGACATTTTGGGGGTTCCTTATGCAGCCTACCACAAGGGGTAATTAAAAATGTAAGTTAGAACAGGCTTGGCCTGAATGTAAGAATACCTTGGATTCAAACCAAATTAAACTTTCTTGACCAGCCCAGGCAGGAGTGACCTCTCCATCCACTGAACTTCCATTATACTTATTTTCATCTATATATTGCCTGATATTATCATTCTATGTGTTTTCTTTCCACATAAATCCTAACTCTCTTAGCATAGGTTTATCCATACCTCTCTATATTCTGTAATGTTTCAATAAATATGTTGATTCGAGAAAAATAAATGGAAAGACAGTTTCAGTGGGCAGTTTCCTGTGTGTGGGAGGACTCTGCCTTAAAGTATCCTCTTTCAGTACCTGAAATTCCTTTTATTATATACTGCTTTCTGTTCTGTGGCATTGAATGCTCAGGCACAATGACAAGATAACACCTTATTGGAATTAGTCACCAATACTAAGTGAATCATTTCAACAGATTTTGCCTGAACCTCCACTGCAAACTCATTAGGAGGAAGTATATTAAGTTAGTCATTCTTTTATTGTACAGATTGCATTTGCCAAGTGTCTTTCACATAAGATTAATTCAACAAGGACCTATTAATGGATAATAGTTAGCTAAAAGCAAACTTTAATTAGCTGTGGAAAGGAGATAAGTAACTTTTGACCAGGGGAAACACCAAGAAACAGTATTTAGCAAGGAAGAAATTGTCCAAAAGAGAAAGAAGAAAAAGATAAATTTTATTTTATAATATTCTTTAGAATGTCTTTGGAAATTGTGATAGGAAGACTCTAAAATGGTTCCTAGTGATTTCTACCTCCTGGTATTCACACCCTTGTGTAATCCCCCTCTCTTACATGTAGATGTTTAGGCCTAGTAAAAATATGGTTAAGTGTTGGGATGTCTTCTTGTCTCTCCTGTGATTAGGTTACTATAGACTGACTTTCTCTCTTCCTCTCTCTCTCTCTCTGACACACACACACATACACAAACACAGACACACACACACACACACACACACAAAACCTGTCTGGGGGAAGTTGCCACACTGTACAGCTTATGGGAAGATCAAGGTAGCAAGAAACTGATGTCTCATGCCAACCACTAGCCAGGAAAGGAAGCTTGCCAAGCTCAGGTTAAGTGAATTCAGAAGTTGCTCCTCCCACAGTTTGAGCCTGAGCTGATGTCAGCCCTAGCTGATACTTTGATTGCAGCCTTGTGAGAGATCTGGAGTCTGAGGACCCAGCTAAACCGTGCCAAATTCCTACCCACAGATATTATGAAATAATATAAATTGTTTTAAGCCAGTAAGTGTTCAGGTAATTATTTACACAGGAATAAATAACTAATTTTAGAGTCAATATTCATATATTTCTAATCTGTTATTGAGTTTTCTATGTTCACCATACAAGTGCTCATTATAAAATAAAAATATTTTACAGGTTGAATCTTTTTAGACCAATGAATCCATAAAAGAAATAAGCAATTTTCTTCCTCTGGATTTTATGGTCTGGTATTATAATTCTAATTACACTTCGAAAAGCAAAGCGATGTTAGAAAAACAATAATAAATGATCATTCAATTGATTGATGTTGACAACTATCAATATGAATCATAAAATTGTACACATAACTTGTACTGTATCTGCTTCCACACATATTTTCATAGTATTGGTCAATTTTGAATGTATAACAATCATTAAATTTCTAAGAAAAACATTTTTGTGGTGATAAATTCTAGGTGGAGTTTTGATACCCTAAAGCCATATAACTATCAATAAAGATATAAAATTCTATGACGAAAAAGCAGTTATTTTTAATTATTTATAAATAGCTTGGCCTAGTTGACAATAATGTTTAAAAAGCAACTAATTTTTAGTTGCTGAATATATCATCACAGTAGATGATTTATACTTTTTTAAACCTGAAATACTTTCTAACATAAGTACTCCTTAGTCAATATCTCTGACCACATAATGAAAATATCTATCCAACTCATTTTTACCTAGTGTTTTGGAATAAATGAGGCAGTTTAAGTCTCTTTTCAGGAAGCATTATAAAGTGTATAAGAGATAATATGATATAGTCTTATATATCATAAGGTTAGATGTTTGTCCCCACCCAAATCTCATGTCGAATTTTAATCCCCAGTGTTGGAGGTGGGGTCTGGTGGGTGGTGTTTGGATCATGGGGGCAGATCCCTCATAACTCGGTGATGTCTTGGTAATAGTGAGTTCTCATGAGATCTGCTCATCAAAGAGTGTGTGGAACCTCCCCTCTAACTTTCTTTTGGTTGCTCCTGCTTTCACCGTGTGATGTCCCTGTTCCCCCTTCACTTCCCACCATGACTGAAAGCTCTCTGAGGCTTCTCCAGAAGCCAAGCAGATGCCCACACCATGCTCCTTGTAAAGCCTGCAGAACTGTAAGCCAATTTAAATTACCCAGTCTCATATATTTCTTTGTAGCAATGCAAGAATGGCCTAATACAGAAAATTGGTACCAGGAGTTTGGGGCACTGCTATAAAAATACCTAAAAATGTGGAAGTGACTGTGTAACTGGGTAACGGGCAGAGGTTGGAAGAGTTTGGAGGGCTCAGAAGAATACAAAGAGATAAGGGAAAGTTTGGAACTTCTTAGAGACTGGTTAAATGGCTGTGACTAAAATGCTAATAGTAATATGGATGGTAAGGTCCAGGTGTCAAGGTCTTAGATGGAAATGAGGAACTTACAGGAACTGGAGCAAAGTTTACACATGTTATGCCTTAGCAAAGATCTTGGCTGCATTCTGTTCCTACTATAGGGATCTGTGGAAGTTTAAACTAAAGAGTGATGATTAGGGTATTTGATGAAAGAAATTTCTAATTAACAAAGTGTTCAAGATGTGGTCTGGCTACTTTTAATAGCCTATGTTCAGATACAGGGGCAAAAAAAAATGACCTAAGATTGGAATTTATGTTTAAAAAAACAATGCATAAAGTTTGGAAAATCCATACCCTGGCCATGTGATAGAGAAAGAAAAGAGTTTTTATTTTTCCAGGAGAGAAATTCAAGGAGGCTGAAGAGCAACCACTTGCTAGAGAAATTTGCATAACTAAAAGGGACCCAAGTGCTGATAGCCAAGACAATGGAAAAAGGCCTCAAAAGCATTTCAGAAAACTGTGTGGCAGCCCCTCACATCCATCACAGGCCTGGAGACCTAGGAAGAAAGAATGGTTTCATGGGCCAGACCTGGGGCCACCACTGTCCTGTGCAGCCTTCTTGGCATCCTGGTTGCTCCTGCTCCAGCCTTGGATCAAAGGGTTCCAGATACTGCTAGTGCTGCCAGATACTGATAGTGCAAAAGCCACTGAAAGCCTTGGTGGCTTCCATGTGGTGTTAAGCCTGTAGGTGTACAGAGTACAGGAGTGAATGAGGTTTGGTGCTATCTGCCTAGATTGCAGAGGATGTATTGAATAGCCTCAGTGCCCAGGCAAAAGCCTGCTGCAGGGGCAGAGTCCCCACAGAGAGCCTCTCCTAGGGAAGCTCCAATGGGAAAAGTTGGATTGGAGCCCCCACACAGGTTCCCCATGAGGGCACTGCATAGTGAAGCTATGAGAGAGAGGCTACCACCCTCCAGATCAGAGAACTGTAGATCCACCAGCAGCTTGCAACCTGTGCCTGGAGAAGCCACAGGCATTCAACAACCTGTGAGAGCAGCCTGGTGCTTAACTTTGCAAAGACACAGAAGTGGAGCTTTCCAAGGCCTTGGGAGTCCACCCCTTGCACCAGTTTGCCCTGGATATGGGATACGGAATAAAGATTATTTGGGAGCTTTAAAATTTAATGACTATCCTCTTTGGTTTCATAATTGCATGAGGTCTACAGCCCCTTTCTTTTGGCTAATTTCTCCTTATTGGAGTATGTTTGCCTAATGCCTATAACTGCATTGAATCTTGGAAATAACTAATTTGTTTTTTATTTTTCAGGCTCATAGGTGGAAGGGAATTGCTTTATCTCTGCTGAGACTTTGAACTTTTGAGTTTACACTGGAATTAGTTAAAAATTTGAGGGACTTTTGAGAAGGCATGATTGTATTTTGCAATGTGAGAAGGACATGAGATTTGGGAGGGGCCAGCAGTAAAATGATATAGTTTGAATATTTGTCCCCACCCTACTTTTATGTGGAATTGTAGTCCCAGTGCTGAAGATAGGGCCTGGTGGAAGGTGTCTGGATCATAGGAGCATATCCTTCATGGCTTGATGGTGTCTTTGTGGTAGTAAGCTCTTGCGAGATCTGGTCATTTAAAATGTGGCACCTCCCTATCCCCTCTTGCTTGCTCCTACTTTTGCCATGTGATATGCCTGTTCCCCCTTCACCTTCTGCCATGATTGAAAGCTCCCTGAGGCTTCTTCAGAAGCCAAGCAAATGCCAGCACCATGCTTCCTGTAAAACCTACAAAACTGTGAGCCAATTAAACTTTTTTTCTTTGTAAATTACCCAGCCAGGTATTTCTTTGCAGCAATGCAAAAATGGCCTAATACAAGATACTTTTTAAAAAAACAATATAAATTATTTCCCTTTTCATAAGCATTTGCAAATGATTCAGCCTTACTCTGTTCAGAAAAACACCAGCCAAAAAATAAAAATATAGTTTCATTAGCAAACTTTTCTGCTCAAATGATCATCTCTATACAGCAATTGTTTTTGGCTTCTTCTGAATGTTTTTGCACTTTATATTTCCCAACTCTGGTTTCCTTTGGCAATTCCCTGACCTCATTTCTTAATTCTCAGTGCTATGTTATATAATTGTCTGAATAAGCAGTATCCCCCCAAAATGAGACAAATTTATTGAGAATTTTGCAATCAGAAAATCAGCAAAAAGGCTAATTTAATATTAACATATTGTGATTTTTGTGTGGTGTAATTGAGTGTTGGTATTAATACAAGAGCTTTAGGCCTAGGATGCCTGGATTTGAATATTGGCTCTGACACTGTACAGATGTGTAACCTTGGGCTAGTTACTTAAGAGTTTTGTGTTTTAATTTCCCACATATAAAACTTACGTAACAATAGTACCTGCCTCTGATGATTCTTGGGAAGGTAAATGTGTACACACAGCAAATGCAAATAAGGGTTAAGTGGCAGTAGCACAAATAGCAATAGTAGCAGCAGTAGTAGACAGTGAAATACTGACTTGATGTGCTTTGTTTAAATTTTGATTTGCACATTGGCAGGAGGATAAATCTGGTCTTGTCAATTCCTCTACTGGGTCTGTGGCTGCAGGCTCTTAACTCTCATCATCCAGTCATGAAGAATGTGGTAGCATAATTTCATCAGGAAGTATTGGGACCCAGTGAAGGGTGAGGAAAAAGACTGACATATTGCATATTTGCATATTTAAACCTTGCATATTTAATTTACACACTTATGAAGGAACCTAGTCTTGCTTATGAAGCAAAGACATAAGCCAAGTTTAACAAATCTGACAATATTTTTACAGATCGAATGGGGACCTCATTGAACAGGGTCTCTTATACTCATCCTGTGCATAATGGCCTCAGCGAAACTTTTTCTTTATTAAACATACTGCTATGTTTTCAGTTGTTCATACTTTGCTTTTGATTGAGCAGTTTATTAAGATATGTGATGAATTCTTCACCCAGTAAAGGAATTAAAGATTATTTGACACTTCCTTGGTGATAGGCAGAAAATAAGTTAACCTATTAAAATGCAATCCAATTAGTCTTGACCTATATGATCCCCCGCTACTAGATGAAAAGATATTCTCTGATCCTTAAACCTTATGCACTTGAAAAGAAATAGAGTCCTACCTTTTGACCTTAATTTCTTTTCTCTTGAGAAATAGGTTTTTTTGACATGTGAAGTTAGAGAATATTAATCTTAAACTCAGGTTTGTTATGAGTCTAGAAGCTTCTTTGTCATTGTTGAAATGAATCATAGACAGACAATGCCTAATGAGAGAAATGGCAGGATTACTAGAAAATGTAGATCTCCCTGAATTTCTAAATTTTGCTTAATTAATATGTTTAAAATGTATAATGAATTAAGCATAAAAAGTAAAACATCTTTCCCATTCTCTTTCAATTGAAAGGAATTATCAGAAAGTGTATACACTCCAAGTGACATATTTCTCAGTAAATCTTTTTTAGGCCCTTTAGGCTATTCTGATTCATTAAATGTCACACAGTATGAGAAATTACATAAATTATGATACATTATTTAAAAACTTATTTAGAGACTAAAATTAAGTATTCTATTTATAATTCTTTTCCTTTGCAATAACTATCAGCTCAGACTGGATAAGTATATCTAATTAATCTGAGGAAGGAAAGGGGAAAAAGCCATGGAAATTAAGTAAGTCACATTTAAGATTATTAAAGTTTTATAAGCCACTTCAGCTAAAAAATCTATACAGGAATATGTCAAACTATTTGATTTAGATTTACATTATTCAGAGCAAGACAATTCAAATTCTTTAGTAATAACATTCGTCCAGAAACTACAAGATAGCATAGTTTTCCTTAGTAAACTGAAAATCAATCAGTAGAAAAACTTTTCCAAAATGTTACAAATGCTCCCATATGTCTGTCTCCTTCACTATTTAGAACATTTCCTCTAGACCAAGACTTTGCTTTGTTCACTGGTCTATTTCCAGGCACCTGGATCAATCAGTGTCTGCATATGATAGGCTCTCTCTCAATAAGTAGAGTTGAATGCCTAGATGAATATACTATTTCAATTCAAGTCAGGCTAGAATGATCAATCAAGGAAATATCCAACATTAATTTTTAAGAAAACAAACTAGATATCATGTTTGGAACCTGAATGCAGTAATACTATAGCCAATGTGATAAGAATAATCCTATACAGACACATTTGTTGAGCAATATTTTTAAAGAAGCCACTTAAAATGTAGTAATATAAATGTCACCATGGATATAAGTATTCAAGAACAGAAACATTAAGGTGACAAAAGTAAAGATTCCAAGACTTACTCTGAGAATTTCTGATTCGATAGGCCAGGAGTTGAAAAACTTTGTTTCTAAGAAAGAAGATTTATTCATGTAGAATTGCTATGAGTTGAATGTCCCCTCCAAAACTCATGTTGAAATGTAATTACCATTGTGATGGTGTTAAGAGGTGGGACCCTTATGAGGTAGTAAAACCATGAGGGTTTTGTCCTCATAAATGAATTAGTGCTGTTATTGCAGAAGCAAGTTTCTGATAAAAGTGAGTTTAGCCCCCTCATGCTCTCACTCTTAAACATGCTTTCTTGCCCTTCTACCTTCCACCATGAGATGACACAGCAAGAAGGCCCTAGCCAGATGAGGACCCCTTGACTTTGGATTTCCTAGCCTCCAGAACTGTAAAAAATAAATTTCCCTTATTTATAAATTAGCCTGTGTTATGCTGTTATCACAGCACAAAATGAACTTAAGAGAAGAATGGTTGTGAATAAAGAGCCAGAGGAAAGAACATGAAGAATTAGAAGTGTCAGGAAATAAATATTTTGTTTATCATTTGAAGTAAACCCTTTGTTGCAAATGAGTTTGCATATATTTTGGCCATTCCCTATGCCTGTGGAAGAAGGGTAGGTATGAGATGCACAGTTTAGAAGTGTTACTAATTTCAACCTATCTAGTCCTTTATACACACACACACACACACACCACAAACACACACATCTAGTGGAAACAAAAAGGTTCATTGATTTTTCTCCTTTAAAGTAGTGGTTTTGAGTAGACTGTATATGAGTTATCTATTGTATGTTCCATGACAATTAACATTTGTTGTAATAAAATGCATTTTAGCAAAACAGACTTTATTATAAGCGTTGGTAGAGCTAAGATTTTTACTATCTATGAGTAGCTTTGAAAGCAGACATTTCTACTAACTCAGAAAAGCCTTAGATCACATATTTCACTATCAAGTAATATGCAGAATTAGGCCATGCATCTATTATAAAACCACAGAAAAATTTTAGAAATAAAACATTATAGGATTAAAGAAATTGTAAGAAATTACTAAAGGAGATATAGAGAGTATAGCACATTTCATGTGATCTACTCATGTCCTCAAACATTAGTAAAAGATAAAACAAGATGACTTTAATGGTGACTTAAAATTGATTTGTTTCTATAGGGGTTTAAAAGTTTGATAGTGTTGAGTAAAGACTTTACTCTGGTAAACATTATACCAAATTATTTTGATAAATATATTAATACATCAAAAGCATTTTTAAATTTTCATGATTTCAATATTGTACAATTTTTGCAGAGATATTTGCTTCTTAGTATAAAGGTTTTTTCACCATTTATCATAAAAATTTTATGTAACCAAAATTATGTAGTGGTAAAATTGCTTTCTTCATAGTCATAGTAATATTATAAGCTCTTATTGAAGACATATAAACATAAAATAATAATATCCTCTCTAAAACAAAAAAAAAATAGCTTCTTTCTTGACTATTTGAATTATATTTAGGTTAGTTAAGTATAATCTAAATGAAAGAAAAAACAAATTATTGCATTCTAAGATTATGCCATAAACCTAAATGTTTGCTTTTAGTGGATTTCATCACCATGGTTGATCTCTATCATATAATATTAAGCAATTTCAATTATTCTCTCTGAATACACATGTCTTAACCCTGAATCATCCTCCAAGTATCTTCCTATCTCTCTAGTCCATGTAGAACTAAAAGAGTAATACACATTTATCTTTCTCCATATCTAACTTATTCAATTCCTAACCTGTCTCTGCATCCACATTTCTATTGAATCTTATTTTGCCAAGAGTAAAATAACCTTAATATATTGCTAAATAAAATTCTTACTGGATGTTCATAGTACATAATATAGTTGACTCTTCAATCCTTGAAATTTTAACCCATGAAACTTGTCTTCATCTTTCATGAAAATATTGGACTTTCCCATATCCTATGACCATTTGTCTTCATACTGCTTCATGGATGCCTCTTCACCTGAGCTCCCCTGAAATGGTGGTGTTCTTCAGTTTAATCCTTGACCATATATCTTCATACTCTGTAATCCTTTTGGATGATCTCATCCATTCACAGAGTCATAATCACTAGCAATGATATATACTGATGATGGCTAAACCTTTATCTCTTCTAGTGTTTATTTTCACTGAGACACATAAAATATAATGTTATATATAAAATATGTAAATGAAAATATTTTTAAATTAGTTACTAATCAAATGCAGAGTTCTACAACTGTATGTCTACAGCTTTCAAATTAAAAAACAAAACTTAAAATTCCCATTCTCATGCTTTATAAAGATTTTTGTCTACCAAATATAAAATCTGTCATAACATGCAGAAAATTAAATGATGAATTATAAGAATAAAATATGGAACCTGGAAACCCTCTCTGACCAGAATAGGTTTGGTTTTTGTTTTGTTTTAACAAATTCCAAAGCATATGGTTCTGGGAAATGTGTTTCCAAACAATTTTCTAGCATTATTTAAAGATTACTAGTTCCACTTCTGGCATTGTGCACTATGTCTGAATTTATACATTGACTGCATACAGTGTTTAGAAGGATAAAAAAATAAAATGATAACCAAAAATTATCACAGAAATATTCCAGAGAACAGTTACCAAAAAAGACTATGGAGAAAACAAAAACCAAAATAACTAACATCGGTTGGATATACATATTGATTAGTTGGATATAAATAAATCAGTTGGTTATAAAATTGAGTGAAAATAAAAATTTTGTGTGGAGATAAACTTTACTAAGAATGCTCATAGTTTAAATTTCTTTTATTTATATACTATAAAAATTATTTTTAATGTCACTGACAAGTTGCACCCAAATTTGGATTAAAAGGTTTGGAAGATAAAGAAGAAACAAACCATGGAGAAGTGAGTAAATTCGGTAAGAACTTTGAATAAGTAAAGGTATACAAGATTTTAAGACTGACAGCTTGGGTTCCAGAATGAAACGGCTTCCTTCTGCACATACAGGTTATATGGCAAATTAGCCTCTGTGAACTGCATTTTCTCATCTGTGAGATGCAGGCCATCATGGTGCACAATACAAAGGATTGTTGGAAA
This sequence comes from Homo sapiens, assembly GCF_000001405.40. Taxonomy (NCBI): domain Eukaryota; kingdom Metazoa; phylum Chordata; class Mammalia; order Primates; family Hominidae; genus Homo; species Homo sapiens. Next base: position 81,701,199 of record NC_000012.12, read on the forward strand.
GATTAAATGAAATGTTACAGTGCTTGACATTTAGTCATCATTCAGCAAATGTCACCTATAACTAAGTGTAGCTGCTGTAACTGCTGCTATTACTGCTCATTACAGGTGGGAAGTTGACCTGCTGCCTCCATATTAGGGCTGGGGTCAAACTGATTCATGCATTTAGAGAGAGTTATGAGGGTACCATCTTGAAGAAACCACACAATGTTGGAACACTGTTAATACATCCATCCACATAATTTTGATCCCTGAGACAAGAAGAATTTATGGGGTTAGAGGCAGTAGAATTTAGGGGTTAGAGCCTGGGCTTTGTGTCAGGCTACTTGGGCTCAAATCACGGCTCTGAAACTTTCTAAATGCATTATCTTAATTAAGTTATGTAACCTCTTTATTTATCTGTAAAATGAAGATAAAAATTATAACTGACTAAATGGGTTGTGAAATTTAAAAAGCACATTTTATATAAATCACTAGATAGTTTATGAGACATAGTGCTCAATAAATAAATATCAATCAGTGCCTAATATTCTACTATTCTTTCTGTCAGTATGTTGTAAAAAATAGTAATACAGTTCTCCATTAAAACTATACAAATAAAGCTTATTATTTGTGTTTCATTTCGTCAGTCACACAACTGTTCTGATGAACCCCGAACTGAACTCTTTGTCTCATTTAAATCAACCCATAAGAGTAAACTATACACTTTATGGGAAGACTAAAAAAAAAAAAAAAAAAAAAGTAAGAAGAAAGTGGCTGCAACTTAGATTTACAAGATTTAAGTAAGTGAGGAAAGAGAAAGAGAAACAACAGGAAGCTGAAGACTGGAAAAAGTGAGAGAAAATGTGGGATGTAAGCTGGCATTTCTTATCACTTGCTCCTAGCAGCTGGCTGCTGGAGAGGAGTAAGAAAAACAGGGCAGCCAGCAAACACCCAGGGCATAAGTTCTCATTCTGAGACCTACCCCCACCATCAATGACACTGTGGCTGCTTGTATCTAGTGCCACAGCACAGATTATGCTGATGTAGTTCCACACATGCATCCCTTCAGTACACAAATGTGTTGTAGCACTTCCCAGTCTAAATGTGTCTTTTCTTGGTCCATTTTCTTTCCCCAGTTACTATAAATTTTTCTATTGCCATTGACTGCCAAATTTTTAATGTTGTCTTCACTAGTTTCTCCACTATATTACCCACTTCGCTCTGACCTAGCTTTAAATCCCATCACTCCAGTGAAATCAATCTTGTCTATATCACCAAATTATTTTAATCCACTTCATTAAATGTCAGTAGCAATTACTGAAGTTGTCTACACTCTATTTGTCAAAACAGTGGCGTTGATGATCACAGTAAGGATTGTGGGTTTTAATTAAAATGTACAGAAAGCCACTGAAAGGATTTTGGCAGGGGAAGCCTCCAATGACACTAGGCTCTTTGGGCTTTATTCTTACTTCTCTGGTTTCTCCTTGTCAAACAAAATTCTAAATTCCAGTTGTTATAGACTAAATGCTGTGTGCCCTAAAAATTCATATTTTGAACCCCTAAATCCCAATGCGATCATATTAGAAGACAGAGTGTTTTGGAGGTAATTAGGTTTAGATATGATTATGAGGGTGAAGCCCCTATTATCAAACTAGTGCCCATATAAAACAGGAAAGTGGCACTGGAGCTTCTTCCCTCCCCCGTGTGAGGACACACCAAGAAGGCAACTATCTGCAAGCCAGAAAGAGAGCTTTTACCAAGAACCAAATCTACCAGCCTTTAATCTTGGACTTCCCAGCCTCTAGAATTATGAGCAACAAATGTCTGTTGTTTAAGCCACCTGGTCTGTGGTATTTTGTTACAGCAGCACAAGTAGACTAAGACGCCGGTGTTCCCCAGAGTTCAGTCCACAGACCTCTTCTCTTTTTTCTCTACACTTCTTCTTGAGGGGTTTCTACCCAGTTTCATAACCTTATTAAAGGCTACTTACTGTCAATGAGTTTCATATTTGTACTTTTGCAAATTCTCCTCTGAGCTACAGATTTTTATAGCAATCTGTTTATCAGACATCTTATTAGACATCTCACAGACACCTCATACTAAATAAGTTTAAAATTTCTCTTTTTTACAGCCCCAATTTTTTCTCCTTCTTAGACTTCTCTATCTGAAAAAATCATTCCAACAAAACCAGAAAAACTGCTAGTCATCCTTGATTTTTATTCTTCCTCAATCCCCAAGTCCTATCCCTTAAGTAGTCCTATCAATCCAATGTACAGAATCCAATGTATAGCATCTTCTTTTCATCACTACTGCTGCTCAACTGTACCAACCCACTAACTTGTAACAGAAAAACTAAAATATGTCCCTCACTGTTATCACATTCACCCTCTTGCCCTCCTTCTCCACTTGCTTCAGCAGACTTCTCTGCTAGTATGGATCATGCCCTTCATTACTCCATACTTTTGAAATAAAGCCCAATTTCCTTATTGTGGCCTAAAAATCCCACCATAATCCCGTGCCTTGGCTACACCTCACCTCCACCTCACCTCACTCATGGCTCTGACGAGCTCACTGAGTCCCTAGATGCACCGAGCATCTTCCTAATGCCACTGTGTACCAAGCTGTGTCTTACATATGATACTCTTTCTCTCTGGAACGCTCTTTCTTCTGCTCTTCGTAAGGCAATTGTTTATTAATCCTTCAGACCTCAGCTTAAATGTTGCCTACTCACAGAGTCCTTGTTCACTTCAAGTATCTTGATTTGACTTATTATTCTATTCCTCAACCATTTGTTCCTTCATTGAATTAAGATAAAATTATTTTATACCTATTTGTTGTTTACCTGTTTGTTGTTTGTATTTCTGCTAACACAAATAACACAGACATAGGATCTTGTCTCTTGTATTCACTAAGGGATGCTTAGTTCTAGTACATTTCCTGGACTTTGCAGCACTCAATATGTGAAATGAATGAACTCAAGAATGAAAGAGACATTCAATGTACACTTAAATAGTGAAGTAGGGTGTGCAAATTATAACATTAAACAGGTTAAACTGTGTTGTTGTGTAGTAGAGTTTCAATATTAAACATAATTGTCATCCAAAAATATTATAGCTCAATTAACAAGTATTTATTGAACCCAGTACCTATTCTGTGCCCAAAATACTGCCTGGTGTTATGAAGAAGGTTGAGTAAAAAATAAAATGGTCACTGATTTTAAAGGTTATAATATTTTAGAGGAGCTAAGGTATAAACACACAAAACAACTTGAAAAGGATATATAAAATGACTTCATGATGAGAAAAACACCTGTGAAATATGTAATAAAACTTAATGATAGCAAATGAAACTTGTCTTTGATGGGAGTGACCTCAAACACCCAAGGCCCTTCAGAAAGGGAGCATCAATGAGAACAGATAAAATAAAAGACAAGTGCAGACTTCACTAAAATAGGAAAATTAAATTACCCATATACTTGCACATACAAGGTTCATTTGCCTTGGGAAGTTTTAATACCCACAATTCTGAATTTTTCTATAAGTTATATTAAAAAGCCAAGGGACATTACTTGAGGATAGCAACTTAAATATAATATATAAATATTTATTAAGAACCTATCTTGTGGGCTGGGCACGGTGGCTCATACCTGTAATCCCAGCACTTTGGGAGGCCGAGGCAGGTGGATCACCTGAGGTCAGGAGTTTGAGACCAGCCTGACCAACATGGTGAAATCCTGTCTCTACTAAAAATACAAAAATTAGCTGGGCATGGTGGCACATGCCTGTAATCCCAGCTACTTGGGAGGCGGAGGCAGGAGAGTCATTTGAACCTGGGAGGCAGAGGTTGCAGTGAGCCAAGATTGTGTCATTGCACTCCAACCTGGGCAACAAGAGTGAAACTCTGTCTAAAAAAAAAAAAAAAAAAAAAAAAAAAAGAACCCATCTTCTGTCCAGCCTCTACCTGGTGTATTGTTACAAAAATGAAAGATACGGCCGGGCGCAGTGGCTCACTCCTATAATCCCAGCAGTTTGGGAGGCCGAGGCGGGCAGATCACGAGGTCAGGAGATCGAGACTATCCTATCCTGGCCAACACGGTGAAACCCCATCTCTACTAAAGAATACAAAAAAATTAGCTGGGCTTGGTGGTGGGCGCCTGTAATCCCAGCTACAGAGGAGGCTGAGGCAGGAGAATGGCATGAACCTGGGAGGCGGAGCTTGCAGTGAGCTGAGATTGCACCACTGCACTCCAGCCTGGGGTGACAGAACAAGACTAGGTCTCAAAAAAAAAAAAAAAAAAGAAAAGAAAAGAAAAGGAAGATACAGTACCTACTCACAGAGTGTCCATAGTCCAGTTGGAGGGAGAAGGAAGGAAGATAATCCTATGAACCTCAAATCAATATACATTGCAACAGGTGGTATGTAAAAGATACAAGCACAATATCTCAGTGAATTAATACAATAGATTCTTGGGGAGTAAAGATTTTCTCCACACAGAGCCAAAGACCCTTACTGAAAGGTAAAAATGCAAAAACTCAAACCAAACAAGGTGATTCAGTTGATTATTTTGTCATGATGCATGACTGTCTCATCAGCCAGTTGAATTTTCCACTGTAGTAATCATTTTTACTGAAAAATAGGTTCTCTTTTGTAGAAACTGTAGTTTATAGGAAATCATTTGAGTCACACATTAAGTCATGTTCTAAAGTTTCAGTGTCCAATTCAGCAGCTACTAGTCACAGATAGGTATTTAGCACTTGAAATGTGGCTATTTGCCACGTGTTAAAATGATATTTTGGATATATTGATTTAAACAAAAATATACTATTAAAAGTATTTTTTTATTTATTTTTCTTATTTCAAAATGGGACTTTTCAAAAATTTGAAACTGCATGTGTATCTCACATTGTATTTCTACTGGGCAATGCTGCTCTAAAAAGTTTATGAAACAAGTTAATACTATTTTTCAGGAATAGGATGGGACCAACTTAGAAGATTAGACATTGTCCAATACGGAGTTTGCAAAATTCTTTCTAAAACAATATGTAATATAAATAAGGAAGCATAAAAGTTTAACACTATGTACTGCATAAGTATTGTCTTATCCATGTGGGAAAGCACTGAGCACTTTTAAAAATATGGTTCCATCTAGGGAGGCTATATTACATATTTTCAATTAAATTTGAAATGCATTTACAGTATTGTGCTACTGTAGCAGAGAACTTCATAACTATCTTTACTGTTACTTTTATGAAGCTATTTATTGTGCTACTTTTGTTGCTTCCACAACCTTAAAAATTATACAAAAATGCATATATTTTTTATTTATGTATAATACTTTCCATTTGAATTCATTGATTTCTAATAGAACTTTTTTATAAGTTAAAGCTAAAGAGAAAAGTCTAAATAAACATCAGGTAGAAATGTATAGTAATACCCGGCCGTGTGAGGTGTCAGTCTGCCCCTACCGGGGGGTGCCTCCCAGTTAGGCTGCTCAGGGGTCAGGGGTCAGGGACCCACTTGAAGAGGCAGCCCGCATAGCCAAGACAATCCTAAGCCAAAAGAACAAAGCTGGAGGCATCCTGACTTCAAACTATACTACAAGGCTACAGTAACCAAAACAGCATGGTACTGGTACCAAAACAGAGATACAGATCAATGGAACAGAACAGAGCCCTCAGAAATAACACCGCATATCTACAACTATCTGATCTTTGACAAACTTGAGAAAAACAAGCAATGGGGAAAGGATTCCCTATTTAATAAATGGTGCTGGGAAAACTGGCTAGCCATATGTAGAAAGCTGAAACTGGATCCCTTCCTTACACCTTATACAAAAATCAATTCAAGATGGATTAAAGACTTAAACGTTAGACCTAAAATCATAAAAACCCTAGAAAAAAACCTAGGCATTACCATTCAGGACATAGGCACGGGAAAGGACTTCATGTCTAAAACACCAAAAGCAATGGCAACAAAAGCCAAAATTGACAAATGGGATCTAATTAAACTAAAGAGTTTCTGCACAGCAAAAGAAACTACCATCAGAGTGAACAGGCAACCCACAAAATGGGAGAAAATTTTCACAACCTACTCATCTGACAAAGGGCTAATATCCAGAATCTACAATGAACTCAAACAAATTTACAAGAAAAAAACAAACAACCCCATCAAAAAGTGGGCGAAGGACATGAACAGTCACTTCTCAGAAGAAGACATTTATGCAGCCAAAAAACACATGAAAAAATGCTCACCATCACTGGCCATCAGAGCAATGCAAATCAAAGCCACAATGAGATATCATCTCACACCAGTTAGAATGGCAATCATTAAAAAGTCAGGAAACAACAGGTGCTGGAGAGGATGTGGAGAAATAGGAACACTTTTACACTGTTGGTGGGACTGTAAACTAGTTCAACCATTGTGGAAGTCAGTGTGGCGATTCCTCAGGGATCTAGAACTAGAAATACCGTTTGACCCAGCCATCCCATTACTGGGTATATACCCAAAGGACTATAAATCATGCTGCTATAAAGACACATGCACACGTATGTTTATTGCGGCACTATTCACAATAGCAAAGACTTGGAACCAATCCAAATATCCAACAATGATAGACTGGATTAAGAAAATGTGGCACATATACACCATGGAATACTATGCAGCCATAAAAAATGATGAGTTCATGTCCTTTGTAGGGACATGGATGAAATTGGAAATCATCATTCTCAGTAAACTATCGCAAGAACAAAAAACCAAACATCACATATTCTCACTCATAGGTGGGAATTGAACAATGACAACACATGGACGCAGGAAGGGGAACATCACACTCTGGGGACTGTTGTGGGGTGGGGGGAGGGGGGAGGGATAGCATTGGGAGATATACCTAATGCTAGATGACGAGTTAGTGGGTGCAGCGCACCAGCATGTCACATGTATACATATGTAACTAACCTGCATATTGTGCACATGTACCCTAAAACTTAAAGTATAATAATAAAAAAACAAAAAAAATGGAAATTTAACAAAATAGAAAAAAAAAGAAATGTATAGTAATAATATACATTGTGTTTATTTTTATGTTTTTAATTGGAAGAAAAATTTTAAAAACAGAGGGTGGTATATAATTTAAAACCAAATTGAAAATGGCTTCAGATGTTCAGCATCTATTTGTAAACCAAACTAAAGATATGGAGACTCATCCACCAATTATTGTAAAATTTTAAAGAATGAAATTAGAATTTACTTTTAACTTAGTGAACCTCATGCAAAAAGTTTTCTTAAGTTATTTTGAAAAAAAAGTATTACTTGTAAAAGAATTATAACTGAGATTTATGTAGCTGAGTTAACATGAAGCAATAGTGACATGCAATAGCATTAAACTAAGTGGATAGTTACACTAGTTCTGTGAAGTGTCTTAAAACTGATTGTTACTATCTACTTTGTTTAGGGAATCTCTGTTAATATAAGAGACTCAGTTTACAACCTTCTTCAAATGATTAGGAATAACACAGCTGTTAAAATGCATGAGATTACACTGTAATAGCATTCTTTACCTAATAACAAATCAGGCCACAAATACTAATGAACATAATCACTGGGCCCTTAATGGAAGATGTCTGCTAATTTTGAAAGCTTTACAATTAGCTGTGATTCAATGAACCTGAATCCATGTTAAATTAAACTGTTAGGGAAGACAAAACAGTGTTGTTTCAGGCAGGCAATGCTAAAGGTTCTAACTGAATTTTCTCAAGGCAAGGTAATTTTAAAGATAAAATTGTTCTCTTCTTTTGTTACTGTAAAAGTGAAGCTCTGCTTCATTTATAAATTGTACTCAGATTAAAAACCCCCTTTTATTTTATTTTTTAAATTAATAACCTACCAGAGCCATCGGACTGCCAATGTTTCAAACCTTCTCTCTCATCTTTCTTATTGTTCAGGTTCCTCACATAGGGCTTCTTTCTGCCCAGCTCTGCAAGCCTATTCCAGCCTTAGAATCCTTACCCTTGCTGTTCCCTCTTCCTAGAAGGCTCTGCTCCTTGCTCCTCTCATAAATGGCTCCTTTTCATTTAAGTCTCAGTTCAAAGACAGCATTCCAGAGTTTTCTTTTAAAGTGCTCACCACTTCCCCTAATGTAGGAAGGGAATTATTCCTTTCTTTTTGTCAGATCCATCATCAAATTTTGATTTATTTTGTTAATTTTTTTGCTTGTTTATTGTTGGATTTTCCATTATGGAAACTACACTCCATGAGAGCATAAACCATTATTTAGATAATAACTGCCATAAACAAACTACCATTAACAAATGGTTGGTACACACACACACACGCATGCATACCACACATACACACACACATAGACTCACAAATAAATATATTTGTAAATATGTCATATATATTTTACAAAGTTAATTTTTTTGCTATTTGCTAGCAAGGTTTTTTCTATTAAAAATATATTATGAGAGCTTTCAAAGTCAATAAGCAGATCCCTGTAGCAAATTTATAACAGCTATAGGGTGTTCCACCATTTCAGTACACTAGATTATCAAATCTCCTGTGTTGAATACTTATATTAGCACCATACTTTTTTACTACTATAAATAGTAGTTTGTCTCTTATTTTTTAAATAGATATTTTTCACTTGCCTGATTGTTTTCTCAGGATAAATCCCTGTAAATTAAATTGCTAAATAAATAAGAATATACATATTTTAAATTATGGCTCATATTGCCATACTGTCTTCCCAAAATATTTTACCAGTTTCTTCTTAAATAAACATTATATAAATCTTGGCCATATTGAAATTATGAATACTTGCCAATTCAATAGGGGATAATATATAATTTCTTTTTTAATAAATTATGGCCTTTGCCTATTCTTCTACTGGAAAGTTTATTTTTTGTTGATTTCTAAGATCTATTCACATATTAAGACTTTAATATCTATAGTAAAATTACTCTCAGTTATAAATACTTTTCCAATATTTATATGTATTTTATATATCTTGGGGCATATATCTTTAGTTGCTTTACAGTAAAATCTGTTTTCCCTTCAGGATTTTTGAGTTTAGTATTAACTTTAAAAATGGGCACCTTCCACCCAAGACTATGAAAATTGCACACTCTCTCTCACACACACACACATACACACACACAATGTACATCTAATACTTATCACACATGTACATGCTATATATTGTATTTATAAAATATTTTATATTTCCAAAAACTGTTGTAATGTTTTAGATTTAAATATTTAATCAAGAAGTTTTAAATTTTGTTTAATCAACATGTAATAATTACAGTGACATGTAAATGATGTACAGTATAATACATGCAGGTATAAATATAGTTTGAGTATTTCTTATCTGAAATGCTTAAAATCAGAAGTGTTTCAGATTGAGTATTTTTTAGGATTTTGGAATATTTACATATACATAATGAGATATCTGTGATCAGCACCCAAGTCTAAACACAAAATTCATTTATGTTTCATATACATCTTATACACATAGAACTGAGATATTTTCATATAATATTTTAAATAATTTTATGCATGAAACAAAGTTTTGACTGTGTTTTGACTGCAACCTGTCACATGAGGTCAGGTATGGAATTTTTCACTTGTGACATCAGTCAGCACTCAAAAAGTTTTGGGTGTTGGAGCATTTGGGATTTCAGAATTGCACATTAGCTATGCTCAATCTGTATGTATATCCACCTGAATTTTCTTTAAACACTACTAAGGTTTTGCTACTTAGAAGTAAAATCTTTGGTCAAGCACAGTGCCTCACACCTGAAATCCCAGCTCTTTGGGAGGCCGAGAAGAGAACCACTTGAGCCCAGGAGTTCAAGACCAGCTTGGAAACATAGAGAGACCTCTTCACCATTAAAAATCAAAAACATTAGCCAGGTGTGGTACACATCTGTGGTCCCAGTGACTTGGGAGGCTGAGGTGGGAGGATTGCTTGCACCCAGGAATTTGAGGCTGCAATAAGCCATGATTGCACCACTGCACTCTGCCCTGGACAACAGAGTGAGATTCTGTCTCAAAAAATAAAAATAAAAAGAATATGAAATATTCAACCAACATATAATTAATTGTTATGGGAGCTATAAATAGAAAGTATTATCTCTCTCAATTGGCTTTGATCATTATAAACACACACATACACATAGAAACACACACATCCACCGTTTAACCCACAGAAATGAAATGCCAAGATTTTCATGCATTGTAAATCCCCATATAAACTAAACTATATGAACTAATTATAGAATACTATCTATCTATTTATCTATCTATCTATGTAGTCATTTCTAGATTCTCTATTATCTCCTATTGTTTCTTCATTGATCCCAGTATAATTATTGTGCTATAGTAATAACACCTGTATACCTGGTGGTGGGCAATTCTACACTTACCATTCAGAATTGTCCCATTTCCACATAGTTTTTGTTTGTGAATGAATACAAATAAGAATGGTTTTCTACTTAATACTTGCCTATTAGTGCCAACATCAGCTTGACTCTACTAAAAGGCACACAAGTGTATCTTTCCGTCTCTGTGGTGAAGCTTCTCTTTTGGGATGGGCTATACTTACATTTTTTTTTTTTTAATTAGGAGGAATATTTCCAAATGTCCTTCAGCAAGCCAGTATGGTACCTTATCAGTGCCCCAATGCAAAGCTCCAAAGCAAACAAAGGAAAACTCTACTGTAAGTGCTCAAATAACCATTTCTTATACTTCTGATACAATGAAAAAAAAAATTTCTTCAAAATTTTTCAGTTGCATGAGAAAATAATAATTCAACATTGTGCAAAAGAAGATTATATTAGAATATTTTACAAAAGTCATTCTCATACGTTTTATACTTACAGATATATTATATTTTTAAAACATTATTTTAAAGGAGAATTAACATCAATTATACTAATATGTTCTGTGTAAAACAACTTAGCACCACTTTTTTAAAAAGGCATTAATTCAATAACTACTATGCTGGTTGAAAGAAAAAGCAAAATTTGAGTTTCACATAACATTGGTCTCATTTTCATCCTGAATTTTAAACAAAAGTCTATAAACAAGATTAGAGAAATCGTTTTATAAATTTGAATGTTGAGATTTATATAAATATGCCATTATAAGAGTTTGATACAAAGTACTTAATATTTTCTATTGATATGTTCCAAAGAGAACCTCACAAAGAATATTTTTTCTGTATGGCAGGAAAAATGCTAAAATCCCTTAATTGCAAATGTGAATTTCCCAGCTGACATTAATTTTGGTTTATAAGGATGCACATTAAAAGCAGTGTTGCCTAAGCTCCTAAATATAAACTTAGAGTAAGAGTTTAGTAATAAGTATCAGTTATAGAGGCTATGTGTATAGGTTGCATTTTAGAATTCCTTGGTGTTTTTAGTCATGACTAATGAACAGCCCACTCTCAAATATATTCTGAAGGTAGATAGTTTGAAACATCGTGATTTAACAGGTGCCTTACTGGGTGACTCAGCCCCTTCACTCTGACTCTAACAATAACATAAAAGGATTTTTTTTTTTAAGTGGGACATCACTTTTTTTTTTTTAATCAAGCACAAAAAAAGACTCTTACGCTTTCAATTGTGCTGTCTTTAACTTGGATTATGGAACTGCCACCTCGTCAGTTCTCAAGTTCTCTTTAAATGTTCTGATATTTTCAACCACATCTCCAAGAGAAGTGATGGTGTGACTAGAGTCTCACTAAATAATGAAAGCTTGCTTTATTTTATAAGTTAACTGTTCTAAAGGCAAGGGCTGGAGCCTACATCTCAAAGTCTAAAATGTCACGATTAACTTTTTTCATTTTCTTTGTCTTCTTTGCTCATAATACAATTAAATATTATGCCAAATTTTTACCTGTGTGATACATAGCCATGATTAATATTTTTGAAATGATTTTAATACTTTAGTACAAAATTATTAGAAAATATGATAAATAATAATACAGCTTTTTTGGGGGGGTCTGATTGAATGCTAAGAGCTTTAAGCACATTAATTTAATTAAGCTTCAAAGCAAACTTATGAGGCTGGTACTATTTGTATTCCTCTTTGACATATGAGAAAATTGACACACCAAAAAATTAAGACACTTGCCCAAGGCCACCCAGCTAAGAGTAACAAAATTGGGACTCAAAGTCAGGAAGACTGCTTTTGCTATATACTCTGGAAGAGTATGATCTCTAGTTAGATACAAAGTGCTTAATAATTTCTATTGATAGGTCTCAAAGAGAACCTTACAAATAATGTTGTTTCTGTATATGAAAAAATGCTTTAGTACCTTTAATTAACTAATACTCTTCTACAGCTTCCATAGTCTGCAATTATGGCAGGGTCATAATGAAAATAAAAGAGACACCATTTCCTTTACCCAGCAATGCCAATTCCTACAGTTATACAGCAACCCCAATTCAATCACTCCTAGTTCTGGAAGTCCCAGTGTGCTAGTGGTGTCTCATAGGCTTGCTAATGTAGGTATCCTATAGCATATTGTTCAGGTCACTGCTATGAAGTTTATTGCTGTCTAATTTTACTCTTGGGTTAACCTGATTCACTCATCAAAAAAATTGATTGTGTCTGTAACTATTCCCATCATTGAGAAAATAGTGGAGAACAAAACTAAATCCTTGTTCTTATAAAGCTTATATTCTAGAGAAATGTGAACAGTGACAATTTGTCTGTTAGTAATAAATGCTGTTGATGAAAAAGTCGAAGATAGAGGATATCATTTTATGCAGAATGGTAGGGGTAGGTCTCAATAATAAGATGACATTTGGAACAAAGACCTTAATGAAATGAGGAACGATCTGTGAAGATCACTGGAAGAAGACTATTTTAGGAAGAGTTCTGAGGACCATCCAGGGGACCAGCGTAATTGGAGAAAAGAAAACAAAGAGGTAAGTAGTATGTGGTCAGAGAGAGAGAGGTGGTCAGACCAAATGGTAAATATGTATAGAAGCATAAATATGTCCTTATATACATATAATAAGTAGATACATTCATACACACTTTCATGCATTCAATTCTATGTATTGAAGGTAGAGCAAAGATGATTAAGTGCTGGCTGATATATTTTGGGGGAGAAAGAAAATTAAATCTAGGATGACTTCGAAATTCTGGCCTAAGCAACTAAAAGAATGGGATCTATTACAAAGGTATGAAAGGCAGCTGAGTGAGCAATTTCTTAGAAGGTGAATGAGAATTAGGTATTCAAGTTATAAACATTTTAGGCTTGATATTCCTATTTAATGTCAAAGGAAGATATTAAACAACCAGTTGCCAATGTGAGTCTTCCTTGAGGAGGAATAAAACATCTAGGGTTGCCACGTTGTGAATTATATTGAATGCCCTCGAATAGATAAGCACACCCTCAGAGTGGTTATAGAAAGAAAAGGCAGAAGACCAGCCTTGGATATGTTGATATTTTGAAGCTGGGAAGATATGAAAGTGGTTATTTTGTTAGACTCTGAAGAAATAGAGGGTCTGAGTATCCTTCAGACAATATCCCATAATATGTTTTGCAAAAACAGTTTTCATAAAACATATGTGGTTGATTTCATGGAGATATTGTACTTTAATTACAACTGTGGTAAGACCCTTTGACTTTAGCAATGAACCAAAATGAATATAAGGGTATTCTTTTATGCAAATAAAAGCTCTATTTATGAGGACATATATGTTAATGCTTGATAGGAATTGCTCTAGCAGCACATGTCAGCTCTTAACATTTCGAGGAGGTAGTGGTAGAGGATTTGATATATAATTATCTGTAAATAGTCAATGGGTGTTAATGAAGTGGAAAGTTTGTTCCAAACTCCCTATGTCATTCTTCTTCATATTAAACTGGCAGACAAGAGGAGGTCAAATTGTTAAAGAAATAGATGTACTCCTTGGTCCTAATTTTACAAGATGGCACAAGAACCCTGGAACATACATTCAAATTTCTCAATATACAGAGTACAAAATAGAAATAACACAATTTGTACATAGGATTCTAGTCCTAGGAATACTCTTTGTACATTTGGTAAGACTGTGTGAACTGTTTATCTTCATTCACTTCTTTTCCCATTTATTAATCTTAAGAGAATTTAATTATATCAATAGCTGAATCTACTACATGTTAATACATATTAATAGCGAAATCGGTATGTGTTCTTAAATTTGTGCTTGTGCTCTATGGTTTGTATACAGAATAATTTATTTTTTAAGTAGGAGATTGCAAATAAAATTACATTTTCTCAGATGATATCAGATTAAGCCTCAGGTGAAGAAAAGCTACTGGATATGAGCAGGTTAGGATATGGTCAAGCTTTACGTGCTTTTTCTCAGCTTTTTTCCCCCAGTAAGATTAAGGTGATGTCCATAACAATGGTCAGAGGAATACATTTGCTCTCAGTTTCCATGAATATAAACTTTAATGCTTGGGTGAATAATGAGAAATATATTTGTAATTTTAGAATGTTTTGCAAGCTGCATGTATAAAACTTTGTCAAGGAAATCTATATCACATAAAACAATCGTACAATCACGATAAAAGTATATTCCCATGAAATTTAGAAAAGCTAATGGCATTATGCTCCCTTGATTTCATATTATCTTGTCTTTTTTACTATTAAAAATTAAATAATTAAAATCAAATTTGGACTATTATTGTGAACACAATTATAGTTTCTTACAAATGACTGACCTTAATAAACAATTTTTTTAAATTTTAACTCACAGTTCAATTAAAAACTTTAATTAGAACTGGAATAAATTTATTAAATTTTCTGTAACAAATATTTAATATATTTATTGAGTAAATAAATTAATAACATGTAATATTCATATAGTTTCAGAAATACTTTGTTTTAATATTAATAGGTAAGATCATAACTAGTAATAATGGCTAATTGTTCATTTATTACCATTAAGTTTATATTTATCTACATATAATGTAGAATAACAATTTTTATAAGTATTAAATTATAATCTAAATACATAAAGTTTGTTCTAGAATGTGAACCAAAGCTACAAAATTAATTTTACTGATTTCATCCACTGTATTGCCTTATTTTCTATGTGAACAAAGAGCTGGATCAGCAAAACATTTGGATGAGTTGTAGTTTGTGTTGCCAAAGAAGAGCATAGAGCTAATTAGCCTATATAGGAAATAAGCTCATGCTTTTCAACTCTTTAGAACTATAGTCTAAATACTGAGATAGTAAAATTGCCAAACAGTCCATAAAATTTGCATGACATTTATTTAAAATATCAAGTATAATCCATGGTGATTGAGATTCTATTTCTCACCCAGAAGTTCTTCAACTAGATAGTAAAATACTTGGAAAGTACCAACACACACACACACACACACACACAAGCACACACATAGGGCGTTCTCTTCACACTGTCGGTGGAAAACACGAAAGCAAAAATAAATGCCTAAAAATGCATGTTAGAAGTGATGCTTTAAACGTAGTTTTGTTACTGGACTTACACCTGTGAAGTCAGAAAAACTTCTTGGAAGCTTTTGTTACATTTTCATGTATTTCACTTTTTAAAATTATTACTTCTGTTAGCAGATTTGTGCTAAAAATGTCTTCCTAGGTAAGACAGCAAATGTGCTCAGAAAGAGGTGCGAATGCTTTGGATAAATAAATGTTACCAGCTAGACAAGCAGCAGCTGGTAACCAGAAAAAAGGAAGTTCCCACCAGGAAAGAAAAAAGATTTTTCTGAATAGAATAAGTCAGAAAAAAAAAATGACAAGGTATGGCATCATAGGCCTTGTTGAACTAAAGACATTTCATGATCTGAAGTAATGTAATTGTAAGAATCCATGAGATAGTGGGACAACATGGGAGTTTAATCTGGGGTCAGCAAGCTTTTTCTGTAGTGGGCCAGATAGCAAATATTTTAGTCTATGTAGGCTACATACTCTCTGTTGCAACTATTCAAATTTGCTTTTGTACCAAGAAAGCAGTCATACACATTATATAAATGAATGATTATGGCTGAGTTCCAATACAACTTTATGGATGCTGAAATTTGCATTTCATATAATTTTGATGTGGCATGAAACAGTGTTCTTCTTTTGTTCTTTTCAACCCTTTAAAAATGTAACAAGTGTTCTTATCTTATGGGTGATGTCCAGATTTGGCCCATAGATCATAGTTTGCTAGCTTCAGGCCTAAATCATCATAGAACTGCAGGAAATCCAACACTGGTGGATAATAATAGTACCTTTATATTAATGAGCCTCTTTTTAATTGAATTGTAAGATGCTTGCAAGTGAAGAGGGTAAAGGTGCTGGGTGTACTTATTTTCCTTTGTTATTTGTTTATATGACTATCTTCACCCAGAAGCATAATGAGAGCTCAAATAAACCAGTGTGCTGCTCTTCCTAAAATAGTTAGGGCCTTCAAAACTAATATAGTCATTCAAAATTACTTAATTGAGCACCAATATATGCCAGGCACTGTCCTGGGTGCTAGGAAAACAATAGTGAATGAAAGAAACAAATTAACCTCAAGAAGCTTACCTTTCAGGATTGTGTCTTAGGACAAGCTCCATGTAAGGAGAATCTGAGATGTGGATTCTTGTATATGTGATGCAATGGCAAAGTGCTCTCAGGAGGAGGGGAATGGGGAAGAAGGACAAGGCAAAACATAAAAAAAAACCTAAACAAGAATATGGACTTAGCTTCAGACTACCGTCAAATTGATCCCATGGAGAAAATCTGAAGTAGAAACTGTACCACAGTTAGCTGTACTCTGAGGCAAGGGGGCTGGACTTTTGTACTCCTGTCCCTCACTGGAGAGGCACCTCCTATTTGGCCTGAGGGTAATGCTTCCAAGGGAGACAGGAACATTCCTGAGTGGTCATTAGAGAGATCTGGGCATAAAACTAACATCATCCACTACAGAAGGGTGACAAATAATAAATATAAATATTAAACATTTTTAATATGTCAGGTAGTGACATGGCTTTGTGGCTAGAGGAAGACAGAGAAAGATATAGGTAGAGGGATTGATTACTCTTTTACATCAAGTGGCCAAGGAAGTCCTCTGTGATAATGTGAAATTTCAGAAGAGAACTGAGGAAACTGAGTCCCAGTCATTCAGTTATCTGAGGGAAGAGGAGTTTTAAATCAAGACAGAACTAGCCTTAGAATGTTCTAGAATGTGTGAGAAGTGGGATGTGGCTGAAGTGTTAAGGATGAGTGGAGAGGTAGAAACTGAAGCTAGATGAAAGGGGTCATGACAGATTACATAGGGCCTTGAAGAACATTGTAATGTGTTCAGCTTTTACCCTAAGAAACAAAAGCACCAAGTGCTACAAGTATGTGCATTATACTTGTAGAACCCAGACGGGCTCTCAAAAACCATCTGGTCTAACTTCTCAATTTTAGAGATTTGTACAGTGGAAAATCTCTTTGAAGATAAAAGACAAGGATAGAGTTCTAAAATGTATGGAAAGTGACTTCCCATTTAATACATTTGAAGAAAATGCTGCTATAAATATTTGAACAGTTTCTACAGATTATGTTCATTTGTTTAAGTCCTGAATCTTAATGTCATCCCATCAATGGCAAAACTGTGAGAGGATGAGAGACAGCTGGCTGATGCACAGAGGATGCATGCTCACTGTCTGACGTTGGCTTGGCATTTATTCTAGCTGTAATTTCAGCACGTTGGGAAAGGGAAATAGTGATAATAATTTCAAGCAAGTGAGCTGTATTTTCTTTACATGCAGTGGTCAGCTACTGCCAAGATGACTATAGCTCCATAAATTGTTATTTCCACCAAATCCAATGCAAAATATTTTATGTTTAAATTGACAAATAAAGAACAAAAAACTATTCTTGGAAGATAATCATTAAGTAGTTATAAAGCAATTTAAAAATAACATTGCATATGAATTCCCATTAACAATAGTGGTATCTTGTGACTTCTATTAGTTTGAAAGAAATATTCCACTTCATGTTAGTACTGGACTTCATAGAAATATTTATTAGTGGGTTCAGCCCTCTGTTGTTGGTGTTGTTCAATGTATAGTAACTATACCCAATGTTTCTAATAATTCAAAAATATTTTTATGTTCCAATGCAAAGCCATATCTTGTTTTCTTGAAAGAGAATTTCTTACATTTCCAGCTCTACCTTAAATGGTCCATATCCTAGCTCTGATGTCAATTCTCCTATATGCAAGTTCTGATCTTAATTCTGCTTCCTGATTCTTTGCTATTAAAAAGTTCTCTGGGGTGATGATTACCCCTGACGGAGGAGATGTCCTTGAAACAGAAGCCTAATTTTCATCTCCTGTGTCATACTTCTTCTTCCTCCTTTTAAATATGTTGAACTACCAATGACATCAAAAAGAAATTTAAGCCAAAGTGAAGCATTTGGAGGAATTAAAAAGTTTTAACTGAACATCTTTATATATCTTAGTTTAATTAAATCTATAATTAAAACAGCATTGAAGCATACATCTTAAAAAGATCACAGATGAAAAATTCAGTTATTTCCTGAAATTTCAATAATATATACATATTCTAATATCTAGGTGAAACAAATACATTTCAAAATGTGTTGTTTAAGTTCACTGACCTTAAAAAAGCAACATATTGCTGATAAATAACATCATGACATACTTAGCTTAATTTACATAAATAAGCTTTTAAAAATATATAGAATATTTCAGTGTAAGGGAACATTTATTCCATTTGCTTACAGTTAAAGAGTTATGTTTGTCTTATTAATAAATTATATCCATTCTATCTGTATTTAGAGTTAGTAAATTTACCTGTAAAATTGTGTCCATTCTATCTGCATTTAGAGTTAGTAAATTTAAAAAAAAATGTAATTTAAACATAGTCTGGCATTCCCTACCTTAAGAGGTCAAGTGTAAATTCTTGTGAAATTACCTGTAATATAATTGGTGAAGAAGCATGGCCTACATCTGCCCAGGTTTTAAATTTCAAATAAAAGCAACTCCCTAATTGTTACTCTCTTCTGTGCAGAAACACTTGCTCTCAACAGGATTCTTTAATTAGGAAAAGAAATGTTTCTGTAAAAGGCTCTTACTGATTATACAGTAAAATGCTTTGGGGGAAAAATTGCTTTAAATTACTGACACTAAATACATTTGGATCTGCATGTCAAATGCACATACTAACTTCATTCTTGGATAGCCAAGAGCTACACACATAAGTGGACCTAAAATGGGTAGAATATAAAACTTCAGTTAGAATGTCATCTGTCACTTTCCCTGGTTTCCCTGCACAGCACTTGTTTGCCCCTTTTGGTAAAGAGATCTCAACTTCTTTGGGATGCTACCTGTCTTCAATACACAATAGGACCACCAATTAAAGAACTGCACCCTTCTAGCCAAGGTATGGCCCTGTGACTCAAATTAGGCTGCCTCAATTCTCTGACCTGGGAGTAAATTTTGAACAGAGTTCCATGAAGGTGGAAAACAATTAGAGGTAATTCATCTTATGTACAAACACCTTATCAATTGTCCCTTAGTTCCTGCTCAATCCTTGATCCCCATTTTTTTCTGGAATATAACTATTGGGTTTCCTTTTTGTGACTGAGCTGACTTGTATACACTTAATAAATTTTTTTTGTTTGTTTTTTTGGCTTTAGTTAGCCAGAATCAACTTTTGTTACTTACAACCAAAGATCCCTAACTAATAACAGCTCATAAAAATGATTAAATATTCCATGTTCAAAAGCATTTAAATTGAAATGTTTGAAATGTTTCTAATAACAAATCAGTTAAAATCGGCACATAAGATGAACTATAAATCTTAAGTTGGGAAGCACAGCAACAGGCAGGCAGGTGATTATGAAATGGATGAATGATAGCGTCCTAGCTAAAAAAAAAAAAAAAGGTGGCCGTTTTTATTGCCTAGCTGCAGCTATCAGAAACTACATTAATATTACAGAAAAGGGGAAGTGTAAAGCCTCTAGTGAAATGAAGAAAGGGGTGCAGAAAGGGCCAACTGTGGAGAATCTTTCATGTTGACCCCAGAGGTTTTCCTAGAAAAATTTCCCTGACCAATTTTCTTTAATGATGGTTCTACTCTCTAGGACTATATATTTTGCTTCGCATGTATTCTAAGCTTATTGCATTCCTCAATGCATTTATAAACTCCAATTGGGAAGGGACTATGGTTACTATTTTTTCTATATCTGGTAGAGTGATTGTTCAGAAATTCTATTCCATTAACACCTAATACACACACACATAAACACACACACACACACACAAACATACACACACATATGCATACATCTAGTGGCAATTTTATCTCTACAACTTCTCCCAGTGATTAGCTATCTGCTATTAAGACATGATTTCAAAAGAATTGGGGGTCTCACAAAGCATAAAGCTTATCCCCCCTCACCCCTGTTCCACCACCTACACATGCTAATTCAACCTGAGAGTGACTAAAAGTTTACGATGAGAAAAATATTATTTTTACTACAAGTCTTTTATAAAAGCAACTCAACCTTTTTTGTCATAATTTCATGACAGAGCACTGATATCATAGCAGCCACACATTTTTTAGTCACATAAAACTGGCTTCATCTTTCACTGTTTGTTTGATCTGGGATAAAACAAGCATTCTCTCTAAACATCTAGAAAAAACAAGGTAATAATAACATCAACCTCAGAAGGGTTTAGCAAGGATTTCAGTGAGATATAACAGTGTCTGATATATTATAAGCACATAATAGATATTACTATTATTATTATTTAAAACAATGTGCTGTACAATCATAATATATCTGCAGTGGTGGTGTAGGACATTAGTTTAGATATCTGATTTCTAATTGTTATTAGTGTCCAGGAAAAAAAAATCAGTGTTTCATAGGACACTTTCCTCAGGGCATTTAGATCTAAAATAATATTTTTTATTGTACAACTTCATACAGATGATGCAATATATAAAGTAGATATAACCTAGGAGTATTCAATGTGACTCATTCCTCAGTCTTCCCCAAGCCCCACGTTTCTCCCAGCCAAGATTAATCTTAACAAAAAAATCAAGTAGTCACATACCTTGCCATAATATTAGAAGACAGTGTATGACAATCATCATTAAGAACTTGATGTCAAATATATCAACTTGTCTCTGACAGATTTTTCTCTAAATGAGATTTACTGTCCATCAAGTCATATATTTATGATCTTAAATGTACTTATTACTAGTATCTTATCCCCAAATCTAAATAGGCTAGATCTGACATTGACCTTTATTAAAATTACAGGTAGTTATGCTTTTGTAGTTTCTCCCTAAAATTTAAAAAGTAATTTCTCCTTAATCAACAAAGGTTTGTCTGACATCTTAGAACCCCAGGAGAGATAGGAGATAGGAACACTATCTCAATTCCATATTAAGCTTCAATTTCCCACAGCAAAATCCCTTGAGGAATAGTTCCTGTATTTTCCTCCCTTTGCCTTCTGGAATGCAAATCAGGACGCTACCTCAGGCAGGTTCCAGTTCCTACGAAGGAAGTTTTATATTATCAAAATATTAAATTTATGTTCCAAATCACCTCATTTCAACTCTCCTAAGGACAACTCCTCTTCTGAAAAAAAACAAAACAAAAACAGTTCAAGGGATGTTTATGTAAGCACGCTGTGCTACCTTCATACAATATGATTTTTATTCAAAATTTCTCTTCTGAAGATTCATGAGGATGCATTTTGCAAAGTATAAAAGATATTAATTACCTGTTCAACTTGTCAGGTTCAGAAAATACATGAATAACACATCAATTAGCAATATATAACACCAAAGAACAGGACATAACCTAAGAATTTAACCTCCTATGATCTGCCTAGCTTCAATTTAAAGTCTAAAGGCACAAGTGCACATATTAAAGCATATAAGCAAATATATTCAGAAACCTAGTGTTAAGAATATTCTGTGTTTTTACCTTGCTGCTTCATATTTCTCTGCTCTACTAACTGCATGCAAACCCTTTAAAACCTATAATTAATATCTCAAAATGCTAACTAGTTCACTGCACTCTTCCTGCCTGTATTTAAATATAAAAGATAAAGGGGACACAGTTTGCCAGTCTACAGAAAATGCACAGCCAACCTGCACAAGCTGCCACATAATTTATGGTGAGGATTAAATGAAATGATATATGACACATATACAATTAGTTCAGACACAGACAGCTGAAAGAATGTTAATAAGTCAAAAGTCAATGAACTTTCTTAAGATTCATGAAAACAATGACCAAATATGTAACTCTGTAAAAACTATCCATACTGTGGTTTGGGGGGAAATAAATGAAATGCATTCTTAGCTGTCATTATAGTCACCTATTCTGTCATTGGTATTTTAATTCTAACACACTTCCCAGGTGTCCATGAAAAGAATTACACTTCTTTCATAAAAAACGATGTCATCACTTTATAGAACACAATTATCTATACACATTGAAAAGCTTCCAGTTGAGTTTATTAAATTCTTGCAAACACAACTATTGTAATGCAAATTAGAGAATATAAAGACACTCTAGAATTTCTGTCTACAAAGCAAGCTCACTGAGAAAACTCTGCATATTATAATGGGATAATTCCCCTTTAAGTTGCTTTATATCTGAAAGCATAAATCAGAGGGTAAAATTAAGATACATTTTTCCTTCATGACTGTAAATAAAATAAATTGTAAATGGTATTATCTGTTAATTTTATCTAAATTATCAGCTAAAATGTTTGAGATTGAAGTACATTTTGGGATATTTCAAAATATTATTACTTCACTCATTTCAAATAATCAAGCTATCTACAAATATAAGAAAAGTGAAACAGGGAAAGGTGACTGTTTCATAAGAGAATATTCCCAATCATCTTTTGGCTTGGTTACAATGCTCTATCTCTAAATGTGAATAATCTTAAGAAACAATGTTAGAGGATTTATAGGATATCTTCTTTTAAAAGGCCATATTTGACATTGTTAATAGTGATTGTTAATCGTTCTACATAAAGTTTCCAAATAACATTGTGTTATGCCTGACTGATAATGTAAAAGCTCTATAATTATAAGCAATGACAAGATGTTATTAAATTGCTTATGTAATTTTGAGCCTTCTATTTATTTATTTATCATTTTTATAAATTTAGGGGGTACAAATGCAGTTTTCTTACATGAATACATTGTTTCATGGTGAAGTCTGTGCTTTTAGTGTAACCACAACCCAAATAATGCACATTGTACCCATTAGGTAACTTTTCATCCCTCAACCCCCTCCCACTCTCTCACCTTTCTGAGTCTCCAGTGTTTATTATTTCACTCTCTTATGTCCACATGTATGCATTATTTAGCTCCCAATTATAATTGAGAACATTCGACTTTCTTTTTTGAGTTATTTCACCTAATTTAAGACAATGGCCTCCAGTTCTATCCTTGTTGCTGCAAAAGACATGATTTCATCCTTTTTTTATGACTAAGCAGTATCCCATGATATGTATATATACCACATTTTTGTTTACCCAGTCATCTATTGATGGGCACTTAGATTCATTCCATATCTCTGCTATAGTGAATAGTGCTGCAATAAACATAAGGGGGAAGGTGTTTTTTGATATAATGATTTCTGTTCCTTTGGGTAGATAGCCAGTGGTGGGATTGCTGGATCCAATAGTAGTTCTATTTTTAGTTCTTTGAGCAATCTCCATACTGTTTCCTACAGAAATTGTACTAATTTACATTCCCATGAACAGTGTATAATAGGTCCTTTTTCTCCACACCCTCATCAGCGTCTGTTATTTTTTGACTTTTAATTATAGCCATTCTAACCGGTTTAAGGTGGTATCTCATTGTGATTTTAATTTGCATTTCTCTGATGATTAGTGATGTTGAACATTTTTTCATACACATGTTGCAAATTGCCTATATAATTAATTCAGCTTTTTTTCAGTTATGTCAGATCAAGGGAACAAAAATAATATCATAATTTAGAAAAACTTACATAATAAGATTAGGTCTACATAATCTATATATTAAATTCCATACAATGAGTAAGTTTTTTTCCCCAAACTCCCTTAGAAAATACATACATTTTACCATAATAGAAGACACATCAAGAAACAATTTAAAAATTGGAGCCAATAGAGACCACAGTTTCTGATCACAGTGCATTAAAGATAACACTAATAAATTTAGAAAAGAAACAAAACATATTCCCATCAGTAGGAAAGGAAAAACAATTAATCAATTGTTTAGTTCTTTTAAACTGCAGAATATTAATACACTGCCTATCCGAACCTATTAGAAGGAAACCAAAGAGTTCTCAGGAAAAAATTAGGGTCTTAAAATCCATGTTAATGAAGAAGAAAAATTTAAAATAAATGAGTTAAACATCTAACTCATAAAGTTAGAAAAAATATATAAACTTAGAGAAAGTAGAATAAAGTATTTTAAAATGATAAAAATATAAATTGATAAATAAGAAAACATACATTGTAGAGATGATAAAGGAAATAAAAGTAAGTTGAAAGAAACAAGCACAGACAACCCTTTGAATAATCTAATCAAGAAATAAGGGGGAGGAGAAAGAATGGAAGCATAAAGTAAAAAAGAAAAATGACAATAGGTAAATAATAGATACCATAAAAACCTTAAGAGGACCTAGAGTGCTTTCCAGTAATCAATACTATAAAAAACCTTAAGAGGACCTAGAGTGCTTTCCAGTAATCATACTCTATACCCTAATCATATTTTCTTTCACTCTCTTAGGAAACTATTTCACCTCTTCTAGACTCAAACTTCCAAGTCCTCTCTCATATTCACTTTCAATGGATGCCCTTGCTCCCTACTTCACTGAAGAAATTGAGTCAACCAGAAGAGAACTTCCACCAACTCCCCAATCACATCTTCCCACCTATTACCATCTCTACTGATATCCTATAACATCTCATTAACTATCATCGAAAAAATAATGTATTTTTCTACTAAAGCCATTCCATACTTTTCCTCTAAAACTACTCGAAGACAGTACTCCAGGAAGTCCCATCCCTCTCTCATAAATCACAAATGTATGGTTCTCAAATAGATTATTTCTATCAGCATATGTCCTTGAAAACATCCTGATATCTGTCTGGAGGAAAAGAAAACTTTCTTTCTCTTAACCCCACTTTACTCATCAGCTACCACCTGTTCATCTCTTCCCATTTTTAGTAAAATTCCTTGAAACAACCCTTTATACTTGAAATCTTTTCTCCTACTCCTCTTCTTTTAAAGTCACTGAAACCTGGATTTTGTCCACCTTGAGCTACTGAAAACTTGCAGAAAGAGGGTAATATGCTAGACCCTGTATAAGTTTGGGAATGTTCATAGTTGAGTTAGACACCAGCTTTGCTTCTGAGAAGTTTCTAATGTAAAACAGTAATCACCTTCCCTAGAATTACAAACAATTCAAATCAACAGAGAAACTACCACTAAGTACCAAAACAAAACAAAACAACCCACAGATGGCCCATGTATTGCTATTCGCTCAAAAAAGATTATATGGCCTGCCTCTTATTGTGTGAACTGTAGTATCTGCATCTGGGGTAAGTGAGCTTTCCACACCATTGCCTTTAAGCTTAGCTTTGGCCAACAGAATGTAAGTAGAAGTACTGCTGTGATGCAACAAAATCCCTGAGAACCATTGAATGACCTGCCAATTGCTCTTTTTAGTTCCTACTGCTTCAAGAATGGCATGTCTCTGATTGAAGCTACTTTTTAGCTGGGTCTTAGAATAAAGAAGACATGTGGGACAGAGCCAAAGCCAAGGTGGCCAATATGGTGCAAAAAGGAGAAACAAATCTTTTTTGTTGCAAACCACAGAGATTTGGCTTTTGTTGTTATGGCAACATATTCTAGCAAAAGCTAATTGATGCAGCCCAATTTAATGGTGCCTGAAAAGCATTAGGCCAAGGAATTCTGGGTTCCTTCCATACATTTCAGACCATGTCATATCAAATCAAAATAATGCTATTTTTCTCCATCACAAGCTTATTTATATAACTAAAGGTTCATGAGCACCTTCTGAATTCATAGTACTAGGAGTCAGAAATAAATTCTTTTCAATTGTATTTAACTTTCTATTGGCTCATTTAGCTCTTCTGTTCGCCACTTCTTGGCTGTTTCGAACATTAATTTACAAAAGACAGTTTTTCACTAACCATCAAAAGAAGAAAACTTAGAATGATAGAAAAGTAATATAATTTCATTGCCATTTAATCCTATTAACATAGTTCAAGTATTTCTCCTTGTTTCTATGCTGTTTCTTTGGGGATCTCTACTTTTGCTACTCAAATAGTCAAACAGAGGCATCTGAGAGCTTGTTAAAAATGAAGGCTCCAAGGCCCCACCCAAGACCTACTGAAACAGAATCTGCATTTTAACAAAGTCTCCAGCTGAGATGCACATTAACATTTGAGAGGCTGTGGTTTATAAAAAAACAAGTTCTCCTTTTTACTAGATGTTCTTTTTCATAGATCTGGAGTAGTTAACAGCCAGGATCATTTTTTCTTTTTATGAAACTTTCAGGTGATCCTGATGTAAGAGATTTATATAATACATTTTGAGAAAAATCAATTTAGGCTTAGCTGAGTATGTCTGAATCTCCAGTTTTGACACTTAGTACTAGTTGCATGGCTCTGTGAAAACTACTTCTCCAAAATTCATTTCTTCCATCCATGGTGAAGTTACTACCTATTTCTATTTCACGGGTTTATAAGGTTCTATCAGATAGTGTACAAAATATCTCACTGTTAACTGCAAAGGAGACTAAAACAAATGCAAAGTTGAAACATATTAGGAACATAATAAAATGTGTTGATTAATATGATGAATGTGTAAATGAATACTATTCAACTCTAATGCAATAAGAAGAAATAACACAAAGGAATGATATTAGGTTATGGGAAAATACTGCCAAAGGCTGACACAGTCTCTGCTGGTTTGGACTATTGCCTTCACTTTTGGTTGTTTGTTGTTTGTATTTGATATCTCTCCACCAAGTCCAAGAGCAAAAAGGCTAAGAATGGTTGAGAGTATCTTTTCTTATAGGGCTATTTAAAATAGTCATGACTTTCAATCACATAAACATAATATTAAAAATGTCAATGGCAAAAAATAATTCAATATAAACACAAAGTAAAAATCTTCCTTCCCCAAACATCTTTATGCTCAGTCTCACTCCCCACTTTCAATCATTTATGTTTCCAGGTTTTCTGTTATTTTCCACTACAGCATAATTTTAAATAGTGCAAGATGAGAAAATTAGTACAACTATACTTCCTTCTACTTGCTATCCCCCTCTCCTTCTCTCAGCTTCTATTATCTAAATTTTAATAAAAACTATAGTTTGTTCTGTAACTATATCTAGATTTTCCTTGTATTTCCTATAGATTACAATTTTTAAAAATAAGAACATTTAAAATGTTATAAAATTACTGTTGTTTTGCAGAACCAAGAAAAAATATTGAACAAACGCAGAAGACAGATTTCCTTGCCATTAAAACTGCTTTTTAGTAAAGCAGTTGAATTTGATAACCCAGAAAAAGAATTCTAAGGTGACTACCAGAAAAAGAGTAAACTTATTTCAAAACATTCTGACCTATTTAACAAAATTCAGCAATGTGATAGATGGTATTGAGAGATAGGTGGACAGATGGGTAAATGGGATGGAGGAAGAAAGGACATTTTTAAGGAAATTCTCAACTCATCTATCTGTAGTCAACTCTGAAAAGATAATAAAACCACATATTTATACCAAAAGAACGTACAATTATGGGCTACATATATGTAAACATCAAGACACTTTCATTACGAAATATCAAAATTGTTTTGGAAGTGAATGGACCCTTGACCAAAAAACTGTTAATAATTTTATTAACTTAAATAAGTATTACAATAAAAAATTAGGAAGAGAAACAAAAGATCTGTTTTTTTATAGGGTCCAAATAGTGTTATATCTACATTTTTAGAATGACTACATTAGCATTTTCATCACTGAACTTGAATAAATGGACTCATTTAAATAATTAGCACTTAGAAGGCACACTAACCATGGTCACACAGAAAAATTTCATAAATGATAAAACATTCAAGAAATCGGGATTTATTTTTAGAGCAAGTCCTCTGGATACTTTTGAAATGCATCAAGCCCTAGTGACAACGTTGGACATACTGAAAACAATTGTCTTTCTGTATCCTACACTGTACTTTGCAGTGAATTCCTGACTTTGATATTGTGAATAGTTTCAGATATGCAGCACATACTTTATTATTGGAGATATTTTTAAAAGTAGCCTCAAGTGCGGTAAACAGAACAGCCCCCCAAGGATATCTACTCAGTAATCTGTGGAACCTGTGAATATGTTACATACATAGCAAATGGAACTTTGCAAATATAATTAAGGTTACGGAATTTAAAATAGGAAGAATATCCTGGATTATGGGTCTAATCACCTGAGGCCTTAAAAGTAGCAACATTTCTCCAGCTGGAGTCTCAGAGCTGCAGCAGAAGGAAAAGTAAGGAGATCTGAAGCAAGGGAAGGAACTGATCAGACCATTGTTGGTTTGAAGACAGATGGGGAAAAATTAGGATGAATGCAGCCCACTTAAGGTATTGAAAAGTTGCCCACCATAGCCAGTAAGAAAGCTGGGACTTCAGTTCCACAACCGCAAGGATTGAATTCAGCCAACAAGTGGAATGAGCTTGGAAAGGGATTTGTCCCCAGAACTGTCAGAAAAGAATGTAGCCTTTGCTGACACCTTAATTTTAGCTCTGTGAGAGTCTAAGCAAAAGACCCAGTTGGCTCAAGGTCTACCTGAACTTCTGACCCACAGAATTGTGAGATAATAAATGTGTTAAGCCACTAAATTTGTGATCACGTGTTACAGCAGCAAAAGGAAAACTAATACCATATGTTCCTTTCCTCCTTTGCATAGAGAAAGTTCTACACATTATGCTCCTATTTTGAATATACCCATTTTCCATGATAAATTGAGCCTGGCTAAATTAAATGAATATTAAGAACTATTCAAATCCAAGTGTATTAGTCTGCTCTCATACTGATATGAAGAAATATCTGAATCTGGGTAATTTACAAAGGAAAGAAGTTTAAATGACTCACAGTTCCACATTGCTGGGGAGGCCTCAGGAAATTTACTATCATGGCGGAAGGCAAAAGAGAAGCAGGTAACTTCTTCACAGGTGGCAGGACAGAGTGAGGGCAAGCAGGGGAAATGCCAGATGCTTATGAAACCATCAGATCTCATGAGAACTCTCTCATTATGACAAGAACAGCATGGGGGAAACCACTCCCATGATCCAATTACCTCAACCTGGTCCCACCCTTGACATGTGGGGATTATTGGGATTATAATTTGAGGTGAGATTTGGGTGGGGACACAGAGCTATTATTTCTGGTTTCACAAAACAAACACTTGGACCAGAATTTATTCTGTCCTCAAATGGAAAAGCAACTAACCTTGATATGTCTGCTATATGTTAGATAACAAATTAGGAAATTTGTAAATAATATTTTATGTAAAGTTCACCATGTTCCAATTAAATGTTATTACCCTAAACCTGAGTTAATCTAACTACAGGGTAATAGTTGTTTATATGAGAATTGGTCTAGAAGGCACGAAAAGTATAAATGAGTTCTTGTTATGACAAAAAAAAAACCTAGAAATTTCTGAGTTAGGTGCATTAGTACCCTTTATAAAGAATGAAGAATCCCTATTTAAAAAATGTAGTAGTTTTTGATTAAAACTGTTACATCTCTGTTGCTCCTGCCATCCTGGTACTGCTGCTCTTATTGCAACTGCCAGAGCTTCCACACACTAACATCACTTCCACTGCTACGCACTACCCTACTACAAGGCTCAGTTGAAACTCACAGCCTTGGTCTTCAGAAGCCCTGTTTTGGATGCTGTTCTATGGGTCCTACACTGGCTGTTCAAAATGCTTTGTTCTCTTTCATCCCATTTTCTTCTTTTCTTGTCTGAACTCAGCAGTTAAAGGAAGGCTATATCTGGTCTGTCTGGAGAGATTGAGATGGAAATGTAACTTTCCAGTGTTTTTTCCATTTCTGCACATAACAGTGTGAAATACCTGAATCTGAAGGTTTAGCACTTTTTTTGTAATTTCTCTTGGCTATGAATGTGGGTCTCATTTACTTTTCAAAAATAAAGATTTGAGACACAGGGAGGTTCAGTGGGTTAAGGTAACTTGAAACCCAAACTTCAAACATTGCGAGCAAATGCATTTTCTGTCTCAAGTTTCACAAAAGAGCCTTACTGTGCTTATATCTCACCATAAAAATCTAAACATTTGCTTTTAAAGACACTTCAGTTAATTAAAAATATATAAGGTTGAAATAGTATTAAAAGTGATATATCATTATATGAGTATATCAATTTAGAGTGCTGGTTAATGTGAGGGTTCAGAAAACAGACAACCTTGGGTAGAATTGGAACTCTGCCATATACTATCTTTGCAAACTAGAGAAGGTGAGTTAATCCCTCTATGTCAGTTTCCTTATCTGTAAAAGGGGAATAATAATAGTACCTCTAGTCATAGAATGGTGGTTCAGATTAAGTTTGTTATATATGTAAAGTCCTTAAAACTATGCCTGGAGTTCAGCAAGCTCTTAAACATGAGCTATCAATTCTGGTTCTGATTCTAGTCACTAAAGAGTCAGCAGTGCAGGGGTGGGTGGGGAGTTCTAAATAATTGTATTAAAGAAAGCATGATGAAAAGATGAAAGTTAATTCTTCAAGCCTATGTCACAGGATGATATGAGAAACACATGTGAATATAACATGGACTGTGACAATATATAAAGTAATTAGAAAATATCATATGTGTAAGGGCTCAGAAAATGTATCACCACTCAAATATCTTTCTTAAAATGCTTACTTAGAAATACATTCCTTCAGGCAAAGTGATGAAATCAAATGTAAAATATAAAAATGGACAAATGGTGACTACAAGAATGATAGAATCATTCAAATTGAACATATTAATAGCATTTAAATAATTGCTAATAGCTTAATTTCAAATCTGAATGCAACTTTAGACTGGATTTTGCAGTAAAAATACCGCATAAAAGTTTTTAATAATAAATAACACTTTATGTTAATACAAATTGGAAAGTCCAGTGTGGGGAAAAGAGCAAGGACAGAGAAGTATTCAATTCTTCCTCTTTATATGTTGGACCAGAAGATGGAATGATTACTTTCCTGATTATACCAAATAAAGAAATATGGATGATGTTTTTTTTTAAAAAAAAAAAAAAAACACTCACACACACAACAGGTTCCACTAGTTTAGTTACAAACAATGTGTATTTCTTACATATACTGCAGAAGAGAAAAGGCAACAAAACCCATTTCAACAGCCAAAGCAAAAAAGCAAAATAATATCAAGGAAGGAAAAAGAGGAAATAAAAAATTAATGACATAGATAATTGCTCATGATATGTTAAGTGAAAATGCAGTGTATAAAATTACATATAGTATGCTTCTAATTTTGAGAATAGCATCTTTCTCTTAGTGTAAAAGATGATAAAGACCATCGACCTAAATTGAACTTTAAGTAATTATAGATGCAGAAACTTGAATATTTTCTACAAAGCACACAAAAAAAGCAGTACAAGGAAACAACTTCCAAGAACAGACCCAAAATTAAACACAGTCAATATGTAATTCAAAGTAGAAAATCACCAAAATAGGTATTATAAACTGTGTTGAAAATTAACTTAGAGCAGACCAGTAAAAAGCAAACAACTTTCTTAGTTACGTCTGGCCTTGTATTTTTGATAAATTTATTACTGAAATATTTTATAAATTAATACAACAATCTTTTATTGTCTCTATATAGTAGAAATATATATATTATGGTTAAGTTTATGATGGTAAAGTACATAAAATTCCAGTTTTAAAGTGTGAGACATAGTTCTTAAGAATATCTCTCTTTTTAGGTTTTAGGTTAAATAACTTCTCCAGAAATATAAAGCAACTAGTACGCATCAAGTGTTTAATCCTTGTTCTTGACTTTCTTTGACTCTAAAATCTTAAATGCTTTAAGGAAGATTGCGTTTTAAAAGTACAATGGATGTAAATTTTCAGTTATGCAGTATGAATAAGTTCAAGAGATCTGCTGTACACCATTGAGCCTATAGTTAATACTGTATTGTGCACTTAAAATTTTGTTAAGAGGGTAGATCTCATGTTAAGTGTTCTTACCACAATAAAAAATAATAAAATAAAATGAGGGAATCTTAAATTTAAATCTTGTCTCTGACACTTACCAGTAATGTGAGAATAGGAAACATACTTTTCTGAGATTTTATCTATATATAAAATGGAATTAAAGAGATTGCTTTTACAACTCTTATGAAGATAAAACAAAATATTTAAAGAGGCAATGAATATATTGATCAACAGATGCTTCTTCCTATTCTACTACACTGAGTTCTTTGCTCTTATTCATTTTCTGTCATACTTCTATCATTGTCATATTTCTATCACATAGAAGTGTAAATATTGGTTTAATCATCAGTCACCTCAAATAAGCTAAGCATTCCTGAAAGGGAGAAGCATTTTTCATCATCTTTTTTTGTTTCTATAAGCCATCAGGATAAGCAACATTTTATCCTGTAACCTACATGTTACATTGCCACCAGGATAACCTACATGTCTATCTTTTGTATTCTCATAAACTAGATAACGTGCCTGCTACACACATATTTTATTTAAAACTTCTGATTTGAGGGCTGTGTCTTCTGAAAATGTGTAAGACCAATGAGCACAGGAATGCAGAAGATAATCAGCACCTGTCCCAGATAATCATGGTCTCATATTACCACTGTTTCCTATTTCAGGGTGCATATTGTGCCCAAATCTGAGAATGCTGTGGTGAAAGTGATAGGTGCTGTGGAGCTCACAGTTGGAGTTTGTCTCTAACCCCAGGTGAACCTCTTCAAACACCTAACAATTGTTGAGTCTAAATAAAGGCTCACACAGCACTGTGTTTGTAGTTTGGGAAGATATGCACATATAAGGAAAAAATCTCTTTGCTCTGAGAGATTACATTGCATTTGCAGAAAAAAAATGCATACAATCACACTAAGCAAGCCATCATTAATAACCAGTTTAGACTTGTATTTTAAGTTATGTGACAGAATAGAAGAATACAAAGGGGGAGAGAGGCAGATTAGAGGTCAGGCTTGAAGACATAATAAGAAGCTTAATCATTTATTTTCCAGATTAGCATTTTACAAATGTAATTCTATGAATTACCTAAGGTGATTGTTAAAAGTATAAAATCAAAATTTCCAGAGAAGATGTCATTGTCAACAAGCACTTTGAGCAATTCTCCTTTTCAGTCAAGCTTGTGAAAACTTCTCTAGGTGATTGGGAGCCATGGAAAGTTATTTTTTAACATCTTAATTGAAAAATAATTTACATATCACAAAATTCCTTTGTGTTTAGTGTAGAATGCTATGATTTTAATAAATGTATAGAGGTGTGTAATCATCACAACAATCCACTTTTAAGTCTCCCAAAAAGATCCCTACCCATTTGCTGTCACTTCCTATGCCCACCTCCAGCCGTAGGCAAACTTTAATCTCCTTTCCATCTTATAGCTCTGACTTTTCTGGGTATTTCATGAATAAGGAATCATGTAATATGTAATCTTTTATGATGGGCTTCCTTCATTTAGCATGATGATTTTTAAAGTTTCATTCTTGTTGTAGTGCTGATAGTTTGTTACTTATTGCTGAATAGCATTTCATTGCATGAATACACAATATTTTCTTTACCACCTGAGGGATATTTGTTATTATGAATAATGCTGCTATGAACATTTGTGAACAGGATATACATGAAAATATGTTTTCATTTCCCTTGGTTAGATTTCTAGGAGTAAATTTTTTTAATTAAATAAACTACTAGATTATTTTTATGGTAGTTGTACCATATTACATGCCAATTAGCAATGTATGAAAGTTCTTAATTCACCACAATGTCTCTAATTCTGGGTATTATCTTTTGATTATAAAAATTCTAGATGGTGTGAAATGTGGTTTTAATTTGAAATTCCTAATGACTACAGAGATTGAGCATATCTTCATCTGCTTATTGACATCTATTTACCATCACTGATGAAATGTCTATGCAAATTGTTTACCCATTTTTTAATTGGGTTTTCCTCTTCTTATTGACTTGTGAGAGTTCTTTATAAATTCAGAATATATGTCCTTTAACAGAGATATGTTTTGAAAGCATTTTCTCCTAGTTATCTTAGTATTTTTCATTTTCTTACTATTTTGAAGTATAAGTTTTTTTTATTTTGATGAAGTTCTATTTATAATTTTTTTTGTGGATTGTACTTTTAGTGCCATGTTTAAGAAATATTTGCCTAATCCAAGGTTTCAACAATGTTTTCCTATTATTTTCTTCTGCAGAGTGTATCGTTTTGCTCTTACATATTGGTCTATGGGCCACTTTGAGTCAATTTTTGTGTATGATGTTTGGTAAGGTTCTAAATTAGTCTTTGTGCATTTGAATAGCCAATCATCCTAGCCTAATTTGTTGAAAAGACTATCTTCTCCACATTGAATTGGTATAATTGTTGAAAATCAATTGACCATAAATCTACGGGGTTATTCTTGTACTCTCTATCATTATACTTGCTCTATATGTCTATCCTTAAACTAACCTGTTTACTGTCCTTTTAGAGTAAGTTTTGAAATCAGTAAATGT
The DNA here is from genome assembly GCF_000001405.40 of Homo sapiens. NCBI lineage: Eukaryota > Metazoa > Chordata > Mammalia > Primates > Hominidae > Homo > Homo sapiens. Next base: position 81,736,000 of record NC_000012.12, read on the forward strand.
TAAATTCTCCAATTTTGTTAATGTTTTTCAAGATTGTTTTAATTATCCTTGGTCCTTTGTCTTTCTATATAAATATTAAAATCACCTCATCCCTTCCTGTATAAAAGGCTGCTGACATTTTAATAGAACTGTGTTGAATTTATAGACAAATTTGGGCATATATGACATCTTAATAATATTGAATATTTTAAAACATGAATGTCTCTACATTTGTTTAGATATTTTTACATTTCTCTTAAAGTCTTCACTATACAAGCCTTGCATGTATTTTGTTTAATTTACTCTTAAGTATTTCATTATTTTAGATGCTATTATAGATGGAGTTGTTTTAACTTCATTTTTGATCATTCTTCGATACTGTACCAAAGTACAATTTATTTATGTATGTTTATCTTTTATCCTGTGACCTTGCTGAATTGGTTTATTCATTCTGTTGGGTTTATTTGTGGACATAGACGCATTTTAATAAAGGCAGTAACACAGTCAGATTTTAATAAAGGCAGTAGCACAGTCAGATTTGTATTTTAAACAGATAACTCTGCAGCTGTGAAGGGGATGCATTTGAAGGAGGAAACGCCGGAGGAAGTAAGAGTTTTTCAACACCGTTGGGACAATTACTGACATCTAGAATACTCAAAGGAATATATAACAAGACTAGGAGTACACCAGAAAAAAAATTGAAAATGGTAACTGCTTATTTTGTCATAGAAATGGACATGTTTATTTTAAGAAAATCATTTTAAGCTATCTTTTCTTTGTTTTTTAGACAAAGTCTCTGTCTGTCACCCAGGTTGGAGTGCAGTGGTGTGATCAGTTCACTGTAACCTCAAACTCCTGGACTCAAGGGATTCTCTTGCCTCTGCCTCCCCAGCAGCTGGGACTACAGACATGTACCACCACACTTGGCTCATTTAAAAAATAATTTGTAGAGAAGGGGGTCTCACTTTGTTGCCCATGCTGGTATCAGGCTACTACATTTATCGTGCTTATTAAAGTTGCAGACTTCTTCCAGGAATGGCAGACTGTGTAATTGGGACCAGCTCTATTGATAAGAACAACTAGAAAAATTGGGTAATTTTTTAAACAAATTTTAATTCACTTTTGAAGTGAATTAATAAAGGCAAAAAAAAACAGTGAAGATTTTAGAGTTTGGGATCTAGGGAAAACTAAGCCCTCAGGCATTTCGACCTGCTTTTTCCCTAGTTGTGGAAAAAGGAGAGGCTGGCTCAGCACATTTGGCAACTTCACAAGGCTGAAGAGATGGGAATTGAGATCAAGTCCTTTCAAGATGCAGTAGCCTTAATGAATCTTCCTCACTTGGAGGTGAGACTCCTAAGAACTGTACCCTAGAAGAAATAATCCCTGGATGACAGATCTTCCCAGGGATTATCTGGATTGAGGTAATTAAGATCACTGTTTTTCCAGACATCTGGCCAAAAAAAATAAATGTTCCCTCTAGATGAAGATAATATTCTCCTAGAACTAAAATGACTTCCACTGATGATTTTACAAATGAGATGACTGTCACACAGTCAAAAATAACAATGTACATGATATAACTTGACAAAAATGAATAATAATTCACCAAAAGACAAATGAAACAGATAAAAGGAATTCCTCATATTCAAGTTAGCAGAAAGACTTAAAATGGCCATGTTTCAACTGTTAAACAAAATTAAAAACAAAACAAATGGAAAAGAATGTTTAAAGATAGTAATCACAACAAAATATTAAATATATAGACTCAACAGCAAATTAGAAACAGCAGAGAAAATTAGTGAACTAAAATTTCAGTACAAAAATAAAATTCCAAATGAATCACAGAGCAATAAGGGGATGGAAAATATAGAAGAAAGAGTAAGAGGAATAGAAAATAAAGTGAGAACTAGCATATAGGAAGTGGCATTCCAAAATGAGGGGGGAAACAGAATGTGATGAGGCAGTATTTACTGAACAAAAGTAAATATTTTTCCAAACCAATAAATGGCAGTAAGTCACAATGTTAATCTCTATGGACACTAAGAAGAAAAAAAGGAAAATAAAAACAAATACGTTTTAAGTACATTATAGTAAAACTTCTTGTAAAGAAAACTCTCTAAAGCAGCCAAAAAGATTAAAAAAAAAAAGGACAGTTTACTCTCAAAGAAGAAACAATTAAATTGACACCTGCCTTCTCAACAGCAACAATGAAAGTCAGAATAAAATAATATGTCTTAGTGCCAAGTGAAAATAACCACTAACGTAAAATTCTATCTCCAGTAGAAATACCTTTCAGGAATAAAGGTGAAGTAAAGATATTTTCTGAAAAACTTAAACCAGAAAAATTACTCATCTGCAGACGTACAGTAAAAGAAATATTCAAGTTTATTTTTCAAGTAGAAGAAAAATGATCCCAGATGAAAAGCCAGAAAGAATGAGATCCAGAAAGAATAATTGGTAACATAAATGGTATACATGTGAATAAATCTAAAGGAATATTGCCTGATAAAAATATAATAATATATTTCACATCCTACACATGGAAGTATAAGGCAGGGAAAGTATACATTAACATTACACTTTGCTAAGGATGCACATTGTAATTTGTAGGTTAGCAAAAGAATAGCAAGAGTGTAAAACTTCTAGATAACAGAGGAAAAAAATGCAATTCAAATGGTGGCATGAAAGGTTGATTTAAAAAAAAAACACAGGATAGGAAAAATAGAAATCCCTTGGTAAAATAGTAGACTAAATACAAATATACAAGTATTTACAGTAATTATAAAGATACCAAATAATTTAAAGAGAAAGATTATCAGTCTGCATACAAATAAAATTCAGAAATTGTTTATTATTTGTGGGAAACATATATAAGAACACAGACACATTGAAATTAGAAATATAGAAATGGCACACAATGCAAACATTAACAGAAAAGAAATCTGCTCTAATACTATTACTACTAGTAATAAAATCAGATTAAATAGAATTCAAGGGAAAATACCAGTCCAGAAATAAATGGGTCACTTCATGATGATAAAAGGCTCAACTGGCCACGAAGTTATACATATGATATAGTCAAATAAAACTGATAGCAGCCTCAAAATATATGCTAAAAATAAAAGAATTGCAAGAAGTAGAAACTCTATAATTATAGCATGAGACAATAAAACTTGTTATTATTCTAACACAGAACTTTAGATGTGGAAATGCAAAATGAAGTTACATTTTTAAAAAAACAAATTAAATATATTTGACAGTTACTAAAACTTATGATTTCAGAAGTCACATTTTCTATAAAAGGAATACTAGCTGAAGAGATTTTCTAACTCAAGCAACATCAACTGCCACAGATTATTTGTCCAGATGGAATATAGTTCATAGTACTGTATTCTGATAGCATGATGGATCAGACAATTGGCTAACATAACTTTTAAATAACCTTTTTATAAGCATTTTAAAATAAACTTTTCTATATACAAAATTAACAAAGATAATATAATTTTGATATTTAGAACTGATTTTATCTCCTTTATCTTAGAAATAGATCATGAAATAATATTCTTATCAGGGAAAACTTTCAATTCAATTACCAATTTTTTAAAAAAACTTGGTCAATTAATCTATTATCGATCAGCAACATATCAATGCATCTTATAAACTCTTATAAGAATTAATAAAAAATTTTGAACTATATCACATATCTTAATTGAAGCAGATTACACTAAAAGTGGACATAAAAAGAGAAAATCATAGGTAAGAATAATACATGAAAATTAATTTACCGTACATAGAACAAGATAGTGTCAAATTCTAATCACATAAATTCCTAAACAATTTCTTCCAGGTAACATCAATATTAACATGGGCTTATAGATTTAAAAAAGAAAAAAACAAAAACAAAAACCTCTTCAAAACAGAAACCTTCTTCTGGCAAATATCTTAGGAATAACTATTAGTCTTTGTACTTGCCTGGAAGACAACCTGGGGCTTCTTGACCTAGGAGGGAAAGCAGAGCTGGGAGCCAAGAGCAATGAGATTTCATTTTCTTCCTGTAGCACCTATTGCAAGTTCCAGGGCCAACAATCTCACTTTTTGAAAAGCAAAAATGATTTAAAATATTCATTTTTGGGGAAATTTGTTCTAATTCAAGGCCCAAGGAAGAAATTGCCAGTCATTCAGAATCTTACTCAATAAATTTAATCATATTTGAGAGAAAATAGTAGAGCCTTATTATGAGTATTTTTTAAATTATCAGTGTCACAAATAAAACTCTGATTGCAATGCAAATTGTAACTTAAAATTCAAGCCCTATGTACGTTTGGCCTATGAATCTTTTCTTAAATAACTTAATTGTTATGACTCTTAAGTAATCAAACAGCAAGTAGTAAGGGTTTACTAAGAGCCAGGCAGCCTTAGCTAATTCAGAGATACTATTTTGTAAACTGATTTAATTGCAGAGATCAATGCAAAGGTGTGTGATCTACTTAGAGTGTGATAGTCATGTTTTAAAAGAAGATGTCCACAACCACAGTTCTAAACTCTCCTTTTCACAAACTGAGGAATCGTGATGGTTGTTGCTACCTTACCCTCAAGCTGTAAAGCTCTGAAGTGAACTATTCAGGAAAAGTAAATAGTGTGAATTTCAGTGTTTCTGTTACTGCATATAGAATTTCTCATCAAAGATTCATAAAAATAAATGAATCATAAACATGCTAATATTAAGTACAACAAATTAGACTATAAATTTTAGCAAAAAATCTCAGGTTAAATAGAAACTCATCTTGATAATACTAATGACTATTTTTCTGTTGGTATCATTCCTTCTGACAGAATAACAATAAGAGCAGGCCAAAAAAAAATAGAATAATTCAAATATAAACTATTCCAAAGTGAAAAACTAATCAAAATATTCTACTTTTCATTTTGTCCTTCCACAAACTGAAAGTCGGATATAGATAATAAATAGTGGTAGCAGTATTATAAAGTCATATAAATATTCATACACTTTTTTTTGTGTCAAAAGTGGCTTAGTTTAAGAAATAAATTCCTTAGTGAAAAAACATGAAGAATGTGAAAAAAATGGAATTTCAAATCCACAGAAATTGTGTCAATATCTCTTAAAAATTCCTTCAAAGCAAATCATATACATTCTGACCTCAGTGCTATGATTGTAACATATTCAAAATGTCACCACCACCTCTTGATATAAAACCCACTTCATTCTTGAAGGGGATTTGAGGTGCAGCATTAATGCTGGTCTCATACATAATGACACTCGTGTTGTAGACACTTGAGCCATAAGGCTCGATGAATTATATTTGTTTTCTTGTTTTCATTAAGATTTTTAATATATGATAGTTTTTTTTTTATGATTGCATGATTTGCTAAACAAGCATAGAGTAGATATGGAGAATGTACACAACAAGAAAAAGAATAATCTTTGTTTTCATTTATTTAGTATTTTTTTTAAACTCCAGCTAAATGCTAGATATTGGAGACAGAAAATACAGCTATGAACCAAATATAAAAGAATCCCCTGACTCAAGCTTGTCCAACCTGGGGCCCACAGGCCACAAGTGGCTCAGGATGGCTTTGAAGGCAGCCCAACATAAATTCATAAACTTTCTTAAAACATTATGAGATTTTTTTGGTGATTTTTTTTTTTTTTTAGCTCATCAGCTATCATTAGTGTTATTGCATTTTATGTGTGGCCCAAGACAATTTATCCTTCCAATGTGGCCCAGGGAAGCCAAAAGATTGGACACCCCTGCCTGACCTCAGAGAGCATAGAGCCCAATGGAGGAAGAAAGAGAAAAGTAAGATAAAGAAATAAAATATACACTATACTAGGTGGTTATAAGTGCTTTGGAGGAAAAGTAGAGAAGAGAGGTTGGGTGTATGAGGAAGAGGGATGTAATAATTTCATAAATTTAAGCAGGATGATCAGGCATGGCCTTACTAAATAAATATTTGAGTAAAGACCTGAAAAGGTAAAGAAAGCAAGCCATATGGTTATTTAGGGGACAACTTTTCCAAGCCTAGAGAGCAGCCGCAGCAGTCCCTAAGGCAGTTGAATCCCTGACCCGTTGGACAGCAAGAACACCAGGATGGTGGGATAGAATGAGTGAGCTGGAAAACAGTAAGATATGTTATCAGATAGGTAAAGGGGAATTGCAAATGTTAACATTGTAGGCCTGGTTAAAGACCTAGGCTTTTCCATTAAGACATTAAGTTATTTCAGAGATTTGAGCAGATATGAAACAAACTCTGACTTACTTTTTATCCGAATCAGAATCTCTTTTATGGCTCTGAATTATATCGATGAGCTACAAGGACACAAGCAAGGAGAACAGTTAGGAAAATTTCATCTGATTCGGGTAAGAGATGGTGACTCTGACTAGGATGGAGTTGCAGAGGTACTTATAGTGGTTCAATTCTGCACATACTTTGCAGGAAACACTGAGAGACTGCTGCTAGATTGCACAGAGAATATGGAAGAAATAAAACACTGAAGTTTTGGGCCTAAGCCAATGGAAGATTGATGTTGCTATTAATTGAGATGTCAAAGACTAAGTGAAGATCATGAACTCAGTTTTGTACACGTTAGACAATAAGTGTCTGAAAGTTGAAAGAATGTCTGGAGAAGAGGTGAAAATTCTGAAGTCATCAACATTTAGATGATATTTAAAGCCAGCAGATGGATGACATTATCAATAGTGTCAATAGAGATAGAAAAAGACAAGGTTCAGGATCCTGGCCCTGGAGTAATCAAGCATTAAGATGCCAGGAAGATGGCAAGTGAACGATAATAAAGACTGAAAAGTGGCCAAAAACAAAGGAGGAAAACCAGGCAAGTGGGCTATCCTAATGCCAAATGAGGTAAGTGTCTCAAGAAAGAAGGGGGATCCACTGTCTAAAGTTGCTGATAAAGTAAGCATGAATAAAGACTGAGAAGTGACCGTTGCATTTAGCAATGTGGGAGATATTGCTAATCTTCACAGAGCAGTTTAGATGAAGTTGATCTAAATTCATGTTCTCTTAAATCCACTCCACTCAGGGTGAATTCAGGCTGAATGCCTGAACCCAGGAGTTGATTCAAGAGAAAATTTGGGGAGAAAAATAAGAACAGACGTAGCCAATTAAAAAAACAAACAAGGCTGGGCATGGTGGCTCACGCCTGTAATCCCAGTATTTTGGGAGGCCAAGGTGGGTCAATCACGAGGTCAGGAGATGGAGATCATCCTGGCTAACACAGTGAAACCCCATCTCTACTAAAAATGCAAAAATTAGCTGGGCATGGTGGCACATGCCTGTTGCCCCAGCTACTGGGGAGGCTGAGGCAGGAGAATCATTTGAACCCGGGAGGTGGAGGTTGCAGTGAGCCGAGATTGTGCCACTGCACTCCGGGCCACAGAGTGAGACTCCGTCTCAAAAAAAAAAAAAAAAAAAAAAAAAAAAAAAAAACTTTTGCTGTAAAGGGAAAGATAAATGGTGGGGTGGCATCTTGGTAGAGTGGTGGGGGGGTGTTAATAGCTTTTTTTAAAAAAAAAAGAGAAATGTAGGTACATATTTTAATGCTTTCAGTTATAATTTATTAGAGATGGACCAATTCATAATGTAGGAAAAATAATGCAAACGTTTTGTCCAGGAATAGCAAGGAGGGATGAGATCTAGAACAAAAGGGAAAAAGTTGACCTTTTCTAGGAACATGTACAGTTCATCACAGTAGAGGATAAAAGGCAATAAGATCACTAAAAATAACAGCCAGTTTCACTGAATTTACAAATACATGTGACAGCCAGCAGAATTTAGGCAGTGCCTTCTTATTTGCCATTATATATTCCTAGAAACCATAATTGACAAGATAAAATAAAATATAGATAGCAACTCTATGCCATAAGCATAGAACCTGACACAGAATAGGCCCTAAAGTATTTGTTGAATAAATAGTAATTATTTATGAAATGGTTATGATAAAATTAATACATCTAAAATGTTTGCCCTTCATAATCATTTAAAATTAGCAAAATAATACAACAGATTAGAGAGACTATAATTCTTTTGTATGTAAGACAATAGAAAATAGTAAATTCTTTTGTATGTATGTAAATAGAAACCTCAGAAGTTCAGTGGTTTTCCAATGTCACAGGTTTTAGCAAAAGTTGAAGCTGAAATCCAAGTGTTCTACTTTCTAGTTAAATACCCTTTCATGTAACCTACAGTTTCTGGCTGATAAAATGGATCTTATAGTCTATAAAATATGCTCAGTGCATAAAAAGGTAAATTTATAGTATCATAAATATTAGACTGGGGATCCTTAAGTAATTAAATTCAGTATAATTATATGAATTCTAACAATCATTTCAAATTTCATTAATAATAATTTGTTTGCCTTACTAAAACTTAGAGGTAGTCATGAGAAATATGAGAAATGCTTTCTTTTTTTTTTTTTTTTTTTTGAGACAGAGTTTCACTATTGTTGCCCAGGCTAAGTGCAATGGCACGATCTCAGCTCACTGCAACCTCTGACTCCCGGGTTCAAGCGATTCTCCTGCTTCAGTCTCTCAAGTAGCTGTGATTACAGGTGCCTGCTACTATGCCCCGCTAATTTTTTTTGTATTTTCAGTAGAGACGTGGTTTCACCATGTTGGCCAGGCTGGTCTCAAACTCCTGACCTCAGGTGATCTACCCACCTTGGCCTCCCAAAGTGCTGGGATTACAGGCATGGGCCACTGCGCCCAGCCACAAGAAATGCTTTCTATTGTCCATGTCTTTTAAACAGGGTTTCCAGAGGACTTTAATACTTCTTTTAATCTAGATGAACATAACAAGATGAAGAAGAGGGCTCAGGGTAAAAACAAAAGTATGTCATTAATGGGATCCTGGTGAATACCACTTACAAATTGTGTGGTGCTGAAGAAGTTACCTAACCTCTCTGTTCCTTAGTTTTATTATCTGCAAAATGGGAATAGTAATAACAACAGCCTCATTGGAATGTTCGGAATATTAATTGAGATGATACCTCTACCCAGTTTAATGAATAAGCTGAATTTAGTAACCATTTTATCTCCTCTGATTCCCTCAGGTTAAGAAATTAATATGAAACAAAATTTCAGACAGCCGTCCTAGCTTCTCTAGCATGATTAGACAATAAATTAATTATCTTTTGTTTTATAATGAAAAAGTCTAGTCTAGACTAATGATTTTATAGTTTTGGTTTGAAATAGGATTATAAAAGAGACACAGCCCTAAGGTCCCATCTAACCTAAAGTTTCTCCCCTTACACTTGGTTCAGGCTTACTTCAAGCCCTGAAGTCTGCACTGGAGGGTAGGAGTCTGGTGGTCTCTCTTTATTCTCACTTCACCCACTCACAGCAACTGTTTCTGACCACTTCAGACTCAGGGCCTGTGAAAAGAAACTTGGAGGGGAAAGACCACAGTGGCATGTGGCTGACCCTTGTGTCACCACTGTCTGGGACTTCTGGAATGGCAAATGTGGAAGCAATGACCTTTTTTTTCTTCTTCTTCTGGAGTGCATCTGTGGCATTCTCAAAGAACCCCTCTGTCTGTTCTCTTCTCTGGAATCAATCCTCCAAATTTGTTGCTCATAATTCACCACCTTGGAACCTGGGCTTCTGCGAGTATACTCACCTATGGGCTTAAGATAACCCTAAGCAAGCTCCCCTCATGAGGACCGCAGTTGCTCTTCAAACATTGCCAACCTTTTTCTTGACCTTGGAGAACTATGAGGACTTGCCTGCCTTGAAACTCCTTCATCTGCTATATGGGCATCCACAGCCACTGTGGCTGCTTTTAGATTTTAGACTCTATATCCTTTACTCTCTAAAGGAAACCTGTTAAGCTCTCTGAATGTTTTTCCCGAAGCTCTTCTCACTTGGCTAAGGTGAGCAGGAACTGCTCTCATTTCTCATACATGGAGTGGTAGACTATGTACAACAAACAAACAGCTTTCCAAAACAAAAGTATTTCTCTTTTAGCTTTTCCAACTCAATCTTTGTAGAGTCCAAATATGGAGTTTGAGTTAAGACAAAACTTACTGGTTGGACTATATCTTAGCATCTCCTGCAAATAAAGTCTTGTGCCTCACTTAATTAGCTTCATCTCCAACAGAGAGAGAGGGAAACACTCCCACTTTAATATCTGGGTGCTTAAATAAAATACTGAATGGCATAGCGGGAGTGTTCAGAAATGTTAGCTATTACAATTAATCTTATCTTTGTTATTGAACACTTAAGAAGTAACTACATAAGGAATTGGCCACAAGAAAAAAATTGAGAGGAATAAAACAAAATATTTAAGAACTAAAAGAGTATGGTATCATGAAAGTTAAGGGGATAAGATTCATTTATCCATTTTTTTTGGAGAAGCGCAGTGTCAAATAAAACAAACCTACTACAATTATTAATTGGTTATTGGTGATAGCGAACATTCTGAACAGGGAGTTAGAGGAAAAATCAGACTGCAGTATAGAAGTCGAAAAAATTGAGACAGTGAGAGCAAGTCTGGAGAATAAACTTGGAGAATAAGTTTATAGAAAAAGAAAAAATAAGTTGAAAACTAAAGGGAAACACAGAGTCAAGGGACTTTTTTGTTGTTAATTGTACTTGTCATCATTTTAATTTTAAGAAATATATTTGAACATCTTGCAAAATAGCCAGCTTAGAGGAAAAGTAATTGAAGACACTAGAGACAGAGGGAAACAATAATCAAAAGAGGAGGTAAAAGGGAGGGTTCAGGGATTTAGAGATAAATATTCATATACCAGAAGGGCAATGCTTAAGACTGGAGAATGTAAGTAAATGAAGACAAGTATGGGTATGGGTAAGTGTGTGGGAGGAAAATAATGAGCATTGAAGGACAACATACCTACTAGCCTAGAAAGGGAATGTTTATGGAGAATTAAGAGCATGGGAATTTCAACATGAAATAATTAATAGCATTGCTTAACACAAAGAATTCAAGGGACATGGAGAATATGAAAGCATCACTAGATTTGCAAAATATTGGTGACATATATGAGTGTACTTTATTTTAGGAAAACAATGATGATAGAAGCCTGATTGCAAGGGTTAAAAAAAGAAAAAGAAGCAATGAGCAATACAGAAAGCAAGCAGATATTTTATTTGGCCAAAAGAAAAAATAACTAGAAGAGAGAAATACACATTAAGAAAATAGGATGGCTATAACAGGAGGTAAAAGATGGAGCATGCTTCTCTTTTACAGGTAAGGGATAAAACAGTGTGCTGGTATTAGGTTTCACAAAAAACAAAGGAGCTAAATTCAGTTATAATCGCAGCACAATAGGAAGGGATGTTGTTTGATGTAATCAAGGGACATGTGTGACTGGCCATGGTGGAAGTGGAAAATTTAGGAAAATTTAGTTAAGAACTTTTTAAAAAGATAAATCAAAATACCTTTAAAATTTGATAAAGATTGAAGAGAGTAAGGATTTTTAATGCTCTCAATTTGTGCTAGTGTTCATTATTACCCAGTAAAATTGTGCAGTTAAGGTTGGCTAAAGATAATGATGACAATATCTACAATGATAATATCAGCAACAATAGCTACATTTAACATTTATTGAGCATGTACTACCTGTAAGGCATGGAATTATCATTTGACATATTCCAACTCATTTGTTCCTCATAACGATCTTATGAGGCAGTTTCTATTATTATTTGAAGTAAGCACTTTGACCAAGGTTATTGAGCTAGTAAGTAGCAAGTCCAATTATACCTAGGTAGTATGCATTCAGAATAAAAGGGCTGTCAGGGCATAATCTGTTGCTCTCTATAAGATTTACTCAAATAGTTTGAATTTTAGAATGTCAAAAGATATATATGTCCTCCATAAGTAGCCTCTTTTAATTTCTCATCAAGATGTACACCAGCACATCCCAAATTATACATATAAAAACCTGGTATTTTAAAATGCTCAGGGTTTCTGAAACACATTCTCATACCTCCTTTCAATCACTCTTAAGGGTAGATATTATTTACTCTTTTCAATTAAGGAAACAGAGTTTGAGAGAAATCAAGTGACTTTCCAATGGTCCTCCAGTTAACAAAGGAAGGAGCCCCAATTCAAATTCAGATCTTCTGACTCAAGTCCAAAGCCTTGGCCATTCAGGACATTACCCATCCCTGACCATTCTTTCTCTTCAATAGTCTTTATATTTCAATTATCTTTTCTAGTTTTCTGGTCACATTTCTATTTCAAATCTCCATACTTCACCAGAAGGTTATCACAATAAGCTTTCTCTAACATGAAAATGACCAAAATGACTCTTTTAGTAACATTTGTGTAGGTCAGTTGCAGTAATAATCCCAGTGTTTCATTTATCCTGTAGCCATACCCTTTGCCATTTAATTCTGTTCTGCTTTCCACTCTCTCTAGGTTTGGCCAAGGGACATTACCAAAAATGACTTAAGCAGAAGTTTAAGAAGCATCTGCTTATTCCTATTTGGCTCTTACTCCTCTTCCATGATCATGAGAACCTGCCAGGGCTAGCCCATTACAGGATTAGACACATGGCATAGAGGTGAATGGCCCCAGTTGGCTCAGCCAAGGCTGTCCTGGATCAGAATCAGACAACAGCCAATTGACATAAAGCTGACACAGCCAACCTTCAGCTAGCCAGTGACATAAAGTTAGTCCAGCCAAGATCAGCCAATTCAAGATCAGCTGAATCCCACAAACTCATATTTTTGTATGTTATTGAGGTTTTTGTGTTGTTATATAGCATTATTTAAGCAATGGATAACTGATGAATATTATGTAATCCATCCAAAATCAAGATTGTAAAATAATTTTTCTTCATGATCTGGTCATCAGTTCACCCCAAATTCTCCAGATTATACCACATAGAAATTCCTGTCTTTATTTTGCACCACACATAATAACAGCCTACGCTTCACAGCCACTATATAGAACTTCACTTTCATCCTATAACCTTTCATCAAACAAATCTTTTTTTCATTATTGATTGCTATTTAATCTTTTAAAACTAAACAAACAAGATTCCCCAAAGAGTCTTCTTTGTACAAAGTAGGGACCCTAAGCCTAGCCTGGGAAGCACAGCATATGCTGAATTTTGGTTTCCCATATGTCCTTCAGCAAAGTTCTATCTGCACAACTTTCCTGCCCCACATGGAATATCTCAGAATCTTTACCAATCGTTTCTCAAAAATACCTCTTTAATATCACTTTCCACATGAAACTTTTTGTAGTGAATCACATATCAACTTCATAGTTCAAATACTTTCAGTACTTCTATAATCTTCCAGTACTATATTTATTTGGGCCCATTTATGTATTTTTTCCAAGCAACTCTATTCCCTAAACTGTCTGAGAGCCAAACTTTTTTCCCCATCCCCTTTACAAACATATGTAGCTATTTAATAATGCACAGTGGACCCTCAGTGTATGCTAAAAAAGGTGATGAAAACAAATTTTAAACTTCTACATATGACATTTTGCAACAGGAAGCACATTCCCTTTACCTCTTCTCCAAACATTCTTAACAAATATATTAATAACTGACAATTATTCCCCCATTCTCAAAAATGTGTAGGATTATTTTGTCAATATTCCTAGTAAATTACTCTAATTATCCTAATGATTATTCACATATATGTATAGAAATGATCATCTTTTAGCATTCTGGATAAAACAAATGCAAGTAATTCCATATTTAATTTTTTATACATTAATTAGTTTTTATTTGCCTCATATTCTTTAATCATCACAAGTTACCCTATGAGGTGTTAGTATTAAACACTTTTTGTAGCATGGAAATCTGAAGTTCTGACTCAAACTGGTGATGTGTAGTTGGGTCACAGTACAAATCTGATCTTCCTATTTCAAGTTTATTGTTCTTTCTACATCAAAATGCACATATATTTACTTCTCCATTTACTTTAAAAGCCTTTTTTATGGGCCTAGTACTTTGGCAGTTCAGAGGGTTTTGCATTATTGAGATCTGCTCCTTTTCTCAAGGAGCTTATAGATTAGGTTGGGGAACAGGCACATAAACAGACAATTTAATTACAATATGATAAATGATAAGAGTAAGGCACACAGAACAAATGTACTTAGGGTTCAGAAAAGAGTTCCTGAAAGAGATAAACTTTTGGCTGGGATGGGAAATTAACCAGACAAAGACATTGAGGAAAAACATTATAGGTAGAGAGATGAACATTAATGAAGGAAAAAGAATGGAGTTTGCTGGGACACACCAAACAGTGTCGTATTATTCAAGCATATAATGTGACATATTTACAACACCAGAAATGTTAGGAGATGCAGCAAAGAATTTCAGGGTCAGGTGCCAAGAAAAACAGAAGAGTAGAGAGATTTGAGAATTATTTAAGAGGTACAAAAAGTGTGGCCCACTGAGGACTGAATTTAGAGAAGGAAGAAAGCACCAACTATAAGGACCCTTAAGGTGCCTAAGTAAGGAGTTAGAGCACACTTAGGTTGTGAATTGGAGGTAGATGATGACTGGGTTTGGAGCATGTTGAATCTGAGGTTCTGTGGAACATAAAAATGGATCTGTGCATTAATAAGTTAGATAATTGAGGGCATAGCTAAGAAACTTCAGGCCTGGAGGTGTGGAATGATGTGAAATTATCAGCACTTTTTAAACGCAGATATACCCAAAGACATAATGAAAAACTAAACAATACAGCTATAAAATAATTTACATGGTTAAAATTGTTAAAAATTATTGTTGCATACTTTTATAAAGAAATAATAGGAGAGAAAGTGACTAAAGTAAAGCTCCAATCACCAAGACCTAATAGCACTGAATAGGCAATTTAAGACATCTATGTCATAAAGTTTATCTCTGCTTTCAATTCTACCCTGTGTTTGCTGAAATAATTTTCATTTTTCTGTTACCCTAGTGGTTTTCAATTTTACATGCTTTATTTCTGCCCCAAAAGTCACATTTATGGTAGTTATTTTCACCTTCCAGCTAAATGTCAAGTGCAATGCCACCAAACAGTGGCACATTATTTACAAAATATTCATAAAGTTTCAACAATAGCAATTGATGAAGAATATTCCTCTATTACTTATAGAAAACTTATAGCCCTAAAGATACAGAGTAGGTTATTAAACACTTTCTTTAAAAAAAAAAGATGATTATCACTGTCTAAGGACCTGTGGATTTCTAGGGGTACTCAGATATTTATAATAGCAACATACAAATTGATATTGAAAAAGATATCCTCAAAGTATTTTTAATTTAGAATGGAACTATAGCCATCTAAATGTATAGGCTCATAATCCCTAATCTACAATTCCAAAATCCATACACTCTGAAATTGATATTTGATTTGTGAATATGTAATGAATTTGACGGGTGGGAAAATCAGACCTATACTTATCATGAGACTATTTACAGTCTTTTTTTTTTTTTACCATGCAGTAGGAATATTCATAGAATTATCTTCAGAAAAATTTCAGAAATATTCAGAAATATGGGTGCTGCCCATAGTCCTTCAGGAGGATTGTTCTATAATATGCTACACACACACACACACACACACACACACACATATACAGAGAGAGAGAGAGAGACAAGAAACAGAGAGTAAGAGAGAAAGAGAGAGAGAGAGAACCAGAAAACTTCTGAGCTCCAAAACATAACTGGTCCCAAGGGATTTAGATAAAAGGCTGGGCAGTATATTTAAAAATTAAAACTTAACATTTTAAAGGCAATCATAATTTAGATACTCCATACAATTGAATAGCTAGAAATAAAACATTTTCATTCTTGTACCTTTACAAAGAGATTTACCTCCACAATCAGTTACGTATAAAAATATTTTTCAGTTTTCTCCTTTTTTTCCTGAAGTATCTTGTTCTAGTGCTTTATTTTTACAACATTTTTAAGTAAAATAGTCACCTTTTTTTTACAGAAGAGGAAACATTTAAAAATCCAAATTACTTTCAGATGTATTTTGGTAAGATTGGGATTTAAACTGAAAACTTCAAGCTTGAATAAAATCTAGAAAGACAAATGTAAGAGGGATTCATGCAGTCTTACATGTAGGATCAGAATCAACTTCCAAGAAGAGTGGAAGGGAAATGGGAACACACTGCAGCATCTATGCAAGTCAATTAGAAACTTCAGTTGACTGCTGTCCCAGTACACATTGAAGGTATGTTGAACTTGTCTCCAAATATAATAAAATCCTAGTGTAAACTAATGAAACACTGTATCCAGAAGAAGAAATGATTGCCCCATTTTCCACTTGTTACAGTAGATAAGGAAGAGTGTGACTGGTTCTGGGACCACTTTAACAAGAGAATTAACTAACTCAAATAATCCTCCAAGAGAGTAAGCAGGATGGTGATAGTTCTAGAAATCACCTTATGAAGAGCAATTGCAAAGACTAAAATATTTTCCTTAAAAAATATAATATTTGGTGTAGCTATCTAGCTGCCTTTTGAAATGAGTCAAAACATTTTGTGTGATGACACAAACCAGGGTACCAAGAAGTGAGAGTTATTAAAAACATTATTTCATCTCAATACAAGATAAACTGCCTGAAAACGAAAAGGACTAGAATGGCAGTTATTCACACAGGGTTATGGGTTTACCTATCAGGATGTGACAGGGGATTCTTAGTGATCCTTTCCATTTTGAGAGTCATAAATATCTCTATGAGTTAATAGTACAGATAGCTTTAGAATTTTATCAACTTTGAATATATAGTTTTCAATATTTATAAAGATATCTTTGCTACAAGCCATAACTTTGTGGAGAGAATTCAACTCTTTAACATTTAGTATACTGTCTTTTAAGGAGCGGGCCAATCAACCTTGTATTTAAAAGAAAGTTTTAGTTTAATGGGGGTGAGTATCAAAAATCCCATTCATTTTTATGTTTCTTCTCATACCTAAAAGAGGCACAATTATGCTTTTCATTTTTTTTTTTTTTGGAGGTGGAGTCTCTTTCTGTCCCAGGCTGGAGTGCAGTGGCGTGATCTTGGCTCACTGTAACCTCTGCCTCCCGGGTTCAAGCAATTCTCCTGTCTCAGCCTCCCCAGTAGCTGGGACTACAGGCGCATGGCACCACACCCAGCTAATTTTTTGTATTTTAGTAGAGATGGGGTTTCACCATGTTGCCCAGGCTGGTCTCGAACTCCTGAGCTCAGGCAATCCACCCACCTCGGCCTCCCAAAGTGCTAGGATTACAGGCCTGAGCCACTGCGGCCAGCCTATGAGTTTCTTAAACAAGTAAATTGACTTTCATCATTAACTTTGTATATAAATAGGCTGGCAGTTCTTAAAATATCTTAGGATTTTTTTTTTCTGTAAAATACAAAGATTGACAGAAATATATTTAAATATAGCTAACAACGTTAAGTTAGTGAGGCTTAACTTTTTCCCTTTCACCAATCTTCAAAATGTTTTAAAAATAAAAAGAAACCAGTTAAAGTGTTTTTTTTTCCCAAGGGAGAGGATAATATATTAGTAATTCCAAGAATTTTAAAGCAGATATTAGGCATTTAAAAAAAAAAAAACAATAGTTGGACACGAGACTTCCAAAGTACGGTCATTTTCAAAGACCACACAACTGAAAATGAAAAATACATATTTCCAAATGTCAATATTGTGTTTAAAAGGTAAGAAAGATAAAACTATCTCCACATTCTGGTCATTAAAAGCTGATCCACAAGTGGTTTTCTACCTCCCTAAAACACATAAATACAATTTTTAACAAAGACTGGATAAGAACTCTTGCTTCTCACACAAACCCCCAACCACCATCAGTAGTCCATGATTTTGTTTGAGGCAAGGTTTCAAGTGAACTAATCATCTATTCCTAAGTTGTTCTCACCAAAACGTGTGTATCACATATGTTAAGTGGAAAAGTAACATTAAGAATGGGAGTAAAGTGAATCTTAACAAATGTTCAATTACAATAGGAGAAACAAAGGCTACCAGGAAGCATACCTGTGGCAGGGCTGAATTGAGCTGTCTCTGGAGTGAGTCTCGGTCATAGATGACATCCTGAAGTCTTTGCTGGGCAAGTGAGAGGCTTTCCTGGGTCTCCCGAAGGGTGTCTAGAAGACGATCCCTTTCATCTAGCATATTCACCATCAGCTGCTCAAAATGGGAGTCTGAGTCCGAGCCACTGCTTTGGGACCCCCTTTGGCTCATTGGGGTGTCCTCATTAATCGTGGGCATCACTTCACACATCATTGCTTAAAGAAAGTAAGTGGGAAGGAGTCTTAGTAAAGAAATGATTTCCAATAATTTCATTTGGAGAGCAATTCACTAAATATTTTTCAGCTTATTAGCCTATTTGTCTCTATTTCCCCTACCTGTTGCCCCAAATCCAGCCAAGCAAAATGTTTTGACCTCAATGAAATATGATCCATTTACTTCCTTCAGCCTAAGTGCTTTCTCTTTCCATGACATCACATTTATCCCACCTCCCATATGCAACTTGGTTTCACCTGTTTCTCAAAATTGTTGTTCATGATTTATCCCACCTAATTCAATTTACATAAACATGTGATTTCTATTATTATTTCATCACCTTTCTTATCTGCAAGTTTACAAATCTCTTACAGCGAATACTTTTATGTTACCCTTATTTGTTATTACTGTATATTATTAATGGCAAGCACAGTGTCTGGCATTTAACGGGTAGGAAGTAAATGACTTGAATGACTTAGGTAATTCAATGATTTAAAGTTTACTCTTTCTTGTAGAAAATATACAAATCATTGAGTATTTATTTTATATAATAATCAGCTTTTACTTTGTTTTTTAGTCAACCGATTTTTTTCAAACTGACTAGTTTTAAGCTTTCTGACATTACATTTTCCATTTTATTACTTTTATATGCTCTCTCCCTGAATTCCTACGTGGTCTACCCAGAGCAGATAAGTGATACTGACTGAATTAGACCAAAACCTTATGAAATAAACTGAGGTATATAAATTTGTTTAGAGCATTATACTCATCATTACACTTAATATTCCCTTTTTCCTGTTAACTGCATGGTCTGGTTTTCATCCAAACAATACAAACTAGCACTCTTTCAAATATTCCGCAAAACAGATGTCATAAATTATATTAGCTAATGTAGTAACTTCACATCTCAACCGCCAATCACAAGTTCTCAGTCATGAAATAAACGAACTGTTTTCAGAATATTTTTAAATTTGATTTAAAATAGACAAAACACACTTAGGTGCATGATTGAACAATTATGTGGCAACTTAAAAATCAGAAATTATCTCATTTTCTCTTTCATCCTCTAGCTAATGTTTCAAAGAAAAGTCAAACTCATCTCAATTTTGGTTGTTGTACTATGGCCAGCAGCTATTAATTAGATGGCTTGGTTTTGCAAAAGGCTGATGTAAAGAAAGGCAGGTTTGGCTGTTGATCCTGAAGCACTGTTTGGTTTTATAATGCAAGGTTAATTAATTTTTCTGCCTATACATTCCTGTCCTTGGGGAAAATATTTCTGGTGATATTTTCAAATAGAATGTCAAGATTTAACAGCTCAATATTTAATTACTTTTTATGTGAGTCTTCATATAAATTGGGTTATTGAGGAGCGAAATTCAATTATCTGTGAATGATCTGGTCAGGGACTCCTGAAAACTAAGAAAAACTTTTAAAAAGTATGTAAGTAAAGTATTTTGTGATTGATAACCTATATTAAAAAATTAAGGGGGTCATTGAACATTAGGAAAGTTTTAAACGCTTTGAAGTTTTGCTCATTGCTCATAACACTGAGCTACCTGAAGGCAGGAATTTAATTTGTTCAATTTTGTATGCACACTAAAATATATAACAGAGAACACACATAAAATGAATATAAGCACATACACCCTGATACCCACACTTGATACTACTGTTACACACTTAATGGATAAAACTGTTTCTTGCATTTATCTCAATTTGATTTTCATTCAAAGACTATCACAAAGATGGAAAATACAGACTCTTTTTAGATGCTTCAAATTTTCTTTATATTAATTGAAAAGGAATTGGAAAACAACAAAAAGTGTTCCAACACATTTGATTATTTAAAACGATTAGTTAGCAGGCCATGCATGAAACCTACACATTGAGCCGCTATGTCATTCTGAGAAATGATTACCAGGAGCCAATATGTTTACTTTTGACATTTAAGGTTAAAACAAAGTACTGGGAGAGCAAATCATAGCATCATGACAATTTGTGCCCAAACACTCACAACGTTAGGGTTACCTATAGATTTAAATTCTTAAATCTATATTTTAAATTACGTCCTTCTTGAATGAAAGTTATTAATCCCTTTCCACCCTGAATCACTCAGAACAACTTTAAATTCCAAGGCAAAGCATAACAGCAGTGAATACCCCAATATAATTTTCACCTGAAAATAATATCCTAACAATCCCTCATTGTTACCATGGGATATAAACATTCACAAACTTTAGGGTCTTAAATCAACATTAAAGGTAGTCTTCGATTTAGTCAAAAGATGCTATGATGAAAAGTGGCTTAGGGACTTAGAAAGTCTATTAAATCTACACTCAAAAGAACTTGATTTGATTCCACTCCTAAGGCAGGTGAACCAGGACAAGTTACTTTACATGTTAAAACTTTAGTTCTCTCTTTCATGAAAGAGGGCCAATAATCTATGCTTAGAGGAAAAAAAAGAAAATATATAATAGGTTACCTGACTGAGAACACACAGCAAAACATATAAAGGGCAATTACAAATGTAAGTATTAATTTCTATTATAAAGTGATCAACATTAATCTTTGTAGAAACAATATTTTACCTTTACGACTCATTCTGCTGCTGTAAAGGTTTAATTCTAGTAGATACTTTTGAACTCTTCAAATCCAATTTATAAAAATCAAATTATGCAAAATTTACTTAGGAAATAAGATGAATATATGCTGCTTATACCTTGCAGTCAACCCAAATGAGTAAATCCAAAGTCTTCTTATCAAAATTAGAAAAAAATAGTCTACAAAAAAATAAGGCCACTTTCATGAACTAGCTTAGTTTCTTTCATTAGAATTCAGATTCTAACATAAATTACAAAATATTTGATTAATCCTTAAAATGCAGTATAACATTTCTTAAATGCACATTTTGCACATTTTAAGTATTAAAAGCAATTAAAGATATATATTCAATATAAGAGTTAAACACCCTTTTAAAAAATGGATGACATCTGAAGCAGCTTGCACAGTCCGGAAGGCTATGGTCATTCAATGTCTAGTGCGTTTCACCCAGATACATCACTTTTAACTTTTATAATCAGTATCAATACTAAAAACTGCATTCATCACATAATTTCTGAAAAGCCAGAAAGGGCATTTTAACAATTTGCCTTGATATTTGCTTTTTCATCATTCCCCCCTCAAAGTCAATTTGATATATAAATTATGTTATCTTCATCTAGATATTGATGCTTTCCTCATTAAATTACTGAAGGTTTTGAAACCTAGTCAGAGACATTGTTAATTTTGTTGAGAAAGAAAAAAAGTAATAATAAATCTGATTGGCTTAATTATCCCAGTGCTTAAATTTAGCCGGAAGAATTTTATATCAGGAAAATAACTCCTTTATTCTTAGCACATAGCCTTGACTGTCTTTTAAATTTCTCAGATTTCAAAATAAAAGTTTGAATGCCCACTGGAGTCCTCACTCAAGGGCTTTCAAGATCCAATGTGTTCCTTAACAATATATGCCATCCAAGCAGTACCTCTTCAGATATGAGAGTGCTACAAAAAGCTTTTTTTCTTTTTTCTGTCAACAAATGACTTTATTTAATCATATCACTAGGAATTCGGCCCTACTAGAGGTAAGAATGTAATTATTATCCATAGTGAGTTTCTTCTGAAAACATTTAGTCTTAAGAACCATCCCAGCTCCACCTCAGTTAACCTACAAGGAGTAATTCAGTGAGAGAAATCCTAGCCATTGTCTGATTACATTACATGAATATTCTCCCTCCTATTTAACTCTTTGAAAGCCTCTGTCCTCGGGAAATATGATTATCACCTTTAATGGACACATTTTACACTTTCTTTACCCTAGTGCATTTACGGACAGCCAGAGCCAGCTCAACCCACACTACTGGACAGTTATCTCTCAGCCACACCCCCCACCACCTTGAAGAAGTTGACTTCATCATTTCCACACTAAAATTGTTCATCCTGCCCAACAGGACACAGCCAAGTAGGCAGGAGGTAGAGAGATAGGAGATGGAGAGGATGAGGTGAAAGCAAAAGGCACCTAACGGTAATCAACAAGGAGGAATTTGCATCTCATCTTCCCTGGGGGCGGGGTGGGGCCGGGGAGGTGGTCAAAAAATACAGCGAAAGGAGACAGTAAAACTCAAAGACAGCTTCTGTACCTAATGTCTGTGATTTCGGGTCCTTGCTTCTTCAATTGATCAATGACAACCGCAGTCTCCGGCTTGAGGAGAAGGGAGGCTCACACCCAGCACTCCTGGACCATTTCCCTAGCAACGGGAGGAGAAAGGCAGCTCAGACACACGCGTGCCCCGGCGCCCTCCCGGAACGTGCCCCGGCCCGGTGGCGTGGCAGGAGCTCGGCATCTTCCCGTGGCTCCGTCAGCAGCCAAAAGGAGAAGCGTCCATCGGAAAAATGGCATATTACAAATTTTGCTTTGGGAAGCAAAGCTCGGTTCAGACCATTGTCAAAGGAGGAGAGGGGGAGGCGGCTCTTAAAGCAGCCGCGGCCCCTTTGCCAGAACAGCCGCAGCTCCCCGCGTGCAGCTGGAGCCCCGGGGCGGAGACCGGAGACCGGGGACTGGGTTTGACTTTCAGAAACTTAACCACGCGGCGCCGCTCCCCCTCCGCGCCCGGGCCACCCGGGGTGTGTGGGGCGTCCCTCCAAAAGAAAGCTTGGAGAAAAGGCGTGAGAAGTATCTGGGAGAGAAGTTCTCCACCCAGTCTCCCCTCCTGGAGCCCCTCTGGAGTTTAAGGCTAACCCTGGGAGTTAGAAACCTAAAGGAAAACGAGTCCCTAGGGATGCAAAAAGCAGGACAGGTCTCCTCCTGGCCCCCAGCCTGTTTCCGCGCGCTCCCGTGTCTCGTTTCACTTAAAGGAGGCGCTTTTTCTCTGGAAAGGCAAACATCACCCCACGCCGTCCCCCGGCCCCCCTTCCCTCCCCCCCGCCGCCCCCCCGCCGCCACAGCACACACACCCATTTTTCTCCTCCCGGCCTTTCTGCAAGCCTCTTTGCTTGCTTCAATTGGCCGGAAGAACCAACCTGCTGGCAGCCGGTGAGGACGCTACAGCATCTTCTCTCCTCACTTGCCTCGTGCGGTGGCTGCTACTCCTCCTCCTCCGTCTCCTCCCCTCCTCCTCCTTGGCAGCCACCACCTCCTCTTCCTCTGGAACAAGGGCTTCCCCTGGAAGCTGCTGCAGTGGTTTCCACCGGCCCTTAAATAAATTCTGAAGTAATCACGTCTTTGCTCTCCTCCTCACGCACACGCGCCCGCGGATACACTCGTCTCCCCCAGAGCCGCTCCCGGGCTGCCGAGGCTCGCTCTGCTCCCAGTGCCCCCTGCGAAGGCGAGGGCCAGGGATGGGCAAAGTGGGAAGGGGGCACACGCTTCCCCGCCTGGGCTTCTTTCACACAATGGGCTCTACAGCCTTCGCTTGTGTCAGCCTGCGCTGGTGGGGATGGGAACGGACTTGGGCACCTTTTGGCTCCCCGGTCTTCTGTGCTTGTCATTTCTTTAAGCAGCTTTCTTCCCACTGGGCCAGGGCATGGTAGTCATGGTTGTAGGGACCTGAGCCAATCTAGGGTGTGGCGGCATCTGTCATTTCTCATTACCTCTTCAGTTCTTCTTCATTCATATTGTTTTGGTAATGGGAATTGTATGTTAAGTATTCCCTGCCCGAGTAAATTTTAGCTTTGAGCAGAGTCTGGTCTCTCCATCGCGCTCCAGTCCCCCTTATATCTCCACCTCCCTTTACCTACCCTCTTTTCTTTCCGTTGCTGCTGTCCATTCATACAGACTGAGGAAGCAGGAGACAAAATCAGTACCTACTCTGAGCAGAAAGGGAACGTTTCTGTGAGGGAGAGTCACGAATCCTGCTGGGTTTGGTGAAAATGAAGAGGACATGCATGAAGGAATTGGAGGATTAAACACTGAATATATTTTGGGGGTTACTGAAAATATTCTGAGTGTGCTACACGAAAGCCAAAAGACGTGTTTTACTTTTGTGTAACGCCAAGAGTCCAAAGTTAACAAAGAACTAGTATGTAAATAACTGTTCACTTAAAATTAACTACAATATCCAAGAAACAATCTTTGTTTCTGAGGGAAGTATTTAATTCAGTTAGCGACTTTACAATGGAAAGTGGGGTAAAGCTCATGTATTTACCCAACTTCTATTCTAGACTGTTATTTAAATTTTACAACACAACACAATCCTATAAGAAGTATAAAAATAATACGAAAATTCATTAGATGTCAACTGGAGCACTATTTCTCAGACATAATGTGCATACAGATCATCCATGGATCTTGTTAAGTTGTAGATACTGATTCACCAGGAATGGGGTGAAACCTGAAATTCTACCCTTCTAATGACTCCCAGATGGTACTACACTTGAGGAGGAAGGGTCTAGACCACCCAATCGACCCACAATTTGATGTGGCTTAAATACCCCTAACTACAGGAAACTCTTCACCTCACAGGATAGCCTAGTCTATTTTCAGACAAACTTCATATTGTAATAGCTTCAACATACTAATCATATATCAGTACTCATAACTTTCACTCTCTAGAATTCTACACAAAACATAAAAATTCCTTATACATGAGAGATATTCTTATTTTTACATATAGCTATTATGTCTATTTTTACAAGAATTCCTTCCTTATTAAACCTTGGTTTGAATTTCCTTGGCAATCAACGTTTGTTAATTACTGGCTCAGATGTTCCTACTGTTTCCAAGAAGAGTTTTGATTTCCTTGAGTCCCATTCGTATGTCAAATACAAGTTTTAATTGTAAGTATAATCCCCACATACAGTTGACACAGCATAGTTAAAGGCTAACCCATGGTAGGTATCGCAGAAAGAAAAACTTTGATAATGGGAGGCAGAAAAAAATATCACGAGTTAAAGGATATTTTGTTAAGAAGATACAGTCTTCATAGTAAATTTCAGCTGAAAAACTTGACATTATCACTGCTAACTTCACTGCAAAGAGTGTAAATAATATATTAAAACTGAGAAAGACTGTTTAAAGTAGCAATTTTGCATGAGGCATTAGGTGAGCCGATTCACATGAGAAGAGTTACCACCTGCACCAGTTTCTCTAGTTTAGGCCCTTAAATTTAGCATACAAGAGACACTCCAGAAGGGCTTGTTACAACACAGATTGCTGGGCCCTATCCTTCGAGTTTCTGATTCATTACATCTGATTCATTACGTGCCTATTAAGTTCCCAGGTGGTACTAATATTGCTAGGTCAGGGATCCCACTCTGAGAAACACTGTGTAGATACATCTGGAGAAATTTGGGAACAAAAGAAGCACAGAGCAAAAAAAAAAAAAAAAAAAAAGAACAGGGAAATATTTTTTATTCAAAGAAAAAACATCCCCCATACTAATATAAATCTGACTCTACTGTTTTTGATGCCCAATGAATTATTAAGATGAGATATGCTTGTCTCCTGAATAGTCAACCAGATTTAAGTAGAAGTAGTGAAAGCCATTATTAGTCTTAGTGCCTAATATCAATCAAAGTAGTCCACACCAGAATATAATATTATAGTAGCCACATGTACTAATGCTTCTTCTTAACATTTTATTTTAATTATGAGTTTTTTTGTCTATACACTCCTGTGATGGTTAATACTAAGGGTCAACTTGATTGGATTGAAGGATGCAAAGTATTGATGCTGGGTGTGTCTGTGAGGGTGTAGTCAAAGGAGATTAACATTAAAGTCAGTGGGCTGGGACAGTAAGACCCACCCTTAATCTGGATAGGCACCACCTAATCAGTTGATAGCGTAGCTAGAATATAAAGCAGGCAGAAAAATGTGAAAAGACTAGACTGGCCTAGCCTTCCAGCCTACATTTTCTCTTGCACTGGATGCTTCCTGCCCTCGAACATTGGACGCCAAATTCTTCAGTTCTTGGACTGGCTCACCTTACTCCTCAGTGTGCAGACAGTCTATTGTGGGACCTTGTGATCATGTGAATTAATACTTAATAAACTCATATATATATATGTGTGTGTATATATATATATATATATATATATATATATATATGTCTCTAGCAGGACAGAAGTATATATATATATGTGTGTGTGTGTGTGTATGTCTCTAGTGGGACAGAAGTAATAGGATGTGTATATGTACATATATATACGTATATATGTATATATACGTATATATATGTATATATGTTCACACCAAGACTATCAGTGTTCTCCATACTATTATAAGTAGAGTCCTTAGCATTTTGGGGTCTAATCATATTAAGCAGCCAACTCTAGAAGCTCCAAAACCAATAAAATAACTCCATTCTTAATATTTTGTTCCTCTAAAACCACTCTTGGTACCAAAATCTGTATTAATCAGGGTTCTCTAGCGGGACAGAAGTAATAGGATGTGTATATATGTATATATACGTATATACACAGGATTTCCTGTAAGTAAAGGTGCCAGGTGTCTTGCCAGGTGTCTACTGTTAAAGTGATGTTATTGACTGGAAAAGAATAGGACCGCTCAACTTGGAATGGGGATCTCTGGAGGGACCCTGATAAAGCAGGGGACACTGAGTTTGTGAACTCTGATGAATCTTTTTTGCCAGAAAAACAGCTTCTCCATCCCCAGTAGTGGCAACATCCACTCCCTGACCCATGATGCAGTCAGCCTTTCCATCTTTGTCTGAGGAGATGGAAGCTGCACTGCCTGAGGCAACAGTGATGGCCTACCCTGAGGCAGCTGCCAGGCAAGATAATGTTGATTTTCCTCAGAAGCCACCCCCAACGCCCATTTGCTTCTAGACCTATAACTGGACTAAAGCCCCAGGGGGCCCCTAGAGGTGAGGTTGAGAGCATGACCCATAAGGAGGTGTGCTACACTAGAAAAGAACTGCCTGAGTTTTCTAATTTATGTAAGCAGAAATCTGGAGAACAGGCATGGGAATGGATATTAAGGGTTTGGGATCATGGCAGAAGGAACATAGAGTTGGATCAGGCTGAGTTTATTGATTTGGGCTCACTAAGTAGGAACTCTGCATTTATTGTTGCAAGTTGGGGAGTTAAAAAAGTTCTAATAGTTTATTTGCTTGGTTAGCTGAAATATGGATTAAAAGATGGCCCACTGTGAGTGAGCTGGAAATGCCTGATCTCCGTAGGTTTAATGTAGAAGAAGGGATCCAAAGGCTTAGGGAGATTGGGATGGTGGAGTGGATTGGTCACTTTAGACCTACTCATCCCAGCTGGGAGGTCCAGAAGATATACCCTTGACCAATGCTTTGCGAAATAGATTTGTGAGGGCAGCATCTGCATCTTTGAAGAGCTCTGTAATTGCTCTTCTCTGTATGTCAGATCTAACAGTGGGAACTGCAGTCACTCAACTACAAAATTTAAATACAGTGGGAATAATTGGATCCTAAAGAGGGGCCAAGTGGCAGCATTCAACCATCAAAGGCAAGGTGGGCCTGGCTACCATAATGAACAGCAGAGGCAAAGCAGCAATCAGAAGAGTCTGACTTGTGTAAGGCTCTGACATTGGCTAACTAATCACGGTGTTTCTAGAAGTGAAATTGATAGGAAGCCTACTGCATTCCCACTTAATTTATACAAGCAGAAAACTTCCAGGTTGAATGGACAAAAGACTAATTTGAATTATAAAAACAGAGAATCATGGTCCCTCTATCAATTTCCAGACTTGAGCCAGTTTACAGACCAAGGACCCCTTGAATGGAGGGGAGGCCATGTCCCCTTGAGGAAGGACCCCACTACACTACCGACAATTTATGCTGTTAATCTTTCTCCCATCCTCTCCCAAGGAGAACTCTGGCCTTTTACCAGAGTAACTGTGCAATGGGGAAAGGGAAATGATTAGACATTTTGGGGACCACTGAAGACTAGCTTGAGCTGACATTGACTCCAAGGGACCCAAAATGTCATTGTGGTCCTCCAGTTAAAGTAGGGGCTTATGGAGGTCAGGTAATTATAGGAGTTTTAGCTCAGGTCCAACTTACAGTGGGTCCAGTGGGTCCAGAGACTCATCCTGTGGTCATTTCCCCAGTGCCAGAATGCATAATTGGTATAGACATACTTAGCCACTGGCATAACCCTCACGTTGGCTCTGTGACTGGTAGGGTGACAGCTATTATGTTGGAAAATACCAAATGAAAGGCGTTAGAGCTGCCTCTACCAAGAAAAATAGTACATCAAAAATAGTATTGCATCCCTCCTGTTCAACTCTCCTATTTGGCCTGTGCAGAAGACAGATGGACCTTGGAGAATGACAGTGGATTATCATAAGCTTAACTAAGTGGTGACTCCAATTGCACCAGATGTGGCTTCATTGTTTGAGCAAATTAACACATCTCCTAGTACCCGATATGCAGCCATTGACTTGACAAATGCCTTTTTCTCCATTCCTGTCCATAGGGCCCACCAGAGGCCATTTGCCTTCAACTGGAAAGATGAACAATATACCTTTACTGTCCTACCTCAGGGGTATATCAACTGTCCAGCTTTGTGTCATAATCTTATTATTGGAAAAGAACTTGATTGTTTTTCGCTACCACAAGATATCACACTGGTCCATTACCTTGATGACATTGTATTGACTGGATCCTGTAAGCAAGAATTAGCAAACACTGGACCTATTGGTGAGACATTTGCTTGCCAGAGGATGGGAAATAAATTTAACTAAAATTTAGGGACCTTCTACCTCAGTAAAATTTCTAGGGGTCCAGCGGTGTGGGACTTGTTGAGATATTCTTCCAAGGTGAAGAATAAGTTGCTGCATTTGGTCCCTCCTACACCATAAAAGAGGCACAATGCCTAGTGTGCCTATTTGGATTTTGGAGGCAACACATTCCTCATTTGGGTGTGTTACTCTGGCCCATTTATTGAGTGACCTGAAAGGCTGCCAGTTTTGAGTGGGGTCCAGAACAGAAGAAGGGTCTCCAACAGGTCCAGGCTGCTATGCAAGCTGCTCTGCCACTTGGGTCATATGACTAAGTAGATCCAATAGTGCTTGAGGTGTCAGTGGTAAAAAGGGATGCTGTCTGAAGCCTTTAGCAGGCCCCCAGAGGTGAATCACAGTGGAGGACTCTAGGATTTTGGTGCAAGACCCTGCCATATTCTGCAGATAACTACTCTCCTTTCGAGAGACAGCTCTTGGCCTGTTACTGGGCTTTGGTGGAAACTGAATGTTTGACTATGGGTCATTAAGTCACCGTGTAACCTGAACTGCCTATCGTGAACTGGGTGGTTTCTGACCCATCTAGCCATAAAGTGGGTCATGAACAGCAGCATCCCGTCATCAAATGGAAGTGGTATATACGTGATCGGGTTCGAGCAGGTCCTGAAGGCACAAGTCAGTTACATGAGGAAGTGGCTCAAATGCCCATGGTGTCCACTCCTGCCACCCTGCCTTCTCTCCCCCAGCCTGCACCAATGGCCTCATGGGGAGTTCCCTATGATCAGTCGACAGAGGAAGAGAAGACTAGGGCCTGGTTTACAGATGGTTCTGCATGATATGCAGGCACCACCTGAAAGTGGACAGCTGCAGCACTACAACCCCCTTCTAGGACATCCCTGAAGGACACTAGTGAAGGGATATCTTCCCAGTGGGCACAACTTTGAGCACTACACCTGGTTGTGCACTTTGCATGGAAGTAGAAATGGCCAGGTGTGCAATTATATACTGATTTGTAGGCTGTAGCCAATAGTTTGGCTGGATGGTCAGTGACTTGGAAGAAGCATGCTTGGAAATTGGTGACAAATAAATTTGGGGAAAAGGTATGTGGATGGATCTGTCTGAGTGGTCAAAAACTGTGAAGATATTTGTATGCCATGTGAGTGCTCACCAACAGGTGACCTCAGCAGAGGAGGATTCTAATAATGAAGTGGATAGGATGACCCATTCTGTGGACACCAGCCTCTTTCCCCAGTCACCCCTGTCATTGCCCAATGGGCCAATGAACGAAGTGTCCATGTTGGTAGGGATGGAGGTTATGCATGGGCTCAGCAACATGGACTTCCACTCACCAAGGCTGACGTGGCTACAGCCAGTGCTGAGTGCCCAATGTGCCAGCAGCAGAGACAAACACTGAGCCCTCAATGTGGCACAATTCCTCAGGGTGATCAGCCAGCTACCTGGTGGCAGGTTGGTTATATTGGACCTCTTCCATTATAGAAAGGTCAGAGGTTTGTCCTCACTGTAATAGACACTTACTCCGGATATGGGTTTACCTATCCTGTACTCAGTGCTTCTGCCAAGAATACCATCCGTGGACTCACAGAATGCCTTATGCACTGTCATGGTATACCACACAGCATTGCCTCTGACAAAGGCACTCACTTTACTGCTAAAGAAGTGCATCAGTGAGCTCATGCTCATGGAATTCACTTGTCTTACCATGTTCCCCATCATCCTAAAGCAGCTGGATTGACAGAACAGCGGAATTGCCTTTTGAAGTCAGAATTACAATGCCAACTAGGTGTCAATACTTTTCAGGCCTGGGGCAAAATTCTCCAGAAGGCAGTGTATGCTCTGAATCAGTGTCCAATATATGGTACTGTTTCTCCCATAGCCAGGATTCAAGGATCCAGGAATCAAGGGGTGGAAGTGGAAGTGGCACCACTCACCATCACCCCTAGTGATCCACTAGCAAAATTTTTGCTTCCTCTTCTTGCGACACTCTGTTCTGCTGGCCTAGTGGTCTTAGTTACAGAGGGATGAAATCTGCCACCAGGAGACACAAGAACGATTCTATTAAACAGGAAGTTAAGATTGCCACCTGGACACTTTGGGCTCCTCCTACCTTTAAGGTAACAGGCTATGAAGGGAATTACAGTGTTGACTGGGGTGATTGACCTGGACTATCAAGATGAAATCAGTCTACTACTCTACAATGGAGATAAGGAAGAGTATGCATGGAATACAGGAGATCCATTAGGGTGTGTCTTAGTATTACCACGCACTTTGATTAAGGTCAATGGGAAACTACAACAGCCCAATCCAGGCAGGACTACAAATGGCCTAGATCCTTCAGGAATGAAGGTTTGGGTGACTCCACCAGGAAAAAGCCATGACCTGATGATGTGCTTGCTGAAGGCAAGGTGAATACAGAATGAGTAGTAGAAGAAGATAGTCATCGATACCAGCTACGACCATGTGACCAGCTGCAAAAAAGGGGTCTGTAACTGCCATGAGTATTTCTTCCTTCTTTTGTTAAAAACATGTTTGTGCATGTTTTCTTGTACTAAGAATATATCTTCATTGTATTTCCTTTTTTCTTCATCATGTGACATAAGATTTATTGACTTTATATCAGCATTTAAATATTGTTAACTTTATGTAATGGTATTTTGAGTTGGGGATTGGTGCATTTCTGGTTTTCTGAAGGATATTTGCATTATGTTTGGCATAATTATGACCTTACTATTGTCTTTATTTGAAGATCATTTATGATCTCAGGAGATGTGTATGGGTTCAGGTTGACAAGAGATGGACTTGTGATGGTTAATACCGAGTGGCAACTTGATTGGATTGAAGGATGCAATGTATTGATCCTGGGTGTGTCTGTGAGGTGTGAGGTTATTGCCAAAGGTGATTAACATTTGAGTCAGTGGGCTGGGAAAGGCAGACCCACCCTTAATCTGGTTGGGCACCATCTAATCAGCTGCCAGCATGGCTAGAACATAAAGCAGGCAGAAAACTGTGAAAAAACTAGACTGGCCTAGTCTCTCAGCCTACAGCTTCTCCCATGCTGGATGCTTCCTGGCCTCTAACATCAGACTCCAAGTTCTTCAGCTTTGGGATTCGGACTGGCTTCCTTGCTCCTCAGCTTGCTGACGGTCTATTGTGGGACCTTGTAATCATGTGAGTTAATACTTAATAAGCTCCCCTTTACATATATATATATATATATATATATATATATATATATATATATATATATATATATATGGAGAGAGAGAGAGAGAGAACTTCATATATATATGGAGCTTCCCCTTTATATATATAGAGGGGAAGTATTAAGTTATATATATATAAATATATATAATTTTATATATATATATATATATATATATCTCCAATTAGTTCTGTCCCTCTAGACAACCCCAACTCCTTAAATGGAATCTGTTATACAACTTATTTTTACTATGGTAATCCTTTCCTCCTATCCCTCTAGATAGTCTGAATATCACATGGTATATTAGTAATATAATAACATACAAATATAATAATGGTCACTTGTTTTTATTTAAATCAAGGGTGGATTTATTTGTAAAGATGAAGTTTAATGATATTGGGCACCAAAAAATGGGTAATTAAAATGGGCCATTAAAATAATAAAAATTTAGTAAATAGCAATAATTTACCTTTTAAGTACAAGAATAATTTTCATGCAAATAGAATGCAAGTAATGTTAGTTGTAAAAGACATGTTGATCTCAATATTACACCATTTCAACTGTATAGTTACCTATTTACCAAAATATTTTTCCTATAATGAAAATAGTTTATTAAAAACAATTAAATTAAATTTTCTACATTTACGCTTAAAGTTTAACTTAAAATTTAAGACAGATTTATATACAGATAATAGAAGAAACTATCATAATACACTTTACATATAATAGTCTTGTAAGAACACAAATTGTATTTCCATTAAAAATAAAGTCACATGGCATTATCACACTGTATTATTAGGGTGGGCAACAAAACAATCCCAAATATTTAATATGTCAAACTCAAATGAAGTTTATTCTTTACTTTCTCAGTATCCCAAGGTAGAATTGATCAGCGGACTGCTGTCTCCTTTATAGTAATTCAGGCTCCTTTCTTGTCTGTGCCTTGCCATCCCCTTGGGTTTTGCCAGAGAGTGGGAGGGGAAAGAGGGTGGAGGCAGCATACTCACCTCATAGAAAACCTTGGCCCACATGTGACCAGACTTTTCTCAAGTTCCACTGGTAAGAACAACTCACATGGCAACATCCAATTACAAGAGAAACTGGGAAAGTAGTCTAGACTTAAGTACAGAAAAAATAAAAAAGGTTTTGGTTAAAACTTAGCCAGTTTCTCCCATATATTGTTTGTGAAAACAATAATGGAAATGAAAGGTATGTTAGAGAATGTTATGTTTTAACTTTCTGTGATGTGTAAATTTAAGAAACATATTAAATGCAATTAATTGAAAATAAGGATACAAAAACACCCAATTCTGTTTATTACAAAGGATAAGCATTGTTTATTATGTAAGTTTAGCATGTTTCTTGTGATGTTTATGCTACACGTTATTCTTCCTACCTGTCTAAAAAAGCAAACTGCAGAATATTAAAGCTATGCTAAGCACATCGTTACTGACTCTTGTGCCTCCACGCAAATTTATAAGCATCACTTCTCACAAGATAAATTTTTGTGAAAGGCTATATTAATCAGCTTTTATCTATGCATTTATACGAGATTACTGTAAGCTCTAGCAACTTGGCAAATATTTACTGACATTTCAATTCATAACCAAGGATATCTTACTGTTCTCAAAAAACAAAGACTGTTATATTTTGAAGTCAAAGTATGGTAGGAGAAGACAAGTTTCAGGGAATTTTGTTTTGCATCACTCAATACTATCTGACATTAAATCTAAGAGCACTAGGAGAGAAACAACGAACAATAAAAAATGACAATGCCTTCTAAAATATTTTCTCTTTTTTAAAGGAAAATAAAATTTCCCAGGAAAAAGTTTTTCATGTCCATCTTCAGACTTGGCGACCATACACTTATAAAAAGTCTGATAAAAAGGGAAGAGAAATGATGTAAATACAACTAACCGTTGTTTTTAAACAGAAAGAATATTTATTCTAACACGAAGCTTATAATAAAGGTTTTCATTTTTCACTCTACTCCAATTTAGAGACACTCACTTTTTAATTAAAAAATCACAAAGTTTTATACTGAGAGTACTAGTCTAATTTCAATCTTACAAATTAGTAAAATAAAAACTCAGTAGTATAAATTCCTGAATTTTCCAACTCAACTACCTGAAGAAGCTGGACAGGTACTGCATGACTTATAATACCTACTTTTTAACTTCTATCAAATATAAATCATTCAGCTATGACTCAAACTGATTTATGACTACCAAATTACTTTGACCATTGGCATTGTTGATACCTAGTGAACATTTTACTTGATTAACTAGCAACATAAATAAACTGTATGAAGTGGAGATCAGTAAGTGTTACTGTTTTTTAGATGAGAAATCACTGGGAAAAAGTCACTAACATGACAATGACCCCTTCCTTACTGTTTACCATTCAAAGACATGTGCAAGCAGTCATGGACAGTAAATTAAACCATAAGAATAATTGATATGAGTAATCCTCACTTTGGACATAGTTTAAAGATTCATTGAACAATGAAGAATGCAAATGCATGCTTTACAAGGACAATAAAGAGAAGTCAGCAATTTCAATCCCAAATTAGTACTAATTTTAAGAAGTCCTAGACAGTTGAAATTATGTATAAAAATTTCTCCAAAATTTATATAATTCATTGAGCAATTGGCTCTTATCTTCTTCTCCACCATAAATAGGGTGAACTTAAGTTCATATATTATGAATTTGAAGGCATAAGATATAGAAGATAGGTCAAGACCAGGTGGGAAAATGTTAGATACTCTACCGATCCATTACTGAGTAAAAAATCATGCCCAAACTTAGTAATTTAAAACAACAATCACTTTATTCTTAATCATGGTATAAGGGGGTCAGAGCTCACCTAGGTAGTTCTGGCTTGGAATCTCTTATGCATGTACAGTCAGACAGTGACTAGACTGGGAAGTGTCGGGGTGAGAGTCAACTAAAGTAGTGGGGGCTGTCCAGGAATCTCTCTTTTTCCCTGTGTATGTGTGTCATCTTATGGATTCCCTATGTTGTATTGCAAAATGGGATAGCTTGGGCTTCCTCACAATTATGGCAGCCCAACGATAGTCAGACATGACAAGATAAGTCTTCAAGAGCAAGTAGTGAGCAAGGCAGAAGTGCAAGTAGTGAACAAGGTCACATGCAGTGACTTAAGCTTTAGAAGTCACATGTAATTTTTGCCGTACTCGTATTATGAGACAGCCATCACAACCCACCTGGTTTCAAGGGGAAGAAACATAAATCCCCTTCTCTTAATGAGAGTAGCACCAAATCGCATGGTAAAAAGTACTGTTGCTGCCATTTTTAGAAAATAAAGTCAGACACAGCAGGCTACCTTTGTGAAATGTGCATTTGCTATTTCAAATATTCAATTTTCATACATAAGTTTGTAGTTTCTAAAAGATGGGCCAAGTCTTTTAAAATATTTCAAGAACTGATAAGTAGCTAGTAAGCAAAATGTTTGTTAGACATAGGCAGAATTCATGGGAATTGTAAAGTATAAAATAAAAATCAGGGCATGTGTGTGTTAAACATAGACAGAAAAGCACAGAAAGACCAGGGATATCCAGTGTTCATGAGACATGTGCGTAGTACATATTTGTGTATATATTTGTATATATTATATGTGAACATACCTGATAACAAATACACAGGAGATTCTAAGTATTTAGGATACACTAGATATACATGAAAAATTAGCATTCAAGAGGTCTTTGTTTGGCCATCCATAGGTGACACTAATTATAACCATATATATCTTCTGCCCAAGTAACACAAATAAAACCCATCACTATTCATCCAGCTAATTAGAGAGCTACATCTACCAGCCAGATGTATTTGTCCCTGCGTCTCTCTAATAGAGTATGTGCCATTGACCCAAGTGTCTTCTGCCCTTTTGACCCCTAGCAGGTGTTTCAAGGCCCCTCCATTATGGGCCTTGTAACCACACCATTCATGGGGAAGGCTAATGAGACAGAGAGAGGAACAAGACATAAAAACATTGCGGATCCCAGAGTTTAGGTAGTATGGTTTCTCCACACTCTTTGTGCCCTACCCTACATGTGTTAACCGACTCCATCTCTTTTCCCTTGTTTCTACGTGTTTTTAGTAGACTTGAGAAAATGCATCATTTGATCATTTTAATTTGTTCTGTGAGCCTTTCTATTCTGTGACCTCTGGGATGTACTTGCTGGTAATGAACATGGAGGCTTCCATTGTATCAAGGTGATGTCCCACATGACACTTTATTTTGGGAAGTAGGAATGCAAAACTTGGGTTCTTATGACCCAAAATATTTTCTCAGAACTCCCTGAATTAGTCCAAAAACAAATACAAACAAGTAAAAAGAAAAGAAAAGCCTGGGTGCGGTGGCTTGTGCCTGTAATTCCAGCACTTTGGGGGGCTGAAATGGGGGGATCGCTTGAGCCCAGGTGTTCAAGACCAGCCTGGGCAACATAGCAAAACCTCATCTCTACAAAATAATAAAAAAAACAATAATTAGCTGGGTGTGGTGATGTGTGCCTGTAGTCCCAGCTATTTGAGTGGCCAGGGTGGGAGAATTGCTTGAGCCTGGGAGATTGAGGCTGCAGTGAGCCATGATCATGCCACTGCAATCCAGCCTGGGTGACAAAGTGAGAAACTGTCACAAACAAACAAACAAACAAAAACAAAAAATGAAAAGCAGGTGCTAATCAAACACGTCAGCCAACTTCCTGACATCTCTGAAGTCCTATTCAGCCAAAGAACCTCAAATCATCTCAAAGATATGTAAGTTGTGGCAGACCACTATCACAAAATAATGCCAACCTGCAACTGGATCCAGGATAGATTTGGATAGAGGGAGCTTGGGACTCCTGGCAAGCTAGCAATAAAATCTCATTATGGTCTTTTAATTAATCTTGAAATTATGCAAACTCACATTTTATGTAATTAAATTTTAGTGATCATTTACCATAGTTAGCAAATATTTGTTACAGCATACATGTGTGTTTCTGCTTTATTTTCTCTTATTTTACTATACCAATCCTATTTTTGAGTTTTGGGATTATAAAATGTGTCTTGGGTATTGAGACTTATTTGATAATATAAATAATGTATTGATTTATAATTTGTGGTTTCCTTGCATCATGTGGGAACCGGCTACATAGGGAGTCAGGAGTCCCACATTGTGATAAAAAATATAATGGAGGTGATATATTTAATCTATTTGTGGAAGATCAGAAACGAGGATGAAAATGTGTTACCAAGGAAATTTGTGGATGAATGGCATGAAAGGGTAAAAGTGAGGACAAATAACTACAGGCAGATAAACTATGGCTTGCATAAGGAACGGTGGATGGTGAGAAGTTGGCTATAGCAGAGTGGTGAGGGAAGCTTTGACTGAAAGAAAAGAATAAAAATCTAAACAAGACATGAAAATCTTGTTAAAGTGTTTCAAGATGTATCCTGTGGGTAACAGGGAACCTATTAAAGTTTTAAATCAAGGGCATGTGGTGTATATTTTGCAAGAGGCAGGATGAAAATTGAGAGATAAGAAAGAAAGGATAGGTGATATAAATACTGAACCACCTTTCAATGGGATATGAAACAGAGATGAGTATATCTAGGTTGAAGCAAAATGAATTCACCTTTGATCATGTTAAGGGTTATTATCTGACCATGAGCCATCTAATTAGAGATGTTCAAAAGCAGTTGAAATACCAGTCTATCAAAGAGAAATCTGGGCTGTTAAGAAGTGTTTGCAAATCATTACTGGCATTTGAAATGATGGAAGAGAGGAACATTGATAATTAAGAGGGTGTAGAATCAGGTAACATGAGGAAAGGATGACAGAACCTCAGTGACCACTAATATTTAGGAAATGCTTCTAACAAGAAGTAGGCAGAGGTGAGGAGGGGAAGGAAGGAAAGAGTGCAATCATGGCAAGAAGTAGGGAGTGGTGATGAGTGTGAAATATTCCTGAAAAATCAAGTAATATAAAAATTGGAAAACATTATTTGGATTTAGCAAGAACATATTATATTTATTAAGGGGAGTTTCAGTAAAATGGTGATTGCATTTCCTTTCTTTCATTCTCTATATCTTATTGAACATCTATGATGTACCAGGCAATATTATAGATACTTAGGATGCAGCGATAAATAATAGAATAAGAGAAAATTCTTGTTTACACGAAGCTTACATTCTAGTGTTCAGTCATTTAAAAATATTTACCACAGACCTTATTTTCATCAGACAATGTGTCAGTATTATGGTTTATCACTTATAAATATCAATTATTATATAATTCTTTAAAAACCACAAATCCTGCGGGGAAGGGTGGGCAGGGAGAATTTTGACCCCAGAAACATTTCACAAATATTGTACTTTAAAAATTCGCTTCACGTTGCCTCTGTTCCTATTACATCATGAAGAAGCTTAAATGCAAAATACACCTTTATTAAACTGTTTTTATGCTCCTGTTGGATTTATTTACAGTCATGCATGGCTTTATATTAAGATACTTCTACATTTAATGGTTGACAAGCAAATAACTTGGAAAATTATTCTGAAATTTTGTAGACACAAAATTTTATTAATGACTTCTAGCTCTTGTAGAACCAGAAAGTCCATTTTAAAATATTTTTTTCAGTTTATTTATTTGCTGCCCTGTGACTAGGGTTTGAATGAAGGCAGTCGATTTTAAAGATTAATTTCTGTCCAATTAGATTTCAGTGTTCTAATTAAATAATTCAGAAAGCAGACAAAAAGTGCAGAGAAACAAAGAGAAACATGTTTTTTTGCTTTCTAAAAATATAAATTTATTAATTCATCAAATATTTTAGATGTCACAGGTATTAACAATATAACTTTTCCTAAACAAATTTATCAGGAATAAATCTCATAATCTCTTCTTTCAAAATGCCTTGTGAAAAGGATTGTATAATAAGATACCTTATTAAAACACCTTAAAGTTACCTGCAATTAAAGCTTAAGCATTATTAATCAGAAACTTTTGGACTGATTTTTAATTTTACTTCAAAGTTATTAAGGGCACAAATAAAATTTATTGAGTATTTTTTAATTTATTACAGAACATCTTGAGATTAATTGAATATATCTGCAAATCAGGTTTTGCCTTAGTGGCAACGGTTGATTTAAAAAAATATTAACAATTGAGCATAGCACATTTAATTTGAGATGATTTGGCCTTGAAATTGGCAAAATTCGATATCAATCTACGCCTTAGGCTGATCATTACAATTCAATTTACAATGAACTTCCTGAACACCTATTATCTACCTCTTAATGCAACTTATTGAATTCCTACTGTAGAAGATATTCAAAAATTAAAAGAAAAAATCAAAATACCATGTATAATGAAATAATAAACTTGTAGACATAGGGATACCACAAGATCTCTCTTTGTATGTTTCTCGTTTGCATCAAAGTCAATGTATTTAAAACCAAAGTTATGGAGTTTTTGTAATTTTTTATCCTTAACTCCTTCCAGGTGTCCTTCTGTATGCCATTTTCATCCTCCGAGTAACTAAAATTCATAATTTTGTAATCCCCACTTAATTATAAATTTTGACCCTATAACTAGTATGATGGTAAGATTTGTTGAATTTTAACTACAAAATATTTCTCAATATTTTCCTTTTTATCCTACTGGGACTCAATATCTCAAGCCATATTATTGCATAAGCCATTTAACCTTCTTTACTAATCTTGGAGCAATTCAGTAAGTGTACAAGGAGGTTGGGATATAAAGAGGCTCTTGGGACAGGAAACATAGGAAGATGCACCAGTGAGGTATAATTGTAAATTATACATAAATATGTCAGCAAGAAGAGCATTTGAATCGTCATGTCCACACATAATATGTGAGACTTAAGCAGGCAAGTAGGGGGCTGCAGGCTGGGTTGCCTGACAGCATGTGAGGTTTACTCAGCTATAGACAGAAACAGGATTCCAGCCCATGAAGGGGTACAAGAACAAGATATGATACCTGCCTTAAACATTTCTGGCAGGGTATGAAAAGAATAGAACATAGTACTGAAAGCATCATCTAAGCAGACTGCCTGTTTTCAAACCCTGTCTCTGCCACATCACATGCTAGCTGACTTTAAGCAAATTATTAAACCTTTCTGTATCACCCATATCATTATGTGTAAAATAGGGATAAAATGATATCCACATCTATGGATGTAGGATTAAAGGAGATCATTCATATACAAGGCTTAATAAATGCCAACTATTATTAGCATCAGTAATTTCAGACCCGAGAAACCAGGCAAAACCTCATATTTGCAGCAGAGATAAAAATTAGAGGTCATTGTAAAGCTAATTTGTATAAGTAGATGAAAGTCAGGGATGGTCTTGATGGATAAACATACCTTCCTCTAACCTCTCAATTATGCAGTTTCATACAGAAAATACATAACTAAATTATATAGAATTTTTGTTAACATTTAAGCTGCCAACATATAAACTAAGCTAAAAATTTAGTTTATTAATACATTCATAAGTGCTTTCTAATACAGTTATCCTCACTGCCTGTTTATCAGGATTTAAGTGTTTGCTTAGGGGAGATTTTTAAAGTAAGTATAAGAATGCTTTATATGTTCATTTTGGGAGAAAACACATTACAATTACCCTTTTTGCACTTCATACCTAAATCCCATGGTAGGAAGCTAAAACAACTTGTGAGAAGGCAATACCAGCTTAAATTATTTCCTCAGGTAATATTGATTTTCTCACAAAGCTATATGAAAGCTCTTTTAAAAAGCATAAAACACATGGCAAAATATTAATATAATTGATTTATGGCTATATATTGTTTAGATATATGGAAAATTGTCATCTATTTAAAACAAAAATTACTTCATTCAACAAATATTTATTGTGCTGGACACAGAATATACAGCAATTAATATGGTATATTTTCTTTAAGCAATTATTGTAATAATCATTTAATTCAGATGAGCACCTTACCTGTAGATATAAGCAATATGTACTTCAGTTGTTCTGAGGTATTAGTTTTACTTTAAAAGATAGGAAATTGTACGTGATGAAACAGTGCTCTAATAATGCAATAGAGTAGTTGACAAAACAGACTTAGTCAAGAAAAAGAATAATAAAATATTGATATTAGAGATAAATATGCAAAGACAAGTTGTTCACTTGAATAACTTTTCATGACTGCTTTTCTCTACCTCAGGGTATTATTTGTTTATTTGTTTATCCTAGTTCACCAAGTTGTCATTTATTTGATGGAATATTATAATAGTCTTCAGCCAACATCTCATACCATCAAAGATAATGGTTATGAGAAAATATTTTTATCTCCAGGTATTGGGATTTTGAAGGTCCTTAGAAAGGACCATTTTCAAAATCTTAAGTAAAACATGGGCTACCAAAAATGATTACCTCACAAGATACTATTTTTAGGTTAAATGTGATTAAATTTTTATACAAAAGTCATGTTACAGAAAGATAAGCAAATTTCTCTAAGATAATTGGAATATTTGGGCTCATATCATCAAAAACTGAATATTAAAATTGTATTAGGAATAGAACTAGGAGTTTCTTTTTCTAATATGGAAAAATATAATTTAATTTAATTTATCATTCTTACCATAAGAATAAACAATATTTCTGTAAGAAGTGTTATATATCAAATGTTCTATCACATGTTCTAATTTTCATAAGTTAGAACACAAGAAATCAAATCAAATGTCCTAGTTTTATATCAAATGTTCTAATTATAACAAATAAATTATAATATTCCATATGAATGTCCTTTAAATTCAGACCGTATATAGAGGATGAAGCACGTTTAAAAATTGGACAAATAATTGAAACTATGACTAATAAAATGAGCACTGTCATAACATTGTAAAATCAGCATGCAGCTAAAGAATGATAGCTCCCATTTATCAATTACCATCTTCATAAAATGTTCAGACCCAATCACTCCAGGTTTAAACAATTGTTGTTTTAGTATAATATCTTTCTACCTATCCATCTATGCATCTCTCCCTGTCTTCCTCCACCTCTCTCTACAGTTTATATTCATAAGAATAAGAGTTGTTATTTCCTACATGTACATTTATATTTGGAAAAGTTAAATCTTGCTGTATGTTATCTTATAAACTCACATTACTTGAAAAGCTTCCTAAGTAATATGCATACTTTTTTTATTTTCTTGTCTTTTACTGGAATTGTGTTTTAGTCGTGTAAATTGCCGTCAGTACTTCTGCCTAAAAGTCCTTCAAAAGACTCAATTTTTAATGCTTTCTGTCACCAGGAGACACTAAGTTATTTAAGTGGGAAAACTATTTTGAGGATCCTGGGTTGCAATGATGTCATCTATTTGAGAAACTTTAATAAAAACATATACTTGGTGAAGAAAGGGCACGTTTTAGGAAAGACTGACCCCATGAGCAAATCTGGCTAAGATTAACAAAATACCACTAGCTTAACAGGCTGTAAACGTTTATGGACATCAACAAGAACAATCCAGTATTATCTTTCTTTGTCAATTACTTCTTAAAGGACAAAAGAGCTTTACAGATGGACAAGTTGATTTAGTTTAGACTAACTTGCAGTTATCATTTTGTAATAATTAGAGATTTAGTGTTAGATGAAGTAGTTTGTCCTTTAGAAATTAGCTCAAGATATTGAGGTTAACCTTCAGATGGTGACCTTTGTCCCTCGTCAACTGTGGCTGTTTATAAGTCTTGGTTTCAAGGTTAATGACATTATATTCATTATGCTGTCAGTTTTCTAAGATAAATCAATTCTTAAATGATATCACTGTAGTGCAAATTTTTCATATCAGAAGCCATCCTGGCCATGCACTTTACAATTTAATTATTGTAAAAGGAAAATGCATTAA
The DNA here is from genome assembly GCF_000001405.40 of Homo sapiens. Taxonomy (NCBI): domain Eukaryota; kingdom Metazoa; phylum Chordata; class Mammalia; order Primates; family Hominidae; genus Homo; species Homo sapiens. The sequence goes on from NC_000012.12 coordinate 81,779,041, forward strand.
AATGTCGTCATATTAAATGGCACCTTTAAATTGAGTGCTACCAATACATTTTTACATTCAGATCCTTGAAATAAGAGTAAAGTGATTCTAAAAAAATAACTTAAAAATGCAAAAAAAAAACCCACATGATTTTAAAAACTTATTTGCTTATCTTTGTATCCTAGATTACAAATAATTGTATACATATATTTATGTAGATAGTATACATATCTATGGTTTTGTGGATGAAAATAAAACTAGCTAAATTTATTGTCTTCATACAATTTCAAGTATTATCAGGGAAGTGGTAATAGAAGGTATGGTGGATGGAGGTAGAAACACATTTGTAAGTTTCTATTTCCTTCATGTGCAAATAATTACTCACATGTAAGGAATTTCAAACCATTATATGAACTTCATTGTAATGCCAATTCTTGCCTAACATGAATTGATACCATTTGTAATACCATTGTGAACTAAAAAAAAGATTCTTATTAATAAGAAGGTCATACTATTAAATTACTTTTATTTTCATATGGTGGCTTAGAATCATCTATGATTAACTAAGAAACACTTTCCAAGATTAGATAATAAAAAATTGATACGAAAAATCTATAATAGCTCAAAATATATTACGGAAATTTTCAAATGTCATGTTGGGATCTATTTCAAGAAGTTATTCACCAGGCTGTATTATGATTAGATCATCATTATCATATTCCAGTTTATAGAATGTATACACGATTTTTAAAAATCTAATACATTTTACCTGGGAACTCTGATGTGGCATTTTGAGAGTAAGGTGATAGCTTTTTTGTATTTGAATATAATTTTGAGACTAATGGAAAAATTGTTGAGAAAAAGAGCATTTTCTGCTTGTGTACATCACCATTTGTTTGGCAGGTAAAAGAAAGATTAAGTTATGATCTTTGAAGATTTTGCTCTGGAGGGTTTTAAGTTTAGACTTCACATTACAACAATTGATTTAATCTATTATGTCACATTTTTATTCATCAATATAAATGATGTACAATTTAACTTCACCATCATATAATATTGTTAAATGTTATTTACTAATGGAGCCAATGTCCCTTGTTATTTTACTCCTTTTTAGAACATTTATTTTCTTCCAACTACAAGAAAGGTAACTGCATGTGAACCTGGAATACGCTTTATAATTTCCCTGCTATTACACAAACCAAACTTGACAAGTAGGACTTAAATAAACTAAAGAGCTCTGCACAGAAAAAAAAAAAAAACTCAGCAGAGTAAACAGATAACCTACGGAATGGGAGAAAATATCCACAAACTATGCATCTGACAGAGATCTAATATCCAGAATCTATAAGGAACTTAGTTCAACAAACAAAAAACAACCCCACTAAACATGGGCAAAGGACATGAACAGATACTTCCTAAAAGAAGACATTTATATGGCCAACAAATACATGAAAAAAAACATCATCAGTAATTATTAGAGAAATGCAAATGAAAACTACAATGAGATATCATATACCAGTCAGAATGGCTACTAACAAAAAGTTTAAAAAATAGCAAATGCCTGTGAGGTTGCAGAGGAAAGGGAACACACACACTGCTGGTGGGAGTGTAAATTAGTTTGGTCACTGTGGAAAGCAATGTGGAGATTCCTCAAAAAAAACTTAGAACTACCATTCTACCCAGGAATCCCATTGCTGAGTATATATCCAAAGGAAAATACATCATTCTAACAAAAAGACACATGTGCTGATATGTTTGCTGCTGCACTATGCACAATAGCAAAGACATGGAATCAACCTAGATGCCCATCAACGGTGAACTGGATACAGAAAACTTGGCACATATACACCATGAAATACTATGCAGCCATAAAAAGCAATGAAATTATGTCTTTCGCAGTGACATGGATACAGCTGAAGGCCCTTATTTTAAGTGAACTAACACAGGAACAGAAAACCAAATACTGTTATCTTCTCACTCATACGTGGGAGCTAAACACTGAATACACATAGACACCAAGATGGAAACAACAGACACTGGGAACTACTTGAGTGGGGAGGGTGGAACAAGGCATGGGTTGAAAAACCACCTATCAGGTACTATGCTCACTACTGGGGTGACAGGATTATTCATGTGCCTCAGAGACACACAATCTCAGAGACACACAATTTACCCACATGAAAAATCTGCACACCTACCCCAAACTTAAAATAAATGTCAAAAGAAAAAAAATAAGAAAATATAGATGATCTAGGAAAAGGTTTTGCTTAAAAGCTAATTGGTATGAAATGTTTAATATAAACATTACCCAAATGACAAGAATTTGTGAGAACATTTAGCTTGCAAAGAGCAAATTAAGTTATGAAAACTACAACACAAATGTTATCTTGCTGCTTCACTTTTTACCATGTCTTATGAAACCTTTTCAAAGGACTTTAAAATAAACATGTTAGAAATAAAAAAAGAGAGAAAACCAAACTTTACCCTTGGTAAAATTTATTAATTTAACATTTATTAATGTTAAAGCTTATCTTAATAAAACCTTATTGTAAAATATCCTTGCTTTTGATTCAGCTTGAATCTTTGATATTTTTCCCATTGGTTTGCCTTCTTTATTGTCTTTGTACATAGCAACCTGACAATATCTACCACAGATATATAAATTGCAGGTCCATTGATTGCAGCTATCCTTTTTATACCACATTTTAGGGACCATATTATTTTAACAATAAATATTCTAACCTTAAATATCTATCACAGATATATAAATTACAGGTCCATTGATTGTAGCTATCCCTTTTATACCGCATTTTAGCAATAAATTATCATCAAGGAATTCAAGCGAAGTGATCTCTGCCCCTGACTAGCAATAATAGTTGTAATAGTTGTAATCACAATATTTAAGCACCAGTACTGACAGTTTGCCCTAATGTGTCATCATGTAATTCATTCTTCAAAATAAACAATGCTTCAAATTAGAGGTATTGCTTTGGTATAGGAATCTATATTACCTTTTGTAAATAAAAAAAATATTTTTAAACCCATACTCACATAAAGTTCAGCTATCTTCGTTTTGTATTATATTCTATCATTTCACATTCAAATTATCTTGATATCAAAAAGTCCTGCTGTTTTGCCTTTCCCCACTAGAATAGGGAACTAACAATAGAAATGTTCAATGATAAAACCATGGTTACATTAGAAGAAGTTTTTTATGCGTTAGTCAGAGATTCTATTAATTTGTGTTATGTCCTTCGTTCAAAGCATATTCCAGTATTTTAAAGGAGCCGCTAATCTTGGGGTAGAAATAATAAGTGAGAGGGTTTCAGAATATCAACTACTTATATTAAACAATATTGGAGCTTCCTAAGTAAAATAGAAATAAATAAAATATACTCTTTCATTTAACACATGTAAAATAGTAGCTTCCCAAGTAAAACTTATCACTTCAGTCTGATAGCACAAAAGAAAAACATTTCTCACAAATACAGAGAAATCTTTCTTCATATTCATAAGAAAATAAACAGTTTAAAAATACCAAAACCTTATATTTTCTAAACATAAAGCACATTTAGTAATTTTATTTGATGATATAAGTTTCAGACTTTTGACATTGCTCATTAGCTACAAGGAAGAGTTATATTATTTATGTACGAAATTCAACTAAAAATAGTTGTAAATGTATATACTATTTTAGTTATATGTATATAAATAAATGAATTGAAATTTAATGAGATATAGATAGGTATATTCATATGCATAATAGAAGATAGATACATAGAAATAGATATGGACACATATTTTATTTTGAAGGTAATGTATTGGATTTTAAAAAACAATGGCTTAATGTGTAGCGTTCCTTGACATCAGAGAGAATTGTGTAGATAGGCCTGTTTTACAGGAAATGAAAATCATCTGCCCACTCTAACCTTAGTGGCCCAGCAGGGAGTGGGGAGAGCAGAGAACCCTAGCTCATCTTCCTCTTCCACTCAACAAGAGGGCAGAGGTCAAGAAAACTTATGGGTCCAGAGGTCAAGAAATCTTATTTACAAGTCTAGGTAGCACAAAACTTGGTGGAGAGAGACGGGAGTGGATCTGGAGAGGCAAACTGACATCAAAAAATTCTCCTTATACCACATCTTTTTAAAAACTTGAAGAATATTAATTATATTTTAAAACCTTAATTTTTAAAGTAGTTTCTTATGAATGGTCATTAACTTGTTTTTGGTGTTAACAAAGGTCCATGAGATCTGTGGAAGGAAAAGGGAGAGCTTTATTTTCCATTAAAAAAAAATCTGCAGACTGGGGAGACAGAGCCTTCAGCACAAGTGAAAATGTAAATGAACAAAGAAAGGATCTGGCTTAAATAGGAAAAGTTCTCACCTAAGTACTTTACCAGGTTCATTTATGCAAATGAAGGATTCAAACCTTTCAATTCTGATTGGTCAAAATAGTTAAGCCCTAATTGAGTTGTTTCTAAGCCCCAAACCAGAAGTTTCTGTCAGGTACTTATTTCAAATGGTCAGTGAGGTGTGTTTCTGGCCTGAGTTTATCTTGTCTCTGGTTACAAGAACTCTTCTGACTCTGCAAGGTAAAGCAGAATGTTTGTCAAGAGCCGCTTTTGCTAGGAACCCAAGTATATGCCAGGACTCTATCTCTTCCTGCTCTGCTACCTGTTTATGCTTTTAAATTTAGAGCATCTTTATTAGCCACAGGGAGTCTCTCTGATCTGGGGAGGTTTGGGTCTTATTTTACAGTTTTATTTCACATTAGTTTGACTATTGTAAGTACTGGCTACCTGTATGCATCTGTTCTTCCTCACTTGTCTATGTAATAGATTTCTACAAGCAGGATTTCTAGTTAAAAAAAAATAGTTTCGACTGGGTGCAGTGGCTCACGCCTGTAATCCCAGCACTTTGGGAGGCTGAGGAGGGCAGATCACTTGAGGTCAGGAGTTCAAAACCCAGCCTGGCCAATATGGTGAAATCCTGTCTCTTGCTAAAAGATACAAAATTAGCCGGGCATGGTGGTGCAGGCCTGTAGTCCCAGCTACTTGGGAGGCTGAGGCAGGAGAATCGCCTGAACCTGGGAGGCAGAGGTTGCAGTGAGCTGAGATCACACCACTGCATGCCAGCCTGGGTGACAGAGTGAGACTCCGTCTCAAAAAAAGAAAAAGAAAAAAAAAAAGAAATAGTTTCAATATTTGCTGCCTTATCGATTACCAAAGGTGTTCAATCTTGTTATATTAAAACCAAATATTTGAGAGTTTCTGTTTTACTTAGCAGTTGTCCACACTGATGTTTTCAACTTTTTTCAATGTGTCATTTAACATAACTATATATTCATAGATTTATTGGTTATTGGCATGTCATTTTCTTATGTTAATCATTAGATAAGTCTTTTCACAGACTTGTATCACTTTATTTTCTTTTTGTATTACATAAACATATAATGTATTTTTTTAATTTTATAAAAGTAGGATCATATTATATTATTATTCTACAATTCTGACTTATTTGCACAATAACCTGTCTTGTTCTTCTGCCCATATTAAGATGTATGGATTTCCCATATTCTTTCTATATATTAAATGATATCCCAATATATTGTATCAAGAACAAAGCCATTAAATCTATTTTGTGTAACACATTAAATATATTTAATGACTTTGTTCTGGATAGAATATATTGGAGTATTATTTATGCAAATCATTATTTGCATAAATTTCAATATATATTTGGGATTTATGCAAATGAAGGATTCAAACTTATTCAGTTCTGATTGGTCAAAATAGTATAGAAACAAAACATATATGTAACAAAATAATGCCTCCATTCTTGCTAGGATATAGAACATTTTCAGTTATAAACAATCCCGAAATAGTCATTTTTACACATATATCTGTTTTACAGTGTTTGAATTTTTCCATCGAGTTATTAGTCTCTTTCTTAATTTGTATGAGAGTTTTGGCATAATAAGGAAGCTGACCCTCATCTGTCTTATGTATTGCATATATTTTTATTTGTTTGTTATTTGCCTTTTGCCTTTTTCCAGAGTATTTTAAGTTGTTATGTAAATATATTTATCAGTCTTTACTTGAGGGTTCCTGTATTTTATGTCACGCTTATCAAAAACCTACCCATCATTTTGTGTAGTTCTTTTCCCAGCTTTTCCCAGTAGTTTTCTTGTAGGCATGTGCTGATGAGTATTCTCTTGAATACTCCAGGGGAATCCACCGTAGAACCCTCTCCTGTCGGGTGTCTGACCTGCCGGACTCCATCCACCTCAACTTAGGGAACATGCCAGGCTCTACTTAGTACCCTGTCTTTGTGCAGCACAGCGCAAAAACTCTATCAAGGCAATAAGTTGGGGAAGAACGTATCTTATTTATCTCACAACTTTTAGGGATCTTTGTGCTTCCTTGATTAATGTCCAGTGTTTTGAATACCATTGTTTTATAGATTTTGTATGTTTATTTTTTAGTGGTTAGGGTGGGAAGGTACATCTAGTCTCATAACTTCATCTTGACCAGAGCAGAAATCTACATGGATTTTTGACTTTGGTTATTATTTTATAGAGATTTGCTCATTTTGATGTTGATTTCCTCTCTGAACCAACAGATCTCAACCCCCTATGTTGTTGATTTTATACTTTACATGATTCTATTTATATTTTTATATATTTTATTACATATTAAAAATATATGCATATAAATATTCACACACACTCTGGTTGGAGTACAGATTTTGTACAATTATTTCTGTTTTTTTAAAAGTTTTTGAAAACTTTTCACAACTCAGTTATAGGCATTGTATATTTCACTTCCTGCAGTGAAATATGTGGGAAATCAGCAATGTAGACTCTGGAATCAAGCTTATCAAGGCATATTTTGAAGCTAGTACTTTGAAGAGATTTCCAAATATCATAGAGCTCTCTGAGCTTCATCCTTCTCCCCAAATTCTGTCTTTTCTACTCCAGTTCTTTGTTGTACTCTCAAATTTTCTTTATAGGTGGAGTTCTTTCCTGAAACTCTAACCACATGGCTGGTATCCAGACACTTTGTCTAGTATTTTCAGTTCTATTCTCCTAGAGTGGCTCCTGATCCCTGACACCAGCAGCTCTTTGTGCTGCAGGGAATTAGATGGCCCTAGGAGCCACAAAATGACCCTTGCCTGGTGTGTAAAGATTGCTATGGACCAGAAATTCCTGTTGACAAGCTCTGCCCTTTGGAAGCCATCACCATTCCCAGTCACTTTCGGTTCACAAGCACCCTTCATTCCTCATCTCCTCTTAGGATAGATGTTCTCCTCTATACCAATTAATTTTCCTGTATACTCCACACTCGAGTTCATCTAAGATAGGACATTTCTCTTAATATAGTGTAGAATGGAAGAATTAATTATTCTGTAACACAAGTTATACTATCTTTCGAGTTACTTTTTTGCCTTTACCTTTATTGTGTGAAAAGTCAGCACTGACAAACAAAAATATGCTTTGAGAATATTTGTTTTGTTTCACTACAAAAGCAATTATTTAGCTCTGTGCTAAGTCACTGAGTCATTCTGTAATTAGGATTTTCAAAACCAAATTAAATGTTTTTGAACCAAAAAAGGATCAGCTACAATTCATATGTTACATAGCACCTAGTCTATTATAAGGATAATAAAACCATCACGTTGGTTAATTAGCATTTTTATTAGAATATTCTACTTTAATTTTAAAGACATATTTGCTCACAAAAAGACTTTGGGGCTGGGATGTGTAGGTGTATCATTATAAAACTTTATGACAAATCAAAATAAAATTTTACAGTTTTATAAAACCCTTCTTTTATGTTTGCTCTCCTAATTGTCACAAGTTTTGATAAATAGAATCACTCTAGTGATCTAGAAAAATCAATAAAAATATATTTGCATAGGGCTTTACAGTTTACAAAGAGCTTGCTGCGCACATGGATAATTAGTATATAAGAAAAGGCCTAAAACAAAGAAAAATTATTCTCCTTTAGTTTTTGTCATTTTTTTGGAGTTATTTTTAGTAATTAAACTGAAATAACACATTAAAATATTTCAGTTTAATTAAAAGACATGTATAAATTCAAAAGCCATCTTTATTCTTAATATGTGTGCAGATATAGTATCTTTCACGTCCGTTATTTCACTGCATTAGAAAAATATTAGTTTCTGTGCACAATGTTTTTCACAACTATGAAGTGAACCATATTTTATGGTTATATCTATATAAGTATAAACATAAGTTAAATTATTGTGATTCTATCTAAAGGGAAGTAAACTCTTTCATTAAAAATGTTTGGACATATTAGGTAAATAATGCCTTTAAATAGAATGTATCACCAATAGTCATGGAGAATCGGATGGCTAGTCTATGAAATTTTTTCTCTTGTTAATGTACTGAAAGTTGTATCTCATTCAGTTTCACTTGAAGAAAAGACATGGACTAGTGTTTGTATTGTTACACAATGAGAAAGTCACAATTCTTTTTTTTTTTTTTTTTTTTAAGACAGGGTCTGTCTCCATCACCCAGGCTGGAGTGCAGTGGCTCAATCAGCTCACTGCAACCTTGGCTTCCCAGGTTCAAGCAATTCTCCTGCCCCAGCACAGGCAGGCATTTGCCACCATGCCTGTCTAATATGTCACATTTCTAAAATGGAATATAGAGGATTTTTTTGTTTTTAGGTTTTCACTAGAGTCATCACATTATGTACCTTAATAATAAAGAAACCTTGCCTTTATCTGCTGTGGCATATAAACATATTGACTTCAGTAGTAGGCATAAGTAATGGACAGACAGAATGACACAGTCAACTGTAGACAATAAAATAAACCTTTGTGGAGTTACACTGCTGTATAAAAGATGAAGTAATGACAGAATGAAATTAAAGTTTTTAAACAGATTATTTTTTCATTTCATATCTATATATCCAGTTTTATGGGTTTTCAAATATAAAACAAATTCAAGCTAAATTGACTTTCAAAAGTTCTCATTCAGAAACTGTAAAAATTGTTAGAATATTAGATTCTATAAAAATACTTGGGTGCAAATTTTATAGAGATTCAGAATTATAAATGAAAGCTTATTATTTTGTGCCAGAATTGTATTTATCTGAACACTTTAATAACATCTTGGTTACAGGTTCCATGAATATTTTGCATCTCCAACAATGATCACTTAAATTCCACTTGAAAATTCTAACCTAATTATAGCAGCATTTCATAAAACTTAAAACCCATTACTACGATGATCAACTTTTCATTTATTTAATGCATTTTGTAATGAAATTCCCTTCAAATTACTGAAGGTTTGCCTTCATAACTTATTATTTTATCCCCTCTTAATAAGTTTTCTTTTCTGTTGTTTCTCATTCACTTTAGCTTGCTTCACACATGTATAAATGTATTCTTTACAGAGTATTTACAATTGAGTATCACATCAGCTTCACATATATGCCGGTTCTCTGGAGCTCTTTTCCTGTTTTGTTGATTTTTCTCAACCTCTATTTTTATTATCAACCTCTCCTCTTCTTTTGACTCATTATTACAAATATGTAAACGTACTCAAGTCTTATCCATCTTTTTAAGCCCCTCCTACCATCCATATAGTCTACCAATTACTACTCCATATCTTCCCATTTATAGCCAATCTTATTGATATACTACCTGTAATATCTACATTTCATTAGCTCCCTCTCATTCCATAATTCACATCAACACGTTCTAATCAAGCCCTTCCTTGAACTTCATGATGCTAAACCAAATGGGCACTTGACAGGCTTCCTCTAAACTAAGCTCCCAGAAACATTTGACACAGTTAATAAATACTGTTTCTCACAACTCTCTCTTCCTTTGGATTTCCTAAAACCATATTCTCTGACTTTACTGTTACACAGAGTGCCGATATTTCTTGGGTTTTTTTTTTAAAGAGAGTCTTGGATTATGCTTACTGATACGGTGTCATATCCAGTTTTATATTTGTTCATGATTTTTCATTTTGAAGTAAAAGGTAACCGTTAACTCTTACATTAAATATGACAAGATTTACTTGGTAAATTGGTACTTTAAAATTTCCAGATTCTGCTATGATCTTGCTCGACATATGAAAAATGGGTACATTAGACAGCATTCACATTTTAATAATATGTTACGCATTATTATGATATTGTCATATTAAAATATTCTTGAACATCGTCTCACGTAAACTTTAAAGTAAATTTACTTATTTGAACAGAACAAAAGATGGAGATTGCATGACTAGTCTCTAATTAATTATTTCTGTGCCCTCCCCAATAGGAAGCTTAAATTCTCAGAAAACATAGTATTAACTGAATGTTCAAAAATCATTGCTTTGGAATGTGCATGCTTTTAAGGGACTTAAAAATTGATTTTCAGAGCTTTTTATCTCTGAACTTTCTATCTATACTATATGTTTTGATGCTTTTACTTCGCTGACATCCTCTGCCACACATACACTAAAAGGCTATCCTACTAGTTAACTTGTTTGGGGCCTATTATGTTTTACCACTGATTTCTTATAATAGAAGAAGTGAAAAATCCACATTTGATTTACAATTATTTATCTCCTTGTCAGGACTGCTGGGGGATAGAAACTGTGACTTGCAGGGCTCATATTTATTAGAGTTGATAATGAGCAGTTCACATTTGCTGACTTGGGCATATGACCTCGAACACACCATGTAAGGGTCACTTTTAATACCCAGATAATACTTTTTATTCTGAATGTTTGAGTTTAGAGTTCTGGAAACTCCAATCCCTTTCTGTGAAGACTTATATAACCATATTAATACTAAACTGATGCACTCAAGAGGCTGAACTGAGGACATATTTCCTGTTTTTTCTTATTGCCCGGAACCTTCAAGGCTCTATGTCAAATACTTCATTTTGGTTCTTTAAACAAAATATTTCCAAAAGATAGAATTATTCTGACCACCTTTTTTGTATTCCCATCATTCATCTAAAATGATTTGACAATAGAGACATTCTTAAAATTCTTTTTCCTTTTTTTTTTTTTCACTCTTGTTGCCCAGGCTGGAGTGCAATGGGGTGAGCTCGGCTCACTGCAACCTCCGCCTCCCGGATTCAAGCGATACACCTGCCTCAGCCTCCCAAGTAGCTGGGATTACAGGCATGCACCACCATGCCCAAGTAATTTTGTATTTTTAGTAGAGACAGGGTTTCTCCCTGTTGGTCAGGCTGGTCTCGAACTCTCGACCTCAGGTGATCCGCCCACCTCAGCCTCCCAAAGTGCTGGGATTACAGGTGTGAGCCACTGCACCTGGCCTCTTTTTTCAATTTAATACACAGAGATTGCAACTTTTGAGAAAATGAAATACATATTTAAAGTATATATTTGGAAATATAGGAAAGAGCCAATAGAAACTTACTGAAAATATGTATCACTGCACTTTGATAATTATAAAGTATTATGCAAATATAGAATAATACAGCTATTATTTTTACTCTGTTGGGCATTAGAATATATATCTTTTCTATATCTGTGAATGTAGGAGGCCTTGAGTCGGGGGAGGGCTAGGGTGTTAGAAGGGAGCAAATCCTGAGGTTCTTTCTGTGGATATTATATATCCTTTGTGAAACAGCCTGGATAAAGCTGCGTATACCCTTTCTCAGCTCTGCAGCTAAGCTACAGGCTTCAATTGCCACAGCTTCTTTGGTCCTGTTTTATTAAATTCAACACTAGCACCAGGGTGTGAAGTGGCTAGGGAAATAATTTGGAAAGATTCTTATTCATAGCTCCAATTGGTTTTCTCTGGATTAATAAGCAGCTCAATGCAATTTAATTTATTTCAAATCAATGATGCTACCTATCTATCTATGGAAAAACATTATGCTTATCTCTGTTTAGCATTTGGTGAGCGAATTACCTATTTGTGCTGCTTGCTCCCTTCAGTCCTTAAGTGCTTTTAATTCCAATGTGAACAGCATTATCTGTCTGTACAATTCCAGCTTGTTGTTAAATTTTTGCAATAGCTTTCTAACCTCCAATAGCCACTCCTGGTGTATTGCAGCAACTGCTGTTAAGGGGAACTGCCTAAGACAATGATTTCACTGTGGTGCTTTTGGCTGAGAAAAGGGCACTAGTTTATGAATGGTACTGAATCTTTCACTTGGCTTCTAAAATTCTCTAGCACTGATTATCCTGATTAATCATTTGGAAAAATTATATACTAATATATTGAATTATTTTCTTTGTTCCATATATCTCCCATTATATACCAAGCTACTTAAGGAAAGAGATTGTAGATTTTTCTTTTGATTTCTAGCTATCATTTAAATCATGCCTGCTATGTTCTAAGAACATTATCTCTAATTACACAGCACCTTACGCTAAGTATTATTATCATTATCTTATATAAGGGAAACTAAGTCACAGAGAAGTACATGACTTGTCTAATTCCACTTTTCTGAGTAAGTGGCAAAGCCAGGATTCAAACCCTTGGCTACAAAGCCCTCTACCCCCACAGCACAACATACTGCCTCCTAGTAATCTGTATTAGTGTTGACGATATTTGATGTCAAAATAAACATTATCAACAAGAGGATGAAAGAAAAACTACCGAGTTTGCTGCTGCTTTCTCTGTTTGCTTTATTTGCTTGATTATTAGAGCAAGGTAGGAGAAGCAAAGACAAGAATCGAGACAGATGGCAGGAAAAACATTCAGCAGAACTGTGCACACTGCATATTGCTCTTATGTGACACATTTCCCATAATTCAGTAAAATATACAGAACAAGTATTAATAATAATAAGCTTGCTGAACTTACACACCAATTTATAAGGAAATTGAGGAGAAATAAGAACAAAGATAATTGTCACCTAATCATTGTCTCCAGGCTAATGGAAGAAGTAAAAAAATCTTGAAGCCATCTTCCTTGAATGCAGAATAACTTTTCCAACAGGAGATACCAATGCTTATCAGGAATTTTAGGTTGTGGTTTTTTTTTTTTTTTTTCCATAGACACATGGAAGGCAGCATGTATAAAGAATTTCCCTGAAGTCCTCGGTTCATACTGTATAATAGAGGTGCTCAAAACACATTTCCTACATGTTTATAGAGCATTGTGCCTGATTTCCTGTGTAATCCATTAGGAAAAAAAAAATCCTTAATCCCACTTGCAATAGGGTAGAATTTTCTTTTTCTTTTCTTTTTTTTTTTTTTGAGAGGGAGTCTTGCTGTGTCGCCCAGGCTGGAATGCAGTGACTCCATCCTGGGAGTCACTGACAGCATCTCAGCTCACTGCAACCACCGCCTTCCAGATTCAAGCAATTTTCCTGCCTCAGCCTCCTGAGTAGCTGGGATTACAGGCATGCGCCACCATGCCTGGCTAATTTTTTTGGTTTTTGTATTTTTAGTAGAGACGGGGTTTCACAATGCTGGACAGGCTGTTCTTGAACTCCTGACCTCATGATCCACCCACCTCGGCCTCCCAAAGTGCTGGGATTACAGGCGTGAGCCACCGTGCCTGTCCTCTTTTTCTTTTTCCTGCTGGAACGTGGTAGACAAAAATTCCTCTATTTAAAAAATAACTCCTTTATTATTCAACTTCTATACTACCTAATCAGCCCTTGACAGCCAGCCAAAGGCAAAAATTAATTTTTTGGTTAGAAGATCCCACACAGAATAAGTTATCTGTCATTTTACAAAATGTCTGAGTTAACAACATCTAAAGTTCTTGATTTTGAAAACCTTTGTTGAAAGTCTAAACAAAGTATTACATCAGCACTCTACTTTTGACACTCAAAATCTCTGTGTCAATCATCTTACCCCTTCTCCACCTGCAGGGGCATTGGCACTCTTTCTAATTAGATTAGTTCTCACCCATGATAATAACAACGTGGACAACCTTTGTGAATGTAAATGTTACGTGAATTTTGCATGCAGTCAAAATTGTAGAAGTCTTGAAATTCTTTTTATAGAAATTTTATTCTAATGTCTTTCTTTTGTCAGGGCAGGATTGGTTTTATTCTAAGGTCTTTCTTTTGTCAGGGCAGGATTGGTTTGTCAAGAATAGTAGTCTAGTGAATTTTATTACTTTCTAACACTACAGGAGAGAAAACAGAGAATGAAGCAGGAGAAGAAAATCTAGTGGTATACGGCAATAAATACAGTTTTTGAATGTGAGTAATATCACCAGTAGTATCCTTCTGAGGGTGCAGTATTCGTTTTTTTTTTCAGTAATACATGTCAACATTTAAGGCAGGCAATTATCAATATTACTATCAATTCTTACCAGTATTCATTTTTCTGGAAACAATAAAAACTAGATTCCCCCAGCCAAATTATGTTAGTGAGAGGAAAAACCAAGGGCATGGCTAAAATATGTCAAATAAAACAAAACCTACTTTGTAAACACAAGATGGCAATTTACTCTCTCTATTATTAATGTAAATCTAAACAATAACATCAATTTGTTGTAGCAAAAAGAGAAAAATGACTAACCCAGTTTGGATATATTCTGGCATAATTCTTACATGGCCACAATTTAGAGAATTATAGCATGTTGAAAATATGATATCACTTTATTTATTCTAATAAATATATTGCTGCAAGACTATATCAACTTCTGAAATAAAAGGCACATAGAAAATTTAAATAAATGTTATTAAAGTGAGAAAAAACAGTTAAAATAATTGGGCTAACTTTTCGTTGTAAAGTATGATATCATAAAGAATAATAAATGATTTTTCTATAATTAACTGAAAATGCACTTGAAAATTGCACTGTGTAGATATGTTAGAATTGTGGATTTCACAGATGTGATGGGGTCCTCATGATCACGTTTGTACTTACTTGTGCCCATCATGCATCATCTTCAGAAATTTTTGCACATTTTCCCCTAAATTAGATACAATTCTAGGAAGCAACAGCTTGCAATGTAGACTTTATTGGGAGATTCACTGTAGCCATACAGCAGAAATTAATAAAAATCTAAGCACTTTCTGTTCCACCCTTTTCACCTAACTTTCTCTTTCCTACAGGCATCTCCAACATTTAAAGCTACAGCTTTTCAAACTCTAGAACCTGTCAGCCAGCCTTCATTGTTTCATGGTTTCTTTTTATAACATAATTCAGTTATCCATCGACCTCCAGAGTCTTGCAAATTTCCTCATTCTTATCAGCCAGCTCAGCAAATAAAGCATGTTCCTTATTGCGGCTTGAAACAGTAAATATTTTTATATTACAAATAAGCCATTTTAACTTACATATAAAATAATTATCTGAAAACAAAAATGTTTAAGCATTTGAACAGGAGAGAAAAATGAATTTATAGGACAGATTTATAGAAATTTATGGGCACAGATTGGTTAAACAAAAAATAAAAACAAAAACAGAACAAAACAAAAACCTCAGAAATACTGATGAATGAGATATAAAATTTCTTACAGGAATCTTTATTAAGTTCTGCTGCATGGTAGCAATGTTTCCACATCTTCAATAAATTTTAATAACATTTATTTATAAAAAAAGATTTAAAGAATATAAAGCCAAGCTTCAGATAGATGATATTTGTAATATTTATTTCTAAAAGATAACTGATGTTCAGAATATTTTAAAATTCAAAAAAAAAAAAATCTACCAAGAAAATGATAGATGACCCTTTTAGAAAAGGAGACTAATGACAAAACATCTCTCCACAAAAGAGGAAATTACAAATGGCCTTTAAGAATATGAAGAGCTGTTGCATATTCCAAATGATCAGGGAAAAGCAGATTAACAATGAGATACTATCTTACACTCAAAAGCATGGCTTAGATAGCCAACAATGAAAAGTGTTGGTGAGGGCAAGGAATATAACTTCAACTCTCAAACACTGATGATGATGCATAAACTGTTATAATCTCCTTGGAAAACTGGCAGTATCTAACAAGCTGACTATAGTCAGCTATACCTTGCATCTCCACTGTTCCACTCTAAAGTATACACATAAAATTAAAAAGTGAACAGAAATTTGTAATGTGAGATTAGTGCTACATATTCAAAGCAGCACTCTTAATAAGAACTCTAAATTGGAAACAACTCAACCATCAGCAGTAGAAAGGTAAACAATGTTACATCCTTAAAATGGAGAACTGCACATCAATGAAAAAGAACAAATCACTACTGATACTGACAGGAGGCAGCCAAATGCCTAGGCAGACAGGGGCGGGTCCCCAGTGAAACCTCACCACCAAGCCAAAGACAGTTTAAAGCCTGAAAATCAAGCTACAAGTTAAACCCTTGGACTGAATTGAGAACTTCTCCTCTTTCCTCTGATTGATCTCCACCCTTCACCTATTTTACATATACCTACTCTTTCCTAATTGGTTTTCTACACTGTCATGTACATCTTTGAGTGGTTTATTCGCTTTAACCCTTTTTGCATACTCACAAACCAGTCAGCACACACACACCCCATTCTGAGCCCATAAAAGACCCCAGATCCAGCCATAGAGGGGGACTTTCCCATCTTTGGGTAGGGGATTCCCTCCCGTACCATGCTGCATCCCGTCTCTGCTGAGAGCTGTTCTGTCACTCAATAAAATTTTTCTCGGCCCTCCTCACCCTTCAGTGTCCAGCATATCCTCATTCTTCTTGGGCACAGTACAAGAGTTCGGGAACTGCCAAATGCAGGTACAAGCTATAACACAGGTGAGCTGGGGCACGCCAGCATGGCTAAGTGAGGCCTGGGCAGGGCATCACTGACCAGGGGTTTCTGGCTTGCAAAGTGATCAAGAAGAAATAACCTGCATCAGTGCTACATACAACATGGATAAATCTCAGTTGTGCTGTGTTGATCGAAATAATCCAGGCACAAAACAACACGTACTATATGTATGAGTCCATTCCTATAAAATGCAAAAAAATTGACAAACCTAGTTCATGATTATGCAATTCAGAATAGTAATTACCTGTGGAGAGGCAACGCTAGGAGGAGGCATGAGAGAGGCTTCTCGAGACACCGGGTCTCTCATATTCTGATACAGGTAGTAGTTATAAAAATGTGTTTACCTTTTAATAGTAAATCAGGCAGTATAGTATGACTTGCTTTCTTTTATATGTACAATATAGTTTGGTTTTAAAAGGTTCAAAAATTTATTTAATAATCTTTTACATTTCTTTCCAATCTTGTCATTCCAGCAAAACCAAATATAAAGTCTGCTGCCTTGGTTTTCTGTGTCGAAGACATATGCATATCAATTTATTCACTTGTTGCTGTGAGCCCTATCTGAAAATTTACATTTGGCTGTGTTTATCTATGCTCTCATATTAATCTGACTTTATAAGTAATTGTAAAGGAAACAGTAGAGTCTTTTTTATTTCATTTTATTTTTCTTGCTTTTGTGAAGGATGATGAGCATAGTAACACATAAGCACATCGGAGTGTGTCCTAGCTATAAAACACAATGGTATAACTGGAGGAATGTTAAATATTACATATTTAAAACCATTAAATTAAAGATTAAAAAATTACCCACAAAGAAAAAGTGTAAGGCTACTTCTGTCTTTAATATTTGTGGCTAATTTGCAAATTTTAGGATGGATGCATCAAAGAATCAAGATGTATCAAAATCCCATTTTGTTTTATTAAAAATATTGGGATGTGGGAGAGAAGGTCAGGGCAATTATGGAAAATCGATACACTATTATTGGTCATTTATTCTGCAAAATCATAGTTAACCTCTACTAAAACCTTTCTTGAGGGGGCCACCCCTGTGGTACAGTAAGCCTATGTCTATGTTCATTAAGGAGTCCCCACTGCCAAAGAATCCTACTATAGGACAAATATACCATAGTACTTTCAAAGCAAACTCACTTGTAAGTGGATATTCACATTTTGAAAGTATACTTTGAAAAATTAGAAAGCAGAAAAATTAGATTGATGCTTTCTCTCCACCACCATCACATTAAGAAATCCAAACCCAGTTTTTCATTTTAAGAAGATCTTAGGAAGAGTTTAAAGAGCTGTGTAAGGCAGATGAGGCACTAATATACCTTTTATACACAATTGTTTTGGTTTTATCTGAGGCATTGCAAAAAGCTGTAAAACTCACACGACCCAAAACAACCAAAAGCTCCTCAGCTCTAACAGTGTGAGAGATCTCATTATTCCTTGAGACCCTGAAGACTTACCAGTTGCCTAGAGCCGCCCATGAAAATGAGAACTGTTCTAATAAAAGAAGCACCTAATGTATGTTTTTCCTTCAAACTATTAAACCCAAATCCCCCTAGTGGCAAAAGAAGGCTAAGTACCCTAACAGTATGTGGAGGTATATATTAAATTGGCCCTGCCAAGGGACAACATTTCTTTGTATCATCATGTTTTACCAAAAATTTGTAATTTGGAAATATTCTACTGTACAGCATATCCCTGTTTCTTTAAATATGCACCGTTTTAAGTTACTTAAAATTTACTTACCAAAAATTCAAAGCACATATTTTAAATTAAGCGCAAACTGATGCTATAAAAAAGGTATCCCATGTGTTTCAGATTCTGATGTTACCTACTCAATTTTGATTCCTCCCTTCTGTCTTCCAACACAACTCTGACTTTGTTTGTAGTAGCCATGTGCCAATTAAACATATTCACTTACCCCAGTCCTTCTCCCAGTTGGGGAAAGCCATGCAACCGATTTTCGTTTCATGTGCTATAAGAAGTAATTTAACAGTTGGGAACTCTGAATAAGTTATTATTTTCCTGAAAAACAGAAAGTGGGAAGGGAATGAGCTGTCATCATCTTTTTGTTGCTCTTTCCCTCTTTCCTGCGTGGAGCATTGACATGAGGCCTGGAGAAGGAACAGTCACTTTGAGCTGAGGATTCTTGGACATCTGTACATAACGAATAACCTGGTAAGAATCTAGAAGTACCTTGAGTGTCACCAGCATGTGACTGCCCACATCTAATGCTGCTCAACGCAACTTCCTGCAATATTGTGTGCCACCCGATACAGTAGCCACTAGCCACATACAGAGCAGTTGAAATGCAGCTAGTGAGACTGAGGAATAAATGCTGAATGTATTTTTAAATTTAAATTTAAATAGTCACATGTGGCTAGTGGTCACTATATTAGATGGCACAATTACACCTATACCACTATTTGGTTAAACTAGATAGGCAAGTTTCTTTAACGAGTAACCGATGGCAGTCCTAATTAAACATAAAGTGTTTAAGTAGCTTCAAGTTCTCTCTTAGCCTCTTGTCACACACACCTACTCTGAAAACCTTTCCCTTAAAACACTATCAGATCACACCTTAGTGGGTTTGAACTACAGATAACTGAGAATCTCTTTACAGGGGGACGCAAGACGGAGCAGGAAAATAGAAACATGAGGTACTGAAGAAAGATTGATTAACCACAGGTAAGCGTGGATACCTGGGGAGAAGCTGCTTCTTCCTGAAAGCAATCAAGCTTTTCCATCTGCATTTCGCAGGCAGCCGGCAGCCAGACAATGCAGAAAGTGGGTGTTTCTGGCTGGTTCAGCCTTTCCTTCTCAAAGAAAACTGGGCCTCTGCTTCCCCTCAAGGGATATGTCAAATCCTACACATTATGCCGCTCTGATTTTTCTCACTTCCTGTCCAGATATAATACCTCTTCTGACTTGGGCTTTGCTTTATATTGGGGCAGAAGAGGACATTGAGTAGACAGAAAGCCTAGAATGATGATAAATAAAACCACATACTTTCAATTTCTTCTCATTTCCCAATTATTTACCTGGAACAAAGGAAGAACAGGGACCAACATAACAATCACCCAGAAGGAGCAGAAGGCTAACTTTGGAAAAATGAGAGGATTAACTACTGCTGCCATCCTGTAAGCAAGGAACATAGTATCAGAAAGTCCTATCTTTGAAGACAATGAAGAGAAGGATCTGTTTCTGGGCATCCCAGCCATAACCGTAAATATGACATCTGTGAACACAAAGTAAACATCACTGCGGTGATCAGTTTCACCCTAGGCTGCTAAGGGAGACACAGCCCAATAGTTTTCTACAGGTAACTTGTTAGGAACTCTTCATTTTAAAACAACAACAGCAACAACAACAAAACCCTTACTGTATCTGTGAAATGGATCATTACTGTCTTCCATTTTAAACATACAGACCTCCCCCAACATGTTACCCCGGTCACATGTAGTGACCTGAAGAGTATTTTGCTGCTGTAGTGACTGTGTCTGTCTGCCTTCCTGACCCATCCTGTGGCAGTCATCTATGTAACTGCCTGTCTTCCTTTTGTAGTTGCTTATTTTCAATCACAGGGTTCCTTCTTATATACTCACTGTGTAAAAAATATTAGGGCATAAAAACATTTTTAAAGTATTTTTTCTTTATTTTTAAACTTTTTTAAAGCATAGGCTATGGCAAACAGTCACAAGTAGACTTATGAGAGTGTGTTTTTTTGCTTTTCAACAAATAGAACTCTGGACCTGGCCATTTCAGTGAAGCATACAACTAGAGGAAATTAAATAGATGAAGAAAAACCCAGCACTCTCTAATATGTAAATTCTAAATTACTTAATGATATACTGCAATTTAAATTACACTGTAAATGAAATGATACTAGGTAGATAAAATAGACACAAGGAATATATAAAAGCCAAAAAGAAATTTAGATAATTAAATGATTTGCTATAAAGCCTTCCTTAGCTGTGAAGTGAAGAGCAGCTCAGTTGACACCTATTAGCCACTTAATACATAATGATAATGAAGTCTTATTTAGCACTTACTATGTGCCAGGCACTGCTAACCACTTTATATTTATTGTCTCAATTACTCCTCTTAATTGTTATAAAAGTGAACATAATCAAGGTAACATTTTATTAGATTTATGAAGAATTTATACGATATCATAGTTCACCAAAAATATATTTCATATTAGTTTATAATTATTATTTATGAATAATAGTAACCCCCAATGAGACAGTGGGCATATTAGAATTTTAAACTATAAGCACATAAGATTAACATCCTTATATCCACTTTGGGCTCTACCACTGATGTATCATGTTTTCAGCTATGGACAAGTCTTTGAAACTACCTGTAACAATTTGCCCTGTAAGTTATGAGAAATTGTCTGTACTGGTAATTGCACAACCATGTTTGCATGAGGAGGAAGAAACAAAGTAGAAAATACTCTTGAACAAAAAGTTGTTGATTCAAGATAAGAAGCACTGGACTTTATTATGTGCGGTTCTTAAAAATAACTGAAGTAGAAGAAGAAATACAAAATAATTCAGTCCTTTTTCAGAGCTAGCGTAACTTTTGTCTGGCTTCTCATGAAGAAACGCATAGCAACGAAGAAGGAGTGGATGGAAACTATGGAGCAAAACAGTAAGAGAAGAAAATCGAATTAGAAACAACTTAAAACCACTTATTATGTGTCTCACAATTGCTTCACAGTGCTGGTTTCTGCAAAGAGAAAGAGATACAGAAATAGTACAAAGCCTGAAGACAAGGGAACGGAAAGATCTTTTCCGTTAACTTCCCTGAAATCATGTGCTACAAAACAGGCATTTTCAGGAAGAGGGGTGGATGTGATGTGCCACAAGTGTATAAATTTTCCAAGTTTGTGTGATAGTAGAATTTTTAAACAAGTTTGTGGCTTTTGTCTTATGTTGATGACTAACAGTTCCCAATGATAGACTCATTCACCTCCAATACTCAAATTACTCATGAAATCACAAGCATATAAATTTCCAGGGCTGTAGAAGAGAGAGTACTGATTGTGATTTGCCACATTCTGGGAATAATTTCCTCTGCTACACACAGATGTGCCAGATTCAGCAAATACTCTGACCTGCCCCATATTTTGAGAAGTAAACCAAACACAGCCACATAGGAAGATCACGAGTATAAGGTTCTGGTACAGTCCCACTGTACAGTGACCTCAGAAAGACAGGATTTGCACCAAAACAGTGAACCTGCTTTCTTCAGTTTCATGTCATTACTAGCCCCCTCTGTGCTTTTAGCATTTGACCTAGAGGCTAAGCACTCAGTAATGTAGCTTGCCCCAGTGAGAACATTTCCAAATAAGGAAGCCAGCCCTGGGATAGGAACGCCACTGTAAACTGGGGCAGTGATTCTGAGGCTGGCAAATGAAATACCGTTTATTTCCAAATGTTCAGGGGAAAAAATTCCAGCCTTCAGAGTTGAAAGAACAGGCAAAAACGAGAAGGATAAGAGATCATTCCTTAATCTTGCAGAACTGCATTAGCTAAAGGCTGCCAGAAAATGGAAATTTGGCAAAGACTTTGCACATTGAACTGT
This sequence comes from Homo sapiens, assembly GCF_000001405.40. Lineage (NCBI taxonomy): Eukaryota > Metazoa > Chordata > Mammalia > Primates > Hominidae > Homo > Homo sapiens. The sequence goes on from NC_000012.12 coordinate 81,801,317, forward strand.
CCTCAAGCTGAAGATCTGAGAGGGGTGTTCTGGCAGCATCCAGGTGTACCGTGAGAGATTACAAAGGGAAAACACACATCTTATCTGTGCTGCACAGCAAACTACTGGAAGAGAGCACTTATTATTCCAGAGTAAGGAAACCGGCAGGGGTATTGAGCCGTGGAAGTGGCCTTAGGCTAATGAAAAGACTACATAAACATAATGGGGACATTCCCTTAAAAATATACCAGAAAGTTTACTCTAGAAATATAGCACCACTGGAGATGTAAGAAGATGTCAGACAGCATTTACTATGTGTTATCACTAAAATATAAGAAAAAAATATGCTATCTGAACTAAGAGGAAGAGAAAAAAAGGAGGAAAAATAAAACAGGCAAGATCAGCATGATGATAACTATACAGCATTTAGAGCTTGAAAATTTGGGTTTAATCCAGTCTCCGCCATACCGCGTATCAACTCCATGATGCAGTTCACCATTTATCTTTATAGGATCATCAGTTTCCTCACAGACAATGACGGAAACTAAAATAATGCTAACATTTACAAAAATAGTACAAAAATGCAAAATGAAAAGGACAGGATAATACCTATTAGAGGTTTAAAAGGTCTAAAAAAAGCGACAAGAGAAGATCTATATATAACAGAGTTAAAATAGTTAACATTTTTAGCTTTCTGAGAAAAGATAAATTTATATCCTAACCTTATTATTCTATAATAATACCAAGAAGTTTGAAGAATTATATGTGAGGTATATAACTGCAAAAGGGTTAGATGGCTTAAAAGTAAACATGTGAATGTGATTACGGGGAAGGAGAAAAGCCAAAAATAAAAAGATAATTTATAACGGGAAAATGTACATTTTATTATATGTATTAGACATAATTACCTATTAAAAACAACAAAACCACCATAAACAAATTTAAAAGCAAAAACTAACCAAGGGAAATGCAATAATATGTCAGAGTCAAAAAGATGTTTTAATCTATGAAGAGTGCCCACAAATCAATTGCTAAAATCCCACTAATATCTCCAATTTTTTAAAAAAATATATATACTAGTAGAAAATTCATAGAATAAATATAAATGGCTAAGAAACAATAGTTTTCAATCTCATTTTAATGTAATTATGTAAATTAACACTTTATATTACCTATCAAATTCTCAAAGATTAAAGAATGATAATGTGGGTGAAAATACACAAATTTGGCACTCATTCCTGCTTTTTTCTGGGAAGCAATTTCATCTCATGTCCTAAAAAAAAAATTTAAAAATATTACATACCCTTTGGACCTAGTGTGTCCCTTCCTAGTATTCTATCTATTTAGAGGCAATAAAAAAGATTAATGCACTGATCTATTCATTGTGCCATTACTTTTAATAGCCAGATATTAGAAACAACTTACATGTTTAACGTTTGGAAAGGGATTTAATGCATATCGGCACATCCACCTGCTGTTTGGGTGATGAGATTTGGCAAAGATTTAAGTCCTGATCTTCTCCCTTCTTATGTCTTACTTTTTCTAAACTATTTAACTTAGCTTTTGTTTCTTCAAATTCACAATGGGATTAATAACATCCATCCTAGGATATTTTTGTTGAGAGCAAATATTAATATGATTATAATTTTAAAGTGAGATGTGCTTAAGAAAAGTTATCAACATAATGTTTATCTGAATCCAATTGTATAAATTGGTCTGAACATTTCTGAAGAAAATTTGTATATAAAATTTAGACTATTATTTGTTTCTTCTGGTCTTGATTCTGCATTCATTGTTCCTCCCCTGTATCTAACCTAAATTTAGAGCTTGAATTCTGTAAACTGAGCCCCATCAGGTGTTTGGCTGGGAGTCATCATCACAAACAAAGCAACTTTCTAAAATGTAGAAACAAACTTGCACACAAGTGGAAATAGGAATTTTCCCCAGGGAAGCATGCAGAATTACAGAAGCCCCTTTATCACCAAGTACTGTTTGAGTGAGTTGAGTAAAGAGGCCATCTAACAGGGATTTTTTTTCCCTGTTGGTTTATGAGAGCTGGGCATCACTGTTTGGCATGAATAGTGTAGTGACAAAAGGGATATGACAGGCTGGAAGACACAGAAACACAACATCAGCTTATCCAGGTTTTCTCTACCCACCTGTAAACAAACATGACTCCACAACTGAAAGAGTGAGACTCTCAAATGTGGAAGATAGGTTAGTGAAAGCAATTCTTTAATAAATAATATGAAGAATTTATGTTTACTCAGACTGTAAGTGATAGGAATGACTCTTCAAATTTTCATTTATTAACTAATTCAGTTGCTCCTATTAATACCATTTTATACAGGAATAAACTGAGACACAGAGCTGACAAATGACTTATCCAAGGCCATACACCTAATGTTTGGCTAAGCCATGACCATGTTAATAATAATAATAACAACGACTAGTAGGCACTCTTGAATGTTTACTATGCACTAGGCTCTGTATTGAGTACCTTACAAAACTTACCTTCTTAAATTTCTACATAACAAATTCTGATATATATGCACTATATGGGCTGAGTATCCCTAATCCAAAATTCTTAGGACCAGGAATGTTTTGAATTTCAGATTTTCTTTTCAGATTTGGGAATATTTAAATATGAATAATGAGGTACTTTGGAAATGGTACCCAAGTTTAAACAAAAAATAAATTTATGTTTTATGTACACCTTATACACAGAGCCTAAAGACAATTCTATGCAATATTTTAATCGCTTTTTGCATGAAACAAAGTTTGTGTACATTCAACCATCAGAAAGCAAAAGTGTCACTATCTCAGCCACCCATGTCGACAATCTGTGGTTGATTGGTATCACCATTACCCTTGACTCTGAATTTTTATGCTATTGAAAAGCAATAATGTTATTACACTTAATCACACATAAGTGTCATAAGCACTTAGCAGTAAAAAATAAGACACACCATTAATACAGTGAGAAAATAATGTGTTCAGGGTAACTAAGCAGTGCAGTAGCATCACAAGAATAGCAGCTGTTAACACCAACAACAAACAACGGCAGGCTTTCAGCCTCTACCTACGATGCTGTGTTTTGATTAAAAGGCTACCACATATTGTATTTTATTGTTTTAGGTGAGTGGAAACATCAGAAGGAGTTGAAGGACCGGGAAGTGAGTCTTCTAGGGATGTCTAGCATTCTACTGGGTAGCTTTTTAAAATGTGTCATCTGCCACATTAACAAGAGTTTTTGTCTTAGAATTCTCTTTTGATTTTATAAAATGACATGATTTCTTAACCTGTTATAAAGGCACACTGCTCTAGTCCTTCAATAAGCTCATCACACATTATAGGCACTTTTCTTTGCAGTGTTAACAATGTCATCTTCATCATCACTATTATCATGATCACTTTGATTCAGAACCATTTTAGCAATTTCACCATCAGCCAATGAAAGAACAACTGGAGCTTTATTATTGATGTTAAAAACTTCAATATTCACTTCTTCCAGCTTACTGAGGGACCCTGTAGGTATATTTTTTTGCATATCTGAAGAGGTCAGACAGCATTTTTTTTCTCACTTGAAATATGGAATCCTTCAAAGTCACCACCTTATTCATCATCATCACTGAACATAGTCACAAACCAGAGATTGTGTTAGGCCTGCACACAACTGTGTCTTTAGTCACCGTGTTCCAAATGTTTGCAGCAGCCTATACAGCCCCTTATATGCTAAACTCATTTTGAAAAAATCTTCCACATCCATGCCTCTGTTTACTGCTGCTAGCATGCTGTTCAATAAAGCATTTTTATATTTAATCTTTATAGACTTAAGCATACCCTGGTAACACGACTGAATTAATGGAGTCATATTTGAGAAAAAATACATAGCATAAACATTATTTTGGGTGAGAATTTTAGACAATGAGCAGAATAGTTGCTAAGGAGTAAGAAAATTTTGCAGTCATCATCAAATCCAGCTTCCTTGCAGTAAGCATGAGCCACTGGTACAGAATGTTTATAAAACCAATCAGAAAAGATGTTCACAGTGATCCATGCCTTTTTATGAGCATAATAATTAGACTGGTAAGAAATTGAGTTCTTGGAAACAGTAAGGATGCAAGTATTGGCCTATCATAGCAAGTTTACATTTGTGCATGCCTGCCGCATTAGCACATCCAAGCACAGTTATTCTGTCATTGGCATTAATTCTAGTAGGGTCTGTTTCCTTAGCTATAGCTAGTGTCTTTTTGGGAAATAATGCCAAAACAGTTGATGTTTCGTCAGCATCATACACTTGTTCCATCATCAGATTTTCATCAGCAATGATGTTCAACTTATTAATGAATTGCTCTACTTCTTTGTGATCAGCAGATGCTTTATCATCAGAAATCTTTAAAAATTTAATGTCATGCATTTTCTTAAATTTCTGCATCTACCCTCTTGAATTTTCACAGTTCACTTTAGTTTTCAGTTCATTGTGGTAGATCTTTGTTTCATTATCAGCTTATTAAGTGGCATATGTTCACTGCAACACTGATGAATCTACTACTTCAATACATGATTAAGATCTTCCTTTTCAGTTTTATTAAGTTTTTTAAAAAAGGTTTTCATTAACTTCTGTTCATTACTTTCCAAATAGAACATCAATAGTCTATCCTTTTTTTTCTCCAGGTTATATATGGTGGTCATTCCAACACTATACTCTTCTGTAAGATGTTTCACACTTACACCACTGTCCACTTAGTCTAACACTTTGACTTTCTGTGCTATAGATAAACATAAATGCTTTAACTTTTCCTTATTTCTGTTACCCACAGGGGTATCCATAGATTTTCTTGATATTTTCAACAATAACTTTATACCACAGAGCAGAGAATAAGCAAAAGCACCCAGTGAATAATGCACATAGGTCTTGTTTCCATGCAGGGCATCATGGGAACTGGCTCTTGGCATGTCAAACCCACACACTTGCCATTTTATTACTTGTTGTGGGTGTGCATGAGTAGGGGAAATCTTGGCATGTTTGAAAAAGATACATCACAGCTAAAGGGAAATTGGAGGTCTCTTTTTTTTTCCTTTGCGAAGCTAAATAAACTGTATTGTGCATATGCATTTGGATGGTGATTTGTCATTTGTCATATGAGGTCAAGTGTGGAATTTTCTACTTGTGGTGTCATGTTGACACTCAGAAAGTTTCAGATTTTGGAGCCTTTTAGATCGTGTATTTTCAAATTAGTGATGCTCAACCTGTACTTTTTAGCACAATTTAATGACTATCAATATCAAAGCCTGAATTTGTAAACCATTTAGCTATACTTTCTTCCACTCAATCCACAGGAGAATCAAGAGCATAGCCCTAGTGCTCATAGATTTTCTTTAAGTAAAGAAAAGCAATGAGGGTAAATCAGGATCCTTGAGTTGATGGAATGTAGCTTTCTTCCCCTGGAATCCTATCATCCATACAAAGATCTTTGTGTACTTTCCCAATTATGGAACTTAAAGAATAAACTATCATATAGAATATGTGATTTGATGGAACATAAAAAGCTTGTTTACCCTCAGACATCTCCTTCAATTACATACTCCTTGTATGATATTACTATTAGAATTTGTCCTATGAGGTAATGCAGTACAGCTCCCCTAAGAATCCTATTAAAATTTAAATATATTACCTGATGTAGTAGTTTCCTTGGCTGCTATGGTAAATTACCAAAAATATGATGGCTTCAAACTGCACACATTTATTCTCTTACATTCTGGAGGTCAGAAATCTGAAATCAGTTTCACTTGGTCAAAATCAAGGTGTTGGCATTGTCATGCTCCTTTCAGTGGCTGTAGAGGACGATCTCCTTCCTTGACCTTTCCAGCATCTAGAGCTGTATTGCTTGTATTTCTTGGCCCATGGCCCCTGCTTCAATTTTTAAAGCCACCTGTGTACCATCTTGCTTCAGTGGTCACATTGCCTTCTTCTGCATCAAATCTCTCTCTACATCCCAATTTGGGATTTCATTTAGGGCCCATCTACATAATTTAGGATAATCTTCCCATTTTAATTACATCTGCAAGTCCATTTTGCTATATAAGTTTACAAATTTCCCAAGGATAAGTACTTGGTTATCTTTGGGGACCATTATTCAGCCTACCACATCTCAGAACAGTGATTATTTTTAGGATTAATAGATAGTAAATGAAATAAGAGCCTAAGAGAATGGGAGACAAAATAATGCATACTATTTAGAATTACAGCAGGTGATGAAACTGCTTAGGTCAGTTCAGACTATCGCAAATAAATAGGGGTTTGAGGTTACTAATAAGTTTGGGAGGCTATGAAGTGCTATTCTATTTCTAAGATTACCTTTTAAATTTGAAAAGCTAAAATTTAAATATTTACCTTGTGAAAAACTGGAACCCTCAGACACTGCTTGTATGATTTAAAATGTTACAGCAGCTTTGGGAAATGGTCTGGCAGTTCTTCAGAAGATTAAACATAGAGTACCATATGACCCAGTAATTCTCCTAGGTATATGCCCAGGAAAAACTAAAACATACATACACACAAAACATGTACACAGATGCTCATAGCACCATTTGATTTATAATAGGCAAGAGTGAAAACAAGACCAATGTTAATCAACTGAATAAATGGATAAAATATGGTATATCTATACAATGGAATAAATATTATGAGGCATTATAATGAAATGAAGTACTGATAAATGTTACAACATGGAAGAACCTTAAAAGCACTATGTTAAGTAAAATAAGCCAGTCACAAAGTACCACGGATTGTATGACTCAATTTTTAATAAATGTCTAAAATAAGGAAACCCTTAAAATACAATGTAATTAGTGGTTTCCTAGGGCTGAGAGGGGAGGGCTTTGGGAAGAAGTTGGGGAGAGACTGCTAATGGGTGCTAGGTTTCTTTTAGGAGTGACCACAATGTTTTATTTTGTTAAATGAAAACTCAATATAATGCCAACTGATCCTTATCATAGTTCTGCTTATCCTGAAATAGTTACAGTACATAATCAGATATATGATAATACATTAAACTACTTATGATTAAGAATATTACCTGTAGAAAAGAGTTAAATGTGACATTTTCCTGAATCGGCTTCATTCTCATTCATAAGTCTTCCCTTTCACTATTTTTGTATTCTTTCTGATGTGATGACAAAAGGATTTTTTCACTGAGGTTTAAATAGAATTTCAGTTGAAAAATAATGTTTCTTTTGCTTTTTGGGGAAATAATAAATGCAAACTACATCTTTATATTATAATTGAAAATATTATCTGCTTACCATGATTTTGACTAAGAATTATTATCCCAATCCTTAAGAAACTTCCGTCATGATAGATCAGACTTAATATTTAACTATGCTAGATGCTACATCGTATGTAAAAATTGTACATTACTAGTTAATATGTTTATTCAAAAATCACAAACATTTGCTCCACAGGAAGTTTTAGAATTACAATGTAATTTATAATTATGAATGTAGATAGGAAAGGATAGTTTCAAAGTTCCTTTACTTTTGAACTCATGCTGAAAGACAACCTCATGTCAGTGTGTCAGATGCTGGCAGTTCACTCACTCACAACTCCTTGAAAGCCTCTCCTGTCTTCCTCGTCTTTGGACACTGGAAAGCTGAACACTTTATCCTGGTGTCCTTTACAACTGCCTTACAAAGTCGGCCAGGACACACAGATGCGACCAGTAGAATGTAGAAGGACACCTCAAGCTGTATTTCCTGAATGAAAAGTCAAAGTTGCTTGAAAAATGGCTTTGTCTTTGACCCCCCCTCTTTCTTTTTCCTCCTGTCTAGAATGTGAACATGATGCTCAGAAGTAGAGCAGCTTTCTTAAGGCCATGAGGAAGAAAGCTGTACGTTAAGGATGGAAGATAATGACAACAGAAGAAGCCTGGTTTCCTAATGACACCCTTGAGCAGCTTTGATAGCCCTGACCACCTACCTTCCAGATTTTTGACTGAAGAAATTTAATCAACTTATTATGATGATGAAGCAAAAACATTATAGAAGTGTGATAGTTAGAAATAGTAGCAATGTTTGAAAAAGGGTTTTTAATATAAGGCAGATTCTTTCCCTTTCTTCCTATCATAGAAAATGTGATTAACTAAAGGGTGTTATTATTACTTTACTTTTAGAATGTCTTTACTTTTAGAATGACAGAATTTTTCTATAGTATAACCAACATAAGTTTCGCTTAGTTAAATATGTATTAAAATGAATCAGAGGTATCGTCTGAAAGTTAGGCTGTAAGTTATGACAGATTGATGATAAAAATATAGTTCCCATTGTTTTTACTCATGCATAAGAGTTTCAATACTCTCACATAAATATGGTTTCTTCTTGAACTTCAGTCAGAAGCATTTATTTGTCTCAGGAAAATAAAATTAGTTTTAAAGGTACTAATATTATTTCAAGGGTACTAACGATGGGTGGGACAAGTTTTCACTTTTTAAATTAAAAAATATCAATTTTGTATTCCTTTAAGGTATCCTAGGGTTTATTTACATCATTCTTCTGTGTTCCCACCTGAAAACAAGGGTTGGGAATAAGGTAGGGGAAAGAAAAACTATTGAAAGACACAGTTTGTGTATTGTGGTTAATCTTTTGCAAATAGTGACCCAAATGCATTTTAATTTTCCCTTTAAGTCATGTTTGGTTTTCCATTTCCCATCTCTAGAGCCAAGCCAGGAAATTTATTACTTCTAGGGAAAAAAAGGGTAGGGCCTTACTCTCTTTAGCAAAACATTGGACTTGAAGACCTGGCTCTATGGAGAGAGGAAAAATTATCAGGCTTTTTGAGTGCCAATTTAATATTTTAAGGGACAATCATAAGGGGCATAGCCATAGCATCGAGAAGATACCACTTTGTCCTTTGACTGCTAGTCCTTAAGGCTTTTTGTTCATAGTAGAATGAAGCTGGAACATAGAGGATGGCAATAAGCCAGTCCTTCTCTGTCTCATGGGATTATGAAAGCATAATAAAGAAAGAGATAGAGAAGGAAGTGAAAGTAGTTAAATTTGTGTTCTAATTTCTCCTTTCTAGAATTTACGTGGAAGGGAGAGTCAAATAAATGAGACAGAGGAAATCCTACTCCATTTCCTGTTTGAAGTGTGCAATAAAACTGTCTCACGGGTGTTCTTCTCTCTCACATCAATCTTGGAGTGCCCATAGCAGAATAAGTGATCATACTTCGTGGTTAGGCAATGTAGCTAGAGTTTGACTCTCCAAAGTTCTTTTATGAACTGAGATGGAACTCAGAAAGCAGATGAAGATGCTGGCTGCTGAGTTTTCCTGGAGTAGGTTGGGAGGTCATTTAAGCAGATAAACCACCCAAGTAGGAAGTCACAGAGGCCTGGAATGAAACTAAGTCTTCCAGGGAGCACCATCTTGCTTTGACAATACTGGAAGTAAACAGATGATGAGTTTAATTGGTCACTGATTTCAGACTTAATTCTCAGTAGTATTATGCCCCATAAACCTATAGTGAGACTACTTCTCTTTCTCTCTCTCTCTCTGTCTATATATATATATATATTATATATATATACACACATATATATATAGTGTTTATGTATACATATAAACAGATTTTAAGATTGGAAGAATGTTTTCAAAGATTAGTTTCTGGCTCTGAATATTTTATACATTTTTTTCTCTCCACCACTACCCACCAAATACTTCTAGTTTCTGATGCCATAAAACATCTTTATTTTATAATAAGTCCCTTTGCTTTGTATCTTTGTATCATGAGTAGAGTGAGTTGCTACTGGAACAGTAAAAGTAGTTCTGGGAAGCCATTCCTACAATGGGAAACAACTCTATCCACGGAGAATGAAAAAAACCAGGGCGAGGTAACCGCCCACCCAGGAGCAACAGGGAGCCAAGGGAACACTCACCACCAGCCAGGGGAAGTGGTGAGTGATTGTGCAACCCTTGGAAACCATTCTTTTTCCACAGATCTTTGCAATCCATGGGTCAGGAGATCCCCTTGTGAACCCAATCCACCAGAGCCTTAGGTCTGACACACAAAGCTGTGTGGAGTCTTGGCAAAGCAGCTGCTCAGGCACACACAGAGACTCAGGAGCTATACCTACTCCAGCCCTGGGATTCCCAAAAAAAGTGTCTGCAACTCAGGCAAGGCAGGAGGTCTGCACAAACCCTCAGAAAGGGGGCGGAATTCAGGAAGCTGAGCAGCATCATTCTGTGGTCCCCAATTCGCCAACACCTCAAAAGATAAGACCCACTGGCTTGGAATTCCAGCCAGCCACTGGCAACAGAATAGAGCATGCCTGAGACCAGAGGGAGCCCCTGGGGGGAGGGGCAGGGATCATCTCTGCTGTTTGATCGACTCAGCCATTCCTGCCTGTAGGCTTTGGAGAGTCTAAATTTTCCAGATTAGGAAGGGTCCCCAGAGCAACGCAGCACAGCAGCTTTGCCAGATCATGGCCAGACTGCTTCTTTAAGTGGGGCACCCATCCATTCCTTCTCACTGGGCAGGATCTCCTAGCCCGTTCCTCCAGCCACACCTGCCCACACCTATCGGGGGAAGAGCTATAATCTCTCCCTGGGAGAGAGTGCCCTGGGGAGTGGGGGGTCACCACCTGGGTTGGTTAGATGACTCAGCAGTTCCAGCCTGCATGCTTTGGAGAGTCCAAGCTGACAAGAGGCAGTTCCCCACCATGACACAGCTGTTGTGTCGAGGCATGGAAAGATTGCTTCTTTAAGCGGGACCCCAATCCACTCCTCCTTATGGGGCAGATCCTCCCAGCCAGGGACTCTGGCCACCCCGATTTGTGCTCTACCAGGCTGACAGAGCTCTAATTTCTCCCTGGGATGAAGTGTCTGAGGGATGGAGCAGGCCGCCACCTTGGCCATTTGGACTTCTCAGCTAGTCTAGCCTGTGGGCCCTGGAGAGCCCAAACCAATCAGGGGCTGAAGCAATCCTCAACACAGCACAGCTGCTCAACCAAAAAGCCAGGCTGCTTGTTTAAATGGGTCTCTGATCCTGTTCCTCCTGACTGGGTGAGATTTCCCAACCTGGGTCTCCAGCCACCTCCAATAGGTGCATTGGGATTGCCAACAGATCAGTACTCCCCTGGGACAGAGCTTATAGAGGAAGGGGCAGGCTGCCATCTTTGCTGTTTCACAGCCTTCACTGATGATACCTCCAGGTACAGGAAAAAGCAAGGCAACGAGGGTCTGGAGCAGACCCCCAGCAAACTGCAATGTCCCTATGGAAGAATGGCCAGACTGTTAAAAGAAAAACAAACAAACAAACAGAAAACAACAATAACAAGCCCACAAGGAAGTCAGCAACCTCAAAGATTAAAGGTAGATAAGCCCACAAAGATGAAAAGGAATCAACACAAAAACACAGAGAACTCAAAAAGCCAGAGTGCCCCTTTTCTTCAAAATGACCACAGCTCCTCTCCATCAAGGGCTCAGAACTGGGCTGAGGCTGAGGTGGCTAAGATGACAGCAGCAGGCTTCAGAAAGTGGGTAATAACAAACTTTGCTGAGCTAAAGAAGCTTGTTGTAACTCAATGCCAAGAAGCTAAGAATCATGATAAAACAATACAGTAGCCGATAGCCAAAATAGCCAGTTTAGAAAGGAACATAACTGACCTGGTAGAGCTGAAAAATACAACATGAGAGCTTCACAATGCAATCACAAGCATTAATTCACAAGCAGAGAAAAGAATCTCAGAACTTGAATACAATCTTTCTGAAATAAGACAGACAGACAAGAATAGAGAAGAAAGAATGAAAAGAAATGAACAAAACCTCTGAGGCATATGGGATTATGTAAAGAGACCAAATCTATGTCTGATTGGGGTGCCAGAAAGAGATGAGGATAATTGAACAAACTTGGAAAATGTACTTCAGGATACCAACCAGGAGAACTTCCACAACCTAGCAAGACAGGCCAACATTCAAATTCAGGAAATGCAGAGAACCACTGTAAGAATATCCACAAGAAGATCATCCCCAAGACACATAATCATCAGATTCTCCAAGGTCGAAATGAAAGAAAAAGTGTTAAGGGCAGACAGAGAGAAAGATGAAGTCACCTACAAAGGGAAGCCCAACAGACTAATAGCAGATCTCTCAATGGAAACTCAACCAGCTAGAAGAGATTGGGGGACCAAACTTCAACATTGTTTAAGAAAAGAATTTCCGGCCGGACGCGGTGGCTCACGCCTGTAGTCCCAGCACTTTGGGAGGCCGAGGCGGGCGGATCACGAGGTCAGGAGATTGAGACCATCCTGGCTAAAACGGTGAAACCCCGTCTCTACTAAAAATACAAAAAATTAGCCGGGCGTAGTGGCGGGCGCCTGTAGTCCCAGCTACTTGGGAGGCTGAGGCAGGAGAATGGCGTGAACCCGGGAGGCAGAGCTTGCAGTGAGCCGAGATCCCGCCACTGCACTCCAGCCTGGGCAACAGAGCGAGACTCTGTCTCAAAAAAAAAAAAAAAAAAAAAAGAATTTCCAACCCAGAATCTCATATTCAGCCAAACTAAGCTTCATAAACAAAGAAGAAATAAGATCCTTTTCAGGCAAGCAATGCTAAGGGAATTTGTTACTACCAAGCCTGCCCTGCAAGAGCTCCTGAAGGAAGCACTTAATATGGAAAGGAAAAATTGTTACTAACCACTACAAAAACACACTGAAGTACATGGACCAGTGACAATTTGAAGCAACCACAAAAACAAGTCTGCAAAATAACCAGCTAGCATCATGATGGCAGGATCAAATCCACACATAACAGTACCAACCTTAAATGTGAATGGGCTAAATGCCCCAATTAAAAGACACAGAATGGCAAGCTGGATACAAAGACAAGTCCCGTCAGTATTCAGTCTTCAGGAGACCCATCTCACATGCAAAGATACACATAGGCTCAAAATAAAGGGATGGAGAAAAATTTACCAAGCAAATGGAAAACAGAATAATGCAGGGGTGGCAATCCTAGTTTCTGACAAAATAGACTTTAAACTAACAAAAATAACAAAAAGACAGAGGGCATTACATAATGGTAAAGAGTTCAATTCAACAAGAAGAGCTAACTGTCTTAAATATATATGTACCCAATACAGAAGCACCCAGATTCATAAAGCAAGTTGTTAGACACCTTCAAAGATACTTAGACTGTCACACAATAATAGTGGGAGACTTTAATATCCCTTTGACAACACTGGATAGGTCATTGATACAGAAAATTACCAAAGATATTCAGGTCCTGAACTCAGCTCTGGATCAAATGGACCTGATGGATATCTACAGAACTCTCAACCCAAAAACAACAGAATATACATTCTTCTTATCACCACACAGTGCTTACTCTAAAATTGATCATATAATCCGAAGTAAAACACTCCTCAGCAAATGCAAAAGAACTGAAAGTATAACAAACAATTTTTCAGACAACAGTGCAATCAAATTAGAACTCAAGATTAAGAAATTCATTCAAAACCACACAACTACATAGAAATTGAACAACTTGCTCCTGGATGACTCTTGGGTAAATAATGAAATTAAGGCAGAAACAAAGAAGTTCTGTAAAACCAATGAGAACAAAGAGACAACATACCAGAATGTCTGGGATGCAGCTAATGCAATGTTAAGACGGAAATTTATAGCACTAAATGCCTGCATCAAAAAGCTAGAAAGTTCTCAATTTAACAATGTAACTTCACAACTAAAAGGACTAGAGAGCCAAGAGCAAACAAACCCCAAATCTAGCAGAGGACAAGAAATAACCAAGATCAGAGCTGAACTGAAGGAGATAGACACACACACATAAAAACAACAGCAACAACAAAAAAAAACCTTCAAAAAATCAATGTATCCAAGAACTGGTTGTTGAAAAACAAAAATAATAAATAGATCACTAGTTACACTAATAAAGAACAAAGGAGAGAATATTCAAATAAACATAATGAGAAAAGATAAGGGGAATATTACCACTGACCCCACAGAAATACAAACAACCATCAGAGAATGCTCTACACACCTCTTTGTAGATAAACTAGAAAATCTAGAAGAAATGGATGGATTCCTGGACACATACACCCTCCCGAGACTGAACCAGAAAGAAACTGAATCCCTGAATAGACAAATAATGAGTTCTGGAATTGAGACAGTAATAAATAGCCTACCAATAAAAAAAGCCCAGGACCCGATGGATTCACAGCTGAATTGTACCAGAGGCACAAGGAAGAGGTGATACCATTTCTACTAAAACTATTCCCAAAAATTGAAAAGGAGGGACTCCTTCCTAACTCATTGCATGAGGCCAGCATCATCCTGAAACCAAAACCTGGCCGAGATACAGCAAAAAACGAAAACTTCAATATCTTGGATGAACATTGATGCAAAAATCCTCAATAAGATACTGGCAGCCTGAATCCAGCAGCACATCAAAAAGCTTATCTACCACAATCAAGTAGACTTCATCCTCAGGATGCAAGGTTGGTTCAGCATATGCAAATCAATAAGTGTGATTCATCACATAAACAGAAGGAAAGAGGAAAACCACATGGTTATTTCAATAGATGCAGAAAAGTCATTCAATAAAAATTCAACATCCCTTCATAGTAAAAACTCTCAGTAAACTAGGTATTGAAGGAACATACTGCAAAATAATAAGACCCATTTGTGACAGACCCACTGAAAAGGAAAAAGCTGGAAGCATTCCCCTTGAAAACTGGCACAACACAAGGATGCCCTCTCTCACCACTCCTATTCAACATAGTATTGGAAGTTCTGGCCAGGGAAATAAGGCAAGAGAAAGAAATAAAGGATATCCTGGCCAACATGGTGAAACCCCATCTATACTAAAAATACAAAAATTAGCTGGGCATGGTGGTGTGCACCTGTAGTCCAAGCTACTTGGGAGGCTGAGGCAGGAGAATCGCTTGAACCCAGGAGGTGGAGGTTGCAGCGAGCCAAGATCGTGCCACTGCACTCCAGCCTGGCAACAGAGGGAGACTCTGTCAAAAAAAAAAAAAAAAAAAAAGGAGAAGAAAGAAAGAAGAAAGGAAGGAAGGAAGGAAGGAAGGAAGGGAGAGAGAGAGACAATATTTATTTATATATGAAAAGAGAAAGTCAAACCATCTTTGCAGATGAGATGATCCTATATCTGGAAAACCTCATTGTCTCAGCTCAAAGATTCCTAAGCTGATAAGCAACTTCAGCAAAGTCTCAAGATACAAAATCAGCGTGCAAAAATTGCTAGCTTTCCTATATGCCAACAACAGGCAAGCTGAGAGCCAAATCATGAATAAACTCCCATTCACAATTGCCACAAAAATATCTAGAAATACAGCTAACAAGTAAAGTAAGGGACTTCTTCAAGGAGAACTACAAACCACTGCTCAAATAAATCAGAGATGACACAAACAAATGGAAAAACATTCATGTTCATGGATAGAAGAATTGATATTGTGAAAATGACCATACTGCCCAAAGCAATTTATAGATTCAATGTTATTCCCATTAAACTACCATTGACATTCATCACAGCATTAGAAATGACTATTTTAAAATTCATATGGAACCAAAAAAGAGCCGAAATAGTCAATACAATCCTAAGCAAAAATAACAAAGCTGGAGGCTTCACACTACCTGACTTCAAATCATATTTCAAAGCTACCGTAACCAAAACAGCATGGTTCTGGTGCAAGAACAGATACATAGACCAATGGAACAGAATAGCGAACCCAGAAATAAGACCACTCACCTACAACCATCTGATCTTCAAGAAACCTGACAAAAACAAGCAACAGGGAAAGAATTCCCTATTTCATAAATGGTGCTGGGAGAACTGGCTAGCCATATGCAGAAAACTGAAACTGAACCCCTTCCTTACACCTACAAAAATCAACTCAAGATGGATTAAATATTTAAATGTTAAACCCAAAACTATAAAAACAATAGAAGAAAACCTAGGCAATACAATTCAGGACAGACACAGGCAAAGATTTCATGATAAGGATGCCAAAAGCAATTGCAACAAAAGCAAAAATGGACAAATGGGATCTAATTAAGCTAAAGAGCTTCCACACAGCAAAAGAAACTATCAGCAGAGTAAACAACAAAACCCACAGAATGGGAAAGAATTTTTGCAATCCATTCATCTGACAAAGGTCTAATGTCCAGCATCTACAAGGAACTTAAGCAAATTTACAAGAAAAAAATGACCCCATTAAAAGTGGGCAAAAAATATGAACAGATACTTCTCCAAAGAAGACATATATGTGGCCAAAAAACATATGAAAAAAAGCTCAACATCACTGATCATTAGAGAAAATGCAAGTCAAAACCACAATGAGAGGCTGGTCACAGTGGCTCATTCCTGTAATCCCAGCAATTTAGGAGGCCGAGGCGGGAGGATCACTTGAGGTCGGGAGTTCAAGACCAGTCTGGCCAACATGGCAGAACCTCATCTCTACTAAAAAAAACTACTAAAAAAAAACAAAAAACAAAAAAATTAGCCAGGCATGTTGGAGGGCACCTGTTATCCCAGCTATTCAGGAGGCTGGGGCAGGAGAATTGCTTGAACCTGGGAGGCAGAGGTTGCAGTAAGCCAAGATCGTGTCATTGCAGTCCAGCCTGGGCAACAAGAACGAAAGTCCGTCTCAAAAAAAAAAAAAAAGAGATACCATCTCACACCGGTCAGAATGTTTATTAATAAAAGGTCAAAATATCAGATGCTGGCAAGGTTGTGGAGATAAAGGGACGCTTTTACACTGTTGGTGGAAGTGTAAATGAGTTCAACCATTGTGGAAGACTGTTGTGATTTCTCAAAGACCTAGAGGCAAAAATACCATTTGTTCCAGCAATCTCATTACTGGGTTTATACTCAAAGGAATATAAATCATTCTATTATAAAGATACATACATGGGTATGTTCATTGCAGTACTATTCACAATAGCAAAGACACAGAATTAACCTAAATGCCCATCAATGATAGACTGGCTAAAATAATGTGGTACGTATACGACATGAAATAGATGCAGCCATAAAAAGGAACAAGATCATGTACTTTGCAGGAACATGGATGGAGCCGGAAGTCATTATCCTCAGCAAACTAACATAGGAACAGAAAACCAAATACCACATGTTCTCACTTATAGGTGGGAGCTGAATCATGAGAACACATGGACAGATGAGGGTGGGGAACAACACACTCTGGGGCCTGTTGGAATATGGGGGCATGGGAGGTGGGAGGACGGAAGGCACCAGGAAGAATAGCTAGTGCATGCTGGGCTCAATACCTAGGTCATGGGATGATCTATGCAGCAAACCACCATGATGCACATTTACCTATGTAACAAGCCTGTACATTCAGCACAGGTACTCATGAACTTAAAATAACTGTTGGATATGAAAGAAAAGAAGAGAGAGATAAAGAAGAGAAAGGAGGAAAAGAAAAGAAAGGAAATGAAAAGAAAAAAAGAAAAGAAAAGGGAAAAGAAAAGGAGAACCTTCTACAGGAATGAGAATGAAGTTCAAAAATACATCAAATCTAACCCAAACTAAACATAGTTCTAATTCAACTCCTCCTTTTCTGTAACTCCTAGCCACTATCCTTTCACACAAGCTATATTGGAAGTATTGCTGGAGTAGAAAAATACAGTGTTCTTAACTTATTGCATTAAAATATATTATAATTTGTGTCATCTAGATTTTTTTCATCAGTGTTTTGTAGTTCTTTTTGTAGAGATCATTCACCTCATTGGTGTATATTCACACTCCTAGGGGTATGTTTGTAGCTATTATAAATGGGAATGAGTTCTTCATTTGGTTCTCAGTTTGATCATTATTGATGTATAGAAATGCTACTGAGTTTAGGCCGGGCGCGGTGGCTCACTTCTGTAATCCCAGCACTTTGGGAGGCCGAGGCGGGCAGATCACGAGGTCAGGAGATCGAGATCAACCTGGCTAACATGGTGAAATTCTGTCTCTACTGAAAATACAAAAAATTAGCCGGGCAGTTGGCGGGTGGCTGTAGTCCCAGCTACACAGGAGGCTGAGGCAGGAAAATATCCTGAACCTGGGAGGCGGAGCTTGCAGTGAGCGAGTGCCACTGCGCTCCAGCCTGGGTGACAGAGCAAGACTCCTTCTCAAAAAAGAAAAAAAAGAAAAGAAAAAAAAGAAATGCTACTGAGTTTATTCATGGACTTTGTATCCTGAAAGTTTACTGAAGTCATTTATCAAACCTGGGAGTGTTTTGGAGGCATCTTTAGGGTTTCTTTGATAGGAGGCCATATGTTAAATGAACAGATCTCATTTGACTTCCTCTTTTCCAATTTGGATCCCTTTCATTTCTTTCTCTTGCCTGATTGCTCTCGCTGGGATTTCCAGTACTAGGTTGAATAGGAGTATTGAAAGTGAGCACCTTGTGTTGTTCCAGTTCTTGGGGAAATGCTTTCAACTCTTCTCCATTCAATATGATGTTTGCTGTGATTTCAGATTATGTTACAAGGCTATAGTAACCCAAACACCATGGTACTGGTATAAATGTAGACACTTAGATCAATGAATCAGAATGCAGAACCCAGAAATAATGCCACAACTTCAACAAAGTTGACAAAGATATACACTGGGGAAAGGAAACCTTATTCAATAAATGGTGCTGGGAAAATTGGATAGCCATAAGCAGAAGAATGAAACTGGACAGCTATCTCTCACCATATCCACAAATTAACTCCAGACTATTTAAAGAGTTAAATGTAAGGCCTGAAACTATAAAAATTCAAGAATAAATCCTAGGAAAAATTCTTCTGGACATTGGCTTAGGCCAAGAATCTATGACTAAGTCCTAAGTCCTCAAAAATAACACAAGACCAAAAATAGATAAGTGGGACTTTACTAAAAAGCATCTGTGCAGAAAAATAAAATCAACAGAGTAAATGTACAACCCTACAGAATGGTAGAAAATATTTCAAACTCTGCATCTGAAAAATGGCTAATGTTCAGATTCTACAAGGAACTCAAATAATCTAACAAGAAAAAAACAAATAACTTCATTAAAATGTAGGCATAGGACATGACAGACATTTTCCAAAAGAAGACATGCAAGTGGCCAACAAAAAAGAAAAAAAGCTCAACATGACTAATCATCAGAGATATGCAAATCAAAACCACAATGAGATACCATCTCACACCAGTCAGAATGGCTATTCATAAAAAGTCTAAAAACAACAGATGTTGGCAAGGATGTGGAGAAAAGGGAACACTTATACACTGTTGGTGGGAATGTAAATTAGTACAGTTTCTATGGAAAACAATATGGAGATTTCTCAAATAACTGAAAATCGAACTACCATTCAATCCAACATTCCCACTACTGGATATCTACCCCTCCAAAAAAGAAACTAATATATCAAAAAGACAACAGCACTTGTATAATGATCACAGGATTATTCACAATAGCAAAGTCATGGAAGCAACCTAAGTGTTCATCAACGGATGACTGGATTGAAAACTGTGAGATAGATAGATAGAAAGATAATAGATAGATATAAATATATTATATATTTGATATATAATGTAGATAGATAATGACAGAACAATGATAGATATAAATATATAATATTATATATATATATATATATATATATACACACACACACACACACATACACACACATATATAATGGAATACTACCCAGCCATAATAAAGGATGAAATCATGTCTTTTGCAGCAACATGGATGGAACTGAAAGCCATTATCCTAAGTGAAATGACTCAGAAACAAAATAAAAACCCACAGGTCTCACTTAACAAGTAGGAGCTAAACAATGAGTACACATGGACATACAGAGTGTAATAGCAGAGACTCCAAAAGGTAGGAGGGTGGGAGGGATGTGATTTATGAAACTATCTGTTGGGTGCAATGTACACTATTTGGGTGATGAGTACACTGAAAGTTCAGACTTCATCACTGCACAATATATCCATTTTTGGATGTTCAGCAATAAATTTTGTCATAGAAACGTAAGTACCTGTGAAAAAATGTGCAAGCACTTATACCTCCTAAATCTAGGAAAATAAAAGTAAATAAATAAATGAATGCATTACTCTTATTTAAAAAAATAAATTTAGACCACATGAAAATATTACAAATACTTTGCAATAAATACTCTTGTGGGTGAAAGACTAAAAAACATGAGAGACTGAGCATTTATTTCTTTTCTATAGTATATCAGTCTCTTGAAGACATTTTTTAGATTATCTAAACAGAAGAAGGTTAAAGCTAGATAAATCTAAAATGAAACATTTTCTCACTGAACAATGAGTGTACATTCAGGAAGAAAACTACATTTGTTATAAAAAAATTATGGTTTTAATTTACATTTTATCCTTAATGTGGAGATTTTAAACATTAAGTACATCATTTAAATAAACTATCTGCCCTTCATCTTATCTCTATTAAAATCTTACTCTTTATTTTTTAAGATCTGACATAATTGCCAATTCTTTGAAAACTTCCCCGATCACCAGGGAAAATTGAACTCACCCAATTATGAATTCCAATGATAATGCTTTGTATCAATTTTCTGATACTAACTGCTTGCCCGTTTCTACTTTAGTTATTGGTTTATTTGCATTATCTCTAGGGTGACCATATAATTTGTTGAACTATTAAGGCCACCTTTGATAATAAAAGAGACAGCTTTTTAATTAAACCAGGATGGCAGGCATATACAATTATTCCTTGATATCCACAGAGGATTGGTTTCAGGACCCCAGTGGATATCAAAGTTCACAAATACTCAAGTCCCTGATATAAAAATGGCATAGTATTTACATTCAACCTATGCACATCCTCCTCTATACTTTAAATCATCTCTAGATTACTTATAATCCCTCTTACAATATAAATACTATATAAACATCTGTTATTCTGTATCATTTAAAAATTTCTATTATTTTTGTTGTATTATTTTTATTTTTTTCAAAAAATTTTAATCAGTAGTAGACTGTATCCATGTGGGTGAAACTTTGAATGTGGAACCTGCAAATATGGGGGGCTGACTGTACTTAGACTGCCTTGAGGAAACTGTACCTTTACCACCTGTATTTGAATGAAAGTATTTAAACTACATAGGTTAGAACTTTTATTTCTTTTTTCCTCTATGATACTTATCAATGTTCATTAAAATAAAAAAGTTTACAGTGTTTGTTAGATGATTGCTTTATTTGTTAATTTTAGATACTTCCTTTTATTTGAATTCTAAATAGTTTATCTTTCCAATTTATGGACAATAAAGTCACGACATGGACACAGTTTGTATAAACAAGAATTTCATAGACACCATAAATGAACAGAAATTGCTCAATGCTTGATTCGATACGTATACACATTCATATATGTAGACATATGTCACAATGAACAAAGGTCACCTTGAATCCTGGAATAAATATTTCTTTTAAACTTGATGGCTTGCATACCAAATTTGAAAGATTTGGACTTCAAAAAAAGGGCAATGCCAACAAAATTTATTAGACTTAGAGAGATTAAGGAAAACAGGATTGGTTTAACACATTCCAGAGAATTGTGATTATTAATTTTAATATCAGAACCATTCGTCATCTTAATTAATATACAAGAATATATTTCATATTTCTGTCATTAAAATGAACCATAAATTTTTTCCTGTATTTTATAACTTTAAAAAATGTTAAAGAAATTCAAGAATTATCAACAATTTCACATTGAATACATTTTCCATTATTTGAAATTCAGCTTAGATTTTGCATAAGATTATAATACAAAGTCCTGGATCCATTATATAATATTTTTAGTACTTTTTTTAGCTAGGTTTCATTCATTCAATCAAAATTGATAGTTGATTGTAATTCAATGGAAGTAGGTCACTCATTGTACTAAACTCAAAGATAAAATAGTGAATATAATATATTTAATCAAAAAGAAATATCATCTTAATAATCACTAAAAAATTTTTAATTGAGTTTCAGTTTTACATTTAGGGATTAAAACCTATAAACAGAATCATTAATTTTAAAATAATTGCATATTGTGCTAAATACAGTAATAACACATTAAGTATAAACATAATTTTACTTGCTTTGAAAACAAACTTGGTTTTCAGTGGAATGAACTTACCCTATATTATAGCTGACCTTATTAGGTCAAATTGTATTCACTTTTCTTTAAGCTAGCAATTAATTTCAAAGCTTATAAGCTTCAGATTACTTTCTTTGGCTAAAAAAATTCCTTCAGTTATTTTCATATTAAGTATTATGCTGTAGACCATATGATTAGCATGGACATAAAATTTTGAAATTAGGCCACAATAAACGAAAATACGTAATAGTGTGTAAGTCAGGGTCCCAGAAGGTGTGAAAGTTGCAGATATCAGGATGAAATTACTTTTAGAAGGCCCAAACTAAACAGGGCTGTGAAGACATCAAGGAGAGGAGGCTAGTGCTTACATGTGTGAGATAAGAACTGTTTCCAAGGACTTTCTAAAATCCACAAGGAATCCCTTGACATTCTTTACACATCTCTTGCTATGCAGGCTTACACATTTTTGCACAGGTACTTACATTTCTACGACAAAATTTATCACTGAACATTCTTTAGGACTGTAATAATTAAGATAAAATGCTCTCAAAAGGACATTTGCCCAGTAATGTCATCTCCACCAACGAACTGAGGACTATTGCTTTGGTTCTTTGGAGTCAATGAACAATGTTTCTAAGCATTCTAAACAGCTTAAAGGCACCTCTTCCTTTTTGCTAAGAAAAGCTTTCCTTTACCTCTATCTCACTGGATGCACTTGTGACATCTTGTATTATAATCCTCATTTCTCTTTTTTCAAGTAAACTGAACAATTTTGTGGATAATTTTCTGGATTTTAACAAATTTGATTGACACCAAAAACAGAAAGTACAATAAATTTGAATCAATTGAGGAGGGTTTTTTTTAAAGAGGCTATTTAAAAGGTTAGGAGTGTGACCACCTTTCATACAGAAACTTCTAGGGAAAGAGCTGCTGTGCTGCATACTCAATGTTTCTGTCTTCCTTCCCACTACTCATCTGCTGGGGATTATTTTGTCCAAATTCAACTGGAAGTCAGGGGACAAGTGAGTCTGCTGAAACAGTCAATGCAAGTTCTTCTTTGAGGAAGAAGAGCCAGGTAGAGGCTGAATCTAAGGGAACAAATAGAAGATACATAGCACAGTTCATCCCTTTGTTTCTCAGCATACACTTCTGTCTTTGTCCTAGGTGATAGGTGTGTTCCCATACGGGAGACATATAAAGTCCCACAGCACATCAATTCAATAATACTTCCTTCTGAAACCTAAAATATTAATTATAATCAGTGATTAAGAAAGGAAAGCAGAAGAAACCGAGGGGACCAACAGGACTTAACTAATGCAAAATATGGCTACTTCTTTAGCTACTTAAAAGACCTAGGTTGGTGATCCTGCCTTATCCATAATACAATCCGTATTCTCCTTACCCACTGCCAGTAACTTTTCTGGACAGGGTTCATTAGTATGGGGCTATGGTTTGAATGTATCCCCTCCAAAATTCACATGTTGTCAGTGTGATAGTGTTATGAGATAGGCCCTTTAAGAAGTGTTTGGGTCTTAATCTGTTAATCAATGAACTCATGCTGTTATACAAAGGACTTGTGAAAGTGGATTCACTTTCCTTTGCTCCTCTGCCACATGAGGACATAGAACTCCTTCCCTCTGGAGGATACAGCGTCAAGGTGTCATCTTGAAAGCAGAGAGTAGCCTTCTTCAGACACTGAACCTGCCAGTGTCTTGATCTTGGACTTCCCAGCCTACAGAATTGTGGGAAAATAAATTATTGTTCTTTATAATTTATCCAGTCTATGTTATTTTGCTATAGCAGCACAATAAGAGTAAGACATTAACTCAAGCCATTTTTCATTTACTGTGTCACTTTGAATAAGAAATGGCTTGAGTTAACGTCTTACTCTTAGGTCCATCATTGTAATGGTTCAGTATGGTGCTCTGTGATTTCTTCATTATCCAAATCTCTTTGGGCTTTATTGTGATACAGGGTGAGAGAGTTAACATAGCCCTGTGGCAAAACTGTAAATGCGTATTGTCTAGCTCATGTGAAAGAAACCTGTTTGTGGTGTCCTTTAAAATTGGTATGATGAAAAAAAATGCATTTGTGAAATAAAAGACCACATACTATGTGCCTGAGTTATTATCAATCTTCCCTTGCAATGACATTATGCCTGACATAGCAATGGCTATTGGGGCTACTACTTGGTAAAGTCTGCAATAGTCTTTAGAATTTCTCTTGCATCTGTAGAGGCCACAATAGCAAATTAGATAGATATATGATCAGGGCCCACTATCTCTGCATCTTTTTTTTTTTTTTTTTTTTTTTGAGACTGAGTCTTGCTCTGTCACCCAGGCTGGAGTGCAGTGGCATGATCTCGGCTCACTGCAAGCTCTGCCTCCCAGGTTCACACCATTCTCCTGCTTCAGCCTCCCCAGTAGCTGGGACTACAGGTGCCCGCCACCACGCCCGGCTAATTTTTTGTATTTTGAGTAGAGACAGCATTTCATCATGTTAGCCAGGATGGTCTCGATCTCCTGACCTCTTGATCCACCCACCTTGGCCTCCCAAAGTGCTGGGATTACAGTTGTGAACCACTGCGCCCAGCCTCTCTGCATCTTTTTAAGTCTGTAATGGTGGCATTAATCTTCACCATATATCCCAAGAAAATATTGTTTTCTTGGATAGGGTTGGATGAAAACGTAGTTTCAAAGGATTCTATTTGGCTTTCCCCAGTACAGTACCTCTTACTCCATAGACAAAGGACTCAATGTGGAGTCACTCCTACTGCCAAGTATATAAATTGCAATTATGTGCTCAGAAATTGAGAAATGGCCGCTGAATAGGTGTGCAGACTTACTGGACGCACTGAGAGTCATACTTTTACCAAAACTCCATTTATTACCTGGGTTCATAGGTTCCCATTTGAACCAGGGAGAGGAAAGGAGAGCATAATAATACTTTGGGTCTCTCGGTATCAATGCCAGCTCAGATCCTGCTTGCAACACTTCTTGAAATCTTTCTGAAGAAAGAGGGAGGTAGCTAGGGAAAAGTTGGAAAATTGTCAGACTGGAATGCAAATCTGGCCCCAAGTGAAGGCCAGATATAAATATATAAATCCACTCAGTGCTTTTCTTTACATTCCAGTTTCATAGATTTGATTGCATTCCCAACATCTCCATTTGGATGTCTAATAGACATTTCAAAATTAGTGTGCATTTTACTCCCAAATCCATTATCCTACATTCTTTCCATGTTGGTTAAAGGAAATTTATCCTTCCAGTTATTCATATAATAAAATCGTTGGCATTATGCTTAACATTTCTCTTTCTCTCATGCATCACATATAATCCATACACATCTACCTTTGGTATATATCCAAACTCTGACCACTTTTCAACACTTCCTAACAACCACTGCCATCTCTTGCCTATAGTTTGCAGTGACCTTATGTCTTCCTGCTTCCACCCTTGCTCCCTGAAAATTGAATCCCGATATAAGTGAGAGTGATCCTTGAAGAATGTAAGACAGATCATACCACTTCTGTCCTCAAAACCTTCCAATAATGTCTACCCATGATATAAAGACTAAAAACCAGAACTTTTAAATTGCCTACAAAGCCCAACATAAACGATTTCCTTTTTGATTTCGCTTCCTACTACTCTTCTTATTTACCTTTTCCAAGACATATTGACTCCCCTTGCTATTTTCAAACTCAGGCATTTCTTACCTCAGAACCTTTGAACTGGTTTTTCCCTCTACTTAGAATGCACTTTACCTGAAGTGCTTGGTTTATGTTTTCTGATTCAACAATATGCTCAAATGTTTTCTTTTCAAAATGTGCCTCCAGACTGTCATTTAAAAAATTGCAGCCCCTGCTAAGTCATTATTTCCTCTGCTATGTTTTATTTTTCTCCATAGTACTTACCATCTTATAATATATAATAGATATATATATATTTTATTTATTATTTGTCTATGTCTCTTTGAAATGTAGATAAGTCTCCCAGCCTCTTGCAAGTTTTACAACTTAGGAAAAGTAAAATAATCCAGTAGTCTTCTCTTTGAAATATAATTATTGAAGAAGATATCACCACTACCTCCCAGCTTCTGTGGGAGATAGAAGCCTCAATTTAATATCTCCAACTAGCAAACACTGATGGCCTTAACACATTGACCAACTTTCCCCCTAATGTTCTACAATACTTTCCCACTAGCTCACCCCTCCCACCTCTTGTTTTGGCAGAGTTGAGATCAGTCTCTTTCCCCTATTGCAATAAAGTCTTGAATAAAGTCTTCCTTGGCTGTTTAACTCGTCCGATGCAATTTTCCTTTGACAAAGACAACTTCCAATCTATTTGCTTGATATATTTGCCTATTTAGGACATTTCATGTAAATTGAATCATATAATATGTGGTATTTTGTGACTGATTTCTTTCATTTGTCATAAATGCTTTCTAGTTTCATCCATATTATAGCATGTATCAGTACTTCATTCCTTTTTTCACTGCCAAGTATTTTGTTATGTTTGTGGGTGTATATGTATATATATCACATATATTTGTTTATTCATTTGGCAGTTGGTACAAATTTGGGTTGTTTTCACTTTTTGGCTAATATGAAAAATACTGCTATAAGCATTCATGTACAAGTTTTGAATGTACATATTTTCACTTTCCTTGGAGATATAGGTAGTAATGAAATTGCTAGGTCATATAGTTACACCATTTTAACATTTTTAGCAACTGCCAAATCCAGAGTGACTGCACTCTTCTACTAACAATAGATGAAGGTCCTAATTTTTCCATGCCCTGCGAACATTTGTTATTATTTGGATTTTTTTATTGCAGCCATTCAAGTGGATGCTAAGTGGCATCTCATTGTGGTTTGATTTGCATTTATTTCCTAATGACTAACAAAAGTGAGCACCTTTCGGTGTGCTTATCTTCTTTGGAGAATTGCCTATTAAAATACATTATAAGATGGTGTTTTTATTGATACATAATATTTGTACATATTTATGGGGCGAATGTGATATTTTGATGCATGCATAGAATGTGTAACGATGAAGTCAAAATATTTAGGATTTCCATCACCTTGAGCATTTGTCATTTCTTTGTGTTGGGAACATTTCAAATCCTCTCTTCTAGCAATTTTTAAATATACACTATATTGTTGACTATACTCACTCTACTGTGCTATTAAACATTTGGGCTTATTCTTTTATCTAGGTACCAATTTACCAATCTGTCTTTATCCCCCCAACCCTAACAAACACACACCCTTTCCAGCCTCTGGTAATTTTCATTCCACTATATCTCCATGAGATCAACTTTTATAGCTCCTAAATATGAGAGAGAGCATGCAATATGTATCTTCCTATGTCTGGCTTATTTCACTTAACATAATGACCTCTCTTGTTCCATCCATGTTGTTGCAAATGACAGGATTTCATTCCTCTTTATGGTCAAATAGTATTTGTTCCTTTTTTTATTTAAGTGAAAGCAAAGGAATAAAAGAATGCCTACTCCATAGACAGAGCAGCCCGAGGGCTGCTGGTTGCCCATTTTTATGGTTATTTCTCGATGATATGCTGAACAAGGGGTGGATTATTCATGCCTCCCCTTTTTAGACCATATAGGGTAACTTGGCTTCTTTACTGCAACCTGTTTTATCAGCAAGGTCTTTAGGACCTGTATCTTGTTCTGAACTCCTATCTCATCCTGTGACTTAGAATGCCTTACCTGTCTGGGAATGTAGCTCAATAGGTTTCAGCCTCATTTTACCCAGCCCTTAATTAAGATTAACCTGCTCTGGTTCAAACGCCTCTGACCAATTTCCCCACTCCCTTTTATAAGAAAACCCTTATCCTAAGGGTTGCAGAGGGACGAAGATCCATATTCTATAACTTCTTCAGACTTATTCGAATAGGTGATTTCCTTTCTTTTGGATGAATATTCAGTAGTGAAGTTTCAAATTTAAAATGATCATACCTTAACTTTTCAAGTTTCAAAGAAATTTTCAAGAGGATATTTCAGTTGTCATGTAAATGCTGTTATGTGCATGGCAAAATAAAAATAAAAAAAGAAATTGATGTAGTTGTGGTGTTATTATATACATTTCATTGTTCCTGGCTCATAACTCACATAGCCCCTGTTACAGACTTTTGTTATAATGTTGGGTGTGTCAGGTCCCACGAAATGGAACCTCTCTGACCTCTTACCCTCCTTTCTTCTGCTCTAAGGCAGGACTCTAACTTTTCCCCACCTTTCTAATTGTGGGTCATAGGACTGTCATTCCAGAAGGATGCTGATCTCAAAAAGCTTCCATAAAAATCCAAGAGGACTGGGTTCTGGGAGCTTCCAGATAGCTGAATATATGGAGGTCCCTGGATGCACCAGGGAGGAATGGCCCAGGCCCCATCCCCCATACCTGACCTTATGCATACCTTCATCTGTTTCCTTTATAATATCCTTTATAATGAACAGATAAATGTAAGTCAGAGTTTCCCTGAGTACTGTGAGCTACTCCAGCAAATTAATCAAACTCAGAGATAAGAGTCCTGGGAATCCCAAATTGAAGCCACTTGGTCAGAAGTTGCAGAGGCCTGGACTTGCCACTGGTAATGTGTGGGAGCAGTCTTGTGAGACTGCACCCTCAACCTGTGGGATAAAACGCTATCACCAGGTAGATAGTGTCAGAATGGAACTGGATGACACCCAGTTGGTATCTGCTGCAGAACTGATTGCTTGCTTATTGGTCAGGAGAAACCACCATGTATTCTGAGGTCACAGAAGTCTTCTGTATTGATTGTTGTTGTGCTGGGGTAAGAGCACATTTTGAGAGAGTTTTTCCTACAACAGTGGTTGCGGGGAAATAGAAAGAATTTTTCTTTATTAATCATGCTATTTATTTTTGGATCTCTGCCAGTGTGGATTTATATAAAACCTTGAAGCATAAATGATGTCTTTGAAACTTAAAGCTGTTCACTAAAAGATATACATACTTGAAATGCAGATATTCAATTTCTTGGTTACACAAAGCGATATGTTCAATTTCCTTCTGATAAGCTCAGGTATGCCTCACTTAAAAAAAAACAGAATAAAAGAATCTACATTTCTAATACTAATAAAAAAGAGGACAAAAATATATACAGTATAAAATATTCTTTTATCAAAAAAGTAGAAAAAATGATCACAGGATTCTTTTAAGACATTTATCCACTGGATTCAATCATCATTTGACTAATTAATATTGAGTCTTTTAAAAAAAATTATGACACATGAAAGGAAAAAGAGTTTATGTGTTTCTTTATGTACAAATTACAACATATGTAGAAATAAATACAACTGAAGCCTTCCCAGTAAAATTAAATCAGTCTGACTAAAAGTGCATTACTCTTTCCCCTGTGGTATAATGAGAATGGCACTAGAAGAAGAATCAGAAGAACTGAGTTAGCAATTGTAGATATGTGGCAATTCCAGAGAGCAGTTTTGCTTAGTTGCATGAATTTGGACAAAAGAGGAGAAAATACTTGGTGAACTCTATAAAGTTTTATCCACATTTAAGGTGTTAACAGTTCAAAATCTGAGAATTACAAGGAATATGAAGAACAGAAGATGGCAGAGAAATTGACCTAACAATTGTATAATAGGGCACTCTCTCTCTCTATATATATATATCTCTATAGATACATAGATATATATATGGATATATATATGTCAGATTATATATATATACATATATATACAGATATATAATTGTCAGATTATATATATTTCCAAATACAACATAATAAGATGCATTGTCAGATAATAATAAGATGTAATTGTCAGATATATATCTATAATAATATATAATAATATAACAATAATAAGATGTAATTGTCAGATATATATATATATATCCATATATATATATATATAGAGAGAGAGAGAGAGAGAGAGAGAGAGAGATAGGTATAAAGATATGGATAGATAAATATAGAAATCTAACTCCCTATATAACCAATTCTAAGTAGGTGAGAAAAAAATTGAATTTACTTTTCAATGACTTTTAATTATCTGATAATCTGTGTGCTTCATGTTGACAAATCCAAAACTTGCCCTTTGATCCTCATGCTACTTGATACTTTACAAATATTTTATAATTTTGGCTTACTTTGCTTCTTCAAATGTTTCTTTTTCCTTTTGATTCCATGGTACCACACTTCCTAATTTTCTTCTTACTTCTCTGGACTTTATTTCTGGATCTGCTTATCATTCTCTACTTGACTATTGTCTATTTAGTTCTTCAAAACTTACAACGCTTTCTTGTTTAACGCATTACTATCTCCCTAGGCAATCTCATTCATATTCACAGTTATACTCACTACATAAAATTTTAACCTTAATGTATTCAAATTCAGCCTAGGCTCACATTTCAAAACAATAAGACTGATGACTGAATCTAAGAAGAAGAAATTACAGCAGCCAGAAGGCAATAAAAAGAAATGTTTAAACTGGTAAAACAACAACAAAAAACAAAAACAAAAACAAAAAACTCTCCCTGTCTAGAATTCTATATTCATTAAAATTATCCCTCAACAATTAGGCAAGACAAAGACATTTTCAGATAAACAAAACTAAGACATGGAGTATTTACATGAGTAAATGGAAAAGTATGTTTGATTACTTGCAGAAAATGTGGCTATAAGATATTTTTAAAAATGTATATGACAGTGGAACACAGAGGCAGAAGCATGTAAATGAAGATCAATTGCTGTAAAAATTTTCATATTGCAGGAAGTAGGAAAAAATATTAAATTAGACTATTATTAAGTCAAAGATTTATACTGCATTATGTGTTGCAACCATTAAAATAATATAATTTTTAACTATTAGATAATTTAAAAATAGGATAATAAAAATATTAATCTAAAACAAGGCAATAAAATAAAAATAAAGAAACAAAGAATAGAGGATAGACAATTATAGCAAAACAAATATTAAATGGTATACTAAATCCAAATATCTCAAAAATTAAATAAAATTTAAATGGACTGAACACAATAGCTAAATTATAAGGTTTATTAGACTAGTTTTAAAACAATAAAATTATTTTTAAATATCCAACTATATTCTTGAAAAATTATACTCAAATAAATGAAAATACAGAATTTTAAAAAATAGAATGGGAAAAATATACACCATAAAGACACTAACAAAACTAAGTTGCTGTGGCTATATTAATACAAAAAAAGTATAAAAATTATTACTTTAATTTTTGTTATTAATTTAACTTTAATGTACATGATTTAATAATATAGCTTGCACATATAAGCTGAAAACTCAAGAAATAAAAGTACATAAATCTATGAAAATAGAGATTTTTAACTCACATTTTTGAATAAATAATAGAATAAGAACAGAAAACAAAAAATAGTAAGTACATTAAAAATTTGAGTATAGAGTTAAATAACTTAACACAGAAAAAGTGGTATAATAACTGCAGAATGCATCTTATTATGTTTTATTTGGAAATAATTAGAAATGTACAGAGAAAATGCAGAATAAGAAAAGTACAAAAGACATCATAAATCCTCTACCCAGATTCATCTATCTTTAATATGTTACCCAAATTTTATTATTATCTGATTTATCTCCATAGACAGACTTATAGATACAGATATAAAAATGTATGCATTTGGCCCTCTATATCCATGAGTCTGACATCCACCAATTCAAGTGAGCAGATAAAAAATGTATTTTAAAAGGATTAATATTGCATATGTACTGAGTATGTATAGATGTTTTCCTTTTTAATATTCCCTGAAAAATAAATTATAACAACTATTATCATAGTATTTACATTGTATTAGGTATTATAAGTAATCTAGAGATGATGTAAAATATGTAGCAGAAGATATGTTGGTTGTATGCAAATACTACACTATTTTATATCAGAGACTTGAGCAAGGGCCATATCTTCACATATCATCGCATTGGTGATTACAGTTTCATCATATAAATTTTTGAAGAACACAGTTTTAGTACATAGAAAAGGAGGTGCACAATAGAGAAAATCCACAGTCAAAAGTTTGTTCTTTACGAAGACCAATAAAAGTAATAAACTGATAGTTAAGATTTATAAAAGTAATAAACACCTAGTTAAACAAATGAAATAAAATAACTGGACATCACCACAGATCCTGATAACATTTAAAAGGCAATTAGAGGGTTTTATAAATAACTTTATGCAAATAAATTTGACAATTTAGATAAAATTGATGCATTTTTAAGAAAAGAGTCCACCAAAACTGGTATAATAAAAATTCTGAATAGTCCTATTACAGCTAAATACATTTAACCAATAATAATAATAATAATAAAAGCTTTCCCACTAAGAACAATTCAGATCCAGTTGATTTCATGCCTGATTTTTAAAAATTGTTGATAAAAAATTAATACCATTCTTATATAAACTTTCAGAAGATAAGAAAACTTACTGTCATAGTTATATGACAGTATCTCTAATAAGTATAGGAGCAAAATTTCTGATATGGTTTAGCTGTATCCCCACCCCAATCTCACCTTGAATTTTAATAATCTCCACGTGTCAAGGGTGGGGCCAGGTGGACATAATTGAATCATGGGGGCATTTTCCACCACATTGTTCTTGTGGTAGTGAATAAGTCTCATGAGATCTAATGGTTTTAAAAATAGGAGTTCCCCTGCACAAGCTCTCTTGCCTGCTGCCATGCAAGATGTGATTTTGCTCTTCATTTGCCTTCCACCATGACTGTGACGCTTCCCCAGCCATGTGGAACTGTGAGTCAATTAAACCTCTTTCCTTTATAAATTACCCATCTTGCATATCTCTTTATTAGCAGCATGAGAACAGACTAATACAGTAAATTGGTACAGGTTGAGTGGGGTGCTGCTGTAAAGATACCTGAAAATGTGGAAACAACTTTGAAACTGGGTAACAGACAGAGGTTGGAACAGTTTGGAGCATTCTGAAGAAGACAGGAAGATGTGGGAAAGTTTGAAATTTCCTAGAGACTTGTTGAATGGCTTTGACCAAAATGCTGATAGTGATATGGACAATGAAGTCTAGGCTGGGGTGGTCTCAGATGGAGATGAGGAACTTCTTGGGAACTGGAGTAAAGGTTGGAACTTCTTGGGAACTGGAGTAAAGGTTACTCTTAATATGCCAAGAGACTGGTGGCATTTTGTTCCTGCCCCAGATATCTGTGGAATTTTGAACTTGAGAAATATGATTTAGGGCATCTGGAAGAAGAAATTTCTAAGCAGCAAAGTTTTCTAGAGGAAGCAGAGCATAAAAGTCTGAAAACTTTGCAGGCTGATGATGCAGTAAAAAAGAAAAACCCATTTTCTGGGGAGAAATTCAAACCAGCTGCAGAAATTTGTGTAACGAGACAAATGATAGTCGCCATGACAATAGGGAAAATATCTCGAGGGCATGTCAGACACCTTCAAGGCAGCCCCTTCTTTCACAGGCCTGGGGGCCTAGGAGGACAATATGGTATCATGGGCTGGAACCAGGGTCCCCCTGCTCTATGCAGCCCAGGGAATTCGTGCCCTGCGTCCCAGCTGCTCTAGCCATGGCTAAAAGGGGTCAAAGTACAGCTTGGGCTGTGGCTTCAGAGGGTGTAAGCCCCAAGGCTTGGCAGCGTCCATGTGGTATTGAGCCTGTAGATGCTCAGAAGTTAAGAATTGTGGTTTGGGAACATCCGCCTAGATTTCAGAGGATGTATGGAAATGCCTGGATGTCCAGGCAGAAGTCTGCTGCATGGGCAGGGCCCTCATGAATACCCTCTGCTAGGGCAATGCAGAAAGGAAATGTGGTGTTGGAGCCCCCCGACAGAGTCCCTACTGGGGCACTGCCTAATGAAGCTGTGAGAAGAGGGCCACCATCCTCCAGACCCCAGAACGGTAGATCCACTGACAGTTTGCACCGTGCCACTGGAAAGGCCACAGACGCTCAATGCCAGCCTGGGAAAGCAGCCAAGAGGGAGGCTATACCCTGCAAAGCCACAGTGGTGGAGCTACCCAAGATCATGGGAACCCACCTCTTGCATCAGTGTGACCTGGATGTGAGACATGGAGTCAAAGGAGATCATTTTGGTGCTAAGATTTGACTGCCCCATTGGATTCAGACTTGCATGGGACCTGTAGCCCCTTCATTTTGAACAATTTCTCCCATTTGGAATGGTTGTATTTACCTAATGCCTGCAACTCCATTATATCTAGGAAGTAACTAACTTGCTTTTGATTCTACAGACGCATAAGCAGAAAGGACTTGCCTTGTCTCAGATGAGACTTAGGACTGCAGACTTTTGAGTTAATGCTGAAATGATTTAAGACTGTGTGGGACTGTTGGGAAGGCATGATTGGTTTTGAAATGTGAGGGCATTAGATTTGGGAGGGGCTGGGGTGGAGTGATATGGTTTGGCTGTTTCCTCAACCAAATCTCATCTTGAATTGTAATAATTTCCATGTGTTAAGGGCAGGGCCAGGTGGAGATAATTGACTCATGGGGGGCGGTTTCCACCGTACTGTTCTTGTGGTAGTAAGTCTTGCAAGATCTGATGGTTTTAAAAGTGGGAGCTCCCCTGCACAAGCCCTCTTGCCTGCTTCTATGTAAGACATGATTTTGCTTCTCATTCACCTTCCACCGTGATTGTGAGGTCTCCCCAGCCATGTGGAGCTGCAAGTCAATTAAACCTCTTTCCTTTATAAATTATCCAGTCTTGGATATGTCTTTATCAGCAGAGTGAGAACAGACTAATACAATTTCTGAACAAAATATAAGCTAATTGAATTCAGGATATATATTAAAAAGATAATAAACTTTAACTACATGAAGTTTACTTCAGGAATACAATGTGGGTTTAAAGTTTAAAAGTTTACCATATTAACAGAATAAAGAAGAAATATACAACTTTCTTACTGAATTAAAAATTTTTTTCTGATAAATTCAACACCTCTTAAAGATCAATAACTTCCAGTAAACTAGAAATAGAATGGCTTTTCTTAATTTAATAAAGGTAATGTGCAAATAGCCTATAGCTAACATTATACTTTGCGGTAAAAATTTTAATTCCTGAGCCCAGGAGTGAAACAAAAAGGAGTGGGAATGATGAAAAAAAAATATTGCAATTGGACAATGACATGTAAAACTCTCTTCATTTACAATTAATGTAATTGTATACATAAAAATTTCAAGATAATCTAGAAATAAAATTAATCTCATTCATAATTAAACTTTGCAGGTATCTGGAAACAAGTTCAATATACAACAACCAATTGTATTTCTATATACTTGGAACAAATAACTGGGAAGCAAAGTAAAATCTTTAAAACACTATTTGAAATGGCATTTTGAAAAACCAGAATATGCAAAAGAATGAAACTGTACCCTAATCTCACATTATATACAAAAATTAATTTAAAATGGATCAAAGTCCTAAATGTAATAACAAAAAGTATAAAACTCTTAGAAGAAAATATAGAAGAAAAGCTCCAATGACATTGGATTTGTAGGTTATTTCTTAGATATGAAACCTAATGCACAGGCTTTTGTGCTGAAAAGAAAAAAAATTAATGAATTGAATATCATCAGAATTAAAAACTTTTTATATTAAAGGATGCTATTAACAGGGTGAAAAGGCAATCCACAGAAAGGGGTAAAATTGTTGCAAGTCATTATCTAATAAAGAATTAATGTTAAGAATATATAAAGAACTCTGACAATTCAACACCAAAAATACAAACAACCATATTAAAAAATGAGCAAAGGACTTGAATGTGTGTTTTGCCAAAGAAGATATACAAATGACGATAAGTATGTGAAACAATGCTCAATATCACTAAGCATTACAAAAATGAAATCAAAACCACAAACAAAAATTAATTGTTGACAGAGATATGAAGAAATTAGAACTTCTTTGCTTTTCTGATGGGAATGTAAAAATGGTACAGCCATTATCAAAATATTATGGTAGTTCTTCAAAAAAATTAGCATAGCATTATCATATGATCCAGCAATTCCACTTTTGTGGGCATTTGGGTTGCTTCTCAAAGAAACTGAAAGCAGAGTTTTGAGAAGATATTTGTGCACCTGTGTCCATAACAACATTATTCCACAAGAGCTAAAACATAGAAGTAACCCGTGTCCATTCATAGATAAATGGAATAACAAAATGTATATGCATACAATAGAATATTATTCAGACTTAAAAAAGGAAGTTCTGACATATGCTACAACATATATGAACCTTGAGGACATTACACTAAGTGAAACAAGCTAGCCACAGAAAAACAGATAAGTCAAAATTATTGAGACAGAAAGTAGAATAGTAATTTCCAGGGGCTGTGGAAGAGGAGAATGGAGAGTTGTAGTGTTTCAGTTTTATAAGATGAAAATAATTTTGGTGATGGATGGTGGTGATGGTTACACAACAATGTGAATGGACTTAATGCCACTGAACTATACACTTAAAATAATAAATTTTCTGCATACTTTACCATAATAAATAAACAATATACCTAGGATTAAAGCTAATGCAAGGTAAAACCTGTGTCCTTAAAACTACAAAGAAGAGCCGAGAAAAAGACAAAGAGACTTAAATAAATGAAGTGAGGCAAACATAAATTAGAAGACTCGATACTGCCAGAACAGAAATTCTTCCCAAACTAGTTTATAGATTTAATAAAATTCCAGTCAAAGTTTCTGAAAGTATTTTTGGAAAAATTAATACAATTTTATTTTTGGAAACCCAAAGATACTTGAATAGCAAAGACAATTTTGAGCATGTTCAACAAGTTATAGAATTTACATCATCAGATTACAAGACGGGTTATAAAGCTTTAATAATTAAGACAATGTGGTATTGGCCTAAGAATAGTCAAATAAAAGAATAACTACAATAGTTAAGAAGTAGACTTACACATACCAGGCCATTTTATTTATAAATAAATAGGCCAATGACAGTCAGTGAG
Source organism: Homo sapiens (assembly GCF_000001405.40). Classification (NCBI taxonomy): domain Eukaryota; kingdom Metazoa; phylum Chordata; class Mammalia; order Primates; family Hominidae; genus Homo; species Homo sapiens. The sequence goes on from NC_000012.12 coordinate 81,838,426, forward strand.
GAAAGAGTGGTCTTTTTAATAATGGTACTAGAAAATTAGATATAAATAAGAAATATTGAATCTCTATTTTTATGTTCACCATAATCCAAAAGAAATTCAATTTGCATAGTCAATTCAATTGAAAATGTAAAACCATGAGACTTCTAGACAAGAACATGGGAATATGTCTTTATTACTATAAGATAGGCAAAGATTTTTTAAACATGACATACAAAAATAATTAAAAATTGCCAAACTGTACAACATTTAATTAAGAATGTTTGTTACTCAAAAAGTATCAACAGAGTTCATAAGTAAGACACTCTTATAATTACAGAATATAAGAAAGTATTTAGAATAAATGTACCTGAGAAAGGACTCATATCTAGAATACATAAAGAACTATAACTAAACAATAATAGATAAATACCTTAATTTCAAAAAATAAATGGCCAAAAGACTGACCAAGCACTTCACAAAAGTGGTTCAATAAGCATGAAAAGTTCCACATCATTTATTATCAAAGAAATTAAAATTGAAATGATAAAACACCCATCACAGTAGCTAACATGAAAAGGAATGAACATTTCAAATGTTGTAACAGAGATGGAGTAGGTAAAACTCTTTCACTCTGCAAGTGTTAGTATAAGTTGCTACAACCACTTTGGCAAACTTTTGGCAAAGGTAAAACCTACATTTACCCTAGACTCATTACTTCTATTTTTAGATATTCGTAAGAGTACATATGTGTACCATATGATTTGTTCCTAGCAGCTTTATTTAGAATAGCCATGTACTTGTAAAAACATAAATGGCCACCACCAAGAGAACAAACACACAGATTATGCACATGCAAACTCATGGGAATGCTATACAGCGCTAAAAAAGAACAAATTAGTGATAACCACAACAGCATAGATGACTGTCACAGACATAATTTTGAGTAAAAGAAATAATATATACTGTATGATTCAATTCATATGAAATTCAAGACAGGTGAAATTAATCAATGTTGTTGACTAGGAGAATACTGAGTATCTCTGGAGGAAGGTATTGACTGGGACGGATTTCAGTACAAGGGCACCTTCTGGAGCTTGGTATCTTGATCTGGGTCATGGTTGTTAAATTGATGTAGTAATATGTAAACATTTTTATGTTAAAATTACTCTAGCAATATACTTTAAATTAGTGCAATTAATTATTCATACGTATATCTCATTTTAAAACTAAACACCTACGCGTGAACACAAGGTTAGGTATGATCAAAAGGCTTTGAAAATATGGAGCTGAAAACCATTCCTTTGGCCCATAGACACTTAGTAAGCCCAGCTGAAGAAGCGCCTAGCTAAACAGCCCATCCTCATCACATGCTTCATCTGTAAGACTAAGCATAAGCAAGTCTGAGAAACACTCAGTCTGGTTAAATTTTTTATGTTGATACACAATGACTTCCCCTTCTAGTTCCTTCATGCTTTGTAAGGCTTTGCTGACAAGACCATGAATCTTTTTAAATGTGTATCATGACATGATGAATTACTCTTGAAGATGGAAGAATTTTTAAACAATCTCCTTTCTGCACAATAATTACTAATTTATTCTATAACACGAGTATTCTTAAATCTTATTTCCTTTTCCTTCAAATAATGAGGCAGTTGTTGCCCTGGATGTGGTTTTCAAATAGGAAATTAGTGCAGAGATTATATCTTCAGAAACCTACTTTTCAGGATACCCACGATTCTCCTATTTATTCCCATATTATTGATCTCTCTTAAAACGCTTACATTAGTTTTGTTGCATGCTTAATTTTTCAGTACTAATGGACTCCTAATTAAATTATATAAATGAATGAATTAAACATAGTTAACATAATACTTAATGCTAAAATTAGAGAGGAAGAATCTGTTATTCTATAAAACTGGAAATAAAAAGACAATGTAATCAAGTTCATATTTATTTTTTATTTTTATTTATTTGTATTTTGAGACAGGGTCTCTCTGTGTCACCTAAGGTAGAGCGCAATGGCAGAATCATGGCTTGCTGCAGTCTCAACCTGCTGGGATAAAGTAATTCTCTCATCTCAGCCTCCCAAGTAGCTGGGACTATAGGCACACACCACCACATCCAGTTAATTTTTTTTTTACTTAATTTTTTGTGGAGACTGGGTCTCACTGTGTTGCCCAGGCTGGTCTTGAACTTCTGGGCTCAAATGATCTTCTTGCCTCGGCCTCCCAAAGTGCTGATATTACAGGCATGAGCCACCCTGACCAGCTCTGTACTTACTTTTCTAAGCACAGTTAAGTAAGAAAAGCTTTCAGCATCATGATATCAATCATCAAGTGAAATGTGTTCAATTTCTTAAACCTATGCAAAATCTATATCTTCTATCTCATATAGTTATATGGTTCAATATTTTTTTATCTTTTTTTAAAACAGCTTCATTGAAGTATAATTAATATACAAAAACTGCACACATTTAATGTATACAATCTGATGAGTTTGTACATATTTATACATTGCAAAATCATCACCACAACCAAGGTAATAAACATATTCATTACCTTCAAGTGTTTCTTTATGCTTCTTCATTTTAAGAAATTTGCGTATTGAGAAGTCTTTTTCTTTGATATAATCAAAACAAGAGGTTTTGAATAATAAAATAATTTTGTGAAAATAATTAAAGCTATAAATACAATTTAAAGGATGTTAATTATTCTTTTCTTTTAAAACATTAGTTTTATTCAGTGTTAATGTGCATGAGATGAATAGAAGCGTAAGCAATAAATTTATAATTTACAAATTGTGAGCAATGTGAGCAATTTCATTTGAATACCAATAATAATCTGATTGAGTTTAGCAAAAATAATTAACCAACTGGCATATAATTTAGCTTTGGTTTTGTGAGCCAGCATAAAAATTCATTAATCTAAAATAACTTTAAAGATCACTATCATTTTAAAATGATTTTTCTCACTATTTGTCTTGTCTTCTCTTCAAACTGTGTTTTCTGTTCCAGTCAAAGTTTAAAATATGACATTAATACAAAATTAATTCTTAACATTTATCATACTTGTCTATTACTATGTCAAAGATCTTACCAAGATATAGAAATTAAGTGTAATTGATTTGAGCTGTAATTTTTAAGAATCTAGACTTTGAAACATTCATTGTCTATCACCATTGCCATTCATATTCACTGCCCCTCTAGAATCATGGCCATTAACTAGTACAATATCTCCTAGTCTCCTAAACTAAAATTGTAGTACTTCATTAAAAAGAGAAAACTCTAAGATATGTACTAAACCAGATGGGATTACAGGATTTTTGATTACTTGATTACTGTAAATCAAGAAGAAGTGTATGTTTCTGACTGTGATCTTGAAAGATTTCTCACAGAGGTGGCACTACATTTTGGATTTAAAAGAGGCAGCAGTGTTTAACAGACAGAAATGGTAGTGAAGATACTGCAGACAGAGAGGATGGGTATAAGAAAAACTCAAAATCTGTATTTCTGTTAAGCAAACCAATTTTCTTGGTCTCTGTAGCAATACAAAAGTTCAAGATGTAATCAAACGTTTTAAAAAACACTGATGCTTTCCATACCAAAAAAAACCTTGCATGCATTTTCTTGATGCATTCCAATATGCAGGATAATACCACTGTTGGCAAAAGATGATTTTATGTATGTAAACACAATAGTAAATAATTAAGCCAAGTAATAAGACAAGTACTCTCTTCAATCTCTCTAATTACTTCAGAAATAACATCTTTCTCTGTTACCTATTGTCTATACCTTTGTATAGTTGACAATATATTTTTTCAAGTAACACTGAACTGGCAAAAACTTTATAATTGTTCAATCATAAATTTAATACAATTTATTAATTTGAATAAATTAAAAATAAAATTAATCATATTAGGTATTACATTTTATTTGTGGAGACTGATGCTTTTTTATTTAAAGTTGTGATGTAGAGTTTTATTTTTAAATAAGTTTCCTTAAGAAAAAAGCAAGTTGACTTAAATACAAAATGTAGTTAATGTAATTTGCAAAATGGCAAAAAATATAAAGTTCCTACATAAGAATTTGAATTGGGGAAAGAGTGTGCTCAAGATTCGGAAGCAATAAAGAAAGAAAATTTTGAGCTCACCACAATAGTGACCAGACATTTAAACGTATCAAAATAAAGACCCCTTAAATTTGTTTTACAAAGACATCGGTTTTCCAGGTGTCCTCTAAAATGCAATATTTAATCCCAAAGTTTATCTCTTTATCTTTAACATGTAAATCCACCTGGGAAATTTTAGAGTAGTTCATATTTTTTTTAAACATTGCTCATGAATTCTACCATTGTTATATGATCATATCTGTTATCTGACCTCACCCTTCCAACTGAACATATTTTATACATATCCTTATTTGGATTTTCTCTCAAAATATTCTACAGAAATTAGAGGAGAAATGTTATATAAAATATTTTTAGAGAATAGTAAGTTAACTGTATCTGACTTTTATAAGAGCACTTTTAACTATGGTGTCTTTTTATTAATACCTGCCATAATGAATTCGGTTACTTTGGGTTGGACAAATATTTTCTACAGTTTTTTATTGACATAAAAGTATAGCTATTATTTATTTACTTCAGATCTTTATACATTAAAAAATAAGTTTAAGCATTCTGCAGCAACCACTTCCCTATTTTCATGCAATATTAACTGCATATATATAAAGGATATTTTCAAATGACACTTAAAAACGCTCACTTGTGTTTTACTTCATGTACATAATTTGCTTGGTTAGAATGAAGGTTGTGCTAACATTTTAATACTAGCTACACTGTGATTTATTTATGAAAGCTTGTCAAGACACAACTCAACCATTACTTTCACTCCTTTCTTACATTAATTCCTACATCATGCCTTATGCTTCTAAATTGGGTTGGACATTAACCTGCAAGCAAACATTCAGATAAAATTTACTGAACATTAATTATGAATTGAAGCAATCTCAAGAGTCACAAAAAAATACTAAATTGTTAAAAAAAAAAAAAAAAGAAGAAGGCAGAGTCTCTGCCAGTAAGTATTTAAATGCTACTTCAAGAAACACAAAATATAAGCATGGGAAAACTTTAAGGGAATTTAACAAGCAGCTTGCCATTGAACATGCATTAACTAAAATGGCAGTTGAGAAGAGAAGAGAAATTAAAAGGCAGTGCATTCTCAGTGAAAATCCCAAATATGCCACTAATTATTGTGTAACTTTGGGCAAGATTTTAATGATTCTATATCTCAGTTTCCTCATCAGTAAAATGTGGATAACATTAACATATATTAGACAGGGCTGGCTATCTCTTCAACAAAATCTGCTCTCCCCTTCTTAATCAAGTTTTGCTAGGAAGCATTTATTCATTAATGGACCCTCTTTCTCAGCTCTTACTGCAGCCAGATGTGGTCATGTTTCTAGCTCTTGTTGATGAAATCTGAATAGAAGTGATGTTTGTCTCTTTCAAATTAAGATTGTTAAGAAGAGCATGCTTTCTCTCCATGAAGGAAAGCTGCCTACCAAACAGGAATAATCCCCTTTGACTATATAATTGAGTCATTGTTTTTGCGCCATTTGCTACCTTAGTTTACCATATACTAACAACTGACCTAGAATTGTTGTGAAGAACATTTTAACACATAGCCTCACTGACAGTAAAATCTTAGTAAATGTTAGCAATTTATAAGTAATGCTTTTACTGGGAACTATTTGTTGATATTTACTAGTTCTGTTAACAATCAGTTCCTTCTATAAGAAGCTAAAAGAAATGTCAATCAACTTGATAAGAGTATAAACACTAAATCCAACTTGTTAAGCCCATAATATGAACATGCTATTTGATTCAAAAAGTATTTTATATTATCTGAAGTAAACATGTTATTCTGTCAATAATGAACTTCCAAAGTTTTTCACAATAAGTGCCTGCTTCTTTTATATTTATCAAGGTATTTATTTAATACATGAATACATGAATGATCCAAAATAGTAACTGTCTTAAAACCAGCTTATAGCAACTTTGTATACTGGTCTCAGACAATGCAGTAAAAATGAATGTATAGAGGTTCAGCAATTGTTTTCCAGCCTTCTTTAATGTTGAAGGGAGTCAATAACTAAAATAGCCCAGCTGTGAATTTGATAAACTGGTAGTGCTATATTTAGTAATCCATTCAATAATCAATAAGCTATGAATTGTATTGGATGTATAAATATAATCTAGTGTAAAAATTACTCTTTGACAGACTATATCAGAAATATTATTTCTTAGAAATTCTTTTTGACTTGGTTAACATGTTCTCAGTCATTTCCACAATATCAGTCATCAGATTGTTGTTTTATACAGAAACAAACCCCCTTCACAAGCCATCATTCTCCAACTCTTTAAAATCATATAGGATTTCTGTGTATTTCACAACTAATTAAATGGCAAATTATCTTTACTTTCTGTTTTATTCTGTGGGAAGTATTATAAAATCCAAGCCACTGAAACAGATGATGAATTTGACTAAAATAAGAATGTATTTTTGCACAATAATGAAATATTTAAGTGCACTGTATTTGCTCCTTGACACTTTTTATAAGTTAAAAAATAATATTACCCAATAGGTGCTTTTTGAGCCCTCATCCTCCACCTTACTTCCCCCCTCTAGTAGTCCTCAATGTCAATTGTTCCCATCTTTATATCCATATGTATTCAATATTTTCCTCCCACTTATAAGTGAGAGCATGTGGTATTTATTTTTCTATTCTTGTGTTAATTTGCTTAGGATAATGGTCTCCAGCTGCATCCATGTTGCTGCAAAGGACATGATTTCATTCTTTTTTATGGCTGTGTAGTATTCCATGGTGTATATGTACCACTTTTTCTTTATCCAATCCACGGTTGATAGGCAGGTAGGCTGATTCTATGTCTCTTCCATGTGAATAGTGCTGTGAAGAACACACGAATATATGTGTCTTTTTGGTAGAACAACTTATTTTCCTATGGGTATATATCCAGTACTGGGATTGCTGAGTCAAATAGTAGCTCTGTTTTAAGTTATTTGAGAAATATCCAAACTGCTTTCCACAGTGGCTGAACTAATTTACATTTCTACAAACAGTATATAAGCCTTCACTTTTCTTTATAACCTCTCCAACATCTGCTATTAAAGTTTTTATTATTTATTTATTTATTTCAAATATTAAAGAGTTTATCTGAGCAAAAAGAATTCAAAAATTGGGCAGCATTCAAAATCAAAAGAAGTTCACAGAGCTCTGCTGCAACAGTGTGGGCAATGTGCTTTTAAGAAAATATATTTGATTTATTAGAGTGGAAATTCTCTAGGTAGAGGTTAGTTGGTGGTTTCTGATTGGCAAAGTCTTTAGTTTTGTTTTACTGTTTACATTGGGCTTTTGGATTGCTTATATAGGAACCCAAAGTGTTGGAGTCATCTCAGCCTGATGACCTCCCAATTAAAAAAAAATTGTAACATCTTTAAGGCAATGGTCTTAAAAATTTCTATTTACTCTCTTTTTTAAAAAAAAAAATGCATGCACAGGTTTGTTTTATAGGTAAATTGCATGTCTCAGGAGTTTTGTGTACAGATTGTTTTGTCACCTAGGTAATAAGCATAGTACCCGATAGATAGTTTTTCAATCCTCATCCTCCTCCCACCCTCCACCCTCAAGAAGGCCCCAGTGTCTATTGTTACCTACATCATTTCCATTTGAGAACAAATTTTAGCTCCCACTTCTAAGTGAGAACATGCAGTATTTGCTTTTCTGTTCCTATGTTAGTTCACTTAGGATAATGGCCTCCAGCTCCATCCATGTTGCTGCAAAAGATGTGGTCTCATTCTTTCTTATGGCCGCATAGTATTTCATGGTGTATAAGTATCACATATTCTTTATCCAGTTTACCATTGATAGGCATTTAGGTTGATTCCATGTCTTTGCTATTGTGAATATTTTTAAATAATAGCCATTTTGACTGGTGCAAGATGGTATCTTGTTGTGTTTTTGATTTGCATTTCTCTGATGATTAGTGATGTCGAGCATTTTTTCATGTTTATTGGCCACTTGTATGTCTTCTTTTGAGAAGTGGCTGTTCATATTCTTTATTCACTTTTTAATGAGGTTATTTAGTTTTCTGCTTGCTGAACTGTTTAAGTTCTTTACAGATTCTAGACATTAGACCTTTGTTCAATGCATAGTTGGCACAAGAAAAAACAAATGTTGGTGAGGATGCAGAAAAAGAACACTTATATACTGTTGGTGGAAATGAAAATTAGTACAGCCAATTTGGGAAACAGAAGGTAAGTTTCTTAAAAATTTTAAACTAGAACTACTATATAATCCAACAATCTAACTTTAAGGTATATACAAAAAGGAGTTGAAATTAGCGTGTTGATGAGACATCTGCACTCCCACGTTCATTGCAACATTATTTACAATAGCCAAGATACGAATCAAACTAAGTGTCCATCAGTGAATGAATAAACAAAGAAAATGAGTATATACACACAATAGAATACTATTCAGTCTTAGAAAAGAAGGAAATTCTGTCATTTGTGACAAGGTGAATGAAACTGGAGGACTTTATGCTCAGTGAAATATGCCAGACACAGAAAAATAAATACTGTATGATCTCACATATACATGGAAACTAAAAAATGTGAATTCATAGAAGCAGAGAGTAGGATGGTGGTTACCTGGGGATGGGGGCCAAACAGAGGGGATGAGGAGATGTTGGTCAAAGTGTACAAAGTTTCAGTCAGACAGGAGGAATAAGTTCTGGACATCTGTTGTCCATTACGATGAGTATAATTAACAAAACATATTGTATACTTAAAAATTGCTAAGTGAGTAGACTTCAAATGTTCTCATTACAAAAAATAATAAGTATGTGAGTTAATGGATATGTTAATTAGCTTGATTTAATCATTCAACAACATAGACCTATACTGAAACATCACATTGCACATAATATACACAATAAAAAATAAATAAAACAATTTAAAAATTAAATAAAATAATATTAAAACATTTCTCATGAATATACTCATGAAAGACAATTATCTGAGGAAATGTGAACTAAAAATAAGTAGTAAAATTTTCTTTTTTCCTGAGTCAAATTTGGGAGTTAGGGAAGCTTCCTCTGTTTTCTGTCAAGGATTAACATGGTTCTGTAGATTTCCCAAAATGATCTGCTTATGGAAGAATATATTTAAACCTAAATGGCAACGTAAACCAAGGATCAATGGTTATCAGTACAGTTTAATAAAAAGCAAATATAAATCAACACTATTTTCCAAAGATTTTCATAATTAATTTATAAGTAAAAATTAATTTAAAAATTAAGTAAAAATTAATTATAACATTAATTTAAATTAACTAAAATAACTAAGTTACAAATACTTTGGTAATTTAACATTCAAAAATAAATTATAAACTTCCACACAGGCATATTTGTAAATGAGGGGCTCCTGACCAATTGTTTCTACTAGAAATGTTTTCTGGAAAATTAAACAACTTCAAATTTAATATGACTGAAATCTTCATATATAAGTTACAGAGATAAAATCATGTGTCCCTTAAAGAACAACAACAGAGTTGTAGTCCTTAAATATTGCCTTAATGTCTTGAAGATCACAAAGAAAGCAATCCCAAAACACTTCTTATCATAAAATGCAAGTCAATGTTCATGAATGCATGAATAATACAGCCTTTTGGTGTTTCAGTGTGAGTCTATTACATCTGAAACTGATTTATATAAGAAAACAAATTATATTATAAAACTAGATATCTAGAAGAGTTAGGGTAGTTAATGCATGATACATGCAATCAGATTATCTTAGTCTTCCCGTTCTTGCATATTCCAAAATCCAATTCTTTCCCAACATGAAGAGAAAATTGTGTTCCTGACCAACTAATGTCTGCATGCTGTTTTCTCATATTATTTTATTCAGCATAGCCTGTTCCTAACGTAGTCAAATACAAAAAAAAAAAAAAAACCTATGAGGAAAGCAATAATTTTAAAGAACTACACGGGGCCTGAGTGTTTATCTGGCTTCAATTTACAGAAGAAAACCAGGAAACATGAAAATATCGGGAGAAAATAAAATGTAACTAAATAGGAAAAGATACCTTTGATGGAGCAGTGATTCTGAATTCATTCAATGCTTGCTCTTCCACATAAATGGGCAGCTTCTGCTAGTCTGTCCTTTCCATCTGAACTAGATAATGGTAGCTAATATTTATTTCATATGCATTATATGCCAGGTATCTTTGCAAGCACATTAAATACACTAAATCACTTAATCTCTGCAGGAGCGTATAGAATAAATTATTATTATCCTGTTCACCATTTAACAGATAATATTATATGAAATAATATGGAAGTTAATATTACCCGTAATTATAGAGAGCATAGAATTTGTCATCTATTTTGAAATACTTTGAGAATGAAAGTATGAGTAATTAGGACAGACATTAATTAGGGCTGTCACAGGCAAACCAAAACATATGATCATCCTACTTGTATTAAATAACGGTTTTAAGAAAATAGAAGTGACATTATAAATATTCTTTTAACATTTAAAAATTAGTACAATTTTGAATTTTTATTTTATTAGTTTCTAATACTTGAGACGGACTATATAGTATTGCAGTATTATTCACAATAGGTAGCAGTGTCGATAGAATTTTCAGCAATGTTTGTTTTATACTTCAAATAAGCAGGAAAAAAATTTGGCAGAGGACCCAGATAAGAAAAATACAGATAATTTTAGTTCCCTTTAGATGTACAGAAATTGCAAACTTTAAGATAAAATTGCTTAAGTCTTTATAGGAACCATATCTATTGCAAAGGTTTCTTGTTCTCAGAAATGTCAGCATAAAATAATTGCTAAAAGATATAATGCATTCACTTAACACGTTTGTTCAGGACATATATGCAATCTAATATTTCTTTTTACTTAGATCTAAATACTGAATAGTTAAGAGTCACAATTATTCAGAGAAATTGACTTATCTAACATCTATTGACTACCTACTATGTGCGGAGCATTTAAGGATGTTGAGAAGAAAAACAGTTAAATTATACTTAGGGGGATGCAAGTAGAGAAAGACAGAAGAGTCACTAGGTACATAATTGAACAATCATGACATATCAGCTATTAGTAATTGATATAAAAATAGATTATTGAAATAGTAACTTAAAGGTAGCAGAGTTTTGCTGGGTTTTCAAGGAATTCCTGTCACAGGAGTAAACACTTGAGTTGGAATTTTAATGATAGGGAATGAATGAGAAAGTTGGGGGAAGCATTTGGGGCAGAGGAAAAAGCAGATGCAAAGACCTGAGTTGGGAACAAATCCAGGTAGCTGAAGGGGCGGAAGAATCCAATAAGCTAGAAAGTAGATACAGCAGGAGAGCATGGTTCCAAGTAAGGTTGGGAGTTGACCCAGGCCAGAGCACAAGAGTTTGGGGACATAGTACTTACTATGGGTTTAATCTAAGCGCAAAAACAAATGCCATTAGAGTCTTAATCAGTGGGTACCATTATTTGATATCCTTTTTAGATGTATCACTTTGGCTACAATACAAATAACAGATTATGGGAGGGCAGAATGGAAACAGTGAAATAAGCAGATAGCTAAACAGTGGCTTCCGTTTGGGTGGGGGTATTGGAAATGGGAAGTGGTGGGTTCAGTTGGAATATATTTCCAAAATTGAAACAAGAAAGATTTACTGAAATCATAGCTCCTTTTTCTGTCATAATTGTTGCCTCATTAATGAGACCAGTTTTTTATTTTTCTGTTATAGTTTGTTTCGTTTTTCACCTGTCACGGGATTCAGGGAGTCAATTAACAGATTTCAGGTGTTCAGTGAACTCCCTACAATTGTATGCAAAATAATTGAGTGCATTTATTTATGTATACAATGTTAAGGGGAAAAGAGTTAATTACTGTCATCAGGTAATCAGAGGTCTGTGACCCAAAGTGAGGCAAGAACTATTGAGCTTATATTTCTAAATATTTCATACATGGTTTCCCATGACCTGGTTATTTTTCTGTTTTCTTCTCTTAATATCCCTGCCTGGTAATTTACATTTTAATAATACTGAACTGCTTCATCTCTTTCCAAATACACTGATATTTCTTTCTCCAATATCTCTTCTCTATTATAATGCTGTATTATTTGCCTCAGCATTTTTGGTTTGGCAAATTTTCCTCATCCTTCAAGTTTTGGCTAAGACATCAACTTCTGTTAGAAGTATCATCTGAACTCCTAAATTGAGCTTAATCATTCCCCTTATATGTCCCAAAAGTTTATTTAAAAGATACTGTGCTTTAAAGCTTTAAAATTTAGGTGGAATATAACGCCTGATTTGTGATACACTCTAGATGAAGGTAGCAATTATTTCATTATAGAATTCCCAAACAATAACATATAATTTCACATTATTTATTGTTCATATATGAAATACTTTATATATATATATATATATATACACACACACACATATATATATATGTAAGGTATATATAGACATATACCTTGTTGTTCCTGTCTAATCCCTCTACTTCAAACTTCAAACTCATGTGATGGTCCTGTATTTCTTAATAATTTCAGTTTATAACAATTTATACCTAAATACAGGACAAGAACTGTGCTTTTAACCTGTGTTTGTTTTTGAGGCTTAAAAAATTAATTTTCAGACAATTCTGGTTATATTTCTCATTTGGTCTGCCACAGTGTATTCTCAATATGACTTTCCATTACAAACGAATGTACATAATTACCAACTTATTTAATATCATTCATATGGTATAATGTATATTTTAAGCAATTTTTGAAATTACAAAAATATTATAATCATTTTACAGAAGAGAGAAAGAACAATAAATGAAGTCACTCAAAATGCTACCAGTTTAATACACTGTGATGTGATGCTGTTCCTCAATTTAAGATTTCTTTTGTCCTTTTTTCCATACTTACAATATCTATCCCTTTTTTCAACTTAAAAAAAAGTATCTTCCTTTTTAATGTAAATTTTATAGTGCTTAGTTTTGAATTGTATACAATATTCTTATGTAAATAAACTATTAATTATGTAAGAATTTCTTTATTAGAGTCTATTTGTGAATTTGTTTTCATACTGGTGTTATTTCATTACACAAGATTCACAGTATTGGTATTACTGATCAAAGATAATTAACCTAAAATAGCTGTTGATACAGATTGCCTAATGTATATCCAATACAGTTGTACAATTACAAAGTCACCATCAATAAAGGATAAGCCACTGTATATCACATTTTCCCATATAAATATTATTCACTATATCTTATTTAATGGATGCATAGAACATGATTTTTCATTTTCCTTTATTTTGCATTAGTATCATTGTGCAACTGAAATAGAATTTTTAAAATTATACATTTAAGTACTAATGATATTTCCTCTTTTGTTTGCCTATTTCCCGTTCATCATGTTATTTTTTTCCTCATTAACTTGTAAAAATTATTTTAAAGACAAGCAATTACTTCTACCATACTTGCAATTTTGTCTTAAAATGTGTTAACACACTGAACACTAATTGAACTATTTTATGTCACAAGCACCATGACAACAGGTTTATATACACCGGCTCACTCAATTCTTAACAATAATTATGAGACAGGTGCTATTGTTAGCTCCATTTCATAGATAGGAAACTAAGGTATACAACAATTAAGTAGCAGTAGGAAAGCCGGATTCCAAAATCAAGCAGATTGATTTTCAAGCTCTGATTAGTTCCTCAGAAAAAATCTAACGCCTTACAATGATATATTTCCTTTGGTTTATCTTTGAGCAGAGTTATTTAAGGCTCTGACTATGAAGAATTCCTTTGTGCTTAATTTATATTTTTGTCCTGTGATTAGAAGGGGGAATTACTAATTTCTAATCATATCCTTCTTTGTGAAATATATTTTTTAAAAATGTTACAATTCCTGGCCAACATGGTGAAACCCCGTCTCTACTAAAACTACAAAAATTAGCCGGGCATGGTGGTGCGCATCTGTAATCCCAGCAACTCAGGAGGCTGAGAGAATTGCTTGAACCCGGGAGGCGGAGGTTGCAGTGAGCCGAGATCATGCCATTGCACTCCAGCTTGAGCGAGACAGCGAGACTCTGTCTTCTCCCCGAAAAAATGAAAATAAATAAATATAAATAAATTATAACTCTTTAAAATCTAAACTCTACCAATTTCTGGAAGCATGTATACAGAAGTTAGATACTTATGTAATAGCACATCATCTCAGTTACATAGTATGCAACATGAATAGTACCCACTAGCTTTGCGTACACACAATACCACAATTGCGCATTGTGGCCCTGAGTTAGTATAATTTTATATCCAACTACTAACTTATAAGATCAGATAAAATAAATGTTGTCGCTTATCTATTAGGTACTTTTAGTGATGTCATGTGGGCTATTGAGACCTTAAATATGCATGGTCCTGGACTGTGGTTTCTATGCTATATGAAGACATAGAGAATTGCTTTGTTTCTCTTAAAAATATTTCTTAAACCAAATATGCAATGTAAATATTAGTTCCTCTATATAAATAGTGAATTTAATAATAAGCCCATAGGAAATATCAATATCACAGAGATTTAAAAAAACAAAACTAAGATTTTGAATTAGAAAGACTAGAATTCCAAAATCTGTCACTATGTGGCCTTGAGCAGGTAAATACCTTTCAGTTTCCCTATGTTTAAAATAGGGATACGAAATCCACCTTCTCTCAGTTATATTTTGGGGATTATATGTGACATTTAATGTAGTAAGAAAACAAGTTAGAGATTAAGTGTTGAATAAATGCTGGTTATTAATGTAAAATAAGGCCAGAATTCAATAGTAATCTCAAAACAGTATCTTTAAAAGATATCTGGTTGGTTTGAATACAGAGCTTTTTCAGTTTTACTCTTGAGCCTCTGCCTTAAAGCCCTCTGAGGCCTTCTTCACTTCAGTGGGTATACATATAATAAATTAGGCCACTGTGAAAAATATACACTTGACCTGGTTGTCAGTGAATTATAGCTTGTTTCAGTTGGGAGAATTTTGAGCCCCCTCCCATTAGCTGTTTTTCAGTTAAATCAAAACTGAAAACATAATTATTTCCATTTATTTTCCAGATTGCTAAATGTGATGACTTCATTTATTATTAAGAGCAGCAGTTGGTAACATCTCAGAGCGTGCAAATCAGTTAATCCACTGTGACTAGGTTTTCTTCTCTCTTTTCAATTGGACTGCAGTCTTCTTATTGCTCCAAAATGGAATTATGTTCAATATAAGAAAGAATCAGTAGTTTGTTTATCAATAATCAGGTAGATTATGCTCTAATAATAAGCTATAGAGGTAATAAGCTATAGAGGGTTTTGAGCTGATAAAATAAGAACTCATAGCATATTATAAGAACTTGAGTTTGATATATTTAGCTTAAACACAGGACAATGCTTTAGAAACACCATAAATGATTTTAATGCTGACTTGCTTACCTCTGTCATCTAAATTAATTGCAGTATAATAAAGATTAAGGCCAACTGTGGCAAACATTTCTAGTAAAGTACAATGAACAAACGTATATTTTATTTTTGATATTGACGTGTGAAATGTAAGATTTAAATTTATTTTAAAAATGAAATAATTTTTATTTAACTAGTGGTCTAAAATCAAGATGGAAATTTTTACATAAAAATGTACATACTTGGCCAGACGTGGTGGCTCCCACCTGTAATCCCAGCACTTTGGGAGTCCGAGGCAGGTAGATCACTTGAGGTCAGGAGTTCAAGACCAGTCTGGCCAACATGGTGAAACCCCGTCTCCACTAAAAATACAAAATTAGCTATGCATGGTGGCAGGTGCCTGTAATCACAGCTACTCTGGAGGCTGAGGCAGGAGAATTGCTTGAACCCAGGAGGCAGAAGTTGCAGTGAGCCAAGATCGCACCAATGCACTTCAGCCTGGGAGACAAGAGCAAAATTCCACCTCAAAAAAAAAAAAACTGACATACTTAATAAAATCATACCATATCCTTATTAGAAATCTCACTAAGTATATATTGATGGCATTTATATTGTTACTAGTAGAAACAATTGTTTTCTTTTCTTCATTTTATCTAGTCCTTTTACAAGGTGAAGAACCAGTAGGTGGTAGAATAAACTTTCAATCCCATTACGGAAAGAATAAATATTTCATATCCAAAAATTTTACTTTCCACATTTATCATCCACCCTTTTATTACAAAATAATTATAATTGCTACTATAAAATTTACAGCATAATATTACTCATGTATTCATAAGTATGTTTGTAAATGCAAAATTTCTACTGTTCTCTTGGGACTGTTTTGAATAGTAGATGTATATTTCATAAGGCTCTTCCAGTAAGAAAAATATTACTATTAACAAAGATAAACTCTAGTCTCTTTCCTACACTATGCCAATTATTTTATTCTAATTTTATTTTTCATGGCATTCTGGTGCTCACATTCATGATAATATTATCATGGAAATTCTTACTTTTAGAAAGTGTCATAGCTAAAACAGGAAATTATCACCATCTTAATCACACTTTTATTATGTCTATGAGGTAAAACAAAACCCAGAATCCAAGATACTGCTGAATTTTCAAACTCACATAAATATTTTAAAAGCAGGAAACTGAACATTTCCATTTGGAAAGCCAAATGAGAGTTCTTAGTGGCCAAAATATTCCAAATGAAATTTGACCATATTTCAAATAAGTTGATTCTAAGTGTTATTCAACTGTATTGCTAGCTATTTCATTTCAACTCGTCCATGTAGTTGATTACTCATGTTTCTACTTTTTGTAAATTATTTCAGACCAGAGAATCTGGTGTTATTTTTATAATATTCTCTGAGAATAAACCGAGTTTATTTGAAAGTGATATAAAAAGTATTGTGAGATTGCTGGCTCATATGATAGTCCTATTTTTAATTTTTTGAAGAACCTCCATAATGTTTTCCACAGCAGCTGCACCATTTTACATTCCCACTAACATTGTACATGGGTTTCAATTTCTCGACATTCTTGCTAACATTTTTTATCTTTTGTTTTTAGATAATAGCCATCCTAACAGGTGATATCTCACTGCGGTTTGAATTTGCATTTCTCTGATGATTAGTGATGTTGACCATCTTTGCATGATATTGAGCATCTGTTGGTCATTTGTATGTCTTCTTTGAAGAAATATCTATTGAAGTATTTTGCCCATTTTTTAATTTGATTATTTGCTATCAAGCTGTAAGAATTCTTCAGATGTTTTGGATTGTGTATATCTCCTTGTGTGCTAATATTTCCTTTGAGTATATATGCCTTGAAATCTAATTACTGGTGAATATGTGAGTTTTCAATGTCAGAATACAATACCAAAATGGTGTGTGAAATAATTTATTCATTCAGAAAATTTTGAAAATATATTGTGCTAGATATTGTTTTAGATTCTTGGAATATATCGAAGAATGAAAACAGAGTACTGCCTTCAAGGAGTTTGCACTTTAGGTAAAGAGCACAATCACGTTAGTAAATCGCATAGTATTTTAGAAGGTGATAAGCACTATGGGAGAAAGGAAAAGTACTAATAAGTTTAAAAGGATCAGGAGAACTGCTGAACAGAGGCAGGTTGCATTTTAAAATTTCATTGAAAATTTATTTGAGCAATACTTGAAGGAGATAAGGATGTTGGACATGCAGATATCTAGTAGAAGGACTTTTCAAGTAGAAGGAGCAGTCAAAGCAAAATATATTTTGCAAAGAATGCCATTGTAGCTGAAGGAGTGGTTATGTAGGAATTAAATCAGAAAAATAGTGGTCAGTGGTGGCACTGATCATACAGGAACTTGTAGGTCATCGTAAGGATTTGGGATTCTTACTGAGGATAAAATGGGGTTTTCAGCAGATAGGAGACACGATCTAACTAGTGTTTTTAAAAGACCACCCCTGATACTATGTTGAGAATATACCACGAAGGGTCAAGGAAAGAAGCAGGGAGTCCAGAAAGAAGACTTGCAATAATTCAGGTGCAAGTTAATTGTGATTTGGCCTAAGGTTTCATGCTGGACTTTGTATAAAATGATTGGATTTTTGGAACATCTGAAAGGTAGACAGAAAAAAATTTCCTAAGAGAATGTATGTGGTATATCCAGATTTTCAAAAAATCAAAGATATCTCCAATATTTTTGGCCTGAGCAACTAGAAGTTTGAGCTGCCATCACCTGAAATGAGAACTCTAGGATGAAAAGTTAGTTGAAGAAAATCAAGAGCATAGTTTTGGATGTGTTTGATTATTCAAGTTTTAAAATACCTATTTAGAATTTAAGTAAACATGTCAAGTACACAGTTTTATACCCACATCTGGAGTTTGAAATAGATGTCTTGGCTGAAAATATAAATCTGAGAGAAGTTGGAGTATCCAGGATAAGGCCAAAAGGATGTGAATGTAGGTAGAGAAGAAAATAGAATCAAGGAATTTGGGCATTTAAAGATTAAAAGGTCAAGGAGTAGAGGAGAGACTAGTGAAAAAGAGAGTGAATAGAGAGGTATGAAAAAAAGAAGAGTGGGGTGTCCAGAAAACTGATGACAGAAGTATATTAAGGTGTATATAGTGATTAACTTTGTCAAATGCTGCTGACAGGTCACATAAAATGAGATCTGAGAATTTACCACCAGGCTCAAGCAATACACAAGTCACTGATGACCTTGACAAGAAAACTTTCACTGAAGTAATAGAAATTAAGCCTAATTGGAATGATAGCAAAGAAATACCAGTTTATAATTTCACCAACAGGATATGAGATCCAGCATGGTATGACAGAAATAGTCATGCCATTTATCACTTTAATCTGAGAAGTAACTTCCTATAAGCAGGAAGTTTATAGTCTAGGCCAAATTTATTTAGTATTTTTGTATCTCAGATTTCTCATCTGTAAAATAGGGTATAAAGCATAATTTTTATCATTGTTATGAGTTATGATAAAAAAACAAGACGTAACTATTGTAGAAACTCTACTACTCTACCTGGCACAAAGTAGATGACTGATAAATATTTATTTTCTCTCTTCCTTCCCAGGAGATGGAAGTAGAAGAGCCTCAACCACATCATATCATATTTTAGGAAAGAGGATGGACACAGGCATGAGTGAAACAAGACAAAGCTTTGAAGCTGATGTTCAAACTGAAGTTGTGAATGTGGAACTAGATGAACGAGATGATTGTTCAGAATCATGCAGAAATACTGGTTAGAGGGATGGAGACTGGAATAAGACATTTGTAAATTAGCAAAAATATTACTGGAGTTGCAACATTTATCAATGAAATTTGAAAGATCAAGTAAGAACCAGGAGAGATGCAAGTTATAAATGGTGGGAAAAATCATGATAGAAACAATGTTTTGGTGAGAAAGCAGTAGATACGCAACGAAGTTTTAAGCCTCTTACTAACTTCATGACCTTGGGTTTATAGATCCCCATTTAGTCTCTGACCCTCATTTTACTCTACTCCTGTCTTTTTTTTTTTAACATAAATACAGTTCTATACAATCTTCAAATCATCTTATTTTTCAGAAAAAAATATGTCCCTTCTTTTTTCTAAGACATGTTTCCATTTCTGTCCTTGATGCCCGTGATTTTTTCATGCCTTTAAATGTATCCTCCCAAATGTTGTCTTCACTTTTTCTATCTGAAATTATCTTGGCAATTGACAAACAACGGATTCAGCTTCTTATGTCATGATTCCAAGGACAATCTCTAACTTCAGTGACTTTATCTTTTACCTCTATGATGGACGCTGAGAAGTACCAGTCTCACTTCAATGAGAATTTGACTTGTTACACCAACTCCGAGGTGTGAGGTCAGTACATAGCCTTCAGTGATCAGTCATTTCAGGGTCTTCCTGTGGCGATTCCTCAAAGATTTAGAACCAGAAATACCATTTGACCCAGCAATCCCATTACTGGGTATATACCCAAAGGAATACAAATCATTCTATTATAAAGATACGTGCACACATATGTTCATTGCAGCACTACTCACAATAGCAAAGACATGGAATCAACCCAGATGCCCATCAATGATAGACTGGATAAAGAAAATGTGGTACATATACACCAATGGAATACTATGTGGCCATAAAAAGGAATGAGCTCATGTCCTTTGCAGGCACATGGATGAAGCTAGAAGCCATCAACCTAAGCAAACTAACACAGGAACAGAAAACCAAACACTGCATGTTCTCACTCATAAGTGGCAGTTGAACAATGACAACAGATGGACACAGGGAGGGGAACAACACACACCAGGGCCTGTTGGGGGGGTGGGGCCCAAGGGGAGGCAACTTAGGGGATGGGTCAATAGGTGCAGCAAACCACCGTGACACATGTATACCCATGTAACAAACCTGCATGTTCTGCGCATGTATCCTGGAACTTAAAGTTAAAAAAAAGAAAGAAATCTGAAAACACTAAATAAGAAGCAGGAGAGATGCAAGTCCTAAAGGGCAGGAAAAATTATGGTAGGACCAATGCCTTTGGCAAGAAAGGAGTAGACAGGTAACCAATTTTTAAGCCTCTGCTTTTCCTCTTTCTAACTTTATGACCTTGAGTTTAGGATCCCCTTTGATAAAAGAGAGGAAGAAAAATTGCATAAAAAGAGATAATTGAGAGCTTCTTGAGACTTTTCCTCAGAAACAAGGACACGATCGCAAATCTGATGAAGGTAAAAATACCAAAGGAATGTCAGATAGTACTTTTGAGATAGTAGGACAAAGAAAGGATGGAAATGGCTGCTATGTCAAAGTAATCTAATAATAGAGGTTCATGAATGCTTGTGTGAGGAGTCTAAAGTATTTTTGAAGGGAGATTAATATTGATAAGCTTTCTTCCATATATCTTGCCTCATCTGGATTAAATATAAGTTGACAGCAGTCCATAAACTCCTGTAAGCAAGCTAGTTGTTTCTTCATTTTTTATTGTATTAAACCACTGGACCCGATTAAGCTCAGTTCTGAAATTGCAGAATCTTTTGATGTAGTGAGCTGCCACAACGCTCAGGGGTATTACTATTAGGATAAGCATGAAAATTTGAAAATGGGATTATTCTGTTTAAAAACTTTTAGTGGCCCTATTATTGCAGACAGAATAAAAGCATACTCCTTTAAGAAATGGAAATCCTTTGCAATCATTAGCTTATCTCGCCTTTAAGCTACTTCCTTAATACTCTTGGCCATGGTCCATCAGGAAACAGTACACTCACACTGGATAATTGTGGAGAGTTTAGTAGAAGTGTCAAATACATGTTAGGTATTATAATAAAAATAATTAAGAACTCCTTGCCGGAAACAGCATGATAAAAACATCAATAAAAATTGTAGTTGGCTTATGAGGTTTCTTATGTTAAACACACACACACACACACACACACACACACACAGCTAAATTGAGATGTAAATCCAATTCAGGGTAAGGTGTAAATATTCAGTTTACATGCAAGGGATCAGGTCTGATAAAGCACGATGCAATTTAAAGATTAATAAAATTAACAAAATTATCCAGATCTATAAATTATACTCAAAACACAAGTGGACATAGCCATTCTCCTGTCCTTGGTAACCTTTTTTCTACCAAATTTTACTAGATAACTGGTCCTATAGAAATGGATATGACTTAGTACTGGTAGGAATAAATTTATTTTGTTTTTAATGAAAAAAAGTAGGGAGAAAGGGACTATTTATTTTGCCACCAAAGTTTGGCATTTTAAATCTGAGCTCTATAATTTAGTATCTGCTGGTAATGAAAGCTCCTGAGGTGGAGAATACGTGACTAGAAAGGAAGCAAAGCATTTATGGCAACCAACATGCTTTCACTTATATTACTGCACTAAATAGAACTTTGAAGTCAGCAAGGCAGAGCATGTTATAATCCTTACTTTACAGCTGAAAAATCACAGATTTAGGGCATTTGCAGTTGGTTCAGTGTCCCATAGTTTATTAATAGTACAGTTAGAATAAGAATCTCTAAGACTGCTAAAATCAGACTCTAGGAGTCTTTCATGCAATTCAGTTTAATCCAATCAAGCAGCCATGAGTATCAGGTACTGATGTTCATTTAAAGTTAGGTGAAAAGAAACTTTATGCTTTGGGAATATATAATCTGGTTTGAGAAAAGAAATTTACAAATTTAATGATACAACTTACAAACTCATTCTGAGGCTTAAAAATCTTTTAAAGGACACAGCACTGTAAATAGAAACACAGGTAAACCACTGCCATGAATTCATGCTGAGAGAGATTACCTGCAGTAAACAATGCATGGTAAACCTTCACTTAAAAAGTTTTCTGATTTCTTACCAAGCCTTTTCCCAAATAATTTATGGATTAAAGTGCTCTGCATTTTGTAAGCATTTCCCCTTATATGCTAAGTCATATAAATGCAGAGAAAAAAATGGTTATTATACGAATCTAGAGAAGATGTATATAATTACTTATATTACATGGTGTCAGTGCTTAATTACAAATTACAGGTGTTCCTCAATTATGATGAGGTGACAGTCCAATAAACCCATCCTACATTGAAAATATACTATATTGAAAGTGCATTTTTGCCTTAAAATATTTTCAATTTAGGGTGGGTTTATCTGGACATACCTCATCTTAAATCAAGGAGCCTATTGAATGCCTATCGCTTTGTACCATGGTGAAGTGGAAAATTGTAAGTCAAACCATCGTAAGTCTGACACCATCTGTACATGGTATTTAGAAATATCTCTATATTGTGGTGAAATTACCTTTGAAATTTTAAGCTTTGGATATTACTATTATGTTCTTCAAGGCACTTATGGAGTAAACGTAGAGTATTTTGCCTTCAATATATGTGCACTCAGGATGTATAGATATTTTTAAAACTAAGGTATTCAATTAAGGAAATCATAGGCATTTTGTTCCCTCCTCCTTACCCCCAGTACCCTAAATAACTTAAATATAATATTAGGCCAAAAGCTGATTATGCAATATACTATAATATTCCTTAGGAAAGATATGAGTACATATTTTATCTTTTTCTAGTGGTTATTAAAAATGAATACATACTCATTCAGATCAATGTAGAAGTGGAGATGAAAATTTTGTATTTTTCCTGAAGCCTCCTTTCTGGCTCTACTTCCATCAGTTACGAGTTAATGCTGCAAGGGACATAGATGTATGAAGTAAATTATATACTCAATTTTATTGAGCTTACTACTGTATGAAAAAATAAAAAAATAAAAGAAATATAAGTTTAATAATAACAATTATTGATTGCTTACCATCAGCAATATACAGTGTTTGCTAAGGTTGTCACTTACATTATCTCCTTTATTTAATTAACTACTTACAGTTAACTATCTCCATTTTTCAGTTGAGAAAAGTGAAGGTTACAAAAATTAAGTAATATACCCAATATATATGCAGCTGGTGTGGGATTAAAACTCAAATTTTTCTAACTCTAGCATCTGACTTTTATACTTTATACTTTATCACCTCACAATGTCTGAATAAGTACCTTTAACATTGCAGAAAATAATTTTTTTGAGACAGAGTCTCGCTCTGTCACCCAAGCTGGAATGCAATGGTGAGATCTAGGCTCACTGCAACCTCTGCCTCCCTGGCTCAGGTGATCCTCCCACCTCAGCCTCCCAACTAGCTGGGACTACAGGCGCGTGCCATCATGCCTGGCTAATTTTTATATTTTTTTGTTTGTTTGTAGACACAAGGTTTCACCCTGTTGCCTAGACTGGTTTCAAACTCCTAGGCTGAAGCGATCCACCAAAGTGCTGGGATTACAGGTGTGAGCCACTGTGCCACACCCAGAAAATAATTTTTAAGAAAAGAGTTTTCTTCCCTTTAGAATACTGAAACTAACATGGACTAATTGTCCATACATACAAATTTTAAATTTTTTCACCTGTTTCTTGGGTCACCTTTGTCTAACAGAGATTATTTTATTTCATTTCAATACTATTAAAATATTAATACAATGTGAAGCCCTAGTGTAAAAATAACATTTTCATTCTCATAGCAATTCTTTCCAATGCCTGGCTGGATTTGTTGTTTGTCTTTTGATCATATTTAAAACTTTATCTTCCCTAAGAAAGCACATGCTTTATAGCAAGTATTGCCAAAATTAATGTTAATTAACAAAGTTAATCCAGGCAATGTATATTTAAAAACCAAGTTCCTATTTCAAATTATCATGCAAAATATTTTCACAGAGATATATTTAATAAGAAATGAATATCTCTGTAATCCCAGCACTTTGCAAGAACAAGGTAGGAGCAACACTTGAACACAGTAGTTCTAGACCAGCTTGAGCAACATAAGCTTTTTTGCATCTTTTTATGGACAAAATCAATTACTTAGCTTTGCCATGGGTGGTCTTCTCCTCTGGGGACAAAAAAAAAAAAGCAAGACTTTTTAACTCTTCCTTTATTGCAAAATCGTAACCATAAGTGAAAACATTCTTTTGTAAATTTCTATGACAGGGTAGGATTTATTAAAAGCTTAAAAAAGAATGGCAAAAAAGAGAACCAAAGTTTATTAGGCACTGTGCTAAAATTCTTAAAATCGTTTCCTCATTTGCTGTAGATGATATTTTCTCCATTTTATAGATCAGTAAATTGAGGCCAGAGAAAGATCAACTAGGATAAAATAGCAATTATGCTGCTTCCTTAAAAATAAGAAGGAGCATGATGGTGTCCATTAGTCTACTAGTAAAGCTTGAAATTTGCTTTTAGGCCTTGAACTTGCCCTGGAGATCTTTAGCTGGCATTCTTCTTAACCCTTAAAGGGATTCTTGATCATAAGCTCCTGACTTTGCTTCTTTTAATATACTGGGGAATCTCTGCCACTACCAAGTAGTAAGGGCATGATTACATGTTTTAAAATTTTATTAAAGCATGTTTCAAAAGACATCAGGAAGACTCTAAGATTCTATATTGCATTAGTTACATTTTATAAAACATTTTTAAAAATACTTGCACTCTTTTACAGTTGGCCTTTTATTTCCCACGTCACAAGGTCTGAAACAAAGAGACAAGGATTCCTGCAGGGATTTGACCCCAGGAACCACATAGTTCCAGAATGTGTTATGCTCTCTGTTTCCCTCACTTAACCACACTCATGCTTCAATGGTTTGCAGACTTCCATGGGAACAACAACAACAAAAGTTATTGTTATGGGATAATCTGAATTTAACAGATGATCTGATCTGTGAAGAGAAACTGTCTCCTCTTTTGCAGAAAGTACATTAAACATTTGTCTCCAACTAACCCATCAAGCTTTTTAAGGATATCTCTATTTTCTCTCTTTTCCTATACATACTCTGCAATTTCTCACATATGAAATATTCATCTAATTGTTAATATAATTCAATTTAATATCAGTAGCTAAAGATATTCAGTGATATTAGGCTTTTTGAAAATGATTTACTATCTTTAAGGATGCTTTTTATGTTATTTAGAATAAATAGTGACAGTTTTATTAGTTGCTATAGCAACCTGAAATTCCATTTAAAAATGTGACATTCCATTTTCTCATAAGGCATTTTAATTAAAACATATTTGTGTTTACTGAAATGAATATCTAATCTAACCATCATAGTAAGAGGTCATGTGATATAATTGATAATATAGTTACATAGCACTGGAAATGAATTGAATTTGGAACAAAAGTCTTTCTATTTTATAGATACACAATATTTTACATATTTATGGGGTACATGTGAGGATTTTTTACATGAATAGAATGTGTAATGACCAAGTAAGGATATTTGAGGTATCCATCACCTGAAGTATTTGCCATTTATATGTGTTGGTAGTATGTTGAGTCCTCTCTTCTAGCTATTGTAAAACATACAATATATTGTTGCTACCTATAGTCATCCTAGTCTGGTAGGAAACATTAGAACTTATTTCTTTTATCTAACTGTCAGTTTATACTTATTCAGTAACCTCTCTTCACTTACTCCTCTCACCCTCACACCCTTCCCCACCTCTGGTATGCTTTTATTTTATTTTTTTCATTTACTCAAGGTGCAATGTGAGATTGTTAATTTGAGATCTTTCCAGCTTCTTGATTAAAGTGTTTAGGGCTACAACTTTCTTCATAATACTGCCTTAGCTGCATCCCAGAGATCTTGGCAAGTTGTGCCCCTATTTTCATTAATTTCAAAGAATTTTTTGATTTCTGACTTAAATTTCAATTTTCACCCAGAAGTTATCTGGAGCAAGTTACTTAATTTCCATGTACTTGTGTAATTTTGAGAGATCGTCTTGATATTGATTTCTATTTTTATTGCACTGTGATTGGAGAGTGTGTTTGGTATTATTTAAGTTTTTTTGAATTTATTGGAACTTGCTTTATGACTAAGTATGTGGTGAATCACAGAATATGTTGAGTGCAAGTAAGGAAAATGTATACTTTGTGATTGTTGGGTGGAGTATTCTATAGATGTCTATTAGGTTCAATTGCTCAAGTATTGAGTTTAAGTCCGAAATTTCTTTGTTGCTTTTCTGTCTCAATGATTGGTCTAATGCTTTCAATGGAGTATTGAAGTCTCCTACTATTATTGTGTGGCTATCTAAGTATTTTTGTAAGTCAAGGAGAACTTTTTTTTTAATGAATCTGGGTGCTTCAATTTTGGGTGCTTATATATTTATGATAGTTAAGTCTTGCTATCCAGATTGTGACTTCTGTGCCTTTCACTTCAGGCATTTCAGTCTGGTTAAAGGCCATTGCTGGGGAGCTAGTGGGCTCATTTGGAGATAAGGAGACATTCTGGTTTTTTGAATTGCCAGAGTCTTGTGCTGATTCTTTCCTATCTGAGGGGACTGGTGTTTCTTTAATTGGGGTGTAAGCTGAGTATAGTCAATTCAGTTTGTTTCTGAATGTTTTCAGAGGGTCAAGGTTCATACAGGATCTTTATTTGTGGGCAAATTCTTGCACTTGTTTTCAGGGGTGTATGTTAGCAGAATAATTTTTGGTGTTGTGGTTTGGGCAGTGATACACTAGATGGTATTTAAGAGTAATGGCCAGTAGAAAGGCTCTTAGCCATGCGGCTCTTTTGTATTTCCTTGTGTTTGCTGGTATGCTCTGTAGTAGGGGCTGAGGGGAGATATGATTCCCTCACCAGCTCTTCTCCTGGGCTTTCAGGGAACCCCCTGTGATCACTGGTGCCATGCTCGTGTTTCTTTTACTAGGTGTTCTGAGCTATGGGGTTCCCTAGGGCAGAGGCTGTGGCAGGGAGATAGGTCTCGTACTTTCTGGACTATCCCTGCAGTAGAATGCACACCCTGCTCCTGCACCAGCCCTTGAATCCCCATTTCTAACCCTTCTCAGTGCTCTTAGACTGTGAGCTCCTCCCTTGCTTGATTGCTGGCCACAGATCTCCACTCAGCACTCCTGAGCTGCACATTACATCCCTGGGGCACGAAGTTGGCTCCAGCTACACTGGGGTATCTGCAGTGCTCCTAGGTCACCATAAAAGTACTCAGATGGGGCAAAGCACTCAGGATGGGCATTGGATGCTGCACTGTGCCCATGCTCCTATGGGATGGCTAGGCAGGATCCCTGGGAGGGGCTGGCATGCAGAAGGGCCTGCAGGACAGACATGCCCCAGTCTCACAGGAAAGACTGTGCTGTTCTCTCCTGCCTTTGTGGTCACCTGGGGCTAGAGCTTCTAGGAGGGAGATGGGGATCTCCGGGTAATGAGTGCCTATGGCTGCAATTTACTGGAGTTGCCTCAAGAACAAAAGCCCTAGGGCTCTGCACTAGCCAAAGCCTGATGTCTGCCTACTTCCTGGGCAGATCCTCCTGCCAGCTCATACATCCTTGGGGTATGTGAGGTTTGCTGTAGCTAAGATCCCAGAGGTTTGCCACAGGAGTAGACTGTCTCTCATTCTCCTCACTCACTCCTTCCCCAGGAGTTGTTTAGGGCTGTACAGGGTTCCCAGCTTCCTCTCTCTTCAGCCTTGACACCAGCATCACCTCTCTATCTACTCTTGGTGTTTTCTCTCTGTAGATCTGCCCAAATTATGTTGGTTTACTCATTAACTTCATCTCATTATGTGGGAGCAGTGCTCACTGGCTGCATCTAGTCAGTCATTTTGTAGCCCATCTCTATGTCTTCTTTTGAGAATTGTCTATTC
Organism: Homo sapiens; assembly: GCF_000001405.40. Lineage (NCBI taxonomy): Eukaryota > Metazoa > Chordata > Mammalia > Primates > Hominidae > Homo > Homo sapiens. Next base: position 81,866,668 of record NC_000012.12, read on the forward strand.
ATGTCCTTTGCCCATTTTTAATGAGATTATTTGTTTTCCTTATTGTTGAATTAGAAAAAAATGTCATTTTTAGTTAACTGCTTCACTAATTAGGTTAACTTAGTTCTACCACCATTATCTATAATTTAATACTCTTATACCCTTGATTTACTAAATCTAATAAATTGCTGTTACTTGACTAACAGATACTATCAGATATTCTTCTTTAAGATTTTTGGACAGTTTTCCTCTCAGAAAGAATTGCTAACTCCTCTTTGTAGCCTGGGTGTTTTCTGTATAGGTTGCTAATATGCTTAATTATTTCCTCTTAACTGGGTTGATATGTCTCAAGGGCAAGGCTGCATTTATTTTCCAACATCTAGTTCTAGCACTTAAAATCATGGGATCTCAATAGCAGTTTTAATGCCTAATGTATACATGTATGCAAGAATACATGAGAATAAACCAAATAATGAAAAGTGATAATTTATAAAGATATAAATTTTAAAAAGCTCATGAAAAGATGAATAGATTTATTCTCATCAACTCTCTTTGTATATCTCAACTTTGTCTCAACTATTCTCTTGAGCTTTATCTTTATTTCAAAATTCTGAGATACTATTTTAAAAGGGGTTTCTCTGTGTAGTTTAGAACATACTGTTGAGGGAAAAAGGTAGTTACAGAATAGCACATATAACATGATATTACACAATATACTCTTATGAAAATAGTATGTCTGTGCATGTGTGTATACTTAGAGATCTTGAACAAGGTTGATCAAAGTATTAGTAGTTGTTACATCAGGGTGTTAAAATTTTATGTCTTTTTCTCTAATTTCCAATTTTTAAACTTATTTGAATTTCTAGATTGATCATTTACATTTATTTTAAAAATATATTTCCTAAATGAAAATAGATTATCAATAAGCAGAGTAAATGAAAATATATCAGTAAATATGCATAGTGCTGGAATTGGATAGTTTAAAATGATAATGGTATTTTCCTAGATATCCTGAAGATTATAATTTATTTTCCTGTTTTATATATTTTCCAAAGAATTATTAAATCACAAAAGTTTCTCACAATGAGTAAAATATAACCTATAAAATTAACAACAAAAATGTCCTGGAAACAAAATTTCTTACCACGTTTAAAAAGTTTCTAACTGGTGACCTCCAAGATTCTTAAACAGGGTAAAGTGTACACAACCATTAAAAAAAAAAAAAAAAAAAAAAAAAAAAAAAGAAATCATGTCCTTTACAGCAACATGGATGAAGATGGAAGCCATTGCCCCAAGGGGATTGAGAAACAAAACCAAATAGTGCATGTTCTCACTTCTAAGTGGGAGTTCAACAATGGGTACACATGGACATAAAGATGGAAATAATAAACACTGGGGACTCTAAAAGAAGAAAGTGTGGGAGAGGGGTGAGGGTTCATAAATTACCTATTGGGTACAATGTTCCCTATTTGGGTAATGGGCACACTAGAGGCCCAATCTTCACCAATATGCAACATACTCATGTAACAAATAAGAACATGCAACTCCTGTATCTAAAATCAATTAATTAAAATCCCCAAAAAACAAAACAAAAACCTTAAGCAAATATTTCTCAATGATAATGTTGGATTTCAGTTGATATGACAAATTTAGCCCACACCTCCATGTTCTTATGCAGAATCCTTTGGCTCTGAAAATACTAGTCAATGGAAACTGGCAGAATGACCACCAGATATTCGGCAATATACATGATCTACATATCTCAGACTATTGTTAGAATATTGGGCATTTTTTCTTCTTCCCCATTATTTCTTCCTTTACTGTACTAAATGAAGATTGAGGTCCATAACTTTGACCTGCAAGCACCTCATTGTAGCCACTTGTTCATTCTTTTTAAAGGTGCCCCCAGTCCTTGAGACAATGACACCTTTTAGGTTGAAACATTTCCTCAGAGATTTTGAATGCAAATCTATTTTCTATCTTCATAGATTAGACAGGGTATATCCATTTGAGTGTCCCCTTGAGCATCTCTAGCCATCTCAATAAGCCCCAAGAACTCCAGGTGGGTAGAATATTAAGAAGAAACTCCCAAATATATTTAGTTTTTAATTTTTCTCGGCTGGTCCTGTGCATGCTAGCAATGATCTCTTTTCCTACGTCTATGGTTGCTCAATGGAGCAGCAAAAACATCGTAGAAGAAAAAAAAAAACAGATTAGGGATACTGTTTTGCTGAGCTTCATGAAAAAAATCACGATTTACAATATACAATATTGTGATTATTTCCCGCGTTTCATGTCTGGACTCATGATCTAGGCTTGTGGCTACATAAGTTTTATCCTGTACAGACTCAAGCAGCAGGTCAGATACATTCACAGGAACAACCTATTCCCCAGCTGCTTCTTCCAAATTTAATTTATTTTGTGAAACATATTTTTATTAAAGAAACATTCTAGTTATAAGTGCACAAGTTAGTGGAATTTTACAAACAAAACACACCTCTGTTGCAACACCTGGATCAAGAAACAGAATATTGCCAGCCCCCTAGAAACCCCTTGTGTCCCCTCTAAGTCACTGTCCCTAAGGCTATAATTCTGTTGAGTATATTTGTAGGAGTGAAATTGTTGAGACACAGGTTTACATCAATTCTAATATTTAAGAGATTAAATCACTTTTGCCTGTTTTGTGCTGTATATAAATGAAATCATAAAGCAAAAATTCTTTTATATTTTCAAAAAAGAGGCAAAGTATAATGTCCAGTAAAGAAGGAAGCATAGCTCACCAACATTCTCAATAATTTTTAGATTCTAGCAATAAAGATTGCAGTAGAAAATAATGATTAATGTTTATATATAGTTAATGTGGCCTTCTGCTTCCCACATTATCAGTGACTAAGAGTGTTGATAGACCATTCTGACTACAAGTCTACTATAGTACATCCTAAATAGAATTTTATCATGAGGCACAGTTGATTTAGTAAGAGGTCATGAGGTCTCTAATTACTCTCCTCACAGTGAAAACAAAAAGTGTGATTTGGTGCTGGAACAGTACATAGCTCTAAAGAAATGGGTTGCTCTGAGAACATTTACCACTGATAACACTGCTGAATGGATATTCAGTTTCAGTGGGGATGAAGTAGAGCAGCAGAGTCTATGATTTCCCCACTGACTATGAATCTCCGAAAGCTGAAATGATCTCAGTTTGGATGCCAGCAAATGCAGAAGCAAATCCTCTCTGGAAGAAAGATTTTCCAATTTTTGTAATGCTAGATTCTCAATGGATAAAATAAAGAAATAAAATATATCAAAGATAACCAAATTATCAAAGGTCACCAAAAGCCACCCACTAACTCAGAGTTTGATTAAAAAATGAAAAGATGTTGTATTCAGTAATACAATAGGGTGACTATAGTTAACAATAATTTATTGTATATTTTAAAATAATAAAGTGAAAATGTAATGTTTCTAACACAAATAAATAATAACTGCATAAGGTGATCAATACCCCAATAACCCTGATTTTATCACACACATTGTATAACTGTATAAAAATATCACATGCATCCCATAAAAATAGACAAGTGTTATCTGTGTATCCATAAGTAAAAGTAAAAATTTTTAAAAAGGTTTAGACACAAAAATTTAGATATACAGAAACTGCAGATGTTAGAGAACAGCTACAGATGAATTTTTTTTAAATTTAGTCTATAACAAAACAATGAGGAATTAACATCTAGAAATAATCATATGTAATTTTTCAAAATAAAAAGAACCATTGAATTGCTTAAATAGTAGATTAGAAAGAGTCAAAAACAGAATTAATGAACTGGAATATATATCCCAAGAAATGACTAAAATACGTCATGCAGATAAAAAGATGTATTAAAATGACATTAATATTTATATAGGACAGAATGAGAAGTCTAGTAAGCATCTGACTGGCATCCCAGAAGCAGGGAATAAAAAAAGTAAGTAGGGAAAGTAAAAAATGTTCAAAAAATATATTAAACACATACTAAACAAAAGGCAATATTTCAAGAAATAATGGTTGTGTTTCCTGAACTGATTTTATATAAAAAACAAAATACATATCCAGGAAGCACATTTTATCTAAGATAAGAAGATATCACTTGCAAAGAGAAAACAGCTCATTTCTAAGCAGTTATGTCAACAAGATTAAGAATGGAATTCAGAAGGAAGCAAAAAAAAAAAAGTTTCCAAATATTCACAGTAAATTAGTGTTGCCATAGGAATATATAACCAGTCAAATTACCTTTAAAAATATGAAGTTGGATGGTTTCAAACATAAAGCAAAAGCTGAAAATGTGAAAATATATTAGGTATAAAATAAATAACCTGAACAGGGACAAAAATTTTCCCTATTATCATGAATGTAACTTGGTTAAATTCCCTATTATAAGACAAAGTGTGCCAAGCGCAGTGGCTCACGCCTGTAATCCCAGCACTTGGGGAGGCCAAGGTGGGCGGATCATGAGGTCAGGAGATCGAGACCATCCTGGCTAACACGGTGAAACCCCGTCTCTACTAAAAATACAAAAAATTAGCCAGGCATGGGGGCACACGCCTGTAGTCCCAGCTACTCGGGAGGCTGAGGCAGGAGAATTGCTTGAACTCAGGAGGCAGAGGTTGCAGTGACCCGTGATCGCACCACTGCACTCCATCCCTGGGTGACAGAGTGAGACTCTGTCTAAAAATAAATAAATAAATAAAAATAAAAACAAAAATAAAAGACAAGGTGTAACAAGTACATTTTTTTTGCTGTTTTTGTTTGTTTATTTGTCTTACTACTCAACAAATTACAAATATGAGATAATTCCTTAACCCAATGTAACATCTAAAATATTCTCTCCCTGTACACCATCTGCTATTAAGATCAAATCATGAGGTATCATCCTTTCATATTTGTGTAACTGGTATTTATGCAAATTCGGTAACTATTACTGTCCATTTTGCTACCTTCTAGCCTTAGGAAAATGACTTTAGAACCACAGCACCCATTCCACCCTTCCCCAAACTCCAATTATTTCTAGAGATCACCAATGTGTATTGTATATGATCTCAACGACATCTGCTAACGTCTTGCTTATTCGCATCTTGACGCAAAGCTCTGTTGGACACTAAAGATGTGTCAGTTCACAGGGAGCCAGAACTTCAGTGTGCTCCTCATAGAAACTGAAATAATGCTTTTGCCTACTCGAGATCCCACTGGTCCCTAAGTCCTGAGGCAGCACTGTCTATATGCTGTATTTCCTAAATCCCTTTGAAACATTCATCTTCACTTTTAAACAATGGTATTCTTTCTAGAAATTTCCAAAGTAGCAAATGGGAGCAAGTTTGAGCATAAACCATCCTGTGTTTCTTCTCCTCATCGAGTCTATCAATCACTGCCAGCAGACATTTCTCACAAAATTTCCTCCTTCTCTCTCACATCACATAGTACTTAGATCCTAACAACATATCAATTAAAAACAAGCAAAAGAGTTTTAAACAATAATACTATTTAATGGTGTGTTATGAGAACCTATCAGCCAGGGTAAGTGCCTGAATAATCAGGAAACTCAGATGATATGCTGTATTTGCATATACTAGCTGTATTAGTCCATTTGCACACTGCTATAAGGACATACCCGAAACTAGGTAATTTATAAAGGAAAGGCGTTTAATTGACTCACAGTTCAGCATGGTTGGGGAGGCCTCAGGAAACTTACAATCGTGGAGGAAGGTGAAGGGGAAAGAAAGGCACCTCCTTCACAAGGTGGCAGGAAGAAATGCTGAGCAAAGGGGGAAGAGTCCCTTATAAAACCATCAGATGTTGTAAGAATTCACTCACTATCATGAGAACAACGTGGGGGAAACTGCCCTCATGATTCAGTCACCTCCACCTGGCCTCTCCCTTGACATGGGGGGGATTATGGAGATTACAATTCAAAATAAAAAGTTTGGTGGGGACACAGAGCCTAACCACATCACCAGCTGAGTCATACCTAGCAATACTCTAAGTATTAACAAAGTTAGGTTTCATCTTATGGTGGCTGGAGCAGGTTGTTAATGTCTTTCCCTGCATAGTTTTCTTTTTGTCATTATTGATGGTTCACTATCTATCCTCCAGGTTGCTGTCAAAAATGAGAACTCAGAAGTTTTTGATACTTTGATGGTAAAGTGATTTACAATTCCAGTAAAAAAAAAAATTGGTACAGCTTTATAGTATCTGTAGAAGTGGAAGCCTTTTTTAATTGGATCAAATATATAGTTTTTTATTTTCTGTAGAAACAAAAGACTATCGCTTAAAATGGTCACTGGTCTCTTACTGTCAGTTCAGTGTGTGATAAAATAACTTTTTCAATTTTTGGCAATCATGGAGAGTGATAAAATTATATATTGTTTGGACATCAGCTGGCATAAAAAGTGGAATGGGCTATTGTCACTGGCACATTGATTGGTGTTATAAGCAAAATTGATTGTAGGAAGTAAGCATTTAAGACTCACATACTACTCAAGAGAAAAGAGGAACAGAAGAAAAATACATCCATGTAGTTCATATTTTGCTAAACGTTTATTCGTATCTCTTTGGACTACGTCTCTTGTTAAAAACGCAAATTTTTAAATTAATTAAATTAATAATTTAAATTATATACATATAAACATACACGTCCAAACCTACTGGGTAGGTTTTAAAGGTCAAGGGTATTTTTAAAGATGAGTCTTATAATATATTCAAGAAAAAGATCATTTCGATTACATGCAAATTCTCTCTGAGGATGGTAAATTGAGTGAGTCCAACACACTTCATGAAGTTTGCATAGCATTGAGGCCAAAACCAGAAAATAACTGTATGAGAAAGAAAATATACAGACCAATCTGATATATAATCATAGAAGAAATATTCTCAGTAAAACAGAAGAAAATCTTATTTATCAATTCATTATTAACAAGTAATGCAAAATAATTTAACTTCTGAATGTCTCTTCATCTGCTTTACTTTAGTCATAAGAGAAAAAAGATAATAATCTCAATAAATAAATACAAATATTAAGCATGATTAAACATGCATTCTTAGTAAAAAAAAAAAACTAAATAAATAATAGCAAACTTCAGAAAACTAGTAATAGAAAACTACCTTTTAAGTGGACAAAGATTTCTATATAAGCCCCTAGCAAATATCATATCCAATGGTGAAATATGGAAATGATTCCTTTTATTTAGTCTTCTTTCAGTCCTCTATCACTATTCATTTCAGCTATTTTCTATTTTTTTGTATTCTAGATAATGCTGTGAGAAACATCCTTTCTACTACAGTATATTGTCTATTCCACACTATTTTCTTATAATAAAGTCCTGAACATAAAATTGTTCAAAATGTATATAACTTCTAAGACTCTTGGTATATATTTCCCAGTTGCTCTTGATTTTCCTTGGACAATGCCTCAATTTAAAACATTTCACCATCTGGTTCCATTACCCTTTGGCAGCCTTATCTTTCCTCAAAATTATTTTCTAATGTTGTGAGTTTACTTATGGCCCCCAGAACCTGATGTTTGCTTTCATATATCCTTTTCCTATATGATAAAGTCACCGTCCTCTTTCAAAGTCCAGTTCACTGTTACTTCTCGCTGTTTTAGGGGAAGGTCCTGATTCCCATGGCAATATTAATCGACCCTTCCACTGTGTTCCCTTTGCGGTTGCCTCAGGTTATTTGTACAGTTATCACATTGTACTAGTTAGCTGTTTTTCTGCCTGGCTAAGTTGCCAGTTTCTTGTAAGCATTAACCATGTCCTCTTCACCTTAAACCCCCAGCAAAGACTAGTGTAAGAAACATATAATCCAATCTTAATAAATGTTTTTGAATGAGTAAAAGGAGCATATACTCTCTTTCCCCAAATTAGACCTAAATTCTCTGACCCAGTTTTTATCACCACTTAGGGCAGCAGACCATTCAGATAAGTGCTAACAGTAGTAAATCTCAGCTCCAAAATTATTTGAGACAATATTCAAAAAGTTGAATGAATTTATAGAAAAAAGTTATGAGGAATTTTAAAATATGAATTTAATTCACATCTTATTAGGGGCTGAATGAATGCTTCCATTACAAGTTTAGTCACGTTTGCTGTTGGAACAATGCCCAAAATCAACTAAGAACATCTGTCTTGAAGAGATAACAACAGATTTCAAAATTATCAAGAATAGCACGAGAATTAAAAAGCACTTTTGAGATCAAACTACCTTAGAACATCAAACATAGCACATGTTTGTCTCTTTTTTTTTAAAAAAAAGAGGTATATGTAAGCACATATTGAGTCTTCAACAGGCTCAATTGCTCAAAAGTCAATGTGAATAGCTTTATAAACTGCAACTAAGTGTTTGTTTCAGGTAAGGAAAGCTTTTTACATTAACTTCAGAAGTAAATTACTTCTGTTGCTTTCTATGAAATGTCCATTTTGATTCTCCTCTCCACAACCCAATCACAGACTTCTGTGAAAACTGGTACCCGTTGCTTCTGATTGCATCTTCTATGAACACTTAAATATCCTATGTGCCACCTTCACTTGGAACTCTATTCCCTATCCAATCTTTGTTAATGTGATAATGAAATTGTTAATCTCTCACATGATACATATCTTCTATCTGCCTAGAAATATTATAGAGGTCATTTGGTTGGTTGGTGCAAAAGTAATTGCAGGTTTTGCCATTACTTTCAACCTAATATAAACAAAAAAGTCTTTATTTATAGAAATTTGATAGTAAAGCAGGCATGTTGAGCAATCATGTTGTGTCAGGTAAGACTTTGGACATGCCTAAAGATGTGATCACATATTCACATTTTATAAAGAAGTCAGGCAAGGAATATATATGAGCAATGCAGACTTTGTGTTGCAGATTTGAGTGTGAATACCACATCTAGGGCACCCTGCAGCTGCTCCATTCCAAAAGATGTTGCCATGCAGGATAGCAAGCATGAAGCCTGGAATCCCAACTTTTAAAGTTTTGTATAAAATCAAACATTTTAAAGTTGTTGTTTAATAATTCAATATTTTTGCGATCTTGTGTGAACCAAAGAAAAGGTACCTCTAGGATGGATGTGACAAGTGAGCATCAGTTTGCAGCTTCTAGGACATAAATTGTGTCAAGCATATTCTGCTTCTGGGAGAACATATTCTAACTCCTAATCAGATGTACCCTTTCGGTTCAGAAATTTCCAGGTGAAGTGCTGAAGTTAGGAATCTGATCCAGTACCATGTCAGATTATTTGTAGCCATTTAGGGGTAAGAAGTTTGAGTTTGATATAAGAATTTAAAGGATACTGGAAAGGCTCAAAGTTTGTTTTAAATGTATGAAAAAGAGGTTGTGCTATAGAAATTTTAAAACAGTTGAAGAGAAACATTAAAAAAATCAGAGAGGTGTATTTGACAATAATCTGAATTATCAGTTCTCCCAGCTCCTGCATAAATAGTTATAGGTTATCTTCACCTTTCTCAAATTATATGTCTAAACTTTAACTGGAAATGAAAAATGTTTAATAAATGTTATGTAATATTCTTAAGAGTTTACACCACTTTAATCATCACTGACATTATCTCTTGTCAGTAATAAGTACAGTTATAATCCTTACAAAATAACTTTTATCTTTCAATATTTTAAACACTATTTATCTATATAAAATGAATAAAATCTAATTACAGAAAATACGTACATAAATTAATAAAGAAAAATTTAAGGTAACCAGATTAACCCCTAAACTCCCAGGTTAATCTATAGAGATATACACACATGTATCAATATTGTTTTAGGTTAGTAAATAAAAATATAAAACATTTTTTGAAATGGCAGAGTATCCAGATGTACCATCATTTTAAAACAGAGTTTCTAACTTATATACATTTACATTCTAACTTTTACTGTTATGAATAGTGCTTCAATATGTATAAACTTGTATATGCTTTAGCATAAAATATGGTAAACTGAATTTCATGGGCATATGTATGGGCATTTTGAAAATTTTTGATACACAGCGAATTTCCTTATGGAAATTCCTACCAATTTAAGTGCTCTGACAACAGAAGTACTTATTTCCCCATGTTTGACATTACTCTTAATCATTGGCTTTTTAATATGTAAAAACCAAGATCTTAATGTTGTTTCAGTGGGCACATCTTTGATTTTGTAACACTAAAACTTTTCCTGATATTTATTGGTCATTGTCTCTGACCTTTTATTTTTAGTTTTTGTTTGTTTGAGACAGGATCTTGCTCTGTTGGCCAGGCTGGAGTGCAGTGGCACAAGCATAGCTCACTGCAATCTTGAACTTCTGGGCTCAAGCCTCAGCCTCCTGGAGTATCTGGGACTACAGGCAAGTGCCATCATGTCCAGCTCATTTTTAAATTTTTTATAGAGATGGGGGTCTTGCTATATTGCCCAGGCTGGTCTCAGATTCCTGAGCTCAATCAAGACTCCCACCTCAGGTTCCCAAAGTAATCCTCGAAAACTGGGATTACAGGCATGAGCCACCACACCGGGCCTCTGACCTTTTATAAATCTCTTATTCTTGAGTCTCCATGGGCTGTCTTTTTACTGATAGAAGCTCTTTATGTATATTTAGTTTATCCATATAATACATGTCATATATGTTGCAAATACTTTCCCAAAGTTGTAATTTGTCTTTTATTATTTATGTGTGTTGTTTCACCATACATGATTTATATATATGCATGTAATCAAATTTATCAGTTCTCATTTAAATACAGTCTTTGCAGGATAATTAGAATTTCCCATCCCCCAAATATCTGGCTGTATATTCACTTTTATGTCTTTCATTGTATTTGCAGTTAAATCTTTATTCTCTCTATAATTAATTTTCTTGGAAATATTGAGGTGTGGGTATAACTATACTTTTGAAACCTGTTAAATAGTTATCAGGGTTTCATTTACTTTTTTCAAATAGTTTTATTTCATTTTAAATGTAACAATCTAATCAAAAGAGGATTTAAATAATTTAAAACATATAAAAACATATAACCAGTTTTCACATCAATATTATAAATGAATTTATCCATCTTCTACTCTTTTAAAATACTTTATCATAGAAAATATTCTTACCTAGTGATCAAACCATATCCAGGTTGTGCAACTATGGGTCACTTCCTTGACAGGATTGTTTTCAGGATTTTGGTTTAAGGCATGTTAACTGCTTAGGACAGTGTCTGGCTTATTGCAAGTGCTCAATATGTGTCAGCTGTGATGATGAAAGGGATATGTCTATTTCTGCACTATATATTTAATTAAGCTCTCTATTCGTGTATATTTTAATAACTAATAAAGTGAATGATTGCTATAGCTATCAACCCACATTTTCTTGCTTATTGTTGCCCCTTTGTTTGTCCAGAAGAAATTAAAGATAATTAAGTTACATGGTTAATGGTTTTTTTCAGGTTTTTCATATTTTCAGCTAGGAACATTGTGGCAACTTGTGTTTTTCTACAATATTATTCATTACTCAAATTATTTACAATTTATGAGAATACTGTTGGAAATAGTAATCTCTTATAATGTTAAAATATCTTATGTGATTATATTTCTTTCTGATTCTAAATTCTGTGCCTCTGTTTTCTCTCTTTAATATATATACATATTTCTTTATTATATAATTTTTATTTAATATTCAGGTATATTGAAAGTTTAGATTTTTATCACTTATTTTATGAATTATAAATAAAATTATTTATTGTATAATCTATTTTAATATTATTCCCTGTGCTAATTATCTATTGTAGGCAATTTAGATAGTGAAAAGGTAATGGTAGGTAAAATTATTGGTGCTTTAGTATGAATGAAGACATTGCTACCAAACTGTACTATTAATCTTTGCATTCTTTACTGGAATGTACTTGCAAAAAAAAGTCAGTTCCACTTAAGAATGTCTTAAATGAAGAAGTAAAAATTATTAATTTTATTAAATATTGATTAGTGAACGTGCATCTTCCTAATATTCTGTGTGAAGTATGCATACATGCATAAAATATTTTTGCTGCATACCGAAAGTACTATGGTTGTCTCAAGGAAAATAAAACTTGTACAGTTATTTGAATTGAGAGCTGAACTAGCGGTTTTATTATCAAAACAACATTTTCACTTGATGAAACAACTGGCAGATAAACTATGGTTATTCAGACTTAGGTACTTGGCAGACAATTAATTGAAAATGAATGGAGTAAGCCTGTCACTTCAAGAAAACAACTGACAGCATTTGTTGCCAAAGATAAAATTTGATCCTTCAGGTAAAATTTAAGCCTTTGGAAAATAGCTATTTTAGATGCTATGGGCAAGGAGGTATCATGGGAAGAGATAACATTTGAGCAGATATCTCAACAAAGTGAAAAATAAAGTTATATGATGCTCTGGAAGGAAAGCTTTTTATGCATAAAAGCATTAAAATAAGTGTCTTCATAATATCTACAATCAGTTGTAAACAATATAAATTACAAACATCTCTTGAAGATTAGCAGTACAACTGTGAACAATTGTAGTATCCCAGTGAACCATAATACTAACTGAAAAATGTTTATAATATGAAGAAAACGAACTTTCCTCTTTGCATTTATTATCGCCACATCTAATGCTGTATTGATGGGTTTCAGCGTAGCTGTTAAGTTAGGTGGTCGGTATGCCTGCACTATGCCTGCTATCACTTGATTACTAGGTGTTTAGTTCTATTCTGATATTGCTGTACTCAGATATGTCACTGGGTGATTGACAAGCTATTTCCAGATCTCAAATTTCTTATACTTGCTAACAATTAAACCATGTATACATCATCTTGAACTATGGGATCAAATACTGTATTGACTTGCACAATTTCTGTTTCATGTCCCTTGATAGTTTCAGTGTAAACATATAAGAAAAAGTCTACGCAGTAACAAATTACAAAATTCCTATTAAATGCCAAGCATTCAACTAGGCATGTTACATTTCACATTCTATTCATTTACCTTAACAAATCTATGACATAATATTAACTCCATTTTGTAAATGAAAACTCAGATACACAGAATATTTTAATAACTAATAAAGTGAACCATTGATATTGCTGTCAACCCACATTTTCTTGCTTATTGTTATGCCTTTGTTTGTCCAGAAGAAATTAACTTGTACTAGACCGTTTAGATTGTGACAGATAGAAAAATAATATGAATCTAGATAAGATTGATACTAAATTTTACCATCTTTCTAGCTTTCCTTTTTCATAAAATCAAAAGCTTTTTTAACACAATGTTTATGCACTTTCCCTCTTTAAAAATTTGGAACATCTTTTCTACTGTCCTGGGGTTAAAATTAACATCTAAACATGTTTTACATGTTCCTTCAGATCCTAACCCTTCATTTGCCCCGATATGTTAATACTCTCCTTTCATGTGCCATGTTTCCAAATATGAAACATGTTGCTCTTCCTCTAATGTACCATGTTTCTCTCACATCTTGGCCTTTATTATAGATTGAATCACAGGTCGAGTTATAAAAACAAGGAAGTCCTAATGGAGTGTTTTAAAGGTAATATTTCTGTCAAGTTTTTGTTTTGGAGCTCATATAGTCGTTATTAATAGGAAAAGAGAGTCAGGTAGCCTTTGTAAGTTCAACTTGTGCTTTAATCTCCTCACAAGAGAGAAGCCATCTATTTGTTCATGATTAATAATTCTATATTTTTCTAAGGCCAGTGCTGTTCAATTGAACATTCTACGATGATGCAAATGTCCTATATTTGCATTGTGCAGTAGAGTAACTACATGCGGCTGTTGAGCACTTGAAGTGTAGCTAGTGTAACTAAGAAACTGAATTTTTAATTGTATATTATCTTAACCAATTTAAATTTAAAGAGCCGTAAGTGACTAGAGGCTCTCATGTTGTACAGCTATGGTCTAGGGAAGTATAACATAGAAAAACTAACAAAGGAGAAGGATCACTTACGAGTGAGAGAGAGCAGCACAAGGAATTTTTAAAATACAGATAATTTCTTTCCTAGTCACCGAAAGCCCATGCTCTTTTTTTATGTGACCTCTTGAATTCCCTGATAAAAATAGTAAACAAGTGATATTTAACTTAGAACAGCTTTTGTTAGCAAAATGAATCACTATTTCAAATAAATAATAATATAGATAGCAGACAATTTTCCTTCTCAAAATGTATTTAAGCTATGCATATTGGGATGATACATAATTTAGGAGATAGATGGTTAAATATAATTCCTGTGCTTTATAAAATCATGAACTTTCAACATTTTAAATTTTCTATTGGTATGCCTTCTTCAGTGTTTCCCTTCTTATTCTCATATCTTTGCCATTGTAAGCTTATATCAGATGTTATGTTACATCATAACAAAAAAATGTGTATGTAAAACAAATTAACTGCATGAAAATATATTTTAAAAAGGAAACATAAATGATCTTCAACAATGAATATTTACACAGTAATGATAATCTAAACACTGATTAATAACTCAAAATTATGATTTCCATATTGCATAGAAAAAAGGGAATGTCCTTGTCTGGCATCAAAGGAGGTCAATACGTGTTATGAAAAGTTATAAATTAAATAATGGCATTAGCATATTACATGAATATATGCGGGTAACTATCATAACAGATAGCTAAAAGAGTAAGAAGTGATTGACAATGGGGATTAGCAGTAGAGAGTGGGATTTTTAATATTATATATTTTTTAACTGTATGTCCATATTACCTTGATAAACATTTTTATGTAAAAGCAAAAATGTGGAAAGAATCACTGGCGAGAAAAATGCCACAGTCTATGAATCCAGTAAATATCTATGGAATGAAATGTTATACTATGCCTGACCTAGCAATCATTCTAACACTTAATTTTATTACTATGGCTGGATATATACGAAGAGTACTGTCTAGGCAGAAATGGAATTAAATGAGTAATTTCATTTATAATCTCAGGCTTCAGACTCTTTGAGCTGAAAGGCGCCATAGAGATCATCTATTCATTTTTCTTTGCACTTTCCAGTCAATCTACCATTCCCTTTATAGCACAAAGAGGCAGAGGCATGAAGACATACAGTACAGCAGAAGGGATGTACCCAATTGCTCACTGACTTGCCTATCATTTGGCAGGTGGGAATAGCCAAAGTAGGGAATCCTAATTCTGTGAGGAGAAAATCAAATGATCTCACTAATAAAGTGTTTTTGAGTTAATAAAAATGTCAGATTTTCTTAATGACTACATTGTTAAGCTATTTTAAATACCAACACATTTAAATTAACTTTAAAACCTTCCATAGATTTTCACTGAACTTAGATTTGTTTTGTTTTGTTTTTTATGTTTTTCTTTTTTTCTTATTTTATTTTATTTTAAAGACCCAAGGTAAATGTGCAGGATGTGCAGGTTTGTTATGGAGGTAAATGTGTGTCATGATGATTTGTTGCACCTATCAACCCATCAAGACAGTAGATAGCCAGAGTGCAAGGGAGTTCAGATATTCAATAGCCCAGGATGCATTAGCTATTTTTCTTGATGCTTTCCCTTCCCTGCCCCATCAACAGGTCCCAGTGTGTGGTATTCCCCTCCCTGTGTCTGTGTTCACATTGAACTTAGATTTTAAAAACCTCGTGGTTAATCCTTTTAAAATGCAGCTAGATTAGACAAATTAAAATGAACACCCACAACATTTAGTAGAGCAATCTTTATTTTACTCTAGAGTGGGAAATGTTGTTCATATTTGAACTCCCTGAAGCATAATGAGGCAGTTCCTTATCCTAAGTGATCTGTGAATAAATTGTACTTCTGGTCATTTTTATCATTGGAGTGGGGAACTGTAATAGCTTTTCGTTCCCAGAAGTGTTTTTTTGTGGTGTGATATTATGGGTATTCATTTGGACTTCTTTGTAGTTGTAGTCAGATACATTAATTTCACAATAACATTGGAGGTATTCTTAGCAAACCTTTTTTGTAAGGTTTTCAAGTTACCTCTTTTTCCTATCCACATGGAAATCCTACTTCCTATCCTGCATAACTCCGCGGGAGCACTAAGCAGGCCCTGGAATTGTGCAGTGTGGATATGGGTCTGCAGATCTTTGGAGGGGAGATATTGTCACTGAACCAAAAGGCTTGGAAGAGATAAAAACTGAAAACAGCTGGTTGGACACGATATGCCAGGAGTGAAGAGATGTCTGACAAACAGCTTAAATATAAATCTGGAAGATAAATGTCATAGATAGTTGACACAGAAAAATTTGAATTAAATGAATTCATGGAATATGTAAGCTTTTTCACCTTTCACAGTTATGGTGGGTATAAATGAGAGAAAAGTAGATTCCATTTGAATTTATTTTATATGACCCAAGGGATATTTGGCCTTTAACAACATCAGCTTGACTTGGTATTATGTATTTTGTACTGTTGATAAAGCAAATTACTATAGTATTGAACTAAAATTATTAATTATGCAGTTTAAAAAGTACAATTATTGTTTGAAATAAATTACATAATGTGCCCATAAAAATAAAAATTATTACTTTTCTTTTTGTGTTTATATCTGACCAAAGCCTATTTCCTCATTTGAATTTTATATTCCTGGCAACAGAGAGCTCACAGGACTCCCTATAGACATTGGCGTAATTATTTTCCCAGTAATTCTGCTCCAGCTCATTAAGAATCTTCTGGAATGCCACGTGGTCATTGTAGAGACTATATCTTGCTTAGGTGTGAGCCTAAGAAGAATCCCAAACAGAAGACTGAAATGCTGGCCTATTTATCAGCAGATAATTTTTTAAAATCATTAATAGCATCATGCATATTTACCCTCCTAAAAATTATATGCACTAGCATAAAGTAAAGCAACACAGAATTTAAAGCCCACTTTTAAATTAGTTGTTGAACACCCCACAGCTTTAGATTTGGCTATATGGATTTTGTGACTATTGCCTGAATTTAGTAAAAATAAGCCCATTTATAGCAGTCTGAAACTCAGAGAGCTGACAGGTAATCACTGGCTATTTTTAGAATTCTTGTTCTATAATTTATCTTCTGGCTTGCATCATGAATTGAGCTATCTTTGAACTACACTATTGTACACAGAGAAGTCACTCAGTTAACATAAAACAAAGTGAATGTATTTCTACTACCATAGTAGGTTTTTGAAGATGTACTTGAATTTTTACAAAATGATAATAAATTAATCATAAAGAGCCACATCTTAAAAAATTATTACTATATTATTTCCTAGTTATTGAAGAAAAAGCTGAAGCTGGAAAGGCTAGATATATGTAACAAAATGATTGATTATGTGCTATTAGTATTTGTGAAAATGTTATACTGTATACAAAATGCCATATGCAATTGTATTAGGATGTCAATGTTGATAATAAATCTTGGCCAAATAATAAGTACCATTTATTGAGCATTCACAATATGTCAGATATATACTGTTTTAAACATCTGATTTTCCTATAAGACACTTTTTAAAAAATTACTGTTGAATGCCTACTGTATCAGTCAAGGTTCCACTGGGAAATAGATGGCATATTCAAGTGAGTAACTGAGGAGATTTTGGTGAAGGACAAATTACAAAGGTGTAGGAAGGACTGAGGGAATCAAAGGAAGAGGGTGAAAGCCTAGGAATCAAAACAGAAGACTTATCCCTAAAGAGCAAGAACAGGAAGCAAGGAAGCAGTTACCAGAACCTGGGGATCCTAAAATGTTTGAAATGGTGTTATGGGACAGCTGTGGCTTTAAATAGACAAACACAGCTGCTAAGGAGGTGCTGCGAGAGCAACAAATACCTAACTTACGTTTCCTTTTCCCTTGATGCTCTGACAGTGCCTTTCATTAGCAAATATTGGACAGTAGATAGCCAGAGTGCAAGGGAGTTCAGATATTCAATCCAGCCTTCCATAACAAGCACAGAACAGACAGGTATAGAACAGATCTAGTATGGTAAATGGAGAATATCTAGCAGTATTGTAATCATCCAGCAGGTTATTCTTACTGGCTGTACAGATAAAACCAATTCATTAAGACAGTGCTACTGCAGTAGGGAAAGAGTTTAAATAATGCATGGCTAGACAAGTGAAAAGGCAGAGCTTATTACTCAAATCAGCCCCCTTGAAAATTCAGAGGCTAGAGTTTTTCAAGGATAGTTTGTTGAGCCTGGGGGCTAGGGAATGGAGAATGCTGGTTGGTTGAGTCAAGGATGAAATCACAGGAGATTGGAGCTCTTTTCTTACACTCAGTCAGTCTCTAGGTAGGGGTTTACTGGTCCACGTACTGCCAGTTGGTCTGTACAGAATGCAAAGTCTGAAAAATATCTCCAGGCTAGTCTTAGGTTTTACATACCAATGTTACTTATAAGGGAAGCTGGGGACTTTATAAATCTTGCAGCTATCAGCTATGTGACTTTTGAGAGGTACCTAGTAAAAAGAAGGCAAGTTATAAAACAGTGACTGGTTAAAATATGCCTACATTCTAGCAGAAGAGACAATGGCTGGTAGGAATTTATGTCTCCATCTTAGCAGAAAAGACAATAGCTGGTTAGACCTTAAGTATGTCTATATTTTAGCAGAATTTAGACCCTATCACAATTCTAGCCTGGTGGCTTTTCTTAATTTTATGAAGGTGGTTTCAGTCTCCAAGTGAGGAGCAGATTAGTTGTGGGAAGAGGTTGTTATCATTTCTGTTTTAAAGTATAGACTAAATCCTGCTTAGTTAACTTGGAATAAGCAAAGACAGCTTATGAGATAAGAAATAAGATGGATCCAGTTATGTCAGATTTCTCCTACTATCAGAATCTTTGCAAAGGTGGTTTCACTATGTTCCTGGTAATTTTTTAGGTTCTGCAGTGTTAGAAAGGAACAGAGGGAAAAATTCCTGCAGCAGGATATTTATATTCTAATAGATTTGTGAAGAAAATAAGCAAAATAAGTAAAATATATAATATGCAACAAGATGATAAGTTTTATGGAGAAAAACTAAAAAACTAAAATAATAAAGGCTAGAATAGGGAGTGCAGAAGTTGGGGGTAGGTGACTAGTTTTTAAATAGAATAATCAGGAAAGGTCTCACTAAGGAAGTGATATTTGAACAAAGAACTGAAGGAGGGGGTTATATAATCATCCAGGGAGTGCCAACCTAAAAGGAAGAAGCGGAGGCACAAAATATAATTTATAGAATTTATTTGAGCCAAAGTGAGGACGGCTGCCCAGAAGATTCAGAGCCAAGTAACCTTGGATATGAGCTCCATTTGTCCTTTGTTACATGAAGATTTTTTCAGGCAAAAAAAAAAAAAAAAAAAAGACGGAAGAGGACAGGGAGTAGGCTGATATGAAGTGATCAAGAATTTTCATTGGTTTACAGAAATAACATTGATTCATGATTGGCTATTGATATGGTTTGGCTTTGTGTCCCCACCCAAATCTCATCTTGTAGCTCCAATAATTTCCATGTGTTATAGGAGGGACTCAATGGGAGTTGATTGAATTATGGGGGTGGGTCTTTCCTGTGCCATTCTCGTGATAGTGAATGGGTGTCATGAGATCTAATGGTTTCAAAAACAGGAGTTGCCCTGCACAAACTCCCTTTTTGCCTGCTGCCATCCATGTAAGATGTGGATGGCATCTCCTTGCCTTCTGTCATAATTGTGAGGCCTCCCTAGCCATATGGAACTGTAAGTCCAATAAACCTCTTTGTTTGGTAAATTGTCCAGTCTTAGGTATGTCTTTATCAGCAGTGTGAAAAGGGACTGATACAGCTACACATTATTAAGCTATAGAGCAGCATTATTAGGTTAATTCATAGCTATTTGTGGCAATAGCAAGAAGTTTCAATAGATGAATACGTAGCTTAGAAGGGCAGAAGTAGGACTGTCTCATTTTAATGCCTCTCTGGACCTGATAATTTGAAAGGGCTTACATTTCTCAGATAAAAATTCTTTTCTTTTCTTAGGAGAAAACATTTGGAGTAGAGGAACTAACAAGGACAAATTTCTGGGTGAGAACATGATAATATGTTAGTGAAGGAGAAAAGAAAACTAATGTGGCTATAGAGAAAAAATAAGGGGCAGCTTGGAATGGGATAAGGCTGGCAAGATAGGTGGAAGCTGAACAATGCAAGACCTTGCATGTCTTGTAAAGGACTTATTCTAAAAGCAAAGAAAAGCTATTGAAAAGTTGAAAGAGGAGGTGGATGTGATTATTAGACCTACATTCCAGAAAGATCACTCCAGCTGTAGCAAAATAAGAGATGGGAATATTTTGGTCTTAGTAGGGGGCAGATAGCTGAGGAAATAACAAGGGAGAGAGATGTAGGTAGTCCAGGTGGCTGAAGTCGTGTAAATGTCAAATGATGGCAGCTTGGAGAATGGTGGTGGCAATATAGATGGATAGATGGAAGAAGGCTCAAAAGATATATAAGATGGAAAATAATGTGCCACCATAAAGTACTAGATATGGAGGCTGCCTGTGAAAAGATAGGTAGCACTTGGAAAGATTACATTTTCCTTTAATTCATCTTCCAACGTGTTGAATTTTTCAGACCCCCAAGAGAAGAAGCCAGGTAAACTTGTTATTTACTTTGGAACTTAAAGAACAGGCCTGGATCAGATATACAAATTGGAGTCACCTAGTCAACTTCCTTTGCGTGGTAAATAAACCGCAGGCATAGGTGTAATTGGATTGAGAGTGTATATATAGTGAGAGGCTAAGAGTGGAATTAGAGCCAAGCTTTGAAGAGCTTCACTTTGAATAGCTTCAAATTTAGTAACAGATAGAGAAGAATTAGTTTGAAAAGGCTTATATATATATATATATATGAGAGATATTTTTCAAATTTGTGCTCTCATACCAGAATGAACTACAAATAATAGTCTATTAATTTAAGCCTGAATGTCCACAAAATTATAAGTACTATGAGGCTATACCTTTTGACTGATTCCAATATCAACGTTCTGTGTCTTCTCATTGAGATGTGGACTGGATCTCAGTCTTTTCAGAAAATAGCTTTTTTCCTTGCTTTCTGCAAGTTTTCAATCATAGTCCTTTGTTTGCTTTCTTATTTTTTATCACAGACATTTGCAGAAATAATTTCTGTACCTAACGAGCTATTCTTTTGTCTTGTAAAACTATACTTATTTTAAAATATCTTCAATTCCAACCTTTCGGTCATTATAAGAAAAGACAGGTCGGGCGCGGTGGCTCACGCCTGTAATCCCAGCACTTTGGGAGGCCGAGGCAGGCGGATCACGAGGTCAGGAGATCGAGACTATCCAGGCTAACACGGTGAAACCCCGTCTCTACTAAAAATACAAAAAATTAGCTGGGCGCGGTGGCGGGTGCCTGTAGTCCCAGCTACTCCGGAGGCTGAGGCAGGAGAATGGTGTGAACTCAGGAGGTGGAGCTTGCAGTGAGTGGAGATAGTGCCACTGCACTCCAGCCTGGGTGACAGAGTGAAACTCCATCTCAAAAAAAAAAAAAAAAAGAAAGAAAGAAAGAAAGAAAAAGAAAAAGACAATCTTATATTTTGTCATTTCTTTGTTCAAAAATACCACTCATTTTTCTGCTTCTCTCTTCCAAGGGATTTTACAGACCTCATTTTCCTTAGAGGGTTATACCAAGAAATTCCCTTCTGTACTGTTGCCCAGAAATAAACAAAACAAAAGAAAACAAAAGTAGTGGGTTCAAGCAACAGCAAGTATAAAGTTTTAAGCCAAAAAAGGGCTAGAGCCTTTTGGAATGTAAATTGCATATCAATCATGATAGATATTCTTCACTGAATTGCCTGAAAGAATTTTTTGTCATGCAGTGGTTGCTTATGCCTTAGTTTACAACAATTTGCAGCTAGTTATGCCAACCTTCCCACAAAGAATCCTTGGTATGCAGAGTTCCTTTCTTATTAACAGACAAATTTATTACTTTCTTCAACAGTTGGGCTGCTCATTGCCTCTCATTATGTAAGAATACAGATTGGCTGCTTACTCAACCTGGGATAAACAGACCTCAAAGCATTTTTCCATTTAAATGGGAGCCCTAGTTTTATGAAAGTGTGATGTTTTGAACTAGAACAAAGAACTAGAACTAGAACAGAGGGTCAACTCTGAGTTGGTAATATGTTACTTGTCCCTAAACACATTAAGAACATCTGTTACAAAAGGTACCGCTGTTTTATGAAATCTTCATTTCAGGCCTAATAATTAGAATGTTGATAGATAGTTGACCAAGATTACCTTTCCCTAACATTCCTCTCAGCTTGACTAAACTTTAGATAAGGTTTCTTCCTGGATGTAGGGCCCTGACCTCCCTTCTTAGGACATTTGTTATAGGAAAACTTGCCCTTGTACATTTCTTCTCTGTCCCTTTGAGCTGGAAATCTGCTACAACCCAGAAATGTCTCTCCCAAGTACCTTGGAGTCATCCTTTTGAAAGATAATCTTCAAGAAAGATAGGGTTCCCACCTCCCAGTCTCCCTGGGCAGGCAGAAGCCTAACTACTGTTAGTGCTAATTAGCAAACACAGATGGTCTAATCACATTGACTAATCCCTCCCCCTCCCAAGTCTTTTCAATACTTTTTCACTCTTCTACCTTTTGCTTCAGTGGAGTTTAGTTCAGCCCTTCTCTTATACAGCAATTTTCTATCTCCCCTATTGTAAAACTCTTGAATAAAGTCTTTTGTGATGGTTTAACTGGTTTGGTGCAATTTCTATTTTTCTTTTCCTTTTTTTCTTTTTTTTCTTTTTTTTTTTTTGACAGAGTCTCTCTCTGTTGTCCCAGGCTGGAGTTGCAGTGGTGTGATCTAGGCTCACTGCAACCTCTGCCTCCCGGGTTCAAGCGATTCTCCTGCCTCAGCTTCCCAAGTAGCTGGGACTACAGGCGCCTGCCAACACGCCCAGTTAATTTTTGTATTTTTAGTAGAGATGGGCTTTCACCTTATTGGCCAGGCTTGTCTGGAACTCCTGACCTGCTGATCTGCTTGCCTTGGCCTCCCAAAGTACTGAGACTACAGGTGTGAGCCACCACACCCAGCCAATTTCTCTTTAACAGGGCAAAAACTACGCAAATATTTGGGTCAGATCAGCAAAGATCCTATCTTGACTTGTAGCTTTCTGCCCCTCATTTAAGCAGTGCAGGTGCAAAATTTAATGCGACTATGATTCTCAAAATATTCCTGACCAAATTCATTGGTCTCTCATGGTCACACTGTAGTTTTAAAACTAAAAACAATACTATGACCTTGATCCATGTATTTTTTCTAAATATAGTGTCCAACCCTCTCTTTTCTTTAAATTCTTGCCACATGCATGATATATTTTACAAAGTACACGCAATTTTTTCATGGATATGTTGATTACAGCATTCTAAAAATTATCAATTGAATCAAAAATTAAAAATTATTTTAGCTTTGGGTAGTTTTTGTAAGTGACTCAGCTATAAAAAACAGGTAAAGATGCTATTAAAATTTTCACAAACAAAAGAGAAAGCACAAATTGAAAATAAAGACACATTAATATGCTCTAAAATACAAACATAACGATTAAATATTATTATAACAGAAGTAATTTTACCCTAGGCAATTTGACAGATACTGCCCACACTATGAAACTTCTGGGAACCTCATTGTGATGGTAATATTGAGTGTCAACTTGATTGGATTGAAGGATGCAAAGTATTGATCTTGGGTGTGTCTGTGAGGGTGTTGCCAAAGGAGGTTAATATTTGAGTCAGTGGGCTGGGAAAGGCAGACCCATCCCTAATCTGGGTGGGCACCACCTAATCAGTTGCCAGCATGGCCTGGATATAAAGCAGGCAGAAAAACGTGAAAAGGCTAGATTGGCATAGCCTCCAAGCCTACATCCTTCTCCCATGCCGGATGCTTCCTGCTTCAAACATTGGACTCTAAGTTCTTCAGGTTGAGACTTGGACTGGCTTCCTTGTTCTTCAGCTTGCAGACAGCCTATTGATCATGTGAGTTAATACTCCTAATAAACATATGTATATATATCCTATCAGTTCTGTGTCTTTTGAGAACCCTGATTAATACAGATTTGGGTACCAGGAGTGGTTCTAGAGGAATAGAATATTAAGGATGGAGTTCTTTTGTTGGTTTTGGGGCTTCTGGAGTTGGCTGCTCAATATGATTAGACCCAGAATTGCTAGGGACTCTACTTCTAATACTATAGAGAACACTGATAGTCCTTGCCATGAACTGTTTAGAGAGTTATGCAAAATAAATGCATTTGACACCCCTGATTGACCACACATAAGAGGCAAGGAGTTTAGTGACTCTATACACAATACCTTTGACCATATGTAGAGAACCAAGGAACATAATGAAGCTGGTTGGTTGCTCCTAAGTTTAGTGGACAAAGTGATGAAAGAAAATGATGAACTCAGGGATTCCAACTCCTAGATTTAGAAGCAGATACTGAACCTCAAATCTACTAAGATTGCCCTGAGTGAGAGTCTCATCTCCTGTAGAGAAAGAGCTGAAACTGTGGAAAAACAGACACCAGCTCTTATCACGCGAGTGGCTGACCTGCAACCAAAGGTGCCTGCACAGCCTCGCCAGGTGTCTACTGTTAAAGTGAGGGCATTGATTGGAAAAGAATGGGACTGTGCACTTTGGAATGGGGACATGTGGGAGGACCCTGATGAAGCTAGGGACACTGAGCTTGTAAACTCTGATGAATCATTTTTGCCTGAAGAAACAGCTTCCCCATCCCCAATGGTGGCAACATCCCCTCCCCGACCCATGCTGCCAAGAGCCTTTTCATCTTTGTCTGAGGAAAAAAAAACCCTGCACTGCCTGAGGCAACAGTGATGGCCTCTTCTGAGGCAGTTGCCAGGCAAGATAATGTTGACTTTCCACAGGAGCCACCCCCAACATCCCTGTTTGCTTTTAGGCCAATAACTAGACTAAAGTCCCAGCAGACCTTTAGAGGTGAGGTTCAGGGTGTGACCCATAAGGAGGCGTGCAACACTCAAAAAGAACTGCTTGAGTTTTCTAATTTATATAAGCAGCAATTTGGAGAACAGACATGGGGATGTATATTAATGGTGTGGGAAAATGGTGTAAGGAACATAGAGTTCAATCAGGATGAATTTATTGGCTTGGGTACACCAAGTAGAGACTCTGCATTTAATGTTGCAGCTTGGGGAGATAAAAAAAGATTCTAATTGTTTTCTTGCTTGGTTAACCGAAATACATATTAAAAGATGGCCCACTGTAAGCGAGCTGGAAATGCTCCCTTGGTCTAATGTAGAGGAAGGGATCCAAAGGCTTAGGGAGATTGGGATGGTGGAGTGGATTAGTCACTGTAGACCTACTCATCCCAGCTGGGAGGGTCCAGAAGATATACTCTTGACCAGTGTTTTGCAAAATAGATTTGTGAGGGCAGCACCTGCATCTTTGAAAAGCCCATAATTCCTCTTCTCTGTATGTCAGATCTAACAGTGGGAACCGCAGTCACTAACTAAAAAATTTAAATACATTGGGAATAATTGGATCCTGACATGACAGGGGCCAAGTAGTGGCACTCTGTCAAAGGTAAGGTAGGCATAGCTACCGTAATGGACAGCAGAGGCAAAGCAGCAATCAGCATAGTCTGACTAGTGTAGATCTCTGGCATTGGCTAATGAATCATGGTGTTCCCAGAAGTGAAATTAATAGGAAATCTATTTCATTCCTACTTCATTTATATAAGCAGAAAACTTCCAGGTCAAATGGACAAAAGACCAATTTGAATTATAAAAACATAATCACACCCTCATCAACCAATTTCCATATTTCAGCCAGTTTATAGACCCAGAACCCCTTGAATGAAGATGAGGGTGGGTCCCCTTGAAGAAGAATCCCACTACACTACTGACAATTTATGCTGTTAATCTTTCTCCCATCCTTCCCCAAGTAGACCTCCCGCCTTTTACCATGGTAACAGTGCACTGGGGAAAGGGAAATGATCAGATATTTTGGGGACTACTGAATACTGGCTCTGAGCTGATCTTGATGCCAGGGAACCCAAAAAATCATTGTGATCCACCATTTAAAGTAGGGGCTTATGGAGGTCAGGTAATTAATGAAGTTTTAGCTCAGGTTTGACGTACGGTGGGTCCAGAGGGTCCCCCAACTCATCCTGTGGTGATTTCCCCAGTGCCATATTACATAATTGGCATAGACATACTTAGCAGCTGGCAGAACCCCCACATTGGCTCCTTGACTGGTAGGTTGAGGCTACCATGTTAGGAAAGGCCAAATGGAAGCCATTAGAAGTGCCTCTACCTAGAGAAATAGTAAATCAAAAACAATATCTCATCCCTTGAGGGACTGTGGAGATTAGTGCCACCAGGACCTGAAAGATGTAGGGGTGGTGATTCCCACTACATCCCGGTTCAACTCTCCTATTCGGACTGTGCAGAAGAGAGATGGACCTAGGAGAATGACAGCGGATTATCATAAGCTTACCCAAGTGGTGACTCCAATTGCAGCTGCTGTACCAGATATGGTTTCATTGCTTGAGCAAATTAACAAATCTCCCGGTACCTTGATGTGCAGCCATTGACTTGGCAAATGCCTTTTTCTCCATTCCTGTCCATAAAGCCCACCAGAAGCAATTTGCCTTCAGCTGGCAAAGCCAGCAATATACCTTTACTGTCCTACCTAATGGGTATATCAACTCTCCAGCTTTGTATCATAATCTTATTCAAAGAGGCCTTGATTGCTTTTTGCTTCGACAAGATATCACCCTGGTCCATTATATTGATTACATTATGCTGATTGGATCCAGTGAGCAAGAAGTAGCAAACATACTGGACTTATTGGTGAGACATTTGCATGCCAGAGGATGGGAAATAAATCCAACTAAAATGCAGGGACTTACCTCGTAAAATATCTAGGGGTTCAGTCATGTGGGGCCTGTCAATATATCCTTCTAAGGTACAGGATAAGTTGCTGCATTTCACCCCTCCTACAACCAAGAAAGAGGCACAATGCCTAGTGGGCCTATTTGGATTTTGGAGGCAACACATTCCTCATTTGGGTGTGTTACTCCCACCCATTTATTGAATGACCTGAAAGGCTGCCAGTTTTGAGCAGGGTCAACAGAAGAAGGCTCTGCAACAAGTCCAGGCTGCTGTGCAAGCTGCTCTGCCACTTGGGCCATATGACACAATGTTACTTGAAGTGTCAGTGGTAGATAGGGATGCTGTTTGAAGTCTTTGGCAGGTCCCCATAGGCAAATCACAGCTGAGGCCTCTAGGATTTTGGAGCAAGGGCCTGCCATCTTCTGCAGATTACTAAAATATTTTTAAGAGACAGCTCTTGGCCTGTTACTAGGCTTTGGTGGAAAGTGAATGTTTGACTATGGGTCATCAAGTCACCCTGTGACCTGAACTGCCTATCATGAACTGGGTGCTTTCTCACCTGTCTAGCCATAAAATGGGTCATGTACAGCAACATTCCATCATCAAATGGAAGTGGTATATACATGATCAGGCTCAAGTAGGTCCTGAAGGCACAAGTAAGTTACATGAGGAAGTGGCTCAAATGCCCAAGGTCCCCACTCCTGCCACCCTGCCTTCTCTCCCACGGTATGCACCGATGGCCTCATGGGGAGTTCCCTATGAGGAGTTAACAGATGAAGAGTAGACTAGGGCCAGGTTCACAGATGGTTCTGCATGATATGCAAGCCCCACCCAAAAGTGGAGAGCTGCAGCACTACTGTCCCTTTCTAGGACATTCCTGAAAGACACTGGTAGAGGGAAATCTTCCCAGTGGGCAGCACTTTGAGCAGTGCACCTGTCTGTGCACTTTGCATGGAAGGAGAAATGGCCAGATATGCGATTATATACTGATTCATGGGCTGTAGCCAATGGTTTGGCTGGATGGTCAGGGACTCTGAAGAAGCATGATTGGAAAATTGGTGACAAAGAAATTTGGGGAAGAAGTATGTGGATTGACCTCTCTCAGTGGTCAAAAACTGAAGATATTTGTATCTCATGTTCACCAATAGGTGAACTCAGCAGAGGAGGATTTTAGTAATCAAGTAGATAGGATGACCCATTTGCTGGACACCACTCAGCCTCTTTCTCAGCCAACCCTGTCATCGCCCAATGGGCCCATGAACAAAGTGGCCCTCGTGGCAGGGATGGAGGTTATGCATGGCCTCAGCAACATGGACTTCCACTCACCAAGACTGACCTGGCTACAGCCACTGCTGAGTGCCCAATTTGCCAGCAGCAGAGACCAACACTGAGCCCTCCATATGGCACCATTTCTTGGGGTGATCACCCAACTACCTGGTGGCAGGTTGATTATTTTGGACATCTTATGTCATAAAAAAGGCAGAGGTTTGTCCTCACTGGAATAGACACTTACTCCAGTTATGGGTTTGCCTATCCTTTACACAATGGTACCTCCAAGACTACCATCCATGGACTTTCTGTTTCTCTAGAGAACACTGACTAATATACTCATAAAATTTCAGTTTACATTACCTGAATATATTCCCAATCAGAATTAGACTTTTAGTGGAATAAACATTTAAATTAATAATTTTCTCCATTCATGGCTTCTCACCCCAGGTCACATTCATTTTCTACCTGATGCTGCACAGCAGTGTGCTTCTGCAGTTTGAAGTCTGCAGACTGCAGGATCTTTTGACACTGACTTCCAGCTGGGCATCAGAAGACACCAGCAGGTGATTAGATGATGTCTCCCCTGCATGTGCATTGTCTCCTCAGCTCTGGCTCCTGCTCCCTGGTCCATTCCCAGGGCTCCAACTCTCATAGTTTCCAGTAACACTCATCCATTTCCTGCCCTTGTCCTTTCAGGCCAAGGGTGTTCATGGCTTCCACAAGTCCCTTAGGCTTCACCATCCCTTGGTTTACTTCCCCATACACTCACCTCTCTAAATACTTTAGTCATTAAACTTTCATCAGCTAATCATTTTGAGCCTGCCATCTGTTTTCTGCCTGACAAGGTATGTGTCACATCAATATTACATATGAACTGAGTTCAAGTTCCTGTCTTAGATGATTGGGGATATTGACATTATGTTTTAAAATAGATTTTAAAATCCTTTGTCTTCAAAGACAGTGAAATATAGCTTCACAGGTATCTTGTCTCTTTATAAACACATATTAATAAAATTTTCAAACATGCAGAATAGTACAGTAAAATAAACTCAATGATCTCCATCATTTAGCTTCAAAAATAGAATTTTGCTGTGCTTGTTTCAAAGTATTTTCCTTAACTTTTAAAATAATTGTATTGAATATTCACAAATTATAATTGTTTATATTTATAGGGTACAAAGTTATGCTACAATATATTTATATAATGTGGAATAATTGAATCAGGCTAATTAGCAAATCTATCACCTCAAGTACTAATTGTTTATTCCTCCCATGTAACTGAAACATTGTAACTTTTGAGAAAGGTCTCCCCATTTCCCCCATCCCCCAGACTCTCAAAAACACCATTGTGCTCTCTGCTTCTGTAAATTTGAATGTTTTGGTTTTGACATAAGAAAGAACATCCAGTATTTGCCTTTCTGAATCTCCAGATTCATCCATATGTCTCAAATGGCAAGATTCCTTTTTATTTTTATTATACTTTAAGTTCTGGGATACATGTAAAGAACATGCAGGTTTGTTACATAGGTATACACGTGCCATGGTGGTTTGTGGCACCCATCAACCCATCATCTACATTACATATTTCTCCTAATGCTAGCCCTTTGAGAGGTAAAGCCAGCTGGACTCCCTGGGTCGAGTGGGGACTTGGATAACTTTTCTGTCTTATAAGAGGATTGTAAAATGAACCAATCAGCACTCTGTAGCTAGCAAGGGGATTGTAAAATGCACCAATCAGTGCTCTGTAAAAACACACCAGTCAGTGCTCTGTAGCTAGCAAGAGGATTGTAAAATGCACCAATCAGCACTCTGTAAAATGCACCAATCAGTGCTCTGTAAAACACACCAATCAGGAGGGTCCTAAAAGTAGCCAATCACAGGGAGGATTGAAAAAAGGGCACTCTGATAGGCCAGACAGAAATGCTGAACATGGGAGGGGACAAATAAGGGAATAAAAGCTGGCCACCCCAGCCAGCAGCGCCAACCCGCTTTTGTCCCCTTCCAGGCTGTGGAAGCTTTGTTCTTTTGCTCTTCACAATAAACCTTGCTACCACTCACACTTTGGGTCCATGACATCTTTAAGAGCTGTAACACTGCAAAGGTCTGCGCCTTCATTCTTGAAGTCAGCGAGACCAAGCACCCCCACCAGGAACCGACTCTGGACATATCTTGGGGGCTCGTCCAGGATAGCACCATGTGGTGAGTACCATCAGACCCCTTTCGCTTGCTATTCTGTCCTATTTTTTCTTAGAATTCAGGGGTAAACACCGGGCATCTGTCAGCCAGTTAAAAGCGACTAGCACAGCTGCCAGACTAAAGACATTGGTGTCAGGCTTTCTGGGAAAGGGCTTTCTAACAACCCCCAACTCTTTGGAATCGGGAGTGTTGGTTTGCCTGGAACCACTTTTCCTGCACTTCCGAGCTGATACGAATGAGGGTCAACAGAGAGGAAAGCCATTCATCTCCGGGGTCCCAAAAAAAGTTGGTTGAGCCTGTAGCCATAAGCAGAACTCTCAGAGTTATATTGCACAAGCGAGACTCGCCCATCTATCCTATCTATCCTGACCCTTGCCTCCTGGGTCCTAACACCTGTCAGACAAACTTTCTCCCACCTCTCGTCTCTGAGGCTAGTCCTGCTTCTAAAAACCAGTCCCTGACCCTGGTGCTCTTCTAGTTTCTTCTATAAGAATGATTTCTAGTATAAATTTCAAGACTCTGTTCCCTTCTTTAGGCACCTGAGCTCGCCAATCAGAAAGACATAATTTTAGCCCAAAGCCTCATCAGGGCAGGACTATCTGGAATTTTAGGATCCCTCCTCAGACTAGCAGGCCTAACAAAGTCTATTCCCAAAGCTAGGATATGGGGAGCCTCAGAAATTATAGACTTCAAAATTGGGGGGATAGCTTTCCAATTCACATGATGAGAAGTGAGGACAAAAGGTGTCACTCTTCCAACCCTGGAGATCCCTTCCCTCTCAAGGTATGGCCCTCCACTCCATTTTGAGGCATATCATCTTTATAGGACAAGGGTAAGGTGCCAATACCAACAGGAGAAAATGCTTAGGACTCTAACAGGTTTCAAGAATGCGTTGGTAAGGCCTACTAAATCCCTAAATCTGATTTTTCTCAGTCCTCTGTGTCTAAGAGGAAAGGCAAGGGTACAGGTTTTCAAGAAGCATCAGTAGGGGCCACTAAATCTGACCTTCCTCAGTCCTGTTTGTGGTCTAGGAGGAAAACTAGTGTTTCTGCTGCTGCTTCGGTGAGTGCAACTATTCTGAACAGCAGGGTCTAGGGATGGTTGTGGGTTCTTGGGCAGGAAACAAACAAACAAACAAACAAATTAAAAGCATGGGCTGTTTTTTCTTTCAGACGGGAAACACTCAGGCATCAACATGTTCACCCTTGAAATGCATCCTAAGCCATTGGGACCAATTTGACCCACAAACCCTGAAAAAGAAGCAGCTTATTTTTTTCTATACTATAGCCTGGCCCCAATATTCTCTCTCTGATGGGGAAAAATGGCCACCTAAGGGAAGTATAAATTACAATACTATCCTGCAGCTTGACCTTTTCTATAAGAGGGAAGGCAAATGGAATGAAATACCTTATGCCCAAGCTTTTTTTCATTGAAGGATAATCCACAACTAACTATGCAAATCTTGCAATTTACATTCCATAGGAGGACCTCTCAGCTTACCTCCTTATCTTAACCTCCCTACAGCTCCCTTTCCTATTAATGATAAGCCTCATCTAATCTCCCCTGCCCAGAAGGAAACAAGCAAAGAAATCTCCAAGGGACCACAAAAACTGCTGGACTATCAGTTATGTCCCCTTCAAGCTGTAGGGGGAGGGGAATTTAGCCCAACCCAGGTACATGTCCCCTTCTCCCTCTCTGATTTAAAGCAGATCAAGTCAGACCTGGGGAAGTTTTCAGATGATCCTGATAGGTACACAGATGTCCTACAGGGTCTAGGGCAAATCTTTGACCTCACTTGGAGAGATGTCATGCTTTTGTTAGATCAAGCCCTGGCCTTTAATGAAAAGAATGTGGCTTTAGCTGCAGCCTGAGAGTTTGGAGATACCTGGTATCTTAGTCAAGTAAATGATAGAATGACAACTGAAGAAAGGGACAAATTCCCTACCAGTCTGCAAGCCGTCCCCAGTATGGATCCCCACTGGGACCTAGACTCAGATCATGGGGACTGGAGTCACAAACATCTGTTGACCTGTGTTCTAGAAGGACTAAGGAGAATTAGGACAAAGCCCATGAATTATTCAATGACGTCCACCATAACTCAAGGAAAGGAAGAAAATCCTTCCACCTTCCTTGAGTGGCTACAGGAGGCCTTAAGAAAATATGCTGCCCTGTCACCTGACTCCCTTGAAAGTCAATTGATCCTAAAAGATAAGTTCATTACCCAATCAGCTGCAGATATCAGGAGAAAGCTCCAAAAGCAAGCCCTGGGCCCTGAACAAAATCTGGAGGCATTATTAAACCTGGCATCCTTGGTGTTCTATAATAGGGACCAAGAGGAACAGGCTGAAAAGGAAAAGGTAGATAAGAGAAAGGCCACAGCCTTAGTCATGGCCCTCAGGCAAACAAGCCTTGGTGGTTCAGAGGGGACAGAAAATGGAGCAGGCCAGTCACCTGGTAGGGCTTGTTATCAGTGTGGTTTGCAAGGACACTTTAAAAAAGATTGTCCAACGAGAAACAAGCTGACCCCTTGCCCACGTCCACAATGCCAAGGCAATTACTGGAAGGTGCACTGCCCCAGAGGACAAAGGTTCTCTGGGTCAGAAGCCCCCAACCAGATGATCCAACAACAGGACTGAGGGTGTCTGGGGCAAGTGCCAGCTCATGTCATCATCCTCACTGAGCCCCGGGTATGTTTAACCATTGATCGTCAGGAAATTGACTTCCTCCTGGACACTGGCATGGCCTTCTCAGTGTTAATCTCCTGTCCTGGACAGCTGTCCTCAAGGTCCATTACCATCCGAGGAATCCTGGGACAGCCTGTAACCAGGTATTTCTCCCACCTCCTCAGTTGTAATTGGAGACTTCGCTCTTTTCACATGACTTTCTTGTTATGCCTAAAAGTCCCACACCCTCATTAGGGAGGGACATATTAGCCAAAGCTGGGGCTATTATCTACATGAATATGGGGAACAAGTTACCCATTTGTTGTCCTCTATTTGAGGAGGGAATCAACCCTGAAGTCTGGGCATTGGAAGGACAATTCAGAAAGGAAAATATACCCACCCTGTTCAAATCAGGCTAAAAGACCTCACCACTTTTCTGTATCAAAGGAAATATCCATTAAGGCCTGAAGCTCATAAAGGATTACAGGATGTTGTTAGACATTTAAAACCTCAAGGCTTAGTAAGAAAATGCAACAGTCCCTGCAACACCCCAATTCTAGGAGTACAAAAACCGAATGATCAGTGGAGACTAGTGCAAGATCTTAGACTCATCAATGAGGCAGTTATTCCTCTATATCCAGCTGTACCCAACCTCTATATCCTTCTCTCTCAAATACCACAGGAAGCAGAATTGTTCACTCTTCTGGACTTCAAGGATGCCTTCTTCTGCATTCCCCTGCACTCTGACTCTCAGTTTCTCTTTGCTTTTGAGGATCCCACAGACCACACGTCCCAACTTATGTGGACGGTCTTGCCTCAAGGGTTTAGGGATAGCCCTGATCTGTTTAATCAGGCATTGGCCCAAGATCTAGGCCATTTCTCAAGTCCAGGCACTCTGGTCCTTCAGTATGTGGATGATTTACTTTTGGCTACCAGTTCGGAAGCCTCATGCCAGCAGGCTACTCTAGATCTATTGAACTTTCTACCTAATCAAGGGTACAAGGTGTCTAAATCAAAGGCCTAGCCCTGCCTACAACAAGCAAATATCTAGGCCTAATCTTAGCCAGAGGAACCAGGACCCTTAGCAAAGAATGAATACAGCCTATACTGGCTTGTCCTCACCCTAAGACATTAAAACTGTTGCAGGGGTTCCTTGGGATCACCAGCTTTTGCCAACTATGGATCCCCAGATACAGCAAGATGGCCAGGCCACTCTATACTCTAATCAAGGACTATTTACCCAGAGGGCAAATACTCATCTAATAGAATGGGAACCAGAGGCAGAAACAGCCTTCAACACCTTAAAGCAGGCCCTAGTACAAGCTCCAGCCTTAAGCCTTCCCATAGGATAAAACTTCTCTTTATACACCAAAGAGAGAGCAGGAATAGCTCTTGGAGTCCTTACTCAGACTCATGGGACAACCCCACAACCAGTGGCATACCTAAGTAAGGAAATTGATGTAGTAGCAAAAGGCTGGCCTCACTGTTTATGGGTAGTTGTGACAGTGGCCATCTTAGTATCAGAGGCTATCAAAATAATACAATGAAAGGATCTCACTGTCTGGACTACTCATGATGTAAATGGTATACTAGGTGCCAAAGGAAATTCATGACTATCAGACAACCACCTTCTTAGATACTAGGCACTACTCCTTGAGGGACCAGTGCTTCAAATACACACGTGTGTGGCCCTCAACCCTGCCACTTTTCTCCCAGAAGATGGAGAACGAATAGAGCATGACTGCCAACAAATTTTAGCCCAGACTTATGCTGCCCGAGAGATCCTTAGAAGTCCCCTAAGCTAATCCTGACCTTAACCTATACACTGATGGAAGTTCATTTGCGGAGAATGGGATATGAAGGGCAGGTTATGCCATAGATAGTGATGTAACAGTACTTGAAAATAAGCCTCTTCCCCCAGGGACCAGTGCCCAGTTAGCAGAATGATTGGCACTTACCCGAGCCTTAGAACTGGGAAAGGATAAATGTGTATACAGATAGTAAGTATACTTATCTAATCCTACATGCCCATGCTGCAATATGGAAAGAAAGGGAATTACTAGCCTCTGGGGGAACCCCCATTATACCACAAGGAAATCATGGAGTTGTTGCACGTAGTGCAAAAACCCAAGGAGGTGGCAGTCTTACACTGCCAAAGGCATCAAAAAAGTAAAGGAGAAAAGGCAGAAGGAAACTATGGGGCAGACACTGAGGACAAAATTGCTGCCAGGCAGAACCTCCCATTAGAAATACCTATGGAAAGACCCTTGGTATGGAATAACCCTCTCCAAGACATTAAGCCCCAGTATTCCCCAACCTAAATAGAATGGGGACATTCACAGGGGAATAGTTTTCTCCCCTCAGGGTGGTTAACAACAGAAGAGGGAAAGGTAATCATACCCAAAGCCAGGCAGTGGAAAATCCTTAAGACTCTCCACCAAATTTTCATATGGGTATTAAGAACACTCATCAAATTTGGCCCTATTTACAGGGCCAAATCTCCTCCAGACCATCCAACAAGTAGTCAAAGCCTGTGAGGTGTGCCAAAGGAATAATCCCTTGGTCCATCATAAGGCCCCTCTCGGGGAACAATAATAGAGCACTATCCAGGAGAGGACTGGCAATTAGACATCACCTATATGCCTAAGTCAAGGGAATTTCAATACTTGTTGGTCTGTGTTAATACCTTTACAAATTGGATAGAAGCCTTCCCCTGCAAGACAGAGAAGGCTCAGGAAGTGGTTAAAGTCCTAATTCATTAAATAATTCCTAGATTTGAGCTTCCCCAAAGCTCACAAAGTGAAAATGGTCCAGCTTTTAAAGTCACGATAACTCAGGGAATTTCCTGGGTGCTAGGGATATAATATCACCTTCACTGCACCTGGAGGCCACAATCCTCAGGGAAGGTCAAGAAGGCAAAAGAAACACTCAAGAGGCACTTAAGGAAACTAACACAAGAAACTCATCTCCCATGGCCTACTCTTTTGCCCATGGTCTTGTTGAGAATCTGAAATTCTCCTCACAAAATAGGGCTCAGTCCATATGAAATGCTGTATGGATGACCTTTTCTCACAAATGACCTCCTACTTGATCAGGAAATGGTCAACTTGGTCAAGGATATAACTTCTTTGGCAAAATATCAACAAAACTTTAAAAACCTACCTGAAGGATGTCACAGAGAAAAGGGGACAGAGTTGTTTCAACTGGGAGATCCAGTGTTGGTCAAATCCCTCCCCTCTACCTCCCCATCTATGGATTCTTTGTGGGAAGACCATACTTGGTAATCCTCTCTACCCCCACTGCAGTTAAGGTGGCAGGGGTGGAAACTTGGATTAACCACACCTGAGTTAAACTTTGGACACCCCTTGAAGAACCTGCAGCACCGTCAGCTCAGGAGCCCCAAGATCAGCCAGACCAGGCTCGATACATCTGTGAACCATTGGAGAACTTGTGTCTCCTATTTCAGAAGGAAACATCCCAGACTAAAAAGGCTCCTACAGCTGATCCTGTGGAAAACCTCCTTACTTAAAAAAGATAAGTGAAAACCTATATAATCTTTAACAACTCTCCTTGACCCTTTAGCAGAATCCTTTTACTGTTTCATCACATTATTAAGCAGTATACTAACCATACTCTTTGCAGTAGGACTATGTATGGTAGCTCTTGCCAGGACAAAAATCCTAATCGCATCAACCTTTTTTCTATCATCCTTCATTCTGACAGCAATTTACTCCTACCTTTAACTCAGACTGTATAAAATGATCTCACCTTCCAGGGCTACCTCTTTACCTTCCTACTTATTCTTTACCTATCTATCCCTTCTGCTTCCTTGGATACTCCACACAGTTGCCTCTCCCCTTCTACTAGCTCCTAATTACCTCTACAAGCCTCTCAACTTAACCCACTCTCTGTTAAAACAGTCCAATCCTTCCCTGGCAAACAACTGTTGGCTTTGTATCTCCCTATCAGCAACTGCTTTTGTTGCCACTCCCGTTCCTGTAAAAAACCGGGTCTTTACTAACTTAACTTACCACCCCCATTATGAAGGAAAAGACCCTTTCCAACTTCTAAATATGCAATTATTAGCTGACTTCCCATCTCTGATAGGACCAAAAATACCCTAACAGGATGCGAAATCCAGCTTTTATGCTCTTACATTTTCAACCTCACCTTTTACATGAGCAATAAAAAGCCCATACATGGCCCTGTAACCACGAATACCATCTGAACTTTCCAAGCCCTTTTATGCATCCAACACAACCTGTTATCAGGCCTGCCCCTGGGGCACCTACTATCCCATCAGTGTAATTACACCCTACAACTTCAAGCCCCAACTGATCATAATAACTTCCAAGTCACCCAAACAGTTCCATTCAGATGGCTTGTCTGCTTCTCAGGGCCTCCAAAAATCATCACCTCCTCCCTGCTTAGCAAACAGTCTAGGTTTTGTAATGGCAAACATACTCCCTGCATGACCATTCACCCCTGGACCCCCTGCAGCAGCACCCCCACCAATGAATGCCTTCTCATCCCCTCTTTCAATCACTCTCTTGAATGGTTCCTAGTAGATACAAAACAGTTTTTTCTCCAATGGGAAAATAGAACGCAGGGAGCCACTCAGTTTGCTCTCAACACCCCTTTCCAGCCACTCACTGGAGCTACCTTGGCAAGTACTCTAGGAGTATGGGAAAATGAAAACAACAAACTCACACCCCTTTTTGACATACACAACCAGTTCTGTCTACACAGCCAAGGCATGTTCTTCTTATGTGGAACTTCAACCTATATCTGCCTCTTCACCAACTGGACAGGCACCTGCACCTTAGTCTTCCTAAGTCCCAACATTGACATTGCCCCAGGAAATCAAGCCCTATCAGTGCCCCTCAAAGCACTGGAATAGCCAGTTTATCTACTTCATTATCCTACTGGCACAAACTCTCAAAGGATTTCTCAGACAGTTTACAAGAAATAACAAAATCTATCCTTATGCTACAATCCCAAATACACTCTTTGACAGCAGTGACTCTCCAAAACCGCTCAGGCCTAGACCTCCTCACTGCTGAGAAAGGAGGGCTTTGTACCTTCTTAGGGGAAGAGTGTTGTTTTTACACTAACCAGTCAGGGATAGTATGAGACACCACCCAGCGTTTACAGGAAAAGGCTTGTGAAATCAGACAACGCCTTTCAAACTCTTATTCCAACCTCTGGAGTTGGGCGACATGGCTTCTCCCCTTTCTAGGTCCCATGACAGCCATCTTGCTATTACTCACCTTTAGGCACTGTGTTTTTAACCTCCTTGTCAAATTTGTTTCCTCCAGCATTGAGGCCATCAAGCTATAGATGGTCTTATAAATGGAACCCCAAATGAGCTCAACTCACAACTTCTACAAAGGCCCCTGGACTGACCCACTGGCTTAGAGAGTTCCCCTCTGGAGGACACTATAACTGCAGGGCCCCCTCTTCACCTCTATCCAGCAGGAAGTATCTAGAGTGGTCATTGCCCAATCCCCAACAGCAGTTGTGGTGTCCTGCTTAGAGAGGGGATTGAGAGGTGAAGCCATCTGGACTTCCTGAGTCGAGTGGGGACTTGGAGAACTTTTCTGTCTTACAAGAGGATTGTAAAATGCACCAATCAGCTCTCTGTAGCTAGGAAGGGTATTGTAAAATGCACCAATCAGCACTCTGTAAAATGCACCAATCAGCACTCTGTAAAATGCACCAATCAGCAGGATCCTAAATGTATCCAATTGCAGGGAGGATTGAAAAAAGGGCATTCTGATAGGACAGAAACAGAACATGGGAGGGGACAAATAAGGGAATAAAAGCTGGCCACTGCAGCCAGCAGCAGCAATCTGCTCGTGTCCCCATCCGTGCTGTGGAAGCTTTGTTCTTTTGCCCTTCACAATAAACCTTGCTACCGCTCACTCTTTGGGTCCATGCCATCTTTAAGAGCTGTAACACTCACCACAAAGATCCACAGCTTCATTCTTAAAGTCAGCGAGACCAGAAA
The DNA here is from genome assembly GCF_000001405.40 of Homo sapiens. NCBI lineage: Eukaryota > Metazoa > Chordata > Mammalia > Primates > Hominidae > Homo > Homo sapiens. The sequence continues at coordinate 81,905,660 of NC_000012.12, forward strand.
CTCATTGGCAGGAACCAACTCTGGACACACCTCCCCTAGGCCCCCACCCCCCGACAGGCTCCAGTGTGTGATGTTCCCCTCCCTGTGTCCATGTGTTCTCATTGTTCAACTCCCACTTAATGAGTGAGAACATGTGGCATTTGGTTTTCTGTTCCTGTGTTAGTTTGCTGAGAATGATGGTTTCCAGCTTCATCCATGTCCCTGCAAAGGACATGAACTCATCCTTTTTTATGGCTGCATAGTATTCCATGGTGTATATGTGCCACAAAGATTCCTTTTTATTTTAAGGCTCAATAGCATTGCATTATGTATATACACCACAATTTGTTCCTTTTTTTTTTTTAATCAGCTTATAGACACTTAGGTTGAATCCATAACTTGGCTATTGTGAATTATGCTGCAGTAAACATTGGAATACAGATATATCTCACATGCTGATTTCAAATCTTTTGGATATACACTCAGAAGTCATATGGTGGCTCTATTTTTAATTTTTTGAGGAAACATTTACCATAATCGTTGTACTAATTTACATCCCGACCAACAATGTATAAGGGTTTCCTTTTCTCCACACCCTTGACAACATTTATTTTTCATGTTTTTTATATAGCCATTCTAAGAGGCTTGAGGTGATATTGTGTTTTCAATTTGCATTTCCCTAATAATTATTGATATTGAACCTTTTTAAATATATATCTTGGCCATTATATGTCTTCTTTTGAGAAATGGTTACTCATGTTCTTTGCCCATTTTTTGACTGAGTTATTATTATTTTTTACTATTCAGTTGTTTGAGTTCCTTATATATTTTGGATATTAACCCTTTCTCAGAAGTATGGCTTACGAATATTTTCTTCCATTGCATAGGTTGCCCCTTTTCCCTGTTGTATTAGTCAGGGCTCTCTAGACGGACAGAACTAATGAAATATATATATAAAGGTGAGTTTATTAAGTATTAACTCACATGATCAAAAGTATATATATATTTTATATAATAAACTCCCCTATATGTATTTGTTATATATATTATATATTTATATATTATATATACATTTATATATTTATATATTATATATACATTTATATATTTATATATTATATATACATTTATATATTATATATATTTATATATTATATATACATTTATATATTATATATATTTATATATTATATATACATTTATATATTATATATATTTATATATTATATATACATTTATATATTATATATATTTATATATTATATATACATTTATATATTATATATATTTATATATTATATATACATTTATATATTATATATATTTATATATTATATATACATTTATATATTATATATATTTATATATTATATATACATTTATATATTATATATATTTATATATTATATATACATTTATATATTATATATATTTATATATTATATATACATTTATATATTATATATATTTATATATTATATATACATTTATATATTATATATATTTATATATTATATATACATTTATATATATTTTATATATACTTACATATTATATATATGAAGGGGAGTTCATTAAGTATTAACTCACATGATCAAAACTTCCCACAATAGGTCATCTGCAGGCTGAGGAGCAAGGAGAGCTAGTCCAAGTCCCAAAACTAAAGAACTTGGAGTCCAGTGATGTTCGAGGGCAGGAAGCATCCAGCATGGGAGAAAGATATAGGCTGGGAGGCTAGGCCTGTCTCTGTTTTCACATTTTTCTGGCTGCTTATAATCTAGCCACGCTGGCAGCTGATTAGATTGTGCCCACACAGATTAAGGGTGGGTCTGCCTTCCCCCCCATCAACTGACTCAAATGTTAAGCTCTTTTGGCAACACTCTCACAGACACATCCAGAATCAATACTTTGATTCCTTTGATCCAATCAAGTTGACACAGTATTAACCATCACATCTGCTAATTATTTTCTTTGCTGTGCAGTCACCTTTTAATTTAATATAATCCCATTTGTCTAGTTCTTTGTTGTTGTTGCCTAGCTTTTGAGGACAAATCCAAAAGATTATTGCCTACATCAATGTCATATAATTTTCCATTTATTTTCTTCTAGTAGTTTCACAGTTTCAGATCTTTTAAGCCTTTTATCCATTTTGATTTAATTTTTGTATATGATGTGAGATCAAAGTTCAATTTTATTCTTTTATATGTGAATATACAGTTGTCCCAATATCATTTATGGAAGAAACTGTTCTTCCCTATTGCGTGTTCTTGGAAACTTTACCAAATATTTTTGTGTGTGTCAAAATTCAGTTGACTGTAAATTCATGCATTTTAATGGGCTCTCTATTCTGTTCCATTGGTCTTTGTGTCTGTTTTTATGCTAGTATCATGCTTTTAAAATTACTATAGCTTTGTAATAAAGTTTGAAGTCAATTAGCATGATGCCTCCAGCTTTGTCCTTTTTGCTCAAAATTGCCTTGGTTATTTTTTTGGTTCTATATGAATTTTTGAATTTTGTTTGTTTTTGTGAGAAATTGGAATTTCAACAGAGATTGCATTGAATCTGTGGATTGCTTTTGATAGTATGAACATTTTAACAATCTTAACTCTTACAACGAATGAACACAAAATAGCTTTCCATTTATTAGTATCTTTCTCAATTTCATCAAAGTTTTGTAATTTTCTTCTTTTCATTTTTTTGCATAATTTATTTACCTTATTCTCTTACCTTTTAAACTTATTCTTTTATATATATATACTTTAAGTTCTGGGGTACATGTGCAGAACATGCAGGTTTGTTACATAGGTATACATGTGCCATGATGGTTTGCTGCAACCATCAACCCATCATCTACATTAGGTATTTCTCCTAATGCTATTCTTCCTCCAGACCCCCAACACCCTGATAGGCCCTGGTGTGTGATGACCCCCCACCCCGCATATTCATGCGTTCTCATTGTTCAACTCCCACTTGTGAGTGAGAGCATGTGGTATTTGGTTTTCTGTTGTTGTGTTAGTTTGCTAAGAATGATGGTTTCCAACTTCATCCATGTCTTTGCAAAGGACATGAACTCATCATTTTTATGGCTGCATAGTATTCCATGGTGTACATGTGTCACATTTTCTTTATCCAGTCTATCATTGATGGGCATTGGGGTTGGTTCCAAGTCTTTGGTATTGTGAACAGTGCCGCAATACACATATGTGTGCATGTGTCTTTATAGACGAATGGAACACAACAGAGGCCTCAGAAATAACATCACACATCTACAGCTGTCTGATCTTCAACAAACCTGATGAAAACAAGCAATGGGGAAAGGATTCTCTATTTAATAAATGGTGTTGGGAAAACTGGCTAGTCATATGCAGAAAACTGAAACTGGATACCTTCTTTACACCTTATACAAAAATGAATTCAAGATGGATTAAAGACTTAAATGTCAGACCTAAAACCATAAAAACCCTAGAAGAAAACCTAGGCAATACCATTCAGGACATAGGCATGGGCAAAGACATCATGACTAAAACACCAAAAGCAATGGCAACAAAAGTCAAAATTGACAAATGGGATCTAATTAAACTAAAGAGCTTCTGCACAGCAAAATAAACTATCATCAGAGTGAACAGGCAACCTACAGAATGAGAGAAAATTTTTGCTATCTATCCATCTGACAAAAGACTAATATTCAGAATCTACAAAGAACTTAAACACATTTACAAGACAAAACAAACCACCCCATCAAAAAGTGGGCAACAAATATGAACAGACACTTCTCCAAAGAAGACTTTTATGCAGCCAACAAACATATGAATAAAGCTCATCACTGGTCATTAGAGAAATGCAAATCAAAACCACAATGGTGCCATCATGCCAGTTAGAATGATGATCATTAAAATGTCAGGAAACAACAGATGCTGGAGAGGATGTGGAGAAATAGGAATGCTTTTACACTGTTGGTGGGAGTTTAAATTAGTTCAACCATTGTGGAAGACAGTGTGGTGATTCCTCAAGGGTCTAGAATTAGAAATACCATTTGACCCAGCAATCCCATTACTGGGTGTATACCCAAAGGATTATAAAGCATTCAACTATAAAGCTTTGTAATTTTCTGCGTACAGCTCTTTTATCTCCTTGGTTACATTTATCCCTAAGTATAATAACTTTTGTAGCTATTGTAAATGGGATTGTTTTCTTGATTTATTTTCTAGATTATTCATTGTTACTGTATACAAACACAACTGATTTGTGTATATTGATTGTATCTTGCAACCTTACTGTGTTCATGTATTAATTCTAACAGTTTTTTGGAGTCTTTAGGGTTTTCTATGTATAAGGTCATGTCATCAGCAAACAGTGACAATTGCACTTCTTTCTTTTCTATTTGGATACTTTCTATTTTTTTCTTGCCTAATTGCTCTGGAAAGGACTTTCAGTAGTATATTGAAATGGTGAGAGTGGGCATCCATGCCTTGTTCCTGACCTTAGAATAAAAGTTTTCATCTTTTTACCTTTAAGTATAATGCTACCTACTGGCTTGTCATGTGTATATGGTTTTTATTGTATTGAGGTAGAGTTCTTCTATACTAAATCTGTTGAGATTTTTTTTTATCATGAATGGATGTTGAATTTTGTCAAATGACTTTTCTGCATCTAATGAGATGATTATATGATTTTTGTCCTTCATTCTGTTAACATGGTGTATCACATTTATACATTTGTTTTTATTTAACAACCCTTTCGTCCCTGGGATAAATGATCATGGTAAGTAAGTCTTCTAATGTGCTGTTAAATTTGATTTGCTAGTATTTTTCTGAGGATTTTTGCATGTATGTTCATCAAGAATATTGGCCTGTAGTTTTATTTTTTTGTTGTTGTGTTCTTGTCTGGTTTTGCCATCAGGGTAATACTGGCCTTGTAGAATTAGTAAAGAGAATTCCTACTGCTCCTATTTTTTAATAGTTTGAGAATAATTGTATTGATTCAATCTGGTCAAGCGGAAATATTGTAGTGTAATAACTGGCATCATAATTCAGCCCTGCAGCACTAGGTCTTACCCTTTGTATTTGTAGCCCAGCCATGGATGAAAGACCAATCAGTGACCCCCACATAGAATACTGGATTATCATCATCAGCCTTGACTTTTCAGCCACTTTAGCAGCCTTAATTCTAACATGTGATCCTCAATTCAGGAAAACTGCTAGTCATGTATTTTGTCCAGTTTTAGAAATACTTATTATTCTAAATAGGTCCAGCACCAATCCAATTAGCCTATCATAGCTGGAAATGAAAGTAGTAGAGATATGTTATTGAACAAAATAGAATCAGGAGATCTCCATAGCATCACCATCACCCAGAAAAGATTTAGACCCCTGAAAGTCTAAATCTTAACAGTAGGGACAATGCAAAGAGTGAGACTACACCCTAGGAGTAAAAATAAAACTGAAATACACTGCCCAGTAAAAAATAAAATCCTGATAAGTTGAAAAGGATCCACCTAACTGCTTGCCAGAAATAAAATCAATATTCTTTTTTTCTAAAAATCAGCATAATCCAGTCTTCCTATAATGTGTCATCTAGAATGTTTAGCATAAAATAATTTATATGAATGTTTCTAATTGTTACAACTTGTGTTTTTGAAAACATCTCTACTCGTCCCATATATCACTATATATGGTCTCATATATCACTATATATATATATATATAAAATGAACATTTTATTTTTGAGAAACTTTAGCATTTTCTTTTTTTTATTTTATTATTATTATACTTTAAGTTTTAGGGTACATGTGCACAATGTGCAGGTTAGTTACATATGTATACATGTGCCATGCTGGTGTGCTACACCCATTAACTCATCATTTAGCATTAGGTATATCTCCTAATGCTATCCCTCCCTGCTCCCCCTACCCCACAACAGTCCCCAGAGTGTGATGTTCCCCTTCCTGTGTCCATGTGTTCTCATTGTTCAATTCCCACCTATGAGTGAGAACATGTGGTGTTTGGTTTTTTGTCCTTGCAATAGTTTACTGAGAATGATGATTTCCAATTTCATCCATGTCCCTAAAAAGGACATGAACTCATCATTTTTTATGGCTGCATAGTATTCCATGGTGTATATGTGCCACATTTTCTTAATCCAGTCTATCATTGTTGGACATTTGGGTTGGTTCCAAGTCTTTGCTATTGTGAATAGTGCCGCAATAAACATACGTGTGCATGTGTCTTTAGAGCAGCATGATTTATAGTCCTTTGGGTATATACCCAGTAATGGGATGGCTGGGTCAAATGGTATTTCTAGTTCTAGAAATCCCTGAGGAATCACCACACTGACTTCAACAATGGTTGAACTAGTTTACAGTCCCACCAACAGTGTAAAAGCGTTCCTATTTCTCCACATCTTCTCAAGCACCTGTTGTTTCCTGACTTTTTAATGATTGCCATTCTAACTGGTGTGAGATGGTATCTCATTGTGGTTTTGATTTGCATTTCTCTGATGGCCAGTGATGATGAGCATTTTTTCATGTGTTTTTTGGCTGCATAAATGTCTTCTTTTGAGAAGTGTTTCTTCATATCCTTTGCCCACTTTTTGATGGGGTTGTTTGTTTTTTTCTTGTAAATTTGTTTGAGTTCATTGTAGATTCTGGATATTAGCCTTTTGTCAGATGAGTAGGTTGCGAAAATTTTCTCCCATTTTGTAGGTTGCCTGTTCACTCTGTTGGTAGTTTCTTTTGCTGTGCAGAAGCTCTTCAGTTTAATTAGATCCCATTTGTCAATTTTGGCTTTTGTTGCCATTGCTTTTGGTGTTTTAGACATGAAGTCCTTGCCCATGCCTATGTTCTGAATGGTAAGCATTTTTAACATTTTAACATTTTCAAAGGCCTGTTCTGTCTTGGTTACTTGTTTTGATTACTAAAAAAAGTGAGGGTCTGGGGTTATGTATAATATTAGTAAGCATCTTTCTGTTATTTGTTTTAAATTATTTTGCAACCTGCTAACTTTACATATAGCAAAATCTCTTCTCATGATATATATATTTCTGATTTTTTTACTGAGATTTATCAATGTTAATAATAATTAGGCAAAGCAGAGTAGAGATTATTCTTCAATTTATAATGATTTCTCAAGTATTTTTGAATTTCCTATGTACAAATAATATCATATATGTATGTGCTAACATTACAGAAGAAAGGTCACAGATGTTGAATATGTTATGCACTTAAGAGTACAAAAGAAAATTATTGATAATTTGCAGAAAAAATATTAATCAATTTTTGTTAAAGCTTAGCTGTTGGTTTATAAATGACCATGTACTAATAAAATGACAGAATGCACAACTGATATACTTATTGTAGACCAATAGAAAAAGAATTACTAGTATTCTACACAATGTAGGTAATTAATTTTTCACACAGCACTGTTATTTTTTGTTGTTGTTTTGTTTCATTTTTGAGACAGCGTCTCACTCTGTCACACAGGCTGGAGTACAGTGATGTGATCACGGCTCACTGCAGCGTCAACCTCAAGGGCTCAGATGATTCTCCCATCTCAGCTTCCTGAGTAGCTGGGACTACAGGTGTACCACCATGCCTAGCTAATTTTTGTATTTTTAATAGAGACAGGGTTTTACCATATTGCCCAGGCTGGTCTCGAACTCCTGGCTATAAGCGATCCACCTGTCTCAGCCTCCTGAAGTACTGGGATTACAGGCATGAGCCACCGTGCCCGGCCTGCACTGTTTTTAAAATGCAAGATATTTTACCTGAAATTCAAAACTTTGTGAAGTTAGTGCCATTTGATATTAAACATATGGTGTGTTGGCAATTTCAAAAGTTATAAATAACTATTAGGCATCAAAATTGTGCAACAAAATGATGGAGTTAGCAAATTAAGACAAATTTTGAACAGTAAAAATACATATTAACTTCTAAGTTCCTTCTCTTAGGAATTGTCTGTTAAATACTTCCAGAATGCCAATGTGGTCTCAAGTTCTTGAAAACTAAAAATAGAGAACTTATAATAATTGCTTCAAGTCATTATCAAGAAACTCATGCCCTAGGAAAAATTTCAAAAACATATTAGTATTCATTTTTCATTGAGATCAGTTTGAATGGGGTTTCTTGCATGTGATTTTCAAGTATTCAGGCAATGATGAGTTACGGCAAGAACATGGAATCTAAAGCCAGTCACACTTTCATTCTAAATTCTTACTTTGTCACTTCTAGGAGTGTGTTATTGTAGGCAAAGATTTTAAGCTCTCTGGCTCTTAATTTAGTACCTAAACAATACAATAATGCCTTCATTTTAGAGGCTTTATGAGGATAGTATGTAATAACATAAGTAAAGTTTCTTATGAATCTCTCGAATGTCCTATATATTCAGTAAATATTGGCATGTTTCCGGATCTTTTTTATTCCTCTTTTGTGAAATAACAAAATTTTAAAAATTAGACTTTTTCAGAATTTTCAGGGAATAGGATGCAGATAGATATTCGGATGCCATTAGAGCATGTTCGTTCTTTCACCATGGTGTACCTCCATCTACTGCACCTACTCCTATTCTCTGCCAATCACAGGAAATGAACTCCTTGCACTTCTATCAAAGATTTATCTGTCACTTGTGCCCTAAATCCCATCTGCTTTTTATTTTTATTGTCTTCTTTTTCTTTTTTTAAACTCCTGGGCTCAAGTGATCCTCCCATCTCAGCCTCTATAGTAGATGACACTACAGGCGCAGGCACAATCTACCATGCTGGCTTCATAGTATGGACATTTTATCCTACAATTGTTCTCTCTCTCTCTCCTTCTCCTTCTCCATTTGCTGTATTTCCCTTTCCTCCCAGACCATCATTCTTCTTAACATATAATCTTGCTATTTTTTTATAACTTAAAAAACAAATTTATCTTGCCCCACGTTATTTTTCTGTATCATTCCTATTTTTTCCAGTAGAGCAAACACTCCAAAAATGTGCTATACTTGCTACATACGCTTGCAGATCTCTAATTCTATACCTCATCTAATTTTTTATATCATAACTTCAGATATTCAGCCATCATTTAAACTATTCATTTTGAGGTAGCTGATTCCAATGTTGAATGACTGGTTGTTAAAAAGCTTCTTCCATAAAGTAATTAAAAATTTTCTTCTTATAATCCATACTAATTTCTCTTCCATATGAAAGCTCTCAAATCTTTGATGACAGCTATTATGTCTTTTAATTATTTCTTTTCCATATTAAATATCTTTACTTATTTTCAAACATTTCTTATGTAAAACATACTTCAATACTCCAATACTTTTCTTATGCTAATATCACTTTTCTATATCTGGTGAAATTAGACAATGCTTCTAATAAAATTTTATATTTTAGCTAAACCTATCCAGGAAATAATGTTTTAAATTTAATTAAAAATTAAGCATTTTATGATTTTCTTTAAAAATATGAATAAATTATACACTATTAACTTTTTTTAGGTTAGGTTAAGCCTAGGGTTGGGCAAAGTCCTACTGAAAGTTATAATAGATTACCTCATCTCCAAAAAACTGATTTTGTTATGTTTAAGTAATTAGGTCAAATAAACACTGAAGATTTCATGTTCTAGATTTTTCAGGGTAAGGGGAATATAAATATGAATTGAGTACCATAGTTCTACTCATGAAATTCCTTCCATATACAATTTTAACCAGAGGATTAGTAAAAACCAATCATGAAATGCACATAATTGATCATTAAAAAGCAGTAGTTTATCATGAAAAGTGCAATTTAGAGCTAAGGACAAAAATGAGATATGGAGAGAAGAGGGTATATTGTGTTCATAATGCCCATCAGAATTTACTCTGTAGGATACACCACTCCAATTACCAGGTTGTCCAATTGGTTAAAGGCTGTAGATATAGAAAGACTTCCAGAAAGTGTTAGGGATTCAAATAAGCCAAATTTATTTGATGCGATAAATACTTTTTTTAGCTAGCAACCTCAGATTACTTTTGTATTTTCAGATGATATAAGGATTTAACAAAAAAAAAGAACTGAATTCTTTATCATTCATTTTATACCTTCTTTACTTCTTTATACTAAAAATATACTATGTAGTGGTACATTTTAGGATATTCGTAGCAAAATCTAAAAAGCTTTCATAAAATTTGAGATTATATTTAGTTTGAGAACATAATTACAGGATTTTTATTCAATGATTTCTTTAGAGGTAAAACTCTATATATTATGCATATGTAATACATGCTTATAAATTATAATATATTCTTATATATTATGTATGCCATATATACTTACATATATTACATGTAATCAAATTAAAAGAGAAGTTAAAAAATAAGTCAGCATATTTTATAAAGAGATAAATTATTTTTAAAAATCCAAACCCCACCCTAAGCTTAGTGTGACACCAAAAATAATCATATAACTTATTCCTATTTTTTAAAGTGTATAAAATATATAGCCCTTAGTTCAAATTAAAAGATAGCATTTTTTAAAATAGAGTTATCTAAAATGCAAATATATAACTAGCATACAGTTCTAAATAGTGTCAATTTTGAAGATATTACTCCACTGTCTAACGGCTTCCATTTGTGATGTTAAAAGTCTTAAACTGATTAACACTCCTTTTTCTCCTTTTCCCCGCCAGCTGCATTTATAATTTTGTCTTTGCCTTTAGCATTCTGAATTGTCACTCAGATGTGTCTGCAAGTGTGTTTCCTTTTGCTTTTTCTACTTAAGTTATGTTGAGTTTCTGGAATATGAAATAGTCTTTGATCAATTCAGGAAAATTCTTAGCTAATATTACGGAGAATATATTTGGTTCTTTTTGTCCATGGGAATTTTTTTTTTCTATTTTGTGGCTCACATTTGAAGTTGGTTTGATGACTTACTTGCAAAATTTTTAAATATTTAACAATTTGGTTTTATAAGCCAGAAAGCTGGTTCCAGCACACCACTGAACATACTTCTATGTAGATAGTGTATTTCTGTCAGCACATTAAAGCTAATTTTTATACTTTCTTTTGATTTTTGATTTTAAGAAGAAGAGTTTACTATCTAAAAGCTATCCTTCATTTGTAACTGATCTGATTTCCCTCTGAGTTTAAGATCTCTTTGGTTTTGATGCTCTCAATTTTTACCACAATGGGTCTAGGTATGACTTTGATTTTTTGGTTTTCCTCTTCAGGAACCAATTTTGCTTCTGAATATGAGGATTTATGTCTTTCATAAATACTAGGAAATTATCCCTCCAAATCTTACTGCTTCTCATTCCTTTTAGTTTCTATTTATGTAATTTCTATTCAATATACATTGAAACGTCTATTTATATTAATTTCTCAGAAATTCTCTAATTTTCAGTTCTGTATTTTAGGTAATTTCCTCCAATCTATTTTTCAATTCACTAATTCTATCTTGTGTTGTGACTAAATGGCTGTTCAATCCATCTACTGAGCTTTGAATATCAATTACTATATACTTCAATTATACAAGTTTTATTTTGTTCTTTTAAAAATACATTTTTTTTTATGAAACATTGTCATTTTTTTTTTCTTTTTGGACAGAGTCTCACTGTGTTGCCCAGGCTGGAGTGCAGTGGTACAATCTCTATTCACTGCAGCCTCAACCTCCCAAGGCTCTAGTAATCCTCCCACCTCAGCCTCCCAGGTAGCTGAGACCACAGGTTCATGTCACCACGCACAGCTAACTTTTGTATTTTTTGTAGAGGTGGGGTTTCACCAAGTTGCCTAAGCTGGTCTTGAAATCCTAGCTCAGGCGATCCTCCCACCTCAGCCTCCCAAAGTACTGAAATGATAGGCGTGAACCACTATGCCCGACCTTAATGTTTTACTTTAAATTTTGTCTTTATTTTACACATACTTATTTAATAATAAACACCTGATAATTCTATTATTTGAACTTCCCATGTGTAATTCATTATTTGTTGTATTGACTGACTCTCACTCATATGTAGTTGTTTCTTCTTGAGTTTTGTAATTTTTAAGAGTGGGTTCGCTTCATTTGGGCTTCATATTTGAAATACTGAGCAACCTTGAATTCCTCACAGATAAATTTTGGTTTTGCTTTGTCTGGGTGCCCTGAGACCACTCTTTTTTTTTTTTTTTTTTCGTGAGATGGAGTCTCTCTCTGTCACCCAGGTTGGAGTGCAGTGGCGCAATCTCGGCTCACTGCAAGCACCATCTCCCGGGTTCACGCCATTGTCCTGCCTCAGCCTCCCAAGTAGCTGGGACTACAGGCGTGTGCCACCATGCCTGGCTAATTTTTTTGTATTTTTAGTAGAGACAGGGTTTCACTGTGTTAGACAGGATGGTCTCGATCTCCTGACCTCGTGATCCGCCTTGGCCTCCCAAAGTGCTGGGATTACAGGCGTGAGCCACTGTGCCTGACCAAGACCACTCTTAATATTAATTTCTTGGTTTCACCCAGGATGATTTGAGTTAGCTAAATTTGAACAGTATTTATTATGAATAAAGGACCTATTTTTTTCTTCTAGAGTTCAGGCTGAAACAGACACACTTTCCTGTCATCTTTTTATGTTGGAGAGGATGTTGTTCTAGTTTACAATGATTGCTTCCAGGTGTAGGCAGTTGTCTTACAATCACCTGCCCACCAAGGCTCCGGGTGCTGCCCTTTCTTTAAATTTAAAACCTCCGTCTTCAATGGTAGGCAAATGACTCAGGTTTTGTTAGCCAATCAGTATATTCTGTCTTCCTTGATCATAGTGACTGGTTCAGAGTTAAGTCTTGTCATCTAAGCATGAAAAATAAAACTTAATTCTACCATCAGGATGCTTGATGCACAGATTGGTTTTCTTTGTCTGTTTGCATTGAACTTGCTAGTGAGAGGCTGATGAAGGCCTGAGCAGTGGAGGATCTAGCAAATTGTGAGAATATTGTTAACACAGATGGATGCAGAGGAGAAACATAAAGGATGGAAATTTAAAAAACCATTTTATTTGAGCCCCTAGGTTCACCATACCTGAATCACCAGATTTTCAATTTATGTGAGTTGAAGTCTGTTTGAATTGGGTTTCTGCAACCTGGATATGAAACTGTTATCTAGTATAATTGCATAATAGCTATTCTCAGTCTTCCCCCATATTTCTCCTTTTGGCAAGTGACAGAAAGTATGAATTTGAATGCAAGAGATAGAAAACAAGAAGTAATTTAACTACTATGTAGGCAACCTGGTGATATCTAACTCAGATACACCTTCTGGGCTGAAGGATTAATCAACTAGCTACTGGTCATTTTGTTAGATAATTCTCAGTTGTCAGCCTATATCAGTCAGGATTCAAACAGAGAAACAGAACCAGTAGTGTGTGTGTGTGTGTGTGTGTGTGTGTGTGTGTATGTGTGTGTGTGTATATATGTTTTGTTAGTAGATAATTCTCAGTTGTCAGCCTATATCAGTCAGGATTGAGCCAGAGAAACAATCAGCACTATGTATGTATATGTGTGTGTGTATGTATGTATGTATATATATATATATACATACATACACACACACATATGCATACATATATATACACACATATGCATACATATATATACACACATATGCATACATATGTATACACATATATACATATATACACATATATATACACAGATACACACACACACACATATTTATCTCAAGAAAATAGTTTACACAACTGTGGGGGCTGTCAAGGCAAGTCTAAAATCTGTAGGACAGTCCATCAGGAAAGGCAGGCCAGATCTTCTGGGCATAATCTGAAGCTGCCTTTCACAGGTGGAATGTCTTTTTTCTCAGGGAAGCCTCAGTTTTGTTCTAAAAGTCTTTCAATTTATTGAATCAGGCTCAACCAGACTATCCAGGGTAATCTTTCTTACATAAGGACAACTGAAATCACCTTCACAGCAACATATTTGTTAGTGTTTGCATAACAAGACTATAACACAGACAAGGTAATATATAAAACTGACCATCACATAGTCTGCTTTGAGAATCGCCTAGGTTGAAGACAGTCTCCTCACCCACGGTCATGGCCCCTTCCCAGACCACCATGCATTTAATGACTGATCTGTGCAGGTCCATTAAAGCCTCACTCACTTGCTTCAACTCAGGAAAACCCTGAAGGGTCATATCAACTTAAAAATTTCTTCTGGTTGACAGAAGCCTTTGTTGAGACTGCGAATTTTACCTTGAGCAATCTTACTTTCTTGCCTTCTTCCTCAGGCATGAAAATACTCTTTAATAAACTTTACATGCAAATCCTTCCAGAGAATATCACTCTTGGGAAGCTCAATCTGTAACATGACCCAAAATTCTCTTTATTTATCTTCCTAAAACACACATAAACAATACATTTTGTGTGCTCTTTTAAAACCTATTATGAAATAGTAAGACTGTAATCCCCAGTGTATTCTAATGCTGAGACTATATCCACGTGGTGTACCATTTTATCTCAGGGACACATACAGCATCTGGAGTATATGTTCAATAAGTGAATATAAATAAATAAAATAAAGCATTAGAGTTGGTTACCACCAATAGTTAAAATTTCTATTTATAAAAATAGGAATCAGAAATTGTTTCAATCAGCATCTAAATTTATTATAATTGTACTACTGTTGTACAAAACATAAAACATGATGTTCATTTTAAACTGAGGGAAGATGATTGAATAAATTTTGCACCACATTAGAAATGACCGATATGTCAAGAATCCCCAAATTAGCTTGTGATGCTTTGTTTCAATCAATTTAGATTCTGATTTGCTGGAGTGGAAATGACTCTGAATTTAATGGTGCTGTTTCATTGAATTCTCTTAGAGCCTTTATTATGAATATAATAGCTTTATTATTATGTTATATTATTCCTACTTGAATGGAGAGGAAAGTTATTGGAAGTTAAAAAAAAGAAGATGCGAGCATGCACACTGCTTCATCTTAGCAGAGGTGGGTATTGTACCAGTAATGTTGATGACAGACGTTTACATGTTCCTAAAAAATGCTGGGAAAGAATTCATTCTGGATAAATAAGAACTTTTATGTAGATACATTCATTTACCTTTCCTGGTTATGGTCATTGTTAAATCAAACAAAACAACACAAATTTGGGAGGGAGTGTTTATACCACAAATATTTGCAAATGCTACAAATCAGGGCTTTTTCCTAGGAAGCTGGTTGTTACTGTGCACCAGCACACATCGTAAAGCTCCAACACTTACTCAAGGACATTGTTCCATCAATTTTTCTTTCTCCTCATCATGCAATTTTAATCAAATAAAAAAAGGATTTAATGAAAAATGCAGGATGAGTATGTTTACCAAATTTATATTAATTAATCTGTTCAAGGTAGTAAAACAGTTTTCAAGCATGTGGGGATTAGACAACAAAATCATCACATATATTCAGACATTAGCAATGCAAGTCAGGGATAAAATTGTTTTTTGCTAAGGAGTTTGTAACTTATGCAAAAAAAATATATTTATTTGGAGTATTAGAACTAGAAAGGGTGACCAATTTTTGTTTGTTGCTTTATCTAGAGTGCAAAGAGTTTATTTTACTTATAACAGGCAGACACGATGTCATAAGTAAAGTTTAGACAGGCAAACTTATTCATTATGGAAGCAGGACACACTGCCAATTATGCTTCCACACACAGCTCTCCTGTGTTCAGAACCCTCCAATAGCTACTGATTTCCTTCTGAGGAAAGCAAAAGTCCTTACAAAGTCCCCATATAGAATGCAGCCTCTATGAAAATGGAACTTTGTTTGCTTTGCTTACTGCTATTTAATCAGCTGGTAAAACAACTCCTGACACACAGTAGATGCTCATTAAATATTTTTTAACAGTAAGCCAAACTTTTGACTAAAATGACCAAAGGCTTGTTGGAGTAAGATGCGAGTCTGTTATCATTTTTTTCCTTGATCATAGATTTTCTGTGAACATTATCTAGACAATCATTATAGTCACTCAATAGTTTCAAGACTTAAAATGTGAGTTCAGTCTACCTGAGGAGTTGAGATAATCAATGAACATGTTGTCAAAAGAGAATCAGTCCCTCAGTATCTGGAAAATTTAACCATATCATGAGCCATGCTATAGGAAAAGCTTAGTGAAATTATTACACATTAAAATAGATTGAGATATAGAAAGAGATAAAAATAATAAACTTATACCAGGATTTTTTTTTAGCTTTAGAAATCAGAATACTGTAAAAATAATGGAGGCTAATATTTATAAAGTGCTTATGATTTATCTGATATTTTTCTAAGTGATTTGATTGCACTGTCTGATTTTATATTCATAATAATACTATGATTTAGGTGTCTTTTATTATTCTCATGTTAGAGATAATTTAACTTACACCTAAATAACTTTTAAATCCCAGCACTTTGGGAGGCCCAGGCAGGAGGATTTCTTGAGCTCAGGAGTTTAAGATCAGCCTGGGCAACATGGCTAAACGTTTTCTCTACAAAAACATACAAAAATTAGCCAGGCATGATGGTGGGTGCCTATAGTCCCAGCTACTGGGGAGGGTGAGGTGGGAGCATCACTTGAGTCCGGGAGACAGAGGTTGCAGTGAGCCAAGGTCGTGCCACTGCCCTCCAGCTTGGGTAACAAAGTGAGACTCTATCTCAAAAATAAATAAATAAACAAATACATACATACATACATACATACATACATGATTTTTAAAATGTGCTGTATCGGTCAGAATTCTCCAGAGATATAGAACTAATAGGACATATACATACATACATATTGAGAGATCTATCTTAAGAAATTGACTCTTGGAATTGTGGGTACTGGCAAGTCTAAAATTTCTAGGGAAGGCTGGCCAGCTGGAAACTCAAAGAGGAGTGGATATTGCAGTCTTGTTATGTCTTGTTTTCATTTGGTTTTGATTTTTCAGCTTTATTGAGATATAATTGACAAGTAAAAATTGTGCATCTAACAAGATGTTTTAATATATCTATACATTGTAATATAATTGCCACAATCAAGCTAATTAATATATCCATCACTTCACTTGGTTACCTGTGTGGGTTTGGTGAAGATGTTTAAGATCTCTTTTAGCAAACTTCAAATGTGTAACACATTATAATTAGCTATAGTGAACATACTGTACATTAGGTCTACAGAACTCACTCAATTTATAATTGCAAGTTTGTACTCTTTGACTGACATCATCCCATTTTTTCCCATCCCTGACTCCTGGTAACCACCTTTCTACTCTCTGCTTCTATAAGTATTTTTTTTTTTTTTTTTTTTTTTGTGACGGAGTCTCGCTCTGTCACCCAGGCTGGTGTGCAGCAGCGTGATCTCAGCTCAAAGCAACCTCCGTCTCCTTAGTTCAAGTGATTCTCCTGCGTCAGCCTCCCAAGTAGCTGGGACTACAGGCACGTGCCATCACACCTGGCTGATTTTTTGTATTTTTAGCAGAGACACGGTTTCACCCTGTTAGCCAGGATGTCTCCATTTATGAGTTTGATTTTTTAAAATTCCACATAAAAGTGAAACAGTCCATTATTTTTCCCTCTGTAGCTGGCTTATTTCATTAGCATAAGGTCCCCCAGGTTCATCCATGTTGTTATAAATTATAGGATTTCCTTCTTTTTCAAGACTAAATAATAGTTCACAATAATATTGTGTATATATATATATGTGTGTCTGTGTATATATGTATCACATTTTTTATCCATTTATCTGTCAAAGAACACTTGGGTTGATTCCATATCTTGGCTTTTATGAACACTGCCACAATGAACATGGTAATGCAATTATCTCTTTCACATACTTATTTCATTTCTTTTGGCTATATACCCAAAAGTGGGATTGCAGGATCATAGGTAGTTCTATTGTTTTGTTGTGTGGTTTTTCTTTTTTTTTTTTTTTTGGCAGAAACTTCATACTGTAAATCACAATGGTTGTACTAATTTACATTCCCATCAAAAATGCGCAAGGGTTTCCTTTCTCCACAACCTCACCAACACTTATCTTTCATCTTTTTGATAATAGCCATCCTAACAAGTGTATGTTAATATCTCATGGTTTCGCATTGCATTTTTCTCAATTAGCGATGTTGAGCACCTTTTCATATGCCTGTTGACCATTTGTATCTTTTCTTTGAAAAAAAAATGTTTATTCAGGTTCTCTGCCCATTTCAAAATTGGATTATTCTATTTTTGTTTGTTTTACTGTTTGCTATTGAGTTGTATGAGTTAATTATATGGTTTGACTGCTAACCACCTAATGGATATATGGTTTGTAAATATTTTCTCCCAATCCATAGTTCCCTGTTCATTTTGTAGATTTTTTTCCTTTGCTGAAAAGAAACTTTTTAGTTTGATTTAGTTCACTTGTTTACTTTTGCTTTTGTTGCCTGTGCTTTTGTTGTCATATCCAAAAAATCATTACCAACATGAGTGTCATAGACGTTTTTCCTTTTGCTTTCTCCTAGGAGTTTTACTACTTGGGGTCTTAGGTTTAAATATTTAATTCATTTAAGTTGATTTTGGAGTATGATGTAAGATAACGATCAAATTTCATTTTTTTTTTTTGCATTTGGATATCAAGTTTCTCTAACACATTTCTTGAAAAAGCTATTATTTTCCTCATTGTGTATTCTTGGCTCTTTTGTCAAAGACTAGTTGACTGACTGTATATATGCAAATATATTTCTGAACTTTCTGTTCTGTTCCATTGTTGTATGTGTCTATTTTTAGGCCAGTATTATACTGTTTTGATTACTATAGCTTTGTAATAATATAATTTGCAGTCAGGAAGTATATGTCTCCAGCTTTGCTTTTGGTTGATGAACATTCGTATGGGAGATAAATAGCACCATACTGCATTAGGAGTGGCTCAGGTAACCTATAACAAAGAATTCTCTATTTTCCTTCCTATTCCTTACTACCTTGCTTTCATTCATTTCACTTATTCATAGCTATAACCACCCAAAAAGGTGTCACTATTATTACTGTCAACAAGTTATTATCCATTAGATTAATTTAAATATTTATTTTTAATCTTCATTTACTACTTCCCTAATGCTCTTCCTTCTTTATGTAGCTCCGAATTTCTCACCTATATTGTTTTTTCTCTGAAAAATGTGTTTTAATATATCTTGCACGGTAGGTGACAAATAGGTTCAGTTTTTGGTTTGTTTGAGAAAGTCGTTATTTCTCCTTCACTTTTGAAGGATAATTGTGCTGAATATATAAGTCTGTATTGGTGGTCATTCATATTCTTTTTACTTGCATGTCTTTTGAGGAAAAGTCCAATGTAATTCTTATTCTTAGTCCTTATAGATAAGGTATTTTATCCTCTCCTATGGGTTCCTTCAAGATTATATATTTGTCTTTGATTTTCTGCAATTTGAATGGAATATGCCTACCTACAGATTGGTAGGTATCTTTTTTGCTTGGTATTCTCTGCCCTTTCTTGATCTGTGATTTGGTGTGTGCTATTAATTAAAATTCTCAGTCATTATTGGTTCAAATATTACTTCGATTTCTTTCTTCTCTTTCTAGTTTCTCCATTATGCATATGTAACTTTTTTTTGTAATTGTCCCACAATTCTTAGATATTCTATTTCAAATTTTAATCTAATTTTCTTTTTGATTTTCAGTTTGGGAAGTTTCTATAGACTTATATTCAAGCTCACCAGTTATTTTCTTAGTTGAGTTCAGTCTACTGAAAAGCCCTTCAAAGATATTCTTCATTTTTGTTTCCATCTCGCTGCTTATATTCCTCATCATTTGTACATTTTTCTACTAATAATAGTTATTTTAAATTCCTGGTTTAGTAATTCCAAAATCTCTGCCATATTTGAGTCTGGTTATGATGCATGCTTTGTTTCTTCAGATTGTGTTTTTGCTTTTTAGCATTCCTGTTAATTTTTGTTCTTGAAAGCTAAACATGATATTAGTGGAAAAGACACTCAGATAAATTGGCCTTAGTGTGAGATTTTATGTTGATCTGGGTAAGAGTTAAACTTTCTGCTATAACTTTGGAGTCAGCGGCCAAAGTCTCCTCTAGAGTCCCTACATTTATCCTCTCTGCTTCCTTGGGTTTCCTAAGGGCTCGTTCTTTTTTTTTTCTTCTTCTTCTTTTTTTATTATACTTTAAGTTCTAGGGTACAGGTACACAACATACAGGTTTGTTACATATGTATATATGTGCCATGTTGGTGTGCTGCACCCATTAACTCGTCATTTACATTAGGTATATCTTCTAATGCTATCCCTCCCCCCTCCCCCCACCCCACAACAGGCCCTGGTGTATGATGTTCCCCTTCCTGTGTCCAAGTGTTCTCATTGTTCAATTCCCACCTATGAGTGAGAACATGTGGTGTTTGGTTTTCTGTCCTTGCGATCGTTTGCTAAGAATGATATTGCGGCACTATTCACAATAGCAAAGACTTGGAACCAACCCAAATGTCCATCAATGACAGACTGGATTAAGAAAATGTGGCACATATACACCATGGAATACTATGCAGCCATAAAAAAGGTTGAGTTCATGTCCTTTGTAGGGACATGGATGAAGCTGGAAACCATCATTCTCAGGGCTCTTTCTTAAACAACATTTGAGGCTGGCAGTTCTTTCCGTTGTAATCCCCTGTTATCATGCAGAAGCCTGATTGATTTGGTGGTAAAGTGTGCCATGATTAGTCTCTCAGTCTTTCAGTGAGCTTCCATATGTGACCTTCATAAGTGCTTCTCAGCTATCTTCAGCCCTTTTAGGTGAGACAGGGAGACTAGACAGGGCTGAAGTTGGATATTTCCCTTCCCCCAGGTCAGTTATGTTCCATTGTGTGCCAAATAGGTTAGGCTCGGGTAAAATAGTTTCCCTTGAAGGCAAGCCTTTGTTAAGAACAGAGTGCTCTCAGAATATTTAAAAATGATTACTTTTCTCCTCTCCCTGCCAGAGAAGCATGAGGAGATTATTGCCTTCATCGTAAGAGAACTTGGTGGAACTCCTGGAGGTAAAACTCATGAAAGTGTGAGCCCTCTTTAAGGACTTTTTAATCTCTCAAGCTGGTCCATGTTGTGTCCAGCATGTTTTCAATACCCTTTAAGTTTTCCTACCAGTTGCTTCTAATCTTAGTAAACTGGGATTTTCTGTTCTTGTGTGTCTCTCCAGTTGTGGGGGCAGTGGTTTGCCCTGTGACCTCTGTTCTCTAATGGGTCTAAGAAATTTAATGTTTTTAATGTTTTTCTAGTTGTGAAGATGGGAGCGATGACATCTAAGTTCTTAATATGTCAGACCAGAAAATGGAAGTAGTTAAAATAGAATAGAAGTGTTTAGGTCTAAATTACATAAACAGAAAAGAATTATTATTGAAAAAAGATAATTCAGAACAAATTTGAAATGCTTTCAGACAAAAAAAGGGAAAATCACAGATAAAAATTATGAGAACCATATACGTGTTTGTGTATATATATGTAAAAATATATATTTATGTATATATAAGTATATATTCATAAATATATATAACTATATATTCATACATAAATATATAAGTATATATTCATAAATATATATAAGTATATATTCATACATAAATATATATAAGTATATATTCATAAATATATAAGTATATATTCATATATATAAGTATATATACATAAATATATATAAGTATATATACATAAATATATATGTATATATACATAAATATATATAAGTATATATTCACACATAAATATATATATGTATTCACACATAAATATATATAAGTATGTATTCATACATAAATATATATAAGTATGTATTCATACATAAATATATATAAGTATGTATTCATACATAAATATATATAAGTATGTATGAATACATACATATATACGTATGTATTCATACATACATATATACGTATGTATTCATACATACATATATACGTATGTATTCATACATACATATATAAGTATGCATACATACATATATAAGTATATATTCATACATACATATGTAAGTATATATTCATACATGCATATGTAAGTATATATTCATACATGCATATATAAGTATATATTCATACATGCATATATAAGTATATATTCATACATGCATATATAAGTATATATTCATACATGCATATATAAGTATATATTCATACATGCATATATAAGTATATATTCATACATGCACATATATAAGTATATATTCATACATGCACATATATAAGTATATATTCATACATGCACATATATAAGTATATATTTATACATGCACATATATAAGTATATATTTATACATGCACATATATAAGTATATATTTATACATGCACATATATAAGTATATATTTATACATGCATATATATAAGTATATATTTATACATGCATATATAAGTATATATTTATACATGCATATATAAGTATATATTTATACATAACATATATAAATATATGAGTATATATTTATACATAACATATATAAATATATGAGTATATATTTATACATAACATATATAAATATATGAGTATATATTTATACATAACATATATAAATATATGAGTATATATTTATACATAACATATATAAATATATGAGTATATATTTATACATAACATATATAAATATATGAGTATATATTTATACATAACATATATAAATATATGAGTATATATTTATACATAACATATATAAATATATGAGTATATATTTATACATAACTTATATATAAATATATATACTTAAATATAAATATATACTTATATATATACTTACATATATATAAGTATATACTTATATATAAAAACATATACTTATAAGTATATACTTATATATATACTTAGATACATACTTATAAGTATATACTTATATATACTTACATATATACTTATAAGTATATACTTATATATAAAAACATATACTTATATATAAACATATATACTTATATATACTTATATATGCTTATATATAAGTATATCTAAGTGTGTGTATATATATAAATATATATGTGTGTGTATATATATATGCAGTTGGCTAACTGCTAGGAAAATCTAATAATAAACAGATACAGCTTTTAACTACAAACTATATACACAGACACACACACACACATATATATACTGATGGGGCTCAGAAAGCAATTCCTCAAAGACTGGCATATTAGCATTCTGAGAGGCCTTAGAAGCTACCTCAAAATCAAGGTCCCTCTAACGTAGTTTGTTACCCTTCTCCAAGCAGAGGCAAGGACCCTCTGGAATTTTCTTATTTGGCCAAGAAAGCTTCTTTCCAAAATAAATGCACTTGTCTGATGATTTCCTCCCTGGGGACCTCATTAAATATGCAGAAAACATTCATCCTCTGAGAAGAGAAGACACTGGAAGTCATTATCATGCCCAGACAGACTTTCCATCTAATCTGAAGGCAGCTCCAAGAGATAACCTAAACATTTTTATCTTCATAATAAGACAAACTTTTTTCAAATTAACCATTGTCTGAGCGTTGGGTCTATTCCTTTTTCCTGAAAATCATTCCCTTGTACACCAACCACTTCCTATTCCCTTATGAACAGGACATTTAAGCCTCAACTATTTGGCCCCTCTTTGAGTTCATTTTTTGTATGACTCCCATGCACACATGTACATGTAACAGTAGTAAATGTATCATGCTTTTCTCTTGTTGACCTGTTTTTTGTTATAGGAGTGTCGACTGTGACCTTTTTCCATGAGCAGGAAAAGGATCACCCTTTTCCCATGCCTAAAATACTATGTGAATGCCTTGAAGCCCTAGATGAATATGTTATTATCACTAATTTATGGTGCTGTGAGTTTTCCCCCAAATAATAGAAGGGAAGAGTATATACATGTTTTCATCTTCCATGGCTCATTATCTCATCCATATACCATGTTAAAAATATACCAATTTGAGCTTAGAAGTATGTTTACTGGAAAAGAGATTGAATTGACATTTACCACAAAATTTCTATAAAAGAAGTGGAACAACAGCAATGAAAATTAATCTTGACAACTTAGGAACTGGTAAGAGCTATTCAAACTATATATGCAAAAATTTTCAAATATTTGTTGCTGGCAAAAAAGCCCATTCTTCAAAACAATGTAATACAGTAATACACATGAAAGGCAGAAAAAAGTGGACTGGCTCTGCTTAGAGCAGAAGAGGAGGCTCATAGCTATCCACCCTACATGGCTTCTTCTCTTTCTGTATTACATGTTCTCTTTCTGTCTTACATCCATGTGGTAGCACCTGCACATTTCCACATTTGTAGGAGCATCTTTTTAGAAAGAAATTATTGAATAATAGTCCAAATATTATTGGATAGGCCATTCATTCCTATCAACCTTGGCAATTCGAAGATCACATGTTAATACCATTAAAAGCCAGATTACTAACTGTATTATCTGAGAATTTGAATATTATAGGATTTAGAAAATTATGTATCTGCTACTACAACTGGAATATCACACACCCATCTCCTCTTGGGGACATAAGATTAGATTCAGTTTTGATCATTTATGTTTTCTTAAAGCTGTATGTCTACTGCTTTCTTGACTGCGATTTTGGGGGATGATCCTATTTAGATGACAAATCCTGTTGCAAGGCTAACTTTTTAATGCCTACACCAGTAAGTGTGTCTAAATGTGACGTCACCAAGAAAATTAAAATTATTAGTGTAATTTTTTCATCTATTTATCTATTTTCTGTCTAACTCTCAAAATGCATGTAAAGGTTAATGGTAGTTATCCCTGTCATGTAATTATGAGTAACTCATTTTCTTCTTTACATGTGCCTATATTATAAATATATGCAGTGGATATATTTTCTATTTTTTACATAAGACACTTAACGAACAGTAAATACTGTGCCTAATTTAAAACGTTAATATGTATGACATGAGACAGTTGGCCAACTGCCAGCAACATCTAATAATCAACAGATACAGCTTTTAACTACAAACTTAAACAACCAAATAACCTCATGTAAAAATAATAGGCTAAGCCAATTAGAGGAAAACCATTGATGATCTAAACAAATTTTATATAAACCTCCTGTGAAAGACAGTATGTCACATGCATCTTATAGAAAATTAATTTGACAGTTACAAAAAACTTCCTTCAAGAGGATGAAAAAAGAGACTCCAACAGTATTTTTGTAGCACCATTGATAGGCAGTATTAAGCAACTATGTACACAAAATTGAAAAAAATAACTCATGATGTGGAAAATCAATAACTTTTCTCAACCTACACGTACTCGCCTTTTGAAGATGTCTCATTAAAGAATATAGAAATGAAAGCCATGTATAATGTGTTCAAGCACTGTAAGAATAAATTGTAATAATTACTTATACTGACTTTGGTAATATTCCAATAAATGTTTGACAGACAAAACAGAAATTACTCATTATCAATGATCCCCATTCAAACTGGCATTCCTCAATATTATACAGGATATAATGATAAAATTGTATTGTAATGTTATAGGACATACGATATCCAGAACAAAAAGAAAGTGCTAATTATCTAAACAAATATAAATTTATTAACATGAAAATAACCAGATTTTATTGTTGATAAAGCAATATAATCCATCTATCCATCTGTTTGTTTGCAAACATTATATCAGACCCTATCAAAATATGTTGATACTTGCTGATAGTGCCTGAAACATGGCATCACTCAACAAATATCAGTCACCTACTCCTCTACTGTGTTCTGGTTCTACATTCTCATATCTAAGCCATTTTCCTCTTTGAGAACGGAGATCAAATCTTTCATCTTCCACTTGGATTTTGCCAACATTCCTGGATCATAGCAATCTGGCCTCACTTGTCAATGTGCACTCCCTTTTTTGTTACTGTTTGTTATGTATCATCTATCTGTTAGATTTGTGAATAATCACTCTCTCAACCTTCTTCTAAACATCACAAAGAAAAGAATTAGATGCTTTTGAATACATATACCTTAGAGTAGTATGGAATGCAAAATTGCCTAGTAAATATTTATTCATGAAGACTAAACATAAGAAAATGTTATTCATTTATATCTAAGAATTTACATGGAGCGTGGACCAAGATTTTTATGCTCCCCTAAGCAAGGGTGTGTTTCTCTAGATCTACTTTCTCACTTGCTCCACTGTTTTTTCAAGCACTTTCAATGGTTCCTGCTTCTGAGCTTCTACTATGAGCCAAGCCTTTTGCATACATCATCTTTTAATTATCACAGTAATACTATGAGCTATAAATTACTAATCCTATGTTGCAGATTAGTAAATCAAGACTTAAAGTTAACAAAACTTTAGAGGCTCATGGTAGCAAAACCTAAATTAGACCTCGGTCTGCCTGACTTCAAAGTATGGTTTCTTCTAACCATACTACAATATCTATGTGTACTTAAGCAATCAAAGTCCAGTTTTCTTTCAGCTCTCTCTTTAGTGTGATTTGCTTGGCACAGACTTTTCATAATTTTTACCATCGTGCACTCTGGATCAAATACACATAAATACATTACTCCCCCTCCACACACACACACATGCATATACTTATACTCACATACACAAAACCTCCAAGGAGTAAATATTTATTTTAAAAAACAATACAGTAATAAGAAGGGAAATATATACCTCAAGATTCCCAAAATGTATATGAAACTAGCAATCATAATTATGCAAATTATTTGTACAACAGTCTTAGATTCTCATTCTCATTTTAACTAGTACTTCCTTGGCCTTCCTGAGAATAAGCAAAAAGCCAATTACAAAGCCTCATCCACTTCAAGGCTACTCAAATAGCCAGAGAAAATTCCAGTCAAAACTGAAATTATTGTCCATACATTTTCAAAATCTTAATGGCTAAAATGCTGTCAGGGGTGTGTGTGTGTTTGTTTGTGTGAGTGTCTGTTCGCTGAACCCCCAACAACGACTGATCTTTTTACTGTCTCCATAGTTTTGCCTTTTCTAGAGTGTCATATAATTGAAATACACAGTATGCAGCATTTTTAAGATTGGCTTCTTTCACTTAACAAAATACATTTAAGGTGTCTTCATCTCTTCATGGCTTGATAATTTATTTCTTTTTATCACTGCATAATATTTCATAGTATGAATGTACAACAGTTTGTTTATCCAGTCATCTAGTGAAAAACATCTTCATTACTTCCAATTTCTGTCAATTACATAGAAAATTGCTATAAACATTCATGTGCAGGTTTTTGTGTGGACATAAATTTTGAAATCATTTGGGTAAATACATAGAAGTGGAATTGCTGAATTATACATTAAGACTAAATTTAGTTTTCTAAGAAACTGCCAAATTGTATTCCAAAGTGGATGTACATTTTGCATTCCTAACAGCAGTGAATAAGATCCTATTGCTGGCCAGGCACGGTGGCTCACACCTATAATCCCAGCACTTTGGGAGGCCGAGGCGGGCAGATCACCTGAGGTTGGGAGTTCAAGACCAGCCTGACCAACATGGAGAAACTCTGTCTCTACTCAAAATACAAAAGTAGCCACGCGTGGCGGCAGGCGCCTGTAATCCCAGCTCCTTGGGAGGCTGACGCAGGAGAACCCTTGAACCTGGGAGGCAGAGATTACAGTGAGCCGAGATCGTGCCATTGCACTCCAGCCTGGGCAACAAGAGTGAAACTCCATCTCAAAAAAAAAAAAAAATCCTATTGCACCACATCCTCACCAGCATTTGGTATTGTGAGTGTTTTGGATTTTAGCCATTCTAATAGATGCGTAGAGATAAGACTGATAAGACTGAATTTTAATTAGTTTTTTTTTGTTGTTGTTGTTTTTCAAAGTGTTTTTCATTGTTATCTCCACTCTTTTGGGTGTAAAATTAGCTGTCTTTGCCAAGATTTCATGGCCTTAAGTTTCTGCAGTTTCTCGTGCTGTTAACTCTTCCTTGCAAACCCAGCAAGTCCTTTTTTAATCTCATTGCTTCCTACAACAACTGATGAAATGCAGTCAATGACCAACATACACATTAGTAGCCTGTCTTCCAACTTCATCCCCTAAAGCTAAGAGTTCATTGTGTACATGATCTGCCTCTCATGTTACCTTTGAAGACATGTTTGCCAAATATTTTTTTCCCATAACATAACATAACACTGATTGTTACTTTATTAGTCAGGGTTCTCTACAGGGACAAAACTAATAGGGTGTATATATATATATATATATATATATATATGTGTGTGTGTGTGTGTGTGTGTGTGTGTGTGTGTGTGTGTATGAGTTTATTAAGTATTAACTCACATGATAGGCTATCTGCAAACTGAGAACAAGGAGAGCCAGTCTGAGTCCCAAAACTGAAGAACCTGGAGTCTGATATTCAAGGGAAGGAAGCATCCAGCACAGGAGAAAGATGCTGTGAGACTAGACCAGTCTAGTCTTTTCACATTTTTCTGCCTGTTTTGTATCTAGCCATGTTGGCAGCTGATTAGATGGTACCCATGCAAATTAAGAGTGGGTCTGCCTTTCCCAGCCCACTGACTCAAATGTTAATCTCCTTTGGCAACACCCTCACAGACACACCCAGGATCAATACTTTGCATCCTTCAATGCAATCAAGTTGACACTCAGTATTAACTATCACAGGTCCACCCATTGTCAACTTGAACTCATTCACGTCTCGACATCATACATAATCTTCAAATAAAGACAAAAATAAGGTCATAATTACACCTAACATAATACAACTATCCTTCATACAACCAGAAATGCCCCGGTCCCCTGACCAAATACTATTACAAAAAGTTAACAATACTTAAATGCTGATATGAAATCAATAAATATTATGTCACATGATAAAGGAAAAAGGAAATAAAATGAAGATATTTTCTTCATACAAGTGTATACATGCACAAGCATGTATTTAACAAAAGTAGGAGGAAATACTCATGACAATTACAGTCCTCGTTTCTGCAACAGGACATGTGGTCATAGTTGGTGTTGATGACTACCTTCTTCAACTACCCATTCTGTATTCCCTTTGCTTTCACAAGCACCTCAGCAGGTCATGGTTTTTATCCTGGTGGACTGACCCAAACCTTCATTCCTAAAGGGTCTGGGCCATTTGTAGTCCTGCCTAGATTGTGCTGTTGTAGTTTCCCATTGACCTCAATCACAGGGCATGGTAATACTAAGAGACGTTCTAATGGATCTCCTGTACTCCTTGCATATTCTTCCTTATCTCCGTTGTGGAGTGGTAGACTGATTTCATCTTGATAGTCCAAGTCAATCACCACAGCCAAAGCTGTAACTCTCATCTTAGCCTGTTTACTTAAAGGTAGGAAGAGCCCAAAGTGTCCAGGTGGCAATCTTAACTTCCTGTTTAACGGAATAGTTGTTGTGTCTCCTGGTGGCAGCATTCCTCCCTCTGGAACTAAGACCTGTAGGCCAGCAGAACATAATGTCGTGAGACCAGGAAGCAAAAATTTTGCTAGTGGATCACTAGGGGTGATGGTGAGTGGTGCCACTTTCACTTCCACCCCTTGATTCCTGGATCCTTGAATCCTGGCTATGGGAGAAACAGTACCATATATTGGACGCT
This sequence comes from Homo sapiens, assembly GCF_000001405.40. Lineage (NCBI taxonomy): Eukaryota > Metazoa > Chordata > Mammalia > Primates > Hominidae > Homo > Homo sapiens. The sequence goes on from NC_000012.12 coordinate 81,935,164, forward strand.
GATTCAGAGCATACACGGCCTTCTGGAGAACTTTGCCCCAGCCCTACAAAGTATTTTCACCAAGATGGTGTTGTAATTGTGACTTCAAAAGGCCATTCCACCATTCTATTAACCCAACTGCTTCAGGATGATGGGGACATGGGAAGATCAGTGAATTCCATGAGCATGAGCCCACTGCTGCACTTCTTTAGCCGTAAAGTGAGTGCCTTGGTCAGAGGCAATGCTGTTTGGAATACCATGACAGAGGATAAGTCATTCCATGAGTCTACGGATGGTAATATCGACAGAAGTATTGTGTGCAGGACAAGTAAACCCATAACTGGAGTAAGTGTCTATTCCAGTGAGGACAAACCTCTGCCATTTCCATGATGGAAGAGGTCCAATATAATCAACCAGCCACCAGGTAGCTGGCTGATCACCCTGAGAAATGATGCTATAATCGAGGGCTCAGTGTTGGTCTCTGCTGCTGGCAAATTGGGCATTCAGCAGTGGCAGTAGCCAGGTAAGCCTTGGTGAGTGTTGTAAGTCCATGTTGCTGAGCCCATGCATAACCTCCATCCCTGCCACCATGGCCATTTTGTTCATGGACCCATTGGGCTATGACAGGAGTGGCTGGAAAGAGGCTGAGTGGTGTCCACAGAATGGGTCATCCTATTCAGCTGATTATTAAAATCCTCCTCTGCTGAGGTCACCCATTGGTGAGCAGTCACATGGGATACAAATATCTTCACAGTTTTTGACCACTAAGAGACATTCATCCACATCCCTCTTCCCCAAAATTCTTTGTCCCTAATTTTTCAATCATGATTCTTCCAAGTCCCTTAGTATCCAGCCAAACCATTGGCTACAGCTCATGAATCTTTATGTAATCACACATCTAACCATTTCCCTTCCATGAAAAGCGCACAACCAGGTGCACTGCTCAAAGTTTTGCCCACTATGAAGATTTCCCTTGACCACTGTCCTTTAGGGATGTCCTAGAAAGGGGTTGTAGTGCTGCAGCTGTCCACTTTTGGGTGGTACCTGCACATCGTGCAGAACCATCTGTGAACCAGGCCTAGTCTCCTCTTCTTCTGTCAACTGGTCATAAGGAAATCCCTATGAGGCGATTGGTGCAGGCTGGGAGAGACAAGGCAGAGTGGCAGGAGTAGAGCGTTTGAGCCACTTCCTTATGTAACTTACTTGTACCTTCAGGACCTACTCGAGCCTGATCACATATATACCACTTCCATTTGATGATGGAATCCTGTGTGCATGACCCACTTTATGGCTAGATGGTTCAGAAAGCACCCAGTTCATGATAGGCAGTTCAGGTCACATGGTGACTTGATGACCCATAATCAAATGTTCAGTTTCCACCAAAACCCAGTAACAGGCCAAGAGCTGCCTCTCAAAAAGAGAGAAGTTATCTGCAGAAGATGGCATGGCTTTGCTCCAAAACCCTAGAGGCCTCCACTGTGATTCACCTATGGGGGCCTTCCAAAGGCTCCAAATGGCATTCCTCTCTGCCACTGACATCTCACTCACTATTGGATCTGGGTCATATGACCTAAGTGGCAGAGCAGCTTGCACAGCAGCCTGGACCTGTTGCAGAGCCATCTTTGCAGCCTTTTGGGTCACTCAATAAATAGGCCACAGTAACACTCCCAAATGAGGAATGTGTGTTCTCCTAAATCCAAATAGGCCCACGAGGCACTGTGCCTCTTTCCTGTTGTAGGAAGGGCCAAATGCAGCAATTTACCCTTCACCTTAGAAGGAATATCTTGACAGGTCCCACAACACTGGACCCCTAGAAATTTTACTGAGTTAGCATGTCCCTGTATTTTAGTTGAATTTATTTCCCATCCTCTGGCACACAAACATCTCACCAATAAGTCCAGTGTGTTTGCACTCCTTGATCACTGGATCCAATCAGCATCATGACGTTAATGTAATGAACCAGTGGGACATCTTGCAAAAGCAAAAAGCAATCAAAGTCTCTCCAAATAAGACTGTAACAGAAAGCCAGAGAGTTGATATACCCATGAGGTAGGACAATAAAGGTATATTACTGGCCTTACAGGTGAAGGCAAATTGCTCTGGTAGGCCTTATGAACAGGAAAGGAGAAAAAGGCATTTGCCAAGTCAATGGCTGTATACCAGGTACCAGGAGATGTGTTAATTTGCTCAAGCAATAAAACCATATCTGGTACAGCAGCTGCAATTGGAGTCACCACTTAGTTAAGCTTACAGTAATCCACTGTCATTCTCCAAAGTTCATCCATCTTCTGCACAGGCCAAATGGGAGAGCTGAATAGGGATGTAGTGGGAATCACCATTCCTGTGCCTTTCAAGTTCTTGATGGTGGCACTAATCTCTGGAATCCCTCCAGGGATGTGATATCTTTTTTTATTTACTATTTTTTGAGGTAGAGGCAGCTCTAATGTCTTCCATTTGGCCTTTCCCAACATAATAGCCATCACCCTACCAGTCAGGGAGCCAGTGTGGTGATTCTGCCAGCTGCTAAGCATATTTATGCCAATTTTGCATTCTGGCACTAGGGAAATGACCACAGGATGGGTCTGGGGACCCACTGGACCCACTGTAAGTTGGACCTGAGCTAAAGCTCCATTAATTACCTGACCTCCTGAATTAGTCTGTTTTCACATTGCTGATAAAGACATAGCCAAGACTGAGTAATTTATACAGGAAAAAAAGGTTTAATGGACTTACAATTCTACATGACTGGGGAAGCCTCACAATCATGGCAGAAGGCAAGGTGGAGCAAGTCATGTCTTGCATGCATGGCAGCAAGCAAAGAGAGAGCTTGTATAGGGAAACTACTGCTTAGAGAACCATCAGATCTCCTGAGACGTGTTCACTATCACAAGAACAGCAAGGGAAAGACCTGTTCCCATGATTCAATATCTTCCCACCAGGTACCTTCCACAACACATGGGAATTCAAGATGATATTTGGGTGGGAACACAGTCAAACCATATCATTCCACCCTTGGCCACTCCCAAATCTCATGTTCTCACGTTTCAAAACCAATCATGCCTTCCAAACAGTCCCACAAAGTATTAACTCATTTCAGCATTAACTCAAAAGCCCACCGTCCCATATCTCATTCAAGACAAGGCAAATCCCCTCTGCCTATGAGCCTGTAAAATCAAAAGCAAGTTAATTACTTCCTAGATACAGTGGGGGTACACGCATTGGGTAAATCCAACCATTTCAAATGGGAGAAATTGGCCAAAACAAAGAGGCAACAGGCCCCATGCAAGTCTGAAATCCAGCTGGGAAGTCAAATCTTAGAGCTCCAAAATGATCTCCTTTAACTCCATGTCTCACATCCAGGTCATGCTAATGCAAGAGGTGGGTTCCTACGGTCTTGGTAGCTCCATCCCTGTGGCTTTGCAGGGTACAGCCTCCCTCCCAGCTGCTTTCACAGGCTGGTGTTTAGCGTCTGCAGCTTTTCCAGTTGCGGTGTGCAAGCTGTCAGTGGATCTGCCATTCTAGGGTCTGGAGGACAGTGGCCCTCTTCTCATAGCTTCATTAGGCAGTGCACCAGTAGGAAGTCCATGTGGGGACTCTGACCCCACATTTCCCTTCCACACTGCCCTAACAGAGGTTCTCCATGAGAGCCCCACCCCTGCAGCAAGCTTCTGTGTGGCCATCCAAGTATTTCCATACATCCTCTGAAATCTAGGTTCAGGTTTCCAACCCTCAATTCTTGACTGTTTGCACTGGCAGACTCAACACCACATGGAAGCTGCCAACCCTTGAGGTTTGCACCCTCTGAAGCCATGGCCCAAGCTCTTCACTGGCCCCTTTCAGCCATGGCTAAAGCAGATGGGATGCAGAGCACCAAATCCCTAGCCTGCACACAGCATGAAGACCCTGGGTCTGGCCCATGAAACCACTTTTTTCTCCTAGGCCTTTGGGCCTGTGATGAGAGGGGCTTCTGTGAAGACCTCTGGCATGCCCTGGAGACATTTTCCCCATTGTCTTGGTGAGGAACATTCGGCTCCTCATTATTTATGCAAATTTCTGCAGCTGGCTTGAATTTCTCCTCAGAAAACGGGATTTTATTTTCTATCACATTGTCAGGCTGTAAACTTTTCAAACTTTTATGCTCTGCTTTCCGTATAAAACTGAATGCCATTAATAGCATCCAAGTCACCTCTTGAATGCTTTGCTACTTAGAAATTTCTTCTGCCAGACACCCTAAATAACCTCTCTCAAGTTCAAAATTCCACAAGTCTCCAGGAGTGTGGCAAAATGCTGCCAGTCTCTTTGCTAAAACATAGCAAGAGTCACCTTTACTCCAGTTCCCAACAAGTTCCTCATTTTCATCTGAGACCGTCTCAGCCTGGACTTAATTGTCCATATTGCTATCAGCATTTTGGGCAAAGCCATTTAACAAGTCTCTAGGAAGTTCCAAAGGTTCCCACATTTTCCTGTCTCCTTCTCCTTCCTCCAAACTGTCCCAATCTCTACTTGTTACCCAGTTCCAAAGTCACTTCCACATTTTTAGGTATCTTTTCAGCAACACCCCACTCTACTGGTACCAATTTACTATATTAGTCCATTTGCACACTGCTGATAAAGACATACCCAAGCCTGGGTAACTTATACAGGAAAAAGAGTTTTATGGACCCTTACAGTTACACGTGACAGGGGAAGCTTCACAATCATGGCAGAAAGCAAGGAGGAGTAAGTCAAGTCTTACATGAATGTCAGCAGGCAAAGAGAGATCTTGCGCAGGGAAACTCCCGCTTATAAAACCATCAGATTTCTTGAGACTTATTTACTATCATGAGAATAGCATGGGAAAGACCTGCCCCCATGATTCAATTACCTCCAACCAGGTCTCTCCTACAACATATGGGAATTCAAGATGACATTTGGATGAGGACACAGTCAAACCATACCAACTCCATAAGCCCCTAGTTTAGCTGGAAGAACACAATGACATTTTGGATCCCCTGGAATTAACATCAGCTCAGGGCTAGTATCCAGTAGTCCCCAAAATGTCTGATTATTTCCCTTTCCCCAGTGGACAGTTACCCTAGTAAAAGGGCACAGCTCTCTTTGGGGAAGGGTGGGACAAAGATTAGCAGCATAAATTGTAGGTAGTGTAGTGGGGTTCTTCCTCAAAGGACACGGCTTCCTCTGTTTTTATAATTCAAATTAGTCTTTTGTCCATTTGACCTGGAAATTTTCTGCTTATATATATTAAGTTGTAATGCAGTAGGCTTCCTATCAATTTCAATTCTAGGAACACTGTGATTAATTAGCCAATGCCAGAGCTCTACACCAGTCAGACTATGCTGGTGCCACTTTGCCTCTGCTGTCCATTATGGTAGCTATGTCCACCTTGCCTTTGACAGTGGAGTGCCGCAACTTGGCCCCTGACATCTCAGGATCCAATTATTCCCATTGTACTTAAATTTTGTAGTTGATTGACTGTGGTTCCCACTGTTAGATCTGATATACAGATAAGAGCTATTACAAGGCTCTTCAAAGATGCAGGTGCTACCCTCTATTTTGCAAGGCATTGGTCAAGGTTATATCTTCTGGACCCTCCCAGCTGGGATAAGTAAGTCTAAAGTGACTAATCCACTTCACCATCCCAATCTCCCTAAGCCTTTGGCTCCCTTCCTCTATGTTAAACCAAGGGAGATTAGGCAATTTCCAGTTTGCTCACAGTGGGCCATCTTTTTATCCATATTTCAGCTAACCAAGCAAATAAACTATTAGAAACTTTTTTTAATTCCCCAAGCTGCAACATTAAATGCAGAGTCCCTGCTTAGTGGGCCCAAATCAATAAATTCAGCCTGATCTATGTTCCTTCCACCATTATCCCACACCCTTAATATATATCCACATGCCTGTTCTCCAAATTTCTGCTTATATAAATTAGAAAACTCATGGAGCTCTTTTTAAGTGTACTGTACCACCTCATGGGTCACACTCTCAACTTCACCTCTAAAGGCCTGCTGGGACTTTAGTCCGGTTATAGGTCTAGAAGCAAACAGGTGTGTTGGGGGTGGTTCCTGAGGAGAATCAACATTATCTTGCCTGGCAACTGCCTCAGGAGAGGCCATAACTGTTGCCTCAGTCAGTGCACGGTTTATCTCCTCAGACAAAGGTGGAAAGGCTGATGGCAGCATGGGTCGAGGAGGGGGTGTTGCCACTACTGGGGATGGGGCAGCTGTTTTTCTGGCAAAAGACATTCATTAGAATTTACAAACTCAGTGTCTCCAGCTTCATCAGGGTCCTCCCACACATCCCCATTCCAAGTTGCAGGGTCCTATTCTTTTCCAATCAATGCCCTCACTTTAACAGTAGACACCTGACGAGGCTGTGCATGCACCTTTTGTTGCAGGTCAGCCACTCGCATGATAAGAGCATGTGTCTGTTTTCCCACAATTTCAGCTCTTTCTCTACAGGAGATGAGACTCTCACTCAGGGCAGTCTTAATAGATTTGAGGCTCAGTATTTGCTTCTAAGGTCAGGAGTTAGAATCCCTGAGTTCATCGTTTCCTTTCATCACTTTGTCCACTGAACTCAGGAGCAACCAACCAGCTTCATTATAGTCCTTGGTTCTCCACATATGATCAAAGGTATTACATATAGAGTCCCTAAACTCCTTGCCTCTCATGAGCAGTGAATCAGGAGTGTTAAATGCATTTATATTGCATAACTCTCTAAACAGTTAATGCCAAGAACTATCAGTGTTCTCCATAATATTAGAAGTAGAGTCCTTAGCATTTTTGGGGTCTAATCATATTTAGCAGCCAACTCCAGAAAACCCAAAATCAACAAAGGAACTCCATCCTTAATATTCTATTCCTCTAGAACCACTCCTGGTACCAAAATCTGTATTAGTCAGGGTTCTCTAGAGAAATAGAACTAATAGGATAGATACATATACAAAGGGGAATTTATTCAGTATTAACTCACACAATCATATGTTCTCACAATAGGTCATCTGCAAGCTGAGGAGCAAAGAGAGCTAGTCTGAGTCCCAAAACTGAAGAACTTGGATTATGATGTTCGAGGGCAGAATGTATCCAGCACAGTAAAAGATGTAGGCTGGGAGGCTAAGCCTATCTAATCTTTTCACATTTTTCTGCCTGCTTTATATTCTAGTCATTCTAGCAGCTGATTAGATGGTGCCCACCCAGATTAAGGGTAGACTTGTCTTTCCCAGCCCACTGACTCAAACGTTAATCTCCTTTGGCAATACCCTCACAGACACACCCAGGATCAATACTTTGCATCCTTCAATCCAATCAAGTTGACACTCAGTATTAGCTATCACAGTTACCATATAAAATATATTGCCTTTTATCTAGCCACCAGCTCATAAGTGAATATCATATATTACTTTTTAGTTTTTATGGAAGATCTCTACTTCCTTGTTCAAATTCCTGTGTATGTGAAAATCGACTAATTTTTACATGAGGCCCTAATCAGAGTAATTTAAAGCAAAGGCTTATTTTTCACTCATGCTGCACATTCATCTTGGGTCAGCCGGCAGTTTTTCTGTACTTTAACCTCTTTTAGGGTTGTAGGCTGCTAGAGATTCCACTTCCTGAAATATTGTGGTTTGCCACTACAGGAAGAAAAGAACATGACAAATTATGTTTTGTTCCTCAAAGACTTCCGCTCAAAGGTGATACATGCCATTTCTGCTCACACTTTGTTTGCCAAAGAAAGTGACACGGCCATGCCTATCTTCAAAAAAGCTGAAAGATGCAATTCTTCCTTGTATCCAGAAAAAGGAGAACCAGAAATACTGATAAATAGCACTAGATGTCATCATAGTAGCCTAATCTAATTTTAGAACAATAAGAAAATCCCCACAAATCATATTAAATATTAAATCACATTAAAACTTAATATTAAAACTTAATAACATTCATTTAATATTGCCTAATTTCCTTCCATTTATCATATATATCTACCTCTTTTAAGATCTTATTGTCAAAGAGCAGTTACTCATTTTTAAAGTATTTCAAAGATCTTGCAGATTAGACTTTCCTAACAACACTGTGGACCAGCTGCAGTGGCTCATGCCTTTAATCCCAGCACTTAGGGAGGCAAAGGTGGGAGGATCACTTGAGCCTCTAGAGAGGCTCCAATATTATTAAATTTTTTAAAATTGCAAGCTTCTTTCCTTATCTCCATCTTTTTCCTCTAAGAAAGATAAAGGTAAACAAAACAATATTACCTAGGATAACTTTGTCTTGATATATAAATATAGAGGCCGAGTACAATTAACATAACAAAGCTAAACTTCTTTTCATCAATTTCCCTAAATATCAAAGTATCTCCAACCCTTGACAATCTGAAAACACATTTCAAGGAGTTTTTCTTTTTTTTTCCCCATTCATTAAAAAGAATGTATCAAACAGAAATAGGGTTCCAGGATGTTTTAATAATAACAGGGGATAAAAGCAGACAGCATGAAAAAAACTGGGGTGAACTAGGTAATCTATCAGACATATAATAAAATGCCTATTCTAGAGAGTTGCTTCTGGGTTTCCAAAAGAATCAGAAAATAGGAATTGTTCTCTGCTGGTTTTAAGAAAGAAAGAAGCAGAAGTCAAAGACTAACACTTAAAAAAAACCCAAAGGTTTTGAGCAAACAGAGCCCCATTTTAAATAATAGCGATGTAAATAAAGCACTGTGTTTTTAAGCCTAAGATACATTGCTTTAATAGTCATGCTCAATTTAAAACTTGCAGCTGTTCAATCCATGATAACTTACTTTAATAATGCTGGTTGTTCCAAAATAAGAAAATTGTATCAAACTGCTTCAATTAATTCACATGGAAATGAAAATTGGAAGTAAACATTTAAACATATTCCCAATTATTATAATTCTTTATTCACCCAGGACACCATTCTGAAAATTTAAAGGAACCTTAACAATGTATGTTCCTCAACTATAACAATTAAACCACACTGGTGGGAGATTTTGATGGTAGGGGAGATTTTTGCCTGTGTGTGGGCAAGAACAGATGGGGAATTTCTGTACCTCCTCTTCATTATTACTGTGAACCTAAAATTGCTCAAAAAATATATTTTTTAAAAAAGAACACTAAATACCTATTATCTGATGTTCTTTTTTCTTTGTGGTATGTGACATATATTACAATCCATGCCAAGGCATATTGTTTCCTTCCCTGAAGAATAGGCATGTTTCAATAGAAAAAGAAGTTCCTCTTCCCTAAAAGTTATCTGTCCTCTTGTACTCGGGATAATGGCCTCTTCCAATTTGTACGGATTATCCATCTATTCATTTATGTATCCATCCATTCACGTAATTTACAAAATTGAATTGACATCCTACAATGTACTCAGCAGTGTGCTAAATATGCATTGAGGATATGGTAATCCTAAGGAACACGTTTGAGAAGATAGGAGAAATTTGACATATAGTGTAACACACAGGGCAATCAGCCCCTGGCTTCCATTCCAGCTCCCATTCTCAAACTGGAACAGATTAAAGCTTTCATTTTCTGGGAGGAAGGGAATACAATAGAAGGGGGTTGTAAACAGGCAAGAAAACCGCAGACAGTGGAAAATATTTTTGTGTTATTAGTATTTACTAGTCCCAGTAGGTGAAGGGCAAACTAACTAGGAGCAGCCTTGGAATTACAAGTGCTGTCCTAGAAGTCACAGCCAGTTTTAGGTCCTAGAATCATTTTCAAACATATTTACACCAGGGTGAAGAGCCACTACTAGACGGTGACAAACTGCAGCAAGAACAAGATGGATTGGGACCTTGCAGACAGACCCCTAGAATTCAGTATCAGTAGCTGAAGACTCAGACTGCATCTCACTAGTTTTGCAATAAAGTAACCCCACATATTAGGTTATTTAATTGTTGGAATCTATTTATAACATTACGGTGGAGAAATTTACCAGAGAGTTCCTTTTTTTTTTCCATTGTGAAACAATGCAAAGAAGGAAAAGTACTCTTGTTGGTGGCAAGGAATTGAGGAATTTTCTGCTTTGTGAATTTCATTTTCTCTGTGAATTAGGAAGACAGTTCATCTTACAAGAATGGGGAGGCAAATACATTAATAGATACTCAAATCATTAAGACTTTAAATCAATGCAAAGTAAAGCAAAAGCATTCCATTCTCCTCCTTACCACTCCCGAACAGATACTGTCTTTCTCTTCTGCTGTTATGACTCTAATTGTCTTTACTTTCTGAATTGTCCATGATTTTATTTCTATTTAGCATGTTTTCTTTGTTTTAACTAAGCCTGTCATATATGGTTTCTGTGTCTCTCTGTTCTAAATTTTAATGTCTTAGAAATGGGAATCTGGGCCAGGAGTGGTGGCTCAGGCGTGTAATTGCAGCACTCTGGGAAACCGAGGTGGGTGGATCACGAGGTCAGGAGATCAAGAGCATCCTGGCTAACATGGTGAAACCCCGTCTCTACCAAAAATACAAAAAATTAGCCCGGCGTGGTGGTGGGCGCCTGTGGTCCCAGCTACTCAGGAGGCTGAGGCAGGAGAATGGCATGAACCCGGGAGGCGGAGCTTGCAGTGAGCTGAGATTGTGCCACTGCACTCCAGCCTGGGCTACAGGGCAAGACTCTGCCTCAAAATAAATAAATAAACAAACAACAGCAACAACAAAAAAGAAATGGGAATCTGATGGGGCCAGCCTGACTCAATTGGAGCCACGTAAAACATGCAGCTGTGGCCAGAAGTCAGCATCCTATGGTCCAAATGGCCATTCCTGAGTACAGAGACTATTCCTGGAAATGAGGAAATTGCTATAAGTCAAATAGCCAGACAGTGCGTATCTATGGCACGCTCAGCTTTCCCTATGGCCTCTGTGCTCCTTGTACTCTTCCTTTTCCGGTAGTTCTTTCTGTTCTAGTTAGGCTTCTCTTCCTCCTAAACGCTGGTGTTTTTTGGGATTCTCTTCAAGGTCCTCTTCTCTTCTCTCTTGGACCCTCTCATGAATGATTTCATCTTTTCCCAAGAAAACAATTAACAGTTACCTGGTGATGACTCCTAAATCTGTACTCCTTATACAGATCTGACTCCTAAATTACAAGCTTGTAAAATATCACAGATAAAAGAGCTGAGAGATGAAGAGAAAAAAATTTTGGAATCAGAAGTGTCAAAATCATGGGTTTAGCTGGCCTGAAACTAATCTACTCTATGATGTTTTTAAATAAGAATTTTATTATTGGCCGGGCGCGGTGGCTCACGCCTGTAATCCCAGCACTTTGGGAGGCCGAGGCGGGCGGATCACGAGGTCAGGAGATCGAGACCATCCTGGCTAACACGGTGAAACCCCGTCTCTACTAAAAATACAAAAAAAATTAGCCGGGCGTGGTAGTGGGCGCCTGCAGTCCCAGCTACTCGGGAGGCTGAGGCAGGAGAATGGCGTGAACCCGGGAGGCGGAGCTTGCAGTGAGCCAAGACAGCGCCACTACACTCCAGCCTGGGCGAAACAGCGAGACTCCGTCTCAAAAAAAAAAAAAAAAAAAAGAATTTTATTATTATTATTATACTTTAAGTTTTAGGGTACATGTGCACAACGTGCAGGTTTGTTACATATGTATAATTCGTCATTTAGCATTAGGTATATCACCTAATGTTATCCCTTCCCCCTACCCCTACCCCACAACAGTCCCCGGTGTGTGATGTTCCCCTTCCTGTGTCCATGTGTTCTCATTGTTCAGTTCCCATCTATGAGTGAGAACATTCGGTGTTTGGTTTTTTGTCCTTGCGATAGTTCTTTTTGCTTAAGCCAGATTGAGCTGGTGACTTGCAACCAAAAGCATATTTGACAGATTAAGAGATTTTTTTAAGGGGGATTCTTCCTCAGTGTTTTCTTTTGCCATTTGTTCACACTTCCTTTCTTGGTTTATCTCTCTCCTTTTCACCCAAAGTCAGTCTAATGTCAATTTCACAAAATATTTTCATAAACATTCTCATCATTCTCACCATCCCCACTGCCATCCTCATTTCCCAAACCAGCACACACACACACACTGCAAAATAAACTCGAAGTGTCAGTAATCATTTTATTCTTAATAACCTGTTAACTTTAGAGTGTGTAGTTATTAGAATTAATCCAAATTCAGGCCTCTGTTGTCACTAGAGAAAGAGATAAGGTTTTAATATGACCTGTAGTAAAATAAGAACTCAAGAAATCTGAGATCTAGTCCTGCCTATTTTGACAAGAAAACTAGCTGGGAAAACACATGTACAAAAAAAATTTCTGAATTTATATTTCTTCTTAATAAAAACTATATAATCTTTTACTAGTAGTGTTATTATTTTATTATTATTATTATTTTTTAGATGGAGTTTCGCTCTTTCACCCAGGCTGGAGTGAAGTGGTGCAATATTGGCTCACTACAACCTCCACCTCTGGGGTTCAAGTGATTCTCCTGCCTCAGTCTCCTGAGCAGCTGGGATTACAGGCGCACACCACCACACCCAGATAATTGCTTGTATTTTTACTAGTGACAGGGTTTAGCCATGTTGCCCAGGCTGGTCTCCAACTCCTCAGTTCAGGCAATCCACCCACCTCGGCCTCCCAAAGTGCTAGGATTACAGGCGTGAGCCACTGTGCCTGGCTAATTTTTAAAAATTAAAAAAAAAAATTTTTTTTTGAGACAAAGTCTCACTCTATCACCCATGTTGGAGCACAGAGCATGCTTATGGTGCACTGCAGCCTCGCTCGACCTCCTGGGCTCAAGTCATCCTCCCACCTTTGCCTCCCTAAGTGCTGGGATTAAAGGCATGAGCCACTGCGGATAGTCCACAGTGTTGTTAGAAAAGTCTAATTTGAAAGATCTATGAAATGCTTTAAAAGTGAGAAACCACTCTTTGACAATCAAATCTTACAAGAGATAGATACATATAATAAAGTGAAGGAAAATTAGGCAATATTAAATAAATGATATTTTAAAATAAATAAACATATATATATATGCCATTTTTATCTTGGCATGTACAGGAATAACTGTATTCTTGCTCATACAGACCATAAGTTTGAAAAAATCCTTACAAATTATTTTCATATATTTACAAAACAGCAAACTACATGGAATACATATATGTTATGGTACCTTGACATATGTACAAAGGATTTACTTTAAAGGAACCCAGCCATTTTTTCAATATTATCCAGACATATTTGCATCTTGGGTGCATGAGTACTTATCTAACCTGAAATAAAAAGTTGGACTGCTCATAAATATACCCGTGTTTCTGCAGGTAGATTTATATTAAAGACTGAGTACAACAAGAAATATGTATACAGGTCCAGACAATGTTTTAGAATATACACAAGCAATTCCTAGAACATCCAGTAAAAATTAAATTTAATTTGAATTAAACGTAAATGATATATTTTACCTTGAATATATACATGTAGCATGTATCCCAAAAAATCCTGGATAAGATTTGCAATCTTCATAGCAATTGTAATTAAATATTAATTTCTTTTTTGTTAATGTAAAATCTTATATAAAAAAGAGAGCTTTATGATTTGTACAGGATAATAATTCTCTTGCATCCATAAACAAATCCTTCTCAAAACCAATTTCTTTAAGTTAAAAATCTCACTCCTTTTAAAATGTACAATAAGTCCTTCCTCAATGTCCTCAATTGTTTCTTGGAAATTGTGACTTTAAGCAAAACGACATATATCGAAATCAATTTTACATAGGCTAATTGATACAAAACAGAGTTAAGTTTCTATGGCATATTTCTGGTCACAAAAGAATCATCTAACTTCAAAATAAATACCCCAAACACTTCTAATAGTAAACACTGAAATAAAAGTAAATGCAAACATTTAAGAAAGATTCATGAAAACAGGTAAGATAATTATTTTCTTAACTATTCCATTTCAGAGTTGAGGATGGCCACAGCGTATCCCCAAAGTTTAGGGAGCAGGCGAGGAACAACCTCCCTGCCCCCTGCCCGATCGGATGCCATCCCATTGCAGGGTGCACTCACAGGCACACCCACAAGAACTCAGACCGGGACCACTTAGACACTCCAATTCACTGATGTGTACATCCTAGGGTTGTGGGAGGAAACAGGGGTACCCAGAGAAAACCCACACAGATATGGGGAGAAGCTAGCAAATTCCATACAAACCTTGGCTCCAGCTGGAATAGGTTTTTTTCTCAACATTGCCACCAAACAATCTTCAATGAAACAATGTTATTTGAGAACCTGCTGAATAGCTACCTTTGAAACAATTTGTTACATATAAGTATTCAGAAGGAAAAGACTAAGAAACAAAATAATATGAAAATTAGAGGCTCAGGAGAAAGAACATAAAGGAAAGAGACTGAAGTCTTAGTCCCTGGTTTAGTTTTTTCTATTGGACAGCTAAATAACCTTGTCCTAGTCACCTGCGTTCCCTTGGCTTCAGTCTTCTTAGCAGGATAAAGGGGATGTTGGCTTTCATAAAGCAAACTCCAATTCACTCTTTGTATTGTATTGTAAGTGTGTCATTTATTATTTAGTGCCGTCAGGAAAGGAATTAATTGATACATAATGAAGGCACATGCTCAACCTTAGGCAACATTACAATGAAAAGTAAAGGATACATTTTTTTTCCAAAGAGAAATCCACCCATCCTCTGAAATTATCAAATATATTTATGGAAGGGTTACTCCAGTTTATTCTTAAGAAAGAGGAAATTGTGGTTATTCAGATTATAGCTTGTGATGTTCTGCTGTATTTTTCTTTACTAAATTATGCCTTGTCACTTCCTTTAAATATTTAAAAATTTAAATAACTGGGCTATAGTTGGGAAATAATGAAAGGCACTAGGTGACCTAAAATTGTTTAGAATGCATTCATATTCTATTATAAGAACGATAGTAAATCAAAGAAGAGTAACTAAACAAGTTGCCTGGGGCTACTTTAACTTATGCACCAATGGCAGGCACAGGATTCACGTGGTGCTTTGTCTAACTATCATTTTTCTCTTTCTACTCAAAGGCAGATGCAGCAGGATGCACTTAAACATTAGTCTTGTCAAATTGATGCTGGATTTCTCTTCTTTCCTGAAAGCAATTATACTAGCACAATATCATTATTATTGTTGAAGAAGCTGAGACTAGCTCTGTGCTCAAGATGCCAAAATAATTTAGTCACTGCCAATGAATAGTTCAGCATTTTACAAACACGGCTTTACTTGGACTAGTCTGAATCTTTTGAGATTTTTCAGAAATAAAATATAAGCCACTTGCTCAATCAACAAAAGCAATCAAAGAGAAATGAAGTCAAGCTTCAATGCAAATAAAGGTTAGGACAATAGTCATTTGGGGATAGAATAACACGAAGCTCACTACTGAGAATTATTTTAAGAACAAAGAAATGCAATTTAGTCTATTTAGTGGAAGAACACCCTAGCTAGAATTTAATCATGGAAGAAATAAACATACCTGGGCTTAAGTGCTTGAACGGGGTGTTACTCCATCAAACTTCTGGCAATATTTTTTTTTTTTTGAGACAGAGTCTCTCTCTGTCACCCAGGCTGGTGTGCAGTGGTGCAATCTCAGCCCACTGCAACCTCTGCCTCCCAGGGTTCAAGCGATTATCCTGCCTCAGCCTCCCAAGTAGCTGGGATTACAGGCACCCGCCACCATGCCCAGCTAAATTTTGTGTTTTTTGTAGAGACGGGTTTTCACCGTGTTGGCCAGACTGTTCTCAAACTCCTGGCCTCAAATTATCCACCCACCATGGCCTCCCAAAGTGCTGGGATTACAGGCATGATCCACCGCACCTGGCTCTGGCAATGAATTTTTAAAGCTACCTTTTTCCACTCCTGTTATGCTGCCTTCATTCACATACAAATTACAAAGCTTCTACTACATGCCGGTGCTTGCTGGTCATGTGGAGGATGAGGCACCTACTTTGGAAGGCTGAAAATTGTTGTGACAAAGTTATGCATAGAGTGCTAAGAGACAAGAGGAGTAACGTCTGGCCAAATTCAGAAAAATCAAAGTGAGTGTTGCAGAGGAGGAAATTTTTTGCCAAAGTCCTAAAACATATAGGAGTTAAGCCACATGAAGAAGGGAGCTCAGGCCATTCTTGGGAAGAGGATACCATTTCTGAATGATAGTTTCAGGCAACTACTGGAATACAGGCTACATGTATACGAAGAGTGAGAGAGGAAGTTAACAAGGAAGGTGTCCGATCATTGACAGCCTTGTAGGTTAAGCTGAGAAGCTTAAATTTCATCTTGGGCACTATGGGGAGTCACTGGCAGAATGTAAAGAAGTAGAATAACAAGATTTGCATGTTATAAAATTTTCTTTACATGCAGTTTTATCTATTGATACATTCAACAAATATTTATTAGCATTTACTATAAGAAATGTGCAGGAAAGGAAAATGCGCAATAAGCAATAAAGTCAGGGTCCCTGCCCTCATGGAGTTTATGGTTCCCCCATAGAGACAGGTAATCAATTGTTTATTACTCAAGGAGACCAGCTGGGAATCTATTTATTTCAATAATCATGGTAAGAAGTGAGGAGGGTCACAATTGAGGCAGTAGTAGCAGAAGTAGAAAAGAAAGGATGCATTTTTTTTAAGATAGGAGTAGAAGTAACAAGATTTAGTAATTCTGATGACCAAAACCCAGATATGATATTCTAATAATAACTATGTAGCTGATAAAGAGATTTCACCTACTGAGTGGACATTCTATACCAGGTACTGAAACAAGCACTCTGTTTTACTGAATGCTTGTGGAAACTCTGCAAAAATTATTTGTCAATTTTATCAGAGACTGAGGATGTGATAGATTTCAAAAATGATTTTAACACTTTGCACAATCTCCCATCAAAAGACAGAGCCTATTTCCTCACAAGGCTTGGTCTTGTGGCTTACTTTGATCAATAGGACACAATGGGAATGACATTCTACCAGCTTAGTCCAGCCCTGTCTCGTGGGCCCTTCTTCTGTTGTATCCCCATTACACAGAGCAAGTATAAGTGATAATAAGACCAATAAATAAAACATGGAATGAACCTCATGCATAAAGATTTCCTAAATTTTGTAAAACTTTTCAGGTTCCCCAGAAAAGACCTTACTATTACATAAGTTTTAAATCACATATTCTCTGTTTCTTGGTCCACATCACTCCCTACCTTGCCATCATGACACCTTAATTCCTCAGGAAAACTGATTGCCCATTTGGATCAGGAGAAAATGCTAATGTACATGAACAAATCAAGAAATATCGGCACCTTTTAGGATCCTCTGTTAAGTTCTTGGGGCACAAGCAGTGAACCTCTGATGATGTTTCATAGAAATCTATGAATGTAATTCTATGGACTTGTAATAGTTTACCATAATAACCATGAGCCAAGAATTCTGCTCTTTGGAGCCATTCATGGAATAATACATCAGAGCTAGAAGAGGAATTAAAGAAAATATATTCTAACTCTGTTCTTTTAAAGATGAGAAAACTGAAGTTCAGAAATATTGTCACCAGCCCAAGGTCATACAATTCATTAGTTAGAAAGATGGAATCAAATACAGGTCTTCTAAAAACTCTGACTAATGCTACTGCAATTTAAAAATAGTGCTGCCTCCAATGAATAATTGGTTAATAGCAGGGAAAATCAAAATGGACGCTTTCATCTCCCTAGGAAATTTCAAATCCTACAACATTAAAGTAAAACTAAATGAAAGGAATCTAAACAACGAAAGTACAAGAGAACATATTTTTAAAAATGAAACAGTATTTCCTTAACAAGCTACATTTCAACACTTTTCTTGAAAAGCAAAAATCAATTTTTAGATAGTTCACTAGTGAGGTAAAATTCAGTTGAGACTATTTTTAAGTAAAATTAAACATTCAATAATAGGGTTTAAACACTTTGAAGAAGTTCTTTTTAAAAATGTTGTAGAGGTATAATTAAAGCCTAAAAAAGAAACATTAGAAGTAAAGTGATTGTGATCATTCTCTTTCCCCAGGTAAGATAATCTCCAATAATCATTTTATCCTTAACTAATAGTAACAACTTCTGAAGTTTAAACAATAACTCTTATTTAACCTGCAGTTTGAGAAATACATTTGAACTACCTAAAAATATCATAAATTCAACTTTTTCTAAAGTTCTCTAAATTGTGCATCTAATTGTCTCATTCTCACAATGGCAGTTTTGGTAGTTTTTACAATTAAGGGATAAAAGTTTTCAAGAACTTTTTGAAAGTTACATAGGAGACTTGGAATAAATATAAAAACAGAACAGAGCTGGTGATTCAGTAGCTATATTGTGGGATACCCTTCCAGCCAACACCTTTCTGGGAAGCATCCTCAGACCCAGACTGATGAAGGAGTGGGCAGCCTTCTGTGCAACTTGTGACTTTCCAGCTAGCACAGTTGATGAGAAGAGAAATGAGCATATATTTCAAGATAAGATAATCTTATTTTCTCTCTTGGAAATTTATATTTTGAGATTCAGGGACACGACTTGCTGGCATTGGTTCTTGGAATTATAAGGTATTGTTCAACTGCTGTTAGAACTAGTGTCATAGAAACCTAGATTCACCATGAGTCATCAAGGGACTTAAAGACAGACGTATCTGGAGAAAAAGAGAATAAAGCTGAACATGCAGCCTCCAGCCCCAGAGAAAGACTGAGAGAGAACAGGAGAATAGAACCTTATTAGACACCAGATGTATTTCCAGCAACTGGGTTCCTTGAAATTTCTCTGGTTCATAAGTGCTTCACAGACATAATGGGCTAGTAAATTAGGTCCTTATTTTGGAACAAATTGAGAGATATATTTGGAAGTATGACAGAGATCAAGCTGTCAGCTTTAATTGGAGATAAAAGCTAAGTTGGAGAAGGGCATACTGCTAATAATTCACCCCAGATTTGTCAGATTTACCTACCCCATCACAAGCCCAGTAAAAATCACAGTATAAAGGCAAAGATAATGCATCTCTCTGCAGTCAGGCCAATTTCAAAGTGAGAGAAGAAAGAAATAGGTGATCTATACATATGCAGTGTGTTCTTCCAAATCATCAAATAATAAGTGTTGCCTCTCTTTTTGACACTAGGTCTCCTCCAAGATATTCTTATGTAACTACTCTACTTGTCACCTGGACATCAGGACTTTGGAAAACTTCCCAAGTGTTTCCATTGTGCAGGCTGTCATGAGAATATCCTCTCTCGGGAAGACTTACTAGAGAAAGAAGTAGCCATCACCAATCTTTCAAGCCTTTTGCACTCTTACCTATTGGATTTGAACAACTTATGTAAGGTCATCTTGGGTTATGATTGTCCCTCTCAGGTAAGATGTTAGCATTTTTGTCAGGACTAGTTTGCTTCCAAACCCAAGAGGCTCCAATCAAAATACCAATGACTTCTCCCTGGATTATCTGTGATCCTCTAACTCATAAGGAATATCCCACAAAAAGCTTCACAGCCCATCAAAAAAAAAAAAAAAAAAAAACAACTAACTCTAAGGTTTTCTCAGTCCAAATTATATACCCTTTACTATTTCCCAGCTAAAATTATGTCAACCTGTATTTCATTATATCTCATCAAGTTTTCTGCAATAAGATTAAATAACTTTATGATATACCAATGATAAAATAACAGCAAAAATATACTCCATATTTGATATTAATCCCCTTCCATTATGAATTTCATGGAAAGATTTAAAAATGTTCAAAGAAATTTTACATTTAAGATATAAATATTTTATTTAAGTAAAATAATTTGAAGCCTAAAGAATTTAAAGTTCTTCTCAATTTCTTATTCCATTTCATCTCTGCAAGAAGTCTTGATACTTGAAGCTATAGTATGTTTCACCTGTTATAAAAGCTATGAATGCCATAGCACTAATAAAGTTGAATTTAGCCACAGTCTCTCATGTATCTCATTAAAAAAAGAAATCAAAGATTTCTGGCGGGGTACAGAGGCTCATGCCTGTAATCCCAGCGCTTTGGGAGGCTGAGGCAGATGGATCACCTGAGATTAGGAGTTCAAGACTAGCCTGGCCAACATGGGGAAATCTTGTCTCTACTAAAAATTAGAAAATTAGCTGCGCATGGGGGCGTGCGCCTGTAATCCCAGCTAGTCAGAAGACTGAGGCAAGAAAATCATTTGAACCTGGGAGGCAGAGGTTGCAGTGAGCTGAGATTATGCCACTGCACTCCAGCCTGGGTGACAGAGTGAGACTCCATCTCATAAAAAAAAAAAAAAATTCATGCCATAAAAAATCAAATAATTAATAAAATATATCATAGTTTCATAGCCCTGGACCATTTCTGACTAATTCAGATAACCAGCCAAACCCCAATACCTAGACATTTCTTCATAAAATTTTGTTACAATAACATACTTAGTATTGTCATTAACCAGTAGTTCTCATTCCTAAATGTGTACTATAATTGTCTTATATACTCTTAAAAAATACTAGTATCTTACCCAATAACAGTTAAATCAGCATCTTTGAATGAGGAATTTGTAAAGATGTAATTTTTAAATCTCTCAAGGTTTTTTTAATTATTTTTTAGTAGCCTTAAAAAAGGCAGTTCTAAGTTTACAGGCAGTTGAGTGGAAAGTACAGGGAGTTCCCATATTGCACCAGTGTGGTAACTTTGCTACATTGATGACACAATTTTGATGAATAATTATTAACTAAAGTCTATAGGTGACACATTCACTCTGTGTTGTACATTCCATGGGGCTTAACAAATATATGACATATATCCACCATTACTTACGATACAAAATAGTTTCACTGGCCTTAAATTCCCCTATGCTCCAACAATTCATTCTTTTTTCCCTCCACTGGAACCCCTGGCTGGCAACTACTGACGTTTTCTTTTGTTCTGTCTTCACAGTTTTGCCTTTTCCAGATGAATTACCTAGTTGAAATCATTCTGTATGTAGCCTTTTCAGGTTGGCTTCTTTCACTTAGCAGTATGTATCTCAGGTGTCTTCATGTCTTTTCATGGCTTGAAAGCTCATTTCTTCTTTTTTTTTTTTTTTTTGAGACGGAGTCTCGCTCTGTTGCCCAGGCTGGAGTGCAATGGCGCGATCTCGGCTCACTGCAAGCTCCGCCTCCCGGGTTCACGCCATTCTCCTGCCTCAGCCTCCCGAGTAGCTGGGACTACAGGTGCCCGCCACCATGCCCGGCTAATTTTTTGTATTTTTAGTAGAGATGGGGTTTCACAATGTTAGCCAGGATGGTCTCGATCTCCTGACCTTGTGATCCGCCCACCTCGGCCTCCCAAAGTGCTGGGATTACAGGCGTGAGCCATCGTGCCCGGCCCATTTCTTCTTATTACTGAATAATATTCCAGTGTCTGGATGAACCACAGTTTATTTATCCATTCACCTATTTAGGGACATCTTGGCCCAGGGTATTTTAATGTCCAGCCAGAGTTAACCTCTGCCATAGACCATAGCAGAAACTCAATAGCATCTGAAGGAAGAGGAAATGGGGAAAATCTTTATTTTAGTCATAGTGAGCTGTCAGGCAGTCAGTTGCAGTGCACAGTTAAACACTTGTGTGAAACACAATTGAGTGAAAGTTCTCATTAAGGGGTTAATATTTTTCCATAAGCACCTATCATTTTAGGGGGAAGCCACCTACTCAAACTGTCTTTTCATGCTGCCATTTGAGCTACTGCTGCCTTCTTGCAAAGTCTAGAAATTTACACTGGTAGCAGCTCCAGTCACCATATGCTGTTTTACTCCCTCCCTATCTCACCTCTAAATTTAATTTAATCCCTCTTAATTCCATTTATTTTTTGAGCTCTGTGCTTTCACACTTCCTTGTGAGCAAGCATTTTAGTCCTATGCTTTAATTCAGTCATTTAATAAGGGTAAGCTTAGAAATTTTTGAAATCTGTGGCACAGGAAAGAATTCCCCTAGTCCTCTCATTTATTTGAACTGGAGAATCACCTTCAGCATATTTCTAAGGTAAACTTGTTCTGTTTTTTTTTTTTTTCTTTTTCTGTAACTTGTGACCCCAGAAGCCTAATTTGTACCAGCTTTTGCCATATGCTCCTCAGCTTTTGAAAGTCCCAGATATTGTGAATCATTTGTTTTTGTTGTTTTTGTTTTCAAACAGCTTTACTGAAAATAATTCACGTGCCATACAACTTATTCATTTAGAGTATACCATCTAATATTTTTCAGTCTACTCACTGCTGTGCGGCCATCAGCACAATTAAATTTTAGAACATTTCAACCTCCTAAAAAAAAAAAAACCTTGTTCCCATTAGCAGTCAATCCCTATTCTATACCAACCCTAAGCAACTTACTAATATATTTCATTATTCTGGCCATTTAATACAAATATGTTCTTTTGTGATTAGATTCTTTAACTTAGCATAATGTTTTTAAGAGCAATTGTGCCATAGCATGAATTAATACTTCATTTCTTTTTATTGCCAAATAATATTCCCTTGTATGGATATGCCAGATTGTATTGACACACATTCATCAGTTGATAGACATTTGGGTTATTTCCACTCTTGGGCCACTATGAATAGTATTGTTATGAATAATCATAAACAAGGTTTTGTATGGATATATATTTTCATTTCATTTGCATATATACATTGGAATGGAATTGTGGGTCATATGATAACACTATGTTTAACTTTTGAGAAACTGCCAGACTGTTTTTCATAGTGATTGCACCATCTTACATTCCCACCAGCAGCATGTAAGTGTTCCAATTTCTCCATATCTTTGCTAAAGTTGCTGTTGTCATCTTTTTTATTATAGCCATCCAGTAAGGGTTAATAGCATCTTATTGTGGTTTTGATTTGATTTTCACTAATGATGTAGAACAACTTTTCATATGCTTATTGGTCACATGTATATCTTCTCAGAGAAAATACCTATTCAAATCCTATGACCATTTTAACATTGAGTTACTGTCTTCTTTATTGAATGGTAAAATTCATTTAAATATCTGGATACAAGTTATTTATCAGACATATGTTCTCTCATTCTGTGGTTTTTTTTCCCTTGAGGATATAATTTGAAGCACAAAAGTTTTAAAATAATATGGTTTATTTTGTTTTTTTTCCTGCTTATGTTTTCAGTGTAGTATCTAAGAAAGTTTCCTAACCAATGATCATTAGGATTTACTCCTAAATTTTTTCCCAGGAATTTATAGCTTAATCCCTTATATTTAAGTCTATGATCCATTCTGAGTTTTTATGTTTTTGTTTGTTTGTTTCTTTGTGTTTATTTGTTTTTTGTTTTGCATATGATTTGAGGTAAGGTTCCAACTTTATTCCTTTGAATGTGGTCATTCAGTTTCCCCAGCAGTGTTTGTTGAAATGACTATTTTTTCACTATTTAATTTTCTTGGTACATTTGTCAAAAATAAATTGACCATATGTTTGTAATTATGCCAGTACCACACTGTCTTGATTACTGTAGCTTTGCAGTAAGGGTTGAAATCAGGAAGTATGAGCCAAGATCGTTTGACTATTCTGGGTCTCTTGCATTTCCTCATGAATTTTAACTTCAATTTGTCAATTTCTTCTAAAAAGCCAGCAAGAATTTTGACAGGGATTACATTGAATATTTCCACCAATTTAGGAAGTATTGGCCATCTTAACATTATTAATCTTTCAATCCATAAACATGAGACGTCTTTCCATTTATTTAAGGTTTTTTTTAATATCTTTAAGCAATGTTCTGTATTTTCTAGGGCACAAATCTTATACACCCTTTTGTTATACTTAAATATTTTGTTCTTTTTTTATGTCATTATGGTTGGAAATGTTTTCTTAGTTTCAAATGCATAATTTTCATTGTTAACCTATAGAAATAATTGATTTTTAGAAATTGATCTTTTATTTTTCAGCCTTCACAGGTTTTTAGTGTAATCCTTACAATTTTCTGTATATAAAATAACATGATCTGCAAATAGAGATAGTTTTACCTCCTTCTTTCCAATTTAGATGCCTTTTATTCCCTCTTCTTGCCTAGATGCCTGGGCTGGAAACTCCAATACAATGTTAAATCAAGGTGATGAGGTTGAACATCTGTGTCTGGTTCTTGATCTTAGGGTGAAAATATTCATTCTTTCGCTATTAAGTATGAGGTTAACTGTGGATTTTTTGTAGATGGTCTTTACTAGGTAAAAATGAGTGTTTTATCATGAAATGTAGTTGTAGTACATCAAATGTTTTCGAAATAACTGTATAATATTTTGTCTTTTATTCTGTCAAAATGGCTTATTACATTAATTAATTTTGGATGTTAAATCAACCTGTGTTCCTAGGATAAATCCTACTTGTTCATGTTGTATAATCCTTTTAATATGTTATTGGATTTGGTTTGTTAGTATTTTGATGAGTATTTTTGCAAATATATTCATCAGCGATACTAGGCTGTAGTTTTTTTCTTCTAGTTTTAGTATCAGAGTAATATTGCCCTCATAGGATGAGTTGGAAACTGTTTCCAGCTCTTCTATTTGTTAAAAGAATTTGTGAAGTATTTATAGTAGTTTTTCTTTGAATGTTTGATAGATTTCACCAGGGAAAACATATGGTACTTGGCTTTTCTTTCAGGAAGTTTTAAAATGATCAATTCAATTTTTTGCTTATTATAGACCTATCTGGAATTTCTATTTATTCTAGAGTAAGAGTCAGTACTTTGTGTCTTCCAAGAAATTAATTCGTTTCATGCAACTCATCTTGTTGGTTTATAGTTGTTTGTAATAGCATTCCCTTATAATCTTTTTATTTCAATACAACAATAGTAACATTCCTTTTTCATTCTTGATTTTAGTAATTTCAGACTTCTCTTTGTTTTTTATTCTTGGTTAGTTCAGCTAAAATTTTGTCATTTTTTTTTTTATATTTTTAAAAGCATCAAATAGCTACTCCTGCTTTCCTTTCATTTATAGTTGTGTGATATATCTTCTTCCATCCTATTACTTTCAAACTATGTCTCTTCCAGACAAAGCATTATTGGATCACAGTCTTTAAAATCCAATTTAAAAGTTCTTGGGTTTTGGTGAGATTGTATAACCCACATGCATTTAATATTATTGATATGTTTAGAATTATATCTGCCATTTTGCCTTTTGTTTTCTATGTGTCACATGTCTTTTTTCTTTTTCTACTTTTTTTTATACTAAGCAGCTTATGTTTAATGTAGCAGTTTAATTTTTAGTAAATTTTAAATTATATTTTGAAATATTTATTAGTGGTTCTTCTAGGACTTACAATGTATGTCTTAACTTATGAAAGTCTAATTTAGATTTATACTGATTTTATACCCATAAAATATAGAAACTTTATTCCTATATAGCTACATTCCCTCCTTATATTTTGTGCTATTACTGTCATACATACTACTTCTATAAAGCTTACAAACTGAACAATACATTGTTATAATTATTACTTTATATTATCTTAATTTTTTAAAGAACTAAAGAAATAGAAGCAAATATATATGTATAGAGCTTGTTATATTAACATTCTTATTTACCCTTGCTGTTTCTTTTTATTCCGTCTAGTGGTGTAAGATAACACTTGGTATCATTTGCTTACTCCAATATAACTTTGTTTTCACCCAGTTCCTTTGAACGTTGATTGTCAAATACATGACATTTCTTTGTGTTACATGCCAAATTGTTGTATTATGCAATTGCTTTTTGAATCAGTCAAAAGAAGAAGAGACAAGAGCATGCAATTATGCTATATTTTTCAATTAGCTACATAATTACCTTTATGGGCATTCTTTGTTTTTCTTGTAGCTTTGAATTACTGTCTATTGTCACTTGCTTTCAACCTGAAGAAGTTCCTTTACTATTTATTTTAAGGCAGTTTACTGGCAACAAATTCTCTCAATTTTTGTTTCCCTGGGAATGTCTTATCTTACCCTCATTTTTGAAAGATAGTCTTGCTAGATATAAATTTATTTTTCACTGTTTTTACTTTTAGCTTTTTGAATATGTCATCCCACTACCTTCTGGGCCCTTCTTTCTGATAAGCTGCCAGCTTGATGTAATGATTCCTTTTACTCTTGCACCTTTCAAGATTTTCTCCTTGTCTTTAAGCATTTTGACTGTGATATGTCTGGGTGTTTTTCTCTTTGTACTTATTGTGCTTGGAGTTTGCTGAGGTTCTTGGCTCTGTACGTGAAGATATTTCATCAAATTTAATAAATCTTCAACTTTTATTTCCTTGCTTATTTATTTTGTCCCTTGCTTTCTTCTCCATTGCTAGTCCCATGAAATGTACGTTGGTGTGTTTAATGGTGTCCTACATTTCTCTGAGACTCTGTTAATTTTTATTTATCCTTTATTCTCTCTGTTCCAGATTGCCTGATCTCTATTGATCTGTCTTCAAATTCACTATTCTTTTCTTCTGCTAGCTCATTTCTACTCTGCTAATGAATTTTTCATTTTAGTTATTTTACTTTTAAACTATAGAATTTTAATTTGGTTATTTTTTTAATAGTATCTATCTCCTTATTGGTATTCTATACTTGATAAAATATTGTCATCATACCTTCCTTTAGTTATTTAAGCTTGATTTCTTTCTGTTCTTTGAAAGTATTTGTAATTGCTGCTTTGAAGTTTTTGTCTACTAAGCCCACTATCAGGGACACTTTAAAGACATATTCTATAGCCAATTTTTTCCTTATTTATAAGTCACACTTTCCTATTTCTTGGTATGTCGCATTATATTGTTGAAAACTGAACATTTCAGATAATCTATTTTACCAACCCTGGATACTGATAATTCCTGGAGTTGTATTTCTTATCTGGTCGTTTAAAAATTTGCTTAGTTGCTTGACTGAAATAGTTCTATGCTGTATGTTTCCCTTACAGGGAAAAGATTCTGATATCATTGCTCACATATTCCCCCTTGTTTTTTCTTTAAGCCTGGCCACCCTGGTCAGTATAGCCACTAATTTGTCAAATGTTACATGTAAATCTCTATAGCCAGTTAGATTTTTACTCTTTACCATTAATGTGTGTTTGTGGTTTGGAAATTGCTAGCACAGTTCAGGGATTTTACATGTCTCTGCATATTCAACCAGGAACAATAGCCTAGAGGGTCTCTCTCTGGCAACTCCCGAGAGTGTGCAGTCTTGGGCAAGCACATGTTTTTTGAGAATGCCAGGAATGACTATGATATTATTTAGAATACTGGTTAGGAGTCACCTCTGGGTCAGAGTAGCTCATTATTCTGTCAATGTTCAGTCAGAGGTTGTGTTTACGCCCATTTGCCAGTGAAGCTTCAGACATGTTGATTTGTGTGAGTCTTGGGAGATGTTTTTAAATATACGCCCACATGTAGATTTCATGTTTCTGTCTGGGTAAGCCTATTACACAGGCACAGGCCTCCTCTAGAATTGTCCACATCATAGAAGGGCTTTTATTTGCTGTCTTTTTCTCTGATTGTCTCTGGTAAGCTTCTGGCTACTCTGCCATTTTGTTTGTATCAGACCTACCAATGTCTAAGCTTTGGGACTCAAAATGATGTCATTGTGGTTTTTTCATTATCACAACTGCAAAAGATGGATTATTCCTTTCCTTCTGTTTTTTACTAATAATACCTACTCCTCCTTTGTGAGTGAAATGGCCCATTAAGGCTCGGATATGTAAAGCTACATTCAGAAATTTCTAATTTACAATTCCAGATACAATTTGAGAGGATGAGTTGAAGTTGACTGCTGAAAGAAATCAGGTACAACACAAATAAATGGAAAATCATTCCACGCTTATGGATTAGAAGAATCAATATTGTTAAAATGACCATACTGCCAAAAGCAATTTACAAATTTAACACTATTTCTCTCAAACTATCAAAGTCATTTTTTACAGAATTAGAAAAAAAAATATTCTAAAATGCATATGGAAACAAAAAAGAACCTGAATAGCCAAAGCAATTGTAAGCAAAACGAACAAAGCCGGAGGCATCAGTCTACCCAACTTCTCACTGTACTAAAAGGCTACAGTGACGAAAACAGCATTTTACTTGTACAACAGACACATAGACCAATGGAACAGAATCAAAAATTCAGAAATAAAGTCGCACACCCGCAACCATCTGATCTTCAACATGGCCGACAAATACAAGCAGTGGGAAAAGGACTCCTTAGTCATTAAGTGGTGCCGGGATAACTAGCTAACCATATGCAGAATAATGAAACTGGACCCCTACCTTTCACCATATACAAATTAAATATTTAAATGTAAGACCTCAAAATATAAAAATCCAAGAAGAAAACCTAGGAAATACCCTTCTCAACATCAACCTTGGCAAGGAATTTTTGGCTAAGTCCCCCAAAACAATTGCAACAGAAACAAAAATTTACAAGTTGGACTTAATTAAACTAAAGCGCTTCTGCACAGCAAAAGAACTTATCAAAAGTAAATAGACAACCTTACAGAATGGCAGTAAATATTTGCAATCTGTGCAATATTAGACAGAGGTCTAATATTAAGAATCTAAAAGTCACTTAAACAAACCACCAAACAAAAACCAAATAACCCCATTAAAAAGTTGGCAAAGGACACGAACAGACACTTCTCAAAAGGAGATACAAAAGTGTCCAGCAAACATGAAAAAATGCTTATCATCACTAATCATCAAAAAAATGCAAATCAAAACCACAATGAGATACCATCTCACACCAGTCACAATGGCTATTAATCTAAAATTAAATTTTAATCTAAAATGGCTCTCTGGTGCCATCTGGAAGTAAATTATCTTTGTGAATAAAAGCCTAAGCCTTAGTGTGTAAATTTGGCTGAGAAAGACAATTTAAGCAGGTGAAGAATAATTAATCATCTTAATGTCTAAAAACCTTTTCAAGAAATCCTGAGGTAGGCAGAATTCTAAGATGCCCTCCACCTCAGATTTCTAGGCCCTGGTTTACACACCTTCTCCCAGTTATTCAAACACTAATATATGTGTTGCTGTGAAAAGATTTTGCAGATGTAATTAAAATCTTTATTCAATTGGCTTAAATTAGGAAAATTATCCTAGGTGGGTCTGAGCTAATCAGGTAAATAATTAAAATAAGATGAAGTGCTAGAATTTCCTTTTTAAAGAATGAATAGGCCAGCCACGGTGGCTCATGCCTGTAATCCCAGCACTTTGGGAGGCCGAGGCGGGCAGATCACCTGAGGTCAGGAGGTCAGGACCAGCCTGGCCAACATGGTGAAACCCATCTCTACTAAAATACAAAATAAAAATTAGCCAGGCATAATGGCAGGTGCCTGTAATCCCAGCTACTCAGGAGGCTGAGACAGGAGAATCGCCTGAACCCGAGAGATGGTGTTGCTGTGAGCCGAGACTGCGCCACTGCACTCCAGCCTGGGAGCTGAACGAGACTCCGTCTCAAAAAAAAAAAAAAAAAAAAAATGAATAATATTTTATTGTATGTTCATGGCACATTTTCTGTATCCATTTACCTATCAATAGACACTTAGATTTTTTATCTTGGCAATAGTAAATAATAGTTCAATGAAGAAGAGAGTACTAATATCTCTTTAAGATCTTGACTTCAATATAACCAGAAGTGAGATGGCTGGAGCATATGGTAATTCTTTTATACAATATTTTGAGAAGCCACCATAGTGTTTTTAATAGTGGCTGTACCATTTTTATATTCCCATGAATAGCATACAAGGGTTCCAATTTCTCCACATCCTCACCAACACTTGTTATCTTTTGATTTTGACTAATAGTCATTTCAACAGTTGTAAAGTAATATTTCATTATGGTTTGAATTGTACTGGTACTTAGTGATGTTGAACATTTTTTTCATATATCTGTTGGTAATTTGTATGTCTTTGGAGAATTGTCTATTGAAGCCCTTTGTTTATTTTTTAGTTTAGTTGTGTGGGCTTTTTGTTTGTTTGGTTATTTTGTTCTTGCTGTTGAGTTATAGGAGATTCTTATATGTTTTGGATATTAATCCCTTACCAGATATATGGTTTTCCAACATCGTACCCATTGTGTAGGCTGTCTTTTTACTCTACTGAGTATTTCCTTTACTGTTAGAAGCTTTTTAGTTTGATATATTCCCACTTGTCTAATTTTATTTTATTGCTTGTGCTTTGGGGTTCATATCTAAATCATTGCCAATAAAAATGCCATAAAATTTTTCCCAAAGTTTTCTTCTAGGAGATTTATAGTTTCAGGTTTTACATTTAAGTCTTTAATCGACTTTGAATTAATTTTGGGGTATGGTGTAAGAAAAAGGTTCAGTTTCATTCTTTCCATTGTGGGTATTCACTTTTCCCAACAGCATGCAACATGAATGAACTTGGAGATCATTATGCTAAGTGAAATAAGTCAGTCACAGAAGGACAAATACTGCAAGGTTCCATGCATATGAAGTACCTAAAATAGTTGTACTCTCAGAAACAGAGAGTAGAGTGTTTTTTTCCAGGAGTTGGGGAAAGGGAAAATGAGGAATTGCTGTTTCACAGGTATATAGTTTAATATAGGCAAGATGAATCATTTCTAGAGATACACTGTCCAACATTTC
Organism: Homo sapiens; assembly: GCF_000001405.40. NCBI lineage: Eukaryota > Metazoa > Chordata > Mammalia > Primates > Hominidae > Homo > Homo sapiens. The sequence continues at coordinate 81,965,695 of NC_000012.12, forward strand.
GCTTATAATTAATGATACTGTATTGTGCACTTAAAAATTTGTTGTGTAGGTAGATCTCATGCTAAATGTTCTTATTACAATAAGTAAATACACAATTAAATACAATAAAATAAGATGAAGTATGGTACAGCCATTATGAACAACAGTATAGAGGTTTTTAAAAATAATAATAATAATAAAATTACCATATGACCCAGCAGTCTTGTCTTCTAGGTAAATATCCAAAGAAGATGAAATCGCTACCTTGTAAAGCTACCTGCATTTTCATGTTCATTGTATTATTCACAATAGCCTGGATATAGAAACAATCTAAATGCCCATTGACAGATGAATAAAGAAAAATGGTGTGTATGTGTGTGTGTCTGAGTGGGTCTGTGTGTAACAGGATATTATACAGCCTTTAAAAAGAAAGAGATTATGCCATTTGCCACAACATGAATGTACTTGGAGGACATTATACTAAGTGAAGTAAGCCAGACAGAGAAAGAAAAATATCACATAATCTCGCTTATATGTGGAATATATACATGAGCTCAAATACATGGAGATACAGAGGTAGATAGAAAATGAAAGTTTTTACCACAGGCTGGGCATGGGGAAAGAAATAGAGAGATGAAGATTGAAAGATACAAAATAGCAGGTATGTAGGATAAACAAATCTACAGATCTAATGTATAAAATGAGGACTAAAGTTAATAAAACAATTTCACTGGAGATTTTTGTTAAATAAATAGATTTTAACTTCTCTTGTCATTTAAAAACAGTAGTTATATGAGACGATAGATAGGTTAATCCACTTTACTATAGTAACCACCTTACTTTCTCTACATATTCCATAACATAATGTTATAAATCTCAAATATACACAATAACATTTATTTTAAAAAATAAAGTGAAGTATGAGAGACATGCTCTCCTGTTGGCCTAGAAGAAAATGGAACTTGTCATGAGTTCTACAGCTACAAAAAAATGAATTCTGCCAGAAAATTAAATGAATTTCAAGAGGTCCTCAAGTTGAAGATAAGAATGCAGCCCCAGATAACACTTTGATTCCTAACAGTTTTATTTCAGCTGTATGAGAACTGAGCAGAAAATCCAGCCAATCTATGCCATGACTATTGACCCATGGAAACTGTAAGATAGTAAATTTGTATTTTTTTTTTTGCTACTAAGCTTGTAGAAATATGTTACACAGCAATATAAAACTGATCCACTCTCTTTTCTATAATTGAGTCCTTGTTTCTGTGGTGCCAGATTGCTAAGGGCAGTATTGCAGTATTGTCTGCCTGCAGTTGTTAAGGCTGCTGCTGCAGTTCTACACATGTAAAAAGATCCCCTTGCCTGCATAAAAGTCACTCACCTATATACAAACTGCCACAAGCCTGTAACAAAGCCTTCATAAAGCAGGGTAAACTGGCACGCTCATAAGCCTATTTCCCCAGCCCTTATAAAAGTCGAAATTCAAAACAAACTCCCCAGCCTTCATAGTAAAAAAAACCAACTGCAAAACCAGAAACACAAACTTTAAGAAACATGTAAGACTGCTGAAAAATCAAAGTCAAAAGCTACGACAGGTCCCACTTGCTAACCTAGGGCTTAAAAGAGCCATCAAAGCCCAACCTGAAGATTTCCAGACTTTGGGACATGTAGAAATTCCCAGGCCTAATAATATAGTCAGATAACAGATTTATAAAAATCCTGAAGATCAGAATGTCCTTTTTAACCATGATTACTTTCATTTATAAGTGTGTGGCATGTGTGTTTGTCTGTGTCCCTATATGTGTGTGTGTGTGTAACTATGTTTTAGCAAACTCTTTAGGGGGAGAATAACCACAACATATGAAATCAGGCAATAACTTATAATCATGAGGCCAGATACCTTATTCACCATTTTAGTAGAACATCCATTAGATTTTAAATTGACCACTACAGAAACTCACTGTTAGGCTAAATAACATAATTAATATTTCCTCCAATGCCAAACATAGTCCTTTTGGCATGTCAGACATTTGATTTATGTTTTTTTAATTTTTTATTTCTATAGGCTTTTGGGGAACAGGTGGTATTTGGTTACATGAGCAGGTTCTTCAGTGGTGATTTGTGAGATTTTGGTGTTCCCATAACCCGAGCAGTATACACTGAACCCAATTTGTAGTCTTTTGTCCCTCACCTCCCTCCCATCCTTTTCCTGGAGTTCCCAAATCACATTGTATAATTCTTATGTTTTTGCATCCTCATAGCTTAGTTCTCAGTTATGAGTGAGAACATAGGATGTTTGGTTTTCCATTCCTGAGTTACTTCACTTCAAATAATAGTCTCCAGTTCCATCCAGGTTGCTGCAAATGCCATTAATTCATTCCTTTTTATGGCTGAGTAGTATTCTATTGTGTATATGTACGTGTGTGTGTGTGTGTGTGTGTGTGTGTGTGTGTGTGTGTGTGTGTATCCCAAAATTTTTTCATCCACTCATTGATTGATAGGCATTCAGGCTGGTTCCATATTTTTGCAATTGCAAATTGTGCTGCTATAAACAGGCATGTGCAAGTATCTTTTTCATGTAATGACTTATTTTCCTCTGAGTAGATACCCAGTGGTGGGATTGCTGGATCAAATGGTAGTTGTACTTTTAGTTCTTTAAGGAATCTCCACACAGTTTTCCATAGTCTGGGGTAAATACCCAAGATTCATTGTCTCATGACCATGGAAAACTAGGATGCAGACACAAAGAGTGAGGCTCAGAGCAGAAGTTTAATAGGCAAAAGAAAGAGAAAAGCTCTCTCTGCTGCAGAGAGAGAAGTACTAGAGAAATGGGTTGCCAATTCCAGGGTGAAATGCAGGTTTTATAAATGCTTGAGGAGGCGGTGTCTGATTTACATAGGGTACAAAAGATTGGTCAGACCAGGCATGCCATTTGCATAGTGTGCAAAAAGCTGGCCATCCCCACCCTAATTTTTTATTATGCAGATGGCTTCTCTGCCTGACAAGCACGATGTTGCCCATTCCTTTACTGCGCACGTGGTGACAAAGAAAAGGGAAGATGGAGCCTCCATATCGAACATGCCTGGCCATCAGGTAGCTCTTTTCTGTTAGCACAGCTGCTGGCATTCACCTGTGCAAGCTTCCAGCTTGCTTATCTACGTTTGCAGCTCGATTTTTCAGACTGCTCTTTGATAGAAAATAAATGATTCTGGAGCTACTTTTTTGTTAAAAGGGAAATTCCACTAAGGACTTTTTTACCCTCAGTCTCTGCCTAAATAATTTCTATCTCCTGTATCAGTTGTACTATTTACATTCCCACCAGCAGTGTAGAAGTGTTCCCTTTTCACCACAACCACACAAACATCTATTATTTTTTGTTTTTGATTGTGGCCATTCTTGCAGGAGTAAGGTGGTATCACATTGTGTTTTTGATTTGCATTCTGCTGATCATTGGTGATGTTGAGCATTTTTTATATGTTCATTTGTCATTTGTATATCTTCTTTTGAGAATTGTCTACTCATGCCCTTAGCCCACTTTTTGAAGGGATTTTTTTTTCTTGCTAATTTGTCTGAGTTCATTGTAGATTCTGGATATTAATCCTTTGTCAAATGTGTAGATTGTGAAGATTTTCTCCCACTCTGTGGGTTGTCTATTTACTCTGCTGGCTGTTCCTTTTGCTGTGCAAAGCTCTTTAGTTTAATTAAGTCCCACCTATATATCTTTGTTTTTGTTGCATTTGCTTTTAGGCTCTTGGTCATGAAGTCTTTGCCTAAGCCAATATGTAGAAGGATTTTTTGGATATTATCTTCTAGAATTTTTATAGTTTCAGGTCTTAGATGTAAGTTCTTAATCCATTTTGAGTTGATTTTTGTATAAGAGATGAGGGTCCAGTTTTACTCTCCTACTGTGGCTTGCTGATTATCCCCAGCACCATTTGTTGAATAGGGTGTCCTTTCTCCACTTTGTGTTTTTGTTTGCTTTGTCAAAGATCAGTTGGCTTTAATTATTTGCCTTTATTTCTGAGTTCTCTATTCTGTTCTATTGGTATAGGTGTCTATTTTTATACCAGTATCATGCTGTTTTGGTGACTATGTATAGTATAGTATATTGTACTTATAATATAGTTCATAGTTGGGTAATGTGATACCTCCAGATTTGTTCTTTTTGCTTAGTCTTGTTTTGACTATGTGGGTTGTTTTTGGTTCCAAAAAAAATTTAGGACTGTTATTTCTAGTTCTGTGACGAATGATTGTAGTATTTTGATGGGAATTGCACTGAATTTGTAGATTGTTTTTGGGAGTATGGTCATTTTCACAATATTGATTCTATCCATCCATGAGCATGGGATGTGTTTCCATTTGTTTATGTCATCTATGATTTCTTTCAACAGTGTTTAGTAGTTTTCCTTGTAGAGGTCTTTCACCTCCTGGGTTAGGTATATTCCCAAGTTTTTTTTTGTTTTTTGTTTTTTGTTTTTTGCAGCTATTGTAAAAGGGGTTGAGTTATTGATTTGATTCTCAGGTTGGTTGCTGTTGGTGTCTAGCAGAGCTACTGATTTGTGTACATTAATTTTGTATCCTGAAACTTTGCTGAATTCATTTATGAGTTCTAGGAGCTTTTTGGAGGAGTCTTTAGGGTTTTCTAGGTATACAATCCTATCATCAGCAAACAGCAACAGTTTGACTTCCTCTTAATCTATTTGGATGCCCTTTATTTTTTTCTCTTCTCTAATTGCAATGGCTAGAACTTCTAGTACTATGTTGATTAGAAGTGGTGAGAGGCCGGGTGTGGTGGCTCACGCCTGTAATCCCAGCACTTTGGGAGGCCGAGGCAGGCGGATCACGAGGTCAGGAGATCAAGACCATCCTGGCGAACACGGTGAAACCCCGTCTCTACTAAAAATACAAAAAATTAGCTGGGCGTGGTGGTGGATGCCTGTAGTCCCAGCTACTTGGGAGGCTGAGGCAGGAGAATGGCATGAACCCGGGAGGTGGGGCTTGCAGTGAGATGAGATTGCGCCACTGCACTCCAGCCTGGTGCCTGGGTGACAGAGCGAGACTCTGTCTCAAAAAAATGAGAGTAGGCATCCTTGTCTTGTTTCAGTTCTCAGAGGGAATGCTTTCAACTTTTCCCTGTTCAGTATTATTTTGGCTATGGGTTTGTCATAGATGGCTTACATTACCTTAAGCTATGTCCCTTCTATGCCAGTTTTGCTGGGGGTTCTAACCATTAATGGATGCTAGATTTTGTCAAACGTGTTTTCTGCACCTATTGAGATGATCGTGTGCTTTTTGTTTTTAATTCTGTTTATGTGGCATATCACATTTATTGACTTGCATATGTTAAACCATCCCTGCATCCTGGTATGAAACCCACTTCATCATGGTGCATTATCTTTTTGATATGTTGTTAATATCTATGGCTAAGAGACCTGAAGACGGTTCACATCAAATTACTCTGTGCACAACCTCCCCTCCAAGTACCAGCCCAGAGCCTGGTAGCCCTGCCATGTGGCTAGATCCAGAAGAGAAATAGGAACCACTACAGTTCAGCTCTCAGGAAGCCACATCTCTAGGAAAAGGGGGAGCATACTACATCAAGGTAGCACCCTGTGGGACAAAAGAATCTGAACAGCAGCCTTGAGCCCCAGATCTTCCCTATGACATAGCCTACCCAAAATGAGAAGAAACCAGAAAAACGATTCTGGTAATATGACAAAACAAGATTATTTAACAAATCCCCAAATCACACTAGCTCACCAGCAATGGATCCAGACCAAGAAGTAATCCCTGAATTGCCAGTAAAAGAATTCAGAAGGTTGATTATCAGCTAATCAAGGAGTCACCAGAGAAAGGTGAAGCCCAACTTAAGGAAATAAAAAAAAAATGGTACAAGATATGAGGGGAGAAATCTTCAGTGAAATAGGTAGCGTAAACAAAAAACTATCACAACTTCAGGAAACAAAGGACACACTTAGAGAAATGCAAAATGTACTGGAAAGTCTCAGCAATAGAATTGAACAAGCCAAAGAAAGAAATTCAGAGCTCGAAGACAAGTTTTCAAAATAACCCACATCAACAAAGACAAAGAAAAAAGAATAAATAAAAATGAACAAAGCCTCCAAGAAGTTTGGGAGTATGTTAAATGACTGAACATAAGAATAATTTTTTTTTTAATTTTTTTTTATTTTATTTTTTTTTTTTTTAATTTTTTTTTTTAATTGTTCCTAAGAAGAGAAATCTAAAAGCTTGGAAAACATATTTGGGGGAATAATTGAGGAAAACTTCCCCAGCCTTTCTAGAGATCTAGATATCCAAATACAAGAAGGTCAAAGAATACCTGAGAAATTCATTGTAAAAAGATAATCACCCAGGCACATAGTCATCAGGTTATCTAAAGTCAAGATGAAGGAAAGAAACTTAAGACCCATGAGGCAAAAACACCAGGTAATGTATGAAGGAAAACCTATAAGATTAACAGCAGGTATCTCAGCAGAAATGCCACAAACTAGAAGGGATATGAACCATACCTTCAGCCTCCTTAAAACAATTATCAGCCAGGAATTTAGTAGTCAGTGAAACTAAGCTTCATAAATGAAGAAAAGATGCAGTCTTTTTTAGACAAACAAATTCTGAGAGAATTTGACAGTATGAAGCAAGCACTACAAGAACTGCTAAAAGGAGCTCTACATCTTGAAACAAATCCTGGAAACACTTTACAACAGAACCTCTTTAAAGCATGAATCTCACAGACCTCTACAATCAAAATACAATAAACGAATTTAAACGAATTTTTTAAAAACCCAACGTATTCAAGCAACAAACAGCACAATGGGTGGGACAGGACCTCATATCTAAATACTAACATTGAATTAAATGGCCTAAATGCTCCACTTCAAAGATACAGAATTGAAGAATGGATAAGAATTCACCAACCAACTATCTGCTGCCTTCAAAAGACTCACCTAACACATAAGGACTCACATAAACTTAAGGTAAAAGGATAGAAAAAGACATTCCATGCGAATGGACACCAAAAGCAAGCAGGAATAGCTATTCTTATACCAGACAAAACAACCTATAATGAAACAGCAGCTTAAAAAGACAAAGAAGAATATTATATAATGATAAAAGGCCTTGTCCAACAGCAAAATATCACAATCCTCAATATATATGCACTTATCACTGGCACTCCCAAATTTATAAAACAATTACTACTAGACATAAGAAATGAGATAGACAGCAACACAATAATAGTGGGGGACTTCAATATTCCACTGACAGCACTAGACAGGTCATCAAGACAGAAAGTCAACAAGAAACAATGGACTTAAAGTATAACCTAGAACAAATGGACTTAATAGATATTTACAGAAAATTCTACCCAACAATCACAGAATATACATTCTATGCATCAGCACATGGAATATTCTCCAAGATAGACCATATGATAGGCCACAAAACAAGTCTCAATAAATTTAAGAAAATTGAAATTATATCAAGTACTCTCTCAGATCTCAGTGGAAGAAAATTGGAAACCAACTACAAAAGGAACCTTCAAAACCATACAAACACATGGAAATTAAACAGCCTGTTCCTGAATGATCATTGGGTCAACAATGAAATCAAGATGAAAATGTAAAAGTTCTTTGTACTGAACAATAATAGTGACACAACCTATCAAAACCTCTGGGACACAGCAAAGATGGTGTTAAGAGGAAAGTTCATAACCTTAAATGCCTTCATCAAAAAGTCTGAAAGATCACAAATAGACAATCTAAGGTCACACCACAAGAAACTAGAGAAACAAGAACAAACCAAATGCAAGCCCAGCAGAAGAAATTAAGTAACCAAGATCAGAGCAGAACTAAATAAAATTGAAACAAACAAAAAAAATAAAGAAGATAAATAAAACAAAAAGGTGGTAACCATTAGCAAGATCATTAGCAAGATTAACCAAGAAAAGAAGAAGATCCAAATAAGCTCAATTAGAAATGAAATGGAAGATATTACAACTGACACCACAGAAATACAAATGATAATTAAAGGCTACTGTGAACACCTTTATGCACATAAACTAGAAAACCAAGAGGAGATGGATAAATTCCTAGAAATATACAATCCTCCTAGCTTAAATCAGGAAGAGTTAGAAAGCCTGAACAGACCAATAACAAACAGAGATTAAAATTGTAATTTAAAAATTACCAAAAAAATAAGTCCAAGACAAGACAGATTCACAGCTGAATTCTACCAGAGATTTAAAGAAGAATTGGTACCAATCATACTGACACTATTTCACAAGACAGAGAAAGAGGGAACCCTCCCTAAATCATTCTATGAAGCCAGTATCACCCTAATACCAAAGCCAGGACAGGACATAACAAAAAAAGAAAACTACAGACCAATATCCCTGATGAATATAAATGCAAAAATTCTTAACATAATTTATGTTTTCACTTTAGTTAAATCACACCTATTCTTAAGGAAACCAACTGTAATATAATTTAGTCTGAAAATGATTAAGAAAAATGTTAAAATCTACATAGTTTTTGATGAAAATCAATATATTATAGTACAAGTTGTTAAATTTGTTAAAATGGTTATTATATTTCTTAAGTAAATATGCAAATATAATAGAAAAAAATCCTGATCATGACTGCATCAGTCAGGGTTCCATAGATGTATGGTAAGTAATCCATTTTCTCATTGAAGGAGTCAACTAAGCAAGTCCAGTAGCCATTGATCAGGCTATCTAACAGAAGCTGAAACTCATGGGTGTGGACTGAAGCTGATGTCCATAGGCAGAATTTCTTCTTATTGACTAAAACATTCTGAGGCAGTAATTAAGTACATGATCACACAGAACCTCACCCTCTATAGATATTTGATTAGGGATATTCAATAGCATTATTTTGCATGTTTCTTTTACCACATTATGCCATGAAGTGCTGGTGTCCTTTTTAGCACTGAAAACTGAATCTTTAGTTACTTTCAGTCTAATTAGATTAAAGAACTAATTCAGAAGTTTCATGCTTAAGAATCTATTTAGATTAAAGAACTAATTCAGAAGATTCATGCTTAAGAATCTGTTCTTTTGGAACCACTTTCAGCATGAAGATCTTTATTGCTGCTGTAACAAATTATCACAAACTAGTGGCTGAAAACAATACACATTGTGTTACACCCTACAGGTGTGTAGGTCAGAAATTGGTATTACTGGGCTAAAATCAAGGTGTCAGCAGAGATGTGTTCCTTGTCCTGCCATATACTCTAGGGGAGAATCTATTTCCTGGCTTATTCAGATGTTGCCAGTTTCAGTTCCATATGACTGTAAAACTACAGTCTCTTTTTCCTTGCTAGCTGTGTTGGCTAGAGGCTCTTCTTAACTCTTAGAGATTTCTCTTGGGTTCTTGAATGTAGACACCTACATCTCAGGACCAGTAAGTAACAGGACATTGAATCCACTTTATGCTACTATTTCTTTGCCTCACTTCCTGTCTTCCTCTTTTGCTTTCTAAGATTACCATTATTAATAGATTTCTTTCTTTCTTTCTTTCTTTTTTTTGTGAGCAACAGGGCTGTTTATTTCACCTGGGTGCAGGCGGGCTGAGTCTGAAAAGACAGTCAGCAAAAGGAGATAGGCGTGGGGCCGTTTTATAAGATTTGGGTAGGTAAAGGAAAATTACAGTCAAAGGGGGGTTGTTCTCTGGCGGGCAGGAGTGGAGGTCACAAGGTGCTCAGTAGGGGAGCTTTTGAGCCAGGATGAGCCAGGAGAAGGAATTTCACAAGATAATGTCATCAGTTAAGGCAGGAACAGGCCATTTTCACTTCTTTTGTGGTGGAATGTCATCGGTTAAGGCAGGAACCGGCCATCTGGATGTGTACGTGCAGGTCACAGGGGATATGATGGCTTAGCTTGGGCTCAGAGGCCTGACATTCCTGTCTTCTTATATTAATAAGAAAAATAAAATGAAATAGTGGTAAAGTTTTGGGATGGCGAAAATTTTTGGTGGTGGTATGGAGAGAGAATGGGCGATGTTTCTCAGGGCTGCTTCAAGCGGGATTAGGGGCAGTGTGGGAACCTAGAGTCGGAGATATTAAGCTGAAGGAAGATTTTGTGGTAAGGGGCGATAATATGGGGTTGTTAGAAGAAACATTTGTCATTTAGAATTATTGGTGATGGCCTGGATACGGTTTTGTATGAATTGAAAAACTAAATGGAATAAGAGAAGGAGAAAAACAGGTATTAAAGGTCTAAGAATTGGGAAGACCCAGGACATCTAATTAGAGAGTGCCTAAGGAGATTCAGCATAGTCCTGCCAGCAAGGATGATTTATTTACTTTAAGAGTTAAGAGTGGCAGTTTGGGGATAGCACCAGGAGATATCAGCTGTGATGGCTTGGAGAAACAGTGTAAACCGGCAGTGTAAACAAGAGCAGACTCTTGGTATTCAGTGAAACCTTTATATCCCTTAGGGTCCTCAGTCTTCAGGAAAGGTAGAATGGACTAATGGTCTTTTAAAAACTCACCTTACCAAGCTCAGCCACCAACTTAAAAAGGACTGGACAATACTTCTACCACTTTCCCTTCTCAGAATTCAGGCCTTTCCTCAGAATGCTACAGGGTACAGCCCATTTGAGCTTCTGTATGGATGCTCCTTTTTATTAGGCCCCAGTCTCATTCCAGACACCAGACCAACTTGGACTGTACCCCAAAAAACTTGTCATCCCTACTATCTTCTGTCTAGTCATACTCCTATTCACCGTTCTCAACTACTAATAGATTTCATTTTTAAAGAATCATTTTAGATTTACAGAGAAATTAGACAGCACAGGAACTTCCCACGTAAGTTCTGCCCCCACATCTTCCCTGTCTACAGTCTCCCTTATTATGAACATCTTATGTTAGTATGGCCCATGTGGTATAATTAATAGACCTAAACTGACACCTTATTATTAACTAAAGTCCATAGGTTATTCAGGTTTTCTTAGATTTCCCATTCCAGGATTCTATACAGGTTACCACAACAGATTTAATTGTCACATCTCCTTAGGCTCCTGTTGGCTGTGACAGTTTCTCAGACATTCCTTATTTTTGATGACCTTGATAAGTTCAGGGAGTTTTGGTTAGATGCATTGTAAGATGCTCTTCTATCGGAATTTGTCTGGCATTTTTCTTGGGATTTTACTGGTATTGTGGGTTTTAGCGGGGAATACCACAGTGATAACATACCATTTTTAATTACATCATAACAAGAAAATATGCTATCAACATGATTTATGGCTATTCATCTTAACCTTGATCTTGTGGCTGAGACTGCACTTGTTAGATGCTTCCACTGTAAGTTACTCTTTTCCTCCTTTTCTCATACCTTAGTCTTTGGTATTAAACCTCCCATGTGCAGCCTATACATAATGAGTAGGGAGTTGTTGTCCCCCCTTAAGACTGAAGTTTCTACATAATTAATTTGCAATTCTTTGCCATGGAAGATTTGTCTTCTCTTCCTCACTTATGAATTTATTAATCATTATTTTTTGTCAATATGAACTCATTTATTTTATACTGTGAGTTACAATCTAATAATACTTTATTTTGCTTCTCAAATTTCTGCAGTTTGGGCTGGATCTTATGTAATATAAACAAAAATCTTTATTTGCTTAATAATTTTGTTATTTAATTTATTCTTGAATTTATTATGTAAGGAATAAGGATTTTAAAAATATTTATTTTGAACTTAATATCAAGGAACTCAAAAGTAAATAAAATGTAGGAAAAAACTTATTGATAAGTCAGTTAAAGACCAATAACAAATGTTACAGCAGTAAAAACACTTATTATAGCCTCAATCATTCTGGAACTCACTTTTAAAATCCTTTAAAGTTATGGCATTATAAATTGATGTTTAAGGTGTCCTAATATTGATATCAAGAATTTATGTCCTTCATTTGATCCTGACTACTACTTTGCAAAAGACAGTATCATCTTATTTAGATTTAGATCATTTGGTAGCCTTAAGAAATTATCTGACAATACCAACAAATACAAAAGCAAATATCATTGATAAATTGATTTGAGATGTGAAGAAACATTTTCTTACATCTATTTTACATAAATCATTGCTATAGGCACACTGCATTTTAAAAAAACAAGGTGATAGTGTAACTTAAACAAGTTCAAAAGCTAGTAAAAACAATAAAATATATCCCACAAAACAATCATATAGACAAAATATAGGTGCCAAAGGGAGATGTGACCAAAATACTTTGAGAAAAAAAGAGACGAATATGAAGGGTCAAAAATGAGGAAGAAAGAGTGTTGGAATTTAAGAGTATTGACTCCTAATTCTATTCCCACTACCTTCTCCTATTAAGCATAATTTGACGTCAAGACCATCCAGTTATTTAAGAAGCAGGCTGCTACAATTATGTTGATTGCAGGGCAACCAGGTAAATGAACTTTCATGTTTTTCAATTCATGGTCCTTACAGTCAGCCAGTATAAGAAAAGTGCATTCTCTACATACTTAATCCAATTAGAGCCTAATCATATATCTTGTGTGCAATGTTTCTAAAGAGATACAACAACAAATTCTCCTCTGCTCCAGACACAATGTATATGTGACACATCACAGCACTGCAAACTCAGGGACTCCAGATGGTGTTACCACAACATTTGAAGACTGAATTACCAAAGTATGTAAACCAAAATAGACCACTAATAGGAGCAACATATACAATCAGTCAAAGTGCACAAAACAACATAAGGAATCACTACTCAAAAAGGGAAAACATTTAACAAATGTCAGAGATGAGAAAGTATATGGGATAAGTGTAAATACCATCCATTACACTGATAACTCCAACATCTAAGTCTCCAGTCCCAATCTTTTACACAAATCTACACCCTTACAGGACAACTCTACTTGGCTGCCAGCGAGGCATTTCAAATTTAACATGTTCCAGACAGCATTCTTGATTACCCATGGAATCTCCTGACCCTGAATTTTCCATATCAGAAAATGATGGTATCATTCACTAAGCAGGTTTGGTCAGAAAACTAGAAGTAATCCTCCATTCTTCTCTTTTAATTATATCCTAAAACTAGATCTCAATCAATTAGCAAGTTTTATCAACCTCTATTTAAAATATATCACAAATCTTATTTCTGACCACCTCCACCTTTACTACCCCATTGCAGCCAATATGATCTCTAAATAGCACTACTATAATCATCTTCTAATGGTTTCCCATGTTTCCACTCATGTTCCACTCTGTAATTGGTTTTAAATGGCATTCTGAGCCATCTGTTCAAAACGTGAGTCAGATCATGACACTTCTCTGCTCAAGTCCTGCAATGTCTTTTAATCACACATAAAACAAAAATCGAGATTTTACATTCGTAGCTGGAACAAAACTAAATCACCTATTATTTCCAAGGATTCTTCTGCAAACTAAACTCTGTGTGGTTTGCACAGTTGATCTCACCAAACACTGGATACGTGCGTGCCTTGATCTTGGACTTCCCAGACCCTAGAACCTGAGAAATACTTTTCTGTTGTTTAAGCCTTCCAGTCTATGATAATGTGTTATAACAGTCCAAACTGATTATTGGCCAGCACTTAGTCACACAGCTACATCAACTGCAGAGAAAGCTGGGAATGTAGCCTGTATATACAACCACATGGCCAGCTAGAACCTGTAAGCTTGAATATTAAAGAATGAGGTAATGAAGAGATATTGTTGGGCTTCTAGTATTTGTCATAAGTTCTGTGCCATATCTTCCTACTACTTAGTAAACTATTGTGTTTTTATTCACTTATTTTCAATGTATTCAATATATCAAAAAATTACTTCTTTCTTTGTCACACCCCTCCAATTTACTATTTCCTTAATGGTCAGATTTGATATAGGTATTAGAAAACACTTAGATTAAATTAACTTCTATTATATAATGTAAAGATAATGAATACTACATATTCAAGGACTATGTATTATATTAGGCAATCCTCACATTTCTGTAAGGAACTGCCTGAGACTATGTAATTTATAAGAAAAAAAGTTTAATTGGCTCATGGTTCTGCAGGCTATACAGGAAGCATAGCAGCATCTGCTTTTGCGGAGGCTTCAGGAAGCTTCCAATCATGGCACAAGATGAAAGGAGAGTAGGAACATCACATGGCAAAAGCAGGAGAAAGAGAGAGACGGTGGGGTGGGAGATGCCACACTAATTTAAACCACTAGATCTCATGTGAACTCAGAGAGAGACTCACTTATCACCAAGAGCATGGTTCAAGCCATTCCTGAGGGATGTGCCCCCAAGATTCAAACACCTTTCACCAAGCCCCACCTCCAACAGTGGAGGTTGCATTTCACCATGAGATTTGGGTGGGGATAAATATCCAAATTATATCACATATTATATTACATTTTAAAGAACATTTTCATTTAAAATTCTATTTAATTGGAGCATACTGAAGATTCTAACACCAAATATGGAAGAAATAGAAAGATACAAATTAACCATAAAGGAATTTAGTTTGATTTTCCAAATCCATGCTTCCCATTATCATGATCAGGAATTTTACTTCTATGAATGGGCAAAGAATCTGTATGTCATGACTTTTTTATTTCTCTGTCTTTCACAATCTGGGACTGAATGTTATTTTGGAATAAACCATTCTGTCTTGGAAACCATTATCTATACTTTGTGAGTAATAAACATGAAGGCAAGGAACATAGTAATTGCTATATAAAAATCATTTCATAAAAAGTATTTACAGTCAATTGATCTTTGATAAAAGAACACCCAATGGGGAAAGGATAATACTTTCAATTAATTGATCTGGAAAAACTAGATATCCCCTCATATGTTTAGGCTTTGTGTCCCAACCCAAATCTCATACTGAATTATAATACCCATAATCCCCACATGTCAAGGGAGAGATCAGGTGGAGGTAATTGGATCATTGGGGTGGTTTCCCCCATGCTGTTCTCATAATAGTGAGTAAGTTCTCATGACATCTGATGGTTTTATGTGTTTGGTAGATTCTCCTTCATTCATTCTCCTTCCTGTCACCTTGTGAAGAGGGTGCCTTGCTTCCCCTTTGCTTTCTGCCATGATTGTAAGTTTCCTGAGGCCTCCCCAGGCATACTGAACTGTGAGTCAATTAAACCTCTTTCCCTTAAAATTACCTAGCTTCAGGAAGTTTTTTAATAGCAGTGTAAGAATAAACTAATACATCCACATAAAGAAGAATAAAATTGAAACCTTATCTCACCCTACCTACACAACTTAACATGGATTAAAGACTTAAATATTAAGACCTGAAATTGTAAAAATGCTAGGAAAAAAAAAAACAGAGGAAAGCTTCTTGACCTTGATCTGGGCAATAATTTTTTCAGCTATGACCTCAAGAGAATAGGCAATGAAACAAAAATAGACAAATGGCATTACATCAAACTACAAAGCTTCTGCACCACAAATAAAACAATTAACAGAGCAAAAAGACAACACATGAGTGGGAAAAAATATATGCAAACCATACATCTGATAAGGGGGTGATTTCCAAAATATGTAAAGAACTCAAACAACTTAATAGCAATAAAGCAAATTAAACTTGACTTTTTTTAAATGGGCAACACACCTAAACACACATTTCTCAAAACAAGATACACAATTGGCCAGCAGGTGTAGGAAAAAATGCCCAACATTACTAATCATCAGGAAAATGCAAATAAAAACCACAGTGAGATATCACTTCACACCTTTTAGAATGAATGCTATAAAAAGGCAAGAGATAAGAAGGATAGAGAGAAAAGGGAACCCTTGTACACTGTTGATGAAGTGTAAATTAGTACAGCCATTATGGAAAACAGTACGAAGTTTCCTCAACTAGCCATAGAACTACCAGATGATCCAGCAATTCCACTTCTGGATATATACATTTAAAGGATATGATATCAGTATTTCAAAGAGCTATCTACACTTCCATGTTCATTGCAGCATTGTTCACAACAGACAATATAATGGAATTGGCCTAAGTGTTCACTGATAGATGAAGAGATAAAATGTGGCATATATAAACAATGGAATACTAATCAGATTTGAAAAATAAGGAAATCCTGTAATTTGTGACACAGGGATGGACCGGAAGGACATTATGCTAAGTGAAATAAGCTAGGTACAGGAAGATAAATATTTAATGATCTCACTTCTGTGTGAAATCTAAAAAACTTGAACCATTAGAAGCAGGGAGTATAATGGTGGTTGTCAGGAGCTAGGGTTTGAAGGGAAATAGGGAGATGTTGATCAAAGAATACAAAGTTTCATTGAGGTATGATGAATAAATTATGGAGATCTATCATACATCTACAAAAGCCCCACATTATATTTAATGTTAAGAAACTCAAAGCTTTCCCACTAAGATTAGGAACAAGAAAAGGATATTTCCTATCCTTGCTTTTCAACATCGTACTGTAAGCACTACATGCTTCCACTGCTTTTCAACATTGTACTCTAAGTTCTAGCCAAAATAATAAGACAAGAAAAGGAAATAAATGTATACAGATTGGGAAGGAAAAAAATAAAACAGTTTTTATTCACAGATGATATAATTGTCCATGTAGAAAATCCAAAAGCTTAAATAAAAAAAAACCTTCGGGAACTAAAAATTAATTATAGCATGTTTGCAGAATACAAAAAGATTAATCACTTTCCTATACAGAGTCAGCCTTCTGCATCTGCTAGTTCCACATCTATGGGTTTAACCAATTATAGACAAAAATACTTGAAGAAAATGGATTGTTGTGTCTGTACTGAACATGTACAGATTTTTTTCCTTGTCACTATTCTCTAAAAAATATAACAACTGTTTACACAGCATTTTCGTTGTATTAGGTATTATAAGTAATCTTGAGAGTATTTAAAGTATATGAGAAGATATGCACAGGTTATATGCAAATAGTACAGCATTTTATATGAGACTTAAATATTCAAGGATTTTGGTATCCATAAGGAATTCTGTAACCAATCCCCCACCAATACTGATGGCTGTATTAGCAATAACATGTGAAATTTGAAATTAAAAACACAAACCATTTAATTAACACCCCTCAAAATGCAAGAGTTAGATGTAAATCTAACAAAATATGTACAAGATCTATATGAAGATAATCACAAAACACTAATGAAAAAAGTCAAAGAACTAAATAGAGAGATATTACATATTCATGGACTTAAAGATTAGATACTGTAAAGCTGCCTGGTTTTTCCTTGATTTATAGATTCAATGCAATCCTAATCAAATTCCCAGGAAGTTATTTTGTGGCTACCAATGAACTGATTCTAAAGCTTATATGGAGAGACACAAGACCCAGAATAGCCACACAATATTGAAGGAGAAGAACAAAGTTAGAGGACTGACATTACCTGACGTTAAGCCTTATTATAAAACCACAGTAATCAAGATAGTGTGATATTGGTGAAATTATAGACAAATAGATTAACAAAGCACAATAGAGAGCCCAGAAATAGACTTATGCAAATAGTCAACTGATCTTTCACAAAAGAGCAAATGCATCACGATGGAGAAAATATAACCTTTTCAATAAACAACTGAATATACATACACAAAAAATGAATCTATACACAAAACAATTAACTCAAATGGATCACAGAACTAAATGTAAAATCCAAAAACTCCTAGAAGAGATCATTGGAGAAAATCTAAATGACCACGTGTTTGGTGATAAACTTTTAGATACAACGCTGAAGTTATAAACCATAAAAGAAAAAAGGTGATAAGCAGCACTTCATTAGTAGTAGCAAGACACTTTTGAGAGAATGAAAAGATAAGCCACGGATAGGAAGAACGTATTTGCAAAAGACATATCTGATAAAGGACTGTTATCTAACATATATGAAGAATTCTTGAAACCTAAAAATAAGAAAACAGACAACCAGGTTAAAAAATGGTCCAAAGCCCTTAACAGAAACTTCACTAAAGAACATATGCAGACGGAAGATAAGCATATGAAAAGATGCTCCACATCATATATAATCAGAAAATGCAAATTAGAACAACAATGAAATACCACAATATACCTTTTAAAATGGCAGAAATCCAGAACACTGACAATACCAAATGCTGGTGAGGATGTGGAGCAATCATAACTCTTATTTATTTCTGGTGGGAAAGAAAAATGGTTCCAAAATAAACTTTGGAAGATGGTTTGGTTGTTTCTCTACAAAACTAAACATACTTTTACCAAACCATCCAGCAATCACCCTTTTGTATTTACCCAAAACAGCTGAAAACTTATTTACATAAAATCTACACACAACTATTTATAGCTGCTTTATTCATAGTTGCCAAAACCTGGAAGCAAATAAAATGTCCTTCAGTAGGTAAATGGATAAACAAAATGTTACATCTAGACAATGGTATATTTTTAGTGCTAAAAAGAAGTAAAATACCAAGCCATGAAAAGACATGGCATAAATTTAAGTGCCTATTACTAAGTGAAAGAAGCCAATATGAAAAGACTACATACTGTCTGAATCTGCGTAGATGATATTCATATATATATATACATATATATATTATACTTTAAGTTCTAGGGTACATATGCACAATGTGCATGTTTGTTACATATGTACACATGTGCCATGTTGGTGTGCTGCACCCATTAACTCGTCATTTACATTAGGTATATCTCCTAATGCTATCCCTCCCCCCTCCCCCCACCCCACAACAGGCCCCAGTGTGTGATGTTCCCCTTCCTGTGTCCAAGTGTTCTCATTGTTAAATTTGCACCTATGAATGAGAACATGCAGTGTTTGGTTTTTTGTCCTTGCAATAGTTTGCTGAGAATGATGGTTTGCAGCTTCATCCATGTCCCTGCAAAGGACATGAACTCATCATTTTTTATGGCTGCATAGTATTTCATGGTGTATATGTGCCACATTTTCTTAATCCGGTCTATCATTGATGGACATCTGGGCTGGTTGCAAGTCTTTGCTATTGTGAATAGTGCCGCAATAAACATACGTGTGCATGTGTCTTTATAGCAGCATGATTTGTAATCCTTTGGGTATATACCCAGTAATGGGATGGCTGGGTCAAATGGCGTTTCTGGTTCCAGATCCCTGAGGAATCGCCACACTGTCTTCCACAATGGTTGAACTAGTTTACAGTCCACCAACAGTGTAAAAGTGTTCCTATTTTTTCACATCCTCTCCAGCACCTGTTGTCTCCTGACTTTTTAATGATCACCATTCTAACTGGTGTGAGATGGTATCTCATTGTGGTTTTGATTTGCATTTCTCTGATGGCCAGTGATGATGAGCATTTTTTCACGTGTCTGTTAGCTGCATAAATGTCTTCTTTTGAGAAGTGTCTCTTCATATCCTTTGCCCACTTGTTGATGGGGTTGTTTTTTTCTTGTAAATTTGTTTGAGTTCTTTGTAGATTCTGGATTATTAGCCCTTTGTCAGATGAGTAGATTGCAAAAATTTTCTCCAATTCTGTAGGTTGCCTGTTCACTCTGATGGTAGTTTCTTTTGCTGTGTAGAAGCTCTTTAGTTTAATTAGATCCCATTTGTCAATTTTGGCTTTTGTTGCCATTGCTTTTGCTGTTTTAAACATGAAGTCCTTGCCCATGCCTATGTCCTGAATGGTATTGCCTAGATTTTCTTCTAGGGTTTTTATGGTTTTAGGTCTAACATTTAAGTCTTTAATCCATCTTGAATTAATTTTTGTTTAAGGTGTAAGGAAGGGATCCAGTTTCAGCTTTCTACATATGGCTAGCCAGTTTTCCCAGCACCATTTGTTAAATAGGGAATCCTTTCCCCATTTTTTGTTTTTGTCAGGTTTGTCAAAGATCAGATAGCTGTAGATGTGTGGTATTATTTCTGAGGGCTCTGTTCTGTTCCATTGGTCTATATCTCTGTTTTGATATCAGTACCATGCTGTTTTAGTTACTGTAGCCTTGTAGTATAATTGAAGTCAGGTAGCGTGATGCCTCCAGCTTTGTTCTTTTGGCTTAAGATTGACTTGTCTGCCCAGATGACATTCTATAGAAGTCAAACTATGGAGACACTAAAAAGAACATTGGTTACCAGGAGTTAGTGGGAAGGGAGGGATACATAGAGCAGAGAGGGTTTTCAGGGCAGTGAAACTACTCTGTATCATAATAATGAATACATATCAACATAAATTGATCCACAGCCATAAAATATATAGCACCAAGAGCGAACTCTAGAGTAGACTATACACCTTGTGTAATAATGACATGTCAACGTAAGTTCACCAGTTGTAATAAGTGTACCACTCTGATGGGTGATCTTAATAATAGGTGAGGCTATGTATGTGTCAGGGCAGATGGGGATATGGAACATTGTTGTACCTTCTGCTTAATACTCCTGTGAACCTAAAACCACTGTAAAAAACAAAGTCTATTTTCGTAAAAAGTTATGAACTCACAAAAGGTGGATGAATATAAAAACAATTATGCAGCTTAAGAAGCCAGACCACCCCCTGCCATAGTGTTAATATCTTCTTGTTTACTGATTCAATTTGTTTCAACTTCTAGAAGACATAAAATAATCTCTAATGGGAGAAATAAGATCAGTATTTGCTTATTGATGAAGAAAGACGATGGAGGAGCAGATGAGACAGATTATAAAGAAGCACAGAGAAATAATTAGAGTTGATAGATGTGTTCATTATCCTGATTGTGGTGATAATTCTTTAGCGATATACATATGTCAACACATTAAATTTTACACTTTAAATATGTGAAAGACATATTGTGTTTTAATAATATCTGAAAAAGATGTTTTAATACATTTTTAAAAGCAGACTCAATAGTATCATTGGATTTTAATATGAAAGAAAAAAGGTGAAAGTTACCATCATGGAACAGTTCATAATATCATGGAGACTTATGAACATGTCTTGAATATGAATGCCGTCTGTCATTTGTGTGTTAGAGGGAAACAACTGTTTCAGACTATGCTGGAAGTTGGGACAATACACAGGATAAGACATGGTTCCTTTACTTCAAATTCTCATAGGAATTGCAGACAACAAATTCTCATAGGAATTGCGGACAACAGAACTCATCATTCTCCATCTCAAATTGTGAATTTCTAAAGGAACACAGTATTCTAGACTCATAAACTATTAGAGATGGAAGCAACTTAAGTTCACATAGTCATACCTAGCTATGTTCAGAAGACAGAATTTTCTAGACAAGCCACAGTAAACTCACAAGAGTGCACAGAAATATATTGGCATGGTTGGAACTAAAACTCACCTCTCTGGCTCCCAGCCCAGGATTGTCTCCATTACATCAGTGCATCATTTCCCTTTTACTAAACACTACACCCTAAGCATAGTCAATGGTCCATATATTTGCTTACCAACTGATGATCCTAATTGACAAAATGTACCAAAGGAGGCCCTCCAAATTATATTCTGTTCAAAAGGTTAAGGGGCAAATAGTTCACAAAGATAAGAAATACTGGGAAATCCTGGATTTTCTTTTTAATTCCTTTTTTCTGTTTGGGATTAGACATATTTACATATAAATGTTCTAAAATGAACAAACAAACAATGAAGAGCTATTTCTCTACATACAATAAGAAAAATTAATTTGCACTGTGGTGGGAAAAAATCCAGAATGGATTGCTAAAATGTCAATTTATGAATTAAGACTATTAGTAGAGATTAAATCAGCCTGATGAACAATCAGTGGGAGACTTTTGAGAAGCTCTATGCTATTTATAGTAACGGCTCTGAAGTTTTGCTCTTCATTTATATTAGGTAACAAAATTACTACTGCAACAGAAGCACTTTATAGGATCTATGGCACTTGGCAGCAAAAGAGAATTGATTCCAAGCCAAGGAAATGACAGCACAGTATAGCTGGTGCTGACTTGAAGGAAGGAAAAAAAAAGAAGAATGGATAATAATAGATGCATATGGGCAGTGAAGAAAAGTGCAATCAGCTCAGATTAATTACAAGTTCAGTACATGTGCAAGGGACAAATTTTGAAGGTGACCGAGATAAAAAGGGATGGGCATTTAAGCTGGCTGTAGGGAATGGATAAATTTATACAAAAAAAGAAAGAAAGAAAAAGAAAAGCCTCTAAATTCACATCAGCAAGGACAAAAGACCTGTCATAAGAGACATGTCATGAATAGTTCTATAAGCAGGAAGAACTAATCAAAGTAATCACAGGCCCTGGCACATGGAGAAACATTTAATCTGTCCAAGGGAACTACCTTTAGTTCTTGTTATATGTGATGTTCATTTTTCATAGGTCATTTTGGAAAAGGTATCATAGTGAACAGTATACTGATGACTTATTGAGAAAAAAATGCTTAAAAATGTTAATAATAATGTAAACTACAAACCTTAGTTTCTAATAGAACTATACTCTCATATTCCAAGGTCATACATTAACTAAATTCACCCTTCTAGATCATAGTCCATACTTATTAGTATGAAGAAAACAAAACCAACCAACCTCTTTGGCCAAAATCAACAGCACAAAATACAGGAACTTTGATTATATGAGAGATCTTCATTCAGAGCACGACTATTATTTTAGATGATTTTATTAAGATCGTGTTCTCTAAGGCAGATACGTAGCAGCAAGTTCTACAGGGGGAAGATCTGCTAAATATAGTTTAAGAGCAGAAAAATGTGTATAAAACCATATAAGCTGAGAAACAGTCACAAAAATTATAAATATAGACAAAAAACCTTAGCAGAGGCCAATTAATGTAGAAGAGAAACATACAATTCCACACCTCAATCGATCATGATGCCATCACATGCTATTATTATATAAGATGATTTATGTTCAGAGTGATGACTCAAAGTCATTGAATGAATAAAAAATCATTTTCTGTGTACTCCACAGCAAAGCCAGGAAAGTGAAAAGTACATTATAGAAAAGCCTCCATGCAAGATTATTAAACTGAAAAAATTATTGCCTTGAGTATAGAAGTTATCTGGAAAATTCCCTTATGTGAAGCACCTCATTGGTAATGAGGTATTTTCTACACAGGCCACAGTAAATTCACCAGAGAAAAAAAGAAATATATATTAGTCATATCTCTTTTGCATGGAAGTGAGAAGAAACCCAATTAAAATGATTACATAATTTTTTGACCCATGTACCTGAAAAGTATAGTGGTAGGTTTGTGTTCAAATATGGCTGGACAGAGGTACATACAATTACCAGGAGTCTATTTTTGTTAATCTCTTGACTCAGTTTCTTTAACTTTTTATTTTAAAATACATTTAGAAGTTATAAGAACATTGGGAATTATATTAGTCCATTCTCACACTACTAATAAAAGCATACCCGAGACTGGGTGGTTTATAAAGAAAAAGTGGTTTAATGGACTCACAGTTCCACATGTCTAAGGAGCCCTCACAATCATGTTGGAAGACAAAGGAGGAGCAAGGTCACGTCTTACATGGTGGCAGACAAAAGAGTGTATGCAAGGGAACTCCCATTTATAAAACCATCAAATCTCATGAGATTTATTCACTACTGGGAGAACAGTATGGGGGAAACCCCCCACCCCATGATTCAATTATCTCCAACGGGCCCCACCGTTGACATGTGGGGATTATTACAATTTAAGGTGAGATTTGGGTGGGGACACAGCCAAACTGTATCAGGAATATATTACAAAGAGTTCACACATATTCTTTCCTTAGTTTTCTCTACTGTTAAAAATTTAGATAGCCATAATTTTAAAACCAGGAAATTAACATTGTTACAACACGACTATTAAACTACAGATCTTATTTGAATTTCATCAGGTAGTTTTTTTCCCTGAAAGTCTTTTTTTCTTTTCTAAGATCCAATCAAGGCTGCCACATTGCATTTAATGCTGTGTCTTTTTAGTCTCTTTCTATTTGGGACAATTCCACCGTCTTTTCTTACCTTTCATTATCTTGGTACTTTTTATAAGTACTGGTCCATTATTCTGTAGATGTGCCTGAATTTGTCTTTGTCTGATGTTTCTTTATGATTAGATTGAGGTTTTGCACTTTTGGCATGAATAACAGAATTATTTTTCCCCTATAAGTACATATTATTGGGGGAACACAGTGCCAATATATATTATTCCTGTCGATGTTAACCTTGATTACTTGGTTAAGGTTTCTCTACCAGGTTTTTCCATTGTAAAATTAACATTTTCCCCTTTGCAATTGATAGATAACTAAAGGGAGACACTTTGAGACTATGTTAATATCATTTTTCTCTTCAAACTTTCACTCAATGATTTTAACATCGATTGGTGAATATTGACAGTGTAAACCAAAAAGTATCTGAGATGGGACTCAATCAATTTAGAAGTTTATTTTGCCAAGGTTAAAGACATGCCTGGAAGAAAAGAACATAAAATCACAGAAACTGTCTGTGGTCTGTGACTTTCTCCAAAGATGAATTTGAGAAGTTCAATATTTAAAGGGGGAAAAGTGGGCTGGAGGGGAAGGAGGGAGTGTATGGTAATCCACAAGTGCAATAGAAAGGGAGCAGGCAGGGGAATAATCAATTACATATTCCTCTAGTACTTAGTAAATTGGCACTTTACATAAGATAGGGTGAACATAGAGTAGTTACCTGTGGAGAGATTTAACCTTTAACCTGTAGCTATCTGCTTAGCAACAAAAGGAAAAGCAGTTTTTGTGTGACTCAGTTTTCAGCTTAATTTTTTCCTTTAGACATAGTGAATTGTTTCCCATGTTTTTATTTTCCTTTCACAACCGCAACAATTATTCTGTGATGTTTGCCTTGGCAATGTTTCTTCTGCCCTAGATTCATTTTCAGAAAGACATTGCTGAAGAAATAGTGACCAAAAGTAACTCTAGACTTTAGTTCAACCAGCTCAGCAATCCCAATAAAAAGATCACACCTTTTTCCCCAGTTACAATGGTGCTACCAATTGTTTCCTTTGTGGGGGCATGTACTATACAGTGCTAACTCGATTACCATAGCCAAAGGGAAGGCCACTGTCATAGACAAGGCCTGGCTTATGTTACTCTTTCTCAAGTTGGGGGCTGGGATTGTCCCACTGAAACTACACAAAATGAGAATGGAGACAAGACTTCGTAGGTTAAAAAGAAAACAGCAAAAACAGTGACACAAAATTTGACACAGGTCAAATCAACAAATATCCACTGCACTATGATATAAATTATTATTCCTGATGTGGCCTGAGATCTAAGTTTGTGAAAAACAATTATGGAAACCCATTAGTATCCAAAAATATAAGCATTTAACTTTACCTTATTATCACAATGTGAAAGAATGCAAGTTCTTGGTCACCTATTTTAGTGTTTCCCAACCTCTACAGTAGCTATAATTTAAGATTTTCTTCTTCTCTGTCCTTGATAGAAGCAGAAAAAATAGCCATAATTGTTCTTACCATTAAAATAGATCATTAGTAAAATGCATGGCACATAGATAACTGGTCAAAAATGTCATTGTTATTATTATTATAACTATTATTAATATATTAAACTTGATATATATTTATGAAGTGCCTGTTTTATACAAGACAATAATAGATTATAGAAAACTGAAATAAGAAAGGATAGCTGATTATAGAGTACAGTCAATAGTGTGGGAGATAAAATATGTAGAAAACTCTAATACCAGGTAGAATGTAGCAAGTTTCTATAATAGATGCATAAGTACTATGGTTATAATACATGTTTATGTGTTTTAAATATTAAGTACCTCCTTAATCTTTTCTTCTTCAGGCAAAACAAAACAAACAAAACCCAAAGGACCACATTTTCAACTGGCTTTCCTTAAAAGATTAGCTCCCAGACACATTTAACTTAGGATATAAATTGGATGTCACATTAACCAGCAACTGAATAAGCAGAGCAAAGTACACTTGACTTCATTATTTTTAATATTTTAAATACAAAGACTTAAAAATTATAACAAATAATTCAGTCAGTGTTATTTTCCAGATTTAAGACTATAGTCCCTTTATGCAAAATATAAGACCTTCTCTGCATTTTTTCTATACACACAAAAAAATCAGATTATTTGATTTCTTTTTCACAAAAGGCTTTGTAGTTTAGAAATAGCTTTTGAATTAAATGACCAGATTGTTGCTAAGCAACAGTGTAAAACAATTCTTAGATATGGAGACATGTCTAAAGTATAAGCATGTCAGGCCTATGATAATGTCTGGGCATTTTGTGGACTCAGCTCATATTATTTGCAAAAATAAATATTTCTGTATTATCTTTCAAAAATGGTTATGTGTGTGTGAGCTGGTGTATTCACAGAAAGTGGATGGATTGAGGATGAAATAGAAAGCAAAATCTCAACCACCATTGGGTTAATTTTAATTTTTCAGTTCCATTTTGGCCCTGTTCACCTGCCAAGATATAAAATGTTTTTAATTACTTTTGGTTTCTTTGTTGTAACTCCTGAGGCATTTCTAAGACAACTATTCAGATATTCTGGATTAATGACCCTGTTCTGGAAATAAGGTCTTTTACAGATAATATTTCTGCAAAAATATGACAAGAAGCTACCCTCTGACTTGATAATATATATTATAACTTATAAATTATTGTATAATAAATGTAATTTTATTATGAAGGTACAGCAGTACAAATTCAGTAATTTATTATATAAAAAATGTCGGGTTTTGCTAATACCGCAAAAACCAGTAACACAATTGTCACTTCTTTCTTTTTCAGTGCTTTTGGAGGTTATATTTGTCACTTCTTAAACTAAAGGAAAAGACTCACTTTTCTTATAAAGTTGGAAGTAGTAAATCTGTTCCTTTGAAACTAGAGAAATATGTCCCTGCCTATGAAAACGCTGTTCTACTTTTGCAGAGGTAGCTGTATCATAGAGTGAATGTGGCAACTGATATGGCCATCACTGTGAAGAGCTGGGTACACACATCAGCCTCAGGACACCCCCTGCAGTCCTAACTTGGGAACGTAAACCTCAGCTATTGCAAGTAAACCATTTCTGCTTCATTCACATGAGAACATTTCCTTCACAAAAGTCACATGGACAAGACAAAATAAGAACTTACCTAAGGAAAAAAAAATGTCTTTGGGTAACTACTGTGCTAAGCTACTTTCTGCAGAGGTTAGGTACTATAGACATTAGGATCAGGAAAAACCAAGAAACAAACAATTGTGACTAAATTTTTCTCTAGGAGACACGGAAAGGAATTTGTTCAGCTCTTGAGAGATAAATGTATGGAGACAAATACAGAACAGCAAGAAAGTCAGAAGAACCAGAGAGACGGTGTGCAACAGGAGGCTTTTAAGAAGCATCCAACAGCAACTGTCTCCTTTCTAGTTATTTCTATTACTTCAGCCTTACCTCCTCCAACTTCAGCACCTCATTATAATATCCTTCCCAATCAATCTTCTATGGAACTACTTTAGTTATGAGTGTTTTCTTGTAGGATATTTCCCTGTAAGTCTTGTGAATGGTGGTAAGTTGGGTGGGGTGAAACACAGCATGTACAGAAACCTGAGCTCAAGGATAGAGAAACCATAACCACAGAAGCCCCAGTAAATTCATGCAACACTTGGAAAAAAGGCTTATGTTTCCACATATCATGGAATTGGAGGTTTGAACCTATCTCAAGTGACTTCAGAGGAGCAGGAGACTTCTACCCAGAGAATATCTAGCATATTGATATAAAGTTTGAATATGCCTTATCTGAAATGCTTGGGACCAGAAGTGTTTCAGATTTTAGATTTTTTTGGTGAATTTTAAATATTTGTATATACATAATGAGATAGCTTGGAGATGGTAGCCAAATCGAAACATAACATTTATTTTTTATATATATCTCATACACATAGCATGAAGTAATTTTATGAGATATTTTAAATAAGTTTATGCATGAAGCAAAATTTTGACCAGGAATATGACATGAGGTCTTCATGGAATTTTTCACTTATGGCATCATGTCAGCACCAAAAAAGTTTTGGATTTTGGAGTGTTTCAGATTTTGAATTTCCAGATTAGGAATGTTCAACCTGTAATATAAAGAAGTTTGATGTTTTGGGTTATTTTATCCACAGTATTTGTTGAACTGCCATTTTAGATAAATATGTAGAACAAATATAAGTTGTCACATATTATGGAGACATAAAACACAGGCAATAATATATTTGCTGCAGGAATGCCTTGTGCTTCCTACGTCTTTGAGATGCAGATCGCTGCCTGTTCAAATAAAACCAATCAGAACTCTAATTATATGATTATGCAATTCTTGAATTACATTAAGGTCACATTCAGATTGCATTTTATACCTGTAATTGGCATACTAGTTAATATGGTACTTTATACAAAATATAAACCAATTGAAGTGGTGTTTAGTGAATTGTGATAAAATAATAAGCTTAGACCCATGGAAAAAAGTAATAAGAAAGAACAGAACACATTTATATTTTGCAAAAAGCCAAAACAGCCCACTTTTGAATAGCACAACTTGCCTTCTTCATGCCTTCCCTAACGCTGGGTATTATTTTGCTTTTGCTGTTCCCAGACCCCAATATTTCCTTACTCAGAAAGCAAAATGATATCACAAAGATTATTTTATTCATAACCCTTTTTTGATTCATAAACTGGAAGCACTTTCAAAATTGAAGCTAAATTATTAGGAGGAATAAGGCAACTAAAATGTTTCCTCGGGTTATGAAGGGAGTAGTTACACATTCATAAATTACACATCATTAACTATGTAGTCTAGCAACCAAATCATGTGAGAGAAGATGTGACAATTTTTTATATTTTAACAAATATGACTAATTAAGAGGTAGACATTTTCTATCTAACTCAGAAGCAAACTTACCACCACAACTCCAGTTGTATTTTTTGAAAGGAGTTTAGTGTAAACTGTATTTGTAAAGTAAAATCTTCTCTTGGCTCCAATCTACTCCTTCCACCTTACTGTGATTCTTGGAAGCATTTTCAAATACAATGTGTTCCTAGGCAACTTCAACAAAAGAATTATATGTATTTAATTTTTAAAATGCTATAAAGTTGCCCCAGTGATATTGTCCTTGAGTTTGATGATATAAAAATAATGCATGTTCTTACTTAGACATATTTATTAGATATTGCTAAAAGTCTTGAGAATAAACTTTACTATGACTATATTAAATTTAACTTCCAAAGGAACGAAGAGACATTTCCTCATGAGGATTTGTAATTTAATATAGAAGAGTAATTTAGCGTAAACTCCAGAATATGTATAGTGTAAATAAAGAACTAGATTAGGTAGTAAGAAATATAAGGATTACACCCAATGGTGCATACATAGACACACACCCACAAGCACACACACATGTAGAGAAAGACACACACCCACAGGCTGTAGGCCACTTTTTCACAGAAGAATTTTGTTCACTGCAGAAATAGTAGATACCTTAAATACCTTAAAAGATTAAGATATCTTTGGTAAATAATGAAGAAAATAATTTCATCACTGGAAATTATTATTTTATAGAACAGATTATAGAAAGGGTCTATAAGAAGCTTGTCCAACCCCTAGCCTGTGAGTTGCATGCGGCCCAGAACAAATTTGAATGTGGCCCAACACAAATTCATAAACTTTCTTAAAACATTATGAGTTTTTTTTGCCACTTTTAAAAGGTCATCAGCTACTGTGTTCGTGTATTTTAGTGTGGCCCAAGACAATTCTTCTTCCTCCAATGCGGCCCAGGGAAGCCAAAATATTGGACACTCCTGATCTGTAACATATAATTTAAGAAAATAGTAATACATACAAAACAATTTTTAAAACATACCCAGGTCCCATTTCTGTAGCTCATGAATTTGATTTGGACTGGGTTTCCTTCATTTGCATTTAATGTTTTTACTTCCAGCTGGCTATGCACTGTATGACAATGCTCATTTTTGCTTACCTTATTAGAAACATTTATCTTCACAGTGTGTATCAACTGAATAAAATGACAGATACTCTGCCCAGTGTTTCCTCTCATTATGCTCTACTTGACCATACAAATGGTAATAGAGGTAAAACAGATACACAGGCCTCCAAAGCTGCATCAAAAGATGTAAAATTTCTTTGATCTTAACATCTTAAGTGAAGGTCCGATAAGGAACACATTACTCTATAATTTCCTTAAGAGTAGGATGAGCATGAATGAGCACCTGTCTTTTTTATTGTTTTATCCTGACCACCTAGTTGGGTTAAACATAGAAGATGTACAATAAAAATATGCCACATTATTTATAAATGTATGTAGTGGTTCAGAGATGCCAACTCCAAATAAGTGGGAAATGATTTTTTATGGATTTATTTTGAGATTTAAAAAAGTCAGATTCACTTCTATTCATGCTAAAGATTTAATGAATGGACTATAAAAAGATGTTTAAGACAATTCTACTTTCGATTTTTAGCAATTTCAATAACATGCCTTTTGAAACTGAAGGCAAAATATACCTTCTTGCAGAAATACATGTTATTGGAATTTTTCACAGATTGCTGAAAGCTCTAAGGGCTGAGATATAGTATTAGTTATCTCTTCCCTAGCACTCTTAACTGAAATATTCAGGTGCTCTATAAGAGTAGGGTTTTTGGGTGTTGTTTATACCATTCTGGAATGACTTAGTGGTGATAATTGCAAAATATTGTGAATACACCAAAAATCACTGATTTTACACTTTAATATTGTTAATGTGTTGAACTTTATGTTATATGAATTTTATCTCGATTTAAATAAATGAAAAACAAAAAAGTGATTTGAATGGAGAAGGCATTTTATTAAAATTTTGTAGTTAATTCTTATATTTAAAACAATTCCAACTTTAAAAAATTGCCTGCCAATTGATTAATAAAATAATAAGATGTGGCAGCCACTCACTCAGCGCCTCCTCTGGAGAGAGCATAATTGACACACACATCCAGCTACTATGTCTTTGAATTTCTATCTAGTCAGCAACTATATTAGTCTGCTAGGGCTGCATAACAAAATACTACAGACTGGGTGGTTTAAACAACAAAAATTTATTTTCTCACAGTTCTGGAGCCTGGAAGTCCAAAATTAAGGTGCCAGCAGGGTTGGTTTCTGGTGTGGCCTCCCTCATTCACTTGCAGACTGCACCTTCTCATTGTGTTCTCACATGGCTTTTCTTTTGTGGGATGTACAGAGAGGGAAAGAGAGAGAACTCTGGTGTCTCTTCCTCCACAGATGAGGACAACAGTCCTTTCATATTAGGACCTTACCTTAAGATTTTATTAAAACTTAATTATATTCTGAAAATCCCTATCTCTAAATACAGTCACACTGAGAGTTAGGATTTCTAAATATGAATTTTGGAAAGGCACAATTCAGTGTATAACAGCTCCAGACATCCCAGTGTGGCACTATTCCTCAAGGGACCAACTGACCACATGGTGGAAATCAACAGCATTGGGCCCTTTCCATCCTGAGAAGGGCAGTGGTTGATTCTCACAGGGTTAGACACCTACTTAGGATGTGCATTTGCCTTTCCTGCTTGCTGTGACTCAGTTGCCACCACCAGCCTGAGGCTATTGATACAGACATACCCAAGACTTGGCAATTAAAAAAAAAAACAGGTTTAATCGACTTACAGTTCCACATGGCTGGGGAGGCCTCACAATCATGGTGGAAGGCAATTCTCCATAAGAGCCCCAGCCCTGCAGCAAAATTCTGCCTGGGCATCCAGGCATTTCCATACATCCTCTGAAATCTAGGTGGAGGTTCCCAAACCTCAATTCTTGACTTCCATGTACTTGCAGGCTCAACACCACATGGAAACTGCCAAGGCTTAGGGCTTCCACCCTCTGAAGCAACAGCCCGAGCTGTACCTTGGCCCCTTTTAGTCACGGCTAGAGCAACTGGGACACACATCACCAAGTCTCTAGACTGTACACAGGAGAGGGGCCCTGGGCCCAGCCCATGAAACCATTTTTTCCTCCTAAATCTCCAGGCCTGTGATGAAAAGGGCTGCCATAAGAGTCTCTGACGTGCCCTGGAGATCTAACATTCAGCTCCTCATTACTTATGCAAATTTCTGCAGCTGGCTAGAATTTCTCCTAAAAAAAAAATGGGATTTTTTTTTTCTATCACATTGTCAGGATGCAAATTTTCCAAACTTTTATGCCCTCTTTCCCTTTTAAAACTGAATGCCCTTAACAGCACTCGAGTTACCTCTTGAATGCTTTGCTGTTTAGAAATTTCTTCCACCACATACCCTAAATCATGTCTTTCAAGTTCAAAGTGCCACAGATTTCTAGGGCAGGGGCAAAATGCTGCCAGTCTGTTTGTCAAAACATAACAAGAGTTACCTTTGTTCCAGTCCCCAACCAGTTCATCATCTTCATCTGAGACCACCTCAGCCTGGATTTCATTGTCCATATCATTATCAACATTTTGGTCAAAGCTACTCAACAAGTCTCTAGGGCGTTCCAAACTTTTCCACATCTTCCTATCTTTTGAGCCCTCTAAATTGTTCCAACCTCTGCCTGCTACCCAGTTCCAACGTCGCTTCAACATTTTTGGTTATCTTTACAGCAGCACCTCACTCTACTTGTACCAATTTACTGTATTAGTCAATTTTCACACTACTGATGAAGACACAACCAAGACAGGGAAATTTACACACACAAAAAGAGGTTTAATGGACTTACAGTTCCACATGGCTGGAGAAACCTCACAATTATGGCAGAAGGCAAGGAAGAGCAAGCCACATCTTACATGGAGGGCAGCAAGCAAACAGAGAGAGCTTGTACAGGAAAACTCCCCTTTATAAAACCATTAGATCTCATGAGACTCATTCACTATCATGAGAATAGCATGGGAAAGACCTGCCCCCATAATTCAAATACCTCCCTCCGGGTCCCTTCCACAACATGTGGGAATTCAGAGATGCCATTCTCTGGCATGGCTTTGCTGAATTTCTGATTTTTCTCTACCACTTATCAATGTCCAGAAGTTGAAAGCCAAGTTATCTTCATGGTGTATCCCTCTTACTGGTGTTCCCAATAGTGACAATACATTAGCCACCAGTGGCAAAGAATGCTCTCTATGTGGAGATTGTCCCACTGTGCCTCACACCACAGGATGTGAGCATATCTTCTGGTGTTTCTGTGCTAAAAGTAGTTTATTACTTGACATGTACTTTACTTGCCCTAAGGGTGGCACAGAAGTACATAAGTCTGCAGCCACTGAAATCAGGAATTGACATGTCAGAGGTAAATGCTTTTTGGAAAATAAAATTCCTTCCTCTGAGGAAAAAAATTCACTGTGTTTAAATTCTTAATATTAGTCATCCTAAGTACATCATTAATGTATCCTTTATAAGGAATGTGCTGCCTAGCCACTGACTTCTGTTCCTTTCAAGGCATGACTAAATCCTAATCACTGGAAACCATGTGATTCTAAATATATTATGTAAATGTTAACGTATTATGTTAATGTATTTGGGTGGGAACACAGCCAAACCATATCAGCATCCAACCAGCAGAAACACTTCACAGCAAGGAGATATGGGAGTAGTACCATGCCCATGGGATTGACTAGTCATAACACATCCCTCATCATCCAGAAATAACAAGCTTCATAGAACAATGGAATGACTGAAGCTCTAGCTTGGAGGCAACACTTGAAGAAGACGTGTGGGGGTAGGGCATCCTTCATGATGTTGTATGTGCATGAAATCAGGAAACTCTATATGATAATGTGTCATTAATAGGAAGATTGCGTGGGTCTGGGAACCAAGGGGTAGAAACATGACTGGCCCATCTTACCATGACCCTTACCATCACTACCAATGACTCCTTGGAGAATTTTTATTCCTGTTGAAGTCCACTCTGAAATCTGTATTGTTTGCTGTTCTAGTCCACAAAGGTCCTGCCAAAGGACACAGCAAAGGTCTCATTGAACAAGATATGCCTGCTATCAAGGAACTTTGGATTTCTTGTGCCCAAGAACAAGCAAATAAGAAGAGAAGTCATTGTTTCAGCAAGGATAATTGTGTTCATCAGAAGGAGGTAGGGATGCTGTTACACAATGGGGACAAACTGGAATACATATGGAACCCAGGTGTCTCTGGTATTCCCTAGCCCCTTAATAACTGTGATCAAACATATGCAGCAACTCCAGCCTAGGGAGGGTATAATTATCAAGAACTCAGACCCCTCAGAATGAAGGTTTGAGTCACACAATCCAGTAAGCCACCAAGGCCTGATGAGGTAGTATCTGAGGGTGCGGGGGATTCAGAATGAAGAGTGGAGGAGGACAGGTTGACTAGTTATTGCCTCTAGATCAATAGCAGGGATACAGCCTATTGTTCAAACTACTAACTTTCTTATTTTAGATGTCTCTAAAATCTAAAAGATTGTGGTATGACAGGCCTAGGCCTACAAGAACCATGGAGGAGCTGCTCCTGGAACATGCATGGAGGGATAGATGTGTGAAAACATATAAGGAGATGTTGACACAAAGTGTCTAGTCATAAAAGAAAGATAATAAGAGACTGCAAGAAAAGGAATAATGATTAACAATAGAGATTATAAGGGATTTTTACACAGTTATATATTTTTACTCCTTGTAAAATTGTCTAGAGAGAGCAAATATTTATGTAATTAAATAAATCCATGGAATAGAAATGTTTATAGAAAGATTGAACAGCACGTCCAAAGACCCATGGGCAGAAGAATTTTAGGTGAGGGGAAGGAAGATTCTAGGGGATAGCCCTAGGGCAAAATACTTTCCAATCTGCCCAGACTGTGATTCAGGCAAACAATAGATAGAGCAATGTCCACCTGGGTCCTCTGCTGAGAGGGTAGAAAATACTCTTCTTTCTCCCAGATGAAAGCTACAAAGTCCACCTATCATATTATCTGCATTCAAATCCTCATTCCACATTAACTATCGCTACGTTCTTTTCCTCAGTCTCCTTGTTTGTAAAATGGAACCATAGCTGCACTGCCATAGAAATTTGTTTTGGGAATAAATAAGATCAATGTGCTTAGAAAAGTGCCTGGCACACAATATAAACTCAATTCATGTTATCATTTTCTCATCATGGTTTTTCACAAATTATCTCATTACTTTGAAAAAAATATGAGGTTAAATTATGAAGTAGTTTTTCTATCAAATATGTGGTAAAACAGGAAAAAAGACAATAATACTGAGTTTGGAAGGCAATTTCATTCTAATGATTTTCTGGTTTATATAATCACATTGTGTAACTCCAGATTTCAGGGTTTGATGGTTTTGAAACAAACTTTAAAATAATATAGACAAGCAAAATCTATATAATTTTCAATTAAGAGATTCAACTGGAAAGTACTCAAGGTTTTCAAGTGTAACTGTTGAGATTTGACAAAGTGAAAGGTAAATCTTACAGAATGCCCTATTGTGCTATATAGTTGAGCTTTCTAAAACTAAGAGTGATATATTTCCAGGATTCCAATTTTCCATGGGAAAAACCCCACTATCACTGAGTGAAGAAGATTTTGGCACTCTCAGTCCTCATTATCCCAGCTGCTTAAGAGTAGAGGAAGAAGACCTTCCCAGGATGGCCACTCACCACCTTGGTAAAGCACCACTGAGATTCATATCTAGAATTGTCTCTGTAAGTCAGTGCACTTTTTTTTTCATTCATTAAAATAAGCAATGTTGATTGAGAACCGATTATAACAGAACAGGTCTGTCATAGAAACAGGAGATGAGGCAATCAAAAGACAAACTAGCTCACTCCTTCAAGGAGTTTACATTCATCAGAGGAAACCAAACAGTCAATAGGTAAACTAAGAAATAAACTAGTTGTTGTAATCAGTTTTATAACATAAATAAAAGAATAATGTGATGGAGAACGATTGCATGAGGTCACAGGAAAGTAGTCTAATATAGGCTAAATGTTCAGCAAAGCCCTCTTAAAAGGTGTATTTAAGCCAAATTTGAATAAGGAGAAAGAACTAGCCATTTAAAGATTCAAGGGGAAGGTTTCATGAAAGGGAGGAGTAAGTGCACATGTTTGAGAGGGAACAAATATTGGCTACTAGAAGAATAGAAGGAAGAACTCTATTAGTCCCAGATAACAAGGGACATAGTGCCAGGAGGTGAAGTCAGAGGAGGAGGTAGGTATCAGGCCAGGGAAGAATTACAAGTCATGACACTGAGTTAGAGTTTATTCTAAATGCACTGGGAAGCTATTGGAGGGTTCTAGGCAGTGGAAATGGTTTATCCACCATTTTGGAGAAGTTAGTTCCTCCACAACACTTTAACTCTTTAGCAGTTTGACAAAACTTAAGTTACGGGACCAGTATTTTAAATTTCAGTATATAAATAATAAGGATAAATTTATGTATCATCAAAATAAAGCAACAAAGTTTGCAAATGATCAAATATAGAATTCAATGATCATATTGCATGAAAAAATATTAAAGACAATATCAACTGAGATAGACTTTTGAGTTTGCTTTTGAGAAGTTATTGATCTAAAAAAGGCCTTAAAAGAAAGCCTTAAGCCTCAGATGTTAAATGAAAAACCATCCTGCTCATAACCTTCTTTTTACCTCTATCTGGATAAAAGAGCAGAGCAGAAAGTATTGTCTCCTTTAGAAATGTCCAGGTTTAGAAGGTCCAATTTGTTTGTTTGCTTTCTTTTTTTTTGGAAAGTCACATTTCACAGGATTATCCTGATGCTTGTGAGAAACAAGGATTTAAGAATATCAACATCAGGCCAGGTGCGGTGGCTCACGCCTGTAATCCCAGCACTTTGGGAGGCTGAGGCAGATCACCTGAGGCCAGGAGTTCAAGACCAGTCTGGCCAACATGGTAAAATCCCATCTCTACTAAAAAAAAAAAAATACAAAAATTAGCTGGGCACAGTGGCAGGTGCCTGTAGTCCTAGCTATTCAGGAGGCTGAGGCAGCAGAATCACTTGAACCCAGGAGGTGGAGGTTGCAGTGGGCAGAGATCACACCATTTGCACTCCAGCCTGGGCGACAGTGAGAATCTGTCTCAAAAAAAAAAAAAAAAAAAAAAAAAGAATATTAACATCTGCAGCCATACTTCCTAAGTTTTCTTCTGATTGACACAAAATACATTCATTCTGCAATGTGCTTTCAAAAAATGTCACCATATACTCGGGAAACAACTCTAAAATGAATCCCACCTATGGTAGGGTATCTTTGAGTCAGACAGGCTAAAGGTTCCCATGGACTCCTATATGGTATTTACATCTCTAATGTAGCCATTCTATGTCATTTGGAACTTGTTAGTTGGAGGGGTGCTGACTTTATGTATGATTTGTTTATATGTTGCTTTGGTCCAGAAAGAACTTTCAAGAAGATATACTGTGAAAGGCACAGGCCATACAGCAAGGTAAAACTAGCTTTAAAAAAAGACAAGAAAAACAAAGTAAAGAGAAAATAAGGATGAGGAAGTAAAATGGAGCCAGCATGAGCTTAACACAAAATATATAGCATTAACCTTTATGGAGGGTTCACAAATTAGCTCCAAGCTTTCCAGAAGAATGATATTTATTCAGCTACATAATTGTTAGTGTCTTAAGACAAAAAAACAACTAGCTTTGTCAGAGGCATTTGAACCAGAGCAATCCCATCTCAAATAGGGGCTGGGTAGAATAAGGCTGAGATCTACTGGGCAGCATTCCCAGAAGGATAGGCATTCTAAGTCACAGGATGACATGGGAGGTTGGCACAAGATACAGGCCATAAAGACCTTGCTGATAAAACAAGCTGCAGTAAGGAAGCCAGCTTAAGACCCACCAAAACCAAGATGGTGATAAAGTGACCTCTGGTCATCCTCACTGGTACACTCCCGCCAGCACAATGACAGTTTACAAATGCCATCGCAACATCAGGAAGTTACCCCATATGGTCTAAAAAAGGGAGGCATGAATAATCCACACCTTGTTTAGCATATAATCAAGAAATAACCATAAAAATGGGGATCCAGCAGCCTTCTATACAGTGGCCTATAGAGTAGCCATTCTTTTATTCCTCTACTTTGTTAAAATATTTGCTTTCACTGTACCGTTTGGACTTCTCCTTCATTCTTTCTTGTGCAAGACTCAAAGACCTTCTCTTCCCTCTCTTGGGGTCTGGATCAGGACCCCTTTCTGGTAATAGTTTCTCAAGGGGAACAATAACTCTTCCGAGATGAGAGCAAAACGTATCCTGCAGACTCTTATAAAAGATCCTTTTTAATGCACTGAATGACATTCTCAATAACATTCTAACAGCACATGTAAGATTCATGGCATTGTTTTTATAAGAAGATGGATTAATAAGCCTTCTATATCTATACATGCTTCAATAATAATATTTCTTTGCTTCTTCTTTTTTTTTTTTTGAGACAGGATCTCACTCTGTCGCCCAGACTGGAGTAAATAATAACATATTTTATTTCTTATTTTAAACTGCTTTTTAACATTAAGAATAAATAAACAGTTCAGCTTGAGGCCACGCAGGGTTGAAAATAATGTCTATGAATCGGCCCCAGTCTCTCGAAATGCTCTTTACTAGGATGGACACTTCAGCAAAGGTGAAAAGATACAACAATATATTTAATGAGACTAATTCAAAGAAAGGAATAATCACAGTGTGGAGGGATGTGTGGGAGACAGATTTACTTCCTTAAGTTTCTGTTATTAGTGAATGGGAAAATGATGACTCTGAAACAGAAAGCATAGAAACATGCTCTGAAGGGTGCTTGGGGCCAATTCCACTTCCTTCATAGAAGAGGTTCTAGATAAGAAAAAAACAAAGAACACAAATGTTCATATTATTACCTGGGTCAAGGACTCCTTTAAGATTCAGACGAAAACTACTACATATCCATTGACTGATTAAGTGTGTCAAACCTTAGCTCTCAGCCCACCCTGGCTTTAGAAAAATGTTGATGCCGAGGTTTTACAGCAAGGAAAAAAAAATCTGAAATCCTATTTTCTTGCTTTGCCAATCTAAAAAATAAGAGGGAGCTGGCAAATGGCAGATGCCTATGTGTGGAAGGTGAGTTGAAATGGTGATGGCTATGCTATAGCAGCAATGGGTCTGCTAAGGATATTGGCAAGTGTATCAAAGGCAGCTGGTAAAGAAGGGTTCGAGGGATCCTTATCAAAGACTATGACATTGGCACAGCACAAGGAGGCAGAATTTGCCTCCACTGGCTATCTCAATCCTTTGCTTTTTTTTTTTTTTTTATGCAGCAATGCCAAGAATTCAATTACTATGAAGAATACAAGTACAGAGAAGAAAGGATAGGGGGTAAAGTTACTGGATCTTGTGTTTGGAAGTACAGAGTGAATAATCTGAGACCTAGCATTCTTCCTGCAATATGTACACAGAGAGGAAGGTAAGAAGGACGAATATTCTACTAAGAGTTAAATTGAGAAACACAAACTCAATTCTTTAGGCCAAAATCAACTTAATACATTTGGCAAATACAATACATTTTTAAAAATTATTTATCACTATTTGAAATGTGTACATTACATAAATACCTACATTTCATGCTTCTTCAAAATAAAATCAGAAGATCTGGCAATGCTAGACTCTGAGTTTTCTAAGAAACAGTCATACCCTCACAGCACCAAACTCTGTTGTTTTTCCAGCACTGAGGTGGGGTTATCTTCAAGCTTGAGCAATGTTTCTTTCCACTAGCCAGGCTGCCTAGTTCATTGATATTACCTGCCTCATTCCTATAGTCATTTGAGTTTGTAAGCTGGCCCACCCCAAACCCTGGACTAACATATTATTTTTATTCACCAAGTGTGACAGGCATGAGGT
Source organism: Homo sapiens (assembly GCF_000001405.40). Classification (NCBI taxonomy): domain Eukaryota; kingdom Metazoa; phylum Chordata; class Mammalia; order Primates; family Hominidae; genus Homo; species Homo sapiens. The sequence continues at coordinate 82,005,523 of NC_000012.12, forward strand.
GCACCTCAGACTTTCAACTCTAAGGACCTTAACTGGCCAAAGCCTGCTGCACTCTGAATCTACCATATTTTCACCAAGGGTGTGCCTCTTATTGGCTTCTCCAAGCCAATGACTGAGCACACGAGGATCCTGAAACAAGATTATTCCTGAAGAACATAGGTCTCTTCTTATACCCAGCTTTGGCTCTAGGACTCTCTGATGATCATGCTGAACCTTCTTACATTGCAGAGCAAACTGTTTCCTTTCAACCTCTTTTCACAAGGGGTCAGATTTTCATCCCCCAGTTTTATCCAGCTCCCTCCCCATTTCTGTCACAGAGGCATTTTTTTTCCAATAAAAGCCTTGCCTGTAAGCCCGCCTTAATGTCTACCTCTTGTTGGACCTAGACAAACATAAGAGGTACATAAGTTGAGTGATCCAAAAAAACCAGGCCATTAAATGGGTAAAGAGACTGACTCACTCGCCACTCAACAGTTGGAGAGGAACATCATTCTCCTTTATAAATGAGAAATGGATACTCCTTGGCACAAAGTGCTAGCACATTGCCAATGATGTTACCTGTAATGATAGAAAGACAAGGAAGGAAGGAAGGAAGGAAGGAAGGAAGGAAGGAAGGAAGGAAGGGAGGGAGGGAGGGAGGGAGGGAGGGAGGGAGGGAGCAGGGGAGGGGAGGGGAAGGGAAGGGAAGGAAGGGAAAAGGAGAAGAAGGGAAGGAGGGAGGGGGAAGGGGGGAAGGAGGAAGGGGAGGGGAGGGGGGGGAGGGGAGGTAGTCTCAATGGAAAGGAGTTCCTTGGCAGGTGAAATGATGTAAGCATTTGAAAAATATTGGCAGAAATGCCTACAAAGACAGTAGAGTTGGCTGAGTACTGCTAAATTGTACTGATTTCCTGAAGAAAGGGTCTGTTATACAAAGGGCCCTGGTAGAGAAAACCTGAGAAGTTACATACGGTTCGAGTACATCTGGATGGAGACTACTTACTTGGTCAGATTCTGGTCTAGCAAAAGAGGGACCCATTCTTCTCTGGTAAGAGTTAGCACTTCACTGTGCTGAAATATGTTGCAGGAACCTCTCTCCCATAAAGCATCAAGTGTCCTTCCACCTCCTCTCCTGGCCACCAAGCTGTTGACCAGTGTTAAATCCTAGCATAACCCAGTGGAAGATGTGCTGAGTCTTTTAAGGGAGGATAAAGACAGTATGCAATAAGGAATTGCAAGAATTCGCTGTCATTAATGAACAGGATCCAGGAGAGCTCTCCTGAGATAGAATTTTAAGAGTGCTTGATTAAGAGTGCCAGAATTTAAGTATAGATAAGCAAGAGTTCATTGACTGAGGAAGTATGACATTTTCTTGGAATTTGGGATTGAATACTCAATCAAGGACACCATCAGTAGAAACAAAATTGTTTCTTGAGTAGCTCTTAGAAGCTTGTAGGGCGCTAAGGAATTTTAGCCAACACTTAGTGAAGTATACCGTGTTACCCTGGCAGATGGTAGACAAATGAATTAAGAGGCTAAAAAAAGTGGGCATGCTAAAATGGATATGTTATGTAAGGGCAGAAGACCCACTAGAGAGCCCAGAAAAGCACTATTCACCGAATATTTAAGGAATTTTCTAGCACAAGTTTGCTAGCACAAACTAGGTCCAAAGTTCCACCATATCCTCTTATTAGAATAGGAATGTATGGAGAGCAAGTAAAGAATGGAGTGCAGGCTAAATTCCAACTCACAGTGTGCCCATGGAGCCTAGGAACCCAACCCAGTGGTCAGTTCCCCAGTCCCTAGGGAATATTTATATTGGGCATACTGGCCATGCAAGTCCTTAGTTTGGAGAGTAAGAGCTATCATATCAGGAAAGGCCAAATGGAAACTTCTGAAGCTCTCCACCCTCCGCTCATCAACCTTCAGCCAAATAGTAAAATAAAAACCAACATCATATCCCAGGGGTTATGAGGTTATGGCAGAGATTAGCAGTACAATTAAAGACTAAGGATACAAGTGGGATGCTCCATGTTATATCGCTATTTAATTCACAAGCCTGGCCGCTGAATAAATGGATAGTTATGGAGAATAGCTATAGACTATATTTAGATTTAATGAAGTCATAGCAACAATAGCAGCTGCTGCTCTTGATGTGTTATCATTGCTGAACAAATTATTAAAGCCTCAGGTATATGATTTGCAGCCATTACTTTGGTGAACATGTTCTTTACCATTCCAATTAGGAAAAAGAATAAGAAATAGTTGACATTCATACAGAAGGGACAACAATTTTCATTTATGTGTTTGCCTCAGGGCTATGTTAACTCTTCTATTCTCTGTCATAATCTAGTCTGAAGAGACCTGTACCACCAGGACATTGCATAGAACATCTCACTCCTCTCTTATACCAATGGATATCATGTTGATTGGATAGGATGAGCATGAGAAGGCTAGTATTCTAGAAGCTGTGGGGAGACACATGTACTCCAGAGTATGAGAAACCAATCCTAGGCAGTTTCAGAGACGTTTCACTCCTGTGAAATTATCAGGGGTCTAGTGGTCAAAGGCATGTTGAGTTTCTCCACAAATAAAAAGACATTGCATTTCCTACCAAAAAGAATGAAGCCATAGTGTCTGTCTGGTAGACCTCTTTAAGCTGTGGAGCCAACACATTCCACATTTAGGAATTTTGCTCTGGCTCACACACCAGGTGAAGCTAAGTCTTCCAACATTGCATAGGGCCTGGAGAAGGAAAAGATGCTGTAGGAGGTGCATGTCTTGATGCAATCAGCCTTGCAACTTGTATCATGCAGTCTGGCAGACATTATAGTATTGGAGCTGTCAATGATGGGAGAAGATGCAATGTGGAGCTTACGGCAAATTCATAAGAATCAGATGCAGGCCACTGGAATTCTGGAGCAAGGCCAAGTATCCAGAGGAGATAATTATATGTTTTGATAAGCTGAGAAGCAACACTTGGCATGCTTTTGGGAACTGGTAGAAACTGCATGTTTAACCAATGTGGCTTCAAGTGAATATATGTCCAGAACTACTCATTATGAGTTAGCTTCTTTCAGACCTGCCAAATAAAACAGCCCTATCAGCAGTCCATCACAAGATGGAAATAACACAACTGAAATCAAGCCTAAGGCTGGACTAGAGGGGCTACAGTGGCAGATAGAAAGAGACATATGAACATCAAAATTATAGACTCCATTTACCTAGGTAAATCTACCTCTGATTGTGCAACTTATTAACAACAGACCAAAACTGAGCTGCAGATATGGCACTCTTCTTTAAGAAGATTGTCCAGCAAGTTTGTGGCAAATTGCTACATCCACCCACTTCAATCCTGGAAGGGCCAGTGGTTTGTTCTCACAGGGAAACATACTTATTGTGGGGTGGGTTTTCTTTTCTTCTTTGCAGAGCATCAGTCAATATTATCACTGAAGAGCTTATGCAATGCCTAATGCGTAGGTATGGAATCCCACACAGCATAAAATCTGGCCAGGAGATTCTTCTTACAATATAGAAGGTATGAGGGTAAACCCATGTCCATAGAATCTACTGGCCAAATCCTGTACCACACTTTCCAGAAGCAGCTAGCTGCACACAATGCTGTACCAGTCTTCTAAAGGTGGAACTAAAAGAAGCACCCTGGAGAGATGACGCATTGTCCTACAGGACATAGTATATTCACCAAATCAAAGACCATGGTATAGTGCTGTATCCGCAGTAGGAAAGATATACAGGTACACAGGTCATTCCTTTAAAGGGTGGAAGCATGAGTGACTCCACTTATCAATCCTTCCAAACAGCCATTGAAAGATCTTGTGCTTTCTGGCCCCATCACTCTGAGTATTTTAGTGCCAGAGATCCCACTGCCCAGGCAAGAAACATTCTTGTCAGGATACACTACAAGGGACCACCTGGGAAGAGGAGTAGTGATGACCCTGATCAGCAGAAGGTAGAGCTCATTCTGCACAATGAGGACGGGGAATAGTATGTGTGGAAAACAGATGTTCCACTTAGGTACCTTGTGGTGCACCTTTGCCCTATTCTTACTGTGAACAGACATATACAGTAAACTTAAAATGAGAAAGGTATGATTATCAAAAGGTTCAAGACCTCCACTGACTTGAGGAAAAGCAAAGTATAACAATGGCTTATACTATCACAGTGGAACTGATCTCTAGCCACACTCTAACCCGTATAGCTTTCTGACCTAATTCTAGTTGCCACACGTAGTAAACATTTGCCCTGTACTTGAAATGCTCTTTCCCAAGATATTAGCACAAGTGCCTTCCCACCTCTTTTGCCTTTATTCAAGTATCATTGAAATATGCCTTTATTAAAACATCATTGTTTCCTGGTTATCTGTACTTAATTTATGCTTTATTTTTCTCCATGGTGCTTATTATCACCTAAAGCACAACATAATTCACTTATGTGTGTATTACCTCTTTCCCTAACACAAATGTAGGTTTAAAAGGACTTGGATTTTTCTTCGTATACTGCTGTATCTCCAACCACTAGAATAGTGCCTGGTACATCATTGAAGATCTTATTGAATGAATTAATGAATCATTATCATTACAGAGAGCAATTGTTATAGTGTGAAACAACATATGTGGAAGCTAGACTAAAAAGGGTACAGTGTAAATGGACACAGAGAAAATATTATCATCATCATTATCACGACAACTAACATTTACTGAATGCTTATTATATTCTAAAAAATTTGCAGCTTGTTTTACATGCATTTTCTTATTTAAATTTCCCAACTCTGTGGCCTGGATTTTAGTATTATTTCCATTTTCTCTGTGGCTTAGAAAGGTTAAGTATCTTGATCAAGATGGAGGTAATAACTGGCAAAAATGTTCTTCAAACTAGATTTGTCATCAAAGCCTGAATTCATAACCTGAATTCTCAGATGAACATGGAAATCAGAGAACAATTTTAGAACTTTGTACTATGCCAAATAAATGGAAGAGGACAGAGCAATATTAAAATAATTCAACAATAAGAAATTATAACATTTATCAGTAAAAAAGAATGGCTTAATAAAAATGTAGGTGATGCTTTTAAAGAGATCAGGAAAAATACCAAAATCTGAGAAAATAAAGCCTTAAACTCCATTTTGTATGTATATATATAATTTTCTTTCTTCAAGAAGGTACATAATGACTATATGCTCTTCCATCAGTTTTTGAAATCAATTTTAAAGGAAGCCTAATTAAAAGAATATTACAATAATAGCAAAATCATCACAAAGACAGGCATTAACAATATTGTAAGTCCAATAAAGAAAATAGAGATTTTTATGGATATATAAATAATAACGTATGTTCTGGAATACCACAGCATGAATTTTTCTTTCTTTCTTTTTTTTTTTTTTTTTTTTTGAGACAGAGTCTCACTCTGTCACCCAGGCTGGAGTGCAGTGGCGCGATCTCGGCTCACTGCAACCTCCGCCTCCCAGCTTCACACCATCCTCCTGCCTCAGCCTCCTGAGTAGCTGGGACTACAGGCACCCACCACCACACCCGGCTAATTTTTTGTATATTTAGTAGAGACAGGGTTTCACTGTGTTAGCCAGGCTGGTCTCGATCTCTTGACCTTGTGATCCGCCCGCCTCGGCCTCCCAAAGTGCTGGGATCACAGGCGTGAGCCACCGCGCCTGGCTCATAGCGTGAATTTTTCAAATCACTAGTTCCAGTCCTTGCTATTTAAACACACACATACACACATGCACACACCAAATGTAAGTTTATTGTGCTTTTTCCATTTTGTCATATGAAGTCTAATTGAGACCCAGGTACATGATGTCATAGAAAAATCTGCTAGGTGAAAAGCAGACAGCTAAACAGTTTCAGTTGCTTCAGAAACGTTCAAATTTCAAGGACTGTTATTCTGTTACTTGAATAAAAAGCAAATGAAAGCTCTACAGAAAGGCAGCAAATCATAATCACAGATATGGAAGGAACTTATGTCAAGGCTAGGAAATAATGGTAAATATATGGATTGTGTACAGAATAATACCAGTTAACATGAAAATAGGGGAAGCATGCCTTTTGAAATTGTCCAGCACGCACACACACACACACACACACACACACACACAATTGAAAACCTCTTGAGCACTAGATCTTGTGAGGTTTGATGTAGAGATAAAAGCATTTTTCTTTGCCTTGTAAGTCAAGTAGCAGAAATACATACATATATGGCAAATTGAAGTACTATATGAGAAGTGGAATAGGTATAGATAGAACCAGGGTCCTAGATTTAAAAAAAAAAATAGCTGATTTTGGCCGGGCACGGTGGCTCACACCTGTAATCCCAGAACTTTGGGAGGCCAAGGTGGGTGGATCACGAGGTCAGGAGTTTGAGATCAGCCTGACCAACATGGTGAAACCCAGTCTCTACTAGAAATACAAAAATTAGCCAGGTGTGGTGGTGCATGTCTGTAATCTCAGCTATTCAGGAGGCTGAGGCAGGAGAATCGCCTGAACCTGGGAGGCGGAAATTGCATTGAGCGGAGATCGCACCACTGCACTCCAGTCTGGGCAACAGAGGCAGACTCCGTCTCAAAAAAAAAAAAAAAAAAAAATTGCTGATTTTAAAGGAAAGATTCACAAACTATGTAAATTTAGGGAAATGAAGGATATTAGGGGATAATGTTGGTCACGGAAAAATCTTGACACTGAAGAGCCACAGTGAGACATTTAGTATGGCCAGAGCACAGGCTGCACAGTGAAATGAGAGGTAGAAGATGATATTGGAAAGTGATGTGTTTGCTTCAAGTAACAAAGGAAAGACAAAGGACATTTTAAACAGAAAAATGACATAATCAGTTTAGGTATTAGGTTGGTGCAAAAGTAATTGCGGTTTTTGTCATTAAAAGTAGTGTCAACCTAATATTTAGAAGATCAATATAGAGGTGTGTAAGATGTACTGGAGTTATAGCAGATGAAAGACAGAGACACCGTATGCTACAAGTGAGCCAGAATGAGGATATGGTCTAAGCCAAGTTTCATACACTGCTCTAAACCGATGTGTGACCTGTTTGGTTGTTATAAGCAGCAGTGAAATTAAGCAGATAATATGGATGGCATTCAAAATATACTTATTGACTGATACCCATCTCTCTTTATGCATGTATGTTAATGGTACAATTCTTTCAGCCATTTAAGTTTGTGGGCTCTGGTTTAAATTTAGGAGTAACAGAAGAATTAGAGAGGAGAGGTCACATGTTTTTCCCTTGCTGCCTCAGTTAAAGTTGATTTTCCAAGAACAGCATGTCTGTGATGTTTTCCTTCATCATTAATAAACACATTAATATTTTCCATAGTTCAGATAACAATTTTGAGCAGTATTAGAATTATGAACATCTATGCTGTAAGGCCATTTTAAATTAGAAGCGTTTGAATCCCAGCACTTTGGGACACCGAGGCAGGAGGATCACTTGAGCTCAGGAGTTCGAGACCAGCCTAGGCGACATAGGGAGAGTCTGTCTCTACTAGAAATCAACAAAATTAGCTGGGCATGGTGATATGCACCTGTAGTTCGAGCTACTTGGGAGGTTGAAGTGGGAGAATCGCTTGAGCCTTGGAGGTTACAGCTGCAGTGAGCCATGATGTCCCATTGCACTCCCAACTAGGCAACAGAGCTAGATACTCTCTCAAATATATATATATATATGAAATAACCATATATATGGGTTTTAATGGATATTGCTACTCAGAGTGTTATTTATTTCTTGAAGATTATCAGTACTTCATTATATACTAAACATTTAATTCTTGGGTTTATTATTGATGTCTTCTGATCCTACACAAATTATTTAGCATTTAACTTTAAGTCACATTCCCTGGCAAACAATTACTAGAAGAAGCACAGAAAGATGTTTCACAATCAATGAGCCAATTTTAGGCCAAGCAGTCAGTGAAATCCAAACGTGAGAAATCAATCCACAGTTTGAAGAAAACAATGGAAAGCCTGATGTAAGTTTATTTTATGATAACTACTTTGTCCTTCACAGTGAGAAATAGTTGAGAACTGTGGAGGTTATTATTAAAGGTACAAAATCCCATTCATCATGTACGTCTTTTTCAGAGATATTGATTTTGATGGCAACATTTCACAATGTACTTTGAAACCAAAATCTTCCCCAAATAGCATATTCTATCAATTCAACACAAAGAGTAAAGTGAAACAAATGCTACAATTCTGTGATCTCTACACAGAAAACAATTACGCAGTTATTTTCTGCTGTGAGATCATCTGTAATTGCAAAAGGCAAAAAAGTTTTTTTTTTCTACTTTGTTTTGTTTTTCACTCTTCTATTGGGAGAGAAAGTGAAACCATATTTCCACTAACATTATTATCTTCAACAAATATGTACTCTAACAGTATTGATAAGAAGAGAATTAAGATTTTTATTATTATTATTATTTTTATTATACTTTAAGTTCTAGGGTACATGTGCACAACGTGCAGATTTGTTACATATGTATACATGTGCCATGTTGGTGTGCTGCACCCATTAACTCGTCATTTACATTAGGTATATCTCCTAATGCTATCCCTCCTCCCTCCCCCTACCCCACAACAGGACCTGGTGTGTGATGTTCCCCTTCCTGTGTCCAAGTGTTCTCATTGTTAAATTCCCACCTATGAGTGAGAACATGAGGTGTTTGGTTTTTTGTCCTTGTGATAGTTTGCTGAGAATGATGGTTTCCAGCTTCATCCATGTCCCTGCAAAGGACATGAACTCATCATTTTTTATGACTGCATAGTATTCCATGGTGTATATGTGCCACATTTTCTTAATCCAGTCTATCATAGATGGACATTTGGGTTGGTTCCAAGTCTTTGCTATTGTGAATAGTGCTGCAATAAACATACATGTGCATGTATTTTTATAGCAGCATGATTTGTAATCCTTTGGGTATATACCCAGTAATGGGATGGCTGGGTCAAATGGTATTTCTAATTCTAGATCCCTGAGGAATCGCCACACTGTCTTCCACAATGGTTGAACTAGTTTACAGTCCCACCAACAGTGTAAAAGTGTACTTATTTCTCCACATCCTCTCCAGCACCTGTTGTTTCCTGACTGTTTAATGATTGCCATTCTAACTGGTGTGAGATGGTATCTCATTGTGGTTTTGATTTGCATTTCTCTGATGGCCAGTGACGATGAGCATTTTTTCATGTGTCTGTTAGCTGCATACATGTCTTCTTTTGAGAAGTGTCTGTTCATATCCTTCGCCCACTTGTTGATGGGGTTGATGTTTTTTTAAATAAAAAAGCTGTGCCTTTTCACAAACACAGATGAAAATGCCATTTCGACCTAAATTAAGTTGCTAATTGCATACATTATTTGTTTACATTGCAAAATCCTTAATGTGAGAAAAAAACATGCAATGAAAAATATAATTTGGAAAAAAGGATGAGGTAGCGGGGGGCTAAGGCTCAATTTTGCACAACTGAGCACAATATAACTAGAGCTGCAGCACAATTAATCACCATTAAAAGATAGTTTAATTAGATTGACTTCTTACGGTTAAAAAATGAGTATTTGTTCATTGGGTCATTAATATACAACCAGTTTTTATTAATACAATTTGTTCATAAACCTTGATTATATAGTGGGTATTTTCCTGTTAATTAATAACTGATAAATCTCCATTTCACTTTATATAGATATGGTCTAAAAAAACCCCAGAAATCTACCATCTTAATGCTGGAAAGGAGTTGTAATTTTACAATTGAGAAACCTCATGGCAATCTCTTGAATATTAATACTTAATATTTGTGGAAGGTTTTCTTTATGGCTGGCACTTAACAGGCTCTCTCTTATTAAGCCTCACATCAACTTCTGATCCAGTACCAATACTGGATTTACTTAGAGGGATTCAGAGAACTCAAGAAACCTATTAAATGCCACAAAACTTAACGTTAGTTAGGTTTTCACATTAACATTCAATTAACATTTGAATTTACATAGTTTAAGAAACTAAATTCTTAAAGAGTATACCATACTACCTTATAGCTCGCAATAAAAATTACAACCAAAAGAGTTATGTAGCATGAGAAAAGTGTAAAAAATGTCCATATCTGAAATCTCTGTCACTAGAAATTTTTTCATTTTTATTTGCTTGATGGCAGAAACCACCATCACTTTTGCAGCAACCTACATCCAGCATGTACTGCTCAAATGACCTGTGAATGAGTGACAAAGTTTTAACTTAAAACTGGTTAATATTCAACTATTTGTTTAGTGATCCTATGAACTAATTACCTTTAGTCATGAGTTGCTTAAAGACAGAGATTGTTCTGAGAAATACTTGGTAAGGTGATTTTGTCATTGTGGTTACCCCATAGACTCTAGAGTATGCTTACACAAACCTAGATGGTATAGTGTACTACATATTTAGACTATATAGTATAGCCTGTTGCTCCTAAGCTACAAACCTGTACAGCAGGTTACTTTGCTGAATACTGTAGGCAATTGTAACACAGTGGTAAGTATTTGTGGATCTAAACATGGAAAATGTACTATGAAAATACAGTATAAAAGATTAAAAAGAACACACCTGTATAAAGCATTTGCCTTGAATAGAGCTTGTAGGACTGGAAGTTGCTCTGGGTGAGTCAGTGAGTGATTGATGAGTAAATGTGAAAACCTAGGACATTACTGTGCACTACTGTAGACTTTATAAACATTGTATACTTAGGCTACATTAAATCATAAAAAATAAAGTATGCGATGATTTTACTATGGCTACAATAACACTAGGCAATAGAAATTTTTCAGCTTCTTTCAAATCTTATGGGACCACCGTCATTGACTAAAACATTGTTATGCAGTGCATGACTGTAATTGGAAGTTATGAGTTTTCTTCTTCCTGTATCTGTCTCATATGCCTTATGATAGGCTAATTTTTAAAAAGCAAGTCCATTTCTAGTTTAGAATTTTTAAAAAACTTTTCACAGGTGTATTAATCCATTCTTATGCCACTATAAAAAATTGCCCAAGACTGGGTAATTTATAAAGGAAAGAGGTTTGATTGACTTACAGTTGTGCATGGCTGAAGCAGCCTCAGGAAACTTACAATCCCGGCAGAAGGGGAAGAAAACACTTCTCTCTTCACATGATGGCAGGAAAGAAGAGTGCTGAGCAAAGAGAAAAAAGCTTATTATAAAACCATTAGATCTTGTGAGAACTCACTCACTATCATACTACCATGAGAACAGCAGTATGGGGGTAACTGCCCCCATGATTAAATTACCTCCCACCAGGTCCCTTCCAAGACATGTGGGATTATGGGATGATATGGTTTGGTTATGTCCCCACCCAAATCTCATCTTCAATTTTAGCTCCCATAATTCCCATATGTTGTGGGAGGGACCCAGCGGGAGATAATTGAATCATGGGGGTGGTTTTCCCCCCATACTGTTCACCTGATAGTGAATAACTCTCATGAAATCTGATGACTTTGTACAGGGTTTCCCCTTTTGCTTGGCTCTCATTTTCTCTTTTGTCTGCCATCATGTAAGATATGCCTTTTGCCTTCCACCATGATTGTGAGGCCTCCCGAGCCATGTGAAAGTGTGAGTCCATTGAACCTCTTTTTCAGTATAAATTACCCAGTCTTTATTATGTCTTTCTCAGCAGTGAGAAAATGGACTAATACATGGGAACTCCAATTCAAGATGCGATTTGGGTAGGGACAGAGAAAAACCATATCAACAGGTTTATTGAGTCACACATATACAAAAACTCACAAAAAAGCACATGAATTTGGACATCTACATACACCCATGATACCATCACCACAATCAAGATATTAAATATATCCATTGCCTACAAGAATAACGTTGTGTTGCTTTATGGGTTTGGATTTGTGCATGTTTTGATTTTTGTGTGATTTTTTTTTGAAGGGATAAGAAGAATACTTAATATGAGATCTACCCCCTTGAACTTTAAATATTGTTAACTACAGGTACTATGTTATACAGCAAATCTCCAGAATTTATTCATCTTATATAACTGAAATTTTACAACCATTGCACAACAGTTCCCTATTTTACCCTCCCCCATCAGGCCCTGGCTGATAGGGTTTGTCTCTGTGTCCCCACCCAAATCTCATCTCAAATCTTAATCCCCAGGTATTGAGAGAGGGGTCTGGTGGGAGGTGATTGGATCATGAGGGTGGTTTCCCCCATGCTGTTCTTGGGATAGTGAGTGAGTTCTCACGAGATCTGATGGTTTTAAAAGTTGCAGTTTCCCCTGAAAGCTCTGTGGCTCTTGCCACCTTGTGAGGAAGGTACCTGCTTCCCCTTCTCATTACGCCATGATTGTTAGTTTTCTGAGGCCTCTTAGCCATGTGGAACTGTAAGTCAATTAAACCTCTTTTCTTTATAAGTTACCCAGTATTGGGTAGTATCTTTATGGCAGTGTGAGAACAGAATAATAAAGAGAATTGGTACTAGCAGAGTGGGGTACTGCTATAATGATAAACTGAAAATGTGGAAGTAACTTTAGAACTGGGTAACAGGCAGAGTTTGGAACAATTTGGAAGGCTCAGAAGAAGACAGGAAGATGTGGGAAAGTTTGGAACTTCCTAGAGACTTGTAGAACAGTTTTGACCAAAATGTTGATAGTGATATGGATAATGAAGTCCAAGCTGACATGGTCTCTGATGGAGATGAGCAACTAATTGGGAACTGGAGTAAAGGTTACTCATGCTATGCTTTAGCAAAGAGACTGGCAGCATTTTGCCCCTGCCCTGGAGATCTGTGGAACTTTGAACTTGAGAGGGATAATTTAGGGTATCTGGTGGAAGAAATTTCTAAGCAGCAAAGCATTCAAGAGGTAACCTGACTTATGCTGAAAGCATCCAATTATATGCGTTCACAAAGAGATGCTTTGAATTGGAACTTAGCAAAGCATAAAGGTTTGAAAAATTTGCAGCCTGACCATGTGGTAGAAAAGAAAAACCCATTTTCTGGGGAGGAATTCAATTTTGCTGCAGAAGTTTGGATAAGTAACAAGGAGCCAAATGTTAATAGCCAAGACAATGGGGAAACATGTCTGCAGCATATGACAAAGACCTTCACAGCAGCCCCTTCCATCACAGGCCCAGAGGCCTATGAAGGACAAATGGCTTCATGGGCCAGGCCCAGGGTCCCACTGCCCTGTGCAGCTTTGGGACATGGTGCCCTGTGTCCCAGCCACTCCAGCTCCATCCAGTGCTAAAAGGGGCCCAAGTACAGCTTGGGCCATTGCTTCAAAGAGTGCAAGTCCCAAGCATTGATGGCTTCCACCTGGTGTTGTGACTGCAGTTGTGCAGAAGACAAGAGTTGAGCTTTGGGAACCTCCAGCTAGATTTTAGAGGATGTATGGAAATGCCTGGATGTCCAGGTAGAAGTCTGCTGCAGGGGCAGAGCCCTCATGAAGAACCCCTGCTAGGGCAATGCAGAAGGGAACTGTGGGTTTGGAGCCCCTACAGAGAATCCCCACTGGGGCACTCCCTAGTGAAGCTGTGAGAAGAGAGCCACCCTCCTCCAAACACCACAATGGTAGATCCACTGACAGCTTGCACCATACACCTGCAAAAGCCACAGGCACTCAGTGTCTGCCCATGAAAGCAGTGGTGGCTACCCAAGCTACCCCTTGCATCAGCATGGCCTGGATGTGAGACATGGAGTCATTAGGATTTAAAGACTTCCCAGCTGGGTTTCAGACTTGCATGGGGTCTGTGGCCCTTTATTTTGGCCAATTTCTCCCATTTGAAATGGGAATGTTTACCCAATGCTTGTACCCCCATTGTATCTTGAAAGTAACTAACTTGTTTTTGATTTTGCAGTCTCATAGGCCAAAGGGACTTGCTTTGTCTCAGATAAGACTTTGGACTTGACTTTTGGGGTAATGCTGAAATGAGTTAAGAATTTAGGGGACTGTTGGGAAGGCATGATTGGTTTTGAAATGTGAAAGGACATGAAATTTGAGAGGGGCTGGGGCATAATGATATGCTTTGGTTCTGTGTCCCCACCCAAATCTCATCTCAAATTGTAATTCTCACATGTAGAGGGAGAGACCTGGTGGAAGGTAATTGGATCATGGAGGTGGTTTACCCCATGCTGTTCTCATGATAGTAAGAAAATTCTCATGAGATTTGATGGTTTTAAAAGTGGAAGTTTCCCCTGAAGACTCTCTCTCTACTGCCACCTTGTGTGGAAGATGCCTGCTTTCCTTTTGCCTTCCACCATGATTGTAAGTTTCTTGAAGCCTCCCAGCCATGCAGAACTGTGAGTCAATTAAACCTCCTTTCTTTATAAATTACCCAATCTCAGGTAGTATTTTTATAGCAGTGTGAGAATGAACTAATATATTGGCAAACACCAGTCTATCCTTTGCTTCTAAGTTTGAACATTTTAGATAACTCCTATAAGTGTATCTAAGAGGTATAAGTGTATTAAATACACTTATAGGAGGTATCTAAAATGGTCATACTCCTATAAGTATAATGGCTATACTCCTATAAGTGTATCTAAATCATGAACAATTTGTCCTTCTCTATCTTATTTAACCTAAAATAATGTCCTCCAGTTTCACTCATATTGCAAATGTGTGTGTGTGTGTGTATACATATATATATATATATATATATGTATACACACACACACACACACATACCACATTTTCCTTATTGATTTATCTGTAAATATTTGGGTTGTTCTCATATTTTGTTACTATGAATAATGCCATAATGAATATGGGAACACACATATTTCTTTAAGATCTTGATTTTTTCTTTTTCTTTCAGATACATATTTCCACACTGTTTTTCATAGTGCTTGGACCATTTTACATTCCCACCAACAGTGTATAAGGGTTCCATTTTCTTGTGCTTTTTATTCTGCACTTGATCAACATTTTCATTGTTTATGCCATCTTGTGTTTAATTTAACTCACACAGTTACACAAATGCAAGATATAAAAATTGTATTAATGAGGCAATATGTGCCTCAGAGGTTCAATTATTATTGGATCTTTTGGGTCACAAAGCCCAAGGAAAGGATAGTGGGCACTACAGCATACACCTTTCCCACAGAGACCTCTCCTGCTAAAACCCACTCAAAGTTTATTATGCATTACTTAGCGAACAGGTCAGGGCAGCACACTGACATGTGGCCTGTATTATTGCCAAAATCCAAAGAGGCTCAACAGGGGTTGTTCTTCTTTGTTCATGGTTGAGTGGCATATGACACAGAAATTTGCCTTTTACTTTAGAGAGTATTCTGGCATGCCCCAGACTTCCTGGACTTAAGGATCAAGATATGAACATCTTCCAAATTTTATGGAGGAATTTTTCTCTCATTCTCTAGCATTCATGTTTTACTAACCATTTGGGTACTCCCTATTTCATGATTACTAAATCCAACGGATCTGGGATGTAAATAAAATACAGAAAAACCAGTATATTCTCTAGGGCTACTCTAATGGAAAAAAAACTAAAAAGTAAAAGGGGAATGTTATGGTGTTGACTTTACTACAACAGAAGGAGATCAGCAATGAGTTTGACAGTTTATTTTAATTGGTTTCCTAAACAAGCCAGAATGAATATTGTCTAGTTTTCGATAAGAAAATAACTTCAGCATTGATGAACTGGCTCCACTCAAGTATTTTACTTTTTTTCTAGACAATGGAAATCAATAGATAATGCCTATAGATAATTTATGTCTTTCAAACTTATGGTACATTGAAAAGAACTAAAGGCACATCTGATGGGTTGGTTCTGATCTAGGATACATTTAGCTTATAATGTTTAGTAATTCTTAAATGTGTGACAATATTCCCTAATAAGTTTTCCCCAGTTATTCCCCTCAAGCAATGTATAGCACAAATTAGTAGAATATGATGGGAACTTTAATTCAATAAATTAAATAAAATATTGTACTTTCTTCCTTACTCTTTTCTTTTTTGAGGGCTTTGGGAGCTTTCTTAGTTCAAGTTGACATGCAGCTCAAAGCCACCAGGCTAATATTTTATAGTGCTGTTTAGATTGTAAAAATATGGTTACAATTTCAGTTGCATTTTCATTATATAAGAAGTTCAACAATAAGCTAATTCTTTACCATTCATAAATTTGGATCTTAAAAACAGTTAGAAAAAGGTGCTGTAACGTATTTGAAATATGATACCATTATTTACATAAATTCATATCACCAATAGTGATTATTTTTGAAGATAAAACTCAAAGTAGCTATTTTATTTTAGTGTAAGAAGTCTTATGATCTCATCTTCTCACTTAGTCTACTTCTCTAAGAACAATATTCAGGATCACAAATAAAACCACATGTGATTGTTGAAAGAGTCCAATAATGCTTATAATTAGGTGAGTTACAAAGATTTACAGGAAGACTGGCTCTCTTTTCCATGTATACATGTATCTATACATATATACATACTATATAATAGAGACTATATGTACATATAGTTATATGCATGTGTATAATATACATATACACATATACGTATGTATTTTATATATGTTCTCCATTCATGGTTTTTCTAATATATATGAAACCTAAAATCCAATGAAATGAAGTAAATTATAGCTCCATTCATTGGATTCAAATGAGTACCAGTTTCATAAAATATAGTAGTTTCATCATAAACTAGAATCTAAAAATAATATAAAAAATATGTCCAAATAAATATTACATGTGATACATCATTTACATAAATACATAAAAATAATTTAAATTTTTATAAATTATATCCTAATAAAACATAAAAATTTTAGAACATTTCTCAGGTAAGTAAATATACTTCTATTAAATAGATGTAAGGGTAACTCATAGTATCCATGATGTAGATATAAAGGTAAGTCATGGTATCCATTTTGTAAACTAAATGTTGCAAAAAGCACATTTAATATATGTAGAATGTAATCTATAAAGAAAATAAGATTTAAAAAATTCAAATAAACTTTTCAACAGACAATCATGAACATTATATAGGAATTGCCCATTCTGTTATTTTTTTTTTTTACCATTTTAACTTTTAGTTTGTGAGTTAGCAGGACTCTATTTTGAGCTGACCAAAGATATCTTTGAATTATATATAGAATAAGCAGGCATATGACTTAAATGAGATATTTCTTCTCTATAGAATAAGCTGTGCCATTTATAGTACTTCATAAGATCAACTTCCTTTTTATATTTAACAAAATTCTTGAACAAATATACAGATGAATCTAGAACACATAATAGCGTATTAAAAAGGACATATGAGGACAGAAATAACAACTGGAACAAAATATGTTTGTGGTGTCTTTAAAAACATTCCTTGAAAAGTAAATTTTACCATGTAAGTTTGCAACATCAGGTTTTCCAATTAATCTATTGAATAATAATTAGTTTTTTAATATGAAATCAAAGCATAAAATAAATTTTTATGAGAAAACTATATTAAATTGTTAAAACTTAGAAAGTAAAAATATATAAATGTTTGGCTAAATCTGGGACAGATTATCTTATACCATAAAAGCAATTAATTTGAAATAGTAAATATAAAGCTATTTTAAGCTTCATGAGAGCAGGGACTAGTTCTGTTTCACTCACTTGTGCATACTTATTGTCCCAAATAATACATGACATCTTGTGGGAGTTAAATAGATCTCAATATCACTTCCAATATTAACATCTCATGCTTTAAGATGCCATAATATAAAAAAAAACTTCCGACAAATAAATAAAGGAAATTGAGATAAATCACTACCAATAATCTTTCATTTAAATAGTTTCCATGGGATGAATATCAGGAAGAAGGAAAATAGTCTGAGTAAGTAGGATTTGGAAAGCATAATGATAAACACAGTTTTAACATTCTGCATAAAATAATGATTATAATATCTAATTTGAAGAGTTAAAATGGAATTAAATGAAAAAATAGAATAGGTGTGAACGATATGATTAGAGGTAAATTACTCTAAAATCCTTATGTTGTTTGGGAGGAGAATGATGTTGATTATATTAAACTTTTTGAAGTTAAGCATGCATGTTAAAATTCTAGGTAACTTCTGAATAAATACTTCTAATATAGTAGAAGGAAAATGAGGAGAAACTCCTATTTAAAACATTTGCTAAAATTCAGCATTACTTCATAATAAAAGCCCTCAACAAACTAGGCAAACAAGGAACATACCTCAAAATATGCCATCTATGACAAACCCACAGCCAACATCATACTGAATATGCAAAAGTTGGAACCATTCCCCCTGAGAAATGGAAAAAGACAAGGATGCCCACTTTCACTATTCTTATTCACCATATTGCTGGAAGTACTAGCCAGAGCAATCATGCAACAGAGAGAAATAAAAGACATCCAAATTGGAAAAGAGGAAGTCGAATTATTGGTTAGCTCATGACATGATCTTATACTTAGAAAACCATCAAGACTCCTTCAAAAGACTCCTAGATTTGATAAATGAATTCAGTAATATTTCAGGATACAAAGTCAATGTTCAGAAATAACAATCTATACACCAATAACAATCAAGATGAGAACAAAATCAGAAAATCAATTCCATTTGCAATAGCTACAAAAAATACCTAGAAGTATATTTAACCAAAGAGGTAAAATATCTTTACAAGGAAAACTACAAAACATTGATGAAAGAAATTTTAGATGACACAACAAATGGAAACCTATCCCATGCTCATAGATTAGAATAATCAATATTGTTAAAATAACCATACTATCCAAAGCAAACTAGAGATCCAATGCAATCCCTACCAAAATACCAACATCATTTTTCACAGAATTAGAAAAAGTAATCCTAAAATTCATATGGTAACAAAAAAGAACCCAAAGAGCCAAAGAACACTTAATCAAAAAGAACCAGAGCTGGAGGCATCACATTACTTGACTCTAAATTATACTACAAGACTACAATAACCAAAACATGATACTGGTATAAAAATAAACATATGGGTCAATGGAACAGATGAGAGAACCCAGTAATAAAGACACATATCTGCAGACAAATAATCTTTGACAAAGTCAACAAAAACATACACCAGGGAAAGGACACCCTTTTCAATAAATGGTTCTGGGAAAACTGAATTGCCATATGCAGAAGAATAAAACTGAACCCCTATCTTTCACCATATACAAAAATCTACTCCAGACGAAATAAAGACTTAAATGTAAGACCTGAAACTATAAAAATACTAGAAGAAAACCTAGGGGAAAGTCTTTTAGACCTTCTTTAAACAAAGAATTTAGGACTAAGACCTCAAAAGCACAAGAAACAGAAAGAAAAAATAGACAAATGGGACTTAAACAACTAAAAACCTTCCAATAAGCAATAATAATAATAATAATAATCAATGGAGTGAACAGACAACCTGCAGAATGGGAGAAAATATTTGCAAGGTATGCATTCAACAGGTGACTGATATCACTGTACTACAAGGCTACAGTAACCAGAATTTACAAGGAATTCAACCACCACTGCCACCACCACAAAGCAAATAACCTCATTAATAAGTGGACAAATGACATGAACAGACATTTCTCAAAAGAAAACATACAAATGGCCCATAAGTATATATAAAAATGCTCAACATTACCAATCATCAGAGAAATACAAATTAAAACCACAATGAGATATCATCCAGTCAGAGTGGCTATTATTAAAAAGTCAAAAAACAACAGATGTTGAGGACAATGTGGAGAAAAGGGAATGCTTATACACTGTTGGTGGGCATGTAAATTAGTGCAACCTCTATGGTAAACAGTACGAAGATTTCTCAAGGTACTAAAAATAGAACCACCATTTAATCCAACAATCCCTCTACTCGATATCTACCCAAAGGAAAATAAATTTCTGTATCAAAAGATACCTACAGTTATATGTTTATTGCAGTACTATTCACAATAGTAAAGACATGGAATCAGGCTAGGTGTCCATCAGCGGGTGATTGTCTAAAGAAAATGTTATATATATCTCACAATGGAATACTCAGCCCTTAAAAAGACTGAATTCATGTCTTTTGCAGCAACAGAGATTGAACTGGAGGCCATTATCGTAAGTGAAACAACTCAGAAAATCAAATGCCACGTGTTCTCACTTAGAAGTAAAAGCTAAATCACGTGTACATACGGACATAGAGAGAGTAATAAGTAGACACTGGAGACTCAGATCGGTGGGAGTGTGGGAGGGGGTTGATGAATGAGAAATTACTTAGTGAGTATAATATATGTTATTTAAGTGATGGTTACACCAAAAACCCAGACTTTACCACTATGCGATATATCCACACAACAAAACTGCACTTGTGCACCTTAAATTTATACAAATAAAACATTTAAAACACCATGGGACTGTCTGTGATCTACAGTGAAACAGGTGTAGAATGAAAAGAGGAGAGAATTAAAACTGAATTCCGCAATGTCAAGAGTTAAAGACAAATAGGAAATGGCAAAGGGGATGAGAAGGATATTAGTGAGATAGGAAGAAAACCAATAAAATGTGTTGTTTCAAAGCCAATAGAAGCAAATATAATGGGAAGAAAAGAGTGACGAGTTGTGTTTGTTGTTGCTGATAGAACAAACAAAATGAGAACTGAGAATAAATCACTGTATTTGTCATCGTGGTCATTAGTGAACTAGAAAAGAGCAGTTTCAGTAGAGTATTTGGGGCTAACCTGATTGGAGTGGTTTTAAGAGACCAAGTAAATTGGAGACAGCAATTATATACAAATATTCTGATAAGTTTTCCTGCAAAAGAGAAGAATGGCATGGGAGATAATAAGGAAAAAAATGCTTTCTGGGCCGGGCGCCGTGGCTCACGCCTGTAATCCCAGCACTTTGGGAGGCCAAGGAGGGCGGATCATGAGGTCAGGGTATCAAGAACATCCTGGCTAACACGGTGAAACCCAGTCTCCACTAAAAAATACAAAAAAATTAGCCGGGCGTGGTGGCAGGAGCCTGTAGTCCCAGCTACTCGGGAGGCTGAGGCAGGAGAATGGTGTGAACCCGGGAGAAGAGCTTGCAGTGAGCCGAGATGGCACCACTGCACTCCAGCCTGAGCGACAGAGAGAGACTCTGTCAAAAAATATATATATATTTCTGATAAAAGAAATAAAATATTTGTACACTGATGTATACGAAGTGGAAAAAATGATATTGAAAAGAGGAGGATTCCTGGTACAATTAAATCCAGTAGATAACAGAAGATGCGATTTAGTTCCAACAGAGTGGCTGTTTTTAAATAGAATATCTATATATTTGTATTTTATATTTAAATATAATTTATTTATATATTATATATTTATATATTAACATATTAATATAATAAAGCTTAATTTAAAGCTTTATTGTTGAATGAAAGTCTGACTTAATAGATTATTTCTGGACCTTATTTTTAAGTAATATTATATAAAACTCTACACGACTTTGTAAATTAATGTCCACCCCCAAAAGGTATATGTTAAATTTTTATATATATATTTAAATATATATTTATATTTAAATTTATATATAAATTATATATAAATATATATTATATATAGTTTTTATATATTTAAATATATATAATTCTTAGTGTTTATATATATATATATATATATATATATATATATATATATATATGGTTGGTATGAATGTAGTAACATCGGTAAATTAGTGGAGGTAGTAATGTCTTTCTGCGAAAGTTTGCTCTTGATTGCTACAATTTTTCCAATGAAGTATTCCAACTCATGAATTTAAAGTGAGACAAGTTAGTGTAGTTTTGCTTTTATTCCCAGCCTTACTTTGCATGGATATAAGCCTGGTATAGGTGAATAATTTAATTAAACAAGATCTGTGTTTTACAAAGGGAGTGAAATAAAAGTAGCTTAAAGGAAAGGGAGTAGAGAGTATATACAAGGATTAAAATCAGAGACCATGATTTTAAGTTCAGTGTAAGAAAAACCATATCGGGAAGGTGAAAGATAGTGAAATAATGGCCATTGAATAGAGCACATGTACTGGTTAGATTGAATAAGACTTGAAGTCTGCGCACTTCAGGTGAAATTTTTTTTTTTTTTTAAAAAGAGGAAGATGAGGTTAGAGAGCAGAATATATGCATTAAAATTTGGAATGATTATCATTATGGACATAATTTCTAGGATATTTCCATGTAAATGAGTGGCTGAGGTAAGATGAAAGACAAGATCAATGGAGGAGAGGCGGTCAAAGGCAGAGATGCTAAGGTGTTGGAGATATTCTTTACATGTATATTTAAATTGCTCCAAATTAAGTCACAAAAGAGGAACTGCAAAACAGGAGTTAACATTCTTGAGAAATAGGTGTCATCTCTACCATTATAGGTTCTAATAAAGAAACTAGTTGATGTAAAATTTGTGTTTCCCAATTTTAGTTTAATTTAAAGCTTTACTGTTGAACAAAGGCTGACTTAATAGATCATTTCTGGACCTTATTTTTAAGTAATATTAAATAAAACACTACACGACTTCCACCTTATAGTAAGCGTTGGGAACTGAAATGAAACAGGAAGTCTCCATGTTATAAATGGAGCGAGAGGAGGGTGCTGTGGTTTGAATATTTGTCCTCTCCAAAACTCATGTTGAAATTTAATTGCTACTGTAACAGTATTCATAAATAGGTGACACCTATAAGAGGTGTTTAGTTCATGATGGCTCCACCCTTATGAATGGACTAATGATATTATTGTGAGAGTGGGTTCCCCCTCCCTTCCTCTCTCTCTCTTTGCCCTTCTGTCATGTGATACCTTTGTTCCTTGCCAAATGTTTGCACCTTGAGCACTTCCTAGCCTCTGGAACTGTGAGAACAAAAATGTATATTCATTATAAATTACCTAAGTTTAGTTTATTTAGCATCACAAAATAAGCTAAGACAGCAGAAAAAACTCTTTCCCAGTAGATGAGGTCAGAGCATCTTCTCAAAAGACTGATAGATACCCCTATTACAGGCAGTAATGTAACTATGTACAGATGTACCAATATAAGCAAGACATTTTTTAATTTATTTTCTTTAGAGACAGGTCTCACTGTGTCACCCAGGCTAGAGGGCAGTGTCATGATCATAGCTCACTGCAGTCTCAAACACCTGGGCTCAAGGTCTCCTCCCACCTTAGCCTCTCCAGTACTTGGGATTACAGGCACAAGCCACAATAATTAAAATTAATTTTAATTATTATTAAAATTAATAAGACTCATTAATTTTAAGAGTCTTAAACATATGGAGGTTCCCTTTAATGGTAATTAGTAAGGTTATATGAGAGCATTACAACTAAGACAATAAAGTCAGAGAAGATAAAAAGGTGAGCTGAAAGAGAAAAATAGTGGCATGGAGAATCATGTGTGACCTCTCTTAGGAGCAGAAGAAAGTATGATAATTATAGCAATGTAATTTGCTGATATAACAATATATGACAATCGGAATAACAAAACTAATGTGCTCCAACAATGTATTGTGATAAAAATGTTAACAAATTTTAAATCATTCAGGGTTGCCCTGATCTGAATGTTTGTGTCAGCCCCAATATTCATATGTTGGAACCCTAACACCACAGGCCATGGTATTATTATATTAGGAGTTGGGGCCTTTGGGAGGTAATTAGGTCATGAAAGCAGAACCCTTGTGAATGAGATTAGTGCCCTTTTAAAGGAGAACCCAGAGGGGTCTCTGGCTTCTTCCACCATGTGAGCTTACAGTGAAAGGTGGTCGTCCAGGAAACAGGTCTTCAGCCGACACTGAATCTACTGATGTTTTGATTTTGAACTTCCCAGCCTCCAGCACTATGAAAAATACATTTCCATTGTTTATAAACCACCTAGTCTATGGCATTTTGTTATAGCAGCCTGAACAGAGTAAGACAAGGGTCCACAGGGATTCTGGAAAGAAATAATGTGTGTTGGGTTAGGTAAGACTGGCTAGATTGGGCTGTGGTAACAATCTTCAAATTTTAGTAGACAACACAATAAAAGTTTATTTCTTCCTCACACTCGATGTCCATCGCAGGACAGCAGAGTGGATGTTCACTGTGGTTGCTCTAGGACCCAGGCTGATAGAGTCTTCATCCCACACTAGCATGATAATACCTAGAAGTTATACCTATCACATCTATTCACAACTTGTTAGCCAAAGCAATAAAGAAAGAGAAAGAGAATATTTATGAGTAGCCATAATGACCACAAGATGTTAATAAAATAAACCAATTAAGTCGCAAAAAAGGTTTTGAAAAATAAATATGCATAATAAGTGTTTGAGAGGTAAAAAGACTTAATTCAGCTAAGTAGTCGAAAATCTGTAACACTAGGTCATGACTTGCACCTTCTGAAAAATCTAGAAACTTTTACCACATAGTCATACCCTTTAGCTCATAATTCTCAAGGGATGAATATCGTCCCTTGTATAAAACTGATTGTAAAATTCAATATACAGAGTCCTCCCAGTCAGGTGAGAGGGACAAAATTGGGCATCTAGGCCAGCATTTTTCTTGGAAAAATTTTAGAAACATTATCCCTGACCCTGCACTTCCCTTTTTAATTTTTCTCTCATATGACTCTTAAAATTTCTTTTTAGATATAATCTAATGGTTTCACAATTTGAGATACAGGACTTAAAAAAAAGTGTCTAGTCACAGTGATAAGAACTAGATATGATTTCAGAAAGAAGAAGTTGAGATCTTCCTGCAAAACATTCAAAATCTTAGTTATTTTTCTGTCAGAAAGACTGTTTAGCTTTTGCTGTGTAAGGACAAATAAAAAGTGTATATGGAAGTATTTTGGTTATGTGTTATGCACAGCTGCACTCAGACAAGGTTAGCAGAATGTTGTTATTAAGGAAGATAATGTGGGTCAACATTTCCAAAAAACCATGATTACTTCTTTAAAAGGAAGTTTACTCCCAGAAGAGTTAATATATCACTAAAGGATTTTTGTTTTAATGGAGTGATAAGCAGAGTAGAAGAGAAGCCAGAAAGAAGAGCCCTATAGCTATTCCAATGTCACACAGCTGAGGCATGCAATGCCAAGAGAGACAGAAAGTCAATTTCCAGTTAGATCTGCATAAGATGGGAAGTTTCATGCTATAACCTCAGATATGTAAGGTGAATCTAGCACTCTCTGCAAGGCTGTCAGGATGACTCCAAAGAAATTATATTTCTTTTTTTCTTTTCTTTTCTCTTTTTTTTTTTTGAGACAGAGTCTCACTCTGTCACCAGGCTGGAGTGCAGTGGCGCAACCTTGGCTCACTGCAACTTCCACGTCCCGGGGTCAAGAGATTCTCCTGCCTCAGCCTCCCAAGTAGCTGGGACTACAGGCATGCACCACCATGCCCAGCTAATTTTTGTATTTTTAGTAGAGATGGGGTTTCACCACATTGGCCAGGATGGTCTCGATCTCTTGACCTCGTGATCCGCCCTCCTCGGCCTCCCAAAGTGCTGGGATTACAGGTGTGAGCCACCGCGCCCAGCTAGGAAGTGATATTTCTTAGAGTTCTATTGGAGAAGTTAGGAATAACAGCAATATAGACTGTGGAGAGTAATTCACAGAGACACACAAGGAAACATAAAGGGAAAATTATGTCGTAATACAAACTTTCTTTAGAAACTATATGATGGGCTGGGTGCGGTGGCTCATGCCTGTAATCCCAGCACTTCGGGAGGCTGAGGCAGCCAGATCGCTTGAGGTCAGGAGTTCAAGACCAGCCTGGCAACATGGGGAAACTCTGTCTCTAGTAAAAATACAAAAATTAGCTTGGCATGGTGGTGCACGCCTGTAATCCCAGCTACTCAGGAGGCTGAAACACGAAAATCACTTGAAACCTGGGAGGCAGGGGTTGCAGTGAGCCAAGATCATGCCACTACACTCCAATTTGGGTGACAGAGCAAGACCCTGTCTCAAAAGAAAAAATAAATAAAATAAATAATAAAATATAAAGAAACTATATAATGTATTTAAAGGTAATATTTTCAGATTAACAGCATAAAAGTAGTTATTAAATATTGATGGCGATATAGGAGAATCTGTAGGCTCATGACTCTTGAGTCATACTATTTGAAATAAAACCCAGACTTTGCTATTTATTTGCTATGTGAATTTTCACAGGTTACTTATCTTTCTGTGATTCAGTTTCTTTATCTATAAAATAGGATAAAATTAGTAGGTTTATGTTATTATTATTAAATAAGTTAACATATACAACTCATTTAGAAGAGGGCATGGTAGACAGTAAACACTCAATTAATTTTATTACTGTTATTATTCACACGAAGAATATCTTATTTGAATAATATGCCCCCTACAGGAATCTGGTAGAGTATTAAAATAAACTGCAGAATGTTAAATTATTCTCAGTAAACTGATTATAAGGAGAAACTTGCTACTAACAGTAAAATGTTTAAATGTATTCATTAGAAATATGGCCACTAGCACAACTTAAATTAATACCTATATATATAGCATATTATTTAAAAATAATTATCATGGTATACCCATATTTTGCTTTAAAATATACTCCTTTTGAAATGAGTAGATATACACAGACACACACACTACAGACACACACACACACACACACACTTGTAAGCAAATAGAACACTTCAGAAAAGGTACAAAAATCTATTCATGATGATTACCTCTGAGGAAGGGGATATTGTAGGTGTGTAATGGGAGGAGACTTAATTTTTACTGTATCATCTTTCATGTTATAATTTTTTTACTAGAGGTTCTAATAGCACTTCAGTATAATAATATGTAAAAATAGTTCCTTTCCCATATAGAGTTGTCTGTTTTGAATTATCATACGTATTTTCTGTTTCAATGAAATTGTTTTCTCTTGCTACAGGAGGCATAATTAGGAATCAGAAGACATGCGTTGAATTATGTATGAACGTTAAGGGAGCTTTTTAATTTTGGCATTAGCTTCACTTTGTTGTAAGGTAGTGCAGGGGAACACCTTATTCATTGACAACCTGCCAGAACAAGATGAAAACCAGTGCACTTTATCAAAAGGAGTATTCTCTATTTTAGATTATTTTAAAGTATATAGTTTTACAAATCAGAAAGCTATATTAGGAAGCCTTTACCATTTTATCTCTGACATCAATGAGTCAAAGTATGTTTGGTACAAATGCAAGTGACTTATCACTAGGTTATAATGGATGTCTGTGGTTCAAGGTAGCAGGGGATCCCAGAACAAAGAGTACGATTTTATTCACAGGAGAAAGAAAACAAAAAATAGCAGTGTATTCTAGTGCAATTTCCTGGAAAGTTGTGAAATAGCTTTCTTTTTATAGTGTTAAAACTGTTGTCAATGTATATTTTAAAAACACACTTTTATCTTTTATTTTTAACATATTTGCATCAACCATTATCTAATTTTAAACTTGTCATGCAAAGTTTCTTCAAAGATAGCTATTTTAAATTGTTAGTGTTAGCACTAATAATGGGGGATATTTTTACTTTTAGTTATCTTCTATAAAAAGTAAGTTAAGAAATATAAATTACTATTTTGTTAAATTCATTATCCTAAATATTTTACAGAAACTGTGCAGAATTAATTGTTTGTCTCTCTCAGACCATTCAAGCCATATTTGTTTATTAAAACTATATTATTTCAGTAATTTTATAATTATGCCAATGCTGGAAAAAGATGCTGTCTTCTGATTGAACAGAAAATCTAATGGTCTAATTCATATTTTTCTATACTTCTAAAGATATAAAATTTACTTTGAAATAAACTACTTTTTATTATTTTATTTTATTTTTAATTGACACACAATAATTGTACATATTTATGAGATACATAGTGATGTTTCAATACTTATAATGGATAGTGTTCAGATCAGGTGAACTGACACATCCGTCATCTCAAACATTCATCATTTATTTGTGTTGGGAACATACCATATCCTCCCTCTAGCTATTTGAAGCTATGTAACATATTACTGTTAACTATCATCCAACAGTGGTAGAGAACACTAGAAATTATTTCTCCTATCTAGATGTAATTTTGTATTCTTCAACAAACCACTCCCTACCTCAACCTTTCCCTTTCCTTCTCAGTCCCTAATATTCTCTGTTCTACTTTTTACTTCTATGAGATCAACTTTTTTATAACATATTTTAACATTCACTTAAGAGTGAGAACATGTGGTATTTAACTTTCTGTTCCTGGCTTATTTCACTTAATATAATGTCCTCCAGTTCCATTCATGTTGCCACGAATGACAGGATTTCATTCTTTTTATGGCTGAATAGTATTCCATTATGTACATATATCATATTTTCTTCATTCATTAATCTGTTGGTGAACACCTACGCTGATTCCATATCTTGGCTATTGTGAAGAGTGCTACAATAAAAATGAGAGTGCAGATGTCTCTTTGACTTAATGATTTCCTTTCCTTTGAATAATTTCCCAGTAGTGGAACTGCTGAATCATATGTTAGTTCTATTTGTTGTATTTTCAGGAACACACACTACTGTTCTCCATGGTGGTTGTACTAGTGTACATTGCTACCAACAGTGTCTAAGAGTTCCCTTTTCTCCACATTCTCACCAGCATTTGTTATTTTGTTTTGTTTTGCTTTTGATAACATCCATCCTAACTTGAGTGAGATGATATCTCATTCTTGTTTTGACTTTCATTTCCCTGATGATTAATAACAAACTACTTTCTAATATGCAAAATATAATGGGTCAGCTATAATATTTTCCATCTTCTGAAAACTGTGGTCATGAATAACTAATATCTAACAATAGTATTTAAAATACAACTTCTAAACTATTATTTATTTAAACAGTATCTTTCTCTAACATGGTAATGGTAGAATAATGATTAATAATATAAAGTGTAAAAACTTTATATATTTTCATTTTCAGTTAGCTTTTAAATAAACTCTCTTTCGAAGGAACCAAAGTAAGACCTGCTGCTGTATTATTTTTAATTTAACAGAGGATTCAAAAACAAAGTAATATAGATACATAGTTTTCAAAGCAAAGTAAATACAATTGGAATGGCAACATGATCTTTTTTATTTATCAGTAATTCAGCACATAATCACCAAGAAATTCCCCATATATGTGCTAAATTATATTCAGCTGGATATTGGGAGAATGGGGTAAGAAATATTAGAACCTTAGACTCCTTTAACTCCATTTACTGCCTCCTGCCTTTGTACCCTTCATATATCTTGTTTCTCTATATGTTTTCAGTCTCACAAGGTATTACTTGCAATTTACTGATTAATTTTTTCAGGATTTGTTTTTTTGAAACATCTTTATTTCACCTTTATATTTAAATGATATTCTAACTGATTATAAATATTCTAGGTTGATGGTTACTTGCTTTAAGCACTGTAAAGATATGATCCCATTGTCATTTGGCCTCCAATGTTACTGCTGAAAAATCAGCTGAATTTCTAATTGTTCCTTATTTAAAAGCAATCTTTTTCTTTGGCTGCCTTTAAAATGCTTTTTCATATAGGTTTTGGAGAAATTTTACCATGGTATGCCTAGCTGTAGTTTTATTTTTATGTACTGTGCTTGTGGTTGGTTAATAGAGCTTTTTGAATCTGTGGCTTGATATTTTTTATCAGTATATAAAATGTTCCCAAAAATATTTTCACAATTATCTCTTCAAATGTGATATCTACTTCCATTCTGTTTCTTTTCTCATTCTGATACTCTAAATTCAAGTATTCTAGATGTATTCCATGTATGTTTTAATATCTCTTCTGTACTTTACATCTTTTTATCTTAGTACTTTAGTCTAAATATTTTCTTCTACATTTCAGTTAATTCACTTTTCAACCATGTCTAAACCGTTTAAACCCATCCATTGATATCTAAATTTCAATTATTATATTTTTATTACTACAATTTTATTTTTGTTTTTCTTCATCTGATGAAATTTTCATATCATCATCTAAAAAGTAATTTTGAACTCTATGTGGGTTAACTACAATATCTAGTTCTTCCGATAACTGTTTTTTTATCTATTTTCCTCTTGATTTTCATTTAAGTCTTGTTCTTTTGCATGAGTTATATTGACTAAATGCTAAAACTAAAATTGTAGAAATAATTTGAAACTCTTGATGATGTTATCGTCTTTCAGAAAGGTTTTTCTCTTTGTTTTTGGCAGCCACTTAGTGCACAAAATATTTGAGGTGCCTGGTACCACATTATCTTGGACCACCTGACTTCAGTACAGCTGAGGTGTACAATTGCAGGTATAATGTCAGTATTCTCTTTAACGGTAAACATCAGCATTTTGGTGCCTCTTTACCTAAAAATCTTTCTTCAATACCATAGAAGCCTGCTCCAAAACTATACATAGCCATGGTCTTGAACTGCAGAGGAAGTAGTGCTTTGGGGAATAATCTTTAATCAACAAAGGATAGGAGTCAGTAAATAAATGCTCGAGCTTTCACATCCTTCAGTAAGGGATAATTCTGAAGTAATTTCTGCGTGGTTCCTCAGAGAATTACCTGTTGGTTTGAGACCCAATTGCCTTCAGTAGTGACAAGATCAATAAAACACTCCTTATTGATTTTTGCCTCCTCCTCTGATATTTTCTCTCCATTATCTCTTTCTGCTTCCAGAATAATGTCTTAAGCAGACTATTTACATCCAGATTTTTGCATCAATCTTTGCTTTTATATTAAATTAAGACAAGGTGGATTGTCTTAATCCAATCATGAATTGAATAGATTTGAAACTAGGCTTTAATCTTTGGAGAGCTAGTCAATTTCCACTTCACTCTTTCCTCTAGATTAAAGGCCTTTGGAAGACTAAAATTGCCTGAACTAGTTTCCCATTTTTCCTAGCTGCTGCTTACTGCTCAGCGTCTCAGCCTCTGCTCTTGAACTAGTAAATTTCTCAGTTCCTCTCCAATGCCTTTAAATAGATGTATTTGTCTGTGTCTCTGGTTCCTCATCAGTAAAGCGGATTCACCTGTTTGCTATTGTACAGCCTTTCTAGTCTCACTGAGAAAGTTGATATAAATTTATTTCCACTTAAAAAAGTTATTCAGAGCTAATGTAATTAAATATGTTGCTCAGAATAGCTTCTTGAACCTGAATTGCATGAGCTTTTCAATAGTATTTAAAAATAACAAAATATTGATTGTTTTTGGAAAATTATAATGCATAATCATAAGACAATATCATGATACATTTTCAAAGCCAAACCAAAATTTCCTTTACACCAATCATGGAATTTGTATTATGTATTACAGTATATTTTCTAGGGATAGGAATTTAGTATTTTTAAAGTCATAATATGTTAAAATTAGTACCGTTTGGTAGAGTACATGCTGTTTTTTAGACTACAAGATTTAAGGCATGAAATTATTATATGTTAAGACCTCTGAACAATTGCTTCTAGATGAAAGTTATGGTGTTACATAAGAAATTTCATGGCACTGTGCAATGTAAGTTCACATTTAGCTCTGACTGCAAGCAGAAAATAACTCTTGTTTCCAAAAGAGGTTTAAATAATCCTTTAATCCTCAGTGTCTGCATAATGCTGACCGCTAGGGAGAAAATAATTATGTCAGAGGGGAAAAATAGTTACTAAGTGCTCTTATAAGAAAGATGTTGACATATTGTGCAGCCATTTGAGATAACAAGTAAAGTAATTACTATTTTTGCATAGACTATTGGAGGCATATCACACTTTTATAAAGTCTGTGAACTTTGAGCATTTGTTGCAAGAAAAACAGAAAAGGTGCTAACTTCAGGAAACTACCTCCTCCATGGTGTTCTCGTTACCTTGTACATATCCATATAGCCAAAGACTTGATTCACAGCTTATTTGAGTCTTGGCAGAACATCTTATGATAATCAATAATCTTACAATAGGGAGGGGATAAGAGGCCTGAAAAGAGCTACTATGAGGCCATCTTCTACTCATCTCCCTGTCTTCCCTGAGAGGCTGTCATGAGAAAGTTTCTCACCACCTCTGTGTTTTGATAAGTTATGAAGCTTTCTGCCCCACTCCCCTCAGATTAGAGTGTCAGAATATAAAAATACTTAGGTGCAGGCTATATTTGGCTCCTTAGCAATGATGCATCCCACAGATGGCACTGCACTCATCTGGCTCCTGTTGTTTTAATTTATCCTTTTCAGTGTGTGGGACAAGAAACTGGTACCTTGGCCTAATCTTGTTTTCACTGACTATATAAGAAATAAACTGTCTAAATCTAAAATTGTCTCACTGTATCTTTACCAAATAATTCAGGCCTCAGGTTTGGCCTTGCCTGTCTTGTGTGTTTGCTTCAGTAACAGTATCTGCAAATTGAGTGTGCTACATGAGATAGCATGGAGCATATAGAAAGAGTCCAGGAGAACTGAAACAATAAACAAATTAAGGTAGTTTGAATGGAGATCTATTGGTGGTCATATAATCCATCTTAGTTGATTATAATCATTACTTTTAAATAATAAAATGGAAACTGAGGAGAAAATTAGAATATAATAGCATAATTATAGGAAAAAATCATTAGTATATAATAGAGCTAAGCTAAAAATAGTTGTTTTGTGAAACTTATATTTTGGTTATTTATACACGTATCCCTCAGTATCAGTTAACTCTGTATGGTCACAATAATGTTGTATTTAAAAAAATGAAAACATTGAATGTCAGCTACATAGAACAATAAGATTTTAATTAGCTCACAAGTTGGTGGGTAGTCTAGGATTTGTTCATTCTAGTCTACACTTAGCTGAGTTTCAACCAGGCTCGTTGCCTCTGCTGATCTCAACTAGCTTTATTCAGTGGACTGATCTGCAGTCAGTTTGGCTGGGTTGGATCTGATCCATGCATTTATGATTCTCCTCCTGGGAACAGTACAGAATGCTGGCCTTGCATGTTCTTCTCATGTCAATGTAGAGGCCAAGAAAGAAGACCCAATTACACAAATGCTTTTCAAGCCTTGGTTTACATTACATTTTCTAATATCTAGCCAAAGCAAGGTCCTTTTAAACCTAGAACCAAGTGATGGAGAGCTACAGTTATCCCAATAGTAGGAGGGCACTTCAAAGATAGATGGCAGAGTGTGGATGTAATTCTACTACTGGAGAGGGAGTAAAGAGTTGGAACAGTAATGCACTCTGCCACATCCACCCTAGCTGAAGTGACTCCATCTGAAGACATGTTTCAATTGAGTGCAATCACGTGTACTCAAAAGTCTGTATCCAAATCAAAAAGCAGGACAATGAATCTATATGTATGAGGAAACAAAAACACTTAAATTGCCTGTGAGTCTGGAAAGAAAATATAAAATTAACTTGTCATCATATATCAACTTTTCTTCCAACAGAGTCATGTTTTGTGTGCCTGTCATTTAAGTGTATTGTGTATTATGGTGACTACCTTTCCTACATTATTACCTACATTATTAAGTAAAAAAAAAATAGTCTTCAAAAATAGGTAAAAGGCTTTGAAGAAGGTAATTGAACTTAAAACCCCTAGAAAAGCCCATTCATTAGAAAAGTTAAAAGTTATAAACTGTATGTATAAAAGAAAACACATAAAAGTTGTAAATTTAGACATACATATGAACAAGAAAATGAGCAAAAAATTATTTTTTGTTTAAAAAATGTGTGTTCAATTCTGGAAAGCTTTACCATATTACCAAAGTACAATATAATCTTTTAAAAATAACTAGAGAATACCTTGTGCCATAGATCAAGTGGCTATCAATTAGTATAGAATGCCATTAAGCATAATGTTGATGTAACAGAATATGTTGAGCATGTTAAAAAATCTGAAGAAGAAGATAATAGAGAAGGGAGTTTAGGAGGTGAAGAATGTGAGTTTCAATGGAAACACTGGATTGATCAAATGTACTAAGAAATGT
This sequence comes from Homo sapiens, assembly GCF_000001405.40. Lineage (NCBI taxonomy): Eukaryota > Metazoa > Chordata > Mammalia > Primates > Hominidae > Homo > Homo sapiens. Next base: position 82,039,421 of record NC_000012.12, read on the forward strand.
GCAAATGTATATAACTTGAATATCAGATAAAGTACATTCCATGGATAGTGAGACAGGGGAGGTTTTTGCCAATGGATTGCAACAAACTTTGATAAAGTAGTTATAGTGTAAAATTTATTTTAATGCTTGTTACTAAGGCACTCAGTCAACTTAATTTTCACTGTTGATGTAAAGAAACAGCTATACTTGCTATCAAATCTTAGAGGAAAAAAATATTTTAAAGAGAAAATCATGTATGACCATGACACAACCTAGACACTTATTTTCAAAAATGCAATTGCAAATACGTTCTGTTTATCAGGACCTGCATCTAATGAGCAAAAGGGTCTTAAGAAGAAATTTATTTTAATTTTTGAAAATCATGTTCCTTTTTTAAGGTTTAATATGATGGCTAATATATAGACATTCTCTTAGAAGAATCTTGAGACCCAGGAAAAATGATTGTCCACCAGATCTTTGAATTCAGTCACAGACGAACCTTTGGCATTTACTATTTTTTCTAATTTTCTATTTTATTTTTATTTTTATTATATTATATTTTATTTTTTTATTTACTTTTTTTTACTATTACTTGCTCATTTACGAGCTCATTCTTGTTCATCACTCATCAGCACCAATGACTATAAGCTCTATCTCCATCCTCTCACCATCAAGCCTTACCTTCCCTCAATTGATAAGGAGATGTAATTTTTAGCCTTTAGTTTTTTTATTTTGCTAAATGTATTTATATTCATTGTGAGTCTTTAAAATGTTATTTCATTAATCATTTATTTATATTACATTATGTTATAAATCCTTTGCAGTAAAAAAGGATAATGTAACTTGTACCTACTACCAGATAGTACCATTGAATTTCTCCCCAAAATATACCTACAAATGACTTAATTGTTATATAAATAATTAATTAAATTTTAAATCATTGATCTTTTAATTTTTTATATTATACGGAAAATAGAATTTTACATATTTATTTGAGTTGTTCTAATAATATCTGGAAAAGTTTTAGGGGATTTTTATAGCCTCCCATTATTTATATATAAATGCAAAGGTAACGGAAAGATTTGGTTTGTCAGAGTCAAGGAAGAGTGGAACACAAAGGTTTTCTAAAATATATTTCTCATGTAAGTTTAAAACCATATTTCCACTGAAAATTGTGTTAGTCTACATAACTCTTTAGCTTTCCTCACACTCATTAGGCATTAGATGACTAATAAATTATAAAAGTAAAGACTTATGGCCAATTTTATGAAGTACCTCCATAAGGCATGCGGCCTCCGAAGCCCCTAACTATTCACATAACTACGCAATTGTACAATAGCCATAACAAAATTGCTCTGTTAAGCTTGGATCAATAATCACTCTATTTTTGTGATTTTTTACAAAAGAAATAAAGACAATTAGGGTTCATTTATCCATGTTTTCTCAAACATCGTCTTCTTTGTGAGCAAACTTGAGTAATCTACTCAGCTGCTTCCTAAGATCGCTTTTTACCAACTTGTTAAACACTCCCAAATCTTTTGTCAGCCTAATACAGGCCATATATGGTGTTAAACTGACTTTAGCCTAAAGCTGCCTCCTTACATATTTTAAGTTCAGCCTAAAGATTTCTCCATACATAGTGAACTTAACTGGATGTGTAAACAGACTTCAACCTACTCTTGTACCATCACCAAGTTTCAGCCAACCAAAGGTGGCCAACTGTTCAAACTGTGTTCAAATAAGGCAAACACTGAGCTGTAACCAATCTCACTGTTTCTGTACCTTCCTTTCATTTTCTGTACCATCACTTCCCTTTTTCTGTCCATAAATGTTCCTCTGCAAAATGGCTATGCAGGACTCACTGAGCCTACTCTGGTTCAGAAGATTGGCTCATGCATGGATAGTTCTTTGCTCAGTTAAACTCTTAAGTTTCATTTGTCTAAGGTTTTTCTTTTAAAGTAGGTACCTAAAAGTAGAGTAAATACACTGGTATTTAGCAGGATTAGATGCTTCTAAAAATCCTAACAAAGTACATAAAATTTACTCAGGATATGAAACTGGAGTTTCCGGCTTTAGTTCAATAATTTAGAATTTATGTGGTAGTTTCTTGCAGCTTTAGAAACTCGTGCTCATACAGAAAGTAAAGATCTTCAATAGTCTGTGAGATTTAAATCAGTTCTAGCAGAATCTCAGCAATGGATAGCAATAGTTAAGGTCCAGAGATCAACAAGCACATTTTTTTTTTCCTCTCTGGCTATGAAAAGAAGAAGCACTTTTTTTTTCCTCTCTGGCTATGAAAAGAAGTAACCTTAAAAATTTGCTACAAATAAAAATTGCAAGCATCTGAAATATTCATTCACATTCCCCCAAGATAATTTCACATAGAGCATAATAATTTGTATTTGACCCTCTGCCTCTGAGGAGTTCTACTTACAGCTTATTAACTAATAATCAACTTGCAGAAAGCTGAAGGTATTGTGTGCCTTGTTGGCAATTATTTCATTTCTAATAAATTCCTAATTAATAATTTTCTGCAGTTGAAGACATTGTCTAAACTCACCCAAGACTCAAGCTTATATAACAGGATTTTTTCCCACATTTTATCTATTGAGATGTAGTTGATACACAAAAAATTGCACGCATTGACTGTGCAATTGATGAGTTAGGACATATGCATAGACCTATGAAACCATGACCATAACAAAGATAGTAAATATATATATCACCTCCAAAACTTTTCTTGTGTTCTTTTGTGGGTTTTGTTTTTTGCTTCTTTTTTTCTTTTTCAAAAGAACAAAACATGAGATCTACCATCTTAAAATATTTTAAAATTTACAATACTGTATTGTTAACTATAGATACTATGTTGTTTACCAAATCTCTGTAACTTACTTATGTTTGCAAAAGAAACTCTGTACCCACCAAAAAAAAAAACCTCCATTTCTCTCTTCCTCCCCACCAAGCCCTCGGCAGCCACCATCCTATTTTCTGCTTCTCTGAGTTCGGGTATTTTACATACCTCCTATAAGAAGAGTCATGTAGTATTGGTCCTTTTGTGACTGGCTTATTTCATTTAGCAAAATATCCCCCAGGTTCATTCATGTTGTCACAATGACAGAATTTCTTTCTTTATAAAGCTGAGTAATATTCTTCTATGTATATAACACAGTTTCTTTATTCTTATGCACATGGACATTTGCATTGTTTCCATATCTTTGCTAGTATGAATGTTGCTCCAATGAACATGGGGTACAGATACTTCTTCAAGATCTTTATTTTAATTATTTCACAAGCACATGAAACTAGAAATCAGTAACAGGAGGAAAATTGGAAAATTCTCAAATATGTGGAAATTAAACAACATATTCCTAAAGAAACAAGGGGTCAAAAAGAAATCCAAAGAGAAATTAAGACATATCTTGAGCCAACTGAAAATGAAAACACAACATGCCCAAACTTATGGGATACAGCAAAAGCAGTACCAAGAAGGAAGTTTATGGCCATAAATGCTTACACTTAGAAAGAAGAAAAATTTTCAAATAAACAACTAAACATTATACCTCAAGGAACTAGAAAAAGAACAAAGTAAGTCCAAAGCTAATAAAAGGAAGGAAATAAAGACTGGAGCAGAAATAAATGAAATAGAGACTAGAAAAACAATAGAAAATATCAACAAAACTGAAATGTGGCTTTCTGAAAAGATAAAATTGGCAATTTTTTTTTAAAAGAAAAGAATCAAATAAATGAAATTGGAAATGAAACAGGAGACACTACAACTGATACCAGAAAAATACAAAGAATCATAAAAAATATTATAAATTTTTATACATCAACAAATTGGATAACCTAGGAGATATTGATACATTCAAGAAACAAACCACCTACCAAGACTGTATTTTGAAGAAAAGGAAAATATGAACAGAACCAATAATGAGTAAGGACATTAAATTGGTAATCAAAAACGTTCCAGCAAAGAAAAGCCCAGGACCAGATAACTTTAGTGATGAATTCTAACAACCATTTAAATAATTATTGTCATCCTTCTCAAATTTTTCATATGTATTTTAGATTTAAAGCTAATCTCCAATAAGAAAAATCTAAAAGTTAGTCTTAAAAATCATAGTTTCTTTTAGGACTACTTTTAGAGGACCAAAAAAGTAAGTCCCACTCCTAGTTCAGAAATAACCTGTCCCCAAACTATATAGAAGCCAGTTATACAGATATTTATATATGTATATTTATATAAATATTTATATATAATAAATATATATATTTGTCTCTTTTTTGCAAAAAGATATTCACATTTCATCTCTCAAAGCACTCAAAAGATATGTATTTAAAGATATGTCTCCTACATTTAAATAGAGGTAACTATTAGAGTTGTAATATTCCATTAGTTAATGTAGTATATGGCAATGAGCTGTTCTATGATGTTTCTCTGGCTGAATAAAGCTGGGAAGAATCAAATGAATGGCATAGTGCTGTACACAGGTATTAATGCTTATAAAATTTATTGCAAATTCAATACCACAGAGGAGAAGACCTCTGTGTGTACAGACTACTTACCAATAGAGACTGTTATTTTCTATTCCACCAGAGACACCTCATGAAACAATCTGGATTGGAATTTGACTCTTCCCACTTTTTTCAGGGGATGACATTCATTTTACTTTTATAAACTTCATAAAAAGAGAACATTCTTTATTGAAGGATATACTAACTCTGCACAATGGATCAGACAGCATATCCCATAATACATTGAAGTTATCCCTATCTGAGACACTAAGATGCTTGTATTAGCCTCAGAACTTTGCACAGTGCTGCACATAAGTAGCATTCAAGGAATGTTAGTGGAATTGAAACTTATGCACTACAACATATCTCATTACATTTTTAGAACAAGATCATGATATGGGAAAATGGCAAGATTTAGAGTCAGTATGCCCAAGTTTGAGTGCAAACTCTGATATTTACCAGTATGATGTTGTCAGAAATGTCACTTAACCTCAGTAAGTCTCAATTTTCTCTTATATAAAAGAAGGATTAAAATAGCTTTCTAACAAATTGTTGAGAGAATAAAAAATACAGAAAATATGAAGATGTTTTGTAAAATGCAGTATCCAAATACTCTCGAAACATGGTTAAATAGAAATAAAACATCAAAAACATTAACCCAGAAAGATGATGCAAAAATTTTAATTAGTGTTACAGTATCACTGATGTTTGTCATCTATTGTGCTCTGGAATAAGCATTACTTCAAATTAACAGTAACTTAGTTTAAATAACTGAGTAATATTGGCACCACAAGAATGCACCAAAATCAAATAACATAGAAATATTCCTAGATTAATCATTCATCCACTCACTGCAATTAGTTCATTTGTTTCCCCTTTTTCTTATTGGCAATTCTTCTGTTCACTTTCATTTCTTGGACATTAATGTATAATAAGGCAAAAGATTTCCATTCATTAGTGAATATATACTAAATTATGGTGAAGTCATGTTTTGATAATATTATGTTTAATTCTAATCTAATGTTGATCTTGTACATTTCCCCACCTATGGGAATGACAGAAGAATCTGATAGGAAAAAGAAAATGTTAGTGCAACAATATGGAAAGATCCAAGGTTAGATAGCAATGGGAAAATGAATAATAAATAAGATAAAAAGATTATGAGTAGCACTAATGTCATATAACAGCAAGAATACATGATAGCAATGTAATACATATTTGAAAAATTACTATATCACATTCTACCTTTCAGGTAAATGTTTATAGAAGCAGCTAATTAGGTTTGAACTAGCCAAGCCTACTGTGTAGAATGAAGGACTGCTGGTTTCCTGAGAATCTTTATCTAAAAAAATATTGTTTGTAAATAAAACCAGGCACGGAGCAATTGTGGCACTTCAAAAATCCCAAACAGCCCTTACATGTTGATCATATCTGAAGGCTATCTTAATGTATGATGTGTTTTCTAGAAATTACCTTTAAATACTGTTTATAAAATACTGCATTTCCACTATATAGCAACAGGAAATAACACCTATAATTATAATCATCTTTGCATTTATTATGCTTCAATATTTTCTTCAAAAAAATCATAGCTTCAGATTACATATGGCTGGTCCCCCGCTTTTAGTCTCTGCACTCCTGAACCTCTGCATTGATTCAATCACAGGGTCTTGCCAGTTCCACCTCCAGTATTTTTCTATTCATCTACTTAACTGTGCTCTCTGCTTCTGATTATATCACCTTTCCTAACCCAGTGCATCCTCCAAAGTGCAGCTAAAGTAAAATATTGTCTCTTCTATCCACATCCGACTATCTCATTCCACCCTAAAATTTCCCTTCAGTTGCCCACTGTCTTTAAGACTTTAAAAGATACTAATGTATAACCGAATTTGCATTTCCTTCAAAGAATGTGTAGGGTCTTTCAAAATGGAAAAATCGCACCATAGCAGACTGTTGAAAATGAATATTTTCAAGTACACAGATTTCTTGTTTATTCCTTCACCTGCTTATTCTCCACGTTTTCTCTAATTGTAAGTACTATAAGAACAAGAGTTATATCAATTTTATTCACTGATATACCTCCAGTTTCTCAAATAGTGCATGGTACTTGGCAAATATTCCATAAATATCTATTAGTATTACATGAACAAAGGAATGAATGAATGAAATATGACCCTAAGATGTCCTATCAACAGCTTCTCACTTTTTCATAGATCCCATTCTTCTACAAACTGAGGTTCTAAGAGTAACTATCCAAGGGGCCAAAGAGTGCTTAATAGACCAATCTCAACTATCTGATGTTAGATACAGTTAATGGATTGCCTGGTTCAAGTAATGATTATATCTATATGTTAAGGAAAATGAATCTGGGATCAACAGGAAACACTGAATATTAGAAGATTGTGATCTTACTATTGACTGTCCCTAGTAAGCTGTGAGATCATGAGCAGGTAACTCAATGAAATGGATTTTGCATTTCCTCATCTGTAAGAGAAGTACGGCTAGATAGTTGGTCTCTCAGATCACCTCTGTAAATTTAACTTCGATGACTCTAGAAATTACATTGTTGATTTGTTTTCCTTTTCCAGAAGAATGGAATATTTTTTCCACTACTGGGTATCTACTCATAGGAAAAGAAGTCATTATATGGAAAAAAAAAAACACATTTGCACACATATGTTTATAGCAGCACAGTTAACAACTGCAAAAATATGAAACCAGCCTAAATGCCCTTCAACCAATGAGTGGATAAGAAAAACATGGTATATATACACCATGGAATACTACTCAGCCATAATAAAATAATGGCATTCGCAGCAATTTGGATGGAGTTGGAGACAATTATTTTAAGTGAAGTATCTCAGGAATGGAAAACCAAATATCATATGTTCTCACTTATAAGTGGGAGCTAAGTTATGAGGACCAAAAGGCATGAGAATGGTATAGTGGACTTTGGGGGATCAAGGAGAAGGGTGGGAGGGTGGCGAGGGATAAAAGACTACACATTGGGTACAATGCAAACTGCTCAGGTGATGGGTGAACCAAAATCTCAGAAATTACCACTAAAGAACTTATCCATGGAACCAAAAACCACCTTTTCCCCAAAAAGCTACTGACATAAAATAAAGATTAAAAGCAAAATAGAAATTTTCAAAAAAAAGAAAGGAGATTGGGATATTTTCATTTAGCATATAATTTAACATATAAGCACTTTATGAAATAAGACTTACTTATTTTTATCTTTATTTTTATTTATGGCATACAACAATAAAAATATATCATATGAAAATATAAAATATGAAAATAGAAAATATAACTTTAGAAAATATGCCCTAAATGGAATTGCACTGACTGAAATAACTCTTCTTTTTTCCTGATTACAAATTTTAGGTGAATGTTTTTGTAATTTCCATCCAAAAAAGTGCTCCCTAACCAAACTGCTCAGGATAGTCCAATTTACCTTAAAGATGAATTAAGTAGTATTTATTACACAGCAAGGAATCAAGATCTTTTCTCTATACCTTAGGGAATTGAATAATACATTCATTTATATGGGCAAAGAGCTTAATTCTTGTTATTAAATTGTAAATTGCCAACATTTAAAGACCCATGGTATTCAATTTTCTTAAACTAATTAAAAACAAATAGGAGTTATTTTGTTTTCACCATCTTTATAAAAATCCCTGATTAACATGCCAGATGCCACAGCTCTTCAAGCCTGATGAAGGCTCCCTGGAGTTCGTGTCCTTTGATCAGTTGTTGCCAAAGAAGTGAAGCAGATTGTGCAAGCCTGCAGAATCATATGATCTCATTCTTCTTGGGGAATTGCTGCTATAAGAAAAGTCAACTGCCTTGATAAAAAAAATTTACAATTATAAAATATCCAGATACTGACAAATTTTAAACGCAGGTCAGTGATATGGTATTCCATGACATTCTAGTTATAAAGCCTCCATCTCAATTCCTTCGCATGCATTTTACTGTCATGGAAGTAAAATGCTTCACCACAGCCAGGCTAAAGGGAGAGATGCTTTGACTGGTGCAGCGTGTGTTTATGGATATCATTAAATAAAAATGGAAGATAAGGAAAATTATAAATTGCTTGAGCCATCTTATTTTTTTATTTTTATTTTTGAGATAGGGTTTCGCTTTGTCACCAGGCTGGAGTGCAGTGGTTCTAACACGGCTCACTGTAGCCTCGAGGCCCCAGGCTCAGACAATCCTCTTGCCTCAGCCTCACAAGTAATTGGAACTACAGACATGTTCCACCATACCCAGCTAATTTTTGCATTTTTTTAAAAGACAAAGTTTCACCAGGTTTCCCATGCTGGTCTCAAACTCCTGAGCTCAAGCAATCTGCCCTCCTTGGCCTCCCAAAGTGTTGGGATTATAGGTGTAAGCCACCATGCCCAGCAAGCCACTTTATTTTTAAATTTAATTTTCACTTTCAGAGCCTGTTATTGGTCTATTCAGAGATTCAACTTCTTCCTGGTTTAGTCTTGGGAGAGTGTATGTGTTGAGGAATTTATCCATTTCTTATAGATTTTCTAGTTTATTTGCGTAGAGGTGTTTATAATATTCTCTGATGGTAGTTTATATTTCTGTAGGATCGGTGGTGATATCCCCTTTATCATTTTTTATTGCATCTATTTGATTCTTCTCTCTTTTCTTCTTTATTAGTCTTGCTAGCAGTCCAACAATTTTGTTGATCTTTTCAAAAAACCAGCTCCTGGACTTATTGATTTTTTGAAAGGTTTTTTGTGTCTCTATCTCCTTCAGTTCTGCTCTGATCTTAGTTATTTCTTGCCTTCTGCTAGCTTTTGAATGTGTTTGCTCTTGCTTCTCTAGCCCTTTTAATTGTGATGTTAGGGTGTCAATTTTAGATCTTTCCTGCTTTCTCTTGTGGGCATTTAGTGCTATAAATTTTCCTCTACTCACTGCTTTAAATGTGTCCAAGAGATTCTGGTATGTTGTGTCTTCATTCTCGTTGTTTTTAAAGAACATCTTTACTTCTGCCTTCATTTCGTTATGTACCCAGTAGTCATTCAGGAGCAGGTTGTTCAGTTTCCATGCAGTTGAGCGGTTTTGAGTGAGTTTCTTAATCCTGAGTTCTAGTTTGATTGCACTGTGGTCTGAGAGACAGTTTGTTATAATTTCTGTTCTTTTACATTTGCTGAGGAGTGCTTTACTTCCAACTACATGGTAAATTTTGGAATAAGTGCAGTGTGGTGCTGAGAAGAATGTATATTCTGTTGATTTGGGGTGGAGAGTTCTGTAGATGTCTATTAGGTCCGCTTGGTGCAGAGCTGAGTTCAATTCCTGGATATCCTTGTTAACTTTCTGTCTCATTGATCTGTCTAATGCTGACAGTGGGATGTTAAATTCTCCTATTATTATTGTGTGGGAGTCTCTGAAATTGAGGCAATAATTAACAGCTTACCAACCAAAAAAAGTCCAGAAACAGATGGATTCACATCCAAATTCTACCAGAGGTACAAGGAGGAGCTGGTACCATTCCTTCTGAAACTATTCCAATCAACAGAAAAAGAGGGAATCCTTCCTAACTCATTTTATGAGGCCAGCATCATCCTGATACCAAAGCCTGGCAGAGACACAATAAACAAAGAGAATTTTAGACCAATATCCCTGATGAACATCAATGCAAAAATCCTCAATAAAATACTGGCAAACCGAATCCAGCAGCACATCAAAAAGCTTATCCACCATGATCAAGTAGGCTTCATCCGTGGGATGCAAGGCTGGTTCAACATACACAAATCAATAAACGTAATCCAGCATATAAACAGAACCAAAGACAAAAACCATACGATTATCTCAATAGATGCAGAAAAGGCCTTTGACAAAATTCGACAGCGCTTCATGCTAAAAACTCTCAGCAAATTAGGTATTGATGGGACATATCTCAAAATAATAAGAGCTACTTATGACAAACCCACAGCCAATATACTGAATGGGAAAAACTGGAAGCATTCCCTTTGAAAACTGGCACAAGACAGGGATGCCCTCTCTCACCATTCCTATTCAACATAGTGTTGGAAATTCTGGCCAGGGCAATCAGGCAGGAGAAAGAAAAAAAGGGTATGCAACTAGGAAAAGAGGAAGTCAAATTGTCACTGTTTGCAGATGACATGATTGTATATTTAGAAAACCCCATCATCTCAGCCCAAAATCTCCTTAAGCTGATAAGCAACTTCAGCAAAGTCTCAGGATACAAAATCAAGTGCAAAAATCACAAACATTCTTATACACCAATAACACATGAACAGAGAGCCAAATCATGAGTGAACTCCCATTCACAATTGCTTCAAAGAGCATAAAATACCTAGGAATCCAACTTACAAGGGATGTGAAGGAACTCTTCAAGGAGAACTACAAACCACTGCTGAACAAATAAAAGAGGATACAAACAAATGAAATAACATTCCATGCTCATGGATAGGAAGAATCAATATTGTGAAAATGGCCATACTGCCCAAGGGAATTTATAGATTCAATGCCATCCCCATCAAGCTACCAATGACTTTCTTCACAGAATTGGAAAAAACTACTTTAACATTCATATGGAACAAAAAAAAGAGCCCATATTGCCAAGTCAATCCTAAGCCAAAAGAACAAAGCTGGAGGCATCACGCTACCTGACTTCAAACTATACTACAAGGCTACAGTAACCAAAACAGCATGGTACTGGTACCAAAACAGATATAGACCAATGGAACAGAACAGAGCCCTCAGAAATAATACCACACATCTACAACTATCTGATCTTTGACAAACCTGACAAAAACAAGAAATGGGGAAAGGATTCCCTATTTAACAAATGGTGCTGGGAAAACTGGCTAGCCACATGTACAAAGCTGAAACTGGATCCCTTCCTTACACCTTATACAAAAATTAATTCAAGATGGATTAAAGACTTACATGTTAGACCTAAAACCATAAAAACCCTAGAAGAAAACCTAGGCAATACCATTCAGGACATAGGCATGGGCAAGGACTTCATGACTGAAACACCAAAAGCAATGGCAACAAAAGCCAAAATTGACAAATGGGATCTAATTAAACTAAAGAGCTTCTGCACAGCAAAAGAAACTACCATCAGAGTGAACAGGCAGCCTACAGAATGGGAGAAAATTTTTGCAATCTACTCATCTGACAAAGGGCTAATATCCAGAATCTACAAAGAACTCAAACAAATTTAGAAGAAAAAATCAAACAACCCCATCAACAAGTGGGCGAAGGAGGTGAACAGACACTTCTCAAAAGAAGACATTTATGCAGCCAAAAGACACATGAAAAAATGCTCATCATCACTGGCCATCAGAGAAATGCAAATCAAAACCACAATGAGATACCATCTCACACCACCTAGAATGGCGATCATTAAAAAGTCAGGAAACAACAGGTGCTGGAGAGGATGTGGAGAAATAGGAACACTTTTACACTATTGGTGGGACTGTAAACTAGTTCAACCATTGTGGAAGACAGTGTGGTGATTCCTCAGGGATCTAGAACTAGAAATACCATTTGACCCAGCCATCCCATTACTGGGTATATACCCAAAGGATTACAAATCATGCTGCTATAAAGACACATGCACATGTATGTTTATTGCAGCACTTTCACAATAGCAAAGACTTGGAACCAACCCAAATGTCCATCTATGATAGACTGGATTAAGAAAATGTGGCACATATACACCATGGAATACTATGCAGCCATAAAAAATGATGAGTTCATGTCCTTTGTAGGGACATGGATGAAGTTGGAAACCATCATTCTCAGCAAACTATCACAAGGACAAAAAACCAAACACCGCATATTCTCACTCATAGGTGGGAATTGAACAAAGAGAACACTTGGACACAGGAAGGGGAACATCACACACCAGGGCCTGTTGTGGGGTAGGGGGAGGGAGGAGGGATAGCATTAGGAGATATACCTAATGTAATTTACGAGTTAATGGGTGCAGCACACCAACATGGCACATGTATACATATGCAACAAACCTGTACATTGTGCACATGTACCCTAGAACTTAAAGTATAATAAAATATATATATATAAAATAAATAAATAAATTTAATTTTCACATTCCTTTAGGTTACGTATTCACTAATTAAGGTTGTCATAAACAATCATGGACAGCAGTCAGCCAATGAAGCAGCATGTTTACACCTAAGTACAGATAGTTAGAGCAACCTATTACACTGTACCACTTGGACTGAAATGGACAACTGTAGACAATACTGTTAATTACTTTCCAATATCTACTCTCCTTATGTTCTTTGCTAAGAGAATCATAATTTAAATTAGGGAAACAATGTGACATCCTAGTGATGGATCATGATAATGGACCATGGCCATGCCTTTCCTTGATATCTCGGTCTCCCTTGAAGTTGGGGTGTCTGTGGCCACTGGCTCTGGTCAAAAAGACTTAAGGGGGAGTCTGCTGAAGGGGCTTCTGGGAAATCTTTTTTTATCCCAGTAAAAAGGGACATGTGTACCTAAGGACCATTATCCTTCTGCCATTATTTTATGTCAATTTATTTTATTCAATATAGCAAAAGATTTCCCAAAGAACTACAATGACACTCGTCCTTACAACTTACAGCACCAACTTCAGCCACCATCTAGTTATAGAACATTTGTTATGTGAAAAAAAAAAAACTCTAATAATGTACCACTGCAAGTTGGGCTTTCTACTATTTGCAGCCAAAATCTTGCTAAAAATATATGGCAACTCTTCAGAATTCTATCCATTCTAACCATTCTTGTTAACAAACTAGCACCTCTTATCTATATTAGCCATCTTATCAGCTTTATTTCCTCCAGTTTAACCAATTTGCCATCAGATGATCTTTCTATAATCCAATACTCATCAATTAACACCCGCTTTAAAATCTTTCAGTGGCTCCCAAATCTGTTGTAATAAAGTAACCTGGATAATGGGCACATTGATTGCCTCTTTAGCTTCATTGATTCATTTATTAATTTAAATAGTATTTATTCATTATACATGTATAAAAGATTTAGTAAATATGGAGCCAACATAATTCTCTTTCTAGTGTAATTTTCTTTTGAAAGAAAGAAATGACCTATTATTTGAATGAAGCATGAACCTTGCCCTTCAGCCTATCTTAGAAACTTTATCAGTAAGCTGATTAAGCTCTAGTCTTAACTCATTATGTGTAGAAAATAATAAAAAATAAATTATTGATCTTCTGTATCATGTAAGTCAAAATAGTTTCAAAAAGAATTACTCTTGTTTTATAAATATTTCTATGACCTATAAACATACTGAGATTTAATCTGTGGCTTATTAAAATTACACAAGTGAGTACTGAGGGCCAGTCTCCAAACCTCCATTCTCAGCCTTCTTATTTGAATCTAAATTTCTCTATAAGAAACCTAAAGGTTGCAAATAGAATTATTCAGTGGTTTACTCACGTAACTGTAAACATAAGTAACCAAAGTTTGTCAGTAAATGTAGCTGCTTTTAGAGCTGACATTAGGAAAGCAGTAGGACAAATAACAGCAACAATATAGTCAGTTAAGAGGAACAATTGCAATTCTACTCTGATATCAACTGAAGCAAAATAATTTTGATATTAATTGAGGCAAACCATTCACAGAAATGCACATTGTAATGCCTCAGCTAACATTAAGCATTAATAAAATAATATATACATTTAAAACAAATTTTCATATATGATAAAGCAAACACAATTGAGGTTAACATATGTTTTCAACAATTTAAAACAACTATTTCATCCACAGTCTTGTACTTCAGATGATGCAGGATGGCAACACATTATGACTTGAAGAATTTTTTTTTCTCACAAAGCTTATATAGAAAGCAAAAATAGATTCTCAATGCAAAAAATAAGTATATATAAGTGTCTTAGTCAGTTTGTGCTGCTATAACAAACATGCCATAGACTGGAAAACTTTAACATAAACATTTACTTCTCAAAGTTCTGGAGGATGGAAAGCCCAAGATCAAGGTGTCAGCAGATACAAAATGTCTGATGAGGGCCAAATTCATGGTTTACAGATGGCTGTACTCTCCTTGTATACTAACATGGAAGAGAGGAAACCAAGAATTACTTTTCTTCCTCTTGTCATGTGGATCACTAGTGTCATCATGGGGGCTCCATATTAATAATCTAACTATCTCTCTAAAGTCCCACCGCCTAACATCATCCCATTGAAGGTTAGGGTTTCAAAATATGAATTTTGATGGACACAAACATGTAGTCCACAATAATCAGATCTATGATATAGAAACATTTTTAAATCCATGCTACCTTATAAAATACAGACTATTAAAAAATGTATTCAGACTCATTTTGCATACAGAAGGATAAACTCCACTCCCGTTCAGCAGCTTTATTCTTGATCAAATACATATTTAGCATCCACTGCAAGATCTATAAAAATTAGACCAAGTCTTATATCTACATGGTGCTTTACAGTTGTGAAAGCTTTGTTTGCCCTTGCTTTCTCATTTTATCCTCACATCAAAGCTGTCTACACACACACACACACACACACACACACGTACACACACACATATATATATATATATTTATGATCAATTCCCCAAACTTTTTAACAGAGACTCCAATTAAACTGGAGAAGATAGTATCTCTACATACGGACTTAAGTCTTTGATAGATTTATTTAGCAACTTTGTGTAATATAAAATCACAGTCACTGGAATCAAACAGACCCACATTTGCATTCTGGCTGTAAAATGTTTTAGTTGCATAATATCATCTAACTTCTCTAAGTAAAAAGGAATTTGCGAAGATTTGTTGACATTGTTGACAAGATTAAATTGGTTGCCATATGTAAAGTGCCTAGCACAAGGCCTGGAATATAGCAAGCACCCAATATGCTTCCTAACAATTCCTCTTTCATCTCCTCTCTTCTTCCCTTCCTTCCTTAAAGACATATGTATGGATTTAAGAGAAAGGAATCCTGAAAAAATAAGATGACAAGTATTTTCTACTTCAAAGAAAAATGGCAAGTCTGTGCAAGTTTTCCCATGTTTGCCTTAAGAATAGATTTTAGTTACGGAAAATTTATTGTACCAAACCCTTGGCCTAGTTTGTAAAACCAAAGGACAAAATTGAATACTTTGCAGGCATTTTAGTTATCTACTGCTGTATAGCAAAAGACCCTCAAATTTAGCAGCTTAAATTAAAAAACACTTATTATCTCACAAGACAATTGATGAGGGTCAGACATCAAACAGGGTTTAGCTGATTGGTTCTGGCTCAGAATCTCTCATGAGCTGCAGTCAAGCCAGCCAGGGTTGCAGTAGTATAAAGGGGCTGAGAATCTATGTCCAAGTTCACTGAAGTTCTACCCTCCACGGGCCTCTCCACAGAGCTACCCAGACAACATGATGACTTTCACTAGAACAAGTGATTCAAGAGAGCCAGATATCAAGATGGAAGCTTCAGTCTCGTAGAACCTACTCTTGGAGTGACACAAGAAGGCCACTTCTTCCATTTGCTCACACTTCTGCCATTTGCTCACACTTCTGCCATTTGCTCACACTTCTGCCATTTGATCACACTTCTGCCATTTGATCACACAGACAACCCCCTGGCACAATGTGGGAGGGCACTACACAAAGGTGTAAATATGACTAAGCTGGGGAACCCCCAAGTGTATCTAGACTTACATGGACATGATACAAATACAGCTTTGCTTAAATATTTATTTAATTGGTAGTGTGTGAAAAGACTGGGGCAATACTGGCATTTTGTGGTATTCCACTCCATCCACCTTAAAACAGTGATGTTTCAAATACTTGCTACTGTTTTGCCCTATAATCTTGGCTTAGCATAAAATCTACACTTCTAGAATTTTCTTCTTACTTAGCACACATTGCCTGGGTCACCAGGATAAGGAGGGTTTAGTTTCACAAGATGTATACTGGCAGTTCCTGTTTGATAGTCAGCTTCCAACAGGGCACCTAATGGTCTGAAATATTTAAGCAAACTTCTTATGCTGTCTCATGTCTGCTTAAGTCTAAATACTTTGGGGGTTCTCCAGTTTAGTCATATTTATCCTCTAAGAGAAACATCCTTTCCCTTCCTACCTTTGAAGGCTCTGAGCTACAGAATTCATTGCAGTTGTACAGCGAGATTTACAAATCAACTTGTGGAATTTTCATCTCAATGACATAATTTGATGTAACTCTCTTGCTCACATTTCTAAATAATACTATATTTGTATTCAGTTTCAAATAATTGACAGTAATGGACACACAGTGATTCGTACATAATGGGTATTGTAAATATTTATTGATTAAGTACACTATTTTTACCACTCTTTATGCAAAATGCCTGTGATATGTCAGATACTTGTGCAAATATTGCAAGGGTCAGTAGGCATTAGAGAAAACTAAAAATCCATGAATGTCCAAAATCTTAAGCACATATAAGAGAAGTAAAATGTTTCTGCTAGACTGGAAAGTTGGATTTCCAAATGACCGTAATTTGAAGAAAAAAATGAAAGTTTTTTTGCATCTTTTCAAAAGGTCAATAAGTATTCATAACAACAAAATCCTCTTGCCTTTATTATAGTATATGTATGTAGTTTCAGTGAAAGTTGTTAGGACTCAAAAACTGAAATTAGGGTAATTTAAAACCACTTCAAATATGTCATGAATTACCTCTTTTTCAGTCTTTCTCATAGGTACTTCCATACTATAATTTATAATTCATGATTCTGGCAAGAAAATGAGAAAGTGACTTTGAGAAATCATTTTAAAGGCAATTTTAAGCTGATAAATTATTCTAAGATATGATTGAGGAACTTAAATATTCATAAATGTTCTTTATGCTTTATTATTCTATGTTATAGTAACCTATACTTTAATAATAATCTGAGCTATCAAACACGACTAGAAAGCTAAGAGGGTGGTTAACTGATTTTTTTAAAATATTACTTTGTGATCTTATTCTATTAAAAATAGTGGAGGGAGTGAAGGGAGGTTTAATAAAAACATTGGTAGGTAATGGTTAAACTAAGTCTTTCCAACTGCTAAACATTTATTTAAAAAAATAAAGCATTATCTTTAGAACATAATTGCTACAAAGAGTTTAAGTGGCCAGAACAATTAAGTTTCTCAAAATTTATCATAGTATAAAACTAAAAAATAAAACCATTTTTGAAGTTAATTCTTTCATTTACTCTGCTTTTCTCTTGATTTATTTGTCTTCATAACAATCACCACCCCTTAACCTGTTATATATTTTTTGTTTTATTGGTGTGTTGTCTGTATCTCCCCAATAGAATATGAACTCCATGACAGGACTCTATAATATACACTGTTTTATAGCTGGATCTTAGAACAGCCCCAGGTCCATACTAGGTGTTTTATAATATTTACTGAGTGAATAAATGAATGGTTATCATGTGCCATGAACTAGGTGCTGAAGATGCAGTAATGAACAATACAGACCTGGTCCCTACATGACAGAGTCTATAGTTAACTGAAGATACAGGCAAGCAAGCAGAAAAGACCAATGTAACAAATACTGTGAGAGGGAGCAAAGCAGCAGTAGCTAATTCTGGAAATCAAAGAAAGGTTTCTGAAGTCGAAACTCAGACCTGAACGATGTCAGGAGATTAGCCAAGTTTTTGAGAGGAAGGCATAAACAAACGAAAACCTCTCAATGTAAGGAGAACTGTATGTGCAAAGGCCCGGGAATGAGAGAAAGAATGGCCTGAAAGAAATTCTATGCAATTCTATTTTAGAGTTAAAAATGATGGAGGAGGGGTCTAAGTTGAGATGTTATCAGGAGATATTTTCAGCACCACGTAACAGAAAATCACCTCTAAATCCTGAGCTGAGCTGGTTGTGCAAACACTCAGACCAAGGCCTAGTTTATTCTTTCCTTTTCTCAGACCCAATTTCTAGCCACTGTATTCTTGGTATCCCAGCCTCCACAATAATGATCTGAAAGTGACTGTCAGCAGCTTTCAGTCTTATTTCCTTCTCTTTCTCACCCAGCACAGAAAAAAAAAAAAAAAGGAAGATGATTCCTACTTATAGCAAAAAGCCTGAGATTCATTTCGAATGACTCAAAAACCACATGAAAGGCAGGTATTGGAATGGCCTAGCCCAGGTCTCCTGCTCAATCTCTGAGCCCAGATGGAATCAGCTTTCCTGAAACCATGGGGAGCTAATAGAAACCAGGGACTCTTGGCAATGGGAAAAGGAAAAATAAATGCACGGTAACTGGACTGTTGTATTTGCCATGTTACCTTAGATTGTATCACAAAAGCAACGAGGAGCCATGGAATTAAGCAAAGGAATAACACACTAAAATTTCTGTGTTAGAGATATTCTTTCTGCAATGTGAAGAATAGAGTCAGCAGAATCAATATTAGAAACAAGGAAACTGTTTAAGAGGCTGTTGCAAGTTGTTGACAGGATAGGCAGACTGAAAAGAAATGACTCAAGGGATATTTAATGGTTACAGTTAGCGTAGACAGACATTGGCAAAGATTGGGATGTAGAAAATAAAAGAAAGAGCAAAAGCAACGGTGATTCCTATGTGTTATGACTGGTCATGTATGGTTATATCACAGAAACCAGGGAGGAAAACAACCTGTGATTGGAAAAGATGAATTGTGTCTGGATATGAATTTGAGAAGTCTCCAGATTAATACCATGAATTTATTTCAGTCCTTAGGGTCTTTTCATTTCAAAAGATGTTAAAGATGTCATGTAATTCTAAAATAGAAATAAAAGTATAAAATTAGACATAACATTTAGAAATTATTAGCAAAGAACCTATTTTCTTTGTATGGTTAAACTTTTTTTTTTATAATTGCTAAATCCTGATGCTATTTGACAAAGCCAAAGGTTAGGAGGTAAAACAAAGATACCAGGAGCATATAATAAATCTTCTGTGCTTTTCCTTAACGAGATATATAAACACATATTACATACCACCTGCTATGGTGGTATGAAAATAGAATAACAGTCAGATGCATCCTGATTCAGTAAACAAAGAAGCAAGCATTGGATTGGATAACACCAAAGTCAAATAGTGACACATGTGAAGAGAAAATAGAACAAGATTATAAAAGACGTCTATCAAGATAAAAAAAATAATTCAACACATTTAGTCTAGATGCTTGTAAATAAGGTAGCATTTTTGTGTAGGATAATGCCTACCTGATACATCACTTGGAAGAAGAGGGCTAGGCAATAAAATTAGCAGCTGCAGTATGAAACTGATTCAGCAGCAGATGTGAGGCAAAACTCCTTGTTTCCAAATTTGCTAGAGGGATAGAACCTTATTAAGGAGGAAGCTGAATCCTAGTTATACAATAATGAAGTAGACAAAAGGCATAGCTAAACTACTGCATAACAAATCAATGAGAATTTCATGGTGGAAGAGTGGAGAAGAAAAGGGAAGAAGAAGGGAAGAAGGAGAGGAAGAGGCTGGAGGAGGAGGGAAGAAGGGAGGGACAGGAAGAGAGACAGAGGCGCACACATACACATGTCAACAAGGTAACCAGAGGATAATTTTCTTGTGGTCCAGTGGCTAAAGTAAATGCTTTAGAACACGGAGCATTTAATATTTAATTCTAAGCTATTTTTATTGGTATAATATTAACCCCATTATCTCCCCACATTTTCAGGGGAGTCTGATACACTGAAATGTTATCCTACGATGATATTGAGAAGAAAAAGAAAAGCAGTGGTGACAAGATGTAGGGTCTTCCTTGCAATTTACTGTCTCCACCAAGAATTGGATACAGTACCACCATCCTCTGAAGAAAATGAGTTCCTCTTCAGAATAACTTGGTCAGGAGTTCCAGTTCCATTTGTCATGGCAGATTCCCTTGGGATTAGGTTTTATTAGAAACAATTTCAAAGTGAAACTATCTTTATATAACATTATTCATTCATGTATTCAATGAATGCATCCAATAGCAAACTGAAAGGCTGTCCAGACCATAAATGAGAGTGTTTCAAGGAAGCACCTACAGTGTAGAACTGACGTAAGGGGAAAGCCTGACATTTTTGTTGTATCAGAATATTTTTATACAAAATATACCAAGTCTTAGGAGCCATTTTTTCATCATCCACGAATATTTTACATATATTTTAAGGACATAGGATGAAGGTTCTAATCCTAACTCTGCTATTCTGTGTTTTGAGCAAGTCATGTGATGTAGCCAGAGCTCAACTCCCTCACCTACGGCTTGGGGAGTTTTGATTGAATGATTGCTCAAGTTTCTTCTTAGCCCAACAGCCTGTGGTTCTGATGTCAATTATATTATAGCCTTTTTCTAATGTGTGGTATTTCAATTATGGTTGTGGCTTTTTATAAGGATTTCTATTAAGTCATTTTTTAAAATAAGACAAAATTCAATATAAGATGTGCCAACCAACTAATGACCTTTCCGAAACAAAACATAACAAAAAACTATGCAAGTTTCTTTCTAGAAAAGAAAGCCCAAGATGGCCTATTGAAAACAATAATCTTTGACAGTCAATAATGTCTTTTGCTATCATCCTTGTCATTTATCAGATTCTTGGGATACTTTCCCAAATTTGAGTGCTCTATTAGACAAGTTGAGAAAATATAATTATTTCTAATTTCCATGACAGGTTTCTATGTGATATAGGATTATCATAAAATCACCCTTGGGAAATGTATTAATTTACATTTATTATTAAATTACCAGGAGTAAGAGCTGGTTTTTAGCCTGAGCATAAGCCTAACACATTCACTGAGTCAAGGGAGCTTATAAACAAGATCTAAACATCCAAATAATAGAAAATATTTTAAAGGAAAATGGCAGGCAAGCATAGAAAAAATAACAGGGCTACACTGATTGAATTCTCACATCTCTATAAGGTGATAATAATACCTAGTATAGACAGTAGTTGTAGGCATCAAATAAGATAATGTTTGTAGAGCATTTGGCAGATACCATTTTTCAGTTAATTATTTCACTGAATCATCCCCATAAGACTACATATCCTAGTTTTACAGATGAGAAAACTGAGACCAAAATCATAGAGCTAGTAAAAATGATGGAGTTGTTATTCAGACCCATTAATATGACTCTGGAGGCAGTAGACTTAACTCACAAACTATCACACCTTCCACATCTACCATACCTGTAATCTCTTGTGCATGGCAACAAAAAAAAATAAGAGTTTTTATTAAATCTAAACTATTGCATGACACGTGGAAAGACAGTACAGATTTTGAACACATATATTGCTGAGTGATAGAGTAAACTAATGTCAGCACTCCAGTGAACATGAGGATTTTAAATTCTTTGAAGCAGATGGTGAATCTTAAGTACTCATGCCTTATTCCAGGTATGGAATGTAGGCACTTAGATGCCAAACTAGGAAAGGAATTAGACATATTCGGTGGAGCAGGGCAAGCCCATTACAAGCAGTAGTCAGAAGCACAGTCAGGCTGGTAGAGTATTCAAATAGTAACAGATAGGTGGCAATTCAGGGAAGTGATGCCTATATAAGAGGTAAGAACAGATGTCCTTAAAGGCAAGAAAAGAAACAAAAGCAGGAAGCCCGGTGGCAGGAAAAATGAAATAGTAACAGGAGTTCAAATACAGCAAGCATAGTGAAACTTCACCATATTTCTCTACATGAGATTCAAAAACCTATAGTATATGAAGTTATAATACAGTAAATTAACAACATGACTGGGATAAGGCTGCTGCAGAGAATGGGAGCAAAATTGTTAATCACATTCTGTCTAAATTTGCGTTATTGCAAGGTACATTATCTCAGTGTTTCACTGTGCTGACCACACATCCAGAAAACCTCTAAGTGCTTTGCCTAGTACAGTAACTTATTGAATCATCACCAATAACTCTACAGGTAGTATTGTTATTCTAATTTGCACAGATGAAAAAAGTGAAGTACAATGAGATTAGTAATTTGCCCAAGATCAAACAACCACAATACAAGGCAGAGTTAAAGTCCATACTGCCCAACTCTGAAGCCCAGCCTTATAACCACTAGGTAACCCTGCTATGGTTTGAAGGTTTGTGTCCTCTCCAAAACTCATGTTGAAATGTAATCTTCAATGTAACACTATTAAGAGGTGTGGCCTTTGGAAGGTGGTGAGGTCATGAGGGTTCATCCTCATGATAAGTATTACAGACCTTTGTATAAAAGGGCTGAAGAGAACTACCTAGACCCCTTTTTCACTCTTCTGCTTTCCACTATGTGAGGGAATGTCATTCACCCCTTCTGTCATGTGAGAATGCAACAACAAGGCACCACCTTGGAAGCAGAGATAGAGCCCTCATGAGACACAAAACCTGCCGATGCCTTGATCTTGAACTTCCGTCCTCTAGAACTGTGAGGAATAAATTTCTGTTCCTTATAAAATATGCAGTCTCAGATATTTTGTTACAGCAGCAGGAACAAACTAAGAGAAATTCTGTGTCTGCAAAGTCAGATGACAGCAGAGAATCTGGCAGTAGAAAGCAGGACTCATGTCACAAGTTTAGGGATTTGAGGTATGGGGTCAGAGGTCTCTTCTTTATGGCACAATAGATGTGAAGCAACTAGAACAGTGTCTGGCATATAATAAGCAACCAATAAATGTTAGCTATGAAAGTAATAACAATTGTTCTTGCTGTTGTAACAGGAAGAAGAGATGGAAAGTGTTATGAGTTGAATTTAGTCCACCCAAAATTCATGTTTTGAACTCCTCACCCTCAGTACCACAGGTGTGACTGTATTTGGAGACAGGGTCTTTAAAGAAATAAAGTTAAAATAAGGTCATTAGGGTGGACCCTAATCCAATATGACTGGTGTCCTATAAGAAGAAAATATTAAAACACAGACATGTACAGAGGGAAGACCATGTGAAGACACAGAAAAAAGATGGCCATCTGCAAGCCAAGGAAGGAGGCCTCAGAAGAAACTAATCCTGCCATCACTTTGGTCTCAGACCTCTACCCTTTAGCGTTGTGATAAAATAAATTTCTGTGTTTAAGCTATCCAGTCTTAAACTGGATACTTTGTTATGGCAGCCCTAGCTAACTAATACAAGGACCAAAAGGTGAGAAACCACAAGACCAGAATATTTTATAGAAGAGTTATGTTAAATTTGATATAAAAGGAACTGGGGCAAGAGCTGAGACAGGGCCCCACACAATGGAGATAGATTCCTGGGAAGATCTCCATTATTGGATCTGGGGCAAGGATCAAAGCATGACTAATAGTAAAACCAGATAGATGCTAAGTTGCTGCTCTAAAGATTCTTAAATATCTTCTGCTAAGGAGAGGAGTGGAGCTCGAGGAAGGGGACAGAATATCGGGGGTATGTTAAACACGTACAGATATAACTGAACAGGCATCAAAGTAGAGAGCCACCTAATTCTCACACATGCCAATATCAGATGCAAAAAAGGCAATCTTAGTTTTTAAATCCTTATAAATTAAACCTCAATATATGTTAGGCCTAAACTAGGTCACAGCAGCTGAATTTTGTGTATAATTTTGCTTATTTCTCTGATAAATGCCTCAAAATAATGGAGAACATTTCCTAAAAATAATATAGTCCAGAAATCTGTAGGTCATGTAGGGTTCCAATACCTGCTTAGAACTTTCATGTCATCTAGTAGTCTGCTTTAAATAGACACTAATTTTTCTGCTATTCACTCATATTTAATTTTTTTTGTAAATGCCTATATATCTTTAACAATAGTTATGTCTAGATGTGGGTAACATGAATTGGGTTGAATTGATGAAATTATTCCAGAAGAATGGCATCAACAATAACAGTTTTCTTTACTGATTTGACTGCCACACACAAACCTACTGCATTTAAAAGCAATGGAACTCAAAGAGCAAGATCTTCTAATGAGATCATTGCTTTGCATTCTTCATTGATAATGTAAATCACATGCACATAGCATCAAAATAGCTGAAATGAGCACAAATGAACTAAAAGTCTGTTAATGAGATTACAACCAGTTACAATTTCAAGATATAACAAAAGCATGCAGCATAGAGCAATTGACAATTGCAAACATTTTAAATGTGGAGACTTTCTATCAGAATTCAATTAAAAAAAGGAAAGTAGGCAAAAAAGAGTTAAAGCAAATCCTCCCTCACCCTGTGAGTATGGTCTGCCTTTACCAGATCATTCAGTGCATGATATTTGGTTTTATTCACAAGTTTGATGGTGAGACCATTCAGGACTAACAAAATCTGAAACAGAGGGACATTATAACAATCCAAAGCATAAGGGCGGTTACCACTGCTTCAAGGATTTCTAAGTAATGTATACTTTAGGAGATTTATTTAAAAAAAACTTTATTGTTTAAATGGTGATTTTAAATTAGTAGATCAGGAATTGCTACTTATTTGTCATCACTAATGAAGGAAATTGTAACTGTTGTTCAACTATGTATCCTTCATAATGAAACTTTCATTTCACATCTGTTTACATTCCACTTTTCCTTAGAAAAGGAAACAAAGTAGACACTCTAATATCCACCATACTATGCCAATTAGCCTGATGTTCATTTTCAGGTTGAATCATGGCGATACATTGAAGAAAATCATGACATCCTCTGGAGAGGACATTCAGCTAGAAGGAGCAACTTTCACACTTATTATTGAAGTTGACACCATCTTTGTGGGTAGCTGGAAATACAGTGGAGATTATCAGACTCCTGAATTTATTTCAGAAGATCATGCTGACAGCTGCCATCCTAATCCAGTCATATGCAAGGTGAGAAACATGTGGCTGGAGTTTTGATTCAGTACTGTGCCTTCACATACCAATGGCATTTTAAATACAAAAAAAACAAATTAAAAAGAGTACACATTTTGGTCATTTTCACCTCAAGTTCAAATAAGATTATATATTTTCTTTTATTCTCTTCTGGAATATGCTAAACCTCTGCAGAGATATTTCTAGCTTTTAGCTACCAAGGAATTATACATCTTTTCAAGCAGTGGTTGTTATTTTAAAACAAAATATTTCAGAGACTGAGGGTTTTATATATGTATAAAAAAAAATCTTACCCTCAAAGATTTTCCAAGGTAAGCTATGATATGAAAAGGAGTCTCAGTATATTTTTATTAATATGAATTAGAATCTTACAGATAAATTAAACATACAGTATTTTACTGCTTGTTATAGAATATAGATAACTTCAGGAAAAAAAGATCATTTTTTACATGTTTCAAAATACTTAAGTTATGCTTTCTCTTATCTTTGAGCCTGAGAGTGCTTTTTTAAGAAGTAGATGAAAGAAATGGAAACGACTACAAAGAAATTAACTCCTCCACATTCACTGCTTAGGTCTTTTAGTGGGAACCCAGATGTTTGTCAGAATTCAAGGTCTCTGCACACTTACGGAAGATTAAAAATCCTAGGAACTCCTATTCAGAACTTTGCAAGCTCTAAGATTAGGGTACTGCCAATAAAACCAGTTAGTTGGACTATCTCAGTAAAATCAATCAAGTTCTCCACAAATTTATTAAGTAGCTATTGCATATAGACACTAAGCTAGATACTAGTGCCTGGAACTCCAGAGGTGCCATTTTGTGGGGAAGAAAGAAAAAAAGAAAAAAGTATAGGAGATGAAATCGATATATTATCGAGCAGACCAACCAGACAGAGCCAGAATCTACCATTTCTAAAATTAACTTTTAAAATCATGATAGAGTCATAAACCATAAAATTAAATAATAAACTAAAGGTCTGCCAGCAGAGAAAAAACAAAAACAAAACACATTTTTTATTCAGGGATTCATTCATTCATTCATTCATTTTTCTCAACAAATGTATGTTAAGGGCACCTCTGAGTCAGACACTCATCTAAGCACTTAATAAAATTTATCACATTAACACTTTTAAAAATCTTATAAGAAAATTGTGATATACAGATGCTACTCAACTTATGAGGAAAACATCAAAATTAGTAATTAGTTGAAGATGTTTTAAGTTGAAAATGCATTTAATATACACCTAACCTATAGAACATCATGACTTAGCCTAGCCTACCTTAAACATGCTCAGAACACTTACATTAACCTACGATTGGGCAAAATCATCTGGCAGTACAGTACATTGTTGAGTATTGGTTGCTGGCACTCAAGATTGTGTGGCTGGCTGCAGCTTGCTGATGCTACCCAGCATTGCAAGAGAGTATCGTACGGCATACTGCTAGCCCAGAATTTTGATTTTTTGATTGCAAGATCAAAATTCAAAATTTGAAGTACGGTTTCTCCTGAATGTGTATCACTGTCACACCATTGAAAAGTCCAAAAATTGTACGTCAAACTATAGTAAATTGTAGATCATCTGTATGCTTTAAATTTCAGGAAGAGGAACACCCAGAAGTTAAATTTCTGTTATAATTGACTAATCTGTCATGTTTGTGGCAGTCAAGTTCCAATCCACTCATGTTTCCAGTATTTATTCAGTGTTTGGTAGTGGTAAAATAGACTCATTCCTGTCCTCTTGGAGCTCATAGTGGACCAGTAACTCCCTCAGATCCAGTCAGTCTCTGCTCTTCACAGTGCCCTAGACATTGAAAGGCCTTCTTCAAAATTGTCAATCTCTTTCCTGTGCATGGGAATAACTGAGACCAGCAGTACTGCCCAAGAAGAGAGTCTCAGACTCAGACTGGGATTCCTGCGGCCCCTTTGCCTGTGTCTTTCTTTCAGGCACTTTCCAAATTTGAGTCATGTGCATGGAGATAAATAAAGGCTCCATAGAGCTCCAGGATTCATGCCTATGAGGTCATCCCAGGACATTGAGGCTGGGCCTTGCTTCCTGGAGGTTGACCTGTAGAGAGAATTGCTCCCTTCAAGCCAATGTCTTATTTTGTTCACAATTACATACAATTAGTCTTTCAGAATAACCTGGCAACCTAGTTGTATGCTATGCTCACTCGGTTCAGGTGCAGGGTGAGTTCAGGGCTCTAGGCTACCATTAGCGCACTGCCTACCATCTAGCTTGAGCTCAGGTGTTGAGTCTCATGTTGAAATCATGTGTCAGATCTCATATATCTGTGTTCTGACCACAGTGTTGCCTCTGGTCTGTTGTATCTGAGAGTGATGAGAAACAAACTTTCCTCTGTGAGCTCCCTATTACTAGCACCCCAGGTAGGCTCAATGCCACATGAGAAGGAGCGTTCTAGGGTAGTTGTACCCATCTCATCCAAAAGCTTTTGAGATTGTTGCACCAAAGAAACCACAGGGCCCTTCTGATCAATGCCCTCGTTTGCCTCTCAAAAATATGGTGATGAATGATGTCATGCTCTTCCAGGTCAGTCTTAACCACGTGGACCAAGGGACAGAAACTCTTTGCTCAAGTGGTACCACTCTTCTCATTTTGCCAGTGGCTCCTCTCCTATTCTTCCTGCTGTTGGCAATATGGGAAAGGCAAGAGTATGCTCAACACTGAAAGATATTATATACCAGACTTAAACTTAAAGAGTTTAAGAGAAGACATGGTTAGAAAATGTGTTGTCTTACTCTTATGCTCTAAGACTCCTAATTTAATATTATCAGAAAACAAATTATCATTCACACTTTTCTGCATACTCTATGTAAGACTGCCATTTGTGAATATCACTAGCAGAGCACAGTAACAACTCCTAAAAGGGTCATTGGAAGCAAGTATTCACAGTAGCACAATGGATGATATACACAAAATATTCAGTGATGATCTACTTTGCATTAAATAAATTTATTAGGAAATTGCAGAAGCAAGGTGATTCTGCATTATGAGTAATGGCAGTGTTGCTATCCTATTCTCATGGCAAAAATTAAGAACAAGAAAAGATGGTGACTAGTCACTACAAAGAATACCCACTTGTACAATAATGAATAAACACTTTTTTTCTACCCATTATTTTAAATTTTTACTGATAAATCCCTGCATTGCAAAAAGACCCAAGAATTTTGTAATGTATATTTTAACCAATTTGTTTGCATAGGTTCAGGAATTAGAAACTAAAACATTTTCCAGAGTTCTGTACATTACAGATATGGTCTGGGTAGAGACAAATGCTCCCCACAAAGTAGATTACAATATTGTGATATATAATAAGGAAGAAAACAATAGAAGCATTAGAATTTTCTGGTATCTGCTGGAGTATGGGTCTCTGAATCGTGTTTGACCTGAGAGTTGAAAGGTAAATGGGATTTTATCCAGCAAAGGAGAGAAAAAATGAGAACCATATATGCAATGCTGTAAATACAGGAGTATGGAAAGGCCAGTGTGCCTGAAAGGCAAGAAATGAGAGAGAGAGAGAGAGAGTGATTTTGGCAGCTGGACAGTGGCTAGGGCAGACAAGGACTTGAGGACCATGTTAAACAGTTAACACATATCCTAAGAGCAATACGAACCTACTGGAAGTGTCATGACCAAATTTGTGTTTTTAAGATTTAAAAGATTCTGTTTTCAGATTGTAAAACAGATTGTACACAAGAAAGAATGCATTCAGGGAAGATGATTAAAAGGCTATTGGGAGTAACTGAGATAATAGATTATTGATGCTCAGATTGGAGTAGTTATGACATAGAGAGAAAAGAATGGAACTAAGATACATTTGTGTAAGATTTGTTAATGGACTCCATAGCAGATGGGGATGAAAGAAAGGTAAAAGGGAAATTCCCAGATGTATAGTTTGTATATTTGGTTGGATTGTGGTATCATTCATTGAGATATGAACACTGAAAGAGGAGCAGATTTCAGGTGGAGACCACAAGTTTAGTATTGGACAGTTTAAATTTGAGGAGTTTTAAGGTATCTAAGGTAAGATATAAAAAAAGGCAATGGTATATATCACACTGTATGACCCCAAATCCTAGTATATCTGACTTGAAATTAAATGATTGTATTAGTTTGTTCTCACACTGCTATAAGACCTGCCTGACACTAGGTAATCTGTAATGGAAAGAGGTTTAATTGACTCACAGTTATGCATAGCTGGAGAGGCCTAAGGAAACTTACAATCATGGTGGAAGGGGAAGCAAACATGTCCTTCTTCACCTGGCAGCAGGAGAGAGAAGTGCAGAGCAAAGTGGGGAAAAGCCCCATAAAAACCCATCGGATCTCATGATAACTCACTCGCTATCATGAGAATGGCATGGGGGAAACACCCTAATGATCTAATCACCTCCCACAAGGTCCCTCTGCCAATACATGGGGATTATAACTCAGATTATAATTCAAGATGAGATTTTGGGTGGGGACACAACTGAACTATATCACTCCCCCTCGGGAATCTCATGTCCTCACATTTCAAAACACAATCATGCCTTTCCAACAGTCCCTCAAGCTCTTAACTCATTCCAGCATTAATCCAAAAATTTAAATACATAGTCTCATCTGAGAGGATGCAAGTCCCTTCTGCCTATAAGCCTGTAAAATCAAAAGCAAGTTAGTTACTCCCTAGATACAATGGGGGAATAGGCACAGGGTAAATATACCCAAAACGGGAGATATTGACACAAACCAAGAGGCTACAAGCCCCATGCAAGTCTGAAATCCAATAGGACAGTCATTAAACTTTAAAGTTCCAAAATAATCTCCTTTGACTCCATGTATCACATCCAGGTCACACTGATGCAAGAGGTGGGCTCCCACGGCCTTGGGCAGTTCCGTCTCTATGGCTCTGCAGAGCACAGCCCCCAAGACTGCTTTCATGGGCTGGCATTGAGTGTCTGTGACATTGGCAGATGCACACTGCAAGCTATCAGTGGATCTACCATTCTGGGGTCTGGAGGATGGTACTCCTCTTCTCACAGCTCCACTAGGCAGCGCCCCAGTGGGTACTCTGTGTGGGGGTTCCAACCTCACATTTCCCTTCTGCACTGCCCTAGCAGAGGTTCTCCATGAGAGCTCTGCCCCTGCAGCAAAATTCTATCTGGACATCCAGGCATTCCCATACATCCTCTGAAATCTAGGCAGAGATTTCCAAGCCTCAGTTCTTGACTTCTGTGCACCCACAGGATCAACACCACGTGGAAGCCATGAAGGCTTGGGGTTTGGATCCTCTGAAGCAATGGCCTGAGCTCTACCTTGATCCCTTTGAGCCACAGCTGGAGCTGAAGCAGCTGGGATGCAGGGCACCATGTCCTGAGGCTGCACAGAGCAGGGGGAGCCCTGGGCCCAACTCACAAAACAATTTATTTCCTCCTAGGCTTGGCCTGTGATGTGAGGGACTGCCGAGAATGTCTCTGATGTGCCCTGCAGACATTTTCCCCATTGTCTTGGTGATTAACATTTGGTTCCCTGTTTCTTATGGGAATTTCTGCAGTGGGCTTGAATTTCTTCTTAGAAAATGGGTTTTTCTTTTCTGCTGCATCATCAAATTTTCCAAACTTTTATACTCTGCTTCCTCTTGAAGGCTTTGCCACTAAGAAATTTCTTCTGCCAGATACCCTAAATCATCTCTCTCAAATTCAAAGTTCCACAGATCTCTAGGGCAGGGACAAAATGCTACCAGTCTCTTTTCATAGCAAGAATGACCTTTACTCCAGTTCCCAACAAGTTCCTCATCTCAATCTGAGACCGCCTCATCCTGGACTTCATTGTCCATATCATGATCAGCATTTTGGCCAAAACCATTCGACAAGTCTAGGAAGTTCCAAACTTTCTCACATCTTCCTGTCTTCTTCTGAGCCCTCCAAACTGTTCCAATCTCTGCCCATTACCCAGTTCTAATGTTTCCACATGTTGAGATATCTTTTCAGCAGTATCCCACACTACTGGTACCAATTTTGTGAATTGGTCCATTTTCATTCTGCTATAAAGGACTACCTGAGACTGGGTAATTTATAAAGAACAGAAGTTTAATTGATTCACAGTTTCACGTGACTGGGAAAGCCTCAGGGAAGTTACAATCATGGTGGAAGGTGAAGGGGAAGCAAGGGACTTCTTACATGGCATCAGGAGAGAGAGAGATCGAGTTAAGAAGGAAGTATCACACTTTTAAACCGTCAGATCTCCTGAGAACTTACATGGTATCACAAGCACAACAGGCGGAAACCACTCCCATGATCCAATCACCTCCGACCAAGTCTCTCCTCCGACACATGGGGATTACAATTTGACGTGAAATTTGGGTGGGGACACAGAAAGTTGGGGTAGATGTTCTTGTTGCAAATCACTTTTGTTTCCATGTCACTTTCTTCAGGGAACTATTTTCCAAATAACTGTGGACTTTGTTTTTATAGAGGTTTTGGTGGCCAGAGTTAAAAGACTGAAATAAAGCTACAGTTTTAAAGAAACTACATAGCAAATGTCATTCATTCACTCAACAAGTATTTCTTGAGCACTGAATATATGCCAAGCACTGTTTTAGGTGCCAAAGATAGAACACTGAACAAAATAGGCACATTCCTTCCTCCCATGGAGCTTTTATTTCAAGTCAGGGTGGGGGAATGGAGGGTGAAAATCAGAGAAATCATGTAAGTTAAACATTTAGTATTTTAAGACAGTATTTTAGAAAGTGGCAAGTGATAAGGAGAATGAAACAGAGAAGGGATGCTTAGATGAGACTATGAAACTTAGGGTTAATACTGGAATAATTAAGACTTTGGGAGTTAGAGTAGAATGAATGTATTTTACATGCAAGTAGGACATTAATTTGGAAAGAGCCAGGGGCAGGATGCTATGGACTGAATGTGTCTTCCCCAAATCCATATGTTAAAATCTAACCCACAATGTGATGGTATTAGGAGGTGGGGCCTCTGGGAGGTAATTAGATCATGATGGTGGATCTCTCATGAATGAGATTAGTACCTTTATAAAAGAGACTGCAGATAATTTTCTTGCCCTTTTTCCACCTTATGAAGACACAAGGAGAGGTAGGCAGTCTGCAACCTCACATGAACCTAACAATGCTGGCACACCGAGCTTGGATACCCAGCTTCCAGAACTATAAGAAATACATTTATGTTATCTATCAGCCACCCAGTCTATTGCGGTCTATGTTATTTATAAGCCACCCAGCCCAAACCAAGGCAGTCATCATGTCTCCATAGGCTCCTCTTGTTTGTGATGGTATCTCAGACATTCCCGGTTTTAATGACCTTGATTTTGTCAGACTTTCCTTCTTTTGATGGCATTGATGGGTTTGAGGATTACCCTCCAATGGAATTTGTTCATATTGTTTTCTCATAATTAGACTGTGGTTATGGATAGAAAACCATGGGGTTAAAGTGTCATTTTCATCACATTATAACAAACGCACCTGCTATCAACATGATTTGTCACTGTTGACATTGACCTTGATAACCTGATTAAAAATATTGTTTATAAGGCTTCTCCACTGTAAAGGTGCTATCTCCCAACCACTTTCTATATTGTACTCTTTTTAATGAAGTCACTATGCACAGACCACAGTTAAGGAGTATGGAATTATGCTCTACTTCTTAATGGCAGTGTTTTGAAAAAAATTACTTGGAATTCTTTTGCATGGAATATTAATCTCTTCTCCCTCCATTATGGGTTTAATTATTTATTTATATCAATATGAGCTTTTGTATATTTATTTTATACTTTGTGTTATAACCTATTACTACTTTATTTTGTTGCACAATTTTTTCTGGCTTTGGCTATTGGTTGCTCTTTCAGTTGACTTTTGTACCTCTTTGACATACCTATATTAACATGGTTTTGTTTGTTTAGCACTTTCTGACTTTCTAAGCACTATAAGATGCTTCATGCTCATCTTATCTCTTCCTTGCTCCAGCCCTTGAATTAGCCATTTATCCAAGGAGCTTAATTCCTGGTATTGGAGAATGGCATTAGAAACCAAGATCTGAATGCTAGGTGCGCTCCTTGCTACTGGGTACCATTGATTTCAGACTCTCTAGCTGACACAGTGAGGAAATATATGTGTATATACTAAACCATGTATATATACGTATCTATACATGCTTTTATATGTGACCATATGCAGCTATATTGTCATCTAATTAAACTCATCTCACTAAACATGAGTTCATATTGGTATCTCCAATTCTAACCCATTCCCACATGGAATATCCTGGCCACTTCCCCTCGCTTTTCTGTAAACTCATACTCCAACAGGGAGAAACCCGGCTCCCAGGTGTGGTGCTTTTCACTTAATCTCTGTGAAGGTAAATAAACTACACAATTTCTAGCTTTCCACTGTATACTATACTTACCTACACTATACTTTATACTATATAACCCCCACACCTTTAAGCTCCAAATGCACCATTCTATATGACATATAGAGTGGAGTGCAGTGACGTGATCATAGCTCCCCATGGGATGGTGGTGTAATCATAGCTTCCCATCCACTTGGCATGCTAGGGCTGAGACTATACAAATTACATTTCCCAGATGCCTTTGTCAGCTGGATTCCTGTTAGGTTCTGCTATGAGGAGCAGTGAAAAGAAGTTGAAAAGTGTGTGGAAGGGAGAAAGACCTTGCACCACTTTTTATTCAGTTTCATCAGCATTGCTTCAACAGCAGCAAGTTGATGGCTATCACTTGGAGCTTATTTTTTTACTTCCAACATTAGCCTCACTACGTTCACTCAGTGATTTGAAAATAAACCTGGACCTGCTTCTTTCATGTGATGGGAGTAATAGGTATGGCTTTCTTACCCTTTGGGCTGTAGACTATCCAAGTATTCACAGTCCATGATTCCTTGATGGTCTGAACATCTTCCAGGTATTCCCCTTCTACAGAGGTCTAACACCAGCTGAGCAGAGCTTCCCCAGAGAAGTGCAAACTCTAGCGCTATAGGGTAACTCCTCCCATCTCCCATGATCTAACACCATCTATGCCCTTTTGTTTCTTTAGCTTTAGGAATGGTATAGTTTCTGCCTGCCTTTATTTTTTTTTTATATGTTTCCAGCATCTCCTCTTTGCTCTCTCAGGCTTCCATCACTGTTTTATTCTGTCTTTCATATTAAGTACACTCTATTTAAAATACCTACTGGTTCTGTTTTCCTGAATGGGTCTTGACACACTCTCTCTCCCCCTCACTTTGTTATCTGTAAATTTCAGATTTTAGTGGAGCCAACCTCAAAATGTTATTATGAAGATTGTATTAATTATTTCATGTAAATCACTTAGCACAATGCATGACACTAGAAAAGTACTCAGTCAACATTGGCTATTATTTTTCTCTTTAGCTAGTCCAACGGAACAGGATTTAAAGGCACCCTCCACATCAGATGACCAATGTTCTAATATGGACATTGAGCCTGGCTAGTTTTGTAATTAAAGTCTAGTTTCTCTCATTACCTTCTTTTTCTTTGGATATGTCCAGAGCTATATCAAATTAGCATGTACTAGCAGGGCTGTGCCATTTGTTAATCGATTAGAACCTCACTGCATTAAATGGTAAATAGCCTAGTACCGAGTTCTTAGTGCCTTCTCACTGCTCAAGCTATTTTTTTCCCTTCCCAGGAGCCCTGGAACCTCCCCAGTTACATGTCAGTTAAAAAAAAAAAAAAAAAAAACACAAATGTTTCCAGCATTCTGCTGCAGTGCTAGGGCCAGTGTCTTTCCTAACTGGTTTACATGCAAGCCAAACATACAGATATTTTGCATATCACACTGAACACGTGTGTTGTCCCTCCTCCAGTCAAGGATATTGCTGAAGTTACCTTTTTTTTTTTTTTTCACTGCAACCTGCCCTTCCCCATCTCAAGGGGTCTGCTCATTTAAGCCTCCCAAGTAGCTGGGAGCACAGGTGCCTGCCACCATGCCCAGCTAATTTTTTTTTTTTTTTATTTTTGGTACAGAAGGGGTTCCGCTATGTTGCCCAGGCTGGTCTTGCACTCCTGGACTCAAAAATCTGCCTGCCTTGGCCTCTCAAAGTGCTGAGATTACAGGCTTGAGCCACCACGCCTGGCCAAAGTTAACATTTTTGAGGTGCTTACTGTGTGTCACAAAAAAATATGGCGAGATATTTACTATTGTTATTTCCTTTCTTCTTTAGATAAAAAGCTAAGTCATAGAGTAATTTTAAAACTTTCCTGAAGTCACACAGCTATTAAACAATGAAGCCAGGATTCACATCAGTTATTCTGACTCTAGAGCCTAGGTTCTTGATTGAGTTACCAGTCTGAGAACATGAAATAAGTTTAGTGGAGACAGGGAAGAAAATCATATAAATTAAAGTTTTACCTGAATGTGAATTCAGGAGAAAGGATTACATGAGATAATAAAAATTCAACCAGTAGGGCCAGGTGGGGTGGCTCACACCTATAACCCTAGCACTTTGGGAGGTGGAGGTGGAAGGATCACTTGAGGTCAGGAGTTTGAGACTAGCCTGGGCAACATAGCTAGACCCTGTCTCGACAAAAAAATTTTACACTAAATTAGGCAAGAGTGGTGGTACATGCCTGTAGTCCTGGTTATTTGGGAGGCTGAGGTGAGAAGATTCCCTGAGCCCAGCAGTTGGAAGCTGTAGTGAGCTATGATTACACCACTGCACTCCAGCCTGGATGGCCGAGCAAGACCCTGTCTCAAATTAAAAAAAAAAAAAAAAAAAAAACACACCTGAAAACTGAAAGAATGTGGCTTATTTAAGCACATCTGGCTCCTGTAATTGTGTGTTGCTCTCATTGTATAATCTTACAATAAAACAGAGTGTGTTCTTAGAGAAAGCATAATCTTCGAAGTCAGACCTGGATTCATATGTCAGTTCTACTTATAATAATAAGTAGAACTTAATAAACTGTATGACATTAAGTTAATAAACTGTATGACAGTTAATAAACTGTATGACATTTGGTCAATCTGAATTCAAAGTATTTATTTATTTATTTAACTTTATATTTTTAATTGACAAATAATAATTATACATATTCATGGGGTACATATTGATGTTTCCATACATATAATGTATATTGATCAGATCAGGGTCAGAACCATATTCATCATTTCAAACATTTATAATTTCTTTGTGTTGGGAACATTCAATATCTTCCTTCTAGCTATTTGAAACTACACAATATATTATTAACTGTAATCATCCTATAGTGGTATAGAACACTACAACGTATTCCTCCTATCTAGCTATAATTTTGTAACCTTTAACAAATATCTCCCTATTTCTCTGTTCCCCTTATCCTTCCCATCCTCTGGTATCCTCTTTTCTACTTTTCACTTCCCAGAGATAAACTCTTTTTAGCTCCCACATATGAATGAGAACATCAGTGTTTAATTATCTGTTCCTGGATTATTTCACTTAACATAATGCCCTCCAGTTCTATCAATATTGCTGTGAATAACAGGATTTCATTTCTTTTTATGGCTGAATAGTATTTCATTGTGTGTATATTCTACATTTTCTTTATCCGTTTACCAATTGATGGACACTTAGGCTGATTCCATATTTTGGTTACTGTGAATAATTTTGCAATGAACAGTAAGATGTTAGCTATAGGTTTGTCAAATAATGTGCCTTTATTATGTTAAGATACTTTCCCTTTATACCTGATTTACTAAGAGTTTTTACCATAAAGAGATATTAAATTGTATCAAAAAATTCCTGCAACCATTGAGATTATCATATGGTTTTTGTCCTTCATTCTATTGACTTGATATTTGATGCATATTGACTTGTGTATGCTGAACCATCATTGTGTTCTCATTATGAATCTTACTTGATCATGGTGTATTATATTTTTGACGTATTTTTGGATTTGGCTTCTTAGTATTTTGTTGAGGGCATTTGTGTCTATGTTTATCACAGACATTGACCCATAGCTTTCCTTTTATATTGGGTCTTTGTCTGGTTTGGGTATCAGGATTATGACAGCCTTTTAAAATGAGTTAGGAAAAATTCCCTCTGCCTCAATGTTTTTGAATAGTTTCAAAAGAATTGGTATTAATTTTTCTTTAAAAATTTGGTAGAATTCAGCAATAAATCTATCCAGTCCTGGACTTTTCTTTGTTAGAAGCTTTTTTATTACTGATTCAATTTCATTACTTATTAGTCTATTCAAGGTTTCTATTTCTTCTTAGTTCAATCTGGGTAGGTTGCATGCATGTGTCCAGGAATTTATCCATTTCCTCTAGGTTTTCAACTTTATTGGCATATAGTTGTTCATAGTAGTCTCTAGTGATCCTTCGAATTACTGTATTATCAACTGTAATGTCTCCTTTATCATCTCTGATTTTATTAGGATCTTCCCTTTTTTTCCTTAGTCTAGCTAAAGGTTTGTCAATTTTGCCTCTTTTCAAAAAACATTTTGTTTTGTTTATCTTTTTATTTTTTGTCTCTATTTTATTGGTTTTTGCTTTGATCTTGTTTCTTTTCTTCTACTAATTTGGGGTTTGATTTGTTCTTGCTTTTCTAATTCCTTGAGATGCATCATTAGGTTGTTTATTTGAAGTCATTCTACTTTTTTAATGTAGGCTTTTATTACTATAAACTTTTCTCTTAGTACTATCTTTACTGTATCCTGTAGGTTTTGGTATGTTGTGTTTCCATTTTTATTTGTTTCAAGAAATTTTTAAATTTTGTTCTGAATTTTTTTCATTGACCCAGTGGTCATTCAGGGGTACGTTGTTTAATTACCATGTATTTATACAGTTTCCAAAGTTTTTCTTAGTATTGATTTCTAGTTTTATTTCATTTGTGGTCTGAGAGGATACTGGATGACTTTGATTTTTAAAAATTTGTTGAGACTTATTTTGTGACTTCACATATGGTCTATCCTGGAGAATGTCCCATGTGCTGATGAGAAGAATGTGTATTCTGGAATTGTTGAATAGAATGTTCTGTAAATTTTTGTTGGGTCCATTTGGTCTAAAGTTCAGTTTAAATCTCAAATGAGTTTTCCAGGCAGTTTCTCAGGTTGGGGGAACATGTGTGCATATGGTGGGTCAGGCAATTTGGGGTCTGGCTCACTGGGGTTGGGTCTACAGTGTTGTTACTATGGCCAGGAGCACAGGTGCATGGTTGCTCATCTGACCTGGGGGCATGCCCACCTGAGACAGCCCATGGAGCAGTTTCTCAGGCCCTTATTGGGGGGGCATAGGGATGTTGTGAGGGCCAGAAACCAGGACTGTTGGCCTTATTGGGGGTACAGGGCAGTGGGGTCTGGGATGTTGCGGGGTTCTTTCTCAGGTCCCAAGTATGACTGTGCAACCACTTTGCTGGCAAGGGGGTGTAACAGCTTCTTGGAAGCTCATGGGCCTCTCCTACTTGGGAAAGGGCTTTCAGCAGTTTGGCCAACCAAGGGCAGGTTCACCTTGCGTCAGACTGGCAGATTAGTCCTCTGGCTATAGGTGCTGGGTTGGTTTCCTTGATATGCAGGACTGAATCACAGTTAGTTCTTGGCCCAGGTACCACAAAGGTTGGGTTATGGCATTCAGTCACCCATGTGGGCTTGGCGTAATGAAGATGGAGCCCCAGTGGTGGAGAGGTGCAGTGGCTATTGGCCCCCAGAGCAGGGTGAGCTCCAGAGGTGTTTCTGATCTCAGGATAGCATCACGCTGAAGCAGCTTGGCTCACAGAGGGTGAGGTGGGGATGGGGAGTGCATATCTCATGCTCTTAATTTAGGGCAATGCGTCTGTGTGAACTCCTGGCAGTTCACCAGCCACGCCATGGGCTGCCTCAGGTGGGCAGCAAACTGAA
Organism: Homo sapiens; assembly: GCF_000001405.40. Classification (NCBI taxonomy): domain Eukaryota; kingdom Metazoa; phylum Chordata; class Mammalia; order Primates; family Hominidae; genus Homo; species Homo sapiens. The sequence goes on from NC_000012.12 coordinate 82,078,590, forward strand.
CTTAGGATTTGTGAGGACTGTGTAATTCTGTTGTAAGAACTGAAGGTGCTTTTAATGGCAATGAGGGCTGGTGGGGATCTCCTACTTAACTTTTTCCCCTCAATAGGAAGTCCCTCCTACCTTCAGTAGATCCCATCCAATTGGGTTGATGGGGCTGCGGAGGCTGCATGCCTCCATGCTTCCCTCCTGGACTTCCAGTTACCACAGGTGCATCTCCTTTCCCACTGCACTCCAGCACTCTCCCTTCGACACTCCAGTCAAATCTTAGCTGTTCATTTATTGCCTTAGCCCTTTTCTTTTCGGGGAAATGAATGCCAGGCATCTCTATCAGTCATCTTGCTGACATCCAGTCAATTTTGTAGATCTAGAAAACATTGATACCACTTCCCCATAACAACTTTTAGGATTAAACACTATTTATTTATAGTATCTGGCATTTACAATGACTTTTATGATTACAGATTCTCTGTTCTTCTCTTAGGTTTTATGCTTTATAATTTAAAATATGTTTCTGCCTTCTAACATTCATGTTAATTGGGTAGGTCTGTTTACTTGCTGTCTACCTCTATCATCAATTATTTGAGAACTGAGAGCTGTTATTCAGCTTAGATGGCACCTAAAATTATTTTCAAATCTTTAACACTTATAATTAACTCTCTCTTAATTTTTGACCTATCTAAAGAGCAGGTATTTTAGAATCCATTTTGTTTGATGTGAACTAGCCCCTAGTTATATAAATTGATCCAATAATACTGTTTTCCAATAATTTGTAACGGAAGAGGGACAGAGAGAATGAGAGATGTGGATTGGGTGGTAAATATCTGACAATATTTGATTCTATGATATTTCTATAATGTATGTTTCTTGTTTTCACTGAAACAATACTGCATCCTGTCACTAAAACCCACTTTCCTGTATAAGCTAGCCTATATTTTTACATTCACCACAAAAAGATTTCAAGATTCCTAAAAAAATTAAAAGTTGTCTAGACTAGAATTTTGATAACAACAACAATAAAAATCTCCCCCTAAAAATTCTGCAAGTCCTGCTATCATATAAGTTTAGGGTGTGGATTTCCACATTCTTCTTGGTATGGTATTTTTAAAATCTCATAGGTGCACGAAATAAGCAAATATATTCAAGTGAGGCTTCATAGGGTTTCCACAGGTAAATTTCTGATGAAAATAAGCATAGTATGCAAATTTACATAATAGACGAGGAAAATAAAACATTGTGAGTGGGAGTCAGTGGAAGCTATAGCTATGTTAATTATATTCCTGAAAACTTTGGATACTAAAATTATTAGTTGAAAATTATTAAATATGTATTTTAAATAATTATACACATAATAATACTGTCAGAAGGAAATCTATAGAAAACAACACCAGGCAACTTTGGAAGAATCCAAAGATCTTGTAGAAATTGAAAATGCAATAATTGACATAAAAATAAACTTCAATGGGTTGATTAAATACTAGACTAGACATTGTTAAAGAGATAATTGGTAAAATGGAAGTTAGCAATGAAAAAATTATCTGGAATGTGGAAGGAGGAAATAAATGTTTTGTGAATAGGCATTAAGAACTCTAAAAGATAGTGTAAAGATATCAAGTGAAAAGCAACAAATGAGTAAGGGAGAGGCAAATTTTGAAGAAAAAATAGCTAACAAATATATAGAACTAATGAAGAATATCAAATTTCAGATCACAAAGTATAAATACATTTATTGTATTTTCCCTGACAATGAAACAAAATCAAATTTATACTTTGACATATCATAATGAAACTGAAGAATGCTAAAAACAAGAAGCAACCAAAGAGAAAAGACAAATTACAAGAAAAAAATTGATAACAATTTTATAGATGACAGAATACAGCAGCAACAAGAGAATTCAAAAGACAAATTGTACCTTCTAGTGATTGAAATAAAATAATAGTTAACCTAGTATTTTATAGCTAGCTAAACGATCATCAAAAAATAAGAATGAAATAGAAACATTTTCAGACACATAAGAATTGTGGAAGTTTACCCTCATCAGACACTCACTGAAAAAAATTATTTTTAGGAATGCATTTCAAGAAGAAAATTGATTCCACAAATAGGCAGATATGCAAGAAAGGCACTATCTCTGCCTGGAGTCAGCTCTGATTCATAACGGTTGCTCGAATTATTAGAAAACTAATACATCATTTTTACATATGACTTTAAATTAAAATATGGTTATTGCAGCACAAATTTTAGAATGAAAAGAGTGTATCACAATTTAAAAGTAATTATCAGATTCTGAAATTTTCAAAAAAACTACAAATAAGACCAAATAAAATTTCTTTTTTCCATGCTGGTTAAGTTTTTGGTTCCTTAATGTGGATAAACTGGAGCTTCATATGAGAACTTGTTTTATATCTTCTTTGTATTTTTGTCTCACATGCACACACAAAAGAGTCTTCAGGTACTGTCAATTCTTTATAGTTTTAAGAACATTATCTGGCCACAATTTGTGTCAACATCAAATTCATAACATCTGAATGAATACTCCTATTTAGTAGGCAATAATAAACATTCAAATCAGAATTCTAGGAAGTTGTAATATGTGTTAATTTATTTTATAATTAAAGAACAAGATACTTCTGAGCAATCTCTTCTATATTCCTGTCAAATTCTTTGTCTAAATCACTAAACAGAACAAGACAGAGTCAATGCTTTTATGCCTTATATTTTCTGAATCTTTCCTATTCAACATGATTCCTCAAGGATTATATTTGGTGCCTTCCTTCTGAAATCACCTCACTGCCCTAACATGATATTCAGCTAGAGAAGGTCAAGACACAACTTATTTGAGCAGCTAAACTAATTACTTCTCACATTTGCTGAATGGATTTTTTTTTTTTCAGTTTGAAAATCAGTTATCTTAAGGAAAAAAAGTTTCTTTATCTCTTGGATATTCATTAATACTCTTCCCTTGGCCAGCCCTAGGCCTAAAATTCTCTTTATCTTCTTAATGCAAATCTAAATATAATGGTCTTTCTAATTTTTCTGAACATTTTTGGAAGCATCAGCTCATTTAAATTGTTATTCTTCCTGACACTATTCTTAAAATTTGTTCTTAAAACTTTATATAGACTAAAAGTTTACATCAAGAGAAATTTCATCTGTCCATTCATGCCTTACTTGGATCCTTTGTATAGTCCATCTTATCAAGAAAATGCTCAGTGTGATATGCAAAATGACCCCCATAAAGATGTTCGTGCCCTTTTACATTGCAAAAGGGACTTTGCAGATATAATTAAAGTTACATATCTCATAATAGGGCAATTACCTTGGATGATCTATGTGTACCCAATCTAATCACATGAGCATTTAAAAGCAGAGGGTGTTTTCCTAGATAAAAATGCAGCAAAAAAAAAAAGAAGTCAGAGAGAGTTAACATTATGGGAGGGACTCAATCAGCTATTGCTGGAGAAAGTGACATGGAAAGCATCAGAATGATGATAGGCAAACTCTAGGAGCAAAGGACAACCCTGTCCTGGCTGATGGCTAAGAAAGAAATGGGGAAATTAGTCTTATAAACTCAAGGAAATGAATTGGGTCAACAACCTAAATGAGATCTAAATAATATCTTAGTCCAGAAAAAACATTAATTTTGGCCTTGTTAGGCCTTGAGCAGATAATTCAGCTTAGCCACACTGTGTCCAGGCTTTTGAACCACAAAACTGAGATAATAAATGGGCATTGTTTGAAACCACTGATTATGTGGTAATTTGTTATAGCAGGAATAGAAAATTAATACCACTCACAATTCTCCTCCCTTGTAGAGCCCATCTCATGGAAGTGAGCCTGTCTTTTCCCTTACTTTTATTAAGTTGGCCTTCAGAATATCTAAATTATATATCAGCACAACCCAGGCATCCTCTTATCTCTTCTCTGACTTCCAAAATGGCATTATTTCTCTTCCTCGAGGCTTTCCATCTCTCCTGTTATACCAATTCTTTTCAGGAAAGGGTCAAAATTAGAATAGTAGTTTCTGTATTTGTTCTCCCTGTCTCCTGGGAGATGAAATCATCAGCAAGGCAAGTCCAGAACTTGTCAGATACTCTGATTTTAGCCAACCGAGACTTCCAGCAGATGTCCAGAAAGTCTTTCATTTTGCCTCCGTGCCAGTTCTGTAGTTTGTGTCAGGAACACATCATCCATTCCCTCCATCTGTTAGTCTGTCACCTTCAAATTTAAAAATTATAAAGAAGCAACATTTATGTAGTTGGCTCTGGGATGATACTAATGTTACTTTGGTGCATCTCTCTTTTTACATTCTCACAAATGTTGCCTTTGAAGTCATTTTTAAGTATATATACATATATATATGTATTTAGGGTATAAAACATGATGTTTTGATATGTGTACATTGTGGAATGGTTAAGTCAATATGATTTACGCATGCATTCCCTCAAAAAGTTATTTTGTGTGTGTGATGAGAACACTTTAAAAATCTACTCTCTTAGCTATTAAGTATATAAGACATTGTTATTAACTATTATCACCATTATCTACAACAAGTCTCTTGAAATTATTCCTCCTGTCTAACTAAAATTTTATATTTTTGACCAACATCTCCCCACTCCTACCACCCCGGCAGCCTCTGGTAACCACTATTCTACTCTCTGCTTTTAGGAGTTCAACTTTTTTATATTCTACATATAAATGTCATCATGTGATATTTGTCTTTCTGTGCCTGGCTTATTTCACTTAACATAATGTCCTCCAGTTCCATCCATGTTGTCGCAAATGACAAGATTTCCTTCTTTAAAAGTGAATACTATAATGGTGTTCCATTATGCATATATAGCATATTTTCTTTATTTGTTCATTGATGGACACTTAGGATGATATCATAGATTGGCTATTGTGAATTTAATGATGCATTGAACATCAGAGTTCAAGTATCTCTTCAAGATGCTGATTTTATTTCCTTTGGCTACATACTCAGAAGTGGGATTGCTGGATCATATAGCAGTGCTATTTTTAATTTTTTTGAAAAACTTTAATACTGGTTTTCATAACGGCTGTACTAATTTACATTCCCATCAAAAGTATACAAGGGTTACCTTTTCTTCATATCCTCATCAACCCTTATTATCTTTCTTTTTTTTTTTTGAATATAGATATTCTAACAGATGTGGAGTTATATCTTACTGTGGTTTTAATTTGCATTTTCCTGAGGATTAGTGATATTAGACATATATTTTCATATGTCTGTTGGCCATTTGTATGTCTTTTTATGAGAAATGTCTATTCAGGTCTTTTGCCCATTTTTAAATCAGGTTTTATTTGTTTTCTTGCTAATGAGTTGAGTTCCTTACATATTTTGGATGTTAACTACCTGCAAGATGCACTATTTGCAAATATTTTCCTCATTTCATGCATTGCTTCTTCACCCTGTGACTGTTTTCTTTGCTATGCAGAAGTTTTTAATTTGATTTAATCCTATGTGTTTATTTTAGCTGTACTTTTGGGGTCAAATTCGAAAATGCCTAGACAAAAAAAAACCAGTCTATTGCCTAGATCAATGTCATCGAGCTTTTCCCCTTTGCTTTCTTATAGAAATTTTACAGTTTCAGGTCTTACATTGAACCCTTTTCCTGTATACCCTGACTATACTCAGCGACTGTGCTTGAGGCTGCAGTGTTTACCCAGAAATAACTTTGCCATGAAATATCTCGCTTTTATTACGATTTTTGCATTGCTCTATTATGTCGATTTTGGAAACAAAGAATATCATTCTGTTTATAGCATTCTGTTTTTAGTAGCGGTATACCATTTACATAATATAGTAATTCTTGATTGCTGAAAATGTCAAATCCTAGAAAACATAGCTTTTCTATGCATGATGTTAACATTGTTCTCAAACAGTTGTTGGCCAAAGATTCATTTGATGAATCTGATTTTTGAAAAATAGATGATTCTGATGATTCTGACAATTCTAATGTTAATTCTGTTTAGAAATAACTCCAATAACAGTTTTTATATTTTATTTTCACATTGAAAATAAGTCAGATTTGCTTCAGCCTCAAAAAGTGTGTTTATGTAAAATTAAATCAGCATTAAAGTGAGCTGCACTTTGTTTTTCTAAACAGGAAAAGGGTCTTTACTCCATTTTAAGTTGATTTTTCTATGTGCTGTGAGATAAAGGATTAATTTTATTCTTGTTCATGTGGATATCCAGTTTTCCCAACACTGTTTATTGAAGTGACTGTCCTTTCCCTGTTTTGTGCTCTTGTTCCCTTTGTCAAAAATCAATTGATCTTATATATGTGGATTTATTTATGGGTTCTTTATCCTCTTCCACTGGCCAATGTATCTGTTTTTATGTCAGTACCATACTGTTTTGATTACTATAGCTTTGTAGTTGATTTTGCAATATGGTAATTATGATGCCTCTGGCTTTGGTCTTTTTGCTCAAGATTTCTTTGGCTATTCAAGGTCTTTTATGAGTCCATATGAATTTTAGGATTTTTTTTCTAATCCTATGAAAAATGTCATTGGAATTTTGATAGGAATTGCGTTGAATTTACTGATTACTTTGGGTAGTTTGGACATTTTAAAAATATTAATTATTCTAATCAATTTCTTTGTGCTTTTTTCAATTTTTTTATCAATGTTTTATGGTTTTCAGTGTACAGATATTTCACCTTCTTGGTTAAGTTTATTTCTAAGCATTTTATTTTTCTGTAGCTATTCTTAATGAATTGTTTTCTTGATTTCTTTTTCAGATAGTTTATTGTTGACGTGTAGAAATACTACTGATTTGTGTATGTTAATTTTGTATCCTACAATGTTACTGAATTTGTTTATTAGTTCAAACAGTTATTTCATGGAGTCTTTGAGGTTTTCTCTAGTAAGACATAAGTAGACATAATGTCTATAAACAGCGACAATTTAATTTCTTTTTTTCTGACTTGGATGCCTTTTATTTGTTTTTCTTGCATAATTGATCTGACCAGGACTTTCAGTAATATGTTGAATAGGAGTGGCAAGAGTGGGCATCCTTGTTTTGTTTCTGATCAAAGAGTAAAAGCCTAAAACTTTTCACCATTAAGTATGGTATTAGCTGTCAGATTGTCATACATGGCCTTTATTATATCGATTTACATTCCTTCTGTATCTAATACTTTGACAGTTTTTATCTTGGAAGAGTGTTGAATTTTGTCAAAAGGTTTTCTGTATATATTGAGATGATTATAGGATTTTTGTCTTTCATTTGTAATGATGTAACACATTTATTCATTTGTGTATGTTGAATTCTCCTTGCAGCCCAGGGATAAATTCCACTTGATTATGATGAATTATCCTTTAACTGTGCTGTTATATTCAGTTTACTGGTATTTTTATTGAGGATTTTGAAGTCATTTTAATGTTATTATAGAGACCTGGAATTTGCTAGCTCATTAGCCTGCTTGTCTGGCTGTGGGACCTCAATCCCTCTTCTGGGTTAACTTTGCTTTCCCTGACATTTCTAGGAGAATTCAAAGCTATCTCTAACACATTTAGGAATCTGTCCTAATTACTTCTGATCATGATGCTTTGACTTTAATTTTAATTACCACTATTGACTCTCTATTTAGACAGCCTGATTCTCTCTGCCACTCTACTCATTTGCTGGCCAATTCCCAGAGCACTACACAAGGCTTCCACAGCTTGACCACTTCTTCTGCAAAGTCTATAGCTAATATTGTAGTCCATAGTATATAGCAGTTTGTAGTCTAATCTAGTACCTAACGGACACATATATCTATTAAATTTAAATTTAAATACATTAAAATTCAAAATTCACTTCCTCAGTTGTACTAACCACATTTCAGCTACTCAACTCAATTATTGCCAGTGGCTACCACATTGGACAGCACAGGGTAACACTCACAGTTTGTTGCAGTAAGTTCTATTCAATAGTGTTGGTCTATAGAGAAGTATCCTCCTCCTCTACATTCTATTCCTTTACAGGGATCCCCAGAAAGCTATTATACAAGGATTAGAAAGTACAGAAGGGCTTAAATGTTTGCTTATGATTGCTAGCTTTCGAGTATTACAACAGAAAAAGGGAATCAGATTTCCTCCTATATGGGGGAATTTTCCTAAATAGATAGTTCTTTATCTTTGCAGAAAATATAAAAATCAAGCCATACTAATGACCAGTATTCACACTGTTGAGTGTACACCATCTCAAAATACATCATGAATCAAAAGGAAACTCATTAGCACCTGGCTGGGAATATTCTGTTTTATTAAATTTTTGTTTCTAAGTAAAATATGTTGCTGGATAAAAGTAGTTAAAACTTTTCTCTGCCTGGATATTAGGAAACAATCTGGCACTTCCCACCAATGCCACATCCCTCCCCATATCTCTTCTGATATAACATCTTCAGGAAATGTGACAGGTGAAAACTCAATCTGCTCTACTGATAAAGAACAGAGAAACACGCAAAAAAGGACTAAGGCTTTGTTACGGAATAGGGAAGCTGCATCTTTTGTTGTATACATCACACTCAAAGGACTTCTTGAAACCAAACCATATTTCTCTGACTCTTCCTGCAATAGATTAAATGGGTATGCAATTAGCTGAGCCGACAAGCCATTTACATTGTGTTCTTGGAACTACAGATACTCCAAAGAAGAAGTATGCCTAAATTTGTGATAGCCTCCCAACCACCTAAGAATAAGTGTGGGAAATGGGAATCTGGGTCATTGGTGCCATCTCTGCCTATTCTATTTGTCCACACTAATGAGTGTTTGCCTTTTGTCTATTTTAAAATGTTTAATTTGATTTGGTTAAGTTAGTGAACTAGTAAAATAGACTTGAAGATATTGACATTAACCCACAGAAGATATTCTGCTTCAAGAAGTAATTTAGGTACTGCTGTGAAGGGATTTTGCTGAAATAATTAAGAACTTAAACCTTAAAATAAACAGATTAGGTCTGGGCGGGCCTGGGCCAATTGCATGAATCCTTTAAAAGCAGAAAGTTTCCTTCAGCTCACTGGAGAAGGGAAAGTCAAAGAAATTCCAAAAGACAAAGATTCAGGACTCGAGAATTTTTGTTGCTGGAGGGGGCTATGTGTCAAGGAAGCTGGGTGGCCTCTAGGAGCTGAGAGTGACCCCTGACTGAGAGCTAGGAAAGGAAAAGGAGAAGTCAGTCCTTTAACAACAAAGAATTTAAACAAGAATGAGAGTGAAAACGTATTTTTCCCCAGAGCCTCCAGAAAATAAATCAACCTGGCTGACAACCTGATTTCAACCTGTGAAACCTGGAAGAGACAATTTGGCCATGATGTCCTGCATTTCTGACCCCATGGAACTGTGAGTTAATAAATGGGTGTCGTTTTAAGGTACTAAGTTTGTGGTCATTTGTCATACTGCAATGGAAAATATAGTGAGATAATACCATTACTTCTATGTAGTCTCTGTCCTATCCAGAGTGCACAGATCAGTTTAGTTCAAGTAATAGCTACTGGCCTCCTCAAAAGTGTTCAATTCTCAATCAGGCTCACACGAAACAAGTCTTAGTCTGCACCAAGCTTTACTACCAACTCACAAAGAATGAAAGAAAGGAGCCACAATTAACACCAAATCAAAATCTTTGATGCCATGATTCAATCAGATTAAGGTTTCTAAAATAACTCCATTCTTCTTTATTATTATTTGTGCAAATGTGTGAGTTATATGAGAATTTTTTTACATGTATATCATGAGTAGTGATCAAGTCAAAGTATTTAGGGTATCCATCACCCAAAGCATGTATTGGTATACAAATAGAAACATCGACCAATTGAACAGAGTAGAGAACCCAAAACTAAAGCCACATATTTACAGCCATCTGATCTCTGACAAGGCCATCATAAACTTACATGGGGGAAGGGACACCCTCTTAAATAAATTGTGCTGGGAATATTAGATAGCTATGTGCAGAAGAATGACACTGGGTCTCTATCTCTACCATATGCACAAATGAACTCAAAATGGATCAATGACTTACATGTAAGACTTAAAACCATAAAAATACTAGAAGAAAATCTAGGGAAAACTCTCCTGTGCATTGCTTTAGACAAATAATGTATGACTAAGAACTCAAAAGCACAGACAACAAAAACAAATATATACAAATGGGACTTAATAAAACTAAAATGCTTCTGCTCAGCAGAAGAAATAATAGACAACTATCTAATGGGAGAAAATGTTTGCAAAATATTCATCCAATAGGAGACTAACATCCAGAATACACTCCCATTCTTGAGTGCATTTTGAGTTTGATAGACCAGCTCTATGTCCATTACAAATTTTACAGGAAAGCTACTTAGTTTGGGGTTCTTACCAATCATGTAGCTACAAAGATTATGCAATTAACTTCTATTCCCTAGGACAGATGTCTTATAAATCCATAAAATTGTAGGCTTATTTATAAGTCCCAAACTTGGAGAAGACATTCATTTACTTCTTAGCTGGTGAATTCCATCAGTATATTCACAAGAAGATGTAGTCTAGTCAAAATTGCCTGACCTGAGGAAAATGGGAGAAACTGAGTTACAGACTCAGTTTTCCTCTAGCTCCCAATTATAGTCAAAACAACTGCTTTTCTTTGATGCTAAGATTTTTTTTTCTTTTCAAAGAATTATTTTTCCAGTGTCAAACAGTCCATTCCACCTCTACCTCATTACAATTTGGACTCCAATGCCTCCCTCTGCCTCAATTGACCTGTAATACCTTCATAGCCAAATCTACAAGCTAAGTACTGAAAAAGTCAAGGCTTATTTTGTTTTAATTTGTTTTGTGGTGGTCATTTGCTACAAAAACTAGTCCCATGAAGATTAATGGATATGAAATATATACTTATATTAAAAGGAGAGTGTATCCACATCTGTGTATTAGTAACAGCCCTCGTCAATTCAGGCATCCTACATATGTTTGCGTATGTCTTCCTGACGTAACTTCCTTTTTACTAGTCCTAATTGCTTATTTCCATTCTGAATCCACTTCAACAACTCTTCAGAACATCAGTAATGTTGCATGTTATGCAATAATCTCATGTTTAGTTTATTTATTATCCATATGCTAAAAATTGGTATATAATAGACATCAGAAACCACAAGTTTTATTTTTTAGCCTCTTCTAAATAGTTTGTGTTTAATAGCCAGTCTTTCTATTCTTCATGGAATTCCTGAAGTAGTCAACACTTTTTTTAATCTTATAATTTGGGTCTCTCTTCTGTATTCAGTTTTGTGTATCTTTGGACAAGTCATGTAGTCTTCAGGCAAATAGAAAACACATTCTTCGTGGTTCTTATGAGGTGAGCTTATTTCTTAGTCAAATATTTGCGCAGCTGATAATATGACTCAGATTCCAAACGTTCCTTTTCAGTGCCACCTGAGATACCTGAATTTACTTGAAAACATCGCTGTTCCCTTGCAGAAGTTAAATTTTCTGTTCAAAATCAAATGACACAGTATTCTAAGATTTTAGAAATTCCTCTTCTAGGAGTAAAACATGTCTTTACAAATTAGCAGCAAAGAACAGCATACACCTGATTAAATTGAATAGCAGCAGGTTGTAATCCCATATTAAACACATACATCTCCCAGTGAATCACATTAGGTCTATAATCCTCAGTAGGGAGTCAAAACCAACCTTCATGTCTTTTCAGAACCCATAGTAGGTTCCTGGAAGCATTAGAATTCAGGGTATTTATTACACTATGTCATTGTTTTTCCCAGAAATCTGGCTTTTCTGTAATAGGATATGCTTATTGATTTCAGAGCTCCAGTAGAATAGTTTATTGCTCCACTTCCTGCTCATATCAGTCTTCTAAACTGTGTAACTGTGTTAATTGTGTTTTGATTTCCAAATATTTCTCATCCTTATTTCACTTAGTATTTTCTCATCCTTATTTCACTTAGTATTTTCATCTTGTCACAATTGACACAATAAGCGTTATATGTATTAATTAGAAAGCTACAGTTTTTTCTCCTTTTTATTCCTGAGTCACCCATCTCTAGTCTCTGAATGCTTGAAATGGATTTTTATATATTAAATTCCCTTAGACTCTCATTCAATTTCCTTTTTCTCTAGTGGTTACTTGACTGTATGGGAGCCATCATGTTTGGCAGAATAAACATTTACCTTAGGATCAAAACTACACAGGCCTGATATTTTGTACAAATGTGGCCCTGCCCAAGTCATAGTGGTTTTGATAATTTCTCTTAAAAAAATGAAATAATTTCTACACTTCAGAATTGTTTTGAGACAAAATAAGACAATGTATGTAATTTTTGAAACATAACACAATGTAGAAATCTTTGGCATTCATAATTTAGTAACTTCTTATTCATTCATTTATTCATCCATTTATATATTTAAATATATACATTAAATTCTATATAATTTTCTTTTCACTCTAGTGTGAGCAGGTATTTGGGACTTTGATACTTCTTTGTCTTAGAAATTTTTCTTCATTGAAATATAAACAATTAAAAACAGTGTTTTTTGTATTTTAATCAATAGCCTATTTCATTAAAACTATTATACTGTAAAAGAGCATAAAAATAAAAGAAGATATTTCCCAGAGACTAAATAAAGTTGGAGACTGGAGGGGGAATTTCATCCCTACATATCTGAGAGTAGTAGGCTGGGAGGTTGGTAAAACTCTGAAGAAAAGCTTCTATTATACACCTAAAGAATTGGCACCTAGTGAGCTCCCACTGTTACTAACAATTTCTAATCTTTAAAGGTAATTTTTAAAAATTAGAGGAGCCCATGTAGGCTGGAACAATAAGCAGTGTACCTTAATAAGCCTTTAAAGAAAGCGGGAATCTTGACACTGCATTGGACTATGAAAACATTCTATACCTTGGAAAAGAGAAAGTTCCAGTAATGACTAAGAAAGTGTGTCCATAACTTAGGAAGATAAGCGGTTAGACCTAGATTCAGTTATTAAAAAATAAATGTTAATTTTCTTTTAAATATGCTATGTTTCTATTGTATGTATTAGTCAATCAAAAACTATTTTGAGTTTTTTAACTGATTAATATATACAGTACAACATAGCATATGTCCTACAACTCTAGACCTGTATTTTTGTCTGCCTAAGACTTCACTGAGCTAGAGTATTCAAATGACATTACATCATCTGACTGCTTTTGAGGATCATTCCTCCTGGATTCTACAATAAATTTCAGGATAAACCTCTAGTTGGGTAGGCTCTTTGCTCCTGTTTAATGCTTAAACAAATATATTCCACAACCATATTATGGAATACTGTAATTCCATGCAAAATAATTATTTTGAAAACAATTTGATGATAGGAAATGCTGAAGATTTATTTATTTATTAATCTTTATTAGCTATTTAATCTCAGGTAATTAATTTTTTCATTATTATTTCAATAGGTTTTGGGGGAACAGGTAGTGTTTGGTCACATGAATAAGTTCTTTAGGGGAGATTACAGAGATTTCTCCCAAACAGTGTACACTGTCTCCAATGTGTAGTCTCTTATCCCTCACCCCCCTCCCACCCTTTCCCCCAAGCCCCCAAAGTCCATTGTATTATCCTTATGCCTTTGTGTCCTCATAGCTAAGCTACTACTTGTTAGTAAGAACTTAAGATGTTTGATTTTTCCATTCCTGAGTTACTTTACTTAGAATAACAGTCTCTAAATCCATCCAGGTTGCTGAGAATGCCATTATTTCATTTCTTTTTATGGATAAGTAGATATATTCCATGGTGTATATATATATATGTAACACATTTTCTTTATATATATACATATATAAAGGACATGAATAGATATATATCTATATATATATATACATATATAAAGGACACAGATATATACACATATGTATATATATACACATATACATACACATATATATACACACACACACATATATATATATCACATTTCCACTCGTTGATTGATGGGCATTTGGGCTGGTTCCGTATTTTGGCAATTGCGAATTGTGCTGCTATAAACATACTCTTGCAAGTATTTTTTGTATAATGACTTCTTTTCCTCTGGATAGATAACCAGGAGTGGGATTGCTGGATCAAATGGTAAATCTAGTTGTTTAAGGAATCTCCACATTCTTTTCATGGTGGTTGTACTAGCTTGCATTCACATCAGCAATGTAAAAGTGTTCCCTTTCACTATGTCAACGCAAAAATCTATTAATTTTGATTTTTTAATTATGGCTATTCTTGCAGGAATAAGGTAGTATTGCATTGTAGTTTTGATTTGCATTTCCCTGATTATCAGAGAGGTTGAGCATTTTTTCAGGTTGTTGGCCATTTGTATATCTTCTTTTGAGAATTTTCTATTCATGTCCTTAGCTGAGTTTTTGATGGGATTGTTTGTTTTGTTCTCACTGATTTGTTTGTGTTCCTTGTAGATTCTGTATATTGTCCTTTGTCACATGTATAGGTTGTCAAGATTTTCTCCCATGCTGTGAGTTGTCTGCATACTCTGCTGATTATTTTTCTGTCCAGACTTAATTTAGTTTAAGTAAGTCCCAACTATTTATCTTTGTTTTTGTTGCATTTGCTTTTGGGTTCTTGGTCATGAAGTCTTTGCCTAAACCAATGCCTAGAAAGGTTTTTCTGATCTTATCTTCTAGAATTTGTATGGTTTCAGTTCTTACATTTAAGTCTTTGATCCATCTTAATTTGATTTTTGTATAAGGTGAGAGATGAGGTTCCAGGTTTATTCTTCTACATGTGGCTTTCCAATTATCCCAGCACCACTTGATGAAGAGGGTGTCCTTTCCCAACTTTATGTTTTTGTTTGCTTTGTCAAAGATCAGTTGACTGTAAGTATTTGGCTTTATTTTTGGGTTATCTATTTTGTTCCATTGGTCTATGTGCCTATTTTCATTCCAGTACCATGATGTTTTAGTGACTATGGCCTTATATAATAATTTGAAGTTGGGTAATGTGATGCTTACAGATTTATTCTTTTCGCTTAGTCTTGCTTTAGCTATGTGGTCTCTTTTTGGTTCCATATAAATTTTAGGGTTGTTTTTTCTAGTTCTGTGAAGAATGATGGTGGTATTTTGGTGGGAATTGTGTTGAATTTGTAGATTGCTTTTGGTAGTATGGTCATTTTCACAAGATTGATTCTACCCATCCATGAGCATGGGATGTGTTTCCATTGGTTTGTGTCATCTATGATTTCCTTTCAGCAGTGTTTTGTAGTTTTCCTTGTAGAGGTCTTTCACCTCCTTGGTTAGGTATATTCCTAAGTATTTAATTTATTTTTTTTACAGTAATTTATTGTAAAAGGGGTTAAGTTCTTGATTTGATTCTCAGCTTGGTTGCTCTTGGTGTATAGCAGAGCTACTGATCTGGGAACATTAATTTGGTATTCTGAAACTGCTGAATTCATTTATCAGTTCTAGGAGCTTTTTGAATGAGTATTTAGGGTTTTCTAGGTATATGATTATATCAACAGCAAACAGTGAGTTTGACTTCCTCTTTACTGATTTGGATGCCCTTTATTTTTTTCTCTTGTCTGATTGCTCTGGCTAGGACTTCCAGTAATATGTTGAAGAGGAGTGGTGAAAGTGGGCATCCTTGTCTTATTCCAGTTCCCAGAGGAAATGTTTTCAACTTTTCCCTGTTCAGTGTAATGTTGGCTCTGGGTTTGACACAGATGGCTTTTATTACCTTAAGGTATATCCCTTCTATTCTGGTTTTGCTGAGGGATCTAATCACAAAGGGATGCTGGATTTTGTAAAATGTTTTTTCTACATCTATTGAGATGACCATGTGATTTTTTAAAATTCCATTTATGTGATGTATCATATTTACTGACTTGCATATGTTAAAACCATCCCTGCATCCCTGGCATGAAACCCACTTGATCATGGTGGATTACCTTTTTGATATGCTGTTGGATTCAATCAGCTGCTACTATTTGTTGAGGATTTCTGCATCTGTGTTCTTCAGGGATATTGGTCTATAGTTTTCTTTTTTTGTTATGTCCTTTCCTGGTTTAGGATGATACTGGCTTTGTAGGATGATTCAGGGAGGATTCCTGCTTTGTGTATTTTTTTGGAATAATGTCAATAAGATTTGTACCAGACATTCTTAGAGTGTCTGATATAAAATTCAGCTGTGAATCCACCTGGTCCTGGACTTTTTTTGTTGGCAATTTTTTTTATTATCATTTGAATCTCGCTGCTTGTTATTGGTCTGTTCAGAGTTTCTATATCTTCCTGGTTTAATAAAGGAAGGTTGTATATTTCCAGGAATTTATCCATCGACTCTAGGTTTTCTAGTTTATGTGCATAAAGGTGTTCATAGCAGCTTTGAACAATCTTTTGTATTTCTGTGGTATCGGTTGTAATATCTCTCATTTCATTTCTAATAGAGCTTATTTGGATCTTCTCCCTTCTTTTCTTGGTTAATTTCACTAATGGTCTATCAATTTTATTTATCTTTTAAAAATCCAAGCTTTTTGTTTTATTTATCTTTTGTATTGTTTGTTTGTTTCCATTTGATATAGCTCTGCTCTGATCTTGGTTATTTCTTTTCTTCTGCTAAGTTTGGGTTTGGTTTGTTCTTGTTTCTCTAGCTCATTGAGGTGTGACATTACATTGTCTATTTGTGATCTTTCAGACTTTTTGATGTAGGCATTTGATTCTATGAACTTTCCTCTTAGCACCACCTTTTCTGTTTCCCAGGGGTTTTGATAGGTTGTGTCACTATTATTGTTCACTTCAAATAATTTTTTAATTTCCACCTTGATTTCATTGTTGACCCAACGATCATTGAGGACCAGGTTATTTAACTTCCATGTATTCACATGGTTTTGAGAGTTCGTTTTGGAGTTGATTTCCAATTTTCTTCCACTGTGATCTGAGAGAGCAGTTGATGTAATTTTGATTTTCTTGAATTTATTGAGGCTTCTTTTGTGGCCTGTCATATGATCTGTCTAGAGAATGTTCCATGTGCTGATGAATAGAATGTATATTCTGCAGTTATTGGGTAGAATGTTCTGTAAATATCTGCTAAGTGCATTTGTTCTAAGGTATAGTTTAAGTCCATTGTTTCTTTGTTGACTTCTGTCTTGATGTCCTGTCTAGTGCTGTCAGTGGAGTATTGAGTGCCCCACTATTATTGTGTTGCTGTCTGGCTGATTTCTTAGGTCTAATAGTAATTGTTTTATAAATCTGGGAGCTCCATTGTTAGGTGCATATATGATATATTTAGGATAGTTATATTTTCCTGTTGGACAAGTCCTTTTATCATTATATAATGTCCCAGGTTTTTAACTACTTTTCCTTTAAAGTTTGTTTTGTCTGATGTAAGAATAACTACTCCTGCTCACTTCTGGTGTTGATTTGCATGGAATATCTTTTTCCACCCCTTTACCTTAAGTTTATGTTTGTCCTTGTGTGTCAGGTGAGTCTCTTGAAGACAGCAAATACTTGGTTGGTGAATTATCATCTGTTTCTCCATTCTCTATCTTTTAATTGGAGCATTTAGGCCATTTACATTCAACATTAGTATTAAGGTATGAGATACTATTCTATTCATCATGCTATTTGTTGCCTGAATAACTTGGGTGTTTTTTTTTTCATTGTGTTATTGGTTTATGGGTCCTGCAAGATTTATGCTTTAAGGAGGTTCTATTTTCATGTATTTTGAGGATTTGTTTCAAGATTTAGAGCTCCTGTTAGCAGTTCTTGTAGTGCTGGCTTGGTAGTGGCAAATTCTCTCAGCATTTGTTTGGCTGAAAAAGGCTGTATCTTTCCTTCATTTATGAAGCTTAGTTTCACTGGATACAAAATTCTTGGCTGATAATTGAGGAGACTAAAGATAGAGCTCATCCCTTTCTAGCTTGTAAGGTTTCCCCTGAAAAATCTGCTGTTAATCTGATAGGTTTTCCTTTATAGGTTACCTAATGCTTTTGCCTCAGAGCTCTTAATATTCTGGCCTTCATCTTGACTTTAGATAACCTGACTATGTGGCTAGGTGATTATCTTTTTGTGATTAATTTCCCTGGTGTTCTTTGTGCTTCCTGTATTTGGATGTCTAAATCTGTAGCAAGACCAGGGCAGTTTTCCTCAATTATTCCCTCAAACATTTTTCAAACTCTTAGATTTCTCTTCTTCCTTGGGAACACCAATTATTCTTAGGTTTGGTCATTTAACATAATCCCAAAATTCTTGGAGGCTCTGTTCATTTTGTTGGATTCTTTTTTCTTTTTCATTGTAGGTTTGGGTTAAGTAGAAAGCCCGGTCTTTGAGCTCTGAAGTTTTTCTGTTACTTGTTTGATTCTATTGCTGAGACTTTCCAGTGCATTTTGCATTTCTCTAAGTGTGCCCTTGATTTCCAGAAGTTGTGACTGTTTTTTATTTATGCTATGTTTTTCATTGGAGATTTTTCCATTTATATCCTGTATCTTTTTTTTAAATTTATTTAACTTGGATTTCATCTTTCTCTGGTGCCTCCTTGATTAGCTTAATAATCGACCTTCTGAACTCCTTTTCTAGCAATTCAAAGATTTTTATCTTGGTTTGGATCCCTTGCTGGTGAGCTAATGTGATCTTTTGGGGGTGTTAAAGAACCTTGTTTTGTCATATTACCATAATTGTTTTTCTGGTTCCTTCTCATTTAGGGGTGGACTATGTCAGAGGGAAAATCCGGGGCTCAAGTGCTGCTGTTCAGATTTTGTCCCACAAGGTGCTCCCTTTCGTCACGCTTTCCCTCTTCCCATAGGGATGGGGCTCCCTGAGAGCCAAAGTGCAGTGATTGTTTTTTCCCTTCTGGGTCTGGCTACCACGTGGAGCTACTGGGCTCTGGGCTGGTACAGGGGTGGTGGGCGGGGTGTCTGCAAAGAATCCTGTGATGTGACCCATCTTCAGGTCTCTCAGCTGTGGATGCCAGCATCTGCTCCAGTGGAGGTAGCAAGGGAGTGAAGTGGACTCTGTGAGGGTCCTTGGTTGAAGTTTTGTTTATTGTGCTCATTTTGTGTCTTATGGCCCCTGGCCAGGAGGTGGCACTTTCAAGAGATCTCCAGCTGTGGTAATCTAGGGAGGACACAATCTTGCCCTAAGGTTGCCTGGATAAGTATTGGGGTTTCTGAGGTGGTGGACAGGTCCATAGAGTTTCCAAGAGATTATGTCCTTTGTCTTGGGCTATCAGGGTGCTTAGAGGAAGACCTTGAGGAGGGGGCAGGGTTAGGCAGGTCTGAGCTCAGACTTTCCTTGGAGGGGCTCGCTGCAGCTGCTGTGGGGGATGGGAGTGTGATTCTCAGGCCAATGAAGTTATGATCCCAGGGGGACTATGGCTGCCTCTGTTGCTTTGTACAGGTCACCAGGGAAGTGGGGGAAAGCCTGCAGTGACAGGCCTCAACCAGCTCCCACACAGGCTGAAAGGCCAATCTCACTCCCACCATGCCCCCACCACCAGCACTGAGTTTATTTCCAGGCAGCTGGTGAGCAGGGCTCAGAACTTGCCCCAGGTTACAAGCCTCCCTGCTGAAAGAACAAGCAGGGCTCTCAGGTTTCCTGCTTCCCTCCCTGTCGTGGCTTCTGTGCTGGTGTCTGCACTCCTGGTTCACCCCCTCCCCCAGATTCTATCCAAGAAACTTCACATTTGGTGGAAATTGTCATGAAGTTCAGCTGAAAGTTTCCTTCTTGCTGTGATCTTTCCCCAATTCTATTGGCAGCCTTTCCAAGGACCCCTGTGAGACAAAGTCAGAGATGGCTTCCCTGGGGACCGAGAGTGCCCACCAAGCTCTTCCACTGCTTCCTCTATCCATGTATTTCACTCAGTACTCTAAATTCATCTCAGCTCCAGGTAAGGTCAAATCCTTCTCCCATGATCTGGACCTCCAGTTTCCCCAGTGAGGATGTGTGTTCAGGGGCAGATGATCCCCCTTTCACACTTTCACACTTTGGGCACTCATAGTTTTTCAGCTGTCTCCCAGAGCCAGCAACAGCAACCCACTTCCTGTAAAAGGTCTGTCAATTTTTTAAAAGAAAAAATAGAATACAAAGCTGGATAAGTAGAATGATGCTAAGTTTTTTTCAGTGGAAGTAGTGCCAGTGGTGGGTGTTGTGTGTTTGTTATATCAGAATATATAACGATTGCTATGGTTTATGTCCCCTCCAATATCAATGTTGAAACTTAATTCCCAATGCAACAGTATTAAAAGGTACAGCCTTTGGAAAATGATTAGATCATAAAGGCAGAGCCCTCATCAATGGATTAATGTTTTTATAAAACGGCTGGAGGAAACTAGCTAGGTACCCTTTTGCCCTTTCAACATTCTGCCTTGTGAGTACACAGCAACAAGGTATCATCTTGGAAGCACAGAGACTAGGCCTTTATCGGACATTGAACCTGCTGGCACCTTGACCTTGGACTTCCAGCCTTTGGAACTGTGAGAAAATCAATTTCTGTTTTTTATAAAAAATGCCAAGTCTCAGGTATTTTGTTATAGTGAAACAGACTATGGACAGATAGATGAGAGATCTGAAATTCACTAAAATTATGCACATGGTTTCTATGAATAGAAACATTATGTTTAAATTCTTATTTTTTAATTTATTTTTTATATTTTTAAAATTTTCAGCAATGAACATGTATCACATTTTATAATCAAGCAAAAACAATAAATGTTATTTTTGCAATTCCCTTCTGACACATTTTCATGATATCTCCCTCTAGTCATCAAGAAACAACTTGTTGCCAAATACCAGGAAATTAACAGCAATTATCACCAGCTGGCTAGATGGAGGTAGTAGTCACTGGACTGTAATCCACCCAGCATGAAATAGAAAACCTTGAAGGAATAAAGTGGATGATTAATCAAACTTGAAACATCAACTTCCTGGGATAGCATATATCAAGACAGATTACTCACTGAACATTAGACATCATTCCTGAGAATCCCATAATGATTTCAGCAGCATCAGCCCTTTAAAACAGACAGCTGAAGTCCACCTTAGAGATCAGGAGTTTTATTTATTCAAAATAACTTTTTAAATTCTAAATTCTAGCTGAAAATGAAATGTCTTATTGGCTAGGAAGTGACAATTACACACACACACACACATGCACATTTTTTGAGACAGAGTTTCCCTTTGTCACCCAGGCTTGAGTAAAGTGGCACAATCACAGCTCACTGTAGCCTCCACCTCCTGGTTTCAAGTGATCCTCCCACCTCAGCCTCCTGAAACAATAGGCACATCCCACAACACCTGGGTTGAAACCATAGGCGCTGAAACCATAGGCACATCCCACAACACCTGGCTAATTTTTTGTATTTTTTGTAAAGACAGGGTTTCGCCATCTTGGCCAGGCTGATCTCAAACCCTGAGTTCAAATGATCCACCTGCCTCAGCCTCCCAAAGTGCTGGAATCACACGCATGAATAACTGTGCCCAGCAAACAATATTTTTATATGATCTATTTTTTATTTAATCATAATTGGACTCAAGTAAACAAAGGACAGCACTTGGCTTTACAGTGTTATTGAACATATGATCCTTCTCTAAATGTCCTACAATCCAGGCAGATAAACCGATATGTATGTTAATTGACAATATGAGAGCATCTATGTTCATTTTGAGGTTTTAAGATGAGGTAAATTGCACCCCAACTCTTTTCTCAAATTCTGATCAATTAAAACACATATAAGATGTAAGGCAGGCAGAAAACCCAAATCAGGAAGAGCAGTTCTATTTGTGAGCAAGTAGGCCTCCCTTATACTGACTCAAAATTAGACAGACTTACCAACCTTGCTAAAGGTAGCCTTATATTGCCCCTTTCAGAAGCTGCCACTGAAAAACCAGTTGCAGTAGCATCAGCATCACCTGAGAATTTTTTAAAGATGCAAATTTATAGGCCTGCTCTAGACCTGCCAAATCAAATTTCTGTGCAAGGGGCCAAGCTATCTGTTTTAAGAATATCTCTAGGGATTTGGAATCACATTGAAGTTTAAAAATCACTACATTTTTAGAGGGGGAGAGGGAGAGGAGCTAAGGTATGCATGCATGTTTCTTTTTCCTCAGTTCATTCCATATTTATGAAGAGAAGTGAGTAAGGAGGGATAGGAGAGAGGGTAGGACGGATACACCATTGAAACTTCCTCTAGATAGAAGGAACTATCAAGAATGGAGCAGAAGCATCTACCTATAATCTTTTTCAGCTATTGGTTCTCTTAATCCATTGAGTTTAAACATTAAGCCTATGGTTAAATAGAGGCTTACCTGTCCCCTTTGATGTAAACTACAAAAGAATCATGGTAATTCTGCTCCCTCTTTCATGAGGCCATCCCTACCCCTTACCAGACTTTCCTTGTTTTAGCACCTTCCTGGGACCATTGGTGGACAGTGTAGACTTTGTGTCTTGAAGTTTTTAAAATGACTTTCAATACCAATTAGTTAAATTTGTTGAGAAAATTTTGAGAATTATGACTGGCCTTTCCAAAATGAAGTTTAGAACTGTTACTGATAATTATGAAGTGTACACGGCTACTTACAGAATGCTTTTAATGATGAGGAAAAGGATCTTTATACTTATCTCCAGAATTTTAAAAAACTTAACTCAGAGGATTTATCTAAAAGTCCCATAGCCTAACATACAAATCAAATTTCAAGGATCTGATTTCAGCTTGAAGAATTTTAGCTAATGAATTACTTGGCCAAGCAACTACTCTTCTTTTTTTTCTTTTAATTAAACCAAAGAAATTATCTATGGTACAAAATACTCTTAACAGTCCAATAATTCATGTGATGAGTGAAACTGTAAAACCTGCAGTTGTTTACATAACTGTATAAAACTGTGCCCTCTCCAAACTGAAGCCACAGAACCATCACAAGTTGTATCTGAGGATTTTCTCCTTATTTACAAGCTAATTATCATGGAGGATTGATCATTTCCTGTTCCACTAGGAATTAACTGCAAGGCCTTTCTGTCCCTAAAGCCAACAGTACACTCTCACTTGTTTCCTATTTCAAATTATGTCCACTCATGTTGTCCAACATAAACTATCTAAGATTCTGAAATAAGAGCAAAAGTCAAATTAGGATAGTCCAATAATAATATGCCAACAGGAGATTTCCAAATCTGGAATATATCTTCTCTAATTTTTATATTGCAAGGAAGAAATTAAAATACAAAGATTAAATCCTGTTACAAACAAAAGGCTTCAAAATCCAAATGAACATCTCAGATTCAACCATCAAGTGCTTTTTTTAAGCCTCAAGAAATAAAATTCTTCCCAAACATCTTATTATGCTGAGTCTTAGAGAGGATTCTTGTTGATTCTATGGAATTGGGTTTACTCCATAGCCACAGAATGGGGGTCTTCAAAGAAAATGAAAGAGCTTCCCTAGGACCTCAGAACCATATCTCTCAAAGGAACCACTTAAAAATTTCCAAAGAAATAACAAGGAAATCCTGCAGTGTGGCTGATAGATATCCGACAGGCTCTCCACTAAAAAAACACAAACGCTTCTGGATAAAACACTTTTTAGTACATTTTTAAATTTATAGGAATGAGGAGAAATCTCCAAGACACCATTCCTCTGTCGAAATAAAACCAACTCATGAGCTGAAACCTGAAGAGGGAGTGGTTAATGGTAAGCAATGGTGAAAGGTGGGATTGTCTATATAATTGCCCGACCAGAATAATTTTGGATCTCTGACGAGATGAGGGAGCTGAAATTGAGATTTCTTCATTAAGTCTGGAATCTGGTTCCAGCAGAACAAAATGCAATTTCCCTTTCTCCTAAGGCGAGTATCTTCAATTCTGATTATTAAAGTCAATCAAACATGGATTTCAGTTCATGGCGGATGGGAGGCAGGCCTATATTGCAGCTCTGACTGGAACGGACAGAGCAGCGTGCGAAGGCTCGCATCCTGAATTTTAGCTCCCGATCCACTGCAAAAACAAACCAGGAATGCCCAGAGGACTCACAGACCCTCTGAAGGAAGTGGACTGCTCCTGCAGGACCCGGGAGACGCCCCAAATACTGTGATTGCCCCAACTACAGAAGTGGGAAAAGAAGATCCTACTCTCCCAAACATACATCCCCACTGGAGAAACTGAAGGTCTGTTTGCCGGAGAAGTTTCCGACCTTACCTGGAGCTGAGTCAATTTATAGAGCGGAGTGAAATACAGGGTAGAGGAAGCAGCAAGAAAGGCCCTTGGAGCTTGCTGGGTCCCCAAGCCAATCATTCCTGCCTGGTACCACAGGGATCCATCGGTAGTGTGGCCAGAGGAGCAGAGGGTAAAACACTTCAGGGAGAGGGAATTCTCTAGCTGACCTTTGTAACAATTTGAACCGGGCGAGAAGCCTCCTGGCAAGAACTCAGGGGAGGGCCACGAATCCGAATCCGGTGTGCAGACTCCACAGGTGGGGGAAGAACAAAGCCCTTTTCTTTCACAGCTGGGAGGTGGGTAGCCAGGCTCGTCCACCACCTGGAAACAGACTTGGGGCTTTTGTGGGGGGCACGGTGGGAGTGAGACCAGCCCTTCAATTTGCGTGGAAGCTGGGTGAGGCCTGTGACTGCTGGCTTTCCCCCACATCCCTGACATCCTACATGACTCAGCACAGGCAGCCATAATCCTCCTAGGTACACAACTCCAATGACCTGGGAACCTCACTGTCATCCCCCACAGCACATGCAGCAAGACCCACCCAAGGAGATTCTGAGCTTGGAAAAGCCTAGTCCTGACTCCACCTGATGGGCCTTCCCTATCCACCCTAGTAGCTGAAGACAAAAGGCATATAATCTTGGGAGTTCTAGGGCCACGTCCACAGCCAGTTCCTCTCCATACTACAACAGCTAATGCTATCTGGAAACTGCTACCTCCTGGCAGGAGGCCAAACAGCCCAAAAATAGGACATTAAACCACCAAAGCTAAGAACCCTCACAGAGTTCATTACATCCACCCTGCCACCTCCATCATAGACAACACAAACAAATAGAAATACATCCCATGCTCATGGATGGGTAGAATCAATATTGTGAAAAATGACCATACTGCCAAAAGCAATCTATATGCAATTCCCATCAAAATACCGCCATCATTCTTCACAGAAATAGAAAAAACAATTCTAAAATTCATATAAAACCAAAAAAGAGCCTGCATAGCCAAAGCAAGACTAAGCAAAAAGAACAAATCTGGAAGCATCACACTACCTGATTTCAAACTATTACTATAAGGCCATATTCACCAAAACAGCATGGTACTGGTATAAAAATAGGCACATAGACCAATGGAACAGAATAGAGAACCCAGAAATGAACCCAAATACTTACAGCCAAATGATCTTCAATAGAGCAAACAAAAACATAAAGTGGAGAAGGGATACCCTTTTCAACAAATGGTGCTGGGATATTTGGCTAGTCACATGCAGGAGAATGAAAGTGGATCCTCTTCTCTCACCTTATATAAAAATCAACTCAAGATGGATTAAGGACTTAAATGTAAGACCTGAAACCATAAAAATTCTAGAAGATACAACTGGAAAAAACCCTTGTAGACATTGGCTTAGGCTAAGATTTCATGATCAAGAACCCAAAAGCAAATGCAATAAAAACAACAATAAATAGTTGGGACTTAATTAAACTAAAGAGGTTTTGCACAGCAAAAGGAACAGTAAGCAGAGTAAACAGACAACACACAGAGTGGGAGAAAATCTTCATAATCTATACATCTGACAAAGGAATAATATCCAGAGTCTACAATGAACTCAAACAGATCAGTAAGAAAAAAAAAAAGCAATGCCATCAAAAAGTGGGCTAAGGAAATGAATAGACAATTCTCAAAAGAACATACACAAATGGCCAACAATCATGTGAAAAAGTGCTCAACATCGCTAATGATCAGGGAAATGCAAATCAAAAGCACAATGTGATACTACCTTACTCCTGCAAGAATGGCCATAATCAAAAAATAAAAATAAAAATAAAAATTAGAAAAAAACAGTAGATGTTGGTGTGGAACATTTCTACACTGCTGGTGGGAATGTAAGCTTGTACAGCCACTGTGGAAAACAGTGTGGAGCTTCCTTAAATAACTAAAAGTAGAACTACCTACCATTTGATCTATCAATTCCACTACTGGGAATCTACCCAGAAGACATGAAGTCATTATACGAAAAAGATACTTGCACACACATGTTTATAGTAGCCCAATTCGCAATTGCAAAATCGTGGAACCAACACAAATACCCATCAATCAACGAGTAGATAAAGAAACTGTGATATATATATATATATATATATATATATGTATATGCACACACACATATATATACACATATATATACACACATATATATACACACATATATATATTCCATCATATATATATTCCATCTCATATATATATTCCATCATATATATATTCCATCATATATATATTCCATCTCATATATATATATTCCATCATATAAATATTCCATCATATAAATATTCCATCATATAAATATTCCATCTCATATATATATATTCCATCATATATATATATTCCATCATATATATATAGTCCATCATATATATATTCCATCATATATATATAGTCCATCATATATATATTCCATCATATATATATATTCCATCATATATATATATTCCATCATATATATATATTCCATCATATATATATATTCCATCATATATATATATATATTCCATCATATATATATATATATATTCCATCATATATATATATATATTCCATCATATATATGCTGGAATACTACTCAGCCATAAAAAGGAATGAATTAATGGCATTTGCAGCAATCTGGATGAGATTGGAGACTATTATTCTAAGTGAAGTAACTCAGGAATGGAAAAGCAAACATCGTATGTTCTCGCTGATATGTGGGGGAAAAGCTATGAGGATGCAAAGGCATAAGAATGATACAATGGACTTTGGGGACTTGGAAGAAGTGTGGGAGGGGGGCGAGGGATAAAAGACTATGGTGTATACTGCTTGGGTAATGGGTGCACCAAAATCTCACAGATCACCACCAAAGAACTTACTCATGTAACCTATGGAAAATTTTAAAAAAGAAATAAAAATAAAAATAAAATCAATCAAATATGAGTTTATAATCAAAGATGACCAAATTCAGAAGAAATCAGCAGGAATAACAACAAAAGAACAACAAAAACATAATTAGACCTACTAAAACATTCTGTTTTGGTTTTGTTTTGTATTATTTTGTTTTTCAAATACAGATTTATTTTATCAATTGTTCCATAACAAACTGCCCAACAATTTTGTGGATTAAAATCAACCATTTTATTTTGTTCACAACTTTTGTGGTTCATGAGTTTGGGAAAGTCTCATATCAGTGGGACTGCTGGGGCTAAAGAAGCTATTTCCAAAATGTGTTTTTTATTTATATGGCTGGTGCCTCAATGCTCCTTGACTTCTCTTTCTCTATACGTTTCATCCTCAAAGGCCTCGCCACTCAACTTGGGCTTCTCAGAGCATTGTGGTTTCAGGGTAATCACACTTCTCTTATGACAGTTGGCTTCCAAGTAAGGTTTCCATGTTCAGCAAATGACAATACAGAACTCCCTCTTAAATTTGAATTTAAGAAAAACAAAAAAAAATATTTTTAGCATAAAGTGTTTCAAATATTACCCAGGACATTTACACTGAAAAAATATTAGCAACCCTACTTCAAAAAGAAAGCAAGCCGAAGTCTACTGGTATAGTTAAGGGCCTTGTTTGGAATTGAAATAGTGTCTTTTCCACCATATAATATTGGTCAAACAATCACAGTGTCGGCCCAGATTTAAGGGATGGAGAGATAGACTCACTTCTGCAGGAAGTGGCAAGGTCACATTGCAAAAGGGCACATGGGATGGGATATATTGTGGTGGCCATCTTTGGAAAATATAGTCCACAAGAATAAATAGAAATATGCAAGAAAATATTAAGAAAATAAAATATAGAATCACAAAAATCAATAAGGTGATACTACTAAAAAGAGCTAGATCTTTCAAAACTAAAAATTATAATAATTAAATTTTTTAAAATCTTGAATGGTTAGACTGAACAGCAGATTAAACACAGCTAAGTAGTTATTAAACTACTTAGTTTAATCTGTGAACAGCAGATTAAACACAGCTTGTGTTATTGCCCCAAAATATTTACTCCCACTTCTTGTAAGTGAATTATTCATCTCATTATTGCCATAAAATGTGTGGTGCCTCCAGTGAAGGAATATACAGATCTGTGCCATTGATGTTGGGTTTGGTATATCACTTCCTTTGGCCAACAGCATGTGAGCAAATGTGAAATTCACTGTGTCCAGGCAACAGGTTTAACAGCCATTGTTTATTTCTTGCCAGCTCTCCTTCTCTTTTCCCTCTGCTATGAGAATATTGTGTTCTGAGTAAGCAAAGATTCTTCAGCCTGGATCCTACACTGAAAAAGAAAATGTAGAACAGAGCCACAAGTGATCTGAAGTGACCAGCAGCTTTCAAAAAAAAAAGAGAGAGAGAGCAAGAAATGATATTTTTAAGCCACTAAGATGGTGGGGGAGTTTGATACAGCACAGACACCTTGTCTGACATATCACTCATCATTTATAAATAGGAAGGATAAGCATATTTCCTCAAAGTATGATAGTCATATAATGCCAAAATTTGCCTTCTAATGTGGGAACTCTCCTTATTGGAGAATAGATTCACAGTAATAAATTTCAAACCACTGGTATAAACTAACTAACATCTTAATGAGACTAAACCATAGAAGCTTCTCTATTCTACTCTCCTTCACCCAAATAACTGACTGCTTCTCAATGATTTTGACAATATATAATTTTACCTGGAATAAATTTTGTTTAATGGGGAATAGCCACTTTTCTAATTTCAATGGGCTTGAAAGCAGAGCTATACTTATGTATGTTCTACAAGATACTTGGACATTTGAAAAGTAGTCACATTAAAGAGTCAGCATTCAATTTACTCAACTTCTGAGGTTCCCCTGGGTGCAGCTGCTGAAGAAATCCCAAATTACACTAAACACAAGAAATCCCACTAGGGATAGAGAAAAAGAGAAGGATAAACTTCAGACTTTAATTTCTTTGAAACTTAACAACCAGGTACAAGAGCGTTTGATATTAGATTACAATTTCTTTGTATTTTTATATTTAGTACTTTAACTTGTAAGAGGATTTAATTCCATTGAATGTCAATTTCTCCTCAATAATTGATCATGTGAGAGGAGTTTATGTTGAAATTGGGATATATTTATACTGACAGTTTATTATTTGCATATTTTAGTGTTGTCATCTGATGTCATGAACTACAGATAGGTTATGTGAAACAACATGGCTGTAAACAACCTAAGAAGGTAAAGAGATATGGTAATGAATTTTCAGTGTTTGTACAAATATGATCTAAGTGTTAATTTAATACTGGACTTTTTTTGCCCAATTTCAGAGACTTCTGGCAACAAAATTATACTGTCTATTGGTGGTTCCAGAAAAATGCCCCAAGAAACAATGGATTTATATTGGGGAAGTGGCCTCATGAAGGTAGAAGCATGACTGTCTTGGTAGGCTGCTTCTGTTTTCCTCGAAGGGGTACAACCACAACAGTAGTAATCTATGGGTATATTAGTTAAACTCAGTTGACTGTAAGAACAAGAAAAGCTAAAATGTTAAGAGGATTGGACTCTGCTTCACACTCTTGATGTTTATACATCACAGGAGCTCCAATATCATTGCATCTCTTCATTCACTCCACCCCCACAGATGATCTATGAATTTGTGAAAAGTGATTGGGCACATTTAGCCCAGCTATTTGCTCTTTTTTCTTTGCAGACAACGTGTTCCACTCTGCTGTTCTATTCTATAAATTGTATGTAGGAGATTCCGCCTCTACCAAATAACTAGGTAGGAATGTGTTTTAGTTATGTTGAGTTAGGCAACAATGAGGTAACAAAATCTCAGTGGTTTCACATAGCAAAGTCTGTTTTGGATCAGCAGCTCTCCAGGGCTACTGAATTCTCAGCAATACTCAGAGATCCAGTAGTCTTATACCTTGTCATTGTACCTTTTAAACAGGTGGCTTTCTGTTAACTATTTGGAAAGACAACCTGAGATTTGAAAGATAAATGATATTTAGAATTTTAAATAGTGTGATAAACATTTTTACTGTGTCTGTTCTATTTACTGTATCTGTATTTGCTGTATCAGCAAATAATTTTTCTGCAACTATACCTTCTTAATGAAACAAAGACATGAGAGATATGGAAACATTAATGAGTTAATCCAGAGGTTGTGAGACTCTTTAAAGTTAGGTCCTCAAATGTAAGTTTCCTGGATTCTGTGTAATACAAAACCATTATTTTTCACGATGGCTTAGAAACATTATGTTGAATAAGTGGGAGATCTATGCAAATACAGACGTATTTCACTGGACAATGTGAAAATGAACAGACCTTGAATGAAATTTGATACGCCATTGTTTACTAACAACATTCTAAAATACTCAATCTGATCCATTGTAAGGTTTATTCCTTACATGTACCTTCCTTAGAATATGATAGTGGAAGGCCATATATATATATATATATATATATATATATATATATATATATATATATAAAAGTTTCACTTGGAAGTATGCAAAGAAAATAGAAGTTAGTTAGTTATTTTGAATGTCATGTTCTGCATTCACTGCCATAATAATAATCATTCTAGTAGGTTTTCCATAAAACTTGGTAAATGCCGAAGTTTTTTTTTTTTTTTTTTAAACTGGTATCAGATCATCATCTCACTTCATTTGGCTGCTGTGAGTGTGTTAAGTATGCCAAGTATTTTTAATCACAAGTCCAAGCCTGCAAGATTTCAAACTTGGTATTCATTTGTCTTTATAAACATTAATCTGGTATTTACAGGGAAAAAAATCAATGACTTTTTTCTGCAATGATTGATTCTCTTCTAAATAAGAAGCTATAAAGTACTAAAATTCAATTAATAACATTAAGCTTCAATATGTATATTATACAATAAGTGAATTCCTTGATTAAATATTTATTACATAGCGATTTTCTTTATAATAAGCAGAAATATGTTCAAAAAGCAACACAAATTTTGTTGTATAAGCAGATAATTTTTAGGGTGATTTTCTTCCTACCTATTATTTGTATTAAGGTTAAATATATACAACATGTACTACTGTTTCACAGGATGGACTCAATATTACATTCACAAAGAACCAATTACCTCAGATCCGAATCTGTGTCTGTATTAGTCCATGTTCAAATCTTTTAAATCTATATTAAAACGATTATTTTTCTAACTTCTTCATTAGAGAAAGCCTTTATATTGGTAAAATAGCAAGTGACAGAAAACCAATTCAAACTGGAGTAAATAAAATAAAGGATGAAGAAAGGAAGAGAGGGAAAAAGTAAGGCAGGGAGGGAGGCAGAGAGGGAGGCAAAGAAAGAGAGAGAGGAGAGAAGAAGGAAGGGAGAGAGAGCACTACTTGGCCAATAATTACGTTGTCTAGGAGTAGATTTTTGCCCTTCAGGCATAGTTGGTGTATGTGTCCTAATTTCTGTTTTTCCAGAGAAAGAGAACAAGTAGGCACACACACACACACACACACATATGTTTATGAAAAATAAGAATTGACTGATGCAATTATGGGAGCTGACGAATTCAGGAAAGCTGGTGGTGTAATTCAGTCTGAGTACAAATGCATAGAGGTGGTAGGGCATTGTTGTAAGCATTGGTCCAAGCCCAAAGGTGAAAAATCAGGAGCGCCAATGTCTAAGGGCAGGAGAAGGTGAATGCTCCATCTCAAACAGAGAGAACACATTTTCCCTTCCTCTGCCTTTTTTTTGTTCTATGCAGGCCCCCAAAGGATTGGATAGTGCTTACCCGCATCGGTGAGGATGATCTTTTTCACTCACCGTACAGATTCAAATGTTAATCTCTTTGGAATCATCCTCACAGACACACCCAGAAATAATATTTTACCAACTATCTGGGCAACCCAGTCCAGTTGGCACATAAAATTAACCATCACAGTTTAATTCAGATGTTCAGATATCAGGTTGGTCTGTCTCTCTGTCTGTCTCTCTCTCTCTCTCTCCTCCCCTCATTGCTATTGCTGTCTATCTAACTAGCTAGCTATTGATCTATATTTCTCTATCATCTTGGCACTACTTGCAAGATAAACAATGGTGACACAATACCTACTTTATCTTTAAAACTTGAATCTCAATTTAAGAAAAATAAAGTCAAGAAATAAGTCCACAGGAAGTTCTGATTGGCTCATCTTAGATCATATGTCCAAACAAATCTATGACTGCAACATGAAACTTGGGATCCTCTGATTGGCCAGAGTCAGTATCACTCATTCCTGTTACTAGGTTTAACAGAAAAGTGGGAGTGAAGGAAACATGTCTTAAAAGAGAAAAAAATAAGTAACATTAACATTTACTTAATGTCGGACATATTTCTTAGTATAATCTCAAGTATTAAATAATACAATAAGCCCAATACATAAGTACTATTTTGTTTCACTTTTATAGATGAGGAAATCAAGGGATAGAGTAATGAGGACCAAAGCCAAGACATAATTCATGTGATGTGACCTTATTATACTGCCATTTAATAAATGTGGTAGACAGATAAAAATATTTTTTTACATAGCTTTCCACAAACTACTTTGTCCAAAAATAATAAGATTCCTGTAAAATCTAAAACACTAAGCCGAGTATGGTGGCTCATGCCTGTAATCCCAGCATTTTGGGAGGCTGAGGTGGGTGGCTCACCTGAGGTCAGGAGTTCAAGACCAGCCTGACCAATATGGTGAAACCCTATCTGTACTAAAAATACAAAAATTAGCAGGGCATGGTGGCATGTGCCTGTAATCCTAGCTACTCCAGAGGCTGAGACAGGAGAATTGCTTGAACCCAGGAGGCAGAGGTTGCAGTGAGCCGTGATTATGCCACTGCAGTCCAGCCTGGGTGACAGAGACTCTGTCTCAACACTGCACTCCAGCCTGGGTGACAGAGACTCTGTCTCAAAAAAGTGAAAAAATAAAAATATAAAACTCTAGAACTTAGATCTCCTACTATTGTCACCTATATTTCTTCTCTCCAAGGTATTGCATGTATTAACTTCATACTTTTCCAATATATCCATAAGATAAAATATTTTACTCTCCTGATTTTAATCATAAAAATTACATGGGGAAAAAAACTCACAAAACCTTTATGATGACTTTGACGGGTTCAGTACTTCAGTGGAGGAAGTACCTACAGAAATGGTGGAAATAGCAAGAGAGCTAGAATTAGAAATGGAGGTTGAAGATGTGACTGAATTGCTGCAATCTCATGATAAAACTGTAATGGTTTCTTATATGGTACAGACGCTCTTTAGTTTATTTAGGTCGCATCTGTCAGTTTTTGTTTTTGCTGCAATTGCTTTCAGCTATCACCATGGAATACTACACAGTCATAAAAAGAACAAAATCACATCCTTTGCAGCAAGATGGTTGGAGCTGGAGGCCATATCCTAAGCAAATTAAAACAGGAAAAGAAAACCAAATATCACATGTTCTCACTTGCAAGTGGGAGCTAAAAATCAAGAAAATGTGGAAAAAAAAGAAAAGAACAACAGATGCCAGGGCCTACTGGAGGGTGAAGCGCGGGACGAGGGTGAGGATAAAAAATTACCTATCAAGTACTAGGCTTATTACCCGGGTGATGAAATAATCTGTACACTAAATGCCCGTGGTATGCAATTTACCTATATAACAAACCTGGACATGTACCCCTGAACCTAAAATAAAAGTTAAAAAAAAAAAAAAAACTTGAATGGATGAGGAGTTGCCTCTTATGGATGAGCAAAGCAAGTGGAGTCTTGAGATTCAATCTCCTGGTGAAGTTGCTATGCAATGCTGAAATGTCAACCATGCATTTAGAATATTACATAAATTCAGTTTATAAAGCAGAGTCAGGATTTGAAAAGATCAACTCCAACTTTAAAAGTTCTACTGTAAATAAAATGCTGTAAAACAGCATTGCATGGCTACCGAGGACTCTTTCGTGAATGGAAGAGTCAATTGATGTGGCAAACTTCATTGTATTATTTTAAGAAATTACCACAACCACCCCAACCTTCAGCCAGCACCACCCTGCTCAGTCGGCAGCCAGTAACATGGAGGCAAGACTCTCCACTAGCAAAAGGGTTGCAACACGATGAAGGTTCAGGTGATTGTTAGCATTTTTTTTTTTAGCAATAGTGTATTTTTAAACTAAGGTATGTACACTTTTTAGACATTTCCTATCACACACTTAATGAACTACAGTACACAGTGTAAACATAACTTTTACGTGTACTGGAAAACCAAAAACTTTGGTTTTTTATGCTTTGTTTTGTTCAGGTGGTCTGGAACCAAACCGAAAACATCTCTTTGGTATGCTTGTATTTACATATATA
Organism: Homo sapiens; assembly: GCF_000001405.40. NCBI lineage: Eukaryota > Metazoa > Chordata > Mammalia > Primates > Hominidae > Homo > Homo sapiens. The sequence continues at coordinate 82,113,081 of NC_000012.12, forward strand.
TATATATATATATATATATATATATATATATATATATATATACACACACACACACACACACACACACACACACTAAATACATGTACACATATTTATATATTTTATATACATATCAATTTTTCCATAAAATAAATATAACTGATAGATATGTTATAAATATATGTATGCATATGTAATACTAGTAACAATAGTTAACGTTTATTTAATGCTTACCCAATGCCCTAGGTTCTATTTTAAGCTAGTTACATGCATAATTTCATTAACTTTCCCAATAACTTTGTAAGTTATATAGTATTATTATATCAATACCACATACTAAGTAATTGCTTACATTCACATAGCTCATATGTAGTGAAACCAGGATTTGAACTTAACAAAAGAGAGAAAACAGGTAAGTTTAACAAACAATGGTCAAAAGAAAAAAAAAAAAAACAGAAAAAAATTGGTGTAAATAAGCTATTCACCATCAAAATATATATTTAAAATTTTTTAAAAATTGCAAAATGAGACATAAGGAAAAGATTTTTATATGTGTTCTTAAGAATCAGCCATAGATGTCACCTTGTAATTAATTCATAATGGTAAACTCGGTGGTTAGATCTAATAACTGTTGTGTTTCCCATTTCAGCACAAATGCAAGTGTTGAATATTAAATCAAAGGAAAACATTATCCGGCTAAATACCATGCCTTCTATTTTTAGCATGTAAACAGATTTCTTCTGCATAATGTTAAAATGAACACAAGTTTCTTGCTTCTCTTATTTGAAGAACATAATTTTAGACAGTCTGATTTCCTTTTTTACCATTGTATGAAAAAATAAATTAATTGTTTGAAAAGCTCCTCTTCAGTGGAGTTCTCAAAATACATAAACACACGCATACACACACATTGCCATTATGAAGGAGTGTATAATATTGAAAATCTATTTGCATTTATATTATAGGGAAAGGCTAACAATAAAATAAAGTATATCATTCATGAAAATTTCTAAAACACTGATGATGTAGATAGCACTCAAGTAGTTATACAAGTAGTAAAATCCATTGGTTAGTTATTTAAGTATGCTACACACATTTTATGAGGCTTAATGATATGAAATACGCTTAAAATTTGAATTTACATGTATTACTTAGCAATTGATTTCTTAAAATGTTAAGAAAATCAAAGAAAGATTTAAAGAACACCAATATTTATTTTAAACTAAAAATGGACAGATTTTCAAACAATTTGTTACCATGAAACAGTATATCAGCTAGAATTAATTTTACTGTGTATGTTAGAAAATTCAAAATAAAAGTGCCTTTTTAAAAGACACAGAGAGCACACTAACCATAAAGGAAAATTGGTAAATTGAACACTAACAACATTTTAAAACTTCTGCTTATTAAAATCCATTAAGAGAATAAGCAGAGGAATTACAGACTGGGGGAAAATTTTTTAATACCTTTATTTGACATATTACTCACATCCAGAATATAGATATATATTTTTTGACCATTTAAAAATTGAATTGTCTGTCTTTAAAAAATATTAAGAACAAAATTCTAATTTTTTAAATGGGCAAAAAATATGAGCAGACACTTCAGACAAGAACATACACAAAAGGCCAATACACATGGAAAGTGTTCAACATTATTAGATATAAGTTATATGTAAATCAAAACCACTAAAGATACCAGTATACTTCCACTAATGCAGTTAAAATTAAAGGTATTAACAATATCAAATGTTGGAAAGCCACCAGAACCCCCCCAACATTGCTGGTGAAATGAAAAATAGGGCTGGGCGCGGTGGCCACGCCTGTTTAATTCCAGCACTTTGGGAGGCCGAGGCGGGCGGATCACGAGGTCAGGAGATCGAGACCATCCCGGCTAAAACGGTGAAACCCCGTCTCTACTAAAAATACAAAAAATTAGCCGGGCGTAGTGGCGGGCGCCTGTAGCCCCAGCTACTCGGGAGGCTGAGGCAGGAGAATGGCGTGAACCCGGGAGGCGGAGCTTGCAGTGAGCCGAGATATCGCCACGGCCCTCCAGCCTGGGCGACAGAGCGAGACTCTGTCTCAAAAAATAAATGAATAAATAAATAAATAAATACAAAAAAAAGAAAATGAAAAATAGTACCACTTTGGAAAACTGCTTGGCAGTCTCTTTAAGACTTAAAGATTGGCCTGAAGTTTTTTGTTGTTGTTGTACCTCCGCCAGGTTTTAGTATCAGAATGATGCTGGCCTCATAAAATGAGTTCGGTAGGAGTCCATCCTTTTCCATTTTTGGAATAGTTTCAGTAGAAATGGTACCAGCTCTTCTTTGTACCTCTGGTAAAATTCAGCTGTAAATCTGTCTGGTGCTGGGCTTTTTTTGACTGGAAGGCTATTTATTACTGCCTCAATTTCAGAACTCATTATTGGTGTATTCAGGAATTTAGTTTCTTCCTGGTTCAGTCTTGGGAGGATGTTTTGTGTCCAGGAAATTATCCATTTCTTCCAGATTTTCTAGTTTATGTGCATAGAGGTGTTTACAGTAATCTCTGATGGTTGTTTGTATTTCTGTGGGGTCAGTGGTAATATCCTTCTTATCATTTCTGATTGTGTCTGTTTGATCAGAAATCAGTAAGCCAGATGGGGAAAATCACTGGGAAGGGACAAGAGGAAACGTTCTTGGTTGATGGAAATGCTCTGTATCTTGATAGTGGTATAGGTTACCTGAGTGTATAAATGTGTCAAAACTGATCACACTGTACACATAGGATCACTGAATTTCATTGCATATACATTATATCTTAATATACAAAAAATTAAACAGATTTCTCTTCCCTCCCTTTCTTATATAACAGGATTCAAAGAAAACATAATGCAGAAATTTGCTTTCTCCAGGAAGCCGATTCTAAGACAGAGTTTAGTGTACAAAGTGTTTATTTGGGATCTACACCGGTGGAAGGGAAAAGGAAGAAGCAGAATTGAACAACAGGAGAATCTGAATGTAGTGCAGGCTCAACAGTATCATCTGACCCCACAGGGACCTCTCACGCTGAAATGTCCTATCAGTATTGTCCCCCATTGAGTCTAAGTAGTCAAACTTTTGTATCTCTACTCCAGTAAGCCATGGGATGTGGGATACTCCCAGAGAAGTGTGGCCTTAGATGAGCTGACTCTATAACTGAAGCAGTCTCTAAAAGGGCCAACAGCTGACCGCATCTACTGACAGCATTCTCAGCACCTGGGACAAGAAGTCCTTTATTAAAGAGGGATCTGGAAGGCACATCTAGGCATACCCATGTCCAGCACAGTTAGGATTGCCATTTTTAGCAAATAAAAATTTAATATACCTAGTAAAATTTGAATTTCAGATACACTTTTGTATTGTAAGTATGAACATTTCTTATGCAATACTTATACCAAAAATTATTTGTTGATTATCTGAAATTTAAATTTAATGTAGTATTCTGTATTTTATCCATCAACCCAAAACACAACCAACTCTTGTGTTCTCATATCAACTTATATATATTTGGGAGTAACTCCTCCAGGATTTCAAGTGGTCTCTCTTCCTGAGGAGAATATATAAGGGGAAGATAGTGGGAAGAACTACACATTACACCACCGATGCTGGTCTCATGACAGCAACCTCCCTCCCATCACCATCTGTTCTAGATTCCCCTTACCTTCATTAAGTATCTCTGCAAATCTAATTAGTTTATATGGTGGCACAATCCAGACCTGACCCTCATCCAGAGAGGCATGAGACCCTAGTCATCAAAGTCCTTTTCAGTTTGGGGATGCTGAACTTGTCCATTTACCATTACAGCAGGCAAGAGAGTAACGAGAGGCACCTAACTGGACCACATGGCTGTCAAACATGTTCTTTGCCATGCTGGTATGCCATAATGGTAGCCTTAACTCTTCTTGATAATCAGAGTCAATAACCCCTAAAAGATAATAACTCCTCTTCTTGCCTGCTAGTCCTGAATACAAAACTTGCCAAATAGCAGCCTTATCTTAAATTTTAATGCTTCTCTTGCTGTGGTCCCTGGTGAGTGTTCCCTCCTTAAAGACCAGGACCCATAATAATATAGAACTCATAGTTGTGGGTGTAGGAAGCATAAATCTCTCAAACAGGTCATTGGGAATTAGGTAAGTATAGACGGTGCCAGATAAAGATCTTTGATTTATGGCATGTACTTTCCTGGAAGATGGTATCCCATCTTCAAAAGGTATCACCTCTGAGCTGCTGCTTCAAGTGACCCTCCCCCAGTCTATTCCAATGCTCTGAAATGCTCAGGTTTGTGTAGTATGTGATCAAACTAGTGGATCCCATGGTTATGGTCATTTTTTGCAATAAAATGGTGCCGTTGGTCTGATACAATGTTATGTGGGATCCTATGTCAGAAGCCAAATACTCCATAAACTCTCAGTTAGTGGTGTTGGTTAAGGCATGAAAATTATACTCATTTTTTTTTATTCATGTGTTCATGGTATAGCACTGGAATTAACCAATAACCACGGCTTGTACCAACTGGCCAAGTCATTTTACCTACTTGGTGTTCACTTGTTTAATGTCCCATCCATAGTAGATGGTCTCTTACAGGGATAACATGTGATATAAAGATCTTTACTTTTTTTCCAACTCCCATATAACCATAGTTATGCCTCTACTACATTCCTTTTTTGTCTCTGATTTTCCTGTCTCCTTTCAGGCCCTGACCAACTGGCCAGACCATTTTCCATTTCCCATGGATCTATAGATATTCTTATCTTGGGCTACACTAATGTGCACTGTACAAAGCTCTGACAATTCAGATTTTTTTCTTGCAACTGCTTTTCAAAGCCACCCTGAATGAGACTATTGTACAGTTATCTATTTCTTTTCTAGAACCCAAGATACTAAGTCAACCTATATAGAAACCATGCTCAGGAATGGTTTTTTTCTTCTCTATCAGTTGCTTACAAAGGATCCCCATAAACTCCATAGGTATGAGCTGGGGAAAAGGATTAGACAACAGTGGTAGATAAAGCGGAGTTCTGAACTACCTTCTCTTACAGCTTGTTCATGTCATCTGGTCCTGCTCATAGCCCTTCCATCTTCTGATATATTGGAAATAGTCTTGCCTGACTTTATGACTTATTAGATTTCATATGTCTCATGATGGACAATTCTAGATAACAGTCATTTGTTGTCTTATGGTCAGACACTCTACTTGTACCAGGGCTCATACACATTTTAGAAATTTATCTTTCAAAGGCATATAATTATCCACTGCAGGTGGCATGACCTTCTTCTAGAACTCTAGGAATCTGTATCATGTTTCTCCAACTAGAGCTTCCCATAGGTTTGACAGGACATCTTTCCTCAGCATTCATGTTCTTAATATCATAGAGCCTGATTGTTATATGTGTTCTTGCTGTCTTATTTCTTCACATTAGTTCCTCTTGTTTAAGTTGAATTGTGCTAGGAATTATATTTGAAAAATTGTCGGTAGAAATAATTTGGATCCTAAAATCTTTCTTTCTCCAGGCAAGATTTAAGTATACTATTTCTAGTCTCCTATGGCACAGGCACAATGGGATTACCTTAAGGCATCTTCAGAGACTAAGATAATTCAATATAAGCTGCACTTCCTGAAAGACCTCTTTGTTTCTACTTTATCCTTATATGTACAGTTAAAGCCCTAAGAATTTCTAATGTGTATGTAAGTATGCCCAGGACTCTAATATATATCTCAATCTCTCTGTAAAGTTGCTAAAAGCTCCACTAGCACCTCTAACACCCCACATATCATAGTACATACTTAATATGCATTTATTAAGTGAGTAAATGCATGAATGACTGAATGGTGGACATTAAAGTACTAATAGTGATAACTGTAATTGATAAGCATCACTGACCCACAAGGCAACAAATGTGTATGTGTGTGTGTGTGTGTGTGTGTGTGTGTGTGTGTGTGTGTTAGTTACATGAATTGTAGAACTATAACAGTTTTCTCTGGGATATTCATTTTCTGAATAACCCCTGCTTAGTCCTTGTTACGTCCAAAGGCACAAGCCTCTTATACCATAAAACAAATTCACATTTCAGTATGAGATCTTAATAGTAAAAGAATAAAAATAATACCCATTGGAATATTTGTATAATTATCTGTAAATATTGATTTTCACCACTGTAAACATTCACTGCAAACATGAATACACCAAAAAAAGTGACATTATGTTTTTATCTCAAAATAAGAAATGATTGAGGGAAGCTTTAATGTACTTCAGAGAAAATACTATTAACACTTTTTATCTATTTCTTTATTTTAAATATTTCCATCTTTTATTTTAGATTCAGAAGGGATATGTACAGGTTTGTTACTTAGGTATATTGTGTGATGCTGAGGTTTGGGGCATAAATGGTCCCATCACCTAGGTAGTGAGAATAGTGCCCAGTAGATAGTTTTTCAGCCCATACCGCCCTCCCTCCCTGCTCTAGTAGTTCCCAGTGTCTATTGTTCCCCTTTTTGTGTCCGTGTGTACTCAATGTTTAGCTCACACTCATAAGAACATGCAGTACTTGGTTTTCTGTCACTGTGCTAATTTGCTTAGGATTATAGCCTCCGAATACATCCACGTTGCTACAAAGGACATGATTTTGTTCTTTTTTAAGGCTACATAGTATTCCATGGTGTATATGTACCACATTTTCTTTATCCAATCCACTGCCAGTGGGCACCTAAGTTGATTCCATGTCTTTTCTATTATGAAAAATGCTGTGGTGAACATGTGAGTGCATGCGTCTTTTTGGTAGAATGATTTATTTTCTTTTGGTTTACACCCAGTAACAGGATTGCTGGGTCGAATGGTAGTTCTGTTTTTAGTTCTTTGAGATATCTTCAAACTGCTTTCCACAGTGGCGGAACTAATGTACATTCCTACTAACAGTGTATGAGTGTTCCATCGCCAGCATCTGTTATTTTTTGACTTTTTAATAACAGCTATTCTGACTGATATGAGTGGGTATCTCATTATGGCTTTGATTTGCATTTCTCTGATGATTAGTGACAATGAGCATTTTTTCATATGTTTATTTGTCACTTTTATGTTTCTTTTGAAAACTGTCCATGTCCTTTGCCCATTTTACAATGGGGTTATTTGCTTTTTGCTTCTTGATCTGTTTAAGTTCCTTATAGATTCTGGATATTAGATCTTTGTTAGAAGTGTAGTTTGTGAATATTTTCTCGCATTTTGTAGGTTGTCTGTTTTCTCTGTTGATGATTTATTTTGTTGTGTAGAAGCTCTTTACTCAGGTACCACTCGTCACCATTTCATGCTCACGGATTGGAAGAATCAATATCATTAAAATGGCCATACTGCTATTCAATACTATTCCTATCAAATGACCAATGTTATTTTTCACAGAATTAGAAAAAATGGGCAAGATGACCAACTAGATGCAGCCAGGAGGAACATCAGCCACCAAAGGAACAGGACATGGAACACACTGACACACTTCTTGCAGATCTTCAGAAGGAAGGCATTGAGATTGGATGGAAGGAAGACATAGATGCTGGGCTGAGGAGGGAGAAAGTTAATAACCCTGTTCAGGGCTACCACATACAAGGATTTATTCTTGGCCCCCAACAACTCATATGAAAGGGGAGAGTGGAGCAACCAGCTCTTGCCATGGGCCTCTGAAATTCCAGCCAAGAGGAGGCCCCATGACTGCCGTGGACACTTGAGTTGTCTGGCAAAGCTGCTTAGAGAAGTGGTAGAAGCAGAACTCCAGCCAGTGCAGAGCTCAGAGGGTTTTGTGCGGGAGCATCTTTAGTGGTGTATGGCCAGGGACACCCATTTCCCTAGGGTCAACTTGCTCCCATAGGAGACTTTGTCTTTAGGGGAAATATCAGAGCTGAACCCTGCAAAGTAATCTTGCGCATGAGATAGGGTCAGTCAGATCCTGAGCACGCTTCAGTCTGCTGGCCTCTCCCAGGGCCCCAGCCTGGCAGTGCCTGTTTGCAGTGCAGCCTTGGGTGCCTGGCGGGGACAGGGTAGGTAGCTCCTGGGAGCCTGCATCATAGCTCCTGCACTGGCAGACAGCACCTTACCAGAGCACTCCAGCAGAGCTGTCCCCTCCCCCACTACAGCCTCCCCCATGCCGCTTTACCTGCATGCCTTTACCCACTGCCACCCCTGATATTGCTTTACCTCCTGGTGTGTTCATGGGAGGACCTTGTTTTGTCCTTTCCTATCAGCAGGCATGTGCACATGCACCCTTCCATGCCACTGGAGTCTGTGTGAGTGCACCCTTCTCCCTGTCCCACTGCTGCATCACCATTGCTGTCCAAGCGTTGGTGGGCACAGAGCTCACCAGCTCTGCCCCTGCCAGCATTCTGCCCCTGCACCAACACTGCCACCAGCATGAAACTAGGTATGAAAAGCAATGAACCTGCCCCCACCCTGAGCAGCCACTGCCACCCACATGAATGCACACAGAGGAAACACAAAGTCCACTAGTGCCCCACCCACATGCTATCACAAACACTGGCTCAAATGTGTGCCTAGTCAATGATGGAGGCCCCTGTCCACTCCTGCTCCACAACCATGCTGCCACCACCACTGCTACAAATGCTGGCATGGAAACTGGCACTTAGGCACCTGCTAACATCCTGCTGCAGCCAACAAGCATGCACCCTGCCATGCTGCCACCACTGCTGGCATGTGCCAACTAGGATTGATTCCACTGCCACCACCCTATGAAGGGCTTTTGCTGGCACCACCCATTGGAGTGTTTTGACCAGCAGCTCAGGAGTACCTCAGCTCCTCCAGTGCAGCAAGTACCTAACCTTGAGGAGCCAAAGAAAAAAGCTGGGGCCAATATCAGTCCCCAAGCATTACAGCACACAGTCCAGTAGTAGTGCTGAGCTGAGCCTTGTCCCCCTAAAATCTTCCAGAAGCGAATTCAATCAGCTGAACCCATCTTTTATCACAATCAAATCCCCAAGGTCATCAAATAGGATAAAGGAAAAATAAATTCATCCCAAAAATAGCAACCTCAAAGATTAAAGGAACATAAGCCCACAAAGGTGAGAAAGAATAAACACAAGAACTCTGACAACTCAAAAAGCCAGAGTGCCTTCTTTCCTTCAAACGACCATACTAATTCTCCAGAAAGGGTTCTTAACAAGGTTGAGATGCCTGAAATGATAGAAATAAAATTCAGAATATGGATAGAAAGGAACATCATTGAGATTCAGAAGAATATTGAAAGCTGAGGAGGCTAAGAATCACAGTGAAACAACAAGGGAGCTGACAGATGAGATACCCAGTATAGAAAAGAATGTAACTGACCTACTAGAGCTAAAAAACACACCACAAGAATTTCATAATGCAATCACAAGTATTAACAGCAGAATAGACCAAGCAGAGGAAAGAATCTCAGAACTTGAAGACTGGCTGTCTGAAATAAGACAGTCAGAGAAGAATAAAGTAAAAAGAATGAAAAGAAACAAACAAAACCTCCATGAAACATGAAATTATGTAAAAATACCAAATATATGATTCATTGGCATCCCTGAAAGAGATGGGGAAAATAGAAACAACTTGGAAAACATATTTCAGGATATTATTCAGGAGAACTTCCCTAATCTAGCTAGAGAGGCCAACATTCAAATTCAGGAAATGCAGAGAACCCCAGCAAGATACTTCATTCACAAGAAGATCATCCCCAAGACATATAATCATCAGATTCTCCAAGGTTGAAGTGAAAGAAAAAATGTTAAAAGCAGCAAAATAGGAAAGACAGATCACCTACAAAGGGAAGTCCATCAGACTAATAGTGGACCTGCCAACAGCAACCCTACAAGTCAGCAGAGAATGGAAGCCTACATACAACATTCTTAAAGAAAAGAAATTTCAACCAAGCATTTCATATCCAGCCAAACTAAGCTTCATAAGTAAAAGAGAAATAAGATCCCTTTCAGATAAGAAATCCTGAAGGAAATCATTACCACCAGACCTGCCTTACAAGAACACCTGAAAGAAGCACTAAATGTGGAACGGAAAGATTGTTACTAACCACTACAAAAACACACTTAAGTACACAGACCAATGACACTGTAAAGCTACCACACAAACAAGTTGGCATAATAACCAGCTAATGACATGATGATAGGATCAAATCCACATAAATCAATACTAACCTTGCATGTAAACAAGCTAAATGCCCCAATTAAAAGGCACAGAGTGGCAAGGTGGATAGAGAAGCAAGACCAAATGGCATGCTGTCTTCAAGAGTCCCATCTCACATGCAGTGACACTTACAGGCTCAAAATAAAGGAATGAAGAAAAATCTACCAAGTAAATAGAAAACAGAAAAAAGCATACGTTACAATAATAATTTCAGATGAAACAGACATTTAACCAATGGATATTAAAAAAAAGACAAAGAAGAAAATTGCATAATGGTAAAGGGTACAATTCAACAAGAATATCTGACTATCCTGAATATATATGCAACCAACACAGGAGCACGCAGATTCATAAGGAAAGTTCTCAGAGACTGTCAAAGAAACTTAGACTCCCACACAATAATAGTGGGAAACTTCAACACCCTACTTACCCACTGACAATAATAGATCATCAAGGCAGAAAATTAGCAAAGACATACAGGACCTGAGCTCAACACTGGACCAAATGAACCAGATAGACATCTATAGAAATCTCACCCAAAACCAATACAATATGCATTCTTCTCATTGCCATGCGTCATGTGCTCTAAAATCCACCACATGATTGGATATAAAACAATCCTCAGCAAATGCAAAAGAATAGAAATTATACCAACCACTCTCTTGGACCACAGAGCAATAAAAATAGAAATCAAGACAAAGAAAATTGTTCAAAACCATACAACTGCATGGAAATTAAACAACCTGCTCCTGAATGACTTTCAGATAAATAATGAAGTTAAGGCAGAAATCAAGAAGTTCTTTGAAACTAACGAGAACAAAGATACAGCATACCAGAATCTCAGGAACATAACTAAAGGCATTGTTAAGAGGGAAATTCTTATCACTAAATGCACATACTAAAAAGTTAGAAAGATGTCAAATTAACAACCTATCACAACTAAAAGAACTAGACAAGCAATAATGAACCAGCTCCAAAGCTAGTGGAAGACAAGAAATAACCAAGATCAGAGGTGAACTGAAGGAGACTGAGACACACACACACAAAATCATTTGAAAGATCAATGAAGACAAGAGTTGTTTTTTTGAAAAAATTAATTAAAAAGATAGACTGCTAGCTAATCTAATGAAGAAGTAAAAAGAGAAGATCCAAATAAACACAATTAGAAACAACAAAGATGTTACCACTGAGTCCACAGAAACGCAAATAACCATCAGAGACACCCATGAACATCTCTGTTCACATAAACTAGAAAATACAGAAGAAATAAATTCCTGGACACACACACCCTCCTAAGACTGAACTAGGAATAAATTGAATCCCTGAACAGACCAATAATGAGCTCCAAAATTGAATTAGTAATAAATAGCCTACCAAATGAAAAAAGCCCAGGATCAAATAGATTCTCAGCCAAATGCTAGCAGATACACAAAGAAGAGTTGGTACCACTTCTACTGAAACTAGTCCAAAAAATTTAGGAGAAGGGACTCTTCCCCAACTCATTCTATGACGCCAGCATCAACCTGACAGCAAAATTTGGTGGAGATACAACAACAACAACAAAAAACTTCAGACCAATATCCTTGATGAACTTTGAGGCAAATATCCTAATACTAGCAAACCGAATCTGGCAGCTTATCAAAAAGCTAATCCACCCTGATCAAGTAGGCTTTATCCCTGGCATGCAAGCTTGGTTCAGCATGTGCAAATGAGTAAATGTGATTCATCACATAAACAGAACTAAGAATAGAAAGCACATGATTATTACAATAGATGCAGCAAAGACTTTCAATAAAATTCAACATCTTTTCATGTTAAAAACTCTCAATGAACTAAGTATTGAAGGAACATAACTCAATATAAAAGGAGTCATCTATGACAAACCCACAGCCAATGTCATACTGAATGGGCAAAAGCTGAAAACATTTCCCTTGAAAACTGGCACCAGACAAGGGTGCTGTCTCTCATCTCTTCTATTCAACATAGTATTGGAAATCCTGTCAGAGCAATTAGGTAAGAGAAAAAAATAAAGGGGATCCAAATAGGAAGAGAGGAAGTCAAACTATCCTGGTTGGCAGATTACATGATTCTATATCTAGAAAACCCCACAATCTTGGCCCAAAAGCTCCTGAATTTGATAAACAAATTCAGCAAAGTTTCAGAATACAAAACCAATATATAAAAATCACTATCATTCCTATACACGTAGAGAAGCCAAGGCGAGAGACAAATCAGAAAGCCAATCCCATTCACAATTGCCATAAAAAGAATAAAATACCTAGGAATACAGCTAACCAGAGAGGTGAAAGACCTCTAAAATGAGAATTATAAAACACTGCTCAAAAATGTCAAAGATGACACAAATGGAAAGACTTTCCATGCTCATGGATGGGAAGAATCAGTATTGTTAAAATGGCCATACTGCCCAAATCAATTTACAGATTCAATGCTATTCTTGTCAAACTACCAAAGACATTCTCCACAGAACTAGAAAAAAACTATTTTAAAATTCATATGGAACCAAAAAAGAGCCCAAATAGCCAAGTCTATCCTAAGGAAAAGGAACAAAGCTGGAGGCATCATGCCACCTGACTTCAAACTATACTACAGGGCTACAATAACTCAAACAGCATGATATTGGTACAAAAACAGACACATAGACCAATGGAACAGAATAGAGAGTCCAGAAACAAAGCCACACAGATACAACCATCTGATCCTTGACAAAGCAGACAAAAACAAGCAATGGGAAAAGTATTATCTATTAAATAACCAGTGCTGGGATAACTGGCTAGCCACACGCAGAAGATTGAAACTGGACTGCTTCTTTACACCATATACAAAAATCAACTCAAGATGGATTAAAACTGTAAAAACTCTTGAGACAACCTTAGCAATACCATTCTGAACATAGGAATTGGCAAATATTTCATGACGAAGACATCAAAAGCAATTGCAACAAAAGCAAAAATTGACAAATGGGATCTAATTAAAATAAATAGCTTCTGCACAACAGAAGAAACTATCAGCAGAGTCAACCTATAGAATGGGAGAAAATATTTGCAAACTATGCTTTTAACGAAGGTCTAATATCCAGAATCTATAAGAAACTTAAACAAATGTGCAGGCAAACAACAACTGCATTAAAAAGTGGGCAATGGACATGAACACTTTTCAAAAGAAGACATACATGTGGCCCACAGACATATGAAAAAAACTTCAATATCACTGATTATTAGAGAAATGAAAATCAAAACCACAATGAGATACCATCTCATGCAAGTCAGAATGGCTGTTATTAAAAAGTAAAAAAATAACAGATGCTGATGAGGTTGCAGAGAAAAGGGGATGCTTATACACGGTTGACAAGAATGTAAATTAGCTGCACAACTGTAGAAAACAGTGTAGTGCTTCCTCAAAAAGCTAAAAACAGAACTACCATTTGACCCAGAAATATCATTACTAGGTATATACCCATGGGAATAGAAATCATCCTATCATAAAGACACATGCATGTTTATGTTCACTGCAGCACTATTCACAATAGGAAAGACATGGAATCAACCTAAATACCCACCAGTAGCAGAGTGGATAAAGAAAATGTGGTACATATACACCATGGAGCCATAGAAACATAATAAGATCATGTTTTCTGCAGGAACATGGATGAAACTGGAGGCCATCATTCTGAGAAAATTAATGCAGGAATAGATAACCAAATACTGCATGTTCTCATTTATAAGTAAGAGCAAGATATTGAGAACACATGGACACAAAAAGGGGAACAACAGATACTGAGGCCTACTTGACAGTGGAGGGTGGAAGGAGGGAGATCAGGAAAAAAAAAATGACTATTGGGTACTAGGCTTAGTATATGGTTGACAAAGTAATCTATACAACAAACCCTCATGACACGAGTATACTTATATAACAAACCTGTACACGTTTCCCTGAACCTAAAATAAGTTTTTTTGTAAAGAAAAAACTATTTTAAATTTCATACGGAATCAAGAGCCCAGATAGCCACAACAATTCTAATCAAAAAGAACAAAGTAGGAGGTATCACATTACCTGACTTCAAACTATACTGTAAGGCTACAATAACCAAAACAGCATGGTACTGGTACAAAAACGGACACATAAACCAAGGGTACAGAATAGAGAACCCAAAAAGAAGGTCACACACATTCAACCATCTGATCTTCAACAAAGTTGCCAAAAATAAACAGTGGAGAAATGACTCCCTATTCAATAAATGGTGCTAGGATAACTGGCTAGCCATATGCAGAAGAATAAAGCTGGACCTCTTCCTTACACCATATACAAAAATTACTCAAGATGATTTAGAGATTTAAATGAAAGACCTCAAACTATAAAAATCCAAAAACAAAGCCTACAAAATACCCTGCTGAAGATTAGTCTAAGCAAAAAATGTATGGCTATATTGTATTAACACTTTTTAATCTAATTGCCCTGAAATTTAGTGATCAAATATGAGAATCATAATATGAATATCTGATTTATAACATGCAATGATTTAAGCAGAAATTAATCAAAATAATAAAATTATCAACATTTTAAAAGTTGCTATTTCAAGATAAATTTAGATTTTCTATAAAATGATAACCTTAGCCAATGAATTTTGCATATATCTGAAATTGATCAGTGCTATCTGACAAAATAAAACTATTAAATAACTTTTATCTCAGATCAGATCAATCCAGTATTGAAGCTAATGTTCTGAGATGTTTTTATATTCTCATTACAATGATTAGAAAATCAAACAAGTTGCTACATCTTTCATTTAAATTCTGTATGGTTGAAAGTAATATGCAGTCACTTCAGGAGGCCTCATCACAACATACTTGACAAAATATTAAGCTACCCGTGTCTGTCTGAAATATATGCTGAACCTAATTGAATCACTTCATCTCTTAGGGTTTCAATTTTTTCACCTCTAATGTACATGTTTAGATTAACGTCTGCCAGAGGCTCAGGTACAGGTCTGTTACTGACTTGCTTTAAGAGAATCAACTACAAATTTTGATTAACAATTCAAACTCAAGACCTACTTCATGATGTGCTGAATTAGAATCTCAAAGGCTGGGGTTTCGGAAGTTTTCTGGTTGATACTCTTATGCAGTCAAGTTTGTAAATCACTGAACTAAATGAGCTTTAAGGCCTTTCTCACAGATCTAATATTTAGTGACTCTGAATCTCTGTCTCACAGAATATTATGTCCAAATTAATTTTCATGTTATTTGCAAGATAAGAAATTTGGTCTATCCTTACATATACAATACGGTATGACTAAACTCAGTTATGTTAGAAAAGATTGAATTTACATAACCAATGAGTTTAGGGTTCAAAGAAAGGACAGAAACCTGGGAGCAGTTTTAATTATTGTTTCTCTCATTTTCTTTCTTTCTCTGCTGCCTCCTCTCTCCCTCCCTTAGCTTATTAACTTAGCATTAGCATGGTAATCCAGTAACCTAATCATAGCTACCCAATAAATATTTGCTGATTAGATAAAATTAACCTTCCAGTAAATTCAATACAGTGCAATGCATAGCTTTACCTAGACATAACACAAATATCTTATATGGGGAAAAATTCATAAAGAACACAACAGTGGTAGAATTAATCATTCTAATATTTTCACAGCTTTGTGTGGATATCCATATCCTTTTAATCAGCTGTGGGACATTTACCTTTTCCAAAGTAAAAGACAATGAAAAGACTAGAAGGAAAGACACGTAGTTCCAACCCCAGATCTCTCACCTTGTAGTCATAGGCCTTACATGAGCTACTTCCTTCTCTGAGACTAATTTTCCTCATTTATAAATGCGGAAAATAGGCCGGGCACCAAGGCTCATGCCTGTAATCCCAACACTTTGGAAGGCCGAGGCAGGTGGATCATTTGAGGCCATGAGTTTGAGACCATCCTGGCCAACATGGCAAAACCCTCTCTCTACTAAAAATATGAAAATTAACCATGCACCTGTGATTCCAGCTGTTCCATAAGCTGAGGTATAAGAATCACTTGAACCCAAGAGGCAGAGGCTGCAGTGAGGTGAGATTGTGCCACTGCACTCCACACTGGGTAATAGAGCAAGACTCTGTCTCCAAAAATAATGAATAAATAAATAGATAAATAAAATGCAGAAGATAATAGTAGTTCCTCACAGAATTGCTATGGTTATTAAATCAGATATACATTTAAAATGTTCGGAATAGTGCCTGGCACATATAAAGTACTTGATGCTGGTTGTCACACTTTCTTCACTAGTTTTAATGAGAATTCAATAGATTCTATTTTAAAAATCCCTTTAAACTACAGAGTACTATTATTAATTTGCTTAGAAAACTACTTTTTTCAGGTTTTCCAGTGTGAAAACATGTAATATAATATTTATAATTTCAAATTATCATTTCAATTTGTTCTGTCCAAATGTAAGATGTTGCATGGCCATTAGTCATTTCAGGCCATAATATATCAAAACATTCCTATTTAGGAGAATCCTAAAATTAAAAATATAAAAAGCAGCCTAACTGCCTGTAGTCAAAATGGCCATTGGTTATTTAGTGACTTCATCTCTGAAGGTTTTCATTTTCTCACCTCCAAAAGTGGACGTTTAGATTTGTCTGTTACTGACTTGCTCTAAAAGAATTAACTGGAAATTTTGACTAAAATTCAGGCTCACAGACATTCTCCAGACATGCTGAATCAGACTTTTAAAGCTTGGGGTTTAGGAAGCTCTCTTATTGATTTTGTTGTGCGGTTAAGTTTGAAAATTATTGGAGTGAGTGATGGCAACCAGAGAAGATGCTCCCATCATTGGGGTCATGACTGCACCTTGTCTCTGTTGACTCTGGCCATACATACCAGTTATATCCCAGTGTTAAAGATTCTGGATCCATACTTCTTAAGTTGCAATTCAGACTTTGCTGCTTACTTGAGCAAGCTACCTAAAGTGTCTGAGATTCTACCTCAGACACTTCTACCTTTTTTATTACTGATATGACAACACCAACATTGGTACTTTGAATTCTGTCAGTACTTGAAGGGTCGAGGTGGTATTTTCTAGGCAGAGATGGCGGGGAAGACACTCACTTTAATTCACTTATGTGCTTTTTTCACATGAGCTGTAAAGTAGCACTGCTTTTCCCCAGAGTTCTGTAAGTTATCTCAAGAAGTCAGCTCCTTTAGTCCCCTTATCTAATTTCTCCCTTCCATAGAATCTCAACATCTGTCTATTAGGCTGTGAAAAGGAACAAAGTACTGATAAAGGCTATGGCATGGAAACCTCGAAAACATTATGTTTAAGGAAAGAAGTGAGATATAAAAGATCACATGTTGCCTGATTCCACATATATGAAATGTCCAGAAAAGAAAATTTAGTGATTGCCTAGGACAGGGATTACAAAGGAGAGTAATTGTAAATAGGTATAAGGTTTCTTTTAGAAGTGATGGATGTGTTCTAAAATTAGGTTGTTGCATAACTCTGTATATATACCAAAATCACTGAATTGCACACTTAAAATGGGTAAATAATACAGTATATAAATTATAACTTAATAAAGCTGTTAAAAAAAAAAAAAGAAAAACAAAACATAACCCAAGAAGCTCATTTTGTCAAAAATCCATGGAAAAATACCCCAACAGTTGCCATGGTAAGTGACCTTCAGTTACCCACATAGAGAGTTGAGAAATAAGGGAAGTCTTTGTAACAGAGCAAGCAAATGTTTCCTCAAGCAAGAAACATTTGAGAGTTACCCACATAAGTTGCCCAGAAATAATTTTGAGTAGACATTGATAAAGTTGTATGTCCTGAGTAACAATATGGATATAAGAGCAGAAAATTTCAATTACTGTTTCTAGCTTTGTGAAATTCATTGATTTTCAACCTCTCTTCTTCCCTAATATATACATTTAAAGCTACAAAATTTCCTGTAAGAAATGCTTAACAGTATCCCATACATGCCCAAGTTTTGGTATGTTGTACCTTTATTAGTTAAAATTATTTTTTCACTGTCATGTTATTTTATAACATCTCATTAGCCAAAACAAGGCACATGGCCATCCCTGAGTTCAATGGAGTGCGAAAGTAGACTCCTCCCATAGAGGTTAAAGGGTCATCAGTGAATATTTCCTGAATGCCATCAGTGAATATTTGGAATCTATATTTCCAAGTGGCAAAAATAGAGGGAATTCCAGACAGAAAGAAGGGAGTGCACAAAACTACAAAGCTATGGTGTTTGGGAAAATTATAATAGTTCAGAATGACTGAAAGTGACTGAGAGAAGGGTGGTGGAGGTAAGCAAGGACATTTGCCCTTTCAATTACTTTTAGTATATTGGTAGTAATTGCTTTTCATCCATTTTCTCAAAGAATTGGAAATAGGATTACATCACTGAAATGTCTGAGTACACATGGACACAAAGAAGGGAACAAGAGACACCAGTACCTACTTGAGGGTGAGGGGTGGGAGGAAGGTAAGAATCAAAAAACTACCTATTGGATACTACACTTATTGGTAACAAAATAATCTGCATACAACCCCCGGCCCCCCGACATGCAGTTTACATAAATAACACACATGCACATGTACCCATGAACCCAAAAGTTTTTCTAAAAAAAGTCCATGTTAGCAGATTTTTTTTTGCATCAAAACCTCAATAAATTTTAAGACAACTTAATATGTCAGGTAAAAAAATAACAGACCAAATAATTTGTTGTTGTTGTTGTTGTTGTTGAGATGGAGAGTCTCCATCTGTCGCCACGCTGGAGTGCAGTGGCGTGATCTCGGCTCACTGCAACCTCTGCCTCCGGTTCAAGCGAATGTCCTGCCTCAGTTTCCCAAGTAGCTGGGACTACAGGTGCACGCCACCACGCCCAGCTAATTTTTGTACTTTTAGTAGAGACGGGGTTTCACCATGTTGGCCAGGATGGTCTCCATCCCTTGACCTTGTGATCTGCCTGCCTCAGCCTCCCGAAGTGTTGGGATTACAGGCATGAGCCACTGTGCCCGGCCCAGACCAAATAATTTAAAAAATTTTTTTTTCATTTGTATGCTCTTTTTTTTCGAGTTTCCTATAATATCACACCTAGTACTGTTATAATGAGGCCGCCATAAAGAACTGAATTGCTCATAGGCACCTGGGAGTTCAGTGCTTTCTACATACAGGGTTATCAGGCTTGCTCCAAATATCTGAAAGAATAACCTGGAACGTTGTTTTTGTTTTGCAAATACATCGTATAGGTGCAATCCCATATTGTATTTCACTAGAATGTGGTATTTATAAATAAACACTCAAAAAGAATTCTAAGGTTTTTTTTATTGCTGATATGACAAAAAGTACAATAAACAAAACAAGAAAGAACTTTTTAGTTAGAGTTTTCTCTGAATTTCTGAAATTGTTAAGTTTTCGGGAGAACCTTCTTTAGTTTCTCTTAAACTAAAAGAGAAGACCCAATCTACCCTTCACAAAAACTGATTGTTAATACCTTGCTAGGTCTCTTTTTCTGTAAGATCAGTTCATTTAAATACTTCCAAATCTTGAGCATTTTCACTCCCCTCCAAATATTGGAATATCTGCCTTTTTACTCATTTATTAAATAAACTTTTGTAGACTTTGTGAATAAAGATTTCTGGAGGAATTCAAAGAGATATAATTCTGGGTATATGTAATTCTAGCCAGTTTTCTTTTTTCTTTTCTTTTCTTTTTTTTTTTTTTTTTCTTAGACAGGGTCTCGCTCTGTCACCCAGGCTGGAGTGCCAGTGGAACAATTTCAGCTCCCTGCAACCTCCGCCTCCCGGGTTCCAGCGACTCCCATGCCTCAGCCTCCAGAGTAGCTGGGATTACAGGTGTGCACCACCACGCCTGGCTAATTTTTGTATTTTTAGTAGAGATGGGATTTCCCCATGTTGGCCAGGCTGGTCTTGAAATCCTGGGCCTCAAGTGATCCGCCTCCCTCGCCCTCACAAAGTGCTGGATTACGGGCATGAGCCACCGCACCCGGCCTAATTCTAGATAGTTTTTATTTAACATGCACATTTTTTCATTTAACACGAGTATATTTCAAGGCTGTGACACTGTTAACTTATTCACCACCTTTGTGCAAAACACAAAAACATCCTTTTTCCTGCAGGAAGACACAGTCTGAATTTCAGTAAAAATGTCACTGCTCGGGCCGGGCGCGGTGGCTCACGCCTGTAATCCCAGCACTTTGGGAGGCCGAGGCGGGCGGATCACGAGGTCAGGAGATCGAGACCATCCCGGCTAAAACGGTGAAACCCCGTCTCTACTAAAAATACAAAAAATTAGCCGGGCGTAGTGGCGGGCGCCTGTAGTCCCAGCTACTTGGGAGGCTGAGGCAGGAGAATGGCGTGAACCCGGGAGGCGGAGCTTGCAGTGAGCCGAGATCCCGCCACTGCACTCCAGCCTGGGCGACAGAGCGAGACTCCGTCTCAAAAAAAAAAAAAAAAAAAAAAGTCACTGCTCATTTGGCTTCAGCAAACAACCTAAACAACAGTATGCTTTGATCCTTTGTGAAAAAGTAATTATTTTCTTTATCAATTGTTTATATTTAATGCCAATCTCAAATAGGCTACTTTGCTTAATAACAAAAAAACAAAGAGATGTTAATGCTTAACTAAAACTGTGTTTTCTGTATTATGAAATAATGTTATGTTTTAAATTCCTTTTTACTAAAACTAAAACTTCATTAAATCAATATGAAACGAATATTTGATGGACGTTAGAACAGAACAGAATGTGCACGTATATCAAGGAAGAAACTCTTAAAATACACTTAATAGGAGGATTTACATATATTAAGCCTAAATTTGACGAGTTAATGAAAATTATAATGGACCTGGGCATGAGTATGGTCAAACCCCACTTTGCTGCTAGAGAGTTCCAAGAACCTCATTCCAAACACTTTACCTTCTATATTTAATTTTCCTAATCTATAAAATGAGCATTTCTACCTAGCTGATTTCTTTTATTCCCTCTAGTTTTCAGATTATTTGATTCTTATCAAGGGAACATAAAATGTCTATTTTCAAATTATATATTTGAATCCTAGAGAATTAGCATTTTGAGTTTAAAATCAACCAAGTATGAATAACAACTAGCAAACTAAATTTTAAACATGTGTGGGTGTTTCGTTACCTAGTGTGGAAAAATCTTACATACTTTGCAAATCAAAGACAAAATGACATTTGCATGGAACAGGGAGTCAAAATGATGATTTTATTTTCTGAATGATACAGTATTATGAAAAGAAAGGATACATGATCCTTCCTAGAAAAAAAAAAGAATGTTTTTCTTGTTACTTGGTTATTTTAGGTAAAACTCCTGTTTTCAATTGACTAGAAATGTAATTATTATGCAGGAAATGGCACTTGTTAGAGATGTATAAAAGAAACTGAATTTTAATATACAATTTCTTTAAAGCAAATATTCCCAAATATTAATTTAAAGTAATCTTATTTTTTAAATGAAAAGCTTGTAGTTTTGTCGTATTATGTTCAGAGAATGAATAAAACAAAATCATGTAACTTCTAATGGAAGATTAACTTTAATGATTTGTCGGCATTTAAATGATACAATTATATTCACATAGATGGTCATATGCCACTTTTCTCTTTCAGCCTGTGGCTACAATTCAGCTCTTTTGTTCTGGTTACAAGTAATTCTATACAACAGGATAATATAATCCAAGCCCAAATTTGTGTATAAAGATAGGAAAAAGTCCTATCACTTTTATTTTGCATTCTTTACATTATAGGCAGGAGAAAAGAGGCAAAATATAAGTACCTACTTTTTTTGTGTTTGCTGTCAATAAATAGTTGTCTTTGGACATTCTCCATTCTTTGTCTGATTTAAATATCTCAGTGAACTAAAAACTCCAAAACACCATCAAACAAAATACCAAGAAAATGCTCACCCTCATAGAAGGACGAGATGACGTTCCTAGATTTGTCCACCTTTTCCTAATAATTTTAAAAGCATCATTCATTCCTTCATTCACTCATTTATACACAAAACTTATTGAAAATTGGCAAAAAATGATACATGCTCCCTCATTTCCTCCTCGTCTTGGATACATAGCTAAGTATCTCTCAGATCCTCTTGTGTTTAGATGTGACCATATGACTTGAGTTCTGGTGATTGGCATGTGGGCAGAAGTGATGTAGTCCACTCCCATATATGATCCCATTTTTCTTTCTCAACCCAAGGACCAAATCTGCAGACACAGAAGAAACAGGAGTCTCAAATTTCAAGGCAAATGACCACATGGAAGGTCATACAGATAGGAATGCTAACTACAATCTAAGACCTGAATGAGAAATAAACTTTTATTATGTTAAGAAAGAGATGTCAGGGTTTTTAGTTGGTGTAGCAACTACGTATTGCCTTTCCTAATACAAGAAACTTTTCTCCATCTGTGGAGAAATTTTGAGGTCTAGGGAAAGAGAAATATGAGAGTTATTATTTATTCATTCAAAACACAATTTAATATGTATAATTTGAGAGATGTTGAAGGACTGAAAATTTTTCCACGGTCCTCTGATGACCTTAGCCTCAACTGTCCTCACTCTCCCCTCTTGCTAAACTCGTTACCCAACTAATGATATTAAACCGAAAGAATAATTTCTCTCTCCCTCAGGAACCGTTTCTGACCACATGTTCTGGAAATTATTGGAATGTTAGCTAACCCCTTTTGTTAACAATCTATGAAAACTATGTTTTTCTACTCCCAAAGAGAACACTTCTTGGAGTATTTCTGATGTTCCAGCATTCTGAATAAGAGCTTATGCTTAAGGGTGTTGTAAATGACTTCCTTCTACACAGTGTTGTGATCATTGTGCTATGTTAGAGGTAAAATAAATAAGAGAGAGTCACTGTCCTCAAGATGTTTATAATCTACTGGGTACACAGACTGTTCAGTGTAATTACTCCTACAATCCAGTTATGCATAAATTATCATAGGATCATAAATAAGTGAGCAATTAATTCCCTGGAGCTACCAATTAAAGCTATAGGAGACAAATAGTTCTGGTGAGGGAAAGGTCTTTCGCAAAGAAGAAACCGCATGTACAATAGCAAGCAGCCACCAGAAATGGAAGTGTCTCTGAGACAACTGAAAATTAGTGAATGGAAAACAAACTTATTTCTCCAGTCTCAATATGACTCAGTAAACATCACCTAGAACTGTACGAGCCAGGAATCAAGGAGTCATCTTTAGCCCTATTTTATCCTTCACTGCCCTCTACAACAAGCCATGCCCTATAAATACATCTCGAATCTATCTACCTCTCTACATATTCCCTGCCACCATCATAGTCCAAGCTACTATCATCTCTCATCAAAGTAATTTTAAGAAACTTACTGCTGATCTAACTTAACATCTTTCTCCCCGTTCTCCCTGCGTCCCAATTAGCTATCCATACAGGAGAGAGAAGGATTTTTTTTTTAAATGCCAATCAAATGGTATGGCTGTGTTCCTACCCAAATCTCATCTTGAATTGTAGCTCCCATAATTCCCACATGTTGTGGGAGGGACCCAGTGGGAGATAATTGAATCATGGGGACAGTTTCCATCATACTGTTCTTGTGGCAGTGAACGAGTCTCACAAGATCTGATGGTTTTATAAGGGGAAACCCCTTTTGCTTGGTTCTCATTCTCTCTCTTTGCCTGCTGCTGTCCATGTAAGATGTGACTTGCTCCTCCTTGCCTTCTGCCATGACTGTGAGGCCTCCCCAGCCATGTGGAACTGTAAGTCCATTAAACCTATTTTTCTTTATAAATCACCCTGTCTCAGGTATGTCGTTATCAGCAGCATGCAAATGGACTAATACAGCCAATATGGGCATGAAAAGTCTCTCCTTGGAACTTTCTAACAGTTTTCTATTGTGTTTAGCTTAAAGAATACAGTTCTTAAAATGAGTTACAAGGCTCTACAGGACATGATTTTTTCCAACTGCCAAGCATCAACTCATACATGATCCACAACACACCCCACTCCTGCTTCCTTTGCTTTCTAAGTTCTAACAATATTGGATTTGTTTCATGTCTTTGAGAAGGCCAGGCTATCTCCTACCCCTTCACATACGCTGTTCCCTCACTTTGAGCAGTCTCTCTCAGCCCACCATCACCACCACACTCCTTATTTAACTAATTTCTACATGTCTTGCACCAAAGTAGAGGGTGGGTGCTAGGGGAGCAATCTTTCCCAGGTATAGGCAATAAGGGGTGCTTTGCTTATAAAGAATTTTAAAATAGCAAGAAAATGTTTTAAAAGTTGTTCTTTTTTTATTATTAAAACTGTGTTCTGACAATTATATACAACTTAATAATAAACTTCTTCTCCTAACCAGGGAGACAACTTCCACCAACTCATACTATATGTTTTTGAGAAATGCAGTAATATAGACAAAGAAATCGATCAATTCTTTAAAAATTAGAGAGAGAAAAAGTAGACAAGTACAAGAATAACAAAGAAAATACACAATCATCACATATAAAGAAGAGATAAAATTATGAGTGAATACTTCATGTAAGTATAACAAATTTCAAATTCAAATCAATCATTTCCTTTAAAAAAATACATACATAAATATATATATCTTTACTCTTGCTATACATGTATTAGCATCATTAACATTTATTCATTATCTTTTCCATAAATGCAAATTTAAGCTGACTGAAGGCTGGTACTTCATGTGTCTTGCCCACTGCAGATTTTCTTGTTATTAGACCTGTGCCTAGCACAGAGTAGGCATATAATGAAGTTCTTACTAAATCTATGAAAATATATCCCTTGTTTATGTTTTCTAGTGCATTTTTAAAAATCTGTGTTCTTTTCCACGAAGTTACAGATCCTAGAAAAAACCTGATGAGTAATTTAAAAAGCCTTGATTTTGCAAAAACAACATCCAAAATTAGGTACTGAAGAAAATTAAGAATAGATTTCCTCAATTCCTAAAGAAAGGTTAAAATCATATCTTACTTTAATTTTTCTTCCCATCTGTAATGTAAGTGCACTTTTCCACAAAGACTAAGGAAAGCTGCTACCCATCCTAAATTAAAGAATTGGGCTTATTTAGGAGAAGGAACCCTGTTAACTGAGAAAATTAGTATTGTAAGGTTCATTTCTTCCCAGATAAAAATAGAACTACTATTAAAGTCTCATAGAAAGCATATTCCTAATAAGAATTCTACCAACATTGCTTTCAGAAAAAATTCAAGGAAGTATCTCAACATGGCCTCCATTATAAATAATTATTAGTCCTCTATTCAGCATTCTAATGAGTTGCTTGTAATATCTTCTTTCAAAGAACTGCAGCAGTTAACTTTCTGAAAAAAGATATTATTTAAAATAGTTTTTGTCCCCTATTGCAATGCGTAAAATCTGCTTTATTTCAGAATATCTAAAAATAAAATAAGCCAGGTAGACAACTTAATAGAGAGTATTCACTATATGTTTATGCAAACTGAAAGTAGTCATAATTTTTTCTAAATGAAAGATAAGATGGCTGTTAAAATATTTTAATGCTCTGTCCATCAACTGTAATCTCTCTACTTTACCTCTCTCAAGCCCAGCAGGTTCTAGTGCCTGGAGAAGGTGAGCAAGGCCTTGGGCGCTGATGGGTACTGGAAGAAGAAAGATGGTATGAACAACAGGCAAGATAAGAGCAGAAGAGAACTGAACTGAGAATCAAAACCAACAGTTGACTGTAAAGAGAGCCTGGCCTGAAGAGGACTGCACCTAGTAATGGAAATGTTTGTTCCTCAAAGGGCAAGCTAGTTTCCAGAAGAACTTAGGAGAAGTCAAATAGACGAGTTGAGTTCTTTCTTTATTATTGTAGCTGAAAGTATACCACCTTTTGAGAAGACTAGGGAAAAAACAGGAAACAAATAAATTGCTTACCAGTGAACCACTAACCCATGAAGGTAGCAACCCCTGTGCCTCTGAAGTATCAGTGAAGCTTAAAGCCTTCCAGTTACTTGACACTGAAAAGTGGCACTGTATGCAGACAGACAAAACAAACTGATGCTTAAGTAAACCAAATTGTTGGAGGACGAAAGTATCATCTTAGTTCCCCCTCCTCCCCACTACACACACTCCTCTCAAAAATAATTTTTGGAAATGAAAGTTCAAGTCACAAAAAATTTTTGGAAAAACAAAACGTATAACAATTTCTATTCAACATTGTACTATCAGATATAACCAGTGAACTAAGGTAAGAAAAGTAATTGCAAGATGTAAAGAATGAAAAAAAAAAAAAAGAAAAAATAACCTAACATGCAGATAACATGGTTGTGTTTTTAGAAATTCCACAAGAGTCTACAGAACTTTTTTTTAATGTATAGGTAAATTTAGCAAGATGCTGGACACAAAATCATTTAAAAAGTCATTGTGTTTCTATGTGCCATCATCACATCTATGTGCCATTATCAAACTTTGCAAAATAATTTTTAATAATACTACTTACATCAGCATCAAAAATCAAATACGCCCATAGACTGTACAACATTGAGATTGAATCCTAATGTGAGCTATGGACTTTGAGTGATAATGATGTGTCCATGTAGATTCACTGATTGTAACAAATGTACTACTCTGGTGAGATATATTAATAGTGGGGGAGATTGTAGAAGTATGGGGGTAAGGATTGTATGATAATTCAATGTTCTTTCTGCTCAACTTTATTGAACTGAAAACTGCTCTAAAAACAAATTATATTTTAAAAAATCAAATATGTAGAATAGTGTCCGTCCAATTGAATGTCCATGAAAAGGTAATACTTAATCCTTCCCTACTTGTCAGATATACAAAAATTAATTTTAAGTGAAATGTACTTATGAAAGGACAAACAATAACTTTTCTAGAATAAAAGTAAAAGAATTTTTTAAATAGGGCTGGAAAAGACTTTTTAAATGGGGGGAGCACAAACAATGAAAAAAATGTGTCACATCAATGACAAAAGGCTTGTATCTAAAATGTATAAAAAACTTTTACAAATCAGTAAAAAGTAAGACAATTCAGAAATACAACATACAATACGTAATAAACAGAAAATTAGTCTTCAGGGCAAGGCAAACTAAATGAGATACAACTGCACAAATGCTGGTGTGAGTAAAATTGGAAAGACTGACAATACCATGTATTGGCAAAGTTATACAGCAAGAGGAGCTCTCACACTCTGCTGGTAAGGTGTATTTTGGTACAAACATATTGGAAAACTATTTGGCTGTATGTGCTAAAGTTTAACATGGGCATGTCCTCTGATGCTGATATTTCACTACTAAATATATACCCAAAAGAAATTCATACATATATGCATCAAGAGATATGACATGTATAACATATGTATGTTCATTAAAATATTATTTTTAAGAGCCCCAAACTGGAAACAACTCAAATATCCAACGATAGTAGAATGAATAAATTTTAGTGAATTTGTCCAATGGAATCCTAGACAGCAATAAAGGTAAACTAACAGAAAAATTGTATAACAAAATTTTAAAAGAAGTTAAAAACAATAAAGTATGTTTTATAATATTATATGAATATACTTAAAATATTATCTAGTTACATACAGATATTTTATACTGTATACAATATTTTCTGTTCTTGTACAAGATTACTGTCTGTTTAACAATTACAATTGCATCCATTTCAAAGACAGGCAGGAGTAATTCATCATTTGAGAAGCCAGAATAATGATTTCATTTCAAGATAAGGAGGGAGTTATTGAGTGAGAAAGAGCAATAGATGGGCTTCTGGGATTCGGATAATGTTTTATTTCTTGAATTGGGTGATAGGAAATGGGTGCATTCATGTGTGATTATTAAACAAGCCACACATATTTTATTTGTGCAACATTCTGTACTGTGTTATGTTTAATGAGTGCAATCATACTTCAATATTTCAAAATTTGGAGTATTTCACAGGGATAATTAGACGAAATACAAGCATGTAAGAGAATTGAATAATAAAAAAATTATATAATGCACAAATACATATTTTAAAAAATTGATCATAGACTGTTCATAACATTTTAATATTACTATATTTTTAAATATTTACATGTGTATATTTTATATTCATGTAAATGTTTTATGTTTGTGTGTATATGTTATATATAGATAACATACAAATATATATACATATACATATATATATACACATACATATATATATATATATACACATACACGTAGACAGCAAGAGAGACAGAAAGATAGAGCGAGGAAGAAATGTAAAAAATCACTAAAATGTGTGGGGCGTAACCAAAGTCATATTCAAGCAAAAATGTATAGACTAAAAAGCACTTGTTATTAAGAAGAAAATCTAAATTTAAGCAACTCAATATTTATTTTGATAAATTAAAAGCAAAATAAAAGGATAAATAAGAAAGCTAAAATTAATAAAACATAATGCATGATAATTATTTTTAAATTGGAGAAAATCATATTAAAGATCATATGGAAAATAAATGCTAAAGCTGTTTAATAAAGGAATTATTAAACAGCAGTAATAAGAGATGAATAGCCTGACCTGTATCAAAATGATTATAATGCCTTATCAGATATTAAAATAAATATAATCAAAACTATCTGGTATTTGCATTAGATTATGCAAATAAATGAGTGAAACAAAATAGAGATCTCAAAACATATCGTTTACATGCACATAGAGTGTCGTAATTCAGGGAGAAATAAGATAGGTTATTTAATTAGTGGTGTTCGCACAACTGGCTTTTTCCCTTGGCACCACAAATCACAGGATTGAAAAAGTAAAAAAATAAAAAATAAAAATAAGCCCAGATGGATTAAATACTTAACTATGAAAAGAATAAAAAATATTAAGTGCCAATTTAAGATTGTATTTCAAATCTAGTGTTTGAAAAAACTTTCATAACCACAATAGGAAATGGATATCTTACAGCTTGATACCAAAAAAATTGAAAAGAAAAAAAGAGAATAAAATATATGATTAGACTGGAATTTCTCAAGATCAACACTATTGACATCTGGTCCAACTGTGGACCAGATATATCTTTGTTAATGGAGCCCATCTTCAGCATTGTAGGTTTATTAGCAGCATCCTTGTTCTCTACCAACTAGATGCCAGAAGCACTGCCTCTCCACTCTCTTCAGTGATAACAATTAAAAATGTCTCTAAATATTGCCAAATGTGTACCATTGTCATAAATGTATGTCATAGAATATTATCCAATACCAGAAAAATGCATTCGCTTCTATAATCATTTTCATCTTGCTCAGATGGATTATCATTGTACAAAAGTACTATGTACTCTAACATGAGATAATATGAAGAAAATGTACATAATAAAATTATATTTTTGTATCAGAAAAGAAAAAACTATTGTGTGTATCTGTGCGTTTGTGTTGTTCTTCATTCTTTATGTTTATATATTTTTAAGTATAAAAATATTTAATTAAGTAAATATTGAGTTGTTAGTTTTTAAAACATAAAGCATAATATGAGACGTCCAATGGAAGTTTTTTTTATTTTTTTATTCTTTAGCAAGTTCAAAAAAGATGTTTTGTTTTGGGTTTTTATTTTTATTTTTTAAAGTTCAGTTTAAAGTAAGAAAGTTAAGCAGACTCAGAGAAAATACTAGGTAGATTCTGTAATCTTTTTTTTTTTTTTTTTTTTTGGTCACTGAAGCACCACCCATATTTGTCAGTAAATATTTTATATCCTGGAGTGTCCACAATTGTCCTAATTCTATTAAATTGTATTTATTTAGAACAAAGGCCATTTAATTACCAGGTGTTTCGACACTTAAAAACATTTTAATAAATAAATTCACCATTTACAGAAAGTATATCCTTTATCAAGTCATGATGCCCATTCTGAACCAAAAACAGTGATTGTCTGTAGTAATTTTAAATATTTGCTGAACTTCTATAAGAAAGACATCAAAACATCTGCCACTCTAACTGAAGAAAAGCATGCTCTTAGATTTAATTATTATTTAAAATTGCTAACATTTTTACGGTGTTTACTGTATCTCATGATTTTCCAGGACAGCCTCCAAGTTTTAGATGAAAGAATTAAAATTAATGAATGTTAAACTATTTGTTTAAGAATACTTAATAAGTAGTGAGATTATAATATCAACTTAGTTCTATCCAATTCTAATGTATAAGTAATTTTATTAAACTAAATCGTAGGGAAAAAAGCCTACCAGTTTAGCTCATCTGTTCTATCCTTGTAGAGATAAAGTCAGATGGAAGAAGAAGAAGGCTTCATAAAAGGGAGGTTCTGGCATCCTCAGGAATCACTTGCTGTAATGGATTCTTCCATTCTTCCATTCCACTATCCCAAAAGCCAACAATTTATTCTGGAGAAGTATCTCAGTTTCTAATTACTTCATAAAAAAATGACCACAGAAGAAGCTCTTCAGAATGTCAGAAGAAATTTTCAAAATCCACCCCTCTATTAAAACGATGAGGAAACTGGAAAAAGAAAAAAATGAGTCAAAATCTGATTTTTCAGAACTCTGGAAATTAACCAAAGCCTTGCAATAATTTAAGAAGCATTTATTCCAGAAAAAGGGTTGAATCTTAGTAAGAACTAGAAAGTTGGCAGATTTGAGTCCAGAGCCAGTTCTTTTGAAAATCAGATTGTTCTACAGGGGACACCCTTAAGCTCTTGAAACAATGATGTCAGTCAATCATACATTCAACATGTTTCCAATCCACATTCTTTCTTCCAAGTGTGATTCAAAATTCTTGAGAGTCAATGTTCTTATATGTAAATGTGGGCTACCATGTTAAAAGAAGAAAGAGAAAGAAAAGAAAAAAAGGAAGGAAACAGAGAGAGAGAAAAGAAAAAAGGAGAAAAAACAATTCAAAACATCAAAGACTCATTGAGGTCAGAACATACTATAATGAGATACCATAGATTTTTGGGGGGACAAAATAAATTCCATATGGAGGAGACTGTCTAAGCATGGCCACTGCCAGAGAAATATAACAGAAGCTTCTCATTCCAGTTTTGCAACGTGCTAAGCAGAATGGAGCTCAAATGGCCACCAGTGACCAAAAAAAATTCTGCATGTTTCACTATAAAATGATGTTTTGCAAATTCAAGTGTTTGTGTTTTGGGAAGTCAGGTACTGTAGATTATTCTACCATTCCTTTACTATTGATAAAATTCTCCAAAGATTAATTTCTACCAAAACGTTTATCATTTATCACATATAATGGATCCAATTATTCATTAAATTATTTTCATTAGCCTTACCTCCCCTGACTAGGAATAGTTTTGAAAAGTTGAAACTATTTGTCTATATATCCATATAAAAGCTGCAACTCATTGGGATAGATTGTTACATCAGCCACCCTCAATGAGTAACACTTTCCAAATTCATAAGGTCCCCTCCCCCATTGACTCTGGGCTGGGCCACATGACTTGCTCTAGCCAATAGAATATCAGCAAACGTGACACAAACAGAGGCTTACTAAGTGCTTATGTGTGGAACTTTCTCTCTTGGAATATTGCCTCTATCATGCAGAGAGAGGACCAGCCTTGAATTAATCCTCAGATGAATGCACCTATGTGAGTGAACCCACAAGAAACTAGGAAAAGAACCATCCAGCTGAACCACAGAATCATCAAAAATAATAAATTACAATATAAAGCCACAACAATTTGAAGTTATTTGTATGAAGCAAAGATTACTGATAAAAAAATTAGGTACTGGAAATCGGGAAAATTTAGAACGTGATAGTTTTGAGACTCAGCCATGGGCAAAGGCTGCAAAGGCCTTCGTGGTAGCAAAAAAGATCAAAAGGAAACCAATGCTAAAGACTAAAAAAAAAAAAACCATGGTAACCTGTATTCTACAGTAGCAAAACAATGAGCAAAACCATTGCCAACAGTAACTCTAATATACAAAATGCTCTAATGAACTTGAGGATTTAGGTTGATTGTATAAGCAGATTGTAGTACCCATTTTAACTACATTGCAAGCATGGAATTTTGGAGGCTACAGAAAGAGAATTTCAGGCCCCATATTCTCCTGATGTCAGGCTTGTAGTTAGAAATTCTTAAGGAATAGTTTTTCACATTCCACCAGAAAAAAATCCATGGCAGGCAACTATAGTCATTGCACCTTTATGTGATATGTTCTTTGTTTCTAGTTCACCCAACGAAGGTTTGTCATCTTTTGGAATCCTGGCTTTATGAAGGGCTTTCCCTGTCTAACACCTGCCTGTGTTTCTTTTCCCACCCAGGCTACAGAGGATGGATAGATGTTACCAAAATGAATTCTATTTCAATAATACCTTACTTTTCTGGATTCACAGCTTATCCTTAAGTATTATCTCTGAGGTTTTTGTCTTACTTTCTTATTTATTCATCTATGAATTTATGAAGGCAAGAATCACTTTGCAGGACCTGAATCTTAAATAGTTTGGGGGAGACTCTTTAAGAAAAAGCATACAAAATAATAAATGCAAACTTGCTGGGACTTTGGAAGGAGCCCTAAAACTTAAACTTCTATTAGCTTTGGGGTAAATCTCCTGCTGGCCTCTGGTCTACATTCTTTTTTTTTTTTTTTTTTTTTTTTTTTTGCTTTTATTTTAGTTTTTGGGGTACCTGTGAAGGTTCATTGCATAGTGATATGGTTTGACCCTGTGTCCCCACCCAAATCTCAACTTGTAGCTCCCATAATTCCCACGTGAGAGGAATCTGGTGGGAGATGATTGAATCATGGGGGGCAGGTCTTTTCCATGGTGTTCTTGTGATAGTGAATAAGTCTCACAAAATTCACTGGTTATATAAAAACAGGAGTTGCCCTGCACATGCTGTCTTCTCTAGT
Organism: Homo sapiens; assembly: GCF_000001405.40. Taxonomy (NCBI): domain Eukaryota; kingdom Metazoa; phylum Chordata; class Mammalia; order Primates; family Hominidae; genus Homo; species Homo sapiens. The sequence continues at coordinate 82,146,117 of NC_000012.12, forward strand.
CTGCCACCATGTGAGACATGCTTTTCACCTTCCACCATTATTGTGAGGCTTCCCTAGCCATGTGGAAATGTAAGTCCAATAAACCTCTTTCTTTTGTATATTGCCCAGTCTTGGGTATGTCTTTATCAGCAGTGTAAAAATGAACTAATACAGTAAATTGGTAACAGTAGAGTGGGGCACTGCTGAAAAGATACCCAAAAGTGTGGAGGCAACTTTGGAACTGGGTAACAGGCAGAGGTTGGAACAGTTTGGAGGGCTCAGAATAAGACAGAATAATGTGGGAAAGTTTGGAATTTCCCAGAGATTTGTTGAATGGCTTTGACCAAAATGCTGATAATGATATGGACAATGAAATCCAGGCTGAGGTTGTCTCAGATGGAGATGAGGAACTTGTTGGGAACTGGAGCAAAGATGACTCTTGTTATGTTTTTGCAAAGAGACTGGCAACATTTTGCCCTTGCCCGAGAGATTTGCAGAACTTTGAACTTGAGAGAGATGATTTGGAGTATCTGGTGGAAGAAATTTCTAAGCAGCAAAGCATTCAAGAGGTGACTTGGGTGCTGTTACAGGCATTCATTTTTGTAAGGAAATTGAAGCATAAAAGTTCAGAAAATTTGCAGCCTGACAATGCCATAGAAAAGAAAATCCCATTTTCTTTTCATTTTCAATTCAAGCCAGCTGCAGAAATTTGCATAAGTAAGAAGGAGCAGTATGCTAATCCACAAGACAATGGGGAAAATGTCTCCAGGGCATGTGAGAGGTCTTCACAGCAACTCCTCCCATCACAGACCCAGAGGCCCTAGGAGGAAAAAGTGATTTCATGGGCTGGGCAGAGGGTCCCTGTGCTGTGTGTAGCCTAGGGAATTGGTTTCCTGTGCCCCAGTTATTCCAGCCTTGGCTGAAAGGGGCCAATGTAGAGCTCCGGCCATGGCTTCAGCGGTGCAAGCTCTAAGCCTTGGCAGCTTACACGTGGTGTTGAGCCTGCAGATGCACAGAAGTCAAGAATTAAGGTTTGGGAACCTCCACCTAGATTTTAGAGGATGTATGGAAATGCCTATGTCCAGAAAGAAGTTTGCCACAGGGGCAGGGCTCTCACAAAGAACCTCTGCTAGGGCAATGTGGAAGGGAAATGTGGGGTTGGAGCCCCCACACAGAGTCCCTACTGGGGCATTGCCTAGTGAAGCTGTAAGAAGAAGGCCACCATCCTCCAGATCCCAGAATGGTAGATACACTGGCAGCTTGCATTATGTGCCCAGAAAAGCCACAGGCACTCAACGCCAGCCCATGAAGGCATCCAGGAGAGAGGCTGTACCCTTCAAAGCCACAGGGGCAGAGCTGCCCAAGACCATGGGAACCCACCTCTTGCATCAGTGTGACCTGGATGCGAGACATTGAGTCAAAGGAAATCATTTGGGAGCTTTAAGATTTGACTGCTCCACTGGATTTCGGACTTGTACGGGACCCGTAACCCTTTTATTTTGGCCAATGTCTCCCATTTGGAATGGCTATATTTACCAACAGCCTGTACCCCATCATATCTAGGGAGTAACTAACTTGTTTTTGATTTTACAGGCTCATAGTGGAAGAAACTTGCCTTGGATGAGACTTTGGACTGTGGACTTTTGAGTTAATGCTGAAATGAGTTGAGACTTTGGGGGACTGTTGGAAAGGGGTGATCGGTTTTGAAATGTGAAGATGTGAAATTTGAGAGCTGCCAGGGCAGAATAATATGGCTTAACTCTCTGTCCCCACTCAAATCTCCTCTTGCAGCTCCCATAATTCCCACGTGTTGTGGGAGGGACCTGGTGGGAGATGATTGAATCATGGGGGCAGGTCTTTTCCGTGCTGTTCTCATGATAGTGAGTAAGTCTCACAAGATTCGATGGTTATATAAAAAGAGGAGTTTCTCTCCACAAGCTCTCTTCTCTTGTTGGATGCCATGTGAGATGTGCCTTTCACCTTCCACCATGACTGTGAGGCTTCCCCAGCCACGTGGAATTGTAAGTCCAAAAAACCTCTTTCTTTTGTATATTGCCCAGTCTCAGCTATGTCTTTATCATTCAGCAGCATGAAAACAGACTAATACACACAGGTAAACACGTGTCACAGAGGTTTGTTGTACAGATTTTTTCATTGCTCATGTATTAATCCCAGGGCCTAATAGTTATCTTTTCTGCTCCTCTCCCTCCTCCCACCTTCCACCCTCAAGTAGTAGACCCCAGTGTCTGTTGTTTCCTTCTTTGTTTTCATAAGTTTTTATCATGTAGCTCCCACTTATAAGTTAGAACCTGTGGTATTTGATTTTCTGTTACTGTGTTAGTTTGCTAAGGATAATGGCCTCCAGCTCCATCCATGTTCCTGCAAAAGACATGGTCTTATTCATTTTTATGGTTGCATAATATTCAATGGTATATATGTACCACATTTTCTTTATCCAATAGACCACACCAAAGGTCTACATTCTTTAAAATATTTTATTCCTAAATTTTAGGTTGCATATGAAGATGATTTCTCTGGGCATCTGAGGTATATTGCTGGAAACGGAAGTGTGGTTGCTGTTCAGTGTGTATTTTCCCCACTTGGTTTTAGCTACATGAGCACAACTGGGCTGTCTGGTTCACTGCTATATGCTCAGCACTACAAACTGGAAGCTCAGTAAATGATGAATGAATGATTGAATTGTCACATTGATTAGATTTATTTTATTGGTCAGATATTTCTAGACAAAAAAAATGAAATGGAAAATAAGGGAGAAAAATTTTTAACCAGCATAGGATTAAGTGAGCAAAGGTGAAAATTAATGTCAACAACCCAAATGTACAATATTAGTATCTGCCAGCTAGAAAATCGGCAGATCTGTGTATAAAGACAGTTCTTTTGAAAATCAGATTGTTCTGTAGGGACCACCCTTAAGTTCTTGGAATGATGAAATCAGTCAATGATATAATTAACATGTTTCTAACCCGTATTCTTTCTTGCATGTTATGACTCAGAGCTCTTGAGAGTCAGTAAGAATACACCAAGTTATTTTGTAGAGGAAAATTGACTCTGTAGACATGCCTGCTACCCACATCCATGATGAGTGAGTTGGCTCTTTGTTCAAGTAAGAATATAAATTCAGGTTTTAGCATTGTAGGAGAATGACAGCTATTCCCTGTCACATGTGATGACTAAAGTTGTGAAGGGCACTTGTTAAAGACTATCTTAAAATATGGATATATGAGAATCACAGTTTCATAAGATGGTATTATTCATCTGGATTTGGTAGATTCTATCTCTGTAATAATTTAGACACGAGTTACATGAACAGCCGTATTATTCAAGGCCCCACAGGAATGACTTGACTATTTGCTATGCCCTGTAATTCAATACTCTGTACTCAACTTTTAAATAGGCAAAAATATATATTGTTATTTGAACAGTGGTTCCCCACTTTGGTACAAACAAAAATGAAGACATTATGAACTGTACAGGCTGCTCCCTTAAATGTAGATCTACATAATATATGTCTCACTAAATTTATATCCAAGAAATAATTTGCCCCTGCAGAGGAATTTGTATGTCTCTTATATCAAATATGAATATTACTTAGCTCAGTGTGATTCCTTTTTTGCCTTAGCTGCCAGAAAACTAAGCCAAATTGTGTGCCCAGCAGTAGAAATGAGGTCATATGAGAAATCTATTGGCATAAACTCTTCATGTTTCTCTAAGGCTTATCTATTCTTTTTTATTCTCTTATTGAATTTAACATAATTAAAAACTGTGTATTCCATATCTAAGTCATTTGAATGTAGGTGAGATTGAAATAAGCAAATAAACAATATACATTTTAAAGAGCTATATTAGGCATTATGTCTCTCTATAAACATAAATTAGATTGAATACTATCTATCAATTAAAATTTCCTAATGTAATTCAACTATAGAATTCATATTTTCATATATTCACCTACTCATTCTTTCTAAAATATTTAATGAGTACATACATAAGACCTATTTAAGAAAGACTGTGTCAGATATTGTGGTGGGAAAGTAAAGTATAAAGATACTACGTAATCCTTTAAACTAAAACTCTAGTTGGACAGATGGCCATCTAAAATATAAGTAACAACAGGGTATACAACTATCAGCAAAAGGCTTCAGGTGTTCCAGAAAATGAGAGCATTAATTCAATCAGCTCTACAAGGGTTCATTATTACGTAGTCCCCTTTGAGATTTATTCCTGACAGTTTATCCTCCAATTAAGAGATTAGAATTCTACTGGTGTATGGTTTTATCTTTTCAGTATGTTTTAGAATTGTTCAAACAATAGAGCCAGTTAGGCCTAGGGCACCAGCCTTATCAACCTGACTTGAATTAAAAGCTCTCTTGAGAAACAAAAAAATAAGATTTTAGTTGTCAAAAAAGAAAAATAAAAAGGAGCACAGCAGACTAACCAAACCAAATGGATTGAAAGGGGCTACTCAAGTTGAGGAAAACATAATATAGGACATTGGCTGTCAATAAGGGAGACTACAGATAGACTTCTATTTACTCGGCCATACAGTGCTTTAATCAGTGTGTAACAAACCATCTCAATACCCGGCAGCACATGATACAATATGCTTATATATGATGATGTTGTTTTATCAGATCCCATCACTAGAAACATAAAGAAGGTATTTTTCCCAGTCTTGCTCACCATAGTATCCCTAGTATCTAGAACAGTTCCAGACACACAGTTGATAAATATTGTTCATGAAAAGAATAATTATATATTAAATGATTGATACAAAGAGTGAATGATGCAGCAGTCTAGAAGAAAAGATGATCTTTCTATGCTGCAGTGTTGTCTTAACCCATTTATGCCTGAGGTTGCAATTTTTTGAATTTTTGCAATCAGACCTTGCCAATGACCTTGAGCAGCAGGATATAAATAACTCCCACATGCTTAGTGTTCCAATAATGGAACGCTAAGCTTAAATGGGCTATAAGTTAGATTCCCCTAAGACAGACAAGGATTTAAGTGCAATTATTTCTTTGGGAGATGATCACAAAGGCACTGGTAAGGAGGTAGAGAAATAAGGTGAAGAAAAGAGGGAAGCCAATAAGGGGTATGTTATCTAATAGGTTCCCATGGCAGGTTACCACTGTGAACAACTGGGGAACTGAGAAAGATGCTAAAATATAACTGAATTATTTTTTCAGAGAGATAAGAAAGATGGAGTATTTATCCTTCAACTTCCATCCACCATTGGCTAAGGGTGCTGGGAATATTCACCACTTCCCAGGACTTCCTTCCTGGCCTACCTGGACTGATAGGCTTCCAGTAGAGTCAAAAGTGCTTGAACTGGAATGCAGTAAGCATCTACTGGAATGATAAATGCAAAGGAGATATGAGGAGGCATCAATAGTGTCTACTAAAAATGTTAATAAAATAGAGTTAAAAGTTGCAGTTTCAATGAACTACTTGAGTCTCATTTAAAAATGAAAATGCAAATACATGGAAAGAAGAGGAAAACAAGACATAATACAAGTTAGACATATATAGGATACCAGGGAGAAAACTAAACCTAATGGAGTGGAGGACTGGTGGGAAATGAGATTTAAAGATTCCATAGCACAGGCATCATAAAATCACTGAGGACTTTAGACTTTATCTTGTAAACAACAGGAGAACCCTAGAAGATTTTTGAATACAAGAATAATATGAATAAATAGTATAACATAATGATTAATTTTTCAGCTATGAGTAGGAAGAAATGGAACACTGAGGCCTTTAAGTCCTGACCAAATGATATTATAATTCTGGCTTGAAAAGCCTGGACTAGGGTGGTGGGAAACGACAAAAAAGTAGATAGGTAATTGAGTACCATGTAATTCATCTGTGCAACAAAAACCACTGGTACCCCAAAAGCTATTGAAATAAAAATTTAAAAACAATTTTAAAAGTTAAGAAGCCAATAAAACAAAAAATTAAAATTAAAAAAAAGTTTCCTGAAGGGAATAAAAGGTAAATAGGATGAAATGGATTATATAAACGAAGACCAGGAAAGGAGCAGGAGCCCAAGGATGCGAGGATTCACATCAGTAGGTCACGGCAATTGTATTTTCTTAAATTACTCCTAAATTTTAACTTAACATTTATATATTTTTATTTTTTAGAAATTTTACAAAATTTTTGCAAGTTGCCCCTGGTTCCAATATAATTTCAAAAAGTTGAAGTGCAGTTTTCTTGAATCTTTGTTGGCATAAATTTTTGCCATAAACTAAGAGATGAATTTGACACCCAAAGGTTTTCACCAAATGACAGTTCAGGAAAGTGGCAGAAGATGTGCAGTGGATTCCAGAAGGTGCTTGAAGAGCGCATGCTGGGTACAAAGGCTTTGTTAAAGATGGCAAGTCTGAGCAACATATACAACTTCCCATTGAGTTAAAACTGAACCAGTTCTAGGAAGAGAAGCCAGGGGTCAAAAAGCAGTTATACGGATTTCATACATCTGCAACCAAAACAGGAATAACTTGTCATCAGGGGCCCTGAGGTAATAGAAATAAAATGAATGCCCAGCACATTGTAAGGCAGAAAAATGAGTTGGGTTTCAGTAAATCAGGACACCCGTATCAGAGCTGGCTGGTGAAAGAGATTTGATGAGTTACTTTGACAGAGAAATCAGTGAGAAGATACCTAAGGCCCATGCCTTAACCCACATTTGGAACTTAACAGACGCATGTTATAAAAAGTTGGACAATGTTTTTGTTTCACAAACTTTACTTGTACTATTTCTTCTAAATATTAGGCACAAATTTGGCAGGAGGTCATGTTTTATAAGTAGGAAACAAGTAAATACACATTTTTAAAATAGTTATTTAAATTAAATTAATTAAATTTAATTAAATTAATATACACATATGGTTTAAGTCAAAAATACAAATGGAAAGTTTAGAGAAAAATGTTCTTCACATCCCAGTCTTTCCTTGACTCAGTTTTCTTCATTCCTGTCACACATCTATTAGTATTGTATATATCCTTCCAGATATTCTTTATTCATCTATAAGTAAGTACAAATATGTATGTATTCTTGATAGTATTTTATTCACAGTGCTCTGAACTCTGCCTTTTACTTAATAGTGAATGTTTCAAAATATTTACATATTATTACGGAGACAAGTACCTCAAATTTTACAAATGAGTAATATTCTATAAATTTTATCATTTTTATTTTGCACAATTTTGGTTATTCCATATTTGCTTGCATGTATGAGAATGAAGTTATAGGATACATTCATAGAGGTGAGACTAATAAGCAAAAATATATACATTTAAGTAGAAGCTTAAAGAATTCAACACAATCCCAATAAAAACACTAACAGGCTTCTTTTTTCTGATTTCTTTCTTTCTTTTTTTCTTCTTGTCTGTCTGTCTTTATTTTTCTTTCCTTCCTTCCTTTCTTGGTGTAGTCTTCCTTTCTTTTTATGGTAGTGGATGTACAAACAGTCTGATCCTACATTTCATATAGGCATACAAAAAAATCTTAGCCTGAACACAAAGAGCAATGAAGATGCTCCACTTCTACTAGATATTAAAACACACTGCAACATATAAATAGTAGTAATAGTCTGGTACTGGCACACAGAGATAAAAATATCAATGGGACAAAATAGAAATTCCAGAAGTAGATGCAAATTCACACAAAAACGTCATATATGACAAAATTTAGTATTTCAAATTAGTGAAGGAAGATGGACTATTTTATAAAGTCTAATGGGACAATTAAGTAACCATCTGGAAAGAAAATACTATTGGGTCCACTATCTGACATGGTTACAGAAGGACTGATAGCACACTCAGATTCAGTAATATGAGGAATTTAATAAAGGGACTATTTATAAAGGTTTAGAGATATTGTGGGAAAAATCATACTGAGACAGTAGCAGAAGGATCCTCTTACCATACATAGGCCTGAAGGGGAGAGAGTGCTAACACCAAGAGACAGAGAGGGATGTGTGAAAAGGGACATCAGACAACAGCTGTGACCTTAGGTTGAAAAACGCAGCCAGGCCACAGGGACCCCACAACAAGACAGTCCTCCTCCTCTCCCTCTGAACTCCTGCCACTCATCTCAATTGGCCAAATACAACTAGAAACCAGAAGGCAAGTGATATTCCCCCACAAGTTCGCTTCCTAGATTTGAGAAGAGAGTAGAAGAGATAAGGGTAGATATAGAACCAGTAGAAGATAGCACCTCATGGTCTATACCAGAATAAATTCCAAATGGAACAATAAATCAAAATAAGGAACAATTATTTTATGATTCGGTTTGTGTAAAGTGTTTCTAACCATGACTGATAATCTAGAGTTCATTTAAAATTGGTAAGCTTGACTGCATTAAAAAGAACATACTTCTGTATGGCAAAATCACTGTCATCAGAGCAGAAATACAGTGATAACTTGGTGGAGGAGAAACTACATCTAATATCACAAAATGCTAAACAGCACAAAAAATTAATTTCAAAATACCAATAAAAAAATTGACAGAGTATATGAACATACAGCTCAGGAAAAAAATGCGTATGAAAATATATTCAACTTTATTCCCAATAAGATAGATGAAAATTACATCTTCTCAGAAACACCATTTTTTGTTTAACAGACTGGCAAACATTGCAAACTTGGTGATACAATCTATTGTTTCATTGCTGGTAGGAGGGCATATGTGTAAAAATCCTCTGGAGGAAAATCTGGCAATGTCTATAAAAATCGAAAATGGATACGTACTTTTCACCCTAATTTACCAATTAAAAATTTGTTTTATTGAATCCAAAAATTACATTCAAACATCAAGAAACAAAAAAATTCTGAGCCTCAAAGGAATGCTATATCAATTTCTTTCTCAGCCATGAAAGACAAAAAGCAAGAACAGATTTATTTTATATCCCCATATCATTTGGATGTTAGTAATTCTAAGTGTATAATTTTGGTAAATCACAATAATGACATAATGATTAAGAAAGCTGGTTCTGAAATACTTTTCTATATTGATTTCTTCCTATGTGCTTTTAGTCTATATATTCCTACTATTGATTCCTGAGGTGTGTCACATTTTTAGTTGAAGTATCTTGGAATTCTTAGATAGGATTATAAAACTCTTCATTTACTTTTGTAAATTAAGAGAACGTTGTCTCTCCTTGCTATTACATCAAGAAACATTAATTAAATACCTACACTGTGACAAGCACTGTGCAAAGTTCTGGGGTCACAAATATGAATAAGAAAGCAGCCTGTGTTGACCATTTAGACTACTAGGGAGATAAAAAAATGTTCTGGTTACCGGAGCTCTACATCAAGCCCATCCCAAAACTTACCGGCTCAAAGCAACAATATTTACTTGACTCACTAGTACAGAAATCAACATGCCCTACAAAGCCTATTTATTTATTTTTGGAGAGCTTGTTGTTAAACATTTAAGTACCACTGAATAGTTGGCACTAACTAAAGACAGTCTCCAAATTAAGAATTTTTTTTTACTTTATTATGTTTGAAAATGATGCTCATTCAGTAGAAATCATACCCTGAATTTTAAATTTTGATATTTTTCTGGGATGGGCAGCAGAACTGAGCCCAAGATCCTAGTCAGCCATGCAATCAAGGGGTGAATAACTGATACTCTACAGCATTCTGTGTTGCCACCGTTTTTTGGATATTGTGTTTTGTGTTTTCGCATCCTATCATGTCTACAAAACACCCTTTATATACAATACTCAATACTTTATTGTAAAATATAGGTTTTGTGTTAGATGATTTTTCCCAACTAATGTATGTGTTCTGAGCACGTTTAAGGTAGGCTAGGCTAAGCTATGAAGTTTGGTAAGTTAAGCGTATCAAATGCCTTTCAAATTACGATATTTTCAATGTAACAATAGGTTTATTGGGATGTAAATTAATGTCAAATTGAGGAGCATCTGTATTTAAAATGTGCAACTAAAAAATCACAGATGAAAAACTATAGATGACAAATGCAATTCTGAATTTTTCAAATGTTATTTGGAATTGAGCAAAATCAATTGTATTGGCTTTTTGAAATGCTCTCACAAAGCCACCTCTTGTATACATCTCTTTTATTGTATTATTTATACACTGTGCAGTAAATATGCACATGAAATATTTACACACACGTTTATTCAAAGTACCTATTATTCATTTTCTCCTTTTTCCTAGGTGTGCCAAGAAGGAAAACTAATAATATTTCCCTAGCTAATTTCATCTACCTCAGGTTATCTGGAGATTGTCATTTGGCTAGTTTTTGTTTTCAGTATTACAGATTTTAATTTTGCATTTCTGACTTTATAGGCTTTTATTGAGAAGAGGGAAGAAGTTGCATTGAGAGCTTCTACCCAGGTGTCATTTCACATGTTATATAAATAACAAGTCATTTTGCATCCATTTTAAATTTAAGGAATGTTTTTAATAAGGCAAGCATATTGAATTTTAATTTAGATTCATACATATAAGTGTGTACATATATATATATATATATATATATATTTTTTTTTTTTTTTTTGAGAGGGAGTCTCACTTACTCTGTCACCCAGGCTGGAGTGCGGTGGTGCAATCTTGGCTGACTGCAACCTCCGCCTTCTGGGTTCAAGCGATTCTCCTGCTTCAGCCTCCCAAGTAGCTGGGATTACAGGTGCGCCACCATGCCCAGCTAATTTTTGTATTTTTTAGACACAGAGTTTCACCATGTTGACTAGGCTGGTCTCGAACTCCTGACCTCAAGTGATCCACCCACCTTGCCTCCCAAAGTGCTGAGATTACAGGCATGAGCCACCGCACCTGGCCTAGATTCATATTTGGCATTAGTGAGTTTAGTCTGTACGTGCACAGAACTATTAGATATAAACCCATTAGGTCAGAAAAAGTAATGTTTTAGGGCAAATAAAGGGCTATACTGTTACACTCCTTTACATAAAGAAAGTAAGTGATTGAGTGATTCTACTGTGCAATATTTTGCATTATGGAGTGTTAGCAAGCAGGCTAAACTATAGCATTTAGTTATGGCAATAGTTTGCTGCAGGGTACAGAGCTGACACATTCATAGCTGTTCCTTGACTACTAGCTAGTCTAACCAGATAACACATTGTATGGCTTAATTGGAGCACTCTTCTATGCTTTCATGTCTTTGCACATTTAATCCTCAGAATAACCCTATCAGGAAGGTGCTATTACCTTCGTTTGCAGATTAAAAAATTGAGACAAAGGAATGAAAATAAGCTTACCCAAGGTCACACAAATCAAAAATAGCTGTATTAAAAGTAGATCACAGGGCCAGTTGTGGTGGCTCATGCCTGTAGTCCCAGCACATTGGGAGGCCGAGGCTGGTGGATCACTTGAGCCCAGGAGTTTGAGACAAGCCTGGGCAACATGGCGAAACCCTGCTTCTATAAAAAATACAAAGAAAAGGAGCCAGGCACGGTGGTGTGCACCTGTAGTCCCAGCTACTCGGGAGGCTGAGGCAGGCGGATCACCCGAGCCAGGGATGCAGAGGTGGCAGTGACACCCTGCACTCCAACCTGGGCAATAGAGTGAGACCCTGTTTCAAAAACAAATAAAAAAAGTAGATCACAGGCAGCCTCTCTCTAGAGCCACATTCTCCATCCTTCTTGTCATGTGCAAACAGGGTCTAACCCAGAAGACAGTACCTGCTGAAAGTTATTTTGGGTGTCCAAATATAACTGACTCCTCCATTTAAAATGAAAAACATGTTAAATTTTGTGGACTTCATAAAGATTACTATTGCAGGGTCAGCAAAGTTTAAATTTCTCCTTTTTTGGGTAAGTAATTTTGAGAGTAGCCAGGTTTGTATTGTTTAAATATTCCCAGAGATTTTTCTTTTTTAATCTTTCCTCTTTGAATGTTCTAGGGTAGTCATACATTTGACAAACTCAATATTTAATTATTCTGAGAGCTAGAGTCACCATTTTCATTTCCCTAGCTCATAAGTTTTGAAACCTCCATATAAACATGCAGAAATCTTTGCCTGTTCCCTGAGATCTATGGGGTAAGATTGCTTAACCTGGCAGAATGAAAAAGGAGAAGAACCTTAAAGGCCACAGCAAGTAACTTCTAAATGTAAAATCTATTTCCATAGTCACTTTTTCTCTTCTTTAAAGGTTAAGAAATTGCTTTTGTTGGATTACCTATTTAGTAGTTATAATAAGCTAAGCCTATATTGATTTTCTTTCTGAAATGATATATTATAGAATACTTCCCAGAGTTTGTAACATTTAATTTACACGCATCAATTTTATAAATCTAAAATTTAAAAAAAAGTTAAAATGAAACTAGAATAATGCCACCCTTACTACAAGATTACATATGTTTAACACTTCCATTGACAAGTCTTATGCTTCTCTTTACATATTTATACCTTTTTTCTTCTTCCTTATAACACTTCATGTTACTCAACAGCTATTCACTGACAAATACTATGTACCAGGGACCGTGCTTGGGGCTGGGATAAGAGGGTGAGAACCCTTATCTGCTTCGAAAGATTTCATGTACTCACAGAAGGTACACACAAGTAAATATTTAATTACAATACCCAACTATGGTTGGCAAACTAAAGGCTGGCCACAGACATCTATGTACTAATATCTGGAAGTTGTGAATATATGAGGTTATATGCACAAGAGGAAATAAGATTGTAAATAGTATTAAGTTTGCTAATAAACTGACCTTAAAATAGAGAGAATAGCCAGGATTATCCATATGGGTCCAGTGTAATCACAAGGGCCTTAAGGCGGGGGAAGGAGGCCACAGATAACCGTCAGAGGAAGACGTGACCGAAAAAGGCATGCAGAGATGCAAAGATGGAGGAAAGGCGCCTGAATCCAAAGAATCAGAATGACCTTGATATGGTTAGGCCTTGTGTTCCCACCCAAATCTCCTCTCCAATTGTAATTTGAATTGTAATCCCCCTGTGTGGAGGGAGGGACCTGGTGAGAAGTGATTGGATCATGGGAGCCCACTTCCCTCATACTGTTCTCTCGTTAGTGAGTGAGTTCTGACGAGATCTGGTTGTTTGATAAGTGTCTGGTGCTTTTCCCTTCTCGCTCTTTTTTCCTGCCGCCTTGTGAAGAAGGTACTTGCTTCCCCATCGCCTTCACTATGACTGTAAATTCCCTGAGGCCTCCCCAGCCATGCAGAACTGTACGTTAATTAAACCTCTTTTGTTTGTAAATTACCCAGTCTCAGGTAACATCTGTATAGCAGTGTGAAAACGGACTAATACAGACCTCTAGAAGCTGAAAAAAACAAGGAAACAGATTTTTTCCTAGCACCTCCAGAATGGAACACAGTCCTGCTGACACCTAGATTTTAGCCCATTGAGATTAGTGTAGGACCTCCATCCTACACAACTATGAAATAATAAATTTCTGTGTCAAGCTGCTAATGTGTGGTGATTCGTTACAGCAGCAATAGGAAATTAATGCATCACTGAACAATGCTAAAACAGAGGAACCTCATATAATGCTAAAGGAGGCCAGAGGGGATATCTTAGCCTGGAGTGAAAAAGTGTGTGCCCCAACAAAAGAATACAATAAAGATCAGAGTTTTCAAATGTTCCTCTCCCTGGTCTTCAAAATGTCAAGACAATCTTATGGAGGTACTTGTTGGATTGTTGTAGATTTAAAAAGAAGCAGGAGAGCCAGAGCCAGAAGCCTTAAGAAATATTTTCTTCTTTGGGGGGGATCCATTTATTGTGAGATAATGGTAAAGTATGTTAGGAAATTAGATCCCATTGGTGAAAAATGGTTTTAATAGTGAAAGGATGAATGGGAAAGGTATTTTTTCTTTCCATTCAGTTAAATAAGAACAAGTACAATCTGGTTAGACATTTTAATTTTCTATATAGGGGTAATATTTGACTTTGTGTTATTTGTAACTATATATTATTGGGGCCTTAGACAAACATTAAATTTCACAACACTGCCAATTCCATGCATATAGGTACAGGTACGTGTGACACAAAACTAAATCAGAGACATCTTAAAAAAATTAAAAACAGGAGAACCAGCACTGCAGCAGCCTGGCCTATGGCATACATACCCACAGTAAGTTACAGATTACTCATTGATATTACAGAGAAAGTAAACTGCAATCATGTTTATCACTGGTGCACACCACAGTGATGAAGTAACATTTTTTGTATTTGATCAGTCACAACTATTGGATATCAACTACATTCCTGGTATAATAAGGCTTTTAAAAACATAAACATGATAAATAATGGTGAAACAGAGATATCTCCCCCATCCCTTTCTCCTGAAGTGAGAGCACTATTCGAAGAACAAACAGAGTAATTCCTGAGACACGGCTCTCTCAGCACCTCAAAGAAAATCTCCCAGAATGAGCTAAAGGAGAAAATTGTAAAATGGTTCCCAGATGTCAGTCTGTAGAATTCAGGCAGGCTATGATTCAAGTGTCTATGCAGGAAAACCGTGAGAGACTTCATGCAAGTAAAAAGAAAGTAGCTACGAGATTGCTAGAGAATTAATGGTGACAACTATAATTTTATAATGACCTGTAGTTAACTCTCAAGAATGTCATTTAGGGAATCCTGTGAATAAAGATTTCTCCATAAATTCCCTGTTGAATTCCCATCTCCTGGTTCAGGCATGGTGGCTCATGCTTGTAATCTCAGCAATTGGGAGTCTGAAGTGTACAGATCACTTGAGCCCTATAGTTTGAGACCAGCCTAGCGAACACAGGGAGACCCTGCCTCTTCAAAAAATTTTGAAAAAATTTAAAAATGAGCTGGGCGTGGTGGCATGTACCTGTAGTCCCAGCTACTCAGGAGGCTGAGGTGGGAGAATCACTTGAGTCGGGGAGGTGGAGACTGCAGTGAGCTGTGATTGCTGCCACTGCACTCCAGCCTGGGTTACAGATCGAGACCTTGTCTCAAACAAACAAACAAAAATTCTCATCTCCTCCCCCAGATAAATATATTTTTGAGAGGAGTGATCTCAGGTGCGATTTTCCAATGGATCTTAAGCATCAAGTGTATAATACCTGTCACATAATAGATGTTTAATCAGTGTTCATCAAATACATAATTATTTAAATTTTTTTGACAAATATTTAATGACATTGAAAATTCTTCACAGTGAAAGAATAGGTGAAAAAAAAGAAAAACAGTATTTGGATACTCCGTGATCCCAATTATGTTAACACACATGCATAGCAAACAGACTAAAGGGAAAAACTGAAAATGTTAACTGCAAATATTTCTGAGTGGTGGGTTAGTGAGTATTTTATATTGTCTCTTTTTACTTTGTTTTTCACAGTCTTGAAAACAAGTATGTATTACTTTTACAACTAAAATTTCTAGAGTCATGCGGGTTAAAAAGTAATTACTTCTCACAAGAGCCATGTCATTTTCTTAGAATCACTTACATTAATATTATGAAGTTTGGACTTTCTACACTAATGTGATTTCCAGCACATTTTCTGTATAGGAGACTAAAAACCACTAGAGTTTAGAAAACAGCTTTATTGAGATATCATTGATATAAAAATAATATACCTACAATGTATACAACTTAATATTTTGATATATGTACACATGGAGCATAGTTGCTAGAGGCTGACGGGAGGGAGAAATGGAGTGATGTTGATAAAAAGTACAAAGTTTCTATCATGCAAATGAATAAATTCTGGAGATCTAATGTACAGTGTGGTGACGATAGTTAACAATACTGTGTTTTATGCTTGAAATTTGCTAAGAAGATAGGTCTTAAATTTAATCTTCTCCACACACACACACACCCCCACACAATGGTAACTATGTAGAAGTGATGGATATGTTAATTAGTTTAATTGTAGCGATAATTTTATAATGTATACACATATTGAAAACACTAGGGTTTATAGAATGGGATAAGCAACCTCTTTTGCGTCCTATTTTCTTTTCCTTATTCAAGGTTCTGAACTGACACTAAAAACACACTTGTATTTCTATAGATTCAAGGATTCCATATACGGTTCTACAATCAGGTGAGAAAATTTGCATATAGTTTGTAGCAATTTCGTGAGTAATATAGTCCTGAGAAGGCATTCATTCATTCACTTATTTACTCATTCAGTCATTGATTTATGGACATAAAATAATGCACCCTCAGTCCTGAACAGTGATGATTCTATAGCTGAAAAATGATTCTATTCCATCACTGATCCAGATTCTCATATAAACTTGGTCCAGGTTTTCAATATTTTTGGCTTAAATAATTCAGTTGGTTTCCTGACTGTTCTCCCTGTCACCTGATTCTCTCATTCGAATCTATGATTTATTGTATTTTCTGAAGCATTTTTTAAAGCACAAATTCATTACATGGCATGTTATAGAGAAATTATGACTTTGGGGGCCAGAAACCTGGATTAGAGGCTGATTCTTCTAATTACTTTATTGGTCATCAGTGTTATCTTTGAAGTCATATGGTCTCTGGTTTTCAAATCCTGTCTCTGATTCTTGCTAGCTCTGTGTCCTTGCACAAGTTATTTAAGGCCTCTTTCCTTCTCTATAAAATAGGGCTAATCATACCTACCTCACAGTATTAGGTGACATAATGAATGAAAACTTTTGGGCTCATTACTCATCAACTATATGAGTTCCCTATGGCTGTTGTCACAAATTACCACAAACTTGGTATCTGAAAACAACAGAATTTTATTTTCTCACAGATCTGGAGACCAGAAATCAAAATCAGTTTCACGGGGCCAAAAACAAGGTGTCAGTTGTACCATGTTCTCACTGAAGGTTCTAGGGGAGAATATATTCCTTCCCTCTCTCAGTTTTCAGCGGCTGCTTGCATTCCTTGGCTTGTGCCTGCATCACTTCAGTCTCTCCCTGCATGGTCACATTGCCTTTTCCTCTTTTGTCTGAAATTTCCCTCCACCTGCTTCTTAAAGGACATTTGCGATTGCATTGAATTCCTCCCTCCCTAAATAATCCAAGACAATCTGCCCATCTCAAGATCTTTAACTTAATGACAACTGCAAAATCTTTTTCATAAAATGTAATATTCATAGGTTCCAAGTATTAGAGCATGAACATGGGGGGGGTAATTATTCAGTCTACCAAAAGACTCTAGCTTATAATAAGTTCCAATGTTAATTATTATTTACATCATGAGACTGTGGGCTACTTTCTTAATTTTCGTGTTTCCTTGTTAGTAACAGGAGAATAATGGTATGATGATATCTATCCCAATACCCCAATAATGTATAAAAACTGCTAATAATTGATTAGTACATATATTTTCCCTTTCCCTTACACATTTTAGTGTGTTTTGTTGAGGGTGAGGAGCAACAAAACACTCATTAAGTTTAAATTAGTGAAACCACTTTGAAAAACTGTGTGGCAGTGTCTGCAAACATCGATCATTCCACTTATAACTACATACCCAACAGAAATGCCTACATATGTTTATCAAAAAACATATACTAGATGCTCAAAGCCACACTATTCAAAGCAGCCCTGAACTGTACACAATCCAAATATCTGTTACCAAGAGAATTATTATTAATTGTTTATTTATACATTAGAATACTCTATAGAGATGAAAATAGTCTTCAACTACCTGCAGCAACATAAATGATTAGTCTTTCAAATATTAAAAAAACAAAAGCCAGACACAAAAGATACTGCGTGATCCTATACTTAAAATATATAACCAAGTCAAACTAATCAGTGCTGTTAGAAGTCATGATAATAGTTATTCTTGGACTACTGATTGGAAGCAGGAAATTTCTGAGGTGCTGGAATGCTTTATCTTTTTATCTTGTTGCTGGTTTAAATTTGAGTTTGCAAAAATTGATTAAGCCATGCACTTATTACATATGGTATTTATTGGAGTATATTATACCTTTATTAACAGTTAAGGTTGAAAAAATTATTTAGAAGATTCCTATCCCACAAAATCACTATCTACATTATTTAGCTTGGTACCATGGCAATACTCAATCTCACTACACTCCACTCTGTTTTCCTAGCCTCATATTCTGCCATGTTCCCCACTATACCATTACAGACTTCTAAGCACTTTTCTCTAAAACAGGTCACATACTTCCATATTCCCATGAATTTGTATTTTCTATTTCCTTTTCTTGGGTTTAAATTTCCCTTCTTTTGCTGAATACTACTCATTTTTAGGGCACAGTTTGACTTCCACCTTGTCTCCTTGAAACCTTGTCTGATTCTATGTACAGCATATTATACATAAATTTTCCATAAATAACATAGTATTTAAACCACTTATGAGTTTACACATCTATATAAGAAGCTATCATTAACACCGCAAAGTGAGTTTGGCAATCAATCCTCTTCTGTCTCTCAAAACCCCCTTGTGGATTCTTCCTTTATAACACAGGTATACCAGGTGTTCAACATGTTTTTATTAAACTAAACTCACCTCTCTCACACCCTATATTGTGAGCTATTGAGCAAAGGAATTAGATTATTCATTATTGAATATCTGGCACCTATCCTAATGTATGATACATATTAAATTCTCAATACATGTTTCGTTGCCCAGTTAAGTCTATGCTATTTTATATTTTTAGATTTAAAAAATTCTGTATTAATTCTGTCAAATGGCCAATCTATGACCTTAAAATTGCGTCCTGCTTTGCAGAGTTTTCTCTGTGGAAATTCAAGCAAGGGCAATGAGAAACGTCTTTGTAGATTGCAATACGAAACTTAAAATATTACCATGTTTTTTGGGAAATTTAAAATGAAAAGGTAATTCAAATCAACACAATCAATTTAACTTAAGAAGTATTTATCGAGAAACATTTTAGGCATGGTGAGGGTACACAAGATACATAAGGTATTGTTCCTAGCTCTAGATATTCAGTATTCAGTGAGACAGGTAGGACAATCAGGCTGCATCACTCTAACCTTCAGCATATAAAACAAGGTGTCCTGTGGTATAAAAGAATATAAATAATAGTTACAGGTGAGAGCAAATCTTATGTGGTAGATCATTTCAGCAGGTTCTTAAAAGACACACAGGTTATTAACACATATATCCAACATCTTGTAGCTCAAAAAACAGATTATTTTCACCATATTTGGGGAAGATGAGAGTCACTATAAAAAGTTGCTAGTGTTTAAGGGGAGATGAATGGAAACAAAGTGTAAGAAACAATATCAAAAATTTTAATTGGGTCCAAATTATTAAGAGTTTTAGAAGCCACCATGAGATATTTAGACTATATCTTGCATGAAATTATAAACATTAAATATTGAGTATTTTGTAAGACTACAATTTGATGACTGTCTGTTATAGACTGAAAAAGGGAGACATTAGAAGCAAGGAGACAGCCTAGGAAGTTTTTATAATAATGCAAATAAGAGATAATGAGGGCCTGTACTATAATAGAGACTGTGGTAGCAGGAAAAAATTAGAATGTGTAGTAATGGACAACTAATTAATAGTGAATGGTAGTAAGTGGTGAGATGGAAGGAGATGGGAAAGTGAAAACTGAAGATGACGCCTAGATTTTTCTGACAGTGTTATATTATCAAAATTCTCTTATAAAACAGTTTTATATTCAATCTCATGAAAGAAGAAAAAGAAAATGTTTGCTGACCATGCAACTGTTCTCAGACAGCAAGAATGTACAAGTTGATTAAATTTGCAAGAAGGCAGAATAGCCCAAAGTTCAGGATTAGAGCATGAAACCACCAGACCAGAAACTGAGATCCTGAACCCCTTAGGCAAAATATCACGAGTTATACTTTCCTGCACCCCAAATGATGGGCTGATTTTCAAAGCATAATCAGGGAAATGAAGTAAATAAATCCCATTCCACAAGGCTTCAAATATTAACAATGCCTTAGTCAAATTGTATAAGTACAATGCCAACTATAAGTTTCCCCTTTCTAGTGATTAGGTCTACAAAAGTTAGTGTAATCCATTATGTTGTTGAATACCAAAATGACCACAGCCTGGATATTACTGGTATATAGAAATGCTACTGATTTTTGTACATTGATTTTGTATACTGAAACTTTACTGAAGTCATATATCAGTTCTATGAGCCTTTGGCAGAGTCCTTTGGGTTTTCATATCATCAGTGAAGAGAGATAGTTTGATTTTTTATTTTCTTATTTGGATGTCTTTTATTTCTTTCTCTTGCCTGATTGCTCTGGCTAGGACTTCCACTACTATGTGGAAAAAGAGTTGTGAGAGTGGGCATTCGTATCTTTTTCCAGTTCTTACGGAAAATGCTTCCAGCTTTTGCCTGTTCAGTGTGATGTTGTCTGTGGGTTTGTCACAGATGGCTCTTATTATTTTGAGGTATGTTCCTTCAGTGCCTGGTTTGTTGAAGGTTTTTAACACGAAGAAATATTGAATTTTATCAAAAGCTTTTTCTGTCTATTGAGATAATAATATGGGTTTTGTTTTTAATTCTATTTATGTGATGAATTACATTTATTGATTAGCCTATGTTGAACTAACCTTGCATCCAGGAATAAAGCCTACTTGATTGTGGTGAATTAACTTTTTGATATGCTGCTGGATACAGTTTGCTACTATTTTGTTGAGGATTTTTGCATCTATGTACATAAGAGATATTGGCCTGAAGTTTTCTCTGTGTGTGTGTGTGTGTGTGTGTGTGTGTGTGTGTGTGTGTGTGTGTGTGTCTGTCAGATTTTGGCATCAGGTTGATGCTGGCTTCATAGAATGAGTTAGGAAGGAGCCATTTCTCCTTGATTTTTTTGAAATATTTTCAGTAGAATTGGTACCAGTTCTTCTTTGTATGACTGGTAGAATTCAGCTGTGAATCCATCTGGTCCAGGGCTTTTTTATGGTTGATAGGTTCTTTATTACTGATTCAATTTCAGAACTCAATATTGGTCTATTCAGTGTTTCAATCTTTTCCTGATTCAAAGGATACACCCTACAAAAGACTAATATCCAGAATCTATAAGGAACTTAAACAAATCAACAAACAAAAAACAAATAGCCACATTGAAAAATGGGCGAAGGACATAAGCAGACACTTCTCAAAAGATGACATACATGCAGCCAACAAACATATGAAAGAATGCTCAGCATCACTAATTCTCAAAGAAATGCAAATCAAAACCAAAATGACATACCATCTCACATCAGTCAGAATGGCTATTACTAAAAAGTCAAAAAATAACAATGACTGGCAAGAGTGTGGAGAAAGACTGCTTATACGCTGCTGGTGGACATGTAGCCCAGCCACTGTAGAAAGCAGTTTGGAGATTTCTTAAAGAACTTAAAACAGAGCTGTGATTTGACCCAACAATCCCCTTACTGGGTATATATTCAAAGAAAAATAAATCATTGTACCAAAAAGACACATGCACTCACATCTTCATTGCTATGCTATTCCCAATAGCAAAGATGTGGAATCAACTTAGGTGCCTGTGAACAATGGATTGCATAAAGAAAATGTGTTACATATATACCATGGGATAATATGCAGCCATAAAAAAGAAAAAAAATCACATCCTTTGCAGCAACATCGATGTAGCTGGAGGACATAATCCTAAGCAATTTAATACAGAAACAGAAAATCAAATACTGCATGTTCTCATTATAAGTGGGAGCTAAAATATTGAATACACATGGACATAAACATGGGAATAATAGGTACTGTGAACTCCTAGAGAGGAGAAGGAAGAGGGTATGGGTTGAAAAACTTCCTACTGGGTACTGTGCTCACACTTTGGTGACAGGATTCTTACCCCAAACCTCAGCATTACACAATATGCCCATGTAACACACTTGCACTATACCCTCTGAATATAAAATAAACATTGAAATTTAAAAAATTATGTTTCAAATTTGGTCTTAAATGTATATAATTGTCAACATTCAGATCTTAGTATTGACCTTATAACTCCAAAGGTCTATAACAATGATGCATAAAAATGTGGAAATATGAAGTTATTCAAAATAAGCAAGTTCATACCAAAGAGGCAAGGACTTCAGAGATATAGAGAAAGACAGTAAGAAGGAAATACAACTCATTTCCTCCAAACTGACTGTGGATAGAGACAACTATTTATTTTAGTTATAATCCTCATGAACCAAATCACCTCATCCTAGGAGTGAAATAAAATAATCACAAAGAAACACAGTGTTTCCAAACATACCCTTCTGAATACTCTCGCCTTATCACCACCACCACCACCACCAGCATTAATATGCCTCCCAAATAGATCTTGGAATTCCCACAGGATAGCTCTTCTATGTTTCTATGTTGGACTAGTCTTAACAAGCCCAAGGCATTTTATGTTTTTCTCCCATTCTGCTCTGACACACTGTGGTGATGTCCTTGTCACATTCAAAACCATATGAATCTTTATTTCTATTGCTTGGTGGTGCCTCTACTTGGCTGTAAATGCCCCGTATCTAGAGAACTGATCATTCTAAATCTAGTCACATCCAAAGTAGTGCTTATCACTTAGGAAAACATTACAGCAGTCTTATATAGCTGCATAGTCCTCAAACACCAATGCTTTCTTTAGCCTAGGGTCATCTTTATAATATCCTGAATCCTTAGAGAATGAACTGAAGTACAAGCTAAGTGACAGATTCTATACTTAACTTGGAATCACCCTGACCTTCATTTATAGCCTTTAATATATAAATTAATACTTAATAACTTTTGCATTTTTACTAGGCACTTAATAACTTTTGGAATTTTTAAAAATTATTATACTTTAAGTTCTAGGGTACATGTGCACAATGTGCAGGTTTGCTACATAGGTATACATGTGCCATGTTGGTTTGCTGCACCCATCAACTCGTCATTTACATTAGGTATTTCTCCTAATCCTACCCCTCCCCCAGCCCCCTATCCCCCAACAAGTCCTGGTGTGTGATGTTCCCCTTCCTGTGTCCATGTGTTCTCATTGTTCGATTCCCACCTATGAGTGAGAACATGCGGAGTTTGGTTTTCTGTCCTTGTGAGTTTGCTGAGAATGATGGTTTCCAGCTTCATCCATGTCCCTGCAAAGGACATGAACTCATCCTTTTTTATGGCTGTATGGTATTCCATGGTTTATTTGTGCCACATTTTCTTAATCCAGTCTATCATTGATGGACATTTGGGTTGGTTCCAAGTCTTTGCTATTGTGAATAGTACTGCAATAAACATACATGTGCATGTGTCTTTATAGTAGCATGATTTACAATCCTTTGGGTATATAACCAGTAATGGGATTGCTGGGTCAAATGAAATTTTTAATTCTGGATCCTTGAGGAATCACCACACTGTCTTCCACAATGGTTGAACTAATTTACACTCCCACCAACAGTGTAAAAGCGTTCCTATTTCTCCACATCCTCTCCAGCATCTGTTGTTTCCTGACTTTTAATGATCAGCATTCTAACTGGCATCAGATAGTATCTCACTGTGGTTTTGTTTTGCATTTCTCTGATGACCAGTGATGATGAGCATTTTTTCATGTGTCTGTTGGCTGCATAAACTTTTGAATTTTTTACACAGGCACTGTTGTAACAGACTTTCAATAGATTATTTTATTTAGCCTTCCTGACAATATTATGAGTTAGATATTATTATCCCCATCTTAGAAACAGATAAATTGAGGTCTTTAGACTTGGTATTTCTTGCCCAAGTTAATACAGGTGTTAACCAATGGCTTTATATCCAAACAGTCTCATGCTGGACTACTCTAAACTACCAAACTACTTCTCATTCTTTAGGATAAACCGATCTGTCCCTGAAATGTGATGGCTATTTGGGCAAAAGACACATAAGCCTAGAACAGGTCCTACTTGACTCCATGGGAGCATATGTAGAAAACTGTGCCTCTGCTGGTCATTTGCATGATTGTAGGAAAACAGCCTGCTGCATGGCATGAGTGATGCCATCTTGATGCAAAACCACCATGATTACTGATGTTTGACCTCCACATACCAAGGTGTTCGGCATAAAAATCTATAAACAATGTCTGTAGTATAGATAACCCATGTAAAAACACTTATCCAACTTCCCCCATGATCACGAACATTAGCAAGAAAGTCTGAAGACATGGTCAGCTGCCTATGTTTTACCCTAAAAACTTGCTATACACAGAACACTTTTTGGAAGGTGAGTGTGGGGATCTACCATGTCACAACTGCCTGAGTTATTATTGCTTCTGTTTTTCTCTAGTAAATGTTTCATTCCCAGAAGCTGGATGTGTTAGCCTCTTTCTTTGGACTCTCAGCTCCCGCAGTCTTTGGGGTTAGATTTGTATATGCCTGCTCACTGTGGAACAGTGGTCTTTGGAAAACTTTTCCTGAGAGTGTCTAGTTTCCAAAAGTATGACCAAAATGGCAGGCTCCTCTCTCCCCTGGATGGTAAGAAATCAGATTTGCCTTGTTTTCTTCGCCTTGCAAAGAATTAATGCATCCCAGCATGTTCCTGAGATGGGAGACAAATTTCTGTGATCTCTCCTTTGACCCTTTTACTTCCCACTGGACAAATAGTGTGTCTGATCATAGTATTTCTACAATTCCAGCAATCCTTTGACAGAATGTCTTTCCTTCAGTCATATGGGCTAGTCTCTGGGTACAATGTAGAAAGTGAAGTGTCAGTGAGCCTGGGATATGTTAGGCTTCTAGCTTCTAGAGAAGCTCTCTCCCTGTTAGTTGAACTACTGAATATGCAATGAAAGGTGATGTCAAATTTCTCAGAATAGATGTACCGCTTTGTCTTATAGAAACTGAGTTGTTATGTGTGCCTGAACAGGAGTAGTCTGAAAGAAAAAGACCAAAGTAAATGTAAGGGAAAAAAAATCACTGAAAAGTAGAGAATACAGAGGAAGAAGAAGAAGAAAAAGAAGGAGGAGGAGGGAGGGAGGAGGGGGGAGGAGGAGGAGGAGGAAGGCAAGGGGGAGGAGGAGGAAAGAATAATCAAACCAAACCTAATATTCTCAGAGAGATAATAGGAATCCATTTCTTTAAAGAAAGAACTAGATGTTATGATTAAGAAGCAAAGTGTAAGAAAAAACTTCTATTAAAGAAATATATACATGTACTCATGTGTGTATATTTGTGATTTTTAATCAAAATAATAGATTGAGAATCACATTAATATATCCAAAATAGTAGAGCAAAAAACAAAGTGAAGGAAAAGTAGAAGAGAAAAAAATAGAAAATTAAAGAATCAATAGTGATTCAACATCTAATAAGCAGAGCAAAGAAAGGGAAAATGGAGAAAAAATTGAGAAGAAATTATTGAAATGATAACTTATAAATTTCCCCAAACCTGAAGGAGTAGAGCCTCCTAATTGAAAAGATTAACATAATTTTCTACAGAGCGAAAAATAATAATAATCAAGGACAAAATGCATCATCATAACATCTCAGAACATGATAGATTTTAAAAATTCTAAAAATGCTTTAAAAATTAAAATAGGCAACCAAAAGAATTTACAAATCAGTTTTTAAGTAGATTTAATAACAACACAGCAAAGACATTATAGCAGTGCTTTCAAAATTCTAGGGGAAAATAATTTTTAGTCTAGAAGTCCAAATGCATCTAAATGCACCAATCAAATGTAAAACAACAAATTTCTTTCTCATTGTTTTTTCTTAGAAACCCACTAGGAGATATGCCTCTCAGGATGGAGAGATACTAACATAGAAAAAAGAAAAAAAGAATTCCCATAATATGGGAAACGGAGTCCCAAAATGGCATTTGTGCATTTGGTCTGGAAATTTACCAGTCCAGATAGGAGCAGGACTGAGTTCTCTGGGTTGCTGGCCACCATGGAAACAGCAAACTGATAATTACTTTATATGCTGACATTTTGGAAACACTTTTAACATGCTTATATGGCTTCAGTGAAGCACAGGGAAAAATATAAATACATAGCAAATTAGGCAAATAGACATTATCCTAAGTGAATTAACACAGGAACAGAAAACCAAATACGGCATGTTCTCACTCATAAGGGAGCTAAACATTCGGTACACATGGACATAAAAATGGCAACAATAGAATTCGGGTACTACTAGAGGCAGGAGGAGGGGGACAAGGGTTGAGAAACTATTGAGTACTATGCCCACTACCTGGATGATGGGATTAATCGTACTCCAAACCTCATTATCACACAGCATACCCATATAACAAACCTGTAGAGGTACCCCCAAATCTAATATAAAAGTTGTAATTATTTTTTACAAAGAAAAGAAAAAAAAACACAAACTGAATAATATTGAGTCTAAGAGAAAAGATGTAAGACTGTTCTAATAACTAAAAGTGATAAAGAGTTATGAATTGAACTGTGGTATCATGAAAGGAACTCATTTTCAAGTGGGGGCAAAGTTGAATATAATGCAAATAATGGGGAAAATTGGAGAAATAACAATAACAAAAAAATTGGCAAATACAAAAATTATTAATTCTAAGAAATCAAAAGTTGCACTTCTTGACCCTGCAGTGAAAATATTTACTTAGTCCTTAAATATAAACAGTAATGAATGGCATAACCTAAACTGTAATGTAACCTTATTAAAAAGAAGAAGGGAAAGGAAATAAATGTGTCAAGAAAGATGACGCAACAGAGTCTCTCCTCAACTATACAACCAGAGATCTTTGATCTTTGATAAACACGTGAAATTAAGAGTGGTATGAGAATATTTAGAGGAACCAAACAGGTAAGTACCAAGGAAAATTAAAACGTGGGAAAGAGTTGTAACCAGCTCTCTCTGAGCAGCAGGACCAAGGGTTGGTGCAGGAGATAGTTTTTCCCTATAAACCTCTGAGAACTGCTTGATGCAACTATGTTTCTACTTTACTATAGAAAAAATGTAAATTCTAAATTGTTATGAAGTTTAATAATTTTACTGTTTATAACAGACAAGTCCAATTGTTTTTACTCACTTAAAAAATAGAAGTTTTTAAAGGCACTTATAATGAGTGGTATAATGTTGTTTTAGCTTTTGTTTTTTTACTTGTAACATTATTTTTGATGCTCCAGAAATTTAAAATAGTTAATAAACGTACCAAAATTGATAATAAGAGTATCAGGAAAAAGAAAGCATCAATCAAAAGATGAGTAACTGGGGCAGGGAGAGTAGGAGACTGGAGAATGAGTACAACTACATGATATTCCAATGTAGGCACTACCATAATGTATTTTTCTTACTATCACTGGTGTTATTAGTTTTAATATTTATTGAGTACTTGCCATCCACCAGACATCATACTAATTATTTTATATACATTCTTTCCACAATATCTCTAAATACTATTAAAACTCTCACACTAATGACTTTCTACCACATTGCCTTCTTTTATTTCCTTCTTAGCAACTATAACTCTCTGAATTGATGCTGTCTTTTTGTTGGAGTTTTTTTAAATTTGTTTATTGTTTGTCTACAATGTAAGTTTCATGAGAGTAGAGACCTAGTCTGTGTTATTTATTACCTGGAGCACAGTAGGCACTCAGTAAATTTTGCACAAACAATGGATGAAGTTGACAAAATCAAGCTGGAAAGAGGTTCAATTTGTTACTCAAGATGAGTACTTAAAACAGAAATATGTTCAGATGCTGAAAGAAGTTTAAAATATATAAAAATAATTATTGTTAAATTATGTATAATATTTTCCAATGTGTGTGTATGTGTGAATGTGTATTTGTATACGAAATATAAAAGTTTGAAAGTATATAAGATAGTAATATTGAATATCACAGAATAAAGGGCCAGACAAATTTTTTGTCTTCTCTTTTATTCTAATTTACCTACAATTAACATAACTTGTATAATAAACATAATACAATTTTGTAAAATGTTTTTGAAAAAACCACATGCTACAGTGTTTCCTAGTCCACTTGAGGACCAAATGTAACACGATGGCCTCATTATCATAGCATGATTAATTAAGCAGCTGAAATATAACCAATACTCAACCAAGTCAAAGGATCGAGCTCTCTTTAAAGAATCTTCTTAAAATATACTCAGGATCCAGTGCTGAAGTTGACTCTTTTACATAATCAAAATCACCTACTGAAGTTATGTATACATAGGTACAATTATGTATTGCTTTGGCTTAGGGGTCCCATCAATGATTGACAGATATTCCTCACTATCAGTTCTCGAAGAAACCAAAGGTATCCTGTGTTCCATTTTCTCATTCAAGTCAAAATCCATTTGCTCTAAGTTTTATTTTTTGCTTTCATTCTTAGTTTTGCCTTTTTTTAAATATGGTTTAGTTTCTTTTCCTTGCTGCTCTTTGTTCTTTCTGCATCCTTTTTCATGAAACTGCCATCTTTCGAGACCTAAATGAACTGGTTAGTGTGGTCATGAAAATTCCCTTATAACCTTTCTTTATAAATCAATCTGTTCCTCTCTAAAGCTAGTGTTGATGGCCCAGATTCAGTTCACCATGCACTAATACAGAGATTGTTTACTTAATGGACTGAAACATAATAAAAATTTTTCTCCTCACCTCATTTGACCTACAAGTAAGCTTTCATTTTCAGCTTTCACTTTTTTTTATTGCCTTTTTTGTCTTGCTTGTAATAATATAAATCTGGTTAGGCTAGCTGGTGTGTCAATTCCTGTTAATAAAATAAACCATTTCTTCTCATAACATATGTTTTCACATCATTAAACCAGTAGGGAGCATTTACCCAATGTTATGTATTATTGCTCAATTTATACAATTAAATGTTTGAATGATTATATATATGTATAATATACACATACAGAAAACACCAGGGTAGGCATGGGGAATACTATTATAAACTATGTTCAATTAAGAACTAACCGTCATGTAAAAATGTAAGAATATATTTTCACAATTCGCTGAAGCACATTTTTTATAGATAAACACAACAGCATATAAAATGTGTAATAATCCTGCAAAGGCTGAATGAGATGGTAGAGAATGGAGCAGGCTCTTTTGTTACCCATGTAGAACAGCTGTGTGATCAACTACCCAACTGCCTTTTGGGAATGAAGCCAACTCTGAGACCAGGCACACCAGGTGATAATCTAACAGATGCAGCAGGAGCTCCACCTACTCGCTGCACTGAAACACAGACATTATCACCTAAAAACAAACAAAATAGCAGCCTGTGTGAGGAGAATAGTATTAAACAAGCAAAACAGAAATGGACATCAGGTCCCTTTTAGGAAGTCAGGATTTTGATGGCCTATCAAGTAAAGAGAAATAGCAAATTAAATAATTTCTTCATTTTAAAAGAAAGAATCTGCCTCTTCTCTTTTATTATACTATTCGTAACTCAATCAAATAATATAGATTAGGTAGCCTATAAAAATGATTCCACATGCAGATGAAGTTGTTTTCCTATGTTAAATATTATTTGGAAGGAAATTAAGTGATTTCAGCAGAGGAGAATTAAGTGAATACAGATGACTTGTATAATGGAAGAAATAAATCACATTAGATCCCCTAAGTAGAAAAAATAAGTGACTTTATTTTATTCTTAGGAGCCAGAATGCCAAAGTTATATTTTTTCCTGTTCAGACATTGATTTTTCAGAATTGCCTACAGCATGTAATAACCTTTCTACTTTAGTATCCTTATGCAGAAAATTGGGATTATATGTTTTATTAGTTTGAGTTTATCGCTAGAGTGGTGAAGGGATGAATTATTTTATTTATCTGTATTGATACATTTTGTAAAAGTCATTTTGAAATTCTTCCAAGAATCAGCCATCCCATCTTTGATAATCAGTTGTTCTTTTTTAAATGGTTGTTGAAATTTATTATAATTTATTTTATTTTTTCCATTGGTAAACAAAACTTCTGAAGGAAAACCTTGAATGCAACTCAATTAAATCAATGTTAATTTTTGCAAGGAACATATTTATTTAAATGTTTATTTTTATTTTTATTACAGTATCACACAAATTTTAGCAAGACAAATCAAACATTCTGGAAATTAGGTCTGATAGATTCAGCCTTTACAGGTTGGATGTATTGTTAGCATTTTTCTTGCAGAGAGTTAATCTTTTCCCCAGTATCTCACACAGCTAAAGCTAAAATGAACGTGCAACTTTCTGAGGCTTTCCCAACGGAACAATGTGTATCACATAGCAACAGCTGCCGAGGAGAAAACCACACAGCGAGCTTAAGTTTTTTCCCTCTTGTAAAGATGATTACATCCAATTGCAGGAAATGTATGCAACATCAATACTGTCTTAAACATGTTCTACTTGTATGTCTATGTTACTGCATTTAATAACTATTATCAGATGTTACATTTTGCATTTCCAAAGAATTTTTACATCTGTTAAATAGCCCTATGAGAGCAGGTATGATTACTCCTGTTTCACATCTGGGAAAGCTGATATTCATAGGATGTGGGTGTCTCGATGAAGATCAGAAGGCTGGACTTACACAGAATCAGAACTAGCGTTATTACTCAGTTCTCTTTTTACCATACTTTGCTATGTAGTTCATATGTATACTGACCTACATGGTTTATTGATGGTTTATTTTCTTAAGATTTGACACACCAGCTAGTCTAACCAGATTTATATTATTACAAGCAAGACAAAAAAGGCAATAAAAAGAAGTGAAAGCTGAAAATGAAAGCTTACTTGTAGGCCAGCATGTATATAGTTCATGTGTATGTTAACAAAAAATAAAACATAATAGGAGTACAACGTTACATACTAACATGCTATTTTATAATCCACTGGGTCATATGTATTGTGGAGAGAAGCATTATGTCTATTGATTGTCCTAATTTCTATGTCACCATAGTGCAGTTTTGTTTTTGTCTTGTAAATGATGGTGGTTTGGAACTACTGCTAATTGCTAATGCTCCTGGATACATTTGGCAGTAGTCTCAGGCAAGCAACCCACAACAAGCAAATTAAATCGTTAACAGTAGTTTTTTCTAAGAGCTTACGGTATGAATGACAAAGGGATTGTGGATGCCAAACAATTTAAATAAAAATATAAGAGATTATAGTTTATGTAAAGAAACATAAACATCTTAGAGCTTATACTACAATGGACAGCAATAAAGAGACTCAACCTCTTGCTAGAGTTGAAATATCATGAGCTTTGAGGAAAAAAAAAAAATCCCTGAATTTGAAAGACTTGCTATTTGATATGAAGGCAAACACTTCATAATCAGGCCAGGAGGGCATTCCAGGCATAGTGTGTGAGATAATCATAGGCAGATGTGGGATGAATGGATCAAGGAATTTAGTTTACTCAAAAGCAGCACCCATCTCATTAGGAATAACATAAATAATGACCAGGAAAATGGGAGATATCAGAACTTTTTCATCTACAGCTCTGGAGCAGTTCGCTACTTTGTATTTCACTTTCCCCCTTATTCGTTTTGTTTTATGCCATACTTATTCTCTACATAGTGCCAACTTTACTTACATATTTGGCAATTTTTGCCTCATAAGCTATTGGTGATGAGCCAGAAACAAGGTAGACAGCTGAAGAAATGGTACAAAAGAAGTACATAACCACACACACACACACCAGACTCCTATTTGTTCAGTTCAGAGACACCTTTCAATGTCATCAAGTGCCAATGCCTTTATCTTATCACATTCACCACACCACATCCCACCCCTATACCTGTATCCACCTTTGCCTGCTTAAACATCGTTCAAGTAAGCCTTCCCTAACCCTCACAGACTGGACAACAAACCCCTGCTAAATGCTTTGATCATGTCCATAATTGTCTTCCACAGCTGATAGTCATTATATAATTTTGCAATTGGAAATGGTAATTGTATACCAATGTAATTTAAAAAAAAAATCTGCCAATCGTTCAATAAAATTCCTGAGTTTTTTTTTAGACTGTAAGCTTTATGAGAAACAATGAAAGGTGTGTTTTGATTGACACTACTTCAGCATCTTGCAGAGTGGATGAATACATACTTGTCGAATAATTGAGCTTGTTCCAAGGATAATTCTCAAGTTGAGAGAGAAGTGGAGGTATGGAAGAGAGATAAGAGCCAATAAGATAAAGAAGAAAACCAGATTCACTTACTCGTTTGTATTTGTATAATTGTCAGTTCAATGGCTAGTATATGGTAAAAATAGTAAAAAAAAAAATAGTAAAGAGGTTTACTATTAAACTTTACTATTAAACCCCTTTTTACTATTAAACCCCTTTATGATTTTTACCATATATCAGAGTCCCTTTTTAAATGAGCTTTATTTTACAGGGCTTAGAGCATAATTTTCTTATTTGCATGATTACAGAAATTTACAGTTGCATATATTATTGAGTTTACAGGTTATAAGTGTCTTTTTTGCCCTTGGTCAAGAAGGAGACCCACAATTATGACACTGCTTCTCTAAAAAAATTATCTGTGATCTACATAACTGTAATCTGTATGAAAACATGGTCCCCCATGGATTCTCTGGGAAGAATAGAAAGAACTTGTCTATGGGTAAGAATGCAGATTGTCAACCATAAATTAGTGCAAAGCCCTTCGGAGCCTAAACAAAGGTATTGAGGCAGTAAAATAGGGTCTGGAGGCAGGGAACATAAGGCTGATTCACACTTCAGCTATGACAGGAAATATTCTCTCCATAGGGCATAGGCCAAGTAAATGACTGTAACTTCACTTCATCCTCTTCATTTACATAGGCTGTACCCCAAGAAGAGGGTATTTAAACCCCCAAAAATTCTGTAATGGGGCCCTTGAGCCCCTATGCTTGGGCTGGCTCCCACCCTGTGAAGTATACTTTCATTTTCAATAAAGCCCTTCATTCCTTCCTTGCTTTGTTTGTGCTTTTTGTCCAACTCTTTGTTCAAGACGCCAAGAACCTGGACACCCTCCACCAGTGACAGTATGACTAGGGAAAGGATGAGTAGAGAACATGATTTTGGAAATTCAGAGAGAGACATGAAACTTGGGAAACATAGCTTGAAAATGTGGGTTGAGAAAGCAGTACAAATGAGTTCTATCTTGCAAACTTTAGAATAATAAAGATACAAATAATAGCCCAAACCAAAGTATTATTTTATATGCATGCTCAACTGGAATCTTCTTAACCTAAAATGTCATTGAAAATTTAATACATGTAGGGTTTTCCTCCCATCTTTAGCTTTTTGCCTAGAGAAATGGGCACCTTGTAAGTTGCTATCAAGTAGGAGATTCTTTAAATTGCAAACAATGCTGCTTGAAAAGCACTAGGAAGAAGAATGTGTCATTCAATGCATCATTTATTTATTGAAAACATTTATTAGGCATCTATTATATGCCTAATGCATAGATGTAAATGTTTGACTCACGTAGACACAGTTATTGTCTTCATAGATCTTATAGCAAAGAGTGGCAGATATGAAACAAATAATTACTCAATTAGTCATTTCATAACAATAGTGTTAAAGCTGGCTGAGTGGTGCATGCCTGTAATCCCAACACTTTGGGAGGCTGAGGCAGGATAATCACTTAAGAATCACTTTGATCATATCCTTTGTCCACTTTTTCATGGGGTTGTTTGTTTTTTTCTTGTACATTTGTTTGAGTTCTTTGTAGATTCTGGATATTAGCCCTTTGTCAGATGAGTAGATTGCAAAAATTTTCTCCCATTCTGTAGGCTGCCTGTTCACTCTGATGGTAGTTTCTTTTGCTGTGCAGAAGCTCTTCAGTTTAATCAGATCCCATTTGTCAATTTTGGCTTCTGTTGCCATTGCTTTTGGTGTTTTAGACATGAAGTCCTTGCCCATGCCTATGTCCTGAATGGTATTGCCTAGGTTTTCTTCTAGGGATTTTATGGTTTCAGGTCTAACATTTAAGTCTTTAATCCATCTTGAATTGATTTTTGTATAAGGTGTAAGGAAGGGATCCAGTTTCAGCTTTCTACATATGGTTAGCCAGCTTTCCCAGCACCATTTATTAAATAGGGAAGTCTTTCCCCATTTCTTGTTTTTGTCAGGTTTGACAAACATCAGATGGTTGTAGATGTGTGGCATTTTTTCTGAGGGCTCTGTTCTGTTCCATTGATCTATATCTCTGTTTTGGTACCAGTACCATGCTGTTTTGGTTACTGTAGCCTTGTAGTATAGTTTGAAGTCAGATAGTGTGATGCCTCCAGCTTTGTTCTTTTGGCTTAGGATTGACTTGGCAATGTGGGCTCTTTTTTGGTTCCATATGAATTTTAAAGTAGTCTTTTCCAATTCTGTGAAGAAAGTCATTGGTAGCTTGATGGGGATGGCATTGAATCTATAAATTACCTTGGGCAGTATGGCCATTTTCATGATATTGATTCTTCCTATCCATGAGCATGGAATGTTCTTCCATTTGTTTGTGTCCTCTTTTATTTCATTGAGCAGTGGTTTGTAGTTTTCCTTGAAGAGGTCCTCCACATCCCTTGTAAGTTGGATTCCTAGGTATTTTATTCTATTTGAAGCAATTGTGAATGGGAGTTCACTCATGATTTGGCTGTCTGTTTGTGAACAGACACTTCTCAAAAGAAGACATTTATGCAGCCAACAAGCACATGAAAAAATGCTCATCAGCACTGGCCATCAGAGAAATGTAAATCAAAACCGCAATGAGATACCATCTCATACCAGTTAGAATGGCGATCATTAAAAAGTCAGGAAACAACAGGTGCTTGAGAGGATGTGGAGAAATAGGAACACTTTTACACTTTTGGTGGGACTGTAAACTAGTCCAACCGTTGTGGAAGTCAGTGTGGCAATTCCTCAGGGATTTCTAGAACTAGAAATACCATTTGACCCAGCCATCCCATTACTGGGTATATACCCAAAGGATTATAAAACATGCTGTCATAAAGAGACATGCACATGTATGTTTATTGTGGCACTATTCACAATAGCAAAGACTTGGAACCAACCCAAATGTCCAACAATGATAGACTGGATTAAGAAAATGTGGCACATATACACCATGGAATACTATACAGCCATAAAAAATGATGAGTTCATATCCTTTGTAGGGACATGGATGAAGCTGGAAACCATCATTCTTAGCAAACTATCACAAGGACAAAAAACCAAACACCACATGTTCTCACTCATAGGTGGGAATTGAACAATGAGAACACATGGACACAGGAAGGGGAACATCACACACCAGGGCCTGTTGTGGCGTGGGGGGTTGGGGGAGGGATAGCATTAGGAAATATACCTAATGTTAAATGACAAGTTAATGGGTGCTGCACACCAACATGGCACATGTATACATATGTAACTAACCTGCACATTGTGCACATGTACCCAAAACTTAAAGTATAATTAAAAAAAAAAAAAAAGAATCACTTTGAGACCAGCCTCGGCAACATAACAAGGCCCCATCTCTATTAAAAAAAAATAAAATAGGGCTGGGTGCTATGGCTCATGCCTGTAATCCCAGCACTTTGGGAGGCTGAGGTGGGCGGATCACAAAATCAGGATTTTGAGACCAGACTGACTAACATGGTGAAACCCCGTCTCTACAAAAAATACAAAAATTAGCTGGGCATGGTAGCAGGCACCTGTAATCCGAGCTACTTGGGAGGCTGAGGCAGGAGAATCGCTTGAACCTGGGAGGCAGAGGTTGAGGTGAGCTGAGATCACACCGCTGCACTCCATCCTGGGCAACAGAGTAAGACTCTGTCTCAAAAAAAAAAAAAAAAAAAAAAAAAGCAAGGCGTGCGTGCACACCTTTAGTCCCAGCTACTCAGGAGGGTGAGGCACTTGAGATCAGGAGTTTGAAGTTACAGTGAGCTATGATAGTAACAGTGCACCCCAGTCTGGGCAACAGAGCAAAACTCTGTCTCTAAAACAATCTTTTGTGAAAATAGTGTTAATCCTATGGAAGATAAGTAGAGAGCATTGTGAAAGTTTATTGGAAAGACACCTGACCTGGACTGGGAGGAGGTGATTTATCCAGGCATCTTGAGAGAGTTGTATTTCAGTTGAGACCTGAGGAATTAGTAAAAATTAATTAATGTTATTTGGCCAGACAGCATCTAAATCTCTGTTATTTATTTGACAAATTTGCCACTTAATGAGTTGTGAAGGTGGCCGACTCCACCGCAGCCAACAGAAACTAAAAATGTCAGATACTCATTTTCCCAACATTTTTTATGGTTAAAGCATGGCTACATTTATACAGGCTCTGCCATCAAGACATAACCATAAAAGACCGAATGGGGAGCAAGTGCCACAAAATGAATAGGGACTAGACGGAATGTTGTGTAGGTATCTGCTAATTCAGCAATAACAAATTCCTTGGGCAACAGGCTTAGCAGGGTAAACAGCACATATGGGGCTTGGTGTTGAGGACAACGTTGTCTACTCTTCAGAGAGTCTAGAGTGATTGGAGATGTGGTTCCTCGTTGCATGGCCACAAGCTTTAACCTCTAAAGATCTCCCAATAATTCTATGAGCCTCCTAACATCTTTTAATAATTTTTTTCTTCTTAATTTAGAGTTGGATTTTGTTATTTACAATTAGGCAAAGAAGTTGGAGAGAGTGAACAAGAGATTCCTGGTAGAGGCCAGAGTGAATGTGTGCTGCAGCCCAAGCATCCTGGGTAGGTGTGAGGGAGAGTGTGACAGATGAGGCCGGTGCAATGGGCAGGGACCAGGGAAGGCAGGGCCTTGCGGCCATGAAAAGGATTAACAATGAGAAGTCACTAAAGAATCTTAAGCATGCACAAAGCATGATAACATTACATTTTAAAAAGTGATTCAAAGATGGGAAACTGTATGTTTGAAATTACTATGGCTAGACAAAGGAAATGACTGTGGAAGTGCAGATCAATAGCTGGATTTCAAACATGCTGTGAAATAAAATAGTCTTTGGCAAGAGGTCAGATGTGTAAGAGTAGAGCGTTTTACTTACACAACAACTTGCTACTTGTTCAACGAAAGTGGATGACAGATGGAGAAATTTCAATATAAATGTATTTGTGGCTGATTTGATTTGCATATATTCTGCTCAGCCAAATGTAGTCAGGGGAAGCACATAGTTAGTATACAGGCTG
Source organism: Homo sapiens (assembly GCF_000001405.40). NCBI lineage: Eukaryota > Metazoa > Chordata > Mammalia > Primates > Hominidae > Homo > Homo sapiens. The sequence goes on from NC_000012.12 coordinate 82,183,114, forward strand.
ATATTTCTACTGTTCTCTTAGCCCAAAATTAATAGATTAAATTTCTCTTTGTTTTATGCTGTCATTCTTTGGTACATTATAACATTGTGTCATCTCTTCAACATCAATTTAATCCTTTTTTTCTTGCAATGGGGAAAGAGCTGAAGGCATTAATTGGTTCTAGAAAGGTACAAAAGACATTCACAGGTTATATAAATAAAAGGGTTGAGAATCAGCTTGGTTGACACTTACTGTGTCTCAGCAATGAAATCCAATTATCAGTAATAGAAGAAGAATAGGAATTACTTATTCCTACTATTAAGTAAAAATAAGTAAAATGTTCTAACAGTTGAAAGTTCTTCCATTGTCTTCTATTTATAATGCTGAAGAACTCAACGTCTATAGGTTCATTTGATATTTACAACCATCAGTGGAGTCCAATGTCTCATCATACTTTCTCACTGAGACCTATTTTATCTAACTGTATGCCCTTATCTGTAGTCCTACAGCACCATAAGGACATCTCTAACACATGTGGGCATAGGGCATGATAGTGTTGGTTTATCTAAGTCTTCCTAGAGTGCAGAAACCATAGATCCTATAAGATGAGATGCAGCGTCTCTGGCACACTTGAGTTCAATAGCCTTTATCGTTGACCTGAATGACTCATACTTACATACTCTGGCCCCACATTTTTAGTTTTCCATTTTCCATCCTTTTGTAAAATTGATACTCTGCCTTTGTATTCTGACTTCTGATCTACCATCTCTAAGTCTGACCTATGGGCTATGTATGTTCTTGCTTAATGTCATGTATCTGGCTCCTTACCTTTTCTAGCACCAGTCTTGATCTGTTATATAATTCTCTGGTACTTGTTTGTGAAATTTACATTCCATTATGGTAAGAAGCCTTAGGAAAAAAAATTTAATTATGATCTTAATTAGGTTATGTATGCCCATCCTGCACTGTTTACAATAGGCCAAAAATATGTATGATAAAAAACAACTTTCCATTTGGGGGCAAGGAGGTAGTTAGGAACAGGTAGAACACATGGAATTTTTAGAGTAGTATAACTATTCTGTATGATACTGTAATAGGAGATACGTGTCATTACACATTTATTAAAACCTATAGAATGCACTACCAAGAGTGAGCCATAATGTACATAATGGACTACAATTAATAATAATTTATCTATATTGGCTCATCAGTTGTAACCAATGTACCACAGTAATGCAAGATGTTAATAATAGGGGAAGCTGCTGGTTGCAGTGAATGGCATATGGGAACCTTGTATACTTTCCAAACAATTTTTCTGTAAACTGAAACTACTTTAAAAAATAAAGTTTATTCTCCTTGAAGTCTGGGTATTTTTTTAGTTAAAAAAATTTTAAAATAAAGTTTATTAATTTTTAAAAAACTAAAACTTTCTCTCCCATTTTGTGTTCCAGCCACCTAGTTTGTTTGCCTATAAGCAGTGTGTTCACAGAATGCTTTATATTCTATCAATACATTAAAATTCATAATGACAATTAGCCAGCAACTATAAGTGCCACTTTTAAAACTGAAAGCATGGTTTACTACAAGAAAGCAAAAATGCTCCTTGCCACTGCTCTTCCTTTAGTTCTATCATAGCTCCAAGTTCCTTTCCACCCCAGAGGCTTTGCTTAAGTTTTGCTTCTACTTGAATAAATTTCTGCAGGCTAGACGAGAATCCATTATTCACTTTCACTTTTCACAATGATTTTCTTGGTAGTACATATCATAATTACATATTAATTCACATAATTATTTTCTGTAATGTCTGTCCACCGTCTTGGACAAATCTGGCAAACTGGTCTTCTATGGAAACATTTGCTTAAATTCAACATTTTAAAAGTGATAAATTAGGCAGATGTAAATGTTGTTTTTAAATAACAATACAAACAGCTTGATATACCTATTGCACAATAACAAATCTGCTTTCTCATATATATTACTGTCAGGTGGTTTCTGCTAGACATTAGATCTGTGACCCCCAGATTCTAATGTGAGTTTTATGCAGACCAGGAATGACATCTGTAGAATTCTAGGTTGTGTCTTTCCTCAATTCTTTATATATTGACATCATTAGGCAGGGCAATTTCATGGTATAACCTCAGGGGGCTCCATTTACATAATAACCTAGAGCACAACTCACACTAACTTACAAAGCGGTCCTGAGAATAGGCCCTCAGTAAATATCTATTAAATGAAATAAAAACAACACAATCATTATACAAAAGGGCAGAAATTATTAAATTATTAAATTGGCCTTTTTCTAAATGGAATAATGTAAAGTTTATTTGATTTAGTGTGTGTTCGAGTCAACATTATTTCTATTCAATGTGGTATATCGGGTCATTGTTCCCAATTCTTCAGTATTACCCTGTAATGGTAATACCCTGCAATAGAACATCCATACTATGTGGTTTTTCAGTACCTTCCTTTGATGCGGTGCATATGTTTCCACTCTGCTAAAGTTTGGCTCAGCTAATTGATCTGCCAGGGCAGGTAGGACAGAAGTGGAGAAACGTACATCGAATGCTATGAAAAACTGAAAAGGTGATTATGACATTTGGCTTAGGCTTCTGGAATTTTTACCCTCTGCCATGAGAAAAATATGCCTATGTGTCTATTTTCTGTTCAGCCTGAATGCGGAAGTGCAGCATGTGAGGAAGACCTAAATCCAACCAAAGCTAGGAATCCAGCCTAGGGACATCCAAGCACAGAGGAGCTCAGCCAAGACAAACCCAGCAGCAGTTGATCTGGAGACTCATGAGTGAGAAAAATTAATGTTTATTGTTAGAAGCCATTGAAATTATTGGGTTGCTTATTACCAGCATTATCTCAGTTAAGAAAAAAATGAGAAATGACAAAGTGTACTTCAAAAGTACCAAAAATAGTACTAAAAAATAGGCAGGGCTCCCTGCTGATGCCCTCAGCAATGTTAAATAGTTCAGCACTAATTTTTAATTTTGGTGAAAGAATTTTTTTTTGGAATTTGTACACTCATTTTTAAAAGCAGGTCAATATTTCTTTATAGCCCTTTATTTATTCTGCCTTTAATAAAATAAAGTTCACTTATATCAATCCAATCTTTCCAAACTAAGCCATTCTGAAGGATAAAAAAAAAATTTTGCATAATTATAGAATGCTTATGTTTTAAACTACTTAGTTTTATAAGCACCAGTGAGTAAACAAACATCACATGATAAAAACAGCAAAGTCACATTAAAGGTGTTTATTCAATATACACAAAACAAAAGAATAAAATCAAAATACAGAAGTTGTTTATCATTTAAATCAATTGTCAAACCTGTTGTAGGTATAGGATTGACGCCAAAATAACAGTGATTTCCGTTTACTCTGACAAGCAGCATCATAAGGCATTTGTGTACATGATTTCTAGTGTTCTCAATAGCTCTGCAGAGGAGACATTATTATTTCTACTTTAGAGCTGAAGATACTGAAGCTTGAGGAGGTGTGAAGTGATCTGTATGAGAACACGTATCCACTAAACGAGGGCTTCAGTAAAAACGATTTGTCTGACATCACGACCACAGCACAACTCACACACTGCCCTAAGATCATTTCTCTTTTAATACTTCCAAATACCCACATATTCATAAAAATGTTTGCTGAGTCGAATCGAAAGTGGACAGGTACACAATTCATCAGGAGATAAGTTAGCAAAAGCAGCCACTTTACCTCTTTAACTACGTTTCTTCTACAGTAAAAGTAAAATTGTTCCCTTAAAGTCCATCAAGGTGATCAATATTGTTTTTATTTAGTGTAGACTTTCTCTGTTTGCTTTTTATGAAAAATAGGACATTTACCAGGTCCTCAGCATCCATACCTTGATACCTCTTGCACCGGCCAACTTCTTAATCCAAACATTCTGCCTAATATAAACAGTTCTGCAGTCTAGCATGGAATAATGGTTTTTCAGGAGCAATTCCTTTAGACAATTAGAAGCTTCTTCATGATTTTTTTCTCATATTATATGCTGCCATATGGTAACAAGAGTCTACCCAGCATAGCATATGGAAAACTTGCCATGCATGGGAAAACATTAAAGAAAAAATATAGAAACAAGTGATGTTGCCATTGCTCATACCACTGCATAAGAAAATTGCTTGCCACTGGTGCCAAAGCATAAGTAGTTTAACATATCTCTTATGTGTGATTTCTATTTTATGTTTAAGTCTGGGTTACTAAGTAATACCCTGCCAGTATTGATCCCTATTTTGATACTAGTTGAACAAAAATGTTTTTATACCTGATTAGTGGCCTAGCATGGCCAATCCAGAATGCTTTCTCTCTCCTCCTTGGGAAGCCTCTTCTATTCTTAATTTTCATTTATATCACCAATGAATTAGTTTCTCACAGTTAGTATTTTCAAACCATTCTCATTTCAAACCATTCTCAATTACTTCTTCTCCCTCACCTCTCATGTCCAACCAGACAAAAAAAATCCCATCAGTTTTATTTAATACCTTTGAATGTAGCTTGTCTTTTCAATCTTATTGCCTTTACATTCAAGCACTTATTCTTACTTCAAAAACTGGAATTACTGTCTGTTTTCTCCTACCTAGACCTAGTATTTCCTCTCATCAATCCAAAGTCAAGCGCAGCTAGAGTTACGTTTCAGAGAACAATATAGATCAAGTCACTTCTGTCTTTCAAAATTTCTGTTTGACAGATAGTAAGGAATTAGACCTAAAATTATTAGCATAACAGCTCAGGGCTTCATCATCCAATACAAATGAATCACATTTTCATGAGCACTACACTCCCAGAAGACCATTTTTCTCACCTTTTCCTCAGACACATCAGATGATCTTGTATCTTTCTATCTCCTGTAAACTAATCCTCCTGTGCCCTAGAAGGTCCTTGATCCACCATCTTACCTTGCAAATTCCAGCTCATATGTGAAGTGTCTTCCCCAAGGATGATTAATTGCTTCTTCCATTCCTTCATAGCTCATAGAGGGTACTGTCAGTTATCTGTTTATAAGTCTGAGTAAACCTTTCTGAGAAGTCCAGGGCAGAGATAAACCTTATGTCTGACAACTTAAAAGGCACTTAGCGGATAATTGCTGAATAAATAAGAGAGAAAATCAAATAATTAGTGCTTAACTGTATCTGTTTTATAGAGTTCTAATTTCAACACATACGGAGTTATTTAAAGTTGACTTCGAAAACTGTAAGTTAAATTAGTTTGGGAGACCTGGGGATTGATCCAACCTGCCCATCACCACCAACACCTACACATGCTATCTGGGAACCTGAGGACAGGCCTATCCTGCCCACAGCTGCCACCACTGGTGCCTGAGGACCAGCCGAGGAAAGCCTCCAGCATTGGTGTCTCTATCTTCAGCAAAGCCTCACCACAGCCTCCAATAAAAACTGCAGTTACAGAGATGACTGACATTAATGACTGCTGAAGAAATCATAATGAGACTATACTACACTGCCAACCCAGAATCAAAGCTAAAGCACTCCCACCCAACCAACACTAGAGATACATCTGAAAAAAAGTCCCTATGGAAGTCAGTTCATAAAATTAGAAGATGAATAGATATCAGTGTAGGGAGGCAAGAATTATGAAAATTCAAGAAAACGTGACACCTTCAAAGGAATACAATAATTCTCCCAAATAAAAGAAAATTTGTGTAATGTCTAAAAACAAATTTAAAATAATATTTTTTTAACTCAGTGAGATACAACAGAACACAGTAAAACAATATAAAGAAATCAGGAAAACAATTTACTGTTCAAATGAGAAATTTAATGAAGACATAAATAACATTTTAAAAAACAAAAATTCTAAAACTGAAGAATTCAATGAGTGAAATAAGAAATACAATTGAGAGGTTTGACAGTAGACTAGATCAAGCCAGAAGAAAGAATTTCTGAGCTCGGAGATAGTTATTAGTATTATTATTTTTTAAATAAACCAGTCTGAAGAAGATATAGGAAAAAAGAGCAAAAATGAAGAAAGCCTATGTTACATATTGGACACAATAAAATGACCAAATTTTTAAAATTCTGAATGTTTCAGAAGGACAAGAAATAAGTAAAGACAAAAAAAAAAAAAACCCTATTTAAAAATAATAGTAGCTGAAAATTTCCCAAGTCTTGTGAGAGATATAGACATCCAGATACACAAAGCTCAAAGATCCCTAAATACATTGAACCTAAAAAGGTTTCCTCCAAGGCAAATTATATTCAAAATGTCAAAAGAAAAAAAAAAGAATTCTAAAAACAACAAGAGAAAAGTGTCAAGTCACATATAAGAAAATTCTCATCAGACTAACAAGATTTTTCAGCAGAAACCTCACAAGACAGGAAAGAATTGAATTATGTACTCAAAGTGCTGAAAGAAAAAAACTGCAAGCCAAGAATATGCAACTCAGAAAAGTCTTTCTTCAAAAATGAAGGTGAAGTCTTTTCCAGACAAAGAAAAACTGAGGGAATTCATAACCATTAGATCAGCCCTATAAGAAATAATTAAGGACACTTAAGGATACTTATTTCCTACATTTGGAAATAAATGGACAATAACTACCATCATAAAAACACACCAAAATATAAAACTCACTGGTAGAGCAGATACACAAATCAGAAAGACAAAAAGCCAAACACTATCACTATAGAAAACTACCAAACCACAATGATAAGAGAAGAAGAAAGAAAGAAAAAATGTACAAAACAACCTGAAAACAATTAACAAAATGAGTGGAATAAGTTTTCACTTATCAATAATAACCTTAAATGCAAATGGATCAAATTCCCCACTTAAAAGATATTCACTGGCTGAACAAATGAAAGAACAAAACCCAACTATACGCTGCCTACTAGAAACTCACTTTACACATAAAGATAAAAAGTGAAGGGATGGAATAAGATATACCACACAAATGGAAACCAGAACTAAGCCTAACATATGGAGTAGCTACACTTATATCAATAAAACAAACTTTAAGTCGAAAACTGTAAAATGAGGCAAAAAAGTCATTATATTATAATAAAGGAATCAATCCAAGAGGATATAATGTTTCTAAATATATATGTATGCTCAACACTAAAGAACTCAGAAATACAAAGCAAATATTAGACTTAAAGGGAGAGATACACTCCAAGTAACAGTTGAAGACTTTAACACCTCACTCTAAGAATTGGGCAGACCATCTATTCAGAAATAAAAAAGAAATGTTGGATTTATGCTGTCCTTTAGACCAAATGGGTCTAACAGACATTTATAGAACATTTCATCAAACAGCTGCAGAATTCACTTTCTTCTCATCAGCACATGGAACACTCCCCAGGACAGAACATACACTAGGCCACAAAAAAGTTCTTAACAAATTTTTAAAGACTTAAATTATATCAAGTACCTTCTTAGACAACAATGGAACAAAATTATAAATCAATACCAAGAAGAATTTTGGAAATTGTAAAAATACATGAGAATTAAACAACATGCTTCTTAATGACCAGTGAGTCAATAAAGAAATTAAGAAGGAAACTTAAAATTCCTTGAAACTAATAAAAATTCAAACACAACATACCAAAACCTATGGATACATCAAAAGCAGTGCTAAGAGAGAAGTTTATTACAATAAATGCTATATCAAGGAAGTAGAAAGATTTCAAATAAACAAACTATAATGCACACCAAGGAACTAGAAAAGCAAAAACAAACCAAATCCGAAATTAGTAAAAGAAAAGAAATATTACAGATCAGAACAGAACTAAATAAAATAGAGATTAAAAAATACAAAGGACCAACAGAACAAAAAAAGTTCGTTTTTGAAAAGATAAACAAAATTGATAAACTGCTAGCTAGAATAACCAAAAAGAGAAAAGCAAAGGTCTAAATAAATATAATAATAAACAAAAAAGAAGACATTCTACCACAGAAATTCTAAGAATTATTAGAGACTATTATAAGCAACTGTACACTAAGAAATTGGAAAACCTGGAGAAAATGGATAAACCACCGGACACATACAAGCTAGCAAGATTAAACCAAGAAGACATAGAAAATCTCAACAGACCAATAATGAGTAATGAGATCGAATTAGTAATAAAAAGTTTCCCAACAAAGAAAAGCTCAGCACTGGATGACTTTACAGCCTAATTCTACTAAATAAGGACTAACCTAAATTCTTCTCAAAGTAGTCCAATAATATTGATGAGGTAAAATGTCTAAGTCATTCTACCAAGCCAGTATTACCTGATAACAATACTAGACAAGAACACAGCAACAAAAAATAGGCTACTATCCCTGATAAACATAGATGCAAAAATCCTCAACAAAATGCCATTAAAGCAAACCCAACAACACATCAAAAAGATAATATAGCATGATAAAGTGGGATTTAATCCAGGAATGCAAAAATGATTCAACACATGCAGACTAACAAATGTGATAATGCACATCAGCAAAGCAAAGGACAGAAACATATGATGATCTAATTTGACACAGAAAAAGCAACCGGTAAAATTCAACATCCTTTTATCATAAAAACTCTTAACAGATTAGGAATAGAAGAAACACACCTCAACATAATAATGACCAAATATTACAAACCCACAGCTAACATCATATTGAATGTAGAAAAGCTAAAAGCCTTTCCTCTAAGAAGTGGAACAAGACAAGGATGCCAACTATCACGTTTTACTTAAGATAGCACTGAAAGTCTTAAAATAATTAGGTAAGAGAAAGATATAAAAGTCATGCAAATTGGAAAAGAGAAAGTCAAATTATCTCTTTTGCAGAAGGCATTATTTTATATACAAAAAACCTACAGATTTCACCAAGAAATTCTTACAAATTACAAACAAATCTATTAAAACTCAAGATACAAAATCAACATACAAAAATGATTAACAATTTAGTATACCAATAACAAACTAGCTGAAAGAAATCAAGAAAGCATTCCCATGTACAATACCTACTGTGATAGTTAATATTAAGTGTCAACTTGATTGAATTGAGAATTGTAAAGTATTGTTTCTGGTTGTGTCTGTGAGGGTGTTGCCAGAGGAGATTAACATTTGAGTCAGTAGACTGGGAGAGGCAGACCCACCCTCAATCTGGATGGGCACCATCCAATCGGCTGCCAGCACAGCTAGAAAAAGTAGGGGGGAAAAGGTGGAATAAGCAGACTTGCTGTGTCTTCCAGCCTTCATCTTTCTCCCATACTGGATGCTTCCTGCCCTTGAACATCAGACTCCAAGTTCTTTGGCTTTTGGACTCTTGGACTTACACCAGTGGTTTGCCAGGGACTCCTGGGCCTTTGTAGACAGACTGAAGTCTACACTTTTGGCTTCCCTACTTTTGAGGCTTTGGGACTCAGACTGAGCCAGTACTGGCTTCCTTGTTCCTCAGCTTGCAGACAGCCTACTGTGGGACACCACCTTGTGATCTTGTGAGTTAATTCTCCTTAGTAAACTCCCTTTTGTATATACATCTATCCTATTAGTTCTGTCCCTCTAGAGAATCCTGACTAATACAGATTTTGATAACAGGAGTAGTCCTTGAGGAACAAAATTTTAAGAATGGATTTCTTTAGTTCGTTTTGGGGTTTCTGAAGTTGGCTTCTTAATCTAAGAAGACCCAAAAATGCTAAAGACTGTACTTCAAGTTGTATGCAGAACACTGATAGTCCTTGGCATGAACTGTTTAGAGAGCTATGCAAAATAAATGCATTCGATGCTCCTAATTCACCACTCCTGAGAGGTGATATGGTTTGGCTGTGTTCCCACCCAAATCTCATCTTGAATTGTAGTTCCCATAATTCCCACATGTTGTGGGAGGAACCCAGCCATAGATAATTGAATCATGGGGACAGTTTCCCCCATACTGTTCTCGTGGTAGTGAATAAGTCTCATGAGATCAGATGGTTTTATAAAGGTTTCCACTATCCCCTGGCTCTCATGCTTTCTTGTCTGCTGCCACGTAAGACATGCTTTCCACCATGATTGTGTCTCCCCAGCCATGTGGAACTGAGTCCATTAAACGTCTTTTTCTTTATAAATTACCCAGTCTCAGGTATGTCTTTATCAGCAGCATGAGAACCAACTAATACAAGAGGCAAGGAATTTACTGACTCCATACATAATACTTTTGAACATATGTGGAGAACCAAGGAATATAATGAAGTTGGTTGGTTGTTCCTAAATTCACTGGACAAAGTGATGAAAGAAAAGACTAACCTCAAAAATTCTAACTCCCAGCTCCAGAAGCAAATACTAAGCCTCAAATCTTCTAAGATTGTCCTAAGTGAGAGTCTTATCTCATGTAGACAAAGGGCTGAAATTGTGGAAAATTAGACACAAGCTCTTATGTGAATGGCTGACCTGCAATGAAAAGTGCATGCACAGCCTCACCAGGTGTCTACTGCTAAAGTAGACAGTGAAGTGTCTAAAATGAAGGCAGTTATTGGAAAAGAATGGGACCCTGCAACTTGGAACGGGATGTGTGGGAGGACCCTGATGAAGCTGGGAGCACTGAGCTTGTAAAGTCTGATGAGACTCTTTTTGCCAGAGGAAACAGTCTCCCCAACTTCAGTGGTGGCAACCTCCCTTTCCTCACCCCAGCTGCCATCAGCCTTTCCGTCTTTATCTGAGGAGACTAGCCCTGCACTGTCTGAGACAACAGTGATGGCCCCAACTGAGAAGTTGCCAGACAAGACAATGCTGATTCTCCTCAGGACACACCCCCTCCACCCTTTTTGCTTCTAGATCTATAACTAGACTCAAGTCCTGGCAGGCCCTTAGAAGTGATGTTGAAAGTATCACCCATGAGGAGGTGCACTACACTCCAAAAGAACTGCTTGAGTTTTCTAATTTATATAAACAGAAACCTAAAGAACAGGCATGTGAATGAATATTAAGGGTGTGGGATAATGATGGAAGGAACATAAAGTTGAACACTAAGAAGAGTTTTTACATTTAATGTTGCAGCTCAGGGAGCTTTTAAAAAGCTCCTAATAGTTTATTTCCTTGGTTAGCTGAAACATGGATCAAAAGATGGCTCACTATGAGTGAGCTGGAAATGCCTGATCTCCCTTGGTTTAATATAGAGAAAGGGACCCAAAGGCTTAGGGAGATTGGAATGTTAGAGTGGATTAGTCACTTTAGACCTACTCAACCCAGCTGGGAGGGTCCAGAAGACATACCTTTTACCAATACTTTGTAAAATAGATTTTTCAGAGGAGCACCTTCATCCTTGAAGTGCTCTGTGATTTTTCACCTCTGTATGCCAGATCTTACAGTGGGAACCACAGTCACTCAATTGGAAAACTTTGATGCCATGGGAATAATTGGATTCTGAGCTGGCAGGGTTCAAGTGGTGGCACCAAAGGCAAGGTCAATGTAGTTACCATAATGGACAGCAAAGGCAAAGCAGCAATTAGAATAGTCAGTCTTGTGTAGAGATCTGGCATTGGCTAATTAGTCATGGTGTTCCTGGAAGTGAAATTGATAGAAAGCCTACCACATTCTTACCTAATTTGGATAAGCAGAAAACTTTCAGGTCTGGTAGACAAAAGACTACATTTGAATTATAAAAACAGAAAATCACAACCCTCAATCAATTTCCAGACTTGACCCAGTATACAGATCCAGAACCCCTTGAATGAAGGGGAGGCCAGGTCCCCTTGAGGAAGGACTCCACTACACTAATGAAAATTTATACTGTTAATCTTTCTTCCATCCTTTCCCAAGGAGACCCATGGCCTTTTACTGGGGTAACTGTGCACTGGGGAAAGGGGAATGATCATACCTTTTGGGATCTACTGGACACTGGCTCTGAGCTGACATTGATTCTAGGACACCCAAAACATCACTGTGGTCCTCCAGTTAGAGTAGGGGCTTATGGAGGTTAAGTAATTAATGGAGTTTTAGCTAAGTTCCAACTTACAGTGGGTCTAGTGGGTCTCTGAACTCATCCTGTGGTCATTTTTCCTAGTGCCAAAAGGCATAAATGAAATAGACATACTTAGCAGCTGGCAGAATGCCCACATTGGCTCCCTGACCAGTAGGGTTAGGACTATTATGTTGAGAAAGGCCAAATGGAAGCCATTAGAGCTGCCTCTACCTAGAAAATAGTAAATCAAAAACAATATTGCATCCCTACATGGATTGCAGAGATTAATGCCACCATCAAAAACTTGACAGACATAGGGGTGGTAAAATACAAAAAAATCATTGAAGGCTACTATGAACTAATTCATGCACATAAATTAGGAACCTAGAGGAGATGAATAAATTTCTAGAAATATACAACCCTCCTATATTAAACTGGGAAAAAATAGAAACTCTGAGCAGACTAATAACAAGCAGCAAGATTGAAATGGTAATTAAAAAGTTATCAACAAAAACAAAAAATTCCAGGACCAGACAGATTCACAGCTGAATCCTATCAGACATTCAAAGAATTAGTATCATTCCTATTGACACTATTCCAGAAGACAGAGAAAGAGGGAATCCTCCCTAAATCATTTTTTGAAGCCAATATCACCCTAATACCAAAACCAGGAAAAGACATAACAAAAAAAGAAAACTACAGACCAGTATCCCTGATGAACACAGATGCAAAAATCCTCGACAAAATACTAGCCAACCAAATCCAACAGCATATCAAAAAGATAATCCACCATGATCAAGAGAGTTTTATTCAAAGGATGCAGGGATAGTTTAACATACGTAAGTCAATAAATGTGATACACCACATAAACAGATTTTAAAACAAAAAACACATCATCATCTCAACAGACACAGAAAAAGCATTTGACAAAATCCAGCATCACTTTATGATTAAAAACCTCAGTAAAATCAGTATAAAAGGACAGAGCTTAAGGTGATAAAAGCCATCTTTGACAAACCCACAGCCAACATTATACTGAACGACAAAAAGTTGAAAGCATTCCCCCTGAGAACTAGAACAAGAGAAGGATGCCCATTTTCACCACTTCTATTCAACATACTACCGAAGTCATAGCCAGAGCAATAGGATAAGAGAAAGAAATAAAGGGCAATCAAATTGATAACGAGGAAGTCACACTGTCATTGCTTGCTGATAACATGATCATATACCTAGAAAATCCTAACAACTCATCCAAAAAGCACCTAGAACTGGTAAATGAATTCAGCAAATCTTCAAGATATAAAATTAATGTACACAAATCAGTAGCTCTGCTATACCTTAACAGCAACCACACTGAGAATCAAATCAAGACAATCACTTTTACAATAGCTGCAAAAATAAAATATTTAGGAATATACTTACCCAAGGAGGTGAAAGACCACTACAAGAAAAACTACAAAACACAGCTGAAAGAAATTATAGATGACACAAACAAGTGGAAACACATCCCATGCTCATGGAAGGGTAGAATCAATATTGTGAAAATAACCATACTGACAAAAAGCAACCTATAGATTTAAAGCAATTCTTATCAAAATCATCATTCTTCACAGAACTAGAAGAAACAATACTAACATTTATATGGAACCAAAAAGAGCCTGCATAGCCAAAGCAAGACTAAGCAAAAAGAACAAATCTGGAGGCATCACATTACCCAACTTCAAACTATACCATAAGGCCATAGTTACCAAAACAGCATGGTACTGGTATAAAAATAGGCATATAGACCAATGGAACATAACAGAGAACACAGAAATAAAGCCAAATTCTTACAGTCAACTGATATTCGAAAAAGCAAACAAAAATATAAAGTGGGGAAAGGACACCCTATTCAACAAATGTTGCTGTAGAATAATAATAATAAAAGAATAATAATGTAGAAGAATAAAAATGGTTCCTCATCTCTCACGCTCTACAAAAGTCAACTCTAGATGGATCAAAGACTTTAAGACCTGAAACCCCTAAAAATTCTAGAAGATAACATTGGAAAAACTTTTCTAGATATTGGCTTAGACAAAGACATCACAACCAAGAACCCAAGAGTAAATGCAACAAAAAGAAAGATAACTAGATAAGACTTAATTAAACTAAAAAGCTTCTACACCGCAAAAGAAATAATCAGCAGAGTTAACAGACAACCCACAGCGTGGGATAAAATCTTCTAAATCTATACATCTGACAAAGAACTTTTATCCAAAATCTGCAAGAAACTCAAACAAATCAGCAAGAAAAAAAAATAACCCCATCAAAAAGTGAGCCAAGGACATGAATAGACAGTTCTCAAAAGAAGATATACAAATTGCCAACAAACATATGAAAAAATGCTCAACTTCACTAATGATCAGGGAAATACAAAGCAAAACCACAATGTGATACCACCTCACACCTGCAAGAATGGCCATAATAAAAAATAAAAAATAATAGATGTTGACATGGATGTGGTGAAAAGGGAACACTTTTACACTGTTGGTGGGAATGTAAACTAGTACAATCACTGAGGAAAACAGTGGAAATTCCTTAAAGAACTAAAAGTAGTACTATCATTTGATCCAGCAATCCCACTCCTGGGTATCTAACCACAGGAAAAGAAGTCATTATACGAAAAAGGTACCTGCACACACATGTTTATAGCAGCACAATTTACAATTGCAAAAATATAGAACCAGCCCAAATGCCTACCATGGAATACTATGCAGCCATAAAAAAATGGGATCATGTCTTTTGCATGAACATGGATGCAGCTGGAGGCTATTATCCTCAGAAAACTAATGCAGGAACAGAAAACCAAATACTACAGGTTCTCCCTTATAAGTGGGAGCTAAATTATGAGAACTTATGAACACAAAGAAGGAAACGACAGACACTGGGGTCAACTTTAGGGTGGAGGATGGGAGGAAGAAGAAAAGCAGAAAAAATAACTATCAGGTACTGGGCTTAATTCCTGGGTGAATAACATATACAACAAACCCTCATGACATGAGTTTACCTATATAACAAACCTTCACATATACCCCTGAACTTAAAATAGAAGTTAAAATAAAGAAGAAACAATCCACAATTTCATATGGCACCATAAAAAAATCCCAAATAGCCAAAGCAATGCAGAGGAAAATAAAAAGCTGGAAGCATCACACTACATGACTTTGAAATATACTGCTAAACTACGATAGCCAAAACAACGTGGTATTGGTATAAAACAGACATATAGACCAAGTGAACAGAATAGAGAACCCAGAAATAAGTCTTCATATTTACAGCCAACTGGATTTTGACAAAGATCCCGTGAACATACGTTGAGGAAAGGACACCTTCTTTAATAAGTGGTGCTAGAAAAAATGGATATTCATATGCTGAAGAATGAAACTGGACCCCTGCCCATCACCATATACAAAAACTGAACCAAAATGGATTAAATATTTAAATGTAAGACTTGAAGGTATAAATTTACTAGAATAAAACATTGGGGAATTTTTTTAGGACATTGGTTTGGGCAAAGATTTCTTGAGTAAGACCTTGAAAGCATAGGTAACTAAAATGAAAACTGATAAATGGGATTACATCAAGCCAGAAAGCTTTTGCACAGCAAAGTAAACAATCAACAAGATGAAGAAATGGGGGAAAGTATTTGTAAACTTTCATCCAACAAGGGATTAATATCAATAATATACAAATAATTAAACTCAATAACAAAAAATCCCATTAAAAAGCAGGCAAGGATATGATCAGCCATTTCTCAAAAAAGACATACAACAGGCTGATAAGTTTATGAAGAAATGCTCAATATCACTAATCATTAGGTAAATACAAATAAAGCCCACAATGAGACATTATCTCATCTCAGAATGGCTATTATCAAAAAGAGAAAAAATAGGCCAGGCACGGTGGCTCACACCTGTAATCCCAGCACCTTGGGAGGCTGAGGTGGGCAGATCACCTGAGGTCAGGAATTCGAGACCAGCCTGGCCAACATGGCGAAACCCTGTCTCTACTAAAAATTTTTAAAATTAGCCGGGCACAGTGGCACATGCCTGTGTTCCCAGCTACTTGGGAGGCTGAGTCAGTAGAATCACTTGAATCTGGGAGGCAGAGGTTGCTGGCAGCCAAGATTACATCACTGCACCCCAGCCTGGGTGACAGAGCAAGACTCTGTCTCAAAAAAGAGAAAAAATAGGAAATGTTGGCAAGGTTGCACAGAAAGGGAACACAAATACTGTTGCTGCAAATATAAATTAGTACAGATATTATGAAAAACAGTATGGGGATTTGTCAAAAAAACTAAAAATAGAACTACCATTTGATCCAACAATCCACTACTGCGTATTTATCCAAAATAAAACAAATCAGTATATCAAAGGAAGATTTTCACTCCTATGTTTACTGTAACATTATTCATAATAGCCAAGATATGGAATCAACCTGCGTGTCCATCAACAAATGAGTGAATAAAGAAAATGTGCTATATAGGCACAATGGAATAGTGTTTAGTCATAAAAAGAATAAATGTCCTCTTATTTGCAGCAACAGGGATGGAACTAGAGATTAATATGTTAAGCAAAATAAGCCAGGCATGGAAAGACAAAGATTGCATGTCCTCACTCATATGTAGGAGCTAAAGTTTATCTCAAGGATACAGAGAGTAGAATGATGATTACCAGAGGCTGGGAAGAGTGGAGAGGGGGAGGATAAAGAGAGGTTGGTAAATGAGTACAAGCATACATTTAGACAGAAGGAATAAGTTCTAGTGTTTGATAGCATAATAATGTAACTATAGTTAACAACAGTTTATTGTATATTTCAAAATCTCTAGAACAGTTGAAATGTTCCCAACAAATGTTTTAGGTGATGGATATCCTAAATACCCTGATTTGATCATGACACATTGTATGCATGCATCAAAATATCACATGTACCCCATAAATATGTACAATTATTATGGATCAATAAAAATGTAGTCTTTATTACCAACTAATACTTTTTAAAGGAAAAAACATTTATGGGTGCAATATCACATAATTTTTCACAAATGAACTCAATTTATTAAAAGGATACCCCAAATACAGTTTAATATCAACTCATTATCATAATAACTAGGTCTTCTAGGTAGTCATAACTGGAAGCTAGAACGTCTCTTCCCCACACATTTTTTTTTGTTCTTTTATTTAATACAACAGCAGTCCTTGCAAGTTAGCTGCTACAGATTGTTAGAATCCCTCTGAATTTCAGATTCGATTACAAATATTATTTGCTAAATACACTGTGCTTGCAATATTTACTTACACTTTTACCTTCAAGAGGCTAATTTTTCAATACTGGTCCCTATTAATAATTTTTGTTGTTGTTGTTTTTCTTTTTCTTTTTTTTCCCACCCTTCCAGCTCTTTTGATTGCTACTCTTGCTGCTGCTACTGTGTTGCTATTGCAACACTGCCTTGTTTTCCTGATTGCACACTCATGTGTGACATGACCTTATGTTGGATATAGGTTCCCTGAAACTCCCATGTCCCTGTTTTGTTTCCACAAACGTCTTCAAGGCTAATTCCTTTCCCTCTGAACCACCTGCCCTTTAACATTAGCCTTAATCCTCTTGGTCCTCTAGAACACCATGCTTAGCCATATCCCCACATGGTTCATGAGGATATTGGTCATTTCATTCTTTCTGGTCTTGCTAATAAGTCTGGCTACCCTAGCTCCAATATTAACTTGCCATCCGCTAATAGACCAGCTCACAATATCCCTAATCCTGTCCCGCACTGTATTCCTACAGTATCTCCATCTCAAACATCAAAGGCTTACTGAAATTACAGATAAGCCTCAAAGCCCTGTTTAAGTACTTTAACTTCCTCCTAATCAATACTAATCTTCCTCAATACCCCCAATACAAAAATTGCAGTGTGTATTTACCAAGTTCCTAATTTTCTTAGTCCATTATCAAATAATCAACATTGATTATAAACTTTCAATAATTGATGAAATAATTGTTCTAAAGGAAGAAATTATAAACACATTCTCTATACATTATACATTTTTTTATAGTTTTGTGTGAGCCTCAAGTAAAAGAACCATATTGAGTTACACATAAAGGAAATTTTTTTAAGTGCTACATCAAGCTTGAAGCTGCTAAAACAATTATCACAACAAATAAATGTCATTGTTTTCTTTGACTATTGAATACAAGTCTCTTGCAGGGATAAAAAAGATCCTCATGGTTTATATTTAGATATTTCATTGTTGTTCAAGGTTCAGTTTTTATTGTAAGCAAAATAGCATACAAGTAAATTTACCAAAGCAAAATGTTTCTTGAAAAATATATGCAGCCCACCATTTATAATTATGTCTTTTCTAAAAGTTTGTTTGCAACATGATTATTGAGAACTTCATTTTTTTCAAAATTTTAAAATTTATTTTTAATTTTTAAGGATAGATAATAGTTGTGAATATTTATGAGGTACATGTAATATTTTGATACATGCATTCAATGTGAAATCAAATCTGGGTAATTGGAATATCCATCACTTTAAAAATTTATTATTTCTTTGTGTCAGGATTATTCTAAATCTCCTCTAGCTATTTTGAAATAAACAATAAATTATTGTTAACTATAGTTACCATATTGTGCTTTTGAACATTAGATGCTATTCTTTCTATCTACAAACCTCTCTTCATCCTATCCCACTACCCTTCCCAGCCTCTAGTAACCACCATTCTACTACCGCCATGAGAACACATTTTTCAGCCTCAACATGTGAGTGAGAACATGAAATATTTCTCTTTTTGTGACTGGCTTAATGTGGAAGACATAATGTCTTCCACGTCCACCTATGCTGTTGCAAATGACAGGATTATATTCTCTTTTAAGTCTGGATAATGTTCCATTATGTATATATACCACATTTTTTATCCATCTATTTGTTGATGTACACTTAGGTTAATTGTATATTTTGACTATTGTGAATAGTGTTCCAATGAACATGGGAATGAAGTCTATTCAATATACTGATTTCCTTTCTTTTGGATAGATACCCAGTAGTGGAATTGCTGAATCACATGGTAGCTCTATTTTTAGGTCTTTGAGAAACCTCCATACTACTTTCCATGGTGGCTCTGCTAATTACATTCCCACCAACAGTATATGAGTGTTCCCTTTTCTCTGCAAACTTGCCAGAATCACTTATTTTTTTTCTTTTTGGTAACAGCCATTCTAAGATGAGGTGATATCTCATTGTGCATTTGATTTGCATTTTCCTAATGATTAGTGATATTGAGTATTTTTTTCATATACCAGTTGACCCTTTGTATGTCTTCTTTTGAGAGATGTCTATTCAGATCTTCTGACCATTTTAAAATCAGATTGTTTTATGGTATTCAGTTGTTTGTGTTCCTTAAACATTCTGGTTCTCAATCCCTTGTCAGATAAATAGTGTGCTAATATTTTCACCCATTCTCTAGGTTTTCTCTTCACTTTGTTGATTCTTTCCTTTTGCTCTGCAAAAGCTTTTTAGCTGAATGTGATCCCATTCATCAATTTTTGCTTTAGTTACCTGTGCTTTTGAGGCCTTACTCAAGAAATCTTTGCCTAGTCCAATGTCCTGGAGTATTTTCCCAATGTTTTCTTCCAGTAATTTTATAGTTTCGATATTACATTTAAGTTTTTAATCCATTTGCTCTGTTTTTTTTTATATATGGTGAGAGACAACAGTCTAGTTTCATTCTTCTGCATATGGATATCCAGTTTTCCCAGCACCATTCATTGAAGAAGGTATCCTTTCCACAGTGTACATTCTTGGCACCTTCATCAAAAATGAGTTGGCTGCAAATGCATGGTTGTATTAGTCAGAGTTCTCTAGAGGGACAGAACTAATAGGATGCATGTATATATGAAGCGGAGTTTATTAAGAATATTGACTCACACGATCACAAAGTGAAGTCCCACAATAGACTGTCCTCAAGCTGAGGAGCAAGGAAGCCAGTCGAAGTCCCAAAACCTCAAAAGTAGGGAAGCCAACAGTGCGGCCTTCAGTCTGTGGCCAAAGGCCTGAGAACCCCTGGCAAACCACTGGTCTAAGTCCAAGAGTCCAAAAGCTGAAGAACTTGTAGTCTGACGTCTGAGGGCAGAAAGCATCCAGCATGGAAGAAAGATGGAGACTGAAAGACTCAGCAAGTGTGCTCTTTTCACCTCCTTCTGCCTGCTTTATTCTAGCCACACCCAGAGCTAATTAGACGGTACCAACGCAGATAGAGGGTGAGTCTGCCTCTCCCAGTCCACTGACTCAAATGTTAATCTCCTTTGGCAACACCCTACCAGACACACCCAGGAACAATACCTTGCATTCTTCAATCCAGCCAAGTTGACGCTCAATATAAACCATCACAAGCCCACCCCTTGTCAACATGAACACAGGCACATGTCCTGAAATCATGCATAATCTTCAAATAAAGACAATGATAAGATCATAATTACACTGAACATAATACAGCTATTCTTCATACAACTGGAAGCACATTAACCTTTAACCTAAATGCTATTACATAAAGTTAACAACACTTAAATGCTGATATGAAATCAATAAATCTTATATAATAAAGGAAAAAGAAAGGAAATAAATGAAGATATTTTCTTAGTACTAGTGTATACATGCACAGAAATATTCTTAACAAAATAAGGAAGAAATATTTATGACAACTACAGTCCTCCTTTCTGCAGCTGGTCATGTGCTCATAGCTGGTATTGCTGACTACCTTCTTCTACTACCCATTTCATATTCCCTTTACCTTCTGCAAGCACCTCAGTGGGTTGTGGTATTTTACCTGGTGGCGTGACTTAAGCCTTCATTCCTGAAGGGTCTGGGCCACTTGTAGTCCTGCCTGGACTGGGTCGTTGTAGTTTCCCATTGACCTTAATCACAGGGCATGGTAATACTAAGAGCTGCCCTGTGGGATCTCCTGTATTCCATATATACTCTTCCTTACCTCCATTGTGGAGTAGTAGACTAAAATCATGTGGATAGTCCAGGTCAATCACCCCAGCAAACACTGTAACTTCCTTCTTCGCCTGTTGCCTTAGAGGTAGGAGGAGTCCAAAGTGGCCAGGTGAGAATCTAAACTCCCAGTTTAATGGAATCATTGTTGTGTCTCCTGGTGGCAGCATTTCTCCCTCTGGAACTAAGACCTCTAGGCCAGCAGAATGTATGTTGTGGGAACATGAAGCAAAAATTTTCCTAGTGGGTCACTAGGGGTGATGGTGAGAGGTGCCACTTCCACTTCCACCCCTTGATTCCTTGACCCATGAATCCTGGCTATGGGAGAAACAGTACCATATATAATCAACCTGCCACCAAGTAGCAGGGTGATCACCCCAAGGAATGGTGCCATATCAAGGGCTCAATGATGGTCTCTGCTGTAGCAAATTGCACATTCACGGTCACTGTAGCCAGGTCATCCTTGGTGAGTGGAAGTCCACGTGGCTGAGCCCATGCATAACCTTCATGCCTGCCACCATGACCACTTTGTTCATGGGCCCAATGTGTGATGACAAGGGTGGCTGGAGAAAGAGGTTCAGCGGTGAATGAGACATCCTATCTACTTGATTACTGGAATCCTTCCCTGCTGAGGTCACCCTTTGGTGAATATTTACATGAAATACAAATACCTTCAGTTTTTGACCACTCAGAGAGGTCCATTTACATACCTCTTCCCCCAATATTTTGTCACAAATTTTCCAATCATGCTTCTTCCAAGATTCTGAACATTCAGCCAAACCATTCGGTTCAGCCCACAAATCAGTATATAATTGCAGATCTGGCCATTTCTCCTTACAAACAAAGTGCACAACCAGGTACACTGCTTGAAGTTCTGCCCACTGGGAAGATTTTCCTTTGAGACTGTCCTTAGGGGATGTCCTAGAAGGGGGTTGTAGTGCTGCAGCTGTCCACTTTTGGGTGGTGCCTGCATATCATGCAGAACCATCTGTAAACCGGGCCCTAGTCTTCTCTTCCTCTGTCAGCTGATCATAGGGATCTCCCCAGGAGGCCACTGTTGCAGGCTAGGGGAGAGAAGGCAGGGTGACAGGAGTGGAGACCATGGGCATTTGAGCCACTTTTTCATATAACTTACTTGTGCCTTCAGGGCCTGCTCAAGCCTAATCATGTATCTACCACTTCCGTTTAATGATGAAATGCTGCTGTGCCTGCTCTTTATTGGTAGATGGGTTAGAAAGCACTGAGTTCATGATAGGCAGTTCAGTGTGACATCTTGTGAAAGGGAAAAGTGATCAATATCTTTGCAAACAAGATTATGACACAAAGCCAGAGAGTTGATATACCCCTGAGGTAGGACAGTGAAGGTATATTGCTGGCCTTGCCAACTGATGGCAAATTGCTTCTGGTGGGCCTTATGGACAGGAATGGAGAAAAGCTATTTGCCAAATCAATGCTGCATACCAGGTACCAGAGATATGTTAATTTGTTCAAGCAATGAAACCACATCTGGTACAGCAGCTGCAACTGGAGTCACCACTTGGTGAAGTTTACAACAGTCCATTGTCATTCTCCAAGATTGATCTGTCTTCTGCACAGACCAAATAAGAGAGTTGAATGGGGATGTGGTGGGAATCACCACCCCTACATCTTTCAAGTTTTTGGTGATGGCACTAATCTCTGCAATCCCTGCAGGGATGCAATATTGGTTTTGATTTATGATTTTCTAGTTAGAGGCTGCTCTTATGGCTTCCATTTGGCCTTTCCCACCATAATAGTCCTAACCCTACTGGTAAGGGAGCCAATGTGGGGATTCTGCCAGCTGCTAACTGGCAGCTATTTCAATTATGCATTCTGGCACTGGGGAAATGACCACAGGATGAGTCCAGGAACCCATCAGACCCCCTGTAAGTTGGATCTGAGCTAAATCTTCATTAATTACCTGACTGCCATAAGCCCCTAATCTAACTGGAGGACCACAGTGGCATTTTTGGTGCCCTAGAATGAATGTCAGCTCAGAGCCAGTGTCCAGTAGTCCCCAAAGGTATGGTCATTCCCCCTTTCCCAATGCACAGTTTCCCTGGTAAATGGCCACGGGTCTCCTTGGGGAAGGATGGGAGAAAGATCAACAGTATAAATTGTCAGTAGTGTAGTGAGGTCCTTTCTCAAGGGAACACAGTCTTCCCTTCATTCAAGGGGTTCTGGGCATGTAAACAGGTTCAAGTCTGGGAATGGATTGAGGGCCCATGATTCTCTATTTTTGTAATTCAAATTAGTCTTTTGTCCACTTCACCTGGAAGTTTTCTGCTTATACAAATAAAGTAAGAATGCAGTAGGCTTTCTATCAATTTTACCTCTAGGAACACCATGATTAGTTAGCCAGTGTCAGAGCTCTACATGAGTCAGACTTTTCTGATTGCTGCTTTGCCTTTGCCGTTCATCATGATAATTATGCCCATCTTGCCTTTGATGGTTGAGTGCTGCCACTTGGCCCCTGCCACTTCAGGATCCAATGATTCCCATTGGGTTTAAGTTTTCCAGTTGAGTGACTGTGGTTCCCACTGTAATATCTGGCATACAGAGAAGAGCAATCCAGAGGTCTACAAGGATGAAGGTGATGTCCTTACAAATCTATTTCACAAGGTGTTAGTGAAGGATATGTCTCTTGACCCTCCCAGTTGGATGAATAGGTCTAAAGTGACTAATCCACTCTGGCATTCCAATCTCCCTAAGCCTTTGGATCCTTTGCTCTACATTAAACCAAGGGAGATCAGGCATTTACAATTCACTCACAGTGGGCCATCTTTTGATCCACGTTTCAGCTAACCAAGCAAATAAATTATTAGAAGCTTTTAAACTCCCTGAGCTGCAACATTAAATACAGAATCCCCAATTAGTGTGCCCAAATCAATAAATTCAGCCTGATCCAACTTTATGTTCCTTCCACTATTATCCATTCTCATACCATACATTTTGCCCAGATTTCTGCTTATATAAATTAGAAAACTCAAGCCGTTCTTTTGGAGTATAGCACAGATCCTCATGGGTCACAGTATGATCTTCACCTCTAGGGGCCTGCTGGGACTTGAATCTAGTTATAGGACTAGAAGCAAACAGGGGTGTTCAGGATGTGTCCTAAGGAGAATCAGCATTTTTTTTTGGCCTGGCAACTGCGTCAGGGGGAGCCATCACTGTTACCTCAGGCAGTGCATGATTGATCTCCTCACACAAAGGTGGAAAGGCTGAAAGCAGCTTGGGTGGAGAAGGGGATGTTGCCACCACTGGGGTTGGGGAGATTGCTTCCTTTGGCAAAAAAGGCTCATCAGAGTTTACAAGCTCAGTGCCCCCAGCCTCATCAGGGTCCTTCCACACATCCCCATTCCAAGTTGCAGGATCGCATTCTTTTCCAATCAATGCCCTCACCTCAACAGTAGACACCTGGTGAGGCTGGGTGTGCACCTTTCATTGCAGGTCAGCCACTCGCATGATAAGAGCTTGTGTCTGATTGTCAGCAATTTTAGGCTTTTGTCTACAGGAGATAAGACACTCACTCAGGGCAATCTTAGAAGATTTGAGGCTCAGTATTTGCTTCTGCAGCCAGGAGTTAGAATCTCTGAGCTCATTCTTTTCCTTCATCACTTTGTCCAGTGAACTCAGGAGCCACCAACCAACTTCATTATATTCCTTGGTTCTCCACATATGGTTGAAGTTGTTATGTATAGAGTCACTAAACTCCTTGCCACTCAAGGGCAGTGAATCAGGAGTATGAAATGCATTTGTTTTGCATAACTCTCTAAATAGTTCATGCCAAAGACTATCAGTGTCCTCCATACTATTAGGAGTAGAGTCCTTAGCATTTTGGGGTCTAATCAGATTAAGTGGTCAACTCCAGAAACCCCAAAACCAACTAAAGAAATTCTTTCTTAAAATTTTGTTCCTCTAGAACCACTCTTGGTACCAAAATCTGTATTAGTCACTGTTCTCTAGAGGGATAAAACTAATAGGATAGATGTATATAAGAAGGGGAGTTTATTAAAGAGTACTGACTCGCATGATCACAAGGTGAAGTCCTACAATAGGCCATCTGCAGGCTGAGGAGCAAGGAACCCAGTCCAAGTACCACAACTTCAAAAGTAGGGAAGCCAACAGTGCAGCCTTCAGTCTGTGGACAAAGGCCCAAGAGCCCCTGGCAAACCACAGTAAGTCCAAGAGTCCAAAGGCCAAAGAACTTGGAGTCTGATGTTCAAGGACAGGAAGCACCCAGTATGGGAGAATGATGAAGGTCAGAAGACAGAGCAAGTGCAAGTCTGCTTATTCCACCTTTTCTTCCGTGCTTTTTCTAGCCCTGCTGGCAGCTGATTGGATGATGCCCACCCAGATTGAGGATGGGTCTGCCTACCTCTGTCCACTGACTCAAATGTTAATCTCCTTTGGCAACACCCTCACAGACACACCTGGGAATAATACTTTGCATCCTTCAATCCAGTCGAGTTGACACTCAGTATTAACCATCACAATGGTTTTCTTTTTCAGTTCTCTATTATGATTCACTGGTCTGTCTGTTTTTCTACCAGAATTCATGCTGTTTCAGTTACTATAACTTAGTAGTAAATATTGAAGTCAGATAATATGATGCCTCTAGCTTTGTTCTTTTTGCTCAGGGTTGTTCAGACTATTTGGGATCTTTTGTGGTTTCATAAAAATTTTAGGATTGTTTTTCCATTTCTGTGAAGAATGTCATTGGTATTTTGATAGGAATTGCATTAAATCTGTAGATATCTTTGGGTCATATGGACATTTTAACAATATTAATTCTTCCAATTCATGAACATGAGATGACTTTCCATTTGCTTGTATCTTCAATTTTTTTCATCAGTGTTCTATAGTTTTCACTGTAAAGATCCTTCATTTCTTTGGTTAAGTTTATTCCTAGGTATTTTATTTTTTGTAACTATTGTGATAGTGCCAGGAGGCAGACAAATGCCTAGGCAGATAGAGGTGTGTCCCAGGTGAAACCCCACCTTCAAGCCAAAACAGCCTGAAGCCTGAAAGACCAGACTGCTGGTTCCAAATGAAAGATGTGACCTGGAGTGAGAACATCTATTGCTATTTGCCTGCCGTTTCTTGATTGGTTCTTTCTGAATAGTGCTTTTTACCCAATCAAATGTTGCCTTTTCCAATAGTATCTGTGGCCTGCCCCTCCCCCATCATGTGCCTATAAAAACCCAACTTAGTCACACTTGGGGAGACAATCCAACTTTGGGTGAGAGACCACCTTCCTATCCCCTCTCTGCTGAGAGCTGTTTAGTTGATCAATAAAATTCTCTGCCTTTTTCACCCTTCAATTGTCAGCACAACCTCATTCTTTTTGGACACAGGACAAAAACTTGGGATCCACTGAACACAGATACTCAGAAGGCTGTAAACGCTGTGACCCTCTGCCTCACATGATGGGAAGCAGCGGTGGGGTTGAGCTAGTCCCAGACCTGCGGGCAGGCTGGAGCAAAGCAAGGGGCTGACAGAGCTGTTAACACCTCACCGTCCATTGGGGTGCAGACAGCAGAACTAAAAGTGCTAATTAGCACATTGTAACAACCCTTCTGGGGCTTGAGGATCATGGGCACCCCTGCCAGGGCATCATCACCTTTCCCTGAGCACGACGCACCTGGTCCAGCCGCAAGCGTGCACAAAGTCCACTTCCACGCTGGTGTTTGGAACAGTCGGCCAGGCCCCACACTCACTTGCCCACACATCCCCTCATACCAGGGGCTGAGCACGCAGCCACAGCAACTATGGGCTAAGCCCATGCACAAGCCAGGTGCGGCCTATGTGGGCCAAGTAAGTGGGCCACCTCAGGCAGGTAGTGTGGCTGAGTGAGGTCCAGGCAGGGGTGTCACTGGCCAGAGGTCCCTGGCTGGCAAAGTGACTGAGAAAAATGCCTCATTTCTGGGGGCTTGTCACTTACCCTCATTGTCTGAGGGTAAGTGAATGCAGATTTATGACTCTTCACTTTTTTCAAGGCTTCTTGCCCTCAGATTTTTCTGAAAGTAGATGAAGCACTGAATATCTGATTAGCCAGTCAAGAGTGGATGGTGCAGCTACAGAGCACACGACACTGGAGAAGACCCTGTCATTCCTTCCCATGTTCCTCTCGGGGGTTGGGAATGTTGGTTCTGTTCCAATCCAGTCTTCCTTGGTATTTCCTTCTTTCTTTTGGGGATGAACAGTGGGGCTGTAATGGCACCCATCTCTTGAGGCTGTTATGACATCTATCTCCTCTTTTATAATGTTAACGGTGTTGTTGCAAACTACAGAGATATTACTGGATGGAATGGGCACTTGGACCAGTCATCAAAAATGTAATTCAGAACAATGCAGTTTCCATCTATTCTTAGAAGCAGGGAGGAGGCAGCGATTAAGAAGTGTTTTATTTTTGTTTTTTTCTTCCTGTTGAAGGAACCCATTTGCATAAGAGCAAGAGGCTTTTTCCCACAGACACCTTCCCCTCCCTGCACTTAAGCTGTTTATTTTCTTTCTTTCTTTTTTTTCACTATGTCAGGAGTTAACACAGTCCTGTGAATACAGAGAGCTTCTCTATGAGAGAGGATTTTTCCTTTTGGGAGGCATCTTACTAGGCCAGGTCCCCAGTTCTCAGGATACCCTTCTCTCCCTTGTTTGAGGAGGACCTAGTTCCACAGATTCACCCTAGCACTCTGCTTATGATAGAGAAGTAATGGAGGAACAGCCCCAACTGCCCCCACTGGTCACTGACTGCAGTTTCGTGGGGGCCAACTGGGACTTAATTTAATGAGTCTATGCACCATTCTGAGGCACATTTTTATCCCAAACTTGATTCCAAGCTTCAGGTTGAAGCCCTAGAAATGAAAACTGGATCTGAGGGATCCAGAGGCAGATGACAATGGAAGTCAAGGGGTGCAGTGCTGGTGAGCATGGCTAATTACTGCCCATTAGCACCCCCCTCCCTGATTCATGAATGGAGGTCATGCCCCTACCTATGGCATAGATGAGGTCTAGGGAACTCTAAGGTTACCGACAGCAGGGAGGGTACACCAATGCATAGGTGAGTGCAGATATTCCTACACTCTAGGCCTCCCTGTTACATGGATGAAGGCTGCATTGGCATCCATAAGAAGCATCTGCTAAGGTCACTGTGACTCAGGGATATAAGGACAGAAGAAAAAATGGGATGCCTTTTTTTCTGTCCCTCACATACTCTGGGTATTTGCTGGGAAGAGAAAGGAATTAAGGAACACTTTTACCCCTATTTCCAGTTGGGTAACCAACAATCTTCAGTCTGTACTTCTCTTGAATGCATCCCGAATCGCTGGGACTCCTTTGGGAAAAAACAAAAAGCTTTCTTTTTCCTGTTACCTCCTCTCTGTCCTCCCTTTGCAGATGGGTAATCACATCTCTGTACCACAGGAAACTCCCCTTGGATGCATCCCCCAAACTGGGAAAAGTTTAATTTCCCCCAACCTTAAACTGCTTGGCTTAAAATTAAACTCGGAAGAAATTACAAATCTAATTGAGCAAATCACTTGAGGAGAAACAACTTTTACAGTATACAAATAATTTCTTTGTCTGCTCTCCCTTCACAGGACTCCAGGGTCAATAGAGCTCTATAGCTTGGGGGAAAACCAAGAAGCTAGCATGGGTAAAAATTTTTAACAACCAGGCTTCTGTCCTCTCTCTCTCTCTGTGTAAACCGTTTGAATTAATGGTAAAAACCACTGTTTATATCCTCTGTAAAGTTTTGATTAACGGAAAAAATAATTTGAGTGGCTAGTCTTAAGATGTAGTGAATCTGGTGTGCTTTGTGTGTCTTTCGGTATGGTTCTGTCATAAGGGGGATTACCTTAAAATAGAACATAGGCCTAGGACCCCATAAGCCCACTGTTTGAGCCAGACCAGCAAACTGGTCAGTTACAAACTTTGCTACAGGTCTCTGAAGAAAAGAAAACTGGATGAGGTCTCCATCTTGTTTTATGTCCTTGGGAGCCTGACCTTGTAACCATGTGGCAGTACTTTCTTTTGGTCTCTGCCATTTTACAGTGGTGGCCTGGGTTCAGTCCTGGCTTAGGGAATGAGTACTTCCTGGTTAATATATGTGTAAATTTTATGATTTGTTGATTCTTTTCCCTTCCATGAACAACTTCTAGCTTCCTTTCTTAAATATTCCTTTCTCTGAGCTACCTTTGAAGATTCTAGATTTTGTAATAACTGCTTACTACTGCTTTGAAAATATCTTGTACACTCATGGTTAAGTCATAACCTTAGTTGAGGCTTGTTGGTTTCACCTGTGAGGTTACTTTTGGTAAAGTTCAAAAGCCAGAAATATTGGCCACTTGGCATGGCTAAAGTTGGGTAATAATGGATTTAAAAGGATTTTTTAAAAGAGCATTCTGATTAAAAGTCAGCTTAATTAAAATTGGATATCCAAGTTATAGGTATATTTAAAAGGCCTTTATGTCATTTATCTTCTTGGATATTGTTTTACTGGAAAAAAATGTTTTTTTCTTCTCAGTCAACTAAAGTATTTTTCTCCATTTGTTTTGCCACTCTTAATGTGTGCATGAGAGGCCCTAAGGTAACTTCTGATAGCCTGGGACTGCTTGGGCAAAACAGAGAAGGTGCCATGGACCCCATTTTGGAACCCCAAGAATTAAGATATATCCCTCTCAAAATCTTTTTTTGTCTTCCAGCTATACCTGCTTAGTAGGCTCTAGCCCTGTTTCTTGAAGGGCTCCACCCTGAGGGAAGTAATCCAATTAGGAGGTTGGTAAATGAAAAAGCTTACAAATCACCGAATCTTCTTCTGTTTGTTATATGTGTTATGTGTGTAATTTTATATTAAAAAAAGAGCTCCAGTTGATTGGCTTGAAGAAAATAGAAGCCCTTAGACCAAATATTTTTAAAGAAAGAA
Organism: Homo sapiens; assembly: GCF_000001405.40. NCBI lineage: Eukaryota > Metazoa > Chordata > Mammalia > Primates > Hominidae > Homo > Homo sapiens. The sequence goes on from NC_000012.12 coordinate 82,212,969, forward strand.
TAAAAGTTGTAATGACTTTTATTTCATGTCACTTTAATCTTTGAGAAATAAAAAGTTTTAAAGATTATTGGTAAAATACAAATGTCTTCAAAATGTAAATATGTGGTCTAAGTTATGCAGGTCAGATTGTAAGTTTGCTAAATGGTTCAAGGTCATAAACTGATTTTTTGGCTTTTGAAAATCATTTGACTTGTCTGCTTTACAGTTTTGTAAGGCATAGGGACATATGGAATTAACCACACACCTAAGTATGTTGGAAAGAGTCAGACCTTATCTGTGCCTAGTACATAATAAAAATAACTTACCAAGTTTTACATTAAGATTAAAAATTGCTAACAGTCACCATCATAACACATAATTGAGCCTACTCAAAATAGATTTACATGCAAAGGGCTTAAAGAATGTAAAATGTGTTTTTAGTAAACATTATAAGAAGGCATGGGAATGTAAGTTTTTGCCTAGTTTAAAGGGTTAGAGGAATGTTTTAAATTAGATAAAATAAAACTAAAGGTTTAAACAAGTTGTGGAATGTTTACAAAACTTAATCTTGTAAAAGAAATTCTGGCATAAACATATTGGCTAAATTCACAAGGGTATTATCTGGTTTTTCCACTAATTGAATATTGAAATAAAAGCATGACAAGGTTTTCTTAAGGCACTTATCTGCTCTTTACAAAAATTTGTAAGGGGACTATGAGAATCCCACTTTATGGTCAAATTGATTAAGATTGGATGGATTTGTCTATAAGGTTTCATTAAAAAATAAAATATTGGGATTGATATTAGTAGTGGACTAATACAAGGGTGAAATTTGCTCTCTCTCAAACAAGATTTTCATGTAATATTAGAGGATAATGAAAGACTTTTATTTGCCTTGCAAATAAACTACCAAAAAAAGAAGGGAAAGACAAGAGACAGATTGTTTCGAAAGCTATGTCTTCCCTCTTAATGAGTAAAGGATTTTGCCTTTTTAAAAAAAAATTTAGTCATCACTTTGGCTAAATACATGACTCATGATAACCTGGAATTCTATTTCATAGTATCAAGTGTTTTAAATCTTTAGCTTCCTGAAATCAAACTTCAGCTTCGAGGTTGTTTTTCTGATCCCTAAATTTTGAATGCTACAGAGGGGCCCTGGGCATCCAAAAGAGAGGTAAACATGATTATTTGACATGTTTAGTTACATGGGATTGCCAAAACAAAAATAATGTTTAACTTTCTTTGGGTTATACTTTAGTGAATAATACTAATATGTGTTCCAAAATTGTGTGAGATTTCTAAAATTCTAATGTCTGAGTATGTTACATTATTGTAAACCACAGAAATAACCAAATTTCTCTGTCAATCATGTTTTTGACTGTGACTAGTTGAAGACATTTTGTAATTCACAGACAATGGTTGTCTTGTTTTGATTCTTTTCAAAAGCTGGCTTATAATCAGCTATAGGAATTTGACAGGTGCTCTCAAATGCTGATTGTTTGTTTTTCAGTCAGGAAAACATCTTATTTTGAGCTATTTACAGCTTTTAACAATTGAGGAAGGTATACTCCTGTGAACAAAATTTGGAGCATATTTGTTTCTCTCTTCTTGGTTTCTCCAGAATTTGGAAACTATTTATGAGTTTTCTTAACTTATGGCAATATAGTTATTTGCAAAAGTGCAATAAGAATCCATTTTCTTTTGCAACAGGATGCAGTTGGAGAAACCACTTGTTTTACCAAGACTTTGACTAGAAGGAAGTGTTTCCCTTTAAGGAATTAAGTTTGACTTGCAGAGCCAATAAAAACCGATTGGGAAAACTGGCCTCATATCTTGTCTACACAGTCTCCTACAGGGTTCCTAACCTGTGGTGAGTAAAGAATGTCACATTCTAATAGGGCCAGGAGCCTAAGTTATCTTGGGTCCTCAGGAAGAGAGAAATTTGTCCAACTCATAGGTATTTGAGGGTACAAACCCATGGCTGGGCTCAGCTTCAAAAACTTTTATCTGAGTTTTCTTATGGAACAGTGTTCCATCAAAGCCAATTTAAAAAAGCCCATGTGAAAATAATTATTCTTGCTGCACTTTATGCAAATAATCAGACAAAGTATAAGACTAAAGTTTATTTTGCAAACAACTCAGTCCTATCATGATTTAGTTTTAACAAAAATGAGGACTGGAGAGAGAAAAAATATGTCTCAAAAACTTATCACACACTTGTCATTAAACTCCAGTCTCATTAGCTGTTTTTAAGTTTTTGCCTGCATTTTAGACTAACCCTGCTTATTCCTGTGAACCAACCAGTGATCTTCAGCTGCAGTTCAGAAGAAACAAAAAGGATGGATAATGTGAAAATCTGGACCAATATTCTAGTTCTGGGCAATCCTGCAAATCCTGCCAGGTGCTAGGAGTAAATAGGGTACCCATAACCTGATGGTTTCTTTTTTGACCAAAAAAATAAGACCAAAGATGACCAAAGCCAAACTTCATGCGCCAAAATCTTAGCAGGCATAACTATAGCCACCAGTTATCTGGCCATGTCAGCAGTCTCAGGATTTTTAAGCTGTTCTTACCTCCTTGTTTCATTTTGATTCATGTCATCTAATAACACAGTTTACCTCTTCTTACCTTCAGGCTGTCAAACTCCAAACGGTCATGCAACTGGGGACTTGGACATTGGCTCCCTTTTACTGGGGACCCTTATATAGGCCTCTGAGAGAGATCTGACTGCCATCTTCCCAAAACAGTGCCCCCTGTTAGCAGGAAGCAGTTAAGATTGGTCATCGTTCCTATCCTAATGACAGTTAGATGTACCTCTTCAGAGGAAGAAATTGATAGCAGCGTGAGGCAGACAAATGCCTAGGCAGATAGGGGAGGGTCCCTGGTGAAACCCCACCTTCAAGCCAAAACAGGCTGAAGCCTAAAAGACCGGACTGCTGGTTCTGGATGAAACCTGCAATCCGGAGTTAGAACTTCTATTCCTGTTTGCCTGTTCTTTCCCGATTGGTTCTTTCTGAATAATGCTTTGTAACCAATTGTATGTTTTCCTTTTCCAATACTATGATCCTTTTCATAGAATCCAAATGAATCTTTTCCAGTACTACTTACAGCCTACCCCTCTCCCGTCCTGTGCCTATAAAAACCCCAGATTCAGTCACAGTGCGGGAGATAACCCAATTTCAGGTGAGAGACCACCTTCCCATCCCCTCTGCACTGACAGCTGTTTTGTTACTCAGTAAGATTCTCCACCCTCATCACCCTTCAATTGTCAGCATAACCTCATTCTTCTTGGATGCGGGATAAGAACTCGGAACCCACCGAACGTGGGTACTGAGAAGGCTGTAAACACTGTGGCCCTCTGTCCCTCATGACGGGAAGCAGCAGCAGGACTGAGCCAGCCTTAGAACGATGAGCCAGAGTGGGGCAAGGGACTGACAGAGCTGTTAACACATCACCATCCATCAGGCTGTGGATGGTGGAACTAAAAGAGCTACTTAGCACATTGTAACACCCCTTCTGGGGTTTTGGGGTCATGGACATCGCTGGCTGGGCACCACTGTGTTCCCCGTGGGGTGACATGTCTGGTCCAGCTGAAAGCCTTGCATGGAGCCTGGCTTTATGCTGGCACTTGGAACACTCATCCGGACCCCACACTCACTTGCCCACACAACCCCTCCTACCAGGGTGTGAGCATGCATCCATGGCAGTCGTGTCCTGAGCCAGTGTGCCAGCCAGACGCAACCTGGGTGGGCCGAGTTGGCAGGCCACTGCCTGTGGCAGGTAGCATGGCCAAGCAATGCCCAGGCAGGGGTGTCACCAGCCAGAGGTCCTTGGCTGGCAAAGTGACCAAGAAGTATCTGTATCAATTTTAAATGGTGTTGCTTTCTTGATTTATTTTTCAGATTGTTCACTGTTGACATATAGAAATACTACTGATTAGTGTATGTCCATTTTGTATCCTGCAACTTTATTAAATTTGATATTCTATTCTAATAGTTTTTTGGTGGTGTCTTTAGTATTTTCTAAATATAAAATCATATCATCTACCATCAAGGACAATTTGACTACTTTTTTCCTATTTGGATGTCCTTTCTTTTATCTTTTTTCAAGATAATAATGCTATATGTTTGCTTCTATCTGACAAAAGAGAATTTCACTACAGTGTGACTAAAGCAATACTAATACCATTGTTTCATCTTCATGAAGCCTCCATTTATATACTTTTTTCATAGCAGCATACATTTCAGGTTAAGATTTAGGTGACAGAAATATATTTCCCCCTGCTAAAATACTGGTGGTAGTTAAGGTCAGGGAAGGCAAGGTGGCAATCAGGTGATCCTTGATTCCACAAGGTAACACCTCTCCATATATGCAGAACAGAACTAATCCTATAGATCAAGCATTTCCCAGGAGTTAGAAATTATGACTCTGACAAAGATAGATCATAAATCCCTTTTTCATTTTGTCAATATTTTTTTAAATATTCAAAAAATCAAGTTGAAGTTTCAACTCTAGGCAGTCCAACTTTGGAAATGAGAGATAGATAGATAGATAGATAGATAGATAGATAGATAGATAGATGAGAAAAGTCAAGTAACTATCATTTCCTCTATCTGTATGCTTCTAGGTCCTACTTGATGTTAAAAGCCCAACTCAACTGCTAACTTCAATCAAATTGTAAGAGAAAGAATTGTACCTGTCTTCTGTGGAATATAGTAGGTAAATATTCAATTAATTAATCAGTCTCCTTCATAAAAATCTCTGGTATCTATCTAAAATGAGTTCATCTTTCTCTAAATTTTCATTGCATTTTGCCTATATCCTCTTCTGATTTAATGCTTTCTATGTGGTATGTTAGTTATTTATGTGCGTGGCGTAGGGCCCTCATATATAATTTCTTTGAGGAGAGGGTTTATGTATGATTTGTTTTCTCATACACCAATCAATCAATCAATATTTGTTAGAATAAACATCTGAAAGATATAAACAAGTCAAGTTTTGTTTTGTCTTTAAATTCATATAGATAATTGAAACAGGAGAATTTTCTACCCATGTAAGCACTCTTCATAGTGCAGACTAGACCATTATTACAAAAAAGTTTTTAAAATTACATTCTACTTCCTGAAGACAAATATATTCTAAAGTAGCAATTTGACTCCCCAGAGATGTTTTGGTAAACAGTTTATCAAGTTTTCTCTAAGAACTATAGCATTTATGTGTCTTCTTTCACTTTGCAGTTATAGAAATGACACCTCTAAGAATGAAAATAAATCTCTTATAGTTTTAAAGAGAAATGGAAAGAAATAAGAATTTTTCTCAGCCAGTATATACATGACATGGAGCTTATTGCCTGTTTGCTATATGTTGCATTAAATATAAAGTCAGAAAATTACAGAAGGAAATAATTCATTGTTTGGGGACCACTCACAGAGAAACCAGACTCTAAATATTGGAACCATAACAGAACATGACACAGGAAATCAGAAACAAAATGTAATATAAAAATGACAATTCTATTTGTTCTTTCTTAATATAAAAACATCAAGGATGTTTTATCCAGATAAAACTTTAAGAGCAAAGAAATGCTATGAGTGTTAGGTCATACAAAAGTCATACTTTGTCATGTCATATTATGTACTAATCACCATCAAGAGTTTCTAATTCCTTTTTTAGCTCTTCTATCTCGATCTCCCAAAGTTAGCTCTTTGCCTCCTCACTGAGGCAAACAATTATCTCTACTGGCAAACTGATAGGAGCAAAACGTGTAATACAAAGAACAATATTTATGATAAGAAAATATGTTATTAAAATAAATTACCATGTGATGCACATTTTTTAAGTGTAGAAAATTTATTCATCTTGTTCTCACTCTAGGTGGTTCAGAAGTACATTGTCCAGTTTGTGAATAATCCAGAAAATTCCTCCCTCATTATTATTATGTGGGGGCCCATTTATCAGAAAGAAAAAAAAGAGAAATCGTGACAGTGAGATAAGAAAATAATTCCATTTTTTGTTTGCAGCCAATTTGTTAAATATTGTTGGGAGGGGAAATTGAATTTGTGATTAAATTAGTAATCTTCAGTGGTGTTTCTTTTTTCTTTTTTTTTAACTTTTATTTTAGGTTCAGGTGTACATGTGCAACCTCACCAGCATCTGTCATTTTTTGACTTTTTTTTTTTTTTTTTTTTTTGTTTTTTGAGACGGAGTCTCGCTCTGTTGCCCAGGCTGGAGTGCAATGGCACGATCTCGGCTCACTGCAAGCTCCGCCTCCCGGGCTCATGCCATTCTCCTGCCTCAGCCTCCCGAGTAGCTGGGACTACAGTTGCCCGCCACGACGCCTGACTAATTTTTTGTATTTTTTAGTAGAGACGGGGTTTCACCGTGTTAGCCAGGATGGTCTCGATCTCCTGACCTTGTGATCCGCCCACCTCGGCCTCCCAAAGTGCTGGGATTACAGGCGTGAGCCACCACGCCCGGCCTTGACTTTTTAATAATAGCCATTCTGACTGGTATAAGATGATATCTCAAGGGAACACTTATATCCTGCTTGTAGGAATGGAAATTAGCTCAGCCATTGTGGAGAGTAGTTTGGTAATTTCTCAGAGAACTTCAGAATTACCATTTGACCCAGTAAATCCCAAAGGAATATAACTCATTCTACTATAAAGACACATGCATGTGTATGTTCATCACAGCACTATTCACAATACCAGAGACATGAAATCAATATACATGCCCATCGGCGGTAGACTGGATAAATATTTCATTTTATTTGGCATTAAGAAAAATGTTCCAAATCAGACATAGCAATTTGGAGGAGGAGTAAGAACTGAGGAAATTGAAAGCCAGACAACCCATCCCCAATCCTCTATTCTTACCTCTTGTCTAGCCCCACCAACTTTACTCTCAGGAGGTTGCACAAAGCACACTCCTGTACACAAACTGAGAAATAGAGCATGACAAATATCATCTATGCACTTTAGAATTGTGGGTTACCATAGCAGTGAAGCACTTCAGGTAAATTGCTATAGTGCGTTTGGAATTGAAATCCTAACTTAAAGGAACTAAGACTGTTTCTCTCAGATTAAAAAAAAAAAAAGCTTACCAATAAATATATTGCTGCAGGGCTTAGCTTTAAGTGAAAGTTTTTAGATTGTCTTCCATGAAAACAACAACGGACAGGAAAAGCTTTAAACTTACAAACAATCCTACAAAGAGATCTACAAGCATTGTTAGTAGAAGAAAATCTAAAACTGCCAAGAAAGCAACTTTATGACCATAATCCCTGACTGGCTGAGAAATCCTGCAATGTTTTCATCAAGGATAACACATTTTCTCATATGTTCTGTGAACCATCTTGCTCTGGTAATTATCTGCTGCTGAGTAAGTCTTTTGCATTTTATTCAAGGATATACCCATAAAACCCAACCAAGATGACTAAAACAGATGATCTTCTCATCAGTATGCTCTGAAAGCAATACATAACAAATTCCATTTACCCTCTAATATTTGTCCTAGGGAGAGGATACCTAAATCTAGAAATGACTAGGGCATCTGTGAAGTCAAACGATGTTTGTAGAATAGACAGCCAATTTTTCCAACTAACATACATTAGAATTTGATTTATCCGGTTTATTGTTAAAAAGAGTCTCTCTAGTTAGGTGGCATTATCCTGGACAATAAATATAGTGATAATATGACTCACTTCAAGACTTTCAGGGTTTTCTTTTTAATCATCAAAAAATTAAATTATTTAAAGCGCTTATTTTATTTTATTCTAGGACATTAAAATTAGGAAGGACCATAAGGACTATAACCTAACCAGAAAAATTGATGAGCCAAATATTTTATTCTCAGCTATCCAAGGTAACAATTTACTGAACTTCATTATAATCACCTCTCTTGATGAGTCACTGGTGAATTTATTAATAGCTAAATTAAAAACTATTATGATTCAATTCTATTCAAAACATTTCTTAAGTGTGTCTTATATGTATGCTGTAATATACTAAGCAGGTAACTTTTATGTACTGGACATGGTACAGGCTCTACTGATAATGTGAAGTTTTGCTGGGGATATATTATTACCTTCCTCCTGCCTTTTTTCTTTTTTTCTTTCCTCTTTCCCTGTATCCACTGCCATCCTCTTTCTTTCTTCTGGCTTTCACCCACACATTCAAGTTAAAAAATGTGGTTAAAAACATATTGGTTGGCCCTGATAAAGGTTAAGGATGCAAAACAAAGAACGAAAATTGCCCTTAATTTAGGGGTACCCATGCCCTAATCTTTTCAACTTGTAAACATATTACCTTACATGAAAAAAGATAGTTGGCAAAGGTGATGAGATACTTGAATGGGCTACTATTTTTCAAAGAAGTGATAGAAGAACGTCAAGCTTGGAAGGACTAATATATGCAAAGGCACGCAGTCTTTAAAAGTACTCCTATGTCTTTGATATAATATTTAGAACAATATAAATTTCAAAGTCAAACTTACTTTATTCTCTACTATTTGACTTCATACCAAGATATAGCCAAAATTCTTTTTTTTTTTTGAGATGGAGTTTCGCTCTTGTCCAGGCTGGAATGCAATAGCGCGATCTTGGCTACTGCAACCTCCGCCTCCCGAGGTCAAGCAATTCTCCTGCCTCAGCCTCCTGAGTAGCTGGGATTACAGGCATGTGCCACCACGCCTGGCTAAGTTTGTATTTTTAGTAGAGACAGGGTTAGTCCATGTTGGTCAGGCTGGTCTCGAACTACCATCCTCAGGTGATCTGCCTGCCTTAGCCTCCAAAAATGTTGGGATTACAGGCATGAGCCACTGCTCCCAGCCAACAAATTCTTATGTATTATTCTGTTTGATTTCAATTCACATACAAACATACATTTATTTACAAAGATGGGATTATACTATGCTCATTGTTGGGGTACTTTATTTTCATCTTAAAATTATGTATTAGATATATTTGATATAATCATATATCTTTATAACTATATAATATTCCATTCTATGCATATACCATAATTTATTCAATCCCATATTTATGGGTATGTTTTGCTTTTACAACTAAGACTGCAATATTTCTTTTCTTTTTTCTTTTCTTTTTTTTTTTTTTTTGAGACGGAGTCTCACTGTCTCACTCATGCTGGAGTGCAATGGTGTGATCTCGGCTCACTGCAACCTCTGCATCCCTGGTTCAAGCGATTCTCCTGCCTCAGCCTCCCGAGTAACTGGGATTACAGGTGCCCGCCACCATGCCCAGCTAATTTTTGTAGTTTTAGTAGAGACAGGGTTTCACCAGGTTAGCCAGCGTGGTCTCAAACCCCTGACCTCAGGCGATCCACCTGCTTTGGCCTCCCAAAGTGCTGGGATTACAGGCGTGAGCCACTGCACCTGACCAGGCTGCAATATTTCTTATACACATATCTTTGTTTATGAAACTGGCTTATTGAATGCACTGAACTCATTGAATAAAAACAAGGATATTGTTTTGTTATTATCTTCCTACTACCTTTAACAGTCGTTCTCAAAGTATGGTCTCTGGACTATCAACATCAACATCAATATCACCTGGAAACATAGAAATGCAAATTCTCAGACCTCACAGGCCGTCCTCGCAGACCTCCTGAATCAGAAACTCGGGGAGTGGGACCAGGAGTCTGTGTTTTAACAAGCCCTCCAAGTGATTCTGATGCATATTAAAGTTTGATCATCACTGGCCAACACTCCTCCCATTCCTACTCCTCAAGGACATTTCAGGCAAATCCCTTAGCTTTCTCGTCTCATTCAATTTCACTACTTGCTTTCAGGCATTAAAATATGTCATAGATAAATTGAATAGAAATTTCAATTTCACAATCAATTCAAGACTAGAACCATGACTTACAAGTAGGGAAGGGGGAGACTATCTATTTTTTTGCTTTTCTTTCTTATTCTCATCTTACTCTGCTACTGTTGGATCTCTCTTCTCTCAATAACTAAGACCTAAAAAAAAGGAGTTGGAAAAAAACAGAAACCACTTGTTAGGTGATTTGTGCTGTTGTAATCTAACAATCAGGTTCTTTAATGAGGCAGCCACCAAATGTGGATTGTTTGAAAGACCTTCACAGGTATCTCTAATTTGCACAGTTCCAAGACAGGAGTAGTGTACTCACATGACCTCTTACAATTCTTCACCCCATCATTCTCCATCTTCTGGCTCTATAGCCACAGCTCTTGGAAGTAGTGCACTGCACAGCCTCTTATTGTTAGAATCCTCTTACCCCCAAAACTGATTGTTTTAACTGATATTAGGTTGAAATGACTCAAACTGAATTACCTTCCACAGCAATCAGTTAATTGACAGCAAACGCATGCATCTATGACATGCTAATTGTTGGGAGTACAGACTATTCCTCTGCTATCTTTTCTCTTTGCCAGTCTCTAGGGTTTAAAAAGTCCTGATAAATATTAATCCTTTCCCTATCTGAAATCAAAGCGAACTGACATACATGTAGAAGTGAAAAAGATGAAGATGGAGATTAAGTATTAGTATTATTATGAATGAAAGCTTGTTTGAAGGAAATAGCTTAGAGCTGTGCCAGTAGTACTTGCCAATGCATCAAGCCCAAATTAAACAGAACTCTTACCTAGTCATAGGCATTGCTGGCAAACTGCGGTACTCACCCCCACGGAACAGGCTGCTTCGTCCTTGGCAGAAGAGCAAATGCTAAGGCATGCATCTTATGTGCAGGCTGGTTCCCAAAGACTGGAGAAAGAGTAGTTAGTGTAGTCAGAAACTTTGTGCAGGCTCATCAGATAAATTCTCCTCTTTCCAAATAAAGAAATGAGAGAAATGAAGAGAGAAGCAAAACGTTATCTAGTTCAGCTTTGTCTTACTATACATGCAATATGAACAACAAGTGCTAGTCACATATACAGTTTTAAATTGTCTAGTAACCACATTAAAAAGGAAAAAGAAACAAGTAAAATTAACTTTAGTAATACATTTTTATTTAACCCAGTATCCCAAAATATTACTATTTCATAGAATAATCAGTATACAAATATTAATGATGTCTAATACTCTTGTTTTGTACTAAGTCTTCAAAATTTGATGTGCATTTGACATTTTCAGCACATTTCATTAGGACTGGCCACATTTTAAAACACTCAACTAAAGAGTTTCTGCACAGCCAAAGAAACTACCATCAGAGTGAACAGGCAACCTACAAAATGGGAGAAAATTTTTGCAACCTACTCATCTGACAAAGGGCTAATATCCAGAATCTACAATGAACTCAAACAAATTTACAAGAAAAAAACAAACAACCCCATCAAAAAGTGGGCGAAGGACATGAACAGACACTTCTCAAAAGAAGACATTTATGCAGCCAAAAAACACATGAAAAAGTGTTCATCATCACTGGCCATCAGAGAAATGCAAATCAAAACCACAATGAGATACCATCTCACACCAGTTAGAATGGCGATCATTAAAAAGTCAGGAAACAACAGGTGCTGGAGAGGATGTGGAGAAATAGGAACACTTTTACACTGTTGGTGGGACTGTAAACTAGTTCAACCATTGTGGAAGTCAGTGTGGCGATTCATCAGGGATCTAGAACTGGAAATACCATTTGACCCAGCCATCCCATTACTGGGTATATACCCAAAGGATTATAAATCATGCTGCTATAAAGACACATGCACATGTATGTTTATTGCAGCATTATTCACAATAGCAAAGACTTGGAACCAACCCAAATGTCCAACAATGATAGACCGGATTAAGAAAATGTGGCACATATACACCATGGAATACTATGCAGCCATAAAAAATGATGAGTTCATGTCCTTTGTAGGGACATGGGTGAAATTGGAAATCATCATTCTCAGTAAACTATCGCAAGAACAAAAAACCAAACACCGCATGTTCTCACTCATAGGTGGGAATTGAACAATGAGATCACATGGACACAGGAAGGGGAATATCACACTCTGGGGACTGTTGTGGGGTGGGGGGAGGGGGGAGGGATAGCATCGGGAGATATACCTAATGCTAGATGACGAGTTAGTGGGTGCAGCGCACCAGCATGGCACATGTATACATATGTAACTAACCTACACAATGTGCACACGTACCCTAAAACTTAAAGTATAATTAAAAAAAAAAAAGAAAAAAGAAAAAAAAAACACTCATGAGAGGTACAAGTCACTGGCTACCATATTGGACCATGAAGATCTAGTTTAATGCTTCCTACCTTGAAACATAAGGAGAAAGGATTGTATTTTTTCATTACAATCAGCCAGATTCCATAATTCAGAATTCCCCCAGCATAAATGAAACAATTGTTTCATTATGACACCTTTCACACTGAGCTCCAAACACCACAATTCAAGAGATTCTAATTCTCTAATTTATTTTTGTAGGCCTATCTTAAATATAAGCCTACAAATTTTTGCAACTCAGCAAGCATCCTGCTATGAAGTATGATCTTGTTCTCCTATAATTTTTACTGTCACTCCTATTACAAGTAAATCTTTTTGAGCCCTCTTTCTTGGATGAGAGAGAAAACCCATCTACAGCAAGAGCCAGGGGAACAATTTATGTTTTCAAGCTCTGTTGATGAGTGTGTGTGTTGGGGCAAAAATGATGCATCTTGAAGTAATTATTATCAATTTTCTTCAAATGTTCAGCTTTATACAATTCCAAACAACCAGAAAAACGTTCATTGAACATTTTGTACTATATCCTTGAAAATATATCTGAAGAATACATTTGTGAATGTGAAATTGCTGAATCAAAGGAAATGTATTTCTTAAAATAGTTTTTATAATTTTATAGATGCTGTTAATTGGTCATTGTAAAGCCATCCTCAACCTACTTCTCCTTTGTCACCTCCCACTAGAGCAACAGGAAATCAAATTCTTGCTTTCCCAGTCTCCTTTAAATCTAGGAATGGCCATAGGACTTTATCTGACCCTTGAAACATGAGCAAAAGTCTTTTGAGGGGAAATGTCTAGAGATCTCCTTCTTTTTCTAAAAGCTGGCATAGCCCTTCTCCCTTTCTCCTTTTCTTTGTTTTTGGCAACAGAGAAAAATGTGTGAGTCAACAAAATGTGTGAATCAGCTGTTTGGAGCCCATGGGGTGACATGCATGAGGGGCAGGCTAATGAAATCACAGAAGAGGTGGTGCTGGTTATCATCAACCTGCTGAACCAGCAATTAACTTCATATTGTTTGAAGTATTTTTTAAAAACCCTTATTTATTCAAGCCACATTGTCAAATTTTCTGTTACTTGCAGCCAAAACATTCCTAAGTGATTAGTCTGTTGACAAAAGCCTCTCCAACAAATTGTACCAATCCAATCGTTTTCAAACAAACAGTATATAAGAGTGAATTTTCGCCCAGTATATCCCTGCCAATACAGGGTATCATTAAGAGTTTTAGTTTCTGCAATCTAATAGGTGAAAAATGGTATCTCACATTATTTCAATCTCCAAGAACAGAGATTTATATTTTTGTTAGGGCCACTTCACCTGAAGAAAAATATTTCTGTCTACATATTGTATTTTAAAAGTGATAGTCGGCTCCCAAAATATATCGTTAGTTTAAAAATAACAACAACAAAAAACTTGAAAGACTTTAAATTATAATGATATGTATTTAGAAGCTGTAATAATATTTATAGCCTAATAATTAACATTCTTCCTATTATATATCTTATACAATAGATATAATATGTATATATACGAAAGAAACCCATTTTAACACAAATATTATATATATTACTTGCCTCAGACAATGGGAAAACATGTGACATACAGTCAATGAATAAACTTTGCCTATGAAATCATCTAAAATTTCCAAAGAATTTAGAACCTTACATCCCTTGAGGATGTCCCTTCTCTTGATCTTGCTCAAATAGTATTATTTTGTGCACCACAGCTATTATTGCCAAAATGTTAAGCTCTTACAGGCTAAAAGTGGAACATTTTCTTGTTGCAAAGCAAATTCATTTTACATAATTGAATTTTAAGGAAAAAATTGTTTTTTTATTCTGAGACTCCTTTATCTCACTTTTTTCCATTTGTTCTATTATATATACGAGCTGAAATATATTCAAAGAGATTAAAATTGGTTTATATTCTATAAGGTTAGAAATGAAATTTTTGTACAATTAGTTATCATACATATTCAATTTACTGAAAACTTCATATATAAAGAGTCAGCATTTATGGAAAATCTGGTTTTTAGCATATGCAATAAATGTGCATGATTATCTATTAAGGGTATTTACTATTTTCTTGGAATTTTACATTATTTTACATTAACAAAATATTGAGACACTTGAGATGCCTGGAATATGATTATTTTGCATGCATAATAAAGTTTTCTTAGTATTATCATAATTATCACAATCAGAGCCTTATCCTAGCTGATTATGATGAGCCTGCAATCAGTAACAAAAATGTGGAAGTTTCCTGCTATACCAACAAATATTGAACATAGATAATAAGTAGTAGTTTCACTGGAATGTTTCTAGAGGAAGCCACCTATTTGAGCCCCTCCTGAATGGGCCTTTGTTATTTCAGAGCTTTCCTTGACTCTTGTCTTCCAGGTTATTTCTACCTTGAAAAAAGAGGGTCCTGATAGGTACCTCAGATTACTGAATGATGCATGCTCTCTTTTCTTCTTTCTCTAAGCCCTATTGCTTAGGGACTGGCCTGTCCCCATTTTCCCCTTCTAGCTTTGAAACCACCTATCCTGGGTTGGGGATCTTTCCAATATTATGCTTCTAAAACCATCACGGTGTAGAAACTTGATCCCCAAAGTTCTACACCATTTTGACACTTCTCTGGAATGTTTATTATTTGCCAGAAAATGTTCTAAAATCGACACATACCTATTTAAATCAAATAACTGATGATTAGCTCCTTCACTGGGATTACTGCTTCTGCCCTATTTGGTTCTACATTCTGTTAATTCTCCATTCTTTCTTTTTTAGCCATTCTTTACCTGAATTAAATGTAAAAAGCAGTATAGTATACTAGACAAGAGTTCCTGAACTTAAATTCTGACATGAACATTTACTATCTGTGCCTATGGGGAAATTTCTTAAACAAGTGGTAACTGTTTCCTTATCTGTAAAATGAGGATGATGACAGCATCTACTTTATAGTGTTATTTGAAAAATGAGTTAATAACTGTAAAATGTGTTAATAACTGTAAAACTCATAGAAAATAATCTGGAATGTAGACAGTGCTCAATAATATTACATATCAATAATTTAATATAACATGAAGCCACTTAAGACAAACCTAGGATATGAAAGTCATAAAAATTATTTTTACTACAGGATACCCTGGGACTGCCTATACTTAGGAAAATAAGGAAGGAAAAAAGAGATTCCCAATGTATTTAACAGTGGCAAGAAAGGTAAAAAATGAGACAAGAAGCAATAAGTTGAAATTCACCTATTGAAATTGTTGTTTTGCTGCTTAAATATTGAAAATTTCTCATAGAACAGTAGAGCCAAAATTAAGCCAAAAGGCTGGCTGAAAAATTACTGGATAAGAATAAATGTCACATTTATGCCCAGGCCATTCTAAAACCAAATACAGATTAAGCAGCAAACACCTGAGTGAGAAGGATTATGCTAAGACAGTATAAGGAAAAAGAATTGTTGGCCGGGCGCAGTGGCTCATGCCTATAATCCCAGCACTTTGGGAGGTCGAGGCGGGTGGATTACGAGGCCAGGAGATCGAAACCATCCTGCGAACACAGTGAAACCCCATCTCTACTAAAAATACAAAAAATTAGCTGGGCATGGTGACACATGCCTGTATTCCCAGCTACTCGGGAGGCTGAGGCAGGAGAATCGCTTGAACCTGGAGGTGGAGGTTGCAGTGAGCTGAGATCACACCACTGCACTCTAGCCTGGGCAACAGAGCAAGACTCTGTCTCAAAAAAAAAAAAAAAAAAAAGGAATTGTCAAATGCCTTAAGTCCAATAAAACAAATAGAAAAAGAAGGGAGGATGGTCAGCTGAATTCAGGTCTGAGTACCACGTTGTGGGTAAACATATGTAAGTTCTTTATCAGACTGCAAAATCGTATGGGATTATGATTAATTTACTGATAAGGTGCTGGCAATGCAATGCTGTAATGAACTAAAATATGATGCATAGTAAGCTTTCAGACAAAAAGCTTATTCTTACTAAACTTCTCATTAATTAAAAGTATTGGAAGAGTTTGGAAGAACATTATAATTATCGTCATTATTTTCATGTTCAAACTAGAACCTTATTGTGTTAATAGAATATTCCAGGCATAGGTAAACTCAATCTTAGCTCAATTTCCTGCACCTCAAATTGTAAGAGAAGTAGCTCTTCCCTAGTCTGTCTGTTCCACAGAATCAAAACCCCTTACCCTCACCTTCAGTTTCATATTTTGCCTCCTGCCTCCATCTCTTATTTCATTTCCTTATTATTTACCACCATTAGTTAGAGAGACCACATTATTTATTATCTGAACTGAAGCAACTCCAACAGTAAATATAGGTCTCTAAAATAATTAAACTAATATAAATATTTGAAATATTTATGTGCTAAAGTTCGGCTTTATTATACTGGTGGACCTATATATTTTCATTTAAAACTAATTTTAAAATAAAATTCTACTTAGAAAGTAAAAATAACATATAAAAATGTACAAAAAGGGGGAAATCTACTTTATCTTGGCTATCAGAATATTAAAAAATAAAATAAGCAGTGTAAACCTTGTTGGTACATATGCATGTACTTTTAATCAGTTTCTTAGTTGTATCTATCCCAAAACCATGTCACTGGCATTTTTCCAAATACTGTATTTCAATGGTCATATATTTATTTTTTTGTAAAATTTTCTGCAGTCTTCTTCAAAACCAAATATAATGTGAATAAATTTGAAATTGTTGCTATCATCAATAGAATATTTTCTGTAATCACAATGATTTTTATTAGGAAAATATTCTTTTTATAGGGATGGAACAACTGATAAACCCAAAGTGAATTCTACCAAATGAAGGACATTCTTAGTTCAATATTTTGTATTTAAATGAGTAATCACAAATATTTTGCAAGCACATCTTTTTTACCTGCAGTCAGAGAATTTGTCTGAAAAATATTTTACGTAAAAAACTGATCAAGTAACTCATTGCTATTTATAATTGTTTTAGATGTTTTGCCAAATTTAGATCTTGCAAAATTATAGGCCTTCTCAAGCTTCATTCTATTCTTGTACAGAATCTAAATTAGTCCACGAAAATGGGAGTTCCATCAAAATCAGCTTATTCCGAAAGCAATTCTAGAACTTCAAACTAAATCTTACTTGCTGTTTGAACTCCTACTATTTAAATTGTTCATTTATTCCTTTGCTTTTATATTGAGAAATTTCCAAACAATCCTGCTTTTAAGCTTTATTTTCAATAATTCTGTTTATAAGATTTATTTTCAATTATTCTCCAAAAGATGGAGACTCTTGGCATTCCACTTGTTGAATATTTAATTCAAGATTTCTCATTGATTTTTCAGGGAAATGTAACCAAGATTTAGGGAAGTCATTATTTAAAAGTTTGCTACCGGCCGGGCTCAGTGGCTCACACCTGTAATCTCAGTGTTTTGGGAGGCCGAGGCGGGTGGATCACCTGAGGTCAGGAGTTCGAGACCAGCCTGACCAATATGTTGAAACCCTGTCTCTACCAAAAATACAAAAATTAGCCGGGCATGTTGGCATGCGCGTGTAATCCCAGCTACTCAGGAGGCTGAGACAGGAGAATCGCTTGAACCCAGGAGGCAGAGGTTGCAGTGAGCCAAGATCATGCCATTGCATTCCAGCCTGGGCAACAGGAGTGAAACTCCGTCTCAAAAAAAAAAAAAAAAAAAAAAAAGTTTGTTACCACAGTAAGATACTTAGGTTGAATGACAAGGCAGTTCTTCAAAGACTCAAGCATTTCTGAAGTCTGAACAATGCTGGACAGCAAAGAGAGAAAGAAACTTATTGGCAGGCTGAAGTGTTTAGTTGTACTCAACATCAATTTTGTCACAGACATCTTGCAGTTGTTACTCTAAGTGTGTACACGTTTAAAATATTCATCAAATTTTGGCAAATTAATGTGTATCGTAAAAATACCAAGTAAATTTTCACTTTGTCGTTTTCTTAATTTAGTTATAGCAGTCTTTTAATGACAATACTGTTCTCTACACAAAAAATTTTAGCTACAGTATCACTGCAATAACCATTTTAAATAGAGTTTCAAACTTGTCAACTAAATTTACAATAGCAATATAATAATGTTAAACATATAAACTATGAGAGAATCGGCTTCCAAAAGATTTACTTTGATTCCATGAAATTAAGTTTTTTAAAAGGGAATCATTATGGAAATTAACTGATTTCCTATTTTAAGCATCTAATGATGTTTATGTGAAAACTAGCATCATTTAACTGCCTGCAAAATTCCGCTAATCGCTCTGATACATTAATATCTAACATTTCATTTTTTGTACATGAAAAAAAGCTTGGGGTTAAAATTGAGCAAAATTAATTCAAAATAATAATTTTTAATCTAGATTTACCTTCTGGAGCTTCAAGTATCTAATAAAGTTTGGAACAGATGATGATTTATGTTTTTCAGGATACTTAGATTTTCAAGTTTCCACATGGTCAGAGATATATTATGGCCTCTGTGATGGATGATAAATATTGTCAAATATTTATATAGCTTAAATATTCTTTATCAACTTTATTGAGAAAGAGACAGACCATAAGATTTCATTATACATGCACTTTCTTTTTTTTAGTTTATTGCTACTGATACTGTTTATTCCAAAATAAAAATATCTCACCAAACAAAAAAATAGAGATATATACCATATGCTTAATGACAGAGGGTTATTGAGATAAATCTGTATGCAAAGTACATGAGGACACTCCTAGCGCTTTCAATATAACTCCTTGGGTGTACCAGAGACCTTCAAGTGGAACTTTGTAAAATTTTACATGATATTACTCACAAGATCAAAGACAGATTGGCCTTTGTACTCAGTCAATGCTTGGTTAGAGGAAGGGAGAATATTACAGACATTTTTTAGTGTGTCTCTGATGCCTATCTTATCTGTCACCAGTTTAATAATGGTAAACTGTAAGAGTAAGACATGGTCAAGAACGCAAGTTTCCCAGTCCCTTTGAAAAACTCCAAATAGGTTCCATATTGAGTTTCTAATGAGTTTTTAATATGTCCAGATCAGTGATTATTCTCAGGATAAAATGAAGCTGTTCCTACCAAAGAGCTATGGCTCAGACAGTAGCAAAAGTTTAACTAATTTTATGTACCTAGCACAGGGAATTCCAACTTATCTCTCCAGTGATAAAAATATTCATTTCCCTGGGACTGTTATTATAGAACTTTAAAGTCTTTGCCACATAAACAACTTTATGGTCCAGATCACTCTCAATCCTCAGGAAAGTAGAAAGAGACAATGTCATGCTTAAATTCAAATGAGTAAAATTGTCTATCACTATTTGGCTTGTTGCCTAACAATGTCCTCATAACCATGAAATCCTTTACCTCTGAGACCCATAAAATATCATCAAAATTATTACATATCACCATAAGAGGTTAAATATTTCTCTTCTAATTTTGGACTCTAAATTACTTCCATCAGACATCAAGGCATAGCAAAGTTCTTTGAAGAACTCGTGCAATATACTTAATCTTATCAACAACATATACAAATTGCTCTTCCTTCACAACCTCCTAAACAAATTCTATGTGATAAAACTCAGAGACTTTATCTTCTGAAAAAGGATAAAAAATGTCTTGGAACTACATTGGGAACAATGGTGTCAGGTACTTCTAACCACTAACACAGCAGTTTAACTCCATAGTGTAAATCCTTGGATTCATGTGCCCTTGCTAAAAATCACACAAAGTTTCAAACTTCCTTTGTACTGTACTGCCATTCCATTGAGAGATTTAACATAAGGATTCTTAAGAATGTTTCAGAAGCAGATAGTCAGAAGAAGACGTCTTCAAACCAAGAGCTTCAGATCAAGAAGACAACAGCATGATGTAGAAAACATCCACCCCAAACCTACAGAACTAGATCTAGCTCACTGGGGCTGCAGATTGCCATGCATGCCTTTGTTTTTTGTTTTCCTAGTTGATTTCTTTCCTTTTTGCTGAGTTAAGGTTTTATATTTTAAATAAACACTTGTTATTTTTAATGTAATACTTACAAAATTTTATATATAATACGTCTTTATGCATTCTTAATTACTCTTTGGTATGGGTCCAATCCCTGGCTGCATACTTTTCATGATTTGGACAAATGTACAATCAAACTGACTGATTTGTACATATCTCTGAATGTTAATCAGTTCTCTTAAGTATTAATGCCTAAAACACATTTGTTTACACTAATTATTAGACTGAACCATAACATGAGTTTTATCTAGCAAATAGCATAATAGTTCAGGTAAACAAAAATGTAAAACCATCTGTCGTACAATACCTACAAGAAGAGGTTTCTGTTTTCACGAAAATAACAGCCAAGATCCATTTGTAATAAATAGACCTGATAATCAAACTTTTATAGGGATTAGGCTCAGATGAAAAACAGGAAATACATGTTTTATAGTTTACCTCTTACATTTACAGACCTTACAAAGAAGGCTTCCTATGTAAGTTAAAAAACTGATTTCCTATCAGATTGAATCATTAATCTATTTAATAATGTCATCACTTTATGGTCTTCTGCCTAGTACCTAACTACTTCTGAATAGAAATGAAACCATATAATGAAATCGAGATACTCCATTAAGCTATTTCAGTCAAGATCACATCATTTAGTAGAAATCAATGACTATTATTGAATTTGTGTGCCCCCCCACACACGAAAAAAAGGTTATTGGCTACTACCAGAAAACCTGACAAGATCTTATCTCAGGATACTTATATCTGTCTGCAGGATAGTCTCTAAAATAACACAGTTTCCATTTTGACCCTCTAGTTCTCCTTCTTTGAAAAATAGCTTGCTTTAAGAAAAGAAAAACTGGCCTCAATTAGAGGTTCAATTCCTAACTTATTCAGTGAAAAATTCTAGACAACTTTTTTCTGTCCTCAAGACTTTTTATATTATTCTTTGAAAGAGATATAGAATATAAGGAAATTCTTATCTGTCATAGTTCAATAATTGAAAGAGAAGCTAAACAACCTCAGTAAGCGCATAGATTTGCTCTCATAAGAAGTTTATGAGATTGGAACATGTTGATTTAAAATAGAGCAGTCCTAGACAGAATATTGACATGGTGGTACATGTGCTACTTCAGAGGAATAATTGAGGTGGCACATGTGCTATTTCAGAGGAATAATTGTTATAGCATCCCTACAGATTTTTATGAGACCTTTAATACTACTAAGAAGATGACAAATAAATGAGGAAATCATGAAATTAATTAACTAATAGCCTCATATTTGTTCTGCAGGCTCTTCATATTGGGGATGGAATCTGTTATCTTGGTTTAATTTAGGCACTGTTGGATTTCAGTTTAGCAGTCAGCTACAAATCTTGATTATAATTATTCTAGTATTTGTCTAAGTGGCATGGTTTAAATGCTGTTGTTCAGCCACTGCTCCAT
Source organism: Homo sapiens (assembly GCF_000001405.40). Lineage (NCBI taxonomy): Eukaryota > Metazoa > Chordata > Mammalia > Primates > Hominidae > Homo > Homo sapiens. Next base: position 82,234,612 of record NC_000012.12, read on the forward strand.
CAAGTAATCCAAAAAACTGACCTGCCAAAAAGAACAAGAAAACCTGACATATATAGCAGTTGAAATGACTACCAGCAAAAACTTGCTGTGTAATTATGACTTTCCAAAGAATTTATATAGACCTGAACTGATCATTTCCCCAGATGATAATGGTCTATCCTTTAGCCTGGGCTGGAAAATGATGACATGTAGAGGTGAAGAATTGAAACAACGTGTGTCACTATGACTTAGTTGAGATTGTATATTACCTGTGTCAACATGAGTTAGTTGTTTGTTCCAGGAAATTTTGCCAAGAAAAAAATAAAGATGTAAACCAATAAATCATTGTTTGTTTATGTAAATTTCCAAAGATCAATTTATTAGAGGCAATAGACTGTTCACCTGAGAGAATAACTTGTTTGTCACCCATAGTTTATTTATCAAGACTTGCTTCATCACCCTTGTTTCTCTGTGTCCACCAAATCTAAACTATTATATCATTAATTTTGTCTAAACCTAATTAGTTCCCCATCTTTCCAGACTCATCTTCAACAACTTCATCTTATATAACAATGACCTATAAATATTCCACTTCTGAACTCTCCTTCCCAAAACAATACCAAGACTATATTAAGGTGGTGTGCTACCCAATGAAGAAAATTCTAGTAAATTTTGCTTTCCTTTATTAATAGATTGTTTGGTGATATTTAGTAGAACTCAACATAAACTACTTCATTTGGTTGGCCATCAAAGTCTCATTCTTCAGTGTCATTGTTCATTGTTTGCCTCACTTCTAAAACTTCCAATACCCCCTCTTTTCTCCTCTTTTGCTAAGAATGACCAACTCATTTTACTTTTTAAATTTTTTTTAAATTTTTGTGAGTACATGGTCAGTGTATATATTTATGGGGTACATAAGATATTTTTATACAGGTATGTAATGCATAATCATCAAATATGGAAAATGGGGTATCCATCTCCTCAAGTATTTATTCTTTGTGTTACAATCAAATTATATTCTTTTAGTTATTTTAAAATGTTACAATTAAATTATTATTGACCCTAGTCCCTGTTGTGCTATCAAACACTAGACCTTATTCATTCATTCTATTTTTGTATCTATTAACCGTCTCCACTTCTGTCTCACCACACCCCACAACTACCTTTCCAAGCCCTCTTGTTACCATCTTTCTATTCTCTGTCTCCTTGGGTTCCATTGTTTTGATATTTAGATCCCACAAATAAGTGAGAACATGTGACATTTGTATTTCTGTGTCTGGCTTATTTTTCTTAACATAATGAACTCCAGTTCCGTCCATGTTGTTGCAAATAACCGAATCTTATTTTTTTATGGCTGAATTTACTCCATTGTGTCTAAGTACCACATTTTCTTTATCCATTATTCTGTCAATGAAGACACATTGCTTCCAAATCTTGGTTGTTGTGAACAAAGCTGCAACAAACCTGGGAGTGCAGATATCTCTTTGATCTACTTGTTTTCTTTCTTTTGGGTATGTACCAGCAGTATAATTGCTGAATTGTTTGGTAGCTCTATTTTTAGTTTTATGAGGACCGTCCAAACTGTTTTTCTCCAAACTGTTTTAGTTTTATGAGGACGCTCCAAACTGTTTTGTACTAATTTGCACTCCTACCAACAGTGTACAAGTGATCCTTTTACTCCACATTCTCATCAGCATTTGTTATTGTCTGTCTTTTGGATAGGAGCCATTTTAACTGGAGTGAGATGTTGTCTCATTGTAGTTTTGATTTGCATTTCTCTGATTAAGTCCAATGTTTCTTTGTTGATTTTCTGTCTGAAAGATATGTTTAAAGCTGAAAGTGGGGCGTTGATGACTCCAGCTATAATTGTATTAGAATCTATCTCTCTCTTTACCTCTAATAAAATTTGCTTTTATATCTGGGTGCTCCAGTATTGGATACCATATATATTTTAAATTGTTGTATCTTTTTAATTAATTGACTTTTTTATCATTATATGGTGATCTTCTTTGTCTCTTCTTATAGTTTTTGTCTTGAAATCTATTTTGACTGATATAAATATAGCTACTCCTGGTCTTTTTTGGTTTCTATTGGCATGGAGTTTCTTCTTCCATCTCTATTTTCAATGTAGGTGCATCTTTATAGGTGAAGTGTATTTCTTGTAGGCAACAAATCAATAGATCTTGGTTTTCATCCATTCAGCCACTCTATGTCTTTTGATTGGAGACTTTAGTCCATTACATTGAATGTTATTACTGATAAGTAAGGACTTACTCCCGCCATTTTATTATTTGTTTTCTCATTGCTTTGTGGCATTCTCTTCTTTGTTTATTTCCTTCCTGTCTTCCTTTTAGTGAAAGTTGTTTTCTATGGCAGTATGATTTAGTTTCTTGCTTCATATTTTTTGTATATCCATTGTATGCTTTTTGGTTTGAGGTTAACATGAGGCTTGCAAATACTATCTTATACCAATTATTTTAAGCTGATCACAACCTAAAGCCAAGCAGGGTGACTCATGCCTCTAATCCCAGCACTTTGGGAGGCCAACACAGGTGGATCACGAGGGCAGGAGATCGAGACCATCCTGGCCAAAGCGGTGAAAACCTGTCTGTACTAAAAACACAAAAAATTAGCCAGGAGTGGTGGTTCATGCCTGTAATCCCAGCTACTCGGCAGGCTGTGGCAGGAGAATTGCTTGAACCCGGGAGGCAAAAGTTGCAGTGAGCCGAGATTGTGCCACTGTACTCCAGCCTGGTGACAGAGTGAGACTCCATCTCAAAAAAAAAAAAAAGAAAAAGAAAAAAGAAAAAAGAAAGATATTGATTCTAAATACATGTGGAAACAAGTTTCTAATGCACCTTACGAGCTTGTCACCAAAGATCTTTATTTCCTTTTCCAACACCCCTCCACCAGCACCATTTGTTTTTCTCCTGATTACATTTTAGAACTCAGCTTATAAATTGTGCCCTCTGGGAAATCTTCCATCATGCATTGAGGTTGAATACTATATCACTAATCACAGTGTTTTAATGGCTCTTTTAATTGTCTTTTTTTCCCTTTTAGCCATAAACTTTTTTTTTTTCTTTTTTTTGACAGTCTTGCTCTGTCACCAGGCTGGAGTGCAGTGGTGTGATCTTGGCTCACTGCAACCCCCGCCTCCCAGATTCAAGCAATTCTCCTGCCTCAGCCTCCTGAGTAGCTGGAACTATAGGCACATGCCACCATACCCAGCTAATTTTTGTCTTTTTAGTAGAGACAGGGTTTTACCACATTGGCCAGGATGGTCTCCATGTCTTAACCTCATGATCCGCCTGCCTCGGCCTCCCAAAGTACTGGGATTACAGGTATGAGCCACCGCGCCTGGCCCATAAGCTTCTTGAGAGCAGGAACTGATTTATTCATTAATGTACTCCTGGATATTTAACACAGAGTTTGACCTATTGTTCATTATCACTAAATATTAGATCTTGAGGGTTTTGAATATTTAAGATATTTTCATAAATTTTATATTTTTGAATGCTTTGTTAGTGTGAGGCATTGTGTAGAATAATTCATGACATGTATCTTCATGAAGAGGTGACATTTTGGTTAATTCAGAAAGGAAGTTAAAGTTTACAATTGAAAAAAATTAAAGAAATATGATAAAAACATTGTAACCAAATTAATTCTTCAGATTAGCTTAGCCAAACACCCTTTAATAATCTGTCATGATCTTCCATTAGGTATCTAGGGGTCCTAGATAAGCAAATGTAAAGACTTGAGAAAACTGTGCCTTTCAACACTAGAAAAATGTGATTATTATAAAATTAAAGGATAATCTGTTCAGGAACCAGCACTATAGGACAGTGTTACAATTTTTAGGAAATACAAGATAAAAGCATATTTTGTCTCCCACTGCTTTGATATATTTTTAGTCGAGTCTGAGCAAATATTCTCTCTTTTTTTCTGTTTGTGTGTCTGCAAACAGAAATCTCATTAAAATGTCTACCAGAAATACTATGGAATTAGATGCTAGATTAAAGACAAGAACATTGGATTCCTAAGTGCTGTGGAAGATAAAGTTTTAATAATAAAAGTAAACTCAAACCTATGACACATCTTATTTTCTTTATTTTTGAAAACTTAGGTTACCATGACAACAAAGTAACCTGAGGAATCCAATAGTTCATTAATTCAATTAAGTTTTTTTTTTTTTCTCCAAGAAAACAGAAGATTTTGTTCTCCTTCAAGAATTTATAAACCGCAGGGCAAAATCTGCCATAAAATCATTTAAAATGAAAATCTCCAATTAAAGCAATGCATCTTTTAGAAATAATATCTGCCAGAAATTTCAAAATCCTACTGAGTCTTGAAATTATTAGTTCCTCTATTTAATCCCCAGGCATCTTGAATTTCAATACTTTTAAATAATTCCTCTGACAATACCAAATAGAACTAAGTGTAAAATGACAACAATTAGCTACGAATTAGCATTTCAAATGACAATGTAAAAGCTCAGTATTATTTGAGATGCAGCCAAAATATTACAGGATAGAGAAGTGACATTCTTCCCTTATTAATTAGGGAATATTAGTGGGAATATTAATATAGTGCAATATTAGTGGTTCTAATATTGCACACTACTTTAGGAATTTGAATAGTTTTCTTTAAAATGTTAATGCAGCTCCTAGTTTCTAAAGTTTTTCCATCAATACTGCTTCAATAGCAAGATTATTCTTCAATCCAGCCATGTTAAGTATTACATATAACTTCAAATATAGTATATTTTAGCCTATCCATTTGTGTTGCTGACAACAAAACATAATGTGAAGGTCAATCAAATTATGACAAGGAGAATACGAGCAAAATAATATTTTAAACATTTGTGTGACTCTCACTTATCTAGCTAAATACACTAGCCTCTTTATTATTTTATTCATTTTTTTTTCTTTTACAACTTTTATTTTGTGTATAAGGGGCATATACACAGGTTTGTTACATGGGTAAATTAAGTGTTGCTGGGGTTTGGTGTACAAATCACTTCATCACCCAGGTAGTTGCACAGAACCCAATAGGTAGTTTTTCAACCCTTACCTTCCTCTCACCCTCCACCCTCAAGTAGGCCCTGGTGTCTACTGTTTCCCTCTTTGTGTCCATGTGTTCTCATCATTTAGCTCACGTTTATAAATGAGAACATGTGGTGTTTGGTTTTCTGTTTCTGCATTAATTTTCCCAGTATAATGGCATCTGGTTGCATATATGCTGCTACAAAGGACATGATTTCATTTTTTTACGGCTGCATAGTATTCCATGATGTATATGTGCCATATTTTATCTAGTCTATCACTGATGGACATTTAGGTTGATATCATCATGTCTTTGCTATTATGAATAGTGCTGCAGGGAACATACATGTGTTTTTTTGGTAGAATGATTTATATTCCTTTGGTACATACCCAGTAATAGGCTTGCTGGGTCGAATGGTAACTCTGTTTTAATTTCTTTGAGAAATCTCCAAACTGCTTTCCTTAGTGGCTGAACTAATTTGCATTCACATCAGGAGTATATAAGTGTTTCTTTTTCTCTGCAACCTTGCCAATATCTGTAATTTTTTGACTTTTTAATAATAGCCATATTGACTGCTGTGAAATGGTATGTTATTGTGGTCTTGATTTGCATTTCTTTAGTGATTAGTGATGTTGAGCATTTTTTCATAAGCTTCTTGGCTGCATGCATCTCTTTTGAAAAGTATCTGTTCATGCCCTTTTTGCCTACTTTTTAACAGTGCTGTTTGCTTTTTTCCTGCTAAATTAAGTTCCTTATAGATTCTGGATATTAAACCTTTGTTTGATGCATAGTTTGCAAATATTTTCTCCCATTCCATAGGTTGCCTGTTTACTCTGCTGATAGTTTCTTTTGCTGTACAGAAGCTCTTTAGTTTAATTACCTGAATAAACTTGATCCATGCTTAGGGTTTACATAATCAAGTCCCTTTTTAATCTTTTTTGAGATTATATAAACATCAACAATAGTAAACTTCTATAGAAGAAATTAGGTTGGGCCCAATTTATTACCTTTCCACGTCCAGTTAGCATCATTTAGATACACTATGAGTTTCTTATCAAGTTGATAGCTATGAGTCTAATAAAGATGACATTAAAATATAAATGTAAAGAATTCATATATTACAAATTTACTGAATTTTATTTGTTCTAAAACATAGCTTTGTGACTATATACATATATAGATACATATATGACATATATGATACACGTATACACATAAATGATATATTTATTTACCATCCTTTGTACCTGAAAGAATATTATTAAAGACAGTAATGGTTACATGTAGCTGTGATTTCAAATCTGAAATATGATGTATTTTTAAAAGAAATATACTATACAAACAGCATTGACAACTAACTTTTTGATTCTTGGGGAACATATTGCTGTTCTGTTTCCATCTCATGAGGAATTTGTCAAGTTGTCATTTGAATGCCATCACTGGGTAACAGCCAGTGATACACATTGTGCCAGGCACTGTCCTAAGCATTTTTATATATATTACTATATTTCATCCAATAAAAAATAAAAGTAATTATTATTGTTGCCATTTTACATGGTGATGAGAATGACTCAGAGGAACTGGAATATGCCTAGGGATGCAAAGAGAGTAGGATTCGGAGTAGTGATTCTCATCCAGGTCTAACTGACATCAGAGACCAGGCTCTTCACATGCTACAACCCGTTGATCTAGCCCCTTCTCTGAAATTTTTCTTTTGTTGGTCCTTTAGTAGTGTGTCAGTCTATTCCTGAAATGACCATAATGCTCATTCCTTAACATTTAGTAGCTTTGGGGTGTCCTAGTCATATAACCTAAGGTAGTCCTGGGATAATGAATAAAAGGAATAAGTTGCTGACAGTCTCTCCTATTGAAGGTTTTCACAGTTTGCAAATAAAAATATAGACATGCAGTTTAATTTGGATTTCAGATAAAATTTGAATCTTAAATGTTGCCTGGAAAATACTTACACAAAAATTATTTGTTGTTTATCTGAAATTCAAACTTAAGTGTGTACATTGTATTTTACCTAGCTTGTATCCTCATTCCTCCCCTACACAAATGTGAACAGTAACTGTGGCTCCAATACCAAATATGACTTTTGAAAATATATTAGCGTTAATTTTTGAAAATCTTAATAGAAGAGATCATGGTTGAGGAATCCAAGGCCTATAGAGAAAAGTAATGTTAAGAGAAATAAGATCATGAGTAGACTTATAAAATGCATAAAATAATTTTACATTTGCTAAAACCAAAAAAGTACAAAAATAAATTACAGAAATATCAATGGGGATGTTAAATATCTCAGTTTTATAATAGTGCATCTTGGGAAGTTGCTTTCTATTTAACTTCGATCTTGAGATTAGTCATGAGAGGAAGAGGAGGCCACTCTGATAGTACTTACAGGAGAGAAAAAGAGGAAAGTATCATATAAATTAGATTCCAAAAGTTCATTTTTGTGTTTGTGGGTTCAGCTGGCTTCTGATTATTGGCTTTTTAAAAATTAATATATAATGGTTCAAGGTTTTCAGAAAGTGTTTCTCTATATTCCATTCTCTCATTCATACTCATTTATTTTTGAGAAATTATAAAATTTGAGCTAAGCAACATTTTTTGAAGATATTCTTATCACTCTTTACAAAGTTGTAGCAATTTAGTCATGTCTTTTCTGCAGATTTCCCCTTAGAATTTGATTGCATAAATGCTCAAAGTACCAACTTCAGGTACTAAGTCTTTTTTCAGGTGAAATCAAATAAAGTTCTTGATCCCCTTCAATATGATTTCCAAAATTACGTTTGGCTTCTTTTGTAAATGTACAGTACACTTTTTCTTTAATCTGAAATACTCTGTCTCTGTACTTTTTTCTGGAAGCTGAATTCCTCCTGCCACTACCAGTATTCTCTACACTTTGGCAATGGAATAGAGATTTAAGGAAAAAAAAGAAAAAAGTGTTTTGCTGGGTGCGGTGGCTCATGCTTGTAATCCCAGTACTTTGGGAGGCCAAGGCGGGCAGATCACCTGAGGTCAGGAATCCAAGACAAGCCTGACCAACATGGTAAAACCCCGTCTCTACTAAAAATACAAAATTAGCCAGGTGTGGTGGTGCATGCCTGTAATCACAGCTACTTGGGAGGCTAAGGCAGGAGAATCGCTTGAATCTGGGAGGTGGAGGTTACAGGGAGCAGAGATGGCACCATTGCACTCCAGCCTGAGCGACAAGAGCGAAACTCCATCTCAAAACAAAACAAAACAGTGTTTTATCACAATGAGTCACATCCTACTTGGTGTCCAAGAAAACATTACCTGGCCTCATGATATTTCTTGTCTAACACCATCAACTTCCGGTATAGCAGTAGTTCCCCTTCATTACTAATTATTCATTTAATGTCCAGCAGCCTATGTCTACATACCCAGGCATTAATTATTCATCAAGACCTTCAATTCTTTCACTCCTCTTCAATTCTGTGTTCTATTCCTCATTCTCTCTTCCTTTCATTCCTCATTAAGCTTATATTTCCTGTTCTATGATTACAGGCTCCCCTGGAAGATATCCTCTACTCTTCATTCTTCTCTCCTGCTGACATACATGTGTAGCAAAACTCCAAGTCTGGTTGAGGCCAAATATACTCAAGAAGCCAAAAGTTGCTTGCAAATGACATGTACCTGGGATGACTAGTTTCACTTTAAATTTCATGATCCTAGACCTCAAAGAAATTTTCAAAGCTGCTCAAGCTTCAAACCCTCTTTCCCTAGCAAGTTTGCTTCCTCACTCTGGAAATAGCAATTTTGTGCTTTTGTCTCCTCAGATCCTCTACATTCCTTTAATTAGCCTACTCTGAATAAATTCACTTTATACCTCTTTCAGAAAAAAATAGCCTTCAGACAATAACTTCCCCATCTTTCCATCACCTAATCTACATGCCTACCTGCACCATTACTTTGACTTTCTCTCCCGTTGTTACAGGGTCCCTTCTTTTATCAAAAGCCAATTCTTTAACCTAGGCCTTGAAGCACACGATTTCTTTCTTGAAACTGTGCTTCTTAGGTTGTCTTCTCTCCTTCTCCTGTATTACTAATTTCTCTTTACATTAATCATTACTTTCAGGACATATGCTGTTTCCTGTCTTCAAACAAACATTTATTGACATATATGAACCTCCAGCTACCAATTTATTTGTTAGAATCACTGCCATAAAACTGTCTGTAAATATGTTTACATTTACTGTGTCTACTTCTCACTTTCTGTTTACTCTTAAACCCCCTAGCTTTGAACTGGAAATTCACAACAACCTTCAGGACGTAACTCTAATGGACACCTTTCTATACCTATCTTACACACAGCTGTGAAAGAGTGACTTAAATGACCATTCTGCCTTTTGGGGTTTTTTAAATTAATTTTTTTATTGTTATACTTTAAGTTCTGGGATACATGTGAAGAACATGCAGGTTGTCACATGGATCTACACGTGCCATGGTGCTTTGCTGCACCCATCAACCCGTCATCTACATTAGGTATTTCTCCTAATGCTATCCCACCTCTAGTCCCCAACCCCCAACAGACCCCAGTGTATGATGTTTCCCTCCCTGTGTCCATGTGTTCTCGTTGTTCACCTCCCACTTATGAGGGAGAACATGCGGTGTTTGGTTTTCTGGTCCTGTCTTAGTTTGCTGAGAATCATGGTTTCCAGCTTCATCCATGTCCCTGCAAAGGACATGACCTCATCCCTTTTATGGCTGCATAGTAGTCCATGGTATATATGTGCCACATTTTCTTTATCCAGTCTATCATTGATGGGCATTTGGGTTGGCTCCAAGTCTTTGCTATTGTGAATACTGTTGCAAAAACATACACGTGCATGTGTCTTTATACTAGAATGATTTATAATATTTTGGGTGTATACCCAGTAATGGGATTGCTGGGTCAAATAGTATTTCTGGTTCTAGATCCTTGAGGAATTGCCACACTGTCTTCCACAGTGGTTGAACTAATTTACACTCCCACCAACAGTGTAAAAGTGTTTCTATTTCTCCACATCCTCTCCATCATTAGTTGTTTCCTGACTGTTTAATGATCGCCATTCTAACCGGCATGAGATGGTATCTAATTGTGGTTTTGATTTGCATTCTGTAATGACCAGTGATGACGAGCTTTTTTTTCATATGTTCGTTGCCCAAATAAATGTCTTTTGAGAAGTGTCTATTCATATCCTTTGCCCACTTTTTGATGGGGTTGTTTTTTTCTTGTAAATCTGTTAAAGTTCCTTGTAGATTCTGGATATTATCCCTCTGTCATATGGATAGGCTGCAAAATTTTCTCCCATTCTATAGGTTGCCTGTTCATTCTGCTGATACTTTCTTTTGCTGTGGAGAAGCTCTTTAGTTGAATTAGATCCCATTTGTCAATTTTGGCTTTTGTTGCCATTGCTTTTGGTGTTTTAGTCATGAAGTCTTTGCCCATGCCTATGTCCTGAATGGTATTGCTGAGGTTTTCTTCTAGGGTTTTTATGGTTTTGGGTCTTATGTTTAAAGTCTTTAATCCATCTTGAGTTAATTTTTGTTTAAGGTGTAAGGAAGGGATCCAGTTTCAGTTTTCTGCGTATGGCTAACCCCATCGTCTCAGCTCAAAATCTCCTTAAGCTGATAAGCAACTTCAGCAAAGTCTCAGGTTACAAAATCAATGTGCAAAAATCACAATCATTCCTATACACCAATAACAGACAAACAGCCAAATCATGAGTGAACTCCCATTCACAATTGCTACAAAGAGAATAAAATACCTAGGAATACAATTTACAAGGGATGTGAAGGACCTCTTCAAGGAAAACTACAAACGACTGCTCAAGGAAATAAGAGAGGACACAAACAAATGGAAAAACATTCCATGCTCATGGATAGGAAGAATCAATACTGTGAAAATGGCCATACTGCCCAAAGTAATTTATAGATTCAATGTTATCCCCATCAAGCTACCATTGACTTTCTTCACAGAATTAGAAAAATCTGGAACCAAAAAAGAGCCCATATGGCCAAGACAATCCTAACAGAAAAGAACAAAGCTGGAGGCATCTCGCTACCTGACTTCAAACTATACTACAAGGCTGCAGTAACCAAAACAGCATGGTACTGGTACCAAAACAGATATATAGACCAATGGAACAGAACAGAGGCCTCAGAAATAATGCCACACATCTACCACCATCTGATCTTTGACCAACCCCTTTTGTATTTTTTTTGTTTTTTGTTTTTGTTTTTGTTTTTGAGATGGTTCTGGCTCCGTTGCCCAGGCTGGAGTGCAGAGGTGAGATGCTGGCTCACTGCAACCTCCACCTCCTGGGTTCAAGCGATTCTCCTGCCTCAGCCTCCCGAGTAGCTGGGAGTATTGGTGCCTGCCACCATGTCGGGCCAATTTTTGTATTTTTAGTAGAGACAGGGTTTCACCATATTGGTCAGGCTGTTCTCAAACTCCTGACCTTAGGTGATCCACCCGCCTCGGCCTCCCAAAGTGCTGGGATTACAGGTGTGAGCCACTGTACCCAGCCTAAAGAAAAGATACAGAAGTTAATAAGAATTACATACCTGTAAAATTTAGTAAAATTAAATGGCCTGGGAAATTGCTGTTTCATAGGATGTTAAAAATTAAAAATAAATGCTGTAGATGTGATGATTTGTGATTATAGAAATTAGTGTTTGAATTTTAAGCTTTCTAGTTAAGTAAGGGGGAGGCTAATTTTCCATGAGAGTATTTTCAGAAAGATCATCTATTAAAAACAGATATAGGCTGGGCACAGCGACTCATGCCTGTAATCCCAACACTTTGGGATGCTGAGGCAGGCGGATCACCTTAGGTCAGGAGTTCGAGACCAGCCTGGCCAACATAGTGAAACCTTGTGTCTACTAAAAATACAAAAATTAGCCAGGCGAGGTGGTGTGCACCTGTAATTCCAGCTACTTGGGAGGCTGAGGCAGGAGAATCGCTTGAACTTGGGAGGCAGAGGTTGCAATGAGCTGAGATTGTGCCACTGCACTCCAGCCTGGGTGACAGAGCAAGACTTTGTCTCAAAAAAAAAAAAAATCAAAGAATTAATAGAACACAGTGTTTTGGATGCTAGGTTATTTGTTGTTGCTGTGTTTTTTTATTTGTTTGTTTTTGCGGTTTTTTTTTTTTGAGATGGAGTCTCACTCTGCCGCCCAGATTGGAGTGCAGTGGTGCGATCTCGGCTCACTGCAACCTCCACCTCCTGGGTTCAAGCAATTATCCCACCTCAGCCTCCAGAGTAGCTGGTAGTACAGGCAGGTGCCACCACGCCCAGCTAATTTTTGTATTTTTAGTAGAGATGGGGTTTCGCCATGTTGGTTAGGCTGGTCTCGAACTCCTGACCTCAGGTGATCCACCCGCCTTGGCCTCCCAAAGTGCTAGGATTACTAGCTTTTTGGCATGAGCTACTCCGCCCAGCCTCACTCCCACTTTTTGAAATTCTCTCTTTGCTTTGTGTATTATTCTGCTTTTGCTGGGGTTTGCTATATTACAAACAACTGCAAAGTCTTGTTGACTTAAGAAAACTAACAACTACTTCTGACTCTAATTACATGTTTTCTGTGCCTCATGCCTAGTTACAAAGTTTCTGTGCCTTGCTTGGCATGGCTTTGCTCCAAATTATGCACTGGTTTCATACTTACAGGGTCTCAGGTTAAAGGAGCAGCTTCTCTCTGGGACATACCCTTCTTTTGGCAGGGGGCTCCAGAACAAAAACCTTGGCAGAAATTTGTAGTGCTTCTAAATCTGCTCAGATATGCTGTGCGTCATGTCTGCAGATTCTCCATTAGCCAAATAACATGACTGAGCCCAAAGTCAGTGAGATGTCAAAGTATTCTCTGCAACTTACCTGGCAATGGGCAGGGATGAATACTCTTTAAGACAGGGAGAGGTATAGCGGACACAATAATAAATCTATCACACTTCTGGCTTTTCTCCTTTCATTGGCTCCCTCTTTTTGATCTTTTTTATTGTTGTTGTTGCTTCTCTACCTTTTTAATGTTGAAGGACTTCTCGAACTCCTGACCTCAGGTGATCCACCCACCTCAGCCTCCCAAAGTGCTGGGATTACAGGCGTGAGCCACCGCTCCTGGCCCTTAATGTTGAAGGATTTCAAAGATTATTTCTAGACAACTTTTTTTTCCTTCTACTCTCTTCCTACTTTATCTCAGCCATTCCAATTGTGGGAAACATGCTCAAGTGTCCAGACCCAAAGAATGGACCAGAGGCACTAAAAACAGCAAAAGTGAGGCTTTTTAATAACGGTCTTGCAAGATCAGGTATCTAATGAGCAGGCACATCCCGGGCAGTCTACAACAGGTCTCATTTATCTCTTAGCATGCAAGTCCCTCCCCCAGTTCCTCACTGGTTGACGACTATGGAGTTACAATCTTCCCGGACATCGCCTAAATTCCATTATCCCCCTTGTAAGGTTATACCCCATTCCCTTCCCCACTTAAGTTTCGATTTCCCAATAACAAAACATTCTTCCTTTTATGGGCTGACCCCTCCTCTAAATTCTGTTCGCTTATTGTGACCTTCTAGGTGCATGAGCCACGCGGTTTTTTACATTTGCAGGCTGGCTGCCGGTGCTTAGATTTATCATGCCTTGAAAATAGACCACTCAAAATGTTTTCTCACATAATGTTTCTTAAATATTAAATCCATTTTAATGACTCCCAAATGTACATTTTATTTTTGATTAACTTCTCCCTTGAGATACTCCAAGCAGTACCCTTGATTCATCACACACACACACACACACACACACACACACGCACAGAATCCCTTATGTTTCCATATCTCATTTTATTACTCCATTCTCACACTGCTATAAAGAACTGCCCAAGACTGGGTAGTTTATAATGAAAAGAGGTTTAATTGACTCACAGTTCTGCATGGCTAGGGAGGCCTCAGGAAACTTATAATAATGGCAGAAGGGGAAGAGGCATGTCTTACATGGTGGCAGGTAAGAGAGAGTGAGTGTGAGAAGGAGGAACTGTCAGACACTTATACAACCATCAGATCTTGAGAGAACTTATTCTCTATTATGAGAACAGCATGGGGGACACCACCCCATCATCCAGTCACCGTCCACCAGGTCTTTCCCTCAACACATGGGGATTACAGGGATTAAAATTCAAGATGAGATTTGGGTGGGGACACAAAGCCTAATCATATCACTTGCTAAATAGTTCCAATTGTCCACACCAAAAACAAAGAATTTGTTTTGTTGATTTATTTCTTCCATTAGTTACATTTCACTCTTTATCATTTCCCCAAAATTTTGCCTTTAATATATATTAGGAATTGTTTACTTCTCTTCATCTCTGCTACCTCTACCCCAATTCATCTACAAAGAAACAAAATCATGGGAGATTTGTTGACTATAGAAAAAAAAATACAGTCCCAAGCCTCAGAGAGCACCCAATTTAACAATATGAACCAACACATGCATTTTTAAAATGGTAAAATCATATGACACATACTAAATTTAAGGAAAGTATTTTGGTAGTAAAAGATTCATGTAAGAAATAAATTAATTCTGGTTTTGGTAGCAACAGAAATTAACAAAAATGAGAAAATTCTCCCTCTGCTTTTTCTTATGGGATTAGTGCCATTTTACCAGGCACACTCTGAAAATGGGTGCATATATGTTAGTGGGGAAGATTTAGGGGTAATGATTTTAACATAAAGGATGGGAGAGAGAAAAAAAGATGAGAAGACAGATAACCAGTTAGAAAGCTGGTGAGCAATCCTAAGAACCTGAATTTGAGTATTGAATGTGGAGATAAAGAAAAAGACAGAAATTCTATAGATGGAAGTTTCCTTCTTTCACACAATTCAGTTTTCATTGTGGGAGGAAATGCATGCTTGCTTTTACACTAAGGTATAACAAGAAAGACATCCCTCAAGACACTTATAAATTTTGGTGGCCTTCTCTGTACTGAAATTGTGCAATATATTTCAATGTCTATTATCAGCTAGATCTATGACATCCAAAAAAGTGGGAAATGAAAGCCAAAATAAGACAACCAGAAGGAAACAGATATATTGCTATTCTAGAATTATTGTGTCCTGTTCTCATTTTTAGAAATACATCAAAATTTTTAGAAAATGGAAATATGTCATTTAGGTATCACAACTCTTTACTGGGATAAGCATTATCTTAGTCTCAAAAACTCTTCGTTTTGTTTCAAGTTAAAAATCAGTGAAAGCATTATTGATCTAGCCTCTTAATATAAAACACTGCACCTTCACCTTCACCCAAGCTATAAATTCAAAACTCAGCGTATGATTGCTCCATCAGTCTGAAAAAAGGCTGTTGGAGGAATTTAAAAATAAAATTTAATATATACATGCATCCAAGATATGACTTATTCATACTTTTATATTTTTAGTGTCAGCAGTGAAACTAAAGTTTTCACTACTTTATGTTAGATTTATCTTGGATGTATTTTAAGCATTAAGAATGAAATGACAGAGTCTATCATTTATATCAAAATTATAATCTCTAAAGTGACCTGTGAGGTTCCAAATATGTGCACAGAAAACCAGTAATACATTATGATAAGTATATATTACATATGATTCCCTATTGTCTTCTGCCAGTCCACTAAGCAGATGCATCTCTGGTCCCAAGGGGCATATGTAAGGTGACATGTTTATATATGTCTGAAAGTTCCCATTTGACAATCCTTTCTCTACACCTCTAGTCAGAGGACAGGTTGTGCAACTGGAAGGAGTAAAGCAGTGTGCTGAGATAAAATATAAATAAATCCCATAATAGCTCTCCTGATTAAATCCAGTTTTCTTTCCTGAAACTTTGCTTAAATGTTATCCATTCTGATGACAGAAGCCATCTGTTTTTGTTTGGGCTTTTAAATAAACATTTATAGAGCCCTTACCATAAGCTAGCTACTGTTTTATGTGGTGTACATGGATTATCTCATTTAATTTAATTCTTCTAAACACCCAGTGAAGTTTGCCCTATTATTATCCCCATTATGCTGATAAAGAAATTAAGATTTAAAGAGTTAGTGATTTGCAGAAGGTCACAAACCTAGAACACAGAGGCTTTGGTTGAGACTGTTTTTTCCGTAATAATTCTTAAATCAGAAGGGTCATGGAAGCATATAATCAGGCATTCTTTTCTTCCAAAGCTAAACATTTTTCCCACTTAAATTTGAAATTTACTTCTTTTCCAAGGAAACAGAGATGGGTCAAGAGAAAGGGTGGGAATTACATCTTTTTAATTTGACATTAGGCAATTGACATATTTCTTTTTCTTCCTGGAAATAAGTCACCATCCCTTGAAACTAATGGGTCATCTTCATGTTTTAGAAAAGACAATTTAATTCATGATGCAATTTACCAAATACTATACAATCATTCCATATATATTTAACTATTTTATGTATTTAAGTCCTACTTTATCACACAAATAATTGAGTTGTTCATACAATATTAATTATAAAATAAAACTAGGTCCCTCCTAATATAACTATAAACTATAAGGTTGAAGGAAACTTAGACCGTCGGCCGGGCGCGGTGGCTCAAGCCTGCAATCCCAGAACTTTGCGAGGCCGAGGGGGGTGGATCACGAGGTCAGAAGATCAAGACCATCCTGGATAACACGGTGAAACCCTGTCTCTACTAAAAATACAAAAGAACTTGGGAGGCGGAGCTTGCAGTGAGCTGAGATCGCGCCACTGCACTCCAGCCTGTGCGACAGAGCGAGACTCCGTCTCAAAAAAAAAAAGAAAAAAAAAAGGAAAAGAAGGAAACAGACCATCATCTCTGCCAACCACACATAAAATATTTAAAACATTTATTGTACCCTACCTAGGTTTAAACATCTGTGGTAGGGAGAAAATCGCCATGTACAATGTCAGATTGTTCCATCAAAAACTCATATACCTAGCTTTTTCCCATATATTGAGGCAAATAAGTCTTCCTGTACAATCTATTTGTTGAACCTAATTTATCCCTTAGGGGTCATTTTTTTAACAGTTCATCAATATTCACATACCATACAGTTCATCCATTAAAGTGTACAATTCTAACTTTTTAAGTATATTCACAGAACTGAGCAACTATCACCACAATCCATTTTAGAACATCTTCATGACCCCAAAAAGAAACATCCCTCCTATTAGCAATCACTCCCATTTTTGCCCCAATCTCTCCAGCTCAGGAAACCACTGAGCTACTTTCTGTCTCTATAGATGTTCCTATTCTGAACATTTTATATATATGAAATTACAAAATCTGTAGTCTTTTTTGACTGGCTTCTTTCTCTTAGAATATGTTTTCAAGATTCATCTGCATTATAAAATGCATCAGTACTTCATTTCTTTTTATTGCAGAATAGTATTTCATTGGATGAATATACCAAATTTTATTTATCTATGTCCCAGTTGATCAAGTTGTTTCAACTTTTCACTACGTTGAAAATTCTGTAGCAAACATTTGTATACAAAGTTTTTTTTTGTGAATGTATGTTTTCAATTCTCTTGAAATTCCATACCTAGGTCTACCTGTAACATTTTGAGGAACTGCCAAACTGTTTTCCATAAAACATAAAGCGTCTGTGCCATTTTATATTGCCACCAGCAATAGGTGTGAGGGTTCCAAATTCCCCACATGTTCATCAACACTTATTATCTATCTTTTTTTTAAAGCCATTCTGGTAGGAGTGAATTAGTATCTCATTGGTTTTGATTTGCATTTCCCTAATGCCTGACAGTCTTCATCCTCTTTTCATGTGCTTTTGGCCATTTGTATGTCATCTTTGAAGAAATGTATACTTGGGTCTTTTGCTCTTTTTTTAATTGGTTTATTTAATTGTTTTGAAAATTGATTTGTGTTGTCTATATTAAAGATATGCAATATGATGTTTTGAGATACATACACATAAATGATTACTGCAGTCAAACAAATGTACATATCCATCACCTTCTATATTTACCTGGTGTGTGTGTGTGTGTGTGTGTGTGTGTGTGTGTGTGTGTGTGTGCATCTGTGAGGTAAAAACACCTAAAATATACTCTCTTAGCAGATTTTTCAGTATACAGTAGAATATTATTAACTACAGTCTTCATACTGTACATTAGGCCCCTAGACATATTCATTCTTCCTAACTGCAAATTTGTAGCCTTTGATCCACATCTCCATTTCTTCCTCTCATAATAACTACAGTTCTACTCTCTGTTTCTATTTATTCAACTTTATATTGTAGGATTCTGCATATAAGAAAGGTCATAGAATATTTTTCTTTCTGTATATTGCTTATTTCACTTAGCATAATGTCCTCTAGCTTCATCCATGTTGTCAAAAATGGAAGTAGAGTCAGTTCTCCATTTCTGTGGGTTCTGCATATGCAGATTCAATAAACTACAGATAATAGATATTAAATAGATAAATAAAAATTAATAAAATAACACAAATAAAAAACAATATAGCATAACAACTATTTATGTAGCATTTACATTGTATTAGGTACTATAAGCAACCTAGAGATGATTTAAAGTATATGGGAAGATGTGCACAGATTATATGCAAATACTATGCCACTTTATTTAAGGGACTTAAGCAACCACAGATTTTGATATCTCCAAGGCATGCTGGAACAAATCCCCTGCAGATATCAAGGGATTACTATATCTATTTTTTAAAAACTGAATAATATTCCACTGTGCTTGTGTGTGTGTGTGTGTGTGTGTATTTTTTATCCATTCGTCTGTCAGTGGGCACTTAGGTTGTTTCCACATCTTTGCTACTGTGAATAATGCTGCTGCAATGAAAATGGAAACACAGATATATCTATATGAGGTTCTGATTTCACTTCCTTGGATATGTTCTTAACAGAGGGATTATTTGCTAACAAGCCCACTAAGAAAACACAGTGGGGGAGGATAATGTCTTCAATAAGTGTTGTGAAAATTAGATACACACGTGCAAAACACTGAAACTGGACAATTGCGTATGTTATCTTATGCCATACACAAAAATTCAATATGGATAAATGACCTAAACAAGAAACCTAAAACCATAAAACTCCACAAAGAAAACATAGAGGGAAAGCTCCTTGACATTAGCCTTGGCAATGATATTTTGGATATCACACCAAAGCTCAGGCAACAAAAGCAAAAGTAAACAAGAGGGTCTACATAAAACTAAAAAGTTTATTTACAGCAAGGGGAACAATAAAATGAAAAGGTAGTCTACAGATTGAGAGAAAATATTTTCAAAGCATAAATCTGACAAGAGATTAATATATAAAATATATAAGGAAATCTCACAATTCAATATTTTTAAAAATGAACAATCCAGTTTAAAAATTGGCGAAAGTCCCAAATAGAAATTTTTCCAAAGAAGGCACAAAAATGACCAACAGGTATATGAAAAGGGGTTCAACATCACTAATCAATAGGGAAATGCAAAAAAAAAAAAAAAAAAAGCCAAAACGAGCTATCGCTTCACACCTGTTGGGATGGATATATCAAAAAGTCAATAGATAAAAGTGTTCCTGAGACTACCGAGGAAAGAAAACCCTTATACATTGTTGGTGGGGATGTAAATAGGACAGCCATTATGGAAAACAGTATGAAGGTGACTCAAAAAATTAAAAATAGAACTAGCTTATGGGTTACTTTTCAATTATTGAATTGTAAGAGTTTCATATATACATACTCTGGATACAAGTCTTTTATCACATATGTGGTTTGAAAATATTTTATCTCTCATTCTGTGGTTGTGTTTTTACTTTCTTGATGGTATCATTTGCAGCACAAGAGTTTTTAATTTTGATGAAGTCCAATTTATGTATATTTTTATTGGTGCTGTTGGTATTATTGGGGCCATTTTGACAATAATAATCAAAATTCCATATAATGGGCCTTCAAATATTTGAAAACAACTCTTATGTCTACATGAAATCCACACTGCACCTTATCCATATTTCTTTATTAAATATTCTAATGTCAAATCTTTTCAATATATTCATTACTTTACTCTGTAAGTGACTATTTTAAGTATAGACTGAAAAGTCTAGGTAAGACTAAGAATATTGCGTCCTTCACATTATTTTTTTTACTTCAAATACTAGTTCTTATTGGATCACGTTGATATTATAGATATGTAACATTTCTAAGTTTCCTTGCTGCTTTCTATATTTGTATACAAAGCTCTGTAAGCAACATCGTTTTTAATGTAATGCATAATACTCTATTGTGTATTTGTGTGCATGTATATAAAATTTCACCTTAATATTTTATAAATAATGAAACTAAGCATCATTTAAAAAATGTAAAATTATCTTTAACGGAGTTAAATGTATTTTAACATCTTATATATTGAAACATTGAAACACACACCTTCAGACACAAGTAAGAAATACATCAATAAGATAACAGATATTTATTAATAGAAATTTTAAATACCACTTGTAGTCTTTTTCTCAATATAGATTTTAAAGATATGCATTAAAAATTACATAAAATACACCTGTATAATTTAAACTATATTTATAAAACAAATACCTGATTTAACAAGGTAGAGAAGTAGGACATCGACAACATTTTGGAAAACCTGGAATTATGTCTTCCTCTGTAACATCCATTTCCCTCCTGCCTTGAGATACCCAATATTGTAAATTTATAACAATTATTTATTGCTTTTAGCAATGTTTTTCTTGTTTTTTAACTTTCTATAATTAGAATAATTTATTATTTAGCAACTTGGCTCTTTTGTTTATCATGATATTTTATCAGTGATGTGTGACATTCCGTTGTATGAGTATACCACAAATTTTTATCCATTTTCTTGTGGATGAATATTTATGTTGCTTTCTATTTGTGGTTATTTTTAAAATCTGATGTTTTTAACTATCTCAATTCTTATAACTGTCTAATTTTAAAATCTAATTCTTATAACTATCTCCTGGTACACACATGCAGGAGATTCTCTAGAGAGTATATTGGGAAAGGAATAAATGTTTTTCATATATTCAGCTTTACTAGAGAATGTCATACTCTTTCCCAAAATATTTATTAAAACATGTGTACTTCTGATTCATACCAAATTGTATTTATTTTTAAATTTCACATGTCCCTCTAGTGACTAAGTAAGGATATCTAGCTATGAATTTAGTTTGTATTTCTTTAATAATAAATGAGAGGCATTAGCTTTTTATTTGTTCAATCACCCTTTGGATTTTTTTTGTTTTCTAAAGTATCTGTATAAACCTATTGATTTTCTTCAATGAGTTGTAGAAATCTCTACATATTAAGGATATGGATAACCTATTGGTTATATGTGCTGCAACTTCTGCTATTTTTTTATTCTTTTGATGAAAAAAAATTATTAATTTTAATGTATTTGAACACTTTTTCTTTAAGGGTTTTCTTGTTTTAATGAAGAAATCTTTCTTCAGCCCAAGATCATAAAGACATTATCTGATTGGATATTCTAAAATCTTAACTTTAATCCACCTACACTTCACTTTTGTACATGGTATGAGAAGGAGTTTACAATATCCATTAATTTCTTGGTGAATATTCAATTATGCCATTACCATTAATTTAAAAGCCCATCTTTTTCTTACCTAATTGCAGTGCCACCTCTGTTATATATGCCTGGTTCTGTTTCTGGACTCTGAGATCTGTTCCACTGGTCTATTTCTCTAAACCTGCCCCAGTACAGCAACTATTTTATAGCTTTATAAGGAGTCTTAATATCTTTTAGAATGCTTTCACCAACAATTATGTTTTTCTTTCAAGAATGTCTTAGTTTTTGCATTTCCATAAAAATTTTGTAATCAACCTCGTAAATTCAACAATACCAAATCTATAGTGATCTCCGTGGGAACTGTGCCATAACTACAGATCAATTTGGAAAGAAATGTCATCTTTTTAAAACTAAGTTTCCCAATCCATGATTATAATACATTACTGTTTATTTATATATTTTAATGACCTTCAAAAACGCCATCATTTTGTCCATAGAGATCTTATACACTTTTGTTAAACTTGTTCCTAGGCATTGACATTTTTTGTTGCTACTGTGAATGTTATGCTCTAAAGCTTCATTTTCTGTTTGTGGCTCATATAGCATTGTATATTAATCTACTGTTTGGTATTAATTTTGTATCCAGAACCTTTACTGAACTGTCGTTAATTTTACATAAATTATGTATTTAATGTTGAATAGGATTAGTATTATCAGCATCCAGGTTCCAAAGCCCAAGAGAAAGCTTTTAGTATCTACTGAAAATTGGTATGTTGGTAACAATACCACATAAGCCTTATCAAATGAACTAGGATACATATTTCCTTATATTTCCTTTTCTATCCTCTGGAAGAGTTTGCATAAAATAAGAATTATTTCTTGTTGGATTATCTGGTAAAAGTCACAAGTAAAGCCATCCAGATCTGAAGTTTTTTTGTGAAAAAATTTTGATCACTCAATTTATTTTATGTTTATAGGAATATAGAATTCCCATTTTCTGTTTTGCCTTGATTCAGTTTGAGTAAGTTATCATTTCCAAGGAATTTGAACTTTTTTTCATATTTTAAAATTTATTGACATAATTATAATGCCATCTATCTAGTTACGATATGCAGCACCTGTAGTTATGTTCCTTTTTACATTCTTTATATGAATTTTTTATGCCTCCTTTTTTTCATAATTAAGCCTGCCAGAGGTTTGTCAATTTTATTTCTCTTTTCCCTCCAAAATGCAGAGTTTTGGCTTGGTTGATACTTTCTCTTGTATATCTGTTTTCTAGATCATTAATTTTTCTCTTACATTTATTATATTCTTCCTCATACATTTTGGGGTTTTATTTTGCTATACTTTTCTAAATTTTTGAGACAAATGGTTGGCATTAATTATCCTTTAAGATAAATCTTTAAGGACACAAATATCTAATCATTGCTTAGCTATATGACCCTGAAATATCTATTTAGTTTTTTCACTATTATGAAGTTAAAAATATCTTCTAATTTCCAATATGATTCCTTCTTTAAACCATGGATTATATATAACTGTGTTTAATGAGTTCCCATCTTATAGAATTTCTCCATAAGAACATAACATAAGAACTGTTACTGCTTTCTAACCTCTCAAAACTTAAATGCATTTTGGTAAGAGAACATGTTTTATATAATTTCAAGTGTTATTAGATTTTTGAAGCTTTCTTTGAGAAACATTGTCAATATTTTTAAAGTTTTCCATATATGCCATATATATATACACACACACATACACACACACATATATACATAAAATATGTATGTCCTTGAGTATCTGAGTTCATTAGGTCAAGAATGCTAATTGTATTGTTCATACTTTACTTACGTTTTGATCTCCTTGTTGTATCAACTAATGAAATAAGTATGCTAAAATCTGCCACCACAACTGAAGATGTATTTATTTATTTCTATAATTCTGAATGTTCTCCCTTCATATATTTGAGGCTATGCTAGTAGGTATCCATATTTACATAAATTTTCTATCTTCCTTAGACATTGAACCATTTATCTATGTGAAGTGACTGTCTGCATCTCTCAGAAATCTTTTATACACTGAAGCCAATTTTGCCTAACAGTAATATAGCTGCACCTGTTTTGTTGTTGCTCTTGTTGTTAGTGTTTGCATGGTAAATTATTTATGGCTTGTGGGTTGTTGTTGTTGTTGTTGTTTTTACTACCCAAGTGATAAGAATTTTTACCACAGTTCAATTCAAAATCTCACATATGGTGGTAATTTCTTAACGAATTTTTTTCTTTTCTCCTGCTCGCTAAGTGCCAGAGAAACTTTTCTTGTAATATCCTAGGGATGAGGGGATGGGTAGGAACACGTTTAGCTTTTAGTTCATACTTAGAAATTCTGAGATTGTAGTCCTTTGAGGTCTCAGATTTACGTTGGGGCCTCAGAGTTTCTGCATTAGCACTGCCCCACACCCTTTTTATTGTTTCCCAGTCTTTTATTTCCACACACAATTTGTGATCAGGCCATCAGATCTGAAACTCAAGTTGGTCCAATTAACAAAATTCCCATGGAGCAAGAGTAACTTCAGCTCTTGGCCTCAGCCTAGCTTTCAAATTTCCCGGGATCTTCATTAGCCATTCAACACATTTGCTATCCCTCTAAAACCTTTATAACCATTTTTTTCTACATATTAACTGGAAAGTTTGTATATTATAATAACTAAGTATGCAAATGCTAAATGCATATATCTCAACCCTGCAGTTTACTAGCACTATGATTTGGGCAAACCACTTCACCTCTCTGAGCCTCAGTTTACTTCTCAATGAAGTGTAGATAAATATACTACTCACCTCATAGCGTTATTGAGGTATTTAAAGAGGAGACTGAGCTTAAGACATGTAGCACAGCTCAGGATACATTAGTTCAAATACTTTGAGTTTCAAGTTAAAAAAAAAAAGAACCCTGCCTCAACTGCCATAGTAGTAGGAAGTTTTACATTACACACACTTCTGAAGGTAGGAAAGCTCCAGCTTATTATATTCACTGGTTCAAAGACATTATGAATGAGTGAAGTATTTCTACCCTTTCCTGCTATGCTTACCAGGTTGACTTTTTCCCTTCATGGTCTATAGATGATATTTGCCTCTTCAACCATTTTCTTCTTTATGGAAATGTTTGAAGACCTTAATAAACTTTTCTTTTCCTCTGTCTTTCAGAAACTTTCCCATCCTCGTTAACTTTCCTTAAAGGTCAGAATGTTCTCCTCTCTCTTTCTAAACTTACCAGTGGTAAAACGTTATAGGGGCACAAGGATTGTCTTAAATCAATCATGACTCTGGAGCTAGAGTTGATGTTTTTCCCCCTTGAACACATGCTACACAAAAGACAGTTAATAGCTGAACAAAATTTGTGTTTTGTTAGTAGGAGAAGGGGAGGATTCGCTTTGGTTAGAAATAAATAATATCTTCTAAAATTTCTATTATTATTCTTAATTGGGTAATTGATAAAATGTATTCCACAGGGCACAACAGAAGCTAGAACCTTAAATGAACAGTTAGAAATTCTCTTACATGTTTACATTAATTCATTAATCAGAACTCTTTGAGTAAAGTTACTAAGCAATTATTTTTCTAAACAACTATTCAAATATCTTTTTTCTGTCTTTCTCACAAGTATAAGATTAAAGAGCTTTTCTACTGACTTACTAAAGTTCAGAAACAAAATGCCTAATGTTTAGTGAGTGAGGTCTTTTATCAGTCTAGTATTTCTGTCCAAATGAATTTAGACTGACATGATTCATTTGAAATGAATTCATCTTGGCTCCTGGTGGCCAATTATTCCTTTCCTAGCTGCTCATAAATTACTATTTCAGTAATTCCTCCTTGTTTTTGGTCAAGAATCAACATCATAGACGTTGATCTTCCCCATGGATTATAAATACTAATAGTGGTGGCAGTGGTAACAGTACAGATAATATTTTGAAGGAATCTACTATGTGCTAGGCTTTTTGCTATGGTCTTTAAATATATCAAATCATTTAATACTCATGGCAACCCTGTAAATCTGAAACCTTGGCACAGAGTAGACAAGTTTCCTGCCCCAGATAAAAGTATCCAGAATCTGGAGCCCATGCTCTGGGCTACCATACAATAATATAATATTGGTAGTTCCTTTGCTTGTACTCAAGCCTCATAAGGCATATGATATGGTTTGGCTGTGTCCCCACCCAAATCCCATCTTGAATTGTAGCTCCCATAATCCCCACATGTGGTGGGAGGGACACATTGGTAGGTAATTGAATCATGGGGGCGTATATTCCCTGTGCTGTTCTCATGAGAGTGAATAAATCTCATGAGATCTGATGGTTTTATAAAGGGCAGTTCGCCTGCACACATTCTCTTGCCTGTTGCCATATAAGATGTGCCTTTCCTCCTCCTTTGCCTTCCGCCATGATTATGAGGCCTTCCCAGCCATGTAGAACTGTGAGTTAATTAAACCTCTTTTTCTTTATAAATTACCCAGTCTCTGATATTTCTTCACAGCAGTATGAAAATGGACTAATACAGCATAATGTAATATATGGTAATTTTATTGTGAGTTCTCAACAAGCTCACGTGACGTTTCTGCCATACTATGTTTAATTACTTTGATTACTTTGCTTTTACCTGTCTAGTATCTCAATCTTACTTGGACTGATAAATGAATTTCCAGTTAATGTCTTATCAATATAATTTGCCGCTATTAATCTGTAATTTCATGTTTGGGGTTGGAGTTAGCTCAAGCTATTACCTCCTAATGCTGGATTTTCCATAATTTCATGTTTGAGATCTCCTTAGAGCTGTAATTTATTTTACCACCGCTGCTTCCTAATCCTAAACAAGTGCATTGGACCTTATTTTTGAGAACAATTCATAAAATCTTCACATCAAGAAATATTGACAAGTGTCAACAAAATGTGTTTGAAGACTTAATAAACTTTACTATAAATAATCCTTATTTTACAGTAACTAAAGTGAACCTTTCAACCTTATTTTTCACACATATATTTAAGTCTATATGCAAAACAGAAACTATTTATTCACCTCTCCCTAAGTAGAATCAAGATCTTTGCTGGTTTTAAGGGGAAAAAATTTAATGTCAACAAATATAATTTTCTGTTAAATTCACACACATTTTGTTCATGGGCTTAGAATAAATTTTTAGGAAATGTAAATATAGCTCTAGACAATTATGTGAAATTATACTCTCACTTTTTTCTAAAATTTAAAATGCTATCCATATATAATATATTGCATCACTGTAGTAACTTTTCAGTACAGCTGTGGTTTTCATCATAAATTGGTAGTCAGTGAGCTATATCTCATGTCCAAGCCATCATTGGTATTCCATCTGTAGCTTTTTCTAAGTCCAGAACATTTTTCTATTCCCACCCTGATGTCAGTCCACAGCTGTACTTCCTCCTTATTTTCTCAGTTTATATAACTGCTTCTTGGTTCATTCTACTAAAACATACTGTATCAATATCCAAATATAGCAATGTTAGAAAATATAGACTAAATCTCAGATTTCATAGGCAGTAATGAAAATGACTTTGGGAGGGAATGTGTAACCATACTGCACAGCATTTTCAACTTTTCTGTCTTTCTAATTATTCTTTTTGTCTTCCCCCCTTGTTTATTGGATTCCCTTAGTTTTCTGTCCCTGACTATTCAGATAAAGCTATGTCTGGTTATTGGTATGGTAGGGGAAGTGGTTGCAAGGGAGAAGGTTATAGGCATTTGGTAAGCTATGCATTATCTCACTAGAAAAATGCCCATATGTACCTACCTATCACACCCATACACACACACACACAGACACACACGCTAGACAATCCAAATGGAACAAATCACCTATGTACCTTGATATCATGTATTCACAATACAAGTATTATTTTCTTACCTGCCAATAAGGAGTTATGATTACCTGCAGTTTGCAAGCTGTTAAAAGAAAAAAGAAATAACTTCTCATTGCATAAAGTTCTCACATTTGGAGGTAAAAAGCATTTATAATCGATTTACTTTTATTAGAGACTTTGAAGAAATTGATGAGGAAAGTATTTTCATCTGAAGGAATAATAATTGAAGGCCCTAGTAATTAAACCAGAAGACTTTTCCCCCCACACTTAAGGGACCATTACTCTGTCATGGGTCTCATTTTGATTTCAGATGGTGGCCTTATTACTGAACCAAGAAAAAGTATTGAATATTAATTATGGAGAAAGAGTTTCTCTGTTTTATACCAATCTTAACATGTATTCTCTTTGCATTTACTTAAAAATCAGCAACTACTATAAATTCAGCATGAAAGTCAATATCACACACTGTCCTAAATGTGGTTTGCAAGCTTTCAAATGCTCTGATTTTCTCAGTTTGAAATGGGATCTTCTCCTACATCTTTTCCCTGCCTTCTCATGGGTTGAACTAAGAAAGTATATGAAAAACTACAGCCTTTTGCATGCATTGCTACCAAAATTCCTTTCAAATACCACTTCTTTTTTTCTTAGAGGTACAGTGCCTCTTAGATTCTGATGCACACACCCAGTCTCTGATTGTATACAGAAGGGGAAGAACTGATGTGGCTAGAGGTTGACAGTACAAAGAGAACCTCAAAAATCAGTATCTGAAAATAGGATGTAATGAAGGGATGAGAAAGGGAATGGTGTCTTAGGCAAAATATTAGAGCGTGAATTCAATGGTGACCAACATCTGACCCCGTCCTGCCCTTGTGAAGCTTGCAGTCAAGTTGGATAAAAATACATTAATCAAATAATCATATATTAAAGGCAATGCACAGTATGCCTTGAGGGCTTGTAACGGGGAACCTGAAATGGTCTGAAAGGCCAGACAGAGAAGAGTTCCCTGAGGAAGTAAGACTTAAAATCTGAGGAAAGAATGGTCTTAAGTGGGCCAGTGAACAGGGATCTTCCCTGTTTTCCAGCAAGCAGGAGGAGCTAATGGAGACATAGATCATTTGGGCCAATGAAAGAAGTGCAGCATTAGAGCCTGGAAAAGAAGGGGTAGAGGTGTTGAGACCAAAAAGCTTTATATAAATCATGATAAAGATTTTGGTTTTTAACTTAAAAGCAATAAAAGGCGATAAAGAGTTTTATTCAAAGTGGTGACATTATTAAATTTGTATTTTCTTTTTTTTAAATTCTATTATTATTATACTTTAAGTTTTAAGGTACATGTGCACAATGTGCAGGTTTGTTACATATGTATACATGTGCCATGTTGGTGTGCTGCACCCATTAACTCGTCATTTTGTATTTTCAAAGATCATTCTGGCTGCAGTTTGGAGCTCTCTTCTGCATGCTTCTTATCTGTGATCCCCTATCTCCCCTTTTTGGAGCCTAGAGATGCTGTTGCAAAGGATTAAAGCAAATTACTCTTCCATCACACCAAATAAATCGGAGCAAATGGTGACTTGTTTTTCACATCTATAGCAAATTTAAGGTGTTTATTCCCACCTCTGAAACCATTAAGACGGTTTGTCTACATTCACACCATCACAGTAACTAATATCAACTGGCAAGCTTCTCTTGGTGGTACCTGCCTCTGGAATTTATTGAATGAAATCTGCATTTGCTTTCTTAGAAAAATAATTTAAAACTGTATGTGCATTCTGACATCTGCCTGATTATCACTTAATTATATTCAAGAGTCCCAGTTAATAGACATTTACACAAATAATAAGTTTATATTTTATTGCTATGCCATTTGTATTATTTTTTAAGATGCATTTTACTATATGAAAATAGAAATGACAGTATAATCCTCTTCTCTGTAACACATTTATGATTTTTTTCTGAGATAAATATGATTGTCTGCTTAAGGCACAAACTTAAAGCCATATATCATATTTTTTTATTTTAGCACTATCCAGTTTCTAACTTATCTGAGATATCTTATTTCCCTAATCCATGATCACTTTTCACAAATCCAGATAAAGGAAAAGCTGAAATTGTATAATTTATGTGACTAGGAAATTAATAAATAAGCTAAAGAAATACGCCATCAAAACAGTTAATTCTACAGCACTTTTTTCACCTTTTATTGTAAACTACACATTTAAAATAAAATAAAGTATTAACAGTACTCTCTAGACAAGTCTTGCCCACCTGTCACATATATATACTGCCTGATGCTGTTTTTCATCTCTTTTCAATTTGTAGAAGTTCTAAAAATACAAAAAAAAAACTTTCTAAGAATAGTAGCATTGATATCTTGAGACAGCAATACTATGTTTTTCTCTCTTTTTTATTTTATTATTATTATACTTTAAGTTTTAGGGTACATGTGCACAATGTGCAGGTTAGTTACATATGTATACATGTGCCATGCTGGTGTGCTGAAACAGCAACACTATTTTTAACTGTTATTTTCTATTGCTGTTTTCTGGTAAAACTAGCTCCATACTTCCACCCAGTGGGATTTTTTCACAAAAGGATTAGAGAAAGAAGAGAAGAAAGGAAGAAATGGGAAGGAGAACAGAAAAAGAAAGAGGAGAAGGAGAAAGAGGAATAAGAGCAGCAAGGAGAAGGAGGATGATAAAATTGAGGAAGAAAAAGAAAAAGCACTCTCATCTTTCATATTCCATGGGTGAAAAAAAAGTCTTACTTTACCGCAGACTCCAATGTCATTTTTTGAAGGATATTCACTACTGAGTTATACTCTCACTTCTGTTTAGCAAAATGTGGTCTTGCTATGGGCAGGAATGTAAATGTATAATTAACAATAGTATCAGGTTGGTGCAAAAGTAATTGCGGTTTTTACCATTATTTAACTTTTGCCATTACACTAATGGCGAAAACCACAATTACTTTTGCACCAATCTAATAGTCCAATATTGCATTTGACAATATTATATTCTAATTCAGCAATCTAGAAAATCATCTGAAGCTCCAATGTAACAGTGCTTGAAAATATGTTCAGAATGAGGCCATGTTAGTGCCTTTTTAATGATAAAATTCTTTTCGAGGAATTATTTTAAAAAGAAACAAAAGTATTATATTTTATATAACAAGATATATAAAGAAAAATAATGCATATAAAAATCCCAAATCAGAGAACAATTTAAATGAATTTTTAGAATTAGTAAATCTGTAAATATCATTGATTTATTCATTTAACAAATATTTATTGAAAGTCTACTAGGTATTAGGAATGGTAGATATAAAAATGATAAAAAGATTGTCCTGTCATCAGAGACATTTCTTATGAGGAGACAATCAGTAAGCATATAAATAAATAAATAACATAATGCCAGATAGTGAAAAATATTTGAAGAAAATTAAAGCATGTTAAGGGGAATGTTATAAATAAGCTATCCAGGGAATGTTTCTCTAAGAAGGTAACGTTTGAACAGGAAATAAGTGACACAGAGAAGTAAGATCTTGTTTCAGAGCATTGCAAAATGAGGAAATTGCATGGAAAGGGTTATGAGGTGGGCCTGTATTCAAATAACATCACAACAGTAGGTTGGACGTTTGTGAATTCTTCCAATTTTTTTTTATATAAGCTTGTATGAGTTGGGGCTCATTATATGCAAACAAAATTATACACCTTATAGAAACACATTGGAATATTTGAATGCCTATCGGCGAACTTTGGTCTAAAAAAAGGTACCCACAATTCTCCAAGGGTTGTTGTCTCCATTCAACCACACACACACACACACACACACACACACACAGACACTCTGACAGACTTCCAAGCCAAGAAGTTTTCTGGTCCCTGAATGACAATGTAAAATATCCACATACTCCTAATTCAAGAGACCATTTCAGGCCAGGCGCAGTGGCTCATGTCTGTAATCTCAGCACTTTGGGAGGCCG
The DNA here is from genome assembly GCF_000001405.40 of Homo sapiens. Classification (NCBI taxonomy): domain Eukaryota; kingdom Metazoa; phylum Chordata; class Mammalia; order Primates; family Hominidae; genus Homo; species Homo sapiens. The sequence continues at coordinate 82,266,039 of NC_000012.12, forward strand.
AGGTGAGTAGATCACTTGAGGTCAGGAGTTTGAGACCAGACTGGCCAACATGGTGAAACTCCATGTCTACTAAAATACAAAAATTAGGCGCGTGTAATAGTGGGCACCTCCCAGATGCTCGGGAGGTTGAGGCATGAAAATCACTTGAACCTGGGAGGTGGAGGTCGCAGTGAGCTGAGATCATGCCACTGCACTCCAGCCTGGGTAACAGAATGAGACTCTGTCTCAAAAAAAAAAAAAAAAAAAAAGACAATTTCAGCCTATCTGTCCTGGGCTAGTTGTGTTAGTATCATTTGTATGTAATACTTGAGCAAGATGAGTTTTAATGCCCTAGTGTTGAGTGTTATATCTGCTCCTTTAAGGGAGTCCAAACATTCCTGAAAAAAAAAATAGTGTAGTGTTACAGTAATACACTACCAATGAACTTAGCCAATGATTCCAAAAATCTCTGGTTCCTCATGGGTCTATTTGCCAATCCTTTCACTATCCAGTATTTTTCACACACCTTTTAAAAAAGAATCCATCATTTTATTGATTCCTGTTGCCATAATATATTCTTCAGAATCTATAAATTCATTTTGAAAACTTCATCAGATATTTGTGTTTGAGATGGAAATGATCATGGCTGTCTTAAAGACCCAGAAATGAATCAATTTTGGCTGTTATTCCTGTGCATGTAATACTTGAAGGGGCTCAGTGAAACTACTCACTTCATGGGGGTGATTAAACTTCAAGAACCACATTTAAACTTCTTTACTAGAAGGATGGGGATATGTCACAAAATAACAAATGCAAACAACCATCATAGTTGAAAACAACTCCAGATAATTGTGAAATTAAAGTGGTGACAAGGATGGTAATCGCTGTTCTTTGTATATTTCAACTTGAAGATCATCAATAAGCCTGAAAGGCTGAACTACAACACAGATATCTAATTTAAAAGCAATATTTGACCGTGCTAGCACTGTAAATCACTAAAAATGGCCTCTGCCCTATTTTTGAATGAGGAATTTATTATCATACAGCCCACCTTGAACCTCATCTTCCTCACCTAGCAGCAGTATAAACTGGTCTATTTGCCCAGATGATTTGCTGATATTTACATGACCTCCTATTTGTACCCATAAACAGATTTCATTGTTGGCATTCGTGACTGCACTTCTGTCTGTACGTCCCTTCCAGGAAGGCCCAGGAATACACTCTTTCTGTGCCACAGCCTGTCTAGATTTCAAAATGCTGTTTAGATTTCTTTTCACCTGTATTTGCCATCTGGGAACTCAATATGCTTTAGGTGTAGTGTCCATGCCTGGAAAAAGGAACTACCCTGAAAAATTCCAAGTAGGTAAGTACTTATATAGTATATATAACTACTATACTATAGCAATCAAAACAGCATGAAGCAAACACATAGACCAATAGAACAGAACAGAGAACCCAAAAATAAATCTTGCATTTACAGCCAACTTATATTTGACAAAGGCGCCAAGAACATACACTGGGGAAAGGACACCTTTTCCAATAAATGCTCTCAGAAAACTGAATATTCATATGCAAAAGAATAAAACTAGATCCCTATATCTCATTTTATATATATATATAAATCAAATCAAAATGGATTAAAGACTTAAATGTAAAACCTGAAATTCTGAAACTACTAGAAGAAAACATTAGGAAAAAACTTTAGGACATCAGTCTGGGGAAAGATTTTTTGAGTTAAGATCCCAAAAGCACAGGCAACCAAAGCAAAAATTGACAAATGGGCAAATGGGTTTACATCGAGCTAAAAAGCTTCTGTATAGCAAAAGAAACACAGTAAAGAGACAACCTATGGAATGGGTGAAAATATTTGCAAACTATTCAACTGACAAGTGATTAATAATCAGAATATATAAGAAACATAACTCAATAGCAAAAAAAAAATCTGATTTTAAAATGGGCAAAAGATTTGAATAGACATTTCTCAAAAGAAGACAAACAAATGGCCAACAGGTTTATGAAAAAAATGCTCAACACGACTAATCAGAGAAATGAAAATAAAAACCACAATGGGATATCATCTTACCCCAGTTAAATGGCTATTATCAAAAAGAGAATAACAAATTCTGGCAAGGATTTGGAGAAGGGAATGCTAGTACACTTTGGTGGGAATGTATATCAGTGCAGCCAATATGGAAACAGTATGAAAGTTCCCCCCCAAAATAAAAATAGAAATACCATATGATTCAGCAATCCCACGTCTTTATCCAAAATAAGGAAGATCAGCATATTTAATAGATGTCTGAACTCCCATGTTTATTGCAGCACTATTGACAATAGCCAAGATATGGAATCAACCTAAGTGTTCATTAGTGAATGAATGGATTTTTAAAATGCGGTGAAATATGCGCAGTGGAATATTATTCAGCCATAAAAAAGAATGAAATCCTGTTATTTGCAGCAACATGTATGGAACTGGAGGACATTATGTTAAGTGAAATAAGCCAAGCACAGAAAGACAAATATTGCATGTTCTCACTCATATGTGGGAGCTAAAAAAATTGATCTCCTGGAGGTGGTGAATCTAACAGTGGTTACCATAGGGTAGGGAGAGTAGTAGGGGGAAGGATGAAGAGTGACTGGTTAATGAGCACAAAATACAGTTCAATAGAAGGGATAAGATTTAGTTTGATAGTACAATAGGGTGACTATAGTTAACAATAATCTATTGTATATTTTAACATAACCATAGGAGTGGATTTGGAATGTTCCCAACACAAAGAAATGATAAATGTTTTAGGTGATGGATATCCCAATTTGATCACTACATATTGTATGCTTTTGTCAGAATATTACATATTTGCCATAAATATGTACAACTATTATGTATCCATAAAAATAAAAACAAAGTAGCCACCATAGTAAAAATGTTCTCCATGTGCTATAATAGGTCTGAATATATAACCTCCCAGACTGGCTAATTAACATTACAGGATACAGGTCATTTTCCATTTGTAAAAGGCTCTTATAAATAACCCCTAATTAAGCTTTCCCTATAATACTGTAATGCCTATAATTTCTGTACAGTACTAGCCCATAAGTGATAGCTATTAATAATAATAATTATCATTAGCAATTATAATTTGAAATATTCAGTATTTCCTAATTGATGAGTAATGTGCCATCATGCTAAGATGTAGAAAATCAATGGTGAAGGAATAATTTTGGTGTACATTTTCATGGAATTTATAGCATAGCAAAAATATTCATTAAATTAGCAGTATAAATAGGTGTGATTTTAGTGACATGAGAGAAGGAAAGGAAGTACATGTGCTCTAGGAGTATATAATGAAGATGGGTGGGTGAGTACATGGGGGATGGTGACAAGAAAAACTCTCTAGAAGAAGTGACACTTAAATTGAGACCTGAAAAACAGACAATCATCAACGGAGTTGTGGTGAAGGTGAGAGGTAGGAACTAATCTGTTTAAAGCAAAAGGATCAGCACATTAAAAAGCCTTGGGGTGGAAAACAAAATGATAAACCTGAAGAACTTAAGGAAGTCATTCTAGCTTCATACAAATCACATGGCGAGAACTGGATATAAAGTGGGGACAAGAGAATAAAAGTCAATGAAAGATATCCTTTAAAAATTAGAATTTATCCCAAGAGCATGGGAAATCACTGAAGGGGTTTTATGCTATGATATAATTGGACTTGTGATTTAGAAAGAATAGCATGGACAAAATATAGAAAATCTATGAGACTACAGGACTTTCCTTATTACCACAATAACAGTCTGCTGCTTTTTAAATCCACTTTGTATTGCCCATGAATATAGATTAATTTCTTGCATAGGGAGACCTAGAAAATCTAAAAGCTCTCAAACTACAAAAACCCTAAGCACATTGGATAAATACAAGAAACATTTTAAAAATACATAGTAGGTCAAAAGAAAGTAACACAATTTCACAGACAAAAGCGAAGAGTAAATTAAAATCCAGAACTGTAAATGCCAAGTTGGTCGTATGTTTTGGTGGAGTGCACTGTTGATCTTACTAAAAGCTATATGAATTAACTGCCTCAAGTCTTACACCATTACCCAATCCCAAACATAAACCTGGTGCCCTTAAACAGGGTACCTTCATATGAAATGGTGAGCTATAAAAATGTTCCCTTTTCTCACTGAGAGAAAAGAAAAGATAGCTTATCTATTCTTTCCAGTCTGGATCTGTGATGGAGGAGAAAAGAAATTCAGCCAATAAATGTGACCATAGGCCTAACTTTAATCAGGTTTTGTGTTTGAATTCCCACCACCTGCTTGGTCCAAAGCTTAAAATGTATATAAAATGTTGCCTGCAGGCTGGTAAATCTTTAAGATTCTTGATAGAAGGAAATGCAAAAAATCATTCTTATAGGATGCACCCTAAATCCAGAAAACAGAGGATTGCCTACAGTAGATGAGCAATTTAAAATTAGAAAGCACATAAGGAAGCCAAAAGCAAAATCAGCAGATGCTACAAACAGGAGGTACACCCCTAAGACTTCAGAAAATAGAACAATCTTATACAAAATAGTAAGTTTATTTAAATGACTAAGTAGTTAATGGATGGAGGAGAAACTCTGAATATAAAAATAAATACAAAAAAATACCCAGGCAGATTTGGGAAAACCCAAATATATTTTCTAGAAAATAAAAATTTAATAGACAGCAAAAATAGAAAATGAAATGAAACTGAACAGATGATTACTAACTTATTAGATGATTCTGAAAAAATTACCAAGAAAACAAGAAATGACTGCAAATAAGAATAACGATTAATTTGGGTAGATAAATAAAGGTGGAATTACAGAACACTTCATCACAATAATATGGAAAACTTGATGGAGGTTATTAAAAGGAAAATGTACTAAGTCAATTATATATTGGGTAAGAAAGCAGAAATTCCGATCTCTTTAAACTTTTGTTAACTATATATGTTAAATTTAAAGGGTAACATTTAAATGAATATAAACAGAATACATCATTTACAAATGATTAGAGAGAATAAAAGACAAAGTAAATTCCATCAATCTGATGGACTACATCACAAGGAAAAAACAAACATAATAAAAATAGCATAAAAGTGGTGGAAATAAAATTAACAATAATTACAATGAACATAATTTCTAAATACCAAAAACATATAGACCCCAAACAATTGCAGGTAAAAGGATATTTTTTTAAAAGACAGCAAATACTGTCAAATACTAATAGAAGCTATTCTTCCAAAAAAAGTTGGCATAAAACAATATAAAATTTATGAACAAAAGGAAAAATATATGAAATTATTATTAGGCAAAAAGAATGACTGAATGATAAAAGGAAAGATTCACCATAAGTGTGTATGTACCTAATAACAAAACTTTGAAACAATTATTTTCAATTTTTGTGAGTACATAATAGACGTATATATTTATGGGGTAAATGAGATGCTTTGATACAGGCATGCAGTGTGTAATAATCACATAATGGAAAATGGGGTGCCCATCCCCTCAAGTATTTATGCTTTGTGTTACAAACAATCAAATTATAGTCTTTTATTTATTTTTATTTCTTAAGACAAGGTCTTGCTGTGTCACCCAGGCTGGAGTGTAGTGGCATGATCATGGCTCACTGCAGCCTTGACTTCCTGAGCTCAAGCAATCCTCCCACCTCAACATCCCAAGTGTCTGGGACTACAGGCATGTGTCACCACACCCTACTAATTTTTTAATTTTTTTGTAGAGACAGGGTCACACTATGTTGCTCAGGCTGGTCTTGAGAACTCCTGGGCTTGAGTGATCCTCCTGCTTCAGCCTCCCAAAGTGCTGGGAACATAGGTGTGAGCCACTGCACCCAGATGCTTTTATTTTAAAATGTACAATTAAATTATTATTGACTATAGTTACCCTAATAATATAACTTTAAATACATAAAAAGCAATAGTAGGAGAGCTACAACCTCAGGGTCCCTTATCATTTTGGCTCTCAATTCCCTCCTCATTTTTTGTGATTTCCTTTCTCATGAGTTTAACTTCATGTTTGAGAAACGTTTCTTATATTTTAACCAGTCTTTCCAGACGTTTGTCAGGATACTTTTTCAGGACATCAATTCCTGTACATAGGTAAAATTGGAAATTTAATTTATGGTTTGTGGAAACCAACATATATCGTAAAATATAAAAAAGATTCCTGTTGATGATGGACATCTAGAGGAAAACTTCAGGGGAGGGAGAAGTAATGAAGGGGTGATTACCTCAGGGGAAGGAGAAGTAGTGAAGGAGAGAAAGGATGAGAAAGAAATAGGTTTGTAGAAGAATACACAGGGGTTCCAAAGTTATCTGTAATGTTTTCTTTTTAAGACAGTTGTTGGTACTCAGGAGGCTGAGGCAGGAGAATTGCTTGAACCCAGCAAGTGGAGGTTGCAGTGAGTCAAGATGGCACCACTGCACTCCAGCCTGGACGACTGAGCGAGACTCTGTCCCAAAAAAAAAGAAAAAAAAGTGATTACCAAAAACATGTAGAAATATTCTTTTAATTCTCCTTTTGCCAGCCTTAGCTTATTCCGTCTGCACATTTTTCATTTTTTTCCACACAACAATTGAACGAGAAGACTGCATTAATTGATGGATTTAAAATAAAGCATGCCTGAAGAAACTTTCATGCATAATACCATATGTAGAACAGGTTAAAACTGGCTGTTTTTGAAACAGCCAGTTGTAAACTGAAACGTCTGCAACATCTGTCAGACTTTGTCGGATCAATTTAGATATGTTCCCCTCATTCTAATTTCCTGTTAGTTTGGCCATTTCTCTAGTTCTGAATCCTTTTTTTTATTATTATTATACTTTAAGTTCCAGGGTACATGTGCACAACGTGCAAGTTTCTTACATATACATACATGTGCCTTGTTGGTTTGCTGCACCCATTAACTCATCATTTTTATTAGGTATTTCTCCTAATGCTATCCCTCCCCCAGCCCCCCACCCCACAACAGGCCCCAGTGTGTGATGTTCCCTGCCCTGTGTCCAAGTGTTCTCATTGTTCAGTACCCACCTATGAGTGAGAACATGCGGTGTTTGGTTTTCTGTCCTTGTGAAGTTTGCTCAGAATGATGGTTTCCAGCTGCATCCATGTCACTACAAAGGACATGAACTCATCCCTCTTTATGGCTGCATAGTATTCCATGGTATATATGTGCCACATTTTCTTAATCCAGTCTATCATAGATGGACATTTGGGTTGGTTCCAAGTCTTTGCTATTGTGAATAGTGCTGCAATAAACATACATGTGCATGTGTCTTTATAGCAGCATGATTTATAAGCCTTTGGGTATATACCAAGTAATGGGATGTGTGGGTCAAATGGTATTTCTAGTTCTAGATCCTCGGGGAATCATCACACTGTCTTCCACAATGGTTGAACTAATTTACACGCCCACCAAAAGTGTAAAAGCTTCCCTATTTCTCCATATCCTCTCCAGCACCTGTTGTTTCCTGACTTTTTAATGATTGCCATTCTAACTGGTGTGAGATGGTATCTCGTTGTGGTTTTGATTTGCATTTCTCTGATGACCAGTGATGATGAGCATTTTTTCATGTGACTGTTGGCTGCATAAATGTCTTCTTTTGAGAAGTGTCTGTTCATATCCTTTGCCCACTCTTTGATGAGGTTGCTTGATTTTTTCTTGTCAATTTGTTTAAGTTCTTTGTAGATTTTGGATATTAGCCCTTTGTCAGATGAGTAGACTGCAAAAATTTTCTCCCATTCTGTAGGTTGCCTGTTCACTCTGATGGTAGTTTCTTCTGCTGTGCAGAAGCTCTTCAGTTTAATTAGATCCCATTTGTCTATTCTGGCTTTTGTTGCCATTGTTTTTGGTGTTTTAGTCATGACGTATTTGCCCATGCCTATGTCCTGAAGGGTATTGCCTAGGTTTCTTCTAGGGTTTTATGGTTTTAGGTCTAATATTTAAGTCTTTAATCCATCTTGAATTAATTTTTATATAAGGTGAAAGGAAGAGATCCAGTTTCAGCTTCTACGTATGGCTAGCCAGTTTTCCCAGCACCATTTATTAAATAGGGAATCCTTTCCCTATTTCTTGCTTTTGTCAGGTTTGTCAAAGAACAGATGGTTGTGGATGTGTGGTATTTTTTCTGAGGGCTCTGTTCTGTTCCGTTGGTCTGTATCTGTTTTGGTACCAGTACCATGCTGTTTTGGTTACTGTAGCCTTGTAGTTTAGTTTGAAGTCAGGTAGCGTGATGCCTCCAGCTTTGTTCTTTTTGCTTAGGATTGTCTTGGCAATATGGGCTCTTTTTTGGTTCCATATGAACTTTAAAGTAGTTTTTTTTCCAATTCTGTGAAGAAAGTCATTGGTAGCTTGATGGGGATGGCATTGAGTCTATAAATTACCTTGGGCAGTATTGCCATTTTCACAATATTGATTCTTCCTATCCATGAGCATGGAATGTTCTTCCATTTGTTTGTATCCTCTTTTATTTCATGGAGCAGTGGTTTGTAGTTCTCCTTGAAGAAGTCCTTCACATCCCTTGTAAGTTGGATTCCTAGATATTTTATTCTTTTTGAACAACTGTGAATGGGAGTTCACTCATGATTTGGCTCTCTGTTTGTCTGTTATTGGTGTATAGGAATTTTTGTGACTTTTGCACATCGATTTTGTATCTTGAGACTTTGCTGAAGTTGCTTATCAGCTTAAGGAGATTTTGGGCTGAGACAATGGGGTTTTCTAAATATACAATCATGTCATCTCCAGACAGGGACAACTTGACTTCCTCTTTTCCTAATTGAATACCCTTTATTTCTTTCTCTTGCCTGATTGCCCTGGCCAGAACTTCCAACACTATGTTGAATAGGAGTGGTGAGAGAGGGCATCCAATTATAACTTTCAACCAGTTCCTATTTTCTGGGTTATTTTTTAAAATTTACATTTCTAATACAGCTCTGCTTCTGAAATCATGGACTGAATTAGACGTCTTCTCTTACTTTCCTTTACTAACATTTTTTGCCATCAGTTTCAACAATACCTAGAAAGCATTAATGACAAGAAGAAAGGAATACTGTATCAAATCATACACCTGTAACCTGAACCTAATAATCTTTGCTGCCAAGGGAAAAAAAATAGCTCTCAGGCAGGAATAGACATAATTCCCTAGTAGTTAAAAACATGGCTGTAAAGTCAGATGAAGCTGAATTCATATCCACACTCTACCACCACAGGCACTCTACCATAGGCAAGTTTCTTTTCCTCACCTAAAAAGCAAGGCTGAAAATACCTATCTTACAAAGTTGTAAGAATTACAAAAACAAAGTATAAAAGTGCTTAACCATTAATTAACGTTAAAGTAAGCAGTTATGAAAAGATACCTTAAAGTTAGGACAATCATGACGCTATCAATTGCTTTTGTGACCACTTTTTAAAGTACAATAACTTCCTTCTGCTCAGAACTCTTTAAGATTATTCTTTTCACATGCATGTCAGATATATATAATATTTACCTATTCACTACATTTATTGTTTATTGCGTGTCTCCTCTACTCCCTGATGGACTATAACTTTGACAAGGACAAGGATTTTTGTCTTCTTTTTTCATTTGCTTTTTCTAACCAAATGCCTGCACATAGTAAATGCTCAATACTCACTAAAGTAAATTTCATTGATTTTATGAGTACATGTGCAATCATATCCCATGCAAACACAAATCCTGTTATTATAGTTCTAACCATGTTAACACCAACCTAACTTTAACTTCTTTTATGATCATGAAATCTATTTTTGAAACATTTATATAATGATAAAAATTTAAAGTTTTCTAAACTCATATTTAATCATTAATCATCATTCCTAGATCTCATTTAATCATCACAGCAATATCATAAACTGGGTGCTATTATTGTGTACATTTTACATACAGAGAAATTTAGGCACAAAAAAGTAGTTGATTTGCCTAGAATCCACTGTAGTAAGTGGTAGAGCTAGGCTATACCCAGTTGTTCCACAATCACTCAATATTCAAAACGTCATAAATATATAGAGCTCCTGCAATTTGTGACAAAAGCAGAAAAGTAGAAAATGAACATAGGCTTCCTGAATGCCAAGCTACAACCTGAGGATTAGTGAAGTCTCTCAGCTCCTGCAGCAATTATCTCCACTTCTTTTCTGTTACTTTAATGTTGCCTCATAAAATTAATCTTCTTAAATATGTTACAAGGTCTTTGAGTTCAGAAGCCATGGATTAGAAGTCTTTGAAGGATCCAGAGCACCTTATAGAATATATTATACATATAATACATATAAATCTCCCACCAGTGCCTGACAAAGAGTAGTCAATGAATGTTAGGTCCCTGAATCTCACAGTGGGGTGGTAGGAAAGAGTATACAGATCAGACGAATAGGTTTGAGTGCTACGTCTGTTACTTCTTAGATGTGAGGCATGATTAATTTTTCTTAATTTCTTTGAGACTTGGTTATCTCATTACTTAAAAGTCATATAGTAATACCCACCTTATTGCTGTCCACATTGAGAACAGCATATAAATAGACACTGACATGGTTGGTGCTCAATAAATATTAGTTATGCTTTCCCTCCACTAGATGATTGACTTTATATGGTATTGATCTTAGGGTTATTATAGACATCAGATCCAGAGTCAGCAAAAGTACTTCTCTTGAATATTTCTGCATACAAAATACGAAATGTGGATCTCATTGAGAGTGCAGTGTCCGAACACCAGGAGTAGTCCATTACTACTAAAATGATTTTCTGATCACAACTTTAATTAACAGGGCCTAAATTCAGAATGGATGAAAATAGTTATTGTAGCCACTACTTTTTGGCACACTGAAACTACTTAGATGATCATAAGCAGCTCAGACAGAAAAAAAGTACTTTAATAGATATGGGAAGAATAGGATACTAGAGAATGACTTTAAAACGCACACTATAATGCAACCAAATGAAAAGTATAGTATTGGAAGACATTCCCTAGTGTGCTACATCATAAATGGGAAATTTTCTCTGTGTGCATGTATTTTAATTAGGTGCATTAGGCAGACAATGGATATTAAGGTTGGAGTTGTCAACACTACAAATTCTACAAATAGCAACCTGCTTAAATAAGAGGAAAAAAAGTATTCCTCCAGTTTGGACCTCCCATAGGAAGACTACAGATTTTATTCAGAAAGAATAAGGTCCTAAGGCACTGAGACTTTTGACCTCTCTACCCCTAGTACATCAGAGGTCTAAAACAAAAGCCAGAAAAAATTGTTGACTGTCGTGGAAAACAGAACTGAATTATTTTATGAAACATAAATAAATAGTGTTTGTATCTCAAACAGCTTTACCTCCAGCACCTGACATCATTTATAGTTTGGCTTTAGCTTCAATATATTAGTGAATTAATCTCATTATGTTAAAAATAAATCTCTTTGCTCACACCATTTAAAATTTAAGTCACAGATTGAAGCTCACATTTCAACAAAGGACAAAAACCTTTGAACCCATCAAGCCAGTTGCTTTATCAACTTGTCTAAACATTTCTCTTTGGTGTCTAATACTTGTTTTTCTCTGATTAATCTCAGATTCTAACCTTTCCCCTTTAAACATGCTTCTATCAAAGTATAAGAGAAAAAAAAGTTACTTATGGAAATGCTGGCTCAATGTTACTTGAAACGCTCTCTCCTAGTACCCCACAACAAGTCATTTTGCTGTTCGCAACTTGCGGAGGTTGCTATGCAACCACAGGGAGATTTCAAGCCACAGAATATGGGCACATGAATTAAGGTGTTAGAATAAAATTAGTTGAATGTGTATGTGTGTGTGTAGGCAAATACTGTATAAATTATCAGACAGTAATAAGCCGTAAGTATAAAGAAGTTTTTCTGTGAGGAAAAAAGAAAGTGAGCCAGAAGCAGCAGATTTTTTAGTTAGAAGCTTACAAAGTTCTTACAGTTAATTAGGTCTACCATTTAATTTGATCATTCGAACTGCAGAATAAGCATAGGGTGCAAAGAAAAGAACAGTGGGTGGACAGTTAGTAACTAAATTGGGCAGCTCACACCAGTATAAACCTCTTTTTTTTCCCTCCACGTGGGTAGGAAGAACATAAGAATATATAAAACTAGAACATTGTACTGAATCATGTGTGGCACTATTTATGACAAGATGGGATACATGATATTCACAACCTCCCACTTTTATGCAAACAAAAATAAGGATACACTAGAAATATATGTGAATGGAGCATTACCTCAAGCCTACGTTATCTGTAAAGCCAAAGGCAAAGTGGAGATGTTCAAATAGTCTGTAATGAAATAGTTTCAATTTTGGATGTCCTTTCTTCCTAAGCTTTATGAACCAAAAAGATCTTTATAAGTCTTTATCACTTGGGAAAATAGTACTTTAAATACTAGTAATACTAGTAATGCTAGTAACTAAAAGCTAGATTTTAGTTGGGCAATTGCAGTACTTTTGTCAATGCCCTTCAGTTAAAGACCACCAGAAACATACCTGCAGTTGAACAAGTTGAGTTTATTACTTATTACAGTAAGGAAGAATACACATAAGAAACTGTGGGACATCATAGTAAGACATTTCATAGGCTGAATCATGTTTTCTCAAAATTCATATGTTGAAGCCCTGACCATAGCACCTCACAATGTGATTACATCTGCAGATAAGGCCTTTACAGGTATTAAGTTAAAATGAAACCATTAAGATGGGCTCTATTCCAATCCGACTAGCTTTTTAATAATAAGAAATGTTAACACATTGAAAGATTGATATTTTTATACAGAGAAAAGACCGTATGTGGACACAGCAAGAAGGCAGCTATCTACAGGACAAACAGAGAGGCTTCAGAAGAAATCAAACCTGCTGACACTTAATGTTCTTGGACTTCTAGCCTCCAGAATTGTGAGAAAATAAATTTCCATCATTTAAACCACCCAGTCTGTGGTACTCTGTTACAGCAGCCCTAGCAAACTAATATAGAGAATGTTAGGAAAAAAAAATCTACTATAGGGTTTGTGCTTTGGTTGGGTGCTTTTGAGGAGAATCTAAATAAGCAGGAGTTCACTCTAAGTGCTGACAAAAAGCAGGGGGCAATTCTGTGTTCTGATATCTCAGTAAGTATCATCTATATGTAAGGCAGACAAGAATGAGGCTAAAGCTGTAATTGGTAAAGAAGTAGAAGTCACTCATGTTAGTCATGAAAGGGGGATGTTTGCCGTTTTGCAGATAGCACAGTGACCTTGTTTTTGCTGTGTTTTTAAAAAAATTAAGTGGCCTTGTTTTGTCTTGCTTTGGGACAGTCTCAGAGTGACTTTGATGCTGGTGTTTGATGAGATTTCTTACATCTAATAGGTGAACAACAGCTATGAATGCCAGGCCAGCTTCAAATGACACTGGAGAGGCTAGAGCTTTGGCACAACAGTTCCTGGTTCTTTTTCACCTTTGAATCGTTTTAAAATAATAACCCTTTCACTTAATTGTAAAATTATAATATACACATGTACAAGGCTAGAGACTGTTTAGTACTATGTGGAATTTACTAGAGGAGCCAAAAAGGTTTACTGCCACACACAATATGATCTTCTTTCATCCATATTGCCGTAGATCTATTTTCTCAACACAGTCCTATCTCAGCTGAGTAGCTAGGCTGCCATAAATATAAGTGACGAACACTCCTACTGATTAAATTACCACAACTGTTGACATTTATATTGTATTTCTTATTTGCATAAGAGCTTTTCATCATCTTGTCAGTTTTTCCTCACAAATAAAGGAGGCTATGGATGCCCCAAAGAGATCAGATGGCTTTCCAAAAGGCATAGTTGGTGGAGTCAAAGCATGAAGTCATCTTCTGAGCTGTGAGTTCACTCTCAATATATTCGTGCTTTATTTGTCCAACTAACATAACACCACAGTGGCTGAGAAGGCAGATCTGGGGCAGGCTACCTCCATTTATACCCCACTCTGCCACTAACTACCTTTGTGACTTCTAGAACATTGTTTACCATCTCTGTGCCTCAGTTTTCACATCTGTAAAATGGAATTTCTAATAGTATCTAGCTCATCAGTTTGTTTCACAGATTAAACAAGTCAGCACATGAAAAATGTTTAGGATAATGAAGACTCATAGTTAGCATTTATTAAATGCTGGCTACTGTTGTGGGAGAACTGTATCCCTTCAAAATTCATATGATGAAGTTCTAACTCCCAGGGCCCCAGAAAGTGTGTGATGGTTAATATTGAGTGTCAGCTTGATTGCACCGAAAGATGCAAAGTATTAGTCCTGGGTGTGTCTGTGAGGATGTTGCCAAAGGAGATTAACATTTGAGTCAGTGGGCTGAGAGAGGCAGACTCACCCTCAATGTGGGTGGGTCAGTGTGGGTGGGCACCATCCAATCAGCTGCTAGCATGGCTAGAATAAAGCAGGCAGAGAAGATGGAAGAGCTGACTTGCTGAGTCTTCCAGCCTTCATCTCTCTCCCATGCTGGATGCTTCCTGGCCTGGAAGATCAGACTCCAAGTTCTTCAGCTTTTAGACCCTTGGACTTATTCCACTGGTTTGCCAAGGGCTCTTAGGCCTTTGGCCACAGACTGAAGGCTGCACTTTCAGCTTCCCAGCCTTTGAGGTTTTAGGACTCAGACTGGCTTCCCTGCTCCACAGCTTACAGATGGTGTATTGTGAGACTTTGCCTTGTGATCATGTGAGTCAATACTCCTTAGTAAATTCCCTTTCATAAATACATATATCTCATTAGTTCTGTCCCTCTAGAAAACTCTAATACAGATTTTGGTGACAGGAATGGGGTGCTGCTATAAAGAGACCCAAAAAATGTGGAAATTACTTCAGAACTGAGTAACAGGAAGAAGCTGGAACAGTTTGGAGGGCTCTGAAGAAGACAGGAAAATGTGAGAAAGCTTGGAACTTCCTAGAGACTTGGAAGGCTCAGAAGTAAGGAAGACGTGGGAAGGTTTGGAACTCCCTAGAGACCTTTTTGAATGCCTTTGACCAAAATGCTGATAGTCATATGGACAATAAACTCTGGGTTGAGGTGGTCTCAGATGGAGATGAGGAACTTTGGAGGAACCGGAATAAAGGTTACTCTTACTATGAAAAGAGACTGGCAGCATTTTGCCCTTGCCCTAGAGATCTGTGGAACTGCGATGTTGAGAGAGATTATCTAGGGTATCTAGTGGAAGAAATTTCTAAGTGGCAAAGCATTCAACAGGAAGCAGATATAAAAATTAGAAAAATTTTCAGCCCGATGATGCAAAGGAAAAGAAAAACCCAATATCTGGGGAGAAATTCAAGCCAGCTGCAGAAATTTGCATAAGTAATGAGGAGCCAAATGTTAGTCACCAAGACAATGGGGAAGATGTTTCCAGGGCATGTCAGAGAGCTTCACAGCAGCCCCTCCCATCACAGGCCTGGAGGCCTAGGAGGGAAAAATGGTTTTCCAGGACAAGTCCAGGGCCCCCCTGCTATGTGTAGCCTTGGGACTTGGTGCCCTGTGTCCCAGCTGCTCCAGCCATATCTAAAAGGGGCCAAGGTAGAGCTCAGGCCGTTGCTTCAGAGGGTGCAAGCCCTAACCCTTGGCAGCTTCCATGTGGTGTTGGTCCTGCAGACACATAGAAGACAAGAATTGAGGTTTGGGAACTTACACCTAGACTTCAGAAGATGTATGAAAATGCCTGGATGTCCAGATAGAAGTCTTCTGAGTGGAGGAGTCCTGATGAGCCTCTGCTAGGGCGAATCAGAACAGAAATCTGGTCAGAGTACCAACACAGAGTCCCCACCAGGGCACTACCTAGTAGAGCTATGAGAAGAGAGCCACCATCCTTCAGATCCCAGAATGGTAGATCCACCAAAGGCTTTCACCTTGCACCTGGAAAAGCCACAGACACTCAACACCAGCCAGTGAAAGCAGCCAGGAGGCAGGCTGTATCCTGAAAAGCAATAGGGATGGAGCTGAAAAAGGCCATGGGAGCCTACCTCTTGCATCAGCATGACCAGGATGCGAAACATGGAGTCAAAGGAGAACATCGCAAAGCTTTAAGGTTTGGCTGCCCCGCTGGATTTTGGACTTGCATGGACCCTGTGATCCCTTTGTTTTGGCCAATGTCTTTCTTTGGGATGCGTGTATTGACCCACTGCCTGTACCACCATTGTATCTAAGAAGTAACTAACTTGCTTTTGGTTTTACAGGTTCATAGGTAGAAGGGACTCACTTTGTTGCAGATGAGACTTTGGACTTGGACTTTTGAGTTAATACTGGAATGAGTTAAGACTTTGGGGAACTGTTGGAAGGGCATGATTGTGTTTTGTAATGTGAGGGCATGAGATTTGGGAGTGGTCAGGGGTGGAATGATATGGTTTGGTTGTGTCGCCACCCAAATCTCATCCTGAATTGTAGTTCCCATAATCCTCATGTGTCATGGGAGGAATCTGGTGGGAAGTAATTTATTTATAGGGGCAGTTACCCTCATGCTGTTCTCATGATAGTGAATGAGTTCCCATGAGATCTGATGGTTCTAATGAGGCTTTTCCCCCTTTTGCTCAGCACTTCTCCTTACTGCTGCCATGTGAAGAAGGACATGTTTGCTTCCCTTTCCACCATGATTGTGAGTTTCCCAAGGCCTCCCTATCCATCATGAAGATGTGAGAAGGTTTGGAACTTCCAAATGTGAGTCAATTAAACCTCTTTCCTTTATAAATTGCCTAGTCTTGGGTATGTCTTTATTAGCAATGTGAGAATGGGCTAATACAAAGTAACTATATTTAAAATAGTAATTAAATTAAAATGGAGTCCTTAAGGTGAACTCTGATCCAATATGACTGGTGTCATTATAAGAAAAGGAGATTAGGGCACAGACAACACAGACACACAAGATGAACATGTCAGGACACAGTGAGAAGGCAGCCATCTGCAAGACAAGGAAAGAAACCTCAGAGTGAAACCAATCCTGCCAATCATTGATCCCAGACTTCTCTAAAACTGTGAAAAAAATAAATTTCTGCCATTTAATGCTGCTAATTTACCTTGAATGTGTGACTTTTCTTTTATTTATTCTGCTTTTTATGCTATTTTTATGATTAGAGAAAGACATTTTCCATAGACTGAGTAGAATAAATCATTTTCTTATTATTCACATGTTTTCAGTAAGGTAGTTTCACAACTGACTTCATTCATTTAACTTCTTTTTCTTTTCTAAAGGTTAGCAGTGTTTATAATAGGTATCTTTTTGAAAATGTTCTGTTGGTCAAGCCACCCAGCATATGCTATCTTGTTACAGCAGCCTAATTAACCTAATATAGCTGCATTTATAAATATTAGCCACTGCTACTGACAGAACAATTCCAATAAATTCTTCTTGTCACTTCTTAATAAAGATATTGAAAGAACACAAAATACCTTGTTTCACTTCTTAAAATATTTGACATCTTAGATTTTTTAACTGTTTTTCTTTTCTTCATTATTATTATTATTATTATTACTATTATTTTGAGACAGAGTCTCGCTCTGTCGCCCAGGCTGGAGTGCAATGGCACAATCTCTGCTCACTGCAACCTCTGCTTCCCTGGTTCAAACGATTCTCCTGCCTCAGCCTCCCGAGTAGCAGGAACTACAGGCACATGCCACCATGCCCAGCTAATTTCTGTATTTTTAGTAGAGATGAGGTTTCATTATGTTGGCCAGGATGGTCTTGATCTCTTGACCTCGTGATCTGCCCACTTCAGCCTCCCAAAGTGCTGGGATTACAGGTATGAGCCACTGCACCCAGCCTAAACTGTTTTTCTTTCTCTTTTTTTTTTTCTTTGAAATGGAGTCTCGCTCTGTCGCCCAGGCTGGAGTGCAGCGGCACGATCTCGGCTCACTGCAAGCTCTGCCTCCCAGGTTCAAGCAATTCTTGTGCCTCAGCCTCCTAAGTAGCTGGGACTACAGGAGCCCACCACCATGCCTGGCTAATTTTTTTGTATTTTTTAGTGGAAACGGGGTTCCACCGTGTTAGCCAGGATAGTCTCAACTCCTGACCTTGTGATCTGCCCGCCTCAGCCTCCCAAAGTGCTGGGATTACAGGCATGAGCCACTGCGCCCGGCCTTCTTTTCTTAATGTTTCTTGATATGGTTTGGCTGTGTCCCCACCGCCCCCCATACTCAACTTGAATTGTATCTCCCAGAATTCCCACATTCTGTGGGAGGTACCCAGGGCAAGGTAACTGAATCATAGGGGTGGGTTTTTCCTATGCTATTCTTGTGATAGTGAATAAGTCTCACGAGATCTGGGGGTTTATCAGGGGTTTCCGCTTTTGCTTCTTCCTCATTTTTCTCTTGTCACCATCATGTAAGAAGTGCCTTTCGCCTCCCACCATGATTCTGAGGCTTCCCCAGCCATGTGGAACCGTAAGTCCAGTTAAACCTCTTTTTGTTCCCTGTTTCAGGAACGTCTTTATCGGCAATGTGAAAATGAACTAACACAGTAAATTGGTACCAGGAGTGGGTTGTTGCTGAAAAGATACCCAAAAATGTGGAAGCAGCTTTGGAATTGGTAACAGGCAGAGGTTGGAACAGTTTGGAGGGCTCACAAGAAGACAGGAAAATGTGGGAAAGTTTGAAACTTCCTAGAGGCTTGTTGAATGACTTTGCCCAAAATACTGATAGCAACATGGATAATAAGGTCCAGGCTGAGGTGGTCTCAGATGGAGATGAAGAACTTGTTGGGAACTGGAGCAAAAGTGACTCTTGTTATGTTTTAGCAAGATGGCTGGTGGCATTTTGCCCCTGTCCTAAAGATTTGTGGAACTTAGAATTTAAGAGAGATGATTTAGGGTATCTGGTGGAAGAAATTTCTAAGCAGCAAAGCATTCAAGAGGTGACTTGGGTCCTGTTAAAAGCTTTCCGTTTTAAAAGAGAAACAGAGCATAGAAGTTCAGAAAATTTGCAGCCTGACGATGCAGTAGGAAAGTAAAACCCATTTTTTGAGGAGAAATTTAAGCCAGTTACAGAAATTTGCATAAGTAGCAAGAAGCCTAATGTTAATCCCCAAGACCGTAGGGGAAAATATCTCCAGGCCATGTCAGAGAGCTTCACGGCAGCCCCTTCCATCACAGGCATGGAGGTCCAGAAGGAAAAAGTGGTTTTGTGGGCCAGGTCTATGGTCCCTGTGCTGTGTGCAGCCTGGGGAATTGGTACCCCATGTACCAGCTGCTCCAGTCATAGCTGAAAGGGGCCAACATAGAGCTTGGACTGTGGCTTCAGAGGGAGGAAGCCTCAAGTGTTGGCAGCTTCCACGTGGTGTTGAGCCTGTGGGTGCACAACAGTCAAGAATTGAGGTTTGGGAACCTCTGCCTAGATTTCAGAAGATGTATGGAAACACCTGATGCCCAGGCAAAAGTTTGCTGCAGGAGTGGGCTTTCATGGAGAATATCTGCTAGGACAGTGTGGAAGGGAAATGTGGGATTGGAGCTCCCAAAGAGAGTCCCTACTGGGGCACCGCCTAGTGGAGCTGTGAGAAGTGAGCCACTGTCCTCCAGGCCCCAGAATGGTAGATCCACTGGCAGCTTACACTGTGTGCCTGGAAAAACCACAGACACTCAATGCCAGCCTGTGAAGGCAGACAGGAGGGAGGCTATACCCTGTAAAGCCCCAGAGGTGGAGCTGCCCAAGACCATGGGAACCCACCTTTTCCATCAGCAAAACCTGTATGCCAGATTGCCCTCACATCTGAAAATGGGTATTTCTTTTCTACCACATGGTCAAGCTGCAAATTTTCCAAACTTTTATGCTCTGCTTCACTTTTAAACATAAGTTCTAATTTCAGATCATCTCCTTGTGAATGCATATGATTGTATGCTTTCAGAAATAGGTTACATGTTGAATCATTTGCTGTTTAGGAAGTTCTTCTGCCAGATACCCTAAATCATCTCTCTCAAGGTCAAAGTTCTACAGATCTCCACAGCAGAGGCAAAATACTACCAGTCTCTTTGCTAAAGCATAGCAAGAGTGACCTTTGCTCCATTTCCCAATAAGTTCCTCATTTCCATCTGAGACCACCTCAGCCTGCACTTCACTGTCCACATCACTATCAGAATTTTGGCCAAAACCGTTCAAGTCTCTAGGAAGTTCCAAACATTTGCACATTTTCATGTCTTCCTCTGAGTCCTCCAAACTATTCTAACCTCTGTCCATTACCCAGTTCCAAAGTTGCTTCCACTTTTCAGGTATCTTTATAGCAGTCTCCCAAACTCCTGGTACCAATTTTTTGTATTAGTTTGTTTTCACACTGCTATGAAGAACTACCTGAGACTACATAATTTATAAACAAAAGAGGTTTAATTGACTCACAGTTCCACACGGCTAGGGAGGCTTCAGGAAACTTACAATCATGTGGAAGTCAAGGGGAAAGCAAAGCACAACTTGCATGGCAGCAGGAGAGGGAGAGAGAGAGAGAGAGAAGGCTAAAGGAGAAGTGCTACACTTTAAAACCGTCAGCTCTCAAAATAACTCACTCACTGTGAGGAGAATAGCATGGGGGAAACCACCCTCATGATCCAATCACCTCCCACCAGGTCCGTCCTTTGACTTGTGGGGATAACAATTTGAGATGAGATTTGGGTGGTGACACAGAGACAAATCATACCAATATGTAATATAAATACATATAGAAAAATACACACTATTCACTGGTATATATAAAAAAGCATCAAGTCATTAGGTTGGTGTTTTCATCAGAATCAATGTGAATCACCAGAGATAGAAAAATAAAACAGAGAAAACAAGTATACTACATAATATTCTGGATTATTTTCATCACAAGAATAGGCCAAGAACACACAAGGAAACCAAACAAGTCGAATTAAATGTTTCTTGCAAAATTGCAATATACATATTGCCCTCCTGGTCATCCTGAAAATAGACATCATCCCCAGCCCCACTTATAGTGAAAAAAAAAAAAAAACTCAAACAAATTAAGCATTGATTAGAGGTACAGCCAAATATAGTCTCAGTGATAAAACAGCTAGGGAGAGTGAAAAAGATCCTATCAGTATAAGTGATGTCATTATGGGGAAGAATATGACCCAGGCATAAATGGATTAACTTGAACCTGTGAATTTGAGAAAGCGTTCTTATCCTATTGAACCTGGCCTCATCGGTGTGCATTATTTAGGCTACGCTGCTGTAATAAAGAAAATTAGCATAATTAAGCAGCTTAAAGAAGACACAAATTTATTTCCCTCTCATTTGATGGTCTAAAGTGAGCAGTCTGGATTAATAGGCTGCCTTATTTCATGCAGCCTATTTCATTTTCATTCACTCAAAAACCCAGGTTCCTTTCTTCACATTCTCTCGCCATTTTTTAGTGCCTTCCCTTTACCTGTATGAGTTTTGGGTCACTGCCACATTAAGGTTGCCTCTGTCTAATAGGCAGAGGAGAGTGTTATGGAACATAGCCAGGAGTAGGTTCAGAAGTGGCACACATTATTTCCATTCACGTATTTTTTAGACGGAATTTACTCACATGACCACACTTAACTTGGAAAACTTGGAAATAGGGCTATCAGTGTACCGAAGACAGGGCAGGTGAGCCTAGATGGAGTTTGCCTCAATATTGAAGCAACATAATCATGCTAAAATAACTAATAAAAAAAGAGAAATGGGAATTAAGATGTATATTTGTCTAACCTGAAATTTTTAAAAAGTTTTCTAGTTGCTTTTTTTCTCACTGAATGAAAGTAGGTATAAATAAAAATGTCTACCAATAGCTAATTCACACAACAAATTTCAGAATGTAAAACAAATTTAAGTCTTTATGGGAAAACGTACAGTAAAGTGTAAATCATCACTATATAGTGTTTGAAATATTTAATTGAAACAAGTGTTGTAATTATTTTATCTTTTCTAATGATGTAAAAATGTAGTTTAAAATCTATTTTACACAATTCTAAATCACTTTAAATTTTGTTCTTATTTTACACATGGCAATAGACCGAATCCAAAAAAAAAAAAGTTTTCATTTAATAAATTCAATTCAAGATGATATATTTTTGTGGTTACCTAGGTAATAGTTGCTATAGCTCTGGAATGCATTATCAGTTTAACAGTATATTCATAATAGGTCCTACAGTGTAGATTCAGATCACTATTTTATAGACTGTCATAAATAAATATGTTAATCTTTGCATTATCCATCAATATCAAATATGTTAACATGTTCCATTATCATCAATATTTCAAATACCAATTTCAAATCTATTCTTCCCCAGACAGGGAAGATAAAAAATTATATACAATTTCATAATTGTATATTGTACATATATTGGTTTTAAAGATGTTAACAGCTATATAATTGAATGTCTTCAAAAAAGGAAACATCAAGTATGTTTCTATGCTAAAAACATACAAACATATATAGAATATAAATAATCCTGAAAAGATTTTTAACATGATATTCATTTCTACTAATTAAATCAACTGTTATGTAGTTGGTTAGCCAACGACCCTCTATCTTGAAAAACAATTTGACTTCAATTTACATGTATAATTCCTGGATTTTTAATTATTAAATTGGAATCCATTCTGAAGTACATAGAAGTTTTGATTGATGTCTCACAGAGCATAAATAATTGCCTCTTTTAAGCTGTTTGGTAATTTTAAAGCAATAAGTAGCACTGCATACTAGAATAAGCTAGAGCTAACTGTCAGACTTGCAATCAAATTTCATGTGTGAAATTAGCTACGTGATTTTGCACAAGTTACCTAAAGCTCAGAGCCTCAGTATTCTCATCTCTAAAGGACATTCATAGGATCATTTTTCATATAAAGTGAGATAATTTGTATGGAAACCATCTAATAATAATGGTATGTATGAACTCAAAGCAATTACTATAACATAACTACCAATCAATTTCTCCTTTACTGGTTTAATTGTAGATGCAAAGATCCAAAGCAAATTGGATGTTGCTCCAAACTCAAAAGATGTTTTTAATTTATATTGATTATTGATATATTTAGCTCTAGGTATCGAAGGTAGAAACTTCTGTATTACCAAAACTTTTTGAACTCTTTTTCCAAAACACAGTGTTTATAAAGAGGTTACCACTATCTATATTCTAACTATAGCACCATAAAATTCAACTAGCTTTACTAGCTCTCTCGACTATAACTCAGATCCCTCATCTGTATGATATATGAATATGATGAATATAGTACAAAAAACAAAATATATTGTACCTTTTAAAAATCAACCTATTCTAGGGATAAAATGTAAACACACTCACACATACACACAGACACTTATATTGCCTCTCTTTTCTCAGGCTCGAATTCCCTTTTCCTTACCCTTGCTTTCCAAAAAGGCTTTCATCCCTTCTATTCCAATGAAATTTCTCCTATCAATATTGACTTCCATTTTACCGTTTCCAAAAGTCAACACCAAGTCCTCATCTTAGATGACTTATTAGAAGCATTTGACATTGATGATTATTCCCTCTCCTCCTTTTATTTTAATAGTTGGCTTTCCAGGACACCACATCTTCTAATGTTCTTCCTGCCTTTCTGACTGCTCCTTCACCATCTCCTTTGCTACCTCCTCCTCTTCATACCTACTTTTAGATTTTGGAGTGCCTTAGGGCTTAATCAAGGATATACTTCTCTATTTATACTCACTTTTATAGGTGATCTCATCCAAATCTGTAGCAATAAATGTCATCTGTACATTAGTGAGTCCTAAACTGAATTGTTACTCTACTTGTCCTGTGACTTTTAAGAAACCCATATCACATTAACTGTTTACATGTCAACAAAGAATCTTATGATCACCTTAAATTTAACATATCCAAAACAGAATTCTATCTCCCCATCAGGATCACAAACCTGTTCCTCACTCAATTCTTCCCCTTTATCTGTACATTTCCTCAGGTCATAAGCTCTGGAACCATCCTTTACTTCTCTCTTTCCCTCATTTTCTATATCCAACTCATCAGAAAGGTATGGTTTGAATATATGTCTGATTCCTACCTCTTCTGATGGCCCTACCACTAACACTCTACTGAAAGGCACAATCCTCCAGTGTGAATTTTATAAAAATGTACAACAGATTATGATACTCTCTAGTTCAAAGTTTCCATGGGCCATCCATAATACTCAGAAAATATCCTAACCGTAGCCCTTATGTTCCTAGTCTATCTTCACAATCTCATCTCCTATCTCTTTCTACTAATTTTCTTCACTTCAGCCATGGCTTGTTCCCAGGTTATCACATTCTTATTTTCTGTCTCCTCTCCCAGAATGACCTTGCCCAGATTTTCATGTGGACTAAAGCTAACTTCCAAGTCTCTGCTCAACTATCATATTATCAATGGCCTTTTGCATCATCTTATTTAAAATAAACTTCCCATATCACTTTCTCTTCTTACCTTATTTTCATCTATAACAAATGTAGTGAACAAAGACATGTTGCTCTCAGACCCACTTCCAAGAAATAATCTGCTGCCTAGAAATGAGCAATGGCGTTTTCTGACAGTTCTCAGCCATTAACTCCACGAGTATAGGTGATACTCTGTTCTGTGTGACATCAGCTAATGGCTGAGAAATGTGTTACTACAGAGACCTAGCCATTTCTAATGGATATTTTTTTGTTCTGGAGTGCTTCTGTGGACTGCCAGATACATTGTCAATTACAGCATCATAACTGACCTCTGTTCATTCCCACTGCCTGTTTTTCCCCTTCATTGGTTTCACTGGTTTGCACTCCAACAAAATTTTAAAATTTTACCCTCGATTTTAGTGTGTTCTTTCTAGAAGACCCAAATTATACAGCAAGCTATGTCACATATTTGTTGACTCTATGTCTCCCTCAATAGAATGCAAGTTTTATTAATGCAGTGAGTTTGTTAGTCTTCTGAACCATTATATTCCCAACTACCAAAAAAGAACCTAGGATAAAGTAGGTCCTTAATAATTCTGTATGATTAAATGAAGAATGACTTTGCGTAAATGAATTACCTAATGCATAAACATTATAGCACGATTAATAAAACATAAAAAGGAACAAATGTCAACCCACAGTTTTGCCATCCTAATAAATCAAGCCTTTAAATTATGTTTTCTTCTCTTTAGCCACATGATTACAATATTATACATAGTTTTACTCACAGCATTGCAAATATAATTTTTAGTCTATTGGTTATTTTAAGTTAATACAAAATATTTCTAGGTTGTTATAGTGTTCAAACTATACATTTCTCATGGTGTTTATGTTTCATTATATAGATATACAACAATTTGCTAAATTGTCGGGATTTTTAAAATGAAGTTTTTAATATTAGAGGTAACAACACAGCAATGTTTACATTTTTTTAACAAGTAACAGAGCTAGATTAGGTGATTTTCAGAAATATTAGGTTAGCAATAGGGGATGTATATTTTTAATTCCATACAATGAACAAAGAGGCATAGCTTGTTGCACTTTACCAAAGGCAATCAGACAGGTGTTAGAAAAGGCTTTCACATTTTAGGTGGGCCTGATAGAAAGACTATAAATTAAAGGGAGAATAAACTTCAAGTTTTGCCTGACCTCTAGAATTGTTTTTGAATTATCTTTACAATTTTCCTGACCTTAAATAAATTGTTTTCTAAATGGGCATGCAGACTTAGATTATGTCCTCAAGTTCTCTGCATAGATGCTACAGATGCTAATAAGAGGTTGTAAATAGAGATAGTACCAGGTTCATAGTAATATAGTTAGAAATGTTTGATCTTTAGAGCACAAGTTACTTAATTTGAATAGTAAGAGCGTTTCTCTCAGTTTAATCTAATAGTGGTCTCAAAAGCTGACAATGTAACAAATGTATATTTTACCACATTTTGGTGATACACTGAGTGAAATCTGGTTTGAAAAGGTATAATCTAATGCTACTTCCTAAGTCCTTGATACAAACAAGTAGAAGCTTCTTGACATATAAGGTAATGGAGTAGGAATATCAAGAATCCTTATGTATCTACTATAGACTGTAAGATCAGAGTCACCAGCAGCATTAAATATTGTTTCACAAAAACGCTTAAATGCTTGCTCTAGTACTCCAACTAATTCTTTGACCTATTTGCAGAAAAGCTTTTGAGGGCTTCAGGCTTGACTTGAAGTACAATAGAAATTATTACATTAAATGAAATCTTTTTAATCTTTTTTTCTTCAGATTACAAAAGTAATGCATATATTCATTGTCTTAGTTAGGTTAGACTAAGCTATGGTAACAAATTCCAAAATTTCAGGGGACTAACATTTATTTTTGGCTCATATATATCAGCGTGGCTCTCCTCCGTGCAATAAATCTGAACTGAATTTCCTCCCATCTTATGGCTTTATCATTCTCATCAGCCTCCGCAAGCAGCCAAAACTAGGGAAAAGAAATCATGGAAGAGACCTACTCACTCTGTAAAAGCCTCAGATGAGAATAACACATTTCATTTCCATTCACATATTTAGCTGCATAACTATACTTTGTCCACAAGGGAGTTAGAAATATATAGTCTCAACATGTTCATGATGATAATCCTATTAATATAAAAGGAGAGAATAAAATTTTGAGGAAAAAGTCTGTTCCACATTTATACAACATTGAAACATCATGAAAATATGCCTTTAAAAGTAAAAATTCCTCTTAAAACTGCCCCTCAGAAACAACTACTGTCAAGAATTTGTTACATATTCCAACTCACTTTATTCATATGCTTGAATATGTTTTAAATAAGTCTATAGTGTGCCTAATAGTTTTAAACTTTAGAATAAAATCAAAGCATTTTAATATGGATAATAAGATGTTAAAGAGATTACTAAAGAACTTCATCTCCCCTTCCTCACTGCATATCAGCCATATGATTTTTACTTCTGTTCGGGAAATATTCCCATTTACTTTGCAATTTTCTCTGTCTGAAACCTTCCAATTCATTGCAGAATGAGAGCCTTATTCTCCAGATCTCAACTCAGAGGGCATCTCCTCAGAGAAGTCTTCCTTCAGCATTAATCAAAGATGGTCTTTTCCACTCAACCAACTCTAGCTCAACAAAAATTTAAATTCCTTTTCACTGCCTGAAATAATTTTCTTTACTTATCTCCACTAAAATGTAATCTGCAAAACAAAAGGACCTTATCTATCTCGTTCAGCACTGTGTGCTCAGTATATACAATGATGCCTGATGTTATAGGTGCTGGATGAATGAGTGTATGAATGGATGTATCTATGGTTGTGTAACAAACCAACTGAAAATGTAGTGGCTTAAAAATTAATTTAACAATGATTTGTTATTTTTCATGACTATGGATCAAGAACTCAGGCAATGCTCAGTTGAGTGGTTATTCTACTATACATGATTGTAGCTGGATTCACTCATATGTAGCTAGCTGCAGCCAGCTGGGAGGTCCCAACGTACTAACCAAATGTACTAAGTGGATTTCTCATGCATCAGGTGTCTTTCTATATTACTTCTAATTATCAAATCATCTAGCCTGGACTTCTTTACATCATGGCTGCTGAGATCCAAGAAGAAGGAATAAAAGTTGTAGTATCTTTTAAGGTCTAGAGTAGAAATCCAAGAATATTACTTCCACTGTATTCAATTAGTTTAAGCAAGTGATAGTCCAGCGCAGGCTCAAGGAAAGAGAAAGGAGACCAAATTTCTTCGAGTCTGTGCATGTACAACAAAGGGAGGAATTATTGAAAGCTACATATGGAGATTATATACCCCAGTCCCAATAACTGTGTCAGTCAGGACACAATCAGTGAATCACTAATAGTTAATATTACAGTTATAGAATAAGTTGTAGAATAGTTACAGAATAAGAATTTTTTTTTGTAGGAATGAGACCTTAAACAATTGTGGGAGAAGCTTGAAAATTAAAGTCTGAAAAGGGAGGTTGGAGGATCAGAGGTGTCATCCACAGTCAATCTGAGATGCCACATAGATTCAACCACCAAAAAAGGATCATAAAAGAGGAGTGGGTGGAGATACCTACAGGAAGGTGTTATCTTTATGGGTTCCCATGTAATTATCTGGTGATGAACTTCGGGCCACGGATGGTCACTAGGGCCTGCAATTGGAGAGAAGAACTAGACAGACACTGGAACAAAGCCAAGCAGAAACTTGCCAGCATTTGTGTACCTCTTGTCTGGGTCTGAGACTGACGGTCAGCAAGGCCAGGAGTCCAAAAGAAGAGCTTGACACATAGTTGAGATGCATAGGGAAAAGCTAAAGCCCAACAGGCACCTCTATATTTGTCTGTCATTTCAGATAACCATGATGACCATAAGAAAATGAAGCCATTGCTTGCTTCTGCTTTCCAGATCTCAAGCAAATTACTCTTTTGACCAACTATAACCTGAAACCATTCATGAAAAGAGTTGGGAGAACATAATTAAATTGATACTTTAGAAATCACAAAAATGTACTTATTCTTTTCATTGGTCAACATAGCCTGGATATCTTTCAAAATCAATACATGGACATCTTTCTCATTATTTTTAATAGCTGTATAATTTCTTTCCAAGTTCTGGTATTGCAAGCAATGCTGCAGTGAATTGCCTTGAACAAGAATTCTTTTCAATTGTGAGAGGTCTGTAGAATAAATTTCTAGGAGTGGAAATGCTAGCATAAAGGGTATATAAAATTTTAAAGCAGTTATTGCCAAAATGTCTTCAAATAGACTGTAACTATATTGTTTTGGAGACTGCCATAATTGAGTCAGCCTCTCTCTCAGATGGATCATATTGTGATTCTCATAATTGCAATGAAAAGGAAATTGCAAGGCACAGAGGAACAAAATGAAATTAAATGCCTTCATCTGCCTTTTAGTCCTGATTAAACATAGAGTACCTAAAATGTTTGAATATTATCCACTCTGATTTTAGTCTTGTCCCTGAAGGTGAGAGTGTACTCCTTTGAAGAGTCCTAAATTCCAGACATATTAAAAGGTAAATAAGGAAAAATAAGGGGCCGGGCATGGTGGCTCACACCTGTAATTCCAGCACTTTGGGAGGCTGAGGCGGGTGGACCACGATGTCAAGAGATCAAGACCATCCTGGCCAACATAGTGAAACCCTGTCTCTACTAAAAATACAAAAATTAGTTAGGCATGGTGGTACATGCCTGTGGTCCCAGCTGCTTGGGAGGCTGGGGCAGGAGAATGGCTGTAACCCAGGAGGCGGAGGCTGCAGTGAGTCGAGATGGCGTCACTGCACTCCAGCCTGGTGATAGAGTGAGACTCCATCTAAAAAAAAAAAAAAAAAAAAAGGAAGGAAGGAAGGAGAGATGCTTTGGTCCATGATCATTTTCCCTGGACAGAGATCAATGTCAACAATGAAATGTAGCCAGCCTCTCAGGGTTTTTCCCTGTAGGCCTCTATTTAAGCAAAATCTCTTTATACATGCTCAGCTGAGAAATAAAATACTTTTCTCTCCATTAAGTTTAGTTAGCAAGTTTGCTGAACACTAGAGGCTCAAGAATGGGCTTTAGATACATTTTTTACTCTCCCTAATAGGAAAGGTGAGGATAATAATGACAGAGATCTCAACCTTGTGCTCGTTAGAATCCCCTGGGAGTATGCTAAAAATTAGCAATATCTATGCTCCAGTTCCAGAGATTTTGAGCTGATTGGTTGGAGGTATCCAGCGTTGGTATTGTCTAAATGATATCCATGTGTTTCTCATGTGCAGCCAGAGTGAGAACCTCTACCTTGGAGAAGAAGCACTCCATTCCGGTGACAACTGGAATACCTCATTTACAATTGATATCTGTAGGACTCGTATTATCCAGTCCCATTAGAAGAAAAGAAATTACTCAGCTTTCATTAATTGGAGATTTTTCTGAAAATTCCCCTAAAACAAATGTTTGCCACTCCTGCTTACAAAGTTTGAAAGTGTCTGTGTCCCCACACCCTGGCAAATACTAGTTATTATTAGTAATTTCCTTTTCTTTCTTTTTGTTAAACGGAGTGGAGTCAACTACTTCAACATTGTTTCAAATATATCCTTTGCATTATTGCTGAGATTGAACATCTTTTAATAAGTTCTTTGGACATCATGCCTACTGTGAATTGCCTGTTCATATTTGTGCTTTATTTTTGTTGGACTGCTCATTTTTCTTTCATTTATTTGCAAAGGCTATTCATGTAGATAATATCCATTTGTCTTTTATATATGCTATACACATTTTCCCCAGTTATTCACTTATTTTTTAACTTTTGTATGGTGATTTAAGAAGAAAATTGTTTAGTCAAATCTGTCAATACTTTCTTATTTTCTTTCATGTCGCCCTCAATCCTATATTATTTTTTAAAAGACTACATTTTCTATTGTGTTTGTTTTAATGTTTCATTCTATAATCTTTCTGAAATTAGTATAAGTAGCCAATTATTTTACATTAATTAGCACAACACAATCTATTATTACAGCACACTTCCATTTTAAGATACATTTTTTACAAGTTATAAGTGTTTTTAGCCTGATTATTCTTAAAATCACTCATGTTGATTTCAAGAATCTTAACTGGTTAAATATAGATGATTCTAGCTATTTTACTGTAATTCTCAGAAAAAAAGGAATTAAGTAAGAAGCTATTTATACTTTTTCTCTCAGTCCGAAATACATTCTTTATGTCTGTAAGTTTTGACACAAATACATTTTAGAGATATTTTTAAGTCCTCCAGGTTTGAATTTTAGAACTAAAAAATCAGAAACATCACATTCATTCGGTAGCCATCAATTGTTTATCTTGCTGAGGAGATTATCACTTTTCTGTGATTCAATTATGCAAATAAACTCTAAAAACAGAACTTAGCATAAGTGAAATGCTACTTTAAAAAACAAAATTTTATAAAAAATAAATATACACAATAATTATCTGCTCCTTTTATTTCTTTAGATTAAGACTGATTCTGTAACTCTTATGCTTGTGACAAAGCAATGTGACCTTGGAAAGATGTCTATTTCCTTATCTCTAAAATGATGATACATAATAATGTTGATTTTAAAGTGCTATTATAAGGATTAAATAAAATAATACATGAAAAGTGCTTAGCAAAATGTCAGATGGAAAGCTAACACCCATTACATAATTGCTGTTTTTATTCAATTAGCAGTCCTATTACTACTACATACGTTATGAGGCACACATCACATTTTGATCTTTTCATTGTTTTCATAGTGCCATAGGAAAACTCACTCTAGTCTGGTTTTGTCCTCATTACTCCATTTGGTATTGTTTATGTCAAAGCCACCAACAACTTCTGTGAAACCAAATCTCATGTTCACCTTTCTGTTTATATCTTACTTATGCTTCTGTCTGCCTACCGTATTAACTTTATTCTCTCCTCTTGCCTCTTATCTTATTCTTTGCTCTGTCTTGCTACACTGCTCCTTTATGATCTTTTCTTCTCTACTAAACTGCTAAAAGCTGGATGCTTTGAGGCTCTGTTTTAAGTCACTCTCAATGTTCCCACAAGGTAATATTTCTAGCTTATCTCATAGGATTCATGGCTTTAAATACCAACTAAATATCAAGGGCTCCAGCCCTGACCTAGAACCTGTCTGGAGTCCTAGACAACAACTTTCCACCTGATATCTGGACATGAATGTCAAGTAAATATTTCAGACTTAGCTGTCCAATTTCTCCCTACCTCATAACCTAGTACTTTAAAAACTGTTAAAAATGTAAATTAGATTTTGTTTCATTCTTCCTTAAAAACTTCCAATGGATTCCCATTGTACTTTAAAAAAAAATCCAAATTCTTTACCCCAGTTTACAAAGAACACTCCATAGTCTCTTTCTTTGACATTATCTAATTAGCCTCTTCTCTAATTAGTTGTCCTTTATACTTCAGCAACATTGGCCTTCTTTTTATCTTAAAACTCAACATACTTAAGTTTGCCCTAACTAATACTGCTTCTGGTTTGCATGCACCTAGCTATTTCTGGTTCTTCGTCACCTCTTCAGAGAGGATGAGTCTACTAACATAGCTCCACAGTCACTGTATCATGAAGTTCTTTATATTCATTGGAATTATATATTGTGTAAGTGCTTATTTATTTGTTTGTTTCCTCTCACTAATGCAAGCTTCATAAAAGTAGAGTTCTTCTGACCTAGGTTCACATCTCAAAGAACAGACCCTAGTACTCAGTTAGAATTTGTTAAGTACATAAATAAACACATTATCCCTCTTTACCAAAGAAGAAATAAAACTTGAAGAACTAGTGCCAAACTAACAAAAAAAAAAAGATGAGAAATCACTTTCCCTGAAACTTTTCATACTTTAATTGTTTCTAAACAAATTTTCCATTCAATTAATGTTTACTAAATTGCTAATTAAGTGTTATCTGGAAACAAACAACAAAATATTAGGCATGATTCCTAAAATCAAGAAGTTGTGCCTTTATATGAGGACACAAATGAACACATGAAAAGCTAAGTAAATACTTGGTGGTAAATGTTAGATGAGAGAAAAATGACTGATACACATAATAAGAACTATTGTAATATTCAAATCTATTTATGTTACAAGATAATTATTGGCAATATTTATTTCTGTTTTCTTCATTATTGAAATGTAATTGCATTTTTAAAAAAATTTGATTCCCAACTTGATATATAATCTGGTAACAAAACTTTGAGAAACTCTAAAGAACTACGTTAGACAATTCAAAAAAGTTTTAATGTAAACAATACTTACTAAGAAAAGATAATTAAACTGAAGCCATTTTCAAGTCGAGTAAGTGTTTGGGACAGAGAAAAAACTGTTCTGTTTTGAGTAGAAATGGATATATTTGGTTGTTCTGATATATATATGTATATACTGGGAATAATTTGAAAACTAGTTATATGTTTTATACAGTCAAGCATTGCATAATGACATTTTGATCAATGACAGACCATATATACAGCATGTACAACAGTGGTCCCATAAGATTGTAACAACATATTCTTACCAGACCTTTTGTATGTTTAGATATGTTTAGACACATAAATTCTTACTACTGTGTTCCATCTGCCTACAGTGTTCAGTAGAGTGACATGGTGTACAGATTTGTAACCTAGGAGAAATAGGCTATGCCTAATAGCCTAGGTGTGTAGCATAGCCTAGACTATCTAGGTTTTTGTAAGTGCACTTTATTTTGTTAGGATGATGACTAGATCACCTAACAACACATTTCTCAGGCTGTGTATCTGTCATCAAGCAATGCATGATGGTAGTTGTAAACTAAAAATAATTTATTGCCTATTTTTGACACAGAGATTTCTACCACCAGTGTCACTTACCCCCAAATTTTTTTTCTCTAAAGTAACTCACTGTACAGTCATGATTTCTGAGGTGAGTCTACATAATGCAACTCAAATATAGTGATATGATTTTGATTTTTAAATCACAGTATAAATGGGATTAATAGATTCACATATTTCTTGTTAAAAAGGTCTGAGGTAATATTAGGTCATCAAATGCCTAGAGAAAATGAATAATACTGTTGCTGGGGAAAGGTTACAAGAAAAGGAAAGTGTAAAGATTATAAATGTTACCTACTTTATACTTTTGAAAACAGCCATCCTGGACATCCACTAACACCAAGATTATTTAATTATTCTTAGAAGAAATGGCAGAGAA
The DNA here is from genome assembly GCF_000001405.40 of Homo sapiens. Taxonomy (NCBI): domain Eukaryota; kingdom Metazoa; phylum Chordata; class Mammalia; order Primates; family Hominidae; genus Homo; species Homo sapiens. The sequence continues at coordinate 82,299,702 of NC_000012.12, forward strand.
GGTCAAGTTTAAGTAGAGTCTATCAGCAAAAGACAACAATCCTCAATTCTCCCTGAAAACCACTCAGCAAGATATAGACTTGAAGTCATCGTGTATGACCATATCACCATGGTAACCTCCAGCTCAGGCTACTTGATGTCTGCAGAGCAGTAAAAACATTCCTTTAAAGAGAAAAGAATGCATGTAGGTCACACACACTCACACGAAAAATGAATGTGAGAGAAGAAAAGATTCATTTCCAGGGAAGTGCATGGCAAATGTTGTAGGCATTAAATATTTGGACAATAAAACTGGGAGCATTTCTAATATGGCAAGAAGGAAATAACCATAAAATAAAATTTTCCTGTACTTAATCTAGAAAATTTTCCCCACCTAAAACCAAAGTGGGAGAAATCCCACTTCTCCTCCTCTGAATATACAAAATACTTTTTCAAGAGCCATGCACATCTATCTGAGGTATTAGTGAAGAAGGTATTAGTGAAATATATTTGCCCATAAAGAAAGCTGTGCTTCACTCTTTGGTGACAATACACATGTCTGCATGAGAAATAAGCACAGAAAAATTAACTGTATAAAACACACGTATAATGTATATTAATTGGTAGATACTTTATATGCATTCACTTTCTTAATTTTTCCCATCAGTCCTGAAGCAGAGGTACTATTATTTTTCCTAATTACAGATAGATGAAGAATGTAAAATACAAATAAGTTCAGAAATTTTCCACAGGACACACGGCTAATAAGCAACAAATCCAAAATTCAAAGTGAGACAGTTTGGCTCAAGGGTCTGTATTTGTAACCATTGTGCTAAGACAAGTCTGTAACACCAACACAGAATTTCTTTCTCTTTACGTACAAATGATAGAATGGCTTAATGCTTAAAATGATAAGCATTTATTATCTATAAGCTTATTTGCATTAGGAATTCAAGAGTAGCCAAAATAAAAAATTACGGCTTAGGGTTTCTTAATGAGGTTGTAATTAAGATGTTGGCTGAGGCTACAGTTATCTGAAAGCATGACAGCAGCTAAAATATCTGCTTCCACAATGGCTCCTTCATGGCTGTTGGCAAGAGACTTCACTTCCTTATCTCTTAGACTTCTGCATAGAGCTGTTTGTGTGACCTTACAAAACGGCATCTGGCTTCCCTCAGAGTGAGAGCTTCCCCAAGAAGTGAGAGTAAGGCAGTAGCCTAATTATCACATGCCATCGCTTTAGGCATATTCTAATGATCATGGAATGGCATGTGTTTATGAATACCATATACAAAGCCATGAATACCAGGAGTAGGGGTAGACTGATTAGCCCACCTGTAATCTGAATTTCTTTGATTAGTGCAAAGCAGAGCTGGGACTAGAGTGACGCAAGTGAAGCATCGAAGGGGCAAAATGTAAGGAGGTACTCATCCTTGTGTGCCGACTCTGAACAAACATGACCTAGAGAGAGACTCCCTTTTTATATTTTGTGTCCTAGGTATCTTGCTTGCTTTACCGTAGTCCCAGCCCCGGTATAAAAAATAAACATTTTTCCATGTTTTACTTCACTGTTTCTTCTTTTATTTATTATGAAATCAGAGTCATCACTTACCTATTGGAGTCTTTATCTTATGATTTTGATTATCTTTAAATTTTAAAGATATTAAGAGTATATTTCTGTTATAATTTTTGTGGTACACTTTGTCTTTAACATATTTCCAATATTCTTACTTCTGTCACCTGTCTTAGAGGACAAGAGTGGAAATGCTTGTTTTAAAGTGGTCTTAACATGGAGTCCCATGAGATGCTCCCTGAACACCTTAATATTATGATGTTTGGGTTATATTATGCCAATTTTTTTGAGGTTATGATTCATGCTATTAACCCAAAAAAGTTTGAATCTACTGCTTACTTATGAATTACAATATCATATTTGCAGACTTTGGTGTAGATGCTCTCATTTGTCCTTCAACACTTATTTGTCATTTTAAATAAGGAATATGAGTTTCATTACTAATTATTGATTGGCAAAAAGAATTAAGATAGGATTAATTTCTGGAATTCAATTTTACTTAATTAAACTTTAAGAAGAGATTTACAAAAAACACTTTAAATAGACTTAAAATTTATATTTATTATACAAGCAATAGTATGACTAAGGACAATGCCAGAGGAAAGAATGCATACCAACTCTAAACATATCAATTTTTTTTTTTTTTTTTTGAGAAGGAGTCTCACTCTGTAGCCAGGCTGGAGTGTAGTGGCACAATCTCGGCTCACTACAACCTCTGCCTCCCGGGTTCCAGCCATTCTCCTGCCTCAGCCTCCCAAGTAGCTGGGACTACAGACGTTTGCCACCACATCCAGCTAATTTTTCTATTTTTAGTAGAGATGTTGGCCAGGATGGTCTCAATCTCTTGACCTCATGATCCGCCCGCCTCAGCCTCCCAAAGTGCTGGAATTACAGGCGTGAGCCACTGCGCCCAGCCCGAACAAAAGTTTTTTTAAAATCACTAGTATGATTACATTGCCAAACCCAACCTAGTATTTAAGTATTAAACAGAGATTACTAGCTGCTGCTGCCAATCTTAAGTTGTTATTATTATGCTGTTTAAAATATGATTTAATGCCATTTTAAGTTACTCTTTAATTATTAGAAAGAAGTAATATATTTGGAAGTCATCCAATATATCCCTATGAATTAAACTCCCTCACTCTTTAATCATGTTATTTAATCAAAAATTAATTTCCTGCCAGAGTGGCCTGTTAAGGATTTGCTAATTCTGACTTTCTTCTCTGAAACTTAATTGAACTCAGCAGTCAATAGCTTCTCTCCCCAGGTCTTGGATAACAAAATACATTTTAGTTTCTTCTTTTTATTTTTTCCCCATATTTATCATTTCTCAAACGTTATTTTTTTCTTTAAAAATTGCTTTTCTTTTCTACAATGATTAAAGCAATTGAAAAGAATAAACAACTCACCATTAATTGACTATTCTTGAGGCTTTGTTATTTTTAAATCAACTTGGGATGATTTTCAATCTCTTCTGATATGCTTTCACATCCAATTAAAAAACATATAATAATGTGGAACTTTCTAATACAGTCTAGTCTCTTGGGCAACTGAAAGGTGTTTGGTTCATTCTTGCTTCTGTTGTCAGCTCTGGTCCATGGAAAATATCCTTCCATGGTGATCTAGGCAACATCATGATGAACCAGGAACACAGTGAAAGCCTTTCATGAAGGTGTGAAAAGCTTTAAAAATTTAGGTTGCAACTGGAGCACTCCAGTCTGGCGAGAGAGCGAGATTCCATCTCAAAACAAAACAAAACCAAACCTGTTTGTTCCAAACATAGCAAATTTTTTATTGCTAATTTGAACACACACACACAGATAAAATAGGTAATGATGAAATCTACACTCCAAGAAGATTTGTAGCAATAATGAAAAGAACACTGGAAAGGAGTTTGGTAGTCAGCACTACATCATAACAATAAGTAAAAAGCTGAACAAACTGAAAAATTAACAGCTCTTCTTAGATCTGTCAGAGAAGTGAGATCACAGGGCAAACCACTGCCCCCAAAATTGTAGAGACAGACAAATAGAAGTGGAGAATCACAACTTATTAAGCAGGAACTACACAGAAGAAATGTCCATGAGAACCAGTGCCGGGATAGGAAAACTTGAACTCTAATTGACAAATACCTGGAGGTTGACTATGGACAACTCTGAGTGTTAAAAACTCCAGAAGGACGCAGTCACAAAGGTGCCCTCTCCCTTTTGTGAGTTTTACCTCTAGAAACTCTACCAAGTCCTCACAATAAATATTGGAGAAAAATTCTCGTATGCTTCCAGAAGAGGGAGGGAAAAAGTAACCATTTAAAAAATACAACAGAGCATTCTGTTCTTCTTAACAAGGCCTGTCCTCATGATAAACTATTTTACTACAGGCTAACATGGTGGAGTTTTATCAGAGTCTAACATACCAGGAGGAAAGGAAATACCCAACTTCAGTCCACTGTAGCCATCCTGTCCTACCTAAGCAAGAAAGAAAACTTAGATACATCCCATCAATACCTAATTTAGTGAGAGTTTTTAGCATGAAGCGTTGTTGAATTTTGTCAAAGGCCTTTTCTGCATCTATTGAGATAATCATGTGGTTTTTGTCTTTGGTTCTGTTTATATGCTGGATTACATTTATTGATTTGCATATATTGAACCAGGCTTTCATCCCAGGGATGAAGCCCACTTGATCATGGTGGATAAGCTTTTTGATGTGCTGCCGGATTCGGTTTGCCAATATTTTATTGAGGATTTTTGCATCAATGTTCATCAAGTATATTGGTCTAAAATTCTCTTTTTTTGTTGTGTCTCTGCCAGGCTTTGGTATCAGGATGATGCTGGCCTCATAAAATGAGTTAGGGAGGATTCCCTCTTTTTCTATTGACTGGAATAGTTTCAGAGGAATGGTACCAGTTCCTCCTTGTACCTCTGGTAGAATTCGGCTGTGAATCCATCTGGTCCTGGACTCTTTTTGGTTGGTAAGCTATTGATTATTGCCACAATTGCAGAGCCTGTTATTGGTCTATTCAGAGATTCAACTTCTTCCTGGTTAAGTCTTGGGAGAATGTATGTGTCGAGGAATTTATCCGTTTCTTCTAGATTTTCCAGTTTATTTGCGTAGAGGTGTTTGTAGTATTCTCTGATGGTAGTTTGTATTTCTGTGGGATCGGTGGTGATATCCCCTTTATCATTTTTTATTGTGTCTATTTGATACTTCTCTCTTTTTTTCTTTATTAGTCTTGCTAGCGGTCTATCAATTTTGTTGATCCTTTCAAAAAACCAGCTCCTGGATTCATTAATTTTTTGAAGGGTTTTTTTTTGTCTCTATTTCCTTCAGTTCTGCTCTCATTTTAGTTATTTCTTGCCTTCTGCTAGCTTTTGAATGTGTTTGCTCTTGCTTTTCTAGTTCTTTTAATTGTGATGTTAGGGTGTCAATTTTGGATCTTTCCTGCTTTCTCTTGTGGGCATTTAGTGCTATAAATTTCCCTCTACACACTGCTTTGAATGTGTCCCACAGGTTCTGGTATGTTGTGTCTTTGTTCTCGTTGGTTTCAAAGAACATCTTTATTTCTGCCTTCATTTCGTTATGTATCCAGTAGTCATTCAAGAGCAGGTTGTTCAGTTTTCATGTAGTTGAGCATTTTTGAGTGAGTTTCTTAATCCTGAGTTCTAGTTTGATTGCACTGTGGTCTGAGAGACAGTTTGTTAGGTATTGATGGGATGTATCTCAAAATAATAAGAGCTATCTATGACAAACCCACAGCCAATATCATACTGAATGGGCAAAAACTGGAAGCATTCCCTTTGAAAACTGGCACAAGACAGGGGTGCCCTCTCTCACCACTCCTATTCAACATAGTGTTGGAAGTTCTGGCCAGGGCAATTACGCAGGAGAAGGAAATAAAGGGTATTCAATTAGGAAAAGAGGAAGTCAAACTGTCCCTGTTTGCAGACGACATGATTGTATATCTAGAGAACGCCATTGTCTCAGCCCAAAATCTCCTTAAGCTGATAAGCAACTTCAGTAAAGTCTCAGGATACAAAAATCAATGTATAAAAATCACAAGCATTCTTATACACCAATAACAGACAAACAGAGAGCCAAATCATGAGTGAACTCCCATTCACAATTGCTTCAAAGAGAATCAAATACTTAGGAATCCAACTTACAAGGGACGTGAAGGACCTCTTCAAGGAGAACTACAAACCACTGCTCCATGAAATAAAAGAGGATACAAACAAATGGAAGAACATTCCATGCTCATGGGTAGGAAGAATCAATATCGTGAAAATGGCTATAATGCCCAAGGTAATTTATAGATTCAATGCCATCCCCATCAAGCTACCAATGACTTTCTTCACAGAATTGGAAAAAACTACTTTAAAGTTCATATGGAACCAAAAAAGAGCCCACATTGCCAAGTCAATCCTAAGCCAAAAGAACAAAGCTGGAGGCATCACGCTACCTGACTTCAAACTACACTACAAGGCTACAGTAACCAAAACAGCATGGTAGTGGTACCAAAACAGAGATATAGATCAATGGAACAGAACAGAGCCCTCAGAAATAATGCCACATATCTACAACTATCTGATCTTAGACTAACCTCAGAAAAAGAAGCAATGGGGAAAGGATTCCCTATGTAATAAATGGTGCTGGGAAAACTGGCTAGCCATATGTAGAAAGCTGAAACTGGATCCCTTCCTTACACCTTATACAAAAATTAATTCAAGATGGATTAAAAATTTAAATGTCAGACCTAAAACCATAAAAACCCTAGAAAAAAACCTAGGCATTACCATTCGGGACATAGGCATGGGCAAGGACTTCATGTCTAAAACACCAAAAGCAATGGCAACAAAAGCCAAAATTGACAAATGGGATCTAATTAAACTAAAGAGCTTCTGCACAGCAAAAGAAACTACCATCAGAGTGAACAGGCAACCTACAAAATGGGAGAAAATTTTCACAACTTACTCATCTGACAAAGGGCTAATATCCAGAATCTATGATGAACTCAAACAAATTTACAAGAAAAAAACAAACAACCCCATCAAAAAGTGGGCAAAGGATATGAAGAGACACTTCTCAAAAGAAGACATTTATGCAGCCAAAAGACACATGAAAAAATGCTCATCATCCCTGGCCATCAGAGAAATGCAAATCAAAACCACAATAAGATACCATCTCACACCAGTTAGAATGGCAATCATTAAAAAGTCAGGAAACAACAGGAGAAATAGGAACACTTTTACACTTTTGGTGGGACTGTAAACTAGTTCAACCACTGTGGAAGTCAGTGTGGCGATTCCTCAGGGATCTAGAACTGGAAATACCATTTGACCCAGCCATCCCATTACTGGGTATATACCCAAAGGACTATAAATCATGCTGCTATAAAGACACATGCACATGTATGTTTATTGTGGCACTATTCACAATAGCAAAGACTTGGAACCAAGCCAAATGTCCAACAATGATAGACTGGATTAAGAAAATGTGGCACATATACACCATGGAATACAATGCAGCCATAAAAAATGATTAGTTCATGTCCTTTGTAGGGACATGGATGAAATTGGAAAGCATCATTCTCAGTAAACTATCGCAAGGACAAAAAACCAAACAACTCATGTTCTCACTCATAGACGGGAATTGAACAATGAGAACACATGGACACAGGAAGGGGAACATCACACTCTGGGGACTGTTGTGGGGTGGAGGGAGGGGGGAGGGATAACATTAGGAGATATACCTAATGCTAAATGACGAGTTAATGGGTGCAGCACACCAGCATGGCACATGTATACATATGTAACTAACCTGCACATTGTGCACATGTACCCTAAAACTTAAAGTATAATAATAATTAAAAAAATTTTAAAAAAGAAAAAAAAAGAAAAAACTACTAATTTTTTATAAACACACATGCACAAAAAAAGAAAGAAAACTTAGAAGCGCTGGTGGAGTTCAAAGTTCAGGAATACAAGTTCATCAGAAGTCTGAGACATAATCATAGGAGTATATAATGCTTCCCCTTCCCTTAAAATATACCATCACACCACTAAATGCCTATTTACTAGAGTTCCTTTAACCTAGTATATCATGTCTATCTTTCAACGTAATATTACAAGTCATACTAAAAGGTAAAAAAAAAAAACTATAGTTTGAAGAGATTTAACAATCATCAGACTAGTGTCAGATGTGGCAAAAGTATTGGAATAACCAAATAAGGAATTAAAAATATACACCTATATATATTTATATATGTTAATAACATGCTAAGGGTGAAAAATCTGACATGTGAGAACCAACATATAATGTAAACTGACAAATGGAAATTCTAAGAAAGAACCAAAAAGAAATGTTAGAAGTCAAAGACACTGTAACAGAAATGAATAATGCCTTTGATGGGCTCCTTAGTAGACTGGACGGAGCTAAGGAAAGAATCTCTGAGCCTGTGGATATAACAAAAAAAGCTTCAAAAACTGTAAAACAAAGAAAAAAATTAATAAAATAGAACATAATATTCCAGAATTATGAAAAAACTACATAGGTGTGACATATGCGCAATGAAAATGCAAACAAGAAAGAAAGAGAAACAATATTTGAAGCAATAATGACAGAAATTTCCCAAAATTAAAGTCAGACACTGAAGCACAAATCCAGTAAGCTTAGAAAATATCAAGCCAGGTAAATTCAAACAGAACAAAACAAAAACTATACATAGGCATATTATATTTAAATTTCAGAATATCAAAGAAAAAACCTTGAAAAAAGACAAAGGTGAAAAATAAAACAACCTTTACATACAGAGGAGCAAAGATAAGAATTACATATAACTTCTCTTCAGGAAACACACAAGTAAGAAGAGAGTAGAGTGAAATATTTAGTGTTGGGAGGGGGAAAAAAAGAAACAACAACCTAGAATTCCTTACCCTGAAAAATTTTCATCAAAAGTGAAATAGAAATAAAGAATTGAGGGAATTTGTTTCCAATAGACTTACCTTGCAAGAAATGTTGAAAGACATTCCTCAGAGAGAATGAAAATGTACAGGTCAGAAACTCAGATCTATATAAAGAAAAGAAGAGCATCAGAAAGGGAATTAAGTGAACGTTAAATTAAAAACTTTTATTTTTCTTATTCTTAATTGATCTATCAGATAACAGTTTGTTCAAGATGATAATAGCAGCAGTGTATTTGATTATGTATGTTTATGTACATGCTTTATGTGTACATATATGCTTATGTATGCTGATACATAAATATTTGAGATATGAATGACAGCAATGATAAAAGGTACAGGGAGAAGAAATTAAGAATATCTTGTTATTATAAGGTAATCACACTATTTGTGACGTGATACAGTATTAGTTGAAAATGGACTTGGATAACTTGTAAATGTGCAGTGCAAACTCCAAGGAAAACACTTAAAGAGTTTTAAGGCTGGGCACGTTGGCTCATGCCTGTAATCCCAGCACTTTGGAAGGCTGAGGTGGGCAGATCACAAGGTCAGGAGTTCAAGACCAGCCTGACCAATATGGTGAAACCCTGTCTGTACTAAAAATACAAAAATGAGCCAGGCGTGGTGGTGCACACCTGTAATCCCAGCTACTCAGGAGACTGAGGCAGGAGAATCACTTGAACCCGGTAGGCGGAGGTTGCAGTGAGCCGAGATCCCACCACTGCACTCCAGCCTGAGCGATAGAGTGAGACTCTGTCTCAAAAATAAATAAATAAATAAAAGAGTTTTAAAATAAGTATAATGGATATGTGAATAAATGTGAGAAAATTGATTAAAACCAAGAAAAGGCAGGGAAAAAGTGAAAGACAAAAATAGAAACAAAGAGCAAGGTTAACAAATAGAAAATGTAACACATATGGTAGTTATTAATCCAACTATATCAATAATTACTTTGAAAGTCAGTGGTCTAAATGCACCAATTAAAAGACAGAGATTGATTGTCAGAGGGGATCAAAACAAGACCCAACTTTACGTTTATACAAGTAATTCACTATAAAGATAAAGACGTATAGATTAAGAATAAAGGGATGGAGGAATATACACCATGCAAACACAAATCAAAGAAAGTAGAAGTAGCATTATTAACCACAGACAGAACAGTCTTCAGAGCAAGGAAAGTTATCAGTGACAAATTATAAGGGATAAAGAATGGCATTACATAATGATAGGGTGACTAATACTCCAAGATGACAAAACAACCCTTAATATGTATGCACCTAACTACAGAGGATCAAAATATGTGAGGCTCAAAATACATGATAGATTTGCAAAGTGAAATAGACAAATTCACTATTACATAATTGAATACTTTAATACCCCTTAATTAGACATGGACATATGCATCAGGCAGAAAATCAATAAGGACATAGTCAAACTCAGCAGAACCATCAATCACCTGGATATAATTGAAATAACTACTTTATCCAACAACAGCATAATATACATTCTTCTCAAGCTCATATGGAACATTCACAAAGAGGGAACAAATTCTAGGCCATAAAGCACAATTTAACAAATTTAAACAAATATAACATTTAAAATATTTTTTAAAAAAATTCTTTAAAAGTAAAAAAAAAAAAATAGAAATTATGCAATAGTTGCCCTCATACCACAATGGAATTAAACTAGAAATCAATAACCAGAAAGTAGCCAGAAAATCCCAAAATACTTAAAAATTAAACAATACACTTCTAAATAACAAATGAAATAAAGAAGAAATCTCAGGAGGAATGTAAACTTTTTAAGCTGAATAAAAAATGAAAAAAAAGTATGAAAATTTGTAAGGGCACAGCAGTGCATAGAGAGAAATTTATAGCATTGAATGCATCTATTAGAAAAGAGCAGTGATCTAAAACTCAATAGTCAAAGCTTTCCACCTTAGGAAACTACAAAAAGATGAGTAAGATTAAAGTAAGCAGAAGAAAATAAATAATAATGATTGGGGCAGAGATCAATAAAATTGGAAACAGGAAATCAATAGAGATAGACAATGTAAATAACTGGTGGGTTTTTTAATTCAAATTGATATTAGAAAAGATCAACGTAATCAGTAAGCCTCCAGACAGACTAAGAAAATAGAAAAGAGAGAGAAGACACAAACTACTAATATCAGAATTGAAAGAGGGTACATCATAGATCCCACGGACATTAAAATGGTAATAAAGGATACTATAAACAACTATGTGCCCCAAAATTTAATAGCCTAGATGAAATAGATCAATTTCTTTTTTTATCATTATACTTTAAGTTTTAGGGTACATGTGCACAATGTGCAGCTTTGTTACACAGGTATACATGTGCCATGTTGGTTTGCTGCACCCATCAACTGGTCATTTACATTAGGTATTTCTCCTAATGCTATCCCTCCCCCAGCCCCCCGCCCCCCAACAGGCCCCAGTGTGTGATGTTTCCCGCCCTGTGTCCAAGTGTTCTCACTTTCAATTCCCACCTATGAGTGAGAACATGCAGTGTTTGGTTTTCTGTCCTTGTGATAGTTTGCTGAGAACAATGGTTTCCAGCTTCATCCATGTCCCTGCAAAAAACATGAACTCATCCTTTTTTATAACTGCATAGTATTCCATGGTGTATACGTGCCACATTTTCTTAATCCAGTCTATCATTGAGGGACATTTAGGTTGGTTCCATGTCTTTGCTATTGTGACTAGTGCCACAATAAACATACGTGTGCATGTGTCTTTATAGTAGCATGATTTATAATCCGTTGGGTATATACCTAGTAATGGGATCACTGGGTCAAATGGTAATTCTAGTTCTAGATCCTTGAGGAATTGACACACTGTCTTCCACAATGGTTGAACTAATTTACACTCCCATCAACAGTGTAAAAGCATTCCCGTTTCTCCACATCCTCTCCAGCGTCAGTTGTTTCCTTACTTTCTAATGATTGCCATTCTAACTGGCATGAGATGGTATCTAATTGTGGCCTTGATTTGCATTTCTCTGATGACCAGTGATGATGAGCGTCTTTTCATGTGTCTGTTGGCTGCATAAATGTCTTCTTTTGAGAAGCATCCGTTCATATCCTTTGCCCACTTTTTGATGGGGTTGTTCCTTTTTTTCTTGTAAATTTAAGTTCCTTGTAGATTCTGGATATTAGCCCTTTGTCAGATGGGTAGATTGCAAAAATTTTCTCCCATTCTGTAGGTTGCCTGTTCACTCCAATGGTAGTTTCTTTTGCTGTGCAGAAGCTCTTTAGTTTAATTAGATCCAATTTGTCAATTATGGCTTTTTTGCCATTGCTTTTGTTGTTATAGACATGAAGTATTTGCCCATGCCTATGTCCTGAATGGTATTGCCTAGGTTTTCTTCTAGGGTTTTTATGGTTTTAGATCTTACATTTAAGTATTTAATCCATCTTGAATTAATTTTTGTGTAAGGTGTAAGGAAGGGATCCAGTTTCAGCTTTCTACATATGGCTGGCCAGTTTTCCCAGCACCATTTATTAAATAAAGAATCCTTTCCCCATTTCTTGTTTTTGTCAGATTTGTCAAAGATCAGGTGGTTGTACATGTGTGGTGTTATTTCTGAGGGCTCTGTTCTGTTCCATTGGTATATATATCAGTTTTGGTACCAGTACCATGCTGTTTTGGTTACTGTAGCCTTGTAGTGTAGTTTGAAGTCAGGTAGCGTGATGCCTCCAGCTTTGTTCTTTTGGCTTAGGATTGTCTTGGCTATGTGGGCTCTTTTTTGGTTCCATATGAATTTTAAAGTAGTTTTTTCCAATTCTGTGAAGAAAGTCATTGGTAGCTTGATGGGGATGGCACTGAATGTATAAATTCCCTTCGGCAGTATGGCCATTTTCATGATATTGATTCTTCCTATCCATGAGCATGGAATGTTCTTCCATTTGTTTGTGTCCTCTTTATTTCATTGAGCAGTAGTTTGTAGTTCTCCTTGAAGAGGTCCTTCACATTCCTTGTCAGTTGTATTCCTAGATATTTTATTCTCTTTATAGCAGTTGTGAATGGGAGTTCACTCATGATTTGGCTGTTTGTCTGTAATTGGTGTATAGGAATTTTTGTGATTTTTGCACACTGATTTTGTATCCTGAGACTTTGCTGAAGTTGCTTATCAGCTTAAGGAGATTTTGGGCTGAGATGATGGGGTTTTCTAAATATACAATCATGTCATCTGCAAACAGGGACAATTTGACTTCCCCTTTTGCCAGTTGAATACCCTTTATTTCTTTGTCCTCCCTGATTGCCCTGGCCAGAACTTCCAACACCATGTTGAATAGGTGTGGTGAGAGAGGGCATCCCTGTCTTGTGCCAGTTTTGAAAAGGAATGCTTCCAGTTTTTGCCCATTCAGTATGATATTGGCTGTGGGTTTGTCATAAATAGTTCTTATTATTTTGAGATATATTCCATCAATACCTAGTTTATTGAGAGTTTTTAGCATGAAGGGCTGTTGAATTTTGTCAAAGGCCTTTTCTGCATCTATTGAGATAATCATGTGGTTTTTGTCACTGGTTCTGTTAATGTGATGGATTACATTTATTGATTTGTGTATATTGAACCAGACTTGCATCCCCGGGATGAAGCCAACTTGATCGTGGTGGATAAGCTTTTTGATGTGCTGCCGGATTCGGTTTGCCACTATTTTATTGAGGATTTTTGCATCAATGTTCATCAGGGATATTAACCTAAAATTCTCTTTTTTTGTTGTGTCTCTGCCAGGCTTTGGTATCAGGATGATGCTGGCCTCATAAAATGAGTTACGGAGGAGCCTCTCTTTTCTATTGATTGGAATAGTTTCAGATGGAATGGTACCAGCTCCTCTTTGTACCTCTGGTAGAATTCGGCTGTTAATCTGTCTGGTTCTGGACTTTTTGGCTAGTAGGCTGTTAATTATTGCCTCAGTTTCAGAAGCTGTTATTGATGTATTCAGAGATTCAACTTCTTCCTTGTTTAGTCTTGAGAGGGTATATGTGTCCAGGAATTTATCCATTTTTTCTAGATTTCCTAGTTTATTTGTGGAGAAGTGTTTATAGCATTCTCTGATGGTAGTTTGTATTTCTGTGGGATCAGTGGTGATATCCCCTTTATCATTTTTTATTGTGTCTATTTGATTCTTCTCTCTTTTCTTCTTTGTTAGTCTTGCTAGCAATCTATCAATTTTGTTGATCTTTTCAAGAAACCAGCTCCTGGATTCGTTGAATTTTTGAAGGGGTTTTTTTATGTCTCTATCTCCTTCAGTTCTGCTCTGATCTTAGTTATTTTTCGCCTTCTGCTAGCTTTTGAATTTGTTTGCTCTTGCTCCTCTAGTTCTTTTAATTGTTATGTTAGGGTGTTGATATTTAGATCTTTTCTGCTTTTTCTTGCGGGCATTTAGTGCTATAAATTTCCCTCTATACACTGCTTTAAATGTGTCCCAGAGATTCTCGTATGTTGTGTCTTTGTTCTCATTGGTTTCAAAGAACATCTTTATTTCTGCCTTCATTTCGTTATTTATCCAGTAGTCATTCAGGAGCAGTTGTTCAGTTTCCATGTAGTTGTGCAGTTTTGAGTGAGTTTCTTAATCCTGAGTTCTAATTTGGTTGCACTGTGGTCTGAGAGACAGTTTATTGTGATTTATTTTTTGTTTGTTTGTTTGTTTGTTGCTGAGGAGTGCTTTACCTCCAACTATGCGGTCAATTTTGGAATAAGTGTGATGTGGTGCTGACAAGAATGTATATTTTGTTGATTTGGGGTGGAGAGTTCTGTAGATGTCTATTAGGTCTGCTTGGTGCAGAGCTGAGTTCAATTCCTGGATATCCTTGTTCACTTTCTGTCTCGTTGATCTGTCTAATGTCGACAGTGGGGTGTTAAAGTCTCCCATTATTATTGTGTGGGAGTCTAAGTCTCCTTGTAGGTCTCTAAGGACTTGCTTTATGAATCTGGGTGCTCCTGTATTGGGTGCATATATATTTAGGATAGTTAGCTCTTCTTGTTGAATTGATCCCTTTACCGTTATGTAATAGCTTCTTTGTCTCTTTTGATCTTTGTTGGTTTAAAGTCTGTTTTATCAGAGACTAGGATTGCAACCCTTGCTTTTTTTTGTTTTCCATTTGCTTGGTAGATCTTCCTCTATCCCTTTATTTTGAGCCTATGTGTGTCTCTCTTCAGAGCTGTCAGACAGGGACTTTTAAGTCTGCAGAAGTTTCTGTTGCCTTTTGTTCTGCTATGCCCTGCCCACAGAGGTGGAATCTATAGAGGCAGTAGGCCTTGCTGGACTTAGCTGGGCTCCGCCCAGTTTGAGCTTCCCGGCCACTTTGTTTACCTACTCAAGCCTCAGCATTGGCAGACACCCCTCCTCCCGCCAGGCTGCAGCCTTGCAGGTCAATCTCAGACTGCTGCGCTAGCAGTGAACAAGGCTCTGTGGGCGTGGGACCTGCAAAGCCAGACACAGGAGAGGATCTCCTGGTCTGCTGGTTGCTAAGGCTGTGGGGAAAACACAGTATTTGGATGGGACTGTACAGTTTTTCCAGGTAGTCTGTCACGGCTTGCCTTGGCTAGGAAAGGGAAATCCCCTGACACTTTGCACTTCCTGGGTGAGGCAATGCCTCACCCCGCTTTGGCTCACCCTCCATGGGCTGCGCCTACTGTCCAACCAGTCCCAATGAGATGAACCAGGTACCTCAGTTGAAAATACAGAAATCACCCGTCTTCTGTGTCGATCACGCTGGGAGCTGCAGATTGGAGCTGTTCCTATT
Organism: Homo sapiens; assembly: GCF_000001405.40. NCBI lineage: Eukaryota > Metazoa > Chordata > Mammalia > Primates > Hominidae > Homo > Homo sapiens. Next base: position 82,314,982 of record NC_000012.12, read on the forward strand.
CGGCCATTTTTGAACGGACCCCTTATCAATTTCTTAAAAGACAAAATCTGCCAAAATTTACACAAAAAGAAATATAATTTTTTCTAGTAGACATAGACAATCTGAATAAGGCCATGTCTATTAAAGAAATTGCATAAATAATAACCTTCCAAAAGAGAAAGCACACAGCCTAGATGGGTTCACTATTGAATTCTATAAAACATTTAATGAAGAAATTATACCACTTCTCTACAATCTCTTCCAGAAGACAGAAACGAAGAAATGCCTTCTAACTTACTCTGTAAGGCCAGTATTAATCTAATACCAAACCCAGACAAAGACATTACAAGAAAAGAAAACTACAGACCATTATCTCTCATGAACATAGATGTAGAAATCCTAAACAAAATATAAGTACACAAAATTCATCAAGGTATAAAAAGAATTATGCACCATGACGAAGTGGGAGTTTTCTCATACATGCAGACTGGTTCAAAATTCAAAAATAAGCTTATCGTATTACCAGGTGAAAGAAGAAAAAATCAAATGATTGTATCAATAGATGAAGAAAAGGGGAAGGAGGGATGAACAGGTGGAGTGCAGAGGATTTTAGGGCAGTAAAATTATTCTGTATGATTCCACAATGGTGGCTACATGTCATTATACTTTTGTCTAAACTCACAGGATGTACAACGCCAAGAGCGAACCCTAATGGAAACAATGATTTTGATGTTTCGATGTAGGTTCATCGATTGTAACAAATGGGTAATTCTGATGTGGTGTGTTGATAGTGGGCAAAACTGGGAGTGTCAAGGGCTGATGTATATGAAAACTCTCTGTACTTTCTGCAGAATTCTGCTGTGAATCTAAAACTGCTCTAAAATTAATATGTATTAATTTTTAATTACTGGACTAGGTGTGAAATGATTTAGTTTATAGCTTCAACTCTTTCTCTAAGTTCTTTTATCTTTGGATCTCAAAATCCTTATATAAAATATATGGAGTTGAACTAAGTTAAAATATCATGATTAAACTAAAATTTAAAATGAGAATATTTACCATATATACAGTATGAAATAATGACAAAATTTTAAATGGTAGCTCTGTTTAAATTTCTATTTTAAAAACAGAAGTTATTAAAAATATCCATAGTGACAAAAATATTACCTGTCTGAGCTTAATTTATATTCAGATGGCAGAAATATCAGGGGAAAAAAAGAAGTATATGTCACTGTATGATACTGTTACTGTATGACATCACTGAAACAAGATTTATTGCAAAGAATAAAAATTAAAATATACACTGAACATAAGTAATTCTAGAATTCCTTAATGATTATTAAATCTGTATTGAAACCTATTGATAAGCATTTTGTTGTAAACTCAATTAACAGTGTCTATTTAGGATGCAACACTTAATAATGAGCCCAATTATTGAATGTTTCAGAAATAATTGTGGTTGGCCTAGATTATTTGATACATCTGAGGACAAGGTCTATTTAATTACAGATTCTGAATAGGAACAGAAAATACTCTAAGTTGATGGTTCTTCAAGTGTGGTCCATGATTCAGCAATCTGGGAACTTCTCATATAGCCATATTCTTGGATCCTACTCCATGCCTAATAAATCGGAATTTTGGCAGCAAAGCCAGATAATATGATTTTTTAAAAGCCCACCACCTCATACTGAGGCATATCAAAGTTTTAGAACTATTTCTCTAAATATTTTATGTAAGAGTAAATTTAATACAGGTTAGGTGCTTACAGTATAATTGAGAAAGCTGCAAGAGCAACCTCTGAACCGTGCCTCCAAAAATAAAGAACAGAAAAAGAACTGACCTGCTAAAGTTACCACCTCCTTATCTACTACTGGAACAACTGGTTTCAAGAACATAAGCTATAACTGCAAGGTGTCAGGATGCTGAAGTTAAAAAGATATTATTATTTATGCCAGATATGTCCCTCTCAATAGCAAAAGCTGAAGAATGAAGGCTGAGAAGCAGCTGCAGACAGACTTCACTTCTCCAGGACTTTGTTTCTCACAGAATGACACTCAAAGAGGACAGAAAGACTGCTCCTGTCTTCCAAATCTCATGCCACTGCTCTTGACTGATAGATCACAGTGTGCAATCAGAAACATAGATGTAATGGTATAAACTTAGTGCTATCTATTGACACTCAATGGGCAACACAGTTAAATCTCCACCTAGACATGATCCATATGAATTATCATTTGGTTTCATCACTATATTCAAGCATAATTTCAGAAATAGTAAGGAAACAAAAGTTTAGAAGCAATTACAGTATTTTAAAGTAATTACTACCAATTTGTTACATATCATTGTCATTATTTATAAATTTATATGCTTGCATATTTATTGGCTAAACCGAGCAAATAAAATAATTCTCAGCTACACCTTGGGAAAATATACCTAAGGAATTTATATAAAGAAAAATAGATGATAGATACCTAGATTGATAGACAATAGAACATATATTTGTATAATATAGTATGTTACTCTTTATACACTCTGATTGAGGTAGGCAGAGTATAATATATTTTTATATGAAGAAACTGAACTCCCAAATTATAAAATGCCACATTGTCACATGGCTGATAGATGCATAAAAGAATGTATGTATCGTAACTCATAGGTCAGTGCTTGTTCCAATACACTTTAATGCCTTTGTCTATTATCCTCTGAGAATTCTTACAACAGCAACAGGACATGACAGAAGAAAATGGGTACTGAACCAAAGGCAAGAAAATAGTGTGAATGCAGAGTAAACAGAGGAACAAAATAGTGGCCCAGGGGTTTAAAATAACACATCAAGTCTAAATGCTAATATTGCAAATCTAACACAATTCCATGTATATATTAGTCCAAACAGCTTGGCTGTGTCTGCTAAAACCAAACAAACAAACAGACAAACAAACGATCCCCGAATCCCAGTGACTTAAAACAGTAAAGTTTATTTCTGGCTCCATTGAAGGATGGATGGGGACCTTAATTTGCCTTCTCTTTATTCATGAACTCAGGCTGATAAAGCAACCATTAACTGTAACATTACTGATCATCAAAACAGAGGAAAATCTGCCTCTATAGAGTCCCTTCCTGATATTTAAATGACACACATCACTACTGCTCACAGCTCATTGACCAGAATAAATCACATGGACTCACCCAACTGCAATGGAGCTAGGAAGTAAAATCCTATCGTATGCTTGCAAGGTGGAAACCAAGACAGAAATATTTGGTGAATGGTATTACTGATGATTACCAGAGTGTCAAAGTCAAATTAGAAAAAAAAAAAGGAGAACAAAAAAAATGTATCAAGAACTTGAAACTGAGGGTCACAGATAGTCAATTTGAATAGATGAAACAATGTTGATAATAAACTTAGTATTTGTTAGTAATTATTTTCCGTCATGGATATAAAGAAGCAAAAGAAGTCTGTCTACAAACTTCTTTGTAGTGAGACAGACGTTCAGAGAAAAACAGAGCAAAGAGACAGATTATTATAGCTAGGAATCCTAATGATTTTCTTTGTCTTGACTCTACTCAAGAGAGGCTCTTCTGCCCTTCAGTTCCTTGGATAACTCAACATCTATTATTAAATTTCCTATTTCTCTTAAATTCACTCATATTAGTTTCTATTGCTTGCAGTCAGCAGAGTTTTGATTAAGGCAATGGTACTAATTAATTTTGTAATATTTCTCTATCAAGTGAAATACAATATAGGTTCTAACATGGTATATTGAAGTAGTTTCTCTCAAAATTAGTGGGCCTTATTGTATTTTCCCTGCGTGTTATCTACTGATAAGAATTATTTTTAAATTGGAATTACTATCACAATATTAGATAAAGGAAGACAGTGATAAGGAATTTGGATATTTTCCTCTAGATTAAAATATTGAATATCATTAGATTAAGTGAACACCAATTAAAATAAGTTGTTAATTAAGGGGTTTTTTTTTGCCAAAACAGAAAAAAAAGTAAGGGAATTGTTTTAAGAACTGAGGAAGTGCCAGTTGACCCAGCAACTCTCATCTAGAACTTAAAATGCTAAAATAAATTTCATTATCAGTCAGAGAAGAACAAATTATCAAAATGTATAATGATATTCAGAGAGAAATGAAAGACAGACATCTTTAAAAAGTGTTCAAGTGAAAGAAGCAAAACTAAAATGTTCAAATTCAGAATAAAATTTAAATTACCTCCACCAGAGCAAGTGGAATATAAAAGAAAGTTTCTAAAATCCTTAACATGATTCTTTCAGGAATATTTCATATCAACTATCTATGTCTTTGCATGTAGCTATAACGTCTCCATAAATTCTCAAATTGGAAAGCAACAATCATAGGAAATAACATTTCAATCTTTTTTGTACTCTATATACAAGAAAATAATTTGGCTCACATTGTGAAAAAATTAGACAATTGTGGATGAAGGCTGTCAGATAATCCAAACTGTCAGTTTGGTTTAACATTTCTGAAAAGGGGAAAAACTTTGACCAGAACTGCCAAAAATATGCCAGTCACTTTAGTGCATGCTTGAATAAACATGAAACAATATTTGTATATGCTGATTAAAGACAAGATTTTGCTATGGATTATAAGATTCCACTCAAAAATGTTTTTTTGTTAGTAGGAAAGCCAGTAATGCTTTTAAACATAAAACAAGTGCTGAAATCTGTTTCCTAGAAAATGTCACATAAGAGTATGATATTAATCACAAAAGGTTAAGTTTAATGATCTAAAGTAAAACATATATTGCCTGCCATACGACTGTGGTTTAATAATTTGTCCCCTGCATAATCCTGTAATTTTCAGCAGCAAAACATATTTCTCCAAACATACGCTTTTTAATATTTTTCTTTTCAATTTACATAAGATACAAAAATTGTGATCTTAAAAATCATTCCTATTCTCCAGTCTCAAGAAGTTTCAAAAATACTAAGCAGACAGAAACATTAGCAGACTGAGATCCAGTGGTGAGTGGTTCTCTGCAATGAAGTAGTATTGATCTATTTCAAAAATAGTTGAGTGTCTACTGGGTGCCAGACGTTATTTTTAACTGCTCAGGATTCAGCTGGGAACATGGTAGACCAAGGTCTCTTCCTCAGTAAATGTTATTAACAAGCGAGAAAATATTTAAAACAAACAAGTAAATATGTGATTAAAGTGCTATGGATAAAAATTAACTAGGATATTATGACAAAAAAATTGTATACCAATGTTCCTTGTCAAGATTCAAATTGGGTATTCCAACAACTTTTTTTAACCTTATCTTAGAGCTTCAACAATACAGCATTTATTTATCTATAAACACTTTTAGCATGTGAAAATGGTAATTATTTTCCCATACAATGCCATAGATTACAAATATATTTATTAACATTAGCCTGTTTTTTCCTCAAAATGGACAATAGCAGCATCTTAAAACATTCATTTTATAGATGGAGAAAATGAGCCTCAGGGAACTTAAATGGCTGGCTCATGTTTATGTGTCCCAGCAGAGACTTGAACCTAGGTGCATTGAAGAAAAGTTTATTGGAATTTGATGATGCTGGCACATCACAAATATTATAAAAATGAATATGGCACAGTCCTGACTTGAAAATGTTTCATAGAGAACATGGTTTGCGGTTCTTAATCCCTGGGCAGCAGCAATCATGCTGCTTCTAAAAATAACCAAGGAAAAAAAATCTAATTCTCGGAAGACAGGCGACACTAGAAGAAAGTCTGAGTCTTACTGTCAGTCTTTCTTCTGGTTTGATGACCCTCATCTCCAGAAGCCATCAGAGGTTGGGTACAAAATACTTAGGTCACTTAGCTTCAAATGTAACCACCCCTTCCCTTTTACAAATGTTATCTAAGGTAAATAGAAGAACCAAAGATTAAGATCGAGAAAGACCATTGGCAGGGACTTGGTTACTTTCCTCGTGTGTAACTGACATGCTCACATTTGAAGCCTGAGGAGTGGTCATCACCAGAATGTACTCAGTATCATGTGCAAAATAGGGGAGGTGACTCTCCTCACCAGTTTAAATGCAATCTGATAAAATGTAGCTTCTCCGATCATTGATGTGGTGCTAAACGGCTTTGAGAGAATTAGACTTAGCTGGCTAATTGAGAGACAATCCAGTAGATTTCCCTAGAGGTACACCGGATAGATTTTCAAAGTAAAGGGTTGCTGAATTCCTGGAGGTATCATCTTTTGAACGAGATTCAAAATGGAAGTGTTCATGTTGGGGCTAAAAGGCCTAATACTGGCTAATGTCCACAGCAGGACAGAACAATTAGCAAATTTAGGAAACTGCTCTCATTTATGCCTCCGATAATATAGGTAATGTTTGCAAATCAAGTTCTTCCCTGCTTTAATTAATTCATGTTTATTAATAAATATGAACAGATTAAGTATATTTGACTTTATTGTACACTATATATACATTTGGGAGATCTCCCACATATGTATCACTAGAAAAGAACATTGCACATTGCATTAAATAATTTAATCATTAAAATATTAAAACAGAACTAATTATTTATTTTCCTTCCCTATCTTTACCTTCCTCCCAGGATCATCCAGTGTATATACCCAATTATCTTGGAGACTCTACCTCTACAGTTTTGTTTTGTTTTGTTTTGTTTTTGCACATAATAATTGGGTCAATCAAGGTTCAAATAAATGAGAACAAAACCACAGGAATCTCTGTGACATTTATATTCACAATTCCCTCCACGGCTTCCATCCAGTCTTGGCACAGACCAGACTCCTGTGTGGTGCCTATTGTGCTTTGCGGAAGTAACCTCGTATGTGCTATTAAGCAGGTAGATAGGGGAGACTAGTTCTTCAGACAGCCCAAATGCAAGCCTCCTGTGTAAGCACCTGCTCCCCATTCATGACTGATAATGCTCCCAAATACAAATTCAAGCTCACTGGGTAAGGCAAGGAAAACAAGAGGAAAAGGAAGAGAAAGAGAGAGAGAGAGAACACAGAATGGTGACACTTATGACATTAATTAATCAATTAGGAAAACAGAGCAATTGAAGAAATTGAGCATAATAAGGTCAAATGTAAAAAGCAGGCCAAAGAAGACAAGTTCAAAGACAAGATGAGAACTTTTAATCTAATTAATATGCTTTTGGTAAATCATAAAATGTATATACTATGCTAAAACTGACTAAATCATAAGGCTACAAGGGAGTCCAAGAGTGTGTTAGCTTCACTTGTTCTCTGAAAGGTGAATTTCTAAACTTCCCAACTGAATGGTTCTCTCATATTTTCCTGAAAACCCCTAGGGACAAATGACTTCGTAGCCTCCTGAACAGATTGACATAAAAATTTCATGACGGTAAAACTGATGGTGTTAGATATAAAAGAAATGGTTAATTGCTGTGCCATTTTGAAACTTAATTTTTTCTAGTTTTCCAATAAATCATTTTATGAGGTCTATTTTAATTTAGTTTTTTCATAGTAAGAGAATTGTAAATATAAAAATTTAAATCAGCTTGTAATAGAAATTTTGGAAAATGCTAGAAATTATGAATAGAAAAATTAACCACCTATATTCCTACCAACCAGCATCCCAGCATTAGACTTTCTTTAATTTCTTTGGTATATTTCCTCCTTCACATTATTATTTTATTATTATTTTTGTTGTTGTTTTTTTTTTTTGAGACAGAGTCTCTCTCTGTCATCCAGGCTGGAGCGCAATGGCGCGATCTCGGTTCACTGCAACCTCTGCCTCCCGGGTTCAAGCTATTCTCATGTCTCAGCCTCCCAAGTAGCTGGGATTACAGGCGCCCGCTGCCATACGCCCCGCTAATTTTTGTATTTTTCTTAGATACGGGGTTTTGTCATGTTGGTCAGGTTGGCCTCAAACTCCTGACCTCAGGTGATCCAGCCACCTCGGCATCCCAAAGTGCTGGGATTACAGGCATGAGCCACCGTGCCCGGCACCTCCTTCACATTATTAATTCAAAAATTTGGCCAGGCGCTGTGGCTCATGCCTGGAATCCCAGCACTTTGGGAGGCCAAGGTGGGGGAATCAACTGAGGTCAGGAGTTCAAAACCAGCCTGGCCAACATGGTGAAACCCCATCTCTACTAAAAATACTAAAATTAGCTGGTGGTGTTGGTGCACACCTGTAATCTCAGCTACTTGGGAAACTGAGGCATGGGAATTGCTCGAACTCAAAAGGCAGAGGTTGCATTGGGCCAAGATCATGCCACTACAATGCAGCCTGGGTGACAGAGCAAGACTCTATCTCAAAAAAAAAAGAAAAAAAAAGTCAAAATTTGGATTATTTTCTCTGTGTGAAAATATATATGTGTGTGTGTATATATATATATATATACATATATATATACACACACACACATATATATACACACATATATATACACACACACACACAAAAACATACACACATATGCACATAGAAATAAAGTTTTGTATCCTCCTTTTATTCTTTTTCTTTCTTAGAGACGGGGTCTTGCTCTGTAGCCCAGGCTGGAGTGTATTGGCGCAATCACAGTTCACTGCAGCCTCAAACTTCTGGGTTCAAGTTACCCTCCCACCTCAGCCTTCTCAGTAGCTAGTACTACAGGCACACACCACCACACCCAGCTAATTTTTTATCTTTTGCAGAGACAAAATCTCTCTGTTACAAGCATGAGCCACTGGGCTCAGCCTACTTTTTAAATTAAACATTACATTATGAACATTTTTAAAGATTTTAAACAGTAACCAAACTAAGATTTTTAAATAGTGCTGTAACAATGTAACATATTATAGTGGGTTGAATGGTGGCCCTCCAAAATATGTCTACATGAATCTGTGACCTTATTTGGGAAAAAGAATCTTTGCAAATGTGATTAAGTTAAGGATCTTAAAATAAGATAATCCTGGATTAGGGTGGGCCTTAAATCCAATGGTACGTGACCTTAGGAGAGTATAGAAGTGGCAACAGACAGAGAGAAGGTGTTATGAAGATTGAGGCATAGATTGCAGTGATACACCAAAGATTCCAGTGGCCACTAGAAGTTAGGGGGCATGGAACTCATTCTTCTTCAGAGATTCCAGAAGGAATCAACACTTCGATTCTAGACACTGGCCCACAGAACTGTGACACAATACATTTTTTGTTGTCATAAACCACCCAGATTGTGGTAATTTGTTATGACAGCCCTAGGAAAATAATACACATGGATAGATCATGATTTACTTAACCATTCCCAGAGGAATTTTTAAGATAAATTTTTTCTTTTTAAAAAAATTTTGCTATCATTAATGATGTTAAAATTAATATCCTTGACATTCACTCATTCAACAAATATTTATTATAAACACCTACTACATGCTGGATACTCTTCCAGAAAATTGGGGAAATGAGACATCTTGGAGCAAGGCAAGGGTTTCAGTCCCTGTTGAGCCTAAATTCAACTGAGGGAAGACATGATAACCAATACACACGATAAGTACACAAATTATAAGTATGTTGGAAGATGTACTGTGCTATGGAGTAAAGAAAAAAAAGCAGAATAAGGGAGTATGAGTTGGAAGGATTCGATCTGCATTTTAAACAGGCTAGTTAGGGAAGACCTTATCGAATAGGTGACATATGAGTAAAGATAGATGAGAAGACAGTGGGGAGTTAGCCATGTAGCTATCTGAGGAAGAGCTTCCAGGAAAAAGGGAGAGTCAATGTAAAATGACAAAGATTATATCTTTAGGATAAATTATCAGAAATGTAATTATCAGGTCAAAGTGTGTGGATATTTTTTAATCTCTTGATAAATGTCAAGAAATTGTCTGGAAAATTGCATCAAATTAGACACCCTGAAAATGCACCTGAGTTACTGCTTCCCCAAATTTCAATACTGTACATTATCATTGTTTTTATTAGCCAAATTGAAAGGCAAAAAACATAGATGAAAAACTTCATTATGCAAATTTGCTTATTCTGGTGAGAATGTATCTAGAAATCATTTTTATTTTTTTCTTTTAAGAAATACCTATACTTGGAAATGCTTGCTTTTTAAAAAATATTGAATTGGGAAACTTTATCCTGTGAATCAGAAAAGTTTATTCTGTGATCTGTGTCTTTAATATATTGTATAAATGTCTTTTCCCAGTTTGAAGCTTGTCTTTTAACTGCTTATTTTTACTTAAAAATATAGAAATATTTTTAAGTTTATATACTAAAATATGTATAACTTTTTGCTTTATAATGCATTTTAGGGTAATACTCTGTTATTTCTTATCTCCAAGAAAAGATGGATAATCAAATATATTATTTACAATTGTTTTCTAAGCCTGTTTTAAAATGAGTGTATTTTACAAGAATACTACAACTTTTTGCGAAGTATGACTAGGAATTTAAAAGTTGTTATATTTGTGTTTCCTAGCAAAATTCAAAACTTAAATGCTCATTTTATGTAAAATATTTAAAATGAAAGCATGGAAAATTCAATAATGATAAGAGTTTAAATATATCATTCTGAATATTTTTTCAAAATTTAATTATTGCTGTACTATGTATAGCATATAGTTGAGAAATTTTAGTTTTAAAATAAATTTTAAAACCTTTATCAACACATTATTATACCTTTAAATATTCAATTTTATTTATAATATATTGTGTTTCATAAAATAAATTACACATCACAATATTATATAAATAAATCTATATAGGCTTATTTCAGAGATACTGTGGGTTCAGTGCCAGATCACCACAATAAAGTATATATGGTAATAAAGTGAGTCACATGAATCTTTTGGTTTCCCAGTGCATATAAAAATTATGTTTACACTATACTGTAGTCTATTAACTGTGCAAAAGCATTATGTCTAAAAAAACCCAATGTATATACCTTAATTTAAATATACTTTATTGCTAAAAAAATGCTAGTGATCATCTGAGCCTTCAGGAAGTCGTAATCTTTTTGTCAGTGGAGAGTCTTGCCTCGATGTTGATGGCTGCTGGCTAATTAAGGTGGTGGTTGCTAACGGTTGGGATGGCTGTGGCAATTTCTCAAAATAAGACAATAACAATGAAGTTTGCCTCATCAACCAATTTTTCTCTTCAGAAAAGATTTCTCTGTAGCCTGTAGCATGCAATGCTGTTTGATAGCATTCTACCCACAGTAGAAGCACAATAAAGCGAAGGGCAATAAAGTGAGGTATGCCTGTATATATACACACATACACACACACACAGCAGATAATATATATAGAAAACAAACAGAACAAAATCTAGAACAAAAATGAAATGGATATATCAAACTCAGAATAATAGACTTACTTTGATAGAGCATTAAATTTAACACTAAGCTTCCTGACTTAAATAATATCTGATACAACAAAATCAGGTCTACCTCTGCTATCACATAACAAGCAGCCCACAGGGCTTTTGTAACCTTTGCTTGATTGAATTACTGTCACCGAGAAGTTCAGTGAAGCATTTTCTGCTTCCTAGCAGTCTCCATCATTCTAGTATTTATAAATAGCAAAGAGCAGCAGGCTGCAAACAAAACTTCCATTGGAATAACATATCCAAGATTAGTTCATTTATAAAGTTCCTGCTAAATAGTCAATCCCCTTTTAGCTGATCATGTTTTCATCCTTTTCTAATTTCCTACACTTGAAGGGGAAAAGCACTTAAAAATATTTAGAGGTATTATTCATTCAAGGTTTTCTTCTGTTTCTATGTATATTCTTACATTTGAAAACTATGCTCATGTGATCAAATAAGACAAAAGAATATATATTTATATATATTTATTAACTATTTTACAGTCTTCTGATTTTTTTCTGACTTTGGTCATAAAAGGTAAGTAGAAATCACATTTACTATACTCATTTCAATTTTATGTTATCTGCACTGTGTACATAAACTAAATATATGCCAAAAATTTCCCTCCTTCAAAAGGAAATTTAGATTCATTCCTAAATGATTTGACTTTTGGAGGGCTATAAATATATAGGCACTTTTTGATTATGTATGTGTAAACTTTGACCAATCAAGATATTTGAGTGAATATTTTGAATTCTTAACTTTATTCCATTAATCAGTAAAAGAATATATTCTTAAACAATTTGTAATTCCTCACTAGTAAAACAGTGCCTTGAACTCCCTCTGCTGGCCTTATAAGGGTAGTTTAACTTTAAAAAGTCATTCACATATTTGTATAATAATCTAGCATCGAAAAACAGAAACACTTTATATGTTGCATAATGACTTCAACTATAATAAAAATTCAAGTTAAAATATACTTATCCTCTTTTAACCCTAAAAAATACAGCTTATATCATAAAAAGTGATACTGAAAGGCTATTACTATAATATAAAATCACAATAATCAAAATAGTCTGAGGCCTGGAACTCCCAGCCTCAAGCAATCCCTCCACCTCAACACTCCAAAGTGCTGGGATGATACACATCATATGTCTGTATCAAAATATCTCATATACCCCATTACTACATACACCTATATACTCACCAAAATTAAAATTGAAAAAAAAAAAAAAACAGAAGCAGGCACAGGAAAAATTAAAAAAGAAAGAAAAAGATCAGTGTAAAGAGTAGAGCATCCAAAAGAGTGTGTTAGGAATTTAAGGAATTGTTACAAGCATGACAATTGAATCAAGTTGGGAATTAGGAGTTTATCAATCAATGTATACTTAAATACTTGGTCATATTTCGAAAATAAAACAAAGATATATATTGACTTCATACTCTAAACCAAAATAAACTCCAGACGGAATTTTAAAAATTTAAATATAAACATTAAATTAATATAATCATTGCAACAATATTTTGAAGAATTTCCTATCTTTAGATGGGAAAGTTCTTTCTAAAAAACAGGAAGCTTAGCAGTGATAAGGGAAAAATAGTCATATTTATCTACACACATATTTTCATAAAAGGAAAACACCATAAACAACATCAAAGGCAAATGATTGGGGCAAATATTGCAACAGATATGATAGATAAAGGCATAAATTCCCTACTACACAAAAAGCTTCTATAAATTGGTGAGAAATAGAAAAGGAACTCAATAGAAAAATAAGCAAAGACTTATGCTAAGGAAATTCACAAAAGAAATCTAAAGAGTCAATAAACATACAAAATCCTGCTTGTCCTCACTAATAGTCAAGGAGAATAAAAGTAAAATGCACAGTGAGGATTACAAGTCATTAACGGGATACTTAAGCCTTGGGCTAATTGGCAAAAATTCAAAATATAACAACATCCAGTGCAAGTTGCTGCAATCATTTAAAAAATATTTCGGCAATATCAATAAATCAAAGACACACACACACACACAGGCACACAACATTTGCTGAAGTAATTTCACTTGGTGAATATCGCCAATGAAAACAAAGTACCAACACCAAAGGACATGCATCTGGTGACACGTAATGTAATTTGTTTGTAATGGCAAAAAATAGGAAACATTCTAATAGTAATCAAATATAAAATACTTGAATACATTTTAGTACATTTTATTATATAATTATTTAAATAAAATATATAATATATACATATTTGTCAGAAAGAAATATGTATTGCTAATGATGAATCATTAAGATGAACCATGATAAATAATTTTAAAAAGCAGTCACAACAATATGGCATTTGTATATGATTTTTCATGTTTGGGTCAGCATAAAAGAAGTTGTGGAAGGAAAGGACTAGGCCCTTTATAGCAGCTATCAATGAGGTAGGAATGGAGAGGGTGGGGGGAAATTTTAATTTTTTTATATACATTTTTGAACTTTTTTACTAATTAAAATAGGTATTAATATTTTTTATAATTGGACATCTTAATAAAAATTAAAATTCAAAGATAGACAGCTAAAATGAGGTATTCCTATATATCTTTCAGGACATAAGGTTTGTTCTGTACATTTTAGGTCATAGGCTCTATCATAATTCCTCTTTATTTTTCGTTTATTACCCCCAAAAGGTAAAAGAAATGCTAACCTTCCAGCAGTCATGTCCATGAAATTCAGGTGCGGAGAGGAGAGAGGCAGCAGGGGAATTTTCCAGCACTCATACTTCAGAAAACTCCCCAATGGATGTTGAAAACCACCTCTTCAAAGCCCACCCTGTGCTCAGAGCAACGGCTTTACATATTAGGTAAATGATAAAACGTTCTCCCCACTTGTTTTCCACAGGTTTCATTAGGGGCTGGCTGTGATCACCTGTGACAGCAATACTGATTCCCAATATAGTTTCAAAATTATGCCAGAAAAGTAGTGCAATATTTTTTTTCCTCAACCTTGGCTGCACCTTAAAATAAATTAGAGAATAAACAAAGAAAAAATATTGTGCTCAAGTTGATTGAATCAAAATCTTGGAGATAGGCATTGGTTCTCCTGTGCTGTTTTTTGTTTGTTTTTTGTTTTTCGTTTTCTTTTTTTTTTTGAAGCTCTTCAGGTGATTCAAAAGCACAGTGAGTGTTGGGAAACATTAACAGGGTAAGGGTCTCAAGCCTGGTGCTAAGGTGGTAATTGGAATCTATTTTTTCAAGTTTCTGCCCATTTTGGGAGCAAAGGAATTAACTGCTTTTTTATTTCAGACTACCTTTTTTTTTAAGGACTATTTGTATAGTGAACAGCGCTGAGAGAGCTGAGAGTAGGTTTGTTTACTGTCTAATATAATAAAGACAATGCCTCCCTCTGGGTCAAAGGTTGGGCAAATCACAAAAGATACAGATTTTCTAAGCTCAGAGTTCCCCTGCTGTGATAAAAACCTACTGCATTTATAGCATCCAGCTGGCCTTTATTGAAGAACCCTGTGGGGATCAGGTTTCAGGGGACTGGTGAAAAAAAATGATAATACTCTGGCTACTGCTATTGTTGTAAATAGTAAACTGTTCTCTGTCTTTGAGTCAAGAATCTTGTCTCTTCTACCAGTATTCATAAAATGTGGAGGCTAATTTGTTAGCTTGCAAGTTGGGTAAAATCTCAGACCCTTTGCAGTTTTTGACAGAAAGTTCCAGTTTCTCCATAACCACAGCCACCCTTCATATCATCTCGGCCATTCTAAGAGATATGGTTTTAATTCACATTTCCCTGATAACGAATGATACAAGGCATATTTTCCTGTGCTTGTTGCCATCTATATATTTTCTTTGGTGATGTGTATCTTCAGATCGTTGGCCCCATTTTACAATGGATTGTTTGTTTTCTTGTTATTGAGTTTTAAGATGTATATATTTTGGAAGCAAGTCCTTTGTCAGATAGGTAATGTGCAAATACTTTCTCCCAGTCTGTGGCTTGTGTTTCCATTTTCTTAATGATGCCTTTCAAAGAACAGAAGTTTTTTTATGTTGACGAAGTCATAGTTATCAATGTTTTACTTTATGCATCATATTTTTTTTTTTTTGACGGAGTCTCGCTTTTTTGCCAGGCTGGAGTGCAGTGGCGTGATCTCTGTTCACTGCAACCTCCACCTCCCGGGTTCAAGCGATTCTCCTGCCTCAGCCTCCCGAGTAGCTGGGACTACAGGCGCGTGCCACCACACCCAGCTAATTTTTGTATTCTTAGTAGAGATGGGGGTTTCACCATGTTGGCCAGGATGGTCTCGATTTCTTGACCTCGTGATCTGCTCACCTGGGCCTCCCAAAGTGCTGGGATTACAGGCATGAGCCACTGCGCCCAGCCTACATATCATAGTTTAATCTAAGTAACCTTTTCCTAAGTCAAAATCACAAAGATTCATCTAGAAATATATTTTTAGCTTTTATATTTAGAACTATGAATCATTTTAAGTTTTATACAGGCCAAAGTTCTTTTATTTCTGTATATGAATATTGCAGAATTGAATATTTCATATGAACATTGATTAACCACCATGCATTGAAAGGATAATGCTTTTCCTCCTGAATTACCTTGTTAACAATGAAAAAAATTGATTGACTGTACATGGGTTTATTCTGGACTCAATGGTGTTTTATTCATCTTTATATCTACTTTTATGCTACTTGCACATTGTCTTGATCAGTGTAACTTTGTGACAAATTTTGAAATCAAATAGCTAAATTTTCAATTTTTTTCTTCTTTTTCAAAATTGTTTTGCATATTCTAGGTCCTTTGCACACTGTTATGTTAGGCCAGTTCAAGATGGCAGGTTGGAGTTAAAGTATAAATTATGTTCAAAAGGGCTGAACAAAATGAGAAGTCACAGAGTTTGGACATTAAGACAGGGAACATGTGTACATAAATCTGGTTTGCACAGGGTCAGTAAGTTATTTTTCATTTGTGGTATCAATTAATGGGAATCTGGTTTTATTGTCTGACCATTCCATGTCCTCTTCCATTCTGATATTTTTGGTTGTTCTAGTAAATTAACTACTGTCATTCGGTCTTATCAACAACTGCTAATTTCTTCTTTTATTTCATGTTTTCTTGAAGGTTCTGTTATGCACTACATGCAAAAGATTGAGTCAGTCTCAGAGATTTGTTGAAAGGACTGTACCAGGTAATCTTTCCTAAAATAACCTGTAACTGTAACTCATGGTTTCAGGTTTGGGAGTTAATGTGAACATTGCTCAGACAACATTTAGACTCCACCAGAGGACTGGATTATGATTTCCAGGAATCATTTTAGTCCAGATGCAAGGTTCAAGAAAACAGATCCAGAAGAACAGAAATTACTTACATAGAATCAAATACATTAGTAAAGCATATTTAATTGTGGTTATTTCTTTTGGCATGCTATTGGTATTATTTTTATAAATCTATTTTATGAAGCATTTTAAAGGAAATCTTTCCTTTTATGATTAATTTATCTCTAACCCTTAATTCAGTAGATTATAGTTTTGCAATTTGAAATGAAACTTTTTAAAAATGATATCTGATTCTCAGAGACCTCTCCAAATTCAGAAACAGATGACTGTACTGAGCCTTTTTATTCATGGCAACACATTTATTTCATAGGTTCAATAAGAATCCATCCTTCCTTTTACCGGGACAAATTGACAGTACCACTCAGGTCATATTATAGAATTACACTTGATCATAACTCTCTAGAGCTCATCATTAAAAAGATAAGTATTTAAATTCACATATGGAGCAAATACCCAGAGCATCCTCACACCAAACTGGACTGTCACCTGTGATATGACTTAACAAAGTCCCAGTCTTGCAAGTGATAAGGAAAGTCACTTCCTAGCCAGGAATCTAAGAATATTTGAGTGATTGCAAAGAGAAAATTCACTCAAATTTATAGGCACTGCAATAAATCTTGTATAAAAAGACTTTTGTTTTTTGTTTTCTAGACTCAAAATAAAACCGCAAAAAAGAGAAATTTAAAAGTCTAACTCTGTTTTCCTTCTGAAATATTCAGACCATAGTTAATTTTCTAATAGCAATTTGTTCAACCCTATATGCCCTATGAGGCTTATATTAATTAATACTTCTCAAGGTACGTATGTAAATAATCAGGTTAAAATATTATGAAACTAGCCAGCTTTGTGATTTGGAACAACCTTTATAAATTACTTATGATCATTATAAGGGGACACTTAAGAAAAATTATCCAAAATTTGGAAATAAGGCAAAGGGAGAGCAGCATATCCTTTTAATGTCAAATTCAAACATTGATCAACTCAAGAAATAGTCCTTTATCTAGGGAAATCAATAATTCTATTGCTATGTTTAAAGAATTATCTAATATTGATTAAAGACTCAAACTATGTAATTTTACATGTTAACTTGTGTAACTTTGTCTGGTATTTCCTTTCAGTAGAAAATATAATCCAAGAAATTATGGTTTTATTGCTTTATAGGATATTAACAAGTTTTGTGTCTCACTGGCATGCTCACTCAGTATTATTTTTCCAGTGAGAATATAATTCCTGTTTATTTGAACCAGCTTAGTCTTCCTGATAGTTATCTCATTAATGAGCTGAATAAATTTTGACAGGTGTTCATCTGCTATTTTATGATAATCATATATATACATGTAAATTACATATATACATATATATGTAATCATATATATATATATATATTTAAGAGAAAGAGTCTTAAAATGTTGTCAAGGACCATGCTGGAGTATAACAGCTATCCACAGGCATGATCATGGTGTGCTACATCCTCAAACTCCTAGGCTTAAGCAGTCCTCCTGCCTCAGTCTCCTGAATAGCTGGACTACAGGTGCAGGCCACCATATATGCACTTGCATTCAATCTGTCGCAATATGTTGTTTTGGTTGAAGTATTTGAAGACATTCCTGTTTCACACAGATATGTAGTTGGGGAAATAATAATTATTTTTACAATAGTCTTTTCAGTTAATTAGTCTAATTTTTAATGATAGCTGTGTTTAGCAGCCAGTTTGCAAAATTCCATGCTTACCAGGCTCACACCTTCCTCAATAACACATTTCTTAGTGCCTTGAGAAGGAAGTATCCTCAACTGCCCCACTTTAAGGTAAAGTAAAAAGGGGCTGGGCAGATTCATTCCAACATTTCTATTTTTGGGGGTGTTTGGACTTCATCCTTTAGAGAATGCCAGCAAAATTCAGGCATTTCCACTTTTTAAAACATAGGTTATTGGTGAGTCCACACTTCAATTAGTCAACTTATCAGGTTATTAATGTATTTTTACATGCGTTAGTCAAAATATTAAATTCCATATTATGGGTGAATGCATCCATGACAATGAGTTCAACACAATTGCACCTTACATTTTATCTTCCTTGGTATAATCCCTTAAAATCCATTCCCACACACATTCTCTTGTCAATACAGATTGGTGAAGTGCTGAAATTCTTACACTACTTTTCATCCATTCTAGGTCTGGAAGAAATTATAGGTGCACCATGAGAAGAATGAGTTTCTGAGGCAAGTGTATGCATTCAAAGATTTTTTATACAGAAGAGATTTGTTTTTGTTTTTGTGGTTTTTTTTCTTTTTTTACTATCTTCTATTTGACGAAATTGATGGTGGGACTGGGAAGAACATGAAAATTCTCAGCCTTATCTATGCTGCTCAAACGTCTCTGTCTTGTGGTTTAAAACTTCACCCCTTTTCCACTGATACTTTTCTATCAGCATAAGAGACCTAGAGATGTTGAGAATTTATTAGAATTAAAACTCCGCAATTGTCACAATCAAACCTTGGACTTAGTTCTCTTCTATATCTTCTCTATGGCCGTAGGAAATGAGAGGCTCATTCAAATCTGCTCTTTAGGCTTTCTGATCATCCATGCCAGATATTTTAAATTTTCAATAGCACAATTTCTACATCTACACTCTCTGGTGTTATCAGAAGAAGCCGGGTGACACCAAAAAGTTTATAATTACTCTGTTAGCCATTGCAGCTAAGTTTCATAATCATTTAATATCCCAATCCCTCGGCCTGCTCATATATTTCATCCCATGACAAAAGCTGTAATCATTTGAGTAATAGTAATGTCACTACACATAATGAATTATCCATATCTCATTTCTTCCCAATACTCCTCAAATATTTAAGCAATTCATTTCCTAAATTTGAAGTTCTGTTTCCTGGGGCTGCTTCTGATTACAATTATTGTACCAATCAGGTTCCTGGCAGAAAGCAGATGACACAAATCAACTAGAGAAGAGGTTCATAAATAAACCATTTACACAGGTACAGACGAGGTATAGGGAAATCACAAGGATTGTGCCAAAACCTGATTACAGTAACATTTCCAGGTTCTTACTCCCCACTTCCCCATACACACACAGACTCTGCCTATGACTTTATTTTAGTGTTTCTCACAAAAAAATTAATTGGGGGGTAATCCAAGATTCTCCCTTGCCTACTGCATCCCACTTCAGTTAATTAAATACCAAGTCCCATCCATTTCACCTCTTAAATATACACCTAACATATCTTCTAAACACAGTGACCCCATGCAGTGTGGCATCATGGTTCGATGCTTACTGAGTGATAAGAATTTTAGTATAACATTCATTGTATAATGTATACACTGGAGCCTCAGAAGAAGTTGTGTAATAAGGAACTAAGTTGCGTAGGTTCTATGTCATAATAAGAAGTTCATTTTTCTTTAAATTACAGCAACAGAAAAAAATAGGGGTAGCAGAGCCCTTTATATGTCCATAATATTTTTGTTTTTGCAGTTAAATGCTCAGCTTTAGAAAAAGCATTAATACATCAGCACAAAAGACATGGATTTTAATATGTAGCACATTCAGTTATAGCACTGCAAAGAGAATTAGGAAAGAAGTAACTATAAACATCCAGCTGCAGAGTTTAAGCAGTCTCATGCTGTGACTACAGAGAGTGCAAATTATATGTTCTCATCTCATTTTAGAAACCAAAACGCATTATATTAAAGCCTAATTTATGTTACAACCTGGGAATTATTAAGTTTAACACAATTTAGACAATGTATAGACTTACTGAATTCTTTATTTTGATTAGTATCACTGAATAAATATTAAACTGCCTTACATGAGATAGATAGCGTCAACACATACAAAGGTCTCCCTACCTGAACTACTGCACCAATTTTTTTTTTTTTTAAGAGACAGGGTTATACTCTGTCAACCAAGCTGGAATGCAGTGGTGTGATCCTAGCTTGCTGCAGCCTCAAACTCCTGTGTTCAAGTCATCCACTCACCTCAGCCTCCTGAGTAGCTAGGACTACAGGGGTGCACCACCATCCTTGGCTAATTTGATTGATTTTTTTTTTTTTTTTTGTAGAGACACAGTCTTGCTATGTTGCCCAGGCTGGTCTCGCACTCCTCGCCTCAAGTGATTCTCCTATCTTGGCCTCCCAAAGTGCTGGAATGACAAGCATGAGCTACTGCACCCAGCTACTGCACTACTTATTGACAATAAGTTTCAAGACAAAGCATATCTGTAGTTCTCTCTGCTTATTTTGTATTACCTACATAATCTGTGTTGTAGTAATATTTATTAATATAAAGTGTGGGTGGCTGCATTACTTGCAAATTAAGTGTAACTTAAATTCATGGATCTTCGTCATTTTTGGTCATCTAAAAAGATCTACAAGGTATCATTTCATTATAATTCATTTTTAAAGATAAAATATGATAAAGAAGTAACTTTCTATGAGATCTCTATGAGAAAAACTAAGTAATATCTACGTGCATGATGTCCCACTCCTATATTTATTTATCCTGTTTTTCTTCACTCAACAACATCTCTCTGGCCCAATTTAATCCAAAAACGTAAGACATACTTATTTCTGAAGAATGATTTTCACTATAGGATAGAACAGACAACTCTCTGAACACTTGAAACAACTTCACCATGTTAAACACCCTTCAATTGCTAGAAAAAAATAGACCATGGAATCTTCTGTTTTTATAAAGCAGTACAGAAGAAGACATTTGTAAAATAAGAATAAATGCTAGGTGGAAAGATCAATTTGCCTTTCTTTTCTAAGCCCCATAAAGAATTCTTCAGGCCAGACAGGCTTTAATAACTGTCTAGCTTTGGTTCAAAGAGCATGTATCTAATAGAAAGAAAGAACAAATGTCCCTCATGTGTTCCAAGGAAAGGATTCCTTTATAAATGTCAGAGTAATAGCTAGAGTTTTCTGCTATTCTGAAATTAATCATTGCAATGTTAATGGCTCTTTATGTGCACAGGAGGTGGGGAAAAGCAGAATTAACAAATACATAGTCCAGGGCCCCAATCTCCCATAACCTCTGTTTATCAAACCCACATTCTTGGATTCCTCAATACGGGTTTCCATGTTTTGTTTTGTTTTGTTTTTTAAAGGATAGGAACATAACTCAAAATGTTAATATCTAATGCTAATCTCTTTAAATGAAAAAATAAAATCATTTTCTGAAAGCATATTTCCTTCCTGAAAGATCTGAATAAAACGAAACCCTCTAGAGAACTAAAAGTTTCTAAGAGCATACTACAATATATCAGATATTATTGAAAAGAAATGTGGCAGCTATTTTGCTTCAAGTTAATTAGGAAAATAAAATATGCTTTCTTTTAGAAGTCATGGAAATTGTTGGAACTTTTTGATAACTTAATTAGGCACTTTTATATTTAAATAAATATAAATAAGGAATTGGAAAATAATCATTTTTCTCTCACTGTCTTTCAGAACCATGCAATACTGTTTTTCTGCATTTCCTTTTCAGTAAAACCGATTATTTGGGCTATCCAGGGGAGTTTTTAAAAAATCTCAAAATGGAATACTTTGCAACATACACTTGATATATATTTATGATGATAGTTAATATGCTAAAGCTTCCCAAATACACATGTGATATAAATTTATTTAGAAATATTTAGTATAAAACAGAAAATTTTAAAGGAAAACTCATTAGAAAAATGTTTAAAGATTTATATACACAAAGTTCATTACATTGTCTTTTTATTTTAGGATAGTCATAATTGAAAAGTCAAAATTTGGAATTAAAAGATTATGGCACAAAATTATAATAAATATTATTCAACTATGAATCACTAGAATGCTGATTTAGAATAGTTGAAGATGTAAAAACATGTTTTTAACATAGTAAGAATAACGGCCGGCCATGGTGGCTTACGCCTGTAATCCCAGCACTTTGGGAGGCCGACGCAGGCGGATCACCTGAGGTCAGGAGTTTAAGACCAGCCTTGCCAACATGGTGAAACTCTGTCTCAACTAAAAATACAAAAACATAATAATAATAATAATAGCCGGGTGTGGTGGCGGGCACCTGTAATCCCAACTACTCGGGAGGCTGAGGGCTGAGGCAGGACAATAGGTTGAACCCAGGGGGCAGAGGTTGCAGTGAGCTGAGATCGTGCCATTGCACTCCAGCCTGGGTAACAAAAGTGAGACTCCTCCTCCTCCAAAAAAAAAAAAAAGAAAAAAAAAAAAAGAAAGAAAGAAAGAAAAGAAAGAGAAAGAGAAAGAAAGAAAGACAGAAAGAAAGAAAGAGTAAGAAACACTATACTATTGGGAAGATGTATACCAATGCATTAATCATTCATAATTCTAAATCATTTTTCTTTTAAAAAACTCCATTTCTGTGACACTAACATTTATATTTTTCTAAATATAATATTTATATACATATGCATCCTAAAAATATACTGCTATTCAGTTTATTCATTAGCAGAATTAATACTGTATAAAAATTTCTTGGTTATCAGGTAACTGAATCATTTTGCATATACCTTTGATACTAGAAAACAAGATAAATATAGCTGTATTTTAGTTACAGTTTCTTTGGAAACATACACCAGTTTGGTAAGTTTTGAATATCTTTTTTTCATTTTTGCAATTGTGAAATGAATCACTGGCTTGAAAGAAACTTTTATTAATAGATAATGAATATCATTCCTATTTGGAAACCAAATGCTCGAATCGAGTAGGGTACTAAGTTGGAAAATTCTGTACACAAAAAACAAATATTGAGTAATTTAATTTGGATGCATACTATTCTATGTATGAAGTGTGTGGATCCTGGATTGCACATAAGTTAATTTATTAAATATGGTGAAGCATAATTTTCTCAACTGAAAAATGACAGCAATAATAGTATCTATCGGATAATTGTTAAGAGGATTAAATGAGACATGCAGTATTGGACAATTTTAATATTACTATTTTATAATTTTCATGTTATTATTCAACCAATCATAGGATTAAGTGGAATCATAGGGTTCATTGTGAGATTAAATGAAATGCTATTCACAAATCTCTTACACAGTGACAGGTACTTATATGAATAACAATAAAAATAGTAATTTTACTTCCTAAATATGTATAGTACCAGATTAATAGTGTCTCAATATCTACATATTCCTCTAACATTATTTCTTTCATGATCCCAAATTACTAATTTGCTATTAATTGGCCTCAAAATGCCTATCTTTCATGTTGAAATATTTGGCAATTGTGTTATGAGAGGAAAAATAATATGCTTAACATTCGGCAAAGTACTTCCAAAGTCCAGAATGTCCAAACTCTTAGCTTATATTAATATGAAAATATGTTTAGAAATCTACTTCTGAAAATGGGCTTTTTCAGTGAAAAATATCATTACCCTTTTTGTGGTGCCTGCATTAGTCTACTTTAAAAAGTATCTGCAATTAAACAGAGAGGAATATAAAGTTTAATTTGTATCATATACTTAAAATAATAATAATTATTATTATTTTGAGACTTGGTCTTGCTCTGTCACCCTTGCTGGAGTGCACTGGCACTAACATATCTCACTGCAGCCTTGAACTCCTGGGCTCAAGTGATTCTCCTGCCTCCCATCTCACATGTAGGTGGGACCATAGGCACATACTACCAAACCTGGCTTGCTTATTGATTGATTGATTGATTGTAGAGGTGGGATCTCACTTTTGTTGCCCAGGCTGGTCTCCAAACTCCTGGGCTTTGAACAAGTGATCCTCCCACCTCCAGCTCCCAAAGTGCTGGGATTATAGGCATGAGCCACCATGCCCAGCCAAAATATTATTTTTTGAGTAACATTAAGTGTTTAAAAAGTTTTCAGGAACAGGGAGACAAGGGTAAGTAATTAAAATATTGGGAGATATTATTTGTAAGGTATTCAACACTCTTAAGTGTCATTTGAGAATTTTTGTATTCTCCTTTAAGGGTTTTAATTGCCATTGATTGAACAAGTTTATATCCTGTGACAATGACAACTCTGCATGATTTTCAATTTAGCAATATAAAAATGATATTAAAGATTATTACTACTGCCTCTCTGGGGCATAAAGAAAAGATTATTTATATGAAATATAATGTAATTAAGATCTATAATATTACAGAGAAATAATTGCAATTACAGGTAATTACAGGTGTTTTATGTTGACACATATAGGCTTTTTTCTAAAGCAGTTATTATTTTTGGCCTTTAATCCAACACAAATCTTATCAGCAAACCTGCCAAATCCATCCATGACACATTTGGTGGAAAACTTTTTCTAACTGACTGTACTTCATTGCAAACAATATAAAATTGATGTATAACATATCAGAGTTAATATAATAAACAATAATAGCTAACATATATGGGCATTTACTATGTGCCAGTTGCTGTTCTAAGTGCATTGCATGAAATACTGTATTCAACCACTTAAGTTCTTATGATGTACATATTATTTTAGGTCTACAATTTCTTACCTATTATTTTGAAAGCCAAAAACTTCTGAAAACTTTGTTTCATTTATTCTCACACAGGTAGAAATCTGACTTGGATTGATATGAAGCTATTTATATTCTTGAATTATGTCTCTTAGTTTGAATATTTATTTATTTTGCTGCAGCAATTTTAATATGCCTGAGACTCTGCTGTGACTGTTATGTAAATGTATGGTATCCACTGAACTATTTTTTAAAATCCTAAATATCCAGAATTCTGAAATACCCCCAGACTCCAGAGTTTTGGGAAAAAATATTATGAACCTATATCATGCTCATTTTACAGATGGGTAAACTGGGGCACAGAAAAGGTAAATGATTTTGCAAAATTGCACTGCCAGTAAGCAGTTGAAATGTGATTTATTTCCGTGTAAACATTTAATATGGTTTTAAATGTTTCTTCCATCTGCCTTCCTTTTTCCTTTACTACAGAATCTCAGAAATGGAATGCTAGATGCACACCTGTAGATGAATGTCATTTTAAGAAGGAAAAACTACCTATAGGGTACTATACTTACTAACTAGGTGACAAAATAATCTATATACCAGACCCCCGTGACTCACTAGCTATATAACAAACTTACACGTGTACCCCTGAACCTAAAAGTTAAAAAAAAAAGAACAGCTTACTGCTCCCAATATTGCTAGCTTAAAAAAAAAAAAAAGTCATTTGTCTTGAGATCACATTGGTCAGCCCGGATAAGTCGGTTGAAGCTGGGACATTAATTAATTTGAATGTGTATGTGTGTCATGGTTGCGCCGACAGGGTGCCAAGTGCTGTGCCAGTTTCTACTGTTCAAAAACCCCACTGTGAATTGCTATATAATAATCAGTCTGAAATCTGGAATTACAGAACAAGCAAAACCTTCAACGGGCTTAACGACATCTGTCTTGATTGAAATTTCACAGATGGAATTTCTAGAGATATCTATATAGCAGCTTGGGATGGGAGTTAGGAAACTGAGTTTCTGTTTCTAGCTCAGAAACCAGATTATTATGTGACCTTGAATAAATAACTAAGAAGTATTTTACTTCATCTCTCTCCATGTATAAATTCTAAATTACATTTAGAATTCTGTTACTATAAATTCTAAATTACATTTAGAATTCTGTTACCATGAATTCTAAATGAAAGAAATATATATGAGTTTAGTTAATTGAGCCACTTTTAGGAAGGCCTTAGAGTAGTATTTATTATTACTTCAGTGTCTAATCTTGAAGCTCTATGTCCCAGTTTCACTGTGTCAGAAGCCAAACTCAGATTTGTCATTTCTTCAGTGTATTCCAAGATAAAACGTTTAAGCTAGTTCTCAAAAAGTCTTTAATAGGTTTTTTTAAAAGTGACAACTGAGTAATAATTTTGTAATCACAACTCTAAACATAGATTCCATCCTTAGCCAAACTGTAAATATGTAAGTTAATAATTCAAACATATTTGTTCCTATCATACTCTACATAAATCATTAATAATGTTTCTCAATTTCAGTAATTATTGGAACAGCAGAATACTGCATACTGATAAACTATTTCAACCAACAGCAAAGAAAAATTCTCATTTTTCATATTAGATTAGTGGTTTCTAATTTCCTAGAACAGTACATACGTCTTACTGGTAAAATTTCTATGTATACAAAAAGGTTGTAGGCATGACTCATCTGAGTGGTCCACTTTTTAGGCTACTAATGTAAAAATATCCCTATAAAATTGAAGAATGCAGATAAGACTTCAGAATTGATGATAGAGCATATACTCTTTAAGGAATATATGAATATCCATAATTATAGATCATAATTATTCATATTGCAGAATACATCTCAAAAATTTTTAAGTGGCTAGCAATGGGTTATTGTAAATTGTAAGCCTCTTTTCTCTTATTCAAAACTTTGATTTTCTTCTTACTCTATTAATAAAGCATACCAAACATAAATTTGCCTAGAAATGCAGTTTGGGAGTAAGAATGTAATGAATGAATTTACCAGTAGTTTATCATGTTTAACTAGGGAAAACAGTCATTGTGAATGTTTATAACTTAAGATGATACATGAGTGCCAACTTGTACATAGATGAAGACAAAAGAAATCCAAAATACCATTTTCAACATGCAAGCATAAAATGCTAGTCACACAAAAATGCCAATGCTTTTAAAATAAATTCACTTTTTAATCTACATTTAAAAGCATAAAAATTAACCTTCAAAATGTATAGCCACAGTGACTCAAGTAGAATTTCCAAAAGATGTTTTCTTAAGGATGGCAAGAGGGAATGAATGGTATTAAAGATGCACTTGACTTTCTCCACTGCTGTGAACAGATAATTTGAGGCCTACTCAGGTGTAAATCTAACAAACTCAATACTTTTTAACCCAAGCAAGGTTCCTCTACTTGTTTTTCTATTCCTGTTGTAAAATTTTATACATGATACATAAAACATATATATTATGTATATGTGTGTGTATATATGTATATATGTGTATATGTATGTATATATACATATATATGTATATATGTGTGTATGTATATATACATATATGTATATATGTGTATGTATGCATGTGTGTATATATATACCTATACACACATATATATGTATGCATATGTATATAATATTGGAGGCTCCCACAAAAGAAACTTAGAGAAGGAGAGATAGAGTAGATCCTCTATATCCCCAAGATCCTGAACCATCTCTGTTCTGTATTAGGAAAGTAAAGTTTCTCAGTGATGTTCTGGGGATGGCTATATCTGAGTTTGTGGATTAAGTAAATACTGAGCTGGCTGGATTGTTTGTGTGGGGTATTTTATACTACCTAAGCTCCTCTGCTGTGTGAGTTCCCTAATTTGGGATTATAGCATTTGGCTGACTCTGCTTTGTAGGTGATGTGTCCAAGGCGTCAAACTTCATCAGTTCCTTCCTGTAGTTTTTCCTCTATCCCAGAGGAGAAGATTTGACCATAAAGAATTTAGTCAACTCTAGGATATATCATCATTTAAATATCACCATATATCAGAAGTTCAGCCATGGAGTTGTTTCATTGAGATAATAATTTTCTGAAAGGTATACAGCGACATTGTATTGCTATAAACAAAACAAGTCGAAATTTTCCTTGAACTAATGAACCCACCTGGCCAGTGATGAACTATTTTTGATGGACAAAATATTTCTTTGCCATCTCTAATAGATCCTGTCAATCTGCAAGACTGACATAAGGAAGGCTAAATGACTAAGCCTAATCAGTTAGCAGGTAATAGCTAGTAAGCTGCAGTTCCACAAACCCAATTGGAATAGGGAGGAAGGAGTTACTTACAAATCAATCTTTAAGACTTGCACTAAAGACTTTTTGTCTTATTTCCCTTTATTACTTTGATATTTTTCGTTTCTCAAATATTGCTGAAACTGACATATTTGTGATGAGAACTATTGTTTTTAGCCCCTGAAACTGAGTTATAACAAAGTTTGTCCCCATTCAGACCACATGACTTGTGTAATTTTCAATCAGGTAAATTGGGCCTCTTCAGAGAATCACAAGAAAGGTTTCACAAACCTCAAGTGGATTATGACCACTGGGGACTAGAGCCATCACAGATGTGGAATAACTGGAATTACAAGGGACTGGTAGTATGGAGATATTCTGTGTATGAAAAAGAAAGTTTTCATATACACAGTCATTTTTGCAATACAAATGCACAGGCTGTCACTATGTATTCTGAATATACAGTACTAAGAACTGAATGTGGTTAAGTGCTGAGAAAAAAAGAATGATCTCATGATATTTAGGCTAAATCACCAAAGAATGCCAGAATAATAATTATTAAAAGGGAAAGGTTTCCTAAGGAATTCATTCTGCTGTGTTTTATTTTGTTGTCTCAGGGACAGAAGATGATACCACTGTCATCTCCTTGGTTCAGGGTTATTGGGCAGGATGACTGTCTCTTAAAGTTGTCTGCTTCTGAAGGCTTTTGATGTAGCCTCAGTTTAATATCTCATGTGAAAGAAACCTACTGATTTGGGTTGGCAGTTGTTTCCACAGTGACACAGAAGAAACAAAAACGGTGTCCCAGCAATGTTGTAAAGCATTTTTACATTGATGTGTTATGCATTGTGTATCCTCAAAAAAATACATTGGAGTTATATCCTCCAGGACCTCAGAATGTTACTTCATTTGGAGATATAATCTTTACATATGAAATCAAATTAAAATGCAGTAATTAGGGTAGACCCTAATTCAATGACTGGTGTCCTAATAAAAAAGAAAATCTGGGCACAGAGACATACACACAGGAAGAATAACATGTGAAGACTGGAGTTATGATGCCATAAGCCAAAGGAATTACCAGAGCCAGAAGAGAATCCTGGAACCAATCTTTCCCTGTGACGCATCTTCAAAGGGAGCATGGCCCTCCTTACACCTTGATTTTGGGTTTCGGACTTCTGGCCTCCAGAACAGTAAGACAATACATTTTTGTGTTTTAAGACACTGACCTTGTAGTACTTTGTTATTGTAGCCCTAGGAAACTAATACAATATGTCTTCTAAATGACACACTTCTTGGGTTGGAGGTCATGCAAAATGTTGAGTTGTTTCCTTTGAAGAGGTAGCTCATCCCTGCTGTGCATAAGACTGAGTAAAGGAGGTTAGTTTCTGACACCATCCAGGTAGGTCTGCATGCATCAGTAAAGTTTTTCCTAGTGGTGGAAGGTGTCTTGTAATGATCTTATAGAAAGCCCATGGGAGCTCTGAGGAGAGGACTACATGGTTATTAATGATAGTGGGAAAATGTAGACCTGGGAAAATTAAATGTTTATGAAAATTTGGACAGTGTCATCTTCAGTGTCTCCTTTACTCATTCTACTTCTCTTTAAGACTGGGGTAATGCTAACAGTGAATTTTCTGGGTTAGTGGAAAGATCTAACAGAGTTTCTTTATGCTTATTCTCATGAAATGAGTATTTCCGTTTGGGAATGTATGGTTTAATATTTTAACAACTGTGACAGTGTTAGCTCTTTGGCAAGGAAAAGCATCTATCCAGCCAGAAACTTTTACCAACAATAACTAATGTGTATACATAGCCTAAAGATTTAGGCAGTTGTATAAAGCCTATCTGCAAAACCTCAAGAGTCTTGAGTAGAGGAACTGAACCATGCCTCACCTTAACAGATGTACCTGGATTATGCTTGTTATCTACCATTACTTATTTAATGCAAAAGTAGTTTTTTTAATTCTATAACGTGAACAATCATAGAATAATCTGACCTGGGTTCATTGGTGGGATTGTGGTGCTATGGGGCACTAAATCCCAAAATTGCCAAAATCTATCTTTATGGAAAGGGGATCCCCAACTTTGCCTTTCAGAAGGTTGAGCTAATCACTGTAAGTCAACCATAGCCAGTTTAAATTGAGACAATACTTCTTTTGAAAGTTTGGTGGAGAGAGATGTCCATTTTAAAGCATCCCTTTTAGCTGCGATGTGAAAAGCAGCTCATTTAGATGTAACCTTGCAAGACCACTGCCCTCAGATTTTGATCTGCGTATGCACTTCTATCTTAATAACTAGGATCTCCTTGTGAGTTTTTAATCACTTTCACTAAAACATTAATATTTTTCCACTGGTAGTCAAAATATCTTAAGAGGTCATAAATCCTTCCAGTTTTCATAACATTCCAAAATCATGAACAATTCTTAAAAGCACATCTGTTCTCTTTTTGTCTTTTGCCACAATACAAGCTTTAGTCAGAGCTATTAATTCAGCTACCTGGGAAGATAGAATACAATGTAATGAGCTGCTTTAATGGCTGCATTTTCAGTGGATACAGAAAGAAGAGGATGCCATTGTCATTTTTTAAAGTAAAAACCCATCTATAAACTATATTAAATCAGAATTAACTAAAAAGGTGTTTGTAAGGTCTGACCTGGGTATGCTTAATTCCTGAGTTATTGCTATAGTCATGTTTTCCCTTCATCTTGAAGAATTCCAGTTATAAGAGTACAATTTGTACAATGGTAAATAGTGATGCACAAAGAATAAAAGGGCTTCATAAATGTAAAAGTTGTTGATAGATAAATGTCGAGTGTTGCCTAGAAGTAACAGTGATTGCCCAGTACATGCAAACCACAGAGTTAATGAAAAGTAAATGCCACATTGGCAGAAGCTTTCACCAGTTTGGCAGCTGCTGCCACCTCCTGCAAACATGAAAATTGGGTTAGATCTTAGTTACCAAACCAAGGGATATGCTAAGAGAGACAATAAACAGGCTTCTCTTGAGTTAATATTCCCAATGCATCATCTTGTCTTTCTTGAACAAGAGAGAGAAGGTTTTTAGATGATTTAGGGATACCCAAAGTGGGATGTTGTTAAAGAGAAGAATTCGAAGATGAGAAAGCTTCTTCTACTTTTATATCACACGAGAAAGTCTCAGGAATTGTTGTCATAGTAAGTTCATAAGAAGACTGAGCAACTTTTAAAAAAATAGGTATTTATTGCTTGCAATAACCAGTCAATCCTAAAAATTTTTTCATTGTCTTTTAATTTAGAGCTTTAGTAAAATGGAATTTTCTTTGTTTTGGTGTACGAAAAATACCCATGTACTGACAGATCATGACTCAAATAATTTGTTCAGTTTCTTGGCAAAATCACTTTTCTCTAGATTCCTTATGCCCCTTTTCAGCTAATCTTGAAAAGAAATATGGAGTCTCTGTGAAATACTTAGATCAAGAGGGCACTGCAAAATATCATCTACATATTGTGTGAGAATGGACCCTCAAAGAAAAGTCATTTTGTTTAGATTGAAAACAAATTGATGAGGAGTCCATAAATCCAATATGTGGTATAGTAGACCCCTCTTATCAGTGGGACATATGTTTCAAGACCCCTAGAGGATGCATAAAACCATGGATAGAACCAAACTCTATATACATATTATTATTATTTTTTGATCTAAAACCCAGATGGCTACTAAGTGCCTAAGACAGATAGCATACACTGCTGGGATACGCTGGATATGATTCACATTTCAGGGAGGACAGAATGAGATGGTGTGAGATTTCATCATGTTACTCACAACAACATACAATTTAAAACTTAGGAATCTGGAATTTTCCATTTAATATTTTTGGATTGCAGTTGGCCACACGTAACTGAAACTTTGAAAAGCAAAACCAGGGATGCAGAGGGTTGGGTGGGGGGTGGAGCAACTATGGTATATAGCCACATATGCTGTTAATTTTCCCACAAAAACAGTGAACAAATGTTAACTGTATCTACATGTGTACTAAAGAATGCTGCACATACATCTACCACTATGAAATAAATATTTACTTCTTCAGCAATTGGATGACAAGACAGGTTCCTATTGGAAACTACCAGGAATCTAGAAATCATAATTTTATTGCTTACCCTGAGTTCTTGAATAAATGGGTATCCTTTCTTGATAGGCTTCTTAAACGGCTATATGGGAAGATTGCAAGGATGAGATATGGCTGTCCTTATTCTTATAAAGACTCAATAATAGATTTTATTCCTGTGATTTCTTCAGGTTTGTGTAGATATTGGAATGACGTTGGTGGGGGGTTATAAGGATTTATTTGAACCTTACTTGGTCAATTGCAAATATTTCTCTCATCAGTAGAATCTTTAGCCTGAAGACTAGAAGTAGTCTGATCTAACAGTGCACCAGGAGAGTCCAACAGATGCAAAGGATCTGCTGTAATTTGGGTTGTTCCAATGTGCTGCCTTCTGGTGTACTTTAATTCCATAACACCATTACAGAGTGAGTGGCAATAATTTAGTTGGAGCAATAAGTTAGTTGTAGTTAGTTTCACACAACTGAAACTGGGAAAAGTTACAAGTCTGGTAAAATCATAGCCTATCAGTGTTTGCTGGAGACATCCTCCCCAGTTATTTTATTTGTTCTCTGAAGAACAGACTGAGATAAAGTGGTGAAATTTAAGGTAGAAAATACAGCATGCATATCCTCTAGGAACTGGAAGGCCGACCCTGCAAATAGATAAAACACAGAGCAGACAATGGGGTGTTACTGAGGTCCTTAGAGGAGTGTCATTGTTGGACCACTAATTTGACTTCATAGGCTCCTTATCCGTTTTACCAGGAAGCTCCTTTTCCAGTACCCAGTCATTTTACAGGTGTCATATTTCCCAAAAATGTTAAATACTAACTACCATGTGTCTCAGTCATTCTACTCCTAGGTAGTTACCTAACAGAAATTAAAGTGTATGCCCGTAGAAGACTTATATACAAATGTTCATAATAGCTTTATTTTTAAGAGCCAGGCCAGGAGTGGTGGGTCACACCTGTAATTCCAGCACTTTGGGAGGCCAAGGAGGGCTAATCACTTGAGGTCAGGAGTTCGTGACCAGCCTGGTCAACGTCACAAAACCCTGTCTCCACTAAAAATACAAAAATTAGTCAGGTGTGGTAGCATGCGTCTGTAATCTCAGCTACTTGAGAGGCTGAGGAAGGAGAATCATATGAACCCAGGCAGTGGAGGTTGCAGTGAGCTGAGAATGCACTGGTGCACTCCAGCCTGAGCAACAGAGTGAGACTGAGTCTCAAAAAAAAAAAAAAGAATGCCTATCATGCCTATCAGCAGGTGAATGGATAAACAAATTGTCTATGTCCATACAATAGAACACTCAGCAATACAAAGGAGCAAACTTTTGATAAATCCAACAACATGGATGAATCTCCAAATAATTATGCTGACTTAAAGAGGCCCAGACAAAAAAGTTTATAGTATATGATCCTGATTATATAAAAATTTTGAAAATGCATACTAGTGACAGAGCAGATTAGTGGCTGCCTGGGATTGACTACAACAGGCCATGAGGAAACGTTAGGAAGTGATGGTGATAGGTAGTTGATTGCCGTGATGGTTTCATGAGCATATGCAAGTGTCAAGAGTCACCAAATTGAACATTTTATGTATGCTCAGTCAATTATACCTCAATAAATCTTTTTGTAAAACCCAAGGTCATCAGGCCCATAAGTAGCATTTCCACCACAGGGCTCTCTATCAGCTCCATGGGTGATTCAATCAAGTGTTCTCAATGGGAATTATCCAAATACATAAAAAGCACCCAATGTTAATTTGCCAGCAAAATGCAGATGTCCCACCTTTCAGTATAAATCTTTCCTCTTATCAAACTCCTGGGGAGAAAATTAAGTCTACATATTAAGTTACCTTTCAAGTTAATGTCCAAAGACCAAAATAATCAAAACCCAGAATCAAATTCTCTCACTGTAATAAGGTAAAAGTTCAATAAAATTAAAGCCCTTCCCAGTTTCTTATTGGATTCACTCACAGGCAGAAATGTTCTTAATGCCTCTCAGGATTCCTTCAGCAGCTGCAGCCTGGCTGTCTCTTTTTGGATATGGATACAACACATTCATTTGGCACTTCAGAAGTTAAATTAGTTCAATAACTCTATGGTGTGCCTCAACTTACAAAAGGTCTGGAGAGTCAATAAAACACCCAAGGTAATTACAATACTTGCCTTATACCCACCAAATTTAAAAGGCAGTTATCCTGTACAAAATTATGCTCCCAAAACTCAGTAGTATTTATTGCCAAAGACTACATGTAGCAGAAACTCTATAGCAGGAACTCATGAATCAGTAGGAAGGAAGATAACCGGTGATGGCTTTAGCCTTATCAGAATGCCAGTCACATGAGCTGCACACTTAAACTAAGTTGGAAGAAATTTGTCAGCAACAAGTTAAACTTTTCACCATGCATTTAGCATGGTACTCTATCTTCTCTTTCAGAAAGTGACATCTGAAACACTGATGCTATCTTACCAAGTATAGAATTTGGAGTGGTCCAGTCCCAATCACCAAGTCAAAGGAGACCTGATCTTTTCCCAGTATGTTCAAATATCTTCAGATTCAAAATTTTCTCTTTTACACAGCATTTCAATGACTCTCAGAACAATTTAGACCTTGAGCTTTTCTAGAACTTTATATTGCAACCAAGGCACATGTCTTTAAAAGTAGCAAATACTGATACAGTCATTAACATCTAGCATAGCTATGAATATTTCTTCTTATATCATTAAATCCTTGCCACGAATAAAATTGTTTTCTGGTGTCGAGTTAGCAGCATCTGATGAGTGAGGCCTTTGCTGCTCACACATGCATATTTAATGTAGGCCAAGGTCAAGCTGCAGTAGCCTGCATGAGACCACTTGCACATGCCAGTGCCTTTGTTGATGCCAGCACCACTACAGTAGCTTGCTAAGCCTCACCTTGGGCTGGCATCTGGTGAGGACATCCATGAGGCCAGCATTTGGGTGAGCCCCACTTCCAGATTCTCTGTCTTTGCTGAAGCCAATATGTCTCCATCACCCTCACTCAAACTCTGCTTCATTGAGGCCTGCGCATATGTGCTTAAAGCCCAGTATTGCACATTGTCTCTATAGAAATTACCAATTTCTCTGGACAAAGATATCCTAAACTTTTAGGTCAAAATCCCACGTGCCTTAAGTCTTAAAGCCTCTTGCCAAAACTGCAACTAAAAGCCTACTTCACACTTACAAAGTCAAATTAATAGCCCTAATAGAAGCCTCTACAAACTACCAAGATCAAAGCTCCCTACGTATACATTAAGGTCTGAAACCAGAAACCATAAGCTATGGCCACAATTAAGCCTCTCTCTTTCTATGTTGTGCTCCTTCAAATTTTATTCCTCTTTTATTTCTTGATGTACTAACCCATATAGCACAAATTTCTATATATATTTTCCAAAAATATCCATCCCCCTTCTAACATTTATCAATATAGCCTGTTCTTCACTTATAGTATTAGAATAGCAATTAAGAGTACATGCACTCTGCTGACAGCCCAGGTCCTCCTCCCAGACATCATTTATTACTTTACCTCCCCTGGGTGGAACAAGTGGGACAAGAAGTAAAGATACCATGAGTGTTTGGATGATGGTGTCTTCTCCACATGGAAGGAAACAATAGGGAACCGATAGGAACTATTACCTCCATCAATAATAATATATTCTAACTACTTATTAGATATTTAAATAATACCAAGCTTGCTTCCCTTTGTAACTTTCCTCATGCTCTTACACTTCTAATCTTTTTAACCTCGAAGGCTTTCCTTAAATGCTATTGCACACATGAAACTTTCTCTGATTTCTTAAACCAAACAAAACCTCTTTCTTCTCTGAGGCCCTGGTCCAACATTTTTTAAGTGTGGCGAGGAGCAACCCAGCAGAATCACTGGGGTTGCCTGTTAAAACATCCATTACTAAGCCCATCTACAGTATCCAAATTCCTTAGTGTAGGGTCCTCAAACATGCCTCTTAAGAAGCCTATAGGCCAGGCACAGTGGCTCACACCTATAATCTCAGCACTTTGTACGGCCAAGGTTGAGCCATAAGGATCCCTGAGGCCAGTTCAAAACCAGCCCAGGCAAGGCTGAACTTGGCAAGACCTCATCTCTACAGAAAATGTTAGCCAGGTGTTGGCACGTACATGTAGTCCCAGCTACTCGTGAGGCTGAGCAGGATAACTTGAGCCCAGGAGTTTGAGGCTGCTGTGAGCCATGATCACACCACTGCACTGCAGCGTGGGCGGGAGACTGTCCACCACCAAGATAATAAAAAAAAAAAAAACGAAAAAGGAAAAGCTTCCTGGGTGCTTCATTGATAACACTAAAATCTTAACCTTTTGCTTTATCTGATTGTCACTGATTACTTTTTCCCCCATTATACCATTACTTGGCATTTATTCCTCTACAAGAACTTTGGAATTTTAAAGAGTAACTCCTTAATATAAGTTTTGCATAAAGTAGCTTTTAACAAAGTCGTTAAAATGAATATAATTTGACTTTCACTTGTCTCTCAAAAGGACTAGATCTCCTTCCATGTTTTGTCATGATTAAGTGTCTAGAAGTGAAAATGCACAAAAATTGTAAAGCAATTTACTGAAATAATTTATCCTCCATCATGATGTGATGTGTCTTCACCAATGTAGCCAAATTTAGGCTTTCTGGGCTGCTTACTTTAAATGCAATATAGTGCAATGCAAATTTCTAAAGCATTGCTTTTCTATGCAATGAAGATTAAGTTCAGTGTTATCTAAGCACTTTCTACTGATCTTGAAATGCAGAATAAATTAGTAGACTGAAAGAGCTCCCTAAAATCTTAATGCAATTTCAGACTGTATTTGCTATCATTTATAAAATTTTATTATTCAATATTTGGCAAGTATTATTGGTCAGCCCTTTTTGCTTACAATGACTATATATATATTTCAAGCCTTTCTCATTCTTCTGCAATTTGCAAAGCATGAGAAGCAGTTATCCCAGTGGCTTATCTCAGCTCACAAGGGTACCAACAAGGGAGACAGAGATAATGTTCTTAAAGTATAGGGTCCATAGGAACTGGAAAGCTTAATTCTTGCTGTGACACTGTGGGGTTTCCATCATTATTTAAAAGACCTTAGACTAACAAGCCATGTACATCCATTTAAGGGAATGTTTATAAATATCAGACTTTGAGTTCACTGCTTTGTGAAGGTCGCTTTGTTATATGGTGAGGGCAGTTTATTTCAGCACCCATCACCCTGTAACATGTACTTAAAATAAATAAAAAGTCCAAGAGGAGTCTTTGCCTCCCTCATCATTAAAATAAATTTTAAAACAACGTAACTGTTTACTAAATTGAAATATTTCATTGAAATGCTTCATTGATAGCTCTGATTCCTTATTTTTAAAAAATTTATTTCATATAAATCTCATATGGTACAAAAGTATTACATGCTTGGGCCTGTCTTGCAAAATAAGAGGTTCTTTCAGTTCTTCAGGCCAACCTTCCTTCAGAGGCAAATAAATAAGAAACATGTAGAACATATTTAGAAAATTTTTTACCATAATAAAAATATGTGAACATCTTATATTTAGCATAGTTTAGCAATCCAGTTTATGTCGACAAATTTAGTTCACTGCTGGGAGGCACATGTCACAGAAGAACCTAATAGGCAGCAGATATTTTAACCTGTAGGAACAAAATGTTTAACATTTTTCTTGTATTTTTTGAAGAAGGTACTCCATTTGTACATTCAAGTTTGGTTGGCCCTTTTTAGTCTTTTTGTTCAGTATTTTAAACACTTCCATTTTCTTCTTTTTGTACTGCCTTTGGGCTTCTTCTCTCTCCTGTTTTCTCCTCTCGAATTCCTAAAATTATTAACATATGTAACTTTCATTAGCAACAAACAGTAGATACAGTTCAGAAATTGTCTTGAAATAGCTATTACTAAGCAAACACTCTAAGGTTTGTCTCTTCTATTTTGCAAGATGTGCACTGTTTCTCCTAATTGAAGCAAAGTACCCTCTTTGCCTTCATATTATAATGACCCATGGTATAACAGAGAATTTTCATGATCACAAAGCCCCAGCTCTATATAAACAAAATTTTAAAAGGACATTAAATGTTTTACAGCATAATGGTCATTACTGCACTTCATCTGATATACTGTTTCCAAAGGTGACAGATGGTTGGAAAAAGCATAAAGCTGTGCTAGTTAATACTGGTCCAGTATTCCCATGAAGAAATTTTCCTGCTTTCTCCTAATCTGCCACCAGCTTAAGAACAATGAAAACATTTTTGATGTTAAGAATTCTTAATTACAGATATTCTAAAGCAAAAACAAGCAAAATTACATATCTTTAGGGTATTTTTAACTGACACATTATACTTTTTAAAGCTACAGATCAATAAAACTTCAATGGAAAAACAAGAACTACCACAGTTACAACAAAATGACAATTTTGTTGAGGCTGTGGGTAATTCTGTATTCATTTGAAAAAAGCCTAATTCTGGTCTACAATTCTGGTTTTCTAAATAATAGAGTGCTAACTTTTGCTAAGCTAAAATAATAGTTGTTTTTTTTTTTTAAACAGGCAAGAACACCTCTTTATAGTAAAAAAGTATTTTATTCTAACACCTCCCCTTTGCTTTTACTTTCTTCAATGTAATGTTATGAAAATCATCTATATTTTTCTTAGGTCAGTGGTTCTCAAGTTTTATCATACATAAAAATCTTTTGAGGTGCTTGTTAACAAGTGCAAGTTCCTGGACCAAACTCAGTGAAACTTTGTCCCAGATGTTCACAATATTGACCTATAAACAATGTGTTCAAAATCCTATTTTTGACCTACTAGTATTGCTTGACATAATACAAGCAAGGACTTGGAATAAGATGCAATCCTCTACCTTTGCTCAGACTACTCATTCATTCAACAAATATTTACAGAGAGAATACTGTGTGCCCAGCACCAAGAAGCACAACAGGTATAGTATATATATTTAGGATAAATAAGAAAAACTATACTAAATATTTTCAAAGTAGAACTTACTTGTTTCTTAGCAGCACGTTTGGCTTGTATCTGTTCATATTCTTCTTGTGCTTTTTGATTTGATGTTTTCTTTTTATTTTTCTTTGGAATTGTAAAGGAGCTTTTAATTGGGGGATGAGGAAACAGGACTTTATTAGTAAAATGTCCAAAAAGGTATTAAAAACACAGTTGTAGCTTTTAAGAGTATATATTAAATAAAAGGCACAAATGGGGATTCTTAGAGAAATATTTCAACTAGGAAAAAATATAGAAAGCTATGAAAAATCCTAAAATGTTAAAAAAAAAAACTTTTAAAAGTAATGAAACCAGTATATGAATGATAGAAATGCCAGACTGAAAAAAGAATTAAACTTGTTGTTTAAGGATGTTAAGAAAATTATGTGTATATATGAACTTTAATCTCGAAGTTTTCTGAGCCCCTCCTCTCTATTCCATTTTACCTACCTAGTCATGAATCACCATACCTTGGATCTAGATACCATTTTGAACTGTTCTATCTTTAACTACTTCTCACCTCTCTGAAGATGTCCTTTTTGTCAAGGCTAATCCAACTACTTGGAATTCCATTCATTTCCTCAGCATCCTTGATTCAGTAATAACTTTACTTTCCTCTATCATTCAACTTTTCACTATACTCTGTAACTACAATATAATATTTTAATAGCTACTAATCACTAGCGACTTTGGACTAGTGACTAGTGACTGCCTAGTCCACAAATCCAGAGACCTGTCCTCAGTCCTATTCACCTTCAACTTTATAGTACAGTAGCACACCCCTTATCCATGGTTTCCCTGTTCCACGGTTTCAGTTACCTGCAGTCAACAGAGGTCCAAAAATATTAAATTGAAAAATTCCAGAAATAAACAATTCATATGTTTTAAATTGTACACCACACTGAGTGTTTGCTTTAAGTGAAAAGGTAAAAGTTCTTGACTTAATAAGGAAGGAAAAAAAATCGTATGTTGAAGTTGCTAAGATCTATGGTTTTAAAAAAAATCTTCTATACATCAAATTGTGAAGGAAAAATAAATTCATGCTAGTTTTGCTGTCATACTTCAAACTGCAAAAGTTATGGCCACAGTACGTGATTTAAGATGGAAAAGGCATTAAATTCCCAAGTAAAAGACATTAACAGAAATACATTCCAATTGACAGAAACTGGGTTTGGTACCATTTGCAGTTTCAGGGCATCCACTGGGGGTCTTGGAACATCTTCCAAACAGATAACGGGGGACCACAATATTTGATAGCTGACTAATCCCTCACAACTTTTCTCTGTGGACTGAGCTGTCACTGTATTTCTCTTTCTCCAGTCCTGAAAAGCTTAACTTCCTCAATGACAATATTTTCCCTGTTTCCACCCCAAAATAAACCGTAATCTTTAAAAGCATGATTTTTTACCTTCCTTTCTCATGATTTAAACTTCCTTACTTCAATTATCAGAGAATAACTCAAATCTACATTTCTACTGCTAATCTTTTCCCTGAACTTTATACTGATTATTTAACAATATAATGATCAAGCCTACCAAAAGTAGTAAACTTTTTGTGTCTCTGCCTTCATCCCCAATTACATTTTTACCCCCCGTGGTCCCATTTCCTGTTATTTTTAGCGCAAATAGCTCACGACTTTAAAAGATACGGTTTTAATGAAGTAAAAAATTATGCTCCCAAGTTAATACCCAGCTTCTTGCAATTTTAGATTTTAGCATTGTTTTTTAACTTTAAGTATGCAGCGATAGTTTTTTATAAGTTAACTCTTATAAAACCAAAGCGTCACGGAGCTGTGCATTTGCAATTGCAACCCATTTCTGGTCCTCTGCAGAAAATCCAGATTAATAGTAGTAGCTAACGCTCAAGAGCACTAACCACGTACCATATATACCCTTTAAGATCCTCATATACATTAACTCGCTGAGTCTTCACAACAATGTCATGAAACACCTTAGGAACACCTGAGTTTATGTGAGTAATCCATTCTGGAGCTGTGCAACATGGCAGCTCTGAAGTATATATTCATTACAGTATTATCTTTCCCAATTTAAAGAGGACATAGTGTTATTTTTCCCATTTTAAAGAAGAGGTCACTGGGGCACTAACATGTTGAGTCTGGCTCTAGAACCCATACTGTTAATGACTAAAATTATAACACCTCTCAGAAGTTATTTTTCAAAAATATAGTCATAACATATGGTCCAATCAAGTTACCACCTGTACTTGAGAGGAAGAAACCCAAATTCCAGAGCTCTTAATTCCCATTACGTTACTTTGTCAATTAGGCTAAACCAGCCTAATTCAGTTATTGAAGCTAAAAATAGAGCCTCCATGAAAATGTTTCCCTAATTAAACCGTGACTTCTAAAATGTGTTAAATAAGAAAAAATACAATTCCTATATAAATTATCCTATAGTACTTTTAAATAATAAAACAACACTTAAAGGATTTCAAATGAAGAAAATACATACTTTACTGTTTTAATACATTGTTCTTCTGGCTGAGGCTGGTCAAAGCTACAC
Organism: Homo sapiens; assembly: GCF_000001405.40. Lineage (NCBI taxonomy): Eukaryota > Metazoa > Chordata > Mammalia > Primates > Hominidae > Homo > Homo sapiens. The sequence goes on from NC_000012.12 coordinate 82,357,011, forward strand.
TGATCTTCAAATAAAGGCTCGTCAATGCTACACTGTTCTTCAAGCAACGGCTGGTGAACTTGTTCTGACAAAGGATGGTCGACTTTTCTTGCTTGCTTCCTATGTCTTTCCTCTTCAGCTAAATAGAGATGTTTCAGATTATCTGGGTATCGATCTGTGAATTGAGATTCCAGTGACGTTTGAGCCTTCTTTTCCTTCCGTAGCAATTTCTTGTAACTTTGCTGTATTTTCAGTTTTCTTCGAAAAGCAAAGCCTTGTCCTACATTGAGGAATATCATCCAAAATTACTTTCAGAGAAAAGAAGTTGAACGAAGAATGGAGCTGTTAATTACAAATGAAAACTTTTTTTACGTCATCACATTCAGATTCTAGTATTATATTTTGCTTTAAAAAATTATTTCAAGCAACAAATTTAAGCTGATGGATTGCATAGTAAGTTGGCCCTTTGCAAAAAGACCAGGCTAACAGTCATGCGGAAATCCAAGTAAGAATCTCAAAGAAAAACTGACCAGTTCAGACTGTTGCACAACTTGAGTTTACAGCTGTATTCACAAATCAAAACAAATTCCTTAGTTCATCTAAAACACTTAATCTGAGCCTTCAATAAATGCTTAAAAAATAGGAAAGAAAATGCCACATCTAGTATCTTGGACAAACTACATGTTTTCGAAAATGTTTCAACACGAAAGAAAAAGACAGTGTATGGTTGTCTGAAAAGCTAGCAATTATCGGAAGACTGAATTTAACATTTATATATTCCAAGTGGGATCTAAGAGACCTTACAGACAGCAATACAAAATGACAAACACAAATTAAAGCGAAGGCTGGAGGGCCTCGGGTATTTGTAATAAGGAAGAATTCGGAGCAGTGTTTCTGGCCCTGTCCTCCTCTCTATCCTTTACCTTACCACATGCGCAAGAGTTCACAGGGTCATAGACTCTCTCTGCTCAGTTTCTCAGGAAAAATATAGGAAAAAAGTTCTGATGAAATACAGGGTTACGTCAGAAAAGACGTTTAAATAATAGCAACACTGCTCCGTCTTCCTATCTAGAGCTCTGCGAAGCTCACAGCTTTAGCGGGCTCAGGAATGAATTCCCTTGCCCCAAGTAGGACCGGGTCTGGTTCCTAAATCCTTCTTCCAAGCTTCAGCGAATCTTATATCCTAAAACTTAGCAAGCCTGAGGATTTGCAAATGGTTGCCTTCTTACATACCCTCGCGAACGCTCCCCACGAAGGCTTGCGGGTGGTTAGGCCGCCATGTCTTCTGTCTCACATTCTTATTCCTGTACCCGACAGTGGAAACCCCTTCACCACGCGCCTCAATACCACCAGGCCGCCACTTCGCGGACCGCCTCACCGGCGCCATTGCAGCCGACTAACTGCGTCATCAGAAGACCACGACGGACGCCCACAAAATACGTCACCAAGCCGAAGCAATCAATCGCTCAGAAGGAATCCGGCTCGGAGCTCTACTGAGCCTGCCTGTGCTAATTTGGGCCGAGCTGGCGCCTCACGGCCATGTTTGCGCCACCTACAGCCTCGGAGGGTGAGCGTCATGGCGGCTTCTTGCCCTCTCCCGGTGACCCCGGACCTGCCCACGCTGCGTGCCAAGTTGCAGGGACTGCTGCAGTTCCTGAGGGATGCCCTGTCCATTTCCAATGCACATACCGTGGATTTCTACACAGAATCCGTGTGGGAGGAGCTGGTCGACTTGCCACCGGAGACAGTGCTGGCTGCGCTGAGGAAGTCAGCGTCGGAGACGGAGGCCCTGCCCTCAGAGACGCGCCCCCTAGTGGAAGCAGAGTGGGAAGCAGGTGGGTGGTGGGGTAGGCGGGGCGGGAAGGGAGGCGGAGGAGAAGGTCCCGGCAGACGAAGCGAGCCCCCTGGTGGAAGCCAGCAGAACCAGGTGCGTGGCGGCGGAGGCGGGGCGGCCCGCTGGGAAACCGAGGAGGGGTCGGATTAGTTGAGGGGTGGGGTGGGGATGTTCTTTGGAATCAGGATCACTCTTTCTTTGGGTGCTTGTGTATGTCCACAATTTAAAGAAAGCAGGAAACAGGGCAGGGGAGTTCCTTCATCTAGTAATTCCATAATAATTGACGCTAGGGAAACTAGGGGAGCAGTGCTCTCACAGGTTTTATAAATGCCAGCATGTGGTGGAAGATTACTCAACAGTTAATAAAGATAATTTCAAGTGGTGGTAATGAAGTAGAAAATAAAAACAGTGTAATGTGGTAGGGATTGTGTAAGGAGGCTGCCTCAATTTAGGAGGTCAGGAACATGAGAAGGCACTAGCTGCAGAGCCACAGGGAGGGGTTGCAGGCGGTGGGAACCGCAGGCTAGGCTTGGCTCTAGCCAGGTGAGGGGCTGCAGGTGCAGGACGGGAGGCAAGCAGAGGCCAGATGGCACAGGCCTTTCTAGGCCTTGGAAGGATTTTGGATTTTAAGTGTGACGGAAACCCTTGGGATTATTTAGGCAACATAGTGACCTAATTCACATTTGAAAAGATAACTGTGAATTATTTGAAGAATAGACTAGGGCAAAAGCTGAAGCTGAGAGGCCAGTTAGGAGACTACCTCAGTAGTACAACAGATGATTGTATCTTGGACTAGGATGGTATTCGGATAGTCACTATTTCATTTAAAAACTATTTTAAAGTACCTAATATGTGTCTTGAATTTTTGTAGGCTCAAGCTTTTCCTACCCTCAAGAAATGTAGATTCTTCTCAGGCAAGCATATTTTGGAAGTAGAATGATGGACACCAACAGGCTTCTGGGATTTTTACTTTCCTTCTAGACTTCCCAAAGTTACCCTTACTAGTGAACTTTATTCATTGAGCATTCTCTGAATGCAAAGCATCACTAGAGGGACCTCTTATAATAGCACTTGGTAAATACTGTTGTTGTTTTTTTAAGTAATTGTTATTGAAAAGTTAGGCACTTCTTCAGTTTGCTCTCATAATAAATATATGGCACTTATGATATGACAATTTTACTTAAACTCCAAAAGAGCAGAGTCTTTGTCTGACTTGTCAACTGATGTATTCCCAGCACTTGGTAAAATACTTGGCATACATTAGATACTGGATGAATATTTGTTGAATGGAGGAATTAATGAGTTACTCATGTTAGTTTTAAATAAATAAAATGAAACTACTCTCAAGTTTAGAGTGTAAGACTTTAATACGTGTTTAGCCTGGTCTCCAGACAATGGTAGAGTCAGATTGTCTTACATATTCTAATAATAATTGGATTATTTGATATTTACTATATACCCTGTAGTGTGCTAAGTGTCTTCATGTGTATTTTCTCTTTTAATCTTTACATCAGCCTTGCAAGATAGGTTCTGTTATTGTCGATTTGTGGAATTATAACTTGAGGAGTTAATTTGCAAGGGATATAGCTGATAATGGAAGATTCTCAAACCTGGGTCATCTGATTTGAAACTTTTTTAGTGCTGTAAGAAAAAAAGTATACTAGATAAGGGAGGAGTAAGTAAGGGGAAGAAGAGGAAAATGTTTGCATTTTTAAGTAAGTTGTCCTGGCAAGACCTCACTGAGGTGACTCTAACGCTGAAAAGATAAGAAAAAAACCGAGCCATGAAGATCTCTGGAGGGAAAGCAGTCCATTTAGTGACAACAGGAAACAGAAATGCCCTGACGAGGGAGCCTACAAGGTATGTTTAAGGAGCTGTAAGGAGACTGAAATAGATTTCCACTAGGGACTCACAAGGAGTATGGTCTTGTGTCCGGAATTGTTAGGTTCTTGGTCTCACTGACTTCAAGAATGAAGCCACAGACCCTCTCAGTGAGTATTATAGTTCTTAAAGGCGGCGTGTCCAGAGTTTGTTCCTTCTGATGTTTGGATGTGTTCGGAGTTTCTTCCTTCTGGCGGGTTCGTGGTCTCGCTGGCTTCAGGAGTGAAGCTGCAGACCTTTGCGGTGAGTGTTACAGCTCACAAACGCAGTGTGGACCCAAAGAGAGAGCAGCAGCAAGATTTATCACAAGGAGTGAAAGAACAAAGCTTCCACAGGGTTGTCGCTGCTGGCGCCAGCAGTCTGCTTTTATTCTCTTATCTGACCCCACCCACATCCTGCCGATTGGTCCATTTTACAGAGAGCTGATTGGTCCATTTTGACAGGGTGCTGATTGGTGCATTTACAATCCCTGAGCTAGACATGAAAGTTCTCCTAGTCCCCACTAGATCAGCTATACACAGAGCACTGATTGGTGCATTTACAAACCTTGAGCTAGACACAGGGTGCTGATTGGTGTATTTACAATCCCTTAGCTAGACATAAAGTTTATCCAAGTCCCCACTAGACTCAGGAGCCCAGCTGGCTTCACCTAGTGGATCCCACGTTGGGGCTGCAGGTGGAGCTGCCCACCAGTCCCATGCCGTGCGCCCGCACTCCTCAGCCCTTGGGCGGTCGATGGGACCAGGCACTGTGAAGCAGGAGGCGGTGCTCGTTGGGGAGGCTTGGGCTACGCAGGAGCCCACGGTGGGGGGGAGGGGGACTCAGGCATGGCGGGCTGCAGGTCTTGAGCCCTGCCCCGCAGGGAGGCAGCTGAGGCCCGGTGAGAATTCAAGAGCAGCGCTGGTGGGCCGGCACTGCTGGGGGACTTGGTGCATCCTCCGCAGCTGCTGTCCTGGGTGCTAAGCTCCTCACTGCCTGGGGCCAGCGGTGCTGGCCGGCTGCTCTGAGTGCTGGGCCTGCCAAGCCCACAACCACCCGGAACTCGCGCTGGCCAGCAAGCGTGGCGCGCAGCCCTGGTTCCCACCCGTGCCTCTCCCTCCACACCTCCCTGCAAGCTGAGAGAGCCAGCTCCAGCCTCGGCCAGCCTAGAGAAGGGCTCCCACAGTGCAGTGGTGGGCTGAAGGACTCCTCAAGCGTGGCCAGAGTGGGCGCCAAGGCTGAGGAGGCGCCAAGAGCGAGTGAGGGCTGCCGGCACGCTGTCACCTCTCAGTCTTCTGCTGATATTTTGTGAGGAGTTACAAGTAAACATAATTCCCAGAGCGCAATGCACAGTTTGGAAAAGCACACTAACAGATGTTCGGCACAATCATTTGGTGTTTTATGGAACAAAGTTTTTTCTAAAAGTCCTCAGTGTGTCCATTTCAGTAGGTTTCATGTGCCAGGTGATCTTCTTGTCTCATTAGAGTCCTAAGAGTTTCTTCTTCATTGTTCGTCTAAAAAGAACTAGAATAAAATATTTAATTCTCTAAAATAAAAAGCAAATATGTTAGAAATAACTATCTTTTCAGTGCATAAATTATGGCTTTCCAGACAGACTTCCTGGGGTCAAATATTGACTCCAGCACTTAGTAGCTGTGCTAACTTGGGCAATTTACTTCAACTCGTTGTACATTAGTTCCTCATCTGTAAAATGGGGGTAACTTTAGTACCTGCCTGATGGGATACTGTGAAAGGTAATTCAGCTAATATATAGAAAGGGATATCTTTCACGTGAAGTGAACAGCAGGTGCCCAAGCTGGAGCACGCTTGGTGCATTTTAAACACAGCTGAGCAGTCTTGGTGAGACCGGTGAGAGATGGCATTTGGAGGTAGCCCAGGACATCCTCACATAAAACTTGTAGGCTGTACTCAGTATTTGGCTTTTATTCTGAGTGAAATGCGAAGCTCTTTGAGAATTTTGTGTGGTGATGTGATACCGTGTGATTTATGTTTCAAATCACCTGGTTTCTGTGTGGAGAAGAGAAGGTAAGAAAGGTGAAGGAAATTAAGGGAAGAAACAGGAATACAATATAAGAGGCTATTAAAATAGTCCAGGGACATTTCAAGGAACAGTAGCTTGAAGAGGTCAGATTCCCCTGCAGATAACAATGATGAAAACTGGCCAGATTATTAAAAACAACTGTAAGATTCTGGAAAATGCCAAAGGCAGAAATATAAGAAGAGGTTACTATTGAAAGACTGTGATTGATTGGGTAGGAAGTCAGAGTTTATGGCTTTCTTGCTAGAGATGCTCCTAGCCCCTGTAGATCTAGCAGTGGAATACCACATCCTTACCAGGTCAAGGTGGTGATGGCAAAATTCAGAGATCGGAGCAGGTGCAAATTTAAGACGTACATTCTGGAAACAGGAGATACAAAAGGTCTGAGATCTAAGATCTGAGTATAAACGCTGCCTGAATCCCCAAATGATCTCTTAACTCCACATGCCTGGGAGACCTAGAGATCCTAGCAGAAACACTGGCAAAAAACTTTTGAGAGGCAGAGCTTCCCCTGGCTAGAGATCCCACAAGTTTGCTGCACCTTCAACAGAGTGTATTTCCTAAAGTACATACAACTTGGGTGGTAAATATCAGAAGCCTTATTGAATTCTTGTATGAAAGGGCAAAATTCAAGTTTGGCAGAGCAACTGGAAATTTACACTAGGGAGTCTTTGAATTGTAAAAAAAGGAACTACAGAAAGGGTGAGCCTCAAAATCTGACTAGAAAATCTACCCAAATCTTTATCTGACTGCTAAACTCTGCAGGCTCAGGTATACCACCAGACAGTGGGTAAATAAAAAGCAACTAAGCAGAGACATCAGCTGCTGCACTCTGAAGGGGGGATAGTTTTCACAGTTTGAGTCAAAACAAGTTGACTTCCCACTATTAATAGAACAACAACCACCACAAATCCTTAGGAAAACAAAATAGATTCACTACAATAAAGTATCTGCCATTCCATTTTTCAACTAAAAAAAACTAGATGTTTAAAAAAAAAAAAAAGGAAAGTGTGACTCTAACTTAGGAAACTAATTCCAAGTAAGCCCTAATGCTGGATTTTAGTACCTATGATGAAAGAATTGAAGGATAGTGTGACCCGTATTTAGGAAAAAAAGAGTAAGTCAATAAGTGCTGATCCTAATTGGGCTAACGTGTTGGATTTCAGTGGCTGTTATAAATATGTTTAAAGAGCTCCAAGAAAATACACTGGGAGAATTAAAGGAAACTATGGTATTAAGGAATATTTAATTATAGTACCTACTTTATGCCCCTTTGAAATGAAAAGTACACACTTACCGACACACAATTGTATTAATGTTATGTATTATCTATTGCTGCATAACAAGTGGTTTAAACCTATACTATCTCATCAGTTTTTGTGGGTCAGGAATTCAGGAGCAGATTAACTGGGTGGATCTGGTTTGGGATCTTAAGAGGTCACAGTCAAGAAGTTGGCTGGGGCTGTAGTTGCTGAAGGCTTGATTGAGGCTGAAATATTTGCCTCTGTGATTATCTCATTCACATAGGTGGCCATAATATTTCATTCGCATAGGTGGCCATAATATCTCATTCACGGAGGTGGCTAGTTGGTGCAGGCTGTTGGCATGAGGTCTCAGTTTCATACCATGTGAACTTTTCCTACGGGGATGCTTTTGTGGCAACTTTGTGTTTACATGACGTTCTTGTTTTTGTCTGCACTCAGACATGATTATGAAGTTGGCATGGTCACAAACCTTGTCTGATGTTGGTGTACTGAGAAATTTTTCATGTTTAGTAGGAAAGACTGTGGCCTACATGTTAGTTCAAGGTCAGCTATGAGCTGACATCTGTCTGTTACATCTGGGGTTTTTTCTTTCCTTTTTTAAAAGTAGGGATAATATTACCTACCTTCTAGGACAGCAAAGATTAAAGATGATGTATACATAGCACCTAGCATAGAACTGAGAATATAGCATGGGTTAATAAATTGTGGCTAATACATGATTGTGATGGTTGTGATGATGATTGGTAGTGATGGTATAATTAGGTCTTTACTTGGAAGAAATAAATTGTCCAGAGTTCCTGGAAGTTTATGTTCTAAACAAATATATTTTTTGCCATATTAATAAATAACATACTATTGTTATTGTCTGTTGGCTTGTCTGTATCTGCAACTAAATTATAAACTATCAAAAAACAAAGGTACAATGTTTGTCTTTTTCACTATTTTCAGCATCATAAACAGTTTCTGTTTATAGATGAGTAAATTAAATGATTCTATTTTTACATTAAAATTGTTTATTTTTAATTGGCAAATAAAAATTATGTATGTTTATTGTGTACATCATGTTTAAATAATTCTTGAAAGAATGAAGTTAAACATAGATCTAATAAAGAGTCTTATTGAAGGCACTCCTTGCACATACCTAGTACTCAACTAGACATATATTATTTCTGGTTGATCCCTGAGTTATATTTATGATCATTGTGTATGATAATAAATATTAGTTATATGATCCAACTAATAGATTTTTAAATTTATTTGAAGAGACACAAATCAATAACTGTTCTTTCCCTATGTGGAAATATAGTACTTTATTTAGTACATTACAGATTACAATAAAATACCCTGGGAATTTGGACATAAAATCAGAACAAGTATCACTTCAGGTTAAAATGTCTAAAAGTTAGTACATAATATAGGCGAGATTAACCATCTGCAGCAAAAAAGCCAGTAGAGACAGCTTCTAAATATTTTGCTGATAGGATAAATATGACCTATATCTTATTTTGGAGATTAAGATTTCATTATAGCTCCTTCAAGGAAACCAGACTGTGTTCTTGGGAAGTAATGACTGTAAGTGTAAATCTGTAACATTCTCAGCAGAATCATCATTGATCTTCAGAAATTAATTGTTGTTTAATGGAATCTAGAAAATTCTTCTGAAAAGCAAGAGGGGAGAGATAGTCTAAGTCAGGATAGCTAAAATATTTTATGAAACAGAAATAGATCAAAACAACAGAAGCAACTTAAGCAGCTTACTTAGCTTGCTGAAAATTTTAAGAATATCTGGCCTCGGCCGGGCGCGGTGGCTCACGCCTGCAATCCCAGCACTTTGGGAGGCCGAGGCGGGGGGATCACGAGGTCAGGAGATCGACACCCTCCTGGCTAACACAGTGAAACCCCGTCTCTACTAAAAATACAAAAAATCAGCCAGACATGGTGGCGGGCACCTGTAGTCCCAGCTACTCGGGAGGTTGAGGCAGGAGAATGGTGTGAACCCAGGAGGCAGAGCTTGCAGTGAGCCGAGACTGCGCCACTGCACACCAGCTTGGACAACAGAGTGAGATTCCGTCTCAAAAAAATTTAAAAAAATTTTAAAAAAAAGAATACCTGGCCTCATTTGTTCTCATTGTAATTCTAAAATTAGGAGACTATCCTAACAAATGAGTGTTACAGATTATTGTTATAGGTATATTTCTCAGTGGAAACTAATACATTTGTATTTCAAAGTCAACATCTTATAATGTTATTTAAATTAGCTGGGGATAGCCTAATGAACTCTCAGGAATTCCAGCTTCTGTGCCTGCCAAAGCATAGGGATCCTCTAAGGCACTGAGCCTCCAGGGACTTTCTCTTGACTTTTCTTTCAGTTTCTTGACGCCATATGCTGCTTCTCCTGTTTCACATTATTACTCAAATGATCCTACCAGGATTGGGTGCTGAGTAAATGTTTATAGAATCAGTTCCTTTTGGTGATCATCTGGTGTAATTATTTTACTACCATTTTAATTGAACAACACAGAAAGTGTATGTCCATGATAGATTATTCTTTTATCAAGCTTGTCTTTATTTTTTTTTTTTGCATCTTAATAAATTAAATGTTTTCTTGGCCATCCTAAGTAGTTTTTATTGTTGGTGGTGGTAGTAATTCGAATGCATTGAAATTGCGCTCATATTTAATTTGAAACACATGAAGGCAGAAAGTATGTTGTTGGAAACAGACAGTGAGAGCACAACGGAGAAATAATTAGTGTGTTCTGTTTTACTCTGCTGTATGTAACTTTTATTCATTCACTTTCCTTATATATTTTTCTGAATTCCATTTTCTCTTTTTCAGTTTTTCTGAGTCATTTTAGATTTCAAATGTAAAAATAATATTACATTATAACAAGATAGTGGCCAGTGTTAGCCCCATTCCAGGGGAACTTCTGTAATCATAAGTAAGAGAGAGCTGCAATGCAAACAAATCTTTGAGAACCAAGGATAATTTTTCTTTTTGTCTGTTTGAGATATAGAAAGTGTCTTCAGATTTTCCTTTTAAATAAAACTATTTAGAACTTAAATTTGTTTTCTAATTTTTAATGGTACCTCCTCCACTACTTTCCCCTTTCCCCATATCTTTCAATTATTAGAAGTTCAGTAAAACAGAGTTCATGGAGATTCCTTTCATCTGTTGCATTTTTCCTCATTCTACTTATATTATACTGTTTTCCTGTGTTTAGCCAATCATCATATATTTGGTTGCCTCTATTCGTTTGGATTTTTAAAATTTTATATCAAATCATTAAACTTTCCTTGTAAGCTTATAGTTATGGTTACCTGTTATCATCATTTATCATAATTTAAATTCTTTCCTTGGTTTTAAAAAAAACTTTTCTACATGATTTCATGCCTTCTGGAGTCTGTATTTATTTTGTTTACTCCTCATCACCTCAGTGGTTTAAGCATTCCTTCTATAAATGACATTATTATTCTTCCTGTTACCTCAGTTCATAATCCGCCAATTCCTCTTCCTCCATTACTCTTGCATTTGCTCTTTTTCATTCCCATAGAAAATAGTTCAGTGTCACCTCTCCTTTTTAAATCTTGCAACAGAATTTTTGTAATGGCTTCCAACCTGTTGTTCTTGCCTTTAGACTGTATTTCATTCATGTTGCCACTCAACAGCTTTCAGATTTATTGTCCAAAACCGTAGTTCTGATCTTGTCATTCTTCTGCTCAAAACCCATCAGTAGTTCTTCATTTCCTACAAAATAAAGTTCTTCACCTTTGGCCTTATCTTGTATCTGCTCTTCAGCTGGAACTTGGCTACTAATATAAACAAATAGGAGATAGCATGGAAAGAATATGGATTTTAGTGTCAGTCACACATAGTTTTGAATCCTGGCTCTGATACTTTAGTACTGCATAATCTTGTGCACTTTAGTTAAGCTTTTGCAGCTCAATTTCCCCTTTTGAAAAATGGGAATCCTAATTCTTGTCTGAAAGGTCTCCATAAAAGTAAATGAGATATATATTAAAACGTAGTGTGCAAATGAGTAGGCCCCATAATAAATAATAGCCACCTTCTTCCTACTCTGATGCTCTCAGATGGAGGCAGACTAGATGCAGAGTCAGAAGACCTGATTCTAATCCATCTCTAACTCTGATTAGCTGTGTTATCTTGCACAGGGCATTTAACTGTAGGGCTCAATTTTCTCATCCAAGAAGTAACTGCGTAAGTTGTTCACCTATGGCAGAGGTAGAAAAATAGCCACTGCCAGACTTGTGTGGCTTAGAAACACATCTCATTTAACCAATATGGTGCCTACATTTTTTTTAGCCAACATTTCAAGATTGACAGATTTCAGATTTAACACACACATACACACAGACACACACCCCTGGAATTGTAGCTTCTGTGGAAAACATTAGATCTGGCCATTTTGTTGCATATCTCTGTGTGGCAGACAGCTTTCTTTTGGGGGATATATCCGTTTCCTCTAGCTAGCTTCATGAATAGAAGTAATCTGCCTGGCCCCCTAAGGTACCAGAAGTTCAGCTCTTGGGTTGCAGGCTCCAATCAGTTCCCTCATACCCCCGAAAATGAATTCAGGAATTTGTTTCACCTTCTCAAAGGAGACTGATAACCAAAAATAGTTATAAGTCAATTGAATAAAAGATACCTAGGGTTTCTTCCAGTTCTCAAATCCTAGGGAAATACAATGATTTAAATATTTTATCCTCAGACCTTATTAGTCCCTGCTATTAACACCATGGTCATGTTGAAGGGCTGTGTCAATCTGGATCTTGAAATGAAAAAGTCTATATAACCAGTCAGTGGGTCACCTAGATAATAAATGATTCAACTTCCTACATGATCTGACCCCTGATCAACTTTGATTATGAAGATGGGTGAAATAATTTGATGTTCCTAATTTTTAAGATATATTTTCAGCCAAAGCAGAAGGGAAGAGGTTTGAGGAAATGGTTTAGTATTATCAACACTTCTCTTGGAATTTTCCCTCTACCCTTAAACTGTATACTTTAGCCACTTTGTTCTCTGAATGTACCATGTGTTTTTTCTCTAATTTTGTTCATGGTATCCTGTTTGTTTAGAGCTTTCCTACTCCCATCTATATAATAAATATTCACTCATATTGCATCTTCTTTCAAAGCCCAGGTCAGATTACACTAAATTAGTAATGAAATTACTCATTGTATGTTATTTTATTCATAGCTTCATTAGAGCACTTAGTCCACTGTGTTATGATGATTTGTTTTCTTTAACTTCCAGTTTTCTTTAACTCTCCAGTGTGTCCTGGTGTGTAGGATATAGTAAGTGACACATAGTAGGTACAAATTCAATGTTTTGTGTCCGGAATTGTTTGTTCCTCCCAGTGGGTTCTTGGTCTTGCTGACTTCAAGAATGAAGCCACGGACCTTTGCGGTGACTGTTACAGCTCTTAAAGATGGTGTGTCCGGAGTTTCTTCCTTCAGATGTGTCCAGAGTTTCTTCCTTCTGGTGGGTTCATGGTCCTGCTGACTTCAAGAATGAAGCCGCGGACCTTCACGGTGAGTGTTAACAGCTCTTAAAGGTGATGCAGACCCAAAGAGTGAGCAGCAGCAAGATTGATTGTGAAGAGTGAAAGAACAAAGCTTCCACAGTGTGGAAGGGGACCTGAGCGGGTTGCTGCTGTTGGCTGGGGTGGCCAGCTTTTATTCCCTTATTTGACCCCACCCACGTCCTGCTGATTGGTCCATTTTACACAGTGCTGATTGGTCCATTTTACAGAGTGTTGATTGGTGCGTTTACAATTCTTTAGCTAGACACAGAATGCTAATTGGTGCGTTTTTACAGAGTGCTGATTGGTGCGTTTACAATCCTTTAGCTAGATACAGAGTGCTGATTGGTGCGTTTTTACAGAGTGCTGATTGGTGCGTTTACAATCCTTTACCTAGACACAGAGTGCTGATTGGTGCATTTATAATCCTCTAGCTAGACAGAAAAGTTCTTCAAGTCCCCACCCAACCCAGAGGCCCAGCTGGCTTCACCTCTCAATCCCCCCTCTAAACAGGACACCCCAACTGCTGTTGGGAATCGGCCAGTGACTGCTCTAGCTAATTCCTGCTGGATAGGGGTGAAGAAGGAGCCCTGCAGTTGTAGTGTCCTCCATAGGGGAACTCTTTAGGCCAGTGAAAGGGCCAGCGGGTCAGTCCAGGGATCCTTGGTAGAAGTTGTTTGTTGAGCTCATTTGGGGTTCCATTTGTAAGACCATCTGTAACTTGATGGCCTCGATCCTAGAGGAAACAGATTTGACAAGGAGGTTAAAAATATAGGGCCCGAAGGTGAGTAATAGCAAGATGGCTGCCACGGGACCTAGAAAGGGGAGAAGCCAGGTTGCCCAACTCCAGAGGTTGGTATAAGAGTTTGAAAGGTGTTGTTTGATTTCAGAAGCCTTTTCCTGTAAATGCTGGGTGGCACCTCATACTATCCCTGACTGGTTAGTGTAAAAACAATACTTTTCCCCTAAGAAAGTGCAGAGTCCTCCTTTCTCAGCAGTGAGGAGGTCTAGTCCTTGGCGGTTTTGGACAGTCACTGCTGCCAAAGAGTCTATTTGGGATTGTAAAGAGAAGACCTTCAATTATCAATTATAGTTTTAAATTTACCCTGGTTTTTAAAGCAATGGGGTATACTGTTTTTTCTTTACTATTTCTATCTTTTTCTCTCTTTGACTCCTTCTTTGTCTCTCTCTTTCTCTCTCTGTCTCTGACTCCCTCTTTGTCTCTTCCTCCCTCTCTCTCTCTGACTTTCTGTCTCTTTCTCTCTTTCCTTTCTGCTGGCCTTTCCCTGCCTCTGCCAGCCGCTTATGCTGCTGTTCTCCTCTCTCCTTCTTCTTTTTGATGGCTTCAGCTGTGTAAGACTGCCACCTCCTTGGGTTTTTGCACTGCATGCAATAACTCCATGATTTCCTTGTGGTATTTGATGGGGGTTCCCCCAGAGGTTAGGAACTCCCTTTCTTTCCATATTGCAACATGGGCATGTAGGATTAAATGAACACACTTACTATCTGTAGCAAAGTCTCCCAATTACAACTGAGGAGGTGGGAGAAATACCTGGTTACAGGCTGTCCCAGGATTCCTCAGGTGGTAACAGACCTTGAGGACAGTCATCCAGGACAGGAGATTAGCACTGAGAAGGCCATGTCAGTGTCCAGGAGGAAGTCAATTTCCTGGCCCTCAATTGTTAAAAGTACCCGAGGCTCAGTGAGGGTGATGACGTGAGCTGGTGCCTGCCCCAGGCACCCTCAGTCCTGTTGTTGGATCATCTGGTTGGGGCCTCCTGGCCCGGAGAATCTTTGCCCTCTGGGGCAGTGTGCCTTCCAATGATTGCCTTGGCATAGTGGACATGGACAAGGGGGCGGCTTGTTTCTCGTTGGACAGTCTTTTTTAAAATGTCCTTGTAAACCACACTGATAACAAGCCCTACCGGGTGATTGGCCTGCTCCATTTTCTGTCCTCTCTGAACCACCAAGGTTTGTCTGTCTGAGGGCCATGACTAAGGCTGTGTCCTTTGTCTAATCTCGTTTTTCCTTTTCGGACTGTTCCTCTTGTTCCCTATTATAGAACACCAAGATTGCCAGGTTTAATAACGCCTCCAGATTTTTTTCAGGGCCCAGGGCTCACTTTTGGAGCTTTCTCCTGATATCTGTGGCTGATTGGGTAATAAACTTGTCTTTTAAGATCAATTGACCCTCAAGTGAGCCGGGTGACAGGGGAGTATATTTTCTTAACGCCTCCTGTAGCTGCTCAGGGAAGTCAGAAGGATTTTCTTCCCTTCCCTCAGTTATGGTGGACATCAATGAATAATTTATGGACTTTTTCCTAATTCTCCTTAGTCCTTCTAGAACACAGGTCAACAGATGTTTACGACTCCAGTCCTCATGATCTGAGTCTATATCCCAGTGGATCCATACTGGGGACGGCTTGCTGACTGGTAGGGAATTTGTCCCTTTTTTCAGCTGTCATTCCATCATTTACTTGACTAAGATACAAGGTATCTCCAAACTCTCGTGCTGCAGCTAAAGCTGCATTCTTTTCATTAAAGGTCAGGGTTTGATCTATCAATAGCATGATGTCTCTCCAAGTAAGACTAAAGGTTTGCCCTAGACCCTGTAGGACATCCATATACCTATCAGGATCATCTGAATGCTTCCCCAGGTCTGCCTTGATCTGCTTTAAATCAGAGAGGGAGAAGGGGACATGTACCTGGGTTGGGCCAAATTCCCTTCCCCCTACAGCTTGAAGGGGACATAACGAATAGCCTGGGGATTTTTGTGGTCCTTTGGAGAGTTCTTTGCTTGTTTCCTTCTGGGCAGGGGAGATTAGAGGAGGCTTATCATTAATAGGAAGGGGAGCTATAGGGAGGCTAGGATATGGGGGTAAGCTGAGAGGTCCTCCTGTGAGATGTAAATTGCAAGCTTTGCATAGTTGTGTATTCTCCTTCAATGAAAAGAAAGCTTGGACATAAGGTATTTCACTCCATTTGCCTTCCCTTTTACAGAAAAGGTCAAGCTGCAGGATAGTATTGTAATTTGTACTGCCCTCAGGTGGCCATTTTTCCCCATCAGAGAGAGAATATTGGGGCCAGGCCATAGTGCAGAAAAAACTGAGCCACCTCTTTTTTAGGATTTGCAGGTCAAATTGGTCCCAGTGGCTTAGGATGCATTTCAAGGGTGAGCCTGTTGGTGCCTGAGTGTTTCCCATCTGAAAGACAAAACCGCCTGTGATTTTGGTTTGTTTGTTTCTCCCCCTGCCCAAGAACCCACAAGGGTCCCTGGACCTTGCTGATTGGAATAGTTGCACTCGCCGACGTAGCAGCAGAAACACTTCTTGCCCAAGAACCTGCAACGGTCCCTGGACCCTGCTGATCAGAATAGTTGCACTCACCGACGCAGCAGCAGAAACACTAGTTTTCCTTCTAGACCACAAGGAGGACCGAGGAAGGTCGGATTTAGTGGCCCTTACCGACGCATTCTCGAAAACCTGCACCCTTGCGTGTCCTCCTAGACCACAAAGAGGCCCAAGAAAAATCGGATTTAGTGTCCCTTACTGATGCATTATCGAAAACCTGTTAGAGTCCTAAGCGTTCTCCTGTTAGTATTGGGACCTTACCACTGTCCTATAAATATGTTATGCCCCAAAAATGAAGTGGAGGGCCATACCCTGAGGGAGGGAAGGGATCTCGAGGGTTGGAAGAGTGACACCTTTTGTCCTCACTTGAATAGGAAGGATATCATTTCTGAAGCTCCCCATATCCTAGCTTCAGGAATAGCTTTTGTTAGGCCTGCTTGTCTGTGGCGGGATCCTAAAATTCAAGATAGTCCCTCCTACAATGGGGCTTTGGGCAAAAATTATGTCTTTCTGATTGGTGAGCCCGGGTGCCTAAAGAAGGGAATAGAGTCCTGGAGTTTATGCTAGAAATCATTCATATAGGAGAAACTAGAAAAGCATCAGAGACAGGGAGTGGTTTTTAGAAGCGGGACTAGCCTTGGAGAAGAGAGGTGAGAGAAAGTTTGTCTGACAGGCATTAGGACCCAGGAGGCAAGGGTCAGGATAGATAGGATAGATGAGTGAGTCTCGCTGGGGCGACATAACTTTGAGAGTTCCACTCATGGCTGCAAGGTCAACCAACTTGTTTGTGGGACCCTGGAGCTGATTGGCTTTTCTCTCTGTCAACCCTTGGCTCAGCCCAGAAGTACAGGAAAAGCAGAAGCTGGTTCCAGGCAAACCAGTGCTCCCAACTCCAAAGAGCCAGGGGTTGTTAGAGAGCTCTTTCCCAGAAAGTCTAACACCTGTGTCTTTAGTCTGGAGGTCATGCTAGTCGCTTTTAACTGGCCAATAGGTGCCCGGTATTAGCCCCCGAATTCTAAGGAAAAATAGGACAGAATAGCAAGCGAAAGGGGTCTGATGGTACTCACTGCTTGGTGATAGTCCCTTTGTGATCGCCAAAATGTGTCCAGAATTGTTTGTTCCTCCCGGTGGGTTCTTGGTCTCACTGACTTCAAGAATGAAGCCACAGACCTTTGCGGTGAGTATTACACTCTTTAAGATGGTGTGTCTGGAGTTTGTTCCTTCAGATATGTCCAGAGTTTCTTCCTTCTGGTGGGTTCGTCTTGCTGACTTCAAGAACGAAGCCACAGACCTTCACAGCGAGTGTTACAGCTCTTAAAGGTGGTGTGGACCCAAAGAGTGAGCAACAGCAAGATTTATTGTGAAGATCGAAATAACAAAGCTTCCACAGCATGGAAGGGGACCTGAGCAGGTTGCTGCTGCTGGCTGGGGTGGCCAGCTTTTATTCCCTTATTTGGCTCTGCTGATTGGTCCATTTTACAGAGCACTGATTGGTCCATTTTACAGAGTGCTGATTGGTGCGTTTACAATCCCTTAGCTAGACACAGAGTGCTGATTGGTGCGTTTACAGTCCTGTAGCTAGACACAGAGTGCTGATTGGTGTGTTTTTACAGGGTGCTGATTGGTGCATTTACAATCCTTTAGCTAGACACAGAGTGCTGATTGGTGCATTTATAATCCTCTAGCTCAATAGAAAAGTTCTCCAAGTCCCCACCCGACCCAGAAGCCCAGCTGGATTCACCTCTGTTTGTTGAATTTAATATGGTTACATAGAGAGTATGTGGGCATTCCAAGTGTATAGAACAGTGTAAGCAAAAGGGTGAAGCTGGAAAATTATAAAGCATATTTCAGGACAGTTAGAAACATGGAGCAAAGTATTAATATATTTTTAAGTAGCTAAAAATAATGTCAGAAAAAAATATTGCAGATAGTTTTGGAGGCTTGGCTGTTAAACTTTTTGAAATCATCCTTCCATGGGGACAATAGTGGTCTAGAGATGAAGGATGTGTGCTGAGACAAGGTGATGGCAGTGGAATAGAAAGGAAGTGATAGTTTTGAAAGATGCTGTACAGAGAAAATTGGTAGTGCTTGGTGACTGTTTATATAAAGTTTAGAGAAAAGGAAGAATCAAAGGTAATTCCAAGATTTTGATTGCAAACTTACAGAATAATAATGAACAAATGGTACCACTAGCAAAATTAGGAGAATCAGCAGAGGAAGCTGGGGAAATAATGTATTGCATTTTAGATATATGTTGCTGTGGTCTGAATATGCTCCTCCAAATTCATATGCTAAATATTAATTGCCAGTGTGATGGTATTAAGAAGTAGGACCTTTAGTAGGTGATTGAGTCATGAGGGTGGAGCACTCATGAATGAGATTAGTGCCCGTATAAAAGAGGTACAAGGAAGCTGACCACCCCTGCTGCATGTGAAGATGTAGCAAGGAGCACCATCTTGGAAGCAGAGAGCAACCCTCAATCTGTACCAACTATGCTGGCGATTGGTTTGTTCTTGGACTTCCCAGCCTCTAGAGCTGTGAGGAAAAAAAAAAATATATATATGTTCTTTATAAATTACCCAGTCTCAAGTATTTTGTTATAGCAGGAAAGGATTGAAACAGTTGTGTTTGAGGTCTTCCATGTAGAGATATTTAAGAAGTCCCATTCACTGCCTCCCAATCACTCACCTACTACCTTAAGTTTTTAGAAATGATTGAGATGTTTCAAGTGTAAACTGTCACTACTCTGGGCAGTAGGCTGAATTAGTGAGGTCCAGAAGTGATTGAAATGAATTTAAACCTACTGATGTTTGAGAAGAAGGAATAGACAACCTTTGAGCATCTCTTTTATGGCCTTTATAATATCAGTATTCTTCAATACTGTGGTCATTAATAGAATTAAGAATAGATCAGTGGAATTTATCCCTTATGACCTCAGAATGCCTGGTTACCCTTATATCCCAATTTAGGTTTGCAAAAATTACTTAGCATTTTATCAGTATGAAATTGTAGTTGTGGCCAGTACAACAGGTATGACCTCTGCCTTCAAAAATGTACATCTCAATAAGGAGGATAACAGATATCAATAATTGTAGCACAAAACAAAATGGAAGATGAATGGATTATGCCTTTCTAAGCAGAATTTTATTCTAGTTTCTTCCCATTTAATGTAGGAATTATACTTTTTCTAGATTAAGTAATATGTGAAAGTCCATGCTCTGAGCATTGCTCAAGAAATGGTTTTCAATCTTTATATTTTTTAAATTATTGAATTTCCAATTATGTGACAGTACTTTTATCGAAAACTAGTTGATTTCATTTTCCAGATAAGTTTTTCAACTCATACAAATTTTTAAACTCATACATTCATCCCTCTTTTTCAACATTCTTTATCTTCTAAATTAAAAACATGTACATCTCTCAATCATTGTATTGCTTTCATGAGTTAGTTTTGATAATTCTCTGCAAGAAATTCTAGTCCCCCTGCTTCTGCAAGTCAAGCTGTTCTTCATTTATAATTTTATTCTTCTCCATGTGTTTCTTAAAAATTTCAATGTCATTTTATTGGGAACTGAAGTAATCTTCTATGACAATTATTTTTAATTTAAATCATAACAGTATTTTTACAATTTATTCAGAGTTTCACCACAAGTGGCTCTATCTTTGACAACGGTTATTTCTCAAAATTTATCTTAGTTTACTATCTTTGTATCTATTGACTATAAAAGCATTATCCAAACACAGTGAACCTATCCTTTTGTCTGGAACACTTTCATTTATAAACCTTTAATACTGCTTAATACTTTATAATATTTCCTACAAAAGACAAATGTGGAAGCATAATCTTATTGTTAAATTATCTTTAAATAATTACTTTTTGGAGGGGGAGAGTCATTTTTCATCTTCTTTGCAAACTTTAATATTATAATTTATTGGCCGGGCGCTGTGGCTCACACCTGTAATCCCAGCACTTTGGGAGGCCAAGGCGGGCAGATCACAAGATCAGGAGTTTGAGACCAGCCTGCCCAATGTGGCGAAACCCTGTCTTTACTAAAACTACAAAAATTAGCCGGCGTGGTGGCGGGCACCTGTAATCCCAGCTACTTGGGAGGCTGAGTCAGGAGACTCTCTTGAACCCAGGAGGCAGAGGTTGCACTGAGCCGAGATCATGCCATTGCACTGCAGCCTGGGTGACAAGAGCAAGACTCTGTCTCAAAAAAAAAAAGAAAGAAAGAAAATATTGTAATTTATTTCTACTTTTGTTTGTTTTTAGTCTTTTTTTCTGTTCATCTCATATATGAATTTAAAAAAAATTTAGTCAAAAAAGTAAATATCACATGTGGCTGATTCTTCTCTGGATCAAGTGGTTGCATGCGTCACCTAGCATATCTCTAGGATTATGCAAAAAGACAATAAGCTTGCCTTTATTATAGATTTCAACCTGCATCATGCAAATTTATTATAACCATTTACTGTTATTAACATATGTTGTCAAATGGAATATTCTGACCTGTATGTTTGGTATCTTAAATTATTTCTAGTTTTTTGTTAGCTGGGTGTTATCTAAAAAACTCAGCTTAGTAATTAAAATTGTGAAGAATGAAAGAGGATCTGTTTAATAATGAAAATACTGGAGAGTAAAGTTTAGTTTTTTAAAGTTAGACTAATTTTAGAAATAGGAAATTTAGTCTACCAGTGAAAAAAGAATAATCTCAGATTGTTTAGGAAGTAAAAAACTACTTAGTTTTTCTGCTTTGAATATTTAAAATAATCTCTAGAATCAAGAGAAAAAACAGTTAATTGAATTGTTTGTCGTAATTTAACATTGTGTGAGATGAAGGGTAAGGAAACTGTGAAAGATAGTAATGTTAATATCTTAGGTCACAAATCCCATTTAATAGCTAATTTAAATGAATGCTATAGAACCACTGCATCAAAAAAAGGCTTAAGTATGCACAAATATTCACAAAACTTTACATACAATTTTAGGTGATTCATAGCCCTTGTAAACTCTTAGACATCAGGATAAGAACTGCTGGTTGAAAACATTATTAGTATTACAATTGTTTGAATTCATCTTGATTTAGGCCGACACTTGTGCTTCTTCTCTATTTTTTTTTCGTGTATCTTCTGATTTCTTGTTAAGAAATATTCCATTTTTCAAACATTTATTTAACTAATTTTTATCAAGTGCTGAAAACTGTTGGTTCTCCTCTGAGTAAACACTGCATTTCAGGTTCAGCCACAGAGTATCAGACCAGTGTCTTTAGGCTGATACCAATGACAGTCACTGAGGCTTAATTCTTCCCTTTTACATAATGATTGCAATCAAATGGGGAATTTAAATTTAACATTTAGGTTGGGTATTTTACTTGTTTATTTTCTATACAGCAATTACCTTGAATAATGGCCTGTAAAGAATAAAATTGACCTAACTTTTATGAACTATACACATCATTACAAAAACTAAGGAAGTAGTAAAGAACAAGATCTGGTGGAGATAGGGTAGGAGCTAGATAGAAAAAAAGTATGTGTTTACTGCAAAGACCTTTCACTTCTTCCTTTTACTTGGCAAATGATTATAACTAAATTCAGTTGATAGAGTAGAATAAACACATCTATTTTGTGTTAATGTTGAAAGGGAGCTTAGAATAAGAATAGAAGATGAAATTGAACTCAAATTAATGAAATGCACAACGGGAAAGAAAAATACAGTTTTAAGAGAGGGATATAACTTAATTCTACTCCCTCAAAATCCCTTATTAGTAATTTAGTTATGTTTAAATTTACAGTTTTCCTGAGACAAAGAATCCTTTATGTGCCTTGCCTCAATAATAAACAAACTGGCCAGGTGCAATAGCTCACACTTATGATCCCGGCATTTGGGAAGGGCTGAGGTGGGGGGATTGCTTGAGCTCAGGAGTTTGAGACCAGCCTGAGTAACATAGTGAGACCCTGTCTCTAGAAAAAATAAATTTAAAAAATTAGCTGGGCACAGTGGTGCATGCCCTTATCCCAGCTACTTAGGAGGCTGAGGTGAGAGGATCACTTGAGCCCTGGAGATCAAGGTTGCAGTGAGCCATGATCATGCTGCTGCACTCTAGCCTGGGCAACAGAGTGAGACCTTTTCTCAAAAGACAACAACAGCAACAATAATAAACAAATTGACAAGTCTTAATTATTTTTGGAAGCCCAAAAGTCTAGGTCCAGATCAAGATATAAAGAGAGATATTGGTCTTCTCAGTAAATGGACAGTAGCAGTGGCAGTGACTAAGGTAGTGACATTTTGAGGTGCTGTGGGGCAGTGGAGCCTACAGTGGTGTTCAGAAATGACAACCTAAGTAAGAAATGATGTATCTTTGGTCAGAAAAAGAGAAGAACAGAGGTTGATATCAATTCAAAGCAATTACTGCACTGAAATAAATATATTTTTAGTATACTTTACATCACTTTTTAACATTTTACAATTTGAAATTTGTATTTTGCTAACAAAATTATATTTGATTTATCAAATTTGAATTTATTATTCAGAAAATATTTATACATATTTAATTTATTCTTAAATGCTTCTCATTTTAAATGAAGTTTAAAGTTTATTGGATTTCTGGGAATTTAGTATCTGTTGTTTTTTGTTATTTTTTGAAACAGTTTGAGATTATGGGAAATTAAAACATTCTCGTGAAGCAAACTTGAAACTTTATTCCAGGTATTTAAGGCATAGCTGAAATTATATCTACCATATTTCACATCAAATTTAGTAAGAAGTATCATTAATACTAAAACTCTCTCCTGCACTTGAAAGTTGATCCTGGGACATGATGCCCAGTGCTAACCAGTGGATTAACAGAAACTGAGTAATTCTTGCTTTCATCCTACCTAGAGCATAGTATCCAGTGTTAACTATTGGACCTCCATGTTGGTTCTCAAGGTGCAGTTCATCCATCCTTAGTCATGCCTTCATTCTGCTGATGGAGATCTTGCACTCAGGTTCCAGAGCCCAAATCTCCTTTCTCCCAGCAGGTCCCACATTTAAAAGCTAAGTGTGCATATTGATCTTTCAGTTTCTTCTCTAGTAGCCTGTAAGATGTTCTGGCCTTAAATATTTGAGGTTTTAAAAATTCTATATTCCAATAAATTTGGAAAGTTGATCCAATTGTTAGGACACTCAGTAACTTAATTTGGACTTAATGGTTTAAGGGTTGCCTATTTATGTTCTAGGCTGCGTGTTAGGAATATATATTAAAATATAGTTAATTGTTCCCCTCTATGTTTCCATGTGTTCTCATCATTTATTTCCCACTTATGAGTGAGAACGTTTGGTATTTGCTTTTCTGTTCTTGCATTACTTTGCCAAGGATAATGACCTCCAGCTCCATCCATATCCCTGCAAAGGATATGATCTCATTATTTTTTATGGTTGCGTAGTATTCCATGGTATATGTAATCTGTACAGTAAACCCTCATGACAAAAGTTTACCTATGTAACAAACCTGCACATGCATCCCGACCTTAAAAGTTTATATATGTATGTGTATGTATATATATATATGTAGTTAAGTACATAATTGTATGTGTGTATATGAATGTACATGTATATGTGTATATATGTATTTGTTTATGTGTGTGAATTACATAAAACAACCCTATGAAATAGATATTGTTCCCCATTTTATAGATGAAGAAATTGAGTCTTAGAGCAGGTAAATAAATTGCTCATGGCCACAGGGATAGACATTCTGAGAACCAGAATTCAAACCCTAGTTCTTCCTCGTTCATTCATTGAGTACCTTCTATGTGCTGTACATTATTCTAGGTTCTGAGGATACAGCAGTGAATAAAAATTCTTGTCTTCTTGGATCTTGCTTACTATACCAGATGGTGATAAGTGCTTTAAAAAATTAATAAAGACTCAGAGGGTGATGAGAGTTCAGTGGGATTGCAATTTTTAACAAGACTGTCAGAGAAGTTTTCACCGAAATGGTAACATTTGAGCAAACACCTGAAAGAAGAGTGAGCCATGAAAATTCATGAGGGAAGGTGGTCTCAGACAGAGGTAAAAACAAGTGCAAAGGCCTGAGTAAGCTCATTCCATGTGGCATCCAATAGAATTCTAACTGGGAGTTGCTGAACCCCCTTCAATCCATATTGAACATTTGTTGTCTGCATACACTATAAATAGTAAAACACTAAGTCTCATAGACAATCGTAAGTTATAACAAAGTAGCTTTATTCAAGTTTAGTTTTTAACTTATACATGGTAGGTACCCCTGAATTGTTTATTTTTTATTTAGCAAATCAATTTCTAAATTTCTATTTCTTTGCATATTTTTGTTTTCCCTCAAATTAAACTGTGAAGAGTCTGTTAGAGTTAAAATACTGTGGTTACATTTTTCTATTTTTACATTTAATTTCATTTTTATAAGTAATGTAGTTAAGTGTGAAACTGCTTTAGGAATGGTTAAATGCACTTTATACATTCAATGTGATGTTAATATTGGTACAAGAAGGACATGCATGTCAATATCTTGTTAATTTTATTCCTTCTAAGAGCATGGTTTGCATGTTTATATAACATTTTTTCACTTCATATGCAACTATAAAGTGAGCTGAAATAGCTTAGGCAAAATGTTTTCTAGCACATAATTGGATGATATAAATTAATTTCTTTTGAAAGCGATAGTATATATTCTATTTTCTTCCCTTGGTACAGTATAGGATTATGAACAGACTCAAAACATTCGGAAAACTTAACTCATCCCATCTTTAATTTTCAAAGTTCAATAAGACAGACTTTAGCTTTCGGTTAAGCTGTATTAAACAATTACCAAAGATTTAAGTCAAAAGTCAACTGCTGTGGAAGGCAAAGCCTTAAAATGTTTAAGTTTGCATTGAATAAAAGTAAATTTCCATTTTAGAAAACATGTTCAATTCAACTCAACCTATTGAGCATTGTCTATCAGAGTTTTATTGATAAGGGAGAAAAATCAACTATGAAGCTATGGCAGTAGTACTGGAGAGCATTAACAAGGTTTGAAATACAGTAGTGATGTGGGAGGGGGTTTTCAAATGAAGGACATTTTTACATCAGAGTTGATGGGTGGCTTAGCATGTGGATTGATGGCACAAGAAGCATTTCAGGTAATGTAAAGGCTTTTAGCTTTGCCAGTGGGTGAGTGATAAGGCTATTAAACAAGTTAGAAAATAGAACAAGGGAAAGGTTTTGGGAGCATGAAAATGTTCAGTTGAGTTTTGAACCTTTTGAATTGAAGACATCTGTAGGACATTTATGCAGGAATGAATACAAAATACTTCTGTGTCATTGTGAAGATTATAATTAAGAGGACACTGTTGATTTCTTCTTGAAACTCTGGGCCATGAGACAGATCTAGGCTGTGTGATAATGATGTTAGTGACCTTTTCCCAACCCTGTAACAACAAAATCTCAAATTTAGTACATAATTGCGTTTTACTTTATGTCACATTCTAAATGTTTTAAATCACCTTTTTCTCATCCTGAGATTATAAACATTCCCTGGGCTATTGAAGTCCTTGTAGTGGCCTCAGTGATTGCTATTACCATGGAGCCTTAGGAGAATTTATTTTCCTTTTATAGTTGATGATGCTACAAACTGTACTGAGGGATTGCTGTCATTCATGCAATTCATTCATGCCTTGTGCAAAGTATTGTTGCTTTACAACTGGGCATAAAGCATAGGTTTACTTTGTTTCAGCAAATAGATATCATAATAAGATTTTACAAAGATATTTCTTTTTCAGAGACATTAATTATTTTATATGTAAAATGACTTTTTAATTTCTTAAAACTTTTTTTTTGACTCAGGGTCTTGCTCTGTTGCCCAGGCTGGAGTGCAGTGTCATGATGAGGGTTCACTACAGCTTCGACTTTGCAGGCTCAAGCAATCCTAAGCTCCTCAAGTAGCTGGGACTACAGGTATATGCCACTGTACCCAGCTAATTTTTTAAAATTTTAGTAGAAATGAGGTCTTGCTATGTTGCCCAGGCTGATCTCAAACTCCTGAGCTCAGGCAATCCTCATGTCTCAGCCTTCCAAAGTGCTGGGATTACAGGTATGAGCCACTATGCCCAGCTAATTTCTTGAAACCTTAAAATTACTTTTTGTGGAGAGGGAGGTGTAGAGGGGAGTGAAGAAAGTGAAATAATTAATAAAATATAGTATCTTAGGATATCACTGTATATTGATCTCTGCCAGAGGGAATACTTGCCAGACTTGATTCTGAGAGTCAGGTCTCCCTAATGCTTTTCTTTCTTTTTGAGACGGAGTCTTGGTCTGTCACCCAGGCTGGAGTGCAGTGGCGCGTTCTCGGCTCACTGCAACCTCTGCCTCCTGGGTTCAAGTGATTCTCCTGTCTCAGCCTCCCAAGTAGCTGGGACAATGCTTTTCTTTACTGCTGTCCTGCTTGATTTTCTTTGTTTGTCCACTGTACTTAACAACTGTGGCATGCTAATGGAATGTGGGAATTAAGACCAAGGTCTTAATTCATACTACCTTGGATTCATCCACCTAGTGTCTGTACAAACTTTGATACATTACAGCCTTCCTACGTCTCAGTTGTTTCCTCTGTAAATGAGGATAAGAGCATTATGTCTACTTATAAAACTGTCACATGAAAGGTAAAGTGCTTAGCACAGTGCCTGGCACATAGTATACATACAGTAAATGTTAGAATAATAGGGATGAATTATTGTAAGACCTAACAGTACTCTGTTTTCCTTAAAGTGCTGTATAACATTCAAGTAGGATGACAGACATTTATTTTTATTTACTAATTATAAATATTATACATTCAGTGATTGTTTTACTTTATTTTTATTTTTAAAATATTATATGTTTTTCTGCCTTGAGATTTTTATAATCCAAGGTGTATATATATGACTCTTCTATCTTTGTCCTTGTACACTGGTCCCTTGTATACAAACAAACAATTGAAAAAAATAAACTGAGATATATCCTGGTCTCATATTTGTAGAAAATAATCTCTCCTGCCTCTTTCCTTCCCTTCTTCCCTTATGACCAATTAGCCTATCTTTTAAGAACCCATCTTATAACTTGTCTTATCAGAAACCTCTGTGGACTAGTGGTATGGGGTACATAAAAAGTAAGAGTAAGTAAAGATGATAAGTAAAGCATGTATAAAGCAGAACAGGGACTTCCAGTAGAGGGAGATGTAGGCCAAACAATCAAGCCATATAATATGCAGGTGCGATAGGCAGCAAATTTAAAGTTTTCCCTTCATAAAAAATCTAAGTACTAATTAATTTACTAAATATAAGTTAAGTAACACTGGAATTTCTGTTTTGCTGGTTGCCAAATCCAAAGCGATTATACAAGTACCTAGGGAAGAACTGTGAGGAATATATGTATGTATTGCTATTGTCCCATAACTTTCTCACATAACTGTTTCAGAGATGGAATGAAGACTAGATCATAAACAGCTCTCTCTCTCTCTCTCTCTCTGTCTTCCTCCCTCCCTCCCCCCTCCCTCTCTCTGAATCTTTAAAAATAGCAAGTAATGGAAGTTACAGGCTGGATAACTTGAAAACAAATAAAGTACAGCAGCTATATTTCCATAATTCAAAAATATTTTTTCATGGAGTTCTAGACTATCTGAGTAAAACTAGGGTTAGACCAAAATACCATAAACTGTTAGACTGAATTAGAAAACTACCCTTTTTTAAAAAAAAATATTGTTGTAAAGATAATATTGTAACTCAGATCTTTAAATTTCTGAAATTGCTGAGACCTGTACTTAAAGGAAATTAACAGCATTTAATTCATGTTGGATTGGATTTTTTTCAAGTTTTTTCTGTAGGATAGTTAAGTTGATTTTAACGTTTACATTTCCAACAGAAATATCACAATTCTTTCTTTTGGCAACATTGTCCAATAGCTAACTATTATAATGGTCCCTTTGCACTTGGAGATTTAATACTCTTATTCTATCACACTCTACAAAATTGCTGCCTTGGAGCTTGGGGATGTTGAGACTCCCCTTAAACCTGAGAATTTCACTTAATAGTTGACTGAGTTTTCCAGTTTGTATCATGGCTAAATATTTTGATGTGGATTTTATTACTTTTGGCTGAGTTAGTAAATTCAGTTTATAAAATATCCATAGAAATTTACATCATTCACAACATATATCTTAAATTAATTTACTCTAGTAATTTTAATTTATGTTTAGTTGATTCAGAAATGGAAGGTATATATATCTGCTGATTTTATTCATATTAATGAATTTGGTAAACATTACCACCACCAGCTTAATAGATATTAGCTTAAATATGTAGTTTTTATTTAGAATTCTACAAACCCTCATCACTTATCTTACTTATCTTGCTTTAAGTTTTGTCAGGTAACATCACTATTTTTTGTGTTTAAGAATTTTTTTTAATTTAATAAGTAACTACAGAAGATTAGCTATGCTGGAGAAGACTTCATAGCCTATAGTATGGATTTTTTTGGTAGAACTAAACTTCTTCCCTAGATTGCAGCATGGTTTCATGAGGTGAACGTTTTGCATACTTCATTTAAGCCTTTAAGATGTGTGTTTTTTTGAATTATTCAAAATTAATTTTCAATGAATGGGCCTGATTGGACTTTCCCGTCTATTGAGCTCCTTTGAACCACTACAGACAAATTGGAAGGCTTTCTTTTAACTCTTTTAAATAAATTAACTTGCCTTAAAAATGGCCATAGAACAATGAGATTGAACTAATCTGTCAGTGTGCCTATGTGCATCCATCATAATAAGCAGGGGTGTGCTGCAGTAATAAACTTAAAACTCACTTACTGAAAGGAATGAAATTTAATTTTAATATATGCTTTGTGTTCATTGTAGTTTGATAGTAATGCTGTCCTTGCTGTAGTCACTAAAGGATTCAGGCTGAGGAATGTTCCGTCTTGACACATGCTTTGATTACAGAGCTGAGACAAAAAAGAGTACTGAATCTTCTGACACTCTTAAAACTTCTTCCTGAAAATGGTATGGTTCACCTTGGCAAGATACAGCCACACCTGAGTTCAACAAGGTTCATGATCCTCCTACAGAGAAGGGCACTAGATATTTGCAAATAGCACAACAGTTTATCATTCTAGTCTAAATTAGTGAGTATTTGGAAACTGCTGACATTTACACACTAAGCTTATAGAAAGTCTGGTTTAAAACTGGCCATGGGAAGAAAATGAGTTGTTTTCACCAGGTTATAACCTGATTCGTTTTGGAACTCATATTGACAGTGCATTGAGCACGTGCACCCCGCCCCCCTGCCACAAGTCTGCATCATCCAAATGATGCAGGAACTGTTTTGCAGGGACATTTATATACCACTGGGGATATTACCATTGTTCCTCATGCACTGTGGACAAGGAGTAACAGTGTTGCCCGGGCTGACTACCTTTAAATGCACAGTTATAGGCCAGCCAGGACAGTTCGTAAATTTAATAAATACATCACTATTCAGATTTTAACCAACCTACCTTCCTTCCTTCCTCCCTCCCTCCCTCCCTCCCTCCCTCTCTCTCTCCCTTCCTCCCTCCCTCCTTTCCTTCCTCCCTCCCTTCCTTCCTCCCTTTTCTCTCTCTCTGTCTCTGTCTCTTTCTTTCCATAAAAAAGGCCTGATTGTAATTTGGAGTTTCAATTTTTAATTGCATAAAATATTAAGAGAAAACTGGGTGTTCCATATAGCTAATCGTTTAAATAGTAAATATAAATGGAGCCATTAGATATATTGCCAAAATTCACAACAAAATGAAAATATTGGCATTTGTTATACAAATTAAGTGTTCATTTGTTGTTTATTAATATCACACTAATTAACCATTAATTATTGCTGAAGACTTTTTCTGTCTTCACTTTTTTAGGTATGACTGATTTTCCCAAAATATTTTGTGAAACTTCTCAGAAGTTGGTGAGTGTGGAAGCCTTTGCTCTGGCTGCGAAATACTATTCTGTACAAAACTTGGGAATATGTACTCCTTTTGAACAGTTGCTTGTAGCCCTTCGAGGAAATCAAAACCAGAGAATTGGTATGTCTATTTATGTGTGTGTATGTGTGCTTTTTAGGTACTTAGAAGCAATACTTTGTTCATATATGTGTATCTTTCCAAAATATTATTAATTTATTGTTAGACCTTAATATATAAGCCCTGACAAATTAACTATTGTTTAGAAGTGTAGGTTTTCCCCTTGTACTATATTAAACAGAACAACTTGTAGATGTCCACATTTTTTTCTTGTAACTTCTTGTAACTCTTGTAACTTCTACTGCAGATAGTTCCTGCCCCTCAAACACAGATCACAGTGAGCTACTACAAATTCCAAAATCTACATTATTTTTGTTGCAGCAGGCTAATGTTCTCTATGGGAAGAGGGTGGGAAGAGTGGAAGGGGACATTTGGGGATGTGGGGAGAAGCATGAGTGTCAGAAAGTGGGGATGGTACAAATTAAAAAAACAAATATGATAATGTGGTAGATTAAAACTCAGCCATATCTATAATAATATTCAATGTAAATTGTTTCTACATGCCAATTAAAAGGCAGAGATCAGAAGGCTGTGGTTAAAAAAAAAAACTCAGATTCTTTTATCTTACACAAACCTCTTTCATATCTCTTATTTGATCCTTATTTTTCCCCACCTTTTTATTTTGAAAATTTCCAAACCTACAGAAAAGTTACAAGAATAGTACAATAGACCCTGTATACTTTTCACCTAGATTCACCATGTGTTCACATTTTGCCACATTTGTTGTAGTTCTCTTCTACACACACACGCGCACACACACACACACACTCTTTTTCTGAATCTTTTGAACATAAGTTATAGATATTTTAGCATTTTACTCTCAAATACTTCACTCTGTATCTCAAAATAACAAGGGCATTTTCCTACACATCTCATAGTTTATTGGCACACTCAGGAGTTTAACTCTGATACAGTAATATTGTGTAATAAGCAGTCTCTATTCAAGTTTCTTTACTTTTTCCAAGAATATCTTTTAGAGCCATTTTTTTTTCTTCATGCAGGAATTAGTCTAGGCTCATACCTGGCATTTAGTTGTCATGTCTATTTAGTCTTTTCAATCTTAAATCGTTTCTTACCCTTGCTTTTGTTTTTCCTGACAGTGATACTTTTGATATCTATAGGCAGGTTTATTTTATTGTTTCCCCAACATTAGATTCAGGTTATGCATTTTTGATAGGAGTACTACTCAAGTGATTCCTTTTTCACATATCAAATTAGGAAGCACATAGAATTTTGTCACATTATTGGTGACCCTAAGTTTACTCACTTGGTAAAGGTGGGTCTACTGGAGTTCTCCATTGTAAAAGGACCCTTTTATCTTTGAGTCCAATTCTTTTATTATTATTTTAATTTTTTAAATCTCTCTAACCATTTTAAGCAAAATTATTTCATAGTGTTCCCCCTGGAGCAAGAGAGGGGCTGTTTGGTGAATTATGGCTCTTGGTAAGAACCATTATAGCTGCAAATGGGTTCACTAGCAACGTTACTATGGGGGCTGTAGTCGACTGGCAATGAAAGGTCTAAGGAGAACACTCTATCCCAGGTGCTGCTGACTGGCAATAAATGAGTGTACCTCTGCATCAAGGGTATAAATCCTTGGCCCCTCCCCCAATGTATAAAGTTTAAGGGCCACAGTTTGGGCATCAAAGTGAGTAAAGATGTTATATCCTAGGCAAGAACAAACAGCAAAACCACCATTCAAGGTCTGGATGGACTCTGTTGTGTCCAGTACAAGAAAGAGTTGACTTAGCCATGTAGAGAGATGCATGCTGGTGATAAGTGAGAGTGGAGGGGCTATATTCCCCATCCTGGAGTAATCAGCATATTTGTTTACTAGGTTAGTATCTGCCAACAGAATGACATTGTGGAATTCAGACCTCTCTGATGGAGACCATGTCCTAAAGTGCCCTCAGAATGTTACCAAGAAGGTGCTACCTTCCATCTACAGGACCATGAGTAACCAGCACTTAACACCTGGAAAGACCTCATTAAAACCCAGTATCCCAATGTGGTAATCCCAGGTTAAGCCTATACCAAGGCATTCACAGATATGAACACTGTCGTGCCATAATAACCATTCCAGTCCTACATTTCAGTTCCCTACCACTCAACTCCCACATCACTGATGATGTTGACTACCTTGTCATATGCTTTTTGGCCATTTTAATATACTTTATAATGTGTAGCATACAGTGTATACTCGTATAGTACTGTAGTTCTGCAATGAGGGAAATGTTCTGTGCTTGTGCTGCTCAGTACAGTAGAAACTAGCCACATGTGGCTGTTGAGAACTTCACCTGTGGCTAGTGGAGCATAGAATGTTAATTTTCAATTATATTTGATTTTAGTGTAAATTGCAATAATCACATGTGGTTAGCAGCTACTATATTAGACAGCACAGGTAATGAAATGACTGTTTAAGTTTTTTTCCCCACTTTTCTATTGGGTGATTCTTTTTGTATTGATTTATAGGAGTTTGTTTTATTTTATTCTTAGATACAAATTCTCTGTAGATATATGTGTTGGAATTATCTTCTTTCATTTGGGGTTTGCCTTTTTACCTCATAATGTTGTCTTTTGATGAAAAATTTCTTTTGTAGTCCACTTTACCAGTCTTTTCCATTATAGTTAATTGTTACGGAATAGTTTTAATGTTCTATGGATTTTTACATTTACTTTATTAATTTAAATTTTTATTTATAGTGGCTAAGCTAGTAGAGATCTATCCAGAAACCACAGTAGAATCTCTGTATTATTTTCCTACTTAATTTCAAAAAATATGAACATCTAACTGATAATTCCTACTAAATTTTGATTCTTTAATAGCAGTTTTTACTTTTATTTTCATTAGGTGAAAATCAGAAGGCAGTTGAGTTTATGAATATGAAGAAATCTCATGAAGTTCAGGCAATGTCAGAGCTGATCAGCAGTATTGCTGACTACTATGGAATAAAGCAGGTAAGAGTATTTCCGTATGTTTTTAGGTGTTAAAATTATTGCCACTTTTTGGTATTATTCATATTTCACCTTTTTACTGTCAGCTAGCCTTTAAAATGTCATTAAATAATAGCATCATTTAAACATCAGATCCTTTAAACATCAGATTCTTTAAGCATACACTGTTATTTCCTAGTATATTGTAATTTTAGAAAATTTATAGTAAAATCAAGACATGACTGTTAATGTTTTGCCACACATTTCATTCTTTTCAGAGTGGACAGAAATTAAGCTTAATTCTCTTTGATAAATTTTCTCTCCAGTCTGAGGTAGCATTATGAGGATGACATTCTGCAAAACTGTTTGCTGCTAGATGTTTTCAGGATATGGGTTACCAAGCTGTGGTCTGGGATACCTGCATCATTATAGTAACACAAAGTAGTTATGTTTTTAAGACTTGGATTATATCATAGTGTTTGATTCACAATGCATTCCTGTTTTGAAAAATAGTTTTTATGGTAGATAATGATATTGGATAGTAGATTTTAAAATAAGATTAATGATTGTACACATTGGCCTATAAAAATAGTAAGTTATTTTTCTTATTCCTTGTTTATAAAAATAGTAAGTTTTTTCTTATCTCTAGAAGAAGATCGGTGGTGGTAATGGAGATTTTCCTTCCTGTAATTTTTATTAGGTATTAGAATCTTTCCATGGATTCATCAAAACTTGAGAGTTTGAGGATGATTAGAAAACTATGAAAGTTTGGCATAGGCTTGCAGAGCCACTTGTGGCAACATGGATCTCTAGGGTGGGTATAGAGTAAGAGCTAAGGTAATACTAGTTTTCAGCCTTTTCTCCAGATTCTCATACCTAAGCAATATCTGTCAGTACCAGTAACAGCCTTATGGCAATGATACTTAGCCGGAGTCGAAGAGGCAAGCCCTCCCCCATGGTGCCATATCAAAATCTTGGGGAGCGAGTGCTGTTTCTAAATATCTTTCAGGTGGCAGCCAACCTCTATTAAGAGCAGTAATAATGGGATTGGTCTCTAGAGGACCAAATACATAATTTAGTTAGAATTAAAAGGGGCATAATGAACTCAGACTTAAGGCATCAGTTAATATAACAGCAAGTCCACTGGAGACGACAGAGCCCTAAAGACAGAAAATTCAGATAACTGGTAGTCAGCTAAGCTGGATACAGGTTCTGTACATGGATGGTACGAATCCAGTTACAGAGTAGGAGAATGGAGTAAAGGTCCAGTCTTGAGGGGAAATCTGGTCTGAATGAGGCAGAACAAGAACTGGACTTAGATTTTATATAGAAACCAAGGCAAAGACCCAGTCATTTAGTTTGGGAATACAAAGCAGAAGCAGGAAAATATAGAAGTGGCCAAAACATAATGTGTACTATATGAAAGGGATTTTAGTCAGGATTCCTATGGGGTTGGTTTTACAGATTTTTCTTTTTATTAAAAATATAATGATGTATCACTGTGTAAGATTTATTTACACTTTAAATATAATTCAGTCTTAATCACTTTCTAGCCAATGTGCAAAATTTGTCCATAATCCTAACTTTATTGAGATATAAATGAACTTATGTTAATTGTACAGTGTGATGTTTTGTTAGTATATGTGTGTGTGTGTGTGTATAAATGTTATATAAAACATATATAACTTTTCATTGTGCATATATACCACATTTCTTTATCCATAAATTCATTGATGGACACTTAGGTTGTTTCCGTATTTTGGCTATTATGAATAGTGTTACAATAAACATGAGTGTCCAGATATCTCTTCCATATACTGATTTCCTTTTTTTTTTTTTTTTGGATATATACCCAGTAGTGGAATTGCTAGATCATATGATAGTTCTATTTTTAGTGTTTTGAAGAACCTCTATACTGTTTTCCATAATGGCTGTCTAATTTACATTCCCACCAACAGTATATGAGTTCTCCTTTCTCTACATTCTTGCCAACACCTACCTTAATGCTTTTTGATAATAGCCTTTCTAACTGGGATGAGATGATATCTCATTATAGTTTTTATTTGCATTTCTCTGATGCTTAGTGATATTGGACATTTTTTCATATACCTGTTGGCCATTTGTATGTCTTCATGTGAAAAATGTCTATTCAGATTTTTTGCCCATTTTTATTTTTTTATTTTTTATTTATTTATTTTTTATTTATTTTATTTATTATTATTATACTTTAAGTTTTAGGGTACATGTGCAGAATGTGCAGGTTAGTTACATATGTATACATGTGCCATGCTGGTGCGCTGCACCCACTAACTCGTCATCTAGCATTAGGTATATCTCCCAATGCTATCCCTCCCCCCTCCCCGCAACCCACAACAGTCCCCAGAGTGTGATGTTCCCCTTCCTGTGTCCATGTTTTCTCATTGTTCAGTTCCCACCTATGAGTGAGAATATGTGGTGTTTGGTTTTTTGTTCTTGTGATAGTTTACTGAGAATGATGATTTCCAATTTCATCCATGTCCCTACAAAGGACATGAACTCATCATTTTTTATGGCTGTTGCCCATTTTTAAATCAGATTATTTGCTTTTATTCCATTGAGTTGTTTGTGTCCCTTATGTATTCTGGTTGTTGATCCCTTGTCGAATGGGTAGTTTGCACATGTTTTCTCTCAATCTGTGTGTGTCTCTTCACTCTGATTGTTTACTTTGCTGTACAGAAGGTTATTAGCTTGATGTGATCCCATTTTTGTCCATTGCCCATTTTTGCTGTGGTTGCCTATGCTTTTGAGGTCCTACTGAAGAAATCTTTGCCTAGACCAATGTCCTAGAGTGTTTCCCCAATGTTTTCTTCTAGTAGTTTCATAGATTCAGGTCTTAGATTTAAGTCTTTAATCCATTTTGATTTGATTTTTGTATATGGTGAGAGATAGGGGTCTAGTTTCATTCTTCTGCTTATGGATATCCAGTTTTACCATTTACTGAAGAGACTGTGCTTACCCTAATGCATCTTCTTGGCACCTTTGTTGAAAATGAGTTGGCTGTAAATGCATGGATTTAATTCTGGGTTCTCTATTCTGTTTTATTGGTCTATGTGTCTGTTTTTATGGGAGTGTCATACTGTTTGGGTTAGTATAACTTTGTAGTATAATTAGAAGTTAAGTAGTGTGATGCCTCCAGCTTTGTTCTTTTTGCTCAAGATTGCTTTGGCTGTTCTCTGTCTTTTGTGATTCCACATAAATTTTAGGATTTTTTTTCTATTTCTGTGCAGAATGTCATTGATATTCTAATAGGGATTGCACTGAATCTCTAGATTTCTTTGGGTAATATGCACATTTTAACAATATTGATTCCCCTAATCCATGAACATGAAATATCTTTCAGTTTTTTTGTGTCCTCATCAATTTATTTCATCAATGTTTTGTAATTTTCACTGTTGAGATCTTTAACTTCTTTGGTGGCATTTATTCCTAGGGATCTTATTTTGTAGCTATTGTAAATGAGATTACTTTCCTGTTTTCCTTTTGAGATTTTTCTCTGTTGTCATATAGAAATGATACTAGTTTTTGTTACTGATTTTGTATCCTGCAACTGTACTGAATTTCTTTATCAGTTCTAATCGTTTTTTGATCGAGTCAGTTTTTCTAGGTATAAGATCATATCATCTGTAAACAAAGATCATTTGACTTTTTCCTTTTAAATTTGGATGCCTTTTATATCTTTCTCTTGCCTGATTGCTCTGGCTAGGACCTCCAATACTATGTTGAATAAAAATGGTGAAAGTGGGCATTCTTGTCCTGTTCCAGATCTTAGTGGAAAGGCTTTCACTTTTTCTCTATTCAGTATGATGCTAGATGTGGGTTTCTTTATTTCTTTTCCTCTATTAATTTTAGGTTTGGTTGGCTCTTGCTTTTCTAGTGTTTTTTTAAAGGTGTATTGTTAGGTTGTTTATTTGAAAATTTTCTACTTTTTTGTTACATGCATTTATTGCTGTCAACTTCTTAGTACTACTTTTGCTGTATCCCGTGGGTTTTGGTATGTTGTGTTTCCATTTTTATTACTTTCAATACATTTAAAAATTTCACTCTAATTTCTTCATTGACACATTGGTCATTCAGGAGCATGTTGTTTCATTCCCATGTGTTTTTATACTCTTCAGAGTTTCTCTTGTTATTGATATTTGACATAATTTCAATTTTGGGGATTTATTTTGTGTCCTAACATATGGTCTATCCTTGGGAATGGTCCATGTGCTGAGAAGAAGAACATGAAGCTGTTGGGTGAAATGTTCTGCAAATGTCTACTATGTCCATTTGGTCCATAGTGCAGATTATGTCTGCTGTTTCTTTGCCTACTTTCTGTTTGGATGATCTGTCCAATACTGAATGGGACTGTTGAAGTCCCCAACTATTATTATATTTTTAAAATGCGATTTAATAAATACAAATTTCATGAGGTAAGTAGAAACCCAGATTCTGAAATACATAACCTTATTGGTGACCATAGAGAACTAAACAAGAATATCATTTTTACCTCAGCCATATTGCTCCCTACATGCCGAACACCTTTGTCTCTTTCATTCACATTACCAAGGCTTCTTAATTTTTATCTCTAAAACATGTTCACTCATTCATACTTGCATGCATTCATTCATTTAGCAAATATTTCTTAGCTCTTAACCATGTTCCAGGCATTATTTTCTATACTGAGGGTGCATCAGTGAACAAAACAAACAAGAAATATTTTTGCCCTAGTGGCATTTATGTTCTAATTAGGAGAGATTGACAATAAAAAGGTTATGAGTGTATTTTAATGTGTATGTTGATATATTTTAAAGATGAAAAATTAAAACAAAAGGGAGGAGCTTATCTGGGGATAGTTAATTAAAGTTTTTGATACAGAGGGGAAGGTCAAGTAAGACCTCATTGTAACGATAATAGAGTTAAAACCTTCGGGAGGTAAGCTATCCATTAGATGATCTAGAGGAAAAACTTTTCTTATAGAGGGAACAACAAGTTCAGTGGCCCTGAACATGCATACTTTGTTTCTGAAACATCCAGGAAGTCAGATTGAACAAGCAGAAAGTAGTAGGAGCTGAGGTTGTGGTGGAAGAAGACAGGACATTAAGTTGCAATGTCTTGGAAGTCATTGTGATAATTTGGGGTTTTTATCCTGAATGAGACTGGAAGCCACTGGAGCCACTGGATCATTCTTTCTACTCTGTTAGGTTGTATTATGAAACAGATATTTCCACTATATTTGCCTCTTTTCTTTACCATAGTCTTTGTGGACATTCGAGCTGGTTACTTTGCAAAATTAGCTCCTATCTGAGCAGGAGCATCCAGAGTTGAAGCAAAAAGACTCAGCAAACGTAGGAGTTAACAGTATGAGATGAAACCAAAGAGGTAATGAGGGATTTGCTAAGAGTAGTGATATATGATCAGACTTTGTTTTTCTTTGTTGAAAATGGAGTGAAAAGGGAAAGGTGAGAACAGGGAGATCACTGAGAAAGCCATTGCAGTTAACCAGGCTCAGGATGGAGTTGGTATGAAGTAGCTCTGGTAAGTGATGAGATCATGGATTTGCTCACAGTTCAGATGTAGCTTATGAGAGACAGAAGGAGTCCTGTTCTTTACCTGGAGGTATGTTACAAATTTGAGAGTCATTAGCTTGGAATGGTAGTTAGATCTCTAGGTCTGTCAGCAAAATGTATCTTTACTATCTAAAGTACAGTACCATACTAGTGTTATTACAAAATTTAACCACTGCTTGTAACAATGTTTCTGTGGGAAAGTCTCCTAAACAACATTGGGATACTCAGAAGATCCCTCCCACCAGGTATTGGACTAGAGACTCCTCTGTCTTCAAACCTATAATGTATGGCATATGATCCAGCAGGGACGTCTATTGTGGGGAAGGGCAGGAGATCAGGGTGGTGGGGATTTTCCTATTCTGATCAGATAGTTTGAAGACAAAACTAATTAAATAATAGAGTTTCTACTATATAGCCCTTGCATGAGTATGATATGGTATCTGCAGTTAGACTGTAGTTTCTTAAAGTCAAGATTTACAGTTGTATGCTGCATAAGGACATTTCAGTCAACAACAGACCACATATAAGATGGTAGTGCCATAACATATAATACTGTATTTTTATTGTACCTTTTATATGCTTAGATACACAAGTGCTTATTTTGTTATGTATTCAGTACAGTAATATGCTGTACAGGTTTTTAGCATAGTTGTCTAGTAGGCTATACCATCTAGGTTTCCATAAGCACACTCAAAGATGTTTGCACAACAAAATTTCTTAATACATTTCTCAGAACATATTCCCATCATTAAGTGATGCATGACTGTATATAATTCTTCTGTGTTTCCCTGCAATACCTATCCTAGAATAATAACATAAAATGGAAGTATAGGGAATAATTACTAAGTTTATTTTGTATTTATGAGACATTATTTACTGGAGTTTTTCCTATGAACTGGTCTCATTGTAAGACCTTGAAACGTTTTGAGGATTTAATTACGGTTATGCATTACTGTAAGTATAGGAATGTTTCCTTGAGTGGCTCATACTTATGTCAAGATTTCATTGACTTTAGAAATTAAAGATATGTATAAGAGTAGGTAATGATTTGTTGTGATAGTATTTCCATAGTTCTCCATTTATTTTATGAAATGACATGGCAATTATAATGTTTATAACTTTTTATTCTTATTTTTTGTTTCATTGAATGTGTAATTTAAATATTCACCAACTCTAGCTTTGATAAATTTTGGTAATTATAACAGTTAATGTAACCACTAGCATAATTAAGAATATACCTATCCTCCTAAAAACTTTTCTTGTGTGATTTTGTAGGATATTTTCTCTTTCATTCTCAGAGAATCACTGATCTGCTTTTAGTTTTGACTTTTCTAGAACATTGTACAAATGGAATCATAGTATGTAGACTTTTCATTTCAGTTCTTCCACTTAGCACATAGTATTTGAGAGCAATTGATATCTTTTTGTGTATTAATGCCTTGTTCCATTTTATTGCTGAGTAGTATGCCATATGCTGTAGTCCAGATATGCTATTTGTTTTTTTATTTACCAGTTGATGGACATTTGAGTTGTTTCTATTTTTTGCCTACTATTCAGAGTAAGACTTCTCTGAATATTCACATATAAGCCTTTGTGTGGACATGTTTTCATTTCTCTTAGATAAATTGGAGTGAGATGGATGGGTCATATGTAAAGTATATTTAACTTTATGGTAAACTCAGTGTTTTCCAAAGTGGTTATACCATTTTACATCTGCGTACATCTCACTGTGGTGGTTGTTTGTATTTCTCTAGTGATATTAGGCATCTTTTCACATTGGCAGTGTGTATATCTTATTTTGGGAAGAGTACGTTTGAATATTTTGCCTGTTTTCTAACTGGGTTACTTGTCTTCTTACTGAGTTGTAAGAGTTCTTTATTCTAGATATAAGTCCTTTCTCAGATAAATGTTTTGCAAGTATTTCTTTTCATTTTTGTCTTTTTGAATAGAAGTTTTAATTTTAGTAAAGTCCATTTTTAAAATTCTTTTGTTATTCCTGATCTTTATGTCCTACATAAGAAATGTTTGCCTATCCAAATGTCACAATTTTTCTCCTGTTTTCTTCCATCAGATAACATTTTTTTCTATTATGTTTACATCTCTGATATACTTTTAATTAGTTTTTGTGTTTGATTTGTAGCAGACAAAAATTTTTTTTCTTTTTTTTATATCAACATCCAGTTATACCAGCACCATTTGTTGAAAAACCTATCTTCTTCATTAAATTATCTTGGGCACTTTGTCCAAAATCAGTTGATTATATAAGTGTGGATCTATTTCTGTACTGTTTTTTCCCATTGATTTATATGTTTATTTTTATATCAGCTGTTTCTTTCCATTTTTTCCATTGATTTATGTGTCTGTTTTTATACTAGCTGTAGCTATACTACACTGTTTTAGTTTTATATTTTTGAGTCAGTAAAATTCTTCAACCTTATTCTTTTTCAAAAGTGTTTTCATTATTTTAGGCATTTTTGCCTTATTTTTTAAATCATAATATCTACTTATCAATTTCTTTACAAAGCTTAGCTAGGATTTTAATTAGGATTGTGTTGAA
This sequence comes from Homo sapiens, assembly GCF_000001405.40. NCBI lineage: Eukaryota > Metazoa > Chordata > Mammalia > Primates > Hominidae > Homo > Homo sapiens. The sequence goes on from NC_000012.12 coordinate 82,398,044, forward strand.
ATGTGAAGAAAGAATTGCCATCTTAGTATTGAGTCCACCATTTCATGAACATAGTATATCTCTTTATATCAATTTTTTAGTTTTTTATGCAGTGTTTTATAGTTTTCAATGTATAGGTTTTGTACATCCTTCATTAAATTTATTCCTATATATTCTATTTTTATTCTATTTTAATTGTTTTAAAATTTTACTTCCTAATTTTTATTTTTCTTTTTTTTTTTATAGAGACAGGATCTTGCTATATTGGCCAGGGCAGTCTCAAACTCTTGGCCTCAAGCAGTCCTCCCTCAGCCTCCCTGAGTGCTGGGACTATAGGTTTGAGCCACCAAGCTTGACTCCTAATTGTTTTTTGCTACTATATTATATATGTTCTGATGATTCGTTGTTAATTCTATTGACTTTGTGCCCTGACACATTGCTAAATTCACTTACTATTTCTGTTAGCTTTTTGTATATTCTTTAAGATATTCTGCAGACATGACTATGTCATCTATGTACAAAAAAGACAGTTTTCCTTTTTCCCTTACATTATTTATTTCTTTTGCTTCTTTTCATTGACTTATTAAACTAGCTAGAACCTCCAGTAAAATGTTGAATAAAAATGATGAGTGGTTGGTTTTTCATAGGAATAAAAAAAAATTAAAATAATATTTAAGTTATATAACTCATTTGTTTACTTCAAAAAATCTAGAATGCTTTCTATTACCATTTGCCTAAAATTCTTTAATTTATTCTTTTTTTCTAATCTTAGGTGATTGACTTGGGTTCCGGTAAAGGCTACCTAAGCTCTTTTTTGTCCTTGAAGTATGGCTTAAAAGTTTATGGAATTGATTCTTCAAATACCAATACTCATGGAGCTGAGGAGAGAAACAGAAAATTGAAGAAACATTGGAAACTCTGTCATGCTCAGTCAAGATTAGATGTCAATGGACTAGCATTAAAAATGGCAAAAGAAAGGAAAGTGCAAAATAAAGTTAAAAATAAAGCTGATACTGAGGAAGTGTTTAACAACAGTCCTACAAATCAAGAAAAGATGCCTACCTCAGCTATTTTGCCTGATTTTTCTGGCTCTGTAATTTCTAATATCAGAAACCAAATGGAAACCCTTCATTCTCAGCCACATCAAGAAGAAAATTTGTGTTTTGAAAATTCCTTTTCTCTTATAAACCTTTTGCCTATTAATGCTGTAGAGCCTACTTCTTCACAGCAAATACCCAACAGAGAAACATCTGAAGCCAATAAAGAGAGAAGAAAAATGACATCAAAGTCAAGTGAATCAAATATATATTCACCTTTAACCTCTTTTATCACTGCTGATTCAGAACTCCATGACATTATTAAAGATTTGGAGGTGACTTTACCTTTGAATTATTTAATTTGATTTACAAAAACATTGTATTCAATTTTAATAGTAGCTTACTTAACATACATATCTTACTTGATCACATTAATCTAACAGACCAAGAAAATGAAATCATAAGTAGGCTTTCATTATTCCCACACCCATCAAAACCTGACATGAGCCTGTTCAGAATAGAGTATCCTCTACTCATTTCAAGCCTCTTAAATCAAATTGAAGTCCTGGCACAAAAGCTAGTAAGTAAACTAAGTTCTCATTCTGCAGTTTAGGAATTGTTAAAATTCTAAACAAGTAGTTAAATTTTAATTTAAATTTGAAGTAAAGGGATATCTAGAACAAAGTAATGTTCAATGTTACACTTGCCAATATGGAATTTCCTTGAGCAAGAGTAGCTTCTAAGTGTTCTTCAAAGCTTGAACTTTTTCTAAATTACAAGTATGTCAGTTTATGTAATTGAAAGACAGCAGATCTTAAAGGCAATGTTGCATGTTGAAACAGTATTATAGAGGAGATTCTAGAGATCGTTTGGCCTAACTCATTGTCTCAAAAAAAAAAAAAAGGTAGCTTTTGGAGTTGTATTACCCTTGTAATTTTTTTTTCTTTTTAAAGAAATTCTTCCCCAAAGAAATGTATAAATAGGCTGAGTGCCGTGGCTCACGTCTGTAGTCCCAGCACTTTGGGAGGCCAAGGCAGGTGGATCACGAGGTCAGGAGATTGAGACCATCCTGGCTAACATAGCGAAACCCCATCTCTACTAAAAATACAAAAAAAAATATATATTAGCCGGGTGTGGTGGCAGGTGCCTATAGTCCCAGCTACTCGGGAGGCTGAGGCAGGAGAATGGCATGAACCCTGGAGGTGGAGCTTGCAGTGAGCCAAGATCGCACCACTGCACTCTAGCCTGGGTGACAGAGCGAGACGGTGTCCCCCCCAACAAAAAAAAAAAGAAAAAAAGAAATGTATAAATAAAAGAGATAGTAGAGTTCTTTATAAATTTAAATCCTTGTTTGATAGCTGACCATTGTTTTACCATTTTTTAAATGGGAAATTTTTCTTTTTCCCAGATATTTTTGGATTTAAGGGAATCTAGTGTACCTTCATTAATTCTTTTTCTTATACATGAAATTAGTAATTATTTTAGACTTTCTTTTAGGGTTAAACAATCTCAATGACTTTAGTTTAACTTAAATGTAAATTTCTAGTACATTTTGTCACCTTCTAATTTTCTCAAAATCTTGCTGAAAATATATGATCAAAACTGTATACAAATTCTTTTAAGAACCATCTAAAATAAGATATACTGGAAGAATGTTTCTTGGATCCTATAGCAAATCACAATTTAATAACAGAATTAACTAACACCCCCTATTCCCCCTACCCTCTCGCAATACTTAAATATTTTACTAGTAGGATAATATGGTGACTACATATTTTTGTCTCCTAGCTGCTACTTGCTAATATTAACTAATCTTATATGATAAATACAATAAAGAATGAGGTTAAATGTTCTTTTATTTTCTTTAGGGAGAGCTAAATTAAGCTTAAAGAGAGAAATTCGTAGCTTTATTACTCTGTCCCTAAGTAGCAATAAATCTTGTCTGAATTATTTTTTACTGATGACATCATAATCTCTAAATAAAACCTATCTAAACTAATCATCAAGAAAAGCAGAGTAGCTGTATAAACCTCTATAAACTGTGCTTTGAAAAGGATAGTGCTTGAAGCAACTGAGTGTTCTATCAGGTCAAAACCACTTACAGGCGTAATTTTTTTTTTAGTAAGTTTGATTACAGCTGTCTTTTATGTCTAGGACATAGGCTAAAATAACATTTTAGTAAAATAATTTTTAAAAATGTTAGTGAAACAATTATATGCTGACAATAGTTATAAAAATGTGTTTGAGAAACAAGTTAATACTTAACGTTATTTTGAATTTGTAATTTAAAGTAAATTACAATGATAAAAAAATGGACAATGTTTTCTGAATTTTATTATATGGTAGTGTACTAAGTCATTTACAGGGATTAGTTTACTTAAGTTTTGAAAGAACCCATTGAGATGAAGTACTGTTATTATCTCCATCTTACAGTTGAGGAAATCAGTTTCCTCAATTTGCTTTCCAAATCACACTGTGACAGAACTTGAATTTAGACAGGCTTTTTCCCGAGACTGTGCTCTTAATGACTGTACTACAGGTTATGCAATTAGTTCATTAATAACTATTTCTTTAACATCTCTTAAGTAAACACATGTATCTTTAATATTTACAGCTTTAAGATTAATTTTAGTTGGTATTATAAAGTACCAACTAAAATTAGTTGATGAGTAATACTTTAGAGAACACTTTGAGAGACATGATGATTTAATTTTAAAAAACTAGAAATTAATATACCTATATTCACAGATTTACACTAAAACATGATCTTTACATTATCATGGTTTGAGTGTCATCTGGAAAATTGAGAGGCTACTATTAGAAATTTTTTAGTTCCAAATGGTAAAAGTATGTGATTCTAATAGGGTACAGGTTTTCTGTATAAATTTTTTTTCTTACAAGTTTCTTTTTACTCCTACTTTAACTAAATTTTTATGAGTCATGTCAAAGACAGAAGAGTATTATTAGTAAATTCAACTTCAAAATGATTGTTGAACAAGATTCTGTGCATGTATACATTTGTACTCATTGTGTATGTGTGTGTGTACATTTAAATTAGGCTTTGGATAATTAGAATAAACATTTCATAGGAGAATTTTAAATACGATGTATACTATAAAATTTGGAAAAAATTTTTTAATTAAATTTTATATTGTCATAGTTGATGCGGTGTATAAACTAAGCTTTTTGTTGTTAAAGTAGAAATACCAAGTTTACAACAGTTATTTATTTTTTATAACAATATTTTATAAGGTTTTGATGGGCAATCTGAGACGTGAAATTAATTTCAAAAATTAATATTATGGTCAAAGTGTGATATAAATTTATAACAAAGCACAGGTTTGGTCTAGAAATACATGTTACATTTGATTAGTCCAATTTTTGCTTTGTCTAGTTGTTAAGCAAATATTAGTTGTAAAATGGGAGAAAATATAAACAGGTAAATAAGTGAAATCACTGAAAAAAATTCAAAAGTTGTAAAAAGAGATCACAGTTATTTTACCTATAAAGAAATAATTATTACTATGAAAATAAAAACATAGAATACTTTCTAGGTAGAATTTGATAATTATTAACAGCTTTACATATTTTAATGGACGTTAAAGTTGAAAGATTTAATTTAATCTTTAAATCATTAAATCATTAAAGATTTAATGGATGTTTAAATTGAAAGATTTAAAATCTTCAACTCATGCTGTGGGCGGTACAATGTGCTTGTAGTCCCAGCTACTTGGGAGGCTGAAGCAGGAGGATCATTTGAGGCCAGTAATTTGAGTCAGTAGCACGTGATATTCGTGCCTGTGAATAGCCACCACAGTGCAGCCTGGGCAACATTGCAAGATCCTGTATGTAAAAATAAATAAAAATTTTAAACAACCCTCTTTTTAATTACCAAATTTTATTTTTCTTCTTGTATTTTAAAGGATTGTTTGATGGTGGGTCTCCACACTTGTGGTGATCTGGCTCCAAATACTTTGCGAATATTTACCTCCAACTCTGAAATCAAGGGAGTTTGCAGTGTGGGTTGTTGCTACCACCTCTTATCTGAAGAATTTGAAAACCAGCATAAAGGTACAAGTTCCCCATGTGTCATAATTTTTATTCATTTGAGCATAATGAAATATGCTATTTCTATTTTCTATTTCTCCCCGTTTTTTCGTCATTACCATGATTTGGATCAGCATTTAAGATAACATCTGACTTACTTGCACTTTTAGTGTTACGGTGTTATTGAAATTTAATGCATCACCACCTGTATATTTGTTATAGTTTCTTTGGTCATAAAATGGGCTTAATGAGTGCTGAAGCCTTTGCAAATATTTGAAAATTTTATGTGATACATATTTTAGAGAACTTCTGTTTTAAAATACTTGTGAAGTATACATTTACTGAGTTAGTAAAACTGAGTTATTTTGTTATGAATATTGAATTTCAAAGTTTGCTTTTGTTTCCAAAGCCTTTTTTCATATCTGAAGGAATACTGATATTTAAAAAAGAAAAAGTTCTTTACTGTATTTTGAAGAGTCAACATACCAAAATTTTAGAAAACTTTAAAACTGTGTGATTGCATTAAAATAATAGTATTCAAACTATGCTACCTGTACTTAGAAGGTGCTGATGAGCAGAGTATGGAGTAGGTTTGCAAGATTTGAAGCACCCCACATATTCATTCAGAGCAGCTCCTGAAATAGCTGTTTGCTCCATTTTACATGTTAAATCTTTCCATAAGATATTGTAAAATATGATTTCAAAACTGCTGGTTCAGATTAGATGGTTATTTAGTATACTAATAATAGTAGTTCGTTTTTATGTTAGTTTAATGATATCTTTATCTGTGTCCTTGCTAAGAGTTTTAGATCGGGAATTTTTAGGTTACCAACTTTTGTGTGCATTAAGATGGTATTGGTTGATCTTTTCTTAGTTTTAAAACCCAGATTAATATATTTTAATTATTTCTTATTTAGTCATGCCCAGGAGGTAAACATTGTAATTGTTTAATTTTATTGAAATGTGACAAGGTGAAACAGAAACCATTTTTAGAATTGGCACACATTTTTACGAAATATAGTTAATTAAATTATAATTATTTTATGTCAGTGTTTTGACATTTTTATTTTAGGAAAAGTATGAAATAGTGAAATTATGACTGTATAGAGATAGAATGAAAGAAAGCAAATTAGCAAAAATTTAGCACTAGTTTAATTTAGATGGAGAGTATACGATTGTCATGCTATTATTACCAACTCATTTTTTTCTAAGTACAGAAATTTTCAAGACCAAAAATTAGGGTAAAAAATGAACTTAGAAAAAAAAAGTATTTCTACTAAATTATATACCCACATATTTACATTATATTATAGTATTTTTATGTATCTTTTCTGAAATAAATGAAAAAATACTTTAATGCAATCACAGTTCTACAGCTTTTTAAATGTTCTGTGTATAACATTTTCCTTAATTGGCAGTAGGGTAAGATTTATGTAGGTAAGTGCTTCCTTTTGGGGTTTACTATTTGGTTGTTAGTTCAAGAGTTTCCTGTTCTGTAGGTACAATGAAATTCAATTAATAAATGGCTCAATTTGGGGACAGGTGTAGACACTTTGTGTGTCATTAAATTTAGAGACACTAATGCCAGCAATTTGGGAGGCCGAGGCAGGCAGATCACCTGAGGTCAGGAGTTCAAGACCAGCCTGGCCAACATGGTGAAACTCCGTTTCTACTAAAGATACAAAAAATTAGCTGGCCATGGTGGTGGACGCCTGTAATCGCAGCTACCCTGGGGGCTGAGGCAGGAGAATCTCTTGAACCCAGGAGGCACAGGTTGCAGTGAGCCAAGATGGCGCCATTGCACTCCAGCATGGGCAACAAGAGCAAAACTCCATCTCAAAAGAAAAAAAAAAAAAATTAGAGTCACTATCCTTACACTACATTTTAAGGTCTTTAATTTCAGTTACCTGCTTCCTTCTTTCACTTTATCATCATTGCCCCCAAGGATGCCTTCCCATTCCAAGGGGCCTCCCTCTCCTCTTCACGCAGTGCTTTCTTAAGACTGCCATCTCTGGTCAGACCCTAGCAGCCATCACTCTGTACTGTGAAGTCTCAGAGGTAGTCTCAGTATTTTCCCACCAAAGATGAACCCTATCCTTTTTGGCAATGTAGTCTACTCTCTCTCACACTCTTTTCTGCACAGTTGCACCTTACTCTTTCTCCAGAGTGATCCCCAGAGCTCATTCTGCTGGTTTAGGATAGTGTCTTTCCTAACATATTTAAATTAAAATTTGTTGCGTTGCTGTGGATTGTGAGCAATTTTATCTCTTGCCTGTTTTTTTGTAAAATATGTAAATAGATTCAGATTTAGGTGACTATCATTATTTTATGGTAACCAGAAGGTGTCATTACTGCCTTTTTTATCTGATGTTGGATTCTTCAATCTCATACTTAAAAAAAGTAGCAGAAGTTACTTGCCAGGATTGAAAAAAGAAATTTAGTTACTCCTTGCTAATCCATTTTAAATCAGCTTTCCAGTACGTTTTCTAATAGATTATTGCTTTAAACTGTTAGCAAATATTCACTGGTCATGTATTCTAACTAAAATGAATTTGAATAGGGCATGTTAGATAGAGAGGGCTTTGAAAAACCTAAAGGAAGAAAGAAGCAAGATTGTGCATCCACATATTGTCATTGCCATTTCTTTCCTGCAAATGAAAAATTGGTAGATTGATTAGTCTTGAGAGGCACCAGATTCCATTCACTTTTGTATCTTCAGTACTAAGCACATTCACTCAAACGTGATTGAATAGATGAATGTTTGTATAATGTGTGTCAAAAACAAGTAACTAGGAATAGAAAAAAAATCACTGTTTTCCTGCCTTGGCAGCTGCATTTTACACACATAAGAGAGTATGTTATTGCACTGAACAAACATTTATTGAGCAGCTACTATTTTCAAGGCACTGTAGTTGGTACTTTATGTAAAATAAAGGGAAATGGGGGAGAGGCTCATAAAAAGTCAATAGTTATGGAAAGAGATAGGAAAAATAGATGACAAGCAGAGTTCAGTTCAACATCATCAGTGCCAACTGTGTTCCACTCTGTGCTTAGTGGTGGAGATACAAAAATGAGATATCGTGTTCACCCTTAAATAATTTCTTTAAAAAGCCCTCAATCCTAGGAACCAGATAATCCTTATTAGTAATTTTTTAAAAACATTGTTTTTTTGTAAAAACTATTTAGAATAGAAAATTCAAATAACAAAGGAAAAGAAAATACAAAGTAAGTCCCCGTACCTATATTGTTTTTTTATGTATCTTTCTAGAAAAAAAGTACATATACACATTCTATATTCTTATATGTTTTAGGCAAACAAATGTATAAACTGTTCATCACCTTTTTTCCACATAATATATTTTTTATAGTCTTTCTGTATCAGCACAGAGAACGTTGCTTTAGTCTTTTTCATTTTGCAAGGTGTTTAATATATTGTATTTTATTTATTCAGTACTAAATAGTTAATACTTGCTTAAGGCAGTGGTACTCTTCTTTTAATAAACCAAAATTTAGTGAACTGTTGAGCAGTTCAATGTAGAGTTTAGAGAACATAAAATATGGCACTAGTGTTCATCTTTGTTTTCTTTATCATCAAACATTAGTTTCAAAATAATATAGTAATTGCTATAAGACAGGGTATTACATCTGTTATCTTACAGCAGAGTAGCATGTAGCTCAGTCTGTGAGGGGTTGAGGGTATATTCCCGTGTGGTGATATCCACTGTGTCTTGAAAGATTCAGTAGAGGTTAATCAGACAAGGAAGTAAGAAGTGTATTGCAGGCAGAATAAACAAAGGCATGCAGTGATAGATGTTTAAAATCAAGTTTTTTTTTTTCTCTTTGACTTCATAGTCACTTTTTCTCATTGTAATTGTCTTTTCTTCTGTCTTATTCTTGCTCATGTCTTTCATAGAAGCAATTATAATGATAATCCTAATGTCCATTTCAGTCAGTAAAAAGGCATGATTTTTATTGACCTCCTTTCACATTTAAGATTACTCCATAATCTGTTTTCCAAAAATCTCTTCTTGGTTCTCTTAGTTTCTTTCTTTAGTACTTGGTCATTCATAAAATCATTTTTGAGTCTTCTAAGGAAATTAGTTGAAGAGAATAGCTCCAAACTTTTGCACACTAGAAATGGAAGCCTCTCAGTTAACAGATTCTCAAGCATTAGTCTTGTATCCTGCCTGGGTAAAGGCAGTTTTGTCTTCTCTTCTGAAGTTGCTGTTGTTCACTGTAGGTTTGCAGGACATTTTGGCCACAGGATTTAAATAAGAAAAAGTGTTGGAAAGGTTTGTGAGAACTGTGACCAGCAGCTATAAACTCTGAATTTCCCTCCCTATAGGAATAGTAAACTGGAAAGGCCTTCCTGTCAAAAATATCTTACCCATCAAGAATCATTGATATGATCAGGCAAACAATGCTAGGCTTCAGTGGGGAAAGCTAATAGTAATATCTTAATGTTACTTAATTTCCTGATACATACTTGAAATGAATAGACGATTGGGAGTTTTGCTTGTCAGGAAAGCAAAGAATAAGCAGGAGGAAACAGGACTGAGTGATATGATGAAATGGGCGGGGACGTATGCAACGTGAGTACCCTCAAATACTTCGGAGGTCAAGAAAACAGTTGGAAAGCCAAGAGATAAGAGAAAAATGTGGAAAAATAAGTGATAGGAATAATGAAAGTAAACTTGGTTTATATTACAGTTTTGCCTAGCCCTGGACTGCCACATTTTCTCATCTCAAAAACCAGATGGAAAAGGTAACATACTCCCTTTTCTCTTTCCAACACTCCATCTCCATTTTTCTCACTGTATCTTTGCTGTAGTAAAACAGAGAAGATGTGAACCATCCCATGAAATTTTTATAACAGTATTTCTCAATTCTAGCTGCCTAGCTGAGTCGAATTTGACACTTTTAGTGTATAGATGCCTGGACCTGCCTCTTACCTTCTGAATAATAATCTCTAGGCATAGGACTTGAATATAAGTATGATTAAGAAGTTCTATAGGTAATTCTGATGAACAGCATGGTTGAAAACAAGGTATGTATTATGATTATATAAGAAGACATGAAGAATTCTACAGGATGACTTATAGATATATGTTCAAGATTATTTATAGTTATTGTTCTTCTATGCAGAGACTTAGATGGGTCCTAGTCAAGTGCCAGTTTGCGGATTCATATGACAGGTTAAACTCAAAAGGGCCTAGGAGTGTACATCAAAGTCCAAAATGCAGAGAGCTGGAGTAACTAGACCAAAACAAAGTCCTTGAAGTATAGAGGTCAGAGCAAAAACCTGGGGAAAAAAACACAGATGCAAGAGGGCAGGAAACTGGGTCATAAATAGGGAATGAAGTTAAGTGGTTAGAAGCTAAACAAATTCAAGGAGAAAAATCTAGAACAAGTAAAGTATGTTTGGGATAATTATTATGGGTATCCCTAGATTTTTGATAGCTTACCTTTATCAATGAACAGATGTGACTCCGTGTGTGTGTGTGTGTGTGTGTGTGTGTGAAGGCAGACAGTGGCAAACAGAGTTGGTTCTGGGCTATTTAGCAGAAACTATTTTGATAGATGGAATATGGACATAGCCTTATTTTGTTTGTACAGTATATGCTATGGAGGCCTAGTATTCCATACTAAAATACAAATCTACTGCTATATAGTTTGATCATTATGCTAAAATATCTGACTTACAGAGAAAGGGGTTTATGTGCACAAAGTTAGCATATTTCCTGTAATATATCAAGCACTAGGTTCCATGGAGTTATATCTCTGAATGGTCAAATATGTCATGTGTCCTTCTCTTAATATCTTACACACCTTCACCCTCACTTTATTTGCACAGCTGTTTTTAAGTTTGAATTGGGGCAGTGTTGCCCTTTGGGATGTAAATTTGAGTTATTAATAGTCTAGCATAGTACAGTAGAAAATTCTGGTATGTACATTGCTACTTTTTATGATGATATTTACTATGTAAACAATATATGTTTTCCATGAATGTGTTTACCCAATACAGTGTGGTAGACCATGCAGGTAGTCTGTCATGAATGTCAGTTTTCAAAAATACCGCAAAGCTCTATGAGCCATTGTGAATACTGAATTTATACCATATGTTTTAAAACTACTTTTAAATATTTTTACATTATAAGCCAGTTGTCCCTAGGAGAACAAGAAATACGAGAAACATTTTTATTGCAGTCCTTTATAGAGTGTCTGTTTGGCCAAGCTTGATTAATGTTTCAGTATTTTGAATATTGATTATTGTAATAATTAATTTGAAGTGTTTACATTATTTCTTCTTCTAGAAGTTTTGGAGATAACTTTTTTGGGTAAATACCAGTATAACTTGGTTGTTTTCCTGATAAAAGGTATAAATAGAGGAAGCACTACTAGTTACCAATTCAGATCCACACATTTTTTCTTCTTTGCTAACTGAACCATGATTTTGTTAAGGAATCATCAGTTGCTACTGGGAGCAACTCTTGCCAGGGTGCAAATTTGTGACTGATCTGCTCCTTCCCTGCCTCCTCCCAGCCTAGTAGACCCAGGGCATCTTCTAGTATTGTTAGTGCACTCCACATTTGCACAGTCAAATATCAGTGGTGTAACCCTCGAAAGCCTGCAGGCTTAACTTCATGTTTACCCCCAGCCTTAATATGATATGGGATAAAGAGGTGATTCTCCCAAAGATTCCTCCATTTACTTAAAAAAAATAAAAAACAGTAGAGGGTCACGAATCATCTTTTGATGGTGTCTTTCAATCTGGTGCTGCCATTTCTGTGTCAAACAGAAATTTGTCAAGGGTGCATGATACCTATCCTAGTGTAGATTGTTTCTTAAGTTGTATCATCTCTGGAAATTGTGAGGGAGAAGGCTGCATATATACATATGTAGATCATTATCTTTACTGTTGTTGAGGTTTAAAAATTGTTCCTTTGCTTTAAATTTAGAGGTACTTCATCTGAAAAGGTGTCTAGAGGTTGAAGAAAAACGTGTTGAGCACATCGTTTGAACATATAACATACTGTTTAAGCTTACTTAAACAAATATTCTATATATGATATTCCGTCATATCAAATATTCTATATATGGTACTAAAACTGCTAACATAACATTAACCAGTTAATATCAGCACTAAATCATGTATTATATCATAGAGAAATGTATGACTAATGTCTTAGTCCATTAATGGCAATGAATTAATCCTATCATTGAAACAATGCAAACAATTGCTGTCTTTTCAGTAAAGATCTGACAATATTTTCTATCTCATACAATATGTATTTTCTTAAACAAGACTATTTACTGCTATGGGCTTTTAATGCTGGAAGTTTGGAGGATATTGAGGAATAAAGCATCATTTCTCTTTTCAAAACAGCATGAATTTGACTTCCGTTTCCAGCAGTGTGAGAGATGAGATTTTTCTGAGTGTTCCTCCTGCTACAGTTCAGCTAGATCCTGGCTAAATTAGAACACGTATTTTTTTAGGCATTGCTGAGTCCACACAAAATAAGGGAAATCTCTATGGATCAAGAAGAATTATAAACAAAAACTTTTAAAGAAGAGAATGGGAAGAGGGAGGAAGAGGAGTTGAGACCAAAGGAGGAAACTATGAGCCATAAAGTGATAGATAGTGTTGTTCTGAGATAAATGCTGGTCACATTGAGATCTAAAAACTAATAATGGTCCCCAACTAATACGGAAGCTGATCCTGAAATGTCCATACTAAGCCATACCCTTGAATGAGACAAAGCCATCTTCAGTCTGTCTCATGCATAAGCAAATTCAAATCCTTTAAGGGAACTACTTCTTAAATTCAGGCTCTTGAAATTTCAACAGATTAAAATCTATTAAATATGAGCTCAAATCTTAGAAAATCCCCACTAAATCATAAGATACATGTGGCTAGATATCTTGGCTGACCCTCCTATTATATTGAACTAAAAATGCTGAATACAATTAATTTTTCCTAGAAGCATTGAAAAGCTGGAAACATATATCTAGTCAATATATACAAGAATGCTGAAGTCCTCAAAGATAATGGAAACACTGAAGCTACTAAGGGTATTTGTGTACCATGGCAAACTTGAGCTTTAATAATTTCATAATTAGAAACCACAAAGGTGGGAACAAAAATAAGGGTAGCAGTAGTAGGAAGAGAGTACATTTGAAAAATTCAAGAAGCATTTAAGATTGTTTAAAGGAGATAAAGGAAAAGGGATTATCAAGGATTATTATCAGGTTTCTGTTTTGAGCAGCTGGGTGGGTGACAGAACAATGTATATGATAGGAAACACTAAGGGAGAATCAAGTTTTGGGGCAAAGTTGGAACATGTTTCTTTAATGTTTTTGTTTCATTCCTACCATTTACCATAAAGTGGGGTATATAGCAAGCAGTCAACAAAGGAATAACATATGAAATAAAATTATAAATGGTAAGAAAAAAAAAGCACTGATTCAGCACTGGTCAAAACTAAAGAAGAAACAAAGGTATTTGATGAGACATCTCCAGAAGAAATAATTATATTGACATAAGTAATTTGAGAATTCAAGGTACTTGTTTGGCTTTGCTCTTCTTAGCAAAGATAAGAAACAGAAGAAGGTTAGAGAAAGTTTATATTCCATCAACCACTGGAGCAAAATGATCAAAGCATACTACTCTGGTGAGACAAAGGTCTTACTTAACTTTAAATCTACACAAAGTCAGATTCTTTTGTGATTATAAATTACAATTCCACGCTTCGGTATTCCTTGAGAAGGAACAAGATGCTTCCAAATTAACTAATTTTTAATAAAGAATTATTTAACTTTACAATTTAATAATTAAGCTTCCTATTAGCTATGAAGGTTTATTTCCTCTTCCAAACGTGCGATCTTTAACCACAAAGCATATAATGACCACAAAAGTTACTAAACATGTTTATGGAAGAACATTATGTTTGTTCTCTTGGTTATAGTAGTAGTTTCACATATTTTTGAGTCAGACTCACATTAAGAAACACATTTTACAACACTACCTGGTATATAGAGAAATAAATAAAACTAGTACTTACATTTTACAAAAAAAATAACTGAACTCTTTTTCTTTTTGGTTAGTATTTTTTCCTTAATAGGTACTTAATCTTATAACACATGCATTCCTGTTGACAATCTTATTCAGTTCCTTTCTTTCAAATTTTATAAAATATTCATCACAATCTATTCAATTGATTTCATAAGGCTTTAATGGGTTTTGACTAAGCAGTGTGATGGTAAATGTTTAATGGTTGGCTCTGCCTCTGAATAAAAACCCTAATGTGTAGTATTTCCTCATTCCATTGTGCAAGTATACCTAATGTGGTCAGTTTCAAGCTACCAACCTGATGTCAGTAAATGCTGGGTTGGCAAGAGATGCACACAGTCAGCTCCCTCTGGACCCAGTAAGAGCCAGCTTTTCCATTCCACTGGCTTTCACCTACAGTTTGTAAAACATCGCTATATAAATTTGTTTGTTCTTACTAACTGAATTTGCTCATTTAAGCTGCAAATCACCTTAACTGTGTTATCCTATGTTTACCAAATAGTATTTGGCATATATCAGATGCTAAATATATATTTTTTAAAAGAATAAGTTTCTTTTGACAAGTATAAAAGAATATTTATGTCCTTTTAAGTTTGTTCCTATTTCAGACATTGAACTTTTCACATAAAGGCTCCAGTTTCTCAGTGGAATCTCACAGGGATTTTCCAGATTCATAAATTTCTCCTAAGTTGAAGAGGAAATATTTTACTTTACTTACTGTTGTGCCCCAGCATTGCATGTTTATTACTATAATTTTTTTCTAATAATTTTAACATAAAATTTTAAAAAATAAAGTTTTAAAACAAATTATGTGATTGATTATGCTTCAAAATAAATCCTTGAAGAAAAGAAAGATTTAAAAAACAGTTGTATGTAATTGATTATATTTTAAATTAATTCTTTTCGGTGACTCTCTTTTGGCCTTCCTATAAATCATTAGTATTTTGTCAAGAATCTGGAGATTGAGGCATGAACATTTTTTAGCAACTCCTAATTTAAACCATGAAACTAAAATGAAGACTTTGAAATGATGAGAACATAAGAGCCAATTTAGTAACAACAACATTGGGCCATAAGTATCAATAAATATTTATTCAACATAGAATATGCTGAGATTTAGGAGACACTCAGCAAACTAAGTATGCACCCACTGCCCACTTTGCTAGATACTGAAGATATCTAAATGAAACATTTTAAAGTAATATATAATATAATAAATAGGTTTTGTTACAGATAAGACAACTGTAATACAGTTTGATAGGTACTGTATTAGAGTTATGTATAAGTTACATTCCAAGCATAGAGAGAGTGATTTCTAGATGTCCAAGGGAGTGCAGAAACACTGCATAGAAGAAAAGTTGCTTTGACCGACTAGCGTTCTCCTCTGTCTCTGCAGTATTGTGACCTGGATCGGTTAGCTTTTGTGGATCATCTGTAAATTAGTGAAGCAAGAGAGGGGTTAAATTAGATGATCTGTCTCTTCTGGTTCTGATGATACCATTCTATAACTTGAATGTAGCTTTCTGAAACATGCGTATTATTTCAATTTAACCTTATTTGTATTTATCAAGACATTTACTTTTAGTATCTTTTTTTTCTTACTTATATTGGGTTTGCATAAATAAATAATAAATAATAAATACTCTACTTTCCTGCTATGATTCTGCATTTGGATGATAATAAGAAATTTTTGAAAATTATACTTTTACATTTATACCAGTATAATAATGGCCATAAATGTTGTTTCTCCCAGTTTTATATGTTTGGGTTTTAGGAAGTAAAACTAGCAATAAAAAATTTATAACAAATGTATATATATATATTTTTTCTTAACTATATTAATATTAATAGTGTATTAGTTTGTTCAGTAATTCAGTGAGGAACTATCAGGATCTATCTCGGCTTGAATTAAGTTTCTGGTGTGGCTAGTGTAGGTATTGTTCTTTGCAATCCTACAGTAGATGAGTAAACTTTACTGCCAGCCTTGTAGATTCAGCTGTTTATAAGCTTTTGTTACAATATCACATTACTCCTCATTGTTCAGCTGGACCTATGTCTCAGAAACATTCTTGCCAATTAATATGAGATGAATACAGAGATTTCTAGATGTACTTGGCATTCTGTGCACAATTTACCTCACTCTGACAGCTGTATGTGATCTTCAGTCAGCTCTGTGTTTTCTAGAATACTGGCGCTGATTTTATTTTTGCCATGGGGCATGTTCTTGCTGCCTATAAGTAGTTAGAAATGGAACTTCAATATATTTTGCTTATTTTTTTCTTTAATTTGCACCTCGTTATTTTTTGCGACTAATAGAAAGTGGTTTTTGAAGCGCATGCAGATTGGATTTATTCAGCATAAAAAAGTTCTCCCTGTGTTCATGGTAAATAAAAGAAGCCAATAATGTGTTTAAATCCAAAATAGAAAATGAATATGTCCACTTAAAAGAAGTAGTAAAGAGGAAGAGTTTATACTTTGTATATAAAGTAATATGAAAGCAAAGTTGACAAATTCTTGTCAGAGAGTTGACAGTCAAATTAATATAAAACAGGTTTTTAAAAAACTAGATTATAATCTACTCATTTTATATATAAATCGAGATTTTGATACTGTAGCTAAGCAAATAACCTTGAAAAATATTTTGCTATAGCGTTCTCATTTCTTTTTTCCTGTGGTAAATAAATTACCAGAAAGTTGCCTAAATTTTCTTCATTATCATCCATCTGACACAATGTGTGAAATTTTTATTGGTATGAAGTTACAACATCATCTGTAATATTAGTATAAAAATTATCTCAGGTGTTCCATATGTGTCTCATTATAAATTATTTTATCAAGCATAAAGTTTTGCAGCAGAGGGAACCTGTCATACACAGTGAGAAACTCCACTGGGAAGCTCCTATCACAGTGTTTGCCAAACCAACACAATGTTTTCCCTCAGCACCTGGGTTTTGCCATTGTATAGTCATGCATAAAAATACCAGGACAGTTGTATCTGGACTGATTCATTAATAAAAAATGTTTTAATGTAGATATGACTCCATTAAAGTAATATACATGTCTTTTAAAATTGGGTGTTTATTTTCTTCTTTATATACATCACACTTTATATACATATACCTTGAGATCACATTTCCAGCCTGCGTTTTTAACCAAAGGATAAGTGAAATACTAGTACATTGATCATATAAAGGAATTAGCAGTGGAGATGAGAAGTAGAAAAAAAGGATATTGTAAATCGGGCTATATATACCTGGTGTATTAGGCAGGGTGATCATACACATACATGTAATTAGATTTACTAAGAATGGGCTGACACAATTATGGAGGCTGACAAGTTCCACAGTATGCTCTCTACAGGCTGGAGACCCAGGAAAGCCAGTGGTGTACATTCCTGTGTGAGACTAAACGCCTGAGAATCAGGAATGCCACTGGTGTAAGTCACAGTCCAAAGGCAAGAGAAGACGGATGTCTCAGCTTATGCAGTGAGGTAGTGAGGGAAAGAATTCAACCTTTCTCTAACTTTTTGTCCTACTCAGACCCTCAATGGGTTTGATGATGCCCACCCATACTAGGGAGGGCAGTCTGCTTTATTCAGACCTCATTCAATTCAAACACTCATTTCTTCCCAAAACTCCTTCACGGGCCATCCAGAAATAATGTTTAACCAGATATCCGGGCATCCCATGGCTCAGTCAAGTTGACACATGAAATTAACCGTCACACTTGGCGTGGCCCAGTAGGAAACAAATCAGAGATAATAAATTTAATCATTGTATTGTAATCATTACCATTTTACTATTACCAACTCTCTCCGTTTGTATTTTCTGGGAAACAAAACTTCATACATAGAGTCTATATCTCAGTGATTTAAATTGAAGTTACAGTCTGGTGAAGGCAGAAAGAAAGTAGCAGTAGGGGCTCAGTCCATATTTATGGAATGAATTAGTTAATTGCCATGAACATATAATCATCGTGCTGTGATTTTCTTTAAATGTCTTGAATTCTAGAATCGTTAAGTATCTCCTTTACAATTTGAATCATTGTTGACAACAGCACATAAACATTATCTTTTTAAGTTACTTTTTACACCCACATTTTTTCTGATCATTTAAGAGCAGAGCAATTTTTAGAACTTGCCTGCTTTTAAATTGCCTTCTATATTATTATTCTTCTGGTTATACTATTTTAAGTTTATTCTTCATTATTTTATTAATCCTGAAGAGTAGGTCTGATTTACCTAATTATTTAATTATATTTATCATTTAGGTTTTTTTTTTTTTTTGAGACAGGGTCTCACTCTGTTGTCCAGGCTGGAGTGCAGTATCATGATCATGGTTCACTGTAGCCTCGACCTGGGTTCAGGCAGTCCTCCCTCCCAAGCTTCCCAAGTAGCTGGGACTACTGGTGCGTGACACCACACCTGGTCAATTTTTGCTTTTTTGTTTTGTTTTGTTTTGTTTTGTTTTTGTCATAAAGACAGGGTTTCACTATGTTGCTTATGCTGGTCTTGAACTCATGGATGGGCTGAAGCATTCTGCCCACCTCGGCCTCCCAAAATGCTGGGATTACAGGTGTGAGCACCATGCTGGGCCTATCCTCTTAGTTTTAATATATTTTAGAAACCGGTAACATGTAAGTACTTCACAAATCCTGATAGTTCAATATAGTGTTTAATACACCTTTTATCCGTAGGCAATATTTTGAATATCATATATACTTGGCCTTATTTAAAACCTGAAATGAAAATCAAGAAAATTTTATAGAATTGTCCTGTAACCTCTGATGCTAATTATAAAACTATAAAATTCTAAGGTGGGAAATGAGTTTCTAAACTTGCAACTAAAACTGAGAGGTCATCTTTACTTGAGAGTGTGTCAATCTACATGGCAATTCTTCAGATACCCTTGAAGGATATTTTTAAGGAAACCTAAGGAGTCTTCATCAGTCCTTAAAGAGAATAACATGGAACAGAGACTAAAGTTTAAAATCAAGGTAAAATGGCTGGTAAATGACAAATACTTGACTTGAAAAAAAATCTATATTTTGTGGGAGATTGTAAGATGCCTATCAACCTAAATTTTACTTTATTGTTTCAAAGCATTATAAAAGTGATGTAGATGCATGTGACACACAAAAAGGAAGCTTTAATAAAAAACTTTCAACGATGAATGAACTCAAAATATTAAACATTTATTTCTATGTTTACCTTTCAACATAAGTAATAAATATATTCACATTATAAAATGAGTTCTGAAAGTATGCAAGCATATACGTTAAAAAGTTAAAGTTTGTTTGGCATTACTTGTGACACTCCCTTCACATATTTCTTGCTATGCACCTACATATACAAATGGGTACATGTACAAATACCTTTTTTCTAACAAAAGGATTCCAACTGAATTTAATAATTCATTCATACATTTATATATTCTTTCAAAAATATTTATTGAGTGTCTACAATGTGCCAGATACTTTTGAATGAGAAGTGGAAAAAAAGTCCCTGCACTCATGTGATTTACCTCCTAGTAGGTAGAGACAGCAGAGTAACCAGCAGATATATATCTAGTACATCAGATGGTGATAAGTACTATGGAGAAAAATAAAGCAATGTGAGTTTGGAGGCATGCTGTTTTATATAGGGTAGCCAGGAGAAGCTTTGTTGTTAAGATGACGTTGAGCAGACAGTTGAAAGATGAGGGAGCAAGCCATGCAGCTGTCTTGGAGACAGACGGTCTTCCAGACAGAGGGAACAGCAAGTAAAAAACCCAAAGGCAGGAACCTGTTGGCCCTTTCAAGAAAGAACAGAGATGAGCATAGCTAAAACAGTGTTGTGACAAAAAGCAGGGAAATTTCTTAGGGAACTATTGCTGGAATCCATATGGAAGGTGGCGATAGTGCAGATCAGAGGGGAACTTTGCAAGAGATAGTTAAATTCTGAATATATTTTATATGTATTGACACTTAATATGCAAGTGTAAAAGAGAAAAGCAAAGTATATATCAATGGCTTTTGAACTAAAATAATGGAAGAATGGAGTTGTCATTTATTGATCTGGATATAACTGCAGAAAGGGCAGACTGAGATGAGAGTTGTTCAGTTTCGAACAGGTTGACTTTGTGTATGTTTTGATAAATATATTGTACATGTTGCTATTTACAGAGAAATGTAAAGGCACATCAAACATAAAGGTGTAGTACTAAATCATGACTGCATAAAATTATAATATATACTATTCTGCTGTAGCAATTTTGTAGCCACCTCCCGTTGCTATTTCATTGAGGTCAAATGTTTGAAATACCCACTTTAAAAAATGTGTGACACTAATAATCTCCACCTGAGCAGTTAGTCTCTTCAGTAAGTTGCATATTGCAGTAAAAATGATATTTCACAGTTCTAGCATATTTCTCATCTTGTTTAGTATAATACCATAAACCTTGAATAACATCATGGGATCTATACTAAGTGCCACTCGTGATGCTGTAAATGTTCCCAAGAAGGCAAGTTATGACAAAAAAACTTGAGTTGCTTAATATGTACCATAGATTGAGGTCTGCAGCTGCAGTTGACCACCATTTCAAGATAAATGAATCCATCATAAGGACTATTGTGAAAAAGAAAAGAAAATTAGGGAAGCTGTGAAAGTGTCACTGACACTTTTTGTGGAAGGTTTTTGAAAATGCAGTTTTATGTGGGTATGTGATTGTGAAAAGAAAAGCCTGTCTATAAACACTAATTTGATTTGAGAAAAAGTGAAGTCATTATATGACAAGTTAAAGCAAAAGGATCTAAATCTACATCAGTAAAGGATTTAAAGCTGGAGAATTTAATGTCAACAAGGGATGGTGTGATGATTTTAGAAAGACGTTTGGCTTAAAACAAATTGTCAAGATAATAGGAGAAGCAGCAGATGCTGATCAAGAGGCAGCAGACAAGTTCCCAGATGCTATTAAGAAAACTGTTGAAATGTAAGGGTATCTTCCTGAAAAAATTTTCAGTGCAGATAAAAGTGCCATATTCTGGATAAAAAAAAATGCCACAAAGAACACTTATTAATAAGGAAGAGAAGCAAGCACCAGGATTTAAGGCAGGAAGAGATAGGCTAAGGCTACTGTTTTGTGCAAATTCAGTCAAGTTTATCATCAGAAATGTCCTTATCTCTAAAATTACTAACTCCTGGGCCTTGAAGGGAAAAGATAGACATCAGTTGCCTGCTTTTCAGTTGTACAACGAGAAGGCCTGGACAAGAACCCTTTTTCTGGATTGATTTCATCAATGCTATGTCTGAAGTCATGAAGTATCTTGTCCATAAGGGGCTGCTTTTAAAGTTCTTTTGATATGATACTGGACAATGTGCCTGGCCATGCAGAACCCCGTAAGTTCAACACTGCTTTAAAGAAGATGTACAGATAGCTAACAAGTGTATGGAAAAGTGCTCAACATTACTGATCATCAGGGAAAGGCAAATTAAAACCACAATGAAATGTCACCTCATACCTGTTAAAATGACTGCTATTAAAAAAAAAAAGCCACAGGACAACAAATCTTGACAAGGATATAAAGGGAACCCTTTTACACTGTTGGGAGGAATGTAAATTGGTGCAGTCGCTATGGAAAATGATACGGAGGTTCCTCAAAGAATTAAAAGTAGAATTACCATTTGATTCAGCATTCTGACTTTTGAGTATGTATCTAAAGGAATTGAAATCGGATCTCGAAGAGATATCTGTGCTCCTGTATTTATGACAGCATTATTCACAGTAACCTAAGATATGGAATCATTTCATCTCCATTAATGAATAAATGGATAAAGAAACTGTGGTACACACATACAATGGAATATTACTCAGCCTTTAAAAAGAAGCAAGTCCTGCCATTTTCTACAATATGGATGGACCTGGAGAAAATTATCTTAAGTGAATTAAGCCAGGCAGAGAAAAATACTGCATGATCTCACTTGTATGTGAAATCTAAAATAGTCAAACACAGAAGCAAGAGCAGGGGCTGGGTGGGAGAGAAATAGGGAAGTATTAGTCAAAGGGTACAAAGTTTTGATTATACAAAATAAAATTTGGAGATATATTGTGTGTATAATACAGGGGCTATGATTCACAGTACTGTATTTTATACTTAAAAATTCCTAAAAGGGTGTATCTTATATTAAGTCCTTTTACTACAAATGGAGAAAAAAACAGGGAGGAGACAACTTTTAAAGGTAATGAATAAGTTTTTGGCATTGCTAATGATGCTGGCTTGATGGCTTTACAGGTGTTGACTTATTTCCAAACACATGAAGTTGTATACATTACATATCTGCAGCTTTTTATATGTCAACCATACCTCAATAAAACAGTTTTAAGAAAAGAAAGGGAGGGGAAAAATACATATCAGGTGTGAATTGTTCATTCATTAGAAACTAAAGAATATTTAGCCATGAATTGAGTGACTGGCCCATATTAAGTACTCAATAAATATATATAAGATTAAAAATCCAAATTGTAAAAAGTCGAAACAGCAAATGAAGTGTGAAATGAAGCTGGCAAACCAGGCACAAGCAGATCATGTAGGATTTTGTCAATTGTACTAAGGATTGGGGTCTTAATATTAAAAGGAGAAAAGGGATTTGTTAAGGAGAAGAAGGATTTTTTAAACAGGAAAGTGAACTGATGAGGTTTGATTTTTTTTTTTCTCTTTTTGGAGGTGGAGTCTCGTTCTGTCACCCAGGCTGGAGTGCAGTGGTACAATCTCGGCTCACTGCAACCTCCACCTCTGCCTCCTAGGTTCAAGAGATTCTCCTGCCTCAGCCTCCGAAGTAGCTCGGATTACAGGTGCCCATCACCATGCCTGGCTAATTTTTAAATTTTTAGTACAGACGGGGTTTCGCCATGTTGGCCAGGCTGGTCTTGAACTCCTGACCTCAGGTGATCTGCCCACCTTGGCCTCCCAAAGTGCTGGAATTATAGGCGTGAGCCACCATGCCTGGCCCTGACGAGGTTTACATTTTAAAAGATCATCATGGTTGCAGAATTGAGATTGGAATACAAGGGAGCAAGAGTGGATGTTGGCACACCAATCAAAAGACTGTTGTACCAGTCCAGGTAGTTTGGGATTGTGGAAATAGAGAATTTATAGATTTGAGGAAAATTTAGGAGATAAATAAACAGGAATTTCTAAAACAAACTGAATGAGAAAGTGTCAGAGATGTCTCCAGAATTTTTTGACTTGTGTAAATTAATAAATATTAGTGCCAGTTATTAAATTCTGAAACTTCATGAGATCTAGATTTGTATTATGAAGTTAGTTTAATTTTACATATGTTGATTTTAAGGTGCCAATGAAATATCCATTTGGAAATGGTGGTTAGGATATTGATAAGGCAAGAAATAACTAAGATCAAAGCAGAATTGAAGGAGATAGAGAAGCCAAAAACCCTTCAAAAAAATAAAGATCAACAAAATTGATAGACCACTAGCAAGACTAATAAAGAAGAAAAGAGAAAAGAATCAAATAGATGCAATAAAAAATGATAAAGGAGATTATCACCACCGATCCCACAGAAATACAAACTACCATCGGAGAATACTATAAACACCTCTACTCAAATAAACTAGAAAATCTAGAAGAAATGGATAAATTCCTTGACACATACACCCTCCCAAGACTAAACCAGGAAGAAGTTGAATCTCTTAATAGAACAATAACAGGCTCTGAAATTGAGGCAATAATTAATGGCTTACCAACCAAAAAAAGTCCAGGACCTGACGGATTCACAGCCGAATTCTACCAGAGGTACAAGGAGGTGCTGGTACCATTCCTTCTGAAACTATTCCAATCAACAGAAAAAGAGGGAATCCTTCCTAACTCATTTTATGAGGCCAGCATCATCCTGATACCAAAGCCTGGCAGAGACACAACAAAAAAATAGAATTTTAGACCAATATCCGTGATGAACATCAATGCAAAAATCCTCAATAAAATACTGGCAACCCGAATCCAGCAGCACATCAAAAAGCTTATCCACCATGATCAAGTGGGCTTCATCCCTGGGATGCAAGGCTGGTTCAACATACGCAAATCAATAAACGTAATCCGGCATATAAACAGAACCAAAGACAAAAACCACATGATTATCTCAATAGATGCAGAAAAGGCCTTCGACAAAATTCAACAGCCCTTCATGCTAAAAACTCTCAATAAATTAGGTATTGATGGGACGTATTTAAAAATAATGAGCTATGTATGACAAACCCACAGCCAATATCATACTGAATGGGCAAAAACTGGAAGCAGTCCCTTTGAAAACTGGCACAAGACAGGGATGCCCTCTCTCACCACTCCTATTCAACATAGTGTTGGAAGTTCTGGCCAGGGCAATTAGGCAGGAGAAGCAAATAAAGGGCATTCAATTAGGAAAAGAGGAAGTCAAATTGTCCCTGTTTGCAGATGACATGATTGTATATTTAGAAAACCCCATCATCTCAGCCCAAAATCTCCCTAAGGTGATAAGCAACTTCAGCAAAGTCTCAGGATACAAAATCAATATGCAAAAATCACAAGCATTCTTATACACCAATAACAGACAAACAGAGAGCCAAATCATGAGTGAACTCCCATTCACAATTGCTTCAAAGAGAATAAAATACCTAGGAATCCACCTTACAAGGGATGTGAAGGACCTCTTCTAGGAGAACTACAAACCACTGCTCAACAAAATAAAAGAGGATACAAACAAATGGAAGAACATTCCATGCTCATGGATAGGAAGAATCAATATTGTGAAAATGGCCATACTGCCCAAGGTAATTTAGAGATTCATTGCCATCCCCATCAAACTACCAATGACTTTCTCCACGGAATTGGAAAAAACTAAAGTTCATATGGAACCAAAAAAAAGCCCTCATTGCCAAGTCAATCCTAAGCCAAAAGAACAAAGCTGGAGGCATCACGCTACCTGACTTCAAACTATACTACAAGGCTACAATAACCAAAACAGCATGGTACTAGTACCAAAACAGAGATGTAGACCAATGGAACAGAACAGAGCCCTCAGAAATAATACTACACATCTACAACTATCTGATCTTTGACAAACCTGACAAAAACAACAAATGGGGAAAGCAATCCCTGTTTAATAAATGGTGCTGGGAAAACTGGCTAGCCATATGTAGAAAGCTGAAACTGGATCCCTTCCTTACACCTTATACAAAAATTAATTCAAGATGGATTAAAGACTTACATGTTAGACCGAAAACCATAAAAACCCTAGAGGAAAACCTAGGCAATACCATTCAGGACATAGGCATGGGCAAGGACTTTATGACTAAAACACCAAAAGCAATGGCAACAAAAGCCAAAATTGACAAATGGGATCTAATTAAGCTAAAGAGCTTCTGCACAGCAAAAGAAACTACCATCGGAGTGAACAGGCAACCTACAGAATGGGAGAAAATTTTTGCAATCTACTCATCTGACAAAGGGCTAATATCCAGAATCTACAATGAACTCAAACAAATTTACAAGAAAAAAATAACCCCATCAAAAAGTGGGTGAAGGATATGAACAGACACTTCTCAAAAGACATTTATGCAGCCAACAGGCACATGAAAAAATGCTCATCATCACTGGCCATCCGATAAATGCAAATCAAAACCACAATGAGATATCATCTCACGCCAGTTAGAATAGTGATCATTAAAAAGTCAGGAAACAACAGGTTCTCGAGAGGATGTGGAGAAATAGGAACACTTTTACACTGTTGCTGGGACTGTAAACTAGTTCAACCATTGTGGAAGACAGTGTGGCAATTCCTCAGGTATCTAGAACTAGAAATACCATTTGACCCAGCCATCCCATTACTGGGTATATACCCAAAGGATTATAAATCATGCTGCTATAAAGACACATGCACACATATGTTTATTGCAGCACTACTCACAATAGCAAAGACTTGGAACCAACCCAAATGTCCAACAATGATAGACTGGATTAAGAAAATGTGGCACATACACACCATGGAATACTCTGCAGCCATAAAAAATGATGAGTTCATGTCCTTTGTAGGGATATGGATGAAGCTGGAAACCATCATTCTCAGCAAACTATCGCAAGGACAAAAAACCAAACACCGCATGTTCTCACTCATAGGTGGGAATTGAACATTGAGAACACTTGGACACAGGAAGGGGAGCATCACACCCCGGGGCCTGTTGTGGGGTGGGGGAAGGGGGGAGGGATAGCATTAGGAGATATACCTAATGTAAATGACGAGTTAATGGGTGCAGCATGCCAACATGGCACATGTATACATATGTAACTAACCTGCACATTGTGCACATGTACCTTAGAGCTTAAAGTATAATATAAAACTATATATATATATATATGTATAAAGGATATTGATAATGCAAAACTAGATCTCACAGAAGACTATAGGATTCCAGATATAATATAGGAATGGTAATGGGTTGATAAATACCTCCCAAAAAGTCATGTTCATGAAGAACTTCAGAATATGACCTTATCTGAAAACTGGGTATTTGCAAATTTAATTAGTTAAGATGGAGTCATCATACTGGATTGGGTAGGCCCTAAATCTAATGATTGATATCCTAGGAGAGTGCACACAGAGAGACACAGAGAAAACTGCCATGTGAAGACAGGTAGAAAATGACAAGGATTGCTAGTAATCACCAGAAACTGGTAATGGAAGAAACAATGAAGTATTCTTCCCTAGAGCCTTCAGAGGGTCTGTGGCCTAGCCAACAGCTTGATTTTGGACTGCTGGCATCTAGATTTGTGAGAGAATTAATTTCTGTTGTCTTAAGCCATCCAGTTTGTGGTTATTTTGTTACTGCAGCCTGAGAAAACTAATACAAGAATTATCATTGTGTATTACGGTATAGATAAGATATCCTAGAGAAGGTATAGTTAGGGGAAGAGTATAGGTAGTGCAAAGGTTACAAATTGGCTATCACTGACAGAGGGTGCTCACAGACTAATTTTGGGCAACTTGGGCAATTTTATTATGCCCACCTTGTGCTTTAAAAAGCAGTAGGACCCAGCAGATGTGATACTTGGTTACCATACAAATAGGTTTATACCTATTACATCCTACCTACCACTTTATACATGTGTTTAACCACTGCAGGCATTTGAGTTTTTGAGCCTTTGTTCAAAGAAAGTATTAAAGGGATGTGGGGAATGGCAAGAGAAAACCACAGGAACATTTCATAGGCAGATAGAATGTGATGAGTCAGCAAGGGAGTATAAAGAGAATTAAGGCCACAAATAAGAAAGAATGGCATTATGGAAGCCAGATGAAGAGATTGTTTAATGAATGAGGTATCAAGAGTTTCCGGAAATCTACAGTATTTTTTAACCCATTGTGTTTGTTCTCAGAGATTACGCTGTTGAGGGAAACAAGAGCTGCTGCTGACATGGTTAATGTGTGTGTTTTAGAAAGATAATATTGCTCTTAGTATAAAGGATGGGCAAAAAGACCAAAACAAAGCGACTAAAGATTTAATGAGTAGGTATTGCATTACCAAGTTAGTAGCTAATGAAGACTGAATATGAACAGGAAGTATAATTAAGAGGATGTATGTATAAGAATTTAGAATAATGGAAAATGGTTCTAAAGTTCAAGCTTGTTTAGTTAGGTGGATAATGATATTAACACAAGAAGGAATAACTAGTACAATCTCTAAGAGATTATTGATTCTAAAGCTTGCAAGAAATACTAAGAAATAGGATAGAAAAGAAGAGACTTCATCTATTCCAAAATTATGGAAGTGAGGCTAGGGGAAAGCAATTTGATTCACTGATAAAGGATGATTAATGCTTAATTTGATTAGATTTGAATATGGGTATATGAATGCAAAGAGAAGACTGATACATAAAAGTAGAAATGGTGAACTCTAACTTTGATTCAGGTCATATGAGGGAGCTTCAGTCCTCACTGCAGACAGAATAAAACTAATGAAACAGATTCTGAAGATAATATTGAGGATCTACATAAAAGGCTTTGTTTGACTTTGAGGGTTTGCTGCCTCCTTATCAGTTGTTTGCATTTAACTCCATTAGATAAAGAGCAAAGGTGTGAGGCCACTGTGATCTCAGCCGCAAAGGAAACTGTTAACGCAGATTCAGAAAACTTCAAGATGGTTATGTAACCACGTGGTGTCCAGAGGAGTGATGTGTTTTCCTGTAGCTTTGAGCCAAGGCTGGCAGTTCCTGTAAACTGCAGTCGTATCTTAAAGTTCCTAGGTGTTTTGGATAGGAATTCAGGGATCCAGGTGCATCAAGGAAGACTGCCCTTCTGTCCTTCATACGTTGTTAAATATTTAAGAGGGAGCTCTCTTACACACAGGTTGAGTACCCTCTGTCAGCCTTTGTTGTGGTGGTAAATAGTAGCTTTATGTGTTCTAAGGGAGACCGTAACCCTCCTTCAGCCTCATAATCTTCATCAGCACAAGTCAGGAAACATTTTTGAAGTAAGACCATCTTTTATTATGCTCCACTTCTCCAATCACAGCCCCATGGGCTCCAGGTGTGATGGCTCCCTTGCTGGCTTCCATCTGTATCACCTGGAAACAAGAGGGATCCCAGGAATCCTGTGTTTCTCTGCCCATATCTTCGCTTTATCACCAGAAATCAGTTGGGAAGCCCAGAACTCTGTTCCCATGGAAAAATTTTCACCCCATCTTCCCTCTACCACAACACTTACAGCTTCACCACTTTGTCTCTAGAACTCTGAGAACTAATCCCATCATGCCTTTTATCCCTATTCATATTAGCTACCACCAGAGCCTGAGGACTCACAGCTCGTTTCTTATTCCTAGGACCCTAATCAAAGGTATCTCCATAAGCGCTTGGTTTTTACTAAGTATCCCATTTTCTGGAATTCACAGTCAGTCATTATCAAAATTGCCTATATATACTGCCTCTTCTCTGAAAGTTTTTTTATTTTCCTACCTAATCAAAACCTAGCTCTTGTAATGAAGCACACTACCCATACTCCTCAAGCAGTGGATTTCTCTCCCACATTCCTTGTATGGAATAAGCCTCCATACTTCTCATTGCTAATCGTAGACTGTGTGTGTTATCTAATGTTGTGTAAGAAGTCACCCCAAAACTCAATGGCTTATAGCGACAACAATTATTTAGTATCTCTCATAGTTTCTGTGGGTCAAGAATTTGGGAGTATACTTGGCTATGGGTTTCTTGTATTAGATTTTTCCTTCTAATAATATACCCTTTCCAGTGTAGTGTATTTTTCATATATGCTGTACCCCTTTCAATCTAATGTTAAGTAGTATTTTTTCTAGTCCAAGTTTTCTTTAGATTATCACTGAGGGAAGACCTCTCTGCCTGGAGAGTAACTATATCCCACTGGAAGCTCAGTTTTTAAATTTTTGTTTCATATTTCATTAAATCTTCCTCTCATCCTTATGGCATGCTTCTTTATTAGATTTAAATCTCTGCTCAAATAGCACACCCTCAGAAAAAGACTTCTGTGTTAATTAGAACAGAGATGTTTTATGGGTATTCCTGAGATATTGTTTCCCTTGTTCCCTGGGTTTCGCCTGTGACCACAATCATCATCTGTTTATTCTAGTGTGATATACAGATTTTGCTATATTCCAAGATTGCTGAGCTATAAAAAGTTTGGCAAACATTAAGATGAAGATTTAAATGTAAAATAGATTTAGGACCAAAGTAACAGTGACTTAAACAAGACACAGGGACATTTATATTTCAATCCAGAGGTCAACAAGTAGAACTGCTCTAGAAGCTTTGTACCAAAAAGTCTTACAGGAACCGAAGGTTCTTCTGTTTTTTTGCTCTACTCTCTACTGCTCTTGTTTGCATGGTCTTAGTTTGCTTGGTACCGTGAACACATTCCAGACAGAAAAGAAATTAAGTAAGCAGGTAGGGGTAGAAAGTGTGGGTGAAAGAACATACCCCCCCATCCCTTTTAAGTACGTGACCTGGAATTTGCACATATAATTTCTGCCCACATTCAACTGGCCACAACCTACTCATGTAGCTATCCTAGTAGTTGCATGGAAATCTGAGAATTGCAGCCTCTAGTCTCAGCAGTTGAGTTCTCTGTTAGTACTAGGAATAAGGAGAGAACGGATGGGTAAAGGGAGGAGTAGCTGTTTTATTGGTTAGTAATAAACCAGTTTGAATAAAATAGCACACCCCTGTCTCTCTAGCCCTTTACTTTTTACAGCGAGATCTGTATTTCTCTTTTTATTTGTCAGGAAAAAAATAAAATACTTATTGTAACCCTTTCATTTAGCAATAATCATGTCTCACTTAAATCATAAAAGCTTCAGTAAAACCCAAACCAGTCTTTGAAGTCATCTTGGAAATAGAAGAAGTAGCCCAGAGTCCCTAGGACTTGGATAGGCTGCAAGGGCTCTATGAGTCCTATGCAATTGTAACTGAAATTGTTTGTTAATGTACATTTATATAGCATGAGTGTTTAAGAGCATGAGTTCTGGATTCAGATTGCCTGAGTTTAAATTCCAGCTCTGCCTTGTGCTTGATTTGTAAGTAAGGCAATTGACTTAACCTGTCTGTCTGTGCTCAGTTTCCCTATCTGGAACATGAGAATAATAGTATACCTACTTCACAGAATTGTTCTAGGAACTGAAGCTAGTTAATACATTTAAAGGACTTACAATAGTGTCTCAATGTTAAGTGCTGTGTAAATACTAGCATTTTTATTGATACATAATATTTGTACATATTTACAGGGTATATGTGATATTTTGATAAATGCACAGAATGTGTAATGATCAAGCCAGGGTATTCAGGATATCCATCACTTCAAGCATTTATCATTTCTGTGTATTGGGAACATTTCAAATCTCTTCTAGCTGTTTTTAAATATACAATATATTGTTGTTAACTATAGCTACCTTGCTGTGCTATCGAATATTAAAACTTATTTCTTCAATCCAATTGTATGTTTGTACCAATTAATCTACCTCTCTTCATCTACCTCTCCCCACAGCACATATACCCCTCCCAGCCTCAAGTAACTGTCATTCTACTCCCTATCTCCATGAGATAATATTTTTAGCTCTCACATATGAGTGAGAATGTGCAATATTTGCCTTTTTGTGCCTGGCTTATTTCACTTAACACAGTGACTTCCGTTTCTACCCATATTGCTGCAAATGTAGGGTTTTTTTTTTTTTTTGACCAAATAATACTCTATTGTGTATATACCACATTTTCCTTACCTATATCTATTCATCTGTTGATGGATACTTAGGATAATTTCATATCTTTGCTACTGTGAATAGTGCTGCAATAAACATGAGGTTGTAGATATCCTTTTGAGATAATTGATTATTTTCCTTTGGATAAATATCCAGTAATGGGATTTCTGGATTGTATGTATGGTAGTTCTGTTTTTGTTTTTTTGAGAAACCTCCATGCTGTTTTTCATATGGCTAGCTACATGATTTGCATTTCCCTGATGATTAGTGATGTTCAGCATTTTTTCATACACCTCTTGGCCATTTATATGCCAACTTTTCAGAAATGTCTGTTCAGATCCTTTGGCTACATTTTAATTGAATTAGTTGTTTTGCTGTTGAGTTGTTTATTTGTATTATTATTTATATTCCTAGGGAGGATCGTCCATATCTTCCATCTGATTATCAGTAGGGTCTGTTATAAATTTTTATTTAATACCTGAACATCTGGATAGGCTATGATTGTAACATCTTTCTTAGGCTATGATTGTAAAAGTTAAACTTGTTCTCTTTTAATCAAAAGTCATCTGATCCCTCATGGTACAGAAGTTTATTTAGGGGAAGCTATCCCAATTGCATTTTCTTACAAAGCACCTTTTTGTTTTTATTTTATTTTACTTTTTATAATATAATATAAATTAATATTTATGTTTATCTCGACTTTTTTTTAATTGTCACTGGGTTTGTTTTAAATAAAATTTTCCAGGTCTTAATTTAAAATAGAAATTGCTTTTTTTTTCTTTTCAAAAACCCTGTGGAACTAATAGTTCTACATCAGAAATTTTAACATCACCAAGTTGCATGTGTAACTATAAGTTGAGCAGTAGATATGTGATTAAGTAATGAACATTGATTTTTGTTTTTGTTGTAAAACAGGTGCAATTGAGCTGAATTGGGTCATAGTTGAAAATATTACAGTCTGTTAGTATAATGAAGAAATAAGAGCCTGTACAGCTGTTCTTTTTCTGAAAGGGGAACATAGTGGCTAAAAGAAAAAATCTGATGCTTCAACATTGTTAGGAATGAATTTATATTGTCCTATAATAAATTGCCAAATGTCATATTTAATAAATCATTTTTAAAAAGTCAGACCAACAATAAATTTTCAATATCTCATTACTTATCTCCTATAGTTATATTGAATATCAAGAGTATTTGCATTTTAAATTGCTAAATCTTACAGAAATTGTTTTGGCAAATTGGTTGGTACCAGACTTGGAATTTAAACACAAAGCAGCTGTGTTGAGCAAATACCATTTTCATAACATTTGTATGCTTTCAATTAACAAACTGGAAGGAACTGTTAAACATCACCATTTCCATGTTTAACTACTGTTTTTACTTTCTCAATGACTGATTTGCTTTCTTGGTAGATTATTTATTTTAACTGAAAAAGAAAGAATTTTATTTAAATAATCCGTATTTTTCCCCCATCTGCAGAACGTACTCAGGAAAAGTGGGGATTTCCAATGTGCCACTATTTAAAGGAAGAGAGATGGTGCTGTGGTCGTAATGCCAGAATGTCAGCATGTTTGGTATGGTTATATTTTTTCCTGGAGTAACAGCTTTATCCAGATGTTGTAGAATTTATTATTTTTGGCTAGTATCATGCATTCAATGCCAAATTTTGCAGAACATCCCATTAATGCTTTTGTGCATTGGAAATTATAAGAAAAAAATGACTTGCCCTTTAAACAATATCCACTCTACATGCAGTGTCATGATAAAATTATATATATTTTAATTATTAAATAAAATATAATGTAAAGTGTTCAATACTTTATCCAACGCTCTGTGGTTTGTGTTTCTTTATAGCAGATCGTTTGGTTTCCTAAATTTTTATAGAATGGGAAAAATATTAAGCTAATTGAGATATGAAGTAACTATCTAATTAAATAAAACATTTATTGTGCTGCATTTGACTAGTGCCCTCAGACCTAGAACACTCTAGCCCATAATGTTCTCTGTTCATGGCACTATGTCAGTTTACAAAGAAATGAGTTAAATAATGTAAGTGATTTTTGTGTTATCAGAAAATTAAAATACTGCAGCTATGTAGAATTAATAAATTTAGAGACCTAAAGTACAACGTAAGGACTATAGTTACTATTGTATTATATACTGGAAATCTTCTGAGTAGATTTTAGGTGCTCTTACTGCACACACACACAAACAGTAATTATGTAAGATGGTGGATATGTTATTAATAAATTGCTTACCTATTATAATCATTTCACTAGATATAGATGCTGCTCAGCTTATGATGGGGTTATGTCCCAATAAACCCTTCATACCTTGAAACTACAGACAAAAATGCACTTAATATACCTAACTTACCAAATATCATAGCTTAACTCAGCCTACTTTAAATGTGGTCAGAACACTTAAACATTAACCTACAGTTGGGCAAAATCATCTAACACAAAGCCTGTTTTATAATAAAGTGCTGAATATCTCATGCAATTTATTGAAAACTGTATGGAAAGTGAAAAATAGAATGGTTGTATGAGTATTCAAATTATAGTATCTACTGAATGCATATCACTTTTGCACTATTGCAAAGTTGAAAGTTGGGAACTGTCTATATATATATAAACATCATGTTGTATACTTTAAATTTATGCAATAAAATATTTAACAAAGTAAAATAAAATAAAATACAGTTGATTAAATAATATGTTTAATGTCCAACTGCAAGATAAACCAATTCTTTTAGGACCCATTATTTCTATGCCTGTTACATAGCAATATAAGAAATAGTGTGCCAGTGTTCTAAGTTATATACTAGAATTATCTTAGAAATGTATTTATGCTAACATAATAATTTCCTTTGGTAGCCCCACTTAAATTACTTTTCTGGAAATTTGTCTTGTTCTCTCACTCTCTAGTAAATGGTACTTGTTCAAGGTCTTGTTAGAATGACAGCTTCTTCTTGGGATAACTTGAGCATCAAAATGCTCATAGCCAGTGTTATACCCTTGACAAAAAAAGAGAGAGATTAGATTTAAAAAAAGAAAAAGCAACTGGGAAGAAATGTAGACTATCTAAAAGAAAAGAACTATGTAATATCCCTTAGAAAGACAAAAGAATAGATTGTATCCATAAAAAAGAATTATTTCTATTAAAATAAACATTCAGAGAACCAAAACAAATACTTTGGAAAATAAATTCTGTAAATATAGAATTAGCAGACCATGCTGGCCTTAACTTGCCCTGATCAATGTCAGCTGCCCATGGAATGCCCTTCTCCTTAGCTCCATCCCAACCCATGTCCACCTTGTCTTATTTTTTTGATTCCAAAGTAATGTTGGAAAATCTAAGGAACAATTCTTTTAATATATCTTATTTTATTGCCTTTCGCTCCATAACTGACATTTTTGAAAAATATTCAAATCTTAAGTGGTCTTCTTTAAAAAAAAAAAAAAAAAAAAGATACTTTGCTGGGTTTTCTGGGGAATGCTTTCAGATAAACAGTTAAGGATACTAACCAGACACAAAATATTAATTAAATTAGAGCAATATCATTAGCATATGTTAAGCCTGATAAAACTTCTAAATTATTCCAGAGTAGCATGAAATGAATGCTTGGTATGTTTTCTCATCCTCTTTGTTCATTGTTCAAGAATAGTATTAATGTTTGCAAAACACTTTGTAACCACCTACCTGATTATTTTTTATTATGTAATCACAATTTATTATTTCTATTTCTAAATTAAGCTTATCAGCAACACATACCAAAAGCAGTCTTGGGGTATATGATATTTTTATGGACACCAAATCGCCTCTTTTTAAATAGTCTATTTTTTTTTAATTCAGTTTGGCCTTTAGGAAAATTTATAAGAAAAATCTAATCTGAAATTAGCACAAGGAGTACCATAAATGAAAACTCATTGTTATCTTCAAGGATAAATCTGTTCTGGACCTGTTGCTGTTATCATAATATGAAAATTATGTAATAGCTGTCTCCTGTATTCGTAACATTCTACTTGGCTGTAGATGTTCAGTGAAAGTATCCTTCAAGTAAATGGGAATATTACATTTTTTTTCTTCAAACCATTTCCGTGAAGCCAGTTTTCATGCAATGAACTCTTTTTCCCACTAACTCCACATGGTGTGAGGGCATGTTAAACCAGGATTCAAATAACAGGTTTTTAGTTCTTGCTCAGTTCTTTGCTAACTAGCTATGCAATTTGAGGAAAGTTAACTTATCTTGATAGTGATCTTGTGTATCTACAAAAATTGCTCTTATACTTATGAAAAGATATTGTAAATTATCTTTTCATTTTAAAAGTGTGTGATTTAGCTATATGTAAACAGTTTCATTTATGAAAATATAAAAACCTGAAGCAAATATGGGTATTTTAAATTTGAATAGCAAGTATATGCACATCTCTTATACATTTATTACTTTTCTGTGTTTGAAATGTTTCCTAATTTAAACTTTTTTAATAAAATTTAGCTAAAAATTATATATATTTGGAAATATATCTAAAAACTCAAAGTTTCAGAATACTCTATTCCATATTTAAATTATGACAAATCTTTTATATATTTTGAAGTGTGAGTATTTATTATAAATGTTAGGAAATATTTTGTAAAAAATATTTTGGATTTTAAATAAATATAAATGCAAAAACCAGTGTATATAAAATTGTAAAAATATGTTTTACTTTCTCTTCTACCTGGTACTTGATCATATGTGAACTTGATTTGAATTTGTAGATCACACAGACCAAAAATACATATAGTTTTCCAAAATAAGTTTTTAATTATAATCTGGATTTTTTTTGTTCACTAAAAGATGAAATCATATGTTTATTAAAATTATGAGAAAATATGTTAAAATATATAAATATATCTATGTCTGTATATGTGCATAATAATAGTGTTGGATTTATTTGATTGTTTTAGCTACACTAAAAATGAACCAAGACTATGTCATTTCATTTCTTTCCTGTTTTCTAATTCCTTCTGAAATTCAAGGACTGTATATAATTAGAATTGACATTCAAGGATATGTGTTTGTGTATATGACACACATCCATTATAAATTAGCTCTAAATTACACAAGCATATTAGTTAACATTCTTTAATGATATTAACACTGTTAAGTGCATAAACTTACATATTATCACATAATTAATCTTTCTAAATGTCAGTTTTACAAACTCTTATACAGTGTGTTTATAAATCTTATAAGACTCAATATATCAACAATCTGTCTTGTTTTTTTCCCTTTAAGGCATTGGAGCGGGTTGCAGCTGGCCAAGGGGTAAGTAAGAGTGTTAACTGATGAACACGACAGTTTTTCTCTCAAGTACTCTTCATACTTGACCTGCTGATGAACTTAAAACCTAATGGAATTTAATAAATATCTTGTCCCAGATGCATATTCAAATTTGTGCATTTTCTGTAAGTTTACTTTAAAAGCAAAATGAACTTTTCAGAACTTTTGAGCTTTTAGGAAAATGTCTGCATTATGCTCTTATACTACTCATTTCTTTGTATTATACTAAACAGTCTATAAATATTTCTGAAGAATGCTGTTGTTGACAATTAGGTTTTTAGGTGCTTAGTTCAAGCAAAGATAACCTATATTATTCAGTGCATTATTTTAACTATAGTCCAAAACACATACTTCAGTTGATTGTTTGATAAATTTTTTCTTTACTGACTTGATTAACCATTAGTTGCAGTGGCCAAATGGGTTTGCACTTAGAGATAGAAGTTAAATATAATCCCCCAAATATCCATGTAATTGTCTTATCCTTTACCTTGTATTCAGGAAACATTAAGATTTTTTTAAGAGTTTTTGGACCCTTTCATAAAATTTTTAAATTTAACCTAAAGTTTAGAAATATTTCTTTTGCTTTTGTTCAAGGAACATTAATGTGTCAATTTGAATTGTTAAAAATAATAATTTAAAAAATAATTTTAATAACAAGTATCATTTACTGAGTGATTACCCTGGGCCAGAAACATTGTTAAGCATTTTGTATGTAATTATCTTTTTAATATATACACTGTGCCTATCTTAAAATTGATAAAATCTGATTCTTTTGAAGGCATTAGCGTTAGAGCATATCATTTGAGTTTGGGGACTTTAAGTGTGTGGGACTTTAGTTACAAACTACTGGTTTGCATCATGTCTTTATCACTTACTAGTTCATAACCCTGGACACATGTCATCATTTCTCTGTAGCTTAATTTCTTTATCTGTAAAATAGGGAAAAAAAGTGGAGTGATAATAATACCTTCCTATAGGGTTGTTAGGATGAAGTGAATGAAAAATGTACAATGCTTAAAACAATGTCTAACACATAGTAATTGCTCAATAAATGCCAACTGTTGTTGCTGTTATAGATAATTAATAATTATGATCATGAAAATAATAGCTAAATTTAATACAGAGCTTACCAAAGTACTATTTAAAGATCTTCTCATCAATTGAGATAATAAATACATAGTACTATATAGTATGTACTCTTACTATCCCATGATACACATGAAGAGACTGTAAGGTAACAAAGACTAAGACTTGAATCTCTGAGTCTGCAGTTCAAGCTCTTAACTACTATACTGCATATCAACTTAATGGTTTTCTAGAGGTCTGGGGGAAAAAAGAGAGCTTTTATCATAATACTCTAATGCATTCATGTGGTGTTTTTTTAATTTTACAAGTGTTTGCTCATACTTACACTCAATCTTATTAGTTGGGTATTATCCTAAACCTGCATGAGAATGATATAGAGCAAAAGTTTAATAGTGTGTTCTAGTTCCCTTAATTAATTGCAGAGCCCTGACTTCCAACTTAGTGCCCTTTCCACTAGACCTGTAAAATGCATGTCTGATACACATGCTTTAAGGGTATACACTTTGTGTTCCCTCCCATTTTAAAAATGCATTAAAATGTTAATGTATCACTTAAGGGAAATAAAGTAAACTCTGGCCACATCCAGTTTGTTCTTGGAATAGTCAGGCACAGACTGTTCAGGAGATACTGATTCCCTTTCCACTTACCCATTTGTATTTACCAGGATAGGTAGTCCGACTTAGTTATTCCAGTAATGCACATTTGAAGGTATTTTATAACCTCTTCCCTTTCTCTTAGGAAACAGCTGTAAAGCTCTTATTTACTCAGAGTAACTTGAGAATGATGACTTATTCTGTTCTGCTGTATTTTTCTGTGCATTCATTTTTTTATGTTATCTTGTTTAAAATGAACTTGTTCTTTTTTGTTGTATTTTACAATCATTTTAATAACAATATAAATACATATTTATTTCAAAGTTATCTTGATACCATTTAATGTAATTTGTTCAAAGGCATGAGAAAGAAGAGATTTTAACTATTTTTAGGCGTTTCATATAAAATTAAACTTACCTATTATAGCTAGTCAAACCAAAAGTTAAGAACTTTGTAAGCCATTTATAGTACTAATATTTAAATTCATGCAATAGTAGACTTGCGAAAGTGACTTTGAATTTCAATAAAATGTTATAGGAATAGGTATTAATATTGAAAATGTATTTCAGCATTTTTATGAGATAAATGAAAGGATTTTTAAGAAAGTGGGGGACAGATGATAAAGTAGAGATTTTGGTGCTGTAGAAAAAGTTATTCAAGATGAGAAAATCTCAAATGGAAAATATATCCAGAGATTAAGAAATTCTAAATGAAATGTTTTGATGTAATTTTTAAGGAAAGTTAAGTTTTGAAATCCATCGTTTTTTCCTCAAGTGAAGGCATTTGTGACAAATTTGGAAAGAGATTTTATATAAGAATTGTGCCTTTGAAAAGTTACAAATTTTAGTGTGGGCACTCAAACATGTATATGAGTCTACCTTCAGTGAATTATTTTAGCAGTTATTTGGGGACTGTGATATTTGTAACACCATCCCCACTATTCCTGCTTTACAGTGGTAGAACCTGTATTCTTTCACAATGCTCTAAGAGTCTACAAGTCTGTGTTCACTAGCGACTTCAGAGGGCAGTGCCATCAGGGGAAGATGTAAGGAAAATGATTGACCCTCAGCTCACAACTTTTAGTTTTTGTAGTCTCAGCAGCACAGTATGGGAAGTTAATGTTAAATAAGGGAGAGGGGCAGTAGAGTAGGTTTTCTGCCTGAGCACGAAAAATTTATTTTGCTATAAACTCCATCTGAATTAATTAAAACATATTTATTCTAGTTGAAAACATGTGAAAATAAC
Source organism: Homo sapiens (assembly GCF_000001405.40). NCBI lineage: Eukaryota > Metazoa > Chordata > Mammalia > Primates > Hominidae > Homo > Homo sapiens. Next base: position 82,437,664 of record NC_000012.12, read on the forward strand.
AGTTTTGGACTCCAAAGGATAATAAAAGTTACAAAAGGATAACTCCATGGATATACACGTTTTACTGAATTATATCTTTAAAACTTTACCAGTCATTGGACAGTTTTCAGTTTTACCTTATTTGACTTCTTAAAAGCATTCCGTATTGTTGTCCTCCTTCTATTCTTACTCATTTTTTAAAAAAATAATAACTACATGCAAGCTGGGTTGTTGTTGCTGACATTATTTTGTGTTGGATGTTCCTATACTATCAATATCGAGATCTGTGGGGATGTGCATAGGGTTTTGGTGACTTGTTTCTTAGTTTGAGTAATTCTGTTGCTGCAGTGAAGTGCTCTTTTATAAATAGTAATGTTTTACTTTCTGCTCTTTTAAAACAATCGTGCTTCATTGGAGCCCTTCTCTTCAGCTATTGCTTCTTTCCATTCAAAAACCTTTGAACCTTTATGGGACATCTCCCATATCTCTTTCTGCAAGAAGTGAAGCATTGTCAAGAGTGCAATCTCTTATCCTATGTTCTTTCCAAGGCTCTACTTTTCAACTCTGTAGTAACCAGTACTGTCTTTCAGACCTCAGACAATCTTTGTATTTCTTTACTTAGGGTAGTTATTTCTTTCTTGTTGTGACTCCTAGCTGTTATTATCTTTATTCCACCTCCATTAAGACAAATCTACATTCTCTTCTTTTTCACACATATCCTTCCTGACTCTTAAATGCTCCAGAGCTGACTTGGTTGGTCTTGAAAGTATTTCTCATTTTTAACTGGTAAGGACTCTATTTGGGCATTAGCTTATTGTTCATTGATTATAACTTTTCTTTCTTATTCACTACTGTTTCTTTTATGGTTTCTTTTTTTTTTTTTTTCAGAATTACTTTCACAATGAGAATTAGCCTCAGGGTAACACTTTCGCTCGTAATGGAAAAATTATTAAGTCATCCTCTGTGTTTAGCAACAAAGGTTTCTGACAGTCACGTGTGGTTCCAACATTCTGGTATTTATTTTATTTCTGTTTTTTTTGTTTCTTGTGCTTATATATGTCTACATTTTTTTCAGCTGCCTACTGAATCACTCTTCTATCGTGCTGTTCTTCAGGATATTATTAAAGATTGTTATGGCATCACCAAATGGTATGAGGATTTTATTTTAATAAGAATAACTATGTTATATTGTAAGTAAAGTGACTTTTAGTCTTCAGGTGAATTTATGCAGGGTCACTGTTATTAGTAGAAGCAACTTTGAATTTGAGCATAATGTCAATAACAAGTACACAACAACTGTATCTTAGGTTAATTATCATTAAAGTGGGGGCTCTAATGATTCCTTCTTGTCCTGAAAGCTTGTTGTAATGATAAAATAATCTATGTAAAATGTACTTTAGAATTTTTGAAGTATTAAAATATTAAATAGTTCAGTGACGATATTATATGAGCAAGAGTCATATTTAGAATGTTTCATAAACAGCATAACACTTTAATTAGAACAGATATTGATCATAAACAACTATTATAGCATAAACACTTAACTCTAATTAGAACAGATATTGATCACAAACAACTATTATAGCCCTTCAGGTCTCTGCTAGTAGAATACTAGCACTACATATGTTTTGTTTTATTCCTGTTGCCCCTAAATAATGCACTATTTATACAGAAAAGCAAGGGGTAGGATAATTTTTTTCATAATATTGGTTCAACAACTGTTGTATTCAAGCATACATTTGTAATTCTGGCATGCTTTATGAATGTTCTCTTGCTAATTACAATTTTAGGATTCTGATAGTTATTTGGTATAATAGGATTATTCTACAAATTAAAATAAGGCAATTTTCAGGTTCTCAAAAATAATTCACATTTATGAAAAGATATAAAAGGGATTTTTAGATTAGCTATTACTTCTCTGTAAGAAAAAATATCCACTTTTTACGGATAGAAGTTACTACATACAAGTACCTACACAGACTGTTTTCAACTGTCATTCCTATGTAGATAACTCCCAAATCTGTATCTCAGTCTCCATTCTCTTTTCCAAATCATCAAAATGTCTAAAACTGAATTTTTCATGTGCTCCTGAAAACTAGTTCCTTCTCTTATATTTACCCTAAGATGCTAACCTTGTTGAAAAAAGCCATAAAATTGTGCAAATTCATGTCAACTCAAATATTTACTACCTGCCTTCTTTAAAGACCTCAGATCTGTTCATGTGTTTATTTCCTTTATGACTTCTTAAATTTGTTTCTGTTCTTTTCTAAACCTTTCTTCTCACTTAAAAACTCAATACTTTCCAACGCTCCACATGCCTGTGTTCCTTTAGTATTCAGAAGACAGCTCGTATTTATTAGAAGACTTTTCTTCCTTAGCCCCATTGACCTTTTAGTCACATTTGACCATGTCGGTAATTGTTTTTTCTCTAAAATCTCTTCCTCATTATCTTCCATTATTCTGTATTCTCTGAGTTTCATTTTTCTACTCTGAGCACTCATATGTTTTCTTCACAGTTTCTTATTATTCTATCCCCTAGTTATATCTAGCCATTCTTTAATGTTTTATATGCAGCTCCTATCTCTATATTTCCTCTTTCTCTTAGGATCCTTACTACAAATGACTCTTGAAATATGTAACTAGCTCCCATCTCTTTTTCAGAAGTCCACATCCACTTTCTCATTTTCATCTGAATAACTTCACTTAAATACCTCACAAATACATCAGTCAGCTACCTCCAAAACCAATGTTCTCTTCCCACCAATTCTATTCTTTTCTTCTTTCTCTTGACTTCTAATAAACAGGTGTTATTTCTGGAAATGACATGACCGTTATCAAACATTAGAAGTCTAGAAATGATACTTGATTCTACTTTTATCATCAGACCACATAATTAGTTATCAAGATTTGTACATGTTATTTTTTTTTAATCCAGAATTTATTTATTGTGTGACAGGCAACATGTTAGGTCCTGGGGATTCTGGATGCATAGGTAATGGTTTCCACACAAGAACAATTTATGTTCTAGTCAGGATGGCTTATGTGAAAACCAAACGAAATGATTGAAGCCTGCTTTCAATAACATACTAAATAATTAGGACTAACCTCACTTCTGAGGAAACAAAACCATGCCAGAGATGTGTGTGCACATGCGTGTGTGTGTTTAAATTTGTTTTTACTTGGTTTGTGAACATCAGAGACCTATTGAAGTAGGTAAGAATTATGGGACAAAAATCAAAGAGGAAATGGGATTTCAACAGAAGTAAACCCAGCTTTTATGGCTGCACTTTCCCCAGCAGGATCTGTCAGTTCTGGAATAGGCAACTGTCCACCCATCAACAGAGAGGGTGAGCACAGCTTTCAATAGAAAGACAGTTCTAGTGAAACAAAAGTTCGAGTTCATGGTCTGGTGAGGACTTGGGAGCAAGCCAAGTAAACCACTCATACTTTGAGTTAGGCCCCTAAAGATTTATACTGTAAGAGTTAAGAGTGAACTAGAATAGTCCTGAAATGAGTAAAGCCCCATTTTGAATTATCTCAAGCTGCAATTAAAGTATTTCAGATTATTGCTTCTGCTAGCTGCCTACAAGAAATAAATTCCCTCTGGACAAAATAATGTAAATCTAAGCCTCAAATTATCACTAACATCTTATATATATATATATAGTACCTTACAAAACCAATCCCAAATAACTAGCTATGTGATGAAACAAGACAACATGACCAAAATCAAAGATAAACTACAGTCAACAGAAATGTACCCTTAGGAAAGCCAGAGAAAGGCTTAAAATAACTATACTTGAGAGAGTTCAACTCTGGAAATATAGAATAGATGTACTTTTCTCTGTTTTTCCTGCTAAGTACAACTAAATCCCCGAACATTATGTATAAAATGAATACAAAAAGACAAAAGGTAAAGAGAATAGAGCAGACTGGCTAGGGGTTTCCGGACCGAAGGAACAACACAGTACGAGTCCCCCGGGTTTTCTTTTTGTTTCATAGAGCCCAGGATTGGAGTTGAAAAAGGTAGTAATCTAGAACCACCAATAGGCACAGAAAAAAAAAGAAATTTCAAATGAAAACTGAAAGACCAGGAAGCGGGCAGGCCTAGAAAAACTTTTATGCATTACTGCCATACTATAGCAAAAAAAAAAAAAAATAGAAACACACACACACACACACACACACACAGAAAAACCTGTGACTCCACTCTCACCTATGCCAACAAAGGCAAAGAAGTACAGAGCCTGCACTTTCATCCTTGCCAGGCTGTAATGAAACTCCCTTATAACCCGTTTGTGGAGGTATTAGATAAGGCTGAGTAGGAAACTAGGACTTGTATCCAACTGCGATAAAAATTAACGCAATACCACTACCACAGTGTCATACAGACCATGTGAGAGGCCTGCACTTCCTACCCAGCCAGCCATATGACACCCCTCGTTTCCCCTACTAGGGTGGTTGGTATCAAGGAAGGCCTAGTAGAGAGTTAGGACTTTCACCATCACTCAGCAGTAACAAGGTAACCCCTATCAGGGTGTCAGTGGAGATCACATGGGAATCTGGAAGTCCCAGCAATAAAAAAGACCTTTAATAATCAATAGAAGCTGACTTACCTTTATACAAAAACTTGTACAGAAATGTTTGTAGCAGCTTTATTCCTGGTCACCCAAACTGAAAACTACCCAGATGTCCTTCAGTGAGTGAGTATTTAAGCAAACTGTAATAATCCATGCCATGAAATACTAAGCAATAAAACAAAAAGTATTGTGGATACACACAACAACCTGAGTGAATCTCCAGAGAATTATACTGAATGAACAGAAGCCAATCCCAAAAGGTTATATACCATATGATTCTATTTATATACATTCTTGAAATGACAGAATTATAGAATGACAAGGTATTAGTGGTTGCTGAAGTAGGAAAAGAGGGTGGAGTAAGCAGGAAGTGCATATGGCTGTAAAACAGCAACATGAGTGATCCTTGTGGTGATGGAAGTGTTCTGTATCTTGGCTGCATCCACGTCAGTATCCTGAATATTACTGTCATGAGACATTGTGGAAATTCAGATGAAGAGTACACCAGTCCTTATTCTTTCCTACAACTGTATGTGATTTTATAATTATTTTAAAATTGAAAGTTTAATTTAAAGAACTATGCTCAATATGCACATTGAAATAAAATATTTTTTGTCAGAGAACCAAAACATTAAAAAAATCCCAATGAAAATTCTAGAACTGAACAAGAAAATGACTAAAATCAAGAAATTTATGGATAGTCTTAACAGCACTTTAGACACAGCTAAAGAAATAATTAATGAACTGAAAGATCAGAAGAAAATATCTACAATGAGGGATCAAAAAACAAAAAAAAAAGCTAGAGAATAGAAAACAAAGACTAAGAGCTATGTGGAATACAGGGAATAGGTTTCATGTATATATTAACTGCAGTCTGAGAAGAAGATGAGACAGTGAATGGGGCAATAGCAATATTAAGAATTTTTCAATCCTGACAAAAAGATATCAATCTTAAGATTTGGGAAGTACACAAATCTTATGATGAAGTAAAAAGAAAAGTTCTAGACACGTAAGAGTAAAATTGCTGAAAATAAAGACAAAGGGAAAATTCTTAAAGCAGCCAGAGGTGAGAGGAGTGAAGGAGGGAAGCAGAATACCCCTAAAGGAACTAAACTAGTCTACCAGCTGAATTCTCAGCATAAACAGTGGAAGCTAGAAGTCAGTGATGTCTTCAAAGTGCTGAAAGAAAGTAGCCTACAGCCTACACAGCCTATCTGAAAATACATTGTCAGAGGAGACCAAAAAAAAAAAAAAAAAGAAAAAAAAGAATGCAGTATGCCTAAAAAATAACCTCAAAAGAGTAAATTTAAGTCATGGCATTAGTCCATTTCTATGTGGCTATAAAGGAATAACTAAGGCTGAGTAATTTATAAAGAAAAGAGGTTTATTTGGCTCACAGTTAAGCAGACTATACAAGAAGAATGGTCCCAACATCTCCTTGGCTTATGGAGAGGGCCTCAGCTGCTTTCATTCATGACAGAAGGCAAAGTATAGACAGCATGTGCAGAAACCACATGGCAAGAGAGGAAGCAAAACAGAGGGGAGGTGCCAAGGCTCTTTTTAACAACCAGGTCTTGTGGAAACTAATAGAGCAAGAACTCACTCACTGTCCCCCAACCCAGGAGGGCAATAACTTATTCATGAAAGGTCTGCCCCTATGGCCTAAACTTTTCCCATTAGGCCCCACCTCCAACATTGGGGATCAAATTTCAACATGAGGTTTGGAAGGGTCAAATATTCAGACTATAGCAGCCTTCAAAATGGAGTTGAAAAAGTGCAGAGGATAGAGAGCTTATTCAAGGAAATAATACAGAAAACTTTTAAACTCAGAAAATGATACAAATACTTCAATGTAGGAAAGTTAAAGACTTTTGCACTCAACCCAAATAAGACTACTGTAAGACATATAATAATCAAAATCTCAAAAGTAAAAGACAAAGAAAGGATCAAAAAAGCAGCAAGGGAAAAGCAGCTCTAATTCATCTGGCAACAAACTTCTCAGTGGAAAATTCAGGCCAGGAGGAAGTGGGAGGACATTCAAAGTGCCAAAGTAACTGTCAACCGATAATATGGTGGCCAGCAAAGCTATCTTTCAAATATGAAGGGAGATACTCTCCCAGATAAACAGAAGCTGAAGGAATTTATTACCACCAGAGGTGTCTTACAAGACATGCTAAAGGGAGTTCTTCAGTCGGAAAGAGAAGGATGCTAACATGCAACAGGAAAATCAGCTGAAGGTATAAAACTCATTGGTAAAAGTAAGTACACAGACAAAATTCCGAAGACTCTTAATACTGTAAATGTGATACGCCACGCAATTCATATCCCTGGTATAAAGGCAAAAAGACATATATCAAAAATAATAATCATAACATTTGTTAAGAGATAGGCATAAAAAAGTAAACAGACATCAAAAAGTCAAAATGTGGGGGTGATGGAGTTATAGAGGTTTTTTTAGCTTTTTTATAGTAACAAAATGGCAGTAGTAATTCCTTACCAATCAATAGCATTGAAAGTAAATTGACAAAATTATTAAAAGATATAGAGTAGCTAAATGGATCAAAAAAACAAGACCCAGCCATTCTTACATGCTACCTACAGGAAGCTCACTGCACCTGTAAGGACAACACACATAGACCAAAAGTACAGAGATGGAAGAAAGATACTCCATTCAAATGGAAACCAGGTATTGCTATATACAGTTACCCTGGAACAACACAGAGTTGAATATACCAGACTCTATAGAATTCAGCAAAAGAAATATTAACAGCAAAGTGTATAACATGTACATCAAGAAAAGTAGAAAAACTTGAGAGAAACGACCTAATAGTATACCTCCAGGAACTAGAAAAGCAAAACCCAAGTGCAAGTCCACTTATATGCAGTATTTTTTTAATAAGTACATTGGAAAATATATTTGAGACCTGTGACAATTGAATAAACTCACACACAAACCATGTAGCCTAAAAATATCAACAAATTAAGAAAATGAGGTCTATCTTGAATGCATAAAATATATACATATTGTTTACCATTTACTACCATAAAATATATACAAATCTATAATAAAAGTCAAAATTTATATAAAAACATGCACACAAACACAGACAATATGTGGCACTATTCACAGTCAAGAGAAATGTAAACTAATGTAAGTATGAAATATTAAATTATAACCACATTAAATTAGCTATAGTATATAGTGTAATAATTTTATAGCCACCTCTTATTAGCATTGTATTGAGCTCAAGTGTTGCGAGTATTCGTTTAAAACACTTTGTGTTGCAAATCTCTGTGAGCAGTTTGTTTCTCCAGTGGACTGTGTATCAGTAAAAAGTGATCTCTCACAGTTCTTGTCTATTTTTCGTTGTCTTTAGGGCAGTACCATAAACCTTGAATAACAATACCATGATATCCTTATTAAGTGCCATTAGTGATCCTGGAAGTGCTCCCGATATGCAGAGAAGTCATGACATTACAAGAAAAAGTTGATTTGCTTGATATGTACTATAGATTGAGGTCTGCAGCTGTGGTTGCCCACCATTTCAAGATAAATGAATCCAGCATAAGGACTACTGTAAAAAGAGAAAAAGAAATTCCTAACACCTTTGCTGCAGCTATAACAGCTTGTGCAAAAAACTTGTACTATCTGTGAAATACAAATATGTTTTAATTCACTATGATATCGGTAAAGCTTCCGGTCAAAAGTACACTAGTAGTAGTTAAGCTTTGGAGTAGTCAACAGTTACATGCAAATTTTTTACTGCATAGGATGTCGGCACCCCTAATCCCCATGTTGTTTAAGGGTCAGCTATACTTACGTCACATAAAATAGACTTCAAGCCAAAAGAGACAAAGAAGGTCATTATATAATGATAGGCAGGTAAGTTCAGCAGGATATAACAATTGTAAATGTATGTGCACCCAGCACCAGAGCATGAAAATATATAAAGCAAATATTAATAGATCTAAAGGGAGAGATAGATTGCAATACAATAATAATAGGGGACTTGAACACCCCACTTTTAGTAATGTACCGATTAGCCAGACAGAAATATAACAAAGAAACTTTGTGTTAAACTACACTGTAGAACAACTGGACCTAACTGACATTTACAGGACATTTCATCCAATTGCTGCAGCATATATATCCTTTTCATCAGCACATGGATCATTACCCAGGATCATATGTTAGCCACAAAACAAGTCTCAACCAATTCAAAAAAGTAGAAATCATATCAAGTATCATTTCTGACTACAATGGAATAAACCTAGAAATCAATAACAAGAGAACCTTTGGAAACTGTACAAATACATGGAAATTAAACAACATGACCCTGAATGACCAACGGGTCAATTAAGAAGTTAAAAAGGAAATTTTAAAATTTCTTTTTTTTTTTTTTTTTGTTTTTGAGACAGAGTCTCGCTCTGTCGCCCAGGCTGGAGTGCAGTGGTGCAGTCTCGGCTCACTGCAACCTCCGCTTCACGGATTCAAGCTATTCTCCTGCCTCAGCCTCCCCAGTAGCTGGGATTACAGGTGTAAGCTACCACACCCGGCTAATTTTTGTACTTTTAGTAGAGACGGGGTTTCACTATGTTGGCCAGGCTGGTCTCAAACTCCTGACCTCAGGTGATCTGCCTGCCTCGGTCTCCCAAAGTGCTGGGATTACAGGCATGTGCCACCACGCCCGGCCTTAAAATTTCTTGAAACAAATGAAAATGAAGACAACATACCAGACTGTATAGTATTCAGCAAAAGAAACATTAAGAGCAAAGTATATAGCAATAAACACCTACATCAAAAAAGTAGAAAAACTTGAAATAAATGACCTCAAGGAACTAGAAAAGCAAAAACCAAATCCAAAATTCTAAAGAAAGAAATAATCAAGATCAGAGCATAAATAAATAAAATTGAGACTGAAAAAAAACCCACGGAAGATCAATGAAATGAAAACAACTTAGCATTATCTAATAAAATGGAAAATATATATACATGCCTCAGCAGTTTTACACCTAATTATATATATATTAGACAAAGTCTTACATGTTTGCTTCTAGAAACTTTTACAAGAATGATCAATAGCAGCAATGTTTATAAAAGCAAAAATCCAGGAACAAAAAACTCATTAATAGAAGAATGGATAAATTGTATTACATTCATGTATATAGAAGTATTTTATATACCACAATGCAAATGTATGAATTACAGCTACATGCATCAATGTGGTTGAATCTTGTGAATATAATTTTAACTGAAATCTCAGAAAAACTCCTATAAAATGGTTCCACTTATATAATTCAGAAAAGAGCAAAACTGAATAATTTAGGAGTATAAATATGTGGTAAACAAGCAAGAACAACATAAGTAAGGTAAACACAAGATTCAATGTCATAGTTTCCTGTGGGAGTTGCGGGGAGCAGTGGATTATTAGGCAGAATGATAAGGTAGGGAAGAGGAGAAGTACATATAGAAATCAAGGTATTTAATACTAGTAATGTATTTCTCAAGTTTGATGTTGGGTACAAGAGTTTGTTTTATTTACATTCTTTATGCCTTACACATGTTTTGTAAACGCTTATTGCTTTTGTTCAGTATCACTAAAATATTGATCTTTTATCAGGCTATACCCCACAGTCAGTTGAGCCACATATTATACTCCAATATCTAATATAGGCACCTCATTATAATGATAAGAAAAATTAAAATAAGTGGTTAAAAGCTTGTCTAAAGTCATATAGCCTGAAAGAACCAGGATCAGGACTAAATTCACAGTCCAGAAAGATTTTCACCATCCCATTCTTGTTTTTAATGGTAAATTCTCTTTGAGATATTTTTAATATGAGTTGATTTGCAAGGCTCTTTGTATTAGCATTGTAAATCAAGGTTATTGGAATTACTGGCCAGCAATAGTACTAAAGACAGAAAATAAGGTCACTTAATTACTTCTTTTCCATTTTCTTTATTTTTCTTGCTAGCTAAAATAAATCATCTTCCAGTAATAATACTGTTTTAGAATAATTGAAACATTATCCTGAAAGTTCTTTAAGTGTAATTGTTTATATAGCCTAAGGTTAGAAGTAAGCCTTTTTCAGGGATTTAAGGATAACATTTTAACTTTATTATTTATAATTGTGATTTAGCCCATTTATGTTAAAACTCAATAATTTATGGAAATTTATTTACAATTAGTACTTATCTATAATAGAAACTTTCTAAGGGGAATAAAATGCCAAGGAAGGAATTTCTTGGATTAAAAATCTCTTTTAAAACACTTGGAAAGAAAACAGGGAAAATCCAATTTGTACACTTTTTTCACTTTATTATTCTCTTGCATAATAAGAAATGTATACAGCTATACAAAAAATATATATAGTATTTTGCTACCTATAATTATGTTACCTAGTTTAATTTTAATTGTGATTTTGTTATAATCAAATAGGAAAGTGATCTTAAAAACTATCTCACAAAATTAAAGATAATCATTTAATCCATAATGTGTGGTCAAGTTGAAATTAGAAGGTATCTTTTAAACTGAAAAGTAACTTGAAGATTTTTTGGAGCTCCCTTAAATGATAGCTATTTACAGCAAAATTTTATGTTGATCTTTTAAGTCTTTCAATATGTATTAGCATACAAAAGGCACAAAATAATAATAATGTTACAATAATTTCATAAATATTTTGTGATTATGGAGAAACTGAATTTTGGTACAATCTGTCCTGCATGTGTTTGCTTTCATTTATTTAGTATACCTCTGCTTCACCTTTCTCTAAAATCTCCCTCCAAAATGCTGCTTCCTTGGAAAGTGTTACAAGTAAACCATGTTCTTACAATTGCATTTTTGGAGAAGCATGTGGGTGTTGTTGGATTCACTTGAGTAGAATTTTAATTAGATCCAGTGCATTCACTTTTATTAAAAGAAAGTATACTGATTCCTTTTTAGCATGCTGACCATGCTTTATTCTGACAGAGAGGCCCTTTTTAATCTGTTCTTAACTTCTCATCATTTGTCTTTCCCAAATAGTCATGTCACTTTTCTAAGTTTCAAATGTTTGCTAATAATTCTTTATGCCCAAACCTAAACTATTATTGTGGCATTCAAGGCCATTTCAAATCTGTTATTAATTTTCATTCCAGCCTAATCCATCATCCCATTCTTCCTGTGCACCATGAACAGCTGCCCATGCACACCGTCCTGGCACGCCAGATTATTCATCATTTCCCATGCCATTATTTTTACACTTTGTGTGTTTTCTTGGAGTTGTTCTCTCTACCTGGAATATTCTTCTCCCTATTTCTGCCATCCTTTCATTCCAGGACCTCTGGAAGGTGAAATTCTGGGTTTTTTAAAATCCAGTTTAGAAGACATCTCTGTGATAGCTTTCTTTCCTCCTTTTCTTCTTTTTCTGTTCTCCTGTAATACTTAAGCTGTGATTCACTGTTCTTACTGAACCTGAATAATACAATTAATTGTATTTCTACTCCTCTGCTACCTTCTGAGCTCCTTGATGACCATTTTTTCAGTTTTATTAAATGAAATGGTGTATCATAGTGCTTAAGAGCACAGATTCTAAAAATCCTCTGCACCCAATTTTCCCCTCTAACCACTGTCCTATGTTGGTTCTTTCCTTTATAGCAAAATTCCTTGAAAGTGCTGCCAATTTCTTTCCCATTTCCCTTTAAACATGTTTCAGTAAGATTTTATTTCCATCACTCCAGCAAACCACCCTGTTCTGGAACATGAATGACCCTATGTTGTTAAATTGCGTGATCCATTCTCAGTCCTCTTCTTACTTTGCCTGCCATTAGTATTGCACCCAATTTTCCACTCTTTATTGAAACACTTCTTTCTCTCATATTCTAGGGAAAGACTCAGAATATACTCACCTTTCACTCTTGTTCTTTTTCCAGTTTTCTTGCTGATTTCTCATTTTCAAACCTCTAATTGTTGAGGTGGCTTTTTTTTTCTGTCTATACCTACTACATACCTTATTTCATCCCATCTGGTGGCTTTAAGTATCATCTATACTGGTGAATCCCAAATTCACCTGTTAATGACAATCATATTCTTCCAGGTACTCAGACCAGAAATCTTTAAGACATCCTTGACTCTTCTTTCTCACTGCCTAGGTTCAATCTTTCAGCAACTTTATAACCTCTCCCTTCAGAATATATGTAATTTTTTTTCACTTTTCACCGTCCTCAGGACCATCACTCTGGTCCAAGCCATCATCATCTTTCACCCAGATTATTTTAATAATTTCCTAGTTGGTCTCTCTCTTCTACTTTTGCTCACTATAGCCTATTCTTTACACAATAGCTAGAGTGATACCATTGATATTTTTAAGTGGGCTCCTGCTCACAATCTTCCAGTGGCTTCTGTTTACCTCAGAAGTAAAGCTAATGTTTTTCCTGTGATCTGCAAAGCCTTATGTCATCTGGCTCCTCATTTTTTCTCTGACCTCATTTCTACTCTTCCTTTTGTTCATGTCTGTGCCAGATACGCTAATTTCCTTAAAGTTCGTTGAAAATACCAGAAACACTTCTCTACTCAGGGCCTTTAATTATGCCACATTCTCTGCCTGGAATTCTTCCACAGATAGTCTCTTGGTTAGCTCAGCCTCTTTCTTCAGGTCTTTTATTCAAAATTATTATCTTTGAGATATCCACTATTTACCATCACTCCTCTCTAACCTTTCATATCTGCTTTCTCTCCTCTATCACCAGGTTTTCATCAGCTCTTACTATCTAATATATTAATAGTACATGTTTTATTTATTTGTGTTGTTGATCATCTCCCATCTCAAATGATTTTTTGTTTCCTTTCGTTCACCAAGTAATAGAACCAAAGAACCTGACTCCAGAGTATTTTAGAAAAGCTTTTGAAAGAGGATAAATCAGACTTTGATTATTCTGTAACTGTTCTCCAGATTGTTGTCCTAAAGTGCAATGATTCTGTGAAAATACCTGGGAAGAAAAGAATTTCTTAAAAGTGAATGCTTCATGCAGTATCCTCCTCTTTAAGACTTAAGTGCGTATTTATATTTTAAAGACTCCTAATAGTTTGGTGAGAGACAGCAGCGTGTCACCATTAAGAACATAAGCACAGGAGCTCTACTGCCTGGTTTCTAATCCCAGTATCCCCACTGCATCATATCACTGTGGTCGTGGTCATATTATTTTATATCTTTTTGCCTAAGTTTTCCCATCTGTAAATTGGGGTTAATAGCAGTACCTACCTCAAAAGGGTGTTTTGAAAATGAAGCTAAAATCTAAAAAGTACTTACAACAATGCCTGGAACATACTGATTGATTTTTATTATTATTAGAAGAAATCTCTTTACCTCTGTTGAAACCATGCTTACTTGTTCATACAATCTTTCTTCTCCGAACTGTGTATAGACAATTAAACACTGTTTTGTGGAGCCCACTCTGAAAAACACAGGAAAATCATGAAAATAATTATTCTGATTTTTAGGGTCTCATTTGGGATTTAAGTGATTATTTGCCTATCAACTCCAAAGGAAATGACAATAACAAAATAAATATTTTGTCATAATTTTCTTTAATATCACAAATATTGATAGGGAACTATAAAATACTTTCAAGAATTCTTCTGAAATATTAATATGTTTAAATGTTAATATTTTCTTTTAACTACAGTAAACAGTTTATCTTAGGAACACAGTGTGACATCTTTTCTCTTTGGTGAATGGTTTTTGCTCTCCTTTTATTATTTTCTATCATGTCTGTTTAATGACAGAAGTTTCTGTGCCCATAAGGCTCTATGTGTTAAAAATTTCTTCTAGACTGAGCTATTGTTACATTAATACTTCTACATGGAGGCAACATAAAGAAATTATAAGTTTTTATTTTAAATTATTAAATATGAAGAGTAAAACATTATTGGACCAAAATGCCATAAATGATACTCTCAAGAAACTGTAAAGATTTTTGTGAATTTTCTTTTATAGCGCGTTCTCTTATAAATAAGACTGCCATTCCTGAAAAATATAACACACCCCATATTCCTTTTGTGAATAATCCTATTCTGCCCTTTTATTTTCTGTTTAAAGATTCTTTGGCCTACCTCTTTTTCTTCTATTGCTTAACTAATACAATTGCAGTATTTAGCCAGGTGCAGTGGCTCATGCCTGTAGTCTCAGCTACTCAGAAGGCTGAAGCAGGAGAATCACTTGAGCCAATGAGTTTGAGGCTGCAGTGAGCTATGATCATGCCACTGCACGCCTGCCTGGCCAACAGAGCAGGACCCTGTTTCTAAATTACATGAATGAATAAATAATTTTTAATCACAATATTTATCCTTAAAACTATAGACCCTTCTAAATACTAATGAATACTTCCCTTTCCTTGCACCTACAAAAGAGCAATTACATTCTACATCATAAACTCACTTTGCAGATATTATTTTTAAGATTACTTTATGAAATACCAAGCCTTCTAGAAATTGGTCTCATATCATGCAAAAGTAACCTTTAACTTTCAAAGGTTCTAAAGTCTGATTCGTTATACTTAATAGTGGTAATAATACTATACCTGATATTTCTGTTTTCTGAAAAAGTCCCTTTTTTCTTGAGCCATGCACCGTATATTGAATATTTTATTTTATCCTCAGCCTTATGAGATAGATTTAACAACACCATTCTACTGATGATCAAGAAGAGGCAAAGAGGTTGTATAAGGGTAGAGTGCAGATTCAAGCTTGTTTCAGTCTTTAGTTCAAAACCTATACCAACCACTACACTATCGTGCATATACAACATTTAAATAAATGTTTTTTAAAATGAATGAATAAGCAACCTAATTAACATGTATAACATTTGGAAATCATAAACATACTTCCTGGTCCTAATTGCTGATGAGTTTGGGCAATAAGTCTAGCAATAAATGACTTGGGAAGAACAAATCCCTTCCTATGAAGTCTATTCCCTCATATAATTTTTTAATTGTTAGAATTATTTAGTATCCCATAGGTTCACTAAAACACTAAAATTCTGTTTCCTTAATTATAGCAGGAGGGTCTGCATAGCTTTTCTGTAAGAATATGTACACACACTTTGGTGTGGTGTCATGGAATCTGTTTTGCTGTTTACCTGTAACACAGAGGTGGCCATTCCTCATCTGCAGTTTAACAGTATTGAGTATGAATCCTATTCAAGTAGTATGCTGGAAGTAATATTGACTAATAGTTAATATCCCAGATTATGAAGTCAGATGTTGGAAAGTTTACTTAACCTCTGTCTACTTTAAAATCTTTAAAATGGGGATAATAATGGGACCTACCACATGGGGTGGTTGTGTGGATTAAGTGAGTAAATGCAGCAAAGGACATAAGAATTACTGGTACATAGTAAACAAAATTAATACTAGCTGTTATTTGTATTGTTAACTTTGCACTTTCTGTTACATATTTCTTCAGTAGCTCTCTATTTTAAATTACACTTATTTGTATAACTAAGCCTGCCTATATGCTTATCTATTATACTTGAATACAATAGATAGACCTGTTTATTATATTAATGCATTTTTCTCTTATTTTGTAACTAGATGTATTTGTTTCTGCTAGCTGAGATATTATTTATTTAATTCATTTATGGAGTTCCTGCTGTGTGAGGTACTATGCTAGGTTCTGGGGATATTGTTATGAGCAAGACAGCTGTGTTCCAGCTGATTAAAGTAGTAGTCTCAAACATATTTTTATGCTTCACACCTCTGTCAAGAAACATTTCTGAGCATGTATGCAAAAATGAATATTTATTTATAAGTGGTATACATGTCTCTCCACTAGCATATTATATAGATTTTACAGTAAACTCAGAAATTGAAATTTAAAAGAGACAAAATAGAAATAAAAAATCTAATATTCTCTTTCCCTTTGGATGTGTTCACCCACTTTGGAGAATTCACTGGCTTAAAATATCAAGGGGGAGATGATCAGAGAAACAAAGAAGAGAGAGTATGTGAAGGAAAAGTTCTCTGTGTTAGGAGCCCAACTTCTGGAGGGCCAGAAAAGGCTTAACTAAGGAAGCAATATTTGAGATAGGATCTGAAAGGAGGAGTTTGGTGTTTCCAAAGCAGAGGGATTGAGAGTATAGTGTTCTGGGAATAGTGTTTGTAGCTAAAAGCATGGTATGTTCAAGAAACTAAGAGAATGCCAGTGTTGTTGAGGAGGCAGTGTTATAAAGAGATGAAGTAACATGATCACATCATCAACTTTCTAGTTCTAGTTGAGTGATTTTTTTCCTGTTATTGCTAAAAACAGGTCTGAAATAATACAGATTAACAAAGGACTTAAAGAAAAAGTCTTATATAGCAAATCACTGCTTAACACACTAAAAGCAATCTTATAATAACCATACTGTGATACTTTGCTACAGTAAAAAGTAGTGTATTTTGAAAGGGAAAACTAAAACAAGGCCAAATTAAAATTGAAAATGTGTCTCTTATTTTCAAGTAGTCTGAAGGACAACACCCAGGAAACAAACCAATACCACCTATACTTACACTATATTCTCTCTTACACTTACAATGTTTAATACTTATTTAGGAACATTTTACTCAGGGTCTTTTAACAGTATAATAAAAGCAAAATCTAGACTATAATACCAGTAATTATAAAAGCAATATTAATGAAAGTAACAACAACAGCTTACATCATGGCTCAGTTCTGAGCACCTTATATGTGTTACGAAATTTAATCCTCATAGTGACTCTATGAAGTAAATGCTATTGATATCCTCTTTTAATGAACAAGAAACTCATAGATGATAGAGCCAGTCTGACTGGAAGCCACCCTCTTATGTACTATTCTATGCTTTTTCTCAAGAGCTACTCCATAAGACGGTGAAGAATGGTATAAAATTGGAGCCAGAATAACTGGCTTATGGGAAAAACTTAAGTGCTTGTCCTTTTGGATTAAAAAAAAAAAAATCAAAGCTTAACTTTTTTAAGCTGAGCAGCAGGAAGTTAATATTAAATGGCCTATTTTCCTGGCTACACAGTGAAATCAATTATTTTGTGATACATAAGATATATATCTATTATATGGTATCTGTTACACCTAAGATGTATAGGATCTGAGAATAATGTGTATGTGTAGGATCCTGTATGTGCAGGATCTGAGAATGATACAGAAACCTACAAAAATATATTTTCTGCCTTCTGGAACCTATACCTATTCAAGTGACTATTAAATCAAGGCAGTGATAAATAACAAACGAATGGAAGAATCGTAGGGGCTATAGAAATTCAAAATTAGAAAAGATTATTATTAGTCATGTTACCAAAAAGAACATGTACATTTACACTTTATCATAAAGGAAGACTTCAGTTCAACTAAGATGTAGAAGAGAGTGGGGAACTGTGTAATCCATTAAGAGGAAACTGCATGAGCAAATGTACCAAGGCAGAAATGTGGAAGACAGTCTGAAACAATTAGTAGACTGATCTAAGGAGAAAAAACTAAATACTGGAATGTAATGGGATATGCGGTTGAGAAATGTGATTATAGTGGGCCCTGATGGTTTAAGGACTTTCAAATTTATCCCAATAAATGGGAGAGGTATTGAAAGCTTTTGGAGCAGAAAAGTGACAAAATAAAAAGGCTCTTAGAAAATAACATGTAGGAAGAGGTGAAGAAGAGAGACTTCAGTTTTAGAGGTCTTAATTAGGAAATAGTTGGAATAATCAGGACATGATGTAATAAAAAGTGGAATTGAGATGCCGTCTTGAAATTGAGCTGAAGAAATATGTTTTGAATATATTTTAAAGGAAGAATTGATAGAATGTTATGTCTAATTAATCAGAGGTGTTAATATTTATATTGCCAAGAGTAAATGAGGCTTCATTCCTTGTTTTTGATAATTCGTAGTTAATTTTTTTATCCTCTTGATTTTTACATTACACCTAAATTGTAATCAAAGTTGTGAGATGTGGTACTCTAGCATTGTATTGTTTAAATTCAAAACCATCCCATGCTACTTTGTGTACATTATTAATAAGAGTTTGCAGGGCATAAATGAGATCAAGTCAGATCCATCTCATTATATGGGGCTTGATCAATGGCTGGAATTGAAGAAGTTCTCTTTGCATAGCTGTTGAATTATTGCCTCTACTAACAGGTGTTGTCATGAGATGTGCATTGTAATATTGAGCCAGTAAATCTCAAATGTGTTTCATAGCACAATGGAAACTTTTGAAAGACCAATAGTTCCTTTTAAAAATGAGGCTTTTTAATACTGTGTTTAAAACTTCTTTCTCACAGCCTTCACTGCTATATGTTATAAGAATTGTCAGAAGCAGATCCTGAATACATTATAACATGTAACTTTAAAATGTCCTCAAAAGTATTACTGTATTTTGATCACATTTGGATCTTGTGCTATATCCACAGAAAATATTTAAAAATATTTCATGATTGAAATTAAAACCATCTAAAATTTACATTGGAAAAACTAAAAATTTATTCAATTTTGTTTTACAGTGATCGGCATGTTGGTAAAATTTATTCCAAATGTTCTTCTTTTCTGGATTATGTCAGACGGTCTCTAAAGAAGCTTGGATTAGATGAGTCCAAGGTCAGTATATGATGACTCATTATTTTCAGAAAAGACAGAAGAACTTCTATTTTGTAATGAATTGAGAGAATACAAAATAGTTTCCCTTCTAATTTTCTCTCATTTGTGAAAAGGTCCAAATTATATTGAAACAAGACCTCCATCATCTTTTTTCCAGTTTATCCTTCTTGTCATTGTAGAAAGTTTACTGTCATGTATCTCCAGAGTTTCCCTCTTTTAGTTCGAGTTAAAAATGTGCCAATTTACAAATCAAAATACAGTTAAAAAGCAGGACAACAGTACAAGTGAGAAATAGAAGTAAAGCAAGAGAGAATGGTTTTAATTTTGAAATGCATCTATTTACAGCTTATATAACTAAAATTAAAAATCTTAAATTCAAAAGCCTTCAAATAGGAGAATCTTGAAAAGTTGTAATATCATAGGAGGCCCAAGTTAGTAATTGATAACATATTACTGAAAGCAGAAAGGTAAACTTGTTGACTGATAGTAATAAATATTCTACCACTGAGGGAAAAAAAAACAGCTTTCAACATTCAGACGAGCTATTAACTAAAATATTAAATGAACTTGGATTACTCTGGTATTTTGAATTGAGTATAAATTGAAACGAAGAATAGAGTATGTGGTCAAAGGAATGAAATAGATTTCTTGAAAATGTTACAAGGACATAATAATGTTATATCAAAGCTAAAGGGTATTATTATTTATTATATCAATTATTCATTTAGTCCCCAGTTGCTTTATTACTCAAAGCAATTGAACTGGGACTAGTCAGTTTCCTCCCCTTTAAAATAGCTATAAGAAAGCCATAGGATTTAGGAAGGATTAAATTAGGTAATATACATAAAGCTCTTAACGCAGTGTATATAGTAAATGCTAACTATATGATACTCCTTTTAATTATCGTAATCCCTTTGTATGTACTATGAGTAACAACACAATCAACATGATGCTTATAAATATTTTTATTTAGTCACTAAAATGAAGACTCTCCTAGTTTTTGCATAAATGAAGGAGAATAGACAAGGTTACACTAATTTATTTATTTCTGGATTATTTTCTAGGTTATTTTAAAAAAAATGTTTTTCATTCACCTGACTGATCTTCCTTCCAATTAGTCTTACCTAGTGCAAACCTTTAGTGCATATCTCATTTCATGTCTTGCATTTAATATCAAGAACACAAACCTAAGCATTATTGTCACAAATTAAGAGCTACAGTTTTACTTAAACTTAATAAATTAAAAAATTTATTATCATTCCTTCTGGCTTTGTTTTCCCAGTTTGTCTTTAATAATAACCACAGCAAATGTTTATTAATATATTTATTAGTATATAACTAATAAGATACTAAGAATAGTTAATATTTACCAAACACTTACTCTGTGATAGATATTATGCTATGGACATCACAAACATTACCTTACTTACTTTGCACAAAAACATTTACAGTGGATAGCTTCCAGTCCAGCATATAAAAGCTTGGAAACTGCCACTCAGTCTTAGCAAGTAAAAGCTAAAAACAACAGAAAAATCCACAGATCTAATGAGAAGTGAGGTCACAGGGCAAACTGCTACCTCCCAAACTGGAAAGACAGGCAAATACAGAGATTTACAACTTACAGGAGCAGAAACCGCCACAGAAACCTGTGCCAGAGTAGGAAAACCTGAACTGTAATTTAATTGTTGGAGGCTCAGTGTGGACAACTTTGGGAATTAAAAAATACAGAGAGAACCACTCATAAGAGACCACCCACACCTTTGTGAGTTTTACCTTAATGAGCTCAACCTGGTTTTAGAGAATAGTGGAGAAAAAAAAAATCCCCTCCTTCCATCAAGGGGAGGAAAAAATAAACATTTTTTAAATACGCCAGAGCATTCTACTCTTCTGAATACTTTCTTATGAATAGTTTCTCAGAAGAAACTATAATCAGAACTTAACCTGCTAGTGTTTTGTCAGAGCCTAACTCACCTGAGGGAAGGAAAATACCTAGGTCCAGCCAAATCTAACTTTCCATGGGGGAGAAAGAAAATATCCAACTCCAGCCTACTCTAGCCATCCTGTGCCACCCAAGAAAGGGTAAAAATACGGAGAAGCACTGATAAAGTTTGTAGTACAGAGACACAGGCTCACTAAAAGACTGAGACATAATTATAGGACTACAAACCATTGAAAATCATTTCCCCTCCCCTCACACCTTGCCATCATATCACTAAGGGCTTATTTACAGCAGTTACTTTTACCCAGTATTCTATTATCTCGCTATCGAGAAAATTACAAAGCATACTAGAAGGCAAAAAACACAGATTGAAGAGACAGAGCAAGCATCAGAACCAAATTCAGATATGGCAAAAATGTTAGAATTATCAGACCAGGAATTTAAAACAATAATGAGTAATATACTAAAAGTTCTAATGGACAAGGTAGATAGCCTGCAAGAACAAACTGAAAATGTAAGGAAAGAGATTGAAATTTTTAAAAAGAGCTAAAAGGAAATGCTAAAGATCAAAAAATACTGTCACGGTAGCCAGCCATGGTGGCTCACACCTGTAATCCCAACACTTTGGACGGCCAAGACAGGAGAATTATTTGAGCCCAGGAGTTTGAGACTAGCCTGAGCAACATGGTAAGATTCCATCTCAGCAAAAAATTCAGAAATTAGATAGTGTGGTGATATGCACCTCTAGTCCCAGCTACTTGGGTAGCTGAGGCAGGTGGATTGCTTGAGCCCAGGAGTTTGAGGCTGCAGTGAGCTGTGCTTGTGCCACTGCACTTCAGCCTGGATGACAGAGCAAGACTCTGTCTCCAAGAAAAGAAAAACAAACAAACAAAAATACTAGTATAGAAATGAAGAATGTTTTTGATGGGCTTATTATTAGGCTGAACACAGATGAGGAAAGAATCTGTGAACTTGAGGATCTATCAATAGAAAACTTGAAAACTAAAAAGCAAGAAGCCCATATGTTTCAAGCTTAGGAAGATCAGTTACATGCAAAATGAAATCATACCTAAAAGTAATAAACATACTGAGTCACCTTTGCTCTATTTATTCCAGAAGATCAC
This sequence comes from Homo sapiens, assembly GCF_000001405.40. NCBI lineage: Eukaryota > Metazoa > Chordata > Mammalia > Primates > Hominidae > Homo > Homo sapiens. The sequence continues at coordinate 82,459,884 of NC_000012.12, forward strand.
AGTGATACTAATCTTTGGATAACTTCCTCTATCAACCTGAGAATATCAGGAACACTTCAGCCTCCTTGCCAATGGCTTTGTCTTCCTTGACTTTTTTGACAGGATCCGCTGATGGCTTCACCTTCACATCCACTTACTTTAGTTCTTAAGCCAATTATGTCCTAGCCAAGAACCTTCAGTCCCACCATCAAGTGGTGAGAACTACCTCAGTTGTTAACCCATCTTCTTATCACATATGATGTGGG